>NC_000023.11:138429381-140929381 GCF_000001405.40 Homo sapiens | reverse complement strand
AGATCTCCCCACCTCCTCCCCTCCACACACATACTGCCGTGGTTTTCTTAGAGCTTTGGATATTTTTGTACAAAATCACTATGGCATAAGGCTTTGGTATCTTACTCTGCTAATGCTATGGATGACTAGATAAACTGCAAATCAGTTTGCCCTCATTTAAGTACATCCGTAGGCAATGTCTTGCTACAATACACACTGTAGATCAAATGGCACATTGCTTACACAGATAGCTAAGGCACAAAGTAGGGTTTCCTTCAAGCAACTGTAATTTATACCTCTTCTTCTCAAATAAAGAGACTGTGTGTTTCCTACAGGCACACAATTCTTTCAAACCAGGCATACTTCTTTTGGAGCTGTCCATATTTGGGGCACTCAGTATCTCCTGGCGATAATTGTAAGTCAGCAGTTTGTACTGAGTGAAGATGGCTTTAACATTACCATTGGCTGCAGTTGTTTTGTGATGTGTCACACTTTCAGACAATGCAGTTCTGGGGAATCGGTATAAGCAAAGTGAAACTTACATTAAATGTAGTCTTGGCTTTTTAAAAAGACACCTAGGAGGCTTTCATTAGGATCCTTCACGGAGTTTGGGGTTTATTTTTAAAATTATTTTAAGACAGAAAATTGAATCACTTGTCCTCATTCTATCACAACACAGTCATTCATTTATTCAATCATTTAGCACCTTATTCATTTGGTCAACTAATATGTACTGAGTATCACTTATTTAATTTACCAAAATCTACTGTGTGCTAGGAACTACACCAGGCACCAAAATGCAATGTTCTCTCTGGCTGCCAGTACTGGTGACAAATGCTAGGATGATGAAAAAAGATTAACACTGCCATCTGAGATGTGTCAGACATCAGCCTGACCAGCTTGTTTCAATTCACTTTTTTTTTTGTCTTCTCCATCATTCATTCATTCATTAACACAAGTATATACTGAGTGCCAGGCACTGTGTTAGCCACTAAAGATGTAATCGAGAGCAAAATCAAAGTCCCAGCCTGGAGTGGTGTCTTCTCTGGTGGAGAATACAGCTATTGATCAAAGAATCACACAAGAAATAAACAATTGTAACTGTGGCAAGTTCCCCGACAAGTCCATTGTGGCCCTCATCCGCGCCCTCAGCTTCATAGAGTACAACCAGAGCAGCTGCATTTTAGTCTCTTTTATGTATTGGGCTTCCAGGTAAGATTAATTGAGGGAAAAATTGGGGTTTGATTTTTAAAAGTTGGAAAGCCACTATTCTATGGCATTTAACTCTGTTATTATATTGGCGATGAATTTTTTTTTCTACTGAATCTTTGCAACTATATGTCTCAAATATGAGATGCACTTTCTTAAAAGTGATTTTTAATCTTGCTGACAGATTATTATTTCCCTAGGATCTCAAATTCCCTCATTGTGTAATCATTTTCTCTAAGATTTTCATCTATCTTTACATCCCAAATGAATCAGTATCAGCTAAATAAATAACTAAATAAATTAATAAAGCAAGAAAGGAATTCCTCTTGACTCACCTACTTCTGCACAAGGAGATTATCTCTAATGCAAACCCAATTCATTCTTGAAGAGGGAAATAACCTGCTAGATTGATCTATAATCAGACACTAAACCCCAATGACCACCCCAACTAGGTGCAAGCATGCTTGGTGTGTCGAACAAAAATGTCTTTAACTTCTACTTACTGAAAAATTTTTTTGATAGTGTTCATCTATGATATCACACTTATTCTTATCCCCTTCAAAAGAGCAACTGCAATATTTTACACTTGTATGATACCACACAATTTAAAAAGAACCTCAAATGCAGAACCTCATTTGATCCTTAACCAACTCAGTAACTTACAAGTAGTATTTGGAAATGGTCTCACCCAACTAGCCAGACACATCTGTCGATGCTTTACTTTTGAGTTTGGGGGATGTCTGCTTGCTAGTGGTAATATTTGTGTTTATGAAGTTCTGAACTACTAACAAGTGAAATAAAGAAAGAAACTTGTATATATTTTCTATTTTATATGGTTTCTATTATGCCCTCACCTCCAATTTTTCACTTACTCGGTTTTCAAGAAACGAGATTATACCGGGTACAAGCAAACCTTAAAGATGTGGATGCTGACTGGTTAAACATGGCATTTTAGCCAAACACCGTACCTTAGCTAACCAAACTATGTCCCTATCTTCATTTTGCAAATAAGATATTGAGGTACACTCATGCTCCTCCTAATTGTTTTAATGTTTTTGAGCAGATGGTACAGCCCTAATTCCACTGAAACAAACCATGGTGGGTTGAATAGGGACCCCAACCCAAAAGATATGTCCGCATCCAAATACCTGGAATATGTGAATGTTGCTTTATTTGAGGAAAGGGTTTTGTAGATGTAATTAAGGTAAGGATCTCAAAATGAGATTATCCTAGATTATCCAGGTGGACCCCAAAACTGATAACACGTGTCCTTATAAGAAACAGAAGAGAAGAGACAAACACATAGAGGAGAAGGTGATGTGAAGACGGAGGCAAGATTGGATTGATGCTACCACAAATCAAGGAATTCTTGGAGCCACCAAAAGCTGGGAGAGGCAGGGAACAAACTCTTTTCTAGAGCCTCTAAAGCAGCAATCCTCAACCTTTTTGGCACCAGGGACCTGTTTCATGCAAGACAATTTTTCCACGTACTCAGGGAGGTGTTGTTGGGGGGCGGTTTTGGGATTAAACTGTTCCACATCAGATCATCAGGCTTTAGGTAGATTATCGTAAGGAGCATGCAGCCTACATCTCTTGCATGTACAGCTCACAATAGGGTTGGTGCTCCTATGAGACTCTCATGTGGATGCTAATCTGACAGGAGGTGGAGCTCAGGTGGTAATGCTCACAGGCCCACTGCTCACCACTGGTCTGTGGCCCAGGGGTTAGGGACCCCTGCCCTAAAGGGAGTGTGGCCCTGTGGACAGCTTATTTTCAGACTGCTGCCACTGGAAATTGGGATTCTCCAGTCAATTACTTGTAGCCATTTTTCACATTAAAGTCTGTATATTCACTGTGTTCTTAGAGCCCTTGTAAAGCTAACCAGCTCTTATCACCTTTAAGCAAGTGGGAACTTTTAGCCTTTCTAAAGTTGTAATTCTACTTCTGAAATGTCTTCAAATGTATCAATAAGCCTTCTCTTCCCAGTTCTTCTTGGAGTCAGGAAAAGCTGGGTTGAGAGGAGCAGAAAAGAAAAAAGAAAAAAAAATCGTTATTTTTAAATTCAAGAAAAAAAGCTGGATTTCCCACTATTATATTGCCACAAAAAATTACTTATTTTAATGCACTCAAGTAAGCCTTGATATTGTGGGTTGTTGGAGAAAAATGCACTATTTCCTGTCTATAAACATCTAAAGAAGAAAAAACATCTAAAATAATCACATTTAGTATTCTTGCAGTATGATTTGGATGCACTTCTGAGGTAATCTCTATTTTACTTAATTTTTATTGCTCCAGTTCAGTTAGCTAGAGTTTTTTATGTTTAGATAGTGTGTATGTGTGTGTGTGTGTGTGTGTGTGTGTGTGTAATATGGGGGTGGCAAGAGGCTGTTTCAGTAGACCATCAAGTTATTCAATTTGTATGCTACTGCTCTAGCTGGATTTCACATATGATATTATTTACTATATTCCTTATGCATTAGGTAAAATAACAGTGGAAAGATAGAAATGTTTTTTACTGAGAATTGCTAGCATAAATTTGAAAAAAACAGCAAATCTGTCAAATTCTTATCATATTTATGCTATAAGACACTTACTGAAAGAAAAAACCCTCTTTTTATATAGCTTATAATTGCAATCCAGATAACATAAAACATTTCTCATTATGGAGGAAAATATGAATGTAAATCTTATCTACATAAAAAGGTTGATGTTTTATTTCATTTCAAAATTCACACAAAACATTTTGTGACTACTTCTACTTTGAAAAGACAGAGCAGATTTATATGAATTTTTATTAATTGCTTCAATCCTTCCTGGCTTTGACAGCCTGGAGTCCTGGAAAGACCATTGGACCTGATTTTAGAAAGCCTGCTCTGCTACTGTGTGAGCTAAGTGTCTGGAAACCTAGATTCTTAATCAAAAAACATGAAGATAAAAGAATCTGTACCACCTAGATCAAAGAGTTATTACCAACACATCTGCCTAATAAAATCCCACTCATCCTTCAGTGCTGTATTAGTCCATTTTCACACTGCTATAAAGAACTGCCTGAGACTATAAAGGAAAGAGGTTTAATTGACTCACAGTTCAGCATGGTTGGGGATGCCTCAGGAAACTTACAATCATGACAGAAGGTGAAGGGGAAGCAAGGCACCTTCTTCACAAGGTGGCAGGAAGGAGAATGAACAAAGGAGGACATGCCAAACTCTTATAAAACCATCAGATCTAATGAGAACTCACTCACTATCACAAACAGTATTGTGGAAACCACCCCCATGGTTCAGTTACTTCCACCTGGTCTCTTCCTTGACATGGGGATTACATAGGGATTACAATTTAACGTGAGATTTGAGTGGGGACTGATAGGGTTTGGCTGTGCCCTACCCAAATCCCATCTTGAATTATAGCTCCCATAATTCCCATGTATCATGGGATGAACCCAGTGGGAGGTAATTGAATCATGGGGGCAAGACTTTCCCATGCTGTTCTTGTGATGGTGAATGTCTTATGAAATCTGATGGTTTTATAAAGGGGAGTTCCCCTGCACATGCTCTCTTTCCTGCTGCCATGTAGGAAGTCCCTTTGCTCTTCCTTCATCTTCCACCATGATTGTGAGTCCTCCCCAGCCATGTGAGTCCATTAAACCTCTTTCTTTTATCAATTACCCAGTTTCAGGTATATCTTTATTAGCAGCGTGAGAACGGATTCATACAGGGACACAGCTGAACCATATTAAGTGCTAAGACCATCACACCTTCCTGTGAGGCAGTGACTTCTAGAGCTGCACATTGGAATCACCTAGGAAGCCAGGGCCACTCCCAGAGATCCTGAATTGCCAGCTTGGGTGGGGCATAGAGCCAATAAAAGCCCCTTGGGAAAACTGGCCTCCTATCTTGTCTGCACAGTCCCTGTACAGGGTTCCTGACCTGTGGTAAGTAAAGAATGTCACTTTCTAACAGGCCTAGGAGCCCCTTGTTATCTTGGGATCTCAAGAGGAGAGGAATTTACTCAACTCATAGGTATTTGAGGGTACAAACCCATGACTGTGCTCAGCTTTAAAAAAACTCTTATCTGAGATTCCTTTTATGGAACAAAGTTCCATCAAAGCCAATTTTAAAGGCCTATATAAAAACAATTATTCTTGCTGCACTTTACACAAATAATCAGGCCAAGTATAATAAAGCAAATCAGTCTTACTATGATTTGTCTTTCATAAAAATGGGATACTGGAGAGAGAAAAATATGTTTCAAAAACTATGATATACCTGTTACTCAATTATAGTCTCATCAGTTGTTTTTGAGTTTTTTTCTGCAAGTTAGACTAACTCTGCTTATTCCTGTGAACCAACCAGTGATCTCTGGCTGCTGATCAGAAGAAACAAGAGGGATGGTTAATGTAATAATCTGGATCAGTATTCTAATTCTGGGCATGTATTGGAATGTATAGCATGTATAGCAATTCCATATCAGCTTGGTTCCAACAGCTGCCCAGTTCATGGAAAGCCTTCTTATTGAGTTTACTTGGGATGGATTTACTTTTTTTTACTTTACTGTTGTGGAATATATTTGCTGTTGTACTCTTTGTGTAGGAATGATGGATAAGCTTACTCAACGTTTTCTTAAACTGAACACTTACTAATCTTCCAGATATTACCTTTTGTTGGAGTTACAAATGGCCTTCACCATACTGACAGTTTCTGACTGAGCTCCTCTCTACCCTGAATACAAGAGACCCTAATAGTTAGGTAGGAATATCATTGTCTTTATTCAGCCTGAAGAAGTTACAGAAGATGGACCTTCCTCCCTCTACAAACCTTAGGATTAAGCGTTCCCTTGTATAAGGGAGGGGGGAAATGTCAGAGGTGTTTGAACCAGAGTGACTCCATCTTGAATAGGGACTGGGTAAAGTGAGGCTGAGACCTACTGGGCTGCATTCCCAGGATGTTAGGCATTCTAAGTCACAGGATGAGATAGGAGGTCGGCACAAGATACAGGTCATAAACGTCTTGCTGATAAAATAGGCTGCAGAAAGGAGCCAGCCAAAAGCCACCAAAACCAAGATGGCAACGAGAGTGACCTCTGGTCGTCCTCACTGCTCGTTATATGCTAATTATAATGCATTAGAATGCTAAAAGACACTCCTACCAGCACCATGACAATTTACAAATGCCATGGCAATGTCAGGAAGTTACCCTATATGGTCTAAAAAAGGGAGGAACCCTAAGTTCCCCGAATTACCCACCCCTCTCCCAGAAAACTCATGAATAATCCACCCCTAGTTCGGCATATAAACAAGAAATAACCATAAAATAGACAACCAGAAGCTCTTGGGGCTGCTCTGTCTATGGAGTAGCCATTCTTTTATTCCTTTACTTTCTTAATAAACTTGCTCTCACTTGAAAAAAAAAATGTGTTCAAAGCCCCGCAGGTTATTTATTTATTTATTTATTTATTTATTTATTTATTTTTTGAGACTGAGTCTCGCTCTGTCGCCCAGGCTGGAGTGCAGTGGCGTGATCTTGGCTCACTGCAAGCTCCGCCTCCTGGGTTCACACCATTCTCCTGCCTCAGCCTCCCGAGTAGCTGGGCTACAGGCACCCACCACCACGCCCGGCTAATTTTTTTGTATTTTTAGTAGAGGCAGGGTTTCACCGTGTTAGCCAGGATGGTCTCGATCTCCTGACCTCGTGATCTGCCCACCTCGGCCTCCCAAAGTGCTGGGATTACAGGTGTGAGCCACCGCACCCGGCTTCTCCCAGGTAATTTTAATGCATAATCAGAGTTTAGAATTCATTTCAACTCACAGTGGCAGAACTCATTCTTATCTTGTTGATCCTATTTTTTTCCTCAAGTTTGACTGAGGTTTAATTGGCAAGAACAAAACTGGAAACGTCACACCTTCTGATTTCAAAATATCTTATAAATATTTACAGTAATTAAAACAATATCATGCTAGCATAAAGACAGACATATAGACCACTGGAACAGTATAGAGAGCACAGAAATAATCCATGCATGTACAATATGCTCAACTGATTTTCTACAAGGCTGCCAAGAACACACAATGGGAATGGACATTCTCTTCAACAACTGGGGTTGGGAAAACTGGATATCCACATAGAAAATAATGAATTTGGACCCATATCTTACACCACACATAAAAATCAACTCAAAATGGATAAAAGAATTAAATGCAAGACCTGAAACGTTAATACTAGATGAAAACATAGGGGAAAAGCTTCTTGTTGATACTCCCAATTTAATCAGTCTCTATTTAAGTGAACTGCTAGACCAAGTGAAGTGCTTCAAATCTTCTATCGAACGTACTGACAAGTACCTTCAGGAAATTTACAACAAATAGGTTACCATCTGAAAATAGCAATAACAGCAGAAGTTTGTGTAAGGTACTCTTCCAAGCACTCTACAAGTACGAACTCATATACTTCACACAGTAACACTATTATAATTTTCATTTTACTGATGAAAACACTGAAGCACAGAGAGATTAAATTATTCACAGTCACACAGCCTGCAGGTGGCTAGGCAGAAATTTGAACTCCAGCCGGTCACTAGGCAATACTGCCCCATAGTAGACTGAGTGCCCACTTTTGCTCCCCTGAAGTGAGTTATTTGCTTTTGGAAAATCAGTTCAGTTTGTTCCCGAAGCTGCGTATGCCTGTTGTATTATAATTACATAATTTAGTCAAATATTATGTAAATACCCACTAGAAAAAAAAGATGAGTGGAAAAAGAAAAAAGTTGCTGTACTATGACAGCTGAGATAATTGCTTTGGAAGGGAACTCACTAAAACAACTGCTGTCAAATTAAGTATGAGTGGGGCAACGATTGTTTGTGAAAAATCATTAAAATGTTTGATTCTGTGACCTGATTCCTTTGCAAGTACTTTAATTTAAGTTCTTGTTCCAGCTAAAATAAACTGACACAAAATCAGAAGTAAAACTTTATGGGTGAGGTTATGCAAGAAAGAAGTAGGAAAGTATACTCAATAGACCTCAAAAATATCAAAAGATGAGGAAGTATGTATATTTAAATATTTAAAATGTTTAAATGAAGATTGAACCACTTAAATGTGTACCTGATTTTTTGTAATTCCCCAATGTAATCAATTTTTTGTTTTTTTCTTTTTTGAGACGGAGTCTCGCTCTGTCTCCCAGGCTGGAGTGCAGTGGCACAATCTCGGCTCACTGCAACCTCCACCTCCCAGGTTCAAGTGATTCTCCTGCCTCAGCCTCCTGAGTAGCTGGGATTACAGGCATGTGCCACCATGCCTGGCTAATTTTGTATTTTCAGTAGAGACGGGGTTTCACCATGTTGGTCAGGCTGGTCTGGAACTCCTAACCTTGTGATTCACCCGCCTCGGCCTCCCAAAGTGCTGGGATTACAGGCGTGACCTACCGCTCCTGGCCGTAATCCATTTTTTAAATGAACTGACCAACCACTAGCACATAGTAGGAGAGGTCTAAAGAACTAGAATATTCTTTATTGTTTGATGTTATAATTGTCTATTTACAAGTCTGTTTCTCTCACCTCATTATAAGTGCCTTGCGTCCAAGAACTTTGTTGTATTCATTGTTTTATGTTCAGGCCTAAAGTGGTGCCTGGCATAGAGTAGAAACTCAACAAATGTTTGTTAAAATTAAATGAGATCCTGTGTGTGGATGTACTTTGAAGCTTTGAACTGCTGTGGAACTGTGGGAAGTGCTTTGAATGGACACACACATTAGTATGTCATCATTTCTGCAAGTAGAAACTCAGTAATACAGCCACTTCCAGGGTCAATCAGCAATGCCAGTAAAACCTGATGGTTAACAGAGTGAGTTCTAGAATAGAGAGACCTACTTTTGAATCTTGGCTTCACAACTAATTAGCTGGATGACCTTGGGCAAGATATGTAAATGCTGTGCACCTCAGTTTCCCCATGTGTGAAGTAGAGACTATTACAGAGATACCTACCTCAAAACATCTAAATGTCCATCAGTTGGGTGTTGATATGGAATAAGCTCCAAGTTATATTATTAGGTGAAAAAGTAAGTGGTGAAAAATGCTTACAATATGATCCCATTATTGTTTAAGAAGAAGGGGAAAGACAAAGAATATCAATATCAGCTTACATATGCACAAAGAGTTTCCAGAGGAAGATGAAAGAAATTGTTAAAAGTGATTATATCTGTGGAGTGATGCCAGAGAGCAGTTAAAATTTAAAGAGGTGAAGGAGGCAATGCACAAGAGGTTTGCTAGCAAAAATTTCTGTTGCATAAAAAAAGAACAGGAAGATCCGTAGCAGTCAGCTTGGATTAGCATGCTGCCAGAGCTCTAAGGTTAGAAGCAAAACCAAGATAAGCCTTACATCAGGGATGTCAAATCCAGACCATGCAGTCACTTCTTCCTCCAAAACACCTGAATCAGGACATTCTTCACCATGGAGCCTGGACAAGGCCTCAGAAACCTTCTTAAGTCAGTGCTCCAGGCGACCACTAAAAGTTGACAGAAATTGGACAAAGGAATAAAAGCTATTTCCCATCCAGCATTACAGCAACAAAATGAGTTGAGAAGATTCTATAAAGAAAAGGGTACTTGGGCTACGATTACCGAGCCTAAAAGGAGAATAGCTGGGAGGTGAATTAACAATGGCTCCAAAGAAAATGTGAGACTTTTAAATGGAAGGTAGTAGATGAACAGTACTAAAATATTTGCTTCGCAGTATCTTCAGGTCTGTTATTCCAAAGAAACCAAAAGAGTTACAGCCCTAGTCTTTACTGTCTGAAATTAAAATCTCCACAGGATACTCATTATAATGAATATGCTCACTTAATAAACCTGGCATTTCTATAACACTTTTATAATCAACACATTTTCAAACCAATCATGATTGGCAGCTTGGCTTCACTTTGCTCTCACCATCCTCTGAGCTAAGTAGTGCAAATGTTGTTAGATTTTATCATGTTGATAAACATCCCTTGGTTGCTGAGCAGTTGAGGGGCTTGCTGGGATCACACAACAGGCCAGTAGTGATATGGGACTACGACCCAGGGTTCCTGACAACCTGGATCTCTTTCCTTGAATGTCAATTCAAATGGAAGCAGACTTACTGGTGAGCTAAGTTGGTGGAGCAAAGAGCTAGGGTTAAGTAGGTTATTACAGCGAAGGTGACCCATTTTATATGCATATGGTGCGGGACAGGTGAGCCCCAAAATTGGGGCTTAGCTGGCTAGCGTTCTTGGTTTTGGCCAGGAAAGAATTCTTGGGCGAGTCAGTGGTGTTAAACAGTAAATTTTATTGAACTGTATTGCTCCTTGCAGAGCAGGGCTAATTCATATGCAGTGTGCCCAGAGTGGGCAGGATATGGGATGTTGTCAACTTCAGTTATATCCACTTATACCCACTTTTAATTATATGCAAATTAAGGGGTGGGTTAATGCAAAATGAAGGGATGGGTTATTTAGAACTTTCTTACAGGTCATTGCCATGGAAACAGAAGGTTACTTTCGGGTCGTTGCCATGGCATTTCTAAACTGTTATGGCGCTGGTGGGAGTGTCTTATGCTAATGATCAGCAAGGGCAAATAGAGGTTGCCTTCGGTGCCACCTACTGGTGCGTGCCGTTTTTTTTTTTAACTTTAGTTGGGCGCCACCTGCTGGTTCTTGACTTTTTTTTTTTTTTCAGCTTGTCGGGACCAGGAAATGTCTTACTGGTCTATCACCTCATGTAGGTTGACGGGTTCTGGGGATCGGCTAGATATGTTACCAGTTGATTGGGCACCAACTATGAGGGAGGCAATACTGAGCACTTTGTATTTATTGTCTCACTGAAGCTTCCTATTGCTCAGGCAAAAAAAAAAAACCACACAGTGAAGTTTCCTCAATTCCACTCTTCCATACCCCACATCTAGTCTGTCAGAAAATCCTGTCGGCTCTCCTATCATAATGTACCCAGAATACGCCCACTTTTCACCACCTTCAATGCTATTCCTCATCATCTCTCACCCAAATAATGACAATCACTTCCTCTCTAGTCTCCTTCCTTCCCCCTTTCCCAGCTCCAGTTTATTCTCAACACAGCAGCCAGAGAGATCCTTTGAAAACTCAGAACATATCATGTCACTATCTGGCTCAAAACTCTGTCATGGTTCCCAGTTTCACTCAGAGTAAAAGGCAGTGTCTTGACAGTAGCCTATAAGGCCTCCATGACCCACCATCCTGCTCTCTGTGCAATTCCTTCCCTCTTCCTGGCCTTTGCACGCTCTGTACTCTCTCACTGGAATGCTGTTCTCCAAGAATCTGTCTGGCTTTTCCCCTCACCCCATTCAGGCCTCTGCTCAAATACCACCTGACCAGAGAAGGCATCCATGACCACCCTATTTAAAATGACTTCTCCTCCCTACCCCAGTCCTTGCTAACTCTTCCTGGTTTTTTTCATAACACTGATCCCCATCTGATACACTAAATCTTTTTTTTTTTTTTTGCATATTGTGCATTTTGTATGTCTCATTACAGGAATGTAGCTCTGTGAAGAAACTACTGTATTTTTAGCACCCAGAACAGTACCTGATACCAAGAAGTTTCTCAAGAGGCATTTGCTGATTAATTTCTGAAAAGAGTTTTGTGAAATGGGTACCATTATTATTCCCATTTTACAGATGAAGAAATGTCATAGCGTTTCAGTGGTTTAGTTAGGGTTACTCATCTAGTAAGAGGTGAGTCAGGTCTCCCTGCCTCTGTAGAGATAAAATTCATTCTCTCTCTCTCTCTCTCTCCTTCCTCCTTTACACATCCGAAAACACATATACACATGCTTACGTGAACATTCTGCAACATTCTGCAAATATTCTCAGTGTCACTGTAACTAAATTTTTAGAAAAAAATAGCAAAGGACTAACTGGAATGAGCTCCATCAGCAGGAGGAAAAGAAGCAAAAAACTCAAGCAAAAATAATATGACTGAGGAGGAAAACTAGTATTCAATGCAAAACATTAAGGAGGTTTTTGTGGGTGGAAGCAATCTTGTTCATCTACTTGTGGCAGGATATTTCGAAGAAGTATTATTGTGGGGTTTGTTCTCTGTTACAAAGTAATCAGAATGAGAGGTAGTTTTCTTCCTATTTCCTCAAGGCCTCACTCTCAGAAGGGCCCTGTGCTTGGTTTAAAGCCCTGCTGTCATTGTCTTGAAATTGTGAATAATTTTATCTTTGATTTTGTGGTTTGTAAGTGAAATCTAATGGGACAACAGAACATTTGTGTTAACACACAACATATGCCAGGTGGTAGTATGCACATAGCAGTTCATGCAATGCACTATGCACACCCAGGGTAGTCCAGGGTACTGCAGGTTCTTGAAAGAATAGCTGTGGCCAGGATCTAGGTCAAGACTGGTGGAGTCAATAGTGGTGGAAACAGCAGAAGCTACAGTTGTCATGGCAGTGGCTGCAGCCCCAAAAAAGAGGGGGTGCTCCATATGGGGCCAGCACTGGGACCAAGGTGGACATTCACTTACCTGTCCATCCCCAAAGCCCATCCCTCTGCCATCTACACGAATAGCTACTCTCTGACTTGAATTTTGGGACAGGTAACTGCCTGTTTTTAGGCAATAAAGTTTGTCAGCAAATTACTATAAAACAAGTATAAAATGCATTGTACATTGCAATAAACATATCAGAGAGTTATTTGGAGTTTTCAAAGAGTTTAGAATTTCTGGGTTTGAAACCTGTTGCAGCCTTGCAAAGGAAATATCCACAGGCTTAGAAAAGAATTAATTTTAAAGATTATCCTATTCAACAGAAAATAAATATTTTCATATAAAGCTTCGGATGAACCAAATATTAAAGATGAAGACAATTTGAAAATTAACATTTCCTTGTAATTGAAGATAGAGTGGTGGAATGCATAAACAAGCATTTTGAATGGTTTATAAATGATGAAGTCACTTTTGGTTAATTATATAACCTCCACGAGTTGCAGGAAATGTCAAATAAACATTAAAATACCATTGTTTACATTTACATTTAAAGTTAAATTCTGACTTACATGAAACTGACTTGTATGAAGAGTTATATCTTTTTAGAAAAATTGTTTCATGAGAATCATCAGCTCTAGATGTAATAAAATTTATATTTTAAAATAATTTGTTAAAACCTTACCCCAATGTTGTCCTTCTCTAGAAATACTCTTGACAGCATCAGTTACAGTTGCATGAGCAGAAAAATCCTTCTCAATATTAAAACATATCAAAGGGGATTTGCAATCTTACATTTGTCACCAGTAACTGATGGTACTTTCAATTATATTGACTAAAAACAAGGTTGCTGTAAGTATACGTTTTGGTGATATTATAAATTAATTTGCAGAAAAGTGAGCCAGAAGAATCTTGTGCTCAATCAAGATGTCACATTAATGAAATGTCATTATTCACTGTATATATAAAATTATGGCACTGATTTATAAAATTATGAAACAAATATTATTCTTTGCATTTCTAAAGATTATGCCATTACTCATGTGTCACTATTACCCCTATTAAGTTTCATAAGTAATAAAATATTTCTAAAGGGAGAAGTTTCATAGTTTCGTACCTTTAACATCACTTTTTTCTGATTCTTGAACAAGGGACCCTGAATTTTCATTTTGCACCAAGCGTCAAAAATTATGTAGCTGGTCCTGCTTCAGGATTATATCATTCTCTCTGCCACCTACCCTACCACTCCACCACACACACACACACAGCTAATCAAACAAGCTTTTCCTTATTTTATATATTATTTGATTGAGGCACAGCTTTATCCAGGCACTAATCACCTCATTTATGTTAAGATGCTGTAAGTTAATAGGAAACATATTCTTCATCCCAAATAATACATGTATTTTAATAGAGGTTTGCGCTGACAACCTTGAAAGGATGTTGTTTCATCCTGGTCTGTAGTTCCCCGCAAAGGTTCTGACATAGAACTGACATTTGATAAATATCTGTTAAATTAAGTGTATGGTAAGTGATTCTGGAACTCCCTAGCAGGCTATTAGTAGTGCTGTTCTCAGTCAAGGGCACATTTCTTGGTTGTTACACGAAAAATGAATGTATGAACCATATGCAGATCTTTGCTCCACTTTGTCCCCAAAGTGTAATTGGTATCTAACCTCAGCTTTCCTGTGCAGGCTAGAGCCTAGTAAATGAGATAAGTTGGGCTCCGAGCCCAAGAACACCTTACCACAAGTAAGAGATGGCCTTCATTTTGAAACAAAGCACACACATGCCCCTGAATTTCAAAGCAAGGTGCCCCAGTCTCCAGGATGAAAGGGATGAATCTACTGTCAGCTTCTAACTAACTTCTTTGTTCCTTCATGTTTTATTTTCCTAACAAGGGTCAGTCCCTCTGGTTCTTACTGTCACTATCATTCCAGGCTCACTCACTAAAACTCCACTGTGGGTTTTGACAAGAATCCATTTTGTAGAGCTGAGCAGGGTAGCATTTATTCAAGAGTTTTAATGCATGCTATGAGGATATAAAAATTAAATTGACATAAAACACAAATAGAGAGAAAAATAAGATTTTCAAAGTACAAATTTCCAATTTTAAGAGTGTTAGTAAATGAATCCAGCTGACTAGGTCCCCAATCATCTGACTAAAAATTTATCTTCCTCCTACTATACATAATGAGCCTCTTTCTCTCCCAGCAGCATGTCTACCTCTTGGCTTTTATGTACTATATTGTCCCTCACCTTGAGACTCTCATTCCAACTCTTACCACCAAAGATTTGCCAAACCCTCAGGTGACCCTCAGTCCTTTCTAGAGCTAAGGATGAGCTAAATTATTGACTTGGATGCAAAACACTACTACTTTACAAATCATTGTTGGACTGAGTGTTTACCCCAGTTTTAAAGTTCATTCTATCACACAGAAACAATTGATTTTATTAAAGCCAGTTTGCTTTTTGCAAAATTGTGTAACAGCTGTTTCAACATAAAGCACTTGAAGCACAAATATTAGATAAGCACATGTACAGAAGGGAATGGGGTGTCAGAAATAAAATGATTTAGATATGGTACTTAAGGAATATTGAAGTATGATAAAATAAATCCTTGTTATGAATCATTTCTGAGACCCATAGAGATAGATTTGTGCCTATGATATGCCATATCTCACACTTTGTTGCGTCTCCCATAGAGCCCAGCACCTAGCATATTCTCTTTAATACTGGAGTGCTCAGTAAAGGTCCGGTAAGTGATTGACTGGTTGTTGCTCTTGCAAAAGAAAACAATTCATTTTCTGATGAGCTTTGTATTTAAGATCCAAATCAGACAAGCTAGTTTATTTTTCTTCAAAAATGGTGATTATTTACTCTGTTGCAAATAAATATAGAATGCCATGTCATCGAGAAAACATTTCTGAATCTACGGACACACAGTCAAAAGAAATACATAAGAAGAAAGAATACACTGAAAAGATATCTCCCTTTTCTGAGTTTAATAAATGACCATTTTAACAAAAGCTTGTGAGACGAAATTGCTTTATGAATGAGACATTTTATGTCAAGTTCCAGCCAGTAGCTGACAACACTTTCAGTGCAATGTTAACAATTTGAAATATATTGAAATAATTTTATAAATTAATAATGTAGCTATGAAAAGCTCAACCTCATAATCATTCTCCTCTGGAAACACTCCATTCCATCTTATTTTTATAAGCACTTTATATGGAAATATGATACGTTGCTCCTGTTAAGCAAACTACTTTAGGAGGCAAAAAATTGATTTATTGAATAATTAGCATGCAGATAGAGAAAAGCTATGTGCCTTGCAGAAGATCTAAAATTGTTATTGGGAGCAAAGTGATAGTCATATTTTTTTAAACTGTATCAGCGATTGCAGATGCCAGGCACATTCGCAATAACAGTACAATTTAGTCACGGATTAGATATGGACATGGTGTTAGCATTTTAGTGTGAGAATAATTTTGGTAATATAAATGTGAGCAAACCTTTGAGGATTTAGAAAGGCCAGATAAGGCATAAAGTATATCCTGGCCGTGGCAGCGTAACAGGGTCATTGTAGGAAGAGGATATATAATGTAGATTATTCATGACCTCAGAGAAGACAGCGACACACAGAAGACTCTTACTAATAAAAATAGAGATGATGTTGCATACATTTATGAAATTCCCAGAGAGTAGCAAGTATGATATTGGACATATTAAAAGGTCAAGTGCTTCTCTCTCAGCACTAAGAAAGAAATATCAGAATGTCCCTAAAGATAGATAAAGCATAAAGCAGTGAGTTTTAATAAAAGTTGTGGTTGGCAGACAATGGAAATTAATGACCAACTAAGTTAGTGATCAAATTGGCATGTCTGCAATAACCACAAACAAACTTTATCTCTCTGTCAAAGGAAAACAAACAGGAAACTCAAGAGGTTTGAGATAACAGCCAAATTATTCTTTGCTTATACCTTCCTTCAGGATAGCCATGAGGGAAAAAATGTGAAAATGTGACAATAAGCTGAAGTTTTAGATATGAAAGGAGATAATTATCTCAAAGTGCTTTGTAGGTAATAAACAGCTGCATGAAAGATGGTAATGATAGTAATACAACCTTGTGACTTCCAAAGTGCCTTCAGATTCCTGCTTTTATTTGAGCTAGGTGTTTTCACATATCTATTATTTCCCATGATACTCAATGTATTAATCATTTCCAGGGGAAATAGAGATTCCAAGAGCATAAGTGACCTGTCTATGATTAGGCAAGGCAGTAAGTGAGTGAAACTGGGAGTCAAATTCAGGTGCCCAGATTCCCTGTCCAGAACAATGGCTATTAGGCCTCTATATGGTTCTTGATCAATCCGTCTCTCTTCTCACTGAGAAGGTCCCCAGTTGCTCAAGGTGGAGGCCATTCCATGTTAATATTCTGCCTAAAATATAGACACTGGCTTGAGACACCATTGTTATATACTCTTGTAACTAGTCATTCTTTCCCATTTAATTATTTTTTGAACTTATCCCAAATAGTCAAAATCCTTTTTATCCTTTTCTCACAAGAACAATTACCTGGTAACATTGATTAAATTCTGGCTTGAAAATCCCGCATTATTTTCAACCAATGCAACAAACAGTAACTACTTGACTTATGAGGCAATGTATAGTACCTAATGTTTCTTCCTGTGAGGATTCAGAGCTACTCAAGGTAGAAAAAAAAAAGCAAATTAAAATGCTTCTAAAAAGAGATATTGACTTTATTAAGCATATTCCATGTTGAATAGAACTGCAACTTTAATAACAACTGCTAGCCAGGTCATTCCTTTAAGTAATTTAAGTGCATCTAATTCTTCAACTTAAATTTTGCTATCGTGTAATTTTCCAGTTTACACATTCCGTGTTCAACTTAGTAAGAAATATTTGCTATATGCACAAAGGAAAAGAGGTAAATTATTATTTCGAGGCTTCTTGGTATGCCATTCAAGTTTGAAAATATGCTGGATAACACACACAAAAACAACTCTCTTAGTAGCTGAAGGAAGTGTCAGGCATATAGAAATATATTTCCTATCCCTGCTGAGAGAAAGAGAGCCAGCAAAACTTCAGGATTTCCCACAGGTTGGTCTTGGCATTCACAAATAGCCTGAAGATGTTCAAGTGACAAGTAAGTTAAAAGGGAAATTCTTTCTCCTCCCCAACTGAGAGACAGAAAGCTTAACTTCTTGAAAGTTTGCTTACAAGTTAACAAATTAAATGTTTAGAATACCAAATGTAATTCATTGGACCCCACTCCCACGCCTTGATATGAATACAAAACAACTCCGTTAAATATGGCACAGAGAAAAGAGATGAAACCGGAGGCATAGTTTATCAGATCTTCTGGGGGAAAGAAAAAAGGAACAAAAGATGGAAAATAAGCCTGAATGATGTCTTGTGGTGTACGCTATAAAACTGTGACAAACATTCCAAAATGCTTGTGTCATATCCTAAAAGGTCATTTAAATGTCACCCTGTGCTCAAGGTGAAGGTACTGGCTTCTATCCCCAAATGGGCCAATAGACTTTTGCTCACATTTCAAGTCTCTAACTGTGCCTCTAACCCCAAGTGAGCCTCTTGCAAAAGTGGCTAGAGAGGCTGAGTGAGACTGTGAAAGAAATACTATGAAAGAAGCAATGAGCAGCATGAGTTATCAGCCAATTTACCAAATTACTATGGTGGAATGGAGGCTGCAGAAAATTGATAGCCTCGAGTTCTGGCCTTTAATATCTTAGAAATAAGCTGGAGGAGTTAACATAGTTTGAAACAATAAGGGTGAAACCTCAAAAAGACTCTTGACATAATTGGATTTCAGAAAAGAAAAAGTTTGAGGCATACCAGACTTGTTAAGAAAATCTACATGGAGGATATGAGTACTGAACTGCATCTTAAAGGCAGGATAGATTTAACTGGAAAGAGAATAACTGTATTCATGTCTTGAGTGCTTATTCTGTGCCAGGCATTGGGTTAGGTCTTTTTACATACATTATCTAATTGACTTCTTACCTTGGAGAGGCCTTATTGCCCCCATATTGTAAATCAAGAAGCAGAAGCTTAGGAAGATTAACTGACTTTTCCAAGGTCAGACAGCTGGTAACTGACTTTGGAAGAATATCATGATCATAACCTTACAAGATCTTGCACAGCTAGCCCCTGCTTGTCTCTCCAGTCTCATCTCACAGCACTCACCTGCTCATTTAACACACTCTAACTATAAATGAACCACTCATCACAGGATGTTCAGATCTTGGGTTCCTTCTGCTTGCATAAATCCTTCTTTACCTGCAGCATGTCTGTGCATCTAGTATATATTTTAAAGTTACTTCTTCAAAAAGGCAATCCCTGAATTAATCAAAACGAAGTTCCTGATTAGACTCACTGATAGACATACTATTAATGGCACTTATCATAGTTTATGTCTAAATAATTATACACCTGTTCTATTAGTCAGTGTTCTTCAGGCTGTCAGGCTGGAGATTCAGATGAGAGTTGGTGTTGGGAACTTGAGTCCAAACCCCACAGGCTAAAAACACAGGCAGGATGTCTGCTGCAGTCTTGAGAACTTCTTCTTTGGGAGACCGCAGTCTTTGTGTCTTAAGGTCTTCAACTGATTATATGAGGCCCATCCACATTATGGAGGGTAATCTACTTTCCCCAAAGTACTACAACAGTTACATGTTGACCATATATTTAAAAAATGCCTTTATAACAACATCTCGACTGGTGTTTGACCAATCAACTGGGCACAGTAGCCTACCCAAGTTGACACATGCAGTTAGCCATCACACATGCCTATTTAAGGTTTATTTTCCCTGCTTAACTACAAGCTCCATAGGGATAGAGACCTAAATCATTTTTGTTTCTTCATGACTGTATCCACAGTTCCTAGAATAGCATCTGTCATATAATAAATGGTCAAAAATTACCGTTGAAGGAAAGAAATAACTGGCAGATATTACTGACTGGTTGACCTAGCATTGGCAGACAATTGACAATAAGAATTAATAAATCAATATAGGACAGTAAGCATTTCTACCCACTCAGATTTAATTCATTTAATCAACCGTTATGAATAACTTCTATCAGCATGGAATTATTCTAGGTATAGAGGGGATACCAAAATGAATATAATAGGAGTCTCACCAAGGTTACAACACAAAGATGTCTATTGCAGCAGTATTTATAGCATCAAAAATTGAAAATAATCTAAATATCCAACAATAAGGCACTGAAAGAACAACTATTGGTGTGAGATTAAGGGCCAGTAGCTAAGTTTGAAGAGTTTATGTATGGTACACCTTTTGCACTATGGCCTGGTTATAACCTACTTATTTATGTACATAACTAGGTACCATGAAGCAGCAGTGAATGGCAGTTTTAGTAGACCGTCCTGTTAATATTCATTGTCAGCCTGGGCTCACTTGCAGAGACAGGGATGGTGGCTCTACCTCTAGATAGAGTATGTACTATGCACCAAGGACTCTTCTAGGTGTTGGAGATAAAGTGATGAACAAAACAGACATCTATTCATGCACTCCTGGAGCTTGCATTACAGTAGGGAAAGATAGATAAACAAAGTAAAATACATGCTATGTTATTAATCAACACCCATGAGAAAAAGAAAGTACAGAAAGGAAAAACAAAAAATCTTAAATTGCAGAGGAGGGGAATATTAGATAGGAAAACCAAGGAAGGCTTCACAGAGAAGGCGACAATTAATTTAAAACTTTTTAAAGAATTGAGAGAGTGAACCATTTGTATTCCTGGAGGAAGAAAGTTTCATGCAGAAGGAACAGCAAGTACAAAGACCTGAGATGGGAGTTGTCCTGGCATAGTTGAGGTTGGAGCGGAGTGAACAAGAGCAAGAGTAATAGGAGATGAGTTTAGAGATTTAGTGGTACAGGCAGGGGGAGATAAAAGGGAGACATTGTGTTATGTGAGAATGTGAGGAAACAAATGATTTTGGAATTTATTGGAGCATGTATTTCTCAGGTCCAGAATGGTATTGAATCTTAAGTCTAAATGTAATTTATATATCCAGTAAGCACAAAAGAAGACCTTATCCTCACAAGCAGCTTATCTAGAGCCTACTCAAATTATCAAACCATAGAAATGTGCTAATGTAACATTTTTAACCAGAGTACACAAACTTGGACAATTCTTGCAGTAACATACATTAACTTATTAATAGATTGGCTACTTCAAGAAGCCTAAAATCACACAAGTCTACTACACCTACAGTCAAGGTGAGGTCCTGTTGCACAATCTGGGCATTCAAATAGTTAAGTCAGCTAAAGGAAAGACACACTGCATTTGATATTAGAGCAGTAGAATAAATATCAGCATACACATTGAGAGTGGCATAAAATTCAAGACAGTAATAACTTTGAAGGGAGGGATGTAGTGACAAGAAAGGACCATGAAGAGGGTCTGTGGCATGCTTGGTATGACTGATGCAGAAATAAGTGTATTTACTTTTGAAAAAATTATTGAATGACAGGCTTATAACCTGTGTGCATTTTATTGTCCATACCTACTTCAACAAGAAGTGTACTTAAATCAGTGTCAGGGCAGGGCGTGGTGGCTCACACCAGTAATCCCAGCATTTTGGGAGGCCAAGGCAGGTGGATCACCTGAGGTCAGGAGTTCAAGACCAGCCTGGCCAACATGGTGAAACCCCGTCTCTACTAAAAATACAAAAATTCACCTGGCGTGGTGGTGGGTGCCTGTAATCCCAGCTACTCAGGAGGCTGAGGTGAAGAATCTCTTGAACCCAGGAGGCGGAGGTTGCCATGAGCTGAGATCCCGTTGTTGCACCCCAGCCTGGGCAACAAGAGTAAAGCTCTGTCTCAAAAATAAATAAATAAATAAATAAATCAGTGTCAGGGTGGGCACCAGAGGTAGAGCTGTCAAGGTAAAGAAATAATCACAATGAGCAAATGATGTCCAGGAGCTGGTAGAGACAGATTCAGTCCTACCCCCAGGAAACCTGGCAGATGACCCTAACATGGCCCAAAAGGAAAGACATTCCCATTCCTAGAAGAATGTGAGAGTAAGAGTAGGATGGACAGGAAAGGGGATAGAAGAATAAGGGTAGTTGGCACCCTAGAGCAGGAACCAGTGAAGGAACAAAGGGAAAGCTTCACTGAAAAATCAACTCACAAAAGATAGATTAATAAGAGAGAAAGCATATACATTTATTTAATCATAGTTTTATATGACACGGGAGCCTTCAGAATGAAAACCCGAACACCCAATGAGGTGCAGAAGCTTATATATCCTCTTGAGCTTACAAAAAGAATGGGAGCTCAAAGCATGGTCAAAAATGGTTATGGTGGTAAATCAGGTAATAATGGCAAGAGAGGTGATGAGACGGAGAAAAGAGGAGACTTGGGTAGCAAAGGTGGTCTTGTTAGGTAAATGAAATCTCACAGGTAGTAGCCCTTAGAGAGAATAGATGGTAAATTTTGTTTTAGACCTTTAAAGGTGTCAGGCCCTCAGTTAATCTTTTCTAGATCTGGACAAGAAAATGCATGGCTGCTTTAATATAGATTCTCTACAGATAAAAAATTTTCCCGAAGAAGACAGCATTACAGGACCACTTCTGTTTGCTGGCCCTCTAACAGCCATCTCAAACTATGTCAAAGAAATATATTTGGGGGTAAAATGTTTGTATTTCCTTCAGTAAAAATTATCCCACTGTAAAGAGTGGTATGATACCTGCCACCCAGACATGGGATGGTTGTAAGGAGCAACCTTCCTTCCTTAGCAAGGCTTATGTGTCCCTGCAGTATACATCTAAGCCACCAATGACAACTCTACCTGAGCAGGGTTGGAATCCACTTCTTAGGAAAGGAAATTGGTGTCTAAAGGCACAGGATTTATCTCATATCACTTTGGCTTGTGATGAATCATACATTCTCAGAAAAAAGCACATTCCAAGAAGTCAGAAGCTGCACAACATACAAGGCTCAGTGGTACTAAGTTAGATACCATTTCTCCATGTTCATAAGCACAAAGGGAGAATCTGTCCCACAGAGATTCCCACAGAGAATCTGTGTTTTGAAAGTTCCAAATATTTCACTAGGGGGAGAGGATGCCCCTCACATGGCCTTCTTCTTCAGAAAGTCACAACGTGATAAGCTTGTATGACTGTCCACTTACCCCAAAGGCCATCAAATCTCTTTGTATTCTTCGTGAGAACACTTCTAACACCTGAGCCCTTGCCAATCAGACACATAACCACCAAATCATTGAATTGAGTATAGTATGTGGATCTATAATTTGAACTATTGCCCACCCGCTTATACGAGACCATAATGACTAATTCCATAATGCTTCACATCCTTGCTTACCTCACTCATCTTTTCTATACATCCTTTCTATATTGCTCTGTATAATTTGACTCAATCCCCTACCTATCACGTCTAAGCTTTTGGGGACTTATTTCCTATTCAATCTGTTGTATATCTTCTACCTCTTCCCAGAACCATCCCTCTACCTCCTCATCTTAATTGTGACCTGCCTGTCCCATGAGGGTGTGCAACTCTCAAAAGTGATTTTTTTCCTTTCATAATCCTAGAATCCCAGAGCTAGGGGCAGTCTTATTTCTCACTGCCGCTTCAAAATCATGTCTTCTCTTTTCTTCAAAATCCCCAACTCGTTAAAACCTCACACAATCAATGAAATCACCTGCTACCTCTCCTAGTTGCCTCCAACTAATGACCTCCTGGTGTCTTTTCATTCACTGAAATCTTTGCCTATGGTTCCCTGACACCATTTCCACTTCTGTCCAGTTATAATGTTTAGTGATACCAGTTACCACACACATGAAATGTCCAATATTCTGAATTCACAGCTTCTTGACTTCCTCCAGTTGTCTCTCCCTCCACCTCACCTCAGTCACCCACTTCCCATGTATACACACTCATGCTTAGCATTACCATAACTGCACCACATCTGAAATCTTGATTTCAGTCTCTCTCCTGTACCCCTACTCCAACAATTTTTCAACTACATTGTAATCTCCAATGCATTGACCCCATCACATTTTTAAGTCCCAACACCATTTTCACTTCCTCACTCCTTTACCCAAATTATATCCCATCGTCAAGCACTATAGCCACCCCCTTCTTATACACTAGTCCTTCTATCCCTCTGAGCAAGGAACAAAATTTCAAACTTGGTTGAAGTGAAATATGTCATTTTCTCACATGGAAAACTAAGCATCTGAATATTGCTTTGAAAAATATTGCCTGGGAAAATCCTCTTTAAATTCATCATCACAGTCCTCATATGGACACTATATGGTGCCTGGAAATTCTACGTTTCCCCCAATACATTTGCTTTCATCATCTCCATTTTGTACCTTTATATTTTTCCTCAAACCTGTCAGAGCCTCATCCACACACTTTCAACAGATGGCCTCACCTTGTTCTGCTTTGAGAAGTTAGTAGCAATTGACTTGAGCATTCTAATCTTTTTCTTATGATAACCAATAATCCTCGTGCTTTTAAATTCAGTGACTCTTCCCTGTTATTGTCTTAAAAACTCATTTTCTTAAAACACATTCATCTCTCAGCATTCAAAACATTACACTCTCCTGATTTTCTTCATACTCTACCTACTTTCTTCATACTTCTCAATTTGTTTACTATTATCATCCTCTTCTTCATAGCCTTTCAATGTTGAGGGATCCCAATGTTGATGGGTACTCTTCTCTAAAAATACTTTATCCCTAAAATATCTCACCCAGGCATATGGCTTTAACTATCAGTCATACACCAAATTTATAGCTTTAGCTTTCACCCTTCTCTGAACTGCAGATTATTATATTCTCAACATCTCCACATAATTGTCTGCTACAGTTCAAACTTAATATGGCCCAAGCTCCTGATTGTCTACTCAACAAACAAATGTCTGCTTATTCCTCAGTCTTTCATGTGTCAGTAAGCGGCACTATCATTCCTCCAGTTGCTAAAACCAAAAACCAATGAGTTATCTTTGATTCTTTCTATTCTGTAATCATTCATATACAATGCATCAGCAAGTTTTGTCAACCTACTTCAAATTATATCCCCGAATCCATTCACCTCTCTCCTTCCTTACTGCTGCCAGAATAGTCCAAGTCACTGTGGATGGTGTCATCAACTTCCTAATTGATATTTCTGCTTCTACTCTTGCCCTTCACAACCAAGAGTCTAATCTCCAAACAGTGGGATAATTCCCAAAGAAATCAGTTCATGTCATTCTGCTTAAAACCCATTCATGCCTTTCCATCACACTGAGAATACAATTCCCACTCCTTCTCATGAGGTACATGGCCTCCTAAGATCTGGCCCCTGACAATTTTCCAATCTCATTGTATACCTCTCTTCTTATCACCTCAATCATACTGGTCTCCTTTCTGTTACTCAAAGAAGTAAAGTTCTTTCTCACATTAACACCTTTGTGCTTGCTGATTCCTCTGCCTGGAGTGCTCTTTTCTCAGCTCTTCATGTGGCTGGCATTTTTTTGTTGTTGTTGTTCATTCCGATATCAGGACAAATGTCATGTCTTCAGAGATGTCTTTCCTGAGAATTCTTTCCAAAGCAGCCACCCTTCTCCCCGACCACACTCTAAGACACCACCCTGTTTATGTCTTTCATATCACAACAGCCTGCAATTATGGCTTTGTTTGTTTATTGGGCTATTTTCTTATTATCTATAGAAACTACAAATTGTTTGAAGGCAGAGACCTTGTCTTTCACACTATGGGCATATGGAACACCTTGACTGTATGGTCCAGTGAGTTGTGAGAAATTTGTCCCCACAACAGACAACTCCACTGGAGAGACAGCAACAACAAGGCCAACTTTGCTCCTCCTTATAGGATAGCTAGAGGAATAGCCAACAGTTGCCTACTACCCAAGTCTCATACCATTTTCTGCTTAACTTATCAGAAAAACAAGTCTAATAATGAAAAAAACTTAAAAAAAAAAAATTTTGTTGCTGTGAATCTAGAACAAATAAAAAATGTACTCTTCAATTCCATTAAGCAATTATTTATTCAGTGTTCACTCTGGTTCTAAGTCTTGTCCTCAACATTGATGATACAATGATCCATAAGACAAGGAGCCAGTCCTCAGAAAGCATACAGCCTAATAGGGGAGAGGGGTAGGAAGAAACTGTGAAACAAATATTTCTGTTGTAAAGCAGTGAGAAGTGTTGTCCTAAAGGTTAAAAAAAAAAAAAAAAAAAAGAAAAAGCAGTCAGAATACAAAAGAAGTTGGATTTGTGAAGGTTTTGCCAAAAAAAGACAAACTTAGATTACTATTTAAAGCCAATATCACTGAAGAAAAGACATCAATCATACATAAACTCACCCAGCAGGCATCTGGAGGATTCCTGAATGAAAGTGGAACACAATAGCTATGGCATTTTCGCATTTTCTATGCCTTTTAGCAAGATCGAGTCCAACCCTGGGGTCCCTAGACTCTGTGTTTGAGAGCCTCATGTATCATAAACACTTCTGTGCCCTTGAACTTTCTGTGCAGTCAGAACCATAGAGTGGCAGAGCAGGGGAATAACTTAGTGGAAATCATTTATCTGCTCGGCTATCAAAGAATCCAGTACTTACAGTGTCGTGTTTAAAGGGGCAAGGTGTCAGAGAAAGTACAGCTCCCTGGTGTACAGTTTATTACATAAAAGCAAAACGACAGTTTGCCAGAAACTTTTATTCCAACTCTTGTACACCAATAAGACAATATGTAAAACTGCCACATAATATAGACTGGTCCCAGCACTTAACAGAAGAGGCCAGAGCTTCCCTAACTCATAAATCAGGATATCTAAATAGATCAGTTATTCTTAGAATATTAAATGAAGAGTTACAAAGCCACGTACGCTTAGATAGAACATGTCGTTGTCTGAATTCTGATTTCCTATACGTAAAGAATTTAATAGGCTGGGCGCAGTGGCTCATGCCTGTAATACTAGCACTTTGGGAGGACGAGGCAAGTGGATCACCTGAGGTCAGGAATTTGAGACCAGCCTGGCCAACATGGCAAAACCCCGTCTCTACTAAAAATACAAAAATTAGCCAGGCATAGTTAGGGTGCCTATAATCACAGCTACTCGGAAGGCTGAGGCAGGAGAATCGCTTGAACCCAGGAGTCGGAGGCTGCAGTGAGCCAAGATCGTGCCACGGCACTCCACCCTGGGCGACACAGTGAAACTCCATCTCTTAAAAAAAAATTAATAATACTGACCTCTCAGAGTTCTCACGAGCACCAGATGGAATGATACATGTTCTGAGGTATTATCTGATGTATGTAAAAATGCAGTATCACTGCCATGTCACACTACCTTCTCAAATTTTCTGGTTTCCCCTCTTTAATTCAGGGGAAAGATTTTATAGTCCCCTCCTGCCTCCTGAGGAATACCAGTGGATTTAATCTGATTCCATCACCAACAACAGAAATTCTTTTAAGAAATGTTGGTGTGCCGCACCCATTAACTCATCATTTACATTAGGTGTATCTCCTAATGCTATTCCTCCCCCCTCCCCCCACCCCACAACAGGCCCCGGTGTGTGATGTTCCCCTTCCTGTGTCCAAGTGTTCTCATTGTTCATTTCCCACCTATGAGTGAGAACATGCGGTGTTTGGTTTTTTGTCCTTGTGATAGTTTGCTGAGAATGATGGTTTCCAGTTTCATCCATGTCCCTACAAAGGACGTGAACTCATCCTTTTTATGGCTGTATAGCATTCCATGGTGTATATGCACCACATTTTCTTAATCCAGTCTAAAATTGATGGACGTTTGGGTTGGTTCCAAGTCTTTGCTATTGTGAATAGTGCCGCAATAAACATATGTGTGCATGTGTCTTTATAGCAGCATGATTTATAGCACACCAACATGGCACACGTATACATATGTAACAAACCTGCACGTTGTACACATGTACCCTAGAACTTAAAGTATAATTTAAAAAAAAAAAAGAAATGTTGGAGGCTCTTTGAATAATCAGACTATCACCCAATAAGTAACTGCTTGAAACTTTTTAAAAAAATTTTTTTTTGAAACAGAGTCTCGCTCTGTTGCCCAGGCTGGAGTGCAGTGGTGCGATCTTGACTCACTGCAAGCTCCACCTCCTGGGTTCACGCCATTCTCCTGCCTCAGCCTCCTGAGTAGCTGGGACTACAGGCGCCCACCACCACTCCTGGCTAATTTTTTTGTATTTTTAGTAGAGACGGGGTTTCACCATGTTAGCCAGGATGGTCTCGATCTATTGACCTCGTGATCCGCCCGCCTTGGCCTCCCAAAGTGCTGGCATTACAGGTGTGAGCCACCGCCTGGCCGAAACTTTTAAAATGTATCCTTGAAAACAGATCCCAGGGCCCTGAATAAAATAGTAACTTTTTAACTTAGAGTAAGACCTAACTGGTACAATAAGGTAAGAAAAAGAAATAAAAGACATACACACTAGAAAAGAAGAAATAAAACTGTCTTTATTCACAAATGACATGATTGTCTACACAAAAATCTTAATCTAAAAACAAAAATTTCTGTAAATGAAAGCTGAGTTTAGCAAAGTTGTAGGATACAAAGGGATGCAAGGACAATATTCAAAAGTCAATTGCATTCCTGTATTCCAGCAATGAAAAACTGGAAATTAACATTTGACATCTTAAAAAATAGCATTTGCAATAGAACCAAAAAGTGAAGTATTTGGGTATATCTAACAAAATATGTGCAGGAACTATATGCAGAAACTTACAAAGTGTAAGAGGTGTGTGAACCAGAGCAACACCATCTTGAATAGGAGCTGGGTAAAATGAGGCTGAGACCTACTGGGCTGCATTTCCAGATGGTTAAGGCATTCTAAGTCACAGGATGAGATAGGAGGTCGGCACAAGATACGGGTCATAAAGACCTTACTGATAAAACAGGTTGCATTCAAGAAGCCAACCAAACCCCAACAAAACCAAGATGGCCACAAGAGTAACCTCTGATCGTCCTCACTGCTACACTCCCACCAGCGCCATGACAGTTTACAAATGCCATGACAACGTCAGGAAGTTACCCTATATGGTCTAAAAAGGGGAGGGATGAATAACCCACCCCTTGTTTAGCATATCATCAAGCAATAACCGTAAAAATGGGTAATCAGCAGCCCTCAGGGCTGCTCTGTCTATGGAGTAGCCATTCTTTTATTCCTTTACTTTCTTAATAAACTTGCTTTCACTTTATGGACTCGCCCTGAATTCTTTCTTGCACCAGATCCAAGAACCCTCTCTTGGGGTCTGGATCGGGACCCCTTTTCTGTAATATCTTTCTGGCAACCATGAAATGGACTATAGTGCTAAACTCCCAACCCAAAGGCTAACTTTGGGTAAGTGGTGCGGTCTGGTAACATCTTTCTCGAGAATCACAAAAGGGACGATACTGAGGAAACTTCCTGACTCAAAGGAAGTAGACTGCAGCACTGATTGGCTGACTTTGGGTAAGTGGGGTGCATATACCCCAGTAAAGTATGGGATCGGGTTAGAGGCCCAACTTAGGGGAGTTAGAGTCTCTCCTAAGACAGGGTGGGTTAAAGGCCCCTGTTAATAAAAGGCAAAGATGCTTGACTGACCTTGGGCTAGAGGCCCAACTTAGGAGGGTTAGAGTCCTTTCTAAGATTTAGGGGGTTAGAGGCCCCTCTCAGTAAAGTCCCTATTGGTAAAGTCCCTTTCGCCTAAGAACAGGTTTGGCAATATGGGATGCTAACTGCTATTCTCTTTGGATTAACCTGCCGTGTACTATTTGCTGACGGCAGTGGGTGACAAGGTTAGGCATGCACAGGAGTGTGGGACATGGGGAACTTTTTCCTCCCCAAAAAGGGGAAACTTGAGAGCTGATGGGACGGTTGGAAACTTATCCCTTTGCTACCGACAAGTGGCCGCCTGAATTTTTCAGTGCCACTGCAATGGGTGGGTCTTTCTCTGTCCTCCCTGAGCGGCTTGCCTTCCCCATCCTGCCTCAGGCAATGCTTTTCTCTTCTCTGTGTCACTGTCTCTCTCTCTATCTCTCTCTCTGTGCAAACTGGTTGAATGAATGGTAAAAATCACTGTTTGTCTCCTGTAAAGTTTTGATTAATGGGAAAAAAGGATTTGTGAGGCTAGTCTTAAGCTGTAGCTATTTTGGCATGCTTTGTGTGTCTTTCTGTATTCTATAATGGAGAGCAGTACCTTAGGACAGAATGTGGGCCTAGGACACCTGTAAGCCTGCTGTTCAAGATGGCCCAGCAAACTGGTCAGTTATAAACGTTACTGCAGGTTCCTGAAAAAACAACAACAACAACAACAACAACAACAAAAAACCGATGAGGTTTCCCTCTGGTCTTGTATGTCCTTGGGAGCTTGACCTTGTAACCACCTGGCAGTACTTTCTTTTTTTTTTTTTTTTTTTTTTTGAGACGGAGTCTTGCTCTGTCGCCCAGGCTGGAGTGCAGTGGCGCAATCTCGGCTCACTGCAAGCTCTGCCTCCCGGGTTCATGCCATTCTCCTGCCTCAGCCTCCCAAGTAGCTGGGACTACAGGCGCCTGCCACGACGCCCGGTTAATTTTTTGTATTTTTAGTAGAGATGGGGTTTCACCGTGTTAGCCAGGATGGTCTCAATCTCCTGACCTTGTGATCCCCCTGACCTGGCAGTACTTTCTCTTGGTCTCCACCATCACAATGACAGCCTGGGTTCAGAGTTCGATTCCTGGCTTAGGGGATGAGTTCGTTATCTTCTTCTGTCTGTGTATTTATATGTATTATGTGTGTGATGTTTATATATGAAAGAGCTTTGATTAATTGGTTTAATAATAATAAGAGGTCAAATCAGACATTTTGTTAGAAAAATAAAAAGTGTAATGCCTTTTATTTCATTCATGTGACTTAAGTAGTCTTTGGGAAATAAAGATAGTTTTAAAGATTATTGGTAAAACAAATATATCTTCACAAAATAAACATTTGTTCTAAATTATGCAGGTCAGATATTAGGTTTGCTAAATGCTTTAAGGTCATAAACTGCTTCTTTGACTTTTAAAATTTGTTCAATGTACGCTGAAGCCATTCCATTCTACATAAGGCCTGGGGACATGTGGATTTAGCCATGCCCCCTAGCTTTGCAAAGAAGGTTATAAAGAAAAGACATTTTATATAAGAAAGGATCTTGTATGGTAAATTCTTGTCCTAAAGTAAAATGACTGGTTGCTTAAAAAAAAAAGGGAATTTATAAAAGAAATGTTGTACAATTTAAAGGTGATTGAGCCTCCTAAATGCTTCATAAAATGCCACTGTGACTCGTAACTGTACAACTTGCCTGCTTTATAGCTAGGTAAGGCCTGAGACATGTGGAATTAAACACTGGAAAGAGTCAGACTTTATCTGCACTTCTTTCTGGATCCTAGGCTCCACACCTAGTACATAATGAAAATCCCTTACTTGCCAAGGTTTTCACCAAAAGGAAAAGTTGCTAAGAGTTAAGAGTGCAACACGTATTTGAGACTGCTGAAAAGGAAGTTCTCCACACAAGGTGTGTAAGGAAAGTAGAATGTACTTTTGGTAAAACATTATAGGAAATCACAGGAATGTGGATTTTTCTTGCCTAAATTAAATGGCTGAAGGATTGTTTTAAGTTAGAATAAAGCTGAAGGTTTAAGCAAGTTGTGGAAGGTTTGTAAAAAATTAGTTGTAAAAGAAATTCTGTGTGTGAACGCATTGGCTAAAGTTAAAAGGGTGTTCAGTTTTTCAGTAAATTAAACATTGGAATAAGAGTGCAACAGGTTTTTCTTAAAGCAAAAATCTGCTTATGATCTCTTTTACAAAAGTTTGTAAAGGGTTATAAAATGTTTATGAAAATCATATCTTATGGTAAAACTGATTAAGATTGAATACATTTGTCTATAAGGTTTTATTAAGAATGGGGTTTGACATCAATAGTGCACTAATGTAAAAGTGATGCTTGGCTTAATTGGTATAAAAATCATACAGGAAACATTGTTAAATATAAAGCGGTGTTTGGCTTTCCTTGGGCTATATTTGTATAAATGTGTTATTGGTATATTTTCCAAAATTATGGGAAACTCCTGTAATTGTAATTTAACTTAGTATATGTTATTAACAATTATAATTGTTACATAAATTTTTGTATGCCACAGACGTAACCAAGTTTCCTTGTCAATTGTGTCTTTGACTGTGGCTGCCCTAAAACATTTTGTCAGCCACAGACAATTGTTGCCTTGTTTTGGTCATCTTTAGGAGGTGGTTTTTAATCAACTGTAGAAATCTAGCAGGTGTTCTTAAATGCAGGTTTCTGGTAACTTTGGAGATTATAACATCAGAATAAAGGAAAAAAAATTTTTAGAACTCTCATAGAGACCTGAAATGTTCATGAATACAAGCAGAACAAAACTTAACTGCATAAACTAAGGAAATCTGAAGTGATCTTTTAAACTTTTTGCTTAAAACGTTGCTGATCCTTTGTTTTGTTTTTCCAAGTCAAGGAAACTTTTATTTTAAGTCATTTACAGCTTTTAGCAATTGAGTAGAGTATACTCCTGTGAACAAAATTTAGGGCATATTTGTTTCTCTCTACTTAATTTCTCTAGAATTTGGAAACCAGTTGTGAGTATTCTTAACTTATGGCAATATAGTTATTTGCATAAGTTCAATCAGAATCTTTTTTCTTTTGCAACAGGACACAATTGGAGAAACTCATTATTTTTCCAAGGCTTTGACGGGAATGGCATGCTTTCCTTTAAGGAATCAAATTTAACTTGTAAAGCCAACAAAAGCCCCTTGGGATACTGGCCTCATACCTTGCTTACACAGTCTCTGTTCAGGGTTTCTGACCTGTGGTAAATAAAGAATGTCACTTTCTAACACGTCCAGGAGCCCCAAGTCATCTTGGCACCTCAAGAGGAGGGGAATTTACCCAACTTATAGGTATTTGAAAGTACAAACCCATGGCTGGGTTCAGCTCTAAAAAAGTCTTATCTATGATTTCTTCTATGGGACAGAGTTCCATCTAAGCCAATTTAAAAAAGAGCTTATGTGGAAAATAATTATTCTTGCTGCACTTTATACAAATAATCAGGCCAAGTATAATAAAGCAAGTCAGTCTTCTTACCATGATTTGTCTTTGGTAAAAATGGAAAAACTGGAGAGAGAAATTCTGTTTCACAAAGCATGGTACACTTGTTATTAAATTCTAGTCTCATCAGTTGTTTATAAGTTTGTTTCTACAATTTAGACTAGCTCTGCTTATTCCTGTGAACCAGCCAGTGATCTCTAACTGCTGCTCAGAAGAAACAAGAGGGATGGGTAATGTAATAATCTAGATCAGTACTCTAATTCTGGGCATGTATTGGAATTGCCTAGTAACCCCATATCAACTTGGTTCCAACAGTTGCACAGTTCTTGGAAAGCCCTCTAATTTAGTTTACTTGGAATGATTTTACTTATTTTGTTTTATTGTTGGAAAATATATTGCTATTGTGCTTTTTGTGTAGGAATAAGAATAAGCTTACTCAACATTTTCTTCAACTGAATACTTATTAATCTTCCAGATATCACTTTTTGTTGGAACTCAAGAGTTATGAACGGCCTTCAGCATACTGATGCTTTCTGACTAACCTCCTCTCTACCCTGAATACAAGAGACCCTAATAGTTAGGCAAGAATATCATTGCCTTTATTCAGCATGAAGAAGTTACAGAATAGGATTTTTTTTTTTTATTTTTTGAGACGCAGTCTCGCTCTGTCGCCCAGGCTGGAGTGCAGTGGTGCCATCTCGGCTCACTGCAAGCTCCACCTCCCTGGTTCACGCCATTCTCCTGCCTCAGCCTCCCAAGTAGCTGGGACTACAGGCGCATGCCACCACGCCTGGCTAAGTTTTTGTATTTTAGTAGAGACAGGGTTTCACCATGTTAGCCAGGATGGTTTCCATCTCCTGACCTCGTGATCTGCCTGCCTTGGTCTCCCAGAGTGCTGGGATTACAGGCGTGAGCCACCACAGCCAGCCCAAAATATGAATCTTCCTCCCTCTGCAACCCTTACGATTAAGTGTTCTCTTATAAAAGGGAGGGGGAATGTCAGAGGTGTGTGAACCAGAGCAAGACTATCTTGAATGGGAGCTGGGTAGAATGAGGCTGAGACCTACTGGGCTGCATTCCCAGATGGTTAAGGCATTCTAAGTCACAGGATGAGATAGGAGGTCGGCACAAGATACAGGTCATAAAGACCTTACTGATAAAACAGGTTGCATTCAAGAAGCCAACCTAAACCCCAACAAAACCAAGGTGGCCACAAGAGTAACCTCTGATCGTCCTCACTGCTACACTCCCACCAGCACCATGACAGTTTACAAATGCCATGACAACGTCAGGAAGTTACCCTATATGGTCTAAAAAAGGGAGGCATGAATAACCCACCCCTTGTTTAGCATATCATCAAGCAATAACCGTAAAAATGGGCAACCAGCAGCCCTTGGAGCTGCTCTGTCTATGGAGTAGCCATTCTTTACTTCCTTTACTTTCTTAATAAACTTGCTTTCACTTTACTCTATAGGCTTGCCCTGAATTCTTTCTTGCACCAGATCCAAGAACCCTCTCTTGGGGTCTGAATTGGGACCCACTTTCCTGTTAAAAAAAAAGCACTGATGAAAGATTTTTTTTTTAAGGAGCTATACAAATAGAAACATATTCTATGTTCATGGATTGGAAGACTCAATATTGTCAAGGTGTTATTTCTTCATTACTTCATCTATAGCTTCAATGCAAACTCTATCAAATGCCAAGTAAACATTTTGCAGCTATCTCAAGCTGCCAATAAAATTTGTACAGAAATGCTAATAATTTAGAGTAGCCTAAATAACTTTGAAAAAGAACAAAGCTGTAAGATACTATCAGATTTCAAGATTTATTATAAAGCTGCATTAGGCAATACAGCATAGTATTGCCACAAAGGTAAGCAAATATATCAATGGAACAAAATACATACTTGGAAAATAAGCACATACTCATATAAACAACTGATCGTTAACAAAAATACAAAGCAATGCTGTGGTGATATGATGGTTTCTTCCATAAATGGTATTGGAACAATTAGATAGCCATGTGCAAAAAAAGAAGAAATAAAATCATTGGATTTATACCTTATACCATATCTAAAAATTAGCTCAAAATGAACTATAAACCTAAATGTAAACCTTAAAACTATGAAACTTCTAGAACAGAGCATGAAAGGACATCTTTGTGATCTTAAGTTAGATAATTTTTCAGACATGATACTAAAACATCAAGTCCATACAAAAAAATTGATTGATTGTGCCAGAGCCCAGGCATAGGAAAGTGGTTGACTCGTGGGTTGGTAAGAAGAATTTACTGACAACAGTATAAGTTTGAAAACGGAAAGTTTTATTAGAAAGAAAGAATGCTGCAGAAGAGTGCAGCGGGGCGCCTCCGTGAGAGGACTGAGCCAGCCACGGTGGACTTTTCCTTAGAGCTATTTATGGACCTTAATGTGGGAGCTGAAGGGTAATTTGCACAATAAATCATTACATTTGTAGACATTTTGGTGCCTTAATGTTGACAAGGGTTCAAGGGTTGCACAGTGAGTTTTGGCATGCATGCATTCCAGAGATGTATACAAATTCTAGTTACTTATAAATTTTAAGTTACTTATAAATTTTAAGGTGAAAAGAGGCCTGGAAACAAGTGTCTTTAGATAATAGGGAGTCTAATTACTTCTAAATTCCTCTGATAAAGAGTTCTTGTCTCCAGCACCTGCTTCATGGTCGCCAGATATTTTTGCTCTCCTCAGATTGGACTTTAACAAAGTAATTTAAAAATCTTCCCAAAAGACATTGTTAAGAGAATGAAAATGCAAGTCAAAGCCTGGGAGAAAATATTTCAAAAATCACATAACCAATGAAAAACTTGTATTCAATATATTAGGCTGGTGCAAAAGTAATTGCAGTTTCAGACTGAATTTTAAGTCATTATAACTAGATTCAAACACAGCTTTATTAATAAAAATAGAAACCATTACAATCAACACATTTTTTTCCAATGAGAAATAAGTTTGTTTATTCCTGTAGCATAAAAATCCGTGCATTGGGATTTGAGGAAATCTTGGAAAGCATTTTCTGCATCCTGCTGGTTATGGAAAAGTTTTCCCTGCAAAAAGTTGTCGAGATGCTTGAAGAAGTGGTAGTCAGTTGGTGGGAGGTCAGGTGCATATGGTGGATGAGGCAAAACTTCATAGCCCAATTTATTCAACTTTTGACTTTGGTTGTGTGACCTGTGGTTGGGGATTGTCATGGAGAAGAATTGGGCCCTTTCTCTTGACCAATGCTGACTACAGGTGTTGCAGTTTCCGGTGCATCTCATTGATTTGCTGAGCATACTTCTCAGATGTAATGGTTTCGCTGGAATTCAGAAAGCTGTAGTGGACCAGACAGGCAGCAGACCACCAAACAGTGACCATGACCTTTTTTTGGTTCACGTTAGGCTTTGGGAAGTGCTTTGGAGCTTCTTCTCAGTCCAACTACTGAGCTGGTCGTTGCCGGTTGTCGTATAAAATCCACTTTTCGTCGCATGTCACAATCCAATTGAGAAAAGGTTCGTTGTTGTTGCATAGAATAAGAGAATATGACACTTCAAAATGACAATTTTTTTGATTTTCACTCAGCACATGAGGCACCCACTTACCAAGCTTTTTCACTTTTCCAATTTGCCTCAAAGGCCAAAGGAATATAGAATGGTCGACATGGAGTTATTTGGCAATTTCCCATGTAGTTGTAAGAGGATCAGCGTTGACGATTGCTCTCAACTGGTCGTTGTCAACTTCTGATGGCCGGCCACTACGCTCTTCATCTTCAAGGCTCGGGTCTCCTTTGCAGAACTCCTTGAACCACCACTGCACTGCACATTCGTTAGCAGTTCCTGGGCCAAATACATTGTTGATGTTGTGAGTTGTCTCCGCTGCCTTACGACCCATTTGGAACTCAAATGAGAAAATTGCTCTAATTTGCTTTTTGTCTAACATCATTTCTGTAGTCTAAAATAAACATTAAATAAACAACAAGTAGTAAGTCATTAGCAAAAAACCATAAAGTGAGAAATGCCCATTAAAATGATGTATACCATAACCACATTTATTTAATAATGTATTCCAATATCAAATGGCAAATTCCAATAATACAAAAACCACAATTACGTTAGCACCAACCTATATATACAGAATTCTCAAAACAACAATAAGAAAACAATCTTATTCGAAAAATGGGTAAAGAATTTGAACAGACACATCATCAAATAAGATATACAAATAGGCAATAGGAATACAAAAAGATGTTCAACATATTTATTTGGAAAATGCAAATGAAAGTCATAATGAAATACCATTACACACTTACTAAATGGCTAAAATTAAAATGGCTGACCATATTAAATACTGATGACTGTACTCTAATCTTTCTACTCTTTCATTCCTACTACCATTCTAGTTCAGATTCTTATACGCTCTGGCCTTTATTGTTAACATGGATTCCTGACAGGTCTCCCCATTTTCACTCCTGCCATCTTCCAGCTGTTCTCCACACTGAAGCCAGTCATTGTCATAAAATACAGATCTGATTGTGTCACTCTCCTGCTTAATATTTGTAGTTGACCCTCCCACTGCTCTCATGAAAGTTCATAATCCTTACTGTGGTTGTAAATGCCCTTTTATGATCTGTCCCTTGCCCATTTGTGTACACTCATCTTGTGCTACTCTCTTTCTTCATCAATATGCTCCACCATACTGTCATCTTTCTGCTTATTTTTTTTAAAAAAGTATGGAACATCTCTTTCCCCTTATGTGTCTTATGCAACCTGTCAGACAAAACCACATGTTATATTTTCTCAACACACAATTTTATTTCAGGTCTCTGTGCCCTTTACAAATCTACTAATCTTTCTGTCTGGAGTGTTCTTTCTTCTCCTGGCCAAATTCTAATCATTTGTCAAGAGTGCAACAGCATCATTTCTTCTGTGACTCAATTCTCCAAGCATCGTATCCTCTGTGTTCCTATAGCACTACATTGGATCGGTCCATAACAATTCTGTCAGTGTATTATAAGAACTTATTTACAGGTTTTGTCTCTTCTACTATGGCGTGAGCCTTTTAGTCATATGAATTGTGATTTTGTATATTTAGCGCCTACCATGGTGCTTAATTCGTGGTAGGTGCTCGGTAAATGTTTGAGAAAGACGAAATGTTTTTTAAACATAATTTAATTTACATCTGCTCTGAAGCGGTCTTTTTCTCTGCCTAGGCTACCCTTAGTGTGAAAATGATGTGTGATTTAGAAAGATTCTAGCCTGAAGTACAAGCTTATTTTTTTCTATGATCTACAAATTGGAGAGGACCATAAAGTGTCATCTGGCGACTTGTACACTCCCTGTGTTTTGGTACCAAGCATGATGGTCCTTTTAAAAATTACAAATTTAATTAGAACAAATGAGGTCTCAGGTCTGAAGAGGAAATTCCTAACTTCAGGCTCTTTTCTGTAGGAGATGAAAGGCAGATTCCACCATCATTTCAAGATGAGGATTTGTATTTTCGTTTTCTCTTCACTTTCTTTAAATACAAACTGCTTCTGTTTTTAGTGCTCACTAGCATCTTACAATCAGGTTTACACAGGTTAAAAAGAGACATGTAAGCCATCCTTTTCCCTATTTGGGAATTTCATGAAGTCCTAGCTTTAAATTTCTCTCCCTATTTTTGAATGTCTCAACTATTTATAAAATGCCTGAACATTTATGTTGAGAAAGTTACATAAGAAAGGAGCCTGGGTGCTGGTAAGTCAAGACATTTTTTTCCAGACACAGCATGATGTGAAATATTTATAGCTCGCTGTAGCCCTGAACTGATTATTGTTTCTTTCAGGAAATTTCTGGGTTTTTTTTGTCATAGCCACATATTACCTTCAAACCTATCTTAATAGTCCTCCAAGGAGATTCACCTTACTCTCTCTAACATGTTTGCAAAGATGTTTACAGCTACATGATTTGTGTTGTTAATATCAATCTGCATCCTAAAGAATTGTGGTTTAGATTTTCTTGACATGATGGATGGGTCTCCTTGAAGTTTGTATTACCTTGACTGTTCCAGATTCTCGTCCCAGCCCCATTGAGAACTTCTTGGGCAATAATTATGTGACCCATGCCTAAACTTGCCATTTCTTGCATGTTACTCAGGGTCACTGAAAATTCTTCTTTGACACAGGCATGAGAGTTGAAGGTAAGATATGTCAAAAGCTTTGGAGGCAGAAAGATTAGCTTGTTTATTTCCAGCAGTCATGATATGGGTAGGAAAATGGAACTAAAGGGCAAAATTAAAAGTTAAGTAAACTTTGGCTCAAAGTCAGAATGTTCTTTCTAATAGTCAAACTGGACTGAGACCTGGTGTACTTTTATTACCACAATGAGTGGGTTCAGTCACGTGGCAGGTGTTAACCCAATAACCACAATCAAGGAGAATCTAACAAGGGGATTTTTATTACTTGCAACAAATAAGGAGAACACTGGGGACAGTTCCCAAAGCAGTGTCTCCTGGAGCTAGGGGCTGGGTCAGGTTTTATAAGCATAGGGCAATGAGACATGATCTGATTGGATCTTGCAATTATGTAATGCTGGGAGGCATTATCTGACTGTGTCCTGCCATGGGATGACACCAGAGTTTAATCTGGTTGGACCCTGGATCCTGCCATGTGGTATCCACTTTTTAGTTCAATCCCTGCTCCTGGGTCTGAGAATTTAAGTTCCTCCTGTGAATGCATGCTTGGTTCATCTGGGCATGCTCAGATTACATGACCTAAGAGTTCATGGCAACTGAAAAACAGCTCACAACTTTGTTACATAAAACTTGAACCAGATTGGTCTGGTGTGGCTACACTTTCATAATAATGACAGCTCCATAATTTTTATCTGGGAGAGATTTGGATATGACATTCTAGTCAAAAGTGGATGGCTAAGGGACTCGATTGGACCCTACATTTACATAGAAATTGGTGTACATTGTAAAAACATTATTTGTTCATATCAGTGAATTGGGGAAAGGTGATAGATATTGGGTGGCGGGGGAGCTAAAGGCCCCAAACCACTCCTTTAGGCTGCTGCTGCTCAGGAGGTAGTGCATGTTTCAAAATGGAAAGTGTTTACCTTCTTGGTAAAATTATTGGAGAAGGAATTATTGCTTAGAGTAGATTCTATTCTTCTGTGTTTTTGTGAATTGACTCTTTTAGAATGTAACAAACTCTGCCTGTTTGTGATATAAATTCTAGATACAACTATTAAATAATTTTTCCATTTGAGGGAGGGGGAGAGGTGGAAGTTTCATTTTCTGCCTACTGTGACCTTACATAAAGCCCCAGATAAGGTAGGTAAGGCAGGTGGTTCTAGTTCTATTTTATAGAAGGAAAAATTGAAAGCCAAGTGGACTATGGTTACATATTTTAGCATTTAACACAGGTGATGCTTCATAGAAGGAAGAAGCAAAGCTTATGTGGCCTAAGGTTCCATCTTTAACATACTGAGGCACCCAAGTAAAATACTGGTCCCTTCTTCCATTATTTTTTTTTCTACCAGACAACTTTTATACTTATATACAACTGAGTTTATAGGTTTATAAGTAGAGTTCCAGCATTTTAACCATCTAAACAATGCCTAAAATTAAATACAATTTCTATTTCTAGTTGCTTTAGTTTTTTGTTATTGGTTTATTTACCAGTTTTATACATTCACGTATGCGTACACATATGCCTGTAAACACACGCGCACGCACATGCATACACACACACACACCCTCACCTCTAGCAATCCTATACCAAAAGTTCATAGTTACCGTAAGTTGGAAAATAAACTAAAAAAATAACCAGCAATGCAGCAGGCAAGCTGAGTTTCTGGGGCAAGCACCAGGCCTGCTTCCTTTAAAGTCGTGTGCACACTGAGGCTAAGGCTCTACTCTCCTCAGAGAAGGCGGTCAGTCTTAGAAACCATGCTATTCATCAACCAACTTCCATCATCTGAAGCATTTAGCATAAAACATGAGAATTTTTAAAATTTTTGATTGAAAAAAAGAAGAATACATATACAAAAGTAGGGAGAATAGCCCAATGAAACCCATGCAGCTATCATGCAGTTTCTACCGTGATAAACTCACGGCTAATTTTGTTTTATCTATGCTCTCCAGTATTAGTTTTCTATCACTATGTAGTCAATTATTAATACTCTTAGAGGTCATTTATTATCTCACAGAAAGTCAGAAGTCTGTAAATGGTATAACTAGATTCTCTGCGTTATGGTCTTACTAGGCAGTAAAGTATTCCCTGGAGTAGCAATCTCATGTGGGGCTTGGGGTCCTCTGCCAAGCACATGCGATTATTGGCACAACTCAATTCCTTATAGTTACAGGACTGGAGTCTCCATTTTCTTTCTGCCTATCAGGCAGGGACCACTATCAGCGCCTAGAGTCTGCTCTTAGGTCCCTGGCACATGGCCCTCTACATAGGCAATTCACGACACAAGTGTTTGCTTCTTCAAGCACAGCAGGAAAGCATCTGCTGCTACTTCTTGTCTCTTTTCATGGCTGTACTGATTAGGTGAGGCCCACCCAGGAAAATCTCCCTTTTTTAAACTCAGAGTCAGCTGATTAGGCATCTTAATTACATCTTAAAAGTGTCTTATCCATATAACATAACATAATCATGAAAGTGATATCTTTTCATATTCACAGGTCTCACTGATACTCCAGGGAAAGAGTTGATACAGTACATGTCAAGAGGAAATGAGACTCTTAGGAAATTTTGCCCACCCACCCATGAAGATTATTTTGAAGCAAATTCTAGACCAAATATTATTTAATTAACAAATATTTGTGTGTGCATCTCTAAAATATAAAGACTAACTTTTAAACAAAACTGCTATGCCATTATCACACTTAGAAATATCAATTCATTAATATCATGAGATTCATAATCAGTGTTCAAATTTTCCTCTTATTTTATTATTTTTAAAGTTTACTTGTTCATATCAGGATCTTAATGAGCTTCAAATATTGAAGTTGGCTGATATATCTCTTAAATCTTTTTAAATCTACAGGTTCCTCCTCCATCTTTTTTTTCTTTGTGTTGAAGAAATTGGGTTATTTGTCATATAAAATTCCAAACTAGGTTTATGTTATTATTACTAATCTTTTTATTTTGACATAATTGTGGATTTACATGCAGTTGTAAGAAATAATGCAGAGCGATACCATATACTGTTGACCCAGTTTCTCCAATAAGTAACATCTTGAAAGCTATAGTACAGTATACAGTCAACATACAGAATACTTGCATCATGGCAAGAATTACTCCTGTTGCCCTTTTATAACTATGTTTACTACCCCTCAGTCTCTAACCCTCCTTAATCCCTATCAACCATTAATCTGTTTTCCACTTCTATAAAGGTGTTACTTTTATTTCAAGAATGCATATAAATGGAGTCATATACTATATAACCATTTCACTCATCAAAATTCTCTGAAGATCTTTTCAAGTTGCTGTGTGCATCAATAGTTCATTCCTTTTTTTTTTTTCTGAGTAGTGTTCCATAGTATGGATGTACTACAGTTTGTTTAGCCATTCCCTACTGAACATTTGACATTCAGTGGGAATGCCAAATGTTTATACCAGCTTCATTAATAAGAGCTCAAAATGGGAAAATAGGTATACCTCATAGAATTCAACAGTGTATAAGGCCAGACACTTTGGCTTACGCCTGTAATCCTAGCACTTTGGGAGGCCAAGGCGGGTGGATCATCTGAGTTCGAGAGTTCCAGACTAGCCTGGTCAACATGGCAAAAACCCATCTCTACTAAAAATACAAAAAATCAGCCAGGCGTGATGGGTAATCCCAGCTACTTGGGAGGCTGAGGCAGGAGAATTGCTTGAACCCGGGAGGTGGAGGTCTCAGTGAGCTGAGATTGTGCCACTGCACTCCAGCCTGGGCAACAAAGCGAGACTTTGTCTCAAAAAAAAAGTGTCTAAGTAATAATTACAAGTAATTGAAGCAATCGGTGTTGTCACTATTCTTATTTTAGTCATTCTGATAGGTGTGTAGTGGTGTCTTACTATGGTTTTAATTTCAATTTCCCTGATGCTCAGCACATCTTTTCATGTGCTTATTACCCATCTGTATATACTCAATAAAATGTATCTTTATGTCTGTCTTAGTCTATTTTGTGTTGCTATAATAGAATACCTGACACTGAGTAATTTACAAAGAAAAAGTTTTTCTGGCTCATGATTCTAATGTCTGGAAAGTTACAGATTGGTGAAGGCCTCAGACTGCTTTCACTCATGGTGGAAGGTGGACAGAAAAGGAGCCTGGCATATGCAGAAATCACATGGCAAAAGAGGAAGCAAGAGGGAAAGGCAGGAGGCTCTTTTTAACAAGAAGCCAGGTTGTTTTTAACAACCAGCTCTCTCAAGAATGAGTAGAGTGAGAACTCACCCCCAAGGGAGGGCATTCATCTATTCATGAGGGATCTGCCTTCAAGATGGAAACACCTCCCATTAGGCCCCCGTCTCCAACATTGTGGATCAGATTTCTACATGAGGTTTGGAGGACTAACATCCAAACCATAGCAATGTCATTCACTCATTTTCTAATTAAATGTAGAGTTTTATTGCTATTAAATTTTCAGTTATTTATATATTCTAGATATGAGTTCTTTATCAGATATGTATTTTGCAAATATTTTCTCCCAGTCTGTTGCTTGTCTTGTCATCTTCTTAAAAGAGTTATTTGCAGAGTAAATTTTCATTTTCATGAGGCACAACTTATAAATCATTTCTCTTATGGATCATACTTTGGTGTGAAGGGTGAGAACTCTGCCAAGCCCTAGATCCTACAGATTTATTCCTACTTATTTTTTCTAAAAGTTTTATAATTTTTCATTTTACAGTTAAGTTCATGATCCATTTTAGCTAATTTCTGTATAAGTTTTAATGTTTAGGCCAGTGTTCCCTTTTTTGCCAGTGAATGTCCAAATACTCAGGTACTATTTATTGAAAAAGCTCTTCATTCCCTATTAAATTGCTTTTGTACATTTGTCAAAAATCACCTGGACATATTTGTGTGGGTCTATTTCTGAGTAGGTATTTCTATTCCATTGACCTGTGTTACTATCCCTCCAACAGTCTCATACAGTGTTCATTACTGTAGCTATAAAATAATTCTTGAAAATGAGGTTGACTGATTTTTACCAGTTCATCCTTTTTTTCAAAATTATTTTGGTTATTCTAGTCCTTTGCTTTGCCACTTGAAATTTTATAACCATCTTGTCTGTATTTACAAAAAATCCTGGTGAGATTTTTATGGTAATTATATTAAAAATAGATATCAATTTGGGGAAAATTGGCGCCTTTAATATGTTGTCTTCCAACCCATGATTATAATATGTCTCTATATAGATCTGGTTTTACTTCTTTCAGAAATGTTTCATGGCTTTCAACTTGGGGATTTTGCACACATTTGTTATATTTATATCTAAATATTTTAATTTGGGGTGCTATTGCAAATTATATTTTAAAAATTTTAAATCCCAACCATTGATTGCTGGTATATAGAAAAGCAATTGACTTTTGTATATTGACCTTGTATTCTGCAACATTGTTAGCCTTCTTATCAGTTAAGGGAGCTTTTTGTAGATTCACTTATGCTTTGAAAATAGACAAACATGTCTGCAAATAAATATAGTTTTATTTCTTCCTTTCCAATATGTATGCCTTTTTAAAAATTTTCTTAATGCACTAAGACTTCCAGCATAGGATAGTAGTGGTGAGAGAGAACATTCTTTTTTTTTTTTTTTTTTTTTTTTGAGACGGAGTCTCACTCTGTCTCCCAGGCTGGAGTGCAGTGGCGCGATCTCGGCTCACTGCAAGCTCCGCCTCCCGGGTTCACGCCATTCTCCTGCCTCAACCTCCCGAGTAGCTGGGACTACAGGCGCCCGCCACCACGCCCGGCTAACCTTTTTAAAATATTTTTAGTAGAGACGGGGTTTCACCATGTTAGCCAGGATGGTCTCGATCTCCTAACCTCGTGATCCGCCCGCCTCGGCCTCCCAAAGTTCTGGGATTACAGGCATGAGACACGGCGCCCGGCCGAGAGAATATTCTTGACTTGATTCTGATTTTAGTAGGAAAGTTTCTAGTCTCCCACCATTAAATACAGTGTCAGTTGTAGGTTAATTGTGGATGTTCTTTGTCAAGTTGAGGAAGTTTCCTTCTACTCTTAATTTGCTGGGGTCTTTTATCATAAATGAGATTTAGATTTTGTCAAATGCTTCTTCTGAATCAATTGATATGATCACATAATTTTTGTTTTCTTACCTGTTGACATGGTAAACTATATTGATTGATTTTAAAATGTTAAAGCAGCTTTGCGTGCTTGGAATAAATCCCACTTGGTCATATTGTAAAATTCTTTTTATACATTGTAGAGTTGGATTTTCTTGTCATTCATTGAGGATTATTGGGTCCATGTTCATGAGAGACATTGGTTTGTAGTTTAACTTTATGTAAAATCTTTATCTGATTTTGACATAAAGATATTGTTTGCTCCAGGAATAAGTTAAAAATATTCCCTTTGCCATGTAGAGAATTGGTATTATGTTATCCATAAATGTTTAGTAGAATTCACCAGTGAAACCATCTGAGCCTGGTGCTTTGGAAGGTTGTTTATTATTGATTAAATTTATTTGATAAATGCACACCTATTCAGATTATCTATTTCTCCTTGTCTAAGTATGGTAGTTTATGTCTTTCAAGGAACTGGCCCGTTTCATATAAGTTATCACATATGTGGGTGTTATAAGTTTAATTCTTTCCCAAGAAGCTATGTTGAAGTACTGACCCCCAGTACCTTAAAATATGACCTTTTCTAGAAATAGCATCATTACATATGTAATTAGTTAAGATAGGGTCATACTGGAGTAGAAAGGTCCCCTAATTCAATATGACTTCTGTGCTTATTAGTAGATGTTCGTGTTAGGACAAAAGCATAGGAAGAACACCATGGGAAGATGGAGTATTTGAGTAACGCATGTAGAAGCCAAGGAATAGCAGCAATTGCCAGCAAACCACCAGAAATTAAGAAGAGGCAAGGAATTCAGGGGGATTGTGGCCCTGCCGATAACTTAATTTTAGATTTCTAGCTTCCAGGAATAAAAGATGATACATTTATGTTGTATTAAGCTACCTAGTTAGTGGTATACTCAATATCAACAATCATCAATACATAGCCAATCTGATTCTAAATAGACACCCCTCCTCACCATTGAAATCTCTGCTGCTCGAATCATGCAAAGCAAATCCAAGACATCACACCATTTCTTCTCTAAATATGCGTTTTCGCGAGATAGACTCTTTTATAAAACATAAACAGAAAACAATTACTAGTACTAAAGAATTATATGTGTCATTGATATCAAATATCCAGTTATTTTTCACATTTGTCTAATGGCCTTATACTTTTTATTTTTCTTAATTTTTTATTAACTTTTATTTTAGGTTCAGGGGAACAAGTGCAGGTTTGTTATACAGGTAAACTCATGTCACAGGGATTTGTTGTACAGGTTATTTTGTCACCCAGGAAATAAGCCTAGTACCCAATAGTTATTTTTTCTGATCCTCTCCCTCCTCCCACTCTCTACCCTTAAGGAGGCTCCAGTATCTGTTGTTCCCCTCTTTGCAGCCATATGTTCTCATCATTTAGCTCCCACTAGTAAGTGAGAACACGCAGCATTTGGTTTCCTGTTCCTGAATTAGTTTGCTAAGGATAATGGCCTCCAGCTCCATCCATGTTCTTGCTAAAGGACATGAGCTCATTCTTTTTTATGGCTTCATAGTATTCCATGGTGTGTATGTACCACATTTTCTTTACCTAATCTGTCATTGATGGGCATTTAGGTTGATTCCATGTTTGCTATTGTGAATGGTGCTGCAATGAACATTCACATGCATGAGTCTTTATGGTAGAATGATTTATATTTTTCTGGGAATATACATTATTCACGGTAATGGGATCGCTGGGTCAAATGGCAGTCCTGCTTTCAGCACTTAGAGGAATTGCCCTACTGCTTCCCACAATGGTTAAACTGATTTACACTCCCACCAACAGCGTGTAAGTGTTCCCTTTTCTCCGCAACCTTGCCAGCCCCTGGTATTTTTAAATTTTTTATATAATAGCCATTCTGACTGGTGTGAGATGATATCTCATTGTGGTTTTTATTTGCATTCTCTAATAATCAGCAATATTGAGATTTTTGTCATATGCTTGTTGGCAACATGTATGTCTTCTATTGTAAAGTGTCTGTTCATGTCCTTTGCCCACTTTTTAATGGGGTTGTTTTTCTCTTGTAGATTTAAGTTTCTTATAGATGCTGGATATTAGACCTTTGTCAGATGCATAGTTTGCAGATATTTTCCCAGCACTATTTATTGAAAAGACCATCTTTTCCCCCAGTGTATGTTCTTGACTTCTTTGTTGAAAATGAGTTCACCGTAGGTGTGTGGATTTGATTCTGGTTGATTCTGTTCCATTGGTCTATATATCTGTTTTTATACCAGTACCTTAAAGAAATTGAAGACAACACCAAAAAATGGAACAATATTTCATATTCATAAATTCAAAGAATCAATGTTGTTAAAATGCCCATACTACCAAAAACAATAAACAGATTGAATGCTATCCTTATCAAAATACCAATGATATTCTTCACAGAAATAGAAAAAACAATCCTACAACTTATATGGAACCACAGAAGACCCAGAGTAGCCAAAAGGATCCTAAGCAAAAGGAACAAAACTGGAGGAATCACATTATCCGACTGCAAATTATCCTACAGAGTTATAGGAACAAAAAGAGCGTGGTATTGGTATAAAAACAGATATGTAGACCAATGGAACAGAATGGAGAGCCCATGGCTGTGCAGACTCTTTTTTGTTTCCATATACATTTTAGAATTTGTTTTTCTAATTCTGTGAAGAATGATGGTGGTATTTTCATGGGAATTGCGTTGAATTTGTAGATTGCTTTTGGCAGTATGACCATTTTCACAATTTTGATTCTACCCGTCCATGAGCATGGGGTGTGTTTCCACTTGTTCATGTCATCTATGATTTCTTTCAGAAGTGTTTTGTAGTTTTCCTTGTAGAGGTCTTTGGATTCCTTGGTTAGGTGTATTCCTAAGTATTTTATTTTATTTTATTTTTGCAGCTATTGTAAAAGGGGTTGAGTTCTTGACTTGATTCTCCACTTGGTCGCTGTTGGTATATAGAAGAGCTACTGATTTGTGTACATTAATCTTGTATCTGGAAACGTTGTTGAATTATTTTATCAGTTCTCAGAGCTTTCTGGAGGAGTCCTTAGGGTTTTCAAGGTAAATGATCATACTGTCAGCAAACAGTGACAGTTTGACTTCCTCTTTACCGATTTGCATGCCCTTTATTTCTTTCTCTTGTCTGACTGCTCTGGCTAGGACTTCCAGTACTATGTTGAAGAGGAGTGGTGAGAGTGGGCATCCTTGGGCGGGTCTTACTGCAGCTGCTGTGGGGGGATGGGAGTGAGATTCCCAGGTCACTGGAGTTGCGTACCTAGGAGGATTATGGCTGTCACTGCTGAGTTACGCAGGTTTTGGGGGAAAGCCAGCAGTCACAGGCCTCACCCAGCTCCCACACAAACCAAAGAGCTGGTCTCATTCCCACCATGCCCCACCCAACAGCCCTGGGTCCACTTCCAGGTGGTGGGCGAGATGGGCTTGAAAATGTGCCCCAGGCTACCCGCCTCCCAGCTGCAAAAGAAAAGGTTCTATCCCCGCCTGTGGAGTCTGCACACCAGATTTGCAACTTCCCCCAAGTTCTGGCCAGGAGGCTTCTCACCCGGTTCAAATTGTTACAAAGTCCAGCTAGAGATTTCCTTCTCCCTTTGGAGTTTTACCCCCTGCCTCTCTGGCTGCCCTCTGGATGGATCCCTGTGGTGCCAGGCAGGAATGACCTGCTCAGGGACCCAGAGAGCTCCCAGGGCCTTTCTGCTACTTCCTTTACCCTTGTATTTTGCTCAGCTCTCCAAATTGACTCAGCTCCCCAAATTGACTCAGCTCCAGGTAAAGTCGGAAACTTCTCCCACAAACAGACATTCAGCTTCTCCAGTGGGGATGTGTGTTTGGGAGAGGAGGGTCTCCCTTTTCCACTTCCGCAGTTGGGGCACTCACAGTATTTGGGGTATCTCCCAGGTCCTGCAGGGGCAGTCCACTTCCTTCATAGAGTCTGTGGATCCTCTTGGGATTGCTGGTTTGTTCTTGCAGTCGATCTGGAGCTAAAATTCACCATGCGAGCCTCCACACACTGCTCTGTCTGGAGCTGCAATCTAGTCCTGCTTCCCATCCGCCATGATGATCTCTACCCTCCCAAGAGAGAATTTAATTCAGGGAACTGATTATACAAGAGATGGAGAAGCCAAACAGGAGAATTGGAGAACCCAACAGTTTTCAACATGAGGAAGTCACTCTCAACTCTAGGCTGGAAAGACAAAGAGAGGAGACAGTGTTATTGGAGCCCAGGTGTTGGGTTCCATAGGATCTCATGTCATGGCGGGCTAATTTGATGGGCCTAGAGTCATGAATAATATGTAGCCATTGAAGGAAAGCCCCACCTGATGCAGAAGATGGAGAAAAACTGTCCGCTCCATCCTCCTGGGTTCTAATCTCCTGTTTTTCTGCCTGTTGGTTGAACCAAGATGGCCACAAAATGTTAACTAGTCTAGGAATTGCAATCTTCAGGGGTCAGCCTGTGTATATTATGAGGCACAGCAGAGGATAAATGAGGGATAGCTCTCAGGGCAAATAAATCCATTACAAGCAACCACTTTGACAGATTAAATGAGAGTAATCATAGCTAAACTGATATAGAAAAGTGTTGAATAATCTATCCCATCTCCATCCCACATCTTTCCAAGCCCAGGCTAGGTTAAGCATTCTTTTTTGTGCTTCTACCTCCCTTTGTGTTCCCCCTCTCAATATAGCATTAATTTACAAGCTGTGTTTGATAGTTTACTTGTCTGTATCCTTCATTTGACAATAAACTCTATGTGTGCAAAGACTATGTCATGTCTCCCACTGTATCCACAGTGTCTACATATTGCTTGAAGTACAGTGTGCACTGTAAATATTTGTTATTGAATCATTTGATTTGCCAATGATTCTGAACTATAAATAAAATACATAGTTGTTTTAACTTTATAATTTTTTCAAAGTTCAGTATCCCACCCCTGTGGCCAAGGACACTTGCCTGCTCTACTGAGACAACATGGTTTAATTGAGAGGATAAAGACATTTCCTTTCAAGAAGATAGAGATGTTCCCAAGACAGAATGAGATGCTGAGACAGTAAACCAAGTAGTATAAACTACATGGTTCTAAGTGAATGTCACACTGTCTTCAATATTTTAAAAATATAGATGGATGCTGTAGAGGGCAGTACTTTATTCCTCCTAAATGGAAGAAGGCAAATATAAACCTTGCTTTTCACATCCTCAGGCTGTTCTTTTTATATGAGAAAGATATTTTAGGAATGATTCCCAAAGTTGAATAACAAAGATTTTTAATTATCTGCCTCTTTGGGTTTTCCACCCCTTTGTTCAACCCAATTAAAACTGATGATAATAGTTAACTACGTATGCACCCCCCCCAAAAAAAAGCTATTAGGATTCTTTTTAAAAGTAGAGAACTCCATACTCAGAAAACCCATATATACTGTACTTTCAATAATTCTTTATTCTTTATGTATTTTAAGAGAAGAAAGATGAAGGATAGAACCAGAAACTTTGATCTTTTTGATACATTTTTGAGACAACATGATTGCATTTTTCCTCTTGAACCCACAGGATCCAGGTAAATGAGAATCTGATGAATGTCCTGATGTAAGCACCTAATAAAAAAATCAATGCTAGATAGAGCAGAGTTAAGTGCTGTGATTTTTTTAACTCATTTGGAGGGTATGCTAAATGGAGGCATTTGGGGCCAGGAGTGATAAGGTTGGAGGGTTGACAGAAAAGGGTGATTTCTCCAGAATTGTCCTTTCCTCAGTGCACTCCACTCTCAAGGGCAGAACATTCCTCTTAAAGCACAGCTCTCTTGAGCTCCAACCTTGATTCAAAAATTAAACCTTTCAGTCTGGTGAGATAAAGAAGCCTTCACCTCACTTCCTGGGATCATCACTTTGCCACCTCAGAAAGCCACAGTGCTGAGCAGAATGGACATCTCACCAGATCTTGAGTGCTAATCACCCTTCAAAGCTCACCTCAGATGCCACTGTCTTCCTCTCCATTCTCCAAACTGCTGTCCCTCATGTCTTGGCATTACTTTGCCCTTCCGTTGTCTATCACAGCTTGCTTGAGTTTAGCATTGTTTGTGTGTATGTGAGTCTTCTCTTTTAGATTGTACATTCCAAAATTAAGCACACGACTTGACACAGTAAGTACTCAAGAATAAAAATGAACTGAGATGAGGGCACCGAAGTTTACTTTCAACATCAGAATAACACATGACTCTTCTCATTACATAAGTCATTGTGCTAGAAGTGTGTATCGCAAATTGGTAGCCGATGGGGTCCAACTAAGGCAAGCCAAACAAGGATAAGGTAACTGGGTAAAGGCCCGACTTCATTCTGGCACCGACTGGTATTTTATTAGAAACAAATAGATTCTGAAAAGTCGCACCCATTGGTTGATGAAGTTTCTGAACATTTTATTTCTAATTTTCTGTCTGTCACTAAAATGTGACATTTTTCTATTTCCCTTGGAGCATCTTAGAAAAATCTCTGCTCTTTTCTCTCCCAAGTTCAGTTTCTGTAGTACACTTACATAATTATACTCAATACATTTCAGTAGAGTGTACTTCTTTCTTCCCTTATTTATTTCTAATATTTTATGGAAAATTTCTTAAGTGATGAAACACTCTATTCCCAAGTATATCTTCAGGCAAGAGAGGAAGGAGTGGATTTACAGACAGTGCCTAAACTCAACGTTATGAATATCTCCCAATAAATTGATATTTATAACAAGCAGGCAATTTTTGCCATACTTACAATAAGACATAAAATTCTCTAGAATCCATAGTACATCATACGAACAACAGAAAGGAAGTCCAGGCAGCTATTTCCTCAGGGCAAAGGAACAAAACAACAAACCAAAAACTTGCAGGGTTATCAAAGTAGTAACACCAGGACAGGATACTAATTTCAAATATAGGTTAATATTACAACTGTCAGTATGATAGGTTTTTGAGGTGAATACTAAGGAATTACACTGTCGCCTAAACTACTTTTACTCTTCTATGTTACATGCAATGACTGTTAGATAACCTTTTAAAATATAAACATTTATTGTAAAAATATGAAAAATTGAAAAATATAAAGAAAATAAAAATTCAGCTGCAATCTACCATGGGTAAGAGATATAGGAAAAACCAAAGCCAATGTGTCTTTTTTTTCCTACTCTCATATACTCACTGAGCACAACACTTCACTCTGGTCACCAAAATATGTAGAGATTTCTCCCTATCAGCAACCAATTCTGCAGTGGACAGCAGCTGTGTGTCCTGTAACTCAACATTTGATACTATCTGACACCATCAACCTGGAAATAGCATAGCATCACACTCCACAGGTTGAAAGTTTAATCCTTTAAGACTGCTTCCCACTTCAAATGCCAATTGCAAGCCCCAGGTTATGGTCTGTGCTTCTGTAAACTGGGGTTACCACAGCCACCTCCTCCGGTTGGAATATTTGCTAGAGTGGTTCGTAGAACTCAAGGAAGTTTCTTTATTTACATTTACCTGTTTATTATTAAGGATTTTATAAAGGATACAGATGAACAGCCAGATGGAAGAGAGATGCCTAGGGCAAGGCATGGGGGGAGGGGCGCGGAGCTTCCGTGCTCCCTCTGGGTACACCACCCTCCAGGAACTTCCACGTGTTCAGTAAAGATGGAAAGCTCCTTCAAACCCCGTCCTTCTGGGTTTTTATGGAGGATTCATTACTTAGGCATGATTGATTCCATCATTGGCCATTGGTGATCAACTCAAGCTTCAGCCCTCTCCCCTCCCTGGAGATGAGGAAAGGGGGTACAGCTGAAAGTTCCAACCCAGCAATCATGCCTTGGTCTTTCTGGTGATGCGCTCCCATCTTGAAGCTGTTTAGGGGCCCCCCAGCCACCAGTCATCTCAGTAGCATATAAAAGACACACTTATTACTCCGAAGTCTCCAAGGATTGTAGGAATTTTTTACTAGGAAGCTGAGATAAGAGCCAAATACATACAGGTTGAGCATCCTAAATCTAAAATGCTACAAAATCTGAAGCTTTTTGAACGCTGACTTGATGCGCAATGAAAATGTTCATTGGAGCATTTTGGATTTTCAGATTTGGGATGCTCAACTGATGTAAGCTAAATACTGGTGTAAAGTAAATACTCCAAAAACCTAAAAAATGTGAAATCCAAACATTTCTGGTCCCAAGCATTTTGGATAAGTGATACTCAGCCTATATTTCACAATATCACAACCACCTAGGGATTAGATTGTTTAAAATATTGATATATTTCCTCTCAGCCTTTCTTCCATGCAAATAGAAAAGAAGACTTCTTATTTAATATAGTTAGCACAAGAAGTCAGTTAAAACAAGAATCAGAAAGTATAATAAATGTTTGAACAGACTTTATTTTTAGAGCAGTTTCAGGTTCACAGCAAAATTGAGTGGAAGGTACGGAGATTTTCTACATACGCTCTTCCCTTACACATGCCTACCTACCCCCATTATTAACACCGTACCAGAGTGGCACACTTGTTACAATAGATGAAGCTACACCGACACATCATTGTCACCCAAAGTCTATAGTTTACATTAGGCTTCACTCTTGGAGTCAGGCATTTTATGGGTTTGAACAAATATATAATGACGTGTATCCACCATTATTGTACCATACAGAATAGTTTCATTGCCCTAACAATCCTGTGTGCCCCACCTTTTCATCCTTACCTCCCAACTACCCCCTTGAAAACACTGATCTTTTCACTGTCTCCCTAGTTTTGCTTTTCCCAGAATGTCATATAGTGGGAATCTAACAGTATGTAGCCTTTCAGATTGGCTATTTTTCTCTTATTAATATGTGTTTTCATTTTCTCCATGTGTTTTCATGGCTTCTTAGCTCATTTTATTTTAATGCTGAATAATATTCCATTAACTGGATATACCAAACTTCATTTATCCATTCACATACTGAAGGACATCTTGGTTGCTTCCAAGTTTTAGCAATTATGAATTTAGCTGCTATAAACATCCAGGTGCAGGTTTTTTCAGTTCCTTTGGGTAAATACCAAGGAGTGGGATTGCTTGATCATATGGTAAGAGTATGTCTAGTTTTGTAAGAAACTGCCAAACTGTCTTCCAAAGTAATTGTGCCATTCTGCATTCCTCCCAGCAATGAATGAGAGTTCCTCTTGCTCCACATCTTCACCAGGATTTATTGTGGTTAGTGTTCTGCGTTCTGGCCATTCTAATAGGTGTGTGGTAGTATCTCATTGTTGTTTTAATTTGGATTTCCTTGATAATATCAGATGTGAAGCATCTTTTCATATGCTTATTTGCCATCTGTAGATCTTCCTTGGTGAGGTATCTGCTAAATTCAATTGGCCAATTTTTTAAATTGGGTTGTTTGTTTTCTTATTTTTGAGTTTTAAGAGGCCTTGGTATATTTTGGATAACAGTCACTTAGCAGATCATTGTTTTGCAGATATTTTCTCCTATTCTGTGGCTTTTATTTTCATTTCTTGACAGTGTCTCTCACAAAGCAGAAAATTTAATTTTAATGAAGTACAGCTTATCAATTCTTTCTGTCATGGATCATGCCGTAGGTGTCATATCAAAAAAGTCATCTCCAAACCCAAGTTTAGCTACATTTTCTCCTATGTTATTTTCTAAGAGTCTAATAGTTTTGCATTTTACTTTCAGGTCTGTGATCCATTTCTAGTTAATTTTTGTGAAGGGTGTAAGTTTTGGACCTAGGTTCATTTTTTTGCATGTGGATGTCCAGTTATTCCTACAACATTTGTTGAAAAGACTGTCTTTTCTCCATTGTATGCCTTTGCTTCTTTGTCAAATATCAGTTGAGTGTATTTATGTGGGTCTATTTCTGGGCTCTCTATTCTGTTTCATTTATCAATTTTCTGTTCTAACATCAATTGCACACTCTTAATTACTGTGGCTTTGTAGTAAGTAAAGTTTTGTAGTATCAGTTCTCCAACTTTGTTCTTCAATACTGTGTTATCTATTCTTGTCTTTTGCCTTTCCATATACATTTTAGAATAAGTTTGTCAATATCCACAAAATAACTTCCCAGGATTTTGATTGGGATGGTATTGAATCTATATATCAAGTTAGGAATAACTAACATCTTGACAATATTGAGTCTTCCTATCCATGCATATGCATATCTCCATTTATTTAGGTCTTCTTTAAATTTTTTATTAGAATGTTGTATTTTCCCCATATTCTTAACATAAAACATCAAAGAGGACAATTCTTTGCCAGTCTTATGATGTGAAACCAAGATCTTCTCTTGGAGATACATCCAATGATTGGATCTCTGTTAGTCTTTCTTATGAAATGCTCACTCATAGCAAATACACTATAAATTCTGATTACGTTTACTTGAATGGGAACAATAAATTTTAAAGACGCAGAACAATCTGAGAAAAACCTTGATTTTTTTTGTAATTGCTTTTTCTAACATTTTATTTTCCTCTCTATATAACTAATACAGAATTTTTAAAAGATGTTTACTTTGTGTCTTTCTACAGCTTTTTAACTGAGCTTCTCTACAAGAAAAAGAACCTCTGTTTTTACAGCTATATCTCACTGGTTTCCATAATATTTAATTAAATAAGTAACTATAATGTCAAACTTAAACTAGCCTGTTAAAAGGTTTGTGTAAAGATATAAATTATTCTCTTTTTTGTATAAATTTATGGGTTACAAGTGTAATTTTGCTACATGCATAGATTGTGTAGTGGTGAAGTCAGGACTGTTAGGGTGTCTATCATCAGAATAATATACATTGTACACATCAAGTCATTTATCATCATCTCCCCCCCCCGCCCAACTCCCACACTCTTCCAAGTCTCCGTTGTCTATCATTTCACACTCTACATCCTTGGGTACACAGTATTTACCTTCCACTTATAAGTGAGAACATGCAGTATTTATTTTTCCATGTCTGACTTGTTTCACTTGATATAATGGCCTCTGTTTCATCTATGTTGTTGCGAATGGCATGATTTTATTCTTTTTATGGCTGAATAGTATTCAATTATATATATATATATATACATACACACATATATATATTTCACGTTTTCTTTATCTTGTCATCAATTGATGGACACTTAGATTGATTCCACATCTTTGCAATAGTAAATAGTACTGTGATAAACGTACAGGCACAGATATCTTTTTTATATAATGATTTGTTTTGTTTTGGGCAGATGCCTAGTAGTGGGATTGTTGGACTGAATGGTAGTTCTACCTTTAGTTCTTTGAGAAATCTTCATACTGTTTTCCACAGAGGTTATATTACTTTATATTATCACAAACAGTGCATCAGAGTTCCTTCTCTGCACCCTCACCAACATCAGTTATTGTTTTCACTTTTTAATACCCATTCTCTAGCCATATGAAGAAGAATGAAACCCAACCTCCTACTTTTCATCATATACAAAATTTAACTCAAGATAGGTAAAAGATTTAAATGTAAGACCACAAACTGTAAAAATCCTAGAAGAAAACCTAGTGATATGGTTTGGATATGTGTTCCTGCCCAAATCTCATGTCGAATTGTCATCTCCCATGTTGGAGGCGGGGCTTGGTGGGAGGTGATTGGATCATGGAAATGTTTCTCATGAATGGTTCAGCACCACCCCCTTGGCACTGTCCTCGTGTTAGTGAGTGATTTCTTGTGAGATCTGGTTGTTTAAAAGTGTGTAGCACCTCCCCACTCACTCTCTCTCGCTCCTGGTCCTGCTATGTAAGGCATGCCTGCTACGCGGTCACCTTATGCCATGATTATAAGCTTACTGAGGTCTCCCCAGAAGCTCAGTGAATGTCAGCATCATGCTTCCTGTACAGCCTGCAGAACTGTGAGCCAATTAAACCTTTTTTCTGTATAAATTACCCAGTGTCAGGTATCCCTTTATGGCAATGTAAGAATGGACTAATACATCTAAGAAATACCATACTGGGCTGGGTGCAGTGACTCACACCTGTAATCCCAGAACTTTGGGAGGCTGAGCCAGGAGGATCACTTGAGGCCAGGAGTTCAAGACCAGCCTGGCCAACATGGCAAAACCGTGTCTCTACTAAAAATACAAAAATTAGCCAAGCATGATGGCACATTCCTGTAATCCCAGCTACTCAGGAGGCTGAGGCACAAGAATCACTTGAACCCAGGAGGCGGAGGTCGTAGTGAGTCGAGATTGCACCACTGTACTCCAGTCTGGGTGACAGAGTGAGACTCTGTCCCAAAAAACAAACAAACAAAAAGAAATACCATTCTGGACGTCAGCCTCAGCAAAGAATTTATGATAAGGCCTCAAAAGCAATTGAAACCAAAACAAAAATTAACAACTGGGACCTAATTAAACCAAATATCTTCTGCACAGCAAAAGAAGCTATCAACAAAGCAAACCCACAACCTAGAGAATAGGAGAAAATGTTAACAAACTATCTATCCAATGAAGGTCTAATATCTGAAATCTGTAAGAAACTTAGAAAAATTAGCAAACAAAAAACAAACAACCCCATTAAAAAGTGGGCAAAGGACATGAACAGACACTTCTCAAAAGAAGACATACAAGTGGCCAACAAACATATGAAAAAATGTTCAACAGCAGTAATCATCAGAGAGATGCAAATTCAAACCACAATGAGCTACTACCTCAAACCAGTCAGAATGGCTATTAAAAACTCCAAAAATAGCAGATGTTGGCAAGGTCGTAGAGAAAAACGAATGCTTATATGCTGTTGGTGGGAATGTAAATTAGCTCAACCACTATGGAAAGCAGTGTAAAGATTTCTCAAAGAACTTAAAACAGAACTACCATTTGATCCAGTAATCTCACTTTTGGGTATATACCCAAAGGAAAATAAGTCATTCTACCAAAAAGACACATGTATTTATAAGTTCACTGCAATACTATTCACAATAGCAAAGACATAAAATCAACCTAAATGCCCATTGACAGTGGATCAGATAAGGAAATGTCGTACACATACACCGTGGAATACTACACAGCTGTAAAAAAGAATGAAATTATGTTCATTACAGCAACATGGCTGCTGCTAGAGGCTATTATCCTAAGCGAATTAATGCAAGAACAGAAGACCAAATACTGCATTTTTTCACGTATAAGTGGGAGTACACATGGATACACATGGACACAAAAATGAGAACAATAGACAGTGTGGACTACTAGAGGGGGAAGGGGGTCAGGAGGAAAGGCAGAAAAACTACCTGCTGGGTACTATGATCAATGCCTGGGTGACAGAGTCAATTCTACTCCAAATTCCGCATCAAATGATCTATCGGTATAACAAACCTACACATGTAATCCCTGAATCTATAAAGTCAAAATTAAAAATAATAATAATAATAATAGAAATTCTGATGGGTGTAAGATGATATCCCATTATGGTTTTAATTTGTGTTTCTCTGATGATTAGTGATGTGAAGCGATTATATGAAGTGATTTTTTCATATACCTGTTGGCCATTTGTATGTCTTCTTTTCAAATATCTCTACTCAGGTCCTGTGCCCAATTTTTAATGGGATTATTTATTTTTTTGTTTTGTTGAGTTGTATGAGTTTTTTGTAAATCCTGGGTATTTGTCCTCTGTCAGATGCTTAGTTTGAAAATATGCTCTCTCTTTCTGTAGGTTGCCTGTTCACTCTGTTGATAATTTCTTTTGCTGTGAGAAGCTGTTTAGGTTGAGACCCACTTGTCTATTTTTAGTTTTGTTGCCTGTGCTTTTGAGGTCTTCATCAGGAATTATTTGCCTAGACTGATGTCTGAAAGAGTTTTTCCTAGGTTTTCTTTTAGTATTTGTATAGTCTCAGGTCTTACATTTTAATCCATCTTGAGTTAATTTTTATATATGGAGAGAGAGGGGGGTCCAGTTTCATTCTTTTGCATATGGCGATCTTATTTTCTCAGCAACATTGATTGTAGAGGGTGTCCTTTTATATTCTTGTCAATTTTGTCAAAGACCAGTTGGCTGCAAATATGTGGCTTCATTTTTCTTAACTTGCATTTTAGTTTCGGGGTACATGTGCAAGTTTTTTATATAGGTAAATTGCATGTCATGAGGATTTGGTGTACAGATTATTTTGTCACCTAGGTACTAAGCCTAGTACCCAATAGGTAGTTTTTCACTCCTCACCCTCCTCTAAGCCTCCACCCTCAAGTAGGCCCCAGTGTCTATTGTTTTTTCTCCTGTGTCCATGTGTACTCAGAGTTTAGCTCCCACTTATAAGTGAAAACACGTGGTATTTAGTTTTCTGTTCCTGCATTAGTTTGATCAGGATAATAGCCTCCAGATCTACCCATGTTGCTGCAAAAGATATAATCTCATTCTTTTTTATGGCTGCATAGTATTCCGTGGTATATATATACCACATTTTCTATCCAGCCTGCCGTTGATGGACATTTAGGATAATTCCATGTCCTTACTATTGTGAATAGTTCTGCAATGAACATATATGTTTATGTGTATTTATGGTAAAATTATTCACTTTTACTTTGGATATATACCCCAAAAAGGGATTACTGTGTTGAATGGTAGTTCTATTTTAAGTTCTTTGAGAAATCTCGAAACTGCTTTCCACAGTGACTGAACTAATTTATATTCCCACCAACAATGTATAAGCATTCTCTTTTCTCCGCAACCTTGCCAGTATCTGTTATTTTCTTGACTTTTTAATAATAGTCATTCTGGCTGGTGTGATTGTATCACATTGTAATTTTGATTTGCCTTTTTCTAATGATTAGTAATGTTCAGCATTTTTTCAAATGCTTGTTGGGCACATGTTTGTCTTCTTTTGAAAAGTGTGTGTTCATGTGCTTTTCCGACTTTTTAATGGAGTTGTTCATTTTTGGCTTGTCATTTGTTTAAGTTTCTTATAAATTCTGGATATTAGATCTTTGTCAGATGAATAGTTTGCAAATATTTTCTCCCATTTTGTGCGCTGTCTGTTTACACTGTTGATGGTTTATGTGCTGTGCAGAAGCTCTTTAGTTTAATTAGTCCCATGTGTCAATATTTGTTTGTGTTGCAATTGCTTTTGGCATCTTTATCCTGAAATCTTTCCCAGGGCTTATGTCCAGAATGGCATTTCCTAGGTCTTCTTCAAGGTTTTTTATAGTTTTTGGTTTCACATTTTGCCATTAATTCATCTCAAGTTGATTTTTGTATATGGTGTAAAGAAAGGATCCAGTTTCAATCTTCTGCAGATGGCTAACCAGTTATCCCAGCACCATTAATTGAATAGGGTGTCCTTTCCCCATTGCTTGTTTTTGTTGACTTTGTCAAAAAAGACCAGATGGCTCTAGGTGTGAGTCTATATTTCTGGGTTTTCTATTCTGTTACATTGATCTATGTGTCTGTTTTTGTGCCATTATCATGCTGTGTTGGTAACTGTAGCCTTGTAGTATAGTTTGAAGTTCAGTAATGTGATGCCTTTAGCTTTGGTCTTTTGCTTAGAATTGCTTTCACTATTCAGGCTCATTTTTTGTTTCATATGAATTTTAAAATAGGTTTTTCTAATTCTGTGAAGAATGTCATTGGTAGTTTGATAGGAATAGAATTGAATGTGTAAATCACTTAGGGCAGTATGGTTATTTTAACAATACTGATTTTTCCTATCCATGGACACAGAATGTTTTTGCATTTATTTTTGTCATCTATGAGTTTTTTCGGCAGTGTTTTTTAGTTCTCCTTGTAGAGATCATTCACCTCCCTGGTTCGCTCTATTCCTAGGTATTTTTTGTTTGGCTATTGTGATTAGGAAAGTGTTCTTGATTTGACACTCAGCTTGGACATTGTTGGTGTATAGAAATGCTACTGATTCTTGTACAGTGATTTTGTATCCTGAAACTTTCCTGAAGTTGTTCATCAGATCTAGGAGCCTTTGGACAGAGAATATGAGGTTTTCTGGGTATAAAATCATATCATCTGCCAACAGAGATAGTTTGACTTCCTCTATTCCTATTTGGATGCCTTTTATTTCTTTCTCTTGCCTAATGGCTGTGGCTGGGACTTCCAGTACTATGTTGAATAGGAGTAGTAAAAGTGGACATTCCTGTATTGTTTCAGTTCTCAAGAGGAGTGCTTTCAGCTTTTGCCCATTCAGTATGATGTTGGTTGTGGGTTAGTCATAGATGGCTCTATTATTTGGGGGTATGTTCCTTCAATACCTACTGTGCTGAGGGTTTTTAACATGAAAGGATGTTAAATTTTATCAAAAGTCTTTTCTGCATCTACTGAGATGATCATGTGTTTTTTGTTTTTGTTTGTTTATGTGATGAATCACATTTATTGATTTGCATATGTTGAACCAACCCTGCATCCAAGGGATAAAACCTATTCGATTATGGTGGATTGCCTTTGTGATGTGATGCTGGATTCAGTTTGCTAGTATTTTGTTGAAGATTTTTGCATCTATGTTCATCAAGGATATTGGCCTGAAATTTTCTTTTTTGTTGTGTCTCTGCCAGGGTTAGCTATTAGGATAATGCTGGCCTCATAGAATGAGTTAGGGAGGAGTCTCTTCTCCTCAATTTATTTGAATACTTTCAGTAGGAATTGTACCAGTTCGTCTTTATACATCTGGTAAAATTCAGCTGTGCATTTGTCTGGACCTGGACTTTTTCTGGTTGTTAGATATTTATTACTGATTCAATTCCAGAACTCATTATTGGTTTGTTCGGGGTTTCTATTTCTTCCTGGTTCAATCTTGTGAGGTTATATGGTTCCAGGAATTTATCCATTTCTTGACGGTATTCCAGTTTGTGTGCATAGAGGTATTCATAACAGTCTCTGGGTTTTTCTTTTTCCTGTAGGGTTGTCAATAACATCTTCTTTGTCATTTCTAATTGTGTTTATCTGGATCCTCTCTGTTTGTTTTTTTCTTTATTAATCTAGCTAGCAGTCTACGAATCTTATTCATTCTTTCAAAGAATCAACCTCTGGATTTGTTGATCCTTTCTATGGTTTTTTGGGTATCAACTTTACTCGGTTCAGCTCTGATTTCTTCTGCTAGCTTTGGGGTTGGTTTACTTTTATTTTTCTAGTTCTTCAAGGTGTGATAGTAGGATGTTAATTTGAGACCTTCCTAATTTTTCGATGCGGTTATTTAACACTGTAAACTTTCTTCTTAACATTGCTTTAGTTGTGTCCCAGAGATTATGGTTTGTTATATTTTTGTTTTCATTTGCTTCAAAGAATTTCTTGATTTCTGCCTTAATTTCATTGTTTATCTAGAAGTCATTAAGGAACAGGTTGTTTAATGTCCATGTAGTTATATGATTGTCAGAGATCTTCTTAATGTTGATTTCTATTTTTATTGCATTGTGTTCTGAAAGTATGGTTGGTATGATTTTGGCTTTTTGGAACTTGCTAAGGATTGTTTTATGGCCAATTGTGTGGTCAATTTTAGAGTATGTGGCATGTGCACATGAGAATGTATATTCTGTTGTTTTGAGGTGGAGTGTATTGTAGATGTCTATTATGTCCATTTTTTTCTCTTGTGTCAGCCTTGGGCAATCTGATGACTATGTGTCTTGAGAATGGCCATCTTGCATAGCATCTTGCAGTGGTTCTCTGGATTTCCTGAATTTGCATGTTGGCCTCTCTAGTGAGGTTGGGGAAATTTTCATGGACAATATCCTCAAATATATTTTCCAAATTGCTTGCTTTCTCTCCTTCTCATTCAAGGATGCCAATGAGTCATAGATTTGGTATCCTTACATAATCCTATATTTTTCGGAGGTTTTGTTTATTCTTTTTCATTCTTTTTTAAAATTTTTGTCAGGCTGAGTTCAGTTTTAAAGCCAGTCTTCAAGCTCTGAGATTCTTTCCTCCACTTGGTCTATTTGCTGTTAATAATTGCAGTTATGTTATTAAATTATTGTAATGTGTTTTTCAGCTCCATCAGATTAGTTTTTTTTTTTTTTTTAGTGGCCATTTCCTCTTTCAGCTCCTGTATCATTTTACTATATTCCTTAGGTTTTTTCAATTGGGTTTTGACTTTCTCCTGAATCTCAATGATCTTCATTCCTTTCCACATTCTGAATTCAAGGTCTGTCATTTCAGCCGTGTCTGCCTGGTTAAGAACCATTGCAGGGGAACTAGTGTGGTTGTTTAGATGTAAGGAGACATTTCTGGCTTTTTGAGGTGCCAGAGTTCTTGTGCTCATTCTTTCTCATCTATGTGCACTGATGTTCCTTTAATCCTTGAAGCTGCTGTCCTTTGTGTGGAATTTTTTGTTGTTGTTGTTTTTATCTTCTTTTATGCCTTTGGTGGTATGATTGTGGTATAAGGTGGGTTCTGTCAACTGGCTCCAATACTGGAAGATTTCAGGGTGCCGAAGCTCACCTCAGCACTCCTGGGCTGTGTGCTATAACTCTGGGGACTGGTATTGGACCCGTGGACTTGATCTCTGATGTCTTGAGGTTAGGAACCTGATGCACTGGAGGGGCCAGGGTGTTTGCAGACCACTGGCCCCAACACTCATGGGGTGTGCCAGCCAAAGTGCTTCACAGGGGCAGTGGCAGTGGCAGTGGCAGTGGTAAACATGCTCACTTGCACATGCCAGCAGCCACAACAGCACAGCAGAGTGCCAACGTGAAGGAAGGTGTAGGCCAGCAGCAGGGGTAGGGTGGTGGCAGGGTTGCCAGTGTCTGTGCAGGATCTTGCACCAGCAGCAGGTGCAACACAGTGGGGGCATGACACCAGCTGGTGCAGGGGTGTGGTTCCATCATCTCTGCACACACTTGTGCCAGCAGTAGTGGTGGCAGCACAGAGGGCTACCACCTCAGTGGTAGCAGCGTGCCAGTGAGGGTGGGTAAGGCAGCCAGGTGTGCTTACTCACCAGGAAGTAGTGGGGTGGTGAGGTGTTTGTGCATGTGCACTGTCATGAGAAGGGAGGCAAGGTCCACCCACGTGCATGTGCTGGCGAATTAGTGGGGAGTGGGCTCAAGAGCAAGTTCTTGCCAACAAAGCAGCAGGTAGCGACTGCGGTTGGGGGAGGTTCCAGGCGGGCTCCTGGAGCTCTCTGATGATTAGACATGGTCTGCCAGAGAAGGAGCTATAATGAGGGCCCCTGGGAAGCACCTTGGTAGGGCATCTGAAGCTGTACTGCAAGAGGGTGGCCTTTGGCTGGGGCCCCAGGATAGATCAACAGATGAGGGGGTGCTCAGACTGGACTAGCCCTGTCCCACAGGCAAGATTACCATGCTCCGTCCAGGTATGACAGTCACCAAAAGCCTAAGCCACCTAGAGGAGCTTGGCAAGCCTTTGGAGATGGGTATCCTTGTGCTCCACTGCAGCTATTCCCATGCCAAACCCTCTGGGCTCTGTAGAAGCTAGAGTCCTGCCCTTGCCACCTTTCCAGTTTGCTCTCCTTGTCAGCCCAAGTGTCCATGGAAGTCATGAGGTCTCCTGCTGCTAGGATTCTGGAGGTCTGTGGTAAGAGTGGGCCAGTCCTCACCTGTTCAACTCACCCCTTCCTCAGGAGGCACTTGGGGCCAAACATCCCAGTGTTTGGCAGCCCCACACAGGGTTCCCAGCTTCCTCTCTCTTCGTCCATTGTCTGCATCCTCCCTTCATCCACTCTCAATGCCTTCCGTCTGAAGATCTGCTCAGAGTGTGCCAGTCTTCCTGATGTCTCAGGCCTTTGGTGAGAGATGTTTCTCCTCGCTGTGCCTAATCCGTCATGCCGGCTCCCTCCTAATATGTGGTCTTATTTCTGAGTTCTTTATTCTGTTCCATTGATTTATATGTATCTATTTTTATATCAGTACCATGCTGTTTTGGTTACTATAGGCTTGAAGAACAAAACTGGGGGTATCACATTACTTGAATTCAAATTATACAACTGATTTTTGATAAGTATATGTAACTCCATTAGCGGGAGAAGGGTCACATAGGCATACAGAAGGGATAGCTACCAGCCCTGAGTTTTATGTGTGCTGAGTACTGTATATTTTACAGATGAACCAGAAACCACTTAGAGGTCACTTAATAGAATCCTTATTGCACATTTTTATTATGAAAATGAGATCAAATTATGTATCTCTTTTCTAAAAGAATTCAAAGTTGTTTTAGTCAGCATTATTATCAAATAACATTTTAAATGCAAAAAAGTAATGATATGCTCAATGTTGAAAACTTGTAAATCTAGAAAAATCACAAAGGTAACAGGAACAAAAGTGAACTTTAATTACCATGTAACCATCAATCCACTACGTTTTAAAAAGTGGCATTCTAAAGGTTTTTTTGGAAGAGTGGATTGTGATGTTTACACTATGTTTTCAAGTTATTTCAGCTTATTCTTTAATCCTCAAATATTATGTACCTACGAAAAGCATAGAGACTATTATAATGAATGCCAATGTGCCCACAAGCCAGCATATAAAATAAATTATTATAGATATAAGTGAAGTCCCTTGTTTATCCATCTGGTCCCCAATAAGAAACACAGTGATACACTCAGTATAGGATCGTTCCAGGAGAGTTTTTGGAAAAGGGGACTATTTACAAAGATGTGGGTATAAGAAAACCACACTGGATGGTGCAGAAACTTGGGGCTAGTAGCAACTTAGGTATTAACACCTAGGCCCAAAGGCATAGGAGAGAGAAAGGCGCCTGGAATCCAAAGAAGTATCTTGTAGAATTAGCCACATTGAGAGTTGCAGAGACCTTTAGTCAAGGGACATAGTCAGTTTGAGATGATTTCACAGAGAAGATACCAGGAGAATATTTCCCTTCTTCTCCCTGATCTTTTGTTTCCCCATGGTGTAAACCCAACCTGAGTTATCCAGCATTCTCATCCCATTCCATTCTCTTCCTTTCTTTTTTCCACAGGGGTATTGCTAATTTGAACTTTATGTAAATATACTTTTATTACATTTGTGTATACCCATATATGCAGTGTAGAGTGTTATTTAGTCTCGTAGTTATTTGAATTATTTAACAAATATTTGGAGTGATTTCCCCTCAAATTACATGGGAAAATTAAACTTCCCAGTCCTATTAAAGTTTAGCGTTACTGTGTGATTTGCTTTGGACAATGAAATACGAGGAAAAATGAAATGCGTCACTTCCAGGCAGAAGCTTTAAAAGCTACCATGAAAATCACTTTATCTGCTTCCCACTGGTTGAGTGATCAGTGAAACACGTGATAAGATGAAACCTATATCAACCTGAGACTCTGAGTGACCCACGAACGGAGGCCTCCAGATAATCTGTGCTAAACGTATCATGGCATTAAGCAACTGAGATTTGGGAGTGTTAAGGCAGCATTACCTAGCTTATCCAAACAGACACATTTTGCATGACTTAAGACTTTGTATAAATGTTATCCCACCACATTTATCATCCAGCAATTTTTGCTTTGCAGTTTTGAGATTCACCCATGCTGATGGATGTCGCTATGGAGTTCATTCCATAGCTTCCTTTCCAAATATACCTTATTTGGAGTTCATTCCATTCCAAATATACCTTATTTATTTATCTCTTTTCCCATTGATGGAACATTTAGACACAATTTTATTGCTATCACTGATAATGATAAAATGAACATTCTGGTACATACTTTCTGTGCAGGTGTGCAAGAATTTCTTTAAGAAATACACTCAGGGGAGGAACAGTGTGCTTTTAAGCCTTTCAAAGAAAGTCACAGACCAGGAGGAGACTTTAATCATTGTGAACCATAGTTTCCATCAGAAAGGGTTTCAGAAGTCTTTGCCCCTCAGGATCATTATTTCTACTTTCTCAGAACACTAAAACATGATATTCAGAAAAATTATATTTAAAAATTGGTCTGACCTTGAGAAGACCAAAGACATTCCTAAAAATTAAAAAGACCCATCTTAGAGCACAATGGCTACACAAAATAACACCAATTACTTTTTTGAAAATCATGATAGAAGACGAAATAAAGAAAAAATATAAAATTTGAAGTAGCTTCTTAAAGGATATCCTTTTCATAGGTGTGATGAGAAATAAAGCTACATAATCAGTCACTTACTGACTCAGAAGTATTATCAGCAAATACAATTGGTGAGTAAATATTTAGCTGTCAATCATAGGCCAAGAGACCAGTAACATGAAAATGGATTTTTGACATTTTCAGCTTAGATTACTAATATCAAACAATCACCATATAAATGAGCAATCTGGATAACAAGGTTGCTACCTAGCCCCCAAAGGTGCTAAGAAACAAAAGAATCATTCTGGAATATTTGAATGCAAAGGAAAATGCTCACAAACTGTGTCACATAGATTTCTTTAGAACACACTGTAAGAATATCCAGTGGTAGAATTTCTTATTTGTATAGGTGACAAATATTCCAGATTGTAATATTAAGAGCATAGGCGTAGTATGAATTCCTATAGCACTCAAGACCATACAATACGGTTATGAGGATGACTGGAAAGGTGTCCTCAAGTGGGAATAGCAGATTATGAAATGGTATAATAATAGCCTGATAAGATTTTTCTATCTAATACTAAAGGAGTCCAGAAGAATATACATCAAAATATTGAATTGCACTGGAACAGTGGATTAAGTTAATTTTTGTTTTTGACATATAAAGTCTAAATTTTTCTATAAAATTAAACATTAGATGTACATTACATGTTACATTAAAATTGCTGGGGGTCCACGCTAGGCCCTATTCACCTGGATCACTCTCACACCTGGGGGTGTCACCAGTGGAGGCTGCAGAACAGCAAAGATGGCTGCCTGCTCCTTCCTCTGGCATTTCTGCCCTAGAGGGGCATGGACCTGATGCCAGCAGGAACTCTCCTGTATAAGGTGTCTGGCGACCCCTGTTGGGGGATCTCACCCAATCAGGAGGCACGGGATCTGGGACCCACTTAATGAAGCACTCGGGCTGCCCCTTGGCAGAGACGGTGTATTGCACTGGGGGAATCACACTGGTCCGGACTGCCTCGATTCCTCAGAGCCAGCAGGGGAAAAGACTAAGTCTGCTGATCCACAGAGATCGTTGCTACCACTCCCTGCAGGGGCTCAGTCCCAAGGAGATCAGAGCTCTATCCCTGAACCCCTGAGTGTCAGCTGGATTTGCTGAAATTCCTGCAGAGAGGCCTTGCCCAGTGAGGAGGGATGGGTCAGGGTCTGGCCCAAAGAGGCAGTCTGGCCATGATCTGCCACAGCTGCTGTGCTGTGGGGAATTCCTCCTGGATCAAAATCATCCCGTTTCCCTGGCACTGGCAGGGGAAAAATGGCAGACTGGAGCCACAGTGATGGCAGCCACACCTCCCTGCAGGAGTTCAGTCGTCGCAGGCAGCTGGCAGCCACAGTGATGACAGCCACCCCTCCTCCGGGGGGCTCAGCAGTCTTAGGCAGAACGCGACCGCAGTGATGATGGCCACCCCTCCCCCTGGGTACTCAGTAGTCTTAGTCTCTAGCCGTGTGGCCACCAAGAATCTGCACAGCTCTGTGCTTGGGACCCAAGGCCCTGGTGGTGTGGGCTCACGAGGGAGATCCCCTGATCCACAGGTTGTGCAGATCCATGGCAAAAGCATGGCTTCCTGATAAGGGTAGCACAATCGCTCATCGCCTCCCTTTGCTGGAGATGGTAGTACCCCTTGCCCCATGTGACTCCCAGGTGGGCCTTTGCACCACCCTACTTTCCCTCGCTCTCCGTAAGTCATGCCAACTGCCTAGTCAGTCCCAATGAGAGAACTTGAATACCTCAGTTGCTGGTGCAGGATTCCCTTGCCATTTTCATTCTTCTCAGTGGGAGCCTCCAACTACAGCTGTTTCTAGTCAGCCATCTTGGCCCTTAATCCTAACATTTCTTGTAGGACAAATCTGGTATTGATGAAATCCCTCAGCTTTTGTTTGTCTGGGAAAGTCTTTATTTCTCCTTCATGTTTGAAGGATACTTTTGCTGGATATGCTATTCTAGGGTAAAAGTTTTTGTTTTTTTTTTTCCTTTCAGCACTTTAAATATGTCATGTCACTCTCACTTGGCCTGTAAGGTTTCCACTGAAAAGTCTGCTGACAGACGTATTGAAGTTCCATTGGATGTTATTTATTTCTTTTCTCTTGCTGATTTTAGGATCCTTTCTTTATCCTTGACCTTTGGGAGTTTGAGTATTAAATGCCTTGAGGTAGTCTTCTTTGGGTTAAATTTGCTTGGTGTTCTGTATCCTTCTCGTACTTAGATATTGGTATCTTTCTCTAGGTTTGGGATGTCCTGTGTTATTATTTGTTCGAATCAACTTTCTACCCCATCTCCTTCTCTACTTTCTCTTTAAAGCCAATAACTCTCAGATTTGCCATTTTGTGGCTATTTTCTAGATCCTGTATGTGTGCTTTATTTATTTACTCTTTTTTCTTTTGTCCCCTCTGACTGTGTATTTTAAATTAGCCTGTCTTCAAGCTCATTAATTCTTTTTTCTGATTTATCGGTTCTGCTCTTAAAAGACTCTGATGAATACTTCAGTATGCCTGTTGCATTTTCTAACTCTAGAATTTCTGCTTGATTTTTTAAAATTATTTCAATCTCTTTGTTAAATTTATCTGATAAAATTCTGAATTCCTTCTCTGTGTTGTCTTGAATTTCTTTGAGTTTCCTCAAAACAGCTATTTTGAATTATCTGTTTGAAAGGTCACATATCTCTGTTTCTCCAGAATTTGTGCCTGGTGCCTTATTTAGTTTGTTTGGTGAAGTCATGTTTTCTTGGGTCGTCTTGATACTTGTGGATGTCTGTTGGTGTCTGGGCATTGAAGAGTTAGGTATTTATTTTAGTCTCCACAGTCTGGGCTCGTTTGTAGCAATCCTTCTTGGAAAGACTTTCCAAGTATTTGAAAGGACTTGGATGTTGTGATCTAAGCCATATCTGCACTAAGGGGCAACCCAAACCCAGTAACCATCTGGTTCTTGCAGACTAGTAGAGGTATCAGCATAGTGGTCTTGGATAAGATCCAGAAGAATTCTCTTGATTACCAGGGAAACACTCTTGTTGTCTTCCCTTACTTTCTCCCAAATAAATGGAGTCTCTCCCTCTGTGCTGAGCCACCTTGAGCTGGGGGTAGGTTGACATGAGCAGTCATATTGCTATCACAGCACTGGGTCTCACCCACTGTTACCATTACCTGGCTATCACCTATGTTCACTTAAGTCCCTAGGACTCTACAATCAGCAGGTGGTGAAGCCTACCAGGCCTGTGTCCTTCCCTTCGTGGTGGTAAGTTCCCTCAGGCTCCTGGCAGGTCCAGAGATGCAGAGAGCCAGGAACAGTAGTCAGAAACCTCAGAAATCTACCTGGAATCCTATTGTACTATGGCTGAACTGGCACTCAAACCATGAAACACAGTCCTTCTCACTCTTCCTTCCCCTTTCCACAGGCAAAAGACCTTTACCCAATGGCCACCACCACCACAGGCCCATGGAGAATATTGCCAGGCTACCACTGATGTTCACTTAAAGCCCAAAAGCTCTTTAGTCAGCTTTTGGTGAATGCTTCCAGGCCTGGTACTCACCCTTTAGGGCAGCAGGCTACCTTCTTGCCCAGGGCAGCTCCAGAAATGCCATCCAAGAGCCAAGGCATAGAATCAGGGACCTAGAATCCAGGACCCCACTGTGGCAGTGCTGGTAACTACCTGATTTTTGGTTCTTAAGAAAGTGCTTTTTGTGTAGATAGTTGTTATATGTGGTGTTCCTGCAGGGAGAACAATTGGTGGAGCCCTCTATTCAGCCATCTTGATCCGCCCTTCCAGCTGCATGGTAATTTCACCGCTTTTAAAACTACATCAGCTTCCTATAGACTTTTGTTTCAAGTAGTTCTTTTCTAAGATGAAATTACATTATTGAAGCTTTCTGGTCACTCCGGCCAAATGAAATATCACTCATTAACCTGAAGCACCCTGCGTAAGACCTGTCACTTTGCAGCTGACATAGTGACACTTGCTCTAATTTCAGTTGCGATATACCTGCTGCAGTTCTTCTCTTTCAGAGCATTTCATTTCCAGTCACTTGAGTACATTCTGACACCCTGTGATTTTTAAAGTCAAATAAATAATTGCTTAATTTCCTCCTGAGCTTTGATGAAATGTCAAAATCATTATAGAAATTGATGAGAATTGTGCTAGGGTCTTGTCAGTAGCTCACTGCATCCCTATTACCCTCATTCCTAGTCAAACTCTGGGGTGATTTAAGGAGCATGTTCTGATCTAAATTTAGATTTTAATTGCAATAGTTAGGATATAATGTTTTTCATTGACTGTTTACTTTTGTTTGGAATTAATTTGGATGACAGAGTCAGTATTAATTAGGACCAGGAGAATGTGCAGGGGAAAAAACTATCCTGATAATTTAAAAATTTATTTTTGTCCAATAACTTCAAACTTTTCTCTAAAACGTTTTTGCAGGGTGGTTAAAAATATCACATTTAGAATTGAAATCAGTCATCCTCTCTCACTCTTTCTTAGCTACATTCGGATCAGAATTCAAGCTCATAGTGACATGTACAAAAAGTGAATGACAGGAAAAAGGACAAGAACATCCCAACAGTGACGTTGGATAATTCACAATCTCAAAAGATAAGAATTGACTCTGTCGAAATGGAGAAGCCCCAAACCATATGTCACCCTGGGCATGTGCCATGCACTAACTACCTTTGCTGTTATAATGAAAGAGAAAATAAAGCTGTCAAAGGCACAGGAACAACCAGCTGTAGAGAATGAATAATGCCACTTCCAGAGGACTTACACGGTTTACAAAGTCAAATTCCTTCTATAACCAGAGCCTCATGAACTACCTAGAATAAAGCATCTCTTCGGTACTGCCCAGATTACAAAAAGTTAATCACACAGTGAAAAGAGCCATAGATAATAAATCTGCAGACCTGTATGATAGTTCCAAAAGCTCTTCTGTGAGGCCTTAAGAAAGTCACTGTGTCTCTCAAAATCTTGATCTTCTGGCTTATAATAATGAAGATACACCATGAATGTAATGTTTGTGAAATTGCTTCAGCAATTATAAAGCACTATGTAAATGGAAATGATTAACAATAATGGTTCTAAATATTTATTGTGGTTTCACCACTGTAGAGAGATGAAGCAAAAGCATTAATGTTGATCTCTATCTTCAAGGTACTTACAATTATATCAGGGAGATAAGACTGCTAATGTCTTATCTCCAACCTCCAACCCTGGACAGCATGTAATTAGCCAATGCTCTGAGTGTTCAAAATACATTTGTAAGAATCATCTTATTTGACCCTCACAATAGCCCTAGAAAGCAGGTAGAATTATTACTACCATCCTCATTTAATAGATGGAAATCAAAATAAGGAAGTTACTTGCCCAGTGGGGGCACAAGCCCACACCTATGCCTTCTAACTCCTAATTAAGTACACTTTCTGTTTCCTCATTTAGCTATGTTAAGTGGCACTGATTCTATAACTTTTATAGAAATTTAGAGAAGGGACAAATGGCTGACGAATAAGAATAAGAAAGGTCAGGAAAGTCTTTATGGAGGAGGCACTTCAGAAAGCGAGATAGGATTTGAGTAGATTGAGAAGCTATGAGGGAGCATTCACACTATAATTACCTAATTACCAGGGGAAGGGTGAGTTCTTCAAGCCACACACACAAGACCCACTCAAATTTTATATGTCCTCATTCCCATCTTTATTCAGAGAATCACTGCATCATGATCCACCACTGCTAAGAGAGGTGTTTAACTCTCAGGTCTGTTAAGGCAGAAAAAAAGCAAACCACCTAACTCCCTTGTCCAGCTCCTTTGCCTGTCTGTCTCTCACACATATTCCCTTCCCTACAAAGTATGTTCAGCTTCCTTTTCTTGTAAACTTAAACTTGTACATTTTACAACAGTAAAAACAGCTTTATTTAGTTGACAAAAATAAAGACTAATGAGTGTTAGTTACAGACCTTTCCGAGAAATTACTTATGCAAAATTAAGTTAATAAAACTAAATAACCTATTTTTTTCAAATAGTCTTCAACTCTCAAAATTCTAGAATGTCTCTTTACAGATTAATGATAAGTAAACTGGAAAGGGAAATAATAACTCTATACAAATTCAGATATTCCTTTGGTTGCCCCACTGAATTTTGATGGGCAGAGAGATTACATTTCAACTGGAGCGCAAAAGACTTTGTTTCCATTGTCTGTGCTGAGATTGTTGGCAAAATGCACATACCCGTCTTGAAGACTATACGAAATTTCTTATAATGCCTCACTGCTAGGGCTGGACAGACTTCACCACAGTCAGTCTACCTAAGTTTGAGATAGCTTATGGTGAAGCATAGTGCTGTAGGGCCTGGATTTCAAACAGAGTTCTGCAGAACTCTTGGGTGTTTCAAGAGTACAAATATGTGAGTTGAATTTAATGTTAGAAAAGCACTCTAAACTATTTGTTAAACTGTAGTAAACATAATATGCTCGCTCAAATGTGCCATGCTTGAGCAGGTTGAAAGTCGTAGATAGTTTCCTTGCGTGGTACGGTGAGGCAGGTTTGGGAGCAGACCTTGGAATAAAGTTCTTCCCATTAGATCTGGTATAAATTTGAGCTTCTTAGACATATGTCATTTATTAGAGAGTTATGAGTTCTCATTTACCTTTTTATTTCAGTCCTGTGCTGGTCCACTTCCACAAAATTGCACAAATGAGAAGAGGATTACCGAACACATGTGCGGGGCCCAATGCAACGCAAGGCAAGGCACAGCTGCATTACCAGTGCTTGCTCTAAATTCACATGATAGTCAGTTATGCAGTTACAAAGGGGCATGGACCATGTTGGATGATGACACTATCATCATACTATAGAACATTGAAGCAGGCTTGTGAGTTAACAATTAGGTGCTGTTGCTAGTGATTCAAGTTTAAAATAAAGATGTCCTCTTTTAATCTCTCAAGCCTCAGGATTAGTGAAATTTAAGCATTTTGAGATTGCTGGAAATCTATAATTAACACCTGCTACCATTTGCAGCTACTATACTTTTAGATTCATGTGGACTTTCTCAATACTGGGCATTCAAAACAAAATTAGTTAATAAATTGGATAGTGAGGCTGTCAGATGACTGCTACCTGCATCTAATTTTTATGTTCATTAAACAACTTTCATCCTTCTCATTGACTGACATTAATCGTAATTCCTAAAATTACACACTGGAATTATAAAGTATCTATGATACATTTATAACAAATGTTGTCTGTTTTCTACATCCAGGTGAGTAAAATTTTGTTTGAAAACAAAAGTTTCTGCTATTTGAAGGAAGGAAGGAAAGGAGGAAACAACGAAGCAGAGGGGAGGAAGCAGAGAAGGGAGGCAAGGAGAATTGAAAATCACTGGCCAAGTTATAATACTAGCCTAGGATATGACCGCCATGAAGTCGAATTAATTCTATCATAGACATGCTGTGTTCCCTTGAGCATTTACGTTCTTTCCCCTCAAACCCTTGGCTTCCCAATCTGTAAAACTCATGCACTTAACAAAGATTTACTGAGCAATACACTGAACTCAGAGCTGTGCCTGGTGCTGAGGAGGGTACAGTCGTAAGAGAAACAAGTGTGGCCCATGCCTTCATAGGGCATATAGTTAGTGAGGAGGCAGGGAGGGAGAAGGAGAGAGAGAGAATAACTGGGTTAAATAAACATAGTTGTAATAATTCTACCTGCTCCCTAGGGCTATTATGAGGGTCAAATGAGATGATACTTGCTTGCAAATGTATTTTGAATACTCAGAGCATTGACCAACTACATGCTGTCTGGTGCTGAAGGTTAGTTGTTTCATTGACATCACCAATCTTGTCTCTCTGATATGACTGTAAGTACCTTAAGGATAGATATCAACTTTAGTGCTTTTTCTTTATCTCCCTACAGTGGTGAGTATATAATAAAAATTTAGAGCAGCTACTGTTTTGTAATAAATTGTCCCTCTCCCTCATTCATATCTTCCACATTTTGCCTCCTTTCATTTCCTGGAAAACACCACGCTCTTTCCTGCCTTTGACTCTCTCGCTATGGTGTTCCCAAAGCCTGGAATCCTGTTTAGCTTGCCCACATTCCTCCTGCCTTCAATGGCTGGCTCTTTCTCAGCCATTAGATTTCTGCATCAATGTTACCTCCTCAGTAGAGACTTCCCTTTCTTCCCTAGTAGATATTTCCTTTGATTTTCCAACAAGTCTCTTTTGGGTTACAGCTCAAGTCTCATTTAATTTCTTTTTCTTTTTCTTTTTTTTTTTTTTTTTTAACCTTCAGCTGGGCTGCTTTGAATCTGCCCTGCACATGTGTGATTCAATGGTCAGCCAGAGACGCAATGGCTGTGCTTGCTCCAGACTCTGTACTCTAATTCGTTAAGCCTGTGTGACTGCAGATTTTCCATCAGAGTTCCAGCCACTTTATACTGCTAAAGTCTGGAAACAGGCTGAAGGTAGCAGTGTAAAGTGGCTAGAACTTAGGAATCTCACCCGATGCCATCACTTCTTTCAAGTGTCAATCCTCCACACACTCACAACTCCTGCTTTTGTTCAATCATTTCTAGTTGTTATGAAGGGTGAGATCCAGTAGGAACTACTCAGCCATAGCAGAAGTGGAACACCCAGGACTGTCTTTTTAAAAAGCAAATCAGGTCATATAACATCTCTGGTCAAAATACTGCAGTGGTTCCCCAAATTACTCAGAATAAAAGCCAAGCGACCTACCTAACTCATCATAACCTGGCCTGTGCTATTATGACTCTGCCTTCATCTCCTTTACTCTCCCCCTTATTCACTCTATTTCATCTTCATTGATTTTGTTGTTCTTTCATGCTATCAGGAATGTTCTCTAGTTTTTTTTTCTGTGCCTATAGCAGTTATCCCAGATATCCAGATAGCAGGCTTTTTCACCACTTTAACTCTGAGCTCAAATATTAGCTTTTCATTAATACAACTTTCCATTCCAAAACTTCATAGCTTTCATTCCTCTTCCCTTTCTTTATCTTTTCTTTTCTCAGTAGCACTTATCACCTTCTGATATATATTATTTATTTATTAGTGTTTATTGCCTATTGTCTGTCTTCCCTCACTTGGCTGTAATCTATATAAAGGACAGCAGAAACCTTTGTCTCTTTTGGTTTATTCCTGCATCCTGAGCATCTAGATCAGTACCTGGAACAGAGTAGGTACTCAGTATATTTTTGTGAAATGAATAAGAGAATAAATATATGAATAAAGGTTACTCATTTCTTACATGGGGAAGCTACACACAATTCAGGGAAGCAACCATCACACAAAGAACTTAGGGAGATCTTCATTAGGATTGTCTTCAAACATTGGGAACATTGTTTGACCCTCTTCAGCAATACTGAACACTAACTTTAAGGATGAACTTACCTTTTAGAAATCACCAAAAAGTCTCGGCTGGGCACGGTGGCTCACGCCTGTAATCCCAGCAATTTGGGAGGCCGAGGCGGGTGGATCACAAGGTGAGGAGATGGAGAGCATCCTATCTAACACAGTGAAACCCCATCTCCACTAAAAATACCAAAAATTTGCCGGGCGTGGTGGCACGCACCTGTAGTCCCAGCTACTTGGGAGGCTGAGGCAGGAGAATCACTTGAACCAGGGAGGCAGAAGTTGCAGTGAGCCAAAGTCACACCACTGCACTCTAGCCTGGGCGATAGAACAAGACTCCGTCTAAGAAAAAAAAAAAAAAAAGAAAGAAAGAAAAAAGAAAAGAAACTACCAAAAAGTCTCTCTGAACCAAAAATAGTCAAAAGAGAAGGTGAATAATATGGACATTATTATTTTAGGTTAAAAATATTATATTAAAAGACAATGTTTAATGTTTTGACTCATCAGCATCCTATGAAGCATTTCCCAAGAAGTCCCAAAAACACTTCCGGTGCCTGCTGAATTGGTATATGGTTTTGTAATGAAACAGTTTTGAAGTAAAGGGTTCTGATTTTTTTTCTTTTTTAAAGCATCATTATTTTATATTCCTCTTCTGCAACATTACTGAGATAAAAGTCTGCACTGCATTTACAGAAGCTAGAAAAATTTAGCTCTTAATTTTTAGCAGATGTGAGCAGTATAGACAAATTTCTCCTCAGTGTTCCTTCAACAAGTTTGGGGCAATTGAATCTGGTGGAGTTGGAGATAAACACTGGGTCTAAAGAGTCTTGATTCCAGTGACGTTAATGGTTAGTGCCACAGTTGTTGTAGCTCATTAATGGGAAAATAAAGTTTATTTAGTGTTAACATAAAAGGAAATTGTTGAATTTGCCTTTTTTCCTAGCTTCTTGCATTCTAAATTGGTATTTTTAATTATTAATTATTTATATTATAATCCCACAGTGGTGTAGTTGAAGTACTTTCTAAGGGTGCTGTAATATGGCTTATTTTATCTCTATCGTCACCCTATCTTTTTCCTGGGTGATTAGTTGCCATAGAATTGCATTTCTTAGTACTTATCTATTGATTTAACACTATGGGTACTTATTAAGCAGTCTTTCCTAGTATTGGGTGAATTAGAAGATCACTGTCCTCATTTAGTTAATGGCTTATTTTACTCTTTGCTCTACTGACCCTCATTCTGCATGTATTATTTTTTATCTCCTAACATTAGAATATATAGACAGAAATGTCTACCCTTCTACCTTTGCTGAAAGCATACTAAGAAATGAGTAAGCAGGTGATCAAGCCTTCCTATAGTTGTTTCTAATTCTTTTTCCTGTTACTATACACCCAATACATCAAATAGTTTTTGTCTTAAGCTCCAAGCCAAACAACTTATAGTAGCTATCTGGAGCACTCTGCTGAGGGGTATATAGCCTGATCTAGCTCACTGAGAAAGCATACCATAATTAATTAGTGATATCTTCTATCAGCATATGACAGGAAATTCAGGACACCAGCGAAGCTTATTATAGGCCATGGAAACAAGATCAAAACACCTCAAGAGAGGAATAGAGAATGTGGAATAAAGGGCAAGATTAACTATGTATATATTTAACCTGTGTATTCTGGGCTTATGGACTTTTGGATAATTGCAGTCTTTCCGCAAAGCACCACATGCTTCTGAACACAGCAACAAGGATTAGGAGACAAAGCAGACAGTGGTTTATATCCACTTTGGCTAGAAGTCTCTTCCTACTTGTAATCCAAGTGGGATTTACAAGATTTGCCTTTTGTAGAGTGCCCTGATACCTCTTGGATAACACAATGAAATGTAACCCACTCCTAACCAAGGCAAAATATCTTAGGATATTACTATTTAAACACTCCATGACCAAGATTACTTGTACTAAATATGCATAAAATATATAATTCATAAGATTGTATATAAACACCATTTTTTCTGGTACCTGTCAATACCCCTGGTAGGTAGCTATTTTCTGATGTTCACCTGGGTGGTATGACTTAATTTTCATTCCTGAGGGATCTGAGCTGCTCTCAGTTTCCCTACCTGTATAGAATCAACTATAAAAAACCATAGCTTATTTTTTTTGCCCCATTTTTCTTGGTTGTCTAGTGGGCTCCAGATGGCTAGGTGTCAAACTTAACTTCCAGTTGCTAAAGACACAGGTAGGTTTCATGAACACAGTGGTAACTGTCATGATCTACCTCCTATCATACTGTTATAGTTTCCTCAACCTGTACCTGTAACCTCGTGGAGACTTAGCTATAACCAAGGTAGTCAGGGAAATATTTGAGCCTGGATTATAGATTGTGGCACCAGCCAGAGTGGTCCCTTACAGTATTACAGCCTCACAGGAACCTGCCATTCCTCTTCTTGGGACCTCTCTGGTATTATATGCATCTCGTACCTTTCCTCTCCCGCTCTGGATTTTAGTTTCTAGGTCGCCATTAATAAAGCCTGCCTTCTTCAGATTTCTTCTGTCTCTGATTCTGAGTCCCACCCTCTCTGACTTTATTCATTGCATGTCATTGAAATTTTACTGGAATCATCTTGACTCTGACCTTCTCTAGCCAACAATACACTCAAAAAAAAAATAAAAATAAAAAAACAAAAAAACCCATAAGGTTGGAAAGGCTCCTTGGTGTCCTCATCTGGTTCCTGAAAACTATACCATAACTAATTTGATTAACTTTTTTAATGTTATCATGGTTTATCTTTCACTTTTTGCTAACCCACTCATCTTTTGGGATGAAAAGATCTCAGGTTATTAGACACCGAATACTTACAGTTATTTGTCATCTATTATCAGTAAGTAATTTATTCTCAACATGATCTGTTAAGGCCCAGACTAGACATACAACCAGGCCTGCAAAGAATTTGAATGTTAAGAAGTCTAAAAATGTTCTTGTCCTCTTTCTAAATATAGAGGAAAACATTCTTGACATTATAGGCATACATTCTAATTAATTAGTCAAAAATTATGTTGTATAGAAATAGCAATACTTTGTATCCCAGAAAAAGTACTGATGGTGGTTAAGAAATAATAATTATATTCTCATTTTCAATAATCAGAAAAAATAGTTTGAATAGAACAGATGAATGGTTCTCCACAGCTGAACAGACATCAAAATATTTAGCATAGTATTATAAAAGTTCACTTTAGAGACAAGCTATTTTTAGGACTATATCCTTGCAAATATCCTGAGAGATCCTAGACAAAATAAAGACGTAAAAGAAAGAAAGAAAACTGCCATAAACAGCTCCAACTGCTTATTCTGAATACAAATCAAAGTTATTTGAGCTTGGAAAAACAAAGTGAGAAATTGACCAAAATGCTCCTCAAGCTACTGTCTACATAAAGCATACTAGCAAAGCTCACAGATTGCAAACCTATGTCCTGAAGAACAGGGGTTCCCTAAGTTTAAAACATCTTAGGAAGTCCTGGCTGATTGAAAACTGTCCGAGGAATTCTTCACAACAACTTAAAAGAACTGAGTAAAATTTGTTCTCACAGAAAAGATAGAGTTCATTAATTTTCCATCTCCTGATGGTAGAAGTCAATTGACTATAAACAGGCGATCCAAGCTTAGAGATGTATTGTTTACCTACTGCTTCTAAATAGCTTGGCACCATTAAACAGAGTAACAAGGCACAAAATTCAGAACTAAATTAAGTCATGTAAACAGTGTTCTTCTGGATATAGATTCAAGTAAATACGTATCATTCCCAAAATAGGGATACAACCCTGAATCTACCAATGGAGTGGCATTTTTAAAATACCGTCATCAACTAATGAGAGATCAGGATGGTCAGAACAGCGCTCTATTGTGGACATTTATTTTTAACTCATTGCGCAATATATGTTTCTTTTGTGAAATTTGGCCATGGTAAAAAGCCTTTGAAAACACAAATTGCAATAATGTTGCTGTAGGAAGTTCTGGATTCTATAGCCATAGCTGGAAACCAAAGAATAGTCTATTGTATTTCCAGATGTTCATTGAACATCTTTACTTGTATACCCCATATGCATCTTCAATTCGGTATGCCTAGACTGGACTCAGTTTCATTCCCCACCCTTGACAAAAACAAAACAGAGCAAAATAAACATTTTTAAAAAAAAAAAAATTGCTCTCCTCCTTCTTTGTTTTTTATCTGGGTGAGTGGCATCAATATTCAACCAGTTACCTACACCAGATGGCTGGGACTCAAGCTTGATACTTCCCTCTCTTTTACTGCCTGCATTCAATCCATCACCATATCCTATTGATTCTGCCTACAAAATAGCTCAAATTTGCTTTGTTTCCTCCATCTCCATCAACTTTAACCTAGTTTATCATCATCTCTCAATCCCTTTACCACAAAAGCCTCGTAGATGGTTTCTGTCTCTTACCTCAAACTCCTCGTATTTATTCTCCGTACATCAAACAGAGTGGGGTTTTTTGTTTGTTTGTTTTTGTTTTTCCAAAAACAAAAACTCCATCATGTCATGTTGTTGCTGAAACACTTTGATGGCTCCCCATTGCTCTAAGGGGAAAAGAAGACAGATTATTCCAGTGGCCTCTAAGGCTTTGCTTGTTCAGATTTGGGACTGGGGAAAGGGAGGTAGTTCAGAACTTCATCATTTCAAATCATAATGATTCTATCATCCCAAACAATATGATAAATAGTTGAAACCAGGTACAATAAAAATTAGGTAGGCCAGGTGCAGTGGTTCACACCTGTAATCCAGGTACTTTAGGAGGTTGAGGCAAGAGGATCACTTGAGCCCAGGCATTCAAAAATGTGAACTATGATCATGCCACTGCAATTCAGTTGGGGCAACAGAGCAAGACCCTGTATCTAAAAAATTAATAAAATAATAAAATAAAATATTAGGTAGTGGCAGAAACTAGAAGAAATCCAAGGAATCAATGCTGTCTAGGGTTGTAAAACTATATCCCCATTAAAACGCATGCATTCAGGGTCACCATTAACAAAACAGCTACTCTGGAGGCTGATGAAGGAGAATTGCTTGAACTCGGGAGGAAGAGGTTGCAGTGAGCCAAGATTGTGCCACTGCACTCCAGCCTGAGTGACAGAGTGAGACTCAGTCTCAAAAAATAAAAATAATAAAAATTAAAAATCCATTGTAAGTGGTGGAAGATAAAGGTGAGAGTATTTCCCAAAGTATAACAAAACACCAAGATACACTAAAGTGAAGAAATATAAGAAAATTAAATAATCAATCGAAGGAACCAATACCCAAATAATAGAAATTTCAGAAATAAAAAGCAAGGCAAAGAAGGGGGAGGAAATAAAAGAAATAATACAAGAAAACTTCCTAGAACTAAAAGATATATTTCCACATTAGGAGGACCCACTGAGTGTCCAGCACAAAATGTAATATCAAAAGCCTTAAATCAGAATAAATATTTATTTATTCAAAATATCAAAAAGTTGATTAACATTCTTAGCAAGCTATTTGAAAATGGACTGATGAACCCTTCTTAGCAAGCTGTTTAAAGATAAGCTGCATCAAAAAAAGCAAGCAAACCAGTAATGAGTAAGAGGTGGGGTCTAGGAAAGTGGAGATCAATGCAAAAAAGAGGTGAAGAAAATTTCCCAGACGATGATGAGGAAAAGCCCCCAGAATGGCACATGTGGAACTGGTTTAGAGAGCGATTAGTCCAGATTGGAGCAAGGAATGTGAGAGGAAGAGGGCATGAGTAGATGGGAGGAAGTGTGGAAGAAAAAAGAGAAGGAGCTGATAGAATACCTGATATGTTTGATTGCAAAAAGGGGTTTTAACTATCTGCTATAAAATTTAGGGAAAATCTAATGAGTTCTATATAAATAAAGCAAAGAAATAGGAAACAAGGGAATTATTAACTCTATGTAAAGTACTTTAAAAGTCAGTACAAAATATGGCTCAGCCATGTACAATATTTACATAATCAAAATGTTTGCAAAGATAATATTGATTTTAAGATGATAATATAACTATTTAGAAAATGGGGGTATGGATATAGGAGGTTGCTATGGTTTGAATGTGTCTCCCAAAAAGCATCTGTTGGAAACTTAATCCCCAATGCAACAATGTTGGGAGGTGGAGCCTAAAGGAAGGTGTTTGGGTCATGAGCTCCCCACCCTCACGAATGGAGTCATGACAATTATAAAAGGGCTTGAAGCTGCAAGTTCAATCTTTTGCTCTTGCCCTTGCCCTCCTTTGCCCTTCCATATTCTGCCATGGGATGATGCATCAGGAAGGTACTCACCAGATGTAGGCACTTGATATTGGACTTCCCAGCTTCTAGAACCATGAGAAATAAATTTCTATTGTGCATAAGTTATCCAGTCTTTGGCATTCTGTTATTGCAGCAGAAAATGGACTAAGACAGGGGCTCTAAGAAAAATAAATCCTGTTTTTCATAGTTGAGAGTTAATGAATAACATCTAAAATGTAAAAATTAAGAAGTAGCTGTCAGGCTGGGCAAAGTGGCTTATGCCTGTAATCCCAATGCTTTTGGAGGCTGAAGTGAGAGAATTGCTTGAGGCCAGGAGTTTGAGACCAGCCTGGCCAACACAGCAAGACCCCATCTCTACAAAACCAATATAAAAAATTAACCAGGTGTGGTGGCACACACCTATAACCCTAACTACTCAGGAGGCTGAGTTGGGAGATCACATGAGGCAAGGAGTTCAAGACTAGCCTGGGCAACAGAGTGAGACCCTGTCTCTACGGAAAGAAAAGTAGCAATAAAAGCAAAGTACTAAGAAATATAGAAAAACATACAAGATCAGGGAACAAGAAAAAAGCCCAAAGAGATAAGAGTGGTTGCCTCTGGCGAACAGGACAGGAGTACGCGGTGGGAGTAAGGGATTTCTGTTGTTCCTCTCAATACTTGTAATATAAATTAACTTTTGAGCAATGTAATATCTGATTTGAATTAAAAATTTTAACTTAAAAACTGAATGCATAACAAACATGGTGCCTAACACAACACCTTTTACTGCCTAACAAATCATGGGTGTGTTCTGCGTCTTAGTGAGCAGCACCACCACCTGCATTGCCTCTTGCCTCTACCACCAAAACAACCACAGCCCTCGGCCACACCCTTAGTGTTCTCTCCCAAACACATACTCTCATTTTTTGCAATATGGATAGGCTGAGAATTTTTTAAATCTTTAAGTTCTGCTTTCTTACTGCTCAACAATTCTGTCTTTAAGTTGTTTCTCTCTTTTTGCATTTTAATATACAAAGTCATGAGGGGCTGCGCATAGTGGCTCACACCTGTAATCCCAGCACTTTGGGAGGCTGAGGCATGCAGATCACTTGAGGTCAGGAGTTCAAGACCAGCCTGACCAAGATGGTGAAACCTCACCTCTACTAAAAATACAAAAATTAATCAGGCATGGTGGCACACACCCATAATCCCTGCTACTTGGAAGGCTGAGGCAGGAGAATTGCTGGAACCTGGAAGGCAGAGGTTTCAGTGAGCCAGGATTGTGCCATTGCACTCCAGTCTGGACAACAGAGTGAGACTCCATCTCAAAAAAAAAAAAAAAAGTCCTAAGGATTAATTTTGTTTAGGAACATCTTCAGCTAAGTATCTAATTTCATTGCTCACAAGTTCTACCTTCCACAAAACACTAGAACATAAACACAGTACAGCCATGCTCTTTGTCACTTTATAATAAAAATTGTCTTTTTCCCAGTTTCCAATAAAGTTTCTCATTTCCACTTGCAATCTTATCAGAATGGCTTTTATTGTTCATAATTCTACCAAAATTCTGTTCATAATTACCTAGGTATTTTCTAAGAAAATTGAGGTTCTCTCTCCACCTCTTCTCTTTTCTTTTGGAGCCCTCACCATCATTGCTTTTAATGATTGTTTATGACAATGTAGGCTTTTTATAGCATGCACTTCAAAACTCTTCTATCCTCTACCCATCACTCAATTCCAAAGCCAATTCCACATTTTTAGTTATTTGTTATAGCAGTACCTCCTGTCTCAGTACCAACGTTTATCTTAGTCCATTCAAGCTGCTATAACTAACATAGACCGGGTAGTTTACAAATAACAGAAATTTATTTCTTACAGTTATGGAGGCCGCAAATTCCAAGATTAAGCTGCTGACAGATTCAGTGTCGGGAGAGGGTTGATTTCCTGGTTCATAGATCATCTTCTTACTGTGTCCTTATATGGCAGAAGAGGTGAAGAAACTCTCCAGGGCAAGGGAGCCCTTTGGAGTCTCTTTTATAAGGCATCAGTTTTATTCATGAGATTTCTGCCTTCCTGACCCAATCACCTACCAAAGATTCTACCACCTAATATCATCACGTTGGGGATTAGGATTTCAACATATGAATTTTGGGGGGACACAAACATTCTGTTTAATGCAGTACAATTTTATAGGCATGTTACAATTCAACTTCATCAGATTATATGCCATTGGCCTAAATGCTTTCACATTATGTACTTTTAAAATTGCTAACCCTCCTCCTGGAGTGCCTCCTCCCTACCGCCTCTCCAATTCTCCTCATCCCCATCTCACTATTTTCACCTGTAGCAGTCCTACCCATCCCCCATTCTCCAGCTCAAACTACACTTCCTTTTGCAGATTTCTTTAGATTTTGTCAGTCACAAGTCATCGCCATACTCCCATTAGGCTCTGTAAGTTTGCTTTGACCACAATTCTTTGTACCTATACGATGTTTTCTCCAGACTAGTGTTTTTTAGAATGTGTATAAGAATTACCTGATGTTTTGGGTAGTAATTAAGATTCCTGAGATCCAACGCAACTCCACGGAGTCAAAAGCTCTGTGGGTGAATGCTGAAAATCTGTATTTGCATGAGCTCTCCAGGCAATTCTTAGGCTTACTAAAGTTCCAGAACATTTGCCCTACACTGAGAGACACTCTCCGCAAAGGAGTCACACCATCATTCTTCTGTGAGTTCTCTTCTCCCTCCATTCCTGTTGCTTAACATAGTGTAAATATTCAATAAATGTTTTAAATGTTAATTTACTGTGGCCACAAATGAGTCTTGGAGCAGAAGCCATAGCTGAAAATTTCAAAAATTTTACAATACCTTCTTGTGTTAGGCCGTTCTCACATTGCTATAAAGAAATATCTCAGACTGGGTAATTTATAAAGAAACGACATGCAATTGGCTCCTGGTTCTGCAGGCTATTATAGGAAGCAGGGTGCTGGCATCCCCTCAGCTTCCGGGGTGGCCTCAGGAACCTTACAATCACGGCAGAAGATGAAGGGAGAGCAGCCATGTCACGTGGCCATGACAGAAGCAAGAGAGGTGCCACACACTTTTAAATAATTCTCACAAGAACTCATTCACTATCTCCAGGACAGCATGCAGGGGATGGTGTAAACCATTCATAAGAAATCTACCCCCATGATGCAATCACCTCCCACCAGGCCCCAGTTCTAACACTGGGAATTATAATTCAACGTGAAACTTGAATGGGGACACATGTCCAAGCCATATCAGTTCTACAACTTAGTTTTCAGTAGGTTTTAGCTTAAAGGCAAAGGAAAGCTATCAGATGTCATAAGAATACCAAAAACTATCATTTTCCCTTCTCTCCACCCTTCCAATTCACTATCGAGCTTCCAGAAGTATACAGTAAAAGGAGGAGCTCTTATTAATATCTACTACACTATAAAAAGAACTCTGTGTAGCAATTCTTAATCAGAATGAGAAGAATGATCTTGTTCTTCATCCCTGAAGCTCTTAATATCTGTACACTATATTTAATCACCTGGGCCCCTTAATTTGCTGACATTTAAATAATCTCAAATTAGATTTCCTGGAGCACTGTTCCAAATAAGTAACTTTTGAAGATAATGTTGGATCTTAGTTGCAAATCATGCCACTAGTTACTACTTGCAGCTTCTGCAGCATCCTGAAAAATTACCCTATTTAAATAATTTTCTTTCAATGTGGTTGGAGTCTGCATAGTTATGTAATAGAGTTTTTATATTTGAGCCAAAATAACATCAAGAAAGTGTGACATAACAGATAAAAGGCTTCTTTCTCATCCTTAGTATAGAGCGGGTTCAAACACTCTAAACATGTATAATAATATTCTTTTTTATATTTCTACTGCATTAGTTTCACACCTGTCATTACATTTGGTCTCCATTACATCCCTGTGAGTCTAATAGCGCTAGTATTATTAATTCAGTTTTATAGATGAAGAAAATGGATTTTAGGTAGATTATGTGATCTAGCTCAGAGTACACAATCAGAACTTAAACCCAAATCTTCTTACACCACAGAGCATATTCATTCTACTATATAAGGGGTTCTCAAGCTTTATGAAAAGCCACAATTGTGACATATATCCCTAAGGTCTAACTACCCACCTGTCATCACCAACCCAGTACACCACTGATCATTTATTGACAAACTATGGCTATTTTAATTCTCTGCAGGTGCCTTTCAGAGACAGTGAGATCACACGGTACAGGCAGCACTTGTCTCACATACATACAAAGCCAGGCTGGCCTAGACTCCTTATTGGAAAAGGATGGCATAGTACAAGTCCCCTGTTAATGAGATGTTAAGTCTGAAGCCATATCCCCATTCCTACAAAGGCAGCATACACAAGCCCTGGCCTTCATAGAAGAGTGCCTCTAAAGGGAATCGTGCCCAGTTATTTAAGAAATTTGCTAGAGATTACATGTTCCCTCAAAACTCAGGGATTTCACCTAATCGGCAGCTCATTAGGATTTAATGCATTGAGGATTCAAAAGGAAACACCATCCTATCCTTTATTACCCTGAGCACAGTGACCTGTCCCAGAGGAATAGTCTTCAGCCAAGTAAGAAGACTTCAAGAAAATGAATGGGAGAGCTTGTTGTATATCTCTTGAAGGTTAAGTAATGTGTAAACTGGTCTCTGCTGTCATCTGGAATCTAAAGATGAAAGATAAATTAGGGTGGACTATAGCTGGAGTGGCCGACATGGCCAGAGTTTGGTAGGTGAAAATATTTTCCATGGGCAACAATAAACACTGAGGAAGATTGACGGATGTGAATCATGCGGAAGGGGCCTAGCCCAAGAGATCTGCCTGCCATGGCAGGGATATCCCCCCAAAAAAAGCAGGCATCAGTTGTATTCCCAGAAGCAGGAGAGGGGTGGGTAGAGTCAAAGGTAGTCAGCTTAGAGGGTATATCACCCATGATAGAGATGATGCAGTGGGATGATCCCATGGTGGAGTGTCTCCAGAGAGTTCTTAAAAGCACTGTACAAGAGGAAGAGTCAGCATTGGGGTGTGTGTCACATCCACAGCAGACCAATGCAAGATAAACACTGTACAGTCAGGTAAAGCTTTGCCCATTTCCTTTCCTCCATCCTATCTGGCAGGTGGAAGTGAAGCCAGAAGAAGCATAATGCTTGGAAGGGGAGGGTGGCAAAAGCTGATGAGAATGAAGAAAAGAAAGACTCTGTCCCTTTGGTGGACTCCATCATGTGCTGCCCAGTTTCTCATTCAGAAATGAAGGGCTAGGCCGGGCGCAGTGGCTCATGCCTATAATCCCAGCCCTTTGGGAGGCCGAGGCGGGCAGATCACAAGGTCAGGAAATCAAGACCATCCTGGCTAACATGGTGAAACCCCGTCTCTACTAAAAATACAAAAAATTAGCTGGGCATGGCGGTGTGTGCCTGTAATCTCAGCTACTCGGAAGGCTGAGGCAGGAGAATCACTTGAACCCAGGAGGTGGAGGTTACAGTGACCCGAGATCACGCCACTGCACTCCAGCCTGGGTGACAGAGTGAGACTCCATCTCAAAAAAAAAAAAAAAAAGAAAAGAAAGAAATGAAATGAAATGAAGGGCTTACTCTCCCAGGAGTGCTGCCAGTTGACAGCCCTTGGCTCTCTGCCCCTTTATGAGGATTACCACAGCTGCAAAAAGCCACCTTTCCCCAAGTCACGCCTTCTTTCAGGGAAGAGTGACCTACATTCAATGACGGATACATACAAGGTATAAATGCCTGGCTCCCTCACCCAACACTGGACAACTCTGATGGGTCATCTCAGCTTCAGAGTTTCCCATTGGGTTGGCCAAGACCTCTGCTGGGATGTCCTGCAGCTTAACTCCTCCTGTATAATACTGCTTCTTTCCATTTATTTCTATCCACAGGTGTTGCTCCCAAAGGCACTCTCTAATAAGCCTTCTGTTTGTCTATTCCCAGCTCAGAATTTGCTTCTGGGAATCACAATCTGAACCAGCTCCACGTTTCTGACTAGATTCTTCTGAGTCTAGGTTGAGCCAAAAGCTATAAGGAAGTAGAGAAGCTTTGGAGAGGATGTGAAGAAATAGGAACACTTTTACACTGTTGGTGGGACTGTAAACTAGTTCAACCATTGTGGAAGTCAGTGTGGTGATTCCTCAGGGATCTAGAACTAGAAATACCATTTGACCCAGCCATCCCATTACTGGGTATATACCCAAAGGATTATAAATCATGCTGCTATAAAGACACATGCACACATATGTTTATTGCGGCACTATTCACAATAGCAAAGACTTGGAACCAACCCAAATGTCCACCAATGATAGACTGGATTAAGAAAATGTGGCACATATACACCATGGAATACTGTGCAGCCATAAAAAAGGATGAATTCATGTCCTTTGTAGGGACATGGATGAAACTGGAAACCATCATTCTCAGCAAACTATCTCAAGGACAAAAAACCAAACACTGCATGTTCTCACTCATAGGTGGGAATTGAACAATGAGAACACATGGACACAGGAAGGGGAACATCACACTCCGGGGTCTGTTGTGGGGTTGGGGGAGCGGGGAGGGATAGCATTAGGAGATATACCTAATGCTTAATGACGAGTTAATGGGTGCAGCACACCAGCATGGCACATGTATACATATGTAACTAACCTGCACATTGTGCACATGTACCCTAAAACTTAAAGTATAATAATAATAAAATTTAAAAAAAGACCCGAGTTCCTGCTTTTATCTAGTCAGATAAATACTTTTTAATACTTTAGGCTTTTTAATACTTTAGGCTGAGATTTCTCATTAAAAACTGGAAGTGACTGACAAAGCTATGGAATCTGCCTGAGATTCTGTCCATGAGGAGAAAGGGAGCTCTCATAGAATGCAATTGAAAGTCACTAATTGGAGAAATTAAAGTGTTTTCATTATTTCACCCCCCCATTAAGTCCAGCTTGGTCAATAAAATAGTTGCACAGGTCATGCCACAGTTTTCCTGGTGTCTGAGGTTCATTCCTATCTAGTATGCAATTTTGGAGATGATCACTGTTAACTTAGAATTCATCTCCATAGGAAGACATGTAGTGATTGCAATGCTGCTGCCACAACTCCAAATGTGTTTGTCACTCACTTGGATGATGCTTCATAGGGGTTTGTTCATTGGTTCACTTGTTTCTCCTCACTGGTAGCAACTCTTCATTCAATGATCCCATTTTTGATTTCTGGAAATACTTAAAAATGACTCAACCAAACATGCTGAATCAGGTAGGTAATAATATTGTCAGTCCAACATGCATTTTAAAGTTATAAGAAAAATGTCCTTGTTTGGATAGATCACTGCCTCTAAAAGTAAAAGGAATTCTGAACATATTTTGAGAAATGTAAGGATCTTTAGAAGGAGCTGAATATTCTCATTTGGATACCTAAGTTGTGGTACATATATTTTCCAGGCACCATCTATCTTAAATTGTAAATTACACTAGTATTCGATAGATAACCCAGGTAAGTTATAAAGATGGGAAGTGATCCTCCAATGCTACACGTTGGCAACCATGCCAGAAGAATAGTAAAAGCAAAAGATGTTCCAGGCAAACAGCCTCACACAAGGCTCTATGGCAAGCAGCCTCCGTTTGATGTCAAATTGCCAAAGCAGACATTTGGGAACTTGTTATACTTACGCTATTGGAATATAAAATATCACTCCATCCCCACTCTCAACATGTATACCTGTATGACAAAATGTAAAACAACTTCTTATAAGCCACAGCAGAAGCTTGCTTCAGAAAGTAACAAAATGGGATATAAGCAGGAAATTGTTTTTATATGCATTAGCAAGAGAAGAGTTCAAATCCCAGCAAGCCAGCAGCCTTGGGCCTAGTGGGCCAGATGGAGTATGGAGAGCTAGATGACCTGATAACTGATTACTTTCACTCTTCTTTCCCATGGGGGACCTAGAAGACTTAAACATCATCCATCTTACTATTGCCCTCAAATATTAGTCCCATATACACAGAGGTTAACAAATGCACAATCATGCACCTTTCCCCTGAGTACATGCAATTTAGGATAGGATAGAACCCATAGCTGAAGTTAACAGCAATGCATCTGCTTGGAAAAAGAATGGGCACGTGGCAACTTTTTAATACCTCAGTGTTAGTATGAAGTTTACACTTTGACAATTCTGACATCACAATAAGAATAATGAATCCAGTACTATTTTCCTTTACAAAGCAAACAGTGGACATTTTCAGAGTGACTACATTGGGCCTGGCACTGAGTTTAACACTGTAGGGGATGGAAAAACAAATGAAACATAAAAAAACTCACACTTCAGAGAAGAAGGTAAACACATAAACAATTACCAAACAGTGCATTGCATGGCCTAATGGCCCTTTAACAGCAGTTATTACAACAGTATTTAGTAAAGAATTAGTGAGAGAATGTTATAAATATTATATTGACATCATCAACTCAAAATCATGAGTGTTGTTATCTTGTGTCTACCCATTTCTGTCCTGCCAATACCACTAGATAGGCCACTCCTGGACTCTTAAAGTTTTCTGTTTCATCAGAGGACTGCACTGTTTTACAAAGAAAATTATAATATTAATTTTTAAATCTCCATTATGTATTCAAAGCTTCTTAATAGACCTCAAAGATGATCTTATATTAGCTAGATACAGAATCATCTGAAACATAGACTAAAGTGGAAATAAATAGCTTTTGGCAAATAACAGAAGGAAGATGTTTCTTTCTAACAAAAATGTGACAGTGTTACGTCAACCCACCAAGTCTCCCAGGGATTCAAAAAAGCAGCTAAGGTGTCAGAATATGCCATTACTTCTTACTATTTCTGTCTCAAAGAAATGAATTCAGTATTTCAATTATATTCTTCCCTGTGGGGCAGAATAGCTAATATATTATTTATTTTTAAAGAAATTAAAATTAAAATGCTACAATTTTCATAATTTAGCCTAATTTTTTCATCAAAAATAAAAATAAAATTTTCAGAAAGCGAAACATGTATGGGTCTCAGTCACATACCTCCCTCAATTCTGGTATTAAACTTTTAAATGAGATATCCCTTTGGAAGCCTGGCTACAAACAACAAATTTATTCTCTTGCACCATTCGTGAGAAAATTACAATCTTAATCAAAAACTCATTTCTTGGCATTTCTGCAAAATAATTCTTACTGAACATTTCAACAGGAAAATCTGAAGGAAATGAGATATCCTGAGCAAATCTGTAGATACTTGCACATAAACGGAAGTGAAAAATTTTAACAAAAGTTTGCTAGGGTAGAAGTGATGGGCACTCCCACAAACACAACCAAGTGGGTTTTTTGATATGATATGTAATGATTATTATAAAAAAATGTGAATGTATTTCATAGCTTACCGCATGGAGAGAGACTCACAGAAAGAATCTTCTCAAGCCTTCTTACACAATTCTAGAGCCCAGCTTGGGGAAGATGCTAACAGTGCCAACCTAGAAATCTGCCAAATTACTACGCTGTCCAACAGCTTCCAGGATGGTTATGAAAGCTACTTAGAAGCTAGCTCTAACTAGCATCATGTTTAAGCAATCCATTTCCTACCCAACCATACAGAAGCCTGGCTTATACAGGCAATCCAAGAAAGTGTGGAAAGATGACCCACTCCTTCCCAGGATTTCATAGAGCATGTGTTGAATACAGCTGGTATCTAGCCCTGCAAAGCTCCTTTAAGCAATCATGTTCACGACATAGAGTCAGGCCACCCGCACTCCACCCACAATGTAGTGGTATCCTATCATTTATCCGTAGTCTCTGTTCTGATCTGCTTCAGCAACCTATCTTTTATTCAGTGTCCTAAGTGGTTCTTCTTATCCCAGATTTGACCCTGGCGACTTGTTATGTTATTTATAGTCTCATCTAACATCTTGAACCCAAACTTTGTACCATTTTTGCGGCTCTGATGTCTTGCTTTTCTCATCTATGATTTGGCTATTTCCTCTGATTCTCCTGCCTCAGAAACTACTTGGTCTATTTTGGCTGCAAATGTTCACGTGTGGAGGCCCCAGTAGTGGCAACAAAGAGCTAAAGGACAAGAAAAACCACACAATGTGTATGTAACAAGCATACGAACATGCAAACAAAATGCAATTATATCATCCACTTGTCCACATTATGTTAAAGTATGGCTTTACGTAACAAAGACATTTTTACTAGAAAGCAATTCTAAAACGTTATTGTCTAAAATTCACTTAGGCTGAACAAAAGACACTGTAGCCCACTTACCTCATTGATTGATTCCCACTTTCTGGTGGAAGAAAAACTCAATAATAATTAAGATCTGTTAGAGGAAAAATACCTTTCCCCACTTCTGATTTAAGTTTGGAGATATTTTCTTGGTCTCTCTCCACTCATTTACTCAATCTGCCCTTGGGGAAGTGAAGTGACTTGTCTAATTGGTAAATATGAGACAATCAAGCTCATCTCTGAATCTCTTCTCCTTGCTTCTTGCTGTTCTCTGCTACTACAGGGATTCTGCCCCTTTAAGAGGGTAGGGAGAGTATCCGGGCTTAGAGTATTGTGACTAGGTGGGTAAATCTGCCTATTTCAGAGGTTCTATACTAACAAGCACAGTTTGCTAGCAGAGCTAAAGCCACATATTCCAAGCTGGCCTAGAAAGGTAATAAAGATAATATTTTGACTCCACCTGCCATATGTTTGTTCTCTCAAATTGTTTTGAAACAGATGGGGGAAAAGGGTGCCTGTCACCTTAGAGACCCCAGTAAATATCATTGCATAAGATCAAGGATTTTGCTTGTCTTCTCTGTTGTACATATCTAGCATAAGGGTTAATTAACAAATTTACTGGCCAGTGAAACGTAAGGGGAAGGATATTTTGGGAAAGGCTTCCCCTTTCCTCTTGGAAAGAGTCTTAAGGAAGGATCATTCCCTTCTCAGGCTTTTGGGTGGGGCCTTGTGAGGCTACTGTTCTTGAAGCCACTTAAAGCCACCTTTTTCCTCCATGAGAGGATAAGCCTGAGACTGAAGATGGTCAAATAAATAGATGGAAAGGACCTGGGTCCCTGATAGTATTGCTAAGTCACGGTTATAACCAATTCTGTGACCACTTGGGCCCTGAACTTTGTGTCGTATGCAATAATAAATCTCCTTATGGTTTAAGCCAGTATACTGGCTTAGTAAATTGAGCCTTCTGTTGCTCGAATGGAAAGTCTCTCTAAGTGACAGAGCAACAAAAAAGGCAGTTACTGCTCATAATCCCCTGAGGAAAGACTGTAACAAACATGTATACATAAATATATCAGATAATTTTAGATATTGATGCATGCACTGCAGAAGACAGAGTAGTGTAGAAAGAAGACTGCGAGGGATGCTTTAGCTTGGGTGGGCAGAGAAGGCTTCACTGAGGAGATAGTAATACTTGACTTGAAACCTGTATGACAAGAAGGAGTCATCCCTCTGAAAAGACAAAGGAATAGCATGCCAGGGAGAAAGAACAGCAATTTAAAAGACTTCGGGGTGGCCAGGCGCGGTGGCTCACACCTGTAATCCCAGCACTTTGGGAGGCCAAGGTGGGCGGATCACAAGGTCAGGAGATCGAGACCATCCTGGCCAACATGGTGAAACCCCGTCTCTACTAAAAATACAAAAATTAGCTGGGTGTGGTGGCACCTACCTGTAATCCCAGCTACTCGGGAGGCTGAGGCAGGAGAATCATTTGAACCCGGGAGGCGGAGTTTACTGTGAGCCGAGATCGTGTCACTGCATTCCAGCCTTGCGACAGAGCAAGACTCTATCTCAAAAAAAAAAAAAAAAAAAAAAAAGACTTTGAGGTAGGAATGGGATTGACATGTTCAGTCAAAGAGAAAGCCAGTGCGGCTGGAGCAGAGCAAATGTAGGGGCACATAGGTGATAAGGTTAGCGAAGTAGGCAGAGGCCAGATCACAGAAAATTTTGTAGACCACAAAAAGGAGAATAGATGCTTCTCTGATTGCTAATGGAAAGTTCTTAGAAGATTTTAAGCAGTAGAGTGGTAGGTTTGACTTAAAATGTTTTAAGATGTAGTGATGGTTAATTTGATTGTGGGATTGGCACACAATCCCAAATGTCATAATTTGGAATGTTGACACACTGGAAGATCAAAATCCCAAAAATATGAATTTGGAAAAAAAATTTAAAAAAAATTTTAAAGATATTTATTTACATATTAAATAAATTCCCTATTTTTAAGGGTAATTTATTTGAGAAACATTAAAACATGACAGAACACTTCATAAGCCAGTTTACATAATAAAATAAGCAGTAATAACTTACATATTTTTGCAAACACGAACACTACCTAATATACAGATATATCTGTCACACAGATAGTTATGAGCAGATAAACCCTATTCATAAAGAAATAGGTCAAAAAATGTATAAATGCATATCACTTTGGTTGGTAATTGTCTGTCCCGTTTTATAACACAGTCATCTGAAACACTATGACAGACAACCTAAGTGTTTTGAGGAGATGGATCAAAAATTGCAATGGACCACCATCACATCACCAAACACACCAAGAGCCAAGATCTCAAGAAATTTTACTGTGCACAAATGCAGATGTACAAAAAGGGCATCTCTTCATTTACTGAAGAAGTTTCAGTGTTTTTACATACACGCATAACGCTTACTACACACAAAGTTAATGCTGTGATGATACCCTTTCATGGAGACGCATTAGCAAAACAATGCATACAATGAATTAGAACTCTCCAAAAGTCTTTACACAATTTCTACCTCCAGTATCGAAAATAATGCAAAGATGAACCATAGTAGAATGTAAAAAATAATGCTGACAATTTAAAATAGTGGAAAAAGAAAACTTTTAAAAAAAGAAGAAAAAACAAAAACAAAACAAACCAGAAATTAAAAATGAAAATTTAACATATGAAAAAATGTATTGCAGGGTTAGATTATGGGCAGTTGCACACAGATAGTTCATAAGACCTGGCTGACTTTCACAATCATTAAGTATATTTTGAAGTCGTGCATCACAAGAAATAGCCACTGTTTTCTTTCTTTCTTTCTTTTCTTCTTCTTTCTTCTTTCTTTTCTTTTTCTTCTTTCTTTTCCTTTCTCTCTCTCTCTTTCTTTCTCTCTCTCTCTCTCTCTCTTCTCCCCTCCCTCCCTCCCTCCCTTCCTCCCTTCCTTCCTTCCTTCCTTCCTTCCTTCCTTCCTTCCTTCCTTCCTTCCTCGGAGTTTCGCTCTTATTGCCCAGGCTGGACTGCAGTGGCACAATCTCAGCTTACTGTAACCTCCATCTCCTGGGTTCAAGCGATTCTCCTGCTTCAGCCTCCCGAGTAGCTGGGACTACAGGTGCGTGCCACTACGCCAGGCTAATTTTTTGTATTTTCAGTAGAGACGAGGTTTCACTGTGTTAGCCAGGATGGTCTCCATCTCCTGACCTCGTGATCCACCCGCCTCGGCCTCCCAAAGTGCTGGGATTACAGGCGTGAGCCACCGCGCCCAGCTGCTGCTGTTTTCCTTTAGGACATGGCCCTTCTTGGAGAACACATTCACATTCATTTTCTATGTGGCACTGCTCTTTTTGAAATTCTTCTTTAATTCAACATACACTGACAGGAGCATTCCCTGTTAAATTTTCCGATCTTCTTTGCCATGCTTCTATGTTATTTGGGTTATGCAGAAATTTCACATGCACTCATATAAAGACCACACTTTTGGCAGAAACAATACTGGTGATCAAACAGTAACACCATTGCATAAGTATCTACTTGTCTTGCCATGCACATAATTATTCTTGAACCAGTCAGTAACGTCTCTGGCTTCTTCAGGCAAATGAGGCTTTAATTTATTAAAAGCTCAGTGGCTCATGCCTGTAATCCCAGCATTTTGGAATGCCAAGGCAGGCAGATCTCTTGAGCCCAGAAGCTTGAGACCAGCCTGGGCAACATGGCAAAACCCCGTCTCTACAAAAAAATACACAAATTCACCAGCATAATGGTGCCTGCCTGGAGACCTAGCTACTCAGGAGGCTGAGGTGGGAGAATTGCTTGATCCCAGGAATTTGAGGCTGCAGTGAGCTGTGATTGTGTCACTGTACTCCAGCCTGGGTGACAGAATGAGACTCTGTCTCAAAATAAAATTTTTTTTAAAACTCCTGAAATGTCATCAACTGGAAGAAATGCCAATGCAGGCAAATAACACATTTTTAAACTGAAGTTTTTATCGTTTCCATATTGTGTGGCCAATCTACTTACCTGAATTTTCTGTCAAATGCATTGAGCTGAATGAAAGAAAAAAAAAGCTTATTGATACCACCTTGAAATTCAATTTTAGAAACTTTGATCATACCTAATTCCAAATCTGTTGTTATGGGTTGGGGATTCGATTGAAATCCATTTTCTTCAGCATAAAGACAATACAGGCTGGTGTGGTGGCTCACGCCTGTAATCCCAACACTTTGGGAGGCCAAGGTGGGAAGATCATGAGATAAAGAGATCGAGACCATCCTGGCCAACATGGTGAAACCCCATGTCTACTAAAAATACAAAAATTAGCTGGGCGTTGTGGCGCGCACCTGTAGTCCCAGCTACTAGGGAGGCTGAAGCAGGAGAATCACTTGAACCCAGGAGGCAGAGGTTGCAGTGAGCCAAGATCTTGCTACAAAGTAATAATTCCAGCTGCTATGATGCAATTATTCTGTAGTTGTGACTTTTGGGATTTTAGACATTAGGCATTTTAGACTTTAAGGATTTTTACTTTAGGTATTTTGACTACTCAAGATTTCAACATGTGCGATGATGGCATTCAGGATTGTGTCTTTTGGGATTATGATTCAAACCTTGGATACCCAGATAAGCGGTAAAACATTATTTTTGGATGTGCCTGTGAGGGTATTTCCAGAAGAGATTAGCATTTAAATCAGTAGACTGAGTCAAGAAGACTGTCCTCACCAACACAGGTGGGCATAATCCAATCCGTTGAGTGCCCAAATAGAACAAAAAGGTGGAGGAAAGGCAAATTTACTCTCTCTCTTCTGGAACTGGGATATCCATCTTCTCTTGTCCTTGGATCTTCTCTTGTCCCTGAATCTCAGGCCTTTGGATTCAGACTAGAAGTTATACCATCAGCTCCCCTGGTTCTAGGCCCTTTGAATTAGGACTGAATTCCACCACTGGCTTTCCTGGTTCTCCAGTTTGTAGGTGGCAGATCCTGGAACTTCTCAGCTTCCATAATCACATGAGCCAATTCCCATAATAAATCTCCTCTTAAATATCTATATATATCTTATTGGTTCTGTTTCTCTGGAGAACTCTAATACATATCCTAATGTAGCACTTTCCGTAGGTTTAGACAGAAAAACAGGACAGAAAAATTCAGTGTCTGGTTCAAGGCTTGTCTCCTCTTTGAAGCCACTCTTAAGCACCCTGTACTCAACAACCACTCATTCCTCTGAACTTTTCTATCACGTAATGCTTGCATCACTGCTTTGGCCCCTTGGTATTTCTGACTTACTTCATATACATATGTTATCTCCCCAAAAAGATGACAATCCCTTAGCACTCAAAGACTGATAGGGCACACCTCATTGTATGCCTGCCTATAGTAGGGGCTTCATTTATCTTTGTTTTTGATGATGATATCAATGGACCTACTATTCGCACATTAATCTAAATATATACTATTTGTTAATCATAAAACCAATGACTGAATTTATAATGAGTTATTTTATAGTCCAGTAATAGCATTATTTTGCTATATTTAAAAATATCACCATGTGATACCGGAATTAAAACATATAAGAGCTCATACACAAACTAATACACTGGGAGCCAAACAACAGAATGTTGATTCTGCATATGAACTGTGAAAATGTTTTGTTAAAGAAGGCTGAACAAGTTGTCATGGAAATTGTTCTACTTTGAGACATACTGGATACATTGATCTTTTATTCCTGAACCCACCACACCTGAAATCTAAGACATGCAGTTTCACAGGGACTACAGATTTTGCTGCAAAAGTAATAGATCAGATCTAGACCTTTGTAACTGTCAGAAAAAGCATAAACTGAACTATATTTGTTTTTCTATCATTAATATTAGTAACTACATTTTCAAATAGGTTGTGTTGGTTTCGAGAAGTAAAAATATGGCACCATATAACAATTTACATTTGCAGCACACTTTCCACTGTGCTGGATCTTCCTAAAATTGCCTACGAGTAACTGGAGGAATAAGTTGAACCTGGAAGAATACACAACTCCCCCATCCTCTCTGCCCTGCCAGTAGAGGACATAAAGAGAATGAGAACACAAAACTGAGCCTTTTGTTTTGTTTTTTTGACACAGAGTCTGGCTCTGTTGCCCAGGCTGCAGTGCAATGGCACGATCTCGGCTCACTGCAACCTCTGCCTGCCAGGTTCAAGCAATTTTCCTGCCTCTGCCTCCCAAGTAGCTAGGACTACAAGCGCACACCACCATGCCCGGCTAATTTTTTGTATTTTTAGTAGAAATGGGGTTTCACCATGCTGGCCAGGCTGGTCTCGAACTCCTGACCTCGTAATCTGCCTGCCTCGGCCTCCCAAAGTGCTGGGATTACAGGCGTGAGCTACCGCACCAGGCCTAAACTGAGCCTTTACAAGAAGTATGTAATCTCAAAGCTTTTACAATCTTTGATAGCTAAGAGAGGTCATCAAGAGCTATATGGCTCAGCAATGGGCCTCTTTCTTACTGTTGGTAAGTCTAAATAGGGATGATATGAAAGCTAATAATGAATGAAAGCACATTGTCGATGAAAATATTCATCAAAACACACCATAAGTAAGTTAAAGTTAAAATGCACGAAAATAGCCGTGGTAAACCACAACCTACACAGGACAACATTGAAAATGAACTGCTGTTTATAGGAAGACATTTGAGAACTCCAGCAGCCAGCTGTGTGTGAGCATGCGGAAGTGAGAGCCTCACAATCCTGAATTTCAGTGTTCAGTAGACTTAAGCAACTTATTTATCTTAGCTTATGAATATCAAGTTTGAGAAATATATATATATATATATATATATATATATATATATATATATATATTTTTTTTTTTTTTTTTTTTTGAGACGGAGTCTTACTTTGTCACCCAGGCTGGAGTGCAGTGGCGCGATCTTGGCTCACTGCAAGCTCTGCCTCCCGGGTTCACGTGCCATTCTCCTGCCTCAGCCTCCTGAGTAGCTGGGACTACAGGCACCCACCACCACACCCAGCTAATTTTTTGTGTTTTTTTTAGTAGAGACGGGGTTTCACTGTGTCAGCCAGGATGGTCTCGATCTCCTGACCTCGTGATCCGCCCGCCTTGGCCTCCCAAAGTGCTGGGATTACAGGTGTGAGCCACCACACCCGGCCTCAAGTTTGAGAAATTTTTAATTGCTCTCTTAGAAAGTTAGTAGTATTAGATAGTGGTTAAGAGCAAGGACTCTGGAGCCAGCCTGCTGAGGTTTGAATCCCAACTCTGCCATTTACTAGCTGTGTGTTCTTGAAGCAGATTACCTAACTTCTCTGTACCTCTGTTTTCCATCCATAAAATGGGGACAATAAACATATCTTCTACCCACAGGGTTGTTATGAGGGTTAAATATGTTTAATTCATATTTGTAAATTGCTTAGAGCAGTGCCATGCATATAGTACTCTATATGAGTGTTTAAAAAGTAAGTTCTTCTAATCATAAATAAAATTATAGTCTATGGAATTCTGCACCATTTGCCTTCAATAACCAAGGAAAGATCCATTCCTTGAATTATAGTTTAAAATTCATTTATAACCCATCAGATGAATACTTATTGCCCAGCAGTGGACGTGCGACCATATTTTGAGACTCCGTTTAAAGACATCTAGTCATGTTACAAATGAGGAAACTGAGAACTATGGCAAGGAAAGAACTAGCCCAAAGTAATAACTATTAAATTGTAGCAGAGGTAAGAATAGAAGCCAAGTCACGGCTTTCTCTACCAGCCACTTCTCTGCCTTGCTAAGGCTGAGATTAAAATATATTTTATCAGGAATTTATTATATATGATCTTGGAAAAAATTCATGCTAATGGAGATTGTATTTACACTAACAATTAAAGTAAATTGTGTGCTTAGTGCACTAGAATCACGTTATGTGTGAGACTATGATTCTCAATGTCATTGATATTGCTTGTTACACAGGCCTTTTACCAATATGGCTTTCTTTCTTTGTGACTAAATTAAGTCACAAGATTAATATTGCCTTGTATTACACATTCAAAAACAATGCCTTTGTAGTCAAATAAACCAAACCTGTTGAAAGAATAACCCTAAGGCAATTTTATTCTTTACTCTAATACTTCAAAAGATATCTTCCTAATGAGTGACTCAACAGTAGTTTAATTGCAATTTTGATTTTCCGTATCAGAATGTCTGCATCTTTTTAGCTTCAAATATTAAATTATTAAGAATGTATCCAGCACAACAACTAAATATGAAAGCCAGCTCAGAGGCAATGAAGTATAAAACCAGAAATTCCTTCTTAATTGCTTTGTCAGCTAAAGAAAAATAAAAATAAGCAAAGAGCATGACCTCCAGTTTTTCAAGGACATTTCTGGAAGCCAAGGTTGTGAATTCATTTGCTGGATTTCTAATACCCCAGTAGGCCTTGCAAGACTCATTTACTGAAAAGCAAGGCAGAGCTTTGGGTGAGACCCTCTTAAAAATAAAAGCTACCACTTTGCAAATATGCCTTTAATTTGTGTATTTATCACAGATAAAAACCTAGTGAGTTTTTCAAAATGTGAGTTAACATTTGCAAGTATGAAACATCAAATAGCGAACTCATCAATTCAAGTATTTTTACAATTCCGTAACAGGCCATTGTTATGTTTGGACTACAGTCCTATCGGTTTATTACAACCATTACTGCCTTCCAGGAAGCAGTGATTGAGATTTGTCCAGAGGTGTGAATTGCATAAATAATACATTTTCTCCTGTGGGTTTAGTTAACCTCAATATTTGATACTTACTAGAGTAATAAACAATTATGGTTCATTGAGATAGCAATAGAACACTATGTATTGAATATATTACTTTTGTAAAGAACTACCAGCAAAAAAATGTTAATGCATTATGGTACATTAATAAAATCTTAGATTAAGTATGTCAGAACTGGAAGATCCCTTAGAGATTTTTCAGTCAAAGCCCCACAGTTGAAAGACAAGGAAATGGTGGTTCAGATCAGTGAGTTAGTCTTGGAATCAGAAGTCATCTGAATCCCTGTCCAGTAGTCATCTTAATTTGGGTTTGTGTTTTGTGTTTGTTTGTGTGTAAGGTTCAGCAAATGTATTGCCTATATGGGGTCTACATCAATTTGGTTAATGCCAAGGTTTTCTCTGAAATAAACAGTAATCTAGACAAGGCATTATTGCAAAAAATTCCCATTTTTGTTATTAAAATGTATGGATATTAACTCATGTTAGCTCTTCATCCGTGATGTATTCATATTTGTAAGAAAAAGAAATGTAATCTGGGAGAACTTCCACATTACAGCCATCTTCCACTATTTATAAACATGATTTTTCATATTTTCCTTCTCAAATTTATATTAAACTATTACATACTAAGATATTATAATAGCTATAGAGTCATTTCTATGGTTTTGTGAAGACAATTGTACAAGTTTATTTTAGGCAAACTAAGCAAGTAGGCTAACTGAAAAAAAATTGTCTTGAAAATAGAATTGCACAGCAATGACAGGAGCATTAGTCTTTTTGATGACTTCATAGAAGCTGACTGCCACAATATATCTTTCTAAACTTTCAAAGGCAGATAATATAATTGTATAATAATAGCCAATCAAACCTTTTCTCCGATTTGGATTCAACATCTACTGTAATCCTTACTAAAAATATTACATGGGCCGGGCTCGGTGGCTCACGCCTGTAATCCCAGCACTTTGGGAAGCCAAGGCAGGCAGATCACCTGAGGTCGGGAGTTCAAGACCAGCCTGACCAAGATGGAGGAGCCCCGTCTCTACTAAAAACACAAAATTAGCTGGGCATGGTGGCGCATGCCTATAATCCCAGCTACTTGAGAGGCTGAGGCAAGAGAATCGTTTGAACCGGGGAGGCAGAGGTTGCAGTGAGCCAAGATTGCGCCATTGCACTCCAGCCTGGGCAACAAGAGTGAAATTCCATCTCTCTCTCTCCCTCTCTCTCTCTCTCTCTCTCTCTCTCTCTCTGTGTGTGTATATATATATATATATATATATATATATATATATATATATATAGCATGGTGCTCAGTAAACAGAACAAGTTCCTTATCTACAACATCTGTTTCCTCTCACTTGCTCAAATGAGGTGCCTCATTGGCCCACTCAACAGATTTTATCTAGACAGAGCATAGAGGACTGCTCTGTGTCCGCTCCCTTAAAGGAGAGTAGTAAGCTATAACACCGCTTAGCTATTATGTGCAATTGGCTACTCATCAACAGAGTACCCCACCACTCATATTACCTGTGATCTGGCCACTTTTGTTTTGGTGTCCTCCTGTGGGACAAGCAATATGGGGAGCTGACAATATACTGATCATGCTTTTGCTGTCTATGTAAGTAATACACTGTCTGAATACATTTGGGCTAATGTTTTCTGTTTTTCCAGCTTAATATGTCAGGCAGCTTAACCTAGAGATGAGTGGTAAAGACCCCAAGTTCTACAGCCAGATAATCCGAGTTTACATCCCAACAGCTGTGGTTTGAATGTTCATTGCCTCCAAAACTCAAGTTGAACGTTAACTGACATTGTAACAGTGTTAAGAGTTGGGACATTGGAAAGGTCATTAGGCCATAGGGACTGTGCCCTTATGGGTGATATTAATGTTATTATAAATGGGCAAGTTTGGCTTCCTCTTTTATGCACTTGTCTTTCCACCTTCCACCATGTAATGACCCAGAAAGAAGGTCCTTGCCAGATGCTGTACCTTGACCTTGAACTTCCAGTTCTCTAGAACTTTGAGCTAATAGATTTCTGTTCATTATAAATTACCCAGTCTCACTTTTCGAAAGAAGACATACATACAGCCAACAAGCATTAATGCAAATCAAAACCATAATGAGACGCCATCTCACACCAGTCAGAATGGCTATTATTAAAAAGTCAAAAAATAACAGATGCTGATGAGGTTGCAGAGGAAAGGGGACACTTATACGCTGTTGATGACAGAGTAAATTATTTAAACCATTGTAGAAAGCAGTGTGGCAATTCCTCAAAGAGCTGAAAACAGAACTACAGTTTGACCCAGCAATCCCATTACTGGGCACATACCCGGAGGAAAATAAATCAGTCTACCAAAAAGACATATGCACTTCACTTGTATGTTCATCACAGTGCTTTTCACAATAGCAAAGACATGGAATCCACCTAAATGCCCATCAACAGTAGACTGGATGAAGAAAATGTGGTACATATACTCCACGCAATACTGTGCAGCCATGAAAAAACAAGATCATGTCCTTTGCAGGAACATGGATGGAGCTGGAGGCCATAATCCTCAGTAAACTAATGCAGGAACAGAAAACCAAATACTGTATATTCTCACTTATAAGTGGAAGCTAAATGGTAAGACCATATGGCCACAAAGATGGGAACAAGAGACACTGGGGCCTATGAGGGTGGAGGGTGAGAGGATGGAGATGAGCAGAAAAAAATAACTATTGCATACTAGGCTTAGTGCCTGAGTGATGAAATAATCTGTACAATAAATCCCTGCGACATTAATTTACCAAATAACAAACCTCCACATATACCCCTAGACCTAACATTAAAAGTTTTAAAAATAAAATAAGATAAACGAATAACCCAGTCTCACGTATTCTATTATAGCAGCACAAAATGGAGTAAGAGATAACCCTCTCAATTTTGAGCTATGTGATTTTGCCCAAGGTACAAATAACCTTTCTGTGTCTTGATTTCCTAATATTATTCATTATTATCTAAGCCTCGATGATGGTGAAAGAGCAAGTTCACTGTGTCAAATAACCAGTCCAGTAACAGCATAAAACAGGCTACCCGACTTTTTTCATTAGACATCACATATTAATTTAAGTGACTATTTTGCACTAGCCGTTATACACAATATGATGATTTTTAAGAAATGGAACCGTGAAACCACCTTATTGTAAGTACTGGAGTAAAGGACATGTGCTCAATGAGTAATATGCACAATAAGCCTTCCAAGAGTTCAGAGGGGAGAGAAACCACTTTGCTCCCGGGCCACAGTGTGAGTACAGTCTAAATATTTTCCTCATTTAAAACCTAATCACTTTTAGCAAAGCCATAGTTGTCTTCCCTAACTATTTCAGAAATAGGTCAACCATTCCTTAGTAAAGGGAAAGGAAACCAATGATTTCCAGCACCAACATTATGATGATAAATGATTCTAGAAATGCATCAGTTATCCTTTATAGTGAAAAACATTTTCAGGTACCAATATAATAATGATAAACTCATAAATTATACAGTATAAACACAATATATAAGTCGTATATTCTTGTTCGTTACGTGAAATTTACTTTCATTAAAATGTTTATTATATTCTGCTCAGAAAATACATGCTCTTTGAAAATTTTGAAGAAGAGAGGGAGCCAAGATAGCCAACTAGATGCAGCCGGAAGGAACAAATCCCACTGAGAGACAGGAACATTGGGAAGACTGGCACACTCTGAGCAGATCTTCAGAGGGAAGGCACTGAGAGTGGATGAAGGGAGGGCACAGATCCTGGACTGAAAGGGGAAAAAGTGGATGGCCCTTTCCACTCCTCCCCCAATCCAGCCTCCCACCGTGTTGGCATGTGCACACCCTGCCACTCTCACCAACACTACCAGCTCCCCAGTCCCACTGAGGCACAGGCAGCCCACTGCACCACTTCCACTGCTGCAGTGCTAATGCATGCACAGGTGCCAGGACCACACCCATACTGGTGCCCTGTCCCTGCCATGCCATGTCTGCCATGCTGCCCATACCCCACCCCCATGCGGGCACCCCTCTGTGCCACTGCATCTGCTGGCACATGTAAGTGAGCACAGATCTGGCTGGCACTGCCTGTGTGAAACACTTTGGCCAGCACATCCCCATCAAAGTGTTGTGGTCTACAGAGCAGATCACTTTGGCCTCTCCAACAAAAACAGGTTTCGAACCTCAAGAGGCAAGGAATCCAAGTTGGGGGTCTAGAACCAGCCTCCCAGAGTTAGAGCATGCCAAATCTACCAAGCAAATGGAAAACACAAAAAAGGAGGAATTGCTATTCTACTTTCAGATGAAACAGAGTTTAAAGCAACAAAAATCCAAAAAGACAAAGAAGGGCATTACATTTTGTTAAAAGATTCAATTCAACAAGAAGACTTCACCATGCTAAATATATATGCAGCCAACACAAGAGCACCGATATTCATAAAAGAAGTTCCTAGAGACCTACAAAGATACTTAGATAACCACAGAATAATGGTGGAGAACTGAAACACCACACAGAGTATTAGAGAGATCATTGAGGCAGAAAACTGACAAAGATATTCGGGACTTGAACTCCACACTTGACCAAATATACCTAAGAGACATCTACAGAACTCTCCACTCAAAAACAACAGAATATACATTCTTCTCATTTCCACGTGGCACACACTCTAAAATTGACCACACAATCAGCCATAAAACAATTTTCAGGAAATGTTTTCAAAACCAAAATCATATCAAACATACTCTCAGACCACAGTGCAATAAAAATAGAAATGAATACTAAGAATGTTTCTCAAAACCATACAATTACATGGAAATTAAGCAACCTTTTCTCTCAATGACTTTTGAGTAAACAATAAAATTAAGGCAGAAATCAAGCAATTCTTTGAAACAAATGAGAGCAAAAATACAACATACCACAATCTCTGGGACACAGCTAGAGCGGTGGTAAGAGGAAAGTTTATACTGCTAAACACTCACATCAAAAAGTTAGAAGAATCTCAAATGAACACTATCAAGGACACTTAAAAACATTATCAAGGGAGAAACAACCTTATTAAAAAGTAGGCAAAGACATGAACAGACACTTTTCAAAAGACAACATACACGTGACCAACAATTATATGAAAAAATGCTCAACATCACTAAACAGAGAAATGCAAATCAAAACCACAATGAGATACCATCTGACACCTGTCAGAATTACTGTTATTAAAAAGTCAAAAAATAACAGATGTTGGTGAGGTTGTGAAGAAAAGGAAATGCTTATACACTGCTGGTGAGAATAAAACTTAGTTCAGTCACTGTGAAAAACAGTTCAGAAATTTCTCAAATAACTTAAAACAGAACTACAGTTTGACCCAGCAATCCCAATATTGAGTATATACCTAAAGGATTATAAATCCATCTACCATAAAGATGCATGCATACATGTTTATTGCAACACTACTCACAACAGCTCAGGGAATGACATGGAATCAATCTAGATGTCCATTAATCATGAGCTGGATAAAGAAAACGAAGTACATATACAACATGGAATACTATTCAGCCATAATAAAGAATGCAATCATGTCCTTTGCAGCAACATGGATGAAGCTGGAGGCCATTATCCTATGGGAACTAATGCAGGAACAGAAAACCAAATACTAAGCTTGTTCTCACTTGTAAGTGGGGGCTAAACATTGAATACACAAGGACACAAAGAAGGAAACAATAGACCCCAGGGCCTACTTGAGGATGGAGGGTGGGAGGAGGGTGAGGATCAAAAAACTACCTATTGGGTAAGATTAATACAAGAGTTAATAAGAAATGATTTTAGGCAGATAGTAAGGGTAAATGTTCTCAGTGGAAATTTTCCTGTAATAAGAAACAACCCCCGAACCATTTCTTTTCTAACAGAAAAGGTGGCTTGAAGGGCTGGGCTGTCAAGCTTTGATATGCAAATGCAGGCCATTCGAAACTGGGTTCACCCAATATGGTGATTCCTGCCCTCTTCTTGTCACCACCTGTGCCAAGTGTGATGGCCACCTCCAGATAACACCATGTGTTCAAAACATCCTGATGACCCACATTTGCATATTAAAGGACTAAGTTGGGAGGGCCAGGTTTTTGGCAAGCTATGTGAATGACACACCTGGTCAAACCAATCCTCTGGGCCCTATGCAAACAAGACACCCCCTCCCCCAGCCTCCTGATATAATGGACTGCCTTTCTGCCACACACGGGGTTTCTCTTTGTTCCAAGTCCCCCGCTCTTGTCTCTGTGTGGGAGAGCTGTTCTCTTCTTTCTTCCTTCTTTCTTGCCTATTAAACTTTTCGCTCCTTAAAACCACTCCACGTGTGTCCATGTTGTTACTCCTATCTGCGCGAGGCCAAGGACCCTGCTGTTCCTTCAGTCATCAGAGTCATTATTTTGGTGCATGGGCCTGGAATTCATTCTTCAGAGTGGTGAGTATGGAGCGAATCTCAACCTCAAATCTGTTTTAATCTCAAGGCTGTCTTCCAGCTATCCTGTCGCAAAACTTTCTTTCTTTCCTTCTTTCTCTATCTGCAGTCTCTTACTCCCTGTGTGTTGAGTGTGTGGGAATTTTTACAGCCTAGGGAAGTAATCCCGTTAGGCAAGATCAGGAAATGCTATAGTACTGGGGAAATAGCTCAGAGAATGAATGGAAAAGGAAGTGTTTTTAATATGCAGTTTAGAAGCCCTACGGAAAACCAGGGTCAAACCTCTCAATTACTCTAAACTGTCTATAATAGATCAAAAGCCAAGTGCGAATCCTGTAGCCTTTATGGAAAGGCTGAGAGAGGCACTAATAGAACACACCTCTTTATCCCCTGATCCAGTTAAGGGACAGCTTATCCTGAAGGACAAGTTTATTACACAGGCAACTCCCAATATTAGAAGAAAACTACAGAAGCAAGCTGTAGGACCGAACAGCACTTTAGAGAACCTCCTGAAGGTGGCCACTTCGGTCTCTTATAATAGGGACCGGGAGGAGGCCCAAAAGAAAGAGAAAGCTCATGAGAAGGACAAAGGCTCTAGCAGAAGCTTTGCAGGCTTGCAAAGTCCAGGATCCCCAAGGTGCATCCGCTAGTTGCTATTCGTGTGGCTGACCAGGGCATTTTAAAAAGGAATTCCCAGGCAGCAAGATGAAGCCACCTTGACCCCGTCCAGCCTGTGGCGAAAACCACTGGAGACAGAACTGCCCCCAGAGGCGGAGGTCACTGGGTTCAGGACCAATCTCACAGATGGTACAGCAGGACCGATGTATCCCGTGGCTCAAAACTCGGCTCCAGCAACTCAAACTGCCATCATAGCACAGGAGTCCCAGGTGATTCTGGAAATTGAAGAAAGGAAAGCGGACCTCTTTCTAAACACTAGAGCCAGTCTCTCTCTTTTTTTTCTCTCTAATTCAGGTCTCTCCTCTTCCTATAGCCTGACCGTAATTGGCATCTCAGGAAAAACCCTAATCCAATATTTCTCTCCACCTTGGTTGTAGTTAGAAGGACCTATTTATACATGCTTCCAAGCCATTGTCGTGATAGCTTTATTAGTCAGAAAAGCCTCCAAGTTAACCCCAGGACATAATTGAACTGTTTACACCCCATATAATGTGGCAGGATCACAGTTCTCTGGGGGGAGCTTTTAGCTAGCAAACAGCTGGTAAAGCAAGAAGTACGTAAGGCAGGATAAGCAGTAGTCACTGTCCCCAAACATAAGCGCTCTATTAGCTGAGCTAATAGCTCTTACAAAAGCACTTAAATTAAGCAAGGGAAAGGTAACTAACATTTATACTGACTCCAAGTATGCCTTCCTGATTTTCCATGCTCATGCTGCCATTGAAAAGGAAAGGAGTTTTCTTACCACTAATGGATCTCCTATAAAATATTACCAGGAAACTAGCAGGTTATTATCCTCAGTTTTTCTTCCATGAGAAATAGCAGGGATGTATTGCAGGGAACATTGAAAGGGAACAGATGAGGTAGCCAAGGAAAATAGATGAGCTGATCAGGCATCTAAGTCAAAGGCAAGGAAGCCTCAAGGCACTAACACACTTCAAGCCCTTCTAATCTAGGAGGTCTCCATAAAAGAAATTAAACCTCAGTATTCCCCTGCAGAAATAGAATAGGCCACTTCTCAAGGGCATACTTTTTAGCCCTCAGGATGGCAAACTCTATTTGCCAGCCTCCAGCCAATGAAGGTCCTTAAAATCCTTCCCCAAGCTTTTCACTGGAGAAAGGATAAAACTTATCAATGTGCTCAGAGATTGTTTTCAGGCAGAAAACCTCCACATTGGTTAAGCATGTAACCTCTCTAGCTCACTTCCAACAAGAATGAACACAACTAGCAGAAGACCAACCCCAGGAAATAAAACCACCTTTCTTTAACCCAGGAAATTTGGTATTAGTGAAAATTCTCATCTCTCTCCTTCCATAAGCCAACCTGGGAAGGGACCTCCACTGTTCTTCTTTCAACCTTCTTGGCAGTAAACGTTACAGGAATCAACTCCTGGATACATCACACTCAATTCAAAGCCTGAAGAGCTGAGGGAGCAACCCTTGACAGCCCAGAGGAACGTCCTGAATATCAGTGTGGAGAAATAGAAGATCTTAACCTAAAAATCATAAAAGATAAGAAACTGAGTGAGGGCTACTCATCTTACTGAGTCCCACCTTTACCTCAATAGATACTTTTTGTCATTTCTGTCCTTTCCTCTCAAAATTTGCCACCAAATATTAGAACTTCTTCTTAATGCATATTTGCAGGGAGATTTAATTATTCCTAGAATCGCATTTGTAACTTTGTAAATCTCCAAAGGGAAATGTTATATCTGGGCAAGTAAAGTTTTAAATGACAATTATTTACCATGCCACTCTTGTGAAAATTGTTATAGGTCATGCTACTATTTGCAATAGAACTATGCACTGTGGCAGCACCCACAATGTGGAATTCTGTTTGTAAAATTATAATTGCTGTATAATTGCAAGCATAAAAGTTTTACTATCATTACGTTTAATAGGACTTTTTACTAAAGGTTGGTAATATAAGGCACTCTAAGCTATGAAAAGAAGGTTATAAAGAAAGAAATTTTATATAAGAAAGGATTTTGTATGGTAAATACTTGTCCTAAAAGGAAATGACTGGTTGTTTAAGGGAAAGACGTTTAGGACAAGTGAGAAAGTTTAAGGATGTTGTGAGAGGGTCTGTGAAAGTCATGAAAAACTCTAATAATTAAAGGAAAGGAACTGTCAAAATTAACGCTAAAATTATTTTAGCCAGCCAATAACGTATTTCTCCCTATCATATTGCAAGTTAAAAAGATGGCCTAAGACTAAAGTTATTCTCTAATGGCAAATCAAGGGGGAAATGTATGCTTTTCTCTAGGAAAAAGTAGCTTTTATATTAACATTTCTGGTAATGTACATTGACATCTAGTGGAGGCAAATCGGTATTGCAATCCATTGGTGTATCTAACAAGTGTCAAACTCTGTCAGTTAGGTTCTATAGGACCCCCACTAATGGTGGTAACGTTAATACTCATATTCTAACCCTATATTTTAAAACTTCTTGTAAAAATTTATCTCTTTTCACCTGGAAGCAATAAAACTCCAAATGGCGCTGCGAGCAGAGCCACACACGGGCTCCTTTTAGGCAGGAAGTAGCCAGAAAGAATCATCACCCAACACCTCCTAACAGCAGTTAGGTTTACTTCTCTTTGAGGGGGGAGTAATACAGGAGTTATTGAGAAATTATTTTAGGTAGGATAGGTTCTCAGTGGAAATTTTCCTGTAATAAGAAACAACCCCCGAACCATCTCTTTTCTAACAGAATAGGTGGCTTGAAGGGCCAGGCCGGCAAGCTTTGATATGCAAATGCCTGCCATTAGAAACTGGGTTCACCCAATATGGTGATTCCTGCCTTTTTCTTGTCACCACCTGTGCCAAGTGTGATGGCCACCTCCAGATAACACCATGTGTTCAAAGCATCATGGCCACCCACATTTGCATATTAAAGGACTAAGTTGGGTGGGCCGGGTTTTTCACGGGCTACGTGAATGACACACCTGGTCAAACCAATCCCTTGGGCCCTATGCAAACAAGACACCACCTCCTCCAGCCTCCAGATATAATGGACTGCCTTTCTGCCGCACATGGGGTTTCTTTTTGTTCCAAGCCCCCCTCCCTTGTCTCTGTACAGGGAGCTGTTCTCTTCTTTCTTCCATCCTTCTTGCCTATTAAACTTGTTGCTCCTTAAAACCACTCCACGCGTGTCCGTGTTGTTAATCCTATCAGCATGAGACCAAGGACCCTGGTGTTCCTCCAGTCATCAGAGCCAATCACTATGTTTATTATCTGGGCTACAAAATAAGTTTTACACAAAAGCCCTGTAACACACAATTTACCTATATGACAAACCTGCACCTGCACCCCTGCAATTAAAATAAAAGTTAAACATTTTGTTGGATGATACAAAAAAAATCCATAATTAGTTTTTTTTTTTTTTTAAGATGGCAGATTGGTGGCCGGGCGCGGTGGCTCACCCCTGTAATCCCAGCACTTTGGAAGGCCGAGGCAGGCGGATCACGAGGTCAGGAGATCGAGACCATCCTGGCTAACACGGTGAAACCCCGTCTCTACTAAAAATACAAAAAATTAGCCGGGCGTGGTGGCGGGCCCCTGTAGTCCCAGCTACTCGGGAGGCTGAGGCAGGAGAATGGCGTGAACCTGGGAGGTGGAGCTTGCGGCGAGCCGAGATTGCGCCACTGCACTCCAGCCTGGGCGACAGAGCGAGACTCCATCTCAAAAAAAAAAAAAAAAAAAAAAAAAGATGGCAGGTTGGAGGCAGTTTTAGTGTGGCTCTCCCACCTGGAAAGACAGAATAGTGGATAGAAATTCACACTATTTTTTCCCCCGAGAACCAACACAGGAACTTAACAGGAAAACTGAAAGAATCTACAGATCCTTTGAAAGAAGTGGCAGGCTGCAACATACTCAGTGAGACAGGCAAAACACCTGTAAATTCCCAGAGTGTGAGAAGGGGAGAGTCTGCCTCTGAGCATACATCCCCACTGGGGAATCTGAAAATTCAGACCATGGGAGAAGGCCTTAACCCTACACAGAGCTGGGATGGATTTAGGGAGCGGTGTAAAACATAAAAGTAGAAGCAGCAGCAGAAAGTGCCTTGCAGGCATTCCTATCCCTAGGGAATAGAGAACCTATTCCTGACTATATATAATAAGGAAGGTTTCCCGACTATATCTCACAGGGGCCCTCAGCGAAGACAGCCAACAAGCTCAGGAAGGGGTTGCAGAGTGAAAGAAGCTCCCAAACGAATTTTGTGATATAATCTCAAGTGGGGACCAATTCCCTTGATCAGACCCCGGGGATCAAGCAGGAAGTATGCTTCAGACTCAGAAGTATAGAAGCATTCAAACTTCAGCACAGAAGTTTGGCACCCTGCCCTGCGGGCAGACAGGGAGGAGCATGGTTTGCAAGCCGTGGTTGCTGTCTCTTGGCCTGGGGCATGTCTGAGATCTGTGCGCAGAATGCCTGGATCTAAACCAGGTGCTGTTAGAAGAGCACTACAGGAGTGAGACTGGCCTCCCCAACTGCGTGGGAGCTGGGTAAGGCTTACTGTTGCAGCCTGCTACTCCAGACTCCCTTTGCAAACTCTTCTGTGCAGCAGAGGCACTTATACCTTCCTCCAGAACATTACCCTAGTGGCCTGGGAACCACCCCCATCCTTCACAGGGGCTGTGGCCTGCCCCACTCAAAGAGAATGAGAGCTCAGACCCACCTAACCCTGCCCCTATCTGATGATATCCCTCCACCCACCCCGGTAGCTTAACACAAAAGAAATAAACTTTTAGGAGCTTTATAGCCCCACTCATCACCTGAGAAAACAGAATATTTCCTCTGGGAAACTTAGCGCAACTCAAATCCCACTGTTACTACTGTAGCTGATGCTCTTTTGCAAGTGCCACCTCCTGGCTGGAGACCAACCAACACAGGCCATTACAGCACCTCTAGGTAGAATAACACTGCACTCAAGAAGAAAATGGTTGCATGACCTCAGCTATCACCACTGCCCGCAACAGTGTGAGTAACTAGAGGTCCTCAGTCTGTCCACATGACAAGTTCACTACTATTATAACCAGCATTTGAGAAAGCCAGCACACTAAGCCTATCTACAACTAAGAAATCTCACAGAGTCTACACTGCTCCCCTGCCTCCTCCATCAGAGCAGGCGCTGGTATCCACGGCTGGGAGAACTGAACAGGTCACATCAGTGGATCTGTTGCAGATATTTCCCAGCACCAACCCAGAGTCAAGTAGCCCCATTGGGTGGCTAGACCTAGAAGAGCAATAACAATCACTGTATTCTGGCTCTCAGGAAGTCCCATTCCTACGGGAAGAGGGAGAGCACCACATTAGGGGAATGCCCCATGGGACAAAAGAATCTGAATGGCAGGCCTTGTGTCCCAGATTTTTTCATTGGTGGAAATTTTCTTACAGCAGAGACACAATTGCAGCGCTGGGCACAGTAGGGAAAGTCTGCACCTCTACCCAATAGGTAGGCAGCCTCTATGATCATGAAGGGTGTTGGAGAAGGGGTCCTTGTTCCCCGCTTGCACACCACTGCAGACACAGCTGCAGCTTCTCCCATGGGAACACAGCATAGATGCACCTATAGACAGCCTTCCTGGAACAATTCAGGGTGATTGCAGCCCCACAGGAGGAGCACTCCCCAGATTCAGGCATGCACAAGAGGCAGAGTCCCAATTCTTTCACACTTGGAACATCAATATTCCTGCAGATGAAAAGAGGCGCCTGTCTGATCTCAATAGCTGGAACACTGGGACAGCAGTGAGGCCAGGAAGTGGATAGCTTTCCTGCTGGCCTGGCAGGGGACCTGATGTAGCTCCTACCCTTTACTCTGATAAAACCTCAGCACATCTAATAGAGAGCTCCCTCAGCCATCTTCATCAAGCCTGGACCTCTGCACACCTTTGGTATTACGTCTATCCATCTGCTTTAGCTACAACTGGTGCCTACCCAGGGATACCTCCCCTACGATCCTGAAGCCTACATAATCAACTCACTAAATAAAATACTGAAGAAAAATAAAGTGTACAACACAAGAGAATGAGATAGGCTTCAAGAGATCTCTGACATTCCAACCCCATAAGAGACAATGAACTTGCCCACACACCAAGTACATAACTACTGCAACCAGCATCTGGGAAAGTCAGTGCACAAAGACTCTCTATAACTAAGGAACTCATACAGCGTCTTCACCCCTAAAAGCAGCAAGAATCAAATTTGGGTATAGTAAACTGTAAACATTAAAGCCAGATCCTTAGGAGGGAAAAATGAAATTAAAAAAGAACACAGTCAAATCAAAAATAAATTCAAGAACTACTTGAATAAATAGTCCACCTAAATGAGAAGGAATCAGAAAATTAATTCTGCTAATATAACAAAACAAGGTTCTATAACACCCCCAATGGATCATACTGGCTCCTCAGCAATGGATTCAAACCTGTGAAATGCCAGATTCAGAAGGTTGATTATTAAGATACTCAAGAAGATACCAAAGAAAGATAAAAACCAACATAAATAAAGTAATAAAGTCAGGATATTAATGAAAAATTTTCCAGGGAGACAGATATCATAAAGAAAAACCAACCAATCAGAACATCTAGAAATAAACAATACACTTAGGAAAATACAAAATGCAGTGGAAAGTTTCAACAATACAATAGAACCAATAGAAGAAGGAATTTCAGAGCTTGAAGACAAGCTTTTGAACTAACCCAATCAGACAAAGATAAAAAAAAAAGAATCAAAAGAAATGAACAAAGTCTCCAAGAAATATGAGATTATTTTAAATGGCCAAATCTAAGAATAACTGGTGTTCCTGAGGGAAAAGAGAAGTCTAAAAGTTTGGAAAACATATTTGAGGGAATAATTGAGAAAATTTTCCCTGGTATTGCTAGAGATCTGGATATCCAAATACAAGAAACTCAACAAACTCCTGGGAAATTTATTGCAAAAAGATTACTAACAAGGTACATGGTCATCAGGCTGTTTAAAGTCAACATGAAGGAAAGAATTTTAACAGTTGTGAAACAAAAACACCAGGTAATCTATTAAAAAAAAAAAAAACCTATCAGACTAACAGCAGATTTCTCAACAGGAACCTTACAAGCAAGAAGAGATTAGGGTCCTATCATTAGTCTCTTTAAACAACTTGATTTTCAGCCACAACTTTTGTATCCAGCAAAACTAAGCTTCATAAATGAGGGAGAGTTAAAGTCTTTTTCAGACAAACAAATGCCGAGGGAATTTTCCACTACAAAACCAGCCACTACAAAAAATGTTATAAAGGAGTTATAAATCTTGAAACAAAACTTCAAAATACACCAGCATAGAGCCTCTTTAAAGCATAAATCTTATGGGGCCTAGAGCCTCTTTAAAGCATAAATCTTATGGGGCCTATAAAACAATAACACAATAAAAAAAAAAACTACAAGGTATTCAGGCAACAAATAGCATAAGGAATAGAACAGTACCTCACATCTCAATACTAATGCTGAATGTAAATGACCTACATGCTCCACTTTAAAGATACAGAATAGACAAATCGATAAGAAAAACAACAACCAAATATCTACTGTCTTCAAAAGATTCATCTAACACATAAGGACTCGTATAAACTTAACGTAAAGGGATGAAAAAAGATATTCCACACGAATGGAAACCAAAAATGAGCAGGAATAGCTCTATTCTTATAACAGAGAAAACAGACTTTAAAGCAACAACAGTAAGATGAACAACAGTAAGATGAAGAATTATATAATGATAAAAGGTTCAGTCCAACAAGAAGATATGATAATCCTAAATTTATATGCACACTGGCACTCCCAGATTTATAAAACAATTTCTACCAGATCTAAGAAATGAGATAGATAGCAACACGGTAATAGTGGGGGGCTTCAATATTCCACTGACAGTACTAGACAGACCATCAAGACAGAAAGTCAACAAAGCTACAATGGTCTTAAACTATACCCCAGAAGAAATGGATTTAACAGATATTTACAGCACATTCTACCCAACAACTGTAGAATATACATTCTTCTCATGAGCACATGGAACATTCTCCAAGATAGACCATATGATAGGCCACAAAACAAGTCTCAATAAATTTAAGAAAATGAAAATCATATCAAGTATCTTCTGATACCACAGTGGAATAAAACTGGAAATCAACTCCAAAAGGAACATTCAAAACTACACAAATGTATGGAAATTAAATAATCTGCTCTTGAATGATTTGGGGGTTAACAATGAAATAAAGATGGAAATATAAAAATTCTTTGAAATGAATAATAGTGACACAACTTATCAAAACCTCTAAGGTACAGCCAAAGCAGTGCTAAGAGGAAAATTCATAGCTTTAATTGCCTACATTGAAAAGTTTTAAAGAGCACAAATTGACACTCTAATGTCATACTTTAAGGAACTAGGGAAATAAGAACAAACTAAACCCAAACTGAGAAGAAATAAAGAAATAACAAAGATCAGAGCACAACTAAATGAAATTGAAACAAAAAAAAAGACTGGAAAGTTTGAATGAAATTGATAGACCATTAGCAAGATTAACCAGGAAAAGAGAGAAGATCCAAATAAGCTCAATTAGAAACAAAATGGGAGATACTACAACTGATACCACAGAAATACAAAAGGTCATTCGAGGCTACTATGAACACCTTTACATGCACAAACCAGAAAATCTAGAGGAAATGGATAAATTTCTGGAATTTTACAATCCTCCTACATTAAATCAGGAAGAAATAGAAACCCTTAACAGACCAATAACAAGCAGCAAAATTGAATCAGTAATCTTAAAATGCCAAAAAAAGTCCAGATGGATTCACAGCTGAATTCTCCCAGACGTTCAAAGAAGAAATGGTACCAGTCATACTGAAACTATTCCAAAAGATAAAGACAGAATACTTCCTAAATCATTCTATGAAGCCAGTATAACCCTAATACCAAAACCTGGAAAGGACATAACAAAAAAAGAAACTACAAACCAATATCTCTGATGAACATAGATGCAAAACTCCTCCACACAATACTAGCTAACCAAATCCAACAGCACGTCAAACAGATAATACATCATGATCAAGTGTGCTCCATCCCAGTGATGCAGGGATAGTTTAATATACACAAGTCAATAAATGTGTTATATCACATAAACAGAATTAAAACAAAAATCATATAGTTATTTCAATAGAAGCAGAGAAAGCATTTTATAAAATCCAGCATCCCTTTCTGGAAAAAAAATCTCAAAATAGGCATAGAAGAGACTTACCTCAAAGTAATAAGAGAAATCTATGACAAACCCACAGCCAACATCATACTAAATGGAGAAAAGTTAAAAACATTCCCTCTGAGAATTGGAACAAAACAAGGATGTCCACTTTCACCACTTCTATTCAACATAGTACTGGAAGTTCTAGCCAGAGCAATCAGATGAGAGAGAAATAAAAGGCATCCAAATTGGATAAGAGGAAGTCAAACCATTGCTGTTCACTAATGATATGATCACATACCTAGAAAACCCTAAAGACTCATCCAAAAAGCTCTTAGATCTCATAAATGAATTCAGCAAAGTCTCAGGATACAAAATCAATGTACATAAATTAGTAGCACTGCTATACTCCAATGAGAACCAAGATGAAAATCAAATCAAGAACTCAATCCCTTTTACAACAGCTGAAAAATAATAATTAGGAAAATACTTAACCAAGAAAGTATAAGATCTCTACAAGAAAAACTACAAAACACTGATAAAAGAAATCATAGATGACACAAACAAATGGAACCCTATCCCATGCTTATAGATGGGTAGAATCAATACTGTGAAAATGGCCATACTGCCAAAAGCAATCTACAGATTCAATGCAATTCCCATAAAAATAGTATCATCATTCTTCACAGAACTAGAAAAACAATCCTAAAATTCATATGGAACCAAAAAAAAAGCCCACATAGCCGAAGCAATACTAAGAAAAAAAAATCTGGAGGCATAACATTATGTGACTTCAAATTATACTACACGGTTATAGTAACCAAAAAAGCATTGTACTGCTATAAAAATAGGCATGTAGACCAATGGAACAGAGTAGAGAACTCAGAAATGAAGCCAAACACTTACATCCAACTGATCTTCAACAAAGCATACAAAAACATGAATTAGGGAATGGAAACCCTATTCAATAAATGGTGCTGGGAAAACAGGAAACTTATATGTAGAAGACAGAAACTCGATTCCCATCTCTCACCTTGTACAAAACTCAACTCAACATGGATCAAAGACTTAAATTTAAGGCCTGAAACTATAAAAATTCTAACATTGGAGAAACTTGTCTGGGTATTGGCTTAGGCAAAAAAATTTATGACTAAGACCCCAAAAGCAAATGCAAAAGAACAAAAATAAATAAATGGGACATAATTAAACTAAAAAGCTTCAGCACAGCAAAAGAAATAATCAGCAAACAGACAAACCACAGAATGGAAGAAAATATTCACAAACTATGCATCTGACAAAGGACTAGTATCCAGAATCTACAAGGAACTCAAATAAATCAGCCAGACTATAAGAAATAATCCCATCAAAAAGTGGGCAGAGAACATTGATAGGGTTTGGCTCTGTGTCCCCACCCAAATCTCTTGTTAAATTGTAATCCCCAGTGTTGAGGGAGGGACCTGGTGGGAGACCATTGGATCATGGGGGCAAATTTTACCCTTGCTGTTCTCGTGAAAATGAGTGAGTTCTCATGAAACCTGGTTGTTTGAAAGTCTGTAACACTTCACCCTTCATTCTTTCTCTCTCTCCTACTCCACCATGTGAAGATGTGCCTGCTTCCCTTTTGCCTTCTGCCATGATTGTAAGTTTCCTGAGGCTTCCCCAGCCATGCTTTCTGTACAGCCTGCATAAATGTGAGTCAATTAAACCTCTCTTCTTCATAAATTACCCAGTTTCGGGTAGTTCTTTATAGCAATGAGAGAATGGACTAATACAAACATGAATAGACATTTCTCAAAAGAAGATATACAAACAGCCAACAAACATATGAAAAAATGCACATCATTAATCATCAAAGAAATGCTAATTAAAACCACAATGAAATATTGCTTTACTTTTGTAAGAATGGCCATAAATTAAATATTAAAAAATAATAGATGTTGGTGTGGATGTGGTGAAAAGGGAACACTTTTACAGTGCTGGTGGGAATATAAAGTGGTACAACCACTATTGAAAAGAGTATGGAGATTCCTTAAAGAGCTAAAAGTAGAACTACCATTCAATCCAGCAATCCCACTACTGGGTATATACCCAAAGGAAAATAAGTCATTACATAAAAAAGACTCATGCACACCCATGTTTATAGCAGCACAATTTGCAACTGCAAAGATATCGAATCAACCTAAGTGTCCATCAACCAATGAGTACATAAAGAAAATGTGGTATATATACAGCATGGAATACTACTCAGCCATAAAAACAATGAAATAATGTCTTTTGTAGCAACTTGGATGCAGCTGGAGGCCATTATTCTAAGTGAAGTAACTCAGGAATGGAAAACCAGATATTGTATGTTCTCACTTATAAGTGGAAGATAAGCAATGAGGATGCAAAGGCATAAGAATAATATAATGGACTTTGGTGACTGCAGGAAAGGCTGGGGTGGGTGAGTGATAGAAGACTACATATTGGGTACAATGTACACTGTTCAGGTGACAAGTGCACTAAAATTTCATAAATTACCACTAAAGAAATTTTCAATATAACCCAAAACTACCAGTACCAGAAAAACTATTGAAACAAAAAATAAAAACCATCCATAATCCAGAAATAATCACCAATAACATTTTGGCATATTTTCTTCCATTTTTTCTATATTGAGCTAATAATGCATAATTTGCTTTTTAAATAATGTTTCGTTTGTTTTATTTCAATTAAATATGTAAAAGGGAGGGAACAAAAGATCCTCATAATGCCACTAACAGTTAACCTGAGTTGCATTTTAAAAATGTCACACACGTGGTTAGAAAATTCAAAGAGTATAAGGCCAGGCTTGGTGGCTCACATCTGTAATCCCAGCACTTTGGGAGGCTGAGGAGGGTGGATCACTTGAGGCCAGGAGTTCAAGACCAGTTTGGCCAACATGGTGAAATCCCATCTCTACTTAAAAAAAAAAAAATAGCTGGTCATGGTGGTGCAGGCCTGTACTCCCAGCTACTAGAGAGGTTGAGGCACAAGAATCACTTAAACCTGGGAGGTCGAAGTTGCAGTGGGCCTAAATCACGCAATTGCACTGCTCCATCCTGAGCAACAGGGCAAGACTCTGTCTCAAAAAAAAAAAAAAAAAAAAAAAAGGAAAATTCATATGGTATAATGTTGTATCCTTCCACTACACAAATGTCAGAATATGTACTATATAATATGCCAAAAGGTTTTTATTAGGTTTTCAATTTTTAAAAATTATAAATAATACTGTGTTGAATTGTTTACCAATACATATCAGTATCATATGACAATGACTGGATGCATTTTTACCAAATTTGTAAAGTATATTTAGAATAGTGTAACCCAAAATATAAACTATGTAAGATCCATGAGATTTACTTTGAGAGTCAGGAGGGAAACATTCCTAAAAATATGCTGCAATGCAGCTGTATCTGAGGTTCAGCAAGAGGCCTCTATGATTGCTAATCAGGAAAGCCCTGCTACAAGCATTAAGATGCCAAAGAGTCAGAAATCAAGCAGTGCTTAAACAGGAGCCTCTTTTTTAAAAATCACAAGGTCAGATACTACAAATTACAGTACACCAAATTACAAGGACTGATTTTCTATTGAATTGTTTCTTAAATAGACAATTTGATATTATTAATATGTGATCCAGAGTGAGAAACAACAGGAGTAGTACTTATGTTGTGGTCATTGATGATTAACATGAACAATTCAGAAGAGGACAACTGAAAGATAAGTGAGTCAATGTCTGTCTTACAGGAATTCTAAATGATAAAGAAAAAAAAAAGACAATGGGTTGGTATGGTTTGGCTCTGTGTCCCCTCTCAAATCTCACCTTGAATTGTAGTTCCCATAATCTCCACGTGTTGTGGGAGGAACCCAGTAGGAGGTAATTTAATCGTGGGGGTGGTTACCCTCATGCTGTTCTCCTGATAGTGAGTTCTCACAAGATCTGCTGGTTTTATAAGAGGCTTTTCCCACTTTTGCTCGGCACATCTCCTTCCTGCCACTATATGAAAAAGGACATCCTTGCTTCCCCTTCTGCCATGATTTTAAGTTTCCTGAGGCCACCCCTGCCCTGTGGAACTGTGAGTCTATTCAACCTCTTTTCTTTATAAATTACCCAGTCTTGGGTATGTCTTTATTAGAAGCCTGAGAATGGACTAATACAGTGAATTGAAATCAGTATAATGGAATGCTGTTATAAGGATACCCAAAACTGTGGAAGCGACTATGTAACTGAGTAACAGACAGAGGTTGGAACAGCTTGGAGGGCTCAGAAAAAGACAGGAAAATGTGGGAAATTTTGAAACTTCCTATAGACTTGGAGGGCTTAGAAAACAGGAAGATATAACAAAGCTTGGAACTTCCTAGAGACTTGTTGGATGGCTTTGACCAAAATGCTGATAGTGATATGGACAATGAAGTCCAGGTTGAGTTGGTCTCAGATGGAGATGAGGAGCTTTTTGGGAACTGGAGCAAAGCTGACTCTTGTTATGCTTTAGCAAGGAGACTGACAGCATTTTGCCCCTGCCCTAGAGATCTGTGGAACTTTGACCTTGAGAGAAATAATTTAGGGTATCTGATGGAAGAAATTTCCAAACACCAAAGCATTCAAGATGTGACTTGGGTGCTGTTAAAAGCATTCAGTTTTATGTATTCACAAAGATATGATTTGGAATTGGAACTTATGTTTAAATGGGAAGCAAAGCATAAAAGTGTGAAAAATTTGCAGTCTGATGATGCAATAGAAAAGAAAAATCCATTTTCTGAAGAGAAATTCAAGCTGGCTACAGAAATTTGCAAAAGTAATGAGGAGTCAAATGTTAATCACCAAGACAATGGGAAAAATGTCTCCAGGGCATGTCAGAGATCTTCATAGCATCATCCCCTCCCATCACAGGTCGAGAGGCCTAAAAGGAAAAAATGGTTTCATGGGCTGAGCCCAGGGCCTTGCAGCTTTATGCAGTCTCAAGACTTGGTGCCCTGTGTTCCAGCTATTGCTAAAAGGGGTCAACGTACAGCTCAGGTCATTACTTCAGAGGGTGCAAGCCCCAAGCCTTGGCAGGTTACACATGGTGTTGAACCTGTGGGTGCATAGAAGTCAAGAATTGAGGTTTAGGATCCTCTGCCTAGATTTCAGAGGATGTGTGAAAATTCTTGTATATCCAGGCAGAAGTTTTCTGCAGGGGTAGAGCCCTCATGGAGAACCTCTGCTAGGTCAGTGCAGTAGGAAAATGTGGGGTCACAGCCCCCACACAGAGTCCCCACTGGGGTACTTCCTGGTGGAGCTGTGAGAAAAGGGCCACTGTCCTCCAGACCCTAGAATGGTAGAACGACTGATAGCTTGCACCATGTGCCTGGAAAAGCTGCAGACACTCAATGCCAGCTTGTGAAAACAGCCAGGAGGGGAGCTGTACCCTGCAAAGCCACATGGGCAGAGCTTTCTGAGGCCTTGGAAGCCCACCTCTTGCATCAACATGCCCTGGATGTAGGACATGGAGTCAAAGGAGATCATTTTGGAACTTTAAAACTTAATGACTGCCCTAATGGATTTCGGACTTGCATGGGGCCTGTAGCCCCTTTGTTTTGACCAATTTCTCCCATTTGGAATAGGTGTATTTACCCAGTGTCTATACCACCATTGTACCTAGGAAGTAACTAACTTGCATTTGATTTTACAGGCTCCTAGGTGGAAGGGACTTGCCTTGTCTCAGATGACACTTTGGACTTGGTCATTTGAGTTAATGCTGAAATGAATTAAGACTTTGTGGGACTGTTGGAAGGGCATGATTGTGTTTTGAAATGTGAGGACATGAGACTTGGGAAGGGCTGGTGGCAGAATGATATGGTTTAGCTCTGTGTCCCTGCTCAAATCTCACCTTGAGTTGTAGTTCCCATAATCCCCACATGTCATTGGAGGGACCCAGTGGGAGGTAATTTAATTATGTGGGTGGTTACCCTCATTTTGTTCTCCTGATAGTGAGTTCTCATGAGATTTGATGGCTTTATAAGGGGCTTTTTCCCCTTTTGCTTAGCACTTCTCCTTCCTGCCATCATGTGAAGATGGGACGTGTTTGCTTCCCCTTCCACCATGATTGTAGGTTTCCTGAGGCCTCCACAGTCCTTTGAAACTGTGAGTCAACTCAACGTCTTTTCTTTATAAATTACCCAGTCTCAGGTATGTCTTTATTAGCAGTGTGAGAATGGACTAATAATACATGGGTAAAGAAAGAAAGAAAAGGAAAAATGGATAAAGAAAAGGAAATGGAGGAGTCTGCTTCTTGATGGGAGTATCTGCAATATCATATTGCAGGGGCAAACATGCAGAAATGGGAAAAATGCATGGCCATTTTTACAATCTACCATTTTCTTCCTGCTGATATATCCCCTGCCTCTCCCTTTATCACTTACTTACCTCCAGCCAAACTGTCCTCCTTGCTATTCTTCAGGAATGGCAGACATGTTCTCAACTTAAGGCCTTTGCCTGGAATACTCTTCTCTTCCATTGCCTATCCACAGAATTACTTCCTTTAGCTCCTTCAAGTCTGTGGGTTGGCAATTTGCTTTGAGCTCAGCTGGGTAAATGTATTGATCTTAGCTGGGATCGCTCATGTGCCTGTGATCACCTGGTAGGTCAGCTGGGTGCTAGGAAGGCCTCAGATATAATGGCTCATGTCTGCTCCACTTGACTTTTCACCCACCAGCAGACTGGGCTGGGCTTGCAAGGTCTCTCAAGACATAGCTTGGAACTAGCATGATGTCACTTCCACCACATTTTATTAGCCAAAGCAAGTCATAAGGGCAATTCAGATTCAAGTGGTGGGGATATAAATTTCACTTTCACTAAGAGGGACTTCAGTCACATTGCAAAAGGGTGTGAATAGTCAAAGGGGAATAATTTTGGCCTTGCAGCAATATATCATAGTGAGTCACTTTTTCAGCATTTTTTTCACAGTAATAGTCTTCAGGCAGGGAAGCGCATCTTCTGTTACTCCTTTATTAAGCCACAAAGTTTTCATATGGTTTCTTATACAACAAAAGTTAACAGATGCCCATGCTTTGTAAATTATAAAGAGAAAATCATGTAAGAAATCAAAGAGCGGAATAAAAGGTTAGAACTATTACCTGGTATTGAATTCTCCACTCACAATGGGGACTGCTAATAGACATTGGGATAGTGTTTATGGAATTATGAAATCGAAGGATTTTGAGTCCAAAATACCATTCTGAAAGAAAACAAATTTTGGATATACCAGAAAGCTATCACATAGGGGCAGAGACAATTTCCAGTAACGTGGGGATTTTATTTGAAAATAGTCTCTTCAATGAAAGCTCATTGATTAATTTTGTATACTTGTGTTTGTTTGCTTGGGCTGTCATAACAAACTTCAGTAGACTGGGTAGCTTAAATAACAGAAATGTATTTTCTCACAATTCTGGAGGCTACAAGTCTGAGCCTCCTGTCAGCAAGTTTGGTTTCTTCTGAGGCCTCTCTCCTTGGTTTGCAGATGACCTCCTTTTAGCTGTGTTTTCACATGGACTTTCATCTGTGTGTATGTGTACATCCCTGGTGTCTCTCCGTATATCCTAATTTGTTCTTTTGAAGACACCAGTCAGATTGGGTTAGAGCTCACTCTAATGGCCTCATTTTAACTTAATTGCCTCTTTAAAGGTCCTGTCTCCAAATACAACCACATTCGGAGGTACTGCGGGTTTAGGTCTTTACAAATTTTGAGGGGACACAATTCAGTCTGTAACAATACTGTTCCTGAATAGTGACATAATTCTTCTGAATGATAGGAAGACAATTCAGGAACACTTGAGCTTCTCATGTCTGTCATGATTCTTTTCTGTATGAACAATGTCAATGGCAACTGTACCCCTGAAAGGGACTCTGGGCGCCAATGGAAGCTGGTAGGATATTGGCTGCATATGTCCCCAGTTTTGATATTTACCTTGCTTCCAATATTATTCTGAATTCTTACATAAACCAATCAGGGCAATATCAAATCCTACCAGGTGCATGTGTACCTGTGTGGGTGTGCATGAGTGATTTTCTATGTGGTCTCTCTTTCCACCACTTCATAACTCTCTGAAATACTGTAGTTAATATTAGAAGTGGGACTAGCCTAAATAAACACACCACAACCACCATAAGATTTGGGAAGAAATTGGGAACAATGGCAAACTGAAATGATCTTGAGACAATTCGACCACAGCATCAAACAACCAACTACCGTGTTTCAGACATGATTTTTTTTTTTTTTTAGGAATAACGTAACTGCTGGTTGGTAGCTGGTTGAGATAAAAACGGTTGGCAAGGAAATGAAAGAAATAATAAAATTAAAAATTGTGATAGGAAACATGTTTATTGCGGCACTATTCACAATAGCAAAGACTTGGAACCAACCCAAATGTCCATCAAGGATAGACTGGATTAAGAAAATGTGGCACATAAACACCATGGAATACTATGCAGCCATAAAAAAGGATGAGTTCATGTCCTTTGTAGGGACATGGATGAAGCTGGAAACCATCATTCTGAGCAAACTATCGCAAGGACAGAAAACCAAACACCACATGTTCTCACTCATAGGTGGGAATTGAACAGTGAGAACACTTGGACATAGGGCGGGGAACATCACACACTGGGGCCTGTTGGGGTGTGGGGGGCTAGGGGAGGGATAGCATTATGAGAAATACCTAATGTAAATGACGAGTTAATGGGTGCAGCAAGCCAACACGGCACATGTATACATATGTAACAAACCTGCACGTTGTGCACATGTACCCTAGAACCTAAAGTATAATAAAATAAATAAATAAATAAATTGTTAAAAAAAATTGTGATAGGAGGTTAACTGTGTGAAAACTCAATAGCCTAAGTCAAGAGACTGCTAGATTACTGTGGAATTTTCCTTGGGGAGAGGGACTATAAAATAGTAGAATTCATCAACTCTTTCCTTAACTGGAATCAGTTGGATCCAAAAGATAATTAAAGAAGGTGGAGGATTTAGAGGAGAGACAGAATGAGAGAAGAGCCAATAAATGCTTTAATTGAAAGGAAAAAAAGGCCAGACGTGTGGCTTATGCCTGTAATCCCAGCACTTTGGAGGCCGAGGCGGGCGGATCACCAGGTCAGGAGATCGAGACCATCCTAGTTAACACGGTGAAACCCTGTCTCTACTAAAAATACAAAAATTTAGCTGGGCGTGGTGGCGGACACTTGTAGTCCCAGCTACCCAGGAGGCTGAGGCAGGAGAAGGAGAATGATGTGAACCCGGGAGGCAGAGCTTGCAGTGAGCCGAGATCGCACCACTGCACTCCAGCCTGGGTGACACGGCGAGGCTCCATCTCAAAAAAAAAAAAAAAAAGGAAAAAAATTAAAGACTATATTTTTAAAAACTGCAAATACGATGCTTTAACATATAAAAGGTAATTGATTTTTACAAAGACAATCTGAAGGTGAGGGGAGAGGGTAGTTAACAGATAAAAACTTATAGCTGGATAGGAAGACTAGGTTCTGGTGTTCTATAGCACTGTAGGGTGACTATGGTTAACAATAATTTATTGTATATTTTCAAAAACCTAAAAGAGAAGATTCTTGAACATTCTCAACACAAAGAAATAATGAATTTTTGAGGTGATGGATATATTACTCTGATTTGATTATTGCACATTGTATATATATATCTCAAAATATCATTCTGTATCCCATATACATATACAATTATTACATGTCAACTAAAAATAAAAGGAAAAAATCTGAAAGAGAACTATGGCCCTGGCGTACTGCGATTTGTGCAAGTATGTTAAAAACAAATTTTGTTTTCTTTTTTAATTCACAGAAAAATATTTCAGAAAAAGTTTTCTACAGAAGGTAGTTTCTAAATGGAAAAATAACAGTACCAAGTTCAAATGATATTGAGATAATTCAACTAAAGCATTAAACAACCAACTACTGTGTTTCAGACTTTATTTGTTTAAGAATAAAGGTGATTGTGCTGGTCAGTACCTGGTTGAGATAAAAAAGACAAGACACCCAGAGGAAAAAAAAAAAACAATTTTTCCCAGACGTTCATTTCATGGCTAGAAATCTTAGGGAGAATTTTTCCCCTTTGCCTTCAATGTCATGTTAAAATGTTCACTTGAAACCTTGGCTTCTGTGGCTACTAAGCCAAGTGCACGGGTGGGTAGGTGGCAGTAGCATGGTGAAAAGCATTCTGCCTTTCTTTTTATAAAAATGAATGTTAAGAGATCATGAAAGGAAAAGAGTAAAATGTTTTCAGGTTTGGGGAAATTTCCCAAAAGGTATTACAAACTGGCTTTTAGACAAAGCCTATTGTGAAAAAGGCAATCAAAGATAGGAGAGGAAGTCAACTAATATCATGTGAATAGCATCCCAAGTCTACTTCTCAGGTTTAAAGTTATGTGTACATTGAAGAGGAGAGCAGTGAGGAAGGAGAAATTATAGACTAACATGAGAAACTTCACAGAAAATCAAGGCCTAGAAAGGCAAAGGCAACTGAAACCCTAATCTAAGGCAAATTGAAACTGAGGCTGAGGAAATCTCCACACAGAACATTGAAAATATCACTTGGTTACCCATAGCTGTGTGTGACAAGGTACAGCAAGAACAACATGAGGTAAAGAAAGACCTGGACAGTTTGTAAGCTGAATTTAGAGGGAGCACAGAAGAGCCAGAACTTACTAAGTTGAAACATAAACTGTTTTTTTTCTCCAACCCCTCAATCCAGTAAAACATCAAATTAAAGGCATTGCCAAAAAGACATGATCTCTTTATAAAGATATAATCAAAGTTATAACTGTAAGACACTTTGATAATATCTCTGAAAGAATTTAAGTGGTGTCTGGTATTGGCCCACAGCAGACTGATATGCTCAAAGTAGATGGGATTACATGTGGAGATAATGCTGGTCTCTAAAAGATTTTTAGGTATGGCTTTTGTCCAGTGAAGTAGATTCAGATTCATAGAAAACCCACAAAATTTTGAGGGTCTGTGCTGGTAAAAGTGCTGCCAATCTAGACTAAAAGAGACTAAATAATTCAGAATGCAAATGGATTCTTGGGCTCCAAATTTCTATGAACAGAAAGCACACTAAGAAAGTTGGTCAAAGAGCATATCTTCCAACATATTCTTTGCCAATGGCCCAGAATAGAAGAAGAGAAAGAATATCTGAGATATTGTTAGAGGGCAGAGTCAAGATCCATGGAGAACGATAAACCGTGGTGCCTCTTACAGTGATTAGAACCAGACTGTAATCAAGGACATACCTTGTCCCTTGGCATTCTTCTGAAATTTTATAGTTGTTATAGATCAGTGACTGTTATGTGCCTTTCATTCTTCTTTTGGTATGAGAGAATTTACTGTGGCTGCCTCATGTCTGCCACACCATTGTATGTCCAGTGTGTGAAGGGCAGATGAACTTCTTCATAGGGGAGTGTGTATTTTGCATGTGAGTTGATGAGGTTAATTGGGGGCAGAAGGTAAACTGTGGTAGATTAACTGCGGTGATGGTCATTATTAATAGACTCCCTATATTCACACCTGTTGCAAAGTGACTTTGCAGTTCTCCAGAATAAAGGGTGGAGTTTACTTCCCCACGCCTTGAATCTGGGATGGCATTGTAGCTTGCTTTGGTCAACCGAAAGTGGCAGAAGTGATGGCATGCCATTTCCATCTACAGGCCTCAAGAGGCATTGTACGCTTCTGCTTTCCCTCTTGAAACTCTGCCATGCCATGAAAACAAGTCTGCACTAGCCTGCTGGAGGAAGAAAAACCATGTGGATGGGAGCCTGGCTATTCCAGCACATTCCCAAATATGTAAGACAACCCAACCAAGATCAACAGAGCTTCCTTCCTACCTTACCCACAGCTGACTGCTGACACATAGTCTAGCCAAGATGAGAAAAAGATGACTCATAGACTCATGAGCAAAAATAAAGGGTTATTAATTTAAGCCATGAAATTTCAAGTGGTTTGTTATACTGAAATAGGGAGGTAATACAGGTTCTAGCAACCAAGTAATCTGGAAGAAAGTGCACAGTATTTCTTTTCTGCAGTGACCATTAAGTTACCCAGAAACTCAAAATAGGGTTTATAGAGATGAAATAACTTAAGCCATGAAAAACAGTTTATCTTTACACTAAAATTTTAAATGGTTGTTTTGTCCTTGCTTTTATAAGAAACCCTGTAAAATATACCAATACCCAGATTGGTGAGAGGAGGGGAAGGATTATAAAAGGAGGGTAAGTACTATGTTCTGAATGTTTATGTCCCCCACAAAATTTATATGTTGAAACATAATCACCACTGTGATGATATTCAGAGATAGGGCCTCTTGAAAGGTGATTAGAATATCAGGACAGAGCCCTAATGAGTGGGATTAGTGCTCTCCTAAAAGGGGCCTCAGAGAGCTGCCTTAACTTTTATACCATGTGAGGAAACAGCCAGAAGGTGCCATCTATGAACCAGAAAGTGGGCCCTCACCAGGCACTGAAACTGCCTTAATCTTGGACTCCCCAGTCTCCAGAACCATGAGAAATAAGTTTCTGTTGTTTATAAGCCACCGAGTATATGGTATTTTGCTGTAGCAGTCTGAATGGACCAAGACAGTAATGAATGTGACATGAACATAAAATTGAAATTGAAGTTTCTTATCTTAAATTTCTGGTTTTGTGAGTTGGTGCTTATGATAAATAATACTGTGAATTATACTCATGTACACAAATAATCCCACTTGAAATTTCTGGATAAAAATTTTAATGTCTGACAATTTGTGACATGAATGTGGCTATATTTCTAGTATTTTAAATTGCCATTTGCAAAGATAAGCTGGTACCTCAATGAGATGATAAATAGCTGCATTTATCTAAAGACTTTTAAAAGAAATCGGCGTTGAACATTAAAGCTGCCTGCATGCAATTAAAAAAATGTGAATTAACTTCAAACTAAATCAACAAAGGGAACTTTTAGATAAAGTATGATTTTTTCACCTATTTATGTTTTTGTATTCCCTAGAGGAAGATACGGATTTTTCTTTGGCTATAGCTGGAGTCTGAGTGATCATAACGGAGATGGTCTAAAGCTACCCAAATTGTGACCACTTTTAAGAAACATAAGCTATTAGAGAAAAAAATGAGAAAAAAAAGGAGGTTGCTAAATGTGAGTGAGGAGAACAACACTGTAATTTGAATACATGGTATGGTTTTATAACACATAACATGGTAAAATAAAGGCAATGGAAAAGGAGAAAAACTGGTAGCACAAAAATGCAAATGAAAGATTGAATTAATAAACTCACATTAAACCAGGTAAAAAAGAAACAATGACTTAACAGCAACAATGTGAAATTGTGATGTGTTTTTGAAAAAAATAATACTTTTGATCCACTGTGAAAGTGGATAGTAGCCTCCATTTTACCCTGTTCCACCTTAAGCACTCGTGAAATAATTTCAACTCCCAGCATACTGAATTTGGTCTTTTTTTTTTTCTAAAACAAAACTGGAATCCTTAGAAAGTTGCATACTTTAAAATGGGCTGGAAGCCTCCTGTTCTTGTGAGGAAGCAAGATGACTTTCAAAGATGTCTGGAAGTTGTGACAAAGGAGCCAGCTTAAAATTGTGCCCACTAGTCTGTGAAAATTTGAACTTTAAAAAGGTGATTATGATCACCTGGAATCAGTGGTCTACGAAAGGCCAAAAGTCCATGGTAATGCTTAAGAGGACAACATGAAGTAAGCAAGAAACAAGTTTTATATAATATGTCATTAGATTGGGGCACCAGTACAAACCACTGTAGCTAGATATCAAAATCTACCAAGGGTCAGGGGCTGTGCTGTGGAAAATGCATGTACGATTACGATCCTCAGACAAATTTTTATCAGGTCCATCTGAGTCTAGATATTAACTCAGATCTGTGTACTTTCTCGGCTACTGGGAACATGGGGGCAGATATTGCATGGGCACTTGGGTATTCACATTGTTAATGAGGGCAGAACCTTTTTGATGGTGAGAATGAGTCAAAATAAAACCATATATATTGTGCAAGTTCTTTCTGAATGACATAATACCACATATAAAGAGGTGATGGTACAACAGTGAGTTTAAATGTGTCAGAATCCCATCCTGTGTGGACATTTGCAGCTACACTTCCCCAGGAATCCTAGGTACTGAAGAGAAGGTTTGTTGAGCAATGAAAAACTCAGACTTTATACCACCACTCAGGAAAAAAGTATATGCTTCAGTCACCAAAAACTAGAAATGTATGCAGTGATATAGTTTGGCTTTGTGCCCACCCAAATCTAACCTTAAATTGTAGCTCCCATAATTCCCACATGTTGTGAGAGGGACCCGGCAGGAGATAATTGAATCATGGGGATGGTTTCCCACATACTGTTCTCGTGATAGTGAATAAGTCTCACAAGATCTGATGGATTTATAAGGGGAAACCCCTTTTGCTTGGTTCTCATACTTCCATGTAAGAAGTGCCTTTTACCTTCCACTATGACTGTGAGGCCTCCTCAGCCACGTGGAACTGTGAGTTCATTAAACCTCCTTTTCTTTACAAATTACCCAGTCTCGAGTATATTTTTATCAGTAGCATGAAAACAGACTAATACAGCAAACTGGTACTAGTAGAGTGAGGTGCTGCAGTAAAGATACCCAAAAATGTGGAAGCAAATTTGGAACTGGGTAACACGCAGAAGTTGGAACATTTTCCAGGGCTCAGAAGAAGACAGGAAAATGTGGGAAAGTTTGGAACTTCCTAGAGACTTGTTGAATGGCTTTGACCAAAATGCTGATAATGATATATACAACGAAATCCAGACTGAGGTGGTCTCAGATAGAGATGAGGAACTTGTTGGAAACTGTAGCAAAGGTGACTCTTGCTATGTTTTAGCAAAGAGACTGGCAGCATTTTGCCCCTGCCCTAGAGATTGTGGAATTTTGAACTTGCAGGAGATGATTTAGGGTGTCTGGCAGAATAAATTTCTAAGCAGCAAAGCATTCAGGATGTGACTTGTGTGCTGTTAAGGGCATTCAGTTTTAAAATGGAAACAGAGCATAAAAATTCAGAAAATTTGCAGCCTGATGATGCAATAGAAAAGAAAAACCCATTTTCTGGGGAGAAATTCAAGCTGGCTTCAGAAATTTGCATAAGTAACAAGGAGCCAAATGTTAATCACCAAGACAATAGGGAAAATGTCTCCAGGGCATGTGAGAGACCTTTGCAGTAACCAGTCCCATCACAGGCCCAGAGTCCTAGGGGGAAATAATGGTTTCGTGGGCTGGGTCCAGGGCCCCCTTGCTGTGTGCAGCCTAGGGCCTTGATGCCTGGTGACCCAGCTGCTTTAGCTGTGACTAAAAAAGGCCAAGGTACAGCTCAGGCTGTGGCTTCAGAGGGTGCCAGCCCAAAGCCTTGGCAGCTTCCACATGGCATTAAGCCTGCAGGTGCCCAGAAGTCAAGAATTGAGGTCTGGGAACCTCCGTCTAGATTTCCGAGGATATATGGAAACTCCTGGATGTCCAGGCAGAAATTTGCTGCAGGGGCAAGGCCCTCACAGAAAACTTCTGCTAGGGCAATGGGGAAGGAAAATGTGGGGTTCAAGCCCGCACTGAGTCCCCCGTGGGGCACTGCCTAGTGAAGCTGTGAGAAGAGGGCCACTGTCCTCCAGACTCCAGAATGGTAGATCCACCAACAGCTTTCACTGTGTGCCTGGAAAAGCTGCAGACACTCAACACCAGCCTGTGAAAGCAGCCGGGGGGTGGGCTGTACCAGGCAAAACCACAGGAGTAGAGCTGTCCAAGACCATGAAAACCCACTTCTTACATCAGTGTGACCTGGTTGTGAGACATAGAGTCAAAGGAGATCATTCTGGAGCTTTAAGATTTGACTGCCCTACTTGATTTCAGACTTGCATGGGGCCTTTAGCCCCTTCGTCTTGGCTCATTTCTCCCATTAGGAACGGGTGTATTTATCCAATGCCTGTACCCCCATTGTATCTAGGAAGTAACTAACCTGCTTCTGATTTTACAGGCTTATCGGCAGAAGGGACTTGACTTGTATGGGATGAGACTTTGGACTGTGGACTTTTGAGTTAATGCTGAAATGATTTAAGACTATGGGGGACTGTTGGGAAGGCATGATTTGTTTTGAAATGTGTAGACATGAGATTTGGGTGGAGGGCAGGGGCAGGATGATATGGTTTGGCTTCCCCACCCAGATATCATCTTGAATTGTAGCTCCCTTAATTCCCATGTGTTGTGGGAAGGACCCTTTGGGAGATAATTGAATCATGAGGGTGGTTCCCCCATACTGTTCCTGTAATAGTGAACAAGTCTCATGAGATCTGATGGTTATATAAGGGGAAACCCCTTTCGCTTGGTTCTCATTCTCTCTTGCCGCCACCACATAAGAAGTGCCTTTCGCCTTCTACCATGATTGTGAGGCCTCCCCAGCTACATGGAACTGTGAGACCATTAAACCTTTCTTTCTTTATAAATTACCCAGTCTTGGGTATGTCTTTATCAGCAGTGTTAAAACGAACTAATACATGCAATAAGGGAGACGACTTAGTGCTCACAGTGGTCACAAGGAAAACATATTGTCTCAATAATTACTGTTAATGTGGCTATGAAATTAAGAAAACTAAGTAAATTTTTAAAACTAAGAAAATTAAGTAAAGGTCCTAAAATAAAAATGCATAGTGTAAACAAACAAAATTATTTTAAAATCTAGAAAAAGGTCAGTGATTCAGCAAGAATTCAGCTTTTTTGTTCCAAAAGAGCTCCACCTCGCGAGGATAGTACTGCTTGCAGCTGTTCTCTCTATTAGGAACTTTGCAGGCAGAGTCATCTGAAGGAGGTGTTAGGGGAAGAAGTGAAAGTATTGAAAATACAAAGTATGCTAAAGACCTCATCTTGTTGGGTAGAAGCATCATAGAAAGCTGATTAATTCGTGATACCAGTAAGAAAATGTACATTTTTTCAGTGCCTACAGTTCTTGGGCCCCATTACTTGTTTCATTCCAGGACAGGAAGGGCCACACTGACTGAAATGAAAGCAAAGGCCCTGTTGGAATCATCTCAGTCCTGGAGAAACTGATAGAAACTTCCAGAGGAGCTCAAGATCATGAAGTAAATGCTAGCATGGTCAAACCAGCTCTCAAAGAAGTGAAAGACTGACTTTCCTCTGGTAGGGGGGATTCAAAAAGTGCATAAACTGGGGAAAATATTTAAATTGAGGTGATGGTGACCAACACTGCTACTAAGGTAGAAGCGTAAGGGAAATTCTGGTTTGGGGTGAGGGGTTAATATCAATCTCAAAGTTATTAGTTTGGTGAAAAAGTAATTGTAATTTTTGCCATTTCTTTTAATAGCAAAAACCACAATTAAATTACTTTTGCACCAACCTAATAAATAATTTTAATATATGGTCAAAATGTCTCTTTTCAATCAAAATAAAATGTTTGAAGGTTTCAGGGTCAAAAATAAAGTTTGTTCCCACAGTTTTGTAACCAGACTATTTCTCCTTCCTGAAGATGTAGGTGTTCCCTGATGGAAAACTATTGGAACAGAATAACAAATCTTCTGAGAGAGATATGGTTGGGTAGGACTCTGAGAAAACAGAAAAAGTTTAGAGAACAACATCAATGAAAGTAAAGGAGGGAACAGATACTGATGTATGCGGTAGTGAGAAAACCAGTCTGACTAGAGTAGATAACCCATGGGCAAGTAGAAAACAAAGATGATTATGTAGGGAAGGTCATGGGCACTTGGAGGGCACATGTGGATGTTTAGATTTAATGATGAAACTTGAATTGTATGTTTTTGAGTGATATGAAAAAATGATACTTAAAGAGATTAATCTGGTAGCAATAAACAGGATGGGCAGTAGTGAGAGACTGAGAGATTTGTGGAAGGACCTAAAATTTGGATGACGATAGACCAAGCAAGGGGAATGAGATTGGTGACAAAGGAACAAATACTAGACACATTAAAAAGCAGATGTTTCTTTCCTCTTTTTTTATTACAAAAATATTACATACTTCAAAAGTTCCAATTGCACAAAAGTATATAAAGTAAAAAATAAATATGTATGTATATGTGTACCTATTTGAGCATAATTACTATTAGAAGTGATATTTCGAACTTCTAAACCAGCATAGGAAAAAGTACATATACTTTGACAAATCTATCAAGACTTTAAAAAGACAGAAAAATTAATGAATATTACCAAATTATAATAAATATGAAAGGTTTAATTGTGAAATATTAAGGCAGACATTGCGAGATCGAGTAAAAAAACTCATCACATGCAGTCTTGAAAAGATATACCCAAACCAAAACAACAGAGAAAAGCTGAAAATACTGGTATGAATATAGTAGGCAAATGGTAACAAAGATAAAGTAGAGGTAGCATAGAAGAGTCAAAACAAAAATCATTAAATAAATCAAGGAAGGTATCTTTTTGAATTAATATACATTGTGAACTAATACAATCCAATAAGATAATCATTAAAAAAACCCTGAAAAGCAATTTCAAATATGTCAAGCCAAAAAAGTTAGAAATAGGAGACTGTAATAAAACCATGAAGTGAGACATTTTATATATTTTTATTAGAAAATTTAGATAAATCAGACAAAAATAGAAAATTTGAATAACAATGAACTAATTTGACTTAATTTGTAGAAGCATGATATAATATTTACCCCAACAAAAAATATATATTTTCTCCAATTGTTCATGGAATATTTATAAAAATTTCATATAGAATACGAAGAAAATATTCCAAGAGGTATAACTCATGCAAGAAACATTCTCCATCCATGAGATAGTATAAGTAGTAATTAAGGGAAAAGGGGATAGGAAGCAAAACATCAACTAAAACCTAACCACACTGAAATATATACACTTCTAAATAACTCTTGAATTAAACAGGAAAACAAAGCTTTAAATATGAGGTGACAAACAAACAAACAAACAAACATGAAAATGCTGAAAACTATGGGGTACAATCAAACATGTATTTAGAGGAAATTTTTTAACTTAACTTAAATGCACTAAACAGAAAAGAAAGAATTAAAAGTAAACTAAACATTACCTAGAGAATCTAGAAAGAGATCAAACAGAACTAAAGAATGTAACAAGAAGGAATTTACAAAAGCAGAAAGTGATATTTGAAAACACTTGGTATTTTAAAAAAATAGATAACTGAAAATAAAATATACAAATCTAAGGAAAGTCGTACCAGAGAAAATAAAAAAGCATATAGCCACATATATGCAAATTAAGGCACATTAGGAAGTATTATGTGTAATTTCCAATCAATACATTTGAAAATCCAGATGAAATGGACAGTTTTGACAAAATTGACTCCAGAAGAGGAGAAAATCTTGGATAAAATAATCATACAAGAAGTGGAAAGATTTAAATTTCTAGGCCCCAAGCATGTACTAGGACAAAACAGTTATATTGGTGAGTGTTACCAATTGTTTAAGGAACAACTTGTGTCTAAGTTATTTACATTGTGGAAAAAGAAAAATCTTTATTCACAAAAATATCATAATCCTAATATCAAATCAGGAAAGGGGTATCGCAGAAAGGAAAACAATAAATAAGAGTTTCCCAACAAGTGTACCTCAGCACACTGGTGTCCTGTGAATGGGTTGTATGTGTACTGTAATCTTTATCTCCTAAGACGTTGGGTCAACCAGGCAGATCCTGTGAAGCCAAGTTGCCTTTGCCCTGAGCAATCTTGTCTATTTACCCCAGGGTGCCATGATGTGAAAGAGGTAATAGGGCACTTCTATAGGCATTTGTTAATATAGAGTTTTATATCCTAAATAAAATAATGACATACCAAAACACCATTACCAAATCAGTTTTATTCCAGGAATCTAAGAATAGCTCAACATTATGTAATTAACTACATTAATGGATTAGAGAGAATAACCATATCATCACCTGGATATCAGCTTGTCAGATGCCAGAAGAGGCATCTTGATAACATTCTTTATCCATCCCTGATAAAATTATAAGTCAATCAAGAACAGAAGGGCATTTCCATAACTTGAAAAGGGGCATTTATCAGAAACAATGGCAATTATAATAGTTAAACAATGAGGCATTTCTATTAGAGCCAAAAACAGAAGGTTGCCTGCTCTTTATTAATCAACATCAATCTGCATTGTCCTGGAAGTTATAAAGTCTTTACCAATGTGCTAAAAGAAAAAAAAATAGATACAAACATTAGCAAGGAAAAGACAAATGTTTTATTATTTACAAATGGCATGATTGTGTATCTAAGAAATCAAGATAATCAAATGAAAATAAAAACTACTGTTAGAGCTAGGAATAGAGTTCAATATGATACCTGGATACAAGATAAATATTAAATAGCTTTTCTATGCACTAATGATAATGAATTTTTAAAATGCAATATCATTCACGTAAGAGGAATTAAAACTATAAACAAATAAGCCTAACAATTCTTTTAATATCTAAATGGAGACTACAGTAAATTTAAATAAATTGAGACAGATCCCTCGTTACTAGATGCAAAACCCACTATCATAAAGATGGCAGTTCTTGACATGTTACTCAAAGGTCTGAAGCATTTCCAAGGGATTAATTTTTTATGGGCATTCATGAGTTAATTTTAAAATTAATCTGGAAAAATGGGATGCACAAGAATAGCGAAAAATTCTGAAAAAAATAATAATGTAGGGGAAGCAGTCCCATCATATGTCAAAACATAATGCTACAGTAATTAAAGCAGTGAGGTACTAGCTCAGTACTAGAGAAATATTATCAGTTGAACAGAAAAGAAACAAAAAAATATACCCATATAGTTCATGATAAAAAGAGAATTCCAAATCAGTATGGAAATAATTCAATTGAATAAGTAAGTTGAAAAAAACTGACTCTCTCTTCTGAAAAAAAATAAGCTTAGATTCCTACTTTGTACCATAGAAACACTTATAAAAGAAAAGCCAATTCTACATAGAGTACTAAGCAATAAGAACGTACAAAATATTGGAAGAACCAGGCACACTGGCCCACACCTGTAGTCCCAGCTACTCGGGAGGCTGAGGCAAGAAGATCTCTTTGGCCCAAGAGTTCAAGACCAGTGTGGACAACACAGAAAGACGATATCTCAAAAAATATATTTTTTGATTAGAAGAATATATAGGAGAATACTTTTTTAATCTTGGGAGTGCAGAAGCCTATCTAAATATGAAACAAAAACAAGAAACTATAAAAGATTAAAATGTTTGTCTATTTACATAATTAAATCTTCTTTATAGTAAATAGCACCATGAATAAATTTAAAAGACAAATGATAAACATTTGCAATATACACCAGACAAAAGGATATCAGCTCCAATATCCAGAGATCTACAAATTAATAATAAAAAAAGACAAATGACACAACAAAAGAATAGGTAAAGGATACAAACAAGCAATTTCTTAAAGAAGAAATAAAAATAGCTAGTAAATGTATGAAAAGTTGCTTAACTTTACAAATTATTAGAGAAAAATAATTTAAAGGAATGAGATTAGATTTTCCATCCAAAATACTGACAAAAGTCAAAAATAATAGCATTCAGCATGCCAGGAGGGCAATTTAGCTCAAACATGTTGATCCAGAAATTTTATTTCTCAGGTACTAGCTCTTTAAAATCCTTGTAAAAGTGCAAAAAAATTGTAAAGATGCTTTATATATCATTATCTATATTAGCAACAAACTGTTAACAACCAAAAGATCATGTGGAAAGAATTAAATAAATAATAGATTGTAAAGATGCTTTATATAGCATTATCTATAATAGCTACAAACTGTTAACAACCTAAAGATCTAATGTGGAAAGAATTGAATAAATAATACAGTACACCCTACTCTGAAATTTCCTGTAGCTGTTTTATAAAATGACTTTCTACAGAGCAGGAAAAAAGCAAGTTGTAGAATATATGTATAGGATGTTAATTTAATGTTAATAATATTATTATTCTATTATTATAACATTTAATGTTAATAATAACATATCAACACTTTTCTTCTCACTCCGTTACGTATTTTCATTTTCTAAAACACATGAGAATACATTCAAGTAAATAAAAAAAGTATGAGGAAGGTAACAAAACAAAGAGTCATGGCTATCTCTGGGAGATAGATAGGATTAGGAGAAGGATATTTTCACTTTTTACTTTATACACTACTGCTTTTTTTTACTTTTTACTATAAACATATATTACTTTTATAACAAAAAATAAGCCCACCCTATAAAACACACACACACACACACACATATATATATATACACATATATGTGTATATATGTGTATATATATGGAATATGCATATATGGAATATACATATATACATATATGTGTATATATGGAATATAGATACATATATGTGTATATATGGAATATACATATATACACATATATGTGTATATATGGAAACAGAAAAAAAGTGATTTGAAATCTGACTACACAGAAGCAACTATTGTTAACATATCAACACTTTTCTTTTCACTCCCTGTTATGTATTTTCAACATATTTTGGATCATGCGCTATGTAATTTTGAGCTTGTTTTTCAATAAATATAATATTGTATTTTCCTATATCAATAAAAACACATTAACATAAAGTTTAAATATATTTTAATTTTGAAAATAACACATGTTCAAAATAGAACATTTCGAGAGCAAAGAACCAAAAGAGAATAAAAATCCCATGTAGTCTTACTACCCACAGATAAATTACTTTAAAAAATAATGAAAGACAAATGTACAGAAAGGGATTAATAATCCTTAGATTGTGCACAGTGTCTCATTGATTCATGCAAGGCCCTCTTTTATTTTTACTCATTAACTTGCCTTTTTATTTAATGTTAATAATAATCATAAAATTATTAAATAATAATGGGATTTCAATTACATAATGACACCAACCACTACCCAACACACGAGTACTAGAATGTTAACCATAATATGAATTCATGTACATTGTCCTCCCATATTCTGACCCTATTTCCTCAACCCCAGTGACCATCATCTTCAATTTTTTTTTTGCTTTTTAATAAATTATTTGTATGCTATGTGTATGTAGCCCTAAATAATATAGTGCTTAGTTTTACCTGTTTTTGAATAATATAAAAAGGATATCCTACTATATGTAGTCTTTTGAGACTTGATATCTTAATATTCTAGAAGTAAAATCTACCCATATTGTTATGTGTAGCTGTAGAACATTCATATAATGACTATATAATATTTTACGTGAAATATACCATGATTTATCCATTTTCTTTTTGGGACTTTTACTACTAACAACATTTTAGTGTGTATCTTCTAGTTATTTTCCCGAAGGTATTTAGTTTTCCTTCTATGAAACATGAATATTATACGTATTTTTTGTGACCTATTTCTCTCACTGATGATACCTTATGAACATATTCCCATTTTGGTAAATATTCTTCCATGATATAAATTTAAATGACCACACAGTATTCCATTAGATAGTTACAATATAATTTTCTAACCACCCCAACTGTTAGACACATGATTGCTTGTAATTTTTTTGCTGTGATGAACATTATGATGCACATGGTCTTGTTTGGCTCAGCAACTCTCCTTTTAGAAATTTATCCTAAGTAATACCCAAACACATCTGCACACAAATATGTACAGGAACACCACGTAGAATGACACAGTTTGTGTTCTTCACACCTTACATAAAGTATGTGCTGATCACAGAAGTTTTTATAATACAAGAAAATTGGAAGGAACTTAATGCTCACCAATAGGAGATGGAGTAAGTAAATTATATATTAAAATTATTACATAGCTGCACAGTTACTGACATAGAAAGTTGTTCACAATTTATTAAGTGTAAGAAAGAAATAGGTTAAATTGCAGTATGATTACATTTTGTACAAGAAAATATGCTAGTAAAAGTGCCTACAAGAGCATACACGAAAATCCTTACAGTGATTATCTCTAGATACTGAAATTATTTGAGAATTTGTTTTTTTTCACTTTGCTAACATATATTTTGAAGTGTTTCCAACAGTAAAGCTTGATTCCATGTACAAGAAAAAAGATGAATAGTTTTGTGCACAATTGTTTAAATATTTTTCCTGAATAGAAAATACCTGTACATTGTAAGAACTTAAAAGAATATATAGAAGAAAATAAAATCATACATAATGCAACCCATCCAGTAATAATTAGTTTACAGTCCCCAATACATTTACTTCTAGTCATTTGTCACTGATTATATATTTTAAAATAGTTGCCATCACACTTTATGTAACCTTGTATGCTGATGATTTTTCACTTAACTTATAAAATGAATATGCCATAGCATTTTAATGGAAGAATATTCCATCATAGGTACATGGCACATTTACTTAATCATTCCCTGAATGTTAGACTAAGGTTTTTCTGTTTTTCACTATACCAAATAACTATGTGAGGAGTATCTTTGTGTGTGAATTATCCACATTTTAGATAATTTCCTTGGACAGATTCCTTGAAGTGGAATATACTAAACCAAAAAGTACATTTTTATATCCCTTGATATAAATTTTCAAATAGTACTTCATATATATTTTAAGGCAAAATGAGTAGCAGGGAAAATAAAGAGGTCAAAACAGCTGGGTCCCATGGCTATTGTTAGCACTCAGATTAGTAAAACTGATATACAAAAAATCTGTTTTATTTAAGTCACAAGGCTATATTGTGAGAACCAAATGACAATATAGATTCTTCAGAGTCACAATAAATATTACTTCTTTAGGAATGCTTTCCTTGATTTTCCAGACTCTCAGTTACTTTTTCTTCATGGCCTTAACAATTGATAAATAATTTTCCAATTATCTGTATGTTGTTTCCCACAGACGATTTTAAGCTTTATCAAAACATGCCTGGCATACAGTTAGCGCTCAATAAATATTTGTTGAATGAATGAGGTGACAGCACTTTGTAAAGTATAAATCATTAGACATTCAGAAGGTATTTCTATTTTAATTGGCATTATCATTGTTCCTTTTTGTTATCACATAGAGGATTTTAAATCTTTAGAGAGTCCCTGCCTAACTGTAAAAATTTAATTATGTGGTTTTCATGCTTTTCATGCCAGCCAGAAGCATGGGTAGCAACATTGCTGAAGGCACCTGGTGGGAGCTGAGACTTAGAGAACCAACTACTTGGTTCTCCAGATCAGCATGCTGGGATTTAAGGAGTTGCAGCTACCATTAGTCGGATACAAGGCAGTGGCCAGGAACCCAGGAGGTTGCGATATTTGAAGCAGGTAGATGCTGGAGGTTAGAAACAAACTAATGGTAAGTGCTCCACATAGTAAGGTGCAAACTGGACAAAAGTCAGTAAAAGGGGATTCAAATAGATAGAAGAGTTAAATTCCAAGCACCAGTACTCGAAGCATGGAGCTATGAATATGATTCTGAAGCAAAGGGTAATTGAACTCAGTGCTTCCTTATATTCTTCCTGCCAAAACTGAAAATGGTATCAGAAAGTGTTTGCACCTACTTCCATATACAGGTCCAAGGGAATGGTAGTAGCTGGTTGGGGAATAAAAGCTGTGCATACAAACAGACTCTGGCAGTGACAGGATCAAGCGAGACCATTTGTATACGGGATTGTATAATATTCTACACAAAATGTGGAAGCAATCAACCTTTGGATCACATCATTCTATCATGATTTTAAACAGCAGATATTATAGCATAGTGGTTACAATCATGGACTCTCACAACAGGCTAGCCGGGTTTAAATCTGGCTCCATTATTTAGTAGTTGTGTCCTGTGGACAAAATTTACTTCACCTCTGTGTGCCAGTTTCCTCATCTGTAAAATAGGGATAATGATGGTACCTAGCTTCAATGGGTTGTTGTGAAGATTAAATAGATTAAATGAGTTAATGCATGTAAGGATCTGAGAACAGTGCCTGGATGTAGCAAATGCTATGTTAAGTGTTGTTGTTGTTATTATTATTATTATTATTATTATATTATTATTATTCTTTGGTCATGTAAGACCAATGATAAAAATTAATATCATTTAAAATGGACAAATAATACTCTACATGTTAACTTTACCTAAAATACCAGTCTTAAACAGGAATTTTTCTCATTAAATAAAAATTTCACTTAGACCTAAACATAGTAAACTGTATAAAAACCGTAAGCACTAGTGAAGTAGTAAAATTTATTGCAGCAGTCCTATCTGTTTATTCTGCAGAAGTTTTATTATGGACATTACTTTTAAAAGTTGTAGGGATTAAACACACATTTCCTAATAGTAAAAAACACAAACTGCAGTACTGTTGGTTCATAAGATCTGGTCTATAAGGAGGAATGTCCCATTAAATGTTTTTGAAGCTAATTCAACTAGAAGCAGAAATAGTTGAGTTGGAAGATTTTTCTGTAGAGTGATTTTAACATGGGAAGGCTCAGACAGGGGAAGCCTAGATTTGAAAAGGCCTGGACCTGGGGAAAGGCTGGAAGATCTGGACTATAGAACATGTTAGAATACCTGGATATTGCAGACACTGGAAGACCTGAATGTCAGAAGATCAGCACACTGGAGACGTTGGAAGACATGGATATTGAGCCAGTTGATGGAAGACTGGGTAGTTGTTGGAAGACATGAAGATGCTGGAAGACACAGAGATGCTGGAAGACGTGGAGATGTTGGAAGACGAGCAGATGCTGGAAGCCCTGGAGATGCTGGAAGACCTGGAGATATAGGAAGACATGGATTTGTTGGAAGACGTAGCTTAGTTGGAAGACATATATTTTCTGGAAGACGTGGATTTTCTGGAAGACATGGCTTGGTTGGAAGACGTGGATTTTCTGGAAGACGTACCTTTGTTGGAAGACATACCTTTGTTGGAAGACGTACCTTTGTTGGAAGACGTACCTTTGTTGGAAGACACAAGTAGGCTGGAAGACATTAATTTGATGGAAGACATGGCTTTGTTGGAAGACGTGGATTTGCTGGAAGACACGGATTTCCTGGAAGACCTGGATTTTTCGGAAGCTATGGATTTGAGGGAAGACAAGGATTTTCTGGAAGACATGGATAGTCTGGAAGACATGGCTTTGTTGGAAGACGTGGACTTGCTGGAAGACACGGATTTCCTGGAAGACCCGGATTTTTTGGAAGCTATAGATTTAAGGGAAGACAAGGATTTTCTGGAAGACATGGATAGTCTGGAAGACCTGGAGGCCATTGGAAGATGTGGATTTTCTGGAAGACATGGCTTTTTTGGAAGACGTAGATTTTCAGGAAGACCCAAATTATCCGGAAGACTTGGATTGTTGGGAAGACGTGGATTTTCTGGAAGACTGGGAGGTTACTGGAAGACATGGATTTTCTGGAAGACATGGATTTTCTGGAAGACGTGGATCTTCAGGAAGACATATATTGGCTGGAAGACCTGGATTTTTTCCGGAAGATGTGGATTGACTGGAAGACCTGGATTTGGTGGAAGACGTAGATTTTTCTGGAAGACACTGACTGACTGGAAGACCTGGATTTCTTTCTGGAAGACACTGATTGACTGGAAGACCTGGATTTCTTTCTGGAAGACACTGATTGACTGGAAGATCTAGATTTTTCTGGAAGAACTAGATTTACTGGAAGACTTGGATTTGGTGGAAGACACAGATTTTTCTGGAAGACATGGATTAGCTGGAAGATCTGTATTTGATGGAAGACCTTGAAATTATTGGAAGACATGGATTTCCTGGAAGACGTGGATTTTCCTGGAAGATCTGGATTTGGTGGAAGACCAGTAATTGCTGGAAGACTGGATTTGCTGGAAGACTTGATTTACTGGAAGACTTGGAGCTTCTTGGAAGACATGGATTGTCCGGAAGACATGGATTGTCTGGAAGATGTGGATTTTCTGGAAGCTCAGGATTATCTGGAAGACCTTGAGATTATTGGAAGACTTGAAGTCGCTGGAAGACCCGGAGTTGTTGGAAGACCTTGACACAGGTGCCATCGGAAACCCTGGACATTGGAAACATTGTAAGCACAGGATATTGGAGACATTGCAAGCCTTGGATTTTGAAGACATTGGTTACTCTGGACATTGATATTTCTGGAGGCCCTGAACATTGGGATATTGAATATTGGAAGTCATAGACACTGAAATCTCTGGAAATTAGAGATATTGTAAGTCCTGTACCTTGGAACTCCTAAATACTGGCAGATATAAACAACAGCAGATGTAGACATTTATAAATCCTAAAATGAGAAGCCCTGGATATTGGGAGACATTGGTAAGCATGGATATTGACATATTTATGTCAAAAAGACAGTTTGGAAGAATTAAATTTTAAAGATGCTGGATGTCAAGAATACTGGCAGCCTGGACAATATGAGACCAGGATATTAAGAGGTCTATTCATTCAGACATTGAGGATATTGATGTACCTGAAAGTTCTTGCAGGTATTTAAAGACTTGGGCATTGGAGGAATTGGCGATAAAAATACACTGTAAAACTAGAAAGTAGGAGACATTTAAAAATGTAAAAACTGAATGATGTAAGTGCTGGAAGACATTGAAGAATCTAGACTTAAACACTATGAAATACATAGCCTCTAGAAGACCTGTATATAGGAGACATTGGAGGATTAGGACCATGGAAGACTTGTAATTTAGAACTCTGGATTCTGAAAGACAAGACCTGGACTTTGAAGATGGGTTGTTGGAGATATTAGAAGACCTAAATTTTTAATGACTTGAATACTGGGAAGTTTAGAAAACAAGGGCATTGGAGATGCTGCAGGACAGGGACTGGAATGCACGGATGTTATAATATTGGGAAGATCTGGTAATTAAAGATGTTGGAAGCTGTGGAGCTTAGAAGACTTGAGTTAGAGAAACTGAAGAACAGAAAGGCTTAATCTTAATGGTATTGGAAAGTCATGCTGAAAGATAGTAGCAATATTCAAAGAGTTGTGTATTAGGGCCTAGATATTAAATTAAAAGACATCATGAGACTACTCTTACAGTCTTTAATACTATTTCATCTCTTCTGCTAAAAAGCAAAACACAAGGAAATAGCATTCTAGGAAGGTGAGAAAGAGAAGGCAGGGAAATTCAAGAAAAAGCAAATAGTTTGAATGGGTTGGAAGCTATCTTCATAGTCTCAATGAACTGGCCTTATTGGTTAACAAGATGGGAATGGGAAATTATCAAAGAATAAGCAGTATCTAGGTCGAGAGAACTGCTTGGCTTTAGATCAGGGATCAACAAACATTTTCTGTAAAGGTTCAGAAGTAAATATTTAAGGCTTTACAGGTTACATTGTCTCTGTTGCAACTACTCAACTCTCCCATTGTAGTGCAGTCACAGACAGTAAGTAAATGAATGGGGATGGCTGTGCTGCATTAAAACTTTACTTAAAAAAAATGGTTGGGCTGCATTGGCCCAAGGGCCTTAGTTTGCTATGCCCTGCTCTAACGCCAAATCAAGGATATGGTAAAGTTAAGTACATTCCAGGCTAGCATTCACATATGAGAACAAGCAGAGAACAAGAGAACTTGTTCTCACATAGAGAACAAGCAGAGAAAATTGAAGCCGAATGGTAAATAACAATATCATGTGCTGTAATGATAGGAGATGAAACTGGCAAGAACCTAAGAATTTAGATCTCTAGGCAATTGTTTGGACAATTGCCCAAACAGGGAGCCTTGTATTCAGAGCCAAAATTAAATGGGTTGCATTCAGGGGCCCAACCAACAGGGCTGAGGATCAATGAGGATGTCCTAATTTAATTAAATAGGCTGGAAGCTTAAGTAAATTAGAGAAGAAACCCACCCCTACAGACTGGACATATATGGAGGGGAACAGGAAAAAGATTATAGCTTGGTAGGCTCTTCTCAGGCACCCTGGCTTCAGGTAATACATGTAATTTCTTAAGTGACAAAGACCTTAAGTGACAAGCTTCAGGGATTAGACTTGAGCTATGCGCTGAAGGCCCTTAGTACTTAGATAAAGCTGAGGAAGTCAGGAACTATCACATGTATTACATGAAAGAGAACACTGGCATACAAAACTGGGAAAGTACACTGGAACTAGGCCATGCATGATTTAAAGATCAAGTAGTGGAATATATAGACAATGGGTGGTTATTAAACGTCTATGAACCAGGAGGTATTGGAATCAGAACCGTACATAAGGAAAGCCAGTTGAGCAGCAAGGTGCTGAATAGCAAAGACTACTAGATACGTACAGTAGAACACCTAATACCCCAAGCTAAAACACTTAAAGGGTTGGGATGTGAGGCTAATACAGTTATGCAGGTAAGTGGTAGTGGGGGCTAGAATTAAGGCAGTGACGTTTCTGTCACTCAGCAGACACAGCATCAGTTATGATGAATACTTAGGATTCTGAATAACACTATTTTAAACTTCTTGAATGCCATCATAGAATACATGAAATTCAAAGAAGTTCAGAAGCCAGCTGTGAGGAATTTTCCTTGCCTAGTAAGATTACGTAGACTTACACAAATTCTCTCAAAAGGCAGCTGAGCTAATATTTTGGTGGTCAAGCAAAGCAGGCCCTATTTAGCTTTATCTTTACCCCTATATCACAGTTACCTAATTTTCTTTAAAGTGGAAACAAGTGGATGGATTATTTTCTAGAGAATAAGAACTCATCCATGTCCAAAACTGAGATTACCTCTAGTCACTACACAAATAAATGTCAGTAATGATAACCACATTATAGCATAAAGAATCACTGCAGATCAGGGAGTAACTTACAGACAAGGAAATTATTGTTTCATGTATCCCTCATCAGCAAACAAAAAGAAATACTAAAACTCATTTTTAAACTTCCTTCTCTCATCTTAAAACCATCATGCATACCTTAATTTGAGGGAAATTAAGTATCAAAGTGTGAAAATTTTGCAAAGATAGGCGCAAACTCTCATATTCTGGTTGCATAATGCTTATTCATGTTATAATAATAATAATAATCACAACAATTTATTGAGCGCTTACTATGTGCCAGGCACTGTACTAAGCATTTCATATAATCTTATAGCAATCCTATAATGCAGGTATTTTGACTGCATTTTACAGATCAGAAACTGAAGTCTGGAATGGTTAAGAAATATGCCCACAGTCACACAGCTGGTAATTGGTAGAGGCAGGATTTGAAAGCAGATCCGTGTGATTACAAAACCTTGCCTCCGTGCTGATTCTCCACAACCCAATAACCCAGGGGTTGTACTGCCAGGACTAAGCACCACTCACCCAAAAAGAGGGTGCCCCCAGCCCAGAGCAGACAAGAAGTCAGTGGCAAAGATCTCACTTTAAGTCCCATTTTCTTATCATTGTGACACTCACCATACCACTGCCAAGTAGTCAAGAACCAATTCTAGGTGTTTGCAAAGATGAGTTAATTATATCTTTGGCTTTACGTAGCAATGCAAGAAAGATGAAATGCAGTGTCTCAAACACAATAGATTCATACTTAATTTCTCAATATTTGTTATTTATGCTAATGATACTAATTCTTTCATCTATTTTCTATTTGATTTTATACTTCCCAGTAATATATACACTCTGTTCATAGTACATCATATTTCTGAATTCTTAAGCAACCATAACACACTGACATCAAAGGCCATTAAAAGGTAATAATACTATGTAAAGTTCAGTAATCAATGCATTTCACATCATAAACCTTGTTCACGCAAGCTTTTAGACTATATATACTGTCAAAACCCTTTATTAGCATTCGGGTGGTAGAAGCTATGTAATCCAAATGTGTAATTTAAAGAGCTTTCTCTGCATTTTGAACTTAAAAGATTTTAAACAAAAAGTTCTTTTTAAATGTAATACAAGTTTCCTAACATATTCTTCACATCTCATCAGCCTGGGCTGCCCTTTCTCCCCACCCCTCCTTTTTTTTCTTTTTGCCACAGTGGTTAAACATGTCTATAAAGAACGAAATTTCCATGCACTTTGTAATACTGAGCTCAAGAATTTACCCAAGCCATTTGACAACAGGTTCTCTCCACTCAAACTGTGCATAAAACATACTAAAAGAAACCTCAGCTTTGATATTTGGGGGGCTTTTCTTAAAGAAGAAAAAAACACCCATTTACATGGCAGTGTTGTCATTAACTTCTATTTCTACCTTTAGCGTATATCAAACTTTCTCATCCTCCTACAAGTTTTGCTGACCTGTTCAACTCAACCACAGTAAAATGTTCTTTGACTCTCATCAGTGATACTTCTTAGGTTGTTTTAACTGGATATTGTCTTAAACAATAATTAGATTTATCTCAATATTTTATTTCAAATGACCTGGGCCCTAGATAAATGTTTCCATACATCAAGCCAAAGTCAAAGTATTTCTATGACAACTAAGATCATATAATAGTCAATTTCTCATTTTATTATTTATATTAAGAGTTCCTAGTTGATGCAATTCAATTTAACCTTTTATTTCTCTAATTCTGGTCAAAATAAATAAAAAAATGGCCAAGGTAGTAATCTCAGTAAATGGTAAAATTATCAAAACAGTTCTTTTTTTTTTTTTTTTTCTTTGTTTGTTTGTTTAGACAGAGTCTCATCCTGTTGCCAGGCTGGAGTGCAGTGGTGCGATCTTGGCTCACTGCAACCTCCGCCTCCCAGGTTTAAGTGATTCTCCTGCCTCAGACTTACCAGTAGCTGGAGTTACAGGCATGCACCACCACGCCCAGCTAATTTTTATATTTTTAGTAGAGATGGGGTTTCACCATGTTGGCCAGGATGGTCTCGATCTCTTGACCTCGTGATCTGCCCGCCTCGGCCTCCCAAAGTGCTGGGATTACAGGCGTGAGCCACCACGCCCAGCCAAAACAGCTCATTCTTTAAAGTCATATAGAACCACTGATTATACTGAGGAAAAGATCATTGATTTAAAAATATTTACCTGTAGATGTGACTAAGAAGAAGCAAATGACCTATGAAAACTTAAAGCATTCACCATACAGGGTTCTCTGTTTTGGTTTATGGAAACAATAGATACAAAATATTAGCATTTTACACACAATATCTGTGCATTATTTTTCCCAAAACCTATAACCCAGAGGGGAAATAAAAACAATTATCATAGAAAAAGAAACTCCCAGTAGGTACTGCCTCTCTTTCCTTTCAGAGAGTTGGTGTTTATATTTGCCTTGTTTCTATGGCATTATGCCCTACTTCCTTTTCTGGGAGGGACTAAAACATGGTAAAACTTGAACCATGAGCACAATTACACAATGCAATAATAATCCTATTTACTTTGGTCTCTATGAAAAAGTTTAGATATTCTCAAAATCAACCATTGTGGTTGATGCACCTTTCTCTCAAGGTAATGTCAGAGATAGAAAGACTTTAGACACCAAGTGGTCTTATTCTCTCATTTGAAAGACAAAGGCAGGAGTGACTTGAATAAGACCATTCATTGAACTAGTGGCAGAACAAACACTTTGAATCAAGGTTTCCTAGTTCCTGGGCCCACTACCATTTATATTTTCTATCATAATTTTCCCTAGCTTTAGAGCGGCAGTTTGAAAACCATGGCTATATAAAGAAACGCTGAAGGAAATTTTGAAATATACAGATTCTGGCCCTATCCCTGATTCAGCAGGTCTTTGTGCAGTTCCTGGAAATCTATATTTTTCAACGCTTTCTATCATTACTCTGATACACAGTCAGTGTTGAGAACAACTGTGGTTTAGATCAAGAGCGTAAGCTCTCCTGGAACTGTGGCGAATCCTAGATCCACAGCATCCTACAATGGGTTTTCAACCCTCATCTTCCTCATTTGAGCGTGTTGAAGAATATCTGTAGTCTCAACCATAACCATGCAAGCAAGCCCTTTTTAAAATTATTATTAAGTTCCAAGATACATGTGCAGAACGTGCAGGTTTGTTACATAGGTATACATGTGCCATGGTGGTTCGCTGCACCCATCAACCCTTCATCTAGGTTTTAAGCCCCGTATGCATTAGGTATTTGTCCTAATGCTCTCCCTCCCCTTGCCCCCCACCCCCCAACAGGCCCCTGTGTGTGTTGTTCCCCTCCCAGTGTCCATGTGTCCTCATTGTTCAACTCCCACTTATGAGTAAGAACATGTGGTGTTTGGTTCTCTGTTCCTGTGTTAGTTTGCTGAGAATGATGGCTTCCAGCTTCATCCATGTACCCACAAAGGGCATGATCTCAATTCATTTTTATGGCTGCAGTATATTCCATGTTGTATATGTGCCACATTTTCTTTATCCAGTCTATCATTGATGGGCATTCGGGTTGGTTCCAAGTCTTTGCTATTGTAAATAGTGCTGCAACAAACATATGTGTGCATGTCTTTATAATAGAATAATCTATAATCTTTTGGGTATATACCTAGTAATGGGATTGCTGGGTCAAATGGTATTTCTGGTTCTAGATCCTTGAGGAATCGCCACACTGTCTTCCACAGTGGTTAAACTAATTTACACTCCCACCGACAGTGTAAAAACGTTCCTATTCTCCACATCCTCTCCGGCATCTATCCTTTCCTGACTTTTTAATAATCGCCATCCTGACTGGCCTAACGCGCGGCGGATGCGGACAGGCCAGCGCGCGACACCCCCGGAGTGGGTGGTCACGCGCGGGCTTGGGTAACGAGGACCCCGGCGGGTGGCGGGAGGAAGGAAGGAAGAGGGACAGCGCCGGACGCGCGGGTCCAACGGCCCCCTGAGCACGCAGGCAGACAAACCCTTGTGTGGAGGGCTCACTTTCAATAGATGGCAACGAGGAATCTGCTCTGCTACTCACGAAACCCTGACCCAGAAACAGGTTGCCTAGGAATGGTTTAGCGCCAGGTTCTTCACGAACGTGTTATGCATGATGGGCGAGGGGGTGGCTGCCTTTCTGGCCGAGGCCAATTTTCCAGGATGAGGGGCTCTCCGCACCGGATCCCAGTCTGGCTCTCATTGTGGTTTTGATTGGCATTTCTCTAATGATCAGTGATGATGAGCTTTTTTTCATGTTTGTTGGCTGCGTAAGTGTCTTCTTTTGAGAAGTGTCTGTTCATATCATTTGCCCACTTTTTGATGGGGTTGTTTTTTCTTGTAAATTTGTTGAAGTTCCTTGCAGATTCTGGATATTAGACCTTTGTCAGATGGGTAGATTGCAAAATTTTTCTCCCATTCTTTTGGTTGCCTGTTCATTCTGATGCTAGTTTCATTTGCTGTGCAGAAGCCCTTTTAAACTTTTTTTTTTCCTTTTCCTTCAAAATATCAAACTCACATATAGTTCACAGATTGAGGAGAAAGTTACTGGACTCCCTCATGCCAAATTTCAACGTTTGAGTGGGCTTGCTTCCTGCTTCCTACAAAACCAAATTCAATTTACTCTCTGATGTCAGTTTTTGACACAGCTGTTTAAAGCATTTTTTTTTCATTACTGTACATACATTTCCTCATTCCAGGTTGTCTTTATGCTTTCTCAAGTTATATAAAGTCTCTTTTTGGCAAGCACATGCCAATGAATTATCTTTCTTCTTTTCTCTATTCAGGTTTTCTGTGCATCATTATCAGATATAATGATGAGGCCAGTGCTGTGAATCCGGCACAAACAGCAATTAAGACAGAAACAACAGCGATGTTATTTGGACTTCCTCTCTATTCCCCAGAATAACTGTCCAACTGAGTTCAAAATGGACATCAGTTGGGAATGTGTAAAGCAGCCAAAAGAACAGGCAGGTTCAGCCTATGCCTTTGCCCAAAATTCTTAGAACAAGATAACAGCGTCGTATCTCTGGCTTTGTGGTTTTTTTTCCTCTGTTAAATCTGCCTGGAAAATTCCAAACATCCAAAATTAAAACAACCATGACAATAACTTTTGTAACACAATTGAATCAAATGAAGTAAATATATGGAATTATGAAAGGAATTTAAAAACAATCTGAGAATGAAGTCTCCATCACCATCAGAGAACAGGAGGTAATAATATCCATTTTTTGGAGGATATTCAATTCTTCAAATCACTGAGGAGGCCAGATATGAGAACAGAAAGAATCTATGAAAATGAACTCTAGCAGCTGTTCCTCCTTGATTAGCTACCAAAGGAAATCTGGAAATTTAACATAAATATACTGCTTTTCAGGATCAGCCAATAGCTAACATATACAATTGCTGGAAAAGAAATTAATTTAACTTATACCAAACTAATCCTTTCTGGTGAGATCGCAAGTTAGGCTTAATCAGAATTAAAACAAATTTCAGGAGTACAAAATCAAATTATCCAGCCAAGTACAGTAGCAGCCCACTCCTTAAATGCTATAGTTGAGTTCCCGAAACTCTCAGAGTACCCATGTTGGAGGAATTTAAGACTTTTTAGGAAAAAATGAGGCAAGGACATGAGTATTATGAAAGCCTAGACAATCAGTTTGTTCACCAAACTAAAACAATAAAATAAATATCATTGATATTTTATATTAACAAGAGTGGATATCAGGCAATTAACTTCCTTTGTGATCTCAAGATGAAGATGATAATGGATCAATGAAAATGCTTGGTCGTAACAATAGTAACAGGGAAAGAATAGAGAAAATTGCATTTCGTCTGAAGAGATGTAAGCTCAGTCTTCTGCTCCTCTTTCATCCCCAGCACACAAATCACCATATCATCAGAGCCATCAGAGTCTGAATCCCAAGGTTTAACTATCTGTGTGCGGCGTTTCTACTTCCTGTTTTCCTGTTTGCAGAACGGGTTTGAATGACATGGCCTAATGTCAACCTCTTCTCCCCTGTCAAGTAAGCAGAGAGAAAATACTTATCGGTGTTTGTTTGGAAGTTTATTACTACTGCTTTATAGGATTGTAAGTAATCATCTAAGCCTTACCTGAAAGTCAATATGTAGCCCACCAAAGGATCTCTTTCTTTTGAATCATTGTGACAATTTCATTTGTGGAGTAGATACTTGAACATTCTTAGAGTTCTGGATGTTAACCTATGCTGGCTTCTTCTATTGCCTTTTGATGTGATCACATCTCCAAAATATTTCTCAACTATCTTTTGAAGGTGAGAGTCTAACAATTCAGTAATGTCACTTAACTCAATGTCTTCAAGGCCTTCACTATTCAAATGGTTTGCAGATGTTACAATATTTTCAATTTCTTCTACCACTGGAAGGAAACCTTCCAAATCAGTCACAACCTCATTCCAAAATTTCTGCCAGACTTCATTAAGTATTGATTGTTTTATTTGTCTCACTGATTCTTCTACACCTGTTAAAGCATTACAAACGGAGAAATGTTGCCAAGCCACTTTCATGGTAAAGTTCTGGTGTCTCTGATAAGATCTTCAGGTAGTCAAAATACATGCAGAGCACAGTACATCGCTAGCACTCTCAGATGCAAGAGTTGAAGGAGTGGAGTCGTACTGGGGGTAATGGAGATGACTTGAACACAAGGAGCAGCATTTATGACTGCATTTTTGTCTGTAGGAGCAGTGTCCAGAATCACAACACTGTGAAGTCAAGATTTTTTTTTCATTTAAATGTTATTTAACCTCAGAACAAAACACTTCAAAGACCAGTTCAAAAAGAGTTTCTCAGTGATCCATATTTCATGGTTTCCCTTCATGTACACAGAAAAGTGTTTCTGGCTTTCTCTTTAAAGAAGGTAACAATTTTGGAATCTGTAAAGCAACATGGGTTTAATCAGAACACACTGGAACAAAGCAGAACTTTGAGTTTGTCTTTTCCAGGCTTGAAGCCTCTGGTCCTTTTCTCATGCTTTGCAATAGATGTGCAAGTAGGCATTTGCTTCCAGAGTTTCAGCAGCACTGACAACCTGCTCAGGCAAATTGCCATTGTCCTCAATCGTCTTCTTCAGGTATTCAGGATACTCTCCGGCAGCTCCTTAATCTGCTTCCTCTGACAGTCACTTCTCCACTTCTTTTCATTACAGGCCACAGCTTCTCTTCTCTTCTCTTCTCTTCTTTCTTCTCTTCTCTTTTCTCTTCTCTTCTTTTCTTTTTTTGAGACAGAGCTTTGCTCTCGTCACCCAGGCTGGAGTGCGATGGCACGATCTCAGCTCACTGCAACCTCTGCCTCCTAGGTTCAAGCGATTCTCCTGCCTCAGCCTCCTGAGTAGCTGAGATTACAGGTACCCGCCACCAATCCTGGCTAATTTTTGTATTTTTAGTAGAGACAAGGTTTCACCATGTTGGCCAGGCTAGTTGCAAACTCCAGACCTCAAGTGATCCACCCACCTGGCATTTCTTAAACCTACCCAACCACCCATTACTTGCAATGAATTTTATAACTTTCCATCCAGATTGAAATTTAAATTTGCATTTTTGTGATGCTCACTGGCAGATTTTACACACAGAAAGAGACCTATTCAACCTTCTCTGTTTTAGAAGCCACAAGTGCAAATCTCTTTATATTTTCCCTATTGTGGCATTTTGAGTTGTGTATGATTTTCTCAGTGATTCTTGTGTGCCCCCGATTCACTGGCCCCAACTGCTTTCTCAATTTTCTTTATTGTATGATGTGTAGGTTCATTAACACCAAAAATATGCCCTAGGAAGTGTTGCTTTCACCATTATCAAGCATTTAAAGAACTTTCATTGTGTTCGCTATTAACATAAACTTTCTTGCCCTCTTTACTCTTCTTGCATCTCTATCATCCCTCTCCTTGTTCTTTTGCTTGCATGCCATTCTCACCCCTAACTCACGCATATTTACAATGACTGCAAGTTGTATATCAATGAGAGTACACAATATTAATTTGTAATACTTAAGAACCAAATGATAAAATTCACAAGACAAATAAAAAGGCTAACCAGTTTTTGTATGACAACACGTGTGTGATCAATGGCTGCAGAGGCAACAATAACAAGCAGAAGAACAAGAGTAGAAACAAGTGTAACCCAAATGTTGGTCTTCTCACAGGAGGTAGCAAGAAACAGGATGGTGACTTGAACTTGCATATCGTTCCAAAGCTCTCAAAGGCGCGGACTTAGGGAAACTCAAATTTTGTATGATGGTGACTTGCAGTTGTGAAGCGATCGTGGAACTCAGGAGTCAAGGTCAGGCTATCACGCTGAGGTGAGAAGCACACCATCTAGGAAAAAGCAAACATAAAAATAGGAAATGAGGTCAGGAACAGAGGCAATCTAAATGAGTAGCTTATAAATTTGGAGTAATAAAAATATATGCCAGGGCCGGGCATGGTGGCTCACGCCTGTAATCCCGGCACTTTGGGTGGCTGAGGCAGGGGGATCACGAGGTCAGGAGTTTGAGACCAGCCTGGCCAATGTGGCGAAACCCCGTCTCTACTAAAAATGCAAAAAAATTAGCTGGGCATGGTGGCACATGCCTATAATCCCAGCTACTTGGGAGGCTGAGGCAGGAGAATCACTTGAACCCAGGGGGCAGAGGTTGCAGTGAGCCGAGATCACACCACTGCACTCCAGCCTGGGTGACAGAGTAAGATTCCGTCTCAAAAAAAAAAAATATATATATATATATATATACACACACACACATATATGTATGTGTGTGTGTGTGTGTGTGTGTGTGTGTGTGTATATATGCCAAATTGCCCTTGCAAAGGTTGTACCAATTTGTATGCTAAAAGCAAATGACAGTTCTTTCCTCTCATGTACTTACCAACATGACACATAATCAACATTTGTGACTTGTATCAATTAGAAGGTAAATCACAAGGTATCTAATTTTTGTTTTAATTGATTTCTTTCATCACCTTTCCTCTTTAAATACTTGTTCTTATCCTTTTTCCACGTTATATTTTTTTCTTACTGATTTATAGGTACTGTTAACATTTTAGAGAACTTATTTTTAATCCTCTCTATATTGCAAATATTTTTTCCGAGCATGTCATTTACTTTCGAATTTTATTGCTTTTGTCTTTTGCCATAAAGTTGCTTCAAGTATTTATGTAGTCAACTGTTTCTGCCTTGCTTTGAAAAGTCTTTCCCCCAATAAGATAATACAAATATGTTCACTTATTCATTTTTAATATTTTTACAGTTGTCTGGTAGTATTTCCGAACATTAAGGAAAGGATGGACTACTCAAAAAATGGTGTTGGAATAAACATCTGACTATCCATCCACAAGTGTCTGGAGTTCTCTCCCAGTAGTCTTTTTTCTCTCTAGAGCCTGAGAGTTTCTGGTAGTGCCATAACTCCTGGGTAACCAGGTTGAGTCCTCAAGCTGATCTTAGTTGATCCCGCAGTTTCTTTGGGTTAGTGTAGCTTTGAGAGGAAAATGTTTTCAAATAAATAATTACTATCTATTTTGTTGTCTTAAGTTTTGTTCGTCTACCAATCCATACTACGACTCATATCAAGTGAACAACAGTACCAAGTTCTCGGATCTCAGATCTTCTGATAACGCTTCACTAATAATTAATAAATAAATAGTCACTCATAGTTTTGGAAGAACTGAGGGAATCGGAGCATGAGTAGGCTGTTAGATGACATTCGGCCACTGCTGTTGATTCTATTGGGTGCAGTAATGGAACTGTGGTAACATAAATAAATATATGTTTTGTCGAGGGAGGAACTGAAGCAAATAGATATACAATGTTATCAGTAATTTATTTTATGGAAAAATGTTAACAATTTTTATGTTGTTGTTTTGAGATGGAGTCTCACTCTGTCGCCCAGGCTGGAGTGCAGTGGCGTGATCTTGGCTCACTGCAACTGCCTCAGCCTCCGAAGTAGCTGTGATTATAGGCGTGAGCCACCACACCTGGCTAAATAGTTACCAATTTTTAAATCCAGGTGCTTGGTGGGCATTATAATTAGCATACAATGAGCAGTGAGGACGACCAGAGGTCACTTTCATCGCCATATTGGTTTTGGTGAGTTCTGGCCGGCTTCTTTACCACATGCTGTTTTATCAGCAAGGTCTTTGTGACCTGTATCTTGTGCTGACCTCCTATCTCATCCTGTGATTAAGAATGCCTTAACCTCCTGGGAATGCAGCCCAGTAGGTCTCAGCCTTATTTTACCCAGCCCCTACTCAAGATGGAGTCACTCTGGTTCAAACGCCTCTGATGCCACCTCTTCCAGGAAGCTTTCCCTGATCCCTCCTGCTGGCTTTGAATTGATGATGGAAACTCTCAGAGCCTTCCTCCAATGCCTACTCTGATTACAGCACTTAGGATATTTCACTATAGTGCCATCTGTTTCCCTGTGTTTTAATCATTTGGGAATGCCTTGACGGTAACTGGAATAGAATAGGTCCTCATTTTATAGCATAAATGTTTATAGTACAGAAAGTAAGACCAGCATGCAATGCTCTCAAAAGGAGTAGCATTTGAATGGGACCTTGAAGAATGGGTAGAATTTTTAGGGTGTGGAGGAGAAGGCAAGCAGGTGGAAGGGACAAAGGCGGAGGCACGAAATTGCTGGGTACGCGTGGAATTAGATGAGGGATGAAGCTGAAACAAAGGACGGCTGAAGTGGGCAGTAAAAATAAAACTGTAAAAGATTTGTTGAGGCAAATCATAAAGGGCTTCAGATGCCAGATTTCTTAGATGAGGTGGAGTTGTTTAGCTGTCTTGATATTAACGAAAGGGTTTATGTTTGCAGTGAATAAAACAGCAGATATTTAGGATTAATCTGACCTATTCTTCCTTGTTACTAGGTTTTGGCATACAAAATGTATGGAAAATTTGCTTTCATGGGGGGGGTGGGGTGGAGAAAAAACCGAATTTTATTAGATGCTATGGAAATCAAATGGGATTTTAGAATTGCCACTTGCAAATAGAAGACAGAATCTAAGACTGAAATGGAAGACAGCTGTAAAACAACAGGACTGGTCTAGAAAGATGTAAAAGCTGAAGCAAATGTAGATGAAGGAGCAATTGGGGCCTATGAGGCCCTCCATGATCTGGCCCCAGACTGTTAAAATAGTTTCCTGACTAACTTTGCCATAACCAAGTCCACCCTCATAGCCACCAGCTTTTTATTCCCCAAACAGTACCTCTGCTGTGTTGTGCTTACTCAATAAGCCTTCTGAACTGACCATCGGTGACCTTGTCCTAATTCTTGCTTCCTGCATTTGTGGGCACTACAAGGCACCTTCCCCAAGAAAGGTTCTCTGGAAAGACTAGTTTACTTATTGGCTCCTGACCAAAATCACATTTGTACCTCTCCTCACACCATTCCTTCTAGTTGGAATGCTCCCTCTTTCCTTTCTATCTATGGAATCTCATCATCCAACTCAAGTCCCATTCATTCCATTATATGACCATCAGAAAGACATGAAGCCTTAGAGGCAGTAACTAGGTCCTATACTAATATGTATTTGTGTATGTATATTAGTACAAATATATATATAATATATACAAATATATATACTTATACACTAATCTATACATATACAAATATATATAATATATTTTATTATATATGATAAATATGTTATATATTTAATTATATATTTAATTAAATATATATTTATTATATAATAAATATATTATATAGTATGTATATTTATTATAGATTTATTATATATAATAAATATATTATATAGTATATATATTTATTATGTGATAAATATATATTTATATATAATAAATATATAATATAGTATATATAATAAATATATAATATAGTATATATATTATATGTGTTATATATATTACATCATTGATTAATTCAGAGGCCCAGAGAGAGGAAGCAGCAGTGCTCTTTCACAGCTTCTAAGATTACTATTGCACTTCTATTGTATAGGTACAGAATGGATGTGTTAACACTAACCCTTTTGTTACAGTCAAATCTTCTTAACATTTCATTTCCTCCTTGGTCCTGAGGTCTTCGATCTACCCTTGAATGAAGCATTATCAAAGGAGAAAGGGAGTAAGGTCAAGGAAATGGAACTAATATGTTTTGATGTGAGCACTCAGTATGTGGCAAACCCTTTACAACCTGATCATATTTTGGCCTTACAACATCCTTGTATTTGAAAAAGCAGAAGCTCAAAGATGACATGTGGCATGTCCAAAGTCACACAGCTAGCGTCCAAGCTCCAGACTCCAATATCCATGTTTTTTACACTAAACTAAGCTGTTTTCCCTTAAAATGAGTAGCTGTCATTCACATTCTGGAGCATGTGAAAATTCTGTCATGGAGCTGCGTTATGGTTTGAATGTCTGTCTCCTCCAAAACTCATGTTGAAACGTAATTGCCACTGTAACAGTATTAAGAGGTGAGATCTTTAAGAGGTGGTTAGGCTCCACCGTCATGAATAGATTAATGCCATTCATGGGAATGGCATTTCATGGGAATGGATTCCTTACAAAAGGGCAAGTTTGGCCTCTCTCTCCTTTGCCATGGGATGACACAGCAAGAAAGCCCTTGCCAATTGTCAGTCCCTCAGTCTTGGCCTTCTCATCCTCCATAACCACATGAACAAATTTCTCTAATAAATCCCCTCTCCTCTATCTATCTATCTAGCTAGCTATCCCATTGGTTCTGTCTCACTGGAGAACTCTGACTAATACAAACTAGTTTATAGCTTGTCTAAAAACTTCAGAGAAAAGATGTCTTCAAAATATTCTACTCTGAGTAAGAGACAAAGAGTGCTTCATGAAATTATTCAAGAATTCTCTTGCATAGCCAATGTTTAAGAGGCGTAAGTTACTAAATGTGCATAGAACCACTTCTTTAAAATTAAATAAGCAATATTATATGCAAATGAATCTAAGCAGCTCTAGAGCTAAACAATAAACTAAGGGGAAATTAATGCATCATGTTCAAATATTATTAACAAAAATGGAAAAAAATAATAGGTAAATAACACTAATAAAGTGAATTTTTCTGGGCCAGGCACTGTTCTAGCTGCTTTACATATATTAACTCACTTAATATTTAATACAACCCTATGTGTTAGGCATTATTATTATTATTTTATAGATGAGGAAATTGAAGCTCAGACAAGTTACATAATCTGTCTGAGGTCACACATTTATTAAGCAGGAAAGCCCAAAATGTACAGCTATGCAATCTTGCTCTAGATGACACACTCATCCATTACAATGCACTTGAAACTAATGATGTTAAGATTTTTTCTTGCAATTCTTAACTGCTCAAAATCATCCTAACACAAGAAACTTCTGGTTAAATAAAAAAGAAGGCCTCCACCTTTAGAAAAGATGTATGATAATACCTGTAGCATAACAATGAGCAAAAACCATCTTAAAATAAAACACCCAGAGTAGCTCATAGGTTCTAACACAAAATGTGAGTCTAAGTTTCTACAATATGAATTTTCTTTTTGTTCCACATATTCCTATCAAAACGGTAAGAAATAAATTAGTATCGATACAACTCTTCCATTAAATTTCTACAAATATTACCTAAACATAACGAACAGATTTCAATTCTAATCCTACTCAGAATCATACACATTCTTTCTTTGTTATTTCATTTATGATAATTAATTATACATCTTTTACATTGTTAATTTTTAAATTCCCACTGCACGTAGAAGCATATTTTACTGGAGACTTCTATGTAGAAAACTGAATTGTACATTATAAGATCACATGACCATGCATATCCCAGTTTTCATTCTTCCAAATGAGTAATATAAATTCACAAATCAACTTTCTTCATTTGAAAATTTAAGTATCATCCCTATGAGCAAAAGCCCTAACTACTTATGTTCGAAACAATTGAGGGATATGATGCTGATATTTATTATCACATTTATTTTTTGTTCTTGCTATTTTAATCTTTGATTGTTATGGAACATCTTCACTCTCTTTCTATGGTTCAATGGGTTAACAACCAAATAGACATCCATCAGTTTTTAATAATAATCTATTTTTCACATTAAAATTTCATGGAAAATCGTTCATACTTCTTACTGGATGGAAGTTTTTTAAATAGCTCTGAAAATTCACCACCAAAAACAGTCAAAAAAGATTCTATGTAGCAACAGTGCCCTCTGCTGGCTACAGCGTGGAACAGCTAAACCAGGCCTATAAGAAATCCAACAGCTAAGGGGATCTGCCGTGACCCCCGTTTGGCGATGCCGACAATGACCGTTCTGCCCACCTTTTCCCCATTCCAGGTTAAGTAGAATTTGGCTTGATACCTCCTCAAGGGAAGCAAACTCTGTTTAGCAGGCCAGGGATCACATGTGCCCTTTTCTTCCTTTTGAAGAGCTGGTCAAGCCCAAAACCTCAAAAGATTTTAAGAAAAGGCACACGGATTTGAACAATCGTTTCCTGATCTTCTCCAGATCTTTTACAGATCTTCCTCTTACCTCATTTTTCACTGGCCCGCATAAGACAAAAAGAAGCATTTATAAATAAAACCAGTCCATCCCCTACTCCGGAGCTACTTGCCCCCCTTGTCGCCTCCCTTAACGGTAATAGCAGCAAACAATTCAAGATCAGCATTAAATGGCTCTAGGGGTAAGAATTGAAAACCCCTTTTAGCCAGCACCTAACAGTGTCTAGTCACTTACTAGGAGAGGTAAATGGTGCTTCCTAAGTTATTGAGTGTGATCCTCATTAAAGGTGCTTGTATCATTGCAACTTCAGACTGAACTGCCATACCACCAAATACACATGGGAAGCTAGAGAGGAACAAGGAATCTCTAAGCATAGAGGCGTCCCTCTTCTAGAAAAACAATTCCAAAAGCCGTTCCCTGCTATTTGTAGTTACTTTAAAGATTTTATACTCAATTCAATTATTGAAGGGGTTCCTAAATACTAATTAAGGGAGTGCAGTTTCCCCTCGAACTTTGCTTCTGTGGGGATCGGGCGGTTCCAATGCAAAGCTTTGCAACTTGGGGCGGCTGCATAAGCTCTCAGCTTTGGGCTACTCCAAAATCCACGTTGACCCCAGGGCCTCGGTGAACAAAGCACTGGGCTGCGCTACTTGAGGCTCAGTCCCTGCCCCTTCCCACACAACCAGGAAGGCGTATACACAACGAAAACCGGAGGTCTACTACGTGGCACCACGGAGAGGAGGGAATCACTTCAGAGTTGATTAGCTGCGTCGGGGATTCGGGTGAGGCAAGTGAGGCTAAGTCGTTCAAGTGCAAGGTCTGAGCTTGCCCTTATTTAATATTTCTTATCTAGCTTCTTGCGGAATTTTGGCTATAACTTTGAATTTTAAAGAGACTGCATGAACAGTTTTATCTTGATTACTGAGTATCTTGGTGCCGCCTTAAATTTTGCACCCGAGGCGAGTGCCTTGCTCGTTTTGCCCTATTTACCACCGTGGTGATTGAGTGAGGGCGATTTTCCAGCTACCGAAGGGGTAAAAGATAGCCCGGAGGAGGAAGCCGGGAGCCGAGGCAGGAGCCCTCAGGATGGGAAGGAGGAGGAGGTCGCAGAGGTGGGCTCTGACTGGCTGGCTGCGAGCCAGCGAAGACGCTCCGCTCAGGGAATTTGTGGGGCCGCCAGGGAAACAAGCTTGGTTAAAGCGGAATACGGGAAGGAGTCGGCTTACCGGGTCTGGCTGCTCCGAGCCACGCAATCTCCTCTCCTTAACCGCCTCCCCTCTCTGGGGAGGACTCGTCTCGTCTTTGCAGTGTGCCTACTCCGATGCAGTGCCGTTCTGTGCCACGTTGTCACCCGGCTGCTCTCTGGAGAGACCCGCCCCTGCGGATGGCCTCTCCAGCATTCGTCGGCTCCTGACTCGCCACCCTCTGCACTGGGCGGGGTCGCCCCCTTACCCCACTCCCTAAGGAGGGGAGGGCTGAATGCTGTCACTTCTGACCTAGTTGCAGTATGCCAGGGACTCTTCCTCAGTTACACCACTCACCCCCACCCCCACCCCCACCCCCGCCCCCGCCCCACTCCGTCTCTGCAGCGGAATTAACCAACTCAAGTCCAGAGCGGTAAGAGACCCTCCAAGGGTCTGTTGGTTATTCAATAACTGTAAAAGTCGTGGATGGATTCGATCATAAGGGCGTCAAATCTTAAAACTGGAAAAAACATCCGATTTGGAGAGTATTTAACATTCAATATCTGTCGTGAAAAGTCACGAGGCAAATTAAATGTGGGTTAATATTTAATACCAGTAGTGAATCCTAACAGATACACACAAAAAGAAACCTCTCTAAAGCAGGCCCTACGAATTGCTGCCTGTGCACGCTTGACACCTCCATCAAGGGGTATAAAAAAGCTTTCAGAGGAGGACCGAGTTTCTGTTGTGAAACGGCCTGAAGGAAGCTCAGTTTCACAGAACGCCAGCCTGGGAGGATTTTATTTGCTGTTCCTACTCAATTCCTTTATAAGACCTCAAATTTCTCTGAAGCCCTTCGCAACATAAAATGGCAAGTGCTTGTCCACAGGTTACTCTGAGATTCTTACAAAGCATTTTAAATGGCTTGTTCAACTGAGACTGGCAGCTCAGAATTTGTTCTTCTAGAAAATGGATGTGAAAAACAGCTGTTAATGCCATACAGTTGTTTTAATGCGTTAAAGTGCACGGAAAACAACCAGGCCAGTGAAGATCCATATTTCTCCCAATTCCCCAAAGACATATTTTACTGGAGAAGTCTTGTCTTCAGATATTCAACTTCATTTATTAAGGCCTTAATAAATGAGGATCGGTCAGTACAAGAACAAATATCAGACTTAGCAATTTAGTTCACCCAGTTAAAATTGAGTCTCAGAGAAAGCAGTGAATCCCTTTTGTTTTTAGTTTTTTAACTGAAATTCACATTTAACTGTGTGCTTTCTTTCTGACAAACCCAAGAACAATGCACCAACTACTAGAATTTTTTTTTTTTTTTTTTTTGAGACAGAGTCTCCCTCTGTCACCCAGGCTGGAGTGCAGTGGCACAATCTCGGCTCACTGCAACCTCTGCCTCCTGGGTTCAAGCGATTCTCCTGCCTCAGCCTCCTAAGTAGCTGAGATTACAGGCACCCGCCACTATGCCTGGCTAATATTTGTATTTTTTTGTTTTAATAGAGACGGGGTTTCACCATGTTGGCCAGGCTGGTTTTGAACTCCTGACCTCAGGTGATCTGCCCGCCTTGGCCTCCCAAAATGCTGGGATTACAGGCGTGAGCCACCGCGCCTGGCCTACTACTTGAATTTTTTTGTCTATAGTCTTTAACAAACAAGACAATAACAGATGTAGGCAAAAATATCACATGGATTTTTAGTAATTTATACATGCAAAAAATATACTAACCACATTGAAATATGTGTTATGAGAGTTATAAATATATAGATTAAGGAGACTGCTAATCTGATAGCTAAGAAGTCTTTAACATTAGCCCAGGGATCTGCAAACTACTGCTTGCCAGTCAAATCACGCCTATGGTCATTTTTTGTACAATCTTTCACCTAAAAATAATGTTTACATTTTTTAGTGCTCAAAAAATATCAAAAGAAGAATATTTTGTGACAAGTGTAAGTTATGTGAATTTCAAAATTCGGTGTCCATAAATAAACGTTTATAGTAACCTATTCATGCCCACTTATTTTCATATTGTCTCAAGCTGCTTTTCTGCTAGTGGCAAAGCTGAATAGTTTCAACATAAACCATTTAACCCTCACAGCCAGAAATATTTACTGTTACAGAAGCAGTTTGTCAATCCCTGATATAGATGAAGACATTACCTATAAAGTGGTGTTACAAATAATCGTTAAGTCTGTTAGCTGTAATTGAGTGGGCTCAACATTTTCCTTCTTAGATAAATTATTTGTTTAGCTATCATTTTTCTCACAGTCAAAAGAAAAAGACCATGTTTTCATACACACGAAATGCTGGTAAACTGCAAACCGATGGGATACAGGCTGTCTCTGCTTTTCATGACTTCTAATTCACCCTTTGTCCATTGCTACGCTGCTTCACAAACCAAAATCCTGCTGTGGTTTCTAGAGTCCTAAGCCAATCAGTACTTTACCAAGTGGCTCGCCTGCCATCTAGTGGGGAAAGATAAGAGTGCTCTCTCTCTCTCTCTCTCTCTCTCTCTCTCTCTTTTCGAAAAACTGACGAGGTCGCTATAAGCTGTAGGACCTCAGACAGTGATGATTATAATAGTAATTCATTACATTTTAATGGCACTTTGAAATTTACAAACTATTTCCCAAAGTATAGTATTTTAGTTAATCCTCCCTCACCACAATTCTGTGATGTAAGCACATCTTCTTTGCCATATTTTTTCAGATGCAGAAACTGAGTGTAAACATTGGCTTACTCAAGGTCCTACAGGTGGGCTCGAACCAAACGTCATGCTCTGTTTGCTGAACCTAACACCTCTGAATTTGGGCTCTCTCATTTCTACATTTCCAGTTCTATTCTATGAATGATTTTGAGTCTCTGCCACAAGGACATTTATTTTGGGAAACTCCCTTGAGTAGTCTTTTCAAACAAACAGGACCCATCCAAAACATCCCCTCTCCAACAAATATTCTAAGGAGGCAAACAATTTTTTTAGCTAAAGGTTTAATTAATGTTTATCTAAACATGTTGTTATCTTAGACCCATTTTATGATGCACGACACATAAATTGGGAAGAAGATACTTAAGGCTTAAACCTTGGAGGGCTGTGAGACTCCTGGCAGAATGCCTGCTACTAGCTACCCTAAATCCTTTTCTGATTAAGACATACAATAATTTTTCCAATTCAGTATGAGTTCCAACTTTTGAACCTACAAAACAACGTTTGCTTAGAGCTTCGACAGTGTAAGCCACAGAGTTCTCAAGAAGAGGTCCATTTTAATTGTTCAGTGTCTCAGAAACTTCCAGCTGCTTGTGAATCTGCAAAGGGACCTCAGAGCTCACGTGCTAAAGCTCATTTGAGAGGGAAGATTTGTGGGTGTTTCCAGTACTCACTAAGATGTCTCTGTCTTGTAACAGCAGCCTTTGTGCTTAGTGATGACCAAGTACCAGATTAAATGAACCAAAGGTTAGGGCAACCCATCAGAAAGAGTCATGTTTACACTGACATTCATCTGCAGAGTCTGCAGTTTGGGACACAATGAGAATAGACCAAATCATGGACCAGCTGCTAAATGCAGCTGTACTTGAGTGTGTCCAAAACTACAAGGAGGGTAAATGCAAACAAAAGCAGGTTCCAGAGCTTTGCAGATCATTGTTCCCAGGCTGTGCCTATTTCTTGTGAACAAGCCTCCTGGGACAATATTTTAGTGTTACTTGCAGATAGTCACACTTTCATATTAAACATTTCAAGTTGTGGTGGGAGTGTGAAAACTAAGACACCTGGTACATGGGAAAGAAATAGTTTTATTGCTAGACTTTATGAACAGCCTTAAGTTTAACCACAGGTGAACCTTACTGTTTGCAAGCTCTCCTGATGTGATTTATATCATACATGGAGGAGCTCTTTGAAACTCTCTAGCTCGGACATGACATTGTATTGGTTGCCCAACTTGCCTTGGCTGCCAACATTCTGGCTAGGCCATTTTTAGCTGTTGAGGACCAGATATATATATATTATATATAGGTTGCTCACTGCAACCTCTGCCTCCCGGGTTCAAGTGATTCTCCTGCCTCAGCTTCCCAAGTAGCTGGGATTACAGGCGCATGCCACCATGCCCAGCTAATCGTTGTATTTTTAGTAGAGACAGGGTTTCTCCATGTTGGTAAGGCTAGTCTTGAACTCCTGTCCTCAGGTGATCCACCCGCCTCGGCCTCCCAAAGTGCTGGGATTACAAGCGTGAGCCACCGCGCCCGGCCTATTCAAGCTATTTCTTCTGTTTTACCACATCCCTCACTCCTTTCCCTGTTGAACTTCTGCTTAGCTTTTAAAGCTCACCTCCAATCTGATCTATTTGGTAAATCCTTATCTGAGACCCCAGCTAGAAGTAAACACACTCACCTCTGAACCTACTTTATAGCCCTATGTCTGAGTTTCTTGTAGGGCACTCGGCATTTTCTACCTGGTATTGGAATTATTCATGGGCGTGGCAGTCACATTCACTAGACTATATGCTCACTGAAGAAAACCCAGTTCAATGAGTGCTTAGACCATGACTCCTTCCTTGTTTTCCTTAAAGAGAGCAATCCCCAGGCTCCCACATCACTTTGTTCTTACCTCAGTTGTCCATAACACTTAACCTTATCCCAGGATGCTGTTACTAGTCTGAGTATCTGCCTTCCCTAGAGGATAAACTCCTTGAGATCAAATAGTGTTTTGTCTTTGTATTACCAGCCTAGTATAGTCTCATTTTCCTGTGTATGTTGAATGAATGAAAAAAAGAGTCAAGCCTTTCCTGAATTTCCCCAACTTCCTTCCTTCTCTCAACTCCAAGAGCAATTTTTTTCTTCCTTGTGACACTTGGGTTATTTTGTTTTAGAGTTATCTACAGACAGGTCTTAGCTCCCTTGTTAGACTATCAGCACCCTATGGTTGGAGCTATGTCTTAGGGGTATCTCCATGGTCCTGTCACCTAGCAGAGTCTCTGGTCCAGTAAATAGACTCAATAAATACTTTCTGAATGAATTATTTGTCACAATGAGTGTAGCCCCTTAATGCTGGGCTCATAGGTGTTCCCAAAGAATACACGAGCCAAACATGATGACTTGCAACTGCAATCCCAGTGACTTGGGAGGGAGGCAGGAAGATCACTTGAGTCCAGGAGTTTGAGACCAGCCTGGGCAACATAGTGAAACCCAACCTGTAAACAAAAAAAAAAATTTAATTAGCTAGGCATGGTGCTGCGTGCCTGTAGTCCCAGCTTCTCTGGAGGCTGAGGCGGGAGAATGACTTACACCCAGGAGTTGGCAGCTGCAGTGAGCTATGATTGAGCCACTGCACACCAGCCTGGGCAACAGAGTGAGAGTCCATCTCTTTTAAAAAGAAAGAAAGAAAGAAAGAAAGGAAGGAAGGAAGGAAGGAAGGAAGGAAGGAAGGAAGGAAGGAAGGAAGGAAGGAAAGAAAGAAAGAAAAGAGGCCTGGGGTGATGGCTCATGCCTGTAATCCCAGCACTCTGGGAGGCCGAGGTGGGCAGATCACCTGAGGTCGGGAGTTCGAGACCAGCCTGACCAACATGGAGAAACCCCATCTCTACTTAAAAAAAAAAAAAATACAAAATTAACTGGGCATGGTGGCACATGCCCGTAATCCCAGCTATTCGGGAGGCTGAGGCAGGAGAATCGCTTGAACCCGGGAGGTGGAGGTTGCAGTGAGCCGAGATCATGCCATTGCACTCCAGCCTGGGCAACAACAGCAAAACTCTATCTCAAAAAAAAAAAAAAAAAGAAAAGAAAAGAAAAATAAAATAAAATAAATGAAAGAAGCTGAGCCATGGAGAAATCAGCCATCTAGGCTGAGGTGAGTTGTGTGTGATAGAATGGCTGTGAGCTTACCAGGCTTATCATTCACACCAATACAGACAAGCAGCCATCAGTTGTCACTGTCAGTAGCACCATTAGAGGTAATTCATTGTTCTTTGCCTTGCCACGGTAGAAATTAGGAGAGCAAATATCAACGTCTTCCAAGAGAATAGAACAAAGGGATAAAAACCTATAAGGAAAATATAACTTTCAGCCAGGGACGGTGGCTCACGCCTGTAATCCCAGCACTTTGGGAGTCCAAGGCGGGTGGATCACCTGAGGTCAGGAGTTCGAGACCAGCCTGGCCAACACGGCGAAACCCTGTCTCTACTAAAAATAAAAACAAAAATTAGCCAGGCATGGTGACGGGCACCTGTAATCCCTGCTACTCGGGAGGCTGGGGCAGGAGAATCACTTGAACCTGGGAGGCGGAGGCTGCAGTGAGCTGAGATCACACTATTGCACTCTAGCCTGGGAGACAAGAGCAAAACTCTGTCAAAAAAAAAAAAAAAAAAAAGGAAAATGTAGCTTTCATACATCATTTTTACACAATAGCTGAACATATTCTAGAAAAATCTGCATTTATTGGCCAGTGCAATTGTATTCCAATTCTAGTATTCCTTTCACATCACAATTTTAAATCATTGAAAATAAAATAATTGATAATTTTAAAATAAAATAATTACAGCACCTGGTCATTATCTTAGCACCTGGTAAGATAAATAATAGGTTAAAATGCTTATATTATAGCACAATGGTAGAAAGGTTTTAAAAGTTCATAAAAAAGACATAGGTCTACAGGTTAATAATTAGTCATTCCTATGCCATCATGAATACATAAAAATAAATTTTCTGAGAATGAAATGATCCTCAAAACTCGGTTCTTTATAAAATAACACAACCCTAAGATTTATAGGAAAAAAGAGAAATGACATTTCAGAGAACCAACTCAGTGTCAAGTACAGTCCTAGATGCTTTGACACACATGATATAATTTATCCCGCTAAAAAACATGTACAAAGAGGCTGGATGTGGTGTCTCACGCCTGTAATCCCAGCACTTTGGGAGGCCGAGATGGGTGGATCTCTTGAGGTCAGGAGTTCGAGACTAGCCTGGCCCATATGGTGAAACCCTGTCTCTACTAAAAATACAAAAATTAGCTGGACGTGCTGGTGCTTGTCTGTAATCCCAGCTACTTGGGAGGCTGAGACAGGAGAATCGCTTGAACCCAGGAGGCGGAGGTTGCAGTGAGCCGAGATTGCGCCTCTGCACTACAGCCTGGGTGACAGAGGGAGACTCTGTCTCAAAAAACAAAACAAAAAGAATTATACAAACAGAAGTCACACAGCTCATAAGCATCTGAACTGGAGCTTGATCCTATCTCTTTGGTGTCCCTCCGTTTATTCTGCCCTTCTAATTAAGAACTCATTGCAAGTATCAGTACTGTTTAATCTTCTCCCTCCTCACCACAAACAGCATTTCAGTTGCTATCTGGGCCAGTTAATTGAATTTCAGAGACTCATTCAATACATCTAAATCCAAGGGGTCAGTATTTCTGCCATTCAGCTTGCCAATGCCTATCATATAGTTCACTTTAGATAGTTTAAACCTGTTAAGTTTGTCTTTTTAAATTTTTTTCATCTCCTCAAGGCGCACGGTTGTAATAACCTGCTGACAGAAACCCCATCATGGCAATCCAAGTAGGCTGAGTTCCAATGGATCAATAACTCACTTGGTGGCTGGCTGCCAAGTGGCCAGTCGCCATCAGAAAATATGGAGCCAATTCTTCTCTCGTCTGCCACTGATTAATTGGCAGTTCTATTGTCAAAAACGTTCTTCCTTGGCAGTGGTGACAGTCCCTTCCAAGCAATCATAGGCATGAGAGTAAGTGTGCAACCAGCCTCCAGATAGGGAGTCGCTGCAAACATTTATAGACATTTTTGGATTGGGGAAAAGTGTGTAGAAATGTATGCATAAAGTACTTATGTAATAGGGTATACACAATCAGTTTAAAAACACTAAACACTTGTCAAAATGGCAGTTAAATTTTTTTCAGAATTAAATGAAAATGATGGAACAAGAATCAGGAAAGTAATTACCCAGAAAAAAAAAATGTTTCTTGGATTTGTAATTACAGTTAATTGCTATGAAACACCATGTTGATTTGAAAAGCTGTTAACTAAATTGAAAATAATGACATTGTGAATGCATATGTTTTTATGTTTGCCTATGCATGTGGGCTAGGGTAAAGCCCCAAATGACTCTGTGAACCAGCTCACCATAGCACCTTCTGGACTGGCTGTACATCCAGCCTCCTTACTCTGGTTGCATCTACTTTTCTCTTTCTCACTCCGTCCCGATACACTTGCAAGTTCCTGCTCCCTTCCCCTATTCCATAGAGCTTCTAGGATGGAGATGCCAAGAGAAAATAATTTATGAGATTAAAAAATAATAAAATGAAGCTGTGCAGGTGACTTGGCTTTATTAATTGGCATTCGATCTTGAGTCTTTCTACACTTTACATAACTGCAAAGCATGTCATTTTTATTCACTGTAGCCACAACTACCTAAGTACAAGAGGTTTCCAGTTTCATTCATTTCAAAGTTTCATTCAAATGTGATTTAGGTTATGACTGTAGTATGACAATGGACTTGCAGAAAATCTGTCCTAAAAAACAAACAGTGATTTTATCTTTTCAAACTTTACCTGACACAAAAAATAATCTAAATCCATGGCTCCATGTAATGTCTCTTTGATGACTTAATAGTACTATCCCCTTACAGCTGTTCTAAAAAAGTTAGGCCCTAGTTACTTATTGTTCTATTTTGGGCAGGGGTTTATATAAGTAGTTCAGAGAATTCTACTTTTTTTTCAAGCACTTACATGTACATGTCTCAATAATATTTAAATACTGATCCAATATGTACTTGTCCATTTTAATGACTCCTTATTTAGTAAAATTTATTTATATTTGACTAGAACTTACCCTCATTTATCTTTCATATTTAGGGACAATCTGACCCCCCTAAAATATCTCTATCTCTGCAAAATGTGTACTGTGGTAGAAGGTGCTTTTCCCAGCTTCCCATCAATGTCTAGCCTCTATTTTATGAAAATGCCAGGGGAATGGAGATAGGCTGAGTCTAAGTATTTGATAGAGAAACTAATTAGGCTTTGACAATTAGCTACCAAATTAAACTCTGGTACCTTTAGACTGACCCAAACAGAGGGCAATTCTGTAAGCATATACTTTCACAAGATTAATATTCATAAATTCATCTATTCATTCTACAAACATTTCTTTAGCTTCTGTTCTGGAGGCATCACCGTGCAAAGTGTGGAAAATAGGTAGAGCAACTCATGAAAGCTTCACAAAACTATGCAGTGGATATTATGATTCCTATTTTACAAGTGGAGCTCAGAGAAGTTAAGTTACTTACCCAAGGCCATATAGCTAGTAAGTGGCAGAGCCACTCCAAAACAACTCAAACAACGAATACACCTTTAACTTAATCTTGCACTCAGGGAAGTAGTATTTGATCAAAAACCTTGGGCAGAGGATTGGTAGAGTTTTAAGGCACTGTGGACACACAGGATTATTTACTGGAGCTTTTATCAACTCTCTACTACCTTGCCAAGATATTACCACCACTAAAGATGGCACCAAATATGGACATTCATGATCACAGTAGCTCAGCACCTCTTTTTCAAGCACCTGTAGTGTCAGGAAGTTCTGTGACTTACCAGGATCAGAAGATACAATTCAATAGAGTCTGATTTAAAAGCCTAGGTTTTTAGTTATTTTGAAAATCTGTTCTAAATTCATTACCGGGACTCCGATTTTAGTCAACCATAGAAGTTGGGCAAGTACCTACGGCTCTGAGAATCAAGAGGACAACTAGGAAAGGAAAGGAGCAGCTTCCCTTCTTACCTAAGGCCCATATCTAGGACCCAACCACAAGTAACTATAGATCTTATGAGCATATAGGGATGGCAGACTTCAGTGAGGGTGAACCCCAAAATTTGAGGGTGAGGCTAAAAAAAAAACAGCCTATGCTATCAGAAATCAACATGAAATCGATGGCTGCTTGCTCCATGTTAGAGGTCCGTCCAATTTCTATCAAGCCACATTGTCTACTTTTACTTCCTTCAATATATTAGGAGTCCAAAAAAATCCCCCAGTAGAAAAAAAAAAATCTGCTGGAAGAAATTTTCTTTACCTAGGAGATAGCCACACTCCTTGAGCTCCATTTTCCCCTCTGAAAACAGACCAAGCAATGTCAAGTATCTCCCTGGGAGACAAGATGCAGTATAATAAGCTGATTTTCAGAAACTCAAACAAGAAGCAGCAGCTAAGACAGAATTAATTCAAGGTACGATTTCCTGTCTGTTTGCTAGATTTTTGAGTACTGAAGAGAGAAACAGTTTTGCCCTTGAGACTGGTTAAGAGTCAGGGCTCAGCCTGCTTCAGTGATTCATGCCCCCTTAATCCAGTAGCTGTCCAATTTGGATGTACACAAGTTTCTGGCATTCATATAACAAAGTCTTTTTTTTTATGATTACACCACCCATGGCCTTATGGAAAAAATTCAGAGCACATAAGAAAGGTCACTGTGAGTCAGTTTAATTAGAACCATGGGGAGGAAGGGATCATTATTTTTCATAATATGCCAGTGTGATTCCAGTGTGCATCCAAGACTAAGTGCCACTAGTTTGGATGGTTTCAACCTTGGGAGGTTTTTGAACTGGAACTCAGGTCAAATATAACAGGAATAACTGTCTAGACCAGGATTGTCCAATAGAAATATAGGAGCTAGCCGGACGCGGTGGCCCGCGCTTGTAATCCCAGCACTTTGGGAGGCCAAGGTGGGCAGATCACAAGATCAAGAGATCGAGACCATCTTGGCCAACATGGTGAAACCCCATCTCTACTAAAAATACAAAAATTAGCCGGGCGTGGTGGCGTGCGCCTGTAATCCCAACTACTCGGCAGGCTGAGGCAGGAGAACTGCTTGAACCTGGGAGGCAGAGGTTGCAGTGAGCCGAGATCATGCCACTGCACTTCAGCCTGGGCGACAGAGCAAGACTCCACCTCAAAAAAAAAAAAAAAAAAAAAAAAAGAAAGAAAGAAAGAAAAGAAAAGAAATATAGGCACCATGGGTATCATTTTCAATATTTGGAATAGCATATTTTAAAAAGTGAAAAGTAACAGGTAAATTATTTTTATAACGTATTTCATATAACGAAACATATCCAAAATGTTATCATTTCCACATATAATAAAGATAAAAAATAACGGGATATTTTATAAAATTTTCAGAAGAAGTCTTGGAAATGTGGTACGTATTTTCCATATATAGCACATCCTCGGTACTAGACAACACAGCTCTAGAAGCTAAGGCACTCTTCCACCATGAGATTATGCTCAAAGACATACCCCCCAAAAGTATATGGCTGTTACTTCCCTATTGGTTATCACTCCAACATGGCCCTGTATAAAAAAATAAAGGCGAAGATGTTTCACGAAGTTACAAACACTCAAAGCTGAAAGTGCCCATAGATATTTGGTCCAATGTCTTGATCTACTAACAAGGTAATTGAGGCCCAAGAGTGGAAGGCTTATCCCAAATTATACTGATAATTAGTAGCATAGACTCTAATTAGTACAGACTCTGGAATCTTAGTCTGCTCTCACTATCCTGAAAGAGACTGGTAGTTGAAAAGGTGGCATCTGTCCTAATTTTCCCTTTTCTTAATTTTCGAAAAAGTATTTAATCCTGAAAACAACAAAGAAACTGATCTTCCTTTTCTATTTATGTATGTAACAAACAAAATTATGTTATCAGCAATTTAATCATATCATCTAGCCAAATATATCAGAAACTTTACATTTTATGTTAAATAATTAAAATAACTAATTCTTACTTTGTTGGGATTTTTTTCTGGTTGTAGCAGGCTTATTTGATGTAGATAGCTTATTTGATGCCTCCTCAACCATCAATTTCAGCACACTAAGCATGAGATGGCTAAAGGGCCGAATTAACTCAGGAGGCTCCCAGTTGAATGTAGTCATTATATCATTTTGAGTAGATGTATGTGAGAAAAGGACACACAGATGAGGGAAGGACAAGTGACAGGCAGTTTTGACAAACTCAAATACTTGAAATCAGGACTAAGAATGAAAGCTAAGGTCTTACCAGTTTCTGAAGCAAGAGTGTTTTCTCTTTATTCTGCTTTAATTGCACAGTGGTGAGAAAATTTCCATTCCCCTAGAAAAGTAATGCATTCTTGCTTGTCCAGCTTTACATTACCTGATATGATTTGGGCATGAGTTTTTTACAAAAAAAGTGAAAAACAGCCTCATAATCAATGATACTTTTACAAGCTGTTCACACAGAGAAAGCCAGGGAATCTTTACCATGGGGCTTGCACAGAGCCCAGTTAACCTGGCCATATTCATGTACCACATTGTGAAGATATAAGCAAATGACTATGCCTGGTGGTTGGACCCAATAGACAAGTGAAGTATTGTTGATGTTAGAGACAGACAGGCCCTTCCTCACAAAACATCTAGGGGCTTTGTTCCCTCTCCCTCCTCCTCCAGACCTTGGAGTTGACAGGATTTTGTGATGTCGCTACTGACTATTCAGACGTGGAAATAGCAGAGATTGCTGAAAAATTTGTTTCTTGCTCATGGTGGAAGGGATGACAGGGATGCATTTGAGATGAGCTTTAACAGATGGGATGGGCTTTAAACAGCCCAATTGAGGAAAAGCAGCACCACAGGCAAAGGCAGTGGCAGTCAGAGTGGGAGAAAAGCCTAAAGAACTGGAAGAAGCCAGAGCTAGGGGGAGCTACTACTGTGTCCTGTCCCTAAGATAATCATCACCAAGGGATCAAGGGAGAGGGATATGAAAATGGTTGTGGCAAAGGTGAAGGAGCGATTGCAAACATCTCTCTTCCTTTTGGCCAAGTTCCTCCTAAAACTTCCAGCTCTCCTTTTCCTTTTTTAAACTTCTATGTAATAAGGAGGCCTGTAGGGTGGATATATAGACTCCTTTCTGAGTTGCTGCAGGGAACTGAATAACGGGCTTTGTAAACAAGGCTTTTTAAAAGTCCTTAATCCCAAGACATTTAGTAATATTCACAAATACAAGATTAAATGAAAAATTTGAAAAGCAAAATATGCCTGCCACATTAATAAAGTAGTAGTGGACTACAATAAGGTTTTCATTTAATCTCTTCAGGAGGCCCTTAATACCCTGCATTGACTACAAAACTATTCTTGTTTCCTCTGAAATTCTACCTCAGCAGATTGTTGATCCAGCCATGGAAAGACACTGAAGCCTCTTCAAAATGTATTCTTCCCACTGGCAGATCGGTTTAGGTTATGAAGTCTTATTTTATATCATATGCATCTTGCTTTGGTCTCACGGTGATTATTTCCCAGATTAAATAGTCCTCTATCGGATATACAAACAGCCAACAAACATATGAAAAAATGCTCAACATCACCAATTATCAGGGAAATGCAAATTAAAACCACCATGAAATACCACCTTACTTGTGCAAAAATGGCCATAATTAAAAAAAAAAAAAAAAAGATGTTGGCATGGATGTGATAAAAAGGGAGAACTTTTACACTGCTGGTGGGAATGTAAACTAGTATAACCACTATGGAAAACGGTATTGAGATTCCTTAAAGAACTGAAAGTAGAACTTCCATTTGATCCAACAATCCCACAACTGGGCATTTACCCAAAACAAAATAAGCAATTATACAAAGAGACACATGCACAGACATTTATATTAATAGCAGTACAATTCACAATTGCAAAAATATGAAACCAATCTACGTCTTCATCAACCAATGAATGCATAAAGAACATGTGGTATATATGCACCATGGAATACTACTCAGCCATAAAAACAATGAAATAATGTCTTTTGCAGAAACTTGGATGCAGCTGGAGGCCATTATTCTAAGTGAAGTAACTCAGGAATGGAAAACCAAATATTGTACATTCCCACTAATAAGTGGGAGCTGAGCTATGAGGATGCAAAGGCATAAGAATGATATAATGGACTTTGGAGACTCACCGGGAAAGGATGTGTGGAGAGTGAGCAATAAAAGACTACATATTAGGTACAGTGTACACTGCTCAGGTGACGGATGCACCAAACTCTCAGAAATCACCACCAAATAACTTATCCATGTAACCAAAAACCACCTGTACCCCAAAAGCTATTGAAATAAAAAACAGTCCTCTATCAATAGACATGGTTTTTAAAAATTAACTTATTTTTAGTTGACCAAAAATGGCATATATTTATTGTGTATATGATGCTTTATTGAAACATGTATACAGTGTGAAATGTATTACATTTTAACATGTAATACATTTAATATGTATTACATATTACATATGTTAACTAATTAACATATGTATTACCTCACATAGTTATTTTTGTGGTGACAACGCTTAAAATCTACTCTTGACAATTTTCAAGAATACAATATATTGTTATTCACCACATTCACCATGTTGTACAATAGATCTCTTGAACTTATTCCTCCTGTCTAACTGAAATTTTGGATCCTTTGACAAACGTCTCCTCCTTACCCCAGCCCCTGGCAAACATCATTCTACTCTCTGCTCCCATGAGTTCAACTTTTTTTACACTCCACATATGAAGACAAAACAGTATTTATCTTCTATGTCTGGCTTATTTTATTTAACATAATGTTCTCCAGGTTCATCCATGTTGTCCCAAATGACAAGATTTTCTTTTTTATGGCTGAATTGTATTCTATTGTGTATATATACCAGATTTTCTTTATCTATTCATTCATTGATGGACTTGTAGAACATGTTTTTAAAACTTCCAAACTTGGCCAGGCGTGGTGTCTCACACCTGTAATACCAACACTTTGAGGAGGCGAAAGCAGGAGGATCACTTGCGCCCAGGAGTTTGAGACCAGCCTGGGCAACACAGGGAGACCTCGTCTCTACAAAAAACTTTTCAAAAAAATGTTTAAAATTAGCCAGGCAAGGTGATGGGAGCCTGTGGTCCCAATTACTCAGGCAGCTAAGGTGGGAAAATCACTTGAGTCCAGGAGGTCAAGGCTGCAGTGAGCCTTGACTGTGCCACTGTACCCCAGCTTGGGAGACACAGCAAGACCCTGTCTCAAAAATTCAATTAAACTAAACTAAATTAAAACTGCAAAACTTAAAATACTTGTCAAGTAGTTACCCACAAACATTACTTCTCTTCCTCCTTCCATCACTGTCTTTCCTCCTCCCCTACTTCTTATAATTTGTAGAGACTCTAAGTCTTCTCCCCTGGAGAATCTGCATACTGTGTGCCTCCTTCTTCCTTGATATCTGGGCAGTTCACTGAGCCTCAAGTTGCTCCTCTATTCTGGCTCCTCCAGTCTTTGTTATTCACTATTTTAAAAATTGGACCAATTAGTTTAACTTCAAGATTAGAGAAAATAAAACGTATCACAAAAACTTTCCCATCCCTGTTACTCAGGATGATTACAGAATGTTTTTGGCAAATTCCTAATGTTAAAAAGTTTTATATTCTTTAAACTATAGATATCTGGAATGTAACATCTAGACAACCGCCTCACATATGAAATGTTACAGGGTTGTCACCTAAAAGGTATTTCAGAATTGGATAAACCACCTGTTTTTACACTCATGAAAAGTGACCAGTTGTAAGAAAAAGCTAGAGTCTAATTCAGCTGAATTACTCTTATCTTCATAAAGTACATCAAAACATGTCTGCAAATTTTATCTGAGAATCAGAAGTATACACTAAAATCTACAGTTGTAATAATTTCACTGGACCAATAAATGCCACTAATATTAAATGCAATATTGTCTTCCACATCTAAAAAGTTACTTATACTTATTATTACAATTAACAATTATAATACTTCACAATATATAAATATATCATATTTTAGTTTATAAAATATATATATTTTATTTTATATATTTTTATATACATTTTATATATATCATATATATAAAATATATATATCATAGATAAAATATATCATAGATAAAATATATCATATATAAAATATATATATCATATTTTATTTTATAATGTGTGTTTATGCCTATTTTCTCACTTGCCCTCACAATAACCCTGTGAAGAAGCCACAGCAAATATTGTTGTTCTTCCCATTTTAAAAAGGAGAAAACTGGCAATGAGATAAAGATCACCCAACTAGTTAATAGTGGAGTTAGATGTTGAATTTATTTTCTGACTTCCTGTTTGATGGTAGATAGCAATGGGGTACTTATCTGGCACTCAATAATAAGATGTTTCATTGTCTGAATAAAATGGATTGCAATTATGTCAGAGAGCTGACCTTTAACTGATTAGGTTGAGGGAAGAGAAAGAGGGTGAATAGAAAGACAAAGAGATCTGTACCACTCTCAGATCAAGTGTTCACCTGCAGCCATTAAAGTGAAATTCAGTGAAATACTTTTGCTGGTTTATGGTCCCACTTTCTCTAAACAAGAAGCATATTTTCCCAAACATTTATATTAATTTGTAACCTCATCACTTTAACAAACTTTCATTAAAACAAAAATGAGGTGGCTTCTTTTGGGGTGGAAGTTAATATTTTATATTCTTCTATCCCAGTTTGTTTATCTGTAAAGGATCATGAAATGCCCCTTTAACTGCATAAGATGTTGTCATCCACTGTCTACTCTGGTCCTTAGAAACTGTTGGATAGGCCAGGCATGGTGGCTCACACCTGTAATCCCAGCACTTTGAGAGGCTGAGGCGGGCAGATCACCTGAGGTCAGGAGCTCGAGACCAGCCTGGCCAACATGGCGAAACCCCGTCTCTACTAAAAATACAAAAATTAGCTGGGCATGGTGGCACACGCCTGTAAGCCCAGCTACTCGGGAGGCTGAGACAGGAGAATCACTTGAACCCAGGAGGCGGAGGTTGCAGTGAGCCGAGATCACGCCATTGCACTTCAGCCTGGGCGACAAGAGTGAAACTCTGTCTCAGAAAAAAACTGTTGGACAAAGAGGAGAGAAGAGTCCAGGGCAGGGATGGGATGTGGCCAAATAGGTCAAGGCACCAAAGGCACAGCCAGAGGAATTTTGCTTTCCATAGCTAATTCCACGTCTTCAAAAATAAGGCAACTCTTAGTGAAGATAGTTGGGCACAGCCATCCTAGCCCACTGCCAGCTGGAGGAAAACAAAAATCAAAGCCAGTACACCTGGCTTCACATGTTTACAATGCCTGTACTGTTCTGCATGAAAAGCCAGGCCAGAATTCAGTGAAGGCCAATGTAATTCCTTTTTTTTTTTTTTTTTTGGATGGAGTTTGGCTCTTCCCGCCCAGGCTGGAGTGCAATGGCGCGATCTCAGCTCACTGCAACCTCCTTCTCCCGGGTTCAAGCGATTCTCCTGCCTCAATCTCCCGAGTAGCCGGGATTACAGGCTCTCCAGCCACCATGCCCGGCTAATTTTTGTATTTTTAGTAGAGACAGGGTTTCACCATGTTGGCCAGGCTGGTCTCGAGCTCCTGACCTCAGGAAATCCACCCGCCTTGGCCTCCCAAAGTGCTGGGATTACAGGCATGAGCCACCGTGCCCAGCCCGATGTAATTCTTTATTCATCAGTTCAGAGATTTCCAAACTTTGAAAAAAATGCAAATTCCAGCCCATCTTACCCCATACCTAAATGTTTTTTCAGAACACTTCCAAATACAACAAAGTTTTTGTTGCATTTATTATTTTTCCTACTAAGAAAACTCCTATGCATTTATTGTGGAAAATTTTGAAACTGCAGGGAAAATGTATTTACCTTTCCTTGTTAAGATGGATTCAGTTGTGCTTTAGAAACTTACATGCCCTGTCTTTCAAATCTTAGGGCCAAAAGAAGGAACCATATTTGAAACTGGCTTTGGAGTGAGTCAGTGTGTGTGACGAAATGCAGTTTGTAAGGTAGATACTGCAGGAGCTCCAGTCTCAGGAAAGGAGTTAGAACAGTAAATATAGTAAATGTCACGGGTGGAGTGGGAGGGTGATAGAACACATAATCATAAATATGGGACAATGTAAGCAAACTCTTCATTAGTTGCTCCCAGCAAGCACACGGCTCTTTTTACTCAACACATTTCTAATACCAAATAGTTTGTTCTGTTGCCTCCATAAATACATTAGTAGCTGTCACCTATCTTATAATTTTTAGTTTAGCCCTTGTATGAAGTGTTGATTACATGATTGTAAGTGAGTGATCATTGTGATGTGTGCTACTTGTACAAATCCATCAGGAATGTGAATATTCTCAAAATGTAACTTCACACTGGATCCCTCTCTCATCCAACTATATGAAGCATAAATCTGCCAAATCACATTTTCTTTACATTCTACTGGGGATTATTATTTAGTTAATTAGATAAAGAATATATCGCACTTTTTAGCCCATGTAGTGAACAAACTTAGTTAAAATCTAGAGGAACGGGGAAAGGGGAGATGTTGATCAAAGGATACAAAGTTTCAGTTAGACAGGAGGAATAAGCTTTAGTGATCTATTTCACAGAATGGTGACTGTAATAAATAATTATGCATTGTATATTTTAAATGTTTCACCACAAAAAGTTAAGTAGTTAAAAGAGTAGATTTTAAATGTTTTCAACACGAAAAAGATTAAGTATGTGAGGTAATGGATTTGTCAGTTTGAGTTAATCATTCCACAATGTCAACATATATCAAAACATCACATGGTACCCCATAAATATATACTACTACAGTTTGTTAATCAAATAAATATTTTCTAACCTAGTGGAAGAAAAAATTAGAATGCTATATTTTTAAGTGACCAAGTTCTCTTTTCCTCTATTTGCAGGCAGTGTCATTCATTCCTAACACTGTGGCTGGGGAGGGAGGCGTGAAGAGAGAAAGGCAGTTTCAAGTTCACTCCTGATTTGTTGTGAGCAGTGTATATGACTAATAAAATTCCTCAATCTTATGTAAGTTGCATTTTTCCATATTTTCTTGGGCCTGGTCCCAGGCAGCATATGAAATGACCAGTGGATAAACTAGGGATAATATAGGGAAGAAAAATAGACACTAAAGTTATCAACAAAAAATATAACCAGATAACTTTCTACCCTCCACTTTATTACTTGCTGTGTCACCAGGACCTACATTCAGTAGTGAAATACTTTTGGTTGGAAGCACTGGTTATCCCTGTAGTTCTTAGTGAAGCAGCATTGGGGCATCTTCCAGCTGGGTTTAGACTGTCTGGAAACTACGGCTGAATCGACAATGCAATCTGACCATGTCATGTGGTCAATAGAGAAATGATGTTCAGCTTAGGGAATGAATGGTCAGACTCACCAGGAATGCTATGTCAGACTTTGGTACCCTGGCCTATGGACTGTTGAGAGGAAAAAGCATGGATAACAGAAGCCTCAAAATTGTCAAATGAGGATTGAGAAAAACTTAGCTAAGCAAAGAGTTAAATGAAACATAGGTGCTGTCTTCAAGTATCAAAAGGGTCATATATCCGCAGGAGGTGACTTGCCCAAGAGATCAGAACCTCTATCAAAGGAGGCAGATTTCAGTTCAATGTGAGGAAGAGTTATCTAATGAATATGGCCAGAGACTGAATGGGCTACCTTAGAAAACACCAAGCTCCCCAGTACTGGAGATGTTCAAGCAGAGGTAGGAGAGATATTTTATTGGGAATTTCAAAACTGAGATATAGCGATTACACTAAATGGCCTTTAAGGGTTGTTTGCAACTCTTAAGACTATATCATCACCTTCCCTTGTCTTGTCCTCGGTCTCAACTGGGGTCTAGGGGAAGCACTGGAAATTTTTCCTATATCATAAGTGAGGTCATTGCTTAGCTTTCAACCTACCTTCGCTGACAGGTGTGGCCTCTCTTGGTTGGTCTGGGAACACAGCAGGGATTTTAGACAATGCTGCAGGTAGCTTAAAAAAGCTCTGGTCCAGCTGGATGCGGTGGCTCATGCCTGTAATCCCAACACTTTGGGAGGCCGGGTTGGGGCGGGGGTGGAAAAATGGATCACAAGGTCAGGAGTTCGAGACCAGCCTGGCCAATATGGTGAAACCCAGTCTCTACTAAAAATACAAAAATTAGCTGGGCATGGTGGTGTGCATCTGTAATCCCAGCTACTAGGGAGGCTGAGGCAGAAGAATCGCTTGCACCTGGGAGGCAGAGGTTGCAGTGAGCCAAGATCGCACCACTACCCTCCGGCCTGGGCGACAAAGCAAGACTCCATCTCCTCCCCCCACCCCCCCCCCCAAAAAAAAGCTCTAATCCAAACTAGAGCTGGGCTTGACCTAATTTACCTATAGGCACCTGCACAGATGACAATCATCCATCTAGCTCACAAAGCCCTCCAGAGAATGTTTCCCACTACCAGCTTCTCACATACAAGCATCTTTATGCTTGAACCAAGACCTCTGCACAGCAATCAACTCCCCTCTGTGGGCTCCTTTGTGATGAAAGCCTCTCAAAATGCACAGGTTTAGAAGTAATGCTCAAGCTCTCTTTACCACAAATGCAGATGTCCAACCACATCTTTACCTCCTATCTCCCTAACTGATCTAGATTGTGACTCATCCTCCCCAAGCCAAGTTGTGAAGCAGCTGGAAGTCTCTGATCTGAACCAGTAACAGATCAGAAGTTGGCTCTTTGCTATTGGTTTGCCAGGTTTGCAGCCCTTGTGGCAGCCTGAACCTAGTGTACAAACTCAGGTGCAAAAAAATCAAAATGATGCAAATACTCCTACCTACCTTACCCTTGCATTCTGACACAATGCAATAAACCCCTCTTCCTCATTTCCCAACAGAAATATGCAACCAAATATACTGTATCATTTTAGCCAGGAAACAGCCTTTTCATGAATGCTCACTCCTAAAATACTACATTCCTATCCTTCTTTCTGCACGTACAAGAAACAATTTCAGCAATTTCTGATATTCCCAGGTCTACACAGTCAGTAGCAACACCTAAAAATTTTAGCAACTCCAAGGTCAAGAGGAGGAGGTGGAGGGAAAGCCTCTCGACTTTCTTTTGGGGAAGGCTTCCCTGTACCTAACAGCAAAAATCCTTCAAAATGACTATTGATGTAACTGCTCGCAGGGTCACGTGCTTGTATCTTCACAATATGGTACATGAATACTGCCAGATTAACTAGACTCTGTGCAAGCCCCATAATAAAGATTTTCTTGCTTTCTCTGTGCAAATATTTTAATGTCTTATAACTGTATCATTAGTTGGGAAGGCTGTCTTTACCTTTTTTTTTGTAAAAATTCACACGCAACTCATGTTGGGTAATATAAAGTTGGACAAGTGAAATGCATTACTATTCAGGGTAGAAAGGGATTGTCTCACTACTGTGCAATTAAAGCAGAATAAACATAAAAAAACTCTCTTACTGCAGAAGCTGATAAGCTTGCGGCTATCATCCTTAAGCCCTGATTCCAAGTGTCGAAGTTTGTCAAAACTTCCTGTTACTTCTCCGTCTCTCATCTGCGTGTCCCTGTCTAATCAAAATGACCTAATAACAAATACCTGACATTTTACCAGATATAAATCTCTATTTCTTTTTTTTTTTTTTTTTTTTTTTTTTTTTTTTTTTTGAGACAGCGTTTTGCTCTGTCGCCCAGGCTGGAGTGCAATGGTGTGATCTTGGCTCATTGCAACCTCTGTCTCCTGGGTTTAAGCAATTCTCCTGCCTCAGCCTCCCGAATAGCTGGAATTACAGGTGCCCGCCACTATGCCCAGCTAATTTTTGTATTTTTAGTAGAGACGGGGTTTCACCATGTTGGCTAGCCTGGTCTCGAACTCCTGATCTCTGATGATCCGCTCTCCTTGGCCTCCCAAAGTGCCGGGATTACAGGTGTGAGCCAATACGCGCCTGGCCACTTTCTTTTCTTTTCCCTTTCCCTTTCCCTTTTCCTTTCCTTTCCTTCCTTCCTTCCTTCCTCTCTCTCTCTCTCTCTCTCTCTCTCTCTCTCTCTCTCTATCACCTTCTACCATAAGGCCTTACCAAGAAATATTCTTTCTGCTATTCACCGAGTGTTTTGTCAGCTCAAAGTCACACTAATTGCTTTCCATATACGTATTTTAGAGGGATACCTTGTTGTCGTGCCGGAATTTTCTGCCTACATGAATATGAACAAATCTCAGGATATAGAATCACTGCCTGAATGCATACTCTCTCTTTAGGGGATTTAAGTAGTTTGATTTTTTTTATGTACTTGCAAAAGAGACCACATTTCAGTAGGGCAAAATATAGTACAGAAAAAGGAAAGTTAAAAAGTTGTCTACTTGGATCTACCTGGGGGGATGCAGGAAAAATAAAAGTGTTTCTGTCCGCTTTTGAGTACCCTGGATTCAATGTACAAATCTAAGAGCAAAGCTCAAATTAACCGTGAATTAATAATCCTCACTTTGCCAATAGGAAAGTCACTTACTTGAAGATTTTGACCTTCCTCTCTCATAGAAATCCCAAGAGTGTACCCTACACTAATCAAGCTAAGAGCCCTACATATTAAAAAATATATATCAGGTGCAATTGGTGGTTTTTCAAGATATTCAGCACAAAACCTTTTAATAAGCTCCACTCAATAATTTTAACCATAATCCAACTTACACAAAAATTTTCCAATAAACTTTTGCAAAACAAAGTGCCCCTGGGAAAGCTTTCTTTAGGTAAGATGTAACCAATATATTCAGTCTATTTACTGTAAAGATAGATTAGAAGTTCCCTACAAAGATGCAGTGAGGTTAAATTAAGTTGATTACCTGGGACTGATGAGAGCTGAGAGACAGGGAGGAGCACACTGCCCATTTTGCCAGCAATGCCGAAGGGACAGTGTGAAATAAAGCAAACTGTTGTTCGCCATCTCCCATCAGTGAGAAAAAGCATTGCCAAGATTATTTGCAAATCATCTTTCAACTGGCATTTTCTGTGGCCTCATCTGAACTGCTACTTTCACCTCTGTCCATTGCATTTCATAGCAAGATGCTGTAATTGTTTAAGACCTCAGGATGTACTACAGAAGGCAATCATCTATAGGCATTCTTGCATTTGGAGCCATCTGGTATTTCCTGACTTCCCCAAGGTCTCTATTATGAGCTATTCCCCTTTACAACCAAGAAAATGAGTTCCCTCATACAATAGAGACAAAAGAGTCCTTTCCTTACTCAGGTAATGGCAGCTCTGAATACAATTCTCTTCTGGGTAACAGGAAAACTTCTGTTAGTCTGAGATGGCGGGCACCCTTGGCCATTCCCTCCTTCATCTTGGTGTCCAAGACAAGTGCTTGTGACCATGCCCCAGTGGCTCAGAGGATCTCTTCAAGCTGCACTTCCTCTTCTCTCTTCCAAACCCTCTAACCCTATGTGCATTTCTGCAATTTGCATCCAGGTGCCTCAACCCAGCCCTTTTGACAACAGTGGGATGCCCTGGTTGGACTCTTGAAATTTTAAAGGCATGATTTCCTGGCTCTAGTACCCACTGGAATATTTACTCTGTATTCATGGGTCAGAGCAGCCTCACTACTGAGTCTAATTCAGATCCCTAGAGCCCCTGGCTGGTGCTTGCCACGTAGGCTCCAAGCTCTAGAGAGGAATAAATCATCTTTTACATCTGTTTCAACCTTTACTGTTTCAACTGTTGCAGGTCACAATGTACTTTCACTGGAATTTCAATTTGATTCTAACAATTGCCTTATCTGGGGTTAAGCAGGGCAAGTGTAATGTCACAGACATTTTATAGATGAGAAACTAGAAACACAGAAGATGCCCCAGGTTGTATCATGGAAAAATAAGGAGTCAATATAAGGTACTGTTGAGTTGTACTAACTACCCCTGTTCTACAACTATGATTCCTAACAACACAATAGCAGCAATAATAGCTTATGAATCCTATGTTATGAGCTGACAGCAAGAATTCAGTGCACATGAGGAATGCTTCTAATTTTATTTTGCATCTTCAGTTAATTGTTCACTGGCAAGTATCTCCTTTTGAATGGAATCAGCTACATAATTGGTGGGGCCTAGTGCAAAATGAAAATGTGGGGCCCCTTTTTCAAAAATTATTAAGAATTTCAAGACAGTGACAGCAGAGCATTAAGCCAAGTATGGAACCTTTGTAAGCAAGGGGCCCTGTGCAAAAGCCCCTTTTGCTCATGAAGTTGGCCTTGCTTCTAAACCCTCAAGAAATACCTAAGTCTTAATGTAAGGTTTCACTGTAGGGACAAGAGAGAAAACAGGTCATTGGTTCTCTTATTCTTCTCGTTGCAAAAAAAAAACATTCACTTTGTTACTTCTTGTAAATCTCATATCATCAAGAGTATCATTAGAATCAGGGATGTGCCATAATTCCTGGTTGACAAATCTCGATTTTATGTTATTGATTCTTGAGATAATGTACTTCCTGTGAAATTTTGATGCATCCTGCTGACCTCCCAAATATAATATAAAACAAAAACTAGAGAAGCTGCTCAATCTTCATTCCTTCCCTTCTTAGACCCTTCAGTCAAGAAAAGGTATACTGATTATGTTAAGACTAAACTAAGCCTTGACGAGGAGAACTCCATCTGTCAGCTTACTTATGAAGAAAAACAGAGTCATTGAAGTCATAGCTTCACACAAGACAGTGCTAAGCAGTTCTCCCAATGGAGGTACTAGACCTTTTCAGTCTGGAGAGATCTGGTCTGTCCCAGCCCTGGCCCCACATGTCACCATTCTTCCCTAGCCCTCCCACTTCCAAACCAGGAAACAAAGAACAGAATGCCAGGAAAACCATGAAATACCAATTATGAGGAGATGTATAATGAAATGTTATTTAAGAGGACTCTGATAAAATTTTAAAGAGAATCACATTTTAAGTTTTGTAAATACGATAATATATAGAAAAGGTGTTTTCATTAGGCCAATGTCTTCCAGTTTGACTTTCTGCCCTCCATGATCCTTTTCTCTTGATAAATGACTTGGTGTATTTAATCAATTCTAGGATGCATATTTTTTTTTAATCACACTTCATATTACTGAAATCAGAATGGATCTTATAATCAATGGAATTTTACAGTCACTGTGGGCCAGAAGGTGGTTGAATAGGGGTAGACATTGTCTGTTTATGCTCAAATTTGGTCACGGCTGTTGTTATATCATGATACATAATAAAAATATATATCTAAATAAGTCTAAAAGAGCTCATTAGTAAGTATAAAATTAAAATTCTATGAATATGAAAGCATTACATCATAGTTTATCTGGAAGTGTATTTTTCTCTTAATGTTACATAAAAATAATTACATAAAAAAGTTTCACATGTGGATGGGGGTGGCGGCTTACGGCTGTGATCCCAGCACTTTGGGAGGCCAAGGCAGGCAGATCACCTGAGGTCAGGAATTCGAGACTAGCCTGACCAACATGGAGAAACCCCATCTCTACTAAAAATCCAAAAAATTAGCCGGGCGTGGTGGTGCATGCCTGTAATCCCAGCTACTAGGGAGACTGAGGCAGGAGAATCGCTTGAACCCGGGAGGCGGAAGTTGCTGTGATCCAAGATCATACCATTGCACTCCAGCCTGGGCAACAAGAGCGAAACTCCATCTCAAAAAGAAAAAAAAAGAAATCAGATGTGATTAAATACTTCATGTCTTCAATAGAATGCATTATCCACCACTGGAATTATGAAGAGTCTGAAAAGCTTCACATGTAACCACCAAGAAGCCTTTCAAAGTTCATATGGGAAAGCGTCTAGGTACTAATAGATGTTTTTTCCAATATTCTTACTGGAATATTACTTTTTAAACTTTTTCTTGCTTACTACTAAAAATCCCCCAATATGGAAACCCAAAAACTAGTAAAAGGCACACGTTACATCAGAATAGCAGTATACTGAACCAGATTAGTGGAAAATCAATTTTTTCCATAGAAGTGGTTTTAGGGAAACTTAGAGAGATTTCCAATATAAACTTTAGACCAGCACTGTCATATAATATATACAATGTGAGCTTCACAAGTAATTTTAAATTTTCTTGTTGCAACATTTTTTAAAAGTCTAAAAATCAGGTAAAATTAATTTTAGTGAAATGTACTATTTAATTCTATATCATCAAAATATTATTTCAACATGTAATTAACATAAAATATTAGTGAAATACTTTATGTGTCCTGTCCTTGAAATCCAGTATGTATTCTATACTTACAGCATATCTGTTTGTACTAGCCACATTTTAAATGTTAAATAGCCACATGTGATTGTGGCTCCCAAACTGGACAAAACAAGTTTAGTCAAAATATGTATTTATCAACAAAACAAAAACATCCCTTCCAGGACATTTTGCTCAAACATGATCACTCACAGAAGCATCTGGCAGAAATTCAAAAGTGACAACTACTTCCATTGCATGGTTGTGAACATAAACTACAATAAATGGGTTATTCCAACAATTACAACAATATATTGTTCTGGAACAATCTTGCAGGAGACAGACTAGAACGGTGGTCTTCACACTAGGCTACTGTTACACAAATTCTTTTCAAGAAGTATGTGAGTAGGAACAGTATCAATGAATCCACTTTCAGGTGCTCAACTCTTACGTGTATTCTCTCTTAAAATGAATCTACCTAAGAACACCATTTTTTCCCACATGCTTAAAATTAAGCATTATTTTCCATCTATTCTCAACATTAATCACAAACGTGTGTCATCAACTGGGAAAAAAAAGAGCATCTCCTAACTAGTTGCAGTATATATTGCTGACACTGATTCTTTTCAACACAATTGGACTGTATTCTAGTACTAAAAAATATTTAGACTTTGGTAAAACTTATGTATAGAAATGGGCAATACCACCACTGGGTATTTACCTAAAGGAATAGAAATTAATATATCAAAGAGATACATGCACTCCCATGTTTATTGCAGCACTATTCACAATAGCAAAGATATGGAATCAACCTAAGTGTCCATCCACAGATGAATGGATAAAGAAAACGTGGTACATATAAACCATGGAATACTACTGGGTCATAAAAAGGAATGAAATCCTATCATTTGCAGCAACATGGATGGAACTGGAAGTCATTATCTTAAGTAAAATAAACCAGGCACAAAAAGACAAACAGTACATATTCTCACTCATATGTGGGAGCTAAAAAAGTTGATCTCATGGAGGTAGAGAGTAGAATAATAGACACCAGAGACTGGGAAGGCTGTATAGGCAGGAGGGGAGGGATGAAGAGAGGCTTATTAATTGATACGAACACACAGTTAAATAGAAGGAATAAGTTCTAGTGTTGGATAGCATAGTAAGGTGACTATAGGTAACAACAATGCATTGTGTTTTTCAGAATGGCTAGACGAGAGGAGCTGAAATGTACCTAACACAGAGAAATGATAAATACTCAGGTGATAGCTACCCTAAATACCTTGACCTGATCATTACAAATTCTAGGCATGTAACAAAATTTCACATGTACCTCATAAGTATGTACAAATGTATCAAAATTATTTAAAAAGTTAAAAATTAAATAAGAAATTATGTAATTTATTTCAGAAATTATGTGATCATTGTATTAAACTTGTTAGAACCTGTTTTCTCAGACTGTATCGTAAAATATCTTTTCCAATTAAAATCAATCCTCAGCCGACTGCGGTGGCTAAAGCTTGTAATGCCAGCACTTTGGGAGGCCGAGGCAAATGGATTGCTTGAGTCTAGGAGCTCGAGACCAGCCTGGGCAACATGGTGAAACCCTGCCTCTATTAAAAAGACAAAAATTAACCAGGTGTCGCGGCTCGCACCTATAATCACAGCTACTCGGGAGGCTGAGGCACGAGACTCACTTGAATCCGGGAGGCAGAGGGTGCAATGAGCCGAGATTGCACCACTGCACTCCAGCCTGGGCAAAAGAGTGAGACTCTGACTCCAGAAAAAAAAAAAAAAGAAAAGAAAAAGAAAAAAGAAAAAAGCATCAATCTTCATTTCATTTTATAAATAACCTTTATACTTTCTACCTCCTATTATCAAAAATAAAATGATATGCTAGTTTTATATTTAGCAAGTATTTTTTAGACTCTTTCATAAAATATCGTTAAAAAGTTTGATACTAGGCCGAGTACAGTGGCTCATGCCTATAATGCCAGCACTTTGGGAGGCCTAGATGGGCGGATCACGAGGTCAGGAGATCGAGACCATCCTGGCCAACATGGTGAAACACCGTCTCTACTAAACATACAAAAATTAGCTGGGCGTGATGGAGGGCACCTGTAATCCCAGCTACTCGGGAGGCTGAGGCAGGAGAATAGCTTGAACCTGGGAGGGGGAGGTTGCAGTGAGCCGAGATCAACTCACTGCACTCCAGGCTGGCAACAGAACGAGTCTCTGTCTCAAAAAAAAAAAAAAAAAAAGAAGAAGAAGAAAAGAAAAAGAAAACTTTAATTCTATGGTCTAATGAAGTTTATGGATTTGAAAAAAAAATGTATATGCTATTCTTAGTCAATTATTCCAAGAAATTCAACTCCAATGTTCTAAAAACACATACATACATATTTACATGAGAAATTCTGCCTACCTTCAGATTCCTTGTTTCATGTATGACTTATAATGGTAACCACATACTACATTGTTTAATTTAAAATTATATATCAGAAACAAAGTTATTATTTAATTTCTTAATTTATTTTGAAGTGGATAAAAGCCTCATATTTATTTTAATATGATATTTACTTTGCTAGTTATTTAACAAGGTGCTCCATAATTGATTTATCCATGGTTTTAATAATGCACCTCAAAACGTATATTAATATTTTTTCCTTGAAAAATGAAGTCAGACACTTTTTCTGAAAGTAAATCTGATTTTGTTGATTATTTTTATATGAATACTGCCTTTGCCAAATAAATTATGAATATTTCCTATAAAATTGTTAATTCAAATCTGTAGCCTCAAGTTCTTATATTTATAGAATATAATAAATTAAAGGCTGGGCGTGGTGACTCATGCCTGTAATCCCAGCACTTTGGGAGGCCAAGGCAGGCAGATCATCTGAGGTTGGGAGATCGAGACCAGCCTGACAAACATGGAAAACCCCGTCTCTGCTAAATATACAAAAATTAGTTGGGCGTGGTGGCACATGCATGCAATCCCAGCTACTTGGGAGGCTGAGGCAGGAGAATCGCTTGAACCCGGAAGGCAGAGGTTGCAGTGAGCCGAGATTGCGCCATTGCACTCCAGCCTGGGCAACAAGAGCGAAACTCTGTCTCAATAAATAAATAAATAAATAAATAAATACCATTTTATCAAAATTATCGTATTGGCAAAGACATATTGATCTAAGTACTTTGATTTTCACAACCTTTTATGTGTATAATGAATTTTAAATAATGCCTCAAATGAAAATATAACATATAATAGTTATGTAATAAATTTGGGGAAAGCCATTTTAGTAAACTTCCCAGAAACAGAAAAAAAGTGACTGAACAACAAATCCTTTAGTAAATCAGAGGGTTTCTTTGCTTTCACAGAATTAAAGATGGGTCTAATCAAGTTGTCTGTTAAACATCAAAAATTTAGTTAAAATTTTTTTAATCATTAAAAATTATTTTTGATGACAGGTCACTACATGATTATTTATGGGAACAAAATTTTCTGAGTTCTTTTATCTATAAAAATGAAGGACAGGAACTGAAGTCTGGCTCATTAGAAATAAGTAAGAGTCATTCTCCGATTCAAAAATTAGTTTGGGGAAAATAAAATCATATTCACTTAAGAGATGTATTTTTGGCCAGACAGGGTGGCTCATGCCTGTAATCCCAGCACTTTGGGAGGCTGAGGCGAGCGGATCACCTGAGATCGAGAGTTTGAGACCAGCCTGGCCAACATGGTGAAACCCTGTCTCTACTAAAAATACAAAAAAAATTAGCCGGGCGTGGTGGCACGTGCCTGTAATCCCAGCTACTCAGGAGGCTGAGGCACGAGAATTGCTTGAACCTGGAAGGTGGCGGTTACAGTGAGGTGAAATTGCGCCACTGCACTCCAGCCTTGGTGACAGAGCAAGACTCTGTCTCAAAAAAAAAAAAAAAAAAAAGATGTATTTCCAACCAATTTTACTTTTCATTTTACTGATTACTTACCAAATGTGTAATATTTTAAGTTCTTCTGATTGTGTACTACTAATAAATTTATGATAAAAATTTTAATCTTTTGAGGCATAGAGTCACAGAAATTTTTTTTCAATTCTTGTATGCTTTTTGCAGGCATGTATGGTAAGGTGACGAATAAGGGGCCTTTAAATATTGAAAATGTATTCATTATTATACATTATGTGAGGGAAGTTGAATGGAATGGCAAGTTCAAGGAGATAGAAACATTACGTAAAATTTCTGACTGCTAAAGAAGACCTTGTTCATGTTTTTTTAAATCAACAATTATGAATATCAAATGGGTATGGTATTTTTATTTCATTGCATGCAAAAATTTGATGAAACCAATTTATTTAAAAGTCGGAGTATTCATAATATGCTGGAAATATGTTACAAATACTTAAATTTATGATAAGAAATTTCAGGTGTTCACTTCAAGATGTGTGATGGAGTAGACCATTTTCCAAAATGATGTTAGGTGGTAAATAATTAGAAAGTACAAAGATCACTGCTATAGAACACGGTCTCAATGAATTCCACGGGGAAATTTGGGACGGCAGGGGGAAAAGTTAGAGAGAAAGATTTCTTTTTATTTTATGACTTTTTAAAAATTTCTACATATGTAGCAGAAATCGCTATAACTTGATGTATACGTGCTTATTCACCAGGGTGGTTACACAACCTTGCAATGAGTGAAGTTTTAGGGACGTTTCTGAGCAATCCACAAATACGGTACTTACTCAGTTTGGTCACTAGGTGGCAAACGTGCACAGGGCACGAAGCCCTCTTCCCATTCTTGCACTCTGCTCTCAATCTTCCATCTCCTCCTGAAAAGAGGAAAAGAATACTAACGACAGTAATAACAACAAACCACACTAGCAGGAAATATTTGTTTCAGGTCTTTCCATTTGCCAGAGACAGTAATAATCCCTTATCACCGCTGAGAATTTCAGAAATGACCTTGTTTGTGGATGTAATCTATATTACATTAATAAATTATTCTTTATTAATACCTTTACAAAAAAAGTTGATTAATACATCTCTATGATATAATCATGCAGTTTGACCACAAAAACCAAATCCTATCTAGCTAAGCACTTTGTACCAAAACCAAAAGATAACAGCAATAAGCAGCAACATCTATGACATTCTAAGCACTGGGCTAAGCCCTTCATTTCACTACATCTTCAAAGAACTCTAAAAGATAGGTGCTAATATTACTCTCATGTTACAGGTGAGAAGACAAGAAAATGACCTCAAATCATTGAACTAGTAAGTGATGGAGCTGGGATAAAAATGCAGGTTTTTTTTTTTAACTTCAATAGACATGCATTTAAATATTACAGTTTGACATTTCAGTGGGGTGTGTGTCTGTCCATGTATCTTTCTATATGTGGCTATGCACATGTTTCTATTTCTGTGATTCCATGTGATGCTATATCTCTGATTCTGTGCACGCGAAAGCGCATGTGCACGTGGGTTTGTGAGGTGTGTGCATACTCACATGTGAACTCAAAATCTTTTAGAGATCCTTCTGGTAATGTCCACATCTACTTTTACACAGTGTATTTAGCAGGAGCTTGATAATTTTCATTCTCTCTTGAAGAGACTAAGACAAGGACACGTTAAAAGTCACAGCCTCGGCTGGGCGCAGTGGCTCATGCCTGTAATCCCAGCACTTCGGGAGACCAAGACGGGTGGATCACCTGAGGTCAGGAGTTTGAGACCAGCCTAGCTAAGATGGTGAAACCCCGTCTCTACTAAAAATACAAAAATTAGCCAGGCGTGGTGGTGGGTGCCAGTAATCCCAGCTACTTAGGAGGCTGAGGCAGAGAACTGCTTGAACCTGGGAGGTGGAGGTTACAGTGAGCTGAGATCACGCCACTGCACTCCAGCCTGGATGACAGAGCAAGACTCTGTCTCAGAAAAAAAAAAAAAAGTCATAGCCACCTTTGTAAAGGTGCTTCTTCGTGGTTAGGTGTCTCTGCTTTTCATATGTATAAATTGCATGTGTCTCTAATGTCTGTGCGTGTGTAAATCTGTTTCTGTTTGTGGCATGATTAAGTCTATAAATGCATCCATATACCTACACTGGCACATGTATACGTGTATATACATATATTCAATGTGCATTTAGGACTTGTATGTCACGAACATAGATTTGTAGAACAGTGTGGATATGTGCATGCCAACGTGTGTGTATGTTGACACGTGAGGGTGCAAGTCTGTACATCTGTGCATTTGTGTGCCAGTGGATGTCTATATGTACATATGCATGTCTAAAGTGTGTTTAGGTAGGTATTATCTATAGATATATGTGTATGTCTCTTACATGCTTAGGATGTAGTCTGCTTCGGTATTTCTGTGTGGGTATACATGGCATCTGAGTGTACATCTGCCTGTGCATTTAAATGTCTATATATGCAAGTACATTTATAGAGCTCTTTATGCATGGGCCTGTAATGGTTTTTTTTGTTTTTGTTTTTTGTTGTTGTTTTTTGAGGTGGAGTTTCACTCTTGTCGCCCAGGCTGGAGTGCAATGGCTCGATCTCGGCTCACTGCAACCTCTGCCTCCCGGGTTCAAGCGATTCTCCTGCCTCAGCCTCCCAAGTAGCTGGGATTACAGGCGCCTGCCACCACGCCCAGCTAATTTTTGAATTTTTAGTGGAGACGGGGTTTCACCATGTTGGCCTGTCTGGTCTCAAACTCCTGACCTCGGGTGATCCACCCGCCTCAGCCTCTCAAAGTGCTGGGATTACAGGCACGAACTGCCACGCCTTGCCTGTAATGGGGGTTTTGAGTGTGTCATCATTTAAGTGGGTGAAATCCTGTCTTGTTTGGGGGCTGTAGCCATGTCTAGGTGTACATATGTAAGTTTGTGGGACTGTATCTGTATTCACCTGTATTTATCTCTGCACGAGTCCAGGCATACAAAATGGCATCTGTGTCCATGTGGACGTTTTGTCCTTATGTTTACTGCTTGCAAATATTCATCTCTGTGAGCTTCTGCATGTCTATGTATCCATGTGTACATAATATACATATATTCACGCATTGGGTGTGAGTCGGTGTCTGTGCCTGTACATTCTTGCTTGTTAGATTAAGATGCCAGGCATCATTTAATCCTTACAACAGCCTCGAAGGCAGGGAACACCATCATCCCCAATTTATAAGTGAGGAGCTGAAGATTGGTGAATTAAAGTACCTTGCCTAAGGTCATATGGCCAGTAAGTGGCAGAGACAGAATTCAAAACCAGGTCTGACAGACACCAAACTCATATTCCTTGTGCTCTACCACAGAGCATTTCAATACCTAATGTGCCCAGGTAATAGCCCCAGGGAGTGGTAGAGCCAGGATTGGAAGCAGGCAAGTCTGCCTCTAAATTCTATGTTCTGAACCTTGATTCTTTCCTGAAGTTATCTCATTTAATCCTTGGAATAGTCTAAAAGTAAATATTGCATCCATGTTTACAAATAGGTAAACAGACTCAAAGAAATGAAGTTGGCTGGGCGTGCTAGCTAATGCCTGTAATCCCAGCACTTTGGGAGGCCAAGGCAGGTGGATCACCAGGTCAGGAGTTCGAGACCAGCCTGGCCAATATGATGAAACTCCGTCTTTACCAGAAATATAAAAAATTAGCTGGGTCTGGTGGCACGCACCTGTAATCCCAGCTACTTGGGAGGCCGAGGCAGAAGAAGTGCTTGAACCCGGGAGATGGAGGTTACAGTGAGCCGAGATTGCACCACTGCACTCCAGCCTGGGCAGCAGAGCAAGACTCCATCTCAAAAAAAAAAAGAAAGAAAGAAAGAAATGAAGTCACTTGTCAAAGCTCTGTGTGAGCATGTAGGCCCTCTCTCATATTCTGTGGAGCAAACAATATGGTGTTGGGTATTCAATGTAACTGACTGAGTTTGTCCCTTATGAAGTGAATCTGAATGTTCTAGAGTGAGCATACCTATCATGCTGCTTTTTCTAGGTGTTGTAAGGCCTTCCGAGTATTGTGTAACAAGTCTGGGAATTATGGGAGCTAGCTGTGAAATATGGGGCAAGTCTATGCGTTGTGGACTGAGCATGTGCGTTGTGGATTACATTTTCCCTGTATATGCCTGTTCCGCATCATGATATGAGTCTAAGGTATGAGTATATAACGACCATGAGGCAAGCCTGAGTGTTCTGGGGCTAGTTTCTCGGTGAAATGACATGTCTCTGTGTAGTGGTGCAAGGCTAGATGTTGTGGGTCAAGTCTGGTGAGGTGAGGTAAGTCTCAGTGTGGCAGAGAACATCTTTTTGTTACAAGGGAAGTCTCTTTGCATTGGGAGTTGGTTCTATGTGTTTTGGAATAATGAGCTTTATGTTTTGGCATGAGTCGTTCTGATAGGAAAGTGGGTGATGATCAAGTATGTGGGTTATTCAAAGTATAGGGAAGTGTAGGTCCTGTGAGGGAGTTTCTTGTGGTGCCGATCTGTGCCAAGTGGGATACATGTCTTCACTGCGAGGCTGTTCTCTACATTAAAAGAGACATATATAAAGGCCAGGTGCAGTGTCTCATGCCTGTAATCCCAGCGCACTGGGAGGCCGAGGCGGGGGGATCACTAGGTCAAGAGATGGAGACCATCTTGGCCAACATGGTAAAACCCCGTCTCTACTAAAAATACAAAAATTAGTTGGGCACGGTGGCGTGCGCCTGTAGTCTCAGCTACTGGGGAGGCTGAGGCAGGAGAATCGCTTGAACCCGGGAGGCGGAGGTTGCAGTCAGCCAAGATTGTGCCACTGCACTCCAGCCTGGTGACAAAGCAAGACTCCGTCTCAAAAAAAAAAAAAAAAAAGAAAAAAGAAAAGAAGAGGCATATATAAATGGCACATGGGAAAGCTGTGGATTGTCGTATATTTCTATATATTTTTTCTTTTTTCTCCTCAAATTCCTTTTTACCTCTCAAATTCCTTTTTACCATAGGCTATCTCTATAAAGCATGGACCCAGTTGGTCATCGGCATCTGGTTTGGGGTGAGCATGCTTTGTGGGAGTGATTCTAGGTGCTGTGACTTTTATGATTATGATTTTCTGGATTCAATTATATGCAGTGCTCGGGTAGTCTACAGAGTGTGGATCATGTCCTCACATTGTAGGGCATGTCCAGGTGTTGTGGTCTATACATGACAGTCTGTATATTGTGGGATATGTCTTGAAGTCATGCGGTGAGACTATATATTTTATGGGTTGATTCTGGACAGCTATAGTAAATCTCCATGTGATGGGGCAATCTTTGCATTTTATAGTGTGTCTCTGCGTTACAGGAAATCTATGTGTTTGTGGTTTGTTTTTTTTTCTGAGGGTGGTAGTCCCTCAGGAATGAGGCTCTGTCTGCACCTAGTATGGCATTTCTGGAACTTGCGGTCCAATTCTGTGCATTTTCGGGCAATACTATATGATACAGGCTGATTCTCGATGTGATATGAGGTGTGTCTTGGTGTTGTAAAGAGAATGTGGGTGGTTAGAGGCAATTCTGGGGTGCAGGCGAAGGTTGTGTTTGTATAATACTATAGGACCGCTCTGTGTGCTACAAGGTCAGCCTGCATTATAATGCAATTTTGTGTGTTGTGGGGTATGTCAAGTTATAATTAAGCATGTCTTGAACTGTGGGTTTTTGTGTTGTGTGATGGCTTGTTTTGTGGGGTGATTTCATGTGATAGGATGTGTCTGTGGATGACAGGGTGTGTGTCTCAGTGTTGTGCGGCAAATCTGTACATTGTGATGCTTGTTGTGAATTGTCACGTACATTTTTATGTTTTGTAGGTCACTTATTGGCGTTGTGGGGTGGTGTGAGGTTGTGATGAGATTCTGTGTGTTCTAGGAGAGTCTGAGTGTTGTGGAGCACGTTAGTGCACTGTGGGGAGAATCTCACATGGGTTGAGTCTGTATGTCTAATTTGATTCTAAGTGTTTTAGAGTAAGTCTGCATTTGGAAGAAAGTCTGAAAATGATGTGGCAATTCTGAGACTGTGGGGAATGTCTATGAATTTGCAAGATATTTTGTACATTGAAGGACACACCTTTCATTAGAAAGTTTTCCACGTTGTTGTGGGGGTAAGTACACTGTAGGCTGTATCTAGGGTTTCAGTCAAGGGTACCTCGTGGGGTGAGGCTGCATTGTAAAAGGCATGCCTGGTGAGGAGCGTATCCGTACAATATGGGGTAGGTCTTGATCCTGTGGTGCAAGTCTGTGAGTCCTGGGGTAATTCTGGGTGTTGGGGGGCACATGGTTTTTTGTGGGGCATTTGCATTGCAGAGTGATTTTGTGCATTTGGGGGTAAATCTGTGCATCAGAATGCAATTTTGTGTTTGTAGGAAAACCTTTCTGTCATAGGGTACATGTGTCCTCTGTAAGTTGTATCTAAGTACTGTGGAGTTAGTTTGTGCATTATAAGATAACATGTCTTTTTCTTTCTTTCTTTTTTTTTTTTTTTGAGACAGAGTTTCACTCTTGTTGCCCAGGCTGGAGTGCAATGGTGTGATCTCAGCTCAGTGCAACCTCCACCTCCCAGGTTTAAGTGAGTCTCCTGCCTCAGCCTCCCGAGTAGCTGGGATTACAGGCATGCGCCACCATGCCCAGTTAATTTTGTATTTTTAGTAGAGATGGGGTTTCCCCATGTTGGTCAGGCTGATCTCGAACTCCCAATGTCAGGTGATCCGCCCGTCTCGGCCTCCCAAGGTGCTGGGATTACAGGCGTGAGCCACCACGCCCGGCCTGTAAGACATGTCTTAATGTGGTGTGGCAAGACTGTGAGTTCATGGGTAAGGCTGGATATTTGGGATCTCTTCTTCTCATAGTGGAATAATTGTCTGTTGTAGAGTGAGGCTGTGTATTGTTAGGGAGATTTTTGCATTATGGAACTTATCTGTGGGTTATAGGGCATGTCCTGGTGTGAGTATGAGCAATACAGGGCAAGTCAGTTTCTTGTAGGTTCACTGTAGGCATTGTGAGGAATATGTGTAGTACTCTGGTACATGACTGGCTCTTCAGGCAACTTTAGGTGTTACGGTAATATTGGATTAGCTGTGGGGTAAGTCTTGGCATTTTGTGAATTTTTGCACTGTGAGGTAAAATTGTTCACGGTCGGGCGTGGTGGCTCACGCCTGTAATCCCAGCACTTTGGGAGGCCAAGGTGGGCAGATCACCTGAGGTCAGGAGTTCCAGACCAGCCTGGCCAACATGGTGAAACCCCGTCTCTATTAAAAATACCAAAAATTAGCCAGGCGTAGTGGCGGGCACCTGTAATCCCAGCTACTCAGGAGGCTGAGACAGGAAAATCGCTTGAACCCAGGAGGCGGAGGTTGCAGTGAGCCGAGATCACGCCACTGCGCTCCGGCCTGGGCAACAAGAGCGAAAATCCATCTTAAAAAAATAATAATTGTTCATTGTGACGGGGTTCCATGGGCTGTGCTGGGAGTCTTATGTCATGGAGCATGTATGACATAGTAAGTTGGTCTAGGTGTTGAGTGGTTAGTGTGGAAGTTATGGAGACACCAATGTGGGCTCATATGCATGTTGTGGAGTGTTTCTTGGTGTTGTGGTACATGTCTGTGTGTTTGGGTGCAGGTCTGGTGGCTCTGTGCATTCTGAGGTAATCATTTGCTTTGTGGGTAAGTCTCTGCATTGTGGGATAATGCTATAGGTAAGAGGGAAGGTCCGTGCATTGTAGAATGAATTTGAAAGTTGGGTAGAACTCCATACAGAGTGGGGCAAGTCTGTTTTCTGCAGTACATCTTAGACCTGCTGCACAAGACTATGCTGGCAGCGGGTGATGGGGAGGAAGGCAAGTCTGTGTTTGAGAATGTGAGCAGATGTTGTGTATCCATTAATTATGGAGTATATGTTTTGAGAAATGCTTATAAGTTCTTATGCAATACTTCATGGTTCTGAGAAATCTATATCTTACAAGGCATGTTTCTGTATTGTGAGGTGTATCCAGGAGGTGTGGAAGAAGCCGTATATCTTGGGTGGAGTGTCTGCTCTGATGCAATCTGGGGTGCTGTGAGGTAAGTCGCCATTGTAGGAAGAGCTCGTGATGTTATGGAATTCTGTGCATTGCTTAGGCAATGTCTACGTTGTGAAAGAGTTGTCTGTACATTGTAAGGTGTGTCTGGCCATTGGGTGACAAGTGTGAGCTGTGAATTTATTCTAAGTGAGGGCAAATCTACGTGTTGTGCTGCATGTGTTCTGGGGTGGGTTTATGCATTTTGGGATGAGTGTGAGTGTTTGGTGTAAATTTAGGAATTGTGTGATAAGTATGGGAGGTGAGTCTTTGTTCTGTAGGGTAGATCTGAGTTGGTTATAATTGTGCATTATGATGCCATTCTTTGGGGTCAGTGTATGTCGTGTAAAACGTTTGTGTATTTTGGGTGTGTCCATGTGTTGGAAGGCATGTGCGTGCGTTGTGGGGCATGGACATGTAAATATATTCTGTGGCCAGGCTGAGTGTTGCAGGGTAAATGTGTATGATATAAGGTACGTGTGGGTGCCATAAGGTAAGTCTGAAAGTAGTGAAGCGAGTCTGGGTGCTATGGAGCATGTCTTTGTGGTTTTTTTTTATTTGTGTGTGTTATGTGAGACAAGTGTTGGCAGTGTAGAAAAAGTTTGTGAATTGTGTGGCATGCCCCTGTATTGTAGGACATGTCTGTTAGTTGTGGATGATGTTTGTGTGTTTTGGGCTATGTGCGTATGTTGTGAAGCAATCAGTGTTATTGAGTGAGTATGAGTGTCATAGTGTGAGTCTGAATGCTGTGCAGCAAGTCTGGGTGTCATGGGATGTGTTTCTGCGTTGTCTGATTTGTCTGTGTTGTTCATCCTTTCTGTGTTCTGTGAGGTAAGCCTTCATGTTATGAAGACAAAAAGTTGTTTGGTAGGGCATATCTGTGGTTGTGGGCCACATCTGAGTGTTGCTCTATCAGTCCCTGTGATTCAAGGTAGGTATAGGTCAATGGGCCAAGTCTGTATATCATGGCGTAAGGCTGGGTATTTTGCAGCAAGTCTTCAAACAATGGGTATGTCTGGGTAGTGTAGGTTTCATTTGTGTGGTTCAGTGTTCATGTGTGTTGTGAGTCAAGTTTGGGTGTTACAGAGCTCCAAAAGTATTTCGTTGGGTTAATGTGCATATGATGGAGACAATCTATTTCTTTGGGGACATACCTGCGTATGCATATGGAATGTGTCTGTGTGTGTATGGAATGTGTCTATGTGTGTGTACGGAATGAGTCTATGTGTGTGCATGGAATGTGTGTGTGTGTGGAATGTGTCTGCGTAAGTGTATGGAATGTGTCTCTGTGTATGGAATTAGTCTGTGTGTGTGTATGGAATGTGTTTGTGTTTATGGAATATGTGTGTGTGTATGGAATGTGTTTGTGCGTATGGAATGTGTGTGTGTATGGAATGTGTGACTGTGTGTGTGTACGGAATGTGTGTGTGTGTATGGAATGTGTGTCTGAGTATGTGTACGGAATGTGTTTGTGTGTGTATGGAATGTGTGTCTGTGTATGTGTATGGAATGTGTGTGTGTTGGTATGCAATGTGTGTGTATGGAATGTGTGTGTATATGGAATGTGTGTGTGTATCAAATGTGTGTCTGTGTGTATGGAATGTGTCTGTGTGTGTATGGAATGATTCTGTGTGTGTGTATGGAATGTGTGTGTGTATGAATGTGTGTGTGTGGAATGTGTCTGAGTGTGTGTAATGGAATGTGTCTCTGTGTGTGTATGGAATGAGTCTGTGTGTGTATACGGAATGTGTATGTGTATATGGAATGTGTGTGTGTGTGTATGGAATGTGTGTGTATGGAATGTGTCTGTGTGTGTATATGGAATGTGTGTGCGTGTGGAATGTGTGCGTGTGTGTATGGAATGTGTCTCTGTGTGTATGGAATGAGTATGGGTGTGTGTATGGAATGTGTCTGTGTGTGTATGTAGGGAATGTGTGTGTGTATATGGAATGTGTCTGTGTGTGTGTGTACTGGATGTGTCTGTGTGTGTATGGAATGTGTGGGCATGGAACGTGTCTCTGTGTGTATGGAAGTGTGTGTACACGGAATATGTGTTTGTGTGTGTGTGTACAGAATGTGTGTCTGTGCGTGTATGGAATGTGTCTCTGTGTATGGAAGTGTGTGTGTGTATGGAATGTGTGTGTGGAATGTGTGTGTATGGAATGTGTGTGTGTATGGAATGTGTGTGTGTGTATGTATGGAATATGCCTCTGTGTGTGTATGGAATGTCTGTGTGTGTATGTGTGTGGAATGTGTGTATGTGTATGGAATGTGTTTGTGTGTGTGCATGGACTGTGTGTGTGTGTATGGAATGCATGTCTGTGTATGTGTATGGAAAGTGTGTGTGTGAGTATGGAATGTGTCTGAATGTGTGTGTGTATGGAATGTGTGTCTGTGTGTACAGAATGTGTCTGTGTATGTGTATGGAATGTGTCTGTGTGTGTATGGAATGTGTCTGTGTATGGAATGTGTGTCTGTGTGTACAGAATGTGTCTGTGTATGTGTATGGAATGTGTCTGTGTGTGTATGGAATGTGTCTGTGTATGGAATGTGTGTGTGTATATGGAATATATGTGCGTATCGAATGTGTGTGTGTGGGTATGGAATGTGTGTGTGTGCATACAGAATGTGTGTGTGTATGGAATGTGTGTCTGTGTGTGTGTATGGTGTGTGTCTGTGTATGGAATGTGTGTGTGTATGGAATGGGTAACTGTGCATGTGTATGGAATGTGTGTGTATGGAATGTGTGTGTATGTGTATGCAATGTGTGTGTATGGAGCGTGTGTCTGTTGCTATGGAAGGTGTGTGTATGGAATGTGTGTGTGTATGGAATGTGTGTGTGTGCATGGAATGTGTGTCTGTGTATGTGTGTGTGTATGTATGTGTGTATGGAATGTGTGTGTATGGAATATGTGTGTGTATGGAATGTGTGTGTGTGTTTGGAATGTGTGTATGGCGTGTGTGTATATGGAATGTGTGTCTATGTGTGTGTATGGAATGTGTGTATATGGAATGTGTGTGTGTATGGAATGTGTGTGTGTATGGAATGTGTGTGTGTTTATGGAATGTGTGTCTGTGTATGGAATGTGTGTGTGTGTATGGAATGTGTGTCTGTGTATGTGTATGGAATGTGTGTGTGTGTATGGAATGTTTGTGTGTATGGAATGTGTGTGTGCGTGTATGGAATGTGTGTGTATGTGTATGGAATGTGTGTGTGTGGAATGTGTGTGTATGTATGGAATGTGTGTGTATGGAATGTGTGTGTATGGAATGTGTGTGTATGGAATGTGTGTGTATGGAATGTGTGTGTGTGTGGAATGTATCGAATATGTGTCTGTGTGTATGGAATGTGTGTCTGTGTGTATGGAATGTGTGTGTGCACGTGTATGGAATGTGTGTGTGTGTATGGAATGTGTCTGTGTCTGTGTATGGAATGTGTGTATCATGGAACCAGCAGGGATCTTGTTGTATGACTTTCTGTAATTTGAGGTGAGTACTGCTGTATATCTGCACATTGCAAAGTTGTTCTGTATGTTTTCAATCCTTTTATATCTTTTGTGTGTGCTCTGAAGCAAGTCTTGGTGTGAGAGTGTCATGAAGTTTTTTTCTTTTCTTTTCTTTTTTTTTTTTTGAGATGGAGTTTCCCTCTGTTGCCCAGGCTGGAGTGTAATGGCACAACACTGCAACCTCTGCCTCCCGGGTTCAAGCGATTCTCCTGCCTCAGCCTCCCGAGTAGCTGGGATTACAGGCGTGTGCCACCACGCTCGACTAATTTTGTATTTTTAGTAGAGACGGGGTTTCTCCATGTTGGTCAGGCTGGTTTCAAATTCCCCACCTCAGGTGATCCGCCCGCCTCAGCCTCCCAAAGTGATGGGATTACAGGCATGAGCCATTGCATTTGTTTTGCCCGGCAAGTTTCTGTGTTGGGGGAAGGTTTGTTGGGTGTGGAGTATTTTCATGAGTTGCGGGGGCGAGTTTGCATTATGCCTGGCTGTTGTGAAGCTAGACTGGGTGATATAAGGCGTGTCTGGTTTTGTGGACTATCATGGGTTTCATGGGGTTAGATTTCATGTTGTGGAGGGAATCCGGGTGATATTTATGTATGTTAAGGATTTTGTCTGAGTGTTCTCCAGCATGTCAGACTTGTGCTATGAGGCGAGTCTTCGCACTGTAAAAGCAAGAAGGTATTTTATGGAGCTACTCTGGTGCTGGGGGGTAAATATGTGTGTCAGAAGATGATGCCTGTTACTTTGTAACAGATTCGGGTGATGAATGCTGTGTCTGTGAGGTTGTTTTTTTTTTTTTTTAACTGCAGGTGCACTGTCCAGCATTTCTCTGTTCAGTGAAGCTAGTCTTTTTCTTCTTGACACCAAAAAGGTGTTTGTGGGGACAGTGTGCGTGTTGTGTGATGAATTCATATATTAGAGGGCATGTTTGTTTATTGCGGGTATTAATTCTATCTTATCGGGCCAGTCTAGGTCCTGTGTTATGGGGTGACTCTGGATGTTATGAGGCATACCACTACACTCTGGGGTTTTCTGAACTTTGTCCATTGTTTCTATGTGCTGTGTGGAAAGTCTTGATGTTGTGAAAGCAAAAAGATGCTTTTTGTGGCCAGTCTGTAAGTTGTGAGAAGTCTCTTGGCTGTGGGCCATTACTGTGTATTGTAGGACAGTCTGGGTTGCCAGGCAAGTCTGATTGTTGGAAGGTGTTTGAGTGATATGTGATGTTTCTGGTTATGTGGGGCATGTCTGGGTGCTTTGGGGTAGGTCTAGGTATTTTGGGGGTAAATCCAGCTGTCACAGGAGAACCTGAGTGCTATGAGGCGAGTGTAAGTGTTATAGGGCATGTCTGTTATTTATGTGTTTTTTTCTGTATGTTATCTAACATTTTTATGTGGTCTAAGGTGTGTCTTAATGTTATTGAGGCAAGTAAGTATAGAGTCAGTCTATGTTATTAGGATGGTTTGTGTATTATGGAGCACGCCATGTGGTGTAAGGCAGGGGTCCCTAACCCCTGGGCCACGGACCAGTACCACTCCATGGCCTGCTAGGAACCAGGCCACACAGCAGGAGGCGAGCAGTGAGTGAGCAAGCATTACCACCTGAGCTCTGCCTCCTGTCAGATCAGCTACAGCATTAGATTCTCACAAGAGTGTGAACCCTATTGTGAACCGTGCATGAGAGGGATCAGGGTTGTGCACTCCTTATGAGAATCTAATGCCTGATGATCTGAGGCAGAACAGTTTCATCCCAAAACCACCCCTCCCACCTCACCCCCAGTCCGTGGAAAAACTGTCTTCCACAAAAGTGGTCCCTGGTGCCAAACAGGTTGGGGACTGCTGTAAGGCGTGCTCTGGTGTCACAAGGCATGTATTCTTGTTGTGGTGCATTCTGGAGTTTTGCAGGGCCATTCTGGGTGTTGTGTGGCAAATCTAGGTATTACAGGCACATATCTTAGTGCTGCAGGACTTGGTTGTGTATTTTCCAGCATCTGTGTGTGTTCTTAAGAAACTGTCAGTGTTGTGGAGACAAGCAAACATTTTGGGGGTCTTTGTATGTATTGTGTGGATAGTCTTGTCTAGTTGTTAGGGGACAAATCAGACTATTGCAGGTCAAGTCTGGCTATTGCAACGTAAGTCTGGTGACATGGGGCAATTAGGGTTAGGTGGGGGTAGATCTGGATGTGATGTGTTAGTCTGAGTGTCTCAGGGTAAGTCCCTGGGTTGGTGTGTTGCAGTGAGATTGTGTGTTATGAAGTGACTTTGGGTGTTGTAGGGCATGTCTGTGCATCGTGGGGTTTTACGCATGTTTTGCTCAGCACTTCTGCGTGCTCTCAGCTAAGCGTTGGTGTTATGAAATAAAAAACCTATTTTTCAGGACCAGTCTTTGTTGTCTGGAAATTATATGTATGATGGGACACGTCCATGTATTTTGGGGAAGGCCTGGGTGTCATGGGATAAGTTCAGTTGTCCCCAAAATATACGGACATGTCCGATAATACATACAATGTTGTGATTCTGTGTGGCTTGGAGAAGTTGGCATGTGTTACAGCAAGTCTTAGTATTGTGAATCATATCTGTAATTGTAAGAAGTGTCTGTATTGTCCAGCGATTCTATGCACAGGGAGGTAAGTGTTGGTGTTATGGAGCAAGAAAGTGTTTTGTGGGATTAGTCGTTATGTTGTAGGAAGGATTTGTATATGTAGGGTTATGTCCATATACTGTGGCTCCTATTTGGGTGTTCTGGAGCTAGTCTGGTTTCTGGGGGGTCATTCTAGGTGTGGCATAATGTATCTCTATGTTTCAGATGAGTCTCAGTGTTACAAGACAAGGCTAGTTGAAGTGGGGTATGTCCAGGCCTTGTTGAGTCTATGTGTATTTTTGAGCATTTCTTCTGATTTTAAACTAAGTTTTGAAGAGACAAGGAAGTGTTTTATGGAGACAGTTTGTGTGTTAAAGGTAGAGCCTGTGTAGTTCCATGTGTTGTAAGGCATGTCCATGCATTGTGGTTCTATCCATGCATTGTGGAGCATGTCCATGGGTTGGCAGACTAATCTGGGATATGAGTTTTTTTTTTTTTTTTTGAGACGGAGTCTTGCTCTGTCGCCCAGGCTGGAGGGCAATGGTGCGGTCTTGGCTCACCGCAACCTCCGCCTCCCAGGTTCAAGCGATTCTCCTGCCTCAACCTCCTGAGTACTGGGATTACAGGTGCCCGCCACCATGCCCGGCTAATTTTTGTATTTTTAGTAGAGTCAGGGTTTCACCATGTTGGCCAGGCTGGTCTCAAACTCCTAACCTTGTGATCCGCCTACCTCGGCCTCCCAAAGTGCGGGGATTACAGGCGTGAGCCACCACACCTGGCCTGGGATGTGAGTCTTTAAAATGTAAAATGGATCTGGGTGTTTCCGGGCGAGTCTAGGTCTTGTCCAGGAAGGCTGTGTGTTGCAGAACATATCTGCACATTGTGTTTCTCTGTATGTGGACCATCCTTTGTGGGATGTGCTGCTGTGAGGGAAGTCGTGGCAGGAAGAAGCTATTTTGTGTGGCCAGTCTGTGTGTTAAAAGGAGAGACTGAGGCCAGGCGTGGTGGCTCACGCCTATAATTCCAGCACTTTGGGAGGCCGAGGCAGGTGGATCAGCTGAGGTCAGGAGTTCGAGACCAGCCTGGCCAAAATGAAACCTAGTCTCTACTAAAAATACAAAAATTAGCTGGGCGTGGTGGTGCACACCTGTAGTCCCAGCTACTGGGGATGCTGCAGCAGAAGAATCGCTAGAACCTGGGAGGCAGAGGTCGCAGTGATCTGAGATCATGCCACCGCACTCCAGCCCGGGCAACAGAGTAAGACTCCATCTCAAAGAAAAAAAAAAGGAGTGACTGTTTATCGGGTATTGCTGTGTGTTTTGGGTCACATCTGGGTGATATGGGGTGTGTCGGTGTGTTGTAGAGCAAGTCTGTGTGTTATGGAGTATATATGTGCATTCTGAAATATTTTAATTTGTGTTGTCAAACAAGTTTGTATTTTATGAAGCACATCTTAGTGTTGTATAGGGAAGACAGTATTTTGCTGGACCAGTATTTATGTCACGGGGATAATGTATGTGTTATGGCACATGTCCTGGTTTCTTGTCTGTTAATTGTAGTCAAGTTTATGTGGTGTGATGCTGTTCTGCATATTGGAGAAGTCTATGGCTTGTGGATTGTTTCTAGAGATTTTGAAGTGAGTTCCTTGTGTTGTGGAGCCAATGTGGTGTTCTGGGGTGAGTATGTGTATTGTAGAGCACGTATGTGTATGATAGAGTGCATTTGCTTAAACTGAGATGAGTCTTTTCATGAATGAGTTTCTGTTTGTTGGGTATGTTGTGCATTGTAGCGTGTCTAGCTGTTGTGTGATAAGTCTAGGTGTTATGCAGAAACTCTATATGATAGATGCTTCTAGGCGTTACGGAATAGGTACAGTCAGGCTGGGCGCGGTGGCTCATGCCTGTAATCCCAGCACTTTGGGAGACAGAGATGGGTGGATCACCTGAGGTCAGGAGTTCGAGAACAGCCTGGCCAGCATGGCGAAACCCCATCTCTACTAAAAGTACAAAAATTAGCCGCTTGTGGTGGCGGGCCTGTAATCCCAGCTAGTCGGGAGGCTGAGGCAGGAGAATTGCTTGAACCCAGGATGCGGAGGTTGCAATAAGCCGAGATCACGCCACTGCACTCCAACCTGGGCAACAAGAGCGAGACTCCATCTCAAAAAAAAAAAAAAAAAGAATAGGTGCAGTCAATATGGGATGGGTGTTATAGGAAAAGAGCGGTGAGAGTATTCACTATGATGCAATTCTGTGCTTTATGAGGGATATTCTATGCATTGTGGGTTGATTCGAGTTGTTTTAGATTGAGTCTTACCTTTATGGTCCAATTTCGTGTGGAGTAATGACAACAATGACAACCTGATCAGGTAACACCAATAACGCTGACTCTTTACCAAGCATTGCTCTAAACACTTTATAGGCATTAACTCATTTATTCCTCTTTTTTTTTCTTTGAGACGGAGTTTCGCTCTTGTTGCCCAGGCTGAAGTGCAATGGCATGATCTTGGCTCACCGCAACCTCTGCCTCCCAGGTTCAAGCGATTCTCCTGCCTCGGCCTCCCAAGTAGCTGGGATTACAGGTGTGTGCCACCACACCCGGCTAATTTTGTATTTTTAGTAAAGATGGGGTTTCTCCATGTTGGTCAGGCTGGTCTCGAACTCCCGACCTCAGCTAATCCACCCGTCTCGGCCTCCCAAAGTGCTGGAATTACAGGTGTGACCCACCACGCCCAGCCCATTTATTTCTCTTAACAGCTATAAGAGGTAAGTACCCCTATTACATTATTATTCCTAACAAGTAGCTGAGAAAACTGGGGCACAGAGAGTTCAAGAAACCTTTCCGAGGTCACACAACTAGTAAGTGATGCATGTGGGATTGGAACTCAGACAGTCTGAGACCTGAATATAAGCTTTTAACCATTGTAGAGCAAGTTTTATATCATGTGGGTTGAGACTAGATGAGTTGAGGCTAGTCTTTGTCTTGTGCCAGTCTGGGCGTTGTGTGGTATTAGCATTGTGGGCGTGGGTTTGCTTTGTGGGAGTCTGGGTGTTTTCGTGCAAGTCTGCATGTTATGGGATGAGTGTGTGTGTCTGTTGTGATATGACGCTGTGCAGTTGGGATGGTTTTGTGTTTAGGGGTGATCTCTGCATGTTAGGACTTATCTAGGTATTACAGAGCAAATCTGTGTGGTATGGGGCCTGGTCATACGTGTGGCAGTGTTCGGTAAGTCAGATTTATGGGCAACTTAGGCGATGTGGGGCATGTAGTTCTTTATGGGACAAGCATGAGGTAAGTGTAAAATGCGTTGTGGCCAGGGGCGGTCGCTCACGCCTGTTATCCCAGCACTTTGGGAGCCTGAGGCAGGTGGATCACGGGGTCAGGAGATCAAGACCATCCTGGCCAACATGATGAAACCCTGTCTCTACTAAAAATACAAAAAAATTAGCCAGGCATGGACGCGCCTGTATTCCCAGCTACTCGGGAGGCTGAGGCAGGAGAATTGCTTGAACCTGGGAGGCGGAGGCTGCAGTGAGCCGAGATTGCGCCACTGCACTCCAGCCTGGGCAACAGAGTGAGACACCGTCTCAAAAAAAAAAATGTTGTGGAATGGGGGCTCTGTGTTATCATGTGATGCTGCCAATTTTAGGAGCATGTATTTAGGAACATGTTTGTGAAGAGCAGGGGTATCCACATGTTGTGAAACAAAAATATGTGTGATAGGGTGTGTTTGTATGATGTAGGGCATATCTATGAGGTTAGGATGTGTGTGTGTCTGTGTGTGTGTGTGTGTGTGTGTGTGTGTGTGTGTATGTTGTGGGCCTGTGCCTTGTGGGGTGAGGTTGGGTACAACACACAGCCTGGCTTCCAGTCTGGGTATTGTGGGATGTGTTATAGAGCAAGCCTGTGCACAAATTTGTTACTAGTGATGCAATTCTGTGTGTTGTGAGTGATATCTGGTTAGGGTTCTGGTCTGTAGGGTATGTGGGTACTATGGCGGGGTGTCTGTGTGCTGTCGAGTGTTTCTAGACGTTCTAGGGCTAATCTATATATTATATGGTGAGCCTTCTTGTTGTCAGATGATTCTAGATATCTGGGGTAGGCCTTTTTTGTTTTGGTAGTAATGATAGTGATGGTTGTAATATACATTAACAATTCTAATAGTCACTATGTACCAGGCACTGTACTAAGCACTTAACAAATCTTAACGTATTTATTACTCACAACAACTCTTTGAAGTAGGCACTACTCTTATCTTTGTTTTACAGTTGCACAAACTAAAGAACAAAGAAATATACTTACCCAAGGTGATACAATCAGCAAGGGACGGGACCTTGATTCAAACCCAGTTAGTATGGGTCTAGAGGCCTTGCTGGTAACTATTACACAAGCTGTATTTCTGTTGTTGTAGGCCAGAGTTGTAGCTCAACAGCATGGAAAAGCACGTCTGTCCACCGTGATGGAAATCTTTACATTGTAGGAGTAATATGTGTGTTGTGTGTCTAGCCGACTGGGAAATGTTTATGTGCACTGTCAGTTTTGCACTGTAGAGTAAGTCTGTGTTATGATGCAATTCTGTGCATTGTGGAAGCAATCTATGTGTTTACACGCATCACTGTGAATCATAAGGCACATCTAAGTATGGGGGATGTGATTTAGTATGTTACAGAGTAAGTCTGTGCCCTGAAGGGCTTGTCTGTACATTTAGGGTGAGTCTCAGTGCTCGGTGGTGTTTGTGTGAGTTGTGAGGCAAGTATGTATATTGATAGGTGAATCTGTGCATTTTGGTGAATTTCTGTGCATGGCTTGGCATCTCCTGTTTTGTAGGCAGCAGCTTGAGCAGTGAAAACGGTCTATGTGCTTTGGGGTAAACCTAAGAGTGACATAGCAAATAGTTTCATATATTTTGGGATACATGTTTGCATTGTATAGGCACTATAAGAAGTGTTTTTTGTTGTTGTTTTCTTGTTTGTTTCTTTCTTTCTTTCTTTTTTTTTTAGACGAAGTCTCACTCTGTTGCCCAAGGTGGAGTGCAATGGCATGATCTCGGCTCACTGCAACCTCCACCTCCTGGGTTCAAGTGATTCTCCTGCCTCAGCCTCCCGAGTAGCTGGGACTACAAGCATGTGCCACCATGCCCGGCTAATTTTTTTGTATTTTTAGTAGAGACGGGGTTTCACCATGTTGGACAGGCTGGTCCTGAACCCCTGACCTTGTGATCCGCCCGCCTCGGACTCCCAAAGTGCTGGGATTACAGGCATGAGCCACCCACCTGGCTGTGTTTTTTGTGTGTGAAGTAAATCTGTATGGCAAATGTGTGCCTGACATTTCTGAGCACTGTGGGCTTAGAGTGTTATGCTGTGGGATGTGTTTGTACGCTGTGGGTTGCATCAGTATTGTGGGATGGGTGAGGGTATCCTGGATCACATCTGTGACTGTGCCCAAAAGGGTGGGTCTGAATACCTTAAAGAAAGATTAGGTGTCTCTACAGCCTGAGTGTGTCTGTTGTAGAATAAATCTGTTGTAGAGCCAGTTTTTCCTGCTATGATGCCAAGCTGTACATTGTCAGGTATGTCTATTTATCAGAGTGTGTCTGAGGAGTTTGAGTTGTATTTTGGTGATGCAGGGACACAGCATGCATTGTGTGGTAACTCTGGGGTAAGGTCTAGATATTTTAGGGCAAATGAGTGAACTCTGGAGCAAGTAATTGTTTTTTTTTGTTTGTTTTTGTTGCTGGGTTGTTTTTTTTTTTATTTTTTTATTTTTTTTGAGGCAAAGTTTTGCCCTTGTTGCCCAGGCTGGAGTGCAGTGGCACAATCTTGGCTCACTGCAACCTCCGCCTCTTGGGTTCAAGCGATTCTCCTGCCTCAGCCTCCGGAGCAGCTGAGATTACAGGCATGCACCACCATGCCCGGCTAATTTTGTATTTTTAGTGGAGACGGGGTTTCTCCATGTTGGTGAGACTGGTCTCGAACTCCCAACGTCAGGTGATCCACCTGCCTAGGCCTCCCAAAGTGCTGGGATAACAGGCGTGAGCCACCGCGTCCGGCTGGAGCAAGTATTTGTATTGTGTGGTGAGTGTGTCTTTTGTGACATGAATTTGTGCACTGTAGGACAAGTTTGTGTGCTGTGGCACAATTGTGTGCATCAAGGAGTGATATATGTTGTAAGATGTACCGTTGCATGTCTCTGTGGTGGGGTAAACTTGTCTGAAAGCTATAGGGAGAGTCTCTGTAGTATGGGTTTAGTCTGTGCTTTGCGGGGTGACTCTACGTGCTCTGCAGAGTGTCTGTGTGGTGCTGGGCAAGTCTGTGTCCTGAGGTGATGGTCTGTGGCCTATGGTGCTTGTCTGTACACAATGGGGTGAGTCTGTCTGTTGTGGGAGAGTCTTTGTGTCATGATGCGGGTCTTCAAGCTGTCTCATGAGTCTATTCTCGGGAAAGTCTGTTTCATTGGCAAGAGTCCCTGTGCTCTAGGACGAGTCTATGGTCTGTGGTGAGAGTATGTGATGTCAGGGGTGTCTGTGTGCCCTGGGGAGAGTCTGTTTGCTGTGGGAAGAAGCTGTACACTCTAGAGAAAGTCTGTGTGCTGTGGGGTGAGTCTACTGGCCTTGAGAGTATGTGTGCTTGTCGGGGAAGCCGTGTTCTATGGGGTAAGTCTGTATGCTGTGTGTTTCCTAAAATGGGTTCGTGTGATGTGGGAACAGTGTGTGATGTTGGGATTGTCTGTGTGTCATAGTAGAGTCCTTATGGGGGGGCAAGTCTGTGTCATGCGGGGTGCATCAGTGTGCCTCAGGTGAGTCTCTGCATTAAGCAGTACATACGTGCCTCTGGGAGAGTCTAATGATACGGGGATTGGGGTGTCCATGTGTTCTGGGGAACATCTTTTTGCTGTGGTGCTTGTCGGTGTGCCTTTGGATATGTCTGTGTACTGGAAGGCAAGTGTGTGTACTGTGAGAAGAGTCTAGGTGCTGTGGGGGTAAATGTGTTTGTGTTATCTGGTCAGTGTGTGCATTAAAGGGTGAGTTTGTATACTGCGGACACAAGTCTGCTTCCAGGCAAGTCCCCCTTAGTATCTACAAATAATAATAGACAACACTTACATAATGGTTACTATGTGCCAGACACTGTTCTAAACATGCTGTTAGCATCCCCATTTTACATCTGAGGAAACGAAGAGATTTAAGTAACCCGTCCCACAGTCATGCAACTAGCAAGCAGCCGAGGTCTGAAACCAGGCAGTCTGTTTCCTGTTCTCATACTATTATGATTCCCCTCGGGGCCCTGAGGGCATCGGTGGCCTCAAACCTTAGAAAGCCTTCGTGGTCACTGGTGAGCATATAGAGAGCAGTTAATTTGGGAGGAAAGAAAAGGAGTGGCTAAAAGCCTTCCAAGCTTTATTTAAAAAAAAAAAAATGCTCCATATACAGTAACGATGGCAGTTTAGCTCAGAAAAACTGACGTCATGTCTGCCAAATAACTCCAGCCACTGCGGCCCTCAGGACCCCTCCCCTGGCCCCACAGCCGCATTCTGCTACTGCAGTGGAGCAAATGCGCATGCACTGGCGAGCTGCCATTGCCAGGGAAACCAGCCTCCTCATAAACAAAACACAGTCTAATGCGGCAAGTCAGGAAACTACTGGGACTGAGGCTGTGAGCCAAAGGAGCCCCTTGCAATAACCGCAGGCAAGGCAGCCTCCCACTCACGCGCCATCCTCCCCCCGCCCTTTTTTTTCCCCCCCAGAATCAGTAAAGCTAAGAGGCCCGGTGCAGAAGTCAATAGAGAGAGAAAGCTTCGTTGGGGGCCCGGGAGAGGGTTGGTAATAGGTAGCAAGTGATTTTAATTGTCAGATTTCTCTGGGCAATATTTAACCCATCTCCTACTAAAAAACTCCTTGCCTTATGTCTTGAGCCTTACACCTGCAGTGAAAAGAGGTGGCTCACTGGGGTGTGTCCCTATCTAGAAGAGGTAGTGGCAGTGGTGGCATGGGTTAGGACTCACCCTAGCTCCTTTAAATCCCTACATGAGACTACGGCCAGCAACAGGCTGGCAAACATTATTTACTTCTACTCCTCATACATTTCTTGTATTTCCCTCTTATATCATTCTAGAAAATTCCAAGAACTGAGTCGAGCCAACTTTAACTCTTTGAGTATCTGAAGAGTAAAAAAAAAAAAAAAAAAGAGGTTGAAGGAGGAACTTTAACCCCGGGGGTATTTTTTTTTTTAACACACAATTGGGATATCAGGTGCGCCTAAGAGGAATAGCACACCTGAAACCGTGGTTTCATATATTTGGATTCCTTAATTTTAATTTGCAACAAGAATGTGACAAACTTAACATATTTAAAATGAAAAAAAAAATCCTGTTTAAAATACTGCCCTAATCTGCATGTGCCTAGGATTTTTGAAACGCACAAGCACAAACATGGTGCTCTAGTATGCTGTCAGAAGCTGCAGGAAGGTAGGAGTACCATTGCAAAATGTAACCATCTTGGGTAAAGAGAAAATGGCCGACCTGTGGAAAGCTACACCCTATCTAATGGAAGAACAGTTGTTGCGTTGGATTATTCAATAAGTGATGCTGAAACAATCGGTGACCTATTAGGGGGAAAAAAAATTAAATCCTACTGTATACCATATATCAAAATGAATTCTAGGTGGATTAAGGAGTTAATTGTAAAAAATGAAGCAATTAAATAACTAGAAAAAAATACAGGTGAATACACTAATCAAAGGAAAGAAAAAAATCACAACACTTAAAATGGTCAGATATGGAAATCTAACATGTAAAACTGTAAAATATCAAAAAATCACCACCATAAATGGTAAAAATTAATAGGAAAACAATGGCTGGAAAATAATGTTTATACCACATATAATAAATAAATTAGGTGATAGGTGTTGGGGGGAAGAAACCTTAAATTGTTTCATACCATTTGATCCAGGAATTCCATGTCTACGAATTTTTCCTAGGGAGAAAAAACCAGAAAAGCACACAGATATTTATATGGAAAGATATTCCTTCAGTTATTTATAACAGCAAAAATAATGCACATATAAACATTCAATAATTGGACATTTAGTGGGACATCTATATGATAGAAAATTATACATCCACAAAACACCACATTCTTGTGGAATATTTTAAAATATGGGGAATTGCTCCCAATATATATTTAATGGATCAAACAGGCTAAAAATTGTATGTACATGTGATCTTCATTTTGTATAAAATATATATTTCTATGCATTTATTTGCATATATTCAGAGAAAAGAGACTGACAGTAATAAGATTAATAGTAATTATCTCTAAGTTACGGGATTATGGGTAATTTTTATAATCATCTTTACATTATTCAAAATTTACTACAATGACTATGATATTTTTATAATAAAGGGGAAAACATCATTTTTAATATTTTAGTAAGTGTATAAAAGCACTGGAAGCACAGAGAGGAAGGCGTAGAAGCAAAGACAAAATACCAATATACACCAGTGGAGGATCACGCAAAACGAGCTCATTATGTACTACAGAAAGATTATAGCATTATTTGCATGTCAGTATGTATAGAATGTCTTATACAAGATGGAGTCCTGGCAAATTTTCTTCGCTACACCAGAGAATGGTCACATGTCCCTGGATGCGTCAGTCACTCTCTTTGCCGCAGTGCTCTGTTCAACACCCCCTCCCTTTGCCTCCAGTATGTTCTCTCCCTTTCCCTCTGCAAAACATGCTACCAGCAGACATGTTCAACTTGGGAAAATGGCCCATCTTGAGGACTTTCTTTTAAGCTTTTTCATTCTTATTTTTCCTCCTTGATTGCTGCTGCTTTGTCATCTAACTCAAAAACGAAATCTATTTATCTATCATTTTTCTTTTCCTCACGTTCAAGGGCCAGTTTGAATTTCAAAGGAATAAACCACCACTTCACTTTTTTTTTTCGTTTTTCTTGCAGAAACAGAGCTACAAAAGCTCTGTTTTCAGGAATGTTTCAGAAACAAACATTAAAGCTTCGTTGATAAGAATCTCTGCTATCCATCTCACATCCCTTTTCAAAAAAAGAAGCACCGAGAACACTCTTGTCTTTACTGTATAAATCGCTGTCCAAAAATACAAATTAATTTTTTCCAATGAAAGCACGATCATAATATTCATTATTACTTTTTCATGATTTTTTCATCCTAAAGTCAAATTTTAATGTTTCTCATTGAATACACTTTCATATCTCACATGAAGCAATCAATCTGAACATTATTACAAACTGCCCTCTTCCTCATTTTCTCTCTAGTACAGACATCCCGTCACACGACTTTCTTAATTTAAAAAAATGAGGCATCGTATCCTTTTCTGCATTGCAAAGTAATATTTTTCTTATGCTCTCCCAGCACTGAGAAAATAAACCAGGTTTGAGAACATCTTGAATCATAACCCATTTCATCACGTCAAATACAAATATCGTAAAGCTGAGGTACAATTCTGAAAGCAATTCTCCAATTTAGTAACATCTTCATTAAATCTTATTTTAGGAAATATTTTACAAGAATCACAAGGGGAAAGTTTCTATATTGCCTCCTAGCAACTCCATCATTTAAGAAACAAGCTTTAAACTAGAAAAATGACCAGGGAATATTTAGAATTTAATTAATCCATTTCCCAATGCTGCTGATTAGAATCAGAGATTCCTACACAATTTTGCATTATTCTATTCCCTCAAAACATGTCGCTTGCTTTAAAAATCTTAGTCTGGATATCTATTTTACAAAATATTTCTCAGCTACTTACCAGTGGCATGCTGTCTCCCCACCAGCTCTGAGGCTGTCTGTCGCACTGAAGGAGTGGGGGCAAACAGCAGCGCAACAGCCACTTGGAAATGAGATGTACTCTGAAAAAAAGGGATTATCCCTATGGAAAGAAATGAAATGCCTTGAGATTATCCTCAAAAATTCTCCAAAAACATGAAATCATACTAAACATTATATGCTAAAATGTGCATGCTCTTCAAAGGGCAGATTTTAATAGCTAAACCTCTAATCCAAAACACACTTAAGTTGCCTTGATTTCCAGAGGAACCCCTACAAGACTATGAGCTTTTGGCTCTCCCGTCTCCTAGCAACAGTCTCATTAACTTTTTTTTTTTTCCTGCAGTGGTCCTACTAGGCATCAGAGAACATTGACAAGGTCTAGTCTCTGAGGATGAACATTACCATTTTGTTGTTCAATATGTGTTTTCTCCCAGGCAAGTAATAAGGAAAGTTAGAAATTCAAATAACAAAGTCCCCAGAAGATTTCTGATTCAAATGACATTCCACAATGAAAAGCAGAAAATTTTTTGGTTCCCTCACTTGGTACAATGCTGTCGGTAGAACCCTGTTCTAATATGAATGTGCTCAATGCTACCAAACTGTACAGTTAAAATCAAGTGGAAATTTTTTGTTACATATTTTTCCTACAATAAAAAAGAGAGAAAGAACGATTCATTCACTCCACAAATACGTGTCGTGCAACAAAATGAGGTATTCCTGTAATACCACAGTCAAAATATGGTGGTGGGGACAGGGATTATAAAAGTGAATAAAAAATAGTCCATCCTCCCTTTATAAGTTCATAAGGTAATAATATGCACAGGCTGCAAAATAGAAGTATTTTGTCGAAGTTATTCTTTTTTTCATCAGTTTTGGGTAACGTTATCATTAGAATTGTTACATAATCTGCCCCAAAATACTGGACTCCCGATGGGTGGAAGAAGTAAAGAAACACATATATAATGTTAAAATATACAAACATATATTCGTACATCTCAACTGATCATGCACACTTATCTTTACAGTGTAGCTTTTAGAAAATTTTTACTTCTATTTTCACAAATGTATTCACTTCAGAACAACTTTTCAACATTACATCATTACATAAACTGCTTTTAAAACTAATTTAATTTCTGCCAGATAGGAAATATGTGGCAATCCAGTTCAGTACCTTATAATAAAAAAAGATCAGTACCTTTATTATGTATTTATTATAGGTCAGGCACTTTTCTAAGTACCAGGTGATGAACCTGAAAAGACTAAGTAACAGAACGAGGATACCAACCTTTCTTACTTAAAGCTCAAGCTCCTCATCACATCATTGAATCACAAACATCAGAGTTCTTCTAAATCACCTGGAGTGTTAATTTTTTAAAATGAGGACTAAAGGGACCTATTCCCAAGTATTCTGTTTTGGCAGGCTAGGGACAAGCCCAGAAATCTGTATTTTTAACAAACGTCATCATTTGGTTCTGACCAGAAAACTTAAATATAATCTGTATTATTGGTAATGTTATTGGAGAAGTAAATTCTAAAACTATGACACATACATACATACACACACACACACACACACACACACACACACCACGTGTGTATATTCTGCATGGTTAGAACAAACGAGTAAATGCATTTTTTGGGGGTATTTTTGGAACCAGAGTTCTCACTATAGGAGAAAGGAGATACAAATATGAATCTGAGAAAGTGAAGAGAATCCTAAAGAAACCTTTGGTGACGGATTTGAATCGGAATTTTTAGTATGAACTCATGATTTCCTAAGACAAATCTTACTAGGTCTGTCCACAGAAAGGAGGCAATGACACTCCAGTAGCAATTAATATGACACACCAGCAGCAATGAGTACATCTAATGCCCAGGTATTAGTTTCTAAATACTGTTGTCTACTAAAAGAAACCAAGGTTTACTGGAAAAATAGCTGACGCTATACATGGGGCAGGAAAAATACAAGTGAACTTGAAGTATCTTGTATTATAAGCCAAAAAGCACTTGAAGAATGATGAGAACACATCAAAAAGACACAGGAGATGTCTTGAAAGGGCTCTCACTGGCTAACTCTGGTACAATTTGATCATCAAAAGGAATAATAATGGTCGTTGACTATAAAACATAGAATAAAAAAATCCGTGAGTCCACAGTGATAGTAAAAAAGAAAAAGTGGTAATGGAGAGGGTAACTGCTTTGTTCTAAAAGAATAACAGAAAAGAAAAGAAACTGCTTTTTTCTAAAAGGAGATATATTTGTAAGGAATGACAGAATTTGTAACTGACCATTTAGAAACCTTCAGTATAGGCCGGGCACGGTGGCTCATGCCTGTAATCCCAGCACTTTGCCTGTAATCCCAGCACTTTGGGAGGCCGACACAGGTGGATCTCCTGAGGTCAGGAGTTCGAGACCAGCCTGGCCAACATGGTGAAACTTCGTCTCTACTAAAAATACAAAAATTAGCTAGTCATGGTGGCAGGTGCCTGTAATCCCAGCTACTCGAGAGGCTGAGGCAGGAGAATTGCTTGAACTCTGGAGGCAGAGGTTGCAGTGAGCTGAGATCGCGCCACTACACTCCAGCCTGGGTGACAGAGAGGGACTCCGTCTCCGAAGAAAAAAAAAAAAGAAAAAAAGAAAAGAAAAGAAAAGAAACCATCAGTATAATAACAGGTTTAGGCAAGAATCGTCAATGCATACCAAAACCATTAGGCAAAACACCGGGGAAGAGAATATTCACAGGACTTTTAAGTATTGCCCATAGGCTACTAATTAAATATAAAAGAGAAAAATGTGCATTTTCAATGGAGTGATTTGGAATACCCCTGCCTTAACTGATTAAACTTCATGTCACCAATAATAGCACAAACTGAAATGTGCCTTTTGATGTGATGAAATGGGAAGCACACGTCATCTATTTAAGTACTAGCCAAAAATATTTTATCTGAAGAATCAATCATTAAATCCAGATTGTGGAACAATCTAGAAGACAGCTGGCCTGAACCATCAAACTATTTTTAAAAAGTGGGAGGGCAGGGAAACTATCCTAGATTAATGAAGATTAAAAAGATACAACTACCAAATGCAATGTAGCAATAGGTTAATCATTGGTAAATCTAGGTCAAGTATACACAGGTGTTCACTGTGTTATTTTTTGAGCTTTTCTGTAGGCTTGAAGTATTTTAAATGAAAAAAAAAATTAATGGCCTGGCGCGGTGGCTTATGTCTGTAATCCCAGCACTTTGGGAGGCAGAGGCAGACGGATCACCTGAGGTTAGGAGTTCAAGACCAGTCTGGCCAACATGGTAAAACTCCATCTCTACTAAAAATACAAAAATTAGGGCCAGGCACGGTGGCTTACACCGATAATTCCAGCACTTTGGGAGGCTGAGGCAGGTGCATGACCTGAGGTCAGGAGTTCGAGACCAGCCTGACTGATATGGTGACACCTCATCTCTACTAAAAAATACAAAAATTAGCTGGGTGTGGTGGTGTGCGCCTGTAGTCCCAGCTACTTGGGAGGCTGAGACAGGAGAATTGCTTGCACCCAGGAGGCGGAGGTTGCAGTGAGCCAAGATCGAGCCACTGCACTCCAGACTGGGCGACAGAGCGAGACTCTGTCTCAAAAACAAAAGAACAACAAAATTAGCTGGGCATGGTGGCAGGCACGTGCCTGCTATTGAGGAGGCTGAAGTGGGAGAATCGCCTGAACATGAGAGGCAGAGGTTGCAGTGAGCTGAGATCGTGCCACTGCACTCCAGCCTGGGCGACAGAGTGAGACCTCACCTCAAAAAAGAAAAAGAAAAAAGAAAGAAAAAGAAAAAAATTATTAAAAGGTAAATTTAGAAAATAAAGAGGAAAATACTTTCAGAAAAAGAATTATTGCACAATAATTATATTTAAAGTTAAAATTCATATACATTTTGAAATTAATGATAATCAGGTTTGTAATTCCTAAGTTAGAGAAAGAACTTTCCATACTGACCAGATGGAGGATGAACACAACTGGTCTTCCATATCCACGAGTTCTTCATCTGTGAATTCAAAATTGAAAATATTTTTTAAAAATCCATCTGCACTGGACATGTATAGACTTTTTTTCTGTGTCATTATTCCCTAAATAATACCATATAGACATACCTCATTTTGTTACACATCACTTTATTGCACTTTGTAAATCTTGCATTTTTTACAAATTTAATGTTTGTGGCAACTCTGCATCTAGCAAGGCTATTGGTGCCATTTTTCCAACATGTGCTCACTTGGTGTCTCTGTCACATTTTGGTAATTCTTGCTATATTTCAAACTTTTTCATTATCATTATATCTGTTATGATGATCTGTGATTAGTGATCTTCGATGTTACTATTGTAATTATTTGGGGGCGCCATAAACTGTGCCCATATAAAAGGGGAACTTAGGCCAGGTGCGGTGGCTCACACCTGTAATCCCAGCACTTTGGGAGGCTGAGGCAGGCGGATCATGAGGTCAGGACCCAGCACTTTGGGAGGCCAAGGCGGACAGATCATGGGGTCAGGAGTTCGAGACCAGACTGGCCAACATGGTGAAATCCCGTCTCTACTAAAATACAAAAAAAAAAAAAAAAAAAAAAAATAGTTGGGCATGGTGTTGCGTGCCTATAATCTCAGCTACTCAGAAGGCTGAGGCAGGAGAATTGCTTGAACCTGGAAGGCAGAGGTTGTAGTGAGCTGAGATCGTGCCACTGCACTCCAGCCTGGGCAACAGAGTGAGACTCCATCTCAAAAAAACAAATAAAGGGGGGAACTTAATTGATCAATGTTGTGTGTGTTCTGACTGCTCTACCACCCTGCTGTTTTCCCATCTCTCTCTCTCTCTTCTAGATTTCCTATTCCCTGAGACAAAACAATAATGAAATTAGGCCAATTAATAATCCAACAACGACCTTTAAATGTTCGAGTGAAAGAGTCCTCCCACATCTCTCACTCTAAATCTAAAGCTAAAAATGAATAAGATTAGTGAAAAGGGCATGTGAAAAGCCGAGACAGGCTGAGAGCAAAGGCTCTGGCACCAAACAGCCAAATAGTGAATACAAAGGAAACACTCTTGAAGGAAATTAAAAGTGCTACTCCAGTCAATACACGAAAGATAAGAAAGCGAAACAGCCTTATTGTTGATATAGACAAAGTTTGAGTGGTCCGGATAGATCAAACTAGCCACAATATTCCTTTAAGCCAAATCCTAATCCAGAGCAAGGCCCTAATTCTCTTCAATTCTGTGAAGGCCCTAGCCTTCGTCTCCTAAGAGGTGAGGAAGCTGTAGAAGGAAAATTTGAAGGTAGCAAAGGTTGGTTCACAAGTTTAAGGAAAGAAGCAGTCTCTATAGCATAAAAGTGCAAGGTGAAGCAGCAAGTGCTGATGGAGAAGCTGTAGCAAGTTATCCAGAAGATCTAGCTAAGATCATTGATGAAAGTAGCTACACTGAAGAACACATTTTCAGTGTAGACGTAACAACCTTCTATTAAGAGAAGATGTCATCTGGGACTTTAATAGGTAGAATAAATCAATACCTGGCTTCAAATCTTGAAATGACAGACTGGATCTCTTGTTAGGGATTAATGCAGCTGGTGACTTTAAGTTGAAGCCAATGCTCATTTACCATTCTGATAACCCTAGGGCTCTGAAGAATTATGCCACATCCACTCTGCCTGTGCTCTGTAAATGGAAAAACAAAGCCTGGATGACATCACGTCTATTTACAGCATAGTTTACTGAATATTTTAAGCCGACTATTGAAACACACTGCTCAGAAAAAATAAGATTCTTTTCAAAATATTGCTGCTCAATGACAATGCACCTATCCACCCAAGAGCTCTGATGAAGGTGTCCAAGGAGATGAATGTTGTGTTCATGCCTGCTAACACAATATCCATTTTGCAGCCCATGGATCAAGAAGTAACTTTGACTTTCAAGTCTCATAATTTAAGAAATAAATTTCATAAGTTTATAGATGCCATAGATAGTTATCCTTTGATGAATCTGAGCAAAGTCAATTGAAAACCTTCTGGAAATAAATCACCATTCTAGAAGCCATTATCAACACTTGTGATTCATGCTATTAAGAACATTTGTGGCTGGGCACGGTGGCTCACGCCTGTAATCCCAACACTTTGGGAGGCCAAGGCGGGCAGATCAATTGAGGTCAGGAGTTTGAGACCAGCCCCGCCAACATGGTGAAACCCCATCTCTATTAAAAAATACAAAAATTAGCTGGGCGTGGTGGTGCACGCCTGTAATCCCAGCTACTCGGGAGCCTGAAGCACAAGAATCGCCTGAACCTGGGAGGCGGAGGTTGCAGTGAGCCAAGATTGTGCCACTGCACTCCAGCCTGGGCGATAGAGCAAGACTCAGTCTCAAAAAAAAAAAAAAAAAAAAAAAGAGAACATTTGTGATCCATGTGATTCATGGGAGGAGAATATCAACATATTAACACGGGTTTGGAAGAACTTGATTCCAATCCTCATGAATAACTTTGAGAGGCTCAATACATCAGTAGAGGAGTTACCTGTAGACGTGGTGGAAATAACAAGAGAACTAGAATTAGAAGTAGAGCCTGAAGATGTAACTGAATTGTTGCAATCTCATGATAAATCTTGAATGGATGAGGAGTTGCTTCTTACAGATGAGTAAAGAAAGTGGTTTCTTGAGATAGTATCTTCTCCTGGAGAAGATGCTGTGAATATTATTGACATTATTACAAAGGATTTAAAATATTCCATAAACTTAGTTGATAAAGCAGCAGCATGGTTTCAGAGGATTGACTCAAATCTTGAAAGAAGTTTTTTTGGTTTGTTTGTTTGTTTTTTTCGAGATGGAATCTTGCTCTGTCACCCAGGCTGGAGTGCAGTGGCGCAATCTTGGCTCACTGAAACTTCCGCCTCCCGGATTCAAGCAATTCTCCTGCCTCAGCATCCTGAGTAGCTGGGATTACAGGCACTCACCACTGCACCCGGCTAAGTTTTGTATTTTCAGTAGAGACAGTGTTTCACCATATTGGCCAGGCTGGTCTTGAACTCCTGACCTCATGATCCGCCTACCTTGGCCTCCCGAAGTGCTGGATTATAGGCATGAGCCATGAAAAAAGTTTTGCTGTGGGTAAAATGCGATCAAATAACATCACATTGTACAAAGAAATCTCTTGTGAAAGGAGGAGCCAATAAATGTGGCAAACTTCATTGTTTTTTTTTGTTTGTTTGTTTTTGTTTTTGTTTTTGTTTTTTTTCAGAGAAAGGGTCTCCCTCTGTCACCCAGTCTGGAGTGCAGTGGCATGATCTCCACTCACTGCAACATCAACCTCCTAGGCTCAAGAGATCCACCAACCTCAGCCTCCTGAGTAGCTGGGACTACAGGCGCGTGCCACCACGCCTGGCTAATTCTTTTTGTATTTTTTGTAGAGATGGGGTTTTACCACGTTGCTCGGGCTGGTCTCAAACACCTGAACTCAAACGATCTGCCCACCTTGGCCTCCCAAAGTGCTGGAATTTTAGATGTAAGCCACTGCACCTGGCCTCGTTGTTCTTATTTTAAGATATTGCCACAGCCACATCACCCTTCAGTAACCACCACCCTGATCAGTCATCAGCAATCAACATCAGGCAAGACCCACCTTCCACCAGCAAAATGATTATGTCTCGCTAAAGGCTCAGATGATTGTTAGCATTTTTATCAATAAAGTATTTTTTAAGTTACGGTATGTACTTTTTTTTAGGCATAGTAGTATTGCACATTTAATAGACTACGGTACAGTATAAACATACCTTTTGTATGCACTGGGAAATCAAAACATTTGTGTGACTTGCTTTACTGTGATATTTGCTTTATTGCAATGGTGTGGATATTGAACTGAACCTGGGATATCAGCAAGTTATGCCTACGTAACAACCATTTACATGGCATTTACATTATCTTAGCTCTAATACGTAATCTAGAGATCCTTGAAATTATACAGGAGGAAATCCGTAGGACATAGGCAGACACTACGCCATTTTATATCAGACTTGAGCATATGCACACTTCGGAAACCGTGGGAGGTTCTGGAACCAATCCTCCACAGATACACAGGACAACTGTATTTGTCATGTGCCATCTAGTGGTAAAGTGCTAATTTACCGCGTCTGAAGGATTTCTAATAATACCGAATTTGACAAATGACCTATTAAATATTACTATAATGTTATTGTCATAAATAAAATAAAACATTTTTGTATTATTGTGTATAAATAGAGTTCAAAGGTATTTCCCTTAATTTTCAGTATTTGTTCTTGATTATAGGGGAATGCCACTGCTGAGATGTCCTGATAATCTTTTGCATCTTTCCATAGGCTATATAGGCAAGGCTCAACTGGAAGCTGACCTAAATCTTGGCGAAGTGGCCTGTAATTCTCCCTGGGATATGATAAGATAAGTGGTCTTGTGAGGGCTGTTTCTTTCGGTCTCCCTATCTTGTGGGAGGCTGCCAAAAGACAGTTCTCATCCACCTTCCTTATTCTGCTGAGGCATGGGATTTTCTATCTTGCTGCTTCTCTTATGGTGCAACTTCAGGCTATAGAACCACTTTGACATAGTATAGGAATAGTTCTTCCATGACAGAGTAACCCACTGCTCATGCCATCTGTCATCTGAAGCCTCTGGTTCACTGTAATCCTGTGGAACTAAGGATGTGGGGAGCTGACGCCATGATATTCTTGTTTATGCTGTCTGTGTTAGTAATAAACTGTCTGTATCCATTTAGGCTCCTTTTTTTTTTTTTTTTAAATGGAGTCTCACTCTATCGCCCAGGCAGGAGTGCAGTGGCACGATCTTGGCTCACTGCAACCTCTGCCACCCGGGTTCAAGTGATTCTCCTGCCTCAGCCGCCCAAGTAGCTGGGATTACAGGCGCCTGCCACCGCGACTGGCTAATTTTTGTATTTGTAGTAGAGACAGGGTTTCACCATCTTGACCAGGCTGGTCTTGAACTCCTGACCTCGTGATCCGCCTGCCTCGGCCTCCCAAAGTGCTGGGATTACAGGTGTGAGCTGCCGCACCCAGCCTAGAAATGTAATTCTTAATTTCCAAATTCATAGAATGTTTCCACTTTTGTTATTGGTTTCTGGATTAATTGAATTGCAATCAGAAAAAAAAACTTTACACTATTTCAGTCCTTTAAACATTGTTGAGATTTGCTTGACCTCTGTCCCCATCACTTTGTAAGGCCATGAAAACTGAAGCTCAAATTCAGTTGAAACTGAAGCTTTGTAAGGCCATGAAAACTGGAGCTGAGTTTGACAACTATTCTCAGTGCAAGGATAGTTTGTGTTCCCTTTTCTTTTCAAGTTCTCACTTTCACTTAGATATTTTGCCTTGTAGCTCCTTACTATCTAGTCAACTTTTCCATACTTTCAGAAAGGTAGGCCAGGCGTAATCACTCATGCCTGTAATTCCAGCACATTAGGAGCCCGAAGTAGGAGGATCACTGGAACACAGGAGTTCAAGACCATCCTGGGTCACATAGCAAAACTCTGACTCTAAAAAAATTTTAAAAATTAGCCAGGTGAGGTGGCACCTAGTCCCAGCTACTAAGGAGGCTGAGGTGAGAGAACTGCTTGAGCCTGAGAGGTCGAGACTGCACTGAGCTATGATCGTGCCACTGCACTCCGGCCTGGGTGACAGAGCAAGACTCTGTCTCAAAAAAAAAAAAAAAAAAGCACATCGCAAATATTTGTTTTTCTTTTTAATTTTGTTAAATTGACAAATAATAATTGTACATATTCATGGGATACATAATAGTCCTTAAATACATATAACGTATAGTGATCAGATCAGGGTAATTAGCATATGCATCATCTCACACATTTATCATTTCTTTCTGTTGGGAATGTCCAATATCCCCATAGCTATTTGAAACTATATATTGCTGTTAACTATAGTCTAGCATTTTTAATTGTTTTCAGCAAGATTGGTCTGAATCACATCATTTGAACACCAAATTTAGGTGCCCACTTGCAAATTACTATTTTTTACTTATACAATGAACAGTTTTGAAAAGTAAAAATGGCCTGTAATCCCAGCACTTTGGGAGGCCAAGGCGGGCGGATCACGAGGTCAGGAGTTTGAGACCAGCCTGGCCAACATAGTGAAACCCTGTTTCTACTAAAAACACAAAAATTAGCTGGGTGTAGTGGCACGCGTCTGTAGTCCCAGCTACTCGGGAGGCTGAGGTGGAAGAATCGCTTGAATCCGGGAGGTGGAGATTGCAGTGAGCCGAGACCATGCACCATTGCACTCCAGCCTGGGTGACAGAGTGAGACTCTGTCTCAAAAAAAAGAAGTAAAAATGTTCTAAATTAATACAGAGAAATCTTACTGCTTTTTGAAGGAGAATTCATGTTTCTTGAACACTACTGCACCCTTCACTACTGTTTTTTGAAGGACAAAAATACATCTGGGTTGGCCAGCTCTTGAGGCAATCAAAGATAACCCATCAAGGATTTGATCTCTATATTTACCAGTTAGCTTTGTCCATGGACCATATATTCCACACACTAAATTCCAGCCCACTGAGGAACACAAGGGAAGCCCCTTATTATTTGAAAAAGAATTGAAGCACATAACAACTAAGGTTGCTATGTCAGTGCCATATTAATAATGCTATAATGTGTCAAACATCACAATTTATAGACATTATCTCATTTAATCTTCATCACAACCATGCAAGGTAATTCCTACTCACCCTATTTTTTCATATTGGGAAACTGAAGCTAAGCGAAAGTAAGTGACCTGCATAGGACACACAAGAAATGACAGAATCAGCAGTCAAACCGAGATCTGTTTTTATTCCAAAACCATATTCTTTCCACTAATTCTTGCTTCCTTTCATCTTCATATATGAAATACTTAGGTATAATGTATCAAACAAGACATGCAACGGAGTGTAGTCGCACAGGAGGGGGACCTCAAATAAAATGCGCACAATTGACTAAAGCAAACATCTCTACAGTTCCTACCTAGTGTCAGTCACTATGCTAAGTTATTTCATATGCATTCTCTCATCTTTAGTCCTTTCAATTACTTTATGAGGTAACTTTCATCAAATTCCAGTTCCTTTAAAGTTTTCTTTTAATGGACATCTCAAATTTAAAATAACTTTCATTTCAGCCAGGCGCGGTGGCTCACACCTGTAATCCTAGCACTGTGGGAGGCCGAGGCAAGTGGATCACCTGAGGTCAGGAGTTCGAGACCAGCCTGGCCAACATAGTGAAACCTCATCTCTACCAAAAATACAAAAATTAGCCGTGCATGGTGGCGGGCACCTGTAGCCCCAGCTACTTGGGAGGCTGAGGCAGAAAAATCACTTGAACCTGGGAGGTGGAGGTTGCAGTGAGCCAAGATGGCGCCATTGCACTCCAGCCTGGGGGACAGAGCGAGACTCCATCTCAAAAAAGTAAAAATAATAAAATAAAATGAAATAACTTTCATTTCAAAACTAAAATAACATTCTCAGGGGCACACAATTAACTGGTAAGTAACCTAAAGGAAAGTAATCTCTAAAAAATCATTCCTTAGAAAAGTGCCAGCCTTCACAAAAGGTAAATTGGCAGTTATGTGTTATTACCTGTGGTTGATGATTTGCTTATTATGTATGCATCTGGATGAGTGTCTTTCACCTTCATTGAGATGTCTGCTTTATGGCATTTCAGAGCCAGAACTGTGCAATCATTCCTAAGGGCAAGAGAGGAATCAAGTCGTAAAGAACATGGATTTGGGGCTCAGGTTTGGGTTGGAATTCTGGCTCCATGCGCCCACATACTAGCTCTACCTGTCCAAATTCTACCCCTCATTTCCCAACAGGAATATGCTGAACAGAAGAAATTAAAAGACTTAGGGCGGTCATCTTCATGTCAGCCTCTTCCTTCTCCAGTTCTACTCAGTGGCTGTCACTAATACTGCCACCTACAGGCTTATTCATCCCCTCTTTTGTCATGTTCACCCACAAATCCTAGAACACAGGATGATTAATAACTATTTGTTGAACGAATGAGCAGTAAATATATTGTACAAACATTAGTTGCATGATTCTTATAAGACAATCCTTGTATTAGGGATATAGAAAAGAATAAGACACAGCCCCTGGCTTTGAAGAGCTCAAAGTTAACTGGACAAGACAGAGAAATAAAACAAATTAAATAATACAGTGTAGTAAATACTCTGATAGAGGTATAGTGAAGATTGTGGAGGAGACAGATAAGAGGTACCTAAGTGGGGAAGAAACATCTGAGAAGGCTTCCAGGCTAGAGGCAAAATGCAAGTTGAATATTGAGAGATGAATGGATTTTAGAAAAGTTGAGGAGGAAGGAGAGCATTTCAGACAGAGCAGCAATTTCAATGAGAAAAAAATGTTCCTGTCAATAGAAGAAAAAAGTGATATTTGATAAAATTCAATATTTATTCATGTTAAAACTCTTAAAAAATTAGGTATAGCAGGCTGGGCATGGTGGCTAACGCCTGTAATCCCTGCACTTTAGGAGGCCAAGGCGGGTGGATCACCTGAGGTCAGGAGTTCGAGACCAGCCTGGCCAACATGATGAAACCCCGTCTCTACTAAAAATACAAAAAATTAGCTGGGCATGGTTGTGTACTCCTGTAATCTCAGCTACTCAGGAGGCTGAGGCAGGAGAATTGCTTGAACCCCGGAGGCAGAGGTTGCAGTGAGCCAAGATCGTGCCACTGTACTCCAGCCTGGGCAACAACAACAGGAGCAAAACTCCGTCTCAAAAAAAAAAAAAAAAAAAAGAAAGAAAAGAAAATTAGGTATAGCAAGAAACTTCCTTAATCTGATAAAGGGTGTCAGGAAACTCTGGCAATGTTATATATCTCCACATAGGCCACCTAAGCGAGGCTCAACCGCAGTCTGATGGAACTCTTGGTGGAATACCCTTTGATCTTCTCAAAAGCACAGCAAAATAGGAAGTCTTGTGAGGAGTTGTCACAAAGCCATGTCTTGCCCATTTCCCTATCTAGGAAGAGGCTGTCAGGAGGCAGTTTCTCAATCACCTCCCTGGTTCTGGTGAGCCTAGGACTTTCTGCTTGCTCTGCACCCTCCCATACTGATATGGTTTGGCTGTGTCCCCACCCAAATCGCATCTTGAATTGTAGTTCTCATAATCCTCACATGTCATGGGAGGGACCCAGTGGAAGGTAATTAAATCATGGGGGCAGTTACCCCCCATGTTGTTCTTATGATAGTGAGTGAGTTCTCATGAGATCTGATGGTTTTGTATGGGGCTTTTCCCCCTTTTGCTCAGCATTTCTCCTTGCTGCTGCCATGTAAAGAAGGACATGTTTGCTTCCCCTTCTGCCCTTATTGTAAGCTTCCTAAGGCCTCCCCAGCCATGCTGAAGTGTCAGTTAATTAAACCTCTTTCCTTTATAAATTACCCAGTCTCATATATGTCTTTATAAGCAGCGTGAAAATGAATTAACATAGTAAATTGGTACCAGAAGTAGGGCTGTACCCTGCAAAGCCAGAGGCATGGAGCTCCCCAAGGTAGTGGGAGCCCACCTCTTGCATCAGCATGACCTGGATGTGAGACGTGAAGTCAAAGGAGATCATTTTGGAACTTTAAGGTTTAATGACTGCCCTATTGGATTTCAGACTTGCATGGGGCCTGTAGCCTCTTTGTTTTGGCCAATTTCTCCCATTTAGCATGGATGTATTTACCCAATTCCTGTACCCCCATTCTATCTAGAAAGTAACTAACCTTCTTTTCATTTCACAGGCTCACAGGCAGAAGGGACTTGTCTTGTCTTAGATGAGACTTTGGACTTGCACTTTTGAGTTAATGCTGGAATAAGTTAAGACTTTGGGGGGCTGTTGAGAAGGCATGATTGTGTTTTGAAATGTAAGAACATGAGATTTGGGAGGGATCAGGGGTGGAATGATATGGTTAGGCTCTGTCCCAACCAAAATCTCATCTTGAATTGTAGTTCCTATAATCCCCACGTGTTGTGGGAGGGATCCTGTGGAAGGTAATTGAATCATGGGGGCGATTACCCCTATGCTGCTGTTCTCATGATAGTGACTGAGTTCTCACGAGATCTGGTGGTTTTATAAGGGGCTTTTCCCCGCTTCGTTCTGCACTTCTCCTGGCACATAGACAGAATATTTATTCTTTCCCACAATTATGAAGTTTTTTTTTTTTTTAAGATCTTTACTTCATCTGGAATTCACTGTAGCATGCTGTTAGGATTTTAATTAAGTTTTCCAAATAATGTTGATTCTCCAATTGCTATTTACTGAGTTCTTTCATCACTTATTTTAAATGGAATCTTTATCACATACTGAATTTCCATGTATAAAGGATCTGCTCCTAGACTCTATTCTGGGGCCAGGTGCAGTGGCTCATGCCTGGAACCCCAGCACTTTGAGAGGCCAAGGCAGATGGAGGTCAAGTCCAGCCTGGCCAACATGGTGAAACTGGGTCTCTACTAAAAATACAAAAATTAGCTGGGTGTGGTGGTGGGCGCCTGTAATCCCAGCTACTTGGGAGGCTGAGGCAGGAGAATCCCATGAACCCGGGAGGTGGAGGTTGCAATGAGCCGAGATCGCACCACTGCACTCCAGCCGGGGTGACAGAGCAAGACTCTATCTCAAAAATAAATAAATAATTAAAACAAAAATATAAGAATTTTTATTTTCTTTCTATTTTTTCCCCTTTTTTTTTTTTGAGATGGAGTCTTGCTCTGTCGCCCAGGCTGGAGTGCAGTGGTGCGATCTCGGCTCACTGCAACCTCCACCTCCTGGGTTCAAGTGATTCTCCTGCCTCAGCCTCCCGAGTAGTTGGGATTACAGGCACCCGCCACCATGCACGGCTAATTTTTGCATTTTTAGTAGAGACGGGGTTTCGCCATTTTGTCCAGGCTGGTCTCAAACTCCGGACCTCAAGTGATCCACTCTCCTCAGCCTCCCAAAGTGTTGGGATTACAGGCCTGAGCCACCGTGCCCAGCCAAGCATTTTTCTTGGAGAGCTCTGGAAAGAATATTTATACCAAAGAAATGACTCTATTCTAGGCTTGACCTAAATTATTCCTGGATTAAAGTGCAACCCACTTTAAATAAAATATCTGAAATTAAATGAACTGTTTGGGGAGGATCCTCAAAGATAGTAGTCTGGGACTCTAGACTGTTAAGGCAGGTCATCAATAGTACAGTTTGTGTGAGATGCCTGGGAGGCTGGAGCTGATATGAGTCCCCATTTGGCATAAGGAGAACAGTACCACTAAGCCACGGCAGGCACACTGACAGATTCAAAAGCAGACTTGCTACTTCCACAGCACAGTAAAATATTCAAGACCTATTCTATTGGAAAAATAGGATCTAGTCTCCAGAGAAGGACTCACAAAATCGAGAGTTCATTCAGCAAAACAGAATTGGAACCACATTCCACTGTGGTTTTATCCTGATCTGTTGATGTGCCCATCCCTAGTGTTGCTTAGAAAAACAAAACAAAACAAAAAACCGAATTTATTTTAGACCAGTTAATAAAAGGGAAGATGGTGGTGTTTTCAACCTAATACATACAAAATCTAAGAATATAATGCATTTAAGTACTTTACATTAAAGGTGAGTCAATTGAATGTTCCAGCCATCTGCATTTATCAGAACATATCTTCTAGCAAAGCATTGTACCCATGTCAGTACAGCACGAGTAAAATCACAGGTCACCTAGGTAGCTCAACTTTTCTGCTGAGAATTTGGACAAAACTTTAATTTCCATCTGGATTCAAAGAGAAAAGAAGGTCCAGAATTCAGACTTATCCTTAACACAACTGGAAGCAGTAATGACTAAAAAATTGGGAAGATTGAGAGAGCACAAATGAGCAAGAGAAGAATAAGAAATAGTGATGAAAGTGAGATGGCTGTCTTTAGTCTGCCCTTCTCCAGATTAGGTTTTGCTGTTGTTGTTTTTGTTTTTATTTTTGTTTTTAGATGGAGTCTTGCTCTGTTGCCAAGGATGGAGTGCAATGGCACGATCTCGGCTCACTGCAACCTCCGCCTCCCGGGTTCAAGGGATTCTCCTGCCTCAGCCTCCCAAGTAGCTGGGATTACAGGCATGTGCCACCACGCCCAGCTAATTTTTGTATTTTTAGTAGAGACCGGGTTTCACCATGTTGGCCAGGCTGGTCTCGAACTCTTGACCTCGTGATCTGCCCTCCTCAGCCTCTCAAAGTGCTGGGATTACAGGCGTGAGCCACCGTGCCTGGCCCTTCTCCAGATTAAACATATAAATTCATGATCCGTTTCTTCTATGTTAAAGTTTCAAAGTTCTCACCATTTTTAATATCCTCCTCTGGAGACTGTCTAGTGTGTCCTCCAGAGAATGGTGCTAAAAATTCACCAAAATAATCCAGCATTTGGCTGAAAAACACAGAAAAGACGAATATTGTTACTTCCGATGATCAAGAACACTTTTAGACACTATATAGCAAAGCATGGGGTAATGGGGAAAACCTGGCACTGTATTAGATTCTGACGTAAAACAGCAAAAAAGACAGACAAGGTCCATGACTTGAAAGAGCTTATGAGTTTGACAAGGAATCAAACAAATAATAAGAATGTAAGATAATAAGCTGGGTGCAGTGGCTCACACCTGTAATCCCAGCACCTTGGGAGGCAGAGATGGGCAGATCACCTGAGGCCAGGAGTTCGGGACCAGCCTGGTCAACATGGTGAAACCTTGTCTCTACTAAAAATACAAAAATCAGTCAGGTGCAGTGCCACGCACCTGTAATCCCAGCTACTCAGGTGGCTGAGGCACGAGAATTGCTTGAACCCAAAAGGCAGAGGTTGCAGTGAACTGAGATCGCGCCACTGCACCCCAGCCAGGGCAGCGGAACGAGATTGTGCCTCAAAAAACAAACAAACGAACAAAAATGTAAGATGACAATGAGCACTACAAATAAAATAAAGCAGAGTGATATATGCAGCCTAGGTAGTCAGGAAAGGCCACTCAGAGAGTGACATTTGAAGTGAGTCCTAATGACAAGAGTAAACCAAGAAACTTACATGTGGAAGTACTCCCTGGGCTGAAGGAACAACTAATGCGAAGATCCTGAGACTGAATGAGCTTGACATATCCAGGGACCAAAAGATGGAAAATGATAGGAGATAAGACAAAAAAGGTGAGCAAGGGCCAGGTCATGTAGGGCTTTACTAGCAATAGAAATGAACTTGGATATCTAATTTCATTTGAGATGGAGTAGGGACCCCTCTTAGGGGCCTGCCATGCGCCTTCCCAACCGAAGAATGGAAATAAAGGAAAATCTTGAGTTCCTTCAAGGGAAATTCCAGGCACCTAGCTAGCCTTGAGAAGTAAGTGAGCAACCTGATAAGCCAGAAGGTAATAGTAGACTATAGTAGCCTACAATAGTAGCCTATAGTAGCCTACAATAGTAGCCAAGGAAGTTCGAGTCATAATGTGTTTAATTCAGTATAGAAAATAAAAATAATATCTTTTTTTTTTTTGAGACGGAATTTTGTGCTTGCTGCCCAGGCCAGAGTGCAATGGTGAGATCTCAGCTCACCGCAACCTCCACCTCCTGGGTTCAAGTGGTTCTCCTGCCTCAGCCTCCCGAGTACCTGGGATTACAGGCATGCGCCACCACACCTGGCTAATTTTGTATTTTTAGTAGAGACGGGGTTTCTCTATGTTGGTCAGGCTGGTCTCGAACTCCCGACCTCAGGTGGTCCACCTGCCTTGGCCTCCCAAAGTATTGGGATTACAGGCATGAGCCACCATGCCCAGCCTAAAGATAATATCTTAACATATGTCCCTGAGTTGTTCTTCAGAAAACTGGACCCCCTACCAATGGAAAAATGCCATCTGCTGGCAGGTAGACCTCAGATAAGGGAACTGAGGACTGAACTCTGATGTCCATTCTGTGTTCTGAGTTTCTTCCTGTGGGGCCTGGAGGAAGTCACACCCACAGGCCAGAGCTCAACATTCCTTTCTGCTGATGCCAATTTTTTTTTGGTCTTGCTTTTTTTTCTTTTTTGAGACAGAGTCTCACTCTGTCGCCAGGCTGGAATGCAGTGGCACGATCTCGGCTCACTGCAACTTCCACCTCCCGGGTTCAAGCAATTCTCCTGCCCCAGCCTCCTGAGTAGCTGGGATTACAGGCACCTGCCACCATGTCCGGCTAATTTTTGTATTTTTAGTAGAGACGGGGTTTCACCAAGTTGGCCAGGATGGTCTCGATCTCTTGACCTCGTGATCCGCCCACCTCGGCCTCCCAAAGTGCTGGGATTATAGGCGTGAGCCACCGCACCCGGCCAAATTTTTGACAAAGCTTTACCTCCTTAAGCAATTGCAAATCAGAAAATCTTTGAATCCACCTATAACCTGTGGGCCCCTGCTTTAAGGTGTCCCACCTTTTGAGGTCAAACCAATGTATAGCTTTCATGTATCGATTTTTTACGTTGTCTGTGATCTCTGCCTCCCTGCCTTTAAAAACCCTTAAGCCATCAGGGAGTTTGGGTCTTAACCATAAGCTGCCTATTTTTCCTTGCTTGGGGCCCTGCAATAAATGCCTCCCTTTTTTCACTACAAATTCCAATGTCAGTGTTTGGCTTTGTTGTGACAGGCAGGAAGATGGGCCCAAGTTGGGTTGGTCAGAAAATGCAAAGCTACTGCAAGCTCTTTAGCAAAGAATATATTTGAGGCGGAGTCTCGCTCTGTTGCCCAGGCCGGAGGGCAGTGGCATATTCTCGGCTCACTGCAACCTCTGCCTCCCAGGTTCAAGTAATTCTCTCCCTCAGCCTCCCGAGTAGCTGGGGCTACAGGCGCCCGCCACCACCCACAGCTAATTTTTGTATTTTTAGTAGAGACGGGCTTTCACCATCTTGGCCAGGCTAGTCTTGAACTCCCAACCTCGTGATCCACCCGCCTCGGACTCCCCAAGTGCTGGGATTACAGGCGTGAGCCACTGCACCTGGCCAATAGATATATATATTTTTAAATTATAGCTTTGGCTACTGTGTTGAGAATGGATTGTAACCTGGCAAGTGTGGAAGCAGGGAAAGCTGTACAAAGGCTTTTTGCAGTAGTCCATGCAAAAGATGTTGATGGATTGATTTAGGTAAAAGAATAGGTGGTGACAAAGGTTCTAATCCAGAATACATTTTAGAGGTACAGTCAGCAGGATATTATTGCTGCAATAAGGGGGAAAAGAAACCTAGGATGATTGCTAGTTTATGGACATAAGTGACTAGGTGGATGGTGGTAACAGGTAATTGATAGGGGTACAAGAGAAACAGATTTGTGGGAGGAAACTATAAAACAGGAGTTTTGCTTTGGAAATATTGAATTTTATATTCTATTGGAGATGTTGTATAGGAGGGTAGATACAGATTCACAGGAGAGGTCTGAATGACAGATATAACTGGGAGTCATCAGCCTATAAATGACAATTCAAGCCATGAGAATAATTAAGATTATCATGGGGTTGAATGTATAATCTTGGACAAGTTAATGGACCTCACTAACCACCAATATCTTCATCTATAAAATAGAGACTATACCCATTAATGCTTGTGTTGTAATGACTTGTTGTAAGGATTAAATGAAACCAATGTAGCCTAGAATTGTTTAAACTATTTTTAGTAGCTCTGCTAAATTGCTGCTCTGTGTTTAACTCAAATTTCCAGAACTTTTCACGTGACATACTTCCATTCAAACATATATCCTCCTCCATCTTGTGCAGTGTAATTGACGTCTTTCATCAAAATGCATCCCTTCCACATCCAACCTCAATCTTAGGCCAATTTGCTGTCTCCTTGTTTCTACATGCTGCATGCTGCCATGAAGCATACATATAGAGTGTACTCTGTCATACTTGTTGTCTATGACTTCCCTATTGAGGCTACATAATGGACTAGACTTCAAAGAAGCAACTGGACTGCAGTAGGCTCAGTCATGGTTCAGCAAATAGCACCAACAACCTAAAAGAGCTGGGTAAATATCAAAACAACTTTGGCCTATAATGCTTATTTAATGTTCTCACAGCAATTCAACTAGCCATGGGTATTAATCAGTATTATCTTCCAATACAACATAAGGAGAAAGGATCATAGAAAGAGAAGTAAGGGTATCAGTGGCAAAAAGAGGGTGGAAGCCAGACTACAGAGACTTAAAGAGCAGCAAATAGCCGGGTGTGGTGGCTCACGCCTGTAATCCCAGCACTTTGGGAGGCCGAGGCTGGCAGATCACCTGAGGTCGGGAGTTCGAGACCAGCCTGACCAACATGGAGAAACCCCGTCTCTATTAAAAAATGCAAAATTAACCGGGCATGGTGGCGAATGCCTGTAATCCCAGCTACTCAGGAGGCTGAGGCAGGAGAATCGCTTGAACCCAGGAGGCGGAGGTTGCAGTGAGCTGAGATTGCGCCATTGCACTCCAGCCTGGGCAACAAGAGCAAAACTCCGTCTCAAAAAAAAAAAAAAAAAAAAAAAAAAGCAGCAAACAAAGACTCTAGTCAAAGAAAGGGAACTTTTAACAATAAAGCAGAACCCTGGTCCCGAGAGTAGTGAACCAAGGCAAGGGTTTCTGTTAATAACACAAGAACCAATGTAAGAGCTCAGTTAAAATAGCTAGGGTTTATGGTCAAAAGTAGGATTGTAATGAGACTAGCAGTATTGAGTATGGGTACAAAGGCCCCTCTAGTACTCTCTCTAGAGCCCATACTAGTCCCAGATTCTGGAGTAGGGCTAATCGCGTTTGTAGGAGGTTGTAGCCCAACTAGAGGGAGTAAAGAAATGAAAGATGCATAATTAACCTTACGGCAGAAAATTAACCCCAAAGAGGACCCTTTCATAGAAGTAAGAGAAACATTCTTAAAGACAGAATGGATAAGCTGGACAGGGAGGTTGAAACATTACTGCAAGAATTTCCTTATCAGTCACACAAGGGGGCCAGACTTCAAAAACTATGCTTCAAAATCACCATGAGAAATTTTAAAATCAGGGATTAGGACGTAGAGGCAGGTTTGGAAGTCACTAGACTGGAAGAATGCCAACATTTTATTATCTGAAATGAGCTATTGAATATATCACAAATATTGCATTAATTATGTTATCTCAAGCCGAATTACTTCCTAAAGCCCCCATTTTGGGATTATTCAATTTGTCTCCCAGAGGAAACTGGGAGATAGCCGATTGGGTCTAAGTCTCTGAATATTATCCTAGAGGATTGAGGTGTACTCAGTTGTTGATTTATTGAATAAATTGATACAGATGTTATCATAAATAATATCTGGCATTTTTATATAGAGATATATAGTTTTTGATATATTTATTATCTGGTATATATAATCATATATAATAACTGAAATTTGTTCAGTGACAGTTACTGGTATATGGACACTGATTGTCTTATTTAACCATCACAGTAACCCTATGAGAGAAGTACTATTTATTATCCCCATTTCACAGATGAGAAAGCCGAGGTTCAGTGTGCAAGTAACTTTCTTGAAATCAACAACTAGTAAGCGAAGGAGCAGGATTAGAATCCAGGCATTTTGACCACAGAATCCCTCCTATTTATATTCTACTGCCTTCTCTATTTCCTTCTGGTGATGTGTGCCACTCTGAATTAGGTGACTGCCTTCTGTTACTGAACCACAACCTCCCTGAGGACAGGGACCTAGTATCATTCACCCCTAACTCCACAGGCCAACTACAATCCCTAAGCAACCATCTAGGCCCACCTCCTCGTTCTCTTAGTTACTCCATTAGCTGGCTTGGTTCTAAGACCAAGCCGTCATCATTATGATGACAATCATTATCATCATTATGATGACGATCATTATCATCATTATGATGACGTATGCTGACTTCATATTGGTGGTTTCACTTCATAATCCTGAAAGGAGATCATTTTCATTCGAAGGAGAGAGAAAGGGCAGATAATTGGACTAGAGTTAAACTTCTCCTTTTGTCCATAGGACAAAAAAAATATTTAAATAATAAACAAAATTCCAATGTTCTTTTATTTTCTTATTTTTGTATTTTTAGTGGAATACCAACTTCATGTACACTTGGCTTATTCAGGTGAGTGAAATTCAACAGGACAACTAACAGGCTTAAAGAATAACATTAAGCATTGGGGAAGCAAAAGTTGTTCCTGGGGGTAATTATATTTCACTGTTAAGTATTCTCAAGACAGTAAGTTCTCAAAAATATTTTGCAGCACCCATAAAATTCAATGGACCACCATCCGGACAAAAGGATAAAAACAGAACACATCAAGATAATGAATTTTCTTCAAACTACTGAGGTAAATTAATGCATTCTTCACATTCAGTGAGATTACAGTTATTTCAAAAGATAGGTTAGGGCTTCTTTTGTATGCTGTGTGATTCTGTCTTTGTTTATAGGTTAACAGCACTGTACATAAAATACAATAATTGGATGGGTATTTGCTAGGTATTAAATACTGTAATCTTTCATGTCTATAAACTGACCATTCTCTTTAGGGATTCCTGCTTTGTTCTCTTTCACTTGTTTTTGCTTAACACCCAAAAAAAAACTTGATTACAAGCAGATTATATGAACATAGCTGTATGACTTTAATTGTAATTTGACGTATGTGTTTTATGTGTTTTAATTGGCAGGGAATATTAGTTCAGACATAGACAATTTGCAAATGTACAGCTTTCTTTGTTTTAAATTTTACTTTAAGTTCTGGGATACATGTGGTGAACATGCAGGTTTGTTACATAGGTATACATGTGCCATGGTGGTTTGCTGCACCCATCAACCCGTCATCTAGGTTTTAAGCCCCACATGCATTAAGTATTTGTCCTAATGCTTTCCCTCCCCTTTCTCCACATCTCCTGACAGGCCCCAGTGTGTGATGTTTCCCTCCCTGTGCCCATGTGTTCTCATTGTTCAACTTCCACTTATGGGTGAGAACATGCAGTGTTTGGTTTTCTGTTCCTGTGTTAGTTTGCTGAGAATGATGGCTTCTAGCTTCATCCATGTACCTGCAAAGAACATGACTCATTCTTTTCTTTTCTTTTTTTTTTTTTTTTGAGACTGAGTCTTGCTCTGTTGCCCAGGCTGGAGTGTAGTGGTGCGATCTTGGCTAACTGCAACCCCTGCCTCCCAGGTTCAAGCAATTATCTGCCTCAGCCTCCGAGTAGCTGAGATTACAGGCGCCCACGACCATGCCCAGCTAATTTTTTTGCATTTTTAATAGAGACAGGGTTTCACCATCTTGACCAGGTTGGTCTTGAACTCCTGACCTCCTGATCCAACTGCCTCGTCCTCCCAAAGTGCTGGGACTACAGGTGTGAGCCACCATTCCCAGCCTTGAACTCATTCTTTTTTATGGCTGCATAGTATTCCATGGTGTATATGTACCACATTTTCTTTATCCAATCTATCATTGATGGGCATTAGGGTTGGTTCCAAGTCTTTGCTATTGTAAATAGTGTTGCAATAAACATACGTGTGCATGTGTCTGTATAGTAGAATGACTTACAATCCTTTGGGTAAATACCCAGTAATGCGGTTGCTGGGTCAAGTGGTATTTCTGATTCTAGATCCTTGAGGAATCACCGCACTGTCTTCCACATTAGTTGAACTAATTTACACTCCCACCAACAGTGTAAAAGCATTCCTATTTCTCCACAGCCTCTCCAGCATCTGTTGTTTCTTCGAAGTTATTTGTCTTCTGCTTTGCATTTTTAGGTTTTTATTTGTTTGCTTTGTTTTGTTCTTTTTTTAGAGACAGGTTCTTGCTGCTGCTTAGGCTGGACTCAAACTCCTGGGTTCAAATGCTCGTCCTGCCTCAGCCTCCCAAGTAACTGGGACTACAAGGAATAGCTGGGACTATAGGCAGGCACTACCGTGCTTGCTGCTTTTTTGTTTGAATGCTAGTTGGTATTTTGTTTATTTCAAAAGACAGGAGTCAACACCTGATAATTGGAAAAGTCAGGAAAGAGATCTTTGTTGGAGTTATGTGGTATGCAAAATGATTCAATTTATTACAAAGAAGGTGAAATCTACACAATATATCATTTAATTAGTGACACTCCTGATCCCTCCCTGACACTGGCTTTCTGACCTTCTGATGAAAACACAAGCTTCCCTCCAGGTCCTCAACCCAGGAAGATGTTTCCCAATGTATACTATAACAGGAGCAGACCAGAAATCAAATTGAATCAATTGCTAATGTTCCATATTACTGATGATAAACATTCAATATGAATATTCCCTCATAATTTTGCAAGTGCAGCAAAACTATTCTACTGAACATTGGAATGCATTACATTATGTTTATTAGCATTTAGCATTTTTGCTATTTGAAAACGACATTATAGGATCCTTGTATAATACCAAATTATTTCCTTATCTTCCTGAATCTATCTCTATCCTTTGTCTACTCTCTGATTTCCCTCAACAGACTTCTAACTGGGATCCCTGCATCCAGCCATTTTATACAATTCCTGGAGCAGTACAGAAGGTGGAAGACCTGGAGGATGGGTGGGGAACCATAGCCATTGCCATGGGCATTGGGCTACATGACTCCAAGAGGGACCTGTGTGGCCACCACTAGCATACACAGAGCACATTTATGCAAATTAGAGAGAGGTGCTCCCTCTCAACAGATAGATTGGAAAACGACACCTCTCTGGATTAACAGATCAGTAAAGCACTCACTCTCTCTTGTGGGACGTATTAGGAATGAGAACCCTCTGTGGGCTTACATAGCTCTGTGGGCTCATGGCATAGCAAACACAATACAGACTTAATTCCAGGCCTTACTGCCTGCTCTTACCCACCAGGTACCTTTGTGCAATGCAAATTGTGCAATCATATGCAGCACTACTGTGAGCAGCACTTCCGGCATTTTTTTCTTCTGTCTTGGCTTTCTCTGCTGGAACCCTATAAGGCTACTTGATTCAGAGTTCTTTGGGCCAGTGGGACACAACTGTGTCTTGCAAGGTTTCTCTCTTCCTAGATTGGACCCTTTTTCTTTTTCTTTTATATGTTTACTAAATGCCCGCTATGAGCAAGCCACTGCTCCTAATCCATTCTCGCTCACTGTAAAACACGTGGGTTTATTCATCTTTCTAAAGTTCAGGTATGAATGTTTCATCACTTGCCTGCTTCAAAATCTTTGTCCTTCCCAAGCATCGAGCACAGAGCTTGAATCCTGGCCACATGTCAGAAGTTGTGGATTGTGGTCCTTATTCTAACACTAACTTGTTTCTTGAGATCCTAGACAAAATCTAAAAACTCTTCTTAATCCTCTTCTAAGAACTTTTGACTCCAAAGTTTCTGTGATCCTGGGCTCTGGGTACCAGTGTAGGTCTAGTCATGGAGGCAGAAAATAGAATACTTTACCTCATCAGATTGAGAAGTGGTTCCCTAGAAAATCCAGTTTTCATCTATAACCTCTGACTCTTAATCATATGAAAAGATGCTTATCTCAGGCATAATAAGACATATACAAACTAAAGGTAAACTGAAGCACTGATTCTCAGCTATCATATTGAAAAAGGTCAGTATGTTTGATAATATACTGTGCTGTAACAGTAATGGGGAAATGTAAGTTCGTATATTATTTGTAGGAGTATAATTTTTATTTTTTTATATATTTTTTGAGACAAAGTCTCACTCTGTCACCTAGGCTGGAGTGCAGTGGCGCAATCTCAGCTCACTGCAACCTCTGCTTTCCAGGTTCAGGCGACTCTCCTGCCTCAGACTCCCAAGTAGCTGGGATTACAAGAACCTGTCACCATGTCTGGCTAGTTTTTGTATTTTTAGTAGAGACGGGGTTTCATTTTGTTTGCCAGGCTGATCTTGAGCTCCTGACCTCAAGTGATCCACCCGCCTTGGCCTCCCAAAGTGCTGGGATTACAGGAATGAGCCACTGTGCCTGGCCATAAGTATAATTTTTATAGAGGTAATTTGTCAACATCTATCAACAGAAAGAAATAATTTTTGTAGCAGTAACTTGTCAATAGCTATCAAAAGAAGGGAATCTGTATACAGTTTTTTACCCAGCAATTCAACTCTTAGGATGTTTTTCTTTAAAAACATATATATATACTATTTAATTTCCTGAGTCCATGTACACTCCCATTTTCCTAGAAGAATATCTCATATATTTTCCTCTCTTCTCAAATCCTTAACATAGTTTCCCACAGCCTCACTCTCAGATGATGATCTTGTTTCTTCTTTCACTGAGAAAATACAAGTAATCTACTGGGGGAACCCACCCCCAATATTTCAACATAGGTTCTTTCTATTTTCCATAAGTGTCGGCCGGCTGAGAAATAAAGAGAGACAGTATAAAGAGGGGAATTTTACAGCTGGGCCGCCGGGGGTGACATCACATATCGGTAGGACCGTGATGCCCACCTAAGTCTCAGACCAGCAAATTTTTATTAAGGGTTTCAAAAGGGGAGGGGGTGTAAGAACAGGAAGTAGGTACAAAGATCACATGCTTCAAAGGGCAAAAAGCAGAACTACTAATAAGGGTCTAACAAAGATCACAGGGCAAAGAGCAAAAGCAGAACACTGATGAGGGTCTATGTTCAGCGGTGCACGTATTGTCTTGATAAACATCTTAAACAAAAGAAAAGAGGGTTCGAGAGCAGAGAACCGGTCTGACCACAAATTTACCAGGGCAACGTTTTTCTCCACCCTAGTAAGCCTGAGGATACTGCAGGGTGTATCTCAGTCCTTGTCTCAACTGCACAAGACAGATATTCCCAGAGCGGCTGTTTATAGACCTTCCCCCAGGAATGCATTCCTTTCCCAGGGTATTAGTAGTAATATTCCTTGCTAGAAAGGAATTTAGCAATATCTTCCCTACTTGCACACCCATTTATAGGCTCTCTGTGAGAAGAAAAATACGGCTCTTTTTGCCCGACCCCACAGGCAGTCAGACCTTATGGTTGTCTTCCCTTGTTCCCTAAAAATCACTATTATTCTGTTCTTTTTCAAGGTGCACTGATTTCATATTGTTCAAACACACATGTTGTACAATCAATTTGTACAATTAACACAATTATCACAGTGGTCCTGAGGTGATGTATATCCTCAGCTTATGAAGATAACAGGATTAAGAGATTAAAGTAAAGACAGGCATAAGAAATTATAAAAGTATTATTTGGGAACTGATAAATGTCCATGAAATCTTCACAATTTATGTTCCTCCACTGCAGCTCCAGCCGGTCCCTCCATTCAGGGTCCCTGACTTCCCGCAACAGTAATCAAAAGGGAACTTCCATAAACTTCCATCACTCCATTTGACTTGCATCTGTACATATTCTCTGCCTTCCCTCCTGTTGTTATAGATGAACTGTACATGTTTAGGCCAACCCCTTCACCTATGCACAACATTTTGTCCACCAACACCAACTCAAGGATATCCCTCCTATTATTCTTTTCCTTTCATGAATCATGATGTTTTTACCTCTCTACTAGTTCATTGCCTTTAGCATAAAAGCATGCTGTCATTTCTCCCATCTTCCTCCCTCAGCTCTCTCCAGCTATTGCTCCATTCCCAGTAAATTTCTTGTCCCTTTACAGTAAAGCTCCTCAAAACAGCTGCTAAAACTCACGGTTTCCAGGTCCTTTCCTCTTCTTTTCTCTTGAATACATTCCAACCAGGCTTGTATTCTCACAACTCCACCAAAACTTTCCTTACCAATATTTCCAATTACCTCCACATTGCCATTTCATAGTTAATTCTCAGTCCTAATCTTACCTGAACCACATTTTTTCTAACATTTTTTTCTGAGATGGAGTCTCGCTCTGTTGCCCAGGCTGGAGTGCAGTGGTGCAATCTTGGCTCACTGCAACCTCCGCCTCCCAGGTTCAAGCAATTCTCCTGCCTCAGACTCCTGAGTAGCTGGGATTACAGGTGCTCGCCACCACACCCAGCTAATTTTTTGTATTTTTAATAGAGATGGGGTTTCACCATGTTAGCCAGGCTGGTTTCAAACTCCTGACCTCAAGTGATCCGACTGCCTCAGCCTCCCAAAGTGCTAGGATTACAGGTGTAAGCCATCACACCCAGCCTTTTCTAACATTTTTAATGACAATTTTTAAATATACAGAAAAATTAAAAGAATTGTACACCAACACACCCATCACCTAGATCCTGAAATTAAACATTTTAGTATATTTGCTTTGTGTAGCCCATGTTATTTTTATCATGCCATTCTCTCTTTCTGTTTGATGTCATGCACCTCAGGGTTTTTTTCAGCTCTAGTAGGCTAAGCTAGCTCATCCTTTACCAATGAAGAGACAGAACGAGAGGGAAGGCGAAGGGTGGGGCTAATGACAGCCAACCCAAATTAACAGATTTAAGGAATGAATAATATATTTATGTCACCTCTTGCACTTTTATTTAATTTATGCCAACTATAACTTTTTTATTGTTTTATTCCAGGTACAATGAAAAATGGAAATATTATCTCAGAAATTACAACAGAGGGATGAAGATATAGCATATGCTGTACCTAAAAGATACATCAAATGGGACATTGGGAATATGGATTGATGAAATTTAATTTGCGATTGTCCTATAATGCCTTTTCATTACAGTACCACACAAATTGAGGCAATAAATGTATATTTGATCAAAAAAGTATGGCCACTCGTCTTTTAACCAAATAGATTGCAAATGTCATTAGAATTCAGATTCTACGAGGCAGGAAAGAAGTGTTTTGGCTAGAGACAAGGGCAGATGGAATAAGAGAGCCAGGCATTCAGCAGGAATTTAATTTGTATTGGCTTAGACAAGGCTGTGCAATCTAGTTTCCTTTCTATATTTATTTAAAGTGATATATCTTCTTTCAGTATATCTGATTTTCTAATAACTGTAGGACTAACAAATGTTACTGATAGACAAAGTTAAAATAAAATCATCATGGGGACTTCATTTTTAGCAGTGATTGCACATAGACAACCCCTTCCTTAAGTAATTTTAATTGTATATATAGCCAGCCACCGCATTTCCCTGAAACATGGAATGATTATTTTTTGGCAACATGTAGGTACAGTCATGTATCATATAATGACATTTCAGTCAATGGCAGACTACATATAGAACAGTGATTCCATAAGATTATAATAACATATTTTTACAGTACCTTTTTCTTTTCCTTTCTTTCTTTCTTTTTTTTTTTTTTTTTTTTTTGAGACAGAGCCTCACTTTGTTGTCCAGGCTGGAGTGCAGTGGCGCCATCTCAGTTCACTGCAAACTCTGCCTCCTGGATTCAAGTGATTCTCCTGCCTCAGCCTCCCGAGTAGCTGGGATTACAGGCACCCGCCACCATGCCTGGCTAATTTTTGTATTTTTAGTAGAAATGGGGTTTGACTAGGTTGGCCAGTCTGGTCTCCAACCCCTGGCCTCAAGTGATCTGTCCACCTCGGCCTCCCAAAGTACTGGGATTACAGGCATGAGCCACATCACCCAGCCTACAGTACCTTTTTTATGTTTAGATACACAAATATGTATCATCATGTTACAACTGCCTCCAGTATTCAGTACAGTCACACACTATACAGGTGTGTAGCCTAGGAACAATAGGCTACACCATATAGCCTAGGTGTGTAGTAGGCTATACCACCTAAGTTTGTATAAGTACATTATGATGTTAACATAACAATGAAATCACTTCATGCATTTCTCACAAGCGTCTCCCCGTCAAATGACTGTATATACTAAACAGCATACATTATCCATTAAGTAACCAACTACACCTCAACTAAGGTCTTATTTATTGTCAAATAATGCTGATAATGATGATAACAATCACTAAATTATTATAGTAAAATAAGTGTTTCAGATCAGTGTTTTTCAAAATGTGGGGATTTACTCCTGAGTTGCACCATGATATCAGTTTTTCAAAAATAAATCAGAACTTAATATAACTGAGAATAGAAAACATTTTGGTGCATCGCATGTAATATATGCTTTGTAAAACTTTTCAATTACACACACACCAATACAAATATTTGGTTGTGATGCCAAATGTATTTGGTCAAAAGTTTGAAAGCCACTGTTTAAGTTGCTGGCCATCACCCCAACATCCCACCTGAAATACAGTGCCATAAAAGAAACATACTCCAGCTGAAGTCTTAGCAGTACAGAGCAGAGAAGGACAACTACCTCTCTTTTGCCCTAGACTCCTATCCTCATCAGCTCAGCCTGTGACAATGTCATGTTTTTGTTGTTGTTGTTGCATATAGATCACGCTGTTTGCACATATCAAGCTGGTGGTGAAGCTCAATTTGTTTCAAAAGGTACTATCACCCTGAAATTATATGAGACAGAGTGAGCCACAAAGTATCATCATATTATTAGCAGAAAAGGTAGACTGTGAACAAGACCCACATAAGTTTCTTATACTCCTTATTCATATATATAACATCATGACCAGTTTGAAGAAGTACAAACTTATTTTTTTATTATTATACCTTAAGTTCTAAGGTACATGTGCACAACGTGCAGGTTTGTTACATATGTATACATGTGCCATGTTGGTGTGCTGCACCCATTAACTCGTCATTTACATTAGGTATTTCTCATAATGCTATCCCTCCCTCCTCCCCCGACCCCCGACAGGCCCTGGTGTGTGATGTTCCCCACCCTGTGTCCAAGTGTTCTCACTGTTCAATTCTCACCTATGAATGAGAACATGCAGTGTTTGGTTTTCTGTCCTTGCGATAGTTAGCTCAGAGTGATGGTTTCCAGCTTTATTCATGTCCCTACGAAGGACATGAACTCATCCTTTTTTATGGCTGCATAGTATTCCATGGTGTATATGTGCCACATTTTCTTAATGCAGTATATCATTGGTGGACATCTGGGTTGGTTCCAAGTCTTTGCTATTGTGAATAGTGCTGCAATAAATATACGTGTGCATGTGTCTTGATAGCAGAATGATTTATAATCCTTTGGGTATATACCCAGTAATGGGATGGCTGGGTCAAATGGTATTTCTAGTTCTAGATCCTTGAGGAATCGCCACACTGTCTTGCACAATGGTTGAAGTAGTTTACAGTTCCACCAACAGTGTAAAAGTGTTCCTATTTCTCCACATCCTCTCCAGCACCTGTCGTTTCCTGACTTTTTAATGGTCGCCATTCTAACTGGTGTGAGATGGTATCTCATTGTGGTTTTGATTTGCATTTCTCTGATGGCCGGTGATGGTGAGCATTTTTTCATGTGTCTGTTGGCTGCATCAATGTCTGAAGAAGTACAAACTTATTTGTTCTACTAAAATTAAGTTAAAAAAAGGAGTATAGGCTGGGCGTGGTGGCTCACACCTGTAATCCCAGCATTTTAGGAGGCCAAGGTGGACAGATCACCTGAGGTCAGGAGTTTGAGACCAGCCTGGCCAACATGGTGAAACCCTGTCTCTACTAAAAGTACAAAAAAAGTAGCCAGGTGTGGTGGTGCCTGTCTGTAATCCCAGCTACTTGGGAAGCTGAGGCAGGAGAATCACTGGAACCCAGGAGGTGGAGGTTGCAGTGAGCTGAGATCACGCCATTGCATTCCAGCTTGGGTGACAGAGGGAGACTCCGTCTCAAAAAGGGAAAAAAAAAAAAAAAAAGAGAGAGAGAGAGTATATTGCCATGTAAGTGTATTTTCAGGTAGCCATTTTAGGATTACTTTGTCATAAGCAAATGTAGGCAAAATAAGATGGAAAACAAAAATCAAAGGAATCTTGCTGCTGAGAAGAGATAACTAGAATGTTTGTCTCTGGATTACCTAGCTTGGTTATTTAGATATCTGGGTTAACTAAATCTACATTGATCCAATTTAGTCAAAGCTGCAATTATTTGTGTATCTCATTAGTACATATAAATATCAACACAAGCATAAAGTTTCCAAAGTAATTATCTAAAAATTAAATAGACTATCCCTCTGAAGATTCACTGCTCAATTAAAGAATTGAGTTAAGGTAATCTCTCATGGTTTTCATATTTGGCTTACCCAATTTCTTGAGCATCTTTAATAATGTTTAGTACAGGCCAAATTCTTCCCAAGCAACCAATATGCTTCTGAAGTGCCCTCTCTCTTCTCATCTCTGGCTCTTTGAATACAAATAAGCTAAGTCAAAAAATTACTTTTCATTACATAAGTCGAAGAGAATTAAGAAAGTCAGTAGGTTAGGAAAAAGTAAAATTTTCTATTATACATTTTCACATCAAAGAGAAACAGCTGTTGGATGATCCACTCTTTGGTATTATCAGAGACATGCCTTTCTTACTTATCAACACAGAAATTTGATGGCGGATCACCTGAGGTTGGGAGTTTGAGACCAGCCTGGACAAACATGGTGAAACCCCATCTCTACTAAAAATACAAAAATTTGCCAGGTGTGGTGGCAGGCACCTGTAATCCCAGCTACTTGGGAGGCTGAGGCAGGAGAATCGCTTGAAGCAAGGAGGCAGAGGTTATGGTGAGCTGAGACTGGGCCACTGCACTCCAGCCTGGGTGACAGAGTATAACTTTGTCTCAAAAAAAAAAAAAAAAAAAAAAAGAAAGAAATCTGAGACCTGACTATAATGGTTTAAAGGTCCATTTCTGCCTTTCTCTCCCTCTAACCCCAACTCACAAGAGACTCATGCAAATGGTTTTATAGCTTTCCAATAAAATAGTCACACGATTAAGACATGATAGTTCTCGGTTACAGTTTATTCTTATATTCATATATGTTAATATGTCTAGTTGTCTGGAACAGTTTGAGAAAAGATCTCAATTAGCTGTATCGAAATGTTAAAATACTATTATTAGTAGTGGGAGAAGTTAGCTAGGAGGACAAAACTGTGCCCACAGAACTTAAAAAGCTACTAGAAATGTTCTTTTTCTCAGGTAGGAAATCTACCAGTTCAATTTGTCAGATCCCCGGTTACAAGAAAGCTAAATGGGACTTAATGCAGTTAGAGGTAGAGGTAATAAAGATTAACATCAAGGCTACAGCCACAGAAATGAAGCAGTTTTCATCAAGTTATGCTCAGAGACAGCTTATTTGGTTGCTTGCTTCATTTTTGCAGGGAAATTCCGAGCATCTAAAGCAGAGTTCGCTGAACTGTTTTCTTAGGCAAAGCATTTCCGATAGACATACACATTGATGTGGTGCTCTTCCTGCTGTTAGAACACAGATGGTACCTCTTCCACCCATGCCAACTGCCTCAATCTGATATAAAAAACATGATTCAAGCCCACTTAAGTGTATCCTTGAACAAACATTAGAGAATATTAGGGAAAACATTCATCCCCAGTGAAATATCCCTATATTGGAGACATGCCTGTGATTAAAAAATATTCTGCATGTAATAGTAATAAGAGTACAACATGTATGATCATATAAACCTGCTTTTGAAAGTTCTAATATTTCAGGATACTTGTTTCAGAAAATCTAAAGCGAAAACATTTCAATAGCAAAGTGCACTTTTAAGACACATTAATTAGGGCATGCATAGGTTATATCTTTGACAATCGAACACATACACAGAAAATCATTCAAAGGCATGGATAAAAGGCCCAAGAGACAAAGAGATAATAGACGTTTACTGAAGTAGATGGCCCTTGTCATACTCCATAGGAAATAAAAAATTTATATTGTTTCTAGCATAAGTTAAGAACTTATTTATACACTTAACAAATTTTTAGGAAAGTGGAAAATCGAATTTATTTATTTTTAATTTTTATTTTTTGTAGAGATGAGGTATTGCTGCCCAGGCTGGTCTCGAACTCTTGGCCTAAAGCAATTCTCTTGCCTCAGCCTCCCAAAATGCAGGGATTATAGGCATGAGCCACCATGCGCAGCCCCAATTTTAAAATTCAATTTTTATTTTTCTAACTTTCATTTGCTTTTCAGAGGTACATGTGCAGAATTGTTATAAAGGTAAATTGCATGTCACAGGGGTTTGGTCTACAGATTATTTCATCACCCAGGTAATACATATAGTACTTGATAGGTACTATACTTATTATACTTATTATACTTAGAGCCTCACTCTCTTCTCACCCTCCACCCCTAAGTAGGCTCTGGTAAGTGCCTACTGTTCCCTTCTTTGTGTCCATGTGCACTCAACTTTTAGCTCCCACTTATAAGTGACAACGTGCGGTATTTGATTTTCTGTTCTTGCATTAGTTTGCTTAGGATAATGGCCTCCAGCTTCATCCATGTTGCTGAAAAGGACATGATTTTGTTCTCTTTTATGACTGCATAGTATTTCATGGTGTATATGCACCACATTTTCTTTATCCAGTCTACTGTTGATGTGCATTTAGGTTGATTCCATGTCTTTGCTATGGTGAATATTGCTGCAATGAACATACACATGCATGTGTCCTTATGGTAGAACAATTTGTATTCCTTTGGGTATATAGGATTTTATATTCCTTTGAGTATATAGGATTGCTGGGTCGAATGGTAGTTATGTTTTATGTTCCTTGAGAAATCGCCAAACTGCTTTCCACAATGGCTGAATTAATTTACATTCCCATCAGCAATATATAAGCTCCCTTTTTTCCACACCCTCACCAGCATCTGTTAGTTTTTGACTTTTCAGTCATAGCCAGTCTGACTGGTGTGAGATGGTATCTCATTCTCGTTTTGTTTCACATTTCTCTAGTGACTAGGGAAGTTGAGCATAAAATTCTATTTTCAACATCCTTTTTAGACAATTGGCACATATTATTCCCTCAAAATTCCACTGTTCATATTTTTATATTTCCCTACTTTTATCTCGCCCTTTTTGTACTTGTTTTTACTCCTCAACAATTATTAGCTCAATCATATTTTGTATAAATGCTGGTAATAAAATAAAAAAGGAAGATCAGTATGGAAAAGAAGAGATTAAGTGAAAATGAGAAGTTGGAAAAGCTATTAAAGAAAAGAAAATAAAGAATACTTGTGGTAGCCATGAAATCTCCTCTTTTTTTTTCTGTGCCTCTCAGCATTCAAACTACGGGGAATATATTTCACTCACACAGCTGCTGGGCTCTGAAATCTATCACTGTATTTGCACTGAAGCCACACTTCTCATTACCTGCTCCTAGACAGTAACTGAATGAGGCAGGGATGTTACCAGCAGTGAATCCATATGGATCTGCAGCAACCTCAATTCTTGCCTCCTCAGAAGAAATAATTCGACCAAGGGGCATAAGGCAGAGGCAAGTTTTACAGCAGGAGTGAAAGTTTAATAAAAACCTTTGGAGTAGCAGTGAAAGGAAGTACACTTGAAAGAGGGCCAAGCAGGTGACTTGAGAGATCAAGTGCATGGCTTGACCTTTGACTTGGGGTTTTATTCACTGGGATTCTTCCAGGGTCTGCGTATCTTCTCCCCTGATTCTTCCCTTGGAATGGGCTGTCCGCATGCACAGTGGCCTGCCAGCACTTGGGAGGGGCCGCATGAGCAGTGTGTTTACTGGAGGTGTACACATGCCCACTTGAGGCATTCTTCCCTTACCAGTTGAATGTTCTTAGAAGAACGTCTTATGCCAGATAAACTTTGCCATTTTGCCTCTTAGTGCACATGCTTGAGCCCAACTGCCCAAATCCTGAGATCTTATTGGGAAGCTGCTGATCACCAGCTTCAGGCGTTTTCTATCTATTGGGAGACCGCCTTGCCCTGGTGCCAGCTGCGACCAATAATTATTTTAGAGAGTCAGCTTAACAACTGCCTGACCATCACCTGATGTTCACCTGACATTCCTGGTATAGGGAAGCCCTCTCCTGCCCTGCTCATGTCTGACTAGCTACCTACTGTGAGAGGGGTACTAATGCAAGTCATTCCTGGGAGAGGCAGGACTCCTCCGACACCTGGCTTTGGTTCAAGGATCCTTTGCACTGAGTCTCACATTCTTCCACTCAACCTTCTTCTCTTGCTCCTTCACAACGGTCAACCTGCATCATGATCTTTCAGCTCTGCCCACTTCTCTGGCAACCTTCACATTTTCCTTTATAGGTATTTTCCCTAATAACCCTCTTGCATGTCTAATCCCATTTTGGCATCTGCTTCTCGGGTACCTGAAATAGCACAAACGGTACCAAGAGTGGCAGGAGGGTGGAAAAAAGGCAGTAAAATGGGGACGTTAGACTGGCTCGCTCACTGCCCACGAGGGAAGAGGACACCATCCTGCATAGTAGATGGAACACGGGCACAAGGTGGTGGCTCAATTGCTACAGGTTTCCCCAGTGCTGACCTGGAAAATGTCCTAGTGGAGGGAAATGCTGTTGCAGGTGTGATGATTTAGGCATTTGCAAGATATGGGTATAATAATGCCTAAAAAAACAGAAGAGTTGGCTGGTTACTGATAAGCTATACATATGCGCTAAAGAGAGATAATGGGAGATTGTGGGCCTCTAACAAGCAGTTAATGGCTAAGTGTGATAACAACAAGGCCTTGGTAGTAGCTTACAAAGAGGCTCTTATCTCTTGCAGTGAAGAGCAAACAAAACTAAAGGCCTGATTGTTTGAGTTGCTGAGTCAGAGATATTTGAGTGATCAGCCAAGGCAAAATCAGCTATGTGAATGCTAGTACCCTGGGCAAGGAAGCCTGGTCCACTGATCTATGCAACGAGAAGATCTAAATAAAATCCCAGAAGATGTTGACTCTGCAGTCCTCTCCATCACCACCACCACCCCCAACCACACACACACCTTGAACACTCTGGGATTGCAGAGCTAGCCCCGCCTTCCTTAATAAGTGCCAGTGCTTTGGTTGTGCTTAGAAGGTGCTACAGAGGCTTCTCCCTTGCAAGAAAATGACGTCCCACTAAAGAACTGCCTTCACCTTCTCTCCTAACTGCCAGACCAATAACAAAGGTTAAATCCAAGCATCACCCAGATGAGGATGTGCTGGACCTGATAAGCAAACAACCTGGCTAGACACTAAACTGCAAAGATTAGCCTGTGTGTATCTTCAGGATCCAGGGGATCTATATGAGTATGCCTGGGATTGGATATTGAGACTGTTCTGGGAGCTAGAGTGTAAAATTGTATAATCAAGAGTTCATTGACCAGGGAGCACTTTCTTACCATGACATTGAACACCAACAAGAACCTCATGAGTGCAGGCATATATGTTACTGGGAGTATCTTAGAAGCCTGGAAAAAGCCATGGCCAATACTCGCCAATAAGGAAATACTTGAGTTGTCCTAACAGATGGCAGAGGTAGAAATAAAGGAACTGTGGGAGGGAGCAGGAATGTGAGAATGATAGAGTGAGGAGCTCAGCAAATCCCTTCCTCAAAGGCAATGATGACACTCAAAAAATTTTCAAAAACAGCTATTTCAGGACTCTGTCTATTGACCAGAGGCATCCCACAGATTGAAAAGCATTTACATAAGAAAAAGTACTGAACTTTGGCAAGAACAGGGGGGTCTCTGGTGTTGACCTCTCAACCACCCGGCTGCCATCACAGTAATTCTACCAGAGCAAGGCAAGCTGTGAAACCAGGAGCTCTACTGCCAGAGGGTACTGACTTGATTTGGAGTAGAGAAAAAGCTCCAAACCCAGGGGCATTGTCAAAAATAATGGCTTTCAGTGTCAGAGAAGGCCAATGTCGCAGCTGCTTGAGGCTGCAATACTGCTCGAGGTCATCAACAAAACAGCCCAAAATTTAACAGGAAAATAAGAGCCACAGTGGGCCTTGACAAGCTACCAGGTATCTCTGGTGATTTGGAAGGCTCTGCAAATGTGTAAGGCTGCTTCTACTTAGAAGAGACAGGAGAAGATCTCAGAGATCTACTAGTAGGCCTGATTGAATCTAAGATCTTGCACATGTGCAGAGAAGACAGGAGAAGACCCAGCAGAAAGTAAAACTTGGGGCCAACTTATAAACTGTCTGAATTTTGAAATTCTCCAATTTAGCTTCCAAACTGAATTTCATATATCAGTTTGCAAGGGTGGAAGCCTTACTGGCTCAAGTTGTTTAAGCAAACCTCTGAATAATAACTGGCTGTCCACTGTGCTTATTGATCCAGTCACAGTTCCTCGGGAGCCAAACTTAAAAAAAAAACTGTAAAACAAGAATTTAAACAATCAATAAAGACACTACAGAGAAGATAATCTCTTTAAAAATTAGTTCAGGCAAGTTACTAAACAAACTGAAAAGATAAGAAAAAGCAACAACAACATACTCCAAGGAGAATCTGTATTTCCCACAATATTATATCTAAATTGTCTAGTTTTCATCAAAATCTTACAGAACATAGAAAGGAAACAGAGAAGAGTGTCCCCATAAACAGGAAGAAAAGCAGTCTATAGAAAATGTGTCAAATAGGCCATGAAGTTGAACAAAACTTCAAAGCCATGGTTATAAATATTTTTATAAAAAATAAAAGGAAGCACTTCTTAAGAATTAATGAAAATATGAGTATAATAACTCATCCAATTAAAAATATCAATAGAGAGATATACATTTTCAAAAGAACCAAGTTGCAAAGTACAATAACTGAAGTAAATAATTTACTGGACATGTTCAATGGCAGATTTGAGATGGCAGAAGAAAGAATCTGCAAATCTAAAAGTAGATCAGTAGAGATTATCCAGTCTGAAGAACAGAAATAAGAATGAAGGAAAAAGAACACAGCCTTAGAGACCTGAGAGTCACTATCAAGCCACCAAAGTAGGTAGAAAGAGAGTCTCAGGAGAAGAGAAACTAGAAGAAAAATATATAAAGAAAGAATGGCTGAAAATCCCATATTTGCTGAAAAACATTAATCTGTATATGCAAAAATCTGAACGATCTCTAAATGGGATAAACACAGAGATCCACACCTAGATACTTCATAAGGAAAATGTTGAAAGCATTTTTTAAAAAACCTGATCATGGAAGAGAACTGTAATCTGATTACCAGTTGAATTTGCATCAAAAGCAATGGCAGACAGAAGGCAATGGGAGATATACTCAAATACCAGAAAGAAAGAAAGAAAAAAAAATCTCTGCCAAACAATAAGCATATATCCAGGAAAACTATCTTTCAAATATGGAGAAATAAAGATATTCCTAAAAGCACAAAGACTGAGAGAATTCATCACTAGCACATCTGACCAATGAGAAATACTAAGTAAGTCTCTCAAGCTGAAAGGAAGTAATGCCAGATGGTGAGTCGAATTCACATGAAAAAACAATTCTTCAGTAAAGGTAATGATGTAGGTAACTATAAAGACTGTATAAATACACCTTTCACTTTCTCTTACCTTATTTATGATACAATTGCATACAATAATAATCATCAAGTTATATGTCTGGGCTTATAACATATAAAGATGTAAGATATATGAAAATAATACCAAAAATGTGTAGTGAGGGAGTAGAACAATATTAAAGAAAATTTCTATATTTTACTGGAACTAAGTATTAATTGAATTAGGTTGTGATAAGATGCATACTCTAATGCCCAGAGAAACGATTAAGGAAATAATTATATATATATATATTTTAATCAACAAATGAATTGAAATGTTATACTAGAAAATATCTATCACAAAGTAGTAAAGGAGGAACAGAGAAATAAGACAAACATTTGACATAGAAAACAAGTAACAAAATGGCAGACGCAAGTTCAATCATATGAATAATTACATTAAATGTTAAAGGACTAAACATAAATCAAAAGGCAAACTCTCAGATTGAATTTAAAAAACACAATCCAACTCTGGGCTGTTCATAAGAAACACTTTTTTTTTTTTTTTTTTTTTTTTTAAAGACAGAGTCACTCTGTTGCCCAGGCTGGAGTGTAAATGGCGCAATCTCAGCTCACCGCAACCTCCGCCTCCCAGGTTCAAACGATTCTCCTGCCTCAGCCTCCCGAGTAGCTGAGATTACAGGCACCTGCCACCACACCTGGCTAATTTTTGTAGTTTTAGTAGAAATGAGGTTTCACCATGTTGGCCAGGCTGGTCTCTAACTCCTGACCTCAGGTGATCTGCCCACCTCCGCCTCCTAAAGTGCTGGGGTTACAGGTGTGAGCCACTGCACCAGGCCAAGAAACACACTTTTGATTGTAGTAAATTTAATACAAAAATTACTAGAGACAAAGGAATGTTTTGTGATAATAAAATGTCAATTCATCGGGAAGCTGTAACAATGAAAAATACACGCTTAATAACACAATTCCAAAATACTTGAAAAAAAAGCTGACAGAATTGAAGGGAAAAACAGACAATTCAACAGTAATAGTCAGAGACTTTAATATCCTCTTCTCAATAATTGCTGCACAGAAAATCAGCCAGTATATAGAAGACTAGAACAAAACTATTGACAAGCTAAACCTGGCATCTATAGAACCCCCTAGGCACCAACAGCAGAACACACATTTCAAGGGCACATGGTGCATCCTCCAGGACAGGTCATGCAGGAAATCTCAATAAATTTAAAAGGACTGAAATTATACAAAGTATGTTCTCGAATCAAAATGGAATTAAATGAGAAATCAACAACAGAAGGAAATTTGGGAAATTGCCAAATATGTGGAAAATGAATAATGCACCTACAAATAACTCACGGGTCAAATGTCAAATAACAAATCACAAGGGAACATTGGGTATATTTTGAATTGGACAAGAACAAAAATACAACATAGCAAATGTATGGGATGTAGTAAAGTAGTGCTTAGAGGGTAATCTATAGCTCAGAGCATCTGTATTAGAAAAGGAAACATCTCAAGCTATCAACCTAACTTCATCTTAAGAAAACTAGAAAAAGAGCAAACTAAACACAAAGAATGCAGTACGAAGAAAATAATAAAGATAAAAGTGGAGATCAGTAAACTAGAAAGAGAAAAATAAATACAATGAATGAAATCAAAATTGGTTCTTTGAAATGATTGAATAATAAATGACAACCTTTAGCAAAACCAACCTAGTCAAAAAGAACACATGGATTACCAGTCAGGAATGAAAGAGGAGACATCATCACTTAGCTTCCAAAAATTAAAAGGGTAGGTCGGGCTCAGTGGCTCTCACCTCTAATCCCAGCACTTTGGGAGGCCAACGCCGGAGGATTACTTGAGCCCAGGAGTTCGAGACCAGCCTGGGCAACATGGCGAAACCCTGTCTCTGCAACAAAATACAAAAATTAGTTGGGTGTGATGACACATGCTTGTGGTCCTAGCTACTTGGGCAGCTGAGGTAGGAGGATCCCTTGAACCAAGGAGGCAGAGGTTGCAATGAGCACAGATCTTACCACTGCACTCCAGCCTGGGTGACAGAGTGAGACTCTGTCTCAAGAAATAAATAATTTTTTAAAAAATTAAAAGGATTGGCTGGGCACAGTGGCTCATGCCTGTAATCCCAGCACTTTGGGAGGCCAAGGCGGGTGAATCAGCTGAAGTTGGGAGTTTGAGACCAGCCTGGCCAACATAGTGAAACCTCGTCTCTACTAGAAATACAAAAATTAGCCGGGTGTGGTAGTGGGAGCCTGTAATCCCTGCTACTCGGGAGGCTGAGGCAGGATAATCACTTGAATTCGGGAGGTGGAGATTGCAGTGAGCAGAGATCACACTACTGCACTCCAGCCTGGGCAGCAGAGCAAAACTCCATCTCAAAAAAAAAAATAAAAAATAAAAAATTGAAAGGATTATGAGGGAATACTATGAACAACTGTGTCCAAACAAATTAGAAAACAAAAAGGAAAAATTGGTAGGGGCAGTGGCTCATGCCTGTAATCCCAGCATTTTGGGTGGCTGAGGCAGGAGGATCACTTGAGCCCAGTGGTAAGACACCAGCCTCGGCAACATGGCAAAAACCTGTCTCTACAAAAAATACAAAAATTATCCAGGCATGTTGGTGTATGTCAGTAGCCCCAGCTACTTGGGAGGCTGAGGTTGGAGGATTGCTCGAGCCTGGGAGGCTGAGGTTGCAGTGAGCCAAGATTGTGCCACTGCACCCTGGCCTGGGTGATGGAGTGAGACCCTGTCTCAAAAATTAAAAAGGGAAAAATTCCTAGAAAAATTCGAACTACTGGAATTGACTAAAATAAAAATAGAAAATCTGAATTGACCTATAGCCAGTAATGAGATTGAATTAGTAATTTTAAAACCTCCCACAAAGAGAAGTCCAGGTCCGAATGACTCCACTTGGGAACTGTGCCAAACATCTGAAGAGGAATTAGCATTAATTATACACAAACTCTTCCAAAAAATGGAGGAAGAGGGAATATTTCCTAACACATTCTATGAGGCTAGTATTACTCTGATACCAAAACCAAAAGCATTATAAGAAAATAGTACTGCAGACCAATATAATTTATGAATATAGACACAAAATTCTCAATGAAATACTCCAGTGAGTAGCAGCACACAAAAAGGACATAGCCAATAGAATTTATCACAGAAATGCAAAGTTGGTTCAAAAATACAAAAATCAGTCATTGTAATACACCATATTAGTTGAATAAAGAAAAAAATGCTCATATCAATAGACATAGGAAAAACATTTGACAATATCCAATATCCTTTCATTATTTTGAAAAAACACTCAATATATACACTTGTACAAGTGCAAGGCATGTGCACTAAAAAAGTACAAAACAATGCTGAGAGAAATTACAGAAGATTTAAACAAATGGAGAAATTGTCTATGTTTGTGGATCGAAAGACTCAATATTATTAAATGGGAATTGTCCCCAAATTGACTCAATGCAATCTCTATCAAAATCTCAGCAGGCCTTTATTTTAATTTTTTTTTTTGCAGAAACTGAGACACCCTAAAATTTACATAAAAATGCAATAGAACTCTAATAGGCAAAACAATCTTGAAAAACAACAAAATTAGAGGACTTACACTTCCTAATTTAAAAATTTACTGTGAAGCCACAGTTACCAAGGAGGAAGATAAGTTGGTCAGTTAGTAATAGCTATCTTTTCTCACTGGCCAGTTTAGAACTGTCAGGATGGGCACATGAATGGAACAATGACATTGGCAAAGACAGAGGCTGCATATGGGCCCAGCAGCAAGATCTCCCACTCGCCACGGCCAAACTAGCTATTGCCTCTCAATGTCCAAACTGTCAGCAAAAGAGACCAACTCTATGCTCCTGATATGATACGATTCCTCGGCAATGACTTTAATTGGGCCCTCCTATCCGGGATAGGGCAGCGATTCATACTGACAGGGATAGATACATATCCTCGCAATAGATTTTCTTTTCCCCCAGCAAAGCCTCAGCCAGCACCACCATTCTGGGCCTTACAGAATGCACAGGCATGGAATTCCACACAGTAGAGCATGCAACCAGACCACTCAATTCACACTAAGAAGGATGTGGGGGTGGAACCGTGACCATGGGACCTACTAGATATGTCATACACCACACTATTCAAAAGAAGCCAGACTCAGACAGTCTTTTAGAGACACAGCTGAAGCACCCGTTTGGAGGCAATGCTCTGAAAGGATGGGGTGTCATCCTGAGAAATGCGGTGTATGTACTAAAGACCTCAATGTGATGCTGCCTTCTCCAGCTGGGTACCTCCTGGTATTCCCTTGCCCCATTCTAACTGAATAGGGAAGTACAGCAATTCCAGACTGAGAAGGTCTCAGACCGCTCAAGAATGAAGGTTTAGGTCACACCGCCGGGTAAGTCAGCAAGACCTGCTGAGGAGATAGCTAAGGAAGCGGTGAATTTAGAATGAATGGTGGAAGAAGGAGAGGATGAGGACCCATTCTGGCCCCAAGACCAACTGCAGTGAGTAGGGTTGAAGGTCATCCCACTAATCTCTCTCTTCTGATTTCTACTCAGAAAAAAAGTGCACAGGAACCATGGAGCAGCTGCTCCCTGAACCTGTAGTGGAGAGGTTGATCTTTGCAAAGCAATAGAAGGACTACTGCAGTCATGAGAATGCACCTTTCAGATCCTCATCAGCAGAGAGTGAGAATAACCAATAGACCCAGCTGCTGTGCTCTGAATCCATCACTACATTAAGGCTGGGGCTACACTTCTAAGGAATGAGAGCAGGAAGCATACTGAAGCGTGTATACCCTTTCTTGGAAGATACAGGCCTCCTTGGGCTATTAAAACCCTGTGAACGGCTTGGAAAACATTCTAGGTTCCTGCGGCCCAGAGAGTTGTGTAGCTCTACTGCACTGAGTCAGGATGACCAAATCTTTCAGGGTTCATTATTTTGCCAGTTTTAAGGACACTCAGAAACCAGCCCTACTCCTCCTTCCCATCTGAAGAAAACACCACAACCACCGCCCCCCACCACATAAATGATCTACATTTTTCTGAGATAACAACCATGTAGAGATGGTTCTCCGGGATCTAAAATTATAACACTTTTAAAATTATTTTTTTCTGTAATTATAAAATTATAGAAATTGAACATGATAGAGACAAACAATAACAGGCCAGAATAATTAATTCCACCTCTGTTGGTAAGCAGCTATGTGAGCTTGGGCAGGGTTCATGAACTCTCGGGCCCTCACTTTCCTCATGTGTAAAACAAGAAAGTTGGCTAGGTCATCCCTAAATCCTCTTTTAACTCTGAATATGATTCTGTGTACAACACATACGCTCTCAAGGTCAACCAATGGAATTACAATATCACACATACCCTTAAATGACCACAAGGTGTCAGAATGTGTTCATCTAACACTTAAACAGTTCTCAACAATTCAGCTTATTTTGCATCAGACTAGAAGACTAATTTTCATATATTTCACACGTTTCAAGTACCCTCATAATAGCCCTATCAAAAAGGTAAGGCAAGCAAAATTTATTCTGGAGATAATAAGGAGCCACCCATATAGCTTGCCTACACAATGATTAACCCTTAGTTTCTCCCAGACACTACATGCCTATTGTCTTTACTAAGTCTTTGTCTGTACTCTTTTTGTTTCCCAAATCCAAATTTTATCCATTATTTAAAAGCTATCTCTACCTATTCACAATAGCAATAATAATAATTGCATGTAAGAATGCAACGATGTTACTTTACTGAAGGATATGAAAGATGGTGATGATAAATGGAGAGATAGACTATGGTCTGGAAAAGTTAGTTCTCTACAGATTAATTTTAAACTAATGAAATTTTTTCCCAACAAAACTTGAAAATATCCACCGAATCACACACCCAGAAAAAAATATCAAGAATGGCCTGGACTTTTTAGCCTCTAGAAAATATTAACAAAAAATAAGAAATGGACATGTTCTACAAAAATATCAAAACATTTTAAATTACAGTCATTTTAACAATAAAATGGCAGAGGGCTAGGTAGCTAGATCAATGAACTAGAATAGACTTTTTGTTTTCTTGAGACAAAGTCTCACTCTGTTACCCAGGCTGGAGTGCAGTGGTGTGATCTTGGCTCACTGCAACCTCCACCTCCCAGGTTCAAGCCATTCTCATGCCTCAGCCTCCCGAGTAGCTGGGATTACTGGCGTGTGCCACCATGCCCAGCTAATTTTTGTATTTTTAGTAGAGACGGGGTTTCACCATATTGGCCAGGCTGGTCTTGAACTCCTGGCCTCAAGTGATCCACCTGCCTTGGCCTCCCAAAATGCTGGGATTACAGGCGCAAGCCACTGCTCCTGGCTCCAGAATAGAGTCTAGAAGCAGATCCTTTATATATGGAAATCCAGGATGTGATAAAGCTTCCATTTGAAATAAGTGATGAAAGGACTCAGTAAATAGCAATTGGAGAATCAACATTATTTGGAAAACTTTAGTTAATTAAAATCTGAACAGCATGCTACAGTGAATTCTACATGAAGTAAAGATCTTTAAAAAAGAAAAACTTCATAATAATAGGAAAGAATAAATATTCCTTATATGTGCTTCAGTTTCCTTTCCTTTATAAACACATGAATTAATTTTCTGTAAAGAAGAGATAATAATACCTTCCTCACAGGGCCATTATCAATGTTAGAAAGGCTGATGAATGGCATATCGCTAAATATATTAGCAATATTTAACAGTATAATAGAATCTCAAGAAATATTTAGTAAAACAAATAATTTTTTATTAGACTGGGAAAATACAGGACTGAAGAATAACTCACTTCCTCCAAATCACTCAGTATATAATAGATCCAGAATTTGTAACTGAGCCACAGTTAGAACCTGGGTCCTCTGTTTCAGCTCGGTTCTTTTTGCTGTAGATTCTCAAGTTTTGTAAATATTAGAAGATCATTTTAACACTGAAATGTTTCATTGACTTCCACATGATAGCTGTATCTGACCATTAACTCTTTACTGATATATTGCTACTATACATTTAGTAATGCTTTAAAATCAATTTCTATTTATTTAAACATAACATTTATGTACTTTTTTTCCCCCAAAACTACAGTATGTTTATGTTCCTGAGATGTTATTATTTAGTCCACAGTAAATGCCTGCTATAGCCCCTAGGGTAAGAATAACTGAACTATGGACAATGCTTCTGTTTGTTACTGCAGAGAAAGCACACAATCAGCAAAATCAAAAGACCGATTGCAACCTGTCAAGGAACAGCCGTGTGAGTCTACAGTGCTATGCTGTCTCTCAGTAGAGATCATAATCCTATACATAAAAAGGAAGCTCATAACCATTTGGGAAAAATCTTACAGGCCAAAGTAGTTCCACTTATGGCATCAACACAGCAATTTACTCTAATTAGCAAAACATTCATTTCTCGTAGAATAACAAGTCTTAATTTTTCTTCAGAAGAGGAGTATGGATCCCAACCTGGAAGGGGCATGACGTGGCTCCTTGAGCTTTGTGTAGAGTCAAAGGAAGAGTTGGCAGTGGCCGCAGGAGAAGCAGGGAAGAAGAGGAAAGGCACTGGCCAAGAATTTAGAGACAGGAGTAGAAGGGTAGAAAGGGGAGAAAGCAAGGAAGCAATGAGCATTTCAGGGAAAGAGGTGGTGTTGTGCATGATGTATATTTCATGAGAATTTCTTACTTCAGAATCCTTCCAGAGATAAATGCCTTTTTGAAATCTCTGAAGTTCGGGGGTCTGGTTCTATTTAACTGCTCTCATGTATCGTATCAATCCAATAGTGACTTTTATCATGTCATTTAATTTCCATACCTGTTTGCTCATCTGCAAAACAGGGAAAAACCACTTCCTCCACATTTAAGAGATGTACAATCCTAGAGTGCCACACAAATAGAAAGGACTGCTGTGATTCAAGGCATCTGCCTAGCCTGGGTTAGAAAGAAACAGGAAATAGAGCCACAACTATCCTTGCAGGATTATGCTGGAGTAGCCAAGGAAAAGAACTCTTCTTGGCCCTACTTTTTGGTGTGTAGAAATGTGGGGATGCTGGCATAATGGATGCTCAGATAGTTCATCCGAGAATCTGTCCTGACTTTTCACCACCCCAACTTATGATTGCTTCTGAAGTTCACACGCAGGTAGACTTGAGCCAGGAGAAAAAAAAAAATCCTCTCCTGAGGAAGTTAATTGTCTCCCTTTCACCCAGCTCCTCTGCACTTCTGTACCCCAAACCAATTCCATAATTTATAATTCAATTTCCACCCCTTCTCTTTGAGCCTTACTTTTACCTGGAAGACCTTCTTATCATAAAGCCATCCAACAACAGGTATTATTCTGAACCACTGGAATATTCGAGAATTTTCTGACAAAGATTTTGAAAAATTGCAACAAAGGGATATCATGGCACTTGTGAAAATTCCTGGCCTCCAATTTTGAATTATATCTGTGAAAGATGCATGGGCTTGGCTCTTGGATGAGACAGACATAGACCATATTCTTCTGGTACTATCTACATACACCTGCTATCCCGACAGAACTTTTTCACCTCTATTGCTCAAAATTATGATAATCTCTTCCATAAATGAGACATTCAAAAACACCTCAAAACAACTCTGCCTTGAGAAAAAAACATCACTGCCTTTTAAAGTAGACAGCAGAGGTCAGCAAAGCTCAGTCCATTCATCTACTCCTGCACAGCCTGGCTGACCGACTTTCATATTGCAAATTTCAGGCCCATTAGCAACCCAACCTCCCTTACAAGGATGTGCAAGATAATTGAGAGGTTTCTCCTAGATACAGAGATGGAACACTAATCGTTTCAGTATTAGTATAATGAGGATGAACAAAGCTATGGCTCTTGTGATTATGCGGTAAACACAAACAATGTAACAGACTTCAGGAGACATTATTTTCAAATGAATAGGCTCCTCCCAGAATTGGTCAGGAGCAGGTGATATAATATACAAATAAACACAAAGCATATATATACGTATCACACTTGAATAAGAAGAACACAATTAAGGAAAGCCATTTAAAACTATAATTGATAATTTTTAAGTAAATATGCCCTTGTAACCAAATGCAGATGGCAAACCCACTATACAGCTGACCCCTGGGCATGAAGAAGAAATAAGCAGGAGGTGCATTACATGCTATTAATTATTTTCACTGCTACAGTTGTTTGCTCTATAATATAGGTGAAGGGGTTAGCCAGAAGCTTCTCCTAATATATTAGTAAATAAATTTGAACAGATTTTAATTTGCTAATGGAAAGGTCTGAGCCAGTTGCAAATAAGAGTGAGGCTACTTTGTCTCCCTCATTAGCATGCAACCAGGCTTATCCTTCCCATTCATACAAAATGTTATATTTCCATAAAGTGTAGTGTAATTTGTCAGAAAAAACTCTGTAAACTATATTAGAATAAAGACAGATTTGTATGATCTGGTCATCCACCGCATAGAGTCTTTATGATAATTGCATGTCTAACACCTGCCTCCAAATAATACCGCCTATCAAATAATAGCACTCTGACTCTTCATAGTATGCAAAAATGACAGGGAATAAAGCGGCTATTCCTCTTAATGTATTTCTATATATCTATACTTATAGCTATAGCTTTTATTACTATTCACTAGTATGTTCCAGGTTTCGTTTGTTGTACAGGAGACTCTCCCTGCTTGGCAATTTTACTTCATTTACATTATGGATTTATGATGTTTTCTGAAAGCTGTCATTAAAATAACAAAAAAATCATTGTATGCTTTGTGACGAAAGCCTTAGCCTGAGGTGAAATGACTGTTTCGAGTTATGTATTGTAGATAATTTAATCTAGCTGCAGTTCATAATTTTCAGTGCCTCCTACCCTGATCCTCCCTTCAATCATTTATTAAACCCACTGAATCACAAACATTTGTAGGATTTACCTATCAAGTAAGGAAGAGCCAATATCTAAAGTTTAGAGCTTTGGAAATGAATTTTAATTCTCCATTTTCATCTTTATTCTTCTTCCCCACCTAGAGAGCAAGGGGCTGTACCCCCACCCTCTACCTCCTCTCCAACTGCAGGGAGCCCCACTGTGGTGGCAAGTCCTCTCAGGTGCTGGGGCAAAGAGGTCCCTCTGCTTAACTTTGGAGGCTCAGGAAGAGATGTCCCATAAAATAAATGGACAGTGTGGCAAGGCTGATCAACAAAAGTCTCTTTTTGAACAGATACATGTAACTGAAATTGGGGGAGAAGTCTACCTGCCAGGCTTGTGGCTTTGTAAGGGAAGGTCTAAAATTCACTGTCAAGGGGAAAGATTGTTAAGGAAAGTCAACAACAGGAAAAGCAAAACTTGGTATGAGAAAAACTGGGTTTATCGCATCTGATCATTTTAAAGAGTTGAATTGTCAGGAAAATCTCATAAGACTTCTCTCAGCCTTTCATTCTCACATTTCTATTGATGGCTCAAATCTACATTTCTACTCCTGAGCTCTCACACAAATAAGCAACATTGATTTAGTGTTTTATGGTTTTAGAAAGTGTTTTGAAGTTTCTTGTTGGATTAGACATTCACCATACCCTGTAAAGTTGGTAGGACTCAGAGAGGTGCAATGACTTGCTTGAGTCACAGAGCAGGGGCTCAGGTACTGGCCCACTGACTCTAAATTCCAGGCTCTTTCCACTCCTTCATGCTGCTTTCTTCTAACTTCAAGTAACTGAGAGCTCAGCTAGACTGAAATCCACTGCCGTGGGAAAGCCTAAGTGAGTGCAAGTCAACATTCTGAAATCCCTCACAGCATTTCTTCAACATTTTCCTCCCTCTTATCCACATCCTAGGCTGGGTCCCAAAACTACTAAGAATGCTTGGGTGGTCTTGGCCTAAGGACAACCCACTCCCCCCCCACCACCAACTCTAGCCCTCTCCCTGCAGAGTGGCAAACGTCTTCTCTCAGCAAGTGGCAAGCAGGGTTTTTTGTTTGTTTGTTTGTTTTTGTTTTTTGTTTTGTTTTGTTGTTGTTGTTGTTGTTGCATCTGTGATGGGAAGAGGCACTATTGTTCAAACTCTGTTTGGGAAGTGAGGAGGGGAGGCAGGTAACTATTGGATTGAGTGATTCCCTCACCTCTCAGGGGTCAGAGCTGTTTGGGGCATAGCCCAGCACTCTCCCAAATTGCTTGATATGAAAATGAAGTGAATTAAACTGAATTCCAGAGTGGATGGCATAGCAGACCACAAGATTCCCAGCTACAGGACCAAAGTAACCAATCCTACATCTCTCCCCGCAAATAGACGAGAAAGGCAATCACCATTTAAGTCCCTATCTACATTCTCCTAAAGGCATGTGATACAAGAAAACTCATCCTTATCACTCAAGAGACTTTTGGTGTCTTGATAAAGAACAAACCCATGATAGACCAAATTTTAAAGAGGAAGAAAGAAAAAAGAACAAGACGATGATTGTGCTCTTTAATGATTGCAACAGAGACAGAAAAATTAAATAGGTCCAGGTAACAAAACACTATTCTACTCAACAAGCACGGGGTCCATTCATCACTGAGTACTCATCTTTTCACCTGTTATTTCTTGCAAAAATAGAGGATCTTATTTTTAGTACGCTCAATTAATACATTTCTAGAACACCATTCATCATCATTTTGACAAAATACAATCCCCTGTAAAAAGAAACAATTGCAAGCAACAATAGCAGACTATCTCTGTTTGTAGTACTGGAATCTCCTCAGTGGTAGTCCTTTCTCTATTCTAAATAGTCACTCACACCATTTCATATTAAAATAACATGAGGAAATTCCTCCTAAGTCGATGTGAGCTGATAGCTCTCTTCCAAAAGCTACTGCCTGCCTATGTGTAATATAGACTCTATATTGTATTATAGACTTCAATGTTTGTATCTTTTTGACAATATTTTTCCGTTTTACTCAGTGCAGAGCTTTGGCAACCAGGCATAAGAAATGGCAGGAAGAAGTGTATATGTTAATCCTTACTAATTTCCAACACTTTCACTTTCTTTTGTGATGCAAAAAACAAACAAACAAAACAAACTCCATTTGGAAAGTGGTAGTAATAGAGAAGAATCAAAGGGCAGTCCCCTTAATTACAATAATGCCTGAAGGATTATTCAAACACAGGCCAAAGTCAGATACTTTTAATGCCAAATATCTTCCCTCTTTTGTGTGATGGGGAATAGAATCAAAACAAACAGAAATAAATACTAGCACCCTAAATTTTAAGGCATCACTTGTATAGGTTTCTTTCTAATACTATATGTCTGCTAACTGTGCGTTTCCAAGGAATACAGCCAGTTATTTTGAGCTTTGCTGATATTCCTATTATACAGATGAAATATTGCAATAAAGGTAGGAAGGACACTGAATAGAAAGACCATAGCTGAGTACTTACTTCCCTTTATAGCTCAGCAAATGCAAACTTGGCCTTGACCAAAGGAAGCCCCTGTCCGTGACATTCAAGGAGGGGAGTAAGCAAGCCTTTAAACCAAATAATTGATGTAAATGTAAGACTTTCCTCCCTCTTAGATAGTTGCCTCAACTCTCCACTTTAAATGCAAAGATAAAAACTATGTGATCATTTTAATTGCCAGCACTTGTAAAGTTCCAAGTCTCTCCCCCCATTTTTTTTGCATCTATAAAAACATGAGTTAATTTTCTGCATCTGATGATCTCCCTTGCAAGAGCCATAGAAAGTTTGCAAATCTAAAAAAAAACTTGCATTTTGGAAGGAAAAAAATAAAGCGTCAATGATAAATTTGGCATCTTGGTTGGTAGTTTACATTATTCAAAGCCTAAAAGAATCGTTCTCAAATCCTATAAAAGCAAAGATAGTTAAAAATTAAGCCAAATGGATTTTGCCAGTATATTTCCTGACACTGGCAATTCAGTAGTGTACAGAAACATATAGAGTAGGCTGAAATGAAAAAATATGACACATAGCCAGACTGCATTCCAGCTGCTTTCACTCGAAGGAAAGGAAAAAAGCTTAGAAAAATTTAACTGGGATAAACCCTCCTGACATCATTTTGTCAAAACGTTATGATGCCACTTTCAATGTAAATGCTATCTGCCATTCAAATCTAAAAGGGAAATATTTGTCAACTGTCTTCCTAATTGAACAACTATTTGACAAAACAGATAATTCACAGATATTAGTGGCAACATAGGAAAATTGAATACTGCTTCTGTTTTACTGTAGGATGTCAGAAGTTGTCAGTACTGGTTTTGTACAATTCCCAGCACACTAGCTGTCACCTCACTCTTATCTCCCCAATGTCCAGCATTCCAAAATGGAGAATTCTTGACTTATGCTATCAATACCTCCATGTCTTCTATAGATATTTTTAAAATTCAGTCAATTGGATGGAAAGTCTATTTTTTCTTTCTTTTTTTCCTGAAGCTGGGTCTCACTGTGCCACCCAGGCTGGGGTGCAGTGGCCTGATCATAGCTCACTGCAGCCTTGGAACTCCTAGGCTCAAGGGATCCTCCCAAAGCACTGGGATTACAGGCACATGCCACCAAGCCCAGCCTAAATGCCCACTTTTTTTTTTTTTTTTGAGACGGAGTCTCATTCTGTTGCCAAAGATGGTGTGCAGTGGTGCCATCTCAGCTCACTGCAATCTCCGCCTCCCGAGTTCAAGCGATTCTCCTGCCTCAGCATCCCGAGTAGCTGGGACTACAGGCACCCGCCGCCACACCTGCTAAATGCCTACTCTTAAAGGGCATGCTGAATTGTCTGCTTTCCCTTTCTTGAGGCTGCTTTAAATTAGGCAAATTACAGGTATATTATTTTACTGTCAAACTACAAATATTAAATTTAAGTTTTTTTGTCCACTAAAATGATACAAATTATGGTCAGTATTTTCACTATTTTTTAACCTGATCTTTTTTGCTCTTAAAAGAAAAAACAAAATCTGAATAGGCCAGTGTAGATTGTGGCATGGGTTGAAGCAGCATCTCCATACAGCCTCACAACTTGGATTTATAAAGGTGCAGAAAAACTTCTTCAGAGAACTGATCATGAAGGATAGGAGTCCCTCCTTAGAGAGTAAAGGAGTTATTAAAATTAAAATTACTTCAAATAATAATCATAGTGACTTCAATGCTAGATGTCATTTATTGAGAACAGTTACACTTTATTGAGTTCTTACCAATTTTGAGGTGCTGTACTAGGCACTGTATACATATTATCTCATTTGAGCCTCTCACTAACACATAAGTATTATTATTATTACTTCTATTTTACAGTTAAAGAAACTGAAACATAAAGAAGTTAAATAACGTGCCCAAGGTCACACATCTGCTAAATGCCCAAAACGGGATTCAATGGATAGTCTGTCTCCTTCCGCACTATGCCCCACAGCTTCTCTGATGGTAAGTATGCATGCATCCAGCATTGTGTGATTTGTAAAGCATTTTACACATTTATGAACATTTATGAAGTATTTCACGTCCACCCTTTTTTTTTTTTTTTTTTTTTTTGAGCTCTGTTGCCCAGGGTAGAGTGCAGTGGTGTGATCTTGGCTCACTGCAACCTCCGCCTCCTGGGTTCAAGCAATTCTCTTGCCTCAGCCTCCCGAGTAGCTGGGATTAGCCCACCACCGTGCCCAGCTAATTTTTGTATTTTTAGTAAAGACGGGGTTTCACCATCTTGGTCAGGCTGGTCTCGAACTCCTGACCTCGTGATCCACCCACTTCGGCCTCTCGAAGTGCTGGGATTACAGGCATGAACCACTGCGCCCAGCCAACATCCACCCTTTTAATGTTCATGTCACTTCTATATGCCTGCCAAGAGGTACCACAGCCTGTTTGAGCACCTTGGACACCAAACTCACAGCAGTGCACTGTAGAGCCTCTGGAATCCAGAGTCAGACACAACTGGACTCACATCCCAGCTTCAGTATTTATTAGCTATGTGACCTTGGGCCAATCACTTAACTTCTCTCAGCTTCATTTTCTTCACCTGAACGATGGGTTCCATAGTGTGGCCTTGCTGTCTCCACAGTGTTGCTACTCCTGAGATAATGTGCTTTGTAACTGCAAAGTGCCAGAATTGAGGTTCTTACCTGGGGTCAACAAATGGGCTGTCGAAGGTTTATTGAACCCCTTGATATTTTCTTCAAGCTTTGCTTGTATGAGTATATATGCAATATTTTCAGGAAAGACTGACTATAGTAATCATCAGATTGCCCCAAATAAAGTTACATTGCTACAGTACATAAACTACTCATTTTGTAGTTTGGGGCAACTAGAAGGGATAAGAGTTCTGTTTCCGACTGGGCCTCATTTTATGAAGGCAACTCTATGGAAAAAAGCATGTTACCACTTCTGCATACTATGCTTCCCAAGATTTAACAGTACTCTCTCTCCCCACCTCCACCCCCAACCCTTAGCCTCTCATTCACTCATTCATTCATTCAACATATATTAAGTGTCAAATATAAGACAAGCACTGTGCTAGTGCCAGGGATATGGTAGGGAACAGCACTCCCTGCCTCATGAATCTTAAGTGTCTAGTGAGGAAGACAGATAAATCCTGGTCTTGAGTGTGGGAAGAAAGTTCCAGGGATAGATGAAGTGTGGAGTACTACAAGAGCACACATGATTACTGTGTTTTTTTGCATAGGGAATGGTGGAGTCATTCTCTAGCCTAGTCATTTTTCTTCCAATGCACTTAGTTTGTGTAGATGTTTGTTTGTTTGTTTGTTTATTTACTTACTTATTTAGAGACAGGCTCTCACTCCATCATCCAGGCTGGAATGCAGTGGCGCAATCCTAGCTCGCTGCAGCCTCAAACTTCTGGCCTCAAGTGATCCTCCCACCTCAGCCTCCCAAAGTGCTGGAATTACAGGCCTGAGCCACCAAACCCAGCCTAGATGTTTCTTTTAAAATGAACCATAAATGCACATAGGCTCACTGTGATCGGCAATGCAAGTAACATCTCCATCACTGCAGACCCTAAACTTCAATTAATACAGCCTAACATCAAATAATTATATTTCTTCAATGTTGAGGGTCATTACTTTTTGCATTTTAATGTATCTGGAAGGGAGAAATAACTGCATCTATTTAATGTGTAACACTTTATGTTTTCCAACAAAGATCATTTTAGATCAATGATGCAAATGGCAATCAATGGCATATTTAAATGGTGAAAATATGGTAAATTCTTGGGCAATCACATCTTGCATTCTTGATTCATATATGATCAAGCACAAACTCTTTAAAATGTTTGACAAGGCCCTCAATGATAAGACCTCTGCTCATGGCCTCAGCCTCAATTCTTACTGCAGGCTGCTTGAGCCCTGTGCGCCAGGCCCTCCAAATTGCTTTCAGGTCCCAAATGGGCAGGTAGTTTCACATCTGTAACAGCTGTCTATTAGCATATCTTCCCCAACTAAACTCCAGAGCATGACAAAAGCCTGATGGAACTCCCTGTCTCCAGCACCTAGCTAATTTCCCACACAAAGGAAGTATTGATAACGTTTTAAAGAAGACATTTAATTTATGGTCTCACTGTTGATTAAAACTCCAAATCTTTTTTCACATGGTCACCGCTAAGTCCATCTCTTCCATCCTGTACTTGTGCAAGTGGTTTGAAGGTCTAGCTTAGATACAAAACCTGCCTATGAAACCTTTCCTAGTTATCCCAGCCAGACAGGACCTGTCTCTTCCCTGAATTTACTCCTAACATTTTCCACAGGGCTTCAATAATAGTTCATCAGCAAGCAGAAGCAGGTTTCACTAGAATAGGGTTTCTCAGCTGTTCTGTGAGCAAGGCACACCAACAAGTACTATATCTTAGATGACACATGTAAAGAGATCAAAGGATTCAGAACAGCCCAAAGCATGTGAATGATAATGGCCTTACAATGACTATTTATCTATGTTTAGGAATACATCCACACTTATTGCACACCCATCTGGCTGTTTGGATGGAACTACTTACTACTTTGATAGCAGTGCTCTCTCAAACATGCCTCAGACAAATTCTTAACATATGCCAAGCTCTGCACTATGTTTCCCTTGGTGCTGGCCTGAATTAAGTTCTGCCTGTTACTTCTTCTCATGGTCACTGGTACCCACAACGCCTCACTAATCCAGTTCATGCCTCATCTGGAAGACCATTCCCAGCAGCGTTGAGCCTCAGTCATAGTAAAAATAAGTGGTATGCTAATGTTAACTATGTGAGGTGACATAGTTACCTCACATAGTTAATTAGCTTGATTGTAGTAATTATTTTACAATGTACGTGTATATCAAAACGTCGCTTTTTTTTTTTTTTTTTTAAACAGGGTCTCTCTCTGTCACCCAGGCTGGAGTGCAGTTGTGCAATCATAGCTCAAGGCAACCTCCAACTCCTGGGCTCATGACATCCTCCTGCTTCAGCCTCCCAAGTAGCCGGGACTACAGGTACATGCCAACACGACTGGCTATTTTTATTATTATTATTTTGTAGAGACAGGATCTCCCTATGTTGCCCAGGCTGGTCTCGAACTCCTGGACTCAAGCAATTCTCCCACCTCAGGCTCCCAAAGTGCTGGAATTACAGGTATAAGCCCTTATGCCTGGCCCTGTACACCTTAAATGCATAATTTTTGTCAATTATACTTCAATAAAATTCGAAAAAAAATAAGTCAGTAAGTCACATGTTGATTATGTAGCTGTAATGGACGTGCAGTATACCAGTGTGCCACAGCACCCTGTGAGATTCAGTGTGACAGAGAATACACAAAGCTCACCAAATTCACAGCCTGTTTGATGAGGGGGAATGCCACTGACCTCAACAAGCTGAGAACATGTTTCCTGCTCCCATACTTAGGCATGGGGCTCCCAGCTTCCCAAGGCATATGCAAATAACCTAAGGCATCTCAGGTGAGCAGTCTTAAGCCCTTGAGTTACAGCCATGCATCAGGGTAGTCATATGATAGCAAGAGTGTTAAAGAAATACAAGTTAAGAGAGCCCAGAAAAAAATCAGTAGCAGTCCCCTTATCTGTAAGATGACATCATTTTTTTAAATTTTTTTAATTTATTTTTATTTTTTTTAGACGGAGTCTCGCTCTGTGGCCAGGCTGGAGTGCAGTGGCGTGATCTTGGCTCACTGCAACCTCCACCTCCCGGGTTCAAGCGATTCTCCTGCCTCAGCTCCTGAGTAGCTGGGATTACAGGCACGAGCCACCACACCTGGGTAATTTTTTGTATTTTTAGTAGAGAGACAGGGTTTTGCCATGTTGTCTAGACTGGTCTTGAACTCCTGATCTCAAGTGATCTGCCCACCTCAGCCTCCCAAAGTGCTGGGATTACAGGCGTAAGCCACCGTGCCCGGCCCTAGATGACATAATCTTAAAGGGCCCTCCTAGTCTGGGCAGCCTATGAGTCTATAGCACAGACTCATGTCATTCATCTCCGGATCGCTATATCCTAGCAGAGGGCTTGAGCTGAACACACGGAAGATGAATACATAAATGAAGTGATTTATTTTGTATTTGACCTTTCTTTATGAGACATATGACTTTGGCATTAATAACATTCATTCAAACTGTCTTTTTGAAAGTGCCAGGGATGGCTGGGCGCAGTGGCTTACGCCTGTATATCCCAGCACTTCAGGAGGCCGAATCGGGTGGATCACCTGAGGACAGGAGTTTGATACCAGCCTGGCCAACATGGTGAAACTTCATCTCTACTAAAAATACAAAAAGTAACCAGGTGTGATGGCAGGTGCCTGTAATCCCAGCTACTCGAGAGGCTGAGACGGGAGAATCACTTGAACCCGGAAAGTGCAGACTGTAGTGAGCCGAGATCACACCATTGCACTACAGCCTGGGCAACAAGAGTGAAACTCCGTCTCAAAAAAAAAAAAAAAAAAAAAAAGTGTCAGGGACAGGGACAGAGGATCATTCAAGGCCAGCTTAGGCTAGTTTGTTTCAGGTCTCATAAAGGACTCACACACACTCAGCTGATCTGTGAGGAAGTCATCTCTTCACCAACCAAGGAACTCTGTTATTCCTCTAGGTCACAGAGGAAGAGCAGGTGCTCAGCAAGAGTACTGAGTAGGTCAAAGGGAATATTATTTTACAGTGACAAATTCACAAATCCATGAGTTTGGGCTTAATGTGTAATGGAAAATTATCTACAAATGGCCAAAAGTTATCTGTGACTTCAGTAACCCTAAGTGGGAGTGCCGCTAATAACAGAAAGGAGACTCTAGAATATTAAAGAACAAACTAAGTCCTCTTCTGTCCCATATCTTTTTTGCCAAATGTTAAATATTAGCTTAAAATTATCAGGGCAGAGTTCTAATTTTATAATAGCTAGAGTGGGACTTTCAGTTTTATGCAAATAAGAAAAATACATTGTCTTTTGGAAAACAAGGTAGAATGGTCCAACTTATCTACCAGTCACTGAAAAATAGCCCTAGGGCTGCAATTCAAGAGAATTTGTGATTTAAGGCTTATGTGCTTGGACAGGGAGGATGGGATATGCTATCAAATGGCTAACTCACTGAAGGAGGAGGCAGAGACATGAGTCTCTTCTTGGTGGTGCTACCGTTCAACAACATGATGCTGCCCTTTCTTCTAGTAATAATATGAACATTGGGTAAACCCTTCCCAGAATTAGGAGGATTTTGTGAGAATAGGACCTACCAGGAAAAACACTTGTACTCCTTAAAGATGCGCCTGAGCCAAACGACTCTTGAGAATTTTGGGTAAAATGAAATAACAACACCTGCAGCACTGCAGAAGGCCAGTTTCAAACAGAGAATTCTCAAGTTCCTAGGAGTGTGGGGTCAGAATGTGGTAATGAAGGGAACACCAACCAGTAATACCCAGACCACCCCCTCTTCTCTTCACATTCCTATGTGGGCTCTACACTTACAAGAGGATTCTTACGTGCAGAGACCCTAGCCTGCAGGTTCAAGAGGCCCTTGACTCCTGCCAAGGCCTAGCGGTACATATGCCAGTGTCACGGTCCACCACTGGGAGAATACGCCCTGGGATGAGGCTCATGTATGCCCTGGAGGCAGGCTCAGGGCTGTTTGGGAGGAGAATTTCTGTGTCCTAGGTACCTGGAGTGGAGTATAGGAGAGGCATGGGCTCTAGGGGTGCTCACCTTCTTCATCCCTCAGAATCTCCTTGCCCCATAAGGGGAGTACAGGCAAAGGAGGGTCAGCATGGAGGCTTGCTAAGCATGATGCCAAGACAGGAGCCCCTCTTTCAGGGATCCCACAGCAGTATGGGCTAGAGGAACAGATATGAGTTTGCCATCATACAAGTTGATATTATTCTTCAGTATCCAATGTGCCACCTCAAACTACCAGGAAATAGCCTAGGCACTAGGGAGCACTAGAGAACACTAAGGAGTGTAAAGACAAAGTAGTTGTCATCTGCATCATAAGACATATTTGGATTAATTTTGGCTGCATGCAGGCAGGATCTTCTCTGAAATACAGAGTTGACAAAGTATGGGTTTGAGAAAAGAATCCCAAGTTCCTCACAAGGTGAAACGTAAAATTACCATACGACCCAGCAATTTTTTTTTTTTTTTTTTTGAGACGGAGTCTCGCTCTGTCGCCCAGGCTGGAGTGCAGTGGCGCGATCTCGGCTCACTGCAACCTTCGTCTCCCGGGTTCACGCCATTCTCCTGCCTCAGCCTCCCAAGTAGCTGGGACTACAGGCACCTACCACCATGCCCAGTTAACTTTTGCATTTTTAGTAGAGACGGGGTTTCACCATGTTGGTCAGGCTGGTCTTGAACTCCTGACCTCGTGATCTGCCCGCCTCGGCCTCCCAAAGTGCTGGGATTACAGGAGTGAGCCACTGCACCCGGCCTATGACCCACCAATTCTATTCCTATACATGACAGAATTGAAAGTATAGTCCACACAAAGATAGATACACAAATGTTCATAGCAGTATTATTCACAGTAGCCAAAAAGTGGAAACAACTCAAATGTCCATCAGCTGACGGTTGGATAAGCAAAATGTGATGTATTCATACAAAGAGATATTACTCCTAGAACACTGGGAGGCCAAGGTGGGTGAACTGCTTAAGCCCTGGTGTTCGAGACCAGCCTGGGCAACATGGCGAAATCCCGGCTTTACAAAAAAATACAGAAATATTAGCCATGCATGGTGGTGCACACCTGCAGTCCCAGATACTCGGAAGGTTGAAGTGGGAGGATCGCTTGAGCCCGAGAGGTCGAGGCTGTGGTGAGCCATGAGCGTGCCACTGCACTCCAGCATGAGTGCCAGGGAGAGACCTTGACTTAAAAAAAACAAAATGGAGGGAATTAAGTATTGATACGTGCTACAATGTGGATGAAACTAGAAAACATGATGCTAAGTAAAAGAAGCCATTCATGGCCAGGTGTGGTGGCTCACACCTCTAATCCCGGCACTTTGGGAGGCCGTGGCAGGCGAATCAGTTGAGGTCAGGAGATCGAGACCAGCCTGGCCAACATGGTGAAACCTCGTCTCTACTAAAATTACAAAAATCAGCTGGGCATGGTGGCAGGTGCCTGTAGTCGCAGCTACTTGGGAGGCTGAGGCAGGAGAATCGATTGAACCCGGGAAGAGGAGGTTCCAGTGAACTGAGACTGTGCCATTGCACTCCAGCCTGGGTGAGATGAGTGAAACTCTGCCAAAAAAAAAAAAAAAAAAAAAAAAAAAGCCATTCACACAAAAGACAGCACATATTATGATCCCACTTACATGAAATGTTCAGAATAGGCAGACACAATAAAGACACAAAGCAGATTAGTGGCTGCCAAGGGCTGGGTGAAGGAGAAATTAGTGAGTAACTGCTTAATTAGTATGGGGTTTTCATGTGGAGTGATGAAAAAGTTCTGGAATTTGATAGTGGTGCTGTTTACACAACTTGTGAATGTCCTAAACACCACTGAATTGCTCACTTTAAAATGGTTAAAATGGTCAGATTTAGTTGTATTTTGCCACAGTAAAAAAGAAAAAAGAATCCCATACTCATTTATGCAAAAGTACTGATGACAAATAACAGCTCACATATTTAAAATTTTAACATACTTTGAAAGCAGCTAATATTTGCCGAATTTCAACCATCTATCAATTGCTTTATATCTCTATTAATGCTCACAATACTCTGTACGTGAAGCATTTTAATCCTCATTTTAAAGATAAGAAAACTGAGAAAAGAACTGTTTTATCCAAGGTCACACAATTAGTGGGAGTGCTAAGATTCAAATTCAGATCTGAATGGCTCCTAAGTCTATACTCCTGATAAAGAAAGAGGCCATGTGGTACAATCTGGGGCATCCATCAGCACTTCAGGGTAGCTTGAAGGACAGCAGAAATCAGCCTACCTGGACATTCTGTAACTAAAACAGTGATCTCCAAACCTCTGTCATGTTTACCCCTACCAGTGATAAAATCTGAGCATGCACTCCTACTATGTGCGTATTTAATTATATGTATTGAATTTTATGCTTAGACTACTAGCAAATCACATATTAACTTTTACTATTCTTTTTTTAAATCAAAATAAATGTTTTAATATTTTCTTTCTACTTCCTGATGGATCATCTTACACTCCCTCAGGAGTGAAAGTACTCTATTCTTACTTTCTCTGGAGAAAAGCAAACCTTGGCTCTATTCAAAAATTAACCCACTTGGTCGAAGAACCATTATCAATGAATTCACACAGCCATCTTGCTAGCCTCTATGGATGATAACTCAAATAAACCAAATATCCTTCCTGCTGTCAAGTCACTCACCTGACAGCACCTGAAGTCAGTCACTTACCTGAATAACTCCTAACTCAGGCCAACTGTGCTAAGTAATATAATGGAGACACAGGTTAGCTTCAAAAGCACTTTAACAACTGGTTACTAAATAGTTTGAAAAATCAAGTTACGTCAATTTCAGATATAAGATATTTTTTAAACACCAGAAGTAATATGGATGCAGATAGGTCAGGTGTTAAAATAATCATTTATCCAAAATTTAAAATAGACCAGTTCTGGGTAAATACAGCATGGAATATAGATATGTGGGTGGGTGCATGTGTGTATCATACATAAGATATGCTACAACTTTGGGGACACATTGTTTACAAGTGATCAGATGCATGAATGTGAGAGTTTTACTTTAGAAAATGATTGTTAGCATTAATATGATATTTTTAGTCCTCTGGAACTTTTGATCATAAAATTATATGGTTCATTTGAGATGTGGCTTTTATCTTTTTCACATCACTGATAACTAAAACTCTTTTAAAAATATGATTGGGCAATTACTAATACATTTTAAGTAAATAAAGCATGCTATGTCCCATTTACCAGCTCATCAGAGAGATAATTTATAAGCCCTCGGAAATTCAGTAGATTTTAAAGAAAAAAAATTTCCAAATAAATACTTTCTCTGCTCTGGCTTAAAAAATAAACTCCAATGTGATTTATGAAATGTTCTTATTTCTGCAAGGTATTGTGATTTCTGAAATAATGAAGTGTAGTACTTGAAAATCACATTTAATTTACTCTGAGGGAAGCAAGCTAATGCCACGCGAGGTTGCTGGGGAAACAGAAAAGCTTCTTTAGGCCAGTGTTGCAGCAGAGAAGTAAGCTGATATTTCACAATTTATTCATGGTTATATCTCTAAACTCTCTCCTGATTTTTAGCAACATATTCCTAATTTTACATTAAATATTCACGTACCCATTTAATCTGGTCTTATTTTTGGTAGCTGATGTCGATTTGTAAAGCAAAAAGAAAAAAAAATTGGGAATTTAAGCTGCTCTTTATCACAGTCCCTGTACATTTTAAGTTATTTTCCTAAAGCCCAATTCAATAAAAAATTACATCCAGTTTCAGTACCAGAGAAGCTCATTTTGGGCAATGGAAGCCCATTTATCATTAAACTTTTAGATGAAATAAAATAAGGGCCCTGAATGTACAATGAGTCTAATTATTCAGATAATTCACAAAAGCCCTGATTTATGCTAAATACTTAGCTTTAATTAGCCATCAGCTACATAAAGGAAAAGGGGGGTCTTAAGATGAGTGTTGGAAAAAGGACTTATTGGGCAGCGCTATCAGTTGCTATCCCAGCACCCATTCCCCTCCCCCTCCCTCCCATTCAGAAAGAACCACCTCCCTCTCTATAACCTGAATGTGCCAGATTCTCACATTCTAATCCTCTCTTGCAGCTAGGAAGGGGCTATGTGACCATTGCTTATGTGGCCAATGGAAGCTGAGGGAAGTTGTCTGGGGCAGATTTTCCTTCATAATAAAAAAACAAAATAAGAAATGTCCCTTCTTCCTCTTCATTCAACATGGCTTTTCTGCATATGATGTCTGGAGCTGCTGCAACCATCTCACAAACAAGAAGAGAGATACCATCAACATACTGAGGATAACAGAGGAGAAAGATAAAAAAACTCATAGTTCTGATAACACTATTGAGCCACTGAATCAAGTAATCCTCCAACTACCATACCTCTGGATGTGAGGTATAAAATATTCTTGTTATACAGCCACTTTTAGTTGGGTATTCTGTTACTTGCAACCAAAATAATAAAAAATGTTGAAAATATGATTATTTTTTCCTACATATTCTGCAAAGCGACCAGATTGATTTTTTTTTTCATGAACTGGGACCATAAATCAGAAAGTCATGTCTGGGAAAAACTTTTAGAAATTATCAGGTGTGATGATTTTAAAGTTGGTGGGAGAATCATCTGTGAGATTTATTTTGCTAAGCTACATACATCCCCGCCCCCTCACCTCCACATAAGTAGATAATCACTGCTGTAGTAAGACTCTTCACTGATGAGATTATACCATCCCTGGGGTGTATTAGGGAAGACAGAGAGACTGAGAGGCTGAGAATGAATCATGACCACCCAAGCTAGTTCCATGGCCTCATTTAACAGATGAAGAAACTGAAGCCTAAGTGAGTTCTTCTAGGCCACTCAAAGAACTCTCTAAGAGGAGACGAAGTGCTCAGAGAGATTTATAAGAGGAAGAGAACACATCATCCCCAAAGGACAGACAAAACCAACTGACCTGAAAGACACTAATTGGGACTCATTATTTAATGCTTAGCTGCGAACATCTATACACAAACAACAGAATACTCTGATGGATTCTTTGGTCCGCTTATCAAGCTCCCCTGCCTATCATTCAAGGCCCTTCATGGTCTGGCAACTCTGGGAAAGTCTTGCTGCAATTCTCCCTACTCCCCACCACTCCCTTGCTCTTTAGTGTTCCATGAACAAGCCAGGCCCATTCAGCCAGCCCCCTCCCAAACCTGAAACCCCCTCCATTTTTTATTTATTGCCCATCCTTCAAGGTGTCATATAAACATCACTGCATGTTCATTTGATGGCATCACCTACAAAAATTATTTCTATAATCTCTGCCTTTATACATGTACAACATGGTACAAAACTCTACTCAAAACCTATTAACCTAAATTTAATTTAGAATTAAAAACAAAATAGAAGGGATATCAGGTAAAATTAGAATCCAGTGAAGTTGTTATCAATCTACCTAATAATATAATATGAAACACCTAATGTCTCTCTGAGGTTAAGGGCATCAAAAAAGGCTCAGAGCAAACTATATTTCATTTGGTTATATTGTATTTCAGTCAAAACTTGGAGCCAAATTATAGGAGGAAGTACAGTGAAAAGCGTGGAGCAACAATTAAACTGCTGACTTACAACAGCCATAACATCAGAGCTGAAAGTTCTTAGAGATCACTTTACCCACTGCCCCATCATACATATGGGAAACTGAGGTTCAGGGAGGCAATGTAGTTAATGCCTCATCCAGTGGCCCATATTATTTTGTCCCTTTTATTTTATTTTTGGCACCAAAGGTGGGATTTAGGACCTCAAGGATAGCAGCTATCTATAAATCTGAGATTCTTGTTACTGCTCCAACTATTTAAATTCAGTTTGCCTTGGCCAAATGCACTGCGTCTGGGAACCTTGATCTTTTTTCCTAACACGCTTTCCACCCCCACCCCACCCAGAAACTTTTCCTATTAACTCCTGTTTCTCATACTTTGAACACTGATGGCAACAACAGAAATAAGACATTACACTAATATAAAAACAAATAAGAGTAAAGTAGCTAACACGTAAAAAGCAGCTAACAACAGTGAACAGACAAAAGCTTCCCAGGTCCCCAGTGATACAAAACTCCAAGCATTATGGAACACAACACAAAGTGGCATTACTCTGATCTTAGTCTCAGGTGCGGGTAAATTTAAATTATACAAACAAAAGCAGTATGGCTTTGCAAAGCATTTACCGTACTAAAGATCAAGAAACTGGTTTCACAATGATTTAAGCTTTGAATTTGTTTTGAAGTGGTTTGAGCTTGTTGCAAAAAATGTTTACAGAAGAAACCTCTCTTGGCTGCTATCGGGAATTAGGGAAGCTGTGCTCTTTGGAGCTGCATGGAGAAGTTGGCTACCTGAGGAGCAAGGGGAAGAAATGTTATAACTTAAGGGAGTGGGGGACAGTGGAAAATGAAATTCAGTACTGGAGCATCAGAGTTCAGGCCAGAAAACCTAAGTCCTGATCTGGTACTTGGGTATAGTGCACACAGTTGGTTTTGCCAACCCAGAATCCATTCCATCCTTTTTATTTCCCTTTGGCAAGTTCCTCTTCCCTCACTTTCAGCTTGTGGATTTCCAGTGGGACTGGTCATTCTCATCTCTAGAATAACCATATAACTTATCTTCAAACTGGGACATTTTTAGAGTAACTTTTAAAAATTATAATTATATAATTTTTGAAATATGTATTTACTGACCAACAAATTAATTTTATTAAATTAGTGGGCCTATAAAATAGTTCTATTCAAACTTGTTTTCAAAAATTTTTTTTGAAAAAATAAAACGTATGCATGACCATTAGAATAAAATGGGGGATATTCTTTATGTTGATTTTCTAACTATTAAACATAAAAAGCAGAATAATTATTCTTCATACACCATTAAATACTTCAATCAATTTCTTAACGATATCTGTCTCTCGTACAATGTCAAGGGTATTCCTAAAGAATTGATAATTTGATCATTTTTAATGTTTTCATAAAATTGCCTATACTGTTCTTCCGAATTGCATTTTAAGTTCAGTAAATATGAAATTTAAAAAAAAAAAGACTAAAAGAAACTGATCTCAATTCTGGATTCTGGTTACAGCTCTACATCTGGCTTGTTTATGACCTTGATTAACAGTTTTACTCTTGTAAAATGAGAAGGTTGGTCTAAACTGATGTTTTTCAAACTAGCTGCTGCAGACGCATTAGAGGAGATGGTTTGTCTGTTATTATTAGAATATTCTATTTTTGTATTTTCATTTCTATAATAACTTACTTAAAATTTTCCAAAGGTACATTTTTATAATCAAGTACTACCATGCTATTTTTCTGCCCACTTATATGTTTGCGTTAACAGTTGAATTGACACCAAGTAGAGTGTTGTTGTAATTGTTAGAAGCTAGACAAAAAATCCCACAAAAGGGGACATGTTAGACAAAAGTTGTGTTCCTGCGAAAGAAAGACCCTGTATACAATGCAGGTGTCCTTTGACTCAAAGAAAAAGGTGGAAGAAGGGAATTATCACATGTGTTCTAAGGAGTTTATAACTAGTTTTATGTGTATTACTTAAAATAAATATCTATACAAATATCTTACATTTTACATTACACATTTCATTATGTAACTTTACATTCTTATTTTGACAGCATTCAAAATGTAATTCAAGTCTACGCTGGGGATCAATAAGATTCTTTTCCCCTTTAAAAGAGGTTTCTACATTACTCAGTTGAGAAAAACAGGCTTAGATGATCTCTCAGCCTCTTGTGGCTGTGATGTTCCACGAGTCTATTAGGAGAACTGACTCAAAGATCTTATGTACAGAGCCCAAGTGAATCAAATTGGAGAATTAAGCAATATCCAATGAACATTCTCCTTCTTTTAGCATATCATCCAAAAATTCAGACTAGAAGAATGGCTTTTCCAAGTTTTCCAATTAGAGACAATACCTAAAATTACAAACCAAACTGGAAAAATAGCAGTGTTATAAATGGGCCAGTTTTTAGAGTTGGTTGAAATTTCTTTAGCAGTCATCCAGGTGTCATTTTTCATGAAGGACAAATGCTTGACACACTGCACCTGGCACAGAAAGCATTTAAGAGGCAGAGAAGGAGGCAGGAGGTTTCCCCTTCCTATTTCAAAATCTGCAACGTCTTCTGATGAAGTTTGTTATTTTTTGAAAAATTTAAATGGAAAACTCAATATTGGAAACCATGAAGGCAACATTTTTGTTTGTGAATTACTCAGTCATTCATGTGAGAAAGAGTGTCTTGCCTTTTTCCTCCTCATTCGTCACACGGAGACCCTGCATCTGGCTACATCCCTGACGAGTAATATTTTTTATAATGTTCTTATAAGTGATTGCTTGCAGCATCTTATAGTCTTATCTCAGCTTGTGCAGCTTCTCATTAATATTCTGTACATATGGGAGAGTTTTCTATATCATTGTCCATTAACAAGGAGAATAATCACTCATTCAGTTATCAAGCAGTCAGCAAAGACCTGGCCTTGCGCCCTTAGTGCAAAGAATTATGGGATATCAAGAAGGTTAAATGTGGTTGACATTATGATAGTTTCATTTTTTATATAATTAGAGCTCTATACCAAAGCTGACCAAAGATAAGCAAAGAAGTATTGAAGTCTTTTAGGGCTAAGATTATTATAAGATTATTATTATATTAGTGACTCTTTACCTCTTAGTAGAACGACAAAACACATATTTCGGCTGATACATACCAATGATCATGCTTTTATGGCAAACAAGAAAAGGCCCTAAGTTTACATGTAAGTGACATATTATTACAAAATAGCTTTTAAAAGGATGTGAGTTAAGTGATACTAAGAAAATTCAAAATTGAAACAAAACCAAGCATAAGGTGAGAGATATAAAACAGCTAACTTACTGAACTGCCATCAGAGGCCAAAGGTTCAGAACAACTCAACTCAAAACAAAACGACAAAACATTCCCCACTGAACCTTTGTAGTAGTCATTTAGCCATTCGGTCCTTTCTCATTTCCATAATCAAAGAATCTCTGTATAGACACCTGGTGTGTGTGTATATATATATGTGTGGATATATAAGAACATAACACTTATATGTAATGTATATACTATATTATATGTTATACATGTATAGATACATGTATCATACATAACATATATGATAAGTATGATATATGGTATACATACACGTGTGTCACATATACATATATATGTATACACATATAGTACACATATGTGCGTGTGTGTTTATATATAAATTTCAGACTTGGATTTATATGTATGTGTGTGTATATACACATATAATATTATATATAAATTATTTATTGTCAGCAATACTAGAAGGAAGAAAAAGGCAACCAGACTTTTAAGTTTGTATGCCTCTACATAGGTGATGTGATTTCAGATATAGCTAAAATTCAGATTTCAGAGCAGGATGGCAACAACTTAGTTGTCAATGGCCTCCCTAAGAGGCCACTCTCTCCAGCTGAGGTGATAAAGACCTGGGAAAAGGAGTGGCCATGGGGAATGGACAGGAAGGGGCAAATCCAATAGTTACAGCAAAAGAACAAATGATGGGATCTAGAGACAGATTGGCCATGGGAATGAAGAAAGGTGATATCTCAGAGTGGGAGAATCTCTGACCATACAAGAGCAAGATGTGAATTCCCTTTCCTCTCTCACTTTATACTTGTGTTATCTTGAGCAATTCTTTTAAAATGTTCGAAAACCGTTTCCTTGTATAAAAAATGGGAATAACCATATCAATTCTGGGGTAAGAATCAGATAAGCTCATGTAAATGAAAACACTTTTCAAAATTCATAATCTTAAATGATGTAGGAGAGAACCGTGATGACCCCACAATGTATACTAGGGTAAGTTGATAAGAGGAACACGTCTGGATACAGAGGAAGTGATGAGTTTGAAGGTGCTGGTGGGAAAAGTGTTCTTTATCACCTACATTCCTATTCAGAACTAGGTTATATAAATAAAAGCTGGAGTACAGTCTTCCATGTAGGCAAGCTCTCCGTTAGTGTCCTCAAAGTTGAAAGATGTTGGTACCTGGAAGAAGAGGGAAGATAATGACTGATGGCACTGCCAGATGTCCCTGAAACCATACCATGTGCATAAAAGTCTTTGTTGAGCCTGGGCAAGGCTAGGGGTTCTATCTCCCAACCGTCTTGTTTCTGAGTCTTTCCAGGTTCTCTCTAGGTCTCTTTGGTGCTACCAAAGTAGAACAAATTATATCTGGAGTTCAGGTTCCCAGGCAGTAAAAACATGGGCAGAGGAAGGCAGGGCTGAGAAACTCAAGGCCTAGGTCAGAATGAATTTCAGCAAATGGCATATCTCCACAAAACTTTTTATATGGCAAAGCAATGCACCAGAAATAATCCATATCAATTCCCCAAAGCAATCAGCCTTGAGAACCATTCCTCCTCTACTATGGCAATTGAAAGACTTCAGATGTCAGTCCGTAAATAGCCCCAGCCCTGAGAATAAATACATACAAGAGAAGACCCATAAATAATGGATCCTTAGACTCAAACCAGACAACCATAAAGTGGACCAAAGGAAACTCTCAATGAGGGGTTATATGCAGAAAGCAGAAAGCAGACTAGGAGGGGAAGATATTTTTGCAACATGCACAGTCCACATCCACAAAGTCTCTGTGAAAAAATGGATGACACAGGCCGGGCACGGTGGCTCACGCCTGTAATCCCAGCACTTTGGGAGGCCCAGGTGGGCGGATCACATGAGGTCAGGAGTTTGAGACCAGCCTGGCCAACGTGGTGAAACCCAGTCTCTACTAAAAATACAAAAATTAGCCGGATGTGGTGGCGGGTGCCTATAATCCCAGCTACTCGGGAGGCTGAGGCAGGAGAATCGCTTGAACCCGGGAGACAGAGGTTGCGGTGAGCCAAGATCGCACGACTGCAGTCCAGCCTGGGTGACAGAGCAAGACTCTGTCTCAAAAAAAAAAAAAAAAAAAGAAGTTATTGGTAAGGAATAATATATTTTCTTTATAGACATAAACAGAGATGGTAGCTTCCATGTTTTTTCCTAAACTTACTCTGAACTGGATGTTCAAGGGTGTCCTCACTAAATATTGTGTCAAATACCTATGACATGGGATGTAAGAATTGTGTAATAAATTATGAGAGAATAGCATCTGATTTTATGAATTAGAATTGGATTTCTTGCCATATCGTACTCAAAAGTAGCTCTCTGGAATATCAAAATATAAACTGAGTTAACTGAGTAATCTTAGGTAATTATGCCCTCAGGTCCTTTCTCTGGACCTGATTGTGTTTTCTTTCCTTGTTATTTATTTATTTATATCTTTTTAAATTATACTTTAAGTTCTAGGGTACATGTGCACAAAGTGCAGGTTTGTTACATATGTATACATGTGCCATGTTAGTGTGCTGCACCCATTAACTCGTCATTTACATTAGGTATTTCTCCTAATGCTAACCCTCCCCCCTACGCCCACCCCACGACAGGCCCTGGGTGTGTGATGTTCCCCACCCTGTGTCCAAACGTTCTCATTGTTCAATTCCCACCTATGAGTGAGAATATGCGGTGTTTGGTTTTCTGTCCTTGTGACAGTTAGCTCAGAATGATGGTTTCCAGCTTCATCCATGTCCCTACAAAGGACATGAACTCATCCTTTTTCATAGCTGCATAGTATTCCATGGTGTATATGTGCCACATTTTCTTAATCCAGTCTATCACTGGTGTACATTTGGGTTGGTTCCAAGTCTTTGCTATTGTGAATAGTGCCGCAATAAACATACATGTGCATGTGTCTTTATAGCAGCATGATTTATAATCCTTTGAGTATATGCCCAGTAATGGGATGACTGGGTCAAATGGTATTTCTGGTTCTAGATCCTTGAGGAATCGCCACACTGTCTTCCACAATGGCTGAACTAGTTTACACTCCCACCAACAGTGTAAAAGCGTTCCTATTTCTCCACATCCGCTCCAGCACCTGTTGTTTCCTGACTTTTTAATGATCGCCATTCTAACTGGTGTGAGATGGTATCTCATTGTGGTTTTGATTTGCATTTCTCTGATGGCCAGGGATGATGAGCATTTTTTCATGTGTCTGTTGGCTGCATAAATGTCTTCTTTTGAGAAGTGTCTGTTCATATCCTTGGCCCACTTTTTGATGAGGTTGTTTGATTTTTTCTTGTACATTTATTTAAGTTCTTTGTGGATTCTGGATATTAGCCCTTTGTCAGATGGGTAGATTGCAAAAATTTTCTCCCATTCTGTAGGTTGCCTGTTCACTCTGATGGTAGTTTCTTTTGCTATGCAGAAGTTCTTTAGTTTAATTAGGTCCCATTAGTCAATTTTGGCTTTTGTTGCCATTGCTTTTGGTGTTTTATTCATGAAGTCCTTGCCCATGCCTATGTCCTGAATGGTATTGCCTAGGATTTCTTCTAGGGTTTTTATGGTTTTAGGTCTAACATTTAAGTCTTTAATCCATCTTGAATTAATTTTTGTATAAGGTGTAAGGGAGGGATCCAGTTTCAGCTTTCTACATATGGCTAGCCAGTTTTCCCAGCGCCATTTATTAAATAGGGAATCCTTTCCCCGTTTCTTGTTTTTGTCAGGTTTGTCAAAGATCAGATGGTTGTAGATGTGTGGTATTATTTCTGAGGGCTCTGTTCTGTTCCATTGGTCGATATCTCTGTTTTGGTACCAGTACCATGCTGTTTTGGTTACTGTAGCCTTGTAGTATAGTTTGAAGTCAGGTAGTGTGATGCCTCCAGCTTTGTTCTTTTGGCTTAGGATTGACTTGGCAATGTGGGCTCTTTTTTGGTTCCATATGAACTTTAAAGTAGTTTATTCCAATTCTGTGAAGAAAGTCATTGGTAGCTTGATGGGGATGGCATTGAATCTATAAATTACCTTGGGCAGTATGGCCATTTTCATGATATTGATTCTTCCTGTACATGAGCATAGAATGTTCTTCCATTTGTTTGTGTCCTCTTTTGTTTAGTTGAGCAGCGGTTTGTAGTTCTCCTTGAAGAGGTCCTTCACATCCATGTAAGTTGGATTCCTAGCTATTTTATTCTCTTTGAAGCAATTGTGAATGGGAGTTCACTCATGATTTGGCTGTTTGTCTGTTAATGGTGTATAGGAATGCTTGTGATTTCTGCACATTGATTTTGTATGCTGAGACTTTGCTGAAGTTGCTTATCAGCTGAAGGAGATTTTGGGCTGAGACAATGGGGTTTTCTAAGTATACAATCATGTCGTCTGCAAACAGGGACAATTTGACTTCTTCTTTTCCTAATTGAATACCTTTTATTTCTTTCTGCTGCCTGATTGCCCTGGCCAGAACTCCCAACTCTATGTTGAATAGGAGTGGTGAGAGAGGGCATCCCTGTCTTGTGCCAGTTTTCAAAGGGAACGCTTCCAGTTTTTTCCCATTCAGCATGATATTGGCTGTGGGTTTGTCATAAATAGCTCTTATTATTTTGAGATACATTCCATTGATACTTAGTTTATTGAGAGTTTTTAGCATGAAGGGCTGTTGAATTTTGTCAAAGGCCTTTTCTGCATCTATTGAGATAATCATGTGGTTTTTGTCCTTGGTTCTGTTTATATGATGGATTATGTTTATTGATTTGCATATGTTGAACCAGCCTTGCATCCCAGGGATGAAGCCAACTTGATCCTGGTGGATAAGCTTTTTGATGTGCTGCTGGATTCGGTTTGCCACTATTTTATTGAGGATTTTTGCATCTATGTTCATTAGGGATATTGGTCTAAAATTCTCTTTTTTTGTTGTGTCTCTGTCAGGATTTGGAATCAGGATGATGCTGGCCTCATAAAATGAGTTAATGGGGATTCCCTCCTTTTCTGTTGATTGGAATAGTTTCAGAAGGAATGGTACCAGCTCCTCTTTGTGCTTCTGGTAGAATTTGGCTGTGAATCCATCTGGTCCTGGACTTTTTTTTTGTTGGGTAGGCTATTAATTATTGCCTCAATTTCAGAGCCTGTTATTGGCCTATTCAGGGATTCACCTTCTTCCTGGTTTAGTCTTGGGAGGGTGTATGTGTCCAGGAATTTATCCATTTCTTCTAGATTTTGTAGTTTATTTGTGTAGCGGTGTTTATAGTATTCTCTGATGGTAGTTTGTATTTCTGTGGGATCGGTGGTGATATCCCCTTTATCATTTTTTATTGCATCTATATGATTCTTCTCTTTTCTTCTTTATTAGTCTTGCTAGCAGTTTATCTATTTTGTTGATCTTTTCAAAAAACCAGCTCCTGGATTCATTGATTTTTTGAAGGTTTTTTTTTTGTGTCTCTATCTCCTTCAGTTGTGCTCTGATCTTAGTAATTTCTTGCCTTCTGCTAGCTTTTGAATGTGTTTGCTCTTGCTTCTCTGGTTCTTTTAATTGTGATGTTAGGGTGTCAATTTTAGATCTTTCTTGCTTTGTCTTGTGGGCATTTAGTGTTATAAATTTCCCTCTACACACTGCTTTAAATGTGTCCCAGAGATTCTGGTATGTTGTGTCTTTGTTCTCGTTGGTTTCAAAGAACATCTTTATTTCTGCCTTCATTTCGTTATGTACCCAGTAGTCATTCAGGAGCAAGTTGTTCAGTTTCCATGTAGTTGTGCGATTTTGAGTGAGTTTCCTAATCCTGAGTTCTAGTTTGATTGCACTGTGGTCTGAGAGACAGTTTGTTATAATTTCTGTTCTTTTACGTATGCTGAGGAGTGCTTTACTTCCAACTATGTGGTCAATTTTGGAATGAGTGTGATGTGGTGCTGAGAAGAATGTATATTCTGTTGATTTGGGGTGGAGAGTTCTGTAGCTGTCTATTAGGTCTGCTTGGTGCAGAGCTGAGTTCAAGTCCTGGATATCCTTGTTAACTTTCTGTCTCATTGATCTGTCTAATGTTGACAGTGGGGTGTTAAAGTCTCCCATTATTATTGTGCAGAAGTCTAAGTCTCTTTGTAGGTCTCTAAGGACTTGCTTTATGAATCTGGGTGCTCCTGTATTGGGTGCATATATATTTAGGATAGTTAGTGCTTCTTGTTGAATTGATCCCTTTACCATTATGTAATGGCCTTCTTTGTCTCTTTTGATCTTTGTTGGTTTCAACTCTGTTTTATCAGAGACTAGGATAGCAACCCCTGCTTTTTTGTGTTTTCCATTTGCTTGGTAGATCTTCCTCCATCCCTTTATTTTGAGCCTATGTGTGTCTCTGCATGTGAGATGGGTCTCCTGAATACAGCACACTGATGGGTCTTGACTCTTTATCCAATTCGCCAGTCTGTGTCTTTTAATTGGGGCATTTAGCCCATTTACATTTAAGGTTAATATTGTTATGTGTGAATTTGATCCTGTCATTATGATGTTAGCTGGTTATTTTGCTCGTGAGTTGATGCAGTTTCTTCCTAGCATTGATGGTCTTTACAATCTGGCATGTTTTTGCAGTGGCTGGTACTGGTTGTTCCTTTCCATGTTTAGTGCTTCCTTCAGGAGCTCTTGTAAGGCAGGCCTGGTGGTGACAAAATCTCTCAGCATTTGCTTGTCTGTAAAGGACTTTATTTCTCCTTCACTTATGAAGCTTAGTGTGGCTGGATATGAAATTCTGGGTTGAAAATTCTTTTCTTTAAGAATGTTGAATATTGGCCCCCACTCTCTTCTGGCTTGTAGAGTTTCTGCCGAGAGATCAGCTGTTAGTCTGATGGGCTTCCCTTTGTGGGTAACCCAACCTTTCTCTCTGGCTGCCCTTAACATTTTTTCCTTCATTTCAACCTTGGTGAATCTGACAATTATGTGTCTTGGGGTTGCTTTTCTCGAGGAGTATCTTTGTGGCGTTCTCTGTATTTCCTGAATTTGAACGTTGGCCTGCCTTGCTAGGTTGGGGAAGTTCTCTTGGGTAATATCCTGAAGAGTGTTTTCCAACTTGGTTCCATTCTCCCCATCACTTTCAGGTACACCAATCAAACATAGATTTGATCTTTTCACATAGTCCCATAATTCTTGGAGGCTTTGTTCATTTCTTTTTACTCTTTTTTGTCTGAACTTCTCTTCTCACTTCATTTCATTCATTTGATCTCCAATCACTGATACCCTTTCTTCCACTTGATTGAATCGGCTACTGAAGCTTGTGCATGTGTCACGTAGTTCTTGTGCGATGGTTTTCAGCTCCATCAGGTCATTTAAGGACTTCTCTACGCTGTTTATTCTAGTTAGCCATTCTTCTAATCTTTTTTCAAGATTTTTAGCTTCTTTGCAATGGGTTCGAACATCCTCCTTTAGCTCAGAGAATTTTGTTATTATCGATCTTCTGAAGCCTACTTCTGTCAATTCATCAAAGTCATTCCCTGTCCAGCTTTGTTCTGTTGCTGGCGAGGAGATGTAATCCTTTGGAGGAGAAGAGGCACTCTGATTTCTAGAATTTTTCAGCTTTTCTGCTCTGGTTTCTCCCCATCTTTGTGGTTTTATCTACCTTTGGTCTTTGAGGATGGTGACCTACAGATGGGGTTTTGGTGTGGATGTCCTTTTTGTTGATGTTGATGCTATTCCTTTCTGTTTGTTAGTTTTCCTTTTAACAGTCAGGACCCTCAGCTGCAGGTCTGTTGGAGTTTGCTAGAGGTCCTCTCCAGACCCTGTTTGCCTGGGTATCACCAGCGGAGGCTGCAGAACAGCAAATATTGCAGAACAGCAAATGTTGCTGCCTGATCCTTCCTCTGGAAGCTTCGTCTCAGAGGGGCACCTGGCTGTATGAGGTGTCAGTCAGTCCCTACTGGTAGGTGTCTCCCAGTTAGGCTACTCAGGGGTCAGGGACCCACTTGAGGAGGCAGTCTGTCCATTCTCAGATCTCAAAATCTGTGCTGGGAGAACCACTACTCTCTTCAAAGCTGGCAGACAGGGAGGTTTAAGTCTGCAGCAGTTTCTGCTGCCTTTTATTCACCTATGCCCTGACCCCAGAGGTGGAGTCTACAGAGGCAGGCAGGCCTCCTTGAGCTGCGGTGGGCTCCACCCATTTTGAGCTTCCTGGCCATTTAGTTTACCTTGTCAAGCCTCAGAAATGGCAGACGCCCCTCCCCCAGCCTCGCTGCCGCCTCTCAGTTCAATCTTGGACTGCTGTGCTAGCAGTGAGCAAGGCTCCGTGGTTGTGGGACCCACCGAGCCATGTGCAGGATATAATCTCCTGGTGCGCCGTTGGCTAAGACCATTGGAAAAGCACAGTATTAGGGTGGGAGTGTCCCGATTTTCCAGGTACTGTCTGACACGGCTTCCCTTTGCTAGGAAAGGGAATTCCCTGACCCCTTGCACTTCCCGGGTGAGGTGATGCCCCACCTTACTTTGGCTCACACTCCATGGGCTGCACCCACTGTCCAACAAGTCCCAGTGAGATGAACCCAGTACCTCATTTGGAAATGCAGAAATCACCTGTCTTCTGCATCACTCACACTGGGGGCTGTAGACTGGAGCTGTTCCTATTTGGCCATCTTGGATCTGAGAGCTCCCTGATTGTGTTTAAGAAGGGGGACAGGTGCTATGAAAATAGGTCTGAGAGATTTCTTCCTGTTTGTTTTTATTTATTTTTTCTGTGAAAGAATACTACTACCAAGGGACACTTGAAGGCATTAAAGAGATCAAGTATTGCTTTTTTGGTTTCTTAATGTTTAAGTGTTAATTATAAATTTTAAAACTAACAGTATAACTTATTTTTAAATCTAGTACACAGAAATCCAAGTGGTATTACAAGTGTTGGTGAGAATGTGGAGCTACCGAAACTCTCATGCTGGGCAGGTGGAAATGCAAAAGAGCACAACTACTTTATAAAACACTTTGGCAGTTTCTTATAAAGTTAATCATAATCTTACCATACAATCCAGCAATCCCATTAATCTTCACAGTGGAAAAACTGCATCCCCACCCTGATTTCAGTGGGGCCTGAGCAGGGAGCTGTTATTTCATCCTCTGCTCAGCACAGGCAGGCAGTGCTCACATCTCCTACCAGGGTAACATCAGCAGGGTTTGGCAATGATTAGAGCCTCCACTCCCACCTAACAGTGCCAGAAGGGGCCAGTTATCCACAAATTCAATATCACATGAAAATACTCTTTAGAAATACAAGTGAAATAAAGACATTCTCAGACAGGAAAGCTAAGAATCTGGTCCCACCCCACCAAAAAAGTTACCATTAGAAATGGTTTTATGAAGATGTCTAAACAGAAATAAATTGTGACATAAGAGAGTTTGAAACTTCTGAAAGAAAAGAATATCAGAATTGGTGAATATAATAGACTATCTGGTTTACTCATGCATTTTTTAAATTATATATTTCTTCTCTGGCCTGCTGATATGGTAGATTACATGGATTGATTTTTGAATTTTGAGTACATCTTTTATACCTGGAGTAAATTTTACTTGGCTACGGTTTATAATTTTTTTTACATGATGGACTCAATTTGCTAATAATCTGTATACACTTACAGTTTTGGTGTGGGTTTTTTGTACTTTTTTGTGTAATTGTGGTATCAGTGTAATAGTGGCCTACAAAAGTGCATAAAATTGAAAATACAATATATCAAAATTTGTAGGATACAGCTGAAGCAGTACTGACAGGGCAATTTAGAGAACTAGATATTTTTGCTAGAAACAATAAAGGTCTCAAATCAATAATTTAGGCTCCTACTTCATGAAACTAGAAAAAAAAAGAAGAGCAAAATAAATCCAGCACAAACATAAAGAATGAAATAACGGAAATCAATGAAAATTGAAAACAAGAAAACAATTATTTATGAAAAAACTGGTTCCTTAAAAAAAAACCTCTAACAAGACTGATGAAGAATAAAAAATAAAAGACACAAATTACAACTATCAATAATAAAATAGGGTATATCACTACAGATCCTGAAGCCAGGATAATAAGGGAATATAAATAACTTTACACTCATAAATTTGACAACTTAAACCAAATGAACTAATTCCTTGAAAACTACAAAACATCAAAAATTTAATCAATGAGTTGAGTTGAAATAAACAATCTGAATAGTCTTATAGTCCATTAAAGAAATTAATTTAAATTTCTAATTTAAAAATTCATAATTCAAAATTCAAAATTTCTAATTCATAAATTTCTAATTTAAAAGCTCCCTCAAAATTATTTTCCATAGGAAAAATTAAACTTTGATCCTTACATTTTTTGCAAACATTAATTCAAAATTGATCACACTCTTAAATGAACATGGAAAATTTTATAAACTTTAAGACAAAAACATAGAATAAAAACATTGGTACACAGGGCTTGGAAAACAGTTCCTAAATTTGACACCAAAAGCATGATTCACAAAAGAAAAGGTTAACAAATTTTTACTTCATCAAAATTTATGACTTTTGTGCTTAAAAATCCCTGAGAAGGCAATAAAAATGTAAGCTACTCCTTGAAAAAAATTTTGTAAACCACTTATCCAACAAAGGATTTTTATAAATATACATATATTCATATGTATACACAGAATATACATAGCATACATGAATATGTGTATACAAAATATACATAGGACTCTCAAAAATTTAATTAGAAAATAGGCCAGACATGAATACATATTTAACTGAACATGGCAAAAGCAATGAAAATTGTTCAACATCATTAGCCATCAAAAAATGCAATAAATACTGACTTTATTGAGAAATACTCTAGTATATAGGTAATAATAAAAGCAGGACTGGTTTTTACTTGGTTCAATCCTTTTGTATAGAATACTATTCAGCTTAAAAAAAAAAAGATGAAGGAAATTCTGCCATTTGAGACAATGTGAATAAATCTGGAGAACATCATGGTAAGTGAAATAAGCCAGACGTAGAAGGAAGAAAACTGCATTATCTCACATATATGTGGAGTCTAAAAACTAGAACTCATGGAAGCAGAGAGTAGAATCTGGTTGCCCAGGGGCTTGGAGAGTGGGGGAAATAGGGAGATGTTGACCAAAGGGTACAAAGTTTCAATTATTCAGGATGAATAAGTTCTAGAGATCTAATGTATGGCATGGTGATTACAGTTAATAATAACTACATGCCAGGCACAGTTGCTCAGTCTTGTAATCTCAGCACTTTGGGAGGCTGAAGTAGGAGAATTGCTTGAGGTCGGGAGTTTGAAACCAGTCTGGGCCACAGAGTGGAACCCCATTTCTGCAAAATAATTTTTTTAAAAAATTAGCTGAGCATGTAGTGGTGCACACCTGTAGTCCTAGCTACTCAAGAGGCTAAGGGAGGAGAATCACTTGAGCCTGGGAGGTTGAGGCTGCGGCGAGCTGTGATCTCGCCACTCTGCTCCAGCCTGGGCAACAAAGTGAGATCCTGTCTCAAAAAGAAATTAATAATAATAATAATAAGTTGAAATTTTCTAAGAGAGTAGATCTGAAGTGTTTTCACCACAAGCAAAAAAAATAAAATAACAAGGTAACTATGTGAGGAGATGGATATGTTAATTAGCTTGATTATGGTAATCACTTCACTATGTATATGTACATAAAAACACCATGTTGTAGAGCTAAAATTATACAATTTTTATTTGGCAATTATACCTCAATAAAAGTGAAACAAATATCTGCACACAATGCTTTGGGTTTATAGTCTCCAAACACAGTTATTTCAGTCCTTGGTGGTGCAATTGTCAACTTTTTTTTAATTAAAGACTTAGGGTGGTTTTAGGTTCACAACAAAAGTAAGAGGAAAGTGCAGAAATTTTCCATATTACCCTTGCCTCTATACAGGCACAGCATCTCCCATTATCAATATCCCCCACCAAAGTTTACGGCAACCTTGCTATCATTGCTTAGTTCCAGGAATTTTTTTGTCGATTCTTGTTGATTTTCTACATAGATGATTATGGCATCTTGAAAGACAGTTTTATTTCTTCCTTCCCAATTTATATGTGTTCTATTTCCTTTTCTCATCTTCTTGCATTGGCTTAGACTTCTAGGAAGATGCTGAAAAGGAATGATGAAACATGCTTGCCCTGTTCCTGATTGTACTGGAAAAGTTTCTATTTTCTCACCATCAAATATGATGTTAGCTGTAAGCATTTTGTGGATATACTTTAGGAAATTGAAGAAGTTTCCCTCTGTTCCTAGTTAATGAGAGTTTTTACACTGAATGGGTGTTGGATTTGTCAAATGCTTTTTCTGCATCTATTGGTAGAATCATGTGGTATTTCTTCTTTATCCTGTTGATGTACTGGATTACATTAATTGATTTTCAAATGTTGAACCAACCATGCAGTCCTAGGATAAATCCTACTTGGTCACAGTATATTATTTTTATACATCATATGATTTGATTTGTTGATGTTTTCTTCAAATTTTTTGTGTCTATGTTCACGAGAAATATTTGTAGTTCTCTTTTCTGGTGATGATCTTTGTCTGGTTTGGTATTAGCATAATATTGGCCTCATAGAATAAGTTAGAGAGTATTCCCTCTACTTCTGTCATCTGAGATTGTAGAGAATTGGTATAACTTGTTCCGTAAATGTTTTGTAGAGCTCACCAGTGAACCCGTTTGAGCCTAGTGATTTCTGTTTGGGAAGGTTATTAATTATTGACACCATTTCTTTAATAGCTATAGGCTAATTCAGACTATTTCTTCTTGTGTGAGTTTTGGCAGATTGTGTCTTTTAAGGAATTGGTCCATTTCATCTAGGTTATCAATTTTGTGAGCAGAGAGTTGTTCATAGTATTCCTTGATTATCCATTTAATGACCATAGGGTCTGTAGGGATCCTCTTTCATTTCTGATATTAGTAATTCGTGTCCTCTCTTTTGTCTCAGTGAGCATGACTAGAGGCTTATCAATTACACTGTTCTTTTCAAAGAATCAGCTTTTGGTTTCACTGATTTTTTTCTATCAATTTCCTATTTTCAATTTCATTGATTTATATTCTGATTTTTATTATTACTTTTCTGCTTACTTTGAATTTAATTTGCTCTTTTTTCTAGTTTCCTATGGTGATAACATAAATGATTGATTTTAGATCTTTCTACTTTTTCAATGTATGCTATAAGTTGTGCTCTAAGCACTGCTTTCACTGTATCCCACAATTTTTGATAAATTTTGCTTCCATTTTCATTTAGTTCAAAATGTTTTTACATTTCTCTTGAGATTTTTGTCTCTGACCTGTGTTATTTAGAAGCGTTTTGCTTAATCTCTATGTATCTTGGGATTTTCCAGTTATCTTTCTGTTATTAAATTATAGTTTAGGCTGGGTGCAGTGGCTTACGTCGGTAATCCCAGCACTTTGGGAAGCCGAGGCGGGCAGATCACGAGGTCAGGAGATCAAGACCATCCTGGCCAACATGGTGAAACCCCATCTCTACTAAAAATACAAAAATTAGCTTGGTGTGGTGGCATGCACCTGTAGTCCCAGCTACTCGGGAGGCTGAGGCAGGAGAATTGCCTGAACCCGGGAGACGGAGGTTGCAGTGAGCCAAGATCGCACAACTACACTCCAGCCTGGTGTCAGAGCAAGACTCCGTCTGAAAAAAATAAATAAATAAATGAAATAAATAAATAAATTGTAGTTTAGTCTCATTGTAGTCTGAGGGCAAACACTGTATGATTTCTATTATTTTTAAATCAGTTGAGGTGTGTTTTATGGCCCAGAATGTGATCTATCTTGGTGATATTTCCACGTAAACTTAAAAAGAATGGGTATTCTTCTGTTTTTGAATGAAGTAGTTATAGATATCAATTATATTCACTGATTAATAGTTTTGTGGAATTCAACTATGTTCTTACTGTTTTTCTGCCTGCTATATCTGTCCATTTTTCACAAGGGGGTGTTGAAGCCTCCGAGTATAATAGTAAATTCATCTATTTCTCCTGGCAGTTCTATCAGTTTTTGCCTCACATATTTTGATGCTCTGTCATTAGATGCATACACATTAAGGACTGTTATATTCTCTTGGAGAATTGACCTGTTTATCATTATATAATGTCCCTCTTTTTCCCCGATAACTGTTCTTGCTTTGAAGTCTTTTCTGTGTGAAATTAATACAATGATTCCTACTTAATAAAAACTACTCTTACTTAATATAATTAAGAAAGTGTGGTATTGGTATTTCTATTCCATTGACAGAACTATATCTATGGAACAGAACAGAGTTCAGAAAGAGATCCACACATACATGCCTATATAGACAACTGATTATAGATCAAAATGTAAGGAAACATTATAGGACAAACGATAGTCTTTTCAACAATTGAGTTTGGAACAATTAGACACGTATATACAAAAAATAAATACATTTTGACAACTTCCAGTACATACTTCTCGCCTAAACTCTATATTTGTATTTACAACAGCTCTAATTATATGTGTAATACTCATCTCATATTTATCATTCAAAAGTCAAACTTACATCCCCAAAGCTGTTCTTCCCAGTGGTCTTCCACATCTCAGCTGATGGGTATCTTAGTCCATTCAGGCTGCTATAACAAAATACACTAAACTGGGTAGCTTATAATCAACAGCAATTTATTTTGCTGGAAAGTCCACAAACAAGGCACCAGTATATTTGGCATTCCGTAAGGGCTCACTCTCTGATTCATAGATGGTGCCTTCTCACTGTGTCTTCATATGGTAGAAAAGACAAACAAACTCCATTGGACCTTGTTTATAAGGGTGCTAATTCTGTTCATAAGAGCTCTGCCCTCATGACCTGGTAACCTCCCAAAGGCCCCATTTCTTAATACTATTGCATTGGGGATTAGGATTCAACATATACATTTTGGCGGACACGAACATTTAGACCATAGGAATGGAAATGTCTTCAGAAACACTGGAGTTATTCTTTATTCCTTGCTTTCTCTCACACTTCATATCTACTTCAGCAGCAAATCCTATTGGTACTACCTTCAAAGTACAGGCATGTAGATTCAGTTCCAGACCACTTCAATAAAGCAAATATCACAATAAAGAAAGTCACATGAAGTTTTTGGCTTCCTGATGCATATAAAAATTATGCTTACATTATACTGCAGTCTATTAAGTATGCAATAGCATTATATGTCTAAAACATTTACATATCCTAACTGAAAAATACTTCATTGATAAGAATGCTAACAATCATCTGAGTCTTTAGCCAGTCATAATCTTTTTGTTAGTGGAGGGTCTTCCCTCAGTGTTGGTGCCTCCTAACTTATAAAGATGTTAGTTGCTGAAGGTGGATGTGGCTGTGGCAATTTGAAAAAATAAGAAAAAAATGAAGTTTACTTCATTGATGGACTCTTCTTTTCATGAAATATTTCCCTGTAGCATGTGATACTGTTTGATAGCATTTTATTCACACTAGAAAGTCTTTCAAAATTTGAGAAAGTCCTCCCAAATTCTGCCACTGCTTTATCGACTAAATTTATAGAATATTCTAAATCCTCTGTTGTCATTTCAATAATGTTAACAGCGTCTTCATCACAAGTAGATTGCATCTCAAGAAACCATTTTCTTTGGTCATTTGTAAGCAGCAGCTCCTCATCTATTCAAGGTATATAATGAGATTGCATCAGTTCAGTTACATCTTCAGGCTTCACTTCTAATTCTAGTTCTCTTGCTATTTTCACCATATCTGTGTTACTTTCTCCTTTAAACTCTTGAACTCCTCAAAGTCATCCATAAAGGTTGGAATTAACTTCTTCCAAAATCCTGTTAAGATGAATTGGCAGCTATACAGCTTTATGAAATATATTTATTAAATAGTAAGTCTTGAAAATTGAAATTAGTCTTTGATCCCTGGGCTGCAGAATAGATGTACTAGCAGGCATTAAAACACAAATTCCTGGTGTACCTTCATCAGAGCTCTTGGGTGACAAGGTACACTGTCAATGAGCAGTAATATATTTTTTAAGAACTTTTATTTTAGGTTCATGGGCACATGTGTAGGTTTGTTATATGTGTAAACTCATGCCACAGGGGTTTGTTATACAGATTATTTTGTCATCTAGGTACTAAGCCTTGTACCCAATAGTTATTTTTTTCTGACACTCTCTCTCCTCCCACCCTCCACCCTCAGGTAGGCCCCAGTGTCTGTTGTTCCTCTCTTTGTGTCCATGTGTTCTCATCATTTAGCTCCCACTTATAAGTGAGAACATACAGTATTTGGTTTTCCGTTCCTGCGTCAGTTTGCTTAGAATAATGGCCTCCAGCTCCATCCATGGTCCTACAAAGGACATGATCTCATTCTTTTTTATGGCTGCACAGTGTCCCATGGTGTATATGGACCACATTTTCTTTATCCAGTCTACCACTGATGGGCATTTAGGTTGATTCCATGTCTTGGCTATTGGGAATATAATGAGCAGTAACATTTTGAAAGGAATCTTTTTTTTCTGAGAAGTATGTCTCAAGAGTGGGTTTATATATTTAGTAAACCATGCTGTAAACAGACGTACTGTCACTCAGACTTTGTTGTTCCATTTATAGTATATAGGCAGAGCAGATTTTGCATCATTCTTAAGAGCCTTAGGATTTTTCGAATGGTAAATAAATATGGGCTTTAAGTTAAAGTCACAAGCTGCATTAGCCCCTAACAAGCGATTCAGCCTGTCATTTGAACTGTGAAGCCAGGCACTGACTTCTCCTCTTTATCTACTGATATGGTCTGGCTCTGTGTCCCCACCCAAATCTCGTCTTGAATTGTGATCTGAATGATAATCCCCATGTGTTGGGGGAGGGACCTTGTGGGAGGCGATTAGATCATGGGGGCAGTCCCCCCATGCTGTTCTCGTGATAGTGAGTTATCACAAGATCTGATGGTTTTATAAGGGGGTTTTCCCCTCTTCACTCCACACTTCTCCTTCCTGCTACCATGTGAAGAAGGATGTGTTTCCTTCTCCTTGTGTCATGATTGTAAATTTCCTGAGGCCTCCCCAGCCATGCTGAACTGTGAGTCAACTAAACCTCTTTCCTTTATACATTACCCAGTCTCAGATATGTCTTTATTACCAGTGTGAGAATGCAATAATACATCCATGAAGGTCCTAGATGTTATCTTCTTCCAATAGATGGTTATTTCATCTACATTAAAAATCTGTTGTTTAGTGTAACCACTTTCATCAATGATCTTAGCTACATCTGGATAATGTGCTGCAGCTTCTACATCATACTTGCTGCTTCACCTTGCACTTTTATGTTATGGATACAGCTATTTTCTTTAAACCTCTGGAGACAACTTCTGCTAGCTTCAAACTTTTCTTTTGCAGCTAGCTTCCTTGCCTCTCTCAGTCTTTATAGAATTAAAGAGAGTTAGGGCCTTGCTCTGGATTAAGCTTTAACTTAAGAGAATTTGGGGGCTCATTTGATCTTCCTTCCAAATCACTCAAACTTTTTTCATATCAGCAATAAGGCTGTTTTGCTTTTTTAATTGTTTGTGTATTCACTGGAATAGCACTTTTAATTTCCTTCAAGAACTTTTCCTTTGCGTTCACTACGTGACTGTTACATGCCAGAGGCCTAGCTTTTGGCCTATCTTGTCTTTTGACAGGCCTTCATCCCTAAACTTAATCATTTCTAGATTTTGATTTGAAGTGAGAGACATGTGACACTTCCTATCACTTAAACACTTAGAGGCCACTGTTAAGGTAATTACTTGGTCTAATTTCAGCATCATTGTGTCTCAGGGAATAGAGAGGTTCCATGAGAGGGAGAGAGACCAACTGGTTGGTAGAATAGTCAAACACACACGTTTCTCAATTAATCTTGTCATCTTATATGGACTCAGTTTGTGATGCCTCAAAACAATTAGATAGCAACATCAAAAATCATTGATCACAGATTGCCATAACAGATATAATAATAATAAAGTTTGAAATACTGTGGGAATTTTCAAAACATGATCCAGAGACACAATGTGAGCACACAGTGTTGGAAAATTTGCTAATAGACTTGCTCAACACAGGGTTGCCGCAAACCTTCAATTTGTAAAATATGTATATATACATATACACATATACTTATATGTATATATACATGTACATACATGTACGTATACATATATACATATACATCCATGTACGTATACCTATATACATATACATCCATGTACGTATACCTATATACATATGCATACATGTACGTATACCTATATACATATACATACATGTACGTATACATATATGTACGTATACATGTATACATACATATATGTATACATGTATATGTACATATGCGTATATGTATATATACATACATATACCTATATATTCATATATATGAATATATATATATGAATGTATATATATATATACACACACATATGTAAAGCACAATAAAGTGAAGCATAATAAAATTAGGTATGCTTGTATATGTATGGTCCAAACACTTCTCATTGTCTCCATTGTTCAACCATGGTTCAAACTTTCATCATCCTTCAGCTGAAGTATTGCAATAACCTCCTATCTCATCTCCCTAGTTGCACTTGGGCTCCCTAATCTCTTTCAAAAAGTAGCCAGAGTGATCCTTTAAAAAACTAAGAAAGATGATGTCACGTACCTCTGCTTTAATGTCCTCCAGTGGCTTCCCATCAAACTCAGGGTAAAGCTAACATCCTTACACTTCTTCTTCTTCTTCTTTTTTTTTTTTTTTTTTTTTTTTAGTTTTGCTCTTTCACCCATGCTGGAGTGAAATGGCACAATCTCGACTCACTGCAACCTCTGCCTCCCAGGTTCAAGCGATTCTCATGCCTCAGCCTCCTGAGTAGCTGGGATTATAGGCGCCCACCACCATACCAGGCTAATTTTTGCATTTTTAGTAGAGATGGGGTTTCACCATGTTGGCCAGGCTGGTCTCGAACTCGTGACCTCAGGTGATCCACCCGCCTCAGCCTCCCAAAGTGCTAGGATTGCAGGTGTGAGCCATCATGCCTGGTCCCTACAACAGTTTCTAAGAGCCTGGACCCGTGTAACCTCTCTGACCTCATCACTTCTTTCTATCTCTTGGTTTCTCTTTTTCACGCTCCTCCAGCCACACTCACCTTCATCTTTCTTCTTCTTTTTTTTTTTTTTTTTTGCAAATGCTAGACATGATCTGATATGGTTTGGATTTGTGTCCCTGCCCAACTCTCAGGTGGACTTGTAATCCTCAATGTTGGAGGAGGGGCTTGGTGGGAGGTGATTAGATCATCAGGGCAGATTTCCCCCTTGCTGTTCTCATGATAGTGAATGAGTTCTCATGATATCTGGTTGTTTAAACGTTTGTAGCGCCTCCCCCTTCCCTCTCTTCCTCCTGCTTTGGCCATCTAAGATGTGCCTCCTTCTCTTCCCCTTCCACCATGATGGAAAGTTTTCTGAGGACTCACCAGCCATGCTTTCTGTACAGCCTGCAGAACCATGAGTCAATTAAAACTCTTTTCTTTATAAATTATCCAGTTTCAGGTATTTCTTTACAGCAGTGCAGCAACAAACTGATACACGATCTCATCTCAAGTCCCAGCATCTGTTCTTCCTTCTGCCTGAAATGCTCTTTCTCAAGCTATAGACATGGCTCCTACACTTAGTTCTTTCAAGACTTTGCTCAAATCTTACCTTCTGAGTGATCACTGCCCTGATGTCTATTTAAAACTCTCAGCCTCCACTCATAGCACTCTTTGATTTTTTTACAGTATTTATTACCATCTATTATCCTATATAAATATTTTAATTAGTTTTTTATTCTATTTTGTCCTTTTATTTAAATTAAAACTCTGTGGATGATGAGTTTTTAATGTTTAATTCATTTCTGCATCTCTACCACCTGGAATGGTGTCTCTTGAACAGCAAAAGCTCAATACATACTCATGGAATAAATGTACAGTATGTTAACTCTTACAGTGTTTATAATATATAAAAATTGGAAATTACTTAAATGTGTAAATATTACTTACATAGTGCAATGGTAAAATAAGTTATGGTATGGTTATATAATGAAATACTAAACAGCTGCTAAAAAGAATGATAAAGGACTATAGGTACTGTATAGAAATAGCTCTAAAATGAGGAATTTCAGTTGTAAAATAGTATGTGTTTATATTTGAAAAAAATGATAAAATTACACATACATACATACATGCAAATGTAAATAAAAAGACTTAAAGAATGAACATGAAACTGCTGTGCATAGTTTCCTCTGAAGAAAAGGATAGATTTGGGAGAGATAGTGGAGTGGAACTTACAATACATTTACAGAGATGGGAGGGTTGACTAGCTTGAGAGGATAAACACTGGCTTAGTCTTTATGGAGGGAAATATGGAAATAACTAGCAAAATTTAAAATATACATATCCAGCAATTCCACTTATTTGAATCTATGCTTCCAAAAATATTCTAAACAGGTAATAGTTTATTAATTAAGAAAAAATTATCAAGTCTTTCTGGGTTTGCATTTTGATTCCAATATTTTCCAGATATGTAGCACTAACTACATATCTTAGTTTTAACTATGCTTAGTTAAAACTAAGCATCAGCTACTTCATTGCAATATGGAAATAATAGTAGTAATAATAATAGTAGAACCTACTGAATGATGTAAATATTAAATGAGATAATTTATGTAAAGCCCTATGCATAGCACTTGGCAAATACTAACCACACAACAAATGCTAGCTATTGGTACTATAATAGAAATAATGGTAGCAACTATCTACAAAGATATTTTACAAAGCAGTACATTATTGTTTGAAAGAGCAAAAACTTGAAAATAATCTAAATAAGTCAATGGTTAAATAAATTATGACTTTTAAAACTGGAAACACAAATTGGTAATGTAATTAAAATTGATCTACATATATTAACATGAAAAAGTCTGGGCAACATAGTGAGACCCTATCTCTACAAAAAATTTTTTTTATATTATCCAGGCATAGTAGCAAACACCTGTGGTCTTAGCTACTCAGGAGGCTGAGGCAGGAGGATTGCATGAGCCTGAGAGACTAAGGCTGCAGTGAGCCTTGATGATGGTGCCACCACACTCCAGCCTGGGCAACGAGTGAGATTTCATCTCTAAAAAAAAAAAAAAAAGAAGAAGAAGAAGAATAAGAAGAAGAAGAAGAAAAGATCCCCACAATATATTCAATATATTTTTGGGCAAAAACGAAAGCAAACTGAAAAACAATATGCATATAGGATGATCGCATTTATGTTTTATGTAATTATATATTTGACTGAGAACACATATATGTATGGTAATGCATAGAAAACAGTTTTAGGTATGCACATCAAAATATCACTTCTACCAACAACCTCTGACAGGGGTAGATTTAGGAGGATAGAGATGAGGGATGAGGAAAGATCAAAAATAATTTTTTCTATTTTTAATGTATATACTTATATAATTTCTAAAAATATTTCACAACAATAATGCAGTCATTTGGTATTTGTGTTAAGAATATTAAAGAATTCAAAGGAAAATGAACATAGTAGAAGAGAAGAAAAATGGTTATGAGAAACAGTCGAAGGAAACTTCTTGAAAGAAAAATAAAATATATGAAAAAAATACACTTGAAATTAACAGCAGATTAGACACCTGAGAAGAAAAAAACATAGTGAACTTGAAGACATAGCAATAGAAACTAAGCAAAATAGGCTGGGTGCGGTGGCTCACGCCTGTAATCCCAGCACATTAGGAGGCCGAGGCAGGTGGATTACGAGGTTAGGAGTTCAAGATCGGCCTGGCCAAGATGGTGAAACCTCATCTCTACTAAAAATACAAAAATTAGCCGGGAATGGTGGTGTGCATCTGTAATCCTAGCTCCTTGGGGGACTGAGGCAGGAGAATTGTTTGAACTCCTAGCTCCTTGGGAAGCTGAGGCAAGAGAATCGTTTGAACCTGGGAAGCAGAGGTTGCAGTGAGCAGAGATTGCGCCTTTGAACTCCAGCCTGGGCAACAAGAGCAAAACAACATAAAAAACAAACAAACAAACAAACAAACAACAACAAAAAACTATCCAAAATAAAGCATAAAGACAAAAAAGACCAAAACATTAGCAGAATCTCAGTAACCTATGGAACAAAATCAAGCGGTCCTGGTATATGTGTAACTGTAGTCCCAGAAAGCTGAGGAACAACAACAAAAAAAAATTTAAAGAAATAATGCCCCCAAATTATCTAAATTCAATAAAAACTACAAATCCATAAATTCAATAAAGTCAATGAATCCAAGTAGGACAAACACAAAAAAAGCCACACTGAACGCATCATAATGGAATTCCTAAAAACCAGTGATAGAGAAAAAATAAGTATAAGCAGCCAGGAAAAAAATACATTGGTACCGAGAAACAAAAATCAGAATAAACATAAACGTCTCATCATAAAGTATATAAGTCATATCTCAGCAGAATACGTTCTTTAACATTCTAAAAAAAAGACAATTTAAACTTTGAGAACAGAGCCCTCAGAAATAATACCACACATCTACAACCATCTGATCTTTGACAAACCTGACAAAAACAAGAAACGGGGAAAGGATTCCCTTTTTAATAAATGGTGCTGGGAAAACTGGCTAGCCATATGTAGAAAGCTGAAACTGGATCCCTTCCTTACACCTTATACAAAAATTAATTCAAGATGGATTAAAGACTTAAATGTTAGACCTAAAACCATAAAAACCCTAGAAGAAATCCTAGGCAATACCATTCAGGACATAGGCATGGGCAAGGACTTCATGTCTAAAACACCAAAAGCAATGGCAACAAAAGCCAAAATTGACAAATGGGTTCTAATTAAACTAAAGAGTTTCTGCACGGCAAAAGAAACTACCAACAGAGTAAACAGGCAGCCTACAGAATGGGAGAAAATTTTTGCAATCTACCCATCTGACAAAGGGCTAATATCCAGAATCTACAAAGAACTTAAACAAATTTACAAGAAAAAAACAAACAACCCCATCAAAAAGTGGGCAAAGGATATGAACAGACTCTTCTCAAAAGAAGACATTTATGCATCCAACAGACACATGAAAAAATGCTCATCATCCCTGGCCATCAGAGAAATGCAAATCAAAACCATAATGAGATACCATCTCACACCAGTTAGAATGGTGATCATTAAAAAGTCAGGAAACAACAGGTGCTGGAGAGGATGTGGAGAAATAGGAACACTTTTACACTGTTGGTGGGACTGTAAACTAGTTCAACCATTGTGGAAGTCAGTGTGGCGATTCCTCAGGGATCTAGAACTAGAAATACCATTTGACCCAGCCATCCCATTACTGGGCATATACTCAAAGGATTATAAATCATGCTGCTATAAAGACACATGCACATGTATATTTATTGCGGCACTATTCACAATAGCGAAGACTTGGAACCAACCCAAATGTCCATCAATGATAGACTGGATTAAGAAAATATGGCACGTATACACCATGGAATACTATGCAGCCATAAAAAAGGATGAGTTCATGTCCTTTGTAGGGACATGGATTAAGCTGGAAAGCATCATTCTGAGCAAACGATTGCAAGGACAGAAAACCAAACACCGCATGTTCTCACTCATAGGTGGGAAGTGAACAATGAGAGCACTTGGACACAGGGTGGGGAACATCACACACCGGGGCCTGTTGTGGGGTGGGGTGAAGGGGGAGGGATAGCATTAGGAGATACACCTAATGTAAATGACGAGTTAATGGGTGCAGCACACCAACATGGCACATGTATACATATGTAACAAACCTGTGCGTTGTGCACATGTACCCTAGAACTTAAAGTATAATAATAAAAAAACCTAACAAAAAAATAAAATAAAATAAAAAAACATGACTAAATAGAATGTGGGATCTCAGATTACATCTTAGAACAGAAAAAAAAAGTGGAAAAATTAATGGAATTTGAAGAAAGTTTATGGTTTGGTTAATTGTAGTATATCAATGTTAACTTATTATTTTGATAATTGTATTATGGATATGTAAGAGTTTAACATTAGAGGAGCTGAATAAAGGGTATACAAAAACCCTATGTACTATTTGTGAAATTCTTCTGTAAGTCCAAAATGATCTCAATAAATTTTAAGAAAGGATAGTTGACTAACTAAAAGAAAAACATATAACACATATAGAAATAAAATCCAAGACAACAACAGCAGAAAGGATGTGTTATGGTTTGAATGTTTGTTTGTTTGTTTGTTTGTTTGACTCAGTAATCCAGGCTGGAGTGCAGTGGTGCAAACATGTCTCACTGCAGCCTTGAACTCCTGCGCTCAAGTGATCCTCCCACCTCAGTCTCCCAGTAGCTGGTACCACAGCCATAAGCCACCATGCCAGGATAATTTCTAAATATTTTTTGTAGAGATGGGGTCTCACTGTGTTGCCCAGGGTGGGTCTGAATATTTTGTCCCCTCCAAATTCATATGTTGAAACTTAATCCTCAATGCAATGATATTAAAAGGTAGGGCCTTTGGAAGGTGATTAGCTCATCAGGGTAAAGCACTCAAGAATTGGATTGGTGCCCTCATAAATGAGGATAAAGGGAGCTTGTTTGCCACCTCCACCATGTAAGGACACAGCTAGAAGGCACCATTTATGAAACAGAGAGCTAGGTTTCCCCAGACACTGGGCTTGCTGGCACCTAGATCTTCAACTTCCCAGCCTCCAGAACTATGTGCAATAAATTTCTGTTGTTAACAAACTACCCAGTCTAAGATATTTTGTTATAGCAGCCTGAATGGACTAAAACAGATAAAAGGGAAAAATGGAAGCATATTGGTCAAAAGTTCTTACACGTAAAATTGTACTGTACCATTTAAAGGTACACTGTAATAAGTTAAGATACACATTATAAACTCTAGGAAAACCACTGTTTAAAGTACAGCTAATAGTCAAATAATGGAGATAATATGAAATCCTTAATAGAAACAAATAAAAAGAAAGTAGGAAACATAAACATATGTTTTCTAAAAGAAACATATTTTCTTTTAGAAAAAACGTAACAAAGATGGAATGAGTAGAAAGCAACCAGCAAGTTGGTAGATACCATTGATAATTACATTACATACAGGCAGGGCATATCAGACTGAATGAAAAGAGAAATGCTGTCTACAAAACACCTATTTTGAATATGAAGAATAAACTATACCACATAGGCATTAATCATAAGACAGCTAGAGAGGCTACAGTAACATCACACAATGTAGACTTCCGAATAAAAAGTATTACCAGAAATTTAAAAGGGCATTTCATAGGGATAAAAGGGTGAGATCATCAAGTAGACCTAAAAATCCTAAATCCTAAATCCTATGCATCCAACAAGAGTGCTTCAAAGTAAGGAAGATAAAACCAAAAGAAATGAAAGGAGAAATAGGCAAATCCACATTATAGTTGGAAACTTCAACATTCTTCTCTTTCATGAATTAAAAGGACAAGCAGAAAATTAATGAGGCTATATAAGATTTGAGTATCACTATCAACCAAATAATATAATAACCATTTGTAGAAAATTCCACCCAACAACTGCATAAAATGAAAATTTTCCAAATACACCAGAAGCATTCATCATGATGGGCCATATTGTAGACCATAAAACAATTATCAATCGATTTTAAAAGTTTTTTCTCTAACCAAAATGAATTTAAATTTGAAATAAAAAACAAAAAATTATGTAGAACACTGCAAATTCAGAAATTAAGTAACGCAGATTTAATAATTCATGAATCAAAAAAGAAACCCCAACATAAATTACAAAATATTTGAGCTGAAGGAAAAGGAAAACACAACATATTAAAATCTATGGGTCGGAACTAAGAAAGAGTTTGGTGGAGAATGTATAGCTTTAAATGTTTATAATAGAAAATAAAAAAGGTTTAAAAATCAGTGATCTCAGTTTTGAACTTAAGAAAGTAGTAAAAGATGAGCAAGTTAAATCAAAATTAAGTAGAATCAAAGAGATAATAATAAGTGTACAAATCTATGAAATAGAAAATCATAAAAAGAAAAAAGGAGAAAATAAGGAAGGCTAAACGTTGATCTTTTGCAAATACTTAAATGGATAGGTATTTATCAAGAGTGATCAGGATCAAAGGACAACAATTTAACAACTAGAAATGTCTACACACACACATAGAAAAAAACCTTCATGAGAACCAAAAATCAGGAGAGCACTTACAGTACCTGGTTTTAACTTCATATAGCTGAAAGAGGCACTGAAGAGATAGAAAAAAAAAAAAAACAGTCCAAAATCACTGATGCCACCCCTCCTCAACCCAAGGCAGCGGTGGCATGGTGCAGAGAGCCTCTCTGTGCACTGGGGTAGGAAGAACACAGCAACTAAGAAGCACTGAACTCAGTGCTATTCTCTTAGAGCATAAAGGAAAACCACACCAAACTAAGCCAATGCCTGCTCATGGAGGGATCATGTAAAACAGCCCTAGCCAGAGGGGAATTGTGGATCCCAGTGGTCGGGACTTGATTTCTTGCAAACCTCACCACTGAGGGTTACAGCACTCTGTGTCGCCAAGTAAACCTGAAAGGCAGTCAAGGCCATAAGGACTGCAACTCATAGGAGAGTCCTAGGGCTGAAGTGGGTCCTGAGACAGTGGACTGGCAGAGCATGCGACCTACTAAGACACCAGCTGGGGCAGCCAAGGGAGTGCTAGCATAACTACTCCCTTAACCCCAGGCTGCACAGCTTGTGGTTCCAAATGAGACCCCTTCCTTCCCCTTGAGGAGAGAAGAGAGAAGACTGGGTAGGACTTTGTCTTGCATCTAGAATACCAGCTCAGCCACAGCAGACAGGGCACCAGTCGCAGTTGTGAGAGCCCTCCTAGGCTCTAGCTCCCAGACAACATTTCTAGACACACCTTGGGCCAGAAGGGAACCCACTCCCTTGAAGGAAAGGGCCCAGTCCTGGCAGCATTCATTACCAGCTAACTGAAGAGCCTTTGTGCCCTGAATAACCAGCAGTGATACCCAGGTACTACATCAAGGGTCTTGGGTGAGCCTCTGAGACTTGCTGACTTTAGGTGAGACTCAGCACATAACCAGCTGTGGTGGCTACGAGAGGCAAAACTCCTTCTGCTTGAGAAAAGCAGAGGGAAAAGTAAAGGGGACTTTGTCTTGCACCCTAGGTCCAGCTCAGCCAAAGTGGGGTAGAGCACCAAGTAGTCTCTTGCAGTCCCCAATTCTAGGACTTGACTCCTGGACTGCATTTCTGAACTGACCTGGGCCAGAGGGGAGCCTACTGCCCTAAAAGGTGAATCCCAGGACAGGCAGCATTCACCACAAGCTGACTTAAGAGCCTTTTGGCCTTAAGGGAACATCAGTGGTAGTCTGGCAGTACTCCATGTGGCCTGTGGTGATGGTGGCTATGGGGTGAGGCTCCTCTCCCTTTGGAAAGAGGAGGGAAGAGTGGGAAGGACTGCACCTTGTGGTTTGAGTGCCAACTAAGCCACAAGACAATAGAACATTTCTAAGGTTTTGACTCTAGTCCCTGACTCCTGGGTGGCACTTTTGGACCCACCCAGGGCTTGGGGGACCTTACTGCCTTGAAGGGAAAAACACAGGCCTGGCTGGCTTTGCCACCAGTTGATTACAGAGCCCCAGGGCCTATAAGAGAACATAGACAGTGGACAGGGCATGGTTACAGCAGGACTTGGGTGAGACCTACAGCTGTGCTGGCTTCAGACATGACTCAGCACAGTCATAGTGGTGGTGGCCACAGGGATGCTTGTGTCACTCCACCCTCAACGTTAGGAGATTCAGAACAGAGAGAGACACTCTATGTTTGGGAGAAAGTAATAAAAAAGAACAAGAGTCTCTGCCTGGCAATCCAGAGAATTCTCTGGGATCTTGTCCAAGACTATCAAAATGGTACCTCTATGAGTCTGCAAGAACCACAGGGTTACTGGGCTTGGGGTACCCTCTAAGGAAGATACAGCTTAGATCACACCCAAGTTTATTCAAATACTGAAAAGCATTCCCAAGGATAGCTACAAGTAAGCTCAGACAGTGAAGACTACAATAAATGCTTAAGCCTTCAATGCCCAGACACCGAAGAACATCTACTAGCATAAACAGCATCCAGGAAAACATGACCTCATCAAATGAACAAAATAAGGCACCGTGGACCAATCCTGGAGAAACAGAGAGACATGTGACCATTCAGACAGAAAATTTAAAATGCCTGCTTTGAGAAAATTCTAAGATATTCAAGATCACACAGAGAAAGAATTCAGAATTCTATCAGATAAATTTAACAAAGAGATTGAAATAATAAGAATCAAACAAAAATCCAGGAGCTAAAAAATGCAGTTGGCATACTGAAGAATGCATCAGAACTACTTCAATAGCAGAATTGATCAAGCAGAAGAAAAAATTAGTGAGCTTTAAGACAGGCTAATTGAAAATATATAGAGAATACAAAAGAAAAAATTAAAAAACAATGAAGCACACCTACAGGATCTAGAAAAAAGCCTCAAAAGGGCAAATATAAGAGTTATTAGCATTAAAGAGGTGGTAGAGAAAGAGGTAAGGGTCGAAAGTTTATTCAAAGAATGATGACTCAGAACTTCCCAAACCTAGAGAAAGATATCAATATCCAAGTACAAGAAGGTTACAGGACACCAACAAGATTTAACCCAAAGAAGACTATCTCAAGGCATTTAATAATCAGACTCCTAAAGGTCAAGTATAAAGAATTCTAAAAGCATTCTAAAGAATTCTAAAAGCAGCAAGAGAAAAGACACAAATAATATACAAAGGAACTCGAATACTTATGGCAGCAGACTTTTCAGTTGAAACTTTAAAAGCCTGGAGAAAAGTGGCATGACATATTTAAAGTGCTAAAGAAAAATAAGTTTTACCCTAGAATAGTATCTCTGGTGAAAATGTCCCTCAAACAAGAAGAAATAATGACTTTCCCAGACAAACAAAAGCTGAGGGATTTCATCAATACCAGACCTATCCTACAAGAAATGCTAAAGGGAGAAATTTAATCAGAAAGAAAAGGACATTAATGAGCAATAAATAATCACCAAAAGGTACAAAAGTCACTGGTAATAGTAAGTACACAGAAAAACACAAAATATTATAGTACTGTAACTGTGATGTGTAAACTACTCTTACTCTAAGTAGCAAGACTAAATGTTGAACCAATCTAAAATAGTAACTACAACAGCTTTTCAAGGTACAGTCAACACAATAAGATGTAAATAGGAACAACAAAAAGTTAAAAAGCTGGAGGATGAAGTTAAGGCATAGAGTTTTTATTAGTTTTCTTTTAGCTTATTTGTTTATGCAAATAGCGTCAAGTTGTTATCAGGTTAAAATAATGGGTTGTAAGATAGTATTTGCAAGCCTGATGGCAACCTCAAACCAAAAACATACAATGGAAACACGAAAAATACAAAACAACAAACTAAATCATATCACCAGAGAAAATCACCTTCATTAGAAGAAGACACAAAGGAAAGAAAGAAGGAAGAGAGGACAACAAAACAACCAGAAAACAAATAACAAAATAGCAGGGTTAAGTCCTTAGTTATCAATAATAACATTGAATGTAAATGGACTCAACTGTCTCCAATCAAATGATATAGACTGGCTGAATGGATTAAAACACAAGACCCATTGATTGGTTGTCTACAAGAAACATATTTTACCTATAAGGACATGCATAGACTGAAAATAAAGGGATGAAAAGAGATATTCCATGCCAATGAAAACAAACAAACAACAACAACAAAAAAAGCAAGAGTCGCTATACTTTTATCAGACAAAATAGATTTCAAGACCAAAACTCAAAGAAAAGACAAAGAAGGTCAACTGTATAATGAAAACGAGGTCAATTCAGCAAGAGAATATAACAACTTTCAATATACTTGCACCTAGCACTGGAGCGGCCAGACATATAAAGAAAATATTACTAGAGCTAAAGGGAGAGAGAGAGAGAAAGAGGGAGAGAGAGAGAGAGATAGGCCCCAATACAATAATAGCTGGAGACTTCAACATTCCACTTTCAGCATTGGACAGATCTTTCATACAAAGTCAACAAAGAAATGTCAGACATAATCTGCACTATGGACCAAATGTATCTAATAGATATTTACAGAACATTTCATCTAAGAGCTGCAGAATACACATTCTTTTCCTCAGCACATGGATCATTCTGAAAGACAGACCACGTTAGGTCACAAACATTCAAAAATTGAAATACTATCAAGCTTCTTCTCTGACCACAATGGAATAAAACTAGAAATTAATTTTAAAAAGGAATTTTGGAAACTATAAAAATGCACAGAAATTAAACAATATGCTCATGAATAAACAGTGGGTCAATAAAGAAAGCAAGAAGGAAATTAAAAAATTTCTTGAAACAAATGATAATGAAAATAAAACATACCAAAATCTATGGGATATAGCAAAAGCAATAATGAGAAAAACCTTCAAGTAAACAATATAACAATGCATCTTAAAGAACTAGAAAAGCAAAAGCAAACAAAATCCAAAACTATTACACAAAAATTAATAATAAAGATCCGAGCAGAAATAAATAAAATTGAAATAACAAAGAATACAAAATATTAATGAAACAAAAGTTGGTTTTTTGAAAAGTTAAAAAATTGACAAACCTTTAGCCACACTAAGAAAAAAAAAATAGAGAAGATCCAAATAAATAAAACCAAACTGAAAAAGGAAGCATTATAATTAATATTGCAAAAATTCAAAGGATTATTAATGGATACTATAAGCAGCTATATACCAGTAAATTGGAAAATCCAGAAAAAATGGGCAAATTTCTAGCTACATACAACTTACCAGGCCCCAATGGCTTCACTGCTACATTTTACTAAACATTTAAAGAAGAAATAACACCAATCCTAGTCAAACTATTCCTAAAAATAGAGGAGGAGGAAACACTCCCAAACTCATTCTAGGAGGCCAGTATTACCCTCATACCGATACCAGACAAAGATGTATCAAAGAAAGAAAACTACAGGCCAATATCCCTGATGAATATTGATGCAAAAATCAACAAAATACTAACAAACCAAATTTGTCAATACATTAGAAAGATCATTCATCATGACCAAATGGGATTTACCCCTGGGATGCAAAGATGGGTCAACATACGCAAATCAATCAACATGTTGCATCATATCAACAAAATGAAGGATAAAAACCATATGATCATTTCAATTGATGCTGAAAAAGCATTTCATAAAATTCAGCATCCCTTCATGATAAAAACCTTCAAAAACAGGGTGTAGAAGGGACATACCTCAACATAATAAAAGCTATATATGACAGACCAATGACTAGTGTCATCCTGAATGACAAAGGTGAAATCCTTTCCTCTAAGATCTGGAACACAACAAGGATGTCCGCTGTCACCAGTTATTCAACATAGTACCAAATGCTTGTACTGAAGTTAGTTAGGAGCATTCATTACATGTTGAATACATAGTACCGAATGCTCCTAACTAGACCAACCATACAAGAGAAAGATATAAACGGCATCCCAAGTGGAAAGGAAGAAGTCAAATTATCCTTGTTTGAGGATAATATGATCTTATATTTAGAAAAACCTGAAGACTCCACAAGAAAACTATTAGAACTGAGGAACAAATTCAGTATAGTTGCAGGATACAAAATCCAAATTCAAAAATCAGTAGCATTTCCATATGCCAACAGTGAACAATGTGAAAAAGAAATTTTAAATAGTAATCCCAATAGTTTAACTATTGGATACTAGGCTTAATGCTTGGGTAATGAAATAATCTGTACAACAAACTCACATGATGTGAGTTTACCTATATAACAAACCTTCACATGTACCACAGTATTAACCCATTCTACACTGTGATAAAGAAATACCTGAAACTGGGTAATTTATAAAGAAAAGAGGTTTAATTGGTTTCACAGGCTGCACAGGAAGCATGGTTGGTGAGGTCCTCAGAAAACTTTCCATCATGGCTGAAGTGGAAGGAGGCACATCTTTCATGGCTGAAGCAGAAGGAAGAGAGTGGAGCGGGAGGTGCTACACACTTTTAAACAACCAGATCTCTTAAGAACTCACTCACTATTATGAGAATGGCAAGGGGGAAATCTGCCTTCATGATCCAATCACCTCCCACTAGGCCCCTCCTCCAACACTGGGGATTATAACTTGACATGAGATATGGGTGGGGACACAAATCCAACCCATATCATTCCACTCTGGGCACCTCTCAAATCTCATGTCCTTCTTACATTGCCAAATACAATCATCCCTTCTCAAAATTCACCCAAGTCTTAACTCATTTCAGCATTAACTCAAAATTCCACAGTCCAAAGTCCCATTTGAGACAAGGCAAGTCCCTTCCACCTATAAGCCTGTAAAATGAAAACCAATTTAGTTACTTCTGAACTTCTGAGATATAATAGTTGTACAGGCATTGGGTAAATGCACCCGTTGCAAAAGGGAAAAATCAGCCAAGAGAGGGGCTACAGGCCCTGCTCAAGTCCAAAACCTAGCAAGGCAGTCACTGAATCTTAAAACTCCCAAATAATCTCCTTTGACTCCATGTCTCACATCCAGGCCACAGTGGTGCAAGAGTTGGGCTCCCAGGGCATTGGACAGCTCTGTCCCTGTGGCTCGGCAGGGCACGGCTCCCATGGTTGCTCTCAAGAGGTGGTGTTGAGTGCCTGTGGCTTTTCCAGGTGTGCAGTGCAAGCTGTTGGTGGATCTGCCATTCTGGGGTCTGAAAGATGGTGGCCCTCTTTTCATAGCTCCCTTAGGCAGTGCCCAAGTGGGGACTTTGTGTGGGGGATCCAAACCCACATTTCTTCTTCGCACTGCCCTAGTTGAGGTTCTCCATGAGGTCTCCACCCCTGCAGCAGACATCTGCCTGGACATGCAGGCATTTCCAAACAACCTCTGAAATCTAGTCACAGGCTCCCAAGAATCAATTCTTGCTCTCTGTGCACCTGCATGCTTGAGACCACATGGAAGCCATCAAAGCTTATGGCTTGTACTCTCTGGACCAATGGTCTGAGACATATCTGGGGCCCTTTCAGCCACAGCTGGAGCTGGAGTGGCTGTAACACAGGAAACAGTGTCCCAAGGCTGTGCAGGGAAACAAGGCCCTGGGCTTGGCCCATGAAACCATTCTTCTCTCCTAGGCCTCTGGGTCTGTGATGGGAGGGGCCATGATGAAGGTCTCTGAAATGCCTTCAAGGCATTTTCACCATTGTCTTGGCTATTAACATTTGGCTCCTCTTTACTTATGCAAATTTCTGTAGCAGGCTGGATTCTTGTTGTGAAAAATGGGTTTTTCTTTTCTACCACATGGCCAGGCTGCAAATTTTCCAAACTTTTTCCACAAAGGCATCAAGGTATTCAATGTAGAAAGTAGAGTCTATTTAACAAATGGTGCCAGAAAATTTGATATCCATATGGAAAACTATAAACCCCAACCTTTATCTCACATTCACACAAAAATTAACTCAAAATGGATCACAGAAGTAAATTTAAAAGTTCAAACTGTAAATCTTAAAGAAATAACACATGAAAATATGTGGTCTTGCGGTAGGCAAAGATTTCTTAGGGCATATAAAACACAAACTATAAACTTAAAAAAGTGATAAAATTAACTGTCAAAACTCACATCTTCTGCTCTTAAAACTACTGTTATGAAAATGAAAAGTTAAGCCATATACTGGAAGAAAATATTTTCAGTACATATATCTGATCAAGAACTTTATCAATAATATATAAAAGACTTATGACTCAAAGATAAAAGACAACCCATAAAGATGGTAAACCTAAATAAATGCAGAGATGAACCATGTTCATGATTTGGAAGACTCTGGATAATAAAGATATCAATTCTCCTCAAATTAATATATAGGTTGAATGCAATTTCTATAAAAATTCCAGCACAGGCTTTTGTAAATGTTGACAAGTATATTCTAAAATTTATATGAAAAGGCATAGTACTAAGAATAACTAAATCGTGAAAAGTAAAAGAATTGTGAAGAAGGAATCATTACCTGATATAAAGACCTACCATGTAACTACATTAATCAAGATAGTGTGGTATTGGCAGAGGGACAGAAACATTCATCAATGGAATAGCATAAAGAACTCAGAAACAGACCCACACAAATATGCCCAAATTATTTTTGAGAAAGGTATAATAGGAAGAATAGTCTTTTCCACAAATGGTGCTGGAGCAATTGGACATTTATAGGCAAAAAATTTAAAAAAGATTATTGGCCTAAATCTCACATCTTATACAGGAATTACCTCAAAAGGAATCATGGACTTTGATATGGTTTGGATGTTTCGTCCCCTCCAAATCTCATGTTGAAATGTCATCCTTAATGTTGGAGGTGGGGCCTGGTGGGAGGTGTTTGGGTCATGGGGACAGATCCCTCATGCATGGCTTGTTGCCCTCCCATGGTAATAAGTGAGTTCTCACTCTGATTTCATGTGAGATCTGGTAGTTTTAAAGATTGTGCCACTTCCCCTATTCACTCTCTCTTGTCAAATGATATACCTGCTCCATCTTCACCTTCTGCCATGACTGTGAGCTCCCTGGGGCCCTTGCCAGAAGTAGATGCTAGCATCACACTTCCTGTACAATCTGTAGGACTGTAAGCCAAAATAAACCTCTTTTCTTTATAAAATACCCATCCTCAGGTATTTCTTTGTATAATGCAAAAGGACTAATACGGACTTAAATGTAAAATGTAAAATTACACAACTTCTAGAAAAAAAAACATAGAAGAAAATCTTCAAGATCCAGGGCTAGGTAAGACATTCTTATACTTGACAGCAAAAACATGATACAAAAAAGGCAAAGTTAAATAAATTGGACTTCAAAATTAAAAACTTTTGTTCAGTGACTGCCCAGGTGAACAGAATGAAAAGACAAAGACAAGCTACAGAGTGGGAAAAAATATTGCAAACCATATCTCCGACAAAGGACTCATATTTAGAACACATAAAGAACTCTCAAAACTCAGCAGTTAAGAAAACAAACAAATAAATAGTCCAATTTGAAAATTGACAAAAACCATGAAGAGACATTTCACTGAAGAAGATATACAAATGGCAAATAAGCATGTGAAAAGATGTTCAACATTATTAGGCATTACGGAAATGCAAATTAAAACCACAATGAAATATCACTACATACCCATCAGAATGACTAAAGTAAAAAATAGCGACCACATTAAATGCTTGCAAAGATGCAGCAAGACTGGATCACTCATCCATTGCTTGCGGGGATTTAAAATGTCACAAGTACTCTGGAAAAGCATATGGTAGTTTGCTATAAAATTAAACACATAATCATTGTACTACCCAGCAATTGTACTCCTGCAGTAAGTATCTCAGAAAATTAAAAATTTGCATTTACACAAAAACTTGTACATAAATGTTCATAGAAGCTTTACTTGTACTAGGTCATAAGTGGAAACAACCCAGATGTCCTTCAACAGGTGAATGGTTAAACAAATGTGGTACATCTATACCATGGAATACTACTCAGCAATAAAAAAGAATGAACTATTGATCTACACAACAACCTGGATGAATCTCCAGAGAATTACGATGAGTGAAAAAGCCAATCCAAAAAAGTTACATACTGTATGATTCTATTATATGACATTTTGAAATGACAAAATTATAGAAATGAAGAACAGATTAGTGGTTGCCAGCAGTTAAGTAGGGGGTGAGTTAGGAAGTGATTGGATGAGAGCAACATAAGAGATCCTTGTGGTGATGTAAATGTTCTGTATTTTGACTGTATTGATATCAATATCCTGGTTCTCACTCTACAATTTTGTGCTGTAGTTTTGCGAGATGTTACTATTGGAGAAAAGTGGGTAAAAGGGTACATGGGCTTTTGCTGTATTGTTTCTTACAACCGCATGTAAATCTGCAATAATCTAAAAACATAAAGCTTAATTTTTAAAATGGGCAAATTATATGAATATATATTTCACCAAAAAAAGATACAGAATGGCTAACAAGCACATGAGATGACGATCCACATCATTAGTCATTAGGGAATTGCAAATTAAAACCACAATGAAATACCGATACATACTTGAAAATGATTAAATTTAAGACTGAAAGTACCAAGTATCGGTGAGGATGTGTAACAACTGGTTTCCCATACACTGGTGCTGGGAGTGAACGTTTACAGCCACTTTTGAAACAGTTTGGGACTATATTTAAGTTAAACAGATATCATTACCATAAAACTTAACAATCTCAACCCTAGGTATTTTATCAAAGGAAGATGAAAACACATGACCAGAAAAAAGACTTATCCACCAACGTGCATAGCAGCATTATTCATAATATCCCAAAAGTGAAAAACAACTCAAATATCCACCAACAGATAAATGTATCAATCCAAAGTGGTATAGCCATACAATGAAATGCTACACAACAATGAAAAGGAATGAGCTACCGACACACACAAGAAGAAGGATGAATCTCACATACATTATATTGAGCAAAAGGAGCCAGACGCAAAAGAGTACACACCATATGATTCCATCTGGCCCTTTACAGAAGAAGGTTGTCAAACCCTGGCATATTGAATTTGGGAATAGGTTTAAAAAAAAGACAAATATAATCTGTAGTCATGTAAAAGAAATCAGTGGTTGTTTGAGGCTGCAAGTGGGAGGTAGCAACAAAGGGGGATAAGGAAATCCTTGGGAAGATAGAAATGTTCTGTCTTGGTTGGGATCCCGATTATAAGAATTTATATACTTGCCAAAACTCAAAAATCTGTGAAAACATGTATTTGGTTGTATATAAATTATACATCAATAAAATTGAGGGAAAAATATAGTCAGCAGACTTTGATAATTCATAGAGAACAGAAGGGGGTCCACAAGATTTCAAGCCATAAAGAGATATACTGATTTTCAAACATCGGGGAAAAGGAGGATACTAGAAACTCCACACAGGCTGGCTCACTATAGATCTTCTGACAAATTCTGAAATTAATTGTGAAACAGATAGTTGAATTTAATGATGCAGATAATCTGTATGTGTCACCATGACTTCCCAAATGAACTGTGTGTATGCATGTGTGTGTGTGATTGTGTGTACTTAATAAGGTATAAGAAGAGTAAATCAGAGAAATGCTATAGACCAGTCATTCCCAAACTCTGCAGCACATTGAAATCATCTGGGGAACCTTTAAGAAATACTGATGCCTGTCTCCCACCTCCAGACATTCTGCTTTAACTGGTATGGGATGCAACCTGGGCACTGGGGTTTTGTCTGCAGCTAAATCTGGGAACCACAGCTATGAACTCAAGCACCCTGAATTTCAACCAAGCACTAAACGAAAGCTTTCACTGTAACATTAGGTAAGATGAATGTGTATGTCAGATTGTAACATGTGAACAACTGTACTTTAAAGCTCCCTATTAGAAATTCAATCTCAACCCAGAAAATGGTGTAATGTAGGCATGCTGATTTACCCTATTTGGGACCAGGCTCCACTCAACAGCTTATGAATAATTTAAACTAACTGTTTTCAAAATACACCCTGAAACGCCGACCTTGACCTTTCAGGGACCAAAGAGGGTTGAACCTGAAACTCTTGCTTCAGTTTGCACTTCAGCTTCTGAGTGGTTCAGATTTTATCTCTTTTGCTTGTCATTCTGTGTAGAAATTACAGGTTCCTTTCATACCTACTCCCATAGAAAATAACCTGAAATCACCAATGTAGACACGGTATTAAATTTAACTTGCTGTTAAATGTACAGATAATACAAAATCAGAGTGATCGCATCTGTGATGATAGCAGAATCAAGACTTTATACAGTTTGAAATAATACCCAAAAGAATGTGAATTTAATAACAACAATCAAGGGTTGCTTTGTGTTATGGGGCTAAATTGCCTTCCCCCAAAAAATTTATATGCTGAAGTCCTAACCTCCTGTACCTCAGAATGTAATGGTATTTGGAGATGAGGTATAAGGTCTTTAGGGTGAATTCTAATCCAATATGATTGGTGTTCTTATAAGATGAGGAGATTTGGACACACAGACATGTACCCACACAGACAAACAGATGGCTATGTGAGGACACAGCGAGAAGGTAGCCACCTGTAAACAAAGGAGAGGGGCCTCAGAAGAAACTAGCCCTGCCAACACCTTGATCTCAGACTTCCAGTTTCCAGAACTATGAGAAAATAAATCTGTCGGTAAACCACTCAGTCGGTGATATTTTGTTATGGCAGCCTCAGCAAACTAAAACCCCTTGTGTTTAGGTTCAAAAATACCAAATGCATATTTATTAAGATGGCGGACAGCCTTAGCTTAATGGTCGTTCATGTCAGAGACATGGAATTTTAATCAAGTTTATGTTTAATATGAATTTGCATCAGTCAGAGTTCTTAGTTGCAAGTAAATGAAAATGACAGTGACTGATCTAAACAAAACTAAAATCCATTGGAAAGATCATCAGACAGGTTACAGAATCATCAGGATGTCTAGGCTCATAAAATAGGAACAGAGGGAACTTGGCTGTAGCTACAGACATAGCCAACATCACACCACAAACCTGATAAATACAGAACAAACACCGTTGCTGCTACATGAATGTTGAACATCATAGTAAGAACACGGTCATCTAGCTCACCCAGGGCCCCACAGAGATCCCACTGCTCTATGCAGGGAGTACTGAAGGAACAAGTAGCTGGCGTTTGGTGTTCTTAGCTTCTGCTTACATGGGACAGGATCATAGAAAGGGAATATTAATGAAGGGCTCCTAAAATATAAAAGGTGCTGCATTTATCCCTGGAGTTCAAATTATAAGAAATGATATTCTTGCTTGATTCTTGATGGTCGGATCACACCTACAGTACTGGATTTATTTCCAAGCTTCACTAAACAACAAGGGCATTGTAAAATAAAAGAATATATAGAGGAGAATGACAATGACATGTTAAAAAAATGGCTTTAACAACAACTGGGGAAAAAATACTTCGAGAGGCTATGAGAGCTGTTTCCAAATAACTTAAGGGCTAGCAGGAAGTAGAAATGTTCTACTTATTACAATGACGTGTTAAAAAAAAACGGCTTTAACAACAACTGGGGGAAAAATACTTAGAGGAGCTATGAGAGCTGTTTTCAAGTATCTTAAGGGCTATCATGAAGTGGAAATGTTCTATTTATTTTGTATGGCTACAGAGGACACAGCTAGGAACAAGTTTTATGAAAATGGATTTCAGCCTTTTAAGAAAATAAGAAACAGCATTTTATTTTAAATGTTATTATGTTTCTTATAGATATAAATAATTAAAAGTTATTTTACATTACTTTTATGAATTAATTTACATTTTGTCCTCAATCTTGAAAAAAAATTAGCTAGGAATGCAATTCCAAATTGATGAGTATTTTAACTCAGAACTTTTTTTTATATATATACTTTAAGTTCTAGGGTACATGTGCACAACGTGCAGTTTTGTTACATATGTATAAATGTGCCATGTTGGTGTGCTGCACCCATTAACTCATCATTTACATTAGGTATTTCTCCTAACGCTATCCCTCCCCCCTCCCCCCACCCCACGACAGGCCCCCGTGTGTGATGTTCCCCACCCTGTGTCCAAGTGTTCTCATTGTTCAATTCCCACCTATGATTTAACTCAGAACTTTGAACACAATATACATTGGTTTATCAATTCCATGAAGATGTTGAGAAATAGGCTAAAACTCTACTGTTGCTCTATAGTTCATTTGCATTTTATATTTCAGTGAATTTAAATCATTTCCTTTATTTTGGTGTTAAGCTTTAATGTTTTAAAATAAGTATATCTTTTGTACTTTTCTTGGTTGATATTTGATAAGCATGCATTTTACTAGTTCTTTATAATGTTTAAACATGTCATACTTTCTACTACTTTCTCTCTCCCATGTATTTAAATTCCTTTTTCTTTTTCTCTTATTTTAGATTCAGGGGTTATACGTTCAAGTTGGTTTCATGGGTATATGGCATGATGCTGAAGTTTGGGCTTCTTATGATCCCATTGCCCAAGGATTTCAGCTTTAAATAGGGAAAAACGTCTAATGCTTCAAATTATTCTGCAGCAGAAAGCTCTGTGTTTGAAAAAATTGGTAAAGATCCAGGCAGAGGCCATATGACCACCTGGCAGAAGTACTGTTAGAGAGTACTCTTCCTATTTGTTTGATCACATCATCTCAAATTCTGTTCTGAAGACTCCTTCAAAAGAGAATTCATGCCTTATTCTGCATAGCATCCTCATAGTGCCTACCACCTAGACTCTGCTCCAGAAACAAGCAGGAAACAACATACTCTAAGGAGGCATCATAGGGGCAGTAAGCTAAGGATTCCAAACATGGATGCCATGCAGAGTTCCTGAGAGACTCAGGGAGAAGAATGAATTCTTCTGTGCCCACACTGATGATGTTTTAAAACAGGCCCAAACAGACATAGAGAAGTTGATGGGCCTTCCTTCATGTCAGTGGTGCAGAGTTTGAGCATGACAGCTTTAGCCTGTCTAAAAGACCAGCAGGGCCAGGGCCATCAAGGGTCTATTTACTTGAGGGGCTGAGTAATCTCTTTTAAAAAGAACTCTTCAATTAGAAGGAGGGCTGGGGTGTTTAAATTTGGTACACGTTCAGTAGGTCAGTTTGGAAAAGGAGAGGAGAGAATTTTCTAAGAATATCACTGTATCTGTCTCTCAGATTGTCTCCAAGCCTAGCCTTCACAGACCTGAGTCCTGCAGCAATGGGACCACCATAACAGGAGAAGAAAAAGTGGGGGCAGGAGAAGAGGAGGAGATAGGTGGAGAAGAAGGAACCCTAAAGTGTCTGGAACACAAAAGAGAGGCATCAGTGTGTGTACAGAAACAAGCCAGTCCTCATCTGGAGTGCAGAAGCAAAGACGCCATTACAGCTTTGGTGGCCTCAATGATGGCCTTGTTGCAGTGGCCCAATGGAGCACTGAATCATTTCAGCTATTGAGGAGTCACAACAGTAGCTGGACCAGGACAGGACAGAAGAAAATGGTAGATTACAATTCCTGGAATATTGTAAAAGAAATCTGATGAAGACTGTGGTCCCTTAAAAAATGGGTGGAAATTAAGCCAAATAAATATGATACCATTTTCATTATTGGTAAACAAGTCTTTAGTCTCAGCCATGGTGGTCAGACAGACATGGGATGCTTCAGCAAAGATTCTGCATTTATAAGACAAAAAGGTTACAAGGCTGTCTGTACCCAGGAAACAAATCATACAAAGTACACAGTCAAAGGCCTCGGGGGAAAAAGAAAGAAAGTGGAACGTTGCCATCGATTTCAGCATCTTAGCAGCACACTGCTAAGTGATCTTTCTTCCCAGTCCTTCTAAAGACAGAGAGCCATAAGTGCAAGGTTTATGGAGTGGCCAGAGAGAATGTGGTGTCACCATGGTATCAGGCCACAGGAGACAAAGCTGACTGAATGGTGGTCCAGCATAGCTAATGATGTTGCTAGGAAACCCATATCTGCCACAAATCTACCCACTCTCCTTTCTGTGCATCATTAACTCACTACAAATGACATGGCAGCATCACCCATAAAGTTGAAAGGTTGCCCACCACAAGGCAAATCAGGAAAATCTCCTGCAGCCAAGGAAGGAAGCAGCCTACTGCTGTTCTCTACAGACTGGCCATACAACCAGCTGGCCTTCAAGGGAGCTCACCCATCCCTCTGTGACACCCAATCACCCAGGTTGCATACCAGAGATGCTACCAGACCTGATGTAGTCCAGATTAGCCAGCCTACACCACAAATAGAGTAGGAGTCATCAGACTAGTTACAATGAGAGCCCGGTTGCAACCTAGGGAACGAATAGCTATGGGGAAAATCGGAAGTCATCAGGTGGGATTGCTGGGGGCAAATGGCAGCAGGAAATGCAGACTGAGAGCGATTTGTATGTCCCTGTAATACTTAATGAGCACAAATTTCTGCAACATGGTGTTCTGGTCACTGAGGATCAGAGTTAAGTTAGAAACCATGCAGAACATCTAGGAGTTCATTATAGAGTAGGGAGAAAGACCTACAAATAAATAACTAGAAACCAATGTGTGCAATGCTGTAGCAGAGAGATGAAGCAAATCCTGTAAGGAGACCAACAAAGAAAATCCACCAACAGCCCAGGAGTGGCACAGGCCTCTTTCTTTGCTCATTAGGTGTCGGGGGCTATGGAAGTCAGCACAACTTACGCACAGAGTCAGGGCAGACTAGGAAGAATGGCTAACTCTGTCTGCTTGTGGCAAAGAGCAAGGAAAGGGGAGAGAGACATTAGCAGTTGGTCTTGAGGGATGAGGAGAATTTCACCAGACACTGAAGTGAGGTGGACCCAGGGATGTAGAGCAGTTGCTCCGTCTAGGCCAGTGCTGTCCGGTCAAAAAGAACGTAAGCTACAAATACAAGCCACATATATATTCTGAAATTTTCCAGTAATTGCACTGAAAAAAAGTAAAAAGAATGGATGAAATTAATAGTATATTTTCTTTAACCCAATATATAAAACAAATCATTTCAACATGTAATCAATATAAACGAATTAAGTTGATTCTTGAACAACACAAGGGTTAAGGGGCCCTGGTCCCCCACGCAGTCAAAAATCTGCATAAAACTTGACTCCATCAAACATAACTACTACTAGTTTACTTTTTGTATGTTGTATGTATTATATTTTGATGCTGTATTCTTACAATAATATAAGACAGAGAAAATGTCATTAAGAAAATCATAAGGAAGAGAAAATATGTTTACTATTCATTAAGTGGGAGGAAAACAAAGGGTTCTTCTTGCTGTCTCAGGGGTGGCAGAGGTGGGAGAAAAACCACATGCAATTGAACTTCAAACCCATGTAGTTCAATGGTCAACTGTATATAGATAGAGATAGAGAAGCAGGTGTAGGGCATCCCAACACTTTTTTTACAGGTGGCTATAAGAAGATGGGGCCAGGAAAGGAGATTAAGGAAAAGGAGTCAATGAGGTAGGAAGAAAATCCAGAATCATATCAAATGTTACCAGGTCGCCCTGTAAGGAAAAAAAAAAAGAGAAGAGACCAATAGATTTAGCAATGTACAAGTTGCTGATGACCTTGACCACAGTACTGCCTTCTTCTTCTTCTTCTTCTTCTCCTTCTCCTTCTTCTTCTTTTCTTCTTCTTCTTCCTCTTCCTCTTCCTCTTCCTCTTCTTCTTCTTCTTTCTGGGATACATGTGCAGAACGTGCAGGTTTGTTACATAGGTATACATGTGCCATGGTGGTTTCTTGCACCCATCAACTCATCATCTACATTAGGTATTTCTCCTAATGCTATCCCTCCCCTTGCCCCCAACGCCCCGACAGGCCCCAGTGTGTGGTGTTCCCCTCCTGACAACAGTACTTTCATTGGAGTGGTAGGAATGAATGCCTCACTGGAGTGGGTTTAAGGGAAAAGGGGAGAAGAAGAATTGTGGAGGATTAATTTAAATAGCTCTCTTAAGGTGTTTTGCTATAAAGAAAGTTAAGGAAGAGGATGATGAGCATGATGTTGAAGCCCTGAAGAGTAGGGGCAGAGGGAATAATCTAGAGGCTGTTTGAAGATTTGGTGGTGGGAGAGGGGGGACATTTTTAGCTAATGCTTGTTATTAAGGAAGCACTCACACTTGTTAATGAAAGTGACCAAGATAGGGGAGTAAAATGTCCAACTGCTATTTGTACTTTATATCACTAGATGGTTTGAGGCCTGGATAACATTATTTTGATAAAGAAAATAATAACCACAATGATCAATAACAATAACATTCATGATAAACAATAACATCCAGCATTGGAGTGACAACTACATTATGTGCTAAAGTCTATGCTAAGCATTGTATGGCATTATGGCTTTGATTCTTACAACTATATGAGCTAAGCACTATTTTGTCTCTATGTGGCAAATAAGAAATCTGAAGTGAAAAAAGTTTAAGTAACTTTCCCAAGGATGTACACTGATAAAGTTAGTATTTAAACCAGGTGTTTTGATTCCAGATCCCTTGTGAGAATTGAGAGTGAGGGGTGTTAGCATCAGTGAAGGAAATACTTCTTGCCCTTAAAGTGATTTCTTATCTAGGTCAGCAGGGCACATGGTGCAGACATTCCTCTCTCTCTCCCAACTTGCTGAAATTATAGGCACAAAATGGGTATGGCAGATCCTCAAACATTCTAGGATTCCTCCCTTCAGGTCCGATTGAGATATTCCCCAGCTCCTTGGAAGAAACTAGTAGAATACAGACTCTACTTCATGCACTTGGTTGTATTTTGTGGTTAATCCCCTATATTTCCCTGAGGATTAATAATTTTCAGTGAAGCAATGGTTGAAATCAATTCACAAGAAGCTTTAAGGGAAAAAACTCTTTTGGTAGAAGCAGGTAACAGTGAAAAACTGTTCCTATTTTCTGGCAGAGTAGTTGCCAATATGAAATGAGTTGAAATCTCCATCTACTACCACAGAGAAAAAAAGAGTAGGATGTTCTTTTATAATGACTAATGCAGGCACCTGCACATGAAGCAACAGTGAAAGGTGACCCTGGTAGTGCTTAATTAGTAGACACCAGGACAAGCATGGCTACTGCAGAGTTAAGTTCTGACTTGAAAGAAGTTTCATCAGATCTCCTCCTGCTCCTTCAAACAACTCCAATAACCAAGCTGCAGTGGGAAAGGAAGAGCAATAAAAACAGTAAACATAAAACATACTCAAGTCCACACCTTCGGCTCTGGGTCTGATCACCTAAGAGTTACCAAAGAAAAGCACCATTGGCCGAGGAAAATTTTCCAAAGCATCTCTCTCCTCATCCCCCCCGCAAGAGAAGTTAATAGAGTCACCACTACTGGGCTGCAAACAACATTCTAGGATACGTTAACAATCTTGATATGCTGGAAGGAATGCCAGGTTATAAGTCCAAAGACCTCAGTTTGGATCCCTACTCTGCTACTTACTAGCTGTGCGACTGTGGAAAAGTACTTAACCACTCTGATCCTCTTGTAACATAGAGATAATAATAGTGCCTATCACCTAGGAGAGATATCAAGATCAAATGAGATGACTTATTAGAAGGTGTTTTATATACCAGAAAGCAATGTTCAATATATAAATTATCCTATATGATCCCAAAATTTAGGTTTTTTACTATGGTTACTAACTTTATAGTATCTGCAGGGGCCTATATTCTTACACCAAAAAATCATCATAACCTCTGAATCAAAGCCCAGTGAAGAATTTTGACCTTGGACCTTATGGCTCAAACCCAAGCACTCTAGCCATCTCACACATTTTAGAAACTGTCTAAAAAATACTGATTTATAAGAAATCTCACAGATGGAGATACCTCAACAGATCATCTGCTCCCACATAAGAACCTTCAGGCAGATTCAGGATTATAATTTCCATTCTACAAAGAGGCCATTTATCATAGAGGTTAAGAGAGTAGAAAACATAAACTGTCTTACTGTTAACAGTAATATTGGTAATGTTATTTTTTAATTACCTTATGCAAATTATAGGATAAGCACATAACTATGCTCATATCAAAAGGAACCAAGATTGTCAGCATAAAACAAAAATAAACGTAAAATCAAAGAAATTCAGTAAAAATCCTGAAATCTTATGCAAATGGGAAATATCAAAATGAAATCATAATCTATTTTTCTCTTTTTTTTTTTTTTTTTTTTTTTTTTTTTTGAGACAGAGTCTCGCTCTGTCGCCCAGTCTGGAGTGCAGTGGCGTGATCTTGGCTCGCTGCAAATTCCGCCTCCCGGGTTCAAGCCATTCTCCTGCCTCAGCCTCCCGAGTAGCTGGGACCACAGGTGCCCGCCACCGCACCTGGCTAATTTTTTGTATTTTTAGTAGAGACGGGGTTTCACCATGTTAGCCAGGATGGTCCTGATCTCCTGACCTCGTGATCCGCCCACCTCGGCCTCCCAAAGTGCTGGGATTACAGGCGTGAGCCACCACGCCTGGCCTATTTTTCTCTTTCTATAAAGTACATATTTTCTAGATCTTCCCACCAACAAGCCTAGAAGCAGTGACCACTCAGTAGCAATGAGCAACCGGAGCACCTAGAAGCTGCTGAGACACTAAGTCATCACAATGAACATTCACAAATAAAAGATAAGAAGCATTTATTCTGCTTCTGTACAAACAATACTTCAGGGTAACCAAAGTTGATGAGGGAAAGTTCTTTATAGAACCATTGCAACTAATAAAGAGAAAAGGAATGAAAAAACTCTGAAAACCACCATTTTGCAACTCTCAATGAAATAATAGATCTAGGAAACAATCACTAATTGATGATAAAACTATCAAGATAAAAGTTGATGGGGAAAACTTTGTAATGGCAGGATCAGACTGACATCACTTGAACCTACTGAGAAAAGTTTACATCACTTTTTAGTGATGATAACCAGACATTATGCGGTTCATGATGTGATACAATAGGAAATATGCAGCACTATCTACAAAGGAGTCTAAAAATGTGCATGCACAGGCACAAACACACACATATAAATACCTCTTAATTTAATCAATCATCTAGACTTAGCCAGGAGTATAAAAAAATACGGGAAAAAAGAGGAACAAATTAAACCAAAAAGAAGTAATTGATCAAATCGGGAATGTGGGACATATCACAGCTCAAATGAACTATTTTCTTAAGTAATAAATGGCAGGGGTAGGGACCATTATATATTCAGAGAAACATAGTGACATAATTTCCAAATGTAGTGAGTTGATCTTGCTTGAATTCTGATTTGAACAAACCAATGGTCAAAAGAAAAACTGAAGGCCACCAGAAGAAATTTAATATGAACTGGACATTAGATGATATTATGAAATTACTGTGAAATGTTAGACATTATAACGACATTTTTGTTATATATATAGGAAATATGCATTGAAGTATTTGAAAATAGAATGACATGATGTTTGAAATTTGCTCTACATGCATACAAATATTTGGAAGACATGGTGAGTAGATAAAATAGCAGTATGCTATTAATTACTGAAGCTGAATGACGAGTGTTTAGTGATTCATTATAGTCTTCTTTTTATCTATGCTTGAAAATTTCATAATTACAAGTTAAAAAAAAAAAACAAAAATAAGATGAGCATACATAAGTTCTTGAGCCAGACAGCCTGGCTCTGCCACTCACTGGCCAAGTGAGAATGAACATATCACTCACCCTCTCTCTGCTTCCTTTTCCTTATATGCAAAATTGGGATAGTAACAGTGCTATAATATAGGGTTGTTGTGAGGGTTAAATGAATGTATACATGCAAAGTGCTTAGGGTACTTAAGTGTTAGTATGTGTTAGCTATCATCATCATCATCATCATCATCATCATCATTACCATCACCACCACCACTACTACCGCCAATGAAGACTTGGAAGTAATAACCCTCTAAAGGCAGGTTACTAAATCAGGGGTCTGCAAACTTTTCCTGTAAAGGGCCAGACGGCAAACATTTTAGACTTTTTCAGGCCATATGACCTCTGTTGCAATTACTCAACTCTGCGCATGGAGCACAAAAGCAGCAATAGACAATTGGCTGTGTTTCAGTAAAGGTTATTTACAAAAACAGCCAGCAGGCCATATTTTGCCCCCAGGCTGTAGTTTGATAACCCTTGCATTCTATGATATGAAAGAAAGAAAAAGCTAGGTCTTCTACCTCTAAGGCTGTATTATCCAATCCTCTTTCAACCAAACCAAGCCATATCATGAAGGGGATATGAAAAAAAAAGTTCTAATTTTGACAAGTACTGTTATCTCTTGCAAATTACATAGCTAATTTTGATTGAGTACACATTTGCTTAAAGGCTACAATCCTGCAAATCATTTTAAAATAAGAATATAGAAAATAACACTTTTTAAACCAACTTTCGCTACCACACTAGAAAGAGCTCTGTTCTGTCCTGATACCCTCAATCACTGCAATGTTATAGAAACTCTTGTTAAATTTTAAAAATTATATTATTTTATTCAATAGTTGCTCTCCAACTCAACTATCATAAGTGAAATAAATTAGCCACTCCCTAAGGTGTCTTCCTTGCTCTTGATAGAGGACTCTCAAGTTCCATGCTGTGTCTCAGAGAGCTCACCATTATGCAGGAGGGCACACCTATGGAATGGCATTTCTCCCACTTCATTATCAGTGCTGCCAGCTTCCAAAACATACCATCATGAACTTTCCAGGCACCTCTTACTTTTTAAACTCACTGCATAGGGGTGCTCCCATTTTTCAGAATGTTATGAAAGCAAGACAATCTGATGGACTAGTCCTCAAATTTGACTTCTGAAATGTTGAAAGTTAAGAAATATAATTAAACTGCAAGTGCATTAACATTTATATAAAATATAAACCAAATGCTTATCCTGATTCACCAAACAAATTACACTTTGAACATTATAAAAAACCAGCTACTTATCACCGGCACCATTTGAAATTATTGCTAGTACTACAACTCCAAATGCCTAAGATGCCTTAAATACAAACCCTGAACATTTACATACTGATTTCATGAGCAAAGCAAAAGGTATTTGCCGGTAACAGTACAGGACTCAGCAATTTTATTGTCTGAGTAATCCTGGTTCGTTCTGATATGAAAATTCAATTATTTTAGAATGGGCCCTCTCATTAAATTTTGACAAGCAGCACGAGCTCGGTACCAGTTATAGCTCGAAGAGACCGGGGGTGCCTGATAGCACCACACAGAATTTTAAAATGTAGTATTTTTGCAGGACAAGATTATCTGACAATTTTGTATTAAAAGAAGAAAAAATTAATCAAATACATTGTAATATTCAACATTGGTATATTTGGTCTTCTTTTTACAGATATTTTACTAAAATTTGCTGCAAAAAAATGTTTATTGCATGCTTTCGTCCTGATTTCACAATTGAGCAATGTACTAGAAAAATATGTATATGTTGGAAGTGAACAGGAAGTATTTGACTATACATTTTTACCTACTGCTCTCTTTATCAATTGAAATGTATTTGTGGTGCTTATAAACCTGATTTCCAGAAACAGAAATGACTTTATTTGCATATAGCCAGTTTTTTATTAGGATGCTTTCTGCCCAATAAAAAAAAAATCTTTGAAAGCAACTTTTGAGTGAATTTATTGTCTTTTAAAGCAGACCTTACAGCTAATCACAAGAAGAAAAATAAACGGTTTTATTCATTTCCATAGAGTTCACAAATGAATAACAAGTATCTTGCTCTGGGTTGGCTTGGTTTATTTTTGTCATGTCTCATTTTTTTTTTTTTTTCTTGTAAGACAGGGCTTTCGGGTGTTCTGAGATCTCCGCCAAAAGGGATGCTTTTCCAAGCTCCAATCTGTCTGTACACACATGCCCTGTCACGAAGAGAGGCACACAAATAGCCCCTATGATGTGTTATTTTAGTGACCAAAACATTCAACCCTAGGTAAAGAAGCCACCAGGTCAACAGCTCTAAACTCTGAATCAGAAAGAACAATAAAAAATAAGGTGAACTGGAAAGCAGAAGACTGCAAAAAAAAAAAACAAAAAAACAAAAAAACAAATAAACAAACAAACAAACAAACAAAAAACTGGTTCCTTGCAGAGGCTGGCTCTGAAACCAAGCAAGGCAAACCAAGAGCAGGTCTAACTGACAATACTCAGTCCTGAGCAGGCCCTGTCTCCCTCCAGCCCCAGCTCTTAACTCTCCTCTTCTCTTGTCTTTCAGTACCATTCACGTCTTGGAGCCCTACAACTCCATCTTTGTGTGGTCAGTTACTCATTAACTACTCTTCACCACTACACACACACTCCAAACGCTATTTAACATATTTTATTGAATTAATTTTTATTCTGAGAAGTTTCAGAACATTGGATTATTAAGTTTTCTGGGCCTTGATGTTCTACCTTTAAAGTCTAAGCTCAGGGGCTTATATACAGTTGTTTACAAGAATACTACCATTGAACAACGGCATTACACATCTTGTTTGGAATAAGGAGAAGAAGCGATGAGGAAGGGGAGCCAAGCAAATAACTTACAATATAAAATGTCTCATGTGTTGATTGCTGATGAGAAATATTAACATAAAGATCAGTTTGGCTTTCTCTTACCTGACCTGTAATCCTTACTGGCAGTGCCAGTTGAATTGGAAAATGAAGTCCTCTATCCTAGACTACTCCAAAAAGTTATTCCATTTTAAAAAACTATCAAAAGATGGTAACCTAAGACGAGGGCCTAGTTCAACCACAGAGCTTGGGATATTCAGAACCTAGGGACCTGCAGGTCACCTACAAAGGCAGTGTGAGCCAGAGCCCAGGTATGAGGTTTAAATACAGGCAGAATAAACGTTATTTCTTCTAGTACTAGAAACAGAAACAGCCTAGGGTTCCTGAAAGACAGAAGGTGAAACTAGGCTTACATGTTAAGCTGAGCAAAGATGGGCTCTCTAGCCTATGGACTGTAAATTTCTCACATCATGAAGTCAAAGTTTACAACACTCCTTAAAATAAGAATAGATTAGTCCATACATTTTGGTTTCCAACAATAATGACCATGACAGTTTGCATAAATGTACAGACTAAATACAAGGGGCCCATGGGCCACGTGGATAAAAGAACATGTAGTAACTGATGCATCCTTCTGCAACACATAGTTAATAATATAATGGACAAGACATCACATACATGAAATACAAACAGATTTCACAAGTGATTTTATTACTGATCACACTATAGGGAGCAAAATGGAGAAGTGAGCTCAAGCTTTGGAGTTCACCTGTCTTAGCTACATTTGGATAGAAACAAGCTGAGTTTTCCAAGGTCAGTCACAGGGCCCTTTACTCCACCCCAAATTCAGGAGGCTACACCTGTTCAAAATACTCAACAATAAGACTTTACTGATATTAGCACACCAATCTGGAATTTCTGATTATTCAAACAGAGATTTGATTAATTTAACTTGTCCCAGTAAAACATTGTTCAGAGGAAGTTACAGTTTATGCAAACAGCTTTGTAGAGGGCAGGCAGTGAGATGTCTCAAATATAAAAGAGAATAATCTGGCTTGCAGCACTTTAAATATTGTAGAATCACAGAATCTCTGGTTGGAAGGTAATCAAGACCACCAAGTTCAACTTGTCCATCCAATGTGTGAATCTTCTCTACTACCTCTCTCATCAACGGACAGTCACCCTGGGCTCAGACATCACTAGCGACACCTCCAGAGGCAGCTCACTCTGCCTTTGGGCAACCGCAGCCTTTAGGGATGTGTACCTTAGGTGTCAATCTGCCTCCCTAGAACTTTAATCAATTTAAGGTCCATTCAAGGCCATTTAAGGCCCAATTCAAATTCCTCTATGAGATCTCCTCTGATTCCCCAGAAGGAACTCGCACAATCTGCTGCTTATTTCTCTATGAAGCACTCATTTCATTCTGCCCTGTCTCTTAGCTATTTGCAGGTCTCCTTCACCAGACTGTCCTACTAAAGCCTGGAGGCTAGATCATTTTCACTAGTTTTGCCCAAAGTTGCACAACTGAAAAATAATAGACCCTGCATCTGAACCCAACAACTCTGGCTCCAAAGTCCATGTTTGGAACCACTACTCTGTACCGCCTCAAATATTAGCTTTTTCCAAAATAGTTTATGCAAATTTAAATTGCTATCCCACTACCAATATTCTCTACTCACCTCCCTGGATTTAGTATTTTCTCATAGTATTTACTGTCATTTAACATACTGTTAATATATACTTCCTTCTTTATTTAGGTCATTATCTGTCACTCTGCCACCCTACTGCCCCACTAAAATATAAACTCTATAGAGGTCACAGATTCTTATCTGTTCTGTTCACAGTTGTAGTAGAACAGTGGTTGGTACAGAGTAGAGCACAGTAAACTTTTGTTGGATGGACTGATGATGGATTGATAACATGGATTTCACATCCTCAAGAGTTTCAAAAGTATTGGAGAGTTAATACCAATTGGTCACCAATTAAAAGAGTGACTGAATCCTCTGACAAAAATCCAGTTGATATGCCTGATAGGGACTGAATTCTAGGTGTCTGGCCTTGAGAACAGGGAGTTGACCCAAAGAGCATCTATTTATGTCTTAATTCCTCAATGGTTGGTCAAGCACTTTCTGGCGACAGCAGCACAGAATCATCACCCATAAACCTACCCTGGAAAAAGCTTCCAAATGCTCTTCGTTATGAACTGAACGTTACAAGATAGTGTTTATCGCCTCTCTTTCCACTAATGATGTTCAAAAGGAGGGGGCCATAGGTAGTCTAATATTACTAACTTACAACAAACCAGAAGAAAATTTTCCCTCTATTTTATAACATGAAATGGAACCCCACATAGTAAAGTCAACTGTAGTAAATTGCTTTAGGGCTATGAAACATTTCATATCAACCCAAAAGAAGTGAATATATCCTACAGGCATTCCAAAATGTATGAGAAGATCCCCCACCAAACCCCTTTGAATGAAGAAAACACACTCTGTAAGTAATGAGAAAACAATCAGGTAAAATTTAGTTTATTTTAAATATGCAGAGACCCACAGATGATGAAGTCCAACTCTTCAGTCTAGAGGCAAGGGCTCCAAGTACCAAGAAAGTAAAAGCAATTTGTCGGCTGCTCCATAGAGAGTAGATGACACAATGAGTGCTAAAACCCAGATGTCCTGATATCCTGTACTTGGAGCTATCTTCTATACCACAGAGTTCTCTTAATCCAAGCACCAGATACAATATGAAGAGATGCCGTCTTTTTTTTTTTGCAGCATTACATTCCAAAGATATCAATTTTTAAACAAAGGTTCCCCCCATCCAAATCCGAAGCCAGAAGGTTTTAATCTGGACCTGTTTCTCTCAGCCCTTGAGTAGGGGAATTTTCTTTTGTTCCCAGGGACAGGGTTTTAGGGAAGCCAAACTCACAAGATGTTAGCACTAGAAAGTACTTTCTTCAGTGAGAAGAAGGCAGAATATGTGGGAAACAAAACAGAACTCAGTACCTGCAAATGGATGCACGATTCAGGACTTGCTTCCCTCCTTCCTCCCAATCCAGGCACTCACCAACCTCCGACACAAACAACTTCTTATAAACCTACATGGGAGCTGAAATGTTTAATTATATTGTCTGCATATGTTTGCATCAATGCCATGTTCAGAGAGAAGGGGCTGGGTCTATGTGTCCTTTTTCAGAGACTCTCACATAGCACCATGTGTAACTCTTCTATGTGTAAGAGTTACATGTGTAAGCACTATGTGTAAGAGTTACACATGGTGCTATGTGAGGGTGTCTGAAAAATGCACTCTTTTGAATTATAAGTTATGTAAAACCACTCTTTTCTCGGGACATCATGAGCACTGAAGAGCCAAGGAGTATAGGGCAATAGAGAGGAAAGTCCCAAGTTATACTAACAGGGAGAGAATCTTGCTGAAATTTCCAATTGTCCTTTGCTCAGTTTAATCAAGTTTGAGAGGTGTTTGGCACCCTCACAATGGTTGGTGGGATATAACCTAGTCTAGTATCAGTATCAAGCACTAAGTCATATTTCTTAACCCTGAAGTACATTCATTTGTTCATTGGTTCAGCCCACACACTGAGCCCTTGTGCAGCCACTATGGAGGATACAGAACTTGTAGTTCTAGTACCAGCCATAGGAGTCTACTCCACAGTGGCAACAGGGTAAAAAGTGGCCAACACCTTGACAGAGACATATGCAATGTATTCCAGGAGTTTAAGAAAAGGAAAGACATAATTTCCAAGTTGCAGAATCCAATGGTATTTGTGTTTTGAACTCTTCTTTGACAAACAGTTGGTATCTGGACACGGGAAGATATGAATGAAAAGGAGCTGAGGTGGAGTCTTCTGAGAGAAAGGAACACCACTGATGCAGAACCATGTAAATTAAAGACCAAACACTAGGACAAATGACAATGCTTGAACAAGATTTATATGTGAAGTCACAACGAATGCTAAGGACACAATCTCATCTGCAAACCACGTTGCTTGCCATCCTCTACCCAGCTGGAGCCTTTACTTTAAGCCTCACGTTTACGAGGCCTCTATCTGGGCCAGAGCTACAGGAAGAGACATCACAGAGGGAATTGCCTCCAGGAACATACCTTCTCTTTGTCCCCATACATTAGAAAAGAATTAAATGGAAAGATAAGTTAACATATGTGGTCCAAAATTCAGTTTTCCCCCAAAGTGCTGGAGAAAATTCTCTGCTACTCACAGCCTACCTCTATTACTCTCATTTGCCTCCACCTCCACCCTCCTGCGCTCTGCTTCTGCAGGATTTGACTCACAACTAGTCAACTGGATATTAACGTAGAAATCACAGCCATCTGCTTTCCACTCGATTCAGAAAATCACCCAATTTTTTATAGATGTCTAAAACTCTTAAATCTTCTAGTCAGTTTATAGTAAATATATGTACAGAAGACTTTGCAAAAAAAAATCCCCGTCCTATTTTCTACATTTAAGTTAGGTAGGTAGTGGGAGTTTGAGTTTTAACAGAGTGTATTTTTGGTAGTATAAAATACCATGGAAAAAAAATAACAAAAAAAAGACGGAACTGCTTCGTGATTCTAATTGGCCTGTGCGTCGAATTTAAACAGCATCAGTCTGATTCTACCACACAAAACACCGAGCAAACAAGAGCTGTTTTCCCCCACTTGAGGCCTCTGAGCTGAAACAAGAACGAACAGTTTGCATGGGTGGTACTACTCGCTGATTCTTGCTATTAGGCAATTTTTCCCCTTTGGAATAAAAATGCCAATTAGTCCTTTTGCCAGAACACTGCAATTGAGCATTTTAAGCCACTTCTTTTCCAGGCCTCTTTTGTGCAACCTTTCAGACAGAGATTTGTTGTGTGGAGCAGTCTACATATGGGAAGAAAGCTGTGGCCTTGGAGCAGCAACCTCCAGAGTGGGCAGGACCTAATAAAGACCTCACCTAAGGAGGAAAAGAAAAGATCTAAAAAAAGGGTATGCTAGTGGGGATAATAGCCCGCTCAGCTATATTAGTGTTACTGCCTTGGCTATGCACATAAGCAAGATCACATTTCAATTGGTGACTCGCTACTTCATCAGTTGTTTATGAATGAGCATGCAGTTTCAGCACAGAGCTATAATTTCGACCTCACACAAAACAATGCCTTATAAAGAGTTGAGGCTCTTTACCAAGAGGTTAGATTGGCTTTGAGGCTATGTAGTGTAGCAATTAGGAGCATAGGTGCTGGAGGCTGACCATCAGGGTTCAAATTCTGTGCTACTTATTAGCTGCGTACCCTTGGTTAAGTTACTTAACTTCTCTGTGTCTCAGTTTCCTCAGTAAAATGGGGTGAATTGTAATACCTACCTTAAAAAGTTGGAGTGAGAATTCCAGAAGTTAGCCCAGAATAAGTGAATAGAACGGTGCCATAAAAGGTAGCAACAGTTATGTTTTATAAAATTGTATGTCAAAAACAAACATGAATGTATATTTGCCTTCTCAAGTACAGATCAGGAAAGTCATTTATCTGGCAGCATCGGCAATCTAGAAAACACTTTTAAATCAGAAAACAGAAAAGTCGCTGAAGGGCCTAAAATGAGGCTGCAAAGTTCATGCTCCACATCTCTGCCCTTGGCTCAAGGATGGGCTCCTCCAGTCCTCATTCAAAGCCTGAACAATCTTTTATATATTTTTTATAACAGCTGTATTTATACTATACAATTCTTTCCTTTAAAGTGTACAATTCAGTAGCTTTCAGTATATTCACAGACTTGTGCAAGCATCACCACTATCTAATTCCAGAACATTTTCATCACCCAAAAAGCCATTAAGCAGTCACTGCCCCATTCCCCCTTATCCCAGCCCCTGGCAACCACTAATCTGCTTTCTATTCCCATGGAATTGCCTGTTCTGAACATTTTATACAAATAGAATCATACAAGATGTGGTCTTTTGTGACTGGCTTCTTTCACTTAACACCATGTTTTCAAGGTACAACCATGTTGAAGCATGTATCAGTACCTCATTCTTTTTATGGCTGAATAATATTTTATCATATGGATATACCACATTTTGTCTATCCATCCTTCACTGATAGACATCTGGGTTTTTCCACTTTATAGCTAGTATGAACAATGCTGCTACGAACATTTTTGTACAAGTTTATCTATGAATGTATGTGTTCATTTCTTCTGGGTATATACCTAGAAGTGGAATTGCTGGGCCATATGATAACTCTGTGTTTAACATTTTGAGAAACCTTCAGACTGTTTTTTCCAAAGGAAGAAACTGCACCATTTTACATTCCCATTAGCAATGTATGAGAGTTTCAAATACTCCATATCTTTGTCAACACTGTTATTATCTATCTTTTTCATTTTAGCCATCCTAGTGGCTTGTAATTTTGATTTTCATTTCTCTGATAGCTAATTATGTTGAGCTTCTTTTTATCTGCTTATTGGCTATTTGTGTATCTTCTTTGGAGAAATGTATATTCAGATGATTTGCCCTTGGACATAACCCAGCAACAAGCTGGGATAGCTGGTTTGGTTGTCTTAACAATTAGCAGTAAGACATTGGAAGAAGGAATCAGTGAAAGGTATAGCTGCCTGCAGGGAAACATGCTGCAGTCAGTGAGAGAAATGGCAGAAAGAAGAGCAGATACAGAAACTGAAAAATCCTGGCCGGGCGCAGTGGCTCACACCTGAAATCCCAGCACTTTGGGAGGCCGAGGTGGGCGGATCACGAGGTCAGGAGTTCGAGATCAGCCTGGCCAATATGGTGAAACCCTGTCTCTACTAAAAATACAAAAAATTAGCCAGGTATGGTGGCGGACACCTGTAATCCCAGCTACTTGGGAGGCTGAGGCAGGAGAATCGCTTGAACCTGGGAAGTGGGGGTTGTAATGAGCCGAGGTCCCACCATTGCACTCCAGCCCGGGCCTCAGGGAGAGACTCCATCTCAATGATACTACTACTACTACTACTACTACTACTACTACTACTACTACTACTACTAATAAAAGAAACTGAAAAATCCTGGCAGCCATTTAATGGGAGAAGCAAATAGCCTGAAATATCATCTTAATAGCCCTGTGGCCATATTGTCTAAAAGCACAGTATTGGGATTAGAAGGAAGTAAGAAAGGAAGATGGAAGTGTCTGCGCAGTCCATGGGCAACAATACCTCAGGGTCCCCTATCTCCTCTCATTTGCACTCTCAATGGTGAGCTTGACTTCATAATTATACCCATCAGCATCTGTATTACAGTTAATATTTGCATTTTGAGCACCTACTGTATGCCAGGTCTTATGCTAAGGATTTTACACATACTATATCATTTTATCCTCACAACATCCCTATGACATTAGTTCCAGTAATAGCCTCATTTTGCATTATCTGTAAAAGAAACTAAGACTTAGAGAGGTTAAATAACTTGCAAAATGTCACACAGCCAATAAATAGCAGAACTAAGAATTAAACCCACATCTGTTTGAGTCCAAAGGCAGTCACTGTCCTCTAGACTGTCTACTGATGACAGCCAATAGTTATCGAGCTGTTGCTATTTGCCAAGTATTATGCTAAATGCTCATTGCCTCATTTGATCATCATTACAATCCTATGAGATGGAGTATATATGTAGCAGGTAGTTGATAAACGTGGATAGCAATGGCATGAGAGTGAAGAAATAAGTTCGTGACAAAGAAGGAATGCTAGGTAAAGCTATTCAGCTTTTGTGCAATTATTTTATCTATTTAGTTTGCAACACAGTCACAGTCAAGGAAATTAAATGGACAAATATTTATGTGCATTGCTTGAACAATATGAGCAGTAATATTTTCTGAATATCTAATACTCATGAGGCACTTTACAAGCATTATCTCATTTAACCGCAGCAGTAACCTTAGCAACTTGGGATCACCACAACCAATTTACAGATGTGGAACCTAATCCTTAAAGGTCAAATGATCTGCTTAAAGGACACACACAGCTTTGTATGTGTTAGAACCATAAACCAAGTCTGCGTGACTTCAGAGCCTGGGCCCTTAATCACTGTTCTTAGGACTGAAAACTGGTAAATTCACTGAAAAGTACACACTATCAAGGTGAAAAAAGGTAATAGCTGAACTAAATGGACGCTAATCCTCAAAGTCTGCACATGACATGAACTGCAAGGAGAGTTTACTTTTGTCCAGTTTCAGTGTGGCTCTTTGAAGTGGCAGTGACAGTCCACAGGGCTGAAAAGAACCTCCCCAGACAAAAGTGTTAACAGGCTTGATCCCAGGCTGATCCCAGACATATGATGAGCACCTCTTCCTTGTCTCTCCCTTGAAGGTATCTGCTTCATATCTTGCTACCTACTCTCTTAATCAATCCCCTCAGCCTTTAGAATTGACAAATACCTGTGCCTTCCCAGGTGTAAGTCTGACTCCTCCGGACATTTATCATCCCTTCTTTCATCTATCTGCAACCTCAGCCCATGTAAGAAGTAGTTGTCAAATCTTTATTTTGCTCTCACATAAAATCTCATGTGGAACCGCAACCCGTAAAACAAATACAAACCAAGCTCATTGATTGGTAGAAGGGGGAGGTTCAGGGAACGCAGTTTAAAAAACAACCACAAGTCCCTGAGACACTTCATCCTGGATGGGTAGAAGGCTGTTCCACTGACTGGACAAGACCATGTGTGAGGTTTCATCTCCAAGTAGGGTCAATGATCTCTCTAAAAAGAGATATAATTTCTCAAATTGAATCTTTTTTCTTCTTTTTTTTCCATAAACCATCATTTCGCATTATGATGAAAGTGATTTTAATGCTTAACTTGTGGGACTAGTCTCATTATTTTAAAATGACACCTTGCACATAAGAAAAAGTCAGTTATGAGCTTTCAGTACATTTTATTTTCTTGTTTTTTAAAATAATTCACCTAGATGCACAGTCAAAATTCCTGACAACTTTGAGTCACTGCATTCTCAGCTCAGAAACTGGTATATCCTCCTGGAAATGTATATATTTTGTCTATAAGCTTATTTATAAATAAAATATATTTTTATGTTTTACATTGCATTTTAATTATTAAATATTTTATTTGACTAAGACACCATAGATTATAAAATGTCCTACTCTATAATGTATCACTAGGACTCATTAATAAATGATGACATAATCTTTTTTTGTTTTGGTTTGGTTTTGGGTTTTGTGTGTGTGTGTGTGTGTGTGTGTGTGTGTTGGAGTTTTGCTCTTGTTGTCCAGGCTGGAGTGCAGTGGCACGATCTCAGCTCACTGCAACCTCCACCTCTTGGGTTCAAGTGATTCTCCTGCCTCAGTCTCCTGAGTAGCTGGGATTACAGGCGCTTGCCACCATGCTGGCTAATTTTTGTATTTTTAGTAGAGATGGGGTTTTGCCATGTTAGCCAGGCTAGTCTCGAACTCCTGACCTCAGGTGATCCGCCTGCCTCAGTGTCCCAAAGTGCTGGGATTACAGGCATGAGCCACTGCACCTGGCCGACATAATCTTTTTATTTATTGCAAGAGATTTTAAGATGTATTTAGATGTAGATGCAGGTGTTTCCTCCTTTGTACACGCATAAAAAGTAAAAAATAAATGAAGTAATTTGATCGTGACATTTAAAAAATCATACTTATTTAGGATCCACCTTTTCAGAATCATGTTTTGATTCAGTCATTAACAACCACAATCTTGTTTTCCTCATCATGTTTTCTTGTGTGCTCTGAAAAGCATTGGCAATGCAGGATTTCTTTTTTGTAAAGTGCTCCGCTGGCTTCTCTGGGATTTTCTTCTATGCTGCCGATACCCATTCTGCAACTTCTGTCCAGCATATTTGAGGAATGCAAATTATAACACAACAGCCTCCTGGTGACAGCAAAAAATGTTTCAGAGATGCTAAAGGTGTTAAATGAGATGTTAAAATGAGAAAAGTCTTACAAGTGATGGAATGTCTTTCCATAGCACCATTGAGATCATACACTACCCACTGACTGCAACATTTTCCTCTCTTAATATTTATTTTAGACACAATCCATATTTGCACATATACATCTACCTCGCTTTTGTGTGAATATATTGTACATTATTTTACCAAGAACTAGTTTATTTTTCCTAGAATCTAAGATTTTCCAGGTCTTAAAAGTCACCTATTCCAGCTCCCTAATATCTCATCGGGGCTTGTGAGTACACCCAAAACATTTGTTCAAAACTGGTTAAATTTAGGCAAGCATCTGAATTCTACTACCTGTTTGCAGATCACAGTTAATTGATTTGGTTTTGTTGTTACCTACACACACCTACATATTATTGTTGTTGTTACCTACATATGGCATATATGTACATGTGCAATAAGCATCCAGACATTTATATCCTTAGGATAACACGGTCATGTACCTAAGGATAAGGAAGTATTAAATCACTGTTGTCACGGCCAGCTGTACAATTTGCAGAACTTAATGTGAAATGAAGATGCAGGACCCAAGTTGGAGATGATGAAGTCTATCTTCCCTTTCCATGGGCCGCAGCCCCAGTGAACAACAAATGGCCAATCCCCAAGGCATTGTAACGTCTGTGTTTGGACATGCTAGGTACCTGGCTCAGGGGTAGCTGAAGGGAACCCCTTCCAAGCTGCCTGCTGAATGCTAAGTTTCTGTTAGCCCAGGGCTGCACACAGAGTGGGACAAGACACCTCAGGTGTGTGCACTCAACCATCGCCTCCCTGCACCCCGGCCCAGGCCCCTACCTGGGAGTGGAGAGCAATGGATGAACTTGGGCCTCTTCCGCTGACACAAATCATTTGCTGCCCCAGGCAGAAGACAGTGGTGGTCACTAGGCAAAGTGGACAAGGAAGAGCTCGAGGAAGAGCCCTGGGGGGACCAGGGCACCAGAGGTTTGGGAGCAGACCACCACAAACCCATACCAGGGATGCAGTAGGTGGCAGGAACCAGCATCAGTGGAAGCTTTTTTTTTTTTTTTTTTTTTTTGAGACAGAGTCTCCCTCTGTCACCCAGGCTGGAGTGCAATGGTGCGATCTCGGCTCACTGCAACCTCCGCCTCCTGGGTTCAAGCGATTCTCCTGCCTCAGCCTCTTGAGTAGCTGGGATTACAGGCACGTGCCACCGTGCCTGGCTAATTTTTGTATTTTTAGTAGAGATGGGGTTTCTCCATATTGGTCAGGCTGGCCTCGAACTCCTGACCTCGTGATCTGCCCACCTCGGCCTCCCTAAGTGCTGGGGTTTCAGGCGTGTGCCACAGCACCCGGCTAGTGGAAGCTGTTTTTAAGGCCTCAGCATGTGCTCCATTCTCCCCTCGCACTTCCCCTGAAAACATGCATCCAACGATAAAATTAAAAATGTCAAGATAGTAACCACAAAGCATTAAACCCCAAACATGGATGGGGTCCTTATGAGCCCAGGGTCCTGTGTGACTGCAGTGTCTCATACCCACAAAATGGTCTTGACTGTCATGAAAACAAAAACAAAAACCAAAACCCTGCATACCTCTCATCTAAACTACAATGGCAGAAGTCAAATTAAACAGACTGAAAGTCCACTGTGTTTGGAAGCTAAGCAATTCGGACTGAGGAAAGTTTATTGTGAAGCTCCACAAGTAGATTGAGCTTAAGGGGCCAGCACTTGCACGAGGGCCCTGCCTGAGTGCTAGCAGTTGCTTTAAGCTCTCAGGCATTCCAGGTATAGCAAAAAAAAAAAGGTGCAATCAAAAAGCACTGGCATGTCACCTATTCTGGTAAGTTGCCTGAAAAGATTTGAGAAAGAGAAAACCTCATTTTAAAATATTCATTTCCATACCTAATTTAAGTGTAATTTTGTATTCATTTTTTTTCCCAATGTCATCTCAACATTTTATCAGCTCCAGTCTTAACTGTGTTCGTTCTAAGGAGACTGATGATCTGTGATACCTCAAGGGTTCTCTATAGGTATTCAAAGCTGATGTTCAACTTCAATATGATAGATATTGGAGAAACTTGTGGCAATAAGTGTAAAATACACTTTAAAAGAAACAGAAAGCTATAATGCAATCAGACTACTTAATTTCACCTTAAAAGCAATCTAAACTGGAATTAAACTTGGGGAATATTTCAGACATAAAAACTAAACTGCCAGTCATCAAAAACATTCTAAGTAAAAAGAAGACAAGGTACTTTTTAAGTCTTCATCACACAAATGTGATTTCATTTGTTCTTCTATTGCTTATAAAGTTCTCTGGTCCACATTAAAAGGACAGAGAGGAAACCAGCGTACTGTTACCAGTGTTAACTTGGTGCCCAGGTTAACCTGATCCCTAAAACTGATTACTTTAGCAAGAATAATCTAATAAACGACTGCTGAATCTAAACACTGGCTTACAGGAGAAAAACTGGTCATTTCTCTGCAAGATTCATTTCCCAATTATTGTTGGCAAGTGCAGTATTCTTTAGCCGAAATATTAAGGATTTGAGAATTTATAAACACAAACTGATTTGGAAATCAAACTGTTGGACTTTAGAGATAGTTCTTAGCAAAGATTTAGAAGTTATTCATAACCAATTACTTTTTTTAAAAAATCACATTATGCATATTAAAGTATAATCACCTAATAAGTAAAACATTTTAAAAAGTCACATTAAAACAGTGGTATTCCATCCAGTTTAGTATATGCTTGAAATTTTATCATTATAAAACTATTTTTAAAACACACCTGTATTAAATTTAACTCAATTTTCAGACTAGATACTGTAAGAAACAGATTAAATTAAAGCTAAAATGTTTATGTTAATAGACAAGGCTGACAAATTTAGAATGTGGAAAGTTCTAAAGGATAAATGCTTTTTCAACAAAGGTACTGCAAGAACAAAAAGGAATAAGAAGATTGGTATAGATTTAAAGAGATATTTTATTTGCAATGTGTGAAATTAATTGGATATTGATTCAAGGAAAAACAGCTAAAATAAAAATATCCCTTGTTTTTTGGAGTATTATTTGCCAGGCTTTGTCTCTCTAAAGTTATTCTTTATCCCCTTGTAATTAGTATGTATTTACTAGGGAGGTACATTGAAACAATGTAAATATCCCATTCTTTATCACACTTTGGATTTATTTTGATGATGAAATTATCCCCAACTTAACCAGTAGGAGCCCCTTCATGTTGGCTTCTGTGCTTCTGTGCCTTTTTTTTTTTTTTTTTTTGAGATGGAGTTTCGTTCTTGTTGCCCAGGCTGGAGTGCAATGGCACGATCTCTGCTCACTGTAACCTCCACCTCCCGGGTTCAAGCGGTTCTTCTGCCTCAGCTTCCCGAGTAGCTGGGACTACAGGCATGTGCCACCACGCCCGGCTAATTTTTTGTATTTTTAGCAGAGATGGGGTTTCTCCATGTTGGTCAGTCTGGTCTCGAACTCCCAACCTCAGGCGATCTGCCTGCCTTGGCCTTCCAAAGTGCTGGGATTACAGGCATGAGCCACCGCACCGGGCCGGCTTCTGTGCTTTTTGACATGATCCAGGTATTATTTTTTTAAACGTTGTGACTAAGTGCGAAAATTTGAATATGAACTGGATATTACATGTTATTATGGAATTATTATTAATAATTATAATGGCACTATGGGATTTTTATTATTACTAGAATATGCTGAAATATCCGGATGTTTGCAAATTACTTTAAAGTAATACAGAGAGGAATATATATGTGCATATAAAGACACTGTGGGCCAGGCGTGATGGCTCACGCCTGTAATCCTAGCACTTTGGGAGTCTGAGGCGGGTGGATCACCTGAGGTCAGGAGTTCAAGACCAGCCTGGCCAACATGGTGAAACACTGTCTCTACTAAAATACAAAAAAAAAAGTTGGCCGGGCATGATGGCAGGTTCCTGTAATCCCAGCTACTCGGGAGGCTGAGACGGGAGAATCGCTTGAAGCTGGGAGACGGTGATTGCAGTGAGTAGAGATCGCACCACTGCACTCCAGCCTGGGCGGCTGAGCGAGACTCCGTCTCAAAACAAACAACAAAAATACAGGCCAGGCGCGGTGGCTCACGCCTGTAATCCCAGCACTTTGGGAGGCCGAGGTGGGCGGATCACCTGAGGTCGGGAGTTCAAGACCAGCCTGACCAGCAGGAAGAAACACCATCTCTAATTTAAAAAAAAAAAAAAAAATTAGCCGGGTGTCGTGGCACATTCCCAGCTACTCGGGAGGCTGAGGCAGAAGAATCGCTTGAACCTGGGAGGCGGAGGTTGCAGTGAGCTGATTTTGTGCCATTACACTCCAGCCTGGGCAACAAGAGCAAAACTCCATCTCAAAAAAAAAAAAAAAAGAAAAAAAAATACCACTGTGAAATAAAGCAATTTTGGTAAGATATTAACAAATACGGAAGCTGGTGGAAGGTATGCAAGTTTTCATTGTACTGCTGTTTCCACTTTCATATATGTTTACAATTTTTCAAAATAAATAGAAAAGTGAAAGAAATATGTCAACCAAATGCAATTTGTAGAGCTTGTCCTGATTCACCTGTAAAAAGATACTTTATTAGACAATTGTAGAAATTTGAATGCTGACTTGATGTCAAATAATATTATTAGTAAATTATTGTCAATGTTTAGGAATGACGATGGTATTGTTATGTTAAAAAAACACTCACCTGTTAGAGACACTTTCTGAAGTGTTTGTAGATGAAGTGATAAGATGTTTGGGGTTTGCTTTGAAAAATGTAGAGGTTTGGCAGTGAAAATGAAATAAGACTGGCTATAAATTATCATTGTTGAAGATAGCTGATAAGGACCTGGGAGTCTATTACATAATTCTTTCTATTTTTGTATATATTTGAACATTCCCATAACAAAAATATGTTTATGGAAATACTGAAATTTTAAAAATAATGTCTTAGAAATAAAACAGCAGAGATGATAAAGTTATGTTTTTCCTATGGAATTATAAATAAAACACTGAACAAGTTTATCCAAGAAAGAAAATATAAATGTACAACAATGAATCTCTTTCGATTTAGGCTAAAGTCCAATGCGTTAGCCATTGTGCAACAGAGTCTGCTTCCTAAATGTGCAACACTGGATGTAGACTTCGTGGAGGCAAGTATCTCATCTGTCTTGTTTGCCACTGGGTATGACATGAAAGCCAGAAACAATCACATTCTTAAAATAAGAGTATTGTATGTAGGAACTCATGCCAAGAAATTTGAATATCTAGATAAAATGGATGATTTTCTAAGAAAGTACCGTTACTACAACTGACTAAATGAAGAATAAAACACCTATAATGAATAAAAACTAAGTATGAAATTGGTTATGTTGTCAAACATGTATTCTCCCAAAGGTCACTAGATCCATAAATGTTTATAGATAATTTTCATGATTCTCCCAAGGAACAGATATTTTCTGCGTCGTTTTAACATTTTAACTATATCATATTTAAATTTGTTCCCAATTTATTTCATAAATTTGCAAATGCCTAATACAAAACTTGAAAAAGACAGCACAAAAATAATTATTGTCAGACTAAACCTCCCCAGAAATACAAACGTAAAAATCTTAAATAAAACATTAGCAAATATAACCCAACAATATATTAGAATGTAATACATAACTAAAAGAACAATGCATTTTGATTCTAACAAAAAAGATGACTCAATATTAGGAAATCTATTGACATAATTTATTATATAAACTGGTTAAAGGAGAAAAATTATATGATCATTTCAATGGATGCCGAAACAGCATTTGATAATTCAAAATCCATCCTTATTTTTAAAAAATAATAAACTAGGAAAAGAAGAAATCTTTCTAAAGATGATAGAATATTTATCAAAAATTACCATCAAACATACCTAGCAATGAAACACAAGAGCTCTTATTAAAATCAGGAACACAATAAGGATATCCATTATCACCACTATTATACGACATTATCATATAAATTCTAGCCACTGCAACAAGAGGCATTTATTTTGAAAGAGGCAAAATTATCATTGTCTGCAGATGATATGACAGCCTAGAAAATTCAAGAGAAAAACTATTAGAAATAATAAGAACAATTCAGTTATATATATACATAAACTCAAAAGATTTTCTTTGCAAGCAATAATACATTAGATAATGTAGTGAAACAGATGTCATATAAAATAGCACAAAAAAAATCCATAATGCATAAGTCAGAAAATCAGAGATCAGAAACAGACCCATGTGTATATGGGAATTTAGTATACAATAAAGGTGATTTAAAATCTACATTTGTGGTTTTCCATTTACACAATAATATTTTTGTCTTTTTCGTTTTTATCATTATTTTATTGACAAATAATAATTGTATACATTTATGGGGTACAATGTGATGTTATAATATATGTATAAAATCAAAATACTTAGGAGTAAATTTAACCAATGAAATGAAAGAGCTGTATACTGAAAACTGTAAAACATGTAAAAGAAATTTAAAATGACACAAATAAAAAAATAAATACATAAAAATTATTTTTCAAGTCAAGGCATAAATGATAGATTATCCACTTCAAAATTAAAGTTAGATCTTTTTTATGTCAATTAAAAATAAATTCCAAATGTAGTAAACATTTAAATATTTTTCAGTTAAAATAAAAGCAAAAGAAGAAAATACAGAATTTTTTATAATCTTGGAGCAAGGAAGACCTTTCTAATAAGACATTAATCCAGAAACCACAAAGCAAAAGACTGACAGATTTTTAATTCAATACAAAATAAAAATATATATAGGGAAAAGAAACCTTAAGAAAAGTTAGTAAACAAATAAAAAGCTTGGAAAAAAATATTTGCAGCGTAAGACAAAGGACTATTAATAATGTGACTTTGTGGTGGAATAGAATAAAGAGCACTTACAAATCAGCAAGAAAAAAACAAATCCCCCAATAAAAAAAAGATATAAAGGATACAGGTAGCAATTCGCAAAAGTAATCTAAATGGCCCTCAAACATATAAATAAATCAGGGATCATCAAACTATTGCCTATGGGCCAAATCTGGCTGCTGCCAGTTTTCGTACGTATTGGAACTCAGCCACAGCCATTTCACTTACATATTGTCTATGCATTGTAGCTATCCTACTACAATGAGGCAGAGTTGGGTAGATGCAACAGAGACTATGTGGCCTGCAAAGTTAAAAATATTTACTACCCGGTCCTCTGCAGAAAAAGTTTGCTGAGCCCTTGAATTGATGGTTAATTTCACCAATATTAAACCACAATATTTTCATTCAGTAAATATGTACTGAGCACTTAATTTACACTAAATATCCATTTTGTCTATCAGACTGATGAAGATTAAAGAGCATGACACTCTCCAGTGGAGGCAACAGAGTAAGGAAATAAATACTCTTTTATAGTATTGGTGAGGTGTAAATTGATACAACCAGCTTGGAGGAATATATATATATATATACACACACACATATACACATATACATGTACATATACACATATATAAGTTTAAATGGCCATACGCTTTGATCCAGCAATTTCATGTCTTACAATTTATCCTAAGAAAGTAATAGCCCCAGTGTATGAGAAGCTACAAGTAAAAGGATAACCACTGCAGAATAGTTTATAATAGTAAAACACAGGCCAGGCGCGCTGGCTCATGCCTGTAATCCTAGTACTTTGGTAGGCCAAGGCAGGCAGATCACCTGAGGTCAGGAGTTCGAGAACAGCCTGACTAACATGGAGAAACCCTGTCTCTACTAAAAATACAAAAATTAGCCGGGCATGGTGGTGGGTGCCTATTATCTCAGCTACTGAGGAGGCTGAGGCAGGAGAATCACTTGAACCCGGGAGGCAGAGGTTGCGGTGAGCTGAGATCCCGCCATTGCACTCCAGCCTGGGCAACCAGAGTGAAACTCTGTCTCAAAAAAAAAAAAAAAAATTTGGTATAACACTAAAAACATGTAAGCATCAATGTCAATCGGGATAAGTAGATAAATAGAGAAATAGACAAACAGAAAGAATGACATAGGTAGATACATATGCATTAAAAGAAATATCTTTTTATATATTTATGAAAGATTTGTGAAGTATATATACCAAATTGTTAGCAATGGCTACTCTTGGAAGGCGGATACAATTCTCTGTATTTTTCGAATGCTTCAACATGATCATGTGTTATCAAGAACTGAAAATGAAATAAAGATATTTCTGGGGGGAGGAGGGATAATTAAAGTTTACATTACAAACCAAAGGGGAGAAATGATCATTTTTAAAAACAGTGTTATACAATTAGCTAAGACAGACCATAAAGGCCTGTTTAAGCTTCAACATTGGCAAGAATAATTACTCTGATTTGTTTTAGGTTTGCTTTCACTTTGGTTTACCACTGAAGCAGCAAACAAAAACCAAAGAATATGCACAAGATCAAGGATAGAAATGAGTGAACCACACCACCACAAGGCACCACTAGCCCATAATGCACCTTTGTGTGAAGTAGAAAAAGATACCCCTTCCTCCAAGTAATGCAACTTCAACCAGTGCAAGTGGAACCTGGACTGGATTTCAGCGCCCAGTTGCTCCCTCTACTGGGCACACTTGTATAGGGAACAATGTGCACAAACTGAAGCAACTTTAGTTCCTCCTTTTCTTCTTAGCTACTTCCAGAAGCAGCCAATGAATTCAGCCTACAAGCATTGATTAATTTATCAGATCAAATGAGGACATCTCATGTTTACTGCCTTTTAAATTGTTAAAACTGTAGGAGCAATAGCAGGTCAAAGGAGTGAATATCCACATACTCACCACCTTTTAAATACTTCAGCCTAGAGAGACTATATCAGCACTCAGAAGATTCACCCTATTACCACATATGGAATGTTTTCCTTCACCAATCACATCCTTAAAATGTACTATTTTTTTACTATGACTTTCAGCCTATAGTTGGCCTGGCCTTTGAGTAACCATTGAAAAATTATGGTTATCTTGGGGCAAAAAATTAGATAGGATTTAACACCATACCACATGCCGAAAATAATTTTAGATGAATTATAGAATAAAAAGGTAAAAAACGAAACCATCAAAAATGAAAATATTTGTTTAGTATTTCACTGACATGAAAGGCAAGGACTTTCTAAGAAACCTTCAAGAGAAGATAGCACACAAAAAGCATATATATTTAACATTTAAGAAAATGTAAATCTCTTACAAATAAAAAAATCATAAAGTTGAAAAGTGATAATATAGAAAGAAATAATATTCACACTGATATCCTTTCAATATAAAAAGCTATTACAAATCAACAAAAGGGCATATCTCAGTTTAAAAAGGAATAAAAGGTATACAAAGTTGAAATAAGTTTAAAAAGTACATTCACACATGAAAGGATGGTCAAAAATAGTAATAATCTAACAAATACATAGTAAAACAAAATTGAAATACTAATTTCAACCTATTAACAAAGAAAACAGTTAAAATTCAATACTGCCAGTAAGGGTTGGCAGGGAGGCAGTGAGACAGACACACTCACATTCATAGACTCATACACTGCTAACAGGAATGTAAACTGCTGCAACCTTTCTGGAAAGCAATTTGTCAGTAAGTACCAAGAATCCTAAAAGCATATAATTCAGTAAGTACACTTCCAGATATACAGTCTATGAAAACAATCAGAGCTATATAAGAAGATTTCTGTCAAAGGATATTAAAAAATTATAACAATAAAATTTGTTATCAATATAAATGTCCAACAATAAAGGAATAATGTAATAAACTGGGGTACATCCACATAAAAAAAATGGAAAATTTTTATATCCACTTAGTTCTCTTCCCTACAGGTAATGATGCTATTTACTTTTTGTTTATTCTTCCAAAGATATTTTATAAAAATTAATAGCATCATTGCCTATAGGGAAGAGAACTGAGTGGACGCAGAACTTTCAGTGTCTATACGTGAATACTCTCTGAATTTTGAATTTAATAAAATTAAATTTTTATATGTAAGCTTACTTAGCTCATGAAAAGTCTGATAACAAAGTATCTATAGCCACACCTATCCTTACCTTCTTACCTCCATTTTCAGGTGATGGAGTATCCTTCCTCCCCTTCAAGAGCAAGCCCTTACCTGTACCCTTAACATTCACCCATTTCTTCCTCCTTTGAAGGAAACATAAATAATCTACACTTGCCATCTGTGTTTTTAAGACCTCATTCACTGTAAAACGTACTACAATATGGCTTTTGCCCTTTACTACACTACCGAAATTATTCTCAATAAGGAGACCAATATATTTTAACTGTGAATTCAGTAAATATTTTCCAGCCTTTGTGTAATTGAATTTTTCTGCTACCCTGGACATTCTTTATTATAAATATCCTGAGAAACCGTTCTGATCATTACAGCTTGGAAGACTGGAGCCTGACAACTTGCCATCCAGCACATTGTCTGCCTCCAGAGACCAAGATTTCTGAGTTTCCCGTCATTCTCGGGATTGTGGTTGCTCATCATTCTCTAGCATCTGAACCAGAGGCTCAAGCCATAAATTGGCACATAAAGGTTGGCTGACTTTATATACTCTAATTATATACTCTAATCACCATGAGACAGTCTTTGTTGGTATTGTTATTTGTTGGTAATTATTAATAGCCCCCCCCCACTTGCACTCAAAAATCTGGATGAGAAATTATATTGTCACCCTACCTAAGGAAATATAACAGCCAGAAAGTGAATGAATAAAGTACTGCCAACAGGCGGCTCCCCAGTAATGTACAGTAATGTTCCCTGCTCTGGGAAAGAAAAAAATTAAAATGATCACTTGAAGAAAATAAAGCATGTGCAGTTAAGGAAATCCAATTATAATATTAAAAAAGGCTTTCTGGACTAAAAAGTGTATTTTTAAATTTAAAAATTCAGTAGATATATTGAAGGATAAGCTGATAGCTTGTCATGACAAAAAATTAGGGGCCCGGAAGATGGAGTAAAAGAAAACTTTCTGAACACAGAAGAAACTACAAAAAGATGTAAAAGAGACTTAGAAAACAAATGGATATAGAATACCTAATCTGTAAATAACAGGAGTTTTGGAAGGAAGAAAAAGAACATGCAGGTAGGGTAATAATAAAACAAATAATAGAAGAAAAATTTTCCCTAAAAAAAAAAATTGCAAGCCGAGAAGGTCTCACTGAGTTCCAGGCAGGATTAATGCTTTATCATATTAGAAATATAAATCACATACTGCAAAGCACCTAAATTCTAACTCTACAGTTTTATGAATTTTTACATATGTAATACCTGTGTAACCAACACCCAGGGCAAGATTAGAACATTACCATCACCCAAGAGAATCCTTCATGGCCCTTTCAGAATCAATATCTATTTTGTCCCAGAGGTAATCATTAATATGATTTCTCAACACATACACTTGTTTTGTCAGTTCTTGAATTTTATATAAATGGTATCATACAGTATGTACTTTTTTGGTCTGGCTTCTTTTACTCAACATTATGTTTCTGATGCATCGATGTTAATGTATCAGTAGTTTGCCTTCATTATTGCTCTGTAAAATTCCATTGTATGAATATTCCACAATTTATTTCTCCATTCTTCTATAGATGATTATTTGAGTTGCTTCCAGTTCTGTTATCATGAACAAACCTTCTGTGAATATTCTTGAACATATATTTTGGTGGGCATACACACTCATTTCTCTTGAGTGTATAGCTAGGAGTTAAAGTAATGAGTTAATAGTGTAAATGCATGTTAATCTCTGGTAAATATTGCCAAAACAGTTTGCAAAGTGACTGAAAAAATTTAGACTCCCACAAGCAATACATGAAAGTTGCGCAGGTTCCATGTCCTTGTTAAAAATTAGGATTTTCAGGTTTTTATAATTTCAGCCAGAAAATAGAAAAGATTAGAGCATTCTCACCTCATTTTATGAGATCATCACTGGCAATATCAAAACTAAAGACATAAAAAGAAAACTACATAACAATATCCTTCAAGAATGCACACATTTTAGCAAATCAAGTATCCAACAATATACACAAGTGTTGTTATTTTATCATCAAAAAGGGTTTATCCCAGGGATGCAAGGTAGATTTAACATTTGAAATTCATTCAGTGCAATCCACTATGTTAAGAGAATAACAAAGAAAAAATGTATGATCAACCCAATAGATACAGAGAAGACATCTAACATAACTAAAATCTCATTTGGGATGAAAGAAAAAAAAACTTCTAACACTAGGACTGGAAGAGAATTTCTTCAAACCGATAAAGGGCTTATACAAAAATTCTACAGTGAACATCATACCTAACAATGAAAGACTGAATGCCTTCTTTCTCAGATCAAGGGAATGGCAAGGATATTTGTTCTCACCTTTCTATTCAATAGTGTAGTGAAGGTTCTAGCCAGAGTATTGGGTAAGAAAACAAAATAAAAGGCATAGAAATCAGAAAGGAAGAAGTAACACTCTCCTGATTTCCAGAGAACACAATTTGTCAAATCCATTGAATTGTGCAGCTAAAACAGATGAGTTTTATTATAAATCATACCCCAACAAAGCTAATGTTTTAAAAAAATCAAACTCCCCATAGAGAAAACTCCAGGTTCAGGACCAGCTAGTTTCATAGTCTCACTGGTGAATTCTATCAGCCATTTAAAGAAGAAATAATATTGCTAAGAGAATTATTTGAAAGGCTCAAATAAAGGGAGATATATACCAAATTCAAAAATTGGATGATCCATTATTATTATGATGCCTATTTTCCCAGAATTTAGTTAATGAAATCACAAACAAAATCCCAGCAGACATTTTGAAAGAAACTGACAAGCTAATTCCAAAAAGTATATGAAATTGCAAAGAAGAAAGTATCAACAAAACAATCTTGAAATAAAAGACCAAAGTTAGAGGACATACATAACCAGATTTCAATATTTACTTTAAAACTGTAATAATCAAGACAGTGTACTATTAATGCAGGACCTACAAGTTTTTAAAATAGAACAGAATACCTGAAACCATAAAAACCCTAGAAGAAAACCTAGGCAATACCATTCGGGACATAGGCATGGGCAAGGACTTCATGTCTAAAACACCAAAAGCAATGGCAACAAAAGCCAAAATTGACAAATGGGATCTAATTAAACTAAAGAGCTTCTGCACAGCAAAAGAAACTACCATCAGAGTGAACAGGCAACCTACAGAATGGGAGAAAATTTTTGCAATCTACCCATCAGACAAAGGGCTAATATCCAGAATCTACAATGAACTCAAACAAATTTACAAGAAAAAAACAAACAACCCCATCAAAAAGTGGGCGAAGGATATGAACAGACACTTCTCAAAAGAAGACATTTATGCAGCCAAAAGACACATGAAAAAATGCTCATCATCACTGGCCATCAGAGAAATGCAAATCAAAACCACAATGAGATACCATCTCACACCAGTTAGAATGGCGATCATTAAAAAGTCAGGAAACAACAGGTGCTGGAGAGGATGTGGAGAAATAGGAACACTTTTACACTGTTGGTGGGACTGTAAACTAGTTCAACCATTGTGGAAGTCAGTGTGGAGATTCCTCAGGGATCTAGAACTAGAAATACCATTTGACCCAGCCATCCCATTACTGGGTATATACCCAAAGGATTATAAATCATGCTGCTATAAAGACACATGCACACGTATGTTTATTGCAGCACTATTCACAATAGCAAAGACTTGGAACCAAGCCAAATGTCCAACAATGATAGACTGGATTAAGAAAATGTGGCACATATACACCATGGAATACTATGCAGCCATAAAAAATGATGAGTTCATGTCCTTTGTAGGGACATGGATGAAGCTGGAAACCATCATTCTCAGCAAACTACCGCAAGGACAAAAAGCCAAACACTGCATGTTCTCACTCATAGGTGGGAATTTAACAATGAGAACACATGGACACAGGAAGGGGAACATTACACACTGGGGCCTGCTGTGGGGTGGGGGGAGGGGGAGGGATGGCATTGGGAGATATACCTAATGTTAAATGACAAGTTGATGGGTGCAGCACACCAACATGGCACATGTATACATATGTGACTAATCTGCATGTTGTGCACATGTACCCTGGAACTTAAGGTGTAATTAAAAAAAAAACATATTTCACAAGGCATTTTATTAATAGTTATGGTTTTGGAAATGATTAGTTAATAAAAATTGAACCCATAATAAAAAAAATAAATAAAGAGCCCAAAAATAGATCCACACATATACAATTTTTAATATATGGTAAAGGTGCCATGGCAACACAAAGAAGAAAGGTAAAACAGAGTTATCATATGATCCAGCAATTCCACATCTAAGTATATACCCAAGAGAATAGAAAACATATGTTTAAACAGAAACTTGTACAAAAATGTCCATAGCAGCACTATTCATGTTAGCCCAAAAGTGGAAAGAACCCACATGTCCATCAACCGATGAACGGCTAAACAAATTGTGGTATATCCATACAGTGCAATATTATTCTGCCATAAAAAAGAATAAGTTACTGATACATTCTACAGCAGGGGTCCCCAACCCACTGGCCAAAGACCAGTACCAGTCTGTGGCCCGTTAAGAACTGGGCCACACAGCAGGAGGTGACCAGCAGACGATAGAGTGAAGTTTCATCTGTATTTACACCACTCCCCATCACTCATATACTGCTTGAGCACTGCCTCCTGTCAGATCAGTGGTGGCATTAGATTCTCATAGGAGTGCTCACCCTATTGTGAACTGTGCATGTAAGGGATCTAGGTTGTACACACCTTATGAGAATCTAATGCCTGATGATCTATCACTGCCTCGCATCACCCCCAGATGGGACCATCTAGCTGCAGGAAAACAATCTCTGGGCTCCCACTGAGTCTACATTATGGTGAGTTGTATAATTATTTCATTATATATTACAATGTAATAACAACAGAAATAAAGTGCACAATATATGTAGTGTGTTTGAATCATCTCAAAACCATCCCCCACCCTGGTCCATGGAAACGTTGTCTTCCATGAAACCGCTCCCTGGTGCCAAAAAGGCTGGAGACCACTGTGCAACAGCATGGGTAAACCTTGAAAACAATATGTTAAGTAAAAGAAGCCAGACACAAAAGGTCAGATATTGTAGAATTTCATTTATATGGAATGTCCAGAACAGGAAAATTCATGGAGACAGAAAGTAGATTAATGGTTTCCAAGGACTGGGAGGAAAGGGCAATGGGAAGTGACTGCTAATCAATACAGAATTTATTTTTAAGTTGATGATAATATTTTGAAACTAGCTAGTGACAATGTTGTACAATCTTCTGAATATACTAAAATCTACTGAATTTTACATTTTTAATGGCGAATTTTATGGTGTGTAAATTATATCTCAATAAAAAATACTAATTTGAGATCAATCAAAGACCTAAAAGTCTATTATGCTTTAGAAAAAGTGGGGCATATTTTTACAACTTTGATGTAGATAAAGATTCCTAATAAGAATACAAAAGGCACTAAAGCAACAAAGGAAAAAATGGTAAATCAAACATCATTGAAAATATATAAACATCCATTCTTCAATGTACACAGTTAAGATAATACCCTCCCGAAATGTGAGACAATATTCTTACTGCATACAACTGACAAAAGAACTCCAACAAATCAATAATAAAAAGGCAAACAACTCAATTTAAAAATTAGCAAAAGATTTTGAACAGACACTCCCCAAGGAAGACATACAAATGGCCAATAAGTGCCTGAAAAAGTGTTCAACAGCATTAGTCATTGGGAGCATACAATTTAAAACTAGAATGAAATACCACTTAACACCCACTAGGATAGCTAAAATTAAAAAGACTGACAGCATGAAGTGTTGACCTAGATGTGGAGCAAATGGAATTATCCTACTTTGCTGGTGGGAGGGTAAAATGATACAAACCCCTTCTTAAATGTTGAGCGGTTTCTTACAAACATACACCTAGAGGCATTTGAATAGCTAGGTAGTTAACAAAGTGAAATGTAAACTAATGTTCATTTTAAAAAATGACCTTGTAAAAAAGTTGTCCATAGCAAGCTGCTTTATTCATATTAGCCAAAAACTGGAAATAACCCAACAGATGAAAAGATAAATAAACTGGGGCATATTAAAAACATAAGAATAGTACTCAACAATCAAAATAAACAAACTACTTACATATACGACAACATAGATGAATCTCACAGGCATTAAGCTGAGCAAAATAAATCAAGTGGAAATGAGAGAAAGTATTTTATTGGCAATAGCACGCATATAAACATTTAGAAATATATGAAAAGTACAGAAACTGATAAAGAAAACTATAAAAATTGTATTAAAGGATATGAAATTCAATCTGAAAATATAGAAAAATAGACTATTTTCTGAGATAAGCAGATATTATAAAATGTAAATGCTCTCAAAAGTAATATTAAATATAACGTCATGCCTATTAGAACCCCAATAGGTTTGTGTGTTTTTAATTAATTAAAATAATACTAAAATCCAGATGGAGAAATGCATATCTGAGAAGATCCAGGAAAATTATGAAGAATGGTGAGATAAAGTTTGATTAATTAAGCTGTAACCAAATAATATGATACTGGCACAGAAACAGGCAACTAGATTGGTGGAACAAAGTTCCTAGAAATAGATTCCAGTATTTATGATAGTTTATGACTAAAGCAAACTTTCAATTCAATGGGAAAAGGATACTTACTGTAATCACTGGCCCATATATTGGGTTCTCCACTTGGAAGAAAATTAAGTTTGTTCCCCCACTCCCCTTACATCATGTATAAAAATTAACTTGAGGTGGATTAAATATTTTTTAAAAATTAAACAATAAAAATGATGTGATAAAAACTAAGAAATTGTGTACACAATATAGACGTGCATGAAACCTTTTTAAACAAGACAAGAAAAATAGACACTAGAAAAGAAAAGCCTGACATATTTGAATATATTAAAAATTTAATTATTTTTAATGGATATAGAATTTTAGTTTGGGAGGATGATTAGTTCTGGAGGTGGACAGAGACGATGACTGCACAACAATATGAATATGAATTTAATGCCATTGAACTGCACACTCAAAAACAATTAAAATGGTAAATTGTATGTGTATATATTATCACAATAAAGATTTTTATGACAAAATATGTCCCAAACAAATTTAGTAGACAACTAACAAATGAGTTAAATATACAGATACATCTACATACACATATATTTTAAACACCTATGACAGCAAAAGACTTAATATCTACATATTTTTAAATGGTCAAAGAACTTCAAAAGACATTAACAAGAAAAGATACGTGAATGGCCAATAAGCACATGAAAAGTACTCAGTGTCATTAGTTGTCAGGGAAATGAAAACCAAAACTACAGAAATATCACTTTACATCCACTAGAATTGCTAAAATTAAAATAACTGACAATGTATTAGCCAGGATGTAGATATTCTTTTTAAAAGAATAGAAAGAGAGAGACACAGGGAAAAAAGGAGATAGAGCCTACAGAAAATCAAGCAATTCACAGTAGAACAGATCCAAATGGTTGGTAAACATTTGAGAATATGCTTACAAGTTGTTAAAGAAATGCAAATTACAGTACTGAGATATCACACTTAATCTATAAGATTATAACAAATTAAATAGGCTGATAACACCTACAGCTGTCACCTTCACTGGTGTAAGGGAAAAAGTAGTCCCATCCATTGAAAATGAGAATTACTATTTCGCTTTTGAAAATCATATCCTTGAGCCAGACATCCCACTCCTACGATTTTTTTTTCTTTTTCTTTTTTCTTTTTTGAGATGGAGTCTTGCTCTGTTGGCCAGGCTTTAGTGTAGTGGCGCGATCTCGGCTCACTGCAACCTCCGCCCCCGGGGTTCAAATGATTCTCCTGCCTTAGCCTCCCGAGTAGCTGAGATTACAGGTTTGTGCCACCACGCCTAATTTTTGTATTTTTAGTAGAGACAGGGTTTCGCCATGTTGGCCAGGCTGCTCTCAAACTCCTGACCTCAAGTGATCCGCCCCTCTCAGCCTCCCAAAGTGCTGGGATTACAGGCGTGAGCCACTACACCCAACCCCACTCCTACGATTTTATCTCACAGAATTAAAAGCACCAGTATATGAAAAGTATATATAAAACATTATCTGCCTACATAAAAAAAAAAACAAATATTTCAAATAAACAATCTACCAATGTACCTCCAGGAACTAGTAAAGAACAAACCAAACCCAAAAGTAGCAGATGAAATAACACAGATCACAGCAGAACTGAACAAAATAGAGTCTAAAAAAAAAAAAATTAGGAAGGATCAATGCAACAAAAGGCCTTGGTTCTTTGAAAAGATAAACAAAATTGATAAACCACTAGCTGGACTAACCAAGAAAAGAAGAGAGAAGACCCAAATAAACAAAATCAGAAATGATAAAGGAGACAGTACAAGTGATACTACAGAAATACAAAAGATCATCGGAGACTATCATGAATAATAGCACACTAACAAAGTGAAAAATCTAGAGGAATGGATAAATTCCTGGAAACATACAATGTACCAAGATTGAATAAAAAAGAAATAGAAAACCTAAACAGACCAATAATGACAAACAAAATTGAATAAGTAAAAAAAAAAATCTCTCAACAAAGAAAAGCCCAGGACCAGATGGATTCACTGCTGAATTTTTCCAAATGTATAAAGAAAAGCTAATACCAATTCTCCTCAAATTATTCCAAAAAATTGAAGAGGAGAAAATGTTCTCTAACTCATTCTTTGAAGCCAGTATTAAACCAATAAGAACACCAGCCAAGGATACAATAAAAAAGAAAACCATATGACAACATAATTGATAAACCTAGCAAAAATTCCTAACAAAATACAGGCAAACCAAATCCACTAGCACATCAAAAATAATAATAATACACCATGATCAAGTAGGATTTATACCAGAGATGCGAGGATGGCTCAATATATGTAAATCAATAAACATGATACATCACATCTACAGAATGAAGGACAAAAACCATATGATAACCTCAATAGATGCAGAAAAAGTATTTGGTAAAATTCAATACATCTTCGTGATAAAAACACTCAACAAACTAAGCATGAAAAAGTATTTGGTAAAATTCAATACATCTTCATGATAAAAACACTCAACAAACTAAGCATAGAAGGAACATACCTCAAATTAATGAAGGCTATATACGACAACTCAACAGCTAAGATCATACTGAATGGGGAATAGTTGAAAGCCTTTCACCTAAGAACTGGAACAAGACAAGAATGCCCATTTTCACCATTCCTTTTCAACACAGTACTGGAAGTCCTAGCCAGGGCAATCAGAAGAGAAAGAAATAAAAGGCATCTAAATTTTAAAAGAGGAAATCAAGGCCGGGCATGGTGGCTCACGCCTGTAATCCCAGCACTTTGGGCGGCCGAGGAGGGCAGATCATGAGGTCAGGAGGTCAAGACCATCTTGGCTAACGCGGTGAAAACCCGTCTCTACTAAAAATACAAAAAATTAGCTGGGCGTGGTGGCGGGCACCTGTAATCCCAGCTACTCAGGAGGCTGAGGCAGGAGAATGGCGTGATCCCAGGAGGCGGAGCTTGCAGTGAGCTGAGATCACGCCACTGCACTCCAGCCTGGGCAACAGAGCAAGACTCCATCTCAAAAAAAAAAAAAAAAAAAAGAGTAAATCAAATTGTCCCTCTTTGCGGATGACATGATACTGTATTTAGAAAAACCAAGACTCCAACAACAAACTCTTAGAATTGATTTTTTTAATTTAGTAAATTTGCAGGATACAAAATCAACGCACAAAAATCTGTACTGTTTCTATACACCAATAATGAAATAGCCAAAAATAAAATCAAGAAGACAATCCCATTTACAATAGCAACAAAAATATAATAAAATATCTAGGAATAAATTTGACCAAAGAAATGAAGAGTCTCTATAAGGGAAACTACAAACACTGCTGAAAGAAACTGAAGAGGACACAAATGGAAAGACATTCCACGCTCATGGACTGGCAGAATTAATATTGTTGAAATGGCCATACTTTCCAAAGTAATTACAGATTCAATGCAATCCCTATCAAAATATCGATGTCATTTTTCACAGAAATAGTAAAAAGCAATCCTAATGAAAGAGGAGAAAGTAAGAAGCTGGTCAAGCAGGCAGTTAGGGTGGGTCCTTGGTAAAACTGCTTCAAACAAAGAACAGCCTGAAAATCAAACTGTAGGCCCCAGATAAGAAAGAGCCCACATCCTTAAATGGAAACTCTTACTCTGTGAACCCAGATGAACAAATTCCACCCCTTTTTGGACACATTTCTCTCTCCCTGGCATGCCTTAGTATCTTACTTTTCACCTATTTTATATATGCCTACCTTTCTATAATTAGCTGCAGGCTAAGTCTTCATTTACATAGGGTGAATCATCACTTCAGTCCCCAATTTGTCCCAGGCCAAGGTCCTGGGCCAAGCCATCACTTCAGCCCATGATTGGTCCCAGGCCAAGCATTCACCTCTGCTTCCAATTGGTTCTTGACACTATCATACCTCTTTCTAAGTGGTGCTTTCTCTAGAATGGCCTGCAGACCAGTCAGCACATTCTTCCCCTTTCTAGTCCATAAAAACCCTGGACTCTGCCTCATAGTGGGCTACTCTCTTTTGGGCCCCCTCTCTGTAGCAGAGAGCTTTCTTCTTTTGCTTATTAAACTTTTGCTCCAACCTCACCCTTTGTGTCCATGCTTCTTAATTTTCTTGGTCATGAGACAAAGAACTCTGGGTGATACCTCAAACAATGAGAGATGGCTACATTGTGGTGCATTGGCAGGCCTGTAACACTAACATTCATATTGAACCAAAAAAGCCAGAATAGCCAAAGCAATCCTGATCAAAAGAACAAAGCTGGAGGCATCACACCACCTAACTACAAAACACATTACAAGGCTATAGTAACCAAGACAGCATGATTTAGTATAAAAAATAGATACATAGACCAGTGGAACAGAACATAGAACCCAGAAATAAATCCACATATTTACAGCCAACTGATCTTTGACAAAGCTGCCAGGAATACACATTGAGGAAAAGACACCCTCTTCAATAAATGGTGCTGGAAAAACTCAATAATTATATGCAGAAGAATGAAACTGGACCCCTATCTCTCACCATATATTAAAGCCAACTCAAGATGAATTGAATACTTAAACGTAAGACCCAAAATTTTAAAACTACTAGAAGGAAACCTAAAAAAATTATGCAAGACATTGGTCTAGGTAAAGATTATATGGCTAAGACTTCAAAACCATAGACAACAAAACCAAAAGTAATCAAATGGGACAATATTAAACTAAAAGGCTTCTGCATAGCAAAAGAAACAGTCAATAGAATGAAGAGACAACCTCTTGAATGAGAGAAAATATTTGCAAACTACTCATCCAACAGGGTACTAATATCCAGAATATACAAGGAACTCAACTGAACAGTAAAACACCAAATAATCCCATTCAAAGTGGGTAAAGGACATGAATAGACATTTCTCAAAAAAAGGCATACAAATGGCCAAATATACATGAAAAAATACTCAACATCACTAATCATCAGGGAAATGCAAATCAAAACCACAATGAGATATTATCTCCCTCAGTTAAAATGACTATTATTAAAAAGAAAAAAAAATAGATGCTAGTGAGGATGTGGAGAAAAGGGAACTCATACCCTGTTGGTTGCAATGTAAATTAGTACAGCCATTATGGAAAACACTATGAAGATTTCTCAAAAAACTAAAATCGAACGACCATACAATCCGGCAATCTCACTACTGGGTATTTAACCAAAGGAAAAGAAATCGGTTGATCAAAGGAATATTTGCATTAGCATGTTTATCCCAGCACTACTCGCAATAGCAAAGATGCATCTAAGTATCTATCAACAGATGAATACGGAAAATGTAATGTTAATACATCATGGAATATTATTTGGGTATAAATAAAAATGAAATCCTGTCACTTACAGAAACATGGATGGAACTGAAGGTCATATGCTAAGCGAAATAAGCCAGGTATAGAAAAACAAATATCATATATTCACATTCATGTGGGAGCTAAAAAAAGAAAAAAAAAAACAACTTGATCTCATAGGCATGGAGAATAGAATGATAGATACCAAAGACTGGGAAGGGTGGGTAGGTGGTAGGGGGAAGGATGAAGAGAAGTTGGTTAATGGTGCAAACATACAGTTAGATAGAAGAAATAAGTTCTAATGTTTGATAGCAGAGTAGGATGACTATACTTACCAACAGTATTTTGTATATTTCAAAGTAACTAGAAGAGAGAACTTAAGTGTATCCAACACACAGAAATGATAAACATGTAGGATGCCCTAAGTACCCTAACTTGATCATTACACATTCTATGCATGTAACAAACACTGACATATACCCCATTAAAATGTAAAATATTATATATCAATACAAGAAAAAAATCCCATAGCTGTGTATCAGAAAATGGCCAAAAGGGGCAAAAAAGAAAACTCTTTATATGTAGGTAATATGTAAAAAAAGTATAGGGAGGTGTGAGATTGTATGAACATAAGAAAAGTAAGGGATACTCACCAGACGAAACTCTGATTATTAGAAAAGGTAGCAGGGAGTAGGAAGGAAAAGGCATAAATGCAGTGTTCACATAAAAAAACAGTATTTAGTACACGATTCAATTATGTAAAAGTATCTAAATATGCATAAGAGATGAATGCAAGGAAAAATACATTCAATTCCTTTGGTTTCTTTTCTTTTTCTTTCTTTTCTTTTATTTTTTTTGAGATGGAGTCTTGCTCTTGTCGCCCAGGCTGGAGTGCAGTGGCGCGATCTCTGCTCACTGCTACCACCACCTCCCGGGTTCAAGCGATTCTCCAGCCTCAGCCTCAGCCTCCCCAGTAGCTGGGACTACAGGGGCCTGCCACCATGCCTGACTAATTTTTGTATTTTTAGTAGAAATGGGGTTTCAGCATGTTGGCCAGGCTGATCGCAAACTCCTGACCTCAAGTGATCCTCCCACCTTGGCCTCCCAAAGTGCTGGGATTACAGGCATGAGCCACCATGCCCAGCTCCTTTGGCTTTCGAGAGTAAACAAACTTGTTATTCTCCTTCTCAGTCTGTCTTAAATATTTCTGAATCTGCCCACTTAAATGTAAGTATTCTCCAGGGCTGCATTGTCCAGTAGAAGCAATGTAAGCCACATATGCAATTTTAAATTTTCTAGTAGTCACATTAAAAACTTAAAGAGAAACAGGGGAACTTAATTTTAAGATTTTTGTTTAACCCAATATACCAAAAATATTATAACTTCAAACTATTAGTAAGATGTTTCATATTCTTTCCTTTGTCTTTTCTTTTTTTTTTTTCTTTTTCTTTTTTTTCACTAAGTCACTAAAATCTGGCATGCATTTTAGTTTACAGTTAAAGCATTGCAGTTTGGACCAGCCACATCAACAAGCTCAATACCCACTTCTGGCTGGTGGCCACCACATTGAACAGTACAGCTATAGGATTTTGGCCTAGGATCATATCAGCAGGACTGCACTCCTTCTGGAGCCCTTGGGGAAAATTCATTTATTTGTCTTCTCAACTAGAGGCATTGGGTCTCTCTCCCTTTCCTCTCCCCTCCTCACATCACTTCTTGCTTCATTACATCTGCTTCTCTGATTCTCCTACCTCCCTCTTTCCCTTATAAGGACCTCTGTGATTATATTGTGGCCACCTGCATAAGCCAGGATACTCTCCCCATCTCACGATCCACAATCACAACTACAGAGTCCTTTTTACCATGCAGGGTAACATATACACAGTTTCTGAGAATCCCGACATGAACATCTCTGGGGAAAGAAGGAATTATTCTATCTATCACAATGATTAGTGGCATAAATTTACAAATTGCAAACAATACTTTTGGTGTCATAATTTTATAAAACACAAAAAATATTAATACTTTATTAATGTGATGATTGATCATAAGATTTTTTTCTGGCTCACTGTTTTACCAACTTATTTATTAGATCATCAAAATTTATACTTTTAGCAACTTCATTTTAAATCAGTATAATTGGAAGTACCAACAGTCTTTCTTGGCAACGCATGATGACAAATAATTATTGATAATTTCAAATTTAGAGAAGGACCTTCCTGCTTATACCACTGTTAATGGAGCTGATGAGAGGATTTTTATGTCCTGTGTAAACAGTGATAAATATATAAATTTCAAAACATCTAGAGTTGATGATTCTCATGGAACATTTTTTCTCAAAAGGTTTAATTCTTCATACAGCTCAGTTATATGTAAGTCAGAATTTAATTTTAAATGTACATTTATACAATACCATTTTAATGTTTCCTCTGACATTTCCTGTAATTTTTGGTGGTGGTTGTATAATAAACCAAAACTGGTATCATGATTTGCATATAATTCAAAACACCTTTTTATACATTTTATTACTGTATATTAAATTATAAGGAAAATTAATTTTAAAATTGTCTTCCTCAGTAATTGGTTCATTCGAAGTTCACATAAAAACACTGTTCTTTTCTGTTGAATAGAATTTTTGGAAGGTGTGTGTGATAATTTAATACATTCATATAATTTGTAAAGATCAAATCACTGCAATTGGGATATCTATCACCTTAAATATTTGCTTTTTCTTCATACTGGAAATATTCAAATTATTCTCTCCTAGCAATTTTGAAATGTACAATAGATTATAGTAAACTATAGTCACCCTACTGATCTATTGAACACTGAGTCTTACACTTTCATCTGTGTGTTTGTACCCATTAATCAACCTCTCTTCATCCTCCCCACCCCACTACCCTTCTGAGCTTTTGGTATCCAGGAATTTAATCTCTATCTTCATGAGATCCACTTTTGTAGCTCCCACATATGAGTCAGAACATGCAATATTTATCTTTCTGTGCTTGGCTTATTTCACTTAACATAATGGCCTCCAGTTCCATCCATGCAGTAGCATAGATGACAGGATTTCCTCCTTTTTATGGATGAATAGTATTCCATTGTGTGTGTGTGTGTGTGTGTGTGTGTGTGTGTGTCTATATCTCACATTGTCTTTATTCATCCACTGATGGGAACTTAGGTTGATTCCAAATATTGGCTATTGTGACTAATGCTGCAATGAATATGGGAGTACAGATGTCTCTTTGATATATTGATTTCCTTTCTTTTGGATAAATATCCAGTAGTGGAATTGCTAGATCATATGGTAGTTCTATTTTTAGTTTTTTGAGGAATCTCCAAACTGTTCTCCATAGTGGTTGTACTACTTTACACTCTCACTAACAGTGTGTGAGAGCTCCCCTTTCTCCATATCCTCTCCAGTATTCATTATTCCCTGACTTTTTGATAAAACCCATTTTAACTGGGATGAAATTATATCTTATTGTACTTTTGATTTGCATTTCTCTGATGATTAGTAATGTTGAGCATTTTTTCATATACCTGTTGGCCATTTGTATGTCTTCTTTTCAATAATATATATTCATATCTTTTGCCAATTTTTAAATCAGATTATTTGTTTTTTGGTTATTGAGTTGTATGAGCTCTTTACATATTTTAGTTATTAATCTCTTGCCAGATGGATAATTTGCAAACATTTTCTCCCTTTCTGTGGGTTGTTTCTTCACTGTGTTGACTGTTTTCTTCGCTGTGCAGAAACTTTTTAGCTTGATGTGATCCCATTTATCTACTTTTGCTTTTGTTGCCTGGACTTTTGAGGTCTTACACACAAAAAAAATTTGCCTAGAGCAATATCCTAGAGCATTTCCCCAATGTTTTCTTCTAGTAGTTTCATAGTTTGCAATTTAGATTTAAGTCTTTAATCCACTTTGATTTGATTTTTGTATATGGTGAGAGGTGGGGTCAGTTTTATTCTTCTGCATATGGTTGTATAGCTTTCCAGCACCATCCTTTTAAAGATACTCCTTTCCCCCATTGTATGTTCTTGGTGCCTTTGTCGAAAATGGGTTGGCTGTAAACGTTTAGATTTATATGTAGGCTCACTATTCTGTTCCATAAGTTTATGTATTTGACTTTATGACACTACCACGCTGATTTGGTTATTACAGCTTTGTAGTATATTTCAAAGTCATGTAGTGTGATGACTCCAACTTTGCTCTTTTCGCCCAGGATTGCTTTGGTTATTTGAGGTCTTTTGCAGTTCCATATAAATTTTAGGATTTTTTTTTCTATTTCAGTGAAGAATGTAATTGGTATTTTGATAGAGATTACATTGAATCTGTACATTACTTTGGGCAGTATGGTCATTTTAAAGGTATTAATTCTTTTGCTCCATGAGCATGGAATGTCTTTCTATTTGTTTGTGTCCTCTTCAATTTCTTTTATTAGTGTTTTATAGATTTCCTTGTAGAGTTTTTTCACTTCTTTAGTTAAGTTGATTCCTAGTTATTTTATATTCTTTGTAGCTATTGTAAATGAGATTGACTTCTTGATTTCCCTTTCAGATTGTGCACTGTTGGCCTATATAAACGCTACTAGTTTTTGTGTGTTGAATTTGTATCCTGCAACTTTACTGAATTCATTTACCAGTTCTAACAGTTTTTTGGTGGAGTTTTTAGTTTTTTCCAAGTATAAGATCGTGTTGTCTATGAACCAGGCTAATTTAATTTTCTCCTTTCCAATTTGGATGCCCTGTATTTCTTTCCCTTGCCTAATTGTTCTGGCCAGGACTTGCAGTATTATTTGAATAAAAGTGGTGTAAGTGGGCATCTTTGTCTTGTTCCATGGATGATCTTTAAATTTAATTTGTATTTATAAGCCTATTTGCTTTGCAATGTTGCAGCCATTTACACAACGTGAGATTATAAACTGACTAATTATAATAATTCCTTAATATGCATTATTACAATCTCCATGTGTACACTCTTGTTTTGTCATAACTTACTGAGACAGTTTAATGCCTGAATGCAAGTTGTTCTTGTCCTTGTACTCAGAATGGAGAGTTAATATTTGTGTAGATTCCATAGGGTCTGGCTTAAGAGACAGGCAAGTCCATCTCCTGTCACCAGTCCCAGTGCTTCCACCACAGGGAATCCTTGTTCCTGTGGCTACAGCTCCTGCTGCTACCAGAGCTGCTGCTTCTGCTATTGCTGCCACCACCATTGACAGCATCCTTCTGGGCCCAGGTCCCAGCTTGGCTACCTTAGGGCCCCATGTACCCCAGACTGTACCAAAGGCCTGTTTGTGCATGCCAGACCAATTGCTCGATGCCTGTTTGGCCTTCCATGCCTACGAACCTAAGCCTTCAAGTGTGCACACTACCACCTGCTATATCTCCACTATTCATGCACATGCTTCATTGTTTCATCACACTTCACTTATAGAACACAAGATCAAAAATAAAATTTTCGTGAATTTCAAGATTGCAACAGTAGAGAATTAAACTAAGTTTGGGGCCCTTCTTAGAGTGGAGACCCTGCACAACTGGGTCTCTTCACATCCATGAAGACTGCCCTCATGCCAGTTAGGTCCCTTGGTATTTAACCAATCAATGACCATATATCAGGCACTTGCCATAGGCCAGGTGCTCACTCATGGTATCTTTTTCCAGCCTCTCCTAAATGTTCCTTACACAAGGAGGAACCTAGAGTGGAAACAAGAGACTGTTTCAACTACCAAAACAACTGCTCAGATAGCTGTGTGCCTTTGTATTTTCATATCCATTATCTCACTACAGGGCCATAGCCCCCTGAGGAAGTGAGAGAACAGATTATTGGCTCTAATTAATTAATCCTCACAACAATCCACAGTGGTCTGGAAGTATTTGTAATGCTGTCTGACAGATGAAGTCACAGAGGTTAAATGACTTTTCTCTCTACCTCACCAGGCTGTTGTGAAGATCAAAGTAAACAGAGGTTATGAAGAGGGTTTTTGTCAACAACGAGGTAAAGAGTACATATGAGGGATTACCACTATTCTTCCTTGGCGACATCACGTGGTAAAGACACAGGAATTCAATTCAGGTTTACCTCTAACTAATCAAGATCTTACCTTTTAAGTGCTAAATCTTTTCAGCTCGGGTTACCTGACCAAACAACATAAGATCACTATACCTTAATCCAACCTTTTCTTATGGTCTGCCTATTCAAGAAGTGCAACTTGCTAGTTCCAGAAAGATAAAATCATGCAGCTCACTAAGAATGTCTCAAATACATTAGAAAATGAATTTGAGAAATATGAGAAAGAAAAAATACTCTCATATGTTTGGAAGGTAAATAACATATTACTATCAAACCCTTGGGCTAAAAGGTAAATCATTTAAAAATCATAAAATTTTTTAAACTCAAGGGAAATTTAAATATCCACATATCAAAAATTTGTGTGGAACACAGACAAAAATTTATAGCTTTAAATACATGTATCAGAAAACAAGGTTTTTAAAATGAGCTAAGCAGTTAGGAAGTTGATGAGGAAAAGTCCCTCTTTATGAAAAATATTCATGCTAATAAAGGCAGAAGGGATGATAGACTCAGAAAATCACCATTTTACAGCCCTTATGAAATAATGGATCTAGGAAATGATCATCACCAATTATCAAACCATTAGTTGAAATGTTGATGGGGAAATTTATAACTGATGGATCAAGCTGCCAGCGCCTAAACCCAGTGATTAATTTTAACATCACTAAAAGTTGGACAAGCAGATAATATGTGCCTCCTAATAACTATAGAAGTACACATATCCACTATAAAATTGTGCCAAATAATATCAATAAAACAACTTTAATCAATCCTCTGTATTTAACTAATTACAAAAAATATGGAATATAGAGGAATCGGTTAAACAATACCAAGAGGATGTATTCAGCCAAATCCAGTACGTGGGAAACTCTAAAGAACAAACAAACTCGTTTCTTCACCAAATAAATGACATTTAAAAATGGACAGCCTGGTGCACTTGCTCACACCTGTAATCCAACACTTTGGAAGGCCAAGGCAGGAGGATCGCTTGAGCCCAGACATTCCAGAGCAGCCTGGGCAACACAGGGATGTCTCATCTCTAAAAAGAACTTTTAAATTAGCTGGGCATGGTGATGCGCACTTGTAGTCCCAGCTACTCAGGAGGCTGAAGTGGGAGGATTGCCTGGGTCTAGGAGGCTGAGGCTGCAGTGAGCTATGATCTCGCTACTGCACTCCAGCCTGGGTGACAGAACAAGACCCTGTCTCAAAAAAATGAAGTTGGGGGTGCTGTTATAACAGAGGCTTAAGAGACATACCAACCAATTGCAATGTGTACATCTTGCTTGGATCTGAACAAATCAAATGTGAAAAAAAAATACAACCAAGGAAGTTTGAACATTGTAAAATATTAAGGGAGTATCATTAATTCTATGTGGCTATGCCTTTTTAAAGTGTCCTTACTGTCAGTACAGGGCCACACAGGCCAGAGCAGTATCTTGTCCTGGCAGAAATTGGCTTTTCTTTTCTTTTATTATGATTTTGTTTTAGAGGTGAGGTCTCACTCTGTCACCCAGGCTGGAGTGCAGTGGCACAATCACAGCTCACTGCAGCCTCGAACTCCTGAGCTCAAACCATCCTCTTGCTTCATCCTTCTGAGTAGCTGGAACCACAGGTGTGCACCACCACATCTGGCTAATTTTTTTTTATTTTTGGTAGAGATGGGGTCACGCTATGTTGCCTAGGTTGGTCTTGAGCTCCTGGCCTCAAAGGATCCTCCCCTGTCAGCCTCCAGAGGCTTTGGGATTACAGGCATGAGCCACCATGCTTAGCCAGAAATTGACTTTCAAAGGAAAGAGTTAGCCCACTCCTGGGCAAAGACTATTTCTGGCTGTTCAAATCATTAGGTAATTGATTATTGGGGGACTTTATAATGGATGGATTCAGCTGTTACTATCTGAATCAACTGATTAATCTTAGCATTTCTGAAATGAACCAGACATAATATGCCTCAAGATTTGATGGAACAGAACCGAACACAATGCTTGGCACACAATGGTGCCTAATAAAATTTTGTTAAAAGTGGGCTCCCATCATGGCCCCAGATCTACTCTTCTACTGCACTGCCTTTCCTTTTTAAATTCTTCCCTCTGTAATATATAACTGTTTTTAGCTCAGGCTTAAGACCACCAGTGATCTACCTTATAACAGTGCTGCAAACACTGCTTCCATTCCCATCATTCCCATCACAACAACCATTATAGACTCTGATTCTGTTCCTATTACTCAGAGTTCTCTCAATTCTTGCTCCATGTGGAAGCAGGCTTTTTCCTTCTCAGAATGACATCATTTAGGATGTTTGGCCCAGAAGTGGCCATAGCCTCTCTAAAGCCTCTTCAGGTGGATAGCTCCATATGTCAAGGAGAAATTGACATCACATAGCTGGGCTAAGGGTGTCTACCTTGCTGTGCCTCCCCGTAGTTTATGCCATCTGTACAGACAACACTTTACCAAGGCATCAAATTGGCTCTGGGACCCTTCTTTCTCTCTCATCTCAGAATTTGACTCTTTCTGAGGTACCACCTTCATCTCCCAACCTTCCTTTGTGCACAGAGACAAGTAGAGTTCTTCATCTTAGTGGCCTTCCATTAAAAAAAAAAAGACCTGAGGGACCTGCCTCCACATCACAGAATTCCAGAGCTCTGCATGCAAGTGGACCCATCCAGGATACTCACTACCCATAGAGAAATACAAAGCCATCTCTTCTGGGAACAAAAATGAAACACAAGAGGAGGACGCGGCAGGCACAGGCGGTGTTTAGAATAAAAGGAAGAGGCTGAGCAAGCAAATTAAAGCCCTTTCTCTGAAAAGTAAAGCAAAGCAGAGAGAGTTACCATAAGGGCTTCTAACGTTGAAGCAGCAATTAATACCCCAAATGGAACCTGAACAAGAGCTGACCACAGCAGCACAATATTTCAACCTCCAATAAAAAGTTCAGAAAGTTCACAGTGAGCAAACGACATTTTCTACCTAATCCTGGTAAGGAACACCCATTACACAAGGCAAAATTTTAAACAGACACAGTTCAAACATATAATTAATTTCAATAAATCAATAGATTGAAATATCAATACATACATGGATACATGGTTAAACAGACTATAGAAACAGACTCTTTCCACTAAACAGGCACATTATTAACTCTTGTTTAAATCATGCTTGTGCTATCGCTTTGACAGTTAGATGTTGCTTTTCCCAAAAAAGCTGGGCCTGATTAAATCATTTACTGGATTCCTTCTCTTTAGCTCCTGCTTAGGAAAAATCCACAGCCCCTAATCAAAAGTCATCACTTTTACTTAGTTGCAGATACCGGGATTGCAGATACATTGCTCAGAAAACAAACAGGACTGACATGAAGGCAAATGACACCAGGGCCAAACCACTGGTCAGTGAATAGTAAAGTGATCCACATCCGTTTTGTCCTCTCCAAATGATTTGACCGTTAGAACATTTCCCCAAAGTAAAGTATTATACCTGCTCCCATTCCACCTACCCCCAAACTGAGAAATCGTCCATTTGTAATCTATTCACATACAGAGTGTAGTTGGGTTTATTTTTTAATCATTTAGCAAAGACCTAATAGTACTCGCTAAGAACTTTTTGTGCATTCATGCAGGAAGCATGCAGCTACTGTGCCCTACTCCATTCCACACTGGCCCCTTTACACCAAGCGTGTGTGTGTGTGTGTGTGTGTGTGTGTGTGTGTGTGTATTTCAGGGAGGTGGGGGTGGGGGCATGTACGCTGCCATTAAATCAGACCTCCACTTATTTGTAATAAACACTTGGCAGACGGAAAGAAAAATTCTCAATGGCTATTTATTAAGCTCCCAACATCCTTGGGGTGCCCCGTGGGGCGCTGTAATTACAGAAAACGTTTTCGACTCTGCTTCTTTTTGGACTGCCCGGCTGGAAGGCCCAGGCAGTGGGCTATGGTAACCACTCTTCATTTTCCTGGGCCATTGTAACCCTAATGAGATCCATTCTGATTGCAATTATGACACCGCGCAGCAGGTGAAGCCATATGGAGCGTGGTCATCTTGAAGCAGAAGCTGAAAAGGGGGCTTTTGTCTACCTGGCTCTGCACATGCATTTTCTAAATTCAGATCCCACCTGGTCCTGCAACAGCCCTGTAAAGAATGGGAAATGTCTGAGGGCTGAAGCTTCAATGCATGCACATTACAAAAGAGGGGGAAAACAACTGCTGAGTGCCTACCATGTGCCAGGTGCTGTGTTAGGCTTTTTCTCATGTCATCACATCAACCTCTCAGTGAGCCAGCTATCACACAGCATTCTACAAAAATTAAGACCCAGAGCAGTTATTGGGCCTGCCCTAAGTTGCACAGCATGAAAAAGACAGCACTAGGATGACCATGACAGCACTCAATCTCCTGACTCTAATACTTAAATGTTTCCTATTACAAGAAGTTGCCATTAAAATCTCAAACTTTCTGTTGCTTTGTTTTGTTTTGTTTTTATTGCTTGTCTTGTATAAACATATTTTCATAAAAGATTCCTTTTACCAGAGGATGCCTAAGCTCTTTTTGTGCCATATTACATGACAACTGGGTGGAGGCAGCTACTGACTATATAGAAACCCCCAGAGCCCACCTATCCTTGCCATCTTCCATTCAGGGGTGGATGGGTTAAAAATCAGATCCCAGGATCACACACATAACTGTCTTATACTGCTCACCAGGACTATTGCCCTGATATAGGCTGGATAAACTGAGGAAAACAAACAAACAAACAAACAAACAAACAAAAAACTCTTTCATTGCACATAATCATTTTTTTTAAATTGGAACCACAGTACTTCTTCCTTTCCCTCCTCCTCTCTCTTCCTTCTGTCCCTGCATCCACATCTGCCCCCATGACAACAAACCCACCCAATAAGAAAGATAAAGGAAACTTAGAGTCCGCAGTTCAGGGTCACATTGGTCTATTAAAGCCTAACAAAGAGTAAAGCTTTATGCTAAAGAAAACAGATTTACCTTGAATTTGTGAATTGAGAGGCTTTTGAAGGAGCTAGAAAAATCCTTTAATATTAGGCAAAACTTATTATTCCATAGGCTGCAATAAAAGACTATTTAATTCTAGGTGGCCACGTAGCCTAGCATACTAACCCTGAGAAGAATATGCACTATGCAAAGAAAGGAGCTTAGGTTTTAATGAGAGAATTTAATTATTGGGTATAAACAGTAACTATACATTTGTATGTAAATATGTAAAATGACTGATGAAAAGATAAATTATTTTCTTAAATAGAACTATTTACTCTTCTCAAGACCTATGTGAATTTCTGTCATAGAGTTCAGGTCTCCCTTTTGCCTCCAAAAGGCAAGGAACAACCTGCTTTGTTTTCTGCCCCAATAACCCCCTCAGCAAACCACTGTCCCCACACTCAGACTCACCCCAGCTCTAAGTTTAGGATCAGTGCTGCAGCCCCTAGACATGGTGACATTTAATGCACCCTATTAAATATTTGGGGGACTTGGTACCAGGTCGGTCTTTGCTGCCAGCCCTGCTAACCCTATGCCCTAATGCTAGGAACTGGACTTCTCCCTACTGTCAACAATAGACTAAAAATTCATGCCATTGGTCCTGTAGCTGGATCTCTATTCTGATGCCCTGGCTCTTAGTCTCACTCTTGCCCTGCTCAGTGCCTTAGTCTGGAGTCCTGGAGAACAAGGCAGGGCTCCAAAAGTCTCCTGCAGGGAGAGATACCTGCCCTCAATCTCCAGCCCAGTGCCTGGGCCTTGTCTATAGGTTGGCAGCCTGCCATCCCAAAGCTGTCCATCCTTCCCCGATGTCATGCTTTGCCTGGATCATGGCAATCCCCTCACCCTCATTCCACTGCCTCATTCACACCGGGTAGCCAGGCTCGGGTCAAAGTCAGCAAACCCTTCTGAGCACGGCCTGGATAATCGTCTCCCCTGAATCTCAACTTCCCATAGAATCTCTTAGCAGCATTACAAGTCCCACTGCCGTGGGGACTACAATTCCCTCACATGGCTATGGGCACAAAGGGAAAAGCTGCAGTTCCATATTTTCAAATATTTGGAGAAAATAAATTGCACTTTTCCAGCATCTGGCTGAACCACTGCAACAAAATGGTTTGGGGGCCAAAGAAGGCTTTGGAGAAGATACGATATTCCATAAGACAACTGCTTTAATATAATAGTCCTTCATCTGTGTCCCAGAACTGTGAATGTCAGGGAGGCTGACTAGGGCCTATAGGTTCAGGAAGCAATTTGCCTAAACATCATTACCATTCCTGAGGGGAAAAGAAAACTAAAGCACTCAAATGCACTTTTTTTTTCTTCCTTAAGACATATCTTCCTCTATAAAAATAAAAAAGATCATTATAAAAACCTGAAATTCCAAAAAGCAGAAAGAAAAAAGTACTCGTGGTCCTAATGCTAGAGCCAAGAACAATCCTTTTTTCCTACCCTTTTGCTATTTTCAGCAGCTAAACCTGTTTTAGAATTAGAAAAATTTTGAGCATCTTAATGCCCAGTAAACAACTAACTCTTTTTCCTTGTCCAAGAATCTGTCAAGAATTGTAGGGGCACTGTCCTTCCAGGGGATACAGCAAGCAGATTCAAGAGGAATGAATTTAACAGCCATTCCTGCCCTGTCCCTACCCCCATCCCTAGATTCATCATTATCAGGGAAAAAGAACAAGGGCATAGAGAAACCTCAAATGACCATCATTTGCTGAGTACTTACTGATCTACGACTTTCAAGAAGTTCTTAGGTTAATTTGAGAAAGGTAGTATACCTCCCACCACTCTTAAGGAATGAGCATTGTTAAATAATGATGAAGTAAAAGTACCAGAGAACTAGCCTCAGATCCCACCTCTGTTCCTATATTATAGATAGAGCCTTTATCTTTGGGGCTAGAGAGTCTTCATTTGCAAGGTGAGGGATTCACAATTTTTTCCAAGGCACTTCCCAGCTCTAGAAATTATTTGAATTCCAAAGGCCCCAAAAGAACTGTGTTGGGAGTTCACAGGTGAGGTCAGGAACAACAACGGAAAATCAAGATCTAAGCTCTGAGATGCAAAACTCCAGGCTCCGAATTAGCGCAGCATCTCATCACCCAGGTTGATGAAATAAGGCCGTCATTATCCCAGCACAGGAAACCCAATGGCCCAGTTTTTGGATGACATCAGAAAGCACAGCAAACCTAGAAAACAGATGATTGAATTTCATCCCTGAGAGACCATGAACACCAATTTTCAGAAATGCCTGAGGAATCATGGAGACATAATAATAGCTAACATTTATTTAGCACTCATGATGTTCCTGGCACTGAGCTCTAAAACCAGATCTCAAGAATCAACTAACCACCTAAAAGTTCAACAACAGAAAAATGATTAAATAAGTGATCAAATATCACTCATCAACTAAAAATACTTTCAAATAATATCTAATGAAATAGGAACATTCACATTGTGTAATGTTCAGTGAAAGAAACAGGATTCGAAAATATGCAAACCCTATAATCACAATTGTTTTAAAAATCTATACATGAAGGCCAGAAGGAATACAACAATAATGCTAAAAGTAGGCAGGACTAGCTACATCCTTCACAGGGCACAGTGAAAAATGAAGATGTGTGGATCTTTGTTCAAAGGTTATTAAGAATGTCACGATGGCAGTAGCAGAGCATTAAACCAAGTGCAGGGTCCATCTAGATACTGGGCTCTGAGATACTGCATAGGTTGCATGCCGTGGAAATGGCCCTGGTGCCAGTTAGGTATCTCTGGGTGTTAATATTATTGCTGATTGTTTTCCATTTTTCTGTATTCTCCAAGTTCTATTAAGTGAATATATATTACTTTTATTATTAGAAAATATGTGAATAATTTTAAAAGAACCAACAAAAGTTAACTGATATCTACTTGTAGTTATAAAGAGCACGATTTGGAACACTAGCCATAGTATATCACAGACAGATGAAGACTGAATCTGGTGTGCAAGGAAAAGTAGAAATCTGGTCAGAGGGGAAAAAGTCAGAAGCTACCATGAGAAAATAGGAAGAGGAAAGGGAAGCCCTGCACTGCGGTGAATAATCAGCCTTGCGTGCAGGCAAAAAAGATGATCCCACAGTAAGCAAGAGTCACAGTGGTGGTGGCAGTAATACAGCTTTCCCAAGTGGTAAGGCACTCACCCATGTAACTCATGATGTTCGCAGCAAGAGACTGGGCCAAGAAGCTTAAAAGTTAATACTGGTGGTCTGTTAAGGAACCAAAAGTACCCAGTTGGGTAGGGGGACCTAGGAGTTTCATCAGCTTAGGTAGTGAAGGCAAGTTCCAGAATTATTCTAAGTTACTACGTATTCGGTATCTCTGTAGCCTCAGGCCAGTATGAGGGAGGATCTACATGTATTTCACAAATTTATTTTAGCTAATATTTATTGCCTGTTTCTGCCCAACTACAATGCAAGCTCTACAAGGAGTAGTATTTTTAACTGTTTTGTTCACTATTGCAAGCTCAACCCCTAGGAACATGCCTAGTACATAGTAGGCATTCAATATTTGTTAAATGAGTGATATACAAGTAATTGCAAGTTTGGTACAATTCTTTTTTATTTATTTATATTGAGACAGGGTCTCATTATGTTGCCAAGGCTAGTCTCAAATTCCTGGGCTCAAGCAATCCTCTCAGAGCCTGAAGGTTTGGATTCTTATCTCCCTGTATATGAAACACAGAAAAGTGTTAGTTAATAGATGGGACAGTCCAAGTCACAAGAGCAGAAGAATGTCCTTGTTTTTGAACTCCAAAGGGAACATTAGAGACTCCTTCTTAATTATTTTCTATCTTACTTATTCAGTGTTCATCCCAGAGGAGTGAACAGGGTCAGATGTGAGCAACACACCTATCCACATCTCATTAAGATAAATCAATCCTGGGGAATTCCCCAGAAGACAGATGGTTTTTCCTCTTAGCTTCAAGAGGTGACCCCAGACATCACATAGTTTCAGGATCATTTTGAAATTTTATAAAAAATTCCCAATGCCACATCCTCTGTGAACAGGTGGAAGATAAAAAATGAAAACAGAGGCCATAACTGGAAAAGGGTTAAATATGGGCTCAGGAATGAAAACAACCTGTCTCCTTCTCTATCCCACAACCCTGCTCAGGCTGCACATGTGTACAGTGGGGTGGATGACACACTGCCGCAGATCCCGAGCACTTGAAGAAGGTAAGTTTAGCCACAAAATACTTTCCTCCCTCTTCTTTTACAGCATCCCTTTCACCAGCATAATAAACTGGAAATGTCTCCAACGTTCCATCATCAGCTGCAGGTACTTTTCTGAATCTACCACTACAGGCCTTTTCTGAATCAACAGAAAAATGTATGCACATTTCGCCCCTTTCCATTTCCCTTCCCAGAGGCATGATTAAAGAATTTAGTAAGCCAGGCACGGTGGCTCACGCCTGTACTCCCAGCACTTTGGGAGGCCGGGGCGGGCGGATCACAAAGTCAGGAGTTTGAGACCAGCCTGGCCAACATGGTGAAACCCCATCTCTACTAAAAATACGAAAAATTAGCCAGGCGTGGTAGCGCATGCGTGTAATCCCAGCTACTCGGGAGGCAGAGGCAGGAGAATCACTTGAACCCAGGAGGCAGAGGTTGCAGTGAGCCAAGATCGTGCCATTGCACTCCAGCCTGGGTGACAGAGCAAGACTCCATTTCGAGAAATAGACAAAAAAAAAAAAAAGAAAAGAAAAAAAGAAAAAAAAGAATTTAGTAATCCTCAATCAACAAATAGCAGCTTGGAAGATTGCTTTTAGGCCTTGTAGATAAATTGAATATGTTCTGCACTGACCCAAAATTCAGGATCTGCCAAAAGGACTGAGCTGAGACTCACTTACCAAAGGTCAGGGGAAAAATAAGAATGAAATTTTATTTGACCATGGTTTACAATTATGAATTCTATACTTCAAGCGGAGACACTCTAAAAGGCCCATTTACCCATCTACTCACCATCCTGGGCTAAAACTGGGAAAGAAAGATGACATTTAACAGAGTGCCTTGATTTAGGGACAGAATTGTGGTGTGTACACATAGGAAAGGGCACGTGGTGGCTGTGAAGTTACAAGATCTGGCTCCATCACAGAGATCTTGGACAATGTGCAACACATGCAGGAGAAATGACATGCACCTAATCCCATCCAGTAGCCAGCCCAGGGATTTCTTTAAAAAGATAAAATACAATCTTATCTAAAATAGAACATGTGGACTCATAGGAGGACAAACTACCTGCTACCAAGGAATTTGAAAAACTGAATCTAAACATGGGAAAATATTCATGTTTTCTCACTGCAGGTGGGTGAAAACATAGACAAATAATTTATGTTAAGCAAAATTTTAAGTTGGTAGAGACAGCTTCCATTACACCAACAGAGTTTATTCTATGGCCTTTGCTAACTATATCATAGTATTTGTGCTTGTGAGCCTTCTGCTAGTTAGATGACCCTAGGCGAGTTACATAACTTCTCTGTGCCTTGGATTCTTCATCCATAAAATGGAGATAATAAAACCTAATTTATAGAGATGGTATAAAAATTAGTGATAATGTGTATAAGGCACCTAGAACATCACAGATATGATAGTGGTAATGCTTATGTAATAGAAATGACCAGGAAGATAATTTGTCCTCACACTTCTGCCATTAACCATTGCCAGTTTCTGGAGTATATGGAAAAAGATGAAACATAATAAAAAGATTCACATCACCACCATCATATAATGATGAAACCCTATTATGAAAATGTGTGTAACCAAAAGTTACAAAAGGACTTCCAGAAGTCCTTCAACCTCTACACTATATTTGAAGTGTAGTTGACATAAAATTATGGTGAGCAAAGAGTTAGAAAACAGCGAAGGTGGACACTGGCTCACACACACAGTCACTGCAGCAAATTTAAAAGGCATACTGGAAAAGCTGATCATGATTCAATGTGGCTTTTCTGAAGATGTGGAAGAAATGTCAGGAGTGGGGGGATATAATTGGTTCTCTAGTAGCAAGGCAACTGAATGATCTGCAGACATACTCTGACTACTTCTGCCACTGAGCAGGCAGCTCCCATGAAACCTTCCCTAATGCCTTCCTACTTCCCCCAAAACCCCACTGTAATTCCTAGCCTGTGCCTCTCAGAGCATCCATTATACAATACTCATATTTTTTTTTTGTGGATCCATTTGGTGGCCCATAAGTTCCTTTAGAGCAATATTTGATCTTATATATCTTCATATTAAATGACAAGCCTAAGAAAAGTCCTTGGCATTGTATAAGTGTGCTCAGCAAATGTGTTAATTTAATGAAGGGTGCAAAAGCCATGTTGTACTGGTCCCTGATCATAATAACATCCTATTCAATTTTCTGGCCAGGTATTAAAAGTATTTCCCCCAGCTGGGTGCGGTGGCTCATGCCTTTAATCCTAGCACTTTGGGAGGCTGAAGCGGGTAGATCACTTGAGGTCAGGAGTTTGACACCAGCCTGGTCAACATGGTGAAACCCTCGTCTCCACTAAAAAAAAAAAATATATATATATATATACAAAAAAAATTAGCCGGACATGGTGGCACGCGCCTATAGTGCCAGCTACTCGGGAGGCTGAGGCAGGAGAATCACTTGAACCCAGGAAGCAGAGGTTGCAGTAAGCTGAGATCATGCCACTGCACTCCAGCCTGGGCAACAGAGTGAGATTCTGTCTCAAAAAAAGAAAAAAAAAAAGTATTTCCCCCTTCTGCCTCTCTTTGTGATTCCTACCTTGCCTAGCACAGGGCCCACTGACAGCAGAAATTCAGACAAATAGGTTGAAATGAAACCCATTTGAATCTAACGAAAGGACAAGGTTCATGCCATCATACTCTCTCATTGCCAATGAAACCTAGCTCTTTAGCTGACTGTGAAGAGGCTAAAAGGTTACCTGTTACAAACAATTCAAAGAGGGTAGGAAATGTGTCCCCCTCTTTGTACACCAGGAATGGAAATTGAGTGTCTTCTCCCACGACAAATTTTAAAAATAGCATTATAACTGGCTAATAATGAGAGAGCCTACATTGTTAGTATGGACTAATGAAGTTCAACCTTAAAAGCCACATTTGTTTGTAATGTGGTGCATGGAAAACCAATATCAGTGGTGCCTGTGAAACGAGTGGTATTCACCCATCATATGGAAGATAAAGTGAAATTAGGTGGGGGAAGTGGGGAAGGGGAGATATTTGAAGGCAGGAAAAAACAAAGGCCTAGAGCTACTTAAAAAAAAAAAAAAAGAGGGAAGCTGTACAAAGGAAGGAATAAAAAACTTAAAAAACCAAAAACCTCTGTGTCCAGCTGGGTATGGTGGCTCATGCCTGTACTCCCAGTACTTTGGGAGGCCAAGGTGGGCAGATCACTTGAGCTCAATAGTTTGAGATCAGCCTGTGTAACATAGCAAGACCCAATCTCTACAAAAATTAAAAAATCAGGCTTGTGTTATGTTGCATGTTAGTGGTTCCAGGTACTCTGGAGGCTGAGGTGGGAGGATTGTTTGAGCCCGAGAGGGAGAGGTTTGTGTGTGTGTGAGTATGTGTTTCATGTGTTTCCAACTAGACTGTCAGCTCTTTGAGGAAAGTAACCAGATCTGCTTCCTTTCAGCAGCCCAGTCCCTAGCAAAATGGCTGGTATATGCTGGGTGCCTAATAGATGCTCATGTTAAATAAGATTATAAATTATAGGAAAGAGAGAGTGAGCTTGGCAAAGAAAAAAGAAATCTTAAAACTCTAACGAAGAAAAGTGAAAACCAACTCCCAACAGAAGTGGAGTTAATGTAGGATTATACATGTCCCTCTTTCACTTTAATGCTTTAATCTTTAGCCCAAATCCCCACTTGAAGAATAAGGTACCTATATTTTTGCCTCTGCCCGCAGACAGCATGGGCCTCTCTCTGGGGGTCAGTCCTTTCCCCTAACAAAGTACTATGGACCTGAGACCCTACCTCATCCAAACACTAGTAACAAGATATATTATCAGATTTCTGGCAGGTTCCATCATGATTTAATAAAGCATAGAGGCCGGGCGCGGTGACTCGTGCCTGTAATCCCAGCACTTTGGGAGGCTGAGGCGGGCAGATCACGAGGTCAGGAGATTGAGACCATCCTGGCTAACATGTTGAAATCCTGTCTCTACTAAAAATACAAAAAAATTAGCTGGGCGTGGTGTCGGGCGCCTGTAGTCCCAGCTACTCGGGAGGCTGAGGCAGGAGAATGGCGTGAACCCAGGAGGCGGAGCTTGCAGTGAGCCAAGATCTCACCACTGCACTCCAGCCTGGGCGACAGAGCAAGACTCCATCTCAATAAATAAATAAATAAATAAATAAATAAATAAATAAATAAATAAATAAATAAAATAAAGCATAGAGCAGCCTCTTCTATTTCCAGACCCAATGGGACATCCACAGCTACATCTCCTCTTTTGTTGCTGGCTGAAAAGCTGTCATCAAAGTCAGTTCCTACAGACTCAAAAGACAACATTCATTTCATCTTAAAATAACTCTTTGAGGGGCTGGACGTGGTGGCTCATGCCTGTAATCCCAGCACTTTGGAGGCCAAGGCGGTGGAACACGAGGTCAGGAGATCGAGACCATCCTGGCTAACACGGTGAAACCCTGTCTGTACTGAAAATACAAAAAGATTAGCCTGGCGTGGTGGTGGGCGCCTGTCGTCCCAGCTACTTGGGAGGCTGAGGCAGGAGAATGGCGTGAACTCAGGAGGTGGAGCTTGCAGTCAGCTGAGATCGCGCCACCGCACTGTAGCCTGGGTGACAGAGCGAGACTCCGTCTCAAAAAAAAAAAAAAAAAACAAAACAAAACACGAAACTCTTTGAGGTAGATATTATTTTTCCTGTTTGCAAATGAGAAAACTGGGGATGAGCAGAGTGTCTTGACACAGATCATGTAGCTGGTAAGAACCAGGTTTGGTACCAGGACTCAGGTAGCCACAATTTACCCACTCACTCTCAGGAATTCATGGAGTGTTAGCTTTCAAGAACGGAAGAATTGGTGACTAACTATCCCAGTTTTCTCAGGACTTGAGGGGGTTCCCAGATGTGGGATTTCCAGTGCTAAAGCCAGAACAGTGGTGGATGGTGACCATAGCAGGGACTATGTCAATTTTGTTCACTATTGCAACCCCATAGCTCATCGTGGGTACTCAATAAATATTTGCTGAATGAATTAATGATTTTATGATGGTTCCAGGACACCTTTCAGTGCTACAAATCCTTTATGAAAGGCCCTTCGAGGTGTCTTCTTAGCCTTCTCCCTGACCGATCAAACAGCAAGAAAGGATCATAGAGTTCCCATGCTTGAGAATTTCAATGTGCAAAAAAGGAAGACTAGAGAGATAACCTAACGAGCAACTGAAATTGAGTTCTGCTTGGCTTTGTGGCTTTAGAGGAGGAAAATAAATGAACAGCAGAGTTGATTCTTATTTTCAAAGAAATTTAACATTTAGAAATGTGTGTTTGTTGCCTACCTTCAATAGCATGTTTCCTTCTTAAGCCAGACTCCAAGTCATCTTCCTGTCCAAGTTTTCTGTCATGCCTTATTGTCTGGTCTGTTCAGCTATTTTAAAAAATGTTGAATATCAACAATGGCTTTCTGGCCGGCATTGTCAACTTTTGTATGAAGCAATCTTGGTTGAATGAGAAGATCCCAGAGCTTATAGTCTCGTCTACTATGCTGTCCCAGGCTGGGCTTGAATGTGTGTGACTGATAACAGGGCACATTTCTACCTGCCTTATTACATTCCTGCTCCATAATTCACTGGCCACTCTTCTTTTAGGAAAGATCTTTATGGTAAAGTGGGCAATACAGCAGGTGAGTGCTCCTAGGGAAAAAGGAAATCCAGCTGCCTTGTGGGGCTACTGAGCTGGGTGTAGCCTCCCCCAGGGCTAGCTCCTCTGAGTCTTGTCAGGTCCACAGGCCCCCACAGCCTTGAGGTGGCCTGCGCAGAGGGCATGCTTTTCAACAATTTGCAGTGACAACTAATCAAAGTATCTGCTTTGTATTAAGGGTTAAGACACTGTGAAGAGAGTTATGCTTTGGTTTGTTTTTACTTTTGCCTGGCTAAAATGAAAAACAAACATGCTGATTTGGAATTGACTTTATTTCCCAATGCTGGTTTATGCTCCTTTCAAGGTGACTCTAGGAGGTGCCAGCATATACCATCCTGCATCTGCAGAGAGCTCCCAATCTCAGAAAGGGCCTTTTTTTCTCTGCCCTGAGGTAAACAAGGGTCCCAGCAGGGACCAGGCCACTGGCTACAGATAACTTTTATTTAAAATTTCTGTTACTTCAAAAAAAAAAAATGTATTGAGTGTGTGGAACTGCTTTGTATTCCATATCAAGATAAGTCACATGAGACTGCATATCTTAGCATTAGAAAAGCCCAAAGGATAATTCTTGGGAAAAGCTTTATACTGCTTTGGGAACTGTCATGGTTAATTCGGCTTATGTGACCTGCCTACCTCCTGGGTGGCTGGCTTAACTGAGTTACTCTAGGCAAATAAGTATGTCAACACTTAACAAGAGAAAAAAAGAGAAAAAAGAAACAAGGTCCCCTAGTCTGTCACCAGTTGGGAAAGTTGGGTAGAAGAATAGAGATGAGTGAGGGAGGGAGTAAATGAGAGAATTCCTCTTCCTACAGACTTTCTTAGAGAATAAAGCAACATCCTGAAATCTAAGTGAATAATTGCTAGGAAGGGAGAAACAGCAAGATATCCTATAGTCTGCTCAGCTGGCCATGGAGCCGTCAAACTCCAGAGTTCATTTACCTATCCAGTGCGGTCCCTTTGTTCCAAACCCAGAGACCTTAGTAGGGTCTCTGCATACATGCGACTCATGGCAGACACAGTGTGAAAGCCATTAAAGTGCTCTACAATCAAATCTGCTGCCTGAAGAGCAGCCATCCAAGCTAACAACATGTAGGATTTTAGTTGACACGCAATGGTAACAGATCTCCAACCAACATGTGAAATACATCAGTCATCTAAAGCTACTTCCCACTTTTTAAAGGTGACTTTTTTTTTTTTTTTTTTTTTTTTTTTGAGACGGAGTCTCGCTCTGTCGCCCAGGCTGGAGTGCAGTGGCACGATCTTGGCTCACTGCAAGCTCCACCTCCCAGGTTCACTCCATTCTCCTGCCTCAGCCTCCCGAGTAGCTGGGACTACAGGCGCCCGCCACCACGCCTGGCTAATTTTTTGTATTTTTAGTGGAGACGGGGTTTCACCGTGTTAGCCAGGATGGTCTCGATCTCCTGACCTCGTGATCCGCCCGCCTCAGCCTCCCAAAGTGCTGGGATTACAGGCGTGAGCCACCGCACCCGGCCAAAGGTGACTTCTAAAATAAACAATCAAAGATTTGCTTATTCTCTTTAGGATTTAATATAGCTTACATAAGGGCAGACATATAAACAGATGACTATCTCTGTCACACTGCTGCATCTAATTATTTTATTCCTTAAAAAAATTCTTTTTGCTTTCTGGAAATCAATCCATAACTACCATTTCTGAGGTCATCGACCAAACCGTGAGAGCAATTAATTTATGACAATATTTATACTGAGCTGTAAGTAAAACCCAAGGATTTAAATAAAAGGTCTAAATTTGAATGTTGTCATTTGAACAAAACAATGAAAATAATATATTCTCTCTCTGTCCTCCAACTTCTTTTTCCTCAATGGGAGAATGCAAAATAAAATTTTTAAAAAATGGCCAATACAGCTATCCATTGAAATCAAATGGAATTGCTTTTGGGAAAAAAAAAATCACCACTTGAAACTTTCCTTTTTTTTTTTTTTTTTTTAGAGGGAATCTCACTCTGTCACCCAGGCTGGAGTGCAGTGGTGTGGTCTTGGCTCACTGCAACCTCCACCTCCCAGGTTCAAGTGATTCTCCCACCTCAGCCTCCCAAGTAGCTGGGACTACAGGCATCCACCACCACACTCGGCTGATTTTTTTTTGTATTTTTAGTAGAGATGGGGTTTCACCACGTCAGCCAGGTTGGTCTCGAACTCCTGGCCTCAAGTGATCCGTCTGCCTCGGCCTCCCAAAGTGCTAGGATTACAGGCATGAGCCACTGCACCTGGCAACTACTTGAAATATTTTCTAAACTGCGACTTGCAGCTCACAGATCCTATGCACCTAATGATCAGGCCGAGAAACTAAGATCACTGCCTTGCCCAAATTCCTCAGGCTCCTCTCCCTGTATATGTGGCCTCACTGAGGGATAAACAAAGGAACTAAAGGGGAAAGTTATCAGAGGTGAAATTAACAAACTAGAGATAGACAGATGAGCAAATGAATAGATGGATGGCAGCCTGGCTAGCTTTTACATTTTTTTATTCCTAAAATTAAGTTTACCATTCCCCTGGGGTTTTGTGGAGTTTGGAGGTTTGAGGACAGGAGGCTGTTGGACTTTGCATTTATATGTACTACTATCAATACTCAAAAAGCTAAATATTCTAGGTTAAAGATGGCTTCTTTTTTTCCCCCAAAAGGAAATTATTTTAAAAATATATGTATGCAAGATTACCTGGGAGTTAGTAGAACTGCATTGAGGAAAAAACTATAAAGTTTATGCTGATCCAGGTATATGTTGAAAAATAGAAAAATGAAGGTTACCACTCTTCTGTTTCATTAGTAAAATATAGTTAGAATGAAAGAACAAAGGTGAGGATCTGGGTCTTTCTCTGCCACCAAATGTGCTGTGTGACCTTGGGCAAATTGCTTCTCTTTTCTGGACTTGTTTAAGGAATGCAGGGCAGAATAAATTGAGAGACACTTGCAGTAGGCAGTTGAGAGCCACAGGATAAAAAACAGTTGTGGCAAAAAGTGCCAGCCACTCAGCTTAAAATGACATGACTTCTGGAGTACAAGAAGGATCCAATGGCATGACATACCACATATCCTAGGCCAAACCAGGGAGATGAGTGGTAGGACATTAATCAGAGTTCATTCTTTTTGGAGTAAGAATTGCTACACTCCAATCTAAACCAGAACTCAGGTCAATGGTAACGTTGATTGGTAATGCTACTTTTTACTAGGATAAACTGCCGAGTACCAACTACTGTAACTAAATTATGATTGTGGCATACGTGTAATTAATATGTACTCATTATTAACAAGACATTATGTGAAACAGAAATGGAGTAAGTCAAAGTCCCTCTGCCTGGCATCTACATCTAATAGATCAGATTCTAACAAGGAGGAAGCTGACCATATTCTGGAAGGGGAAGACCACTCTGTTTCAAACACAGACTCCTGAGGTTTGGTGCTTAGCTATGAAATGAGAATTGTGTGCAAATGGAATAACCACCATACCAAGGAATGAGTCAAGAGAAACGAAGAGAGTTCCTGCCAGGGAAGCCAGATAAAGGACAGAAAAGAAGGAGCTGAGAGGGGCCAAAACAGAAGGCTGGCAAGCCTAGAGGAAAGACCTGGATTCCATAATACATATGAAAAGCCACAGAGAAAGAAAAGTAGGGTCTCTGTGAGAGATGCTTAACATGGAAGTGGGGCTCATAACTAAAGAGGCTGGAGAAAAGAACTAAGGCCAGACTAAGCAGCATGGGCCTCGAAAAGACACTCCTAGAGACGAGGAACCAACTTTTCCTCTCACTGCACCCTGGGTCTGGCATGTAGAACTGACATGCCGCTAGAGGTAGCAGGCAGAAGCCATTACCATTTTTGAGGGAAAAAATGAAGGCTGTTTTAAAGATGAATTGCTGTAAGTTCATCTGCTATGAACACAGAAAAGAAGTGAAAGATTTTAAGATACAGGCAAATGGAGAGTAATTATTAGTGCATGTTCCTATAAGCAAAGAGCATGGTTAGGGGTCCAGAGTTAGTCTGAGGCAGAATCCTTACTATTCAAAGTGTAGCACAAGGACCAGCAGCATGGTTGCCACCTGGGACCTTTTCACACAAGCAGAAATCTCAGGCCCTGTCCCAGACGTACTGAATCAGAATTTATATTTTAACAAGATCCTCAGGGGATTCTTATGTACATTTAAGTTTGAGAAGCACCTCACTAAACAGGGGTCAGCAAACTTTTTCTGCAAAGGGCCAGGAACTAAAGAGGCTTTATTAGCCACATTCAGTCTTGGTAGCTCCTTCTCCTCACCTCCTCCTCCCTCCTTCCTCTTCTTCCACCTCCTTCTCTTCCGCAACCCATTAAAGATGTAAAATCTACCCTTAACTACAAGGACTGGTGAGGTTGAACCCCACAGGCCTTGGTTTTCACACTGCTCTAAACCATAACACAGTGCTGAGCTCAGGGAGGGTGATGTCACCCACAGATAACAAAGCACAGAGAGTTAAAATCCCCAGTGCTAAAAGGTTTATATTGCCAAAGTACCTTTGTCACAAATTTTGCCCATAGTGCACGAGTGTCTTAACCTCTCCATGCCACAATTTCCTCATCTGTCAAACGGTGCTAATATCAGTTCCTACTTCACAGGGCTGTAAAGAAGAGCAAGTAAGACACTGTACATTGAAGTACTTTAGAAACTGTAAGACTATTATCCTGATTCATTTTGTCCCATTCAAAGTGAAAGAAGAGCTGGCTGTCCTAGGGTGTGGTGAATTGGACTAAAACCGTTTTCCTCTCCTACCCAAATTACCAACCCCTGATATGTCAGCACAGAGAAAGGGAATGGCTTGGTCAGCCCAAGACTTGAACATAAAGACAAAAAACAGACCTGGAGCTCATTTCAAATCACCAGCCCATAACTTCTCCAGCCACATTTTTGCTTTTGTAAAATCATCTTCCCTTTTAAATTGGCATTTCACTTGTATTCACCTACTTACTCAATTTGGGCCTCAAATCCTCACGATCCTGCAGACCACGGAATGTTCTGTGTCATTCTTGTAGGGCTTACCATGTACTTTTCACCTGTGGTAAGTATTTTATATACATTAAAGCATCAACCTCATAACAACTTTTTAAATTAGCTATTATTACATCTAATATTTTAAGGATGAGGAAACCAATTCAAAGAAGTAACTTACCCAAGGTTACACAGCTGTGGCAGAGTTGAGATTCAAACCCTGCAATCTGATTCCAAAGCCCATGCTTTTAACTTCAAAGATATACAAGTAAAAAAGAAAATAAATGTTGGAGCACAGAGATAATAAACAAATACGGGAAAGGAGTTCAATGCCATGATACTCTCTGGGCAGACTGAGTGGTCAGAAAGGGTGCTGGCATTTCTGAGATACAATAAGCAGAGATGACAAAAGGCAGGATGCATTTCTAGAATGAAAAGGTGCATGTATTAAGCATACCACCTTTCTTCATGTGGAGCATATACTTTTTAAGCCCCACAGGATGGATTCACTGTTTTGTATTCACCTCTCCTATGCTAGGACCCCCAGAAGCTGACAGTTTGCAAAGGCACACACATCATGAGGTCTTCTTGGAGACACCGGCCACCATAGACAATGAAGTTAATGCACAGAAGGCCCTGAGAGCCATATTACCCTCTGTCTGTGGTTGGTCAAGGTTACTATTTTGCCTTTTTGACATATTATCAATTATGCTGCCGACAGAGATACTGGACCTTTAGTTTTCTTACAAAAAAAGAAACTGAGTTTAATTAAACCATCAGTAACGTGGATCTAATTATTTCAGACAGTATTTAATTAATGTTTCATGGGTACCTAATGTAATTAAGGTTCCTTTAATAAGACCTTCTGTGACATTAAAATATATGACCTTTATCTTCCTTATCTACCACCTTCTGACAACTCAGATTTGTCATTTTCACTAAAAGGTATAGTTTGATTAAATAGAACAGACCATAAAATTAATCTGGCAAATTATACTTGTTTGTTTCTTTTTTCCTCCCCGCTTAAGGTCTAATAAGTTAAGTCTTTTAATTAGCAGTGCAGATACAAGTGTTCTTGCTACCATTTTACTTTTAATTTGGCAAAGTGTTTCTTTTGTACATGAATTTTCGTTACCAAAGCAGATAACAACTATCCTTTATTAATCATGGTGAAGGGTTCAATCTTTAAGATATGAAAAATAATGAGCTGTTCTTTATTTTAACAATGACTAGTGATTGTTTTAATATGTCCTGCCGTTAATAAGAGGCTTTAATTCTTAGTATTAGTACGCTATTCTACATAAAAAGGTACTTATTGGCATTGCAAACAAACACAAGATACATCCTAAAATCTTAGGTAATTCAAAAGGTGCTTATGACCTTCTCCTCCTAAACTTGAAAGATCTCCGGGACCACCAATTCTAAAGATCCTTACAACCTTCTCCCCAAAAGCTGCAAATACAATGAGAACTGATTTGAAGGTTGGGGGGTTAGTCTCATATTGGTTAAGTATATAATTTACTAAGAAATTATCTTGTTTAATTAAAGTGAGGAAAGGTAGGCTAAAGAGAAATATAATTCAAGTGGAAATTCTTATATTTCTACTCCAGTTTCAAGACCCCTAAAGATGGACTTTCTTCTATTTTGGCAACAAAGGGACAGATTGCTGCTTCCTCTGAAAGAGATGATCTGTCTCCACTTTCAAGGAAAATAGCCAAAGCTGAGAAGAGAAGAAGAAACAATTCTTCCCTAAGGCACTGACTACCTAGTTGCAAAGTAGTATACATAAGGTGGTGTGGGGAGGAGGTACGGGGTGAATACGCACGGAGGCTGGACAAACCTCATGATGTGTGGGTCTTTGCAAACTCTCAACTTCTGGGTACCCTACATTAGGGGAGGTGGATACAACACAGAGTGAACCCATCACCTAGGGCTTGAAAAGTTTATGTTCCACGTGTAGAAAAGGGAGTACACCTCTCCTAAGTCTGCTGAGTGAGAATTACCAACACATAAGATGGACACTCTCACTGTTCTATTCTAGATCAGTGCTGTCCAACAGAACTTTCTGCAATGATGGAAATCTTCTAGATCTGCACTAATCAATATGGTGATCATATGGCTATTGAACACTTGTGCCTAGTGCAACTGAGAAACTGAATTTTCAATTTTATTTAATTGGAAGTAATCGAAATTTAAATTTAAATGTCTACATGTGACTGGTGGCTTAACTTACTGGACAGGGCAGATCTAGACATCTCCCCTCCCCACTCACACAAGGGGAGAATGTTCAGTGCAAGACAGTCATCCTGGTGGGCAATCTGCCTTGCTGAGCATCGCAGTATCTGGGGACTGGCCCATAAATCCCCAGTTAGTCCTTTGAGTTTGAGCCCAGACTCTATTGCTTCACTTGGACACCATTTCCAATCCACACCAATTACTTCCTTCCCCAGCAGCTCTCGGGTAATGCCCCTAAGGAGTAATTTGCCCACATGTTGGCAGTGTCATTTTGCACTGGCCCAACCACTGACAAAACTACTATGCCAGGTGAGGTAAGAAAGGGAAAAGAAGAGAAATAGGAACTCCCATAAACAATTTTCCTGCAGAAAAAAAAGGCCTATAAGGGGAAAACGTGTTAAGTGATTTTGAAATCAGACCAATCTAAGGTGAAATTCAAAAATCTCCCCTTCCTGGCTATGTGATCCTAAGCAAATCATTTCACTCTCTGAGTTTCCATACCCACCTCTGTAAAAGAGAGGAATAACACATGCTTGCAGAATGGCTGTGAAGTCCCAAGAAGGCAATGTAGAAGAAAGTCCCTTAAAAAACCCTAAAGCACCACATCAATATTACCTGTTGTTAGTCTGTTGCTAGCAATTTTAACACTATGCTGGGCATAATGTGTGAAAACAGTTCCTTTTGCTTTTTTTCCCAGATCCCACATTAAAACCTAGAATTGTGAGGGTAAGCATGGGAAATCTTGGTACTGATGCTATTGTTGCACACACAGGTACCTAAGGGAGGCCCTCTGGGTTCTGACTTCACAGTCAAGCTAAGACTCAGGGAGTGATACGGTTTGGCTGTGTCCCCACCTAAATGTCATCTTGAATTGTAATTCCCATAATTCCCATGTGTCATGGGAGAGAGCCAGTGGGAGGTGATTGAATCACGGAGGCAGTTACCCCCATGCTGCTGTTCTCATGATAGTGAGTGAGTTCTCAGGAGATCTGGTGGTTCTATAAGGCGCTTTTTCTCCTTTTGCTTGGCACTTCTCCTTGCTGCCACTATGTGAAGAAGGACGTGTTTGCTTCCCCTTCTAGTTTTACTGTTTAACTTTTCTATCTTTAGGTATGTTTAGATACACAAATACCATTGTGTTATAGTTGTCTACAGTATTCAGTACAATAACATGCTCTTTGGTTTGTAGTCTAGAAGCAACAGGCCATACCATACAGCCTAGGTGTATAGAAGGCCATCCCATCTAGATTTGTGTAAGTACATGCTATGATGTTCACACAGTGACAAAATCACCTAACAAAGCATTTATCAGAACATACCCTGGTCATTAAGTGACCCATGACTGTACTCCACTTCCTTAAGAAAAGAAATAGAAGAAAAGTCAGAGTAAATTTTTTTAAAAAATCTTTTATGAGATGCTTATTGACTGGATACTACCTAGTTATATTCAGCTAAGTGAGATCAAAGTTTACATATAAATGCCCAGCTCAAATTTCAATTAGCAATAGAGGTCTAAAGTGTGGCTTAGGAAGCACAAGGATGAGTTTGCTGAAGTACTGGAGATGTCCCATATCTTGACATAGGTGGTGGTCACAGGGTTGTATATGTATTTTAAAATTGATCTTTCTCTACACTTAAGAGCTGGGTACCTCACTAAATGTAAATTGCATCTCAATAATTTGTTTTTAAATTTCAATTAGTAACTTTTTAAAAAGATGACCTATTATTACATCTGCAGAGTAGCATAAATGTCCACCTCAAGAAAGTGACTAAATACCCCAAGGCTACACAGCTAGCTACTGAAAGATGAGAGACAGATTTAGAATTCCAGTCTCCAGATCCTTAATCCAGTATGCATTCCAATTCTTCAGGATGCTTCAACCACCCACTGCATGAGAAGAATGCTTTAGATTAGGACAGCAAAGAGCACACTTGTGCTCTCAGTGTTAATTGCTGAGTTTCCTTTTTTTTTTTTTTTTTTTTTTAACAAATCACTATCAGCAGCAATTGATAGCTGGAAATACTCACTTACCCAGAAATGCATTGGGCTCCAAAAGCTGTAAACACCTCTAGCCTCCTTCTCTCCCTCCTGGGTGTGTTCCTAAAGTTTCCTAATACTAAATATCTCGACCCACATCCATACCTTGCTTCTCAGGCCCACAATGAGGCCATGCAGCGAATCTCTGGGTGATAGCTAGTGAGGGGAGAGAGTTGGGGAGTGGTCACCCAGGCATTAGCTCATTCAAACCTCTGAGGGTTACAGGGAGAGAGTGGAGATGTTAAAGATAAAGAAAAACTATAGCTTTAAGAAGTGAATTGTAAAATTTCCTGCAACTAGCTCCTGACTCAAAAAGTAGCTGAAGCCAAGATGTTTTCAACTTTCTGTAGGTTATCTTTGGACAAAAGAATTACATACCTAAAAACAGGAAGTTTAGAAAAGAAACAAAAAATGTAAAAACATAGGAATTCTGGTAATGACTTATAATTTTTTATTATGACTAACTGAATTTCCGTAAGAAGTGTGTTGACTAAGAACGATTAATTTGAGGCCAGGCGCGATGGCTCATGCCTGTAATCCCAGCACTTTGGGAGGCCCAGGCAGGTGGATCACCTGAGGTCAGGAGTTCAAGACCAGCCTGGCCAACATGGCAAAACCCCATCTATGCTAAAAATACTGAAATTAGCTGGGCGTGGTGGTGCATGCCTGTTATCGCAGCTACTTGGGAGGCTGAGGCAAGACAATTGCTTGAACCCGGGAGGTGGAGGTTGCAGTGGGCTGAGATCACTCCATTGCACTCCAGCCTGGGCGACAGTGAGACTCTGTCTCAAAAAAACAAAATAAAAACAAAACAAAACAAAAACAAACAAACAAAAAAGAATGATTAATTTGATTTAACAAAACACTTGCAGGATGAAGATTACATATAATAAAGGAGCTCTAATACTCATACTAAATATAAAGAAAATATTTCTAACAGAAAACAATTATATTTGGACTTGTAAAGTGACCCTTCTTCCATGAATTCTTGAAATCAAATATCTTTGTCACCTCAGTGGATTATCTTGATAAATAATTCCTTTGCATACATCTTCCTCCTATAAAGGACTTTTCATTTCAAGGATGTGAAACAATGAAAAACTGGCTGGCAATTTAAAAATAAAAGTAAGATAGATGTGGATGTGAAGAAACAGACTTAGGTGTATGCATTCAAAAAAACATCATTGCTAACAGTCATAGTGGAATATTTCATTACAAACACAAATCAGGCATCATTTTAGTCAAATATAATTTAGATTATAGACTTTCATGTAAAACCTAATTTACTTTGAATTCTCCGGTCACGACTTGTGTGTGCCTTACAGGACAAGGTTAAAGAGATTACATCTGGGTTCATGTCAGCAGCATCTGCTGGTTAGTCCTCCGTACGCTGATTTAATGAGAGGTCATGCACAGTCTGTCGGAAAGACTTCTGTTTCAGGCAGGTGCTTGAGAGAAGTCTTCGTTTTCATTGTGATGAATAACAGGGCTTTTAGAATTAGGAAACTGATGTATCACTATCCTCAGATGTATAAAATAGTCTAATATTTGTCACCACACTAAACTTACCGGCAGAAATTACAACCAGATCTTTTTATAAAAAACAATTTGAAAAAGAATAAATGTTATTTTGAAATGTAGCTGTTTCTGCTACAATGTGATTTCTGCATATTTTCCTAAAATAATAATCATCCTAAAGAGATATATTTCTATGTGACATAACACTATACACAATTGTACAAATAATAAGTGTATTACAGGAGGAAAAATGCATTAATAACTGCTCATGCTTAATAAACAAGAGGGGAATACAAAAATAATTCATCCTGAAAATTCTAATACCAATTTTTAAATAATTTAAATTCATTAAAACATTTTCTATTTCAATTCACAAGTTCTTCAGAGAAGAGCTTAAAGATGTTCCTGTAATTATCGTAACAGGAAGGGGTTTGAGCCATTAAAATAATCTTTGGCAATTCAGTGTGATTCCCCCTATTTATTCAGCATGCTTTTCTGAGTGTGCCTAAGTCCCCCTTTGCCTTCTCTGAAATGGTCACTTCTAAGCAGTGTATCACAAAGAGGCTCAAATTCCAAAATCAATCAAGTCATTTTGCCAAAGAAAGATTTACAATCGAGTAATCTGTAATAATAAAGATGCCTTATGATAATTATCTTCTTTTTGAGCATATATTTGTGACTAGGAGTGTTAGAAAAGCAGGGAGGGGTAGATGGAGTTCTTGGTATTTTATTAGGATGAGACAAAAATCTCAGCATTTTATTTTTATATTAAAACCCAATTTTGCATATACCCTACTCACATACCGTTGTGCATACCTAATAACTGGACATAGCTCTTGACAAAACTCAGTTTAAATATTCATTTTGAGTATGCATAAAAATTATAATAAGGAGATGGGCAATTTTCTCAACAGGCCTATCATAATCATGACAAGAACTGATTATTCGTGGTAGGGGATACAGGATGAACAGGTGTTTGGGCTCAAGAGAATACATTAATTTCTCCAATTTCGACAACTGGGATCTCTACTAAAGACAATAAAAATTTTTGCATTGCTCGTATATCTGGGGGAAGCAGGTATGATAACAATGGAATAAACTGGGTTTTTTTTTTTTTTTTTTTTTTTTTTTTTGAGACAGAGTCTCACTCTGTCGCCCAGGCTGGAGAGTGCAGTGGCGCAATAAACTGGGGTTGCTCTGAAGCAACCACATGCATGGATTTCCATCTACTTTAGAATGTATTAACCTATGCTGATTTTTCTTTTAGTCATTAGCACTTTGTAAGCCTCTACACAAGCTCCACACCTCTCTCTGGCTGAGAACGATCACCAGTCTGCAAGGCCAAAGTAAAGGCTCTAACCCCCCCTGGTGTCTCACAGAACCCTCCACCCTCCCAACTGCTTGAAAGAATTCTGAAGGAAAATGGCCTCAGCTGCAAGGAATGTAAAGAATTAGGATGTTTAGTGACTTAGAAGTTGAGCGATATTGACAATTCTCCCAGTGTTTCATCAAACATTTGAGACAAGTTGAAGAGTCGGACAGAGAGTAGTTTAATTTGAGGACAATAAAAGCAAACAAACTGTCTTGTCCAGACAAGTCAATTCCTGGTTGACAGCGTGTCTGAAATAAAGTTTCTCCTACTCCATAGCTACAGTAGTGAGTGGATTCAGTGGCCAACTTGACCAACAGCCATATGCTCATTCATACACGGGTCTGAGCTGGTCCCTTGCCCAATTTTAATAATATATTAAATAAGACTGAATAAAGACAGTGGAGATATCTTACTATCTTTCGGTCCCAACATGCATGATGTGCATGAACTATTAAGGCAGACTTATGGTTATTGAGATTTCTAAAATTGTATCCTTTGATTCTTCTTGTACCCTTTCTGAATGCTCACAGGATAAATGGTTAATAAAACTCTCAATTGCAAAATATGTTATGAAAACTAGGCTGAATGTTTTTTCCTTTATTAAGCAAGCACGTCTTAGTTTGGCAGATGCCTCAGTTCTTTAGTCATCCTACAGAGTCATTGCTTGTTGGAATTCTGTCTGTTGGGGAAACTGTAGGACATAAAAGCTAGAAACATTTTTTCAAAGAGGGTTTCCTCAGAAGTCCTAGCAGTGAGTGAGGCAGGTAAAACCTGAGGTGTGCAAATTAGAATTTACATGTCAACAGACTGGTTTAACATACATTAACATACTGGTGGGTAAGGAACCATTGTTTCTGCGTTAATGAAGACATTTTCCTGATGATTGCTATGCGTTTTTGCATGACTCTCACATCCAAAGTTTTCACAAAATTTTTCTTTCTTAAGCAGTGGGGGAAAACAGTGATCTCCCTGTGTGAAGCATCAAAAGTTATTATCAGGGTGGCCAAAGTAGAATAATGCAGCACGTTAGTAACTAAAATATCAATATCAATCAATCAAAATCAGAAAAAAAAAAAAAACAAACTATCCTCTTCTCCTGTGGCATGAAATCACGGCTGTTCAAAGTTGAAGAGATTTGTCCTGCTCCGCATGAGGCTGCAGATTCAAATACAAATCCTGACTCTTAGCAATTTAGTAAAGAGAAGGCCTTGAAGAACATCACACGCGGTGACCCGGGGGTGGGGGGATAGGATGGAGGATGGATAAATAAACTCACAAGTGAATGTACCCTGGACAGAGCTTTGAGCATGCGATCTGGAAATGCTAGTTTCCCTAAGGCCACATTTGACCTTCTCCTAAAGTATCTGCCTAAAACCCTTCAGGTCAAGTGACAACTTACTAGACTCAGAAAGACTGTGACTCCTCTTCAGCCTCTGGATTAGAGTCCCCATGTTACAGAGGAAACCCTTTCAAAGACAGCTGAACCTTCACAGCTCAGGCCTAGAAATAGGGAAGGGCTGGATTCCAGGAAGTGAGAAATGCTTTCCCACAGAAGTCATCAGGAAACGCTTGGAGAGTAGAATCCCTGAATACCATGGCCCTTGCTCTCCTCCCCTGTCCTCATACATACTCCACTACTCCCGTTACCACTCAGCTCTTCAGGCCCAGATTCTTTCCTAGGCCTTGTTCTGGCAATTAGTCAGCCCTCTGTGGTCAAGACTTCTCCACACCATCCCCTCCCCTTCCCCTCCCCTCTCCCATTTCTTCCCTTCTCTGCTCAAACCTGAAGAAGCACTCATTCTCTGCAGGGCCCACTGCTAGGGCACACAGAAAGGCCATGCCATTAAGAGGATCGGATTATCTCAGGGGTGGGGGGCTGACGAATACAAAATAGGCAATAGCATTACACTGTGTTAGTGGCTGTTGCAGAGGTCAATACAGAATGCTCTGCCTGTACAGAAGAGAGAACCCACTAGCTCTGGCCCCAAACAGGGAATTTAGCACAACCTGTCTTTGGGTAGCTTTATGCTTTGAGATAGCTAAACTGTTGCCTCCCCAAAAGTTTGAAGACCTCTGAATTAAATAGTGGAGAAAGGGAAAGTATCTTATCCACTCAGTAAGATGGTGGGAATGGTGGAAGGGCACCCATCTATCTCCAAACTTCCTGGAAGTATAAACAGAATGGCTGGACCTTAACAAGAAAAAAATAAAAAAATAAAAAAGACTTTTGTCAAACAAGAAGACAGAGTGTCTCTTTTGTTTAGACTGTTTTACAGCACTTAACACCGTAGGTTTTACTTTAAAATAGTGGTATCTAAGTAACTACCTTTTTGGTTTTTTGCCTTTGCTGCCCCACCGCCCTCTGCCTCCAAAAGCTTCTACAAAAATCCCAACAATAAGAGACAAGCAGGGCTGTTCCTGTTGAAGACTTGGTGGAAAGGCCTGAGGATTCTCCCAAGGGTCTGCAGGCTCTACAGACTGTAATGAAGAATTTCTGTCCCCAGCAGTCTCCCCATGAAACTGTGAGACCCCCCAAACAGCAACCATATCTTCCTTACGTTCCTGTTCCCAGAAACTGCCACACTATCTGGTAAATGGCATGAACTAAAATGAATTAAATTGAAAAGGAAGGCTCGGGTAGGAGAAATTAAATGATGTGTGCCAGACAGACAAGAAGGTAAGTCACTCCACAGTTAAATGTGGTGGCTGAACAAACCAAAAGGTGGGGGACAAAATGAGTAAAGCTGATCTCAAGTAACTGGCAATCTGGTGCAGAGAGAGCAAAGCAAGCAACCAATGAAGACACTCTGTAATTAAAGCAACATTATATACAAAAATCTACACAGGCAAGAACACAACCATGCCTGGGGATCAGGGAACTCTGCTTGGAGGAGGTAAAACTAGAGCTAAAACATAAAGATCTAGTCACATAACTGGGAAGGAATGAAGAGACAGGTAGAGGCCAGATCAGGAAGATCCTTGCAGGCCACATTCAAGAGCCTAGTTTTATTCTAAAGGAAGTGGAGAACCACTGAATAACCCCACACAGGTAAGTTGCAGGGTTACATCTGGATAGCAGAAAGCTTAGAATTTAAGAAGCTATTTTAATAAACCAGTAAAGAGATGGTGAGGCAGTGGCTTTGAGTATAGAAAGGAAACCATGGAATGAAAAGCTATAAATTAAAAGAGCAGAACTGGCAGGGTTTGATAGCCCATCCTCTGCTGGTTTCTCCAGCAGAAAGCAGTGTCATCTCTAGCTGGATCTCCAGCTCAGTAATAGCCAGATATTTAGTGAGCTGCAGCTCTAGGAGAGAAGGAGGAGAGGGGGAGGGAAGGAAAGTAGGGCATGGGAGGGGGAAGAGAGGAGGGAAAGAGGGGGAGTGATGGGTGGGGGGAAGGAGAGTGAACTAGGTCCTTCTCCTAACTGAGCAGAGTTCAGCCTAGCCTGGAACTGTGACCAGGGCCTTTCATCTGCTTTTCTTCCTCGTTTCCAATTTTACCTTTTCCAAGTCCCTTCCTCCTCATCTCCTTTCTTAGTGCTTCCAACCTGGAAACATACTTGTTATTCGCTTAGTAGCTGGAATCGAAGAGACCTAAAAGGTCCACTCACTCACATAATTCTTAATATGGTTCCTCTCTAATGAAAGGACACATGACTTCACCTTATGAAATTGAGGATTTGAACACAAGGAGGCCTCCATTGTGTATGCTAAGGCGACCACCAACCACACCAACCTGTCTACTTCAGCAGCTGCTGAGAGAACTTCTTTAAAACAGCCATGTCTTGAGTCCACTGGTGACTACTGATAAAGCAATGGCACTAAAGGGAATGGAAAGAAAGTCACTGCCAGAATTTGCTGAGCAGCTGACCCTGACAACCTGAAAAACATCAGTAATCCTCATCAAAGCCATTTTGTTCCCACATTTGCTTTTCAGAATGAAGAACGATTTCCTTAATCAGAATCATTGCCCACACTCCAGAGTGCTGCTCACTTGGGAACATGTGTCTGCATTACTGAGTTGTTACAAGGATTAAATGAGATCACATACATAAATAATGCTTTAGTAGGCACTTCATAATAATAGCTATCATTATTATCATCAGCATTTATTCATTCAACCAAGCGGGCACTCAATAAATATTGATTGATTGATTGAATGAGTGAATGAAGTTCCTTGAAGCAGATGATGCTCTAAAAGGATGCAGACAACCTTGGCAGTTTTCAAACTAGTCTACAAGTATTCATCTTGAATATTTGTTTAGGACTTTTCCATTTACAAAGTCCTTTCACATAAGATTTTTCTTTCATTTAAATTGCAAACTGCTCTAACATCCAGCACACTCAACTCCCCTTACCCTGCCCTATTTCTTACACAGCACTTGTCATCTTCTCATATACTATACTTGTAACTTTACTATGTTTAGCTGTTTATTGCTTGCCCCCCCGCCCCCCACACCCCTGCCCCAGGCCAAATGGAATGTAAGCTCCACAAGAGCAAGGCTCTTTATTTTATTCTCGGATGTATTCCAAGTGCCTAGAAGAGTTGGTACTCAATAAACACTTGTGGAATGAATGAATGAATGAATGAATGAATGAATGCTCCACAGCCCATTGGTTAGACGGGGCATAAAGTTAGACTCAAAGGTTGCTGGATTTGGAGAAAAACGTTAGAGCTGGACTGATTGTAAGACATACAAAATGAAAAACTAAAATAAGGCCTCGGGTAGGAAGTGAAAGTGGGAGGGAACTCCTCCCCCTTCTGGCTTTAGGTTAAAGGGACTGAAATGCCTGTAGGAACCTCTCCTCTCGAATGCAGCTTCATTTAAACTTTTTGTTCTTCATAAAAAACAGCTCTTCACTTACAGACGGTATTTTATAATTTACAAAAGCTTTTATCTATTATATCACTTCAATAACATAACTATCTGAGAAGGCAATGGTCATGCCCCTTTAATAGATAAGCCCATGGAGGCCAACAGAGAATAAGTGAATAACCCTGGGGACACAGCTGGCATACCACAGAACCAGTACTCAAACCCAAGGCTTTGGCTTTCTGGTGCAGTACTCCACAACTTCCCCATGTTGCCTCTCTCGTGCGTAACAATTACTAACACATTTTATTTTTTGGCCTGACATCTCAGAAATACTGAAAAATGGCCAAATTTCTTCATTACAATGAACAACTGATTACGAACATCACTATGATAATGATCATTATCCTGTTCAAAAACTGTTGACACACTATGTAAATTCTACCAGGTGGTGGAGGAGGCTTTGCTGGCACCTCATTGCACAGACAAAGCCAAAGTCCTCGGCTTGGCCTTCAATGTTCTCCACAATTTAGCCCCAAAGCCCACCTTACATTACAGCACCTTCTACCTCTTAGCCACACTGATTGCCTTGCCATTTCCCAAACGTGCCTTGCCATGGGCTGTTGTGCTAGATGCTTCTTCATCTGGGATCCTTGCCATCTGTGATTTTTCAAGGCACAACCTACAACTCAGAGCCCAGCTTCTCCAAAACTCCTTTCTAAATCATCCCAGACAAAATGAATCCCTCCTGCCCCTCTACTCCTGCAGCACAGGACACCTTTGTAAACACCCTGAGGAGAGGCTGGCTTTTGTTGCAGTTACCAACATGTCTCCTCTAATAGACTGAGCTCCTGGAGAGCAGCATCTGTCTCTCCCACACTGCCCAGGTCGAAGTAACTGATAAAAAGTAATTGATAAACAAGAAGCACTTAACAAGACTAACAACAGCCCAACGTCTTGACTTAATACAACTGTAAATGGCTGAGCAATCAATTATTCCCTTTCTACCATAATGAAAGTTTCTTCATGTCAGAGAGTATGTCTAATCTCTACCTGGACCTTCGTTATGCCCTCCTTTAGCAAATGCTTTGTGGCCCTCAAAAGTAAGGGATAACTTACCAAAAGGAGGACAAAAGGGACCACATAGGCCTGTTAAAATGGAGTCTCCTTTGTAATTTACAGAGTTATTCCTGGGGGCCACCGACAACAGCTGCCTCTTTTCAGAGAATACCACCATATATTTTTAAAATGAAACTGAAATGCAAAAATCAGATGAAAATTATGTCAGATGAGAGATATTAAATCTCTAATGAAATAGACTGGAGGAGAACCCAGGTTATCTGGACTGAGGGTCACTGAGACAAAGGGGAGAACAAAAGATCATAATAAATGAATAAAAGAATAAACTAGGCTGGGCACGGTGGCTCACACCTGCAATCAAAGCACTTTGGGAGGCCGTGGCAGGCAGATCACAAGGTGAGGAGACCGAGACCATTCTGGCCAACATGGTGAAACTCCGTCTCTACTAAAAATATAAAAATAAGCTAGGTGTGGTGGCGCATGCCTGTAATCCCAGCTACTCAGGAGGCTGAGGCAGGAGAATCGCTTGAACCAGAGAGCTGGAGGTTGCTGTGAGCTGGGATCGCACCACTGCACTCCAGCCTGGCGACAGAGAGAGACTCCGTCTCAGAAACAAACAAACAAACAAAAAAGAATAAACTAAACAAAAAACAAAAAACAAAAACAAACAAACAAACAAACAAAAAACAGGGAGATCATCTGTATTTTACAGTTGAAGAAACTGACATCCAGGGACAGAAAGCAATTTCTCCAAGATCACACTTGGACTGGTAGGAAACAACCAATTTAACATCCAAAACAATGAGCATCTATTGAGTATCAACCATATACCAGGCATTTTCACATCCACCATCTTATCTAACAGTCACATACCACTCTGAGAGATATGCTTAACAACCAGAATGAGCATCCCAATCCACAAACCTGACCATGTCACTCCCCTGCTAAAAACCATTCAAAGAGATTCAGTGACTTTGGGAATGGCTTGAGGAAGCCTCTTTTCTGGAGATGCATCAATTAAGCCAGTAAAAATTTGTAAAGAAAATCATTCAAAGACTCCGGAGATTGATCAAAAGACAACAAATTGAAAAGCATTTATTCAACAAAATATATAGAAACTAGGTCACATGAACATGATCCTCTACAGTGGGAGGCTGAAACATTCAAGGTAAGGGCAGCACATCCTCTCCCCCAACAGCTGCACTTTACAGATATGGAAACTGAGAGTCATATAATTTAAGTGATACTGTAAGTGGAACTTTGAACCCAATTTTATCAGGGGTTGCTACTGACTCTCAGTGCTAATGTGAAGTCACAGGAGAGAAATGCTTCAGATTTGGGGTATTACTGTGGGAACACTCTCTAAATCTAATCTCCAAATGTGGTATCTCTTTCCTTATTAGCACACAATGAATGCCTCTCCTGTAAAGTTCCAAAGACTAGCCCTACATCGTTAGGGCTGGAAATGTAAGGACAAACCAAGGATGGCAGCAGAAGTTTTAAGAAGCTCTAATGCAGATGACTATCCACTATTCTGCTCATTCTGAAACCCAAAGCACCCCTGAATTCCTCCCCCTCCTGAAATTCCCACAAAGCTCACCTAGGATGCAGAGCAGGTGGCTAGAGATGGTTGACTGTTCCAGGTAACTTTTTGATCCCTCTACTCTTCCAATCCCAGAGGCTTTCTTCCTGCCCCATCCCACCACAGACGAGGGCATCTTCTCCTGTGGATACAGAATTAGAATTTAGCTTTCTTAGCTTGGTTCTGCTTCTACAATAATTTTCTGTCAGAAGTGCTGGAACTGATGGCTCTCAACAGTGCAAATAGGAGAATGGCCATTTCTGAAGAAAATCAAGGGCCACTCCAGCTTTATTTGTTTATTTTTATTTTTAATTTTGGGGGTACATAATAGGTATATATATTTATGGGGTACATGATATGTTTTGATGCAGGCATGCAATGTGAAATAAGCATATCATGAAAAATGGGGTATCCATCCCCTCAAGCATTTATCCATTGAGTTGCAAACAATCCAATTACACTCTTTAAGCTATTTAAAAATGTACAGTTATTATTCACTATAGTCACCCTGTTATGCTATGAAATCATAGGTTTTATTCATTCTTTCTAGTTATTTTTTGTACCCCATCACTTCAGCTTTCAGTGCTGTTAAAAATAGCATCATACGGGAACTTTTGGAATCTTCAAAACCTTACAAGGAAAAGGGCCCTTACAAAGCATGTAGCTCAACTGCCTCACTCCACAGGTCAGGAAAGTGAGATCCAGAGAGAGGAAGGGTCTCTTTGTAAAATCACACAATATGAAAATCAGGCCCTTCTAGGGCAGTGCAGTGGAAAGAACCATCATTTACAGACAGATCAAATCTCAAAGTTTTGCCACTGAATGTGTAACCTTAGCCAGGTTGCTAGGATTAAACAAACAAAGTTATACCTGTAAAGGTCATGACAGTGTTACCTTGTAGTAAGTTTCAATAAGTGGTCACTATCATCATAATTTCCTGGAACCTTTAGCAAACACATGTTGGCATATATATGTCATAAGCCAAGAGATGAACACTGGAGAGTGAAAAGTCAAGGACAGTGAATTGGATGCTTAGATCAGCAGGCTGCTTTGCTATGACCTTCCATGTGAAGCCCACCTGGCAGGGATAAGGAACAAAATACAGGATTCATTTGACTGCCAAGAATGAAAGGAAATAAGTGTCACCACAAGAGATTAGTGTGCACTGCCTGAGAAGTTCACACTAGCGTATTGCTTTACCTATTTAATCCTGAATCTGACTGTGTCAATTTTAATGTTTCTAATTAGTGTACCTTGAGACCTGGGGAGATCTCTCTCCAGCCCACTTCTTGGGGAATAATCTAGAATGGGGGGACATTCCTTGTGCTTCCTCTGCCATTTGTCACCGCTCATTAAGACATTTGCCTTTACTTAAATATAGAAAAAATATGACATGCTTCTTAATCGGGCATAATTACTGATAACACTGCAGAATATGCAACTTAATAATAAATGCAGTCATTGGCAAAGTGCATATTACAATTTCATGGAACGATAACTGGACAGTGTCAAGAAGTGTCCTTTCCATGCCTGATTTTGCCAATAACAAGCTCCACCCTTTTAGACAGTCACTTAATCCTTTTGAACCTGTTTACTTATTTGTTAAAATATAAATAAGTTTGCCCTATCTGTGCTACATAGCTCACAAGGTTGCTGTGATGACGATAACCTAACATTTACTGAGTCCTATGACTAGGTATCAGGCACTGATTCAATACTTTGTTTATATAATCTCATTTATTTCTTTTTGTTTTCTTTTGAGATGAGGTCTCGCTCTGTCACCAAGGTTGGAGTGCAGTGGTGCAATTATAGCTCACTGCAGCCTCTACTTCCCCAGCTCAAGGGATCCTCCCATCTCAAACTCCCAGGTGATTGGGACTACAACCAGGTAATTCTGACCTCAGGCAATATACTCGCCTGAGCCTCCCAAAGTGCTGAGATTACAGGCGTGAGCCACCGTACCCGGTCAGGATTCTTTTTAATAAGAACTAAAGTGTCTCTAATTTATTTATTTAAAATAATTTATATAATTCTCTTTTATTTCTTATTTTTGAAGCAGGGCCTTGCTCTGTCATCCAGGCTGAAGTGTCATGGCAGGAAGACAGCTTGCTGCAACCTCTGCCTGCCTCCTGGGTTCAAGTGAACCTCTTACCTCAGCCTACCAAGTAACTGGGACTAATGGCTCAAGCTACCACGCCTGGCTAATTTTTGAAATTTTTTTTTTTGGAGAGACAGGGCTTTGCCATGTTGCCCAGGCTGGTCTTGAACTCCTGAGCTCAAGCGTTCCACCCTCCTCGGCCTCCCAAAGTGCTGGGATTACAGGTGTGAGCCACTGCGCCTGGCTAATTTTTGTAATTCTCTTCAGCAGCCACTGTGAGGAATGATAAGACTTTGTGCTGGTGATTAGAATTACTTTTTTTTTTTTTATTATTATTCCACTTGGTCAGTTGTGCCTACTTCTGAGGCCTCAGAGAAAATATAAAAGCTATAAAATTGGAACAAGACTTCTTTCCTAATTCAGCAGGATTCCTGAAGTAATCTATAGAAAGAACATATTTCTACTGATCTCTGAAAGTAAAAAAAATTAAACCTTATATTTTAAGCAAAAAAAAGGATTTAAAATATGTATGACACTAATTAATTGTACATTTTTAACAGCAGGCATGTGTCTATTATAAAAGGTATTTTATGTTATCTCAGAATTAAACACAAGAGGCCTCTCTGTCACAAATGAAAACCCCCATCATCTCAGTGAGTGCTCTCCAGAGAGCTTTGACAGAAACAATCTCAAGTGACTCTGTCGAATGTGGGAGACTGCAATGCAGAATTGGAACCATGGAGTAATTAATTCATTTTTTTTCTTCCATTCAAAGGCGACTTACTTAAATACTATGATTCATTCCACAAACATCTGTGCATAGCCCTGTAAGGGGTATAAGAAAGTGAAACATGGTTCCCTCTTGTCCATACTGGAGGAATGTTCAATCCTGTTTGGGATAAAAGAAAGCGTAGTTGAAAAACAAGACAACAACTCTTATTAAGCTGGCTCTGTATGAAGCAGAGTACCAGGTGCTTTCAGCTGTATCATCTTGTTGAATCCTCACCCTAATTCAGTGAAGAAGGCCTGACTACCCAACTCCATCAGATGACAAAACTGAGGTTCAGGAAGATTTGCAAACTTGCTCAAATCATACAGATGGTAAATGCTCAAATTCAAGTTCAAATTCAGGTTTACCAGACCAATCCCATTGTATTTGTTTTTCCTACCACACCACACTACTCTAAAGTGAAAAACCATACTCAGTGGTAAGCAATTTGGTATTAAGGGGAGAGAGCTAAACTAAGACCTGAATCTTGACCCTTAGAAATTTCATAGAAGCTACTAAATGCCAGTCTAGAGCAGGGCCAGGACTAATGTGAGGCAAGACAGGCACCTAGGACACAAAATTTAAGGAGGCACACTCCCAGTCGTGCAAAAGCCCCAACTGGCTGGGCACGTTGGTTCATGCCTATAAACCCAGCACTTTGAGAAGCCAAGGCAGGAGGATCACTTGAGGCCAGGAGTTCAAGACCAGCCTGGGCAACATAGCGAGACTGTCTCTACAAAAAAAAAAAAGTTTTTAAACAGTTGGACATGGTGCCACGGGCCTGCAGTGAGCTGTGATCATGTCACAGCAGCCTGGGTGAAAGAGGGAAATCCTGTGTCTACAAAAAAAATAAATAAATAAATAAATAAATAAAAATCATCCTAATCAAAACCCAAGCAAATAACTGTCCTGGTCTCTGATTGCTAGAAAATCAAGGAGTGTCTTGACACATTCAGTCCCTAAGTTCTGTTGTCTTCTAACAGTTAAAGCACAGACAACTTTACTACATTAATAAGAAGATAATTGATTTAATTCAGGGTTGCATTTGTATAACCTTAAGAGCAGGTACTTCCCTAAATTGTGTGCCCTAGGTGCCCGGCTTATCCCAGCCCTGGTCTGGAAATTCACCCTCTTCTTCCTACAATCTTAGAGTTTTAGGGCTGGGTTGGAGATTACAAATCACTGCCAGCCAGTGGTAATGGTGGTGGTGATGGTCATGATGATGATGATGATGATGATGATGATGATGATGATGATGAATGGCATTATTTGAGTGCTTACTCACTTCAGATTTTGGCACATGCATCACCTCCCAAAGAGGCATTTCCTGAACATTCTATTTAAAACATCAACTCCCATCACACTCTAGACCCATATCCTACTTTGTCTTCCTAGCACTTATTACTTCCAGACACTCACTAATTCTCTTTATTCATTTGTTTATGTTTATTGTTCCCGTCTTCCCCTAGAATGTAAGTGTGACACATTTTTATTGACCTTGCTTACTTATGTCCATGTGACCCTTGAGCCTGTGCTCTTATTCACCAAGATCTAACAAAAATCGACTGGCGCAATTCAAGGCTTCTGTACAAGGATTCTGCCCTGGGGGATTTCTTCTCAAGCATTAGGATCCCTTCGTTTCCTTAATTTTAAAACAAGGAAACACCCAGGCTCTATTTTACGTCAGCATCCTGAGAAATAGTTCTGCTACATATGTTGTCCCCTTCCAAAGCTGCAGTTAAAGCTTCAGTTTTCTTTGACAGCAGTTTTGGGACTCCCTCAAACTCCTTCTCGGTTGACCACAACATCACATATTGATACCTCTTTCCAAAAAGAAAACCAAGTGCTATAGTACATAAGATCAGACTCACCAAAATACTCGCATAGCTCTCAGTCTGGACAACTTCCAGGCTACTGATTAGCAACCACACATTGCTAACTCCTACCACTAAACTTCACCTTGGGAACGTGGCAGTTTTCCTCTGGCTCCTGCAGAATTCTCTGTGAAAGCAGGCACCATCATAATGCAATAGACAAGAGGGACCGTCTCACCCTTGCATACTGGTAAGATGATGCCCTTTATTATAGGAACCCAAGGGTAGGAAGAGTCAAGGGACTTGATTGCCAAGGAAAAGCACCTTCTTCCAGTTGCCAAGGAAATCAGATATGGCAATGTCATACTCTTTGGCAAAATGCTTTTAAGAACTCCACTCTGACATCCATTTGAACAAAGCAACAAAGAAGTTAATGCTCAAAAGCAAAAAGCAAACATACCAATTCATCCATATTTTTGATAAAAATGTGACAAGAAGCCATCAAATGGAAGCATCAATTTTCAACAAGAAATACATGCTGAATACAGGAGCATACGAAGTATTTTTGTTTCATTTTGTTTTGTTTTGTTGAGACAGTGTCGCTCTGTCACCCAGGCTGGAGTGCAGTGACATGATCATGGCTCACTGCAGCCTCGACCTCCTGGGCTCAAGCAATCCTCCTACCTCAGCTTCGTGAGTAGCTGGGACTACATGCGCATGCCACCATGCCTGGCTAAATTTATTTTTTGTAGAGACGGGGTCTCACCATGTTGCATAGGCTGGTCTTGAACCCCTAGCCTCAAGCAATCCTCACATTTCAGTCTCCCAAAGTGCTAGGATTACAGATGTGGGCCACCACATCTGGCCCATAAGAAGCATTTTGGTAGCAACTTTTTTGTCATTGTTCTTCAGAAATGCATACTTTGAATAGTCATCCTAGTGGCTCTACTCCGTCCATCCTTTCTAAACTGGCCATCTACCTCTGTTTAACTTTATTTAAAGCATCAAGGGAATGACACCTCTCAGGGACCCGTCCATGGTTATTATGTTATTTGGTTTAAGTGAATTTATAGTTTTGTTAAAATGTTCTTTGTTTTGTGAACAAATCAATTATCCTTAACTGTATTTTAAAAAGATTCTAAGCAATTTTATTAGCACAACCCTAAACAGGAAAATCGCCAACCAACCCCATTGAATTGCACTATTGTTTAGTTATTCAAGGAATTTATACAGTGATTTATAAAGATCAGATAGATAAGCATTTTACTTTCAAAGGAAGTAAAGCCTTCCCAGCCTATAACTCTATTTTGATGTTTCTAGAACATATATCTACAGGCTTACTAAGACTCACTGCTATTATTACTGAATTTTTTTCTCATATTATTACTTTATGTGTATTGAAAGGTTTTATTTTGTAGCACACCATAAAAACATAATTTTTTTTCTTGCAGGCTAGATAATTTCACCAAAATGGTAAAGAATTAATATTTCTAAAATGAAATTATATCTAATGACACCAAACCAATGGGGTTAGCAAATTTCAAAAATTTTATTTTTAAAACACAAAGATGTACAAACCAAATTATGGTCTAAAGGGCATAGCAAAATTATCTAGAGATGGATTGAGCTCTGTGAACAATTAGAAACAATACTGAAAGCTGCTCATTTATGTCCCTCTGTCATCATCTCGTCTGGGTCTTTCAATGATGGACTGAGAAATATAGAAAAAAAAACAAAGCAGGGTTTTCAATATGGTTTTTTTTTTTTTTTGGAAACAATAAAAACATTAAACTTTATGTATATAAGTGTCTGTGTACCGAATGGTAGTCCTTTCATGAAAGTCCAGCTTGGGTTTTGTCTGAGTGGGGAAGTGGGGAGGGAGTCTGTGAATACCCCCAGAGTCATTTAAAATATATAGTATTAGCTAATTGATGACAGGACTAAAAACAATAGTAAGTAGGCAGCCTGGCTGTGAGCCAGGAACAAGGCTTTATGGTGAAAGCGAGTTTACATTAGAGGCCTGTTTTTCCCCTTTCCTTATATGAAATGAACAGCTGTAATTGAAAAGCAAGGAGCTCTATGGTTTATAGAAATAGGTGTTGTGAAGAGCCTTGGCCGTCTAATTTTCTTCCTATTGCAGGGCAGGCTTCCATTGTCTGTTTTTTAGAGCTAATTTCTTTTCTGATCAAAAGGCCCACGTCGTTGAAAAGGTAGTAATGACTATTCATTTGGCTGAAGCCTCCATTCTCCAGACTGCAAGCTTTATTTAGAAATGGCTATTTCTTTCTAAAAGGAAAAGCTCATTTATGTCCTCTATAATGTCAATTAAAGTAGAATATATTTTAATTATTTATCCTGAGGAGAAACCTTTTAGGAACTTAATTTAGTATGCCTATGTTATGCAGACACTACAATATGTGAATGTGGAATGATATCTAGACACATGGGTTTTATTTTATTTTACCACTAATGAATAGTTTATTTGCAACTAATTAACAAGTTAAATCGGCACAATTAGTGTCGGATTTCTTTAATAATATAACTCATAAAGGGATAGCCATTGGAACTAGAAAATAAGGTTGGTTGTTGGCTTTGTAAAGAAACCATTCCACAAAAGGGGCAGTTTTTTCCCATTAGAAAGGGTTATTGGGACGTTCTTCCCGTTGCTTTTTCAAATGAAAGCTGGTCTGTGCTGCGGGAGGAAATATGTTCAGAAACAAGGGGAGATGGTGTTAATTACACAAACATCACATTAGCAAAGCCCCGACGTCCTAACTCGGCGATGCTTTTCGGAGAAATGGAATTGGGATGACAGCGGCCTAGACGCCAAAAAGCCATCACGGCCAGACCTCTCGACAGATCTCATTTTGTCGCGCCGTCTGGCCGCCAGCCCGCGGGGAAACGGGTCTGCCTGAGGATAGGCATCCTCCATACCTGGCAAGCAGCAAGCGGCACGTTAGCTGTTCCTGGGCCGCGTCCCCGCTCTCCGTCGCGAGCAGCGGCCCCAGAGCCTCCCTTTTAGGCCACTCAGACGGCAACGCCGGGACGCTGGACCGCCAGGGCTCCAGGCACGCGGGCGCTTCCCCCTCCGCCTCTCCGCTAGCTGGACTCTGCGCCGCCGTGGGAAAGCGCGCGCGCGCTGGGGAATGAGCGTGGCCCCTGCAGGTCGGGGCGTAGCGACCCCGCTCACGCCAGGTCCTTGTCCAAGATGTTGCGCTTCTCGCGAGGCCCGATTTCTCCGTAGATCAACTAGGGGGATGGGGTAGCATCAGGCGAAAATTTCTTTCTCTCCGAATCCGGAGTCCTCTTGAGACTTTCCCAAGCCATTGCCACTATCTGATACGGAATGGGAAAGTGCAGGGTCTCCGTCCCGTACTTGGTGCACAACTCAGCACATAGCAGGTGGATGACAAAGGTTAGTGAAATGAAAAAAAAAAAAAAAAAATGAGGGCGTTGAAGAGATGAAAAGAGAACATAGAAATTCTGCGCACCAAATTCCACGGCTTTCCACTCTCTTAAAAGAAAATGATAAATAAAAAGAAAAACAAAGAAATAAATAAAAGAGTGGAAAAGGAACCGCTGAGTGCTGCCTTCGAATTTAAAATTTTCTCCAGGATGCTCTACCCAACCCCCTGCCATCCTGCGCCCCCTGTGGTTGGGGCGATAGCTTTGCTTGGTCACGCTGGAAGTGCCTGGAGGTCCACTGATTTTCCAGGCACCCTTTCCCGAGAAGCGCTGCCTTGCCTGGTGGACCCGAATGGAATTGTGGAGACATGGAAAAACTCAAACAGCATTGCATACTGATAACGATTTTAAGATTACTTTATTGGCCCCGGCTTCCTGCAGGTCACCTCGCCTCTGTACAGGTGAGCGCTGTGCCTCTGCAGTCACAAAAGGAAGTGGAAAGGGCAACAGGCCCAGTGGGAGGGCAGGCCTGGACGTAGGGGGCCGAGTTCCCCGAGTTGCTCCGCAGGGGTGGGGGTTTGGCAGTCTGCGGAGCTGAGCGCGTGAGGAGAGTTGTGGGGATGGGCAAAGACGGGTGTAGGAGGGGGGTGAGAGGCAAAGAGGCTGACAGCGATGGCTCAGCAAAGCCCGCTGGAAATGGGACCCAGTGCATGGGCAGAGCCTTCCTTCCTCCGGGAAAATGGCAACTTTCGGGTGGTGAGGTCAGCGAGTAAAAGCAGAAGGCAAAGGTTGTCAAATTCCTTGGAGTTGCTGCGCACATAGGGAAAAGAGAGCTGGTGATTAACACCTGAATACTCTGTGGGTGGAAGGAAACTGAGCGCCAACGTGTGGGCCGAGGGGACTCCCAGTGTATTTTCCAAGTACAGCTCAGCCAACCAAGTGAATTGAATGCGGAAACTTTTTTAAAAGTACCCCCGCACCCTCCCAAAAAAGAGCAACACCAAACTACGATAGAATACAGTTGTACAGCCCGCAGGAGACTTTATGGTACCTCGAGGACCTTGTTTTCCCATACCTCGCAGCTCCTAGCAACCTTTCTTTAGAGACCATCGACTAAGTTATTACAATCTACACCCACCAGCCTAGGGTCTTCAGCTGCTTCTGTGACCTGTAAGAAAGAGTACTTCCGCTGGAGACGGTGCTACGCGTTGGCGGAGTGGGGCTGGGGTTCCTACTGAATGCTCCAGGAACTGGAAGGTGCTGTCTCTACCACCCCGTTGAAATGATGGTGACCTTTCTGACCTTTTTTTTTTTTTTTTTTTACAAGGGATGGTTCTACAATAGACCTAAGCCTATGATTTTTTGATCAAGGCTCTCGATCAGCGGCCTAAATACACAATCTTGGCTAGAAGCCAGAGTAAACAGACAAGGGGTGTTCTCAAGGGAAAAGATAGAAATGACTGCTTTAAGAAACGCAAACTGTTGCGGGTTTGTTTTTGGTTTTGTTTGTCTGTTGAAAATCAAGGCGTCTCCGAGAGTCCCCAGGATAAGTTGTTCTCACTTCCTAAAAGCCAGACCCCGAGCTGGGCTTGGCTACACTTGAGAAACCTGAAAGGCGAACGCTAGGCCACAGCCGGAGGGCAACCTTTGCTGACCCTATTGTCAGGCTTCAGCGGGCCCAGGCGAGCCCAAATACCGCCCACCCCACCCCACTCTCCGACTCTCCGTCCCCCAAGCGACACAGACACACATCGGCCCCAAACCACCCAGCACGCAGAGGACACCCTTCTTCTTCTTCTCCTTCTTTTCTTTTCTTTTTTTTTTTTTTTTTTGAGACGGAGTCTCTCGCTCTTGTCGCCCTGGCTGGAGTGCAGTGGCGCAATCTCGGCTCACTGCAACCTCCGCCTCCCGGGTTCAAGGGATTCTCCTGCCTCAGCCTCCTGAGTAGCTGGGATTACAGGCGCACGCCACCAAGCCAGGCTAATTTTTGTACTTTTAGTAGAGACGGGGTTTCGCCATGTAGGCCAGTCTGGTCTCGAGCTCCTGACCTTAGGTAATCCACCCGCCTCGGCCTCCCAAAGTGCTGGTATTACAGGCTTGAGCCACCGCGCCCGGCTGAGGGCACCTCTTCTAATAAGTTGGGTCCTAATCATGCCAGGGACCTTGAAAAAGGTCCCCTATGAGCAGTTACTGAAGAGGAATCAATGCAGATACCTCCGCGCGAGTCGTGGGACAGCTCCTTTCCTGCTCTTTCCACCAGTAGCTCTAAGGCACAATTGCTGAGTGTTCTTTGCAGATATAAGGCACTTGGGACACCTGATGTCGGCCAAGCCTAGAAATAGGAAGAAGGCAGAGCAGGGGTGCCCTATGTACCCAAAGCCCATTGGGCCAGTCACGCTAGAGTCTTGGTCCCGGAGTTTTGCTATAACCCGCCCTCTAAGGATAGGCATCACATCTGCTCCGCCGCAAATCCGCTTGGTCTCTTTCGAAGGTTGGGGCGACCTCCAAGCCCCGCAGGGCGAAGCGGCAAGAGGCTACGCTGGGTGAAGTTTCCAACCGAAGCCAACAAACGGCGCTATTGTCGCGCCCTGGGTTCTGGGAGCCCCAGGGCTGGCTCCAGTCGGAGGGAGCGGGAGCTCTCTAGGAAGGGCGGGGGAATGGGGAGGAGGCCTTGGTCGGGTTCCCAGCGCCAGATCCGGAGCTCTGTGAACCGCCCAAGGGCACTTGGAGGCTGGAGAGGGCGAGAGAGCTGCTGAGCGCGCTCTCTTCTCCTGAAGAGGTTGAAGGATCGGTCCTGGTTCCCACTGCGTTCCTCTGCTTTCCTCGCTGGGTGCAGGGTGCGCGTCGGAGACACTGGAGTTGGGGCTCCGCCAGCTGCCCTGCCTTCCCGCAGCCCCAGCCGGAACCGAGGCCTCCTGCGCTGTGGTACCTGTCGCGACACCTCTCCCGACCCTTAGCGAAGGTTGCGCCGCTGGGCTGGTGGCTAAGCCTGCGCTGCAGGTGGGCTAAGAACTGATTTATTTCCAGCCTTCCCCCATCTCCCCACGCCCGCAATGGTAACCTTGCTTGTCTATTGAAATGATAGCTTGTATTTAGAAAGTGTCCTGGCAAGAGTTTCCAAGGAAATCTGGCGTGGCTCTTACTTGAGAATGTGCAGATCACCCCAGAACCACCAGATACGGAGATTTTATGTATCTACCCCCCGAGAGGGAGCTGGCCTCAGCGAGAAGCCGGGAGAATTGGGAGAGTGTGCCTGGTCCTGGCAAAAGACTGCTGTAAATCTGGCAGGAGGATGTAGGGCAAAAATGAGCTCACCTAAGCCTCGGGCTAAGTGTGATCAAATGTCAGACAGCTGGGAGCAGTGACTAGTTTCCCCTGGTAATCTGCTGCGGGGAGGGTGTCGGCCCAGCACCGTATCCCCTGCCTTGGGAAATATGCAGCCCAGGCGCTGTCACTGCAACGTTTACTTGGGTCCTAAAACTTGGAAAGAAACCTGACATCTGTGAAGCTACTGGACGCCAGGCCGCGCGTCGGTTGGGTAGTTTCCTAAAACGCGCTTCACTTAGCAACAGCCTCCAGGGCCCAGAAAAGCCCAGAGAGGGCATGCGGGAAAGACGGCAGGAGGGCAGAGATATTGCACATTGGCTTCTGTAGGAGAGGATGGATTTGCCTAAGAAAGTTTGACCTTGTCGGCCACTTCGCCAAGAAAACAGGTGCAGGTAGGGATTGCCTAATCATTATGTTTTCTGAGACGTACTTATCAGCTCACGTTCGCTACGCGCGCGCGCGCGCGCGCGCACACACACACACACACACACACACACACACACACTGTATCTACACACAGAAGCCTTCCAGAGAGTTTACTTACATTTAAAACCCTAAATCCGTATACCCATCCAGTTGACTGCAGCCCTTGGCTGCAGAATACTCAGATCAAGTGGAACACAAACTTAAGGGGCAAGTTTCCAGACCCCAAACTTCCGAGAGATGATGCCGACTGGGAGCCGGGATTCTTTTGCCAGAGGTCCGCCTGGCCGAGAGGGGGCTGGCCTGCCCTGAGCCTCCACTCCCCCCCTGACCCCACTAACAAGCCGAAGAGGCGTACTTTTTAATTCGTGGAGAGAAAGGGGGAAGAGCCCAGCATGCAGAAGTCCCGGGATCGCCTGGTCTTGCATTAACGCTAAGACGCTAGAAACCTGGGATTCCCCCATGCGCCCCCCACCCACTTAAGATTATGCTTTCCGTTTAGTTCCCCACCTTTCCACGGGGCTAGGGATGATGGGGGGGCGAGACCCCACACCGTATGGACACCTTATTTTAGTTTCTGCCAAATCTGCCGGGATGGCTTCTCATTCCCACTCGCTACCTCGGGCTGCTCCGAGAGTTTCAAACGCTGTGCCACTCGCTTCAGCTGGCAGTGGCGATTATCGGGGTTTCCTCTCCCCGCAGCCAGAGTTCCCGCGCCGCTAGTCTTTGGCAGATAACCCAACAAGCAAGTGAATGTCCCGCTCCGAATCTCAGGAAGTCTCTAAAACAATAAAAGAGACGGACGGAATCCGTTAGCAGAGCCTGCTCCCGGGGGAGGCGGCGAGGCTGCGCGCCCAGAGTAGCGCTCAGCGGTCCCGGCAGGTGCGGGGGCAGTGGAGGGGGCCCGGCGGTTCGCCCGGAGGACGGCCTCGGCTCCGCTCCGGCCAACGTTCCCCCCTCCAAGAAACTTTTCTTTCACTCTGAGAGGCTCCGTGTTGCCATGAAAACGGATTTTCCAAGGGGCCCGACCCTCCCCCTCAGGGGCATCGGACTGGAAAAACCGAAATGGCCACAGAGCAGAGACAAAAAGGGGCCGCTAAGCGGGGGCCAGGATCGAGAGAGCGGAGGCCAGTTCACCCCCTACGTCCCACACATACTTTCCACACCACCTTGTGCGAGCGCCTCCGACAGGCTCAGGAGACGGGCGACTGACTGCTTGCCCGCCCTCCTGCAAACCCCCAAGAGCCTCACAGCCGAATGCACCCCGCAGTCCTGAAGCCTGTCTCCCATGCCCGGGCCCCTGACCCACGCTGCGTCCTGGACGCACTGGCCCTCCTAGAGAAAGATCTGGACAACCAGCGGCCAATTCCAGGGAGAGCTTCTTGGAGACGCAGCCAGGAGCACTTCCAATGAGCCTGGAGTCCCTAAGCCGGCCTGGGTAGCTGGTGGTGCCCTGCGTTCCTAGCGCTGGCAGCAGAAGCGGCCAGAAAACCTCCGTGCAGACAACGGGAAGCTTTGCGGGCTGGCCGGGGGATGGGGCGCCGGTCTGCCTTGACAGGGTTGCAAAGTTGTTTTCTAAATTCCGAAGGCGCCCCTCTGCCCCCTCCCCCCAATCTGCTTGCGTGCCCCCTCCCCCCTCCCCCCGTCACCTCCTCAGGTTTCGTTCTTTCAAACTTTTTGAAACCCTAATTGGTGGCCTCTGAGTGGGCCTCGTGGACTCCCGCCTCCTAAGTAACTCTTACCACGTCACTAGGCCAAAGAGGGGCGTGGGGTGAACGAAAGGGCTCCCCGAACTTTTTTTTTTCCAGCCAGGCCGAACGGGGGCTCGGTAATGATTGGCCAGGGCGCATCACTGCGAACCTGTCAATCACGGGTCCTCCGGGTTGCGAGGGGCGGACCAAGCCCCAACCCCGGGGAATCCGAGCAGGTATATAAGGGGCCCAGCTAGAGCCCAGGCAGACTGTGAATGCGACCTGTTCGAGAGAACTCATCAGGTGCGAGAAGCCCGCGGGTTCCTGCTGATTTGGCGCGGAGCATTTTGATAAGCCTACCCTTCCCGCCGGACTCGCTGGCCCACAGGCCCCCAAGCTCCGCTCCGACGGAGTCCCAGGGCCTTTTCACCGTGGCCGCTCCAGCCCCGGGAGCGCCTTCTCCTCCCGCCACGCTGGCGCACCTTCTTCCCGCCCCGGCAATGTACAGCCTTCTGGAGACTGAACTCAAGAACCCCGTAGGGACACCCACACAAGCGGCGGGCACCGGCGGCCCCGCAGCCCCGGGAGGCGCAGGCAAGAGTAGTGCGAACGCAGCCGGCGGCGCGAACTCGGGCGGCGGCAGCAGCGGTGGTGCGAGCGGAGGTGGCGGGGGTACAGACCAGGACCGTGTGAAACGGCCCATGAACGCCTTCATGGTATGGTCCCGCGGGCAGCGGCGCAAAATGGCCCTGGAGAACCCCAAGATGCACAATTCTGAGATCAGCAAGCGCTTGGGCGCCGACTGGAAACTGCTGACCGACGCCGAGAAGCGACCATTCATCGACGAGGCCAAGCGACTTCGCGCCGTGCACATGAAGGAGTATCCGGACTACAAGTACCGACCGCGCCGCAAGACCAAGACGCTGCTCAAGAAAGATAAGTACTCCCTGCCCAGCGGCCTCCTGCCTCCCGGTGCCGCGGCCGCCGCCGCCGCTGCCGCGGCCGCAGCCGCTGCCGCCAGCAGTCCGGTGGGCGTGGGCCAGCGCCTGGACACGTACACGCACGTGAACGGCTGGGCCAACGGCGCGTACTCGCTGGTGCAGGAGCAGCTGGGCTACGCGCAGCCCCCGAGCATGAGCAGCCCGCCGCCGCCGCCCGCGCTGCCGCCGATGCACCGCTACGACATGGCCGGCCTGCAGTACAGCCCAATGATGCCGCCCGGCGCTCAGAGCTACATGAACGTCGCTGCCGCGGCCGCCGCCGCCTCGGGCTACGGGGGCATGGCGCCCTCAGCCACAGCAGCCGCGGCCGCCGCCTACGGGCAGCAGCCCGCCACCGCCGCGGCCGCAGCTGCGGCCGCAGCCGCCATGAGCCTGGGCCCCATGGGCTCGGTAGTGAAGTCTGAGCCCAGCTCGCCGCCGCCCGCCATCGCATCGCACTCTCAGCGCGCGTGCCTCGGCGACCTGCGCGACATGATCAGCATGTACCTGCCACCCGGCGGGGACGCGGCCGACGCCGCCTCTCCGCTGCCCGGCGGTCGCCTGCACGGCGTGCACCAGCACTACCAGGGCGCCGGGACTGCAGTCAACGGAACGGTGCCGCTGACCCACATCTGAGCACCGGCCTGCGCTCGTCCACCCTTGTTCCCCACCCCCACCCCCACTCCCGCCCCGCACCCCCAAGTTGGGACGCCTTGTTTAGCTTTGCTTGCCTGGGACTGTTGCCTTGTACCGATGATGGGGAGGGCTGAAAGTTTTGCTGTAGCTGTCGGGTTTTGTACAAAAGCAAAAATAAGTCAGGAGCAGCGAAAATGGGACTTCTAGAGAGCTCTCTTGCCCCACGCCGCTGCTCCTTTCACCTTTGTAGGCTGGGAATCGCTGTGTTATTTGCAAAGAAAAAACAGCCCCCACTCCTCCTCCTGAGTTCCAGGGTTATTCTGTTACATTTGAAAATGTTGTCTTGTTAGTTTGCAGTTAGCCAAGGAGTGAATGGGAGAAACATAGTATCGGGTGAGGCCAGCTGGAGAACTGCAACGCCTACGCCCCCAGTCGTGTCGCGTCTGTTTTCCTCGTGGTTTTTTGGGGCGCTGACCGCTCCAAGCAGCGCGGCAGCTAAAGCCAATGTTAATTTATAGCCAGGTGTGCGTGTGTCTCCCGCCTCGCCGCCCCTGGCCGCGGGACAGCTTCTGTCCAATCATGTTGAGTTGGTGATTTCTGCCGTGATCTGTTTGATATTTCTTCGCGCTAATGTGTTCAGATTTCGTTTGGGTAGTGGGGAGGGGCTACTTTGTTTCAGGGTTTTCAAGCTTTTACTCTTAATTCCTAAATGAGATCAATAAATTTTATAACCAACATGATGGAGTCCTGATAATTTTGCGGCCCTGAAACTTTTTTGCAGGTTGGGGAGGAACCAACACTCGGTTTTACAACTGAGATCCCATCCTAGGGGCGGGGTGGGACCTGGGGGGAGGCAAGCATAATCTGAAATGGTTTCCTTTTAACTACTGGTGATCCACCATACACCAGCTTCCAATATTCTCAACTGAAACTCGGAACAGAGTTCCGAGTCTTCCAGGAGCGTCTCCCGAGAGCGGGCACACAGTAGTAGCTAATGCGCAGAGCCCGCGGCCGCGCACTTGTTGATCGCAGTGAGCGTCTGCTGAAAGTGTCTGCTGCCGCAGCCACGCGAGGCGGGGCTGGAAAGGCGCGGCCGCTGAAACCGACCAAAAACGGGGCACTTTTACCTTTGTGCACTGGGGCGGGAAGACATTTGAGCCTAGCTGAAATATTTACAAAACGAAAACCCTTCGGAAATCTCGATGATCCTATTAAAAATAAATGGTTACAGGGATCCCCAGCAGGAAACAAATACGTTTCAACCCTGGTAGCTGAACCGCCGGAGTCAACATTCAGCGCTGGAAGATTTGGTATTAAAAAGTACTCCTTAGATTTTCAAAGATCTCCGAAACTCCTCCCAGGCGTTTTGTTTTTAACATGTCAACTCAGTCCACCTATTTGTTTTCCAGAGAAGGCTCCTTTTCATCCAGAGTCTCGAGCCCGCTTTCTACTCCATCCCCCTCCCCACTCCATCCCCCTCCCCACTTTCCTCCAGTCCCTGACCCTTGGCCATTCCACTGTGCCCCCCGAAGGGCCTTTAGTTTCGCGCCCAGCCACACGGCCCCAGTGTATCTGTTTGGGGCCTAGGAAGAAAACAAATAGAACCAGTGTTTTTTTACCCCCTCCTCAGCTGTTTGAGGTGATTTCCTTAATCCCTTTAATCCTGTTACCTCGCTATCCCAGAATAACTAAACTCAGCCTTTCCAATAAGCTTGGCCTGGTGCACTGTTTTTATCCTCATCCACTACTGACCACAGGTTTCTTTGCTTGAGGTCCGCTGGGACCCTAGGCGACAGAGTCTCCCGTAAATTGGTCCGAATTCCACATTTCCAGCCGGCTTCCTTTGTGTGGGCCAGTCATTCACCTGCGGGCCGGGGAGGGCCTGGTGGGGGGGTGGGGAGGGGGCTTTCTGAGGCTTCGGGGGTCGTGCCCGCTTTTTACACATCACTGCGGATCCTGGAGACTAAACCCACTCCGCCTCTTCAAGAAAGGTCGGGTCTCCCTGGGAAGGCAGCACCAGCCCCCTAAGACATTTCCACTGCCAACCCTCACCCCCCGCATTCCATCCCCCACTGTGCAGCATGGGGTGGGAGGGGGCCGGCGTTGATTTACAGACCCATACGCTTTGCCCTCCACCCAGTCCTCCTCCTGGTCCTGCCGCGCGTCCAGGCTCGGGTTCGGGTTCAGTCTTAGCCTTGGTACCACTCCCCCTTCTCCCAATCCCAGGGCCACAGACCTCGCCCCCCTCCCGGCTGGTTGGTGCTTCAATCCTTGCTGCTGTGATTGGAGCAAACCTGCAAGCTGCCTGGTCAGTGAGCCTCATCTCCCCTGGCCCCTCAACCCGGGTGCTCCAAAAACCCAGGGGCGAGAGGAAACTCTTTTGTCCCATCTATCCCCCCACCATATTTTTACCGTGTTTGGCCTTCAATAAAATACCTGTCCGTAGGTTACTCTGGGTTTCCAATTGCTAGCAATTGTGGACTCAAATTTGGTCTGAAATGACTCCAGGAAAGGGAGGGTAAAAACAAGCAATTCGCCCCCACTGTGGGAGGCGGTGCCAACAGGGGAATAAACTCTGACACTGCTTCTTTCGAAGAGTCCATTGTGCTGCTGCCTTCTTAGAAGTGCCAGGGTCACCCTTTCAGTGTGTCTCACATACCGCTCACTCTCTCTCTAAACATCCATGGCTTTGTGCTTCACTTTGTCTGATTTCCAAATTGCCCTTAAGGGAAAAGATTTCATCAATCAGCACATTAGGAGGATTTAAATACAGATGAAAAATGATTTTTTTTTCTTTCCTTCAGCAATAGGGAAGAGAACGGAACTGAACTAGAATGAAACTTTCATCTTCTAGGCCAGAGTTTTCAAACTGGGGCCCCTCCCCCACTCCTCCCCACTCACGTCTATCAGGGCAACCGAACCTTAATCCATTTTATAGATTGGGGTTCTGATAAGGTTTAATTTGTAATAAGGGTTCTGCTGCTTAAACAGCAACAATAATGAAATCTGGTCAAACTCCAATTCCTCCTCCCTCCTCTTCCTTGTTTTACATAGGAGGAAACTGGCCCCAAAAGGGGAAATGACGGTGCTCAAGGTTGCGTAGCTGGTTCTACCGCGGCGCAGTGGAACCACACTCCCAGGCCTGGGAGGGTACTCTCTCCTCTGCCGGCCACAAAACCAAGAGATAAACCAGTGAAATCACAGCCCCAGCTGCCCCTCAAAGCCATAATCCAGCGGGGCCTCTAGAGAAAGGCAATTCCTGACACAGAGACTCCTACTAGCCACCTCTTCGTGAATGATGTGATGTGGGAAGCATCAAGTCCTTACCGAGGGAAAATGGCTAGTCCATTTTTTAGCTTCTATGATAGGTGCAGAGCTACTTTTTGGTGGGAATTACCCTAGGTAGAGTTTTGCTTTCCTATCTTCTGACTATACAACTTCCTTCATTAATCCCCCTTCTAGAAATCTAGGAGTGGGTGAGGGTTGGGGCTGAAGAAGCGCATCCAAAATGCAGCCAAAGATTTATAACAAAGATACTCATCACAGCCCTTCTTATGCAAAAAAGTTCCAAACAGACCAAATGTCCAACAAATGGAGAAAGGTTAGGTAAAATGTTTTAAAAAGTCTGCTTTGCAGACATGAAAATCGTTTACAGAGAAATTTTTAATGACACAAGGAAAAGCTTAAAGCACAAAGCATAAACAGCAAGATACACAGAACTATATTCAGTGTATATGACCTTGACTATTTAAAATAAGTATATTCGACTGGAGAAACATGCAAAAATGCAGGGTAGTGTTATGAATACTGGTTAGTCATCCTTCTCATACTTTCCAATTTTCTCTAATAGGATTGCATTCCTGTTATCACTAGAAAAGGCAGGTTTAAAATATATTCTCTCCCTATCACAAATACAAAATTGTGTCTCCTTGTGAAAGAGAAAAGTTCAAGCCTTTCCTTCAGCTGTTTTGGGATGGGGAGGGGGCAGGGAGCCCCAGGAGCAGTAATCCTCTAGCTTTTCTCCAGGTTGGGGCCTGCAGTTAACACAAGCAGGACAAGCACACCAGAGCAACCCCCTGCCAATTCCCCTCCTCAGTAAGCAGGAGCAGGATCAGATTAGTGAGCGGCTCCGTCATTCTTCAGACCCACTCACTGGAGAAAAAGACCTCCTTGGGAGCCAAGCTGAACAGCCTGGGCTGCGGGGAGCTGGGGCCGCTGAGGAACCAGAAGGCGCTTAAATGCAGGGGCCCAATCAACCCTCACTGCCCTCTTGAGAAGGGGGCAGAGAGCAAGCCCAGGGGTGGGTTCCCAGGTCAGGCAGAGGAGAGGTTAGGTGAGCACCAACCAGCTGAGTGGAATACATACAACATGCTGTGTCTCTCCTTTCCATCGTCACCATCCTCATCCACACCACTACTGTCATTTCTTGTTGGACCTCTGCCATGGCCTTCTTCTACCTGTTCTCACTGCTTCTACTCTGCCCGCTTCAACCCATTATCCCTAGAACATTCACTCCACTTGCCCAACATAAATCCTTTCATTGTTACTTTTTAAAGAACTTTCTGGTGGCTTCCTATTGATTGCTCTTTAAAAAATATCCCAACTCTCAAAAGCATTGCCTGATCCAGCTCTTACCTACCTCTCTGGGTTCAACTCCTTGGACCTCTTAGTCTTCCTTCGCTCAACCTCAGCCAGGATTCCTTTTGAGAAATGTTTGTTGAATGAATAGATTATGGTTTGTGTTAGTTTCATATCTCAACACATTTTAAAGTCTAGTAATTGTCTTAAATAAAGATTATTATGCACAGTACATATTTTATTTTTTGCATCTGTAGGATTTCCCCCAAATCCACACATCAAGCACAGATTTCCTAACAATTACATCCATTGACAAAAAGGCACTGTTTCTTTCTTGCCTCAGGGCTTTTGAACTTGCTATTTCCTCTGCCTAGAAAGTTCTTTTCCAAGCTTGCTTCTCAAATAGTCCAGTGTCCTTCTGAACATCCCAGTTCAAGCATCACTTTTTTTTTCATAGAGATGGGGCTTCACTATGTTGTCCAGGGTGGTCTTGAACTCCTAGGCTCAAGCAATCCTCCTGCCTCAGCTTCGCAAAGTGCTGAAATTACAGGTGTGAGCCACCACACTCAGCCACTTTTTCTTTTCTTATTTTTGGAGAGACAGGGTCTTGCTATGTGGCCCAGGCTGGTCTCCACCTCTTGGCCTCAAGCAGTCTTCCAACCTCAGCCTTCCAAAGTTCTGGGATTACAGGCATGAGGCACGATGCCTGGCCCTAGCACCACTTCTTTTAGAGAGGTTTTCATGTTGCCCTTCTTCAGAATAGGATGGATCTCCTTGTTATAAGCTGTTATAGCTCTGGGTGCCTTTCCAACACTGATTCCAGTGATCATTTTAATTTATTTGTATGATTCTGCCTCTTGTCTGCTTTCTAGTCTGTAAGCTCCATGAAGGCAGATACCGTGTCTACTCTTCACCAATACTCAGCACAATGCCTATTTTATAGGAGGCTCTCAGAATATTCATGAGTGTTTATTGCATGTTTAGGAATGGGTGCCCTGGGGACTTAAAGCCAATAGGATCAGTGAAAATCAAGACTGAATTTATAATTTTTTGTCTCCATCTCTTACCAGCTGTGGGCTCCTGAGGACATCACTTACTCTGAGCCTCAATTTGTTGAAATGTCAAGTGGGGACAACAATGTGTCCAGTTTGTTGTTAAGGATTCAATAAAAAACGGTGCTTTGAGAGCTAAGCACAGTGCCTGGCACACATTGTGCAGTATGTGTTAGTTATTATTATCTTTGTACATTTTTTTTTAAAAAAACTTTTTTTTAGGGACAGGATCTCGCTATGTTGCCAGCCTAGAGTGCAGTGACTATTCACAGGTTCCATCATAGTACACTGCAGCTTCAAACTCCTGGGCTCAAGCAATCCTCCTGCCTCAGCCTCCTGAGTAGCTGGGACCACAGGCACATGCCACCACATTTGGCTTATGTAAGCTATTATGATCACTTTCTCAATAGCCTCTGTTGACCTTTCAGAAAAGAGGGAGTGTTCTCTGGTCAGATTGTGTACTTCCCACCATGAGTGATGCTTCTCATTGCTGAGGCTAGCTCTTGATGAAGAAGAAGGCACCATCAGTCTTCACCATTAATAATGAAAAGAAAGCCATACGACACCAAAAGCATAAACAGACACACAACAATAAATAAATTGAACTTCATAAAAATTAAAAATGTTTTGCTTCAAAGAACACCATCGAGAAAGTGAAAAGACAACCTGCAGAACTGAAAAAAATATATGCAAATCATATATCTGATCAGGGGTTTATGTCTAGACTATATAAAAACTCTTGAAACTAAATAATACAAACACAACCCAATTAAAAAATGGGCAGAGGACCTGAGTAGACACTTTTTCCCAGGGAAAATGTACAAATGGACAATAAGCCCATGAAAAGATGCTAAACATCATTAGTCATCAGGGAAATGCATATCAAAACCACAATGAGATACCACTCACAAATAACATGGTTATTACAATAACAATATAAAAGTAGACAATAACAAGTGTTGCCAACGATGTGGGAAAATTGGAATCTTTATTCAGTGCTAGTGAGAGTGCAAAACTCTTTGAAACAAGTCCAGCAGTACCTTAAAAGGTTCAGCATTGATTTACCATATGACCCAGCAGCAATTCCACTCTAAGGAATAACCAAGAAAAATGAAAACATATTTTCACGCAAAAATCTGTAAACTAATGTTAGTAACAGCACTGTTCATAATAGCCCAAAAGCAGAAACAATCTAAATGTCGATTACATGATTAATAGGTAAATAAAATTCAATATATTCATACAATGAATAGTATTCTGCAATGAAAAGAAATTGAGTACTGGTATATACAGGGGCTAGGATCCACACACATATTTCTTTGTTCTGTCAGCTGAGAGGACCTGGAAGCAGAGACATCCCAGTTACAATGAGTACACCTAGTGCCCAGATCTTAGTTTCTAATATCATTCTTCAATAAAAGGAACCAGGGATCTTTGGGAAAATGACTGATTCTAGGACTGGGGCCAGAAATATACAAAATAAGCCTGTTGCGTCTTGCAGTGATGGAAAGTAAGGGAAGGAAAAAGAGGGAGACAGAGAGACAGAGAGAAATAGGGAGAGGGAGAGAGAAGACACATAAACTACAATGATGCTCTGTGTCAAAGGAACACAGTAGCCAACTAAAATAGCTCCCAGTGACCAAATTGGAACAATTTGAGCAACAAAATGAATAAAGCAGTATCGGATTATAACCTCAAGTATTAAAAAATGCATGTATCCACACTGATATAAATAAATAAGTAAATAAATAAATGAGAGGAGAGGAAGAGACAAATCTGTGCAGAAGAAGTCAAAATAATTTATGTAGATACTCTGGACTCAGGGTAGTGGAGCACAACTCCCTATGCCTTAAGTGTGGGCTGCTCATAGTGAGTACCTACCAAAACTGTATGCATAACAGGCAAAAAGGATAACTGCAGTGGAGAAACCTGACAAACCCTATCAAATCCAGATTATCAAGCTCAACATCAACAGTCATAAATCATGTTGATAGCATGCAGCCTTGATATGATGTGATGAGAATGGCACTTTACCTCTGCAGTCTTCCTCCCCAAAACAATAATCCCAGTTGAATCATAAGAAAAGCATAAGACAAATTCTAATTGAGGGACATTCTACAAAACACCTGACCAGAAATCCTCAAAACTGTCAAGGTCATCAAAAAACAACAAAAGGCTAAGAAACAGCCACAAGTAGCGTAAGCAGACATGACTACTATTGTAATGTAAATGTATTATGGTATTCTGATAGGATCCTGGAAAAGAAAAAGGACTTTAGGGAAAACCTGAGGAAATCTGAATAAAGTATGGAGTTTATATAGTAATAACATATCAGTATTGGTTCATTAATTATAACAAATGTACCACACTAACGTAAGACGTTAATTATAAGGGAAATGGGATATGGCATTATATGGGAACTCTCTGTACAATCTTCCCAATTTTTCTGTAATCCAAAACTGTTCTGAAAAGTAAAGTTTTTTCTTTATTTTTTTGAGACAGGGTCTCCTTCTGTCACCCAGGGCGGAGGGCAGTGGCATGATCTCGGATCACTGTAACCTCTACCTCCCGGGTTCAAACAATTCTGTCTCAGCCTGCCCGGTAGCTGAGACTACAGGCATGCGCCACCACACCCAGCTAATTTTTGTATTTTTAGTAGATACAGGTTTTTGCCATGTTGGCCAGGCTGGTCTCGAATTCCTGGCCTCAAGTGATCTGCCCACCTTGCTCTCCCGAAGTGCTGGGATTACAGGTGTGAGCCACCATGGCCAGTCAAGTTGTTTTTTTGAAAAATAAATGATGAACATCGATGAACCTTGAAAACATTAACAAGTGAAAGAAGCCAACTGTAAAAGATTATATATTGTATGATTCAATTTGTATAAATATCCAGAAAAGGCACATCTATAGAAACAGAAATTAGATTAGCGGTTGCCTATGGCTGGAGGGGTTGGGAGGAAATAGAGAGTTACTGCTAATGTGTACAGGGTTTCTTTTTTGCATGGTGAAAATGTTCTAAAATTGATTGGGATGATGGTTGCACCACTTTGAATATTCTAAAACCCATTGAATTTTAAATTTTACATGGATGAATTTTATGGTATTAAATTATATATCAATAAAGTGGCTATTTGAATTTAAAAAAACACCTGGGGCTCTGGTGGCTGATACTAGGAGAGGTGTTTGAGAGAAAGCTGTCCAGTGCTAGGGGCTATTGTACTAACCAGCTGCTACCTCAAATCCAAATGCATTCTGCTAACCTAGTCTGTTAGAACAGGAAAAGTCCTCAGAAATAATCTAATCCAGCACTCTCATTTTACATACAGGGAAACTGAGGCCCAGAGAGACACAGGCATAACAAGGTCACATAGCTTGTTAATGCCAGAGTCAATGAACCAGAGCTTGGGTATTCTCCCTCCCTGTTCAATGATTTTTACAACTACTCTCAACTTGCCTTTAATAAGGCTGAATGTGTTCTTTCCATCTCCACCAGAAACACCTTCTCAGTTTGAGGGTATATAGAAAAGGACAAAACATTCCCAAAAGAAAAACAAAGTAATCTTTTTAGTTACTAAAAGTCTAGAATTAGTTACTGAACATCTAAAATTCCAAAATGGGTTCTTGTGGTAGCAACTCTCCTCAAAAATTTTAAAAGTGAGAACTTCTGTATTAAATAAAATTTTCATTGACAAAAGGGTCCTATTTAAAGAAGTAATTAAGAGCTTGTTTCTTTTTGAAGCATGTATTCTCTATGAAAATGTCAATCAAATGTAACTGAAGTTTAAATTACCATGTTTATTTTACTCTTACATTTTATTAACTAATGATAAATATGCTTTTATATGTGGATCTTGACAATCCCTGATGAGCAAAAATAAAAAATGTATAATACTTATTAAACAGTATTCAAAACATTTAATGAACTTCAATTTTTATCTAAACATGAAACCTTCAAGGACTTTTGAAATATGTTAAAAAGCTTTGCTAATGCTCATGATTTATTTACTCTATAAACACTTTTGAGGCAACCTATATGTCAGAGAGTGTGCAACGATCTGGGAACAAAAGGAAGTCATGTGGCTCACAATGTAGGTTTGGAGAGAGAAGGTCAACAGGTCTCATTCTTGAGACAAAATGAAATGGGAACCATTCCATGGTAGAGCCAGGGTTCATGAGAGAGTCAAAGAAGGGGCTTCCTGGAGAAGAGAATATTTAAGCTGAGCCTTATAGTATACATAGAAATTTCATAGGAAAAGAAGGGGTGGTGGGCATTCTGGGCTGATAGAACAGCATGCAAATAACACAGTCATCTATCTTGGAGTCAGGGAACTTTATGTGGTTAAAGAGCATGGCTTTGAAGGGAGCGGATGGAGTGATGTCATGGGAAATGAGGCTGGAGAGGTAGAAAACGTCATATTCGTGGGCCTTGAATGTCATGCTAAGGGGTTGTGACTTGATTCTGTACTCAGTGGAAACCATGAAATGATTTTGGTCAGTGCTTTATAAAGATCAAGCTGACTACGGTGTGAAGGACAAATTGGACAAGGAAGAGGCTAGAGGCAGAGAGAATAGCCAAGAGGCTGTTTGATTTTGGTTAAGGCAAGAAAGCAATCTCTGAGTCCAGTAGCAATGAGCATGGGAAGTGGTAAGATCAAGAGGTAGGTAAGCAGGGTGAGTCTCTTCTTCATCCTGGTTGGGGGTGACTAGAGAGAGAGGTAGCATGAACAGAGATAGAGAGCACAAGAAAAGGAGTTTAAGTTCTTAAACTTTTTTTTTTTTTTTTTTTTTTTTTTTTGAGACAGAGTCTTGCTCTGTCGCCTAGGCTGGAGGGCAGTGGCGCAATCTCGGCTCACTGCAACCTCTGCCTCCCAGGTTCAAGCAATTCTGCCTCAGCCTCCCGAGTAGCTGAGATTACAGGTGCCCACCACCACACCCAGCTAATTTTTGTATTTTTAGTAGAGACGGGGTTTCACCATGTTGGCCAGGCTATTCTCGAACCCCTGACCTCGTGATCTGCCCGCCTCGGCCTCCCCAAGTGCTGGGATTACAGGCATGAGCCACCGTGCCTGGTCAGTTCTCAAACTTTTAAAGTGAAAAGAATAGATTTTGATATGTGACTTTAGTTTGGTACTATATGTTTCCATATATAATCACATTAATATCTACATCACTTTGTTCAAATGAACCATTGCCCCATCAAATTTAATGTGGTTTTGTAGGTTAATAAAAACATATTCCATCTACTAGCATTGCTCAATTGAAAATGATTCTATTTGTTGCTTTATTAATTGCGCAATTGAAATACCATTATTTGCAAGTAGATAGTTTCAAACATTCAGAAGTAGTCTGTGCATTCTTTTCTGAGAAGACCTCTAAGGTGCTTTCTAACTTTAAGATTCTTCTGTGAGACTCTGTGCAGGAACAGGATATCTGTAATGTCAAAAACCCCAAACTGCTCAGCAAAATTGGAATGGTAACAAACTTCTGTGCTCACACCCTGGGTAGGATAGTGTTGTCAACACTTCCAGCACAGCTGATAGAGCTGTCTTTCAGTCTGTCTGCAGGCTCTGTTTACATTCTGCAGGTTAGCTAGAAACACACTCACCACCACCAACCCCTGATAAAGATCTCTGGGTCAACTTGACATCTTCTAGACTCTTCATGTACTGTGTTTCTTCTAACAAGCTCTCCTGCTATGTCACATTGTATAATTTCTTTGGGAAAAATAAATTAGGCTGAGTATGTAAACAACATATGAACTCTAGAGATGTTGCCAATAATTACAAGCAGCAGAAATCAACAGCAGATTTACGCAGCACACTTAAAAAGGGAACTTGTCCAATTTGGAGAGGGCTCAGGTTAATCTGAAAGGCGAAGAGAGTCACTCATATTTAGAGTCTTCAGTGAGGTAAAATGAAAACCCAAAAATGGCTGCAAAGATAAGGAAATTTTTTTTTAGGATGCGAAGTAGTTGCTTAGGAGAAGATATACATAGATAGTACACACAAAAACACATACACACAATAACACTGGTTTGATGAAATGTTGAGGATCTCCAGGGCTTCACTGTTGCACTTCCTAAGCCACCTCTACATTAATACTCCCAAATGTCCAGTCCATATGATTGTCCTAAACCTCTGCCCTTTGAATCCTGCTGCCTCCTAAGTATATTTACAGGGGTGTCCCACAGGCCCTCAAACTTTGGCCAGCAAACTAGTATATCATATTCCTCCCCAAAGCAACACCTCCTACTTTATTTTCCATCTTAATTAAACAGCGTCGATGTCTGCCTAGATATCTGTTTCCTTCTCACACTCCAACCCAGCTTGCTCACATTTTCAGAATTCATCTGCTTTTCATTGCCACTGCCTTATTGGGGCTTGTATTACTTATCTATTGCTGTGTAAGAAATTATCTCAAATGTTGGCAGTATAAAACAACAGATACCCTACTTGTTAATTCCAGTTTCTGTGGCTCAGGAATTTTGGTGTGGCCCACCTGGTTCAGGATCTCTTACAAGGACGCAGTCAAGGAGTTAGCCAGGACTACAGTTATCTCAAGGTTCCACTGGGGTAGGATCCATTTCCAAGGTAACTGATGTGGCTGTTGGCTTACCTCAGAAGATCTACTTCCCAGTTCACTTAAGTGGCTGGTGGGCAGGCCTCTGGTTCTAGCTAGGTTTTGGCCAGAGACATAAGCCACTTGCCATCTGAACCTCTCCATAGGGCCGCTCACGACATGGCAGCTGATTTTGGAAGTCATAGCCTTTCTGTAACCTAATCTCAGAAGAGTCATCCAACACCTTTACTGTATTCTGTTTATAGGAGTGAGACATTAGGTCCAGGCCACACTCAAGGGGAGGGGAATAAACAGGGGCCTGAATGTCAGCAGGCAGAGATCATTGGTAATCAACTTAAAGTCTTTCAGCAGGAAGGTCCTTGTCTTTGGCTGGAATGTAATGCAGGCACTAGCATCCCACTGGCCTCCAGGGCTCCAGGGTCACCTCGCTCCAGGTCATCTTTCATATTGAAACCAGAGCAGTTTTCCTATGAAAACAATCTGATTATGTGATGCTGCTGCTAAAAACCAACTCTGTTGGCAACCTGTGCTACCCATAGGACAAAATACAAGCTCCTTGGAAAGCCATCCAAGGCCCTCCGTGATCTGTTCCTGACTTCTTAGCTCCTTGGTCTTGTTTCATATCAACACACTCTTCCTCTAGAGCAATACCAAATTTCCCACGATTCCCAGGTTCCCTGAAACAAACCAGGTTCTTCTAGGTCCTTCTACAATTTCCGAGGCAGTGAAGAATGTATGCTCCTCTGGCTGCCTGGTCTTGTTTTCTGCCTTTCATCCTTCGAGGCACAGCTTCAGTGGCACCTCCTTTCAGATTCTTACCCTGACTATCCCTGTCTGTGCCTCCCAAACTCTTTGTATGTAGTTCCATTTGAGGAACTTACACAGTGCCTGGCATATATGATGAGACACTTGATGCCACTTCGTCGTTTTCTTGAATAAAACCAAATAGAGCTAGAGCTGTACGAAAGAAAAAAAGGCATAGATTATTGAAGTTCAAATGAGGTAGGACTTGGAGGGCTTGAGAGGAGAAAGGAACGCATTTGTCTGAGATTACACTGCTATTCACTGACTGAGTTGGAACAACTAACAAGCTTAGCCAGACCTCCTTCCATCAACTCAAGTGCTCTTGCTACTCCTACAAAAGTAACTTCACTGCTTTTAAGCTCCCTGTTGCCCCCCAAAATCTATGATTCGCCAAAGGTAGGAAAAACGGAAGTTTAAAAATAAGCCTGCAGGTGATGCTTCTCCATTCCTGTTAGAATCAACATGAGTCCTATTACTATCTCCATCTTGTGTGAACATAGACTTCCTGCATGATAGGGTGGCGAGAATCACATTCTAATTTGGAGTAAAGAAATCAGAAGAAATTCCGTCCCCTTTTCAGTTTTTGTTGTAGGGCTGAATTTGTTTGCAGGAGTTTATGGTCCTGGAGGACCACTCTTGGGCCTCCTCCAGTAACTGCATTCTTCTCCATTTTCTGTATGTTTATTCAGCATTCTCCTTTCTGGGTACATGGATTTCCATTTCCAGAGCTAAAAGCTCCAGGATATTCATGGGAAGAAATGTATGGACAGCAGAAGGTTCTCCTTTCCTTCTTCTTCCTTTTCTACTGAATAAGTCCTTAACATACCAAAAAGAGCTGTCCTAGAGATAACAAGGACTTGCAGCATGTGATGCCTGAGTAGCTACAGCAGCAAGGGCAATTCCAGTGACAGTGCAGGCTCTGAAATCAGCAAGAATGAGGAATCTGACAGGAGGTGCTGAGGAGGAATATGCTGCAACGGCTCACGAAGTGCTGATGTGGGGAGGGCTGTGGCAGGGCAGCTGGTTGTGCGTCAAAATCCCAAAGATATAGTGAGGTTCTTGCTAGATATTATGTACTTTCAGTGGAGAGAGGAAAGAATTAGGGCTCAAATTGTGAAGCCGGTTAAGTCTTTCAGAGCTTGACCAGTGTAACCAGTTGGATTTTAAATTTCAGCTTCTACCCAAGTCCATAGCTTAGCTTGCTTTCATTGAATATGTTTTGTGAACCTCTCTCAGACTCAAGTACCTCTTCTGCAAAATGGGAATAATAGCGGCACTTACTTTATAGCATGGCTCTAAGTTTAAATAGGAGAATGTATATAAGGGGCTTATCACTCAATACAGGGAAAATATTACCTTTATTATTACAATCCTGGAAGAATCCAAAACTCCACATTCCAAATGAACATTAGACTATGAACTCTAATAAATCAACCCATGTAGTTTCTCAAGACAAATAATATCCAAGGTCACACAGGTAGTAAGCAGAGGCTTCGCAAGAACCTCTGTGACCTTGGATATTATTTCCTAAGCTCTCTGAGCCTCCAATTTCCTTATCTGTAAAATGAAGACAATAATAGTATTGACTTTACAGAGTTGTAGAAAAGATTAAATAAAAGACTTAGCAATGCCTAGCATATACTATTATTATTATTATTATTATTATTATTATTCTAGACACAGCCTTTCTATAGCTTTATGCAATCCAGGTTTACTTTCCTGCTGTAGTGGAAAGAGCACAGGCTTTGCAATTGGACCAATATCAGTTTGAGATGCTTAGAGTGTAGATTCCAGAGTCTTAGTGCCTGGGTTTCAATCCCAGCCCCATCAGTAACTGTGTGACCTTGGGCAAGAACTTTAACTAAGAGTCAAAGATTTATTATAGATTATTTACTTACATTTCAATAGCACACACAAACTATTACATTTTCTTAGGTCTGAATTGAAATATTAGCAGTATATTTATTTTCAGAAGTGGTTTCTATAATTTTGTAGCCTTTTAGAAGCCTCAGTATATTATGTTGACCTTTCTATTCTTCAGTTTCCCCATCTGCAAAATGCTGATTATAACGGCACATACCTCTGAGTTCTGTTATGACCATCTACCCAAAATTTGGTCCAGTGTCAAGACTGATGATGCCAAACACAAACAAAAAGTGTATGAAAAGGTTTGTTAATTGCATAATTGGGGCTCTCCAAGGGAGAGCAGGGCAGGCATCCCAAGCCGGCCCAAAACTGGCTTGAGAGAGCTAGAAAAGGAGATTGGACAGGGGGTTTTATTGTGGCTAGGAGGTAGGACCAGGGTATGGGTTCCCACACATGGTCAGGGGCTTATGTGGTTTGAATCCTGCCAGAACTAAAGGAGGTAGTGCCCAAGCTTTCTTAAAAGCTTGCCCAGATGTGGAGAACAGTGGGACGAGGGGGCTGAAGCTTAAAAGCTGCCAGCACTCAAACATCAAAAAATGGAATCAGACTGCTTGTTACAAGTTGTGACCCAATAAATGAGATAACACACATAAAGTACTTAATGAATAGTGGCTGTTATTATTTGAACCAAAAGTCTTGATAAAGTCATTGGCTGCTTTATTGCAAATCTGTGAATCTGTGACTTCTTTATGTTGAGGGGTTCTGTGGTATAGTGGAAAGAACACTTAATGAATAGGTCACTGGGTAACCTAAGGTCTACCCCTCATTAGTCCTCATTAACTTCCCCTCTGGGCCTCAGGTATAAAATAAAGGGGTAGGACAAGATGTCCTAGAAGGCTCCCTGAGAGTCTAATAAGGTCTGAAAGGCATGATGGTTGGCTCATTCATTAAGTGGTATTGCTGCAGAATGAAGAACCACTGGCATTCCTTTTCAGTCCACTTTCCACTGTTCCATATGTTGTTACACTCTATAACATTTGAGTCTTTAAGGCAGATTTAAACCACTAGAGTAAAGAAGTAAACAAACAATAGACCGAGAATATGAGCTCTAGGTTGTCTTTTTTTTTTTTTTTTTTTTTTTTTTTGAGACAGAGTTTCGCTCTTGTTGCCCAGGCAATGGCGTGATCTCGGTTCACTGCAACCTCCACCTCCTGGGTTCAAGCGATTCGCCTGCCTCAGCCTCCCAAGTAGCTGGAATTACAGGCATGCACCACCACGCCCAGCTAATTTTGTATTTTTAGTAGAGACGGGGTTTCTCCATGTTGGTCAGACTGGTCTTGAACTCCCAACCTCAGGTGATCCACCCACCTCGGCCTCCCAAAGTTCTCGGATTACGGGTGCGAGTCCCCGTGCCCGGCCTTAGGTTAAGTTTTAATAGATCAACAGTTGTTCCATAACTTTCTCACAGTCTGAAAAAAACAATGTTCCACATCAACCTTGTCTGCAATAACTTTGATTTTTCCATTCTTAAAAAGCATTCTCTTTTTTGTCTTTATTATAAAGACATATCCATTAAAATATTCATTTGAGATGAAAAAGGATGGAAGAAAGGGGAAAGAAAATTACTAGAGAGAAAGAAAATTTAGAAAAATAGTTTCCAGAAATGAGAAGATCTTACTTCTATCTTAAGAATGTTTCCACTGGTGAGCAAGCTAGCATTACTGTGTCTGGAAGGCGTATGGTTTGCAGGACAAGACACAGAACTACAGCATGTCTTTGATGAACATTTGTCAGGGACAAATGAGGTCGAAAGACAGTTTCCCAGGGAATTGTAACTTGTTTGCTCAGAGCAATTCCTGATGTCTAAACTCTCAGACGTCCCTCAACTCAGCCATGCATAAGAACATTCTTGTCGACAGTGAGTTTCAATCTACTTTTGATCACTTTCTTCAAGCCTGTCAACACTTCAATTGCAGTTCATTTGGGGAGGGTGGAAGGACCTAGACTATGAAAAGAGCACAGCAGACTAGGAGGTAAGCCATTCTCAAGAGGACGTTGCCCAGGGTTGTGCTTGCTTAAAAATATGATATGGCCAGGTCTGCTTTAGTAAGAGCCACTCTTCTTGGCTTCTTTGGCTCTAGGTATGTCACAGGGCATCTCTATGTCCTTTCCGAGAAAAGATGTGCCTTATGGAAAGTTTCCATCCATTTTTACCGAATTTTACATTATATACATATTTCCTAGAGGAGATACTCTATTTCCACATGTTGAGGCACATAATGTGCCATGGATCTCATTCATGTCACATTTGACTGTCCCAGCCAAATGGATGCCCAGCTTGGAGGCCTCCAGGGATGAACGGATCACTACCTTGTGGGGCAAAGTGGCCCCTGTTTGAAAAGCTCTTACTATTCTGTTTTGTACCTGCCACCCATTCCTCCTAGTGGGGACTTACAGAGTTTCCTCTCTATCCTAGGACAGCACTGTGCAGTAATTTTGCTCATCTCCAAGCCAATCACTCTCACTTCCTTCAACTTTCTCTCATTTGGAAGGTTCTAGGTGCTCTTCAATTTTCTTGTGTCTCTCCTGAGAAAATTTTGCAATATTTCTTCATCTATCAGTACAGTGTAGCAGCCAGAAGTGAACACTGGGTGGGGTTTGACTAGGGCAGAGCAGAGCAGGACTCACTTTCCCAAACTGAAGAGCAAGTTTCACCACCCCGGAAGTCTATGAGTACATTACACTGTTGACTCACAATAAATTTCATATTGATTAATTTAGCTACTCAATCCCACTTCATTGTCAGGTCCTGATTCTGTCATCCAACACATTCTTCCCAGCTGCTATTCTATAGAGATAGCTTAGCCCAATTTTATAATTAATATAAATTAATATATAATTATATATAATATAATTTCATATATTGTATATAATTTGGGTTATATACACATTTTGAATATTTATCATATATATGGGAGTGTTTGTGTGTGTGTATCTATCTATATATGAAGGTCGAATATTTATCATATATATGGGAGTGTGTGTATGGACACTCCCATATATATGATAAATATTCAACCTCTGTATATTTTAAATATATATTTATGTATATATAAAATCAAACTGATGGCCATATATATATATATATATATACACACACACATATATAAAATCATATATATATAATCAAACTGATTGCCACTTATAATTTTTTTTTTGAGATGAATTTTCACTCTTGTTGCCCAGGCTGGAGTGCAATGGTGCGATCTTGGCTCACTGCAACCTCCACCTCCCGGGTTCAAACGATTCTCCTGCCTCAGCCTCCCGAGTAGCTGGGATTACAGGCATGTGCCACCACGCCTGACTAATTTTCCATGTTTAGTAGAGATGAGGTTTCTCCATGTTGGTCAGGCTGGTCTCGAACTTCCGACCTCAGGTGATCCGCCCGCCTCGGCCTCCCAAAGTGCTGGGATTACAGGTGTGAGCCATCGCGCCCAGCTGCCACTTAGAATTTTTAAAAGTGAATTCTGGTCACTGGGTAAGTACCCACTTATCTTTTCTATTTCTGCCATTTGGACAATGGGAGTACAGGGGACATTGATTTCTAGTCCAATTCATTTTGTGATCCTGCGCATTTATACACACTACCTCCAGACTTAACCCATTTGATTCCTGGCATGTCATCAGGTCCTTATTCTTCTCATATCTATACCAAACCCTCTATCCACACTGAACTAAAGTCACCACCATGATTGACTCTTAGGCCCCTTGACCCCAGGATCCAGGACTTCAGCTTGAACACTAACCCAAAGAAATCGTGTCAGAACTAAAGCAAAATGGCTTGGACAGTAAGGGCTGCACAATACTGGGGCAGGCTCCTGAGAGGGTCTGGGGCTTCCTTTCCGAGAGGGTCTGGGAAGGCACTTGGAAGTTCTTTTCAGGGAAGGATTCTCAAAGAAAGGAAAAAGTTAGCTTCTTTTATCGTTATACCTAGACCCTAGAGAGCTATTGGTGAACATCCAGCAAGAATAGAATAAGAACTCCAGTATTGCCTCTAAGCCTTAACCTCCCACAGCCACTGAGCTCAGCTTCATTTGTTGTGTTCTAATAAACTCAGGACCAGATTGAGATTTGGACAGACATGGCTGCATGCTGTTGATGATGATTTTAATATCTTGAAAGCTCGTGAAATTCCAGCATTTGATCTCCACAGGGACTGTTAAACCGAACAAGCTACAATGTCTTTAGTCACAAATATTAGCAAGACACTCCAAGTTGCAGTATATATGAAAGCTACTTACTGAAACTGTTGCTTCTCAGTGACTTCCTTTGACTACTTTATCAGTAGCTGCCAGATTCCAAGATCCCCTACTCTTGTGATTCGCTGAGCATGGAATTTATTCAGTCTTTTAATTGTGCCTAAGCATACAAAAAACAGGGTTTCTTTTTTCTTTCTTTTTTTTTTTTTTCGAGATCGAGTGTTACCCTGTCACTCAGGCTGTAGTGCAATGGCCTAATCATAGCTCACTACAGCCTCAAACTCTTGGGCTCAAGCAATCCTCCCACCTCGGTCTCCCAAGTAGCTGGGATTACAGGAAAACTCCACCATGCTGGGCTAATAATTTTCTAGTTTTATGTAGAGACGGAGTCTCCCCATGTTGCCTTTTTTTTTTTTTTTTTTTTTTTTGTTAAATGTAATGGCTTAGGTTATAGATCCTAATCAATAAAGCTTTTTTTTTTTTTTTTTTTTTTTTGAGATGGAGTCTCACTCTTGTTGCCCAGGCTGGAGTGCAATGGCACTATCTTGGCTCACTGCAACCTCCGCCTCCCAGGTTCAAACAATTCTCCTGCCTCAGCCTCCTGAGTAGCTGGGATTACAGGCACCCCCCACCACACCAGGCTAGTTTTGTATTTTTAGTAGAGACAGGGTTTCTCCATGTTGGTCAGGCTGGTCTCAAACTCCTGAACTCAGGTGATCCTCCTGTCTTGGCCTCCCAAAGTGCTGGGATTACAGGCATGGGCCACCACACCTGGCCCAAAAAAGCATTTTTATCCACCAAAATACATAAATAAAAAGATACAGACACACACACTCACAGAATTTCAAGAAAGGGCCGATGTCATATTCTAGTCCAAACCCCACATCTTTCAGATGGAAATGCAAGCCCAGAAAGGAGAAGGAGTTTCAGCAAAGCCACACCAGGAGTTAGTGGTGGAGCATGGACTAGGACTTGGGGCTTTTGGTTACCAGCTTAGTGTCCTTGCCTCCATACAATACTAAAAGTTGATTTAAGATAAACCTATCATGTATCCATGTTGATGACTGAGGGAACCCTGCTAGTGAATACTGATATTTTATCAAGAGTGAGAAGCACCACTTTCTTTTCCCTTCCTTTACTGTGGGAAAAATTAAATATTCTTCAGAACTTGTTTTGAGATACATTTGTCCACTCACGAAAATACATTTCTACATAAATTTAAAAATTCAAATATGTATGCACAATCAGTACTTCTTGAGCACCCACTGTGTATACCTAGAGAAGTAGAGTAACATACATAACTCTGGTCCTGGGTCAAACACTCACTTGCATTCTGCAGAGAATGAATTCGAATCTTTGCTTCAAAACTGTGGTTACCATTTACATAACTTTATATTACGATTAATGTAATCCATATAACAATATATATCATAATAATGTTATCTAGTATAAATCAAAAGAATTAAAACATTTTACCCAGATTTTTGTCTAAACAGAACTGAAAAGTGGTGTTAAATTCCCTAGCTTTGTGTTCAATTGATTTCCCGGCATGCTTTTTCTTAGTTGGGGATGTTTACTGACCTCAAAATGGCTCTGGACATCTCACCCATCTGTTGGACTAAAGAAATGTAGGTGGCCAGCAAAAACTTAGCAGTCAGCGAGAGGTACTTCTCATTAGATAACTAAGGAAATGTCTAGTTAACAAAGCACTTTTCCCTCACATTGCTTACTTTCCTACCAGCAGCTACTGAGCATGCTTAAACTATCTCCACAAATGCTTATTTTCTAATTGAATTTTTCTTATTTTTACTGTTGAATTTTGAGAGCTCTTTATATATTCTAGATAGAAGCTCTTTGCCAGATAGTGTTCGTCAATATTTTCTTATTCTTTGGAGCTTGTCTTTTCATCCTTTTAACAGCATCTTTCCCAGAGCAGAACTTTTAGTTTTGATGAGGTCTTATTCATTAAATTTTCCTTTTTTGGGCTATGCTTTGGATATCACGTCTAAAACATCTTCAGCAAGCCGTATATCTTGCCTATGCTTTTTTTTTCTAAAAGTTTTAGAGTTTTACAGTTTATAATTAAGTCTGTGATTCATTTTGAGTTAATGTCTGCTTAAAGCACAAGGTTTGGATAGATGTTATTTATTTATTGTCTATGGGTGTCCAATTACTCCAAAATGGTGTTGAATTGCTTTTGCAACGATGTCAAAAATAAGTTGGGCTTCTTTGTGAGTCTATTTATGAATTCTTTTTTGTGCTCTATTTATCAATGTTATCTATCTCTCTGCCACACTGTCATAATTACTGTAGCTGTGTAGTGAGACTTCATATTAGATACAATCAGTGTTCCTATGCTATTCTTCTTTCTTCAAGATTGTTTTATTTATTCTATGGCCTCCACCTTTCTAGGTAGATTTTTGAGATAGTTTGTCTATGTCTACTAATAAAAACAAGATCAACTATTACTCACTTTTATTCTACTATTAAAATTCTCCAAAAATAAAATTTCCTAAAAACAGGGAGATAATTCTACCTATTATTGCCTGCACTGGGGTGGGGGCACCACTCTCACTACCCTGCCTTTGGAAGGCCACTGCTCCACCCTAAGTTTCTTAGTGAGTGCCCCAATTGGTGTTGCATTTGTAGCTTCCAAACACTATTATTTTACTGCATGGTGATATTGTTGGTGACTTTCTGTAGGGTACTTTTTTTGGTCTTTCTGAGGCCTTCAGGTGCTCACAGCATCGGCTGAGGTACAACACATACTACTGTGAGGAAGGTGGCCTGGAAGTGATTTTGTTGTCTGCCTTTGTGAGAAGATTGTCACTGTTACATTGGTATCGCCCACACAGCACACCTCGACCCAGATGGGCCCTTCCCATTTCTACTCCTACCTGCTCCCTCACCCCGACATGCAGAAACACCAAGCCCCTTTTCCCATTTGCCTGTGGGATGAAGTGTGGAGGAGGAAATGTGTCTTCCATGTTCAGTCTTCCCCCGTCCTTATTTTGAATGTCTGGCTAACCGTGGGACTCCACCTCCCTCCCTCCCTTCTTACACACAGGGCTTACTTGGATTGGTGGCATTCTCTGGGGATCTCTTGGTTCTGATTTCATTTCTTAGTCAACATGTGGTAACAGACAATTATTGTTGACTTTTTCCCCTCTCTTATGCTTTCTTGATTGGGTAATAGATGTTTCAGAGGACTTTTTTTTTGCTCGCAGAAGGGTAAAGGAGTAATTTATATCCTCGTGGCTGGCTTGTGTACCTGGGAAGGCAACAGAGTGAGCGCAGAAGGGCAATGGTTTAAGGGAAGAGGTTAGAGATGGGATGGGAAGAGGGGCTTCATAGGGGATGCAGGCTGAGGAGGGGTTTGTGCCAGGCCAGGAGAGGGTAGTGATCTTGGGGGAATGTATGGGGAAGAAGAGAAGGAGCATGGGTGGGGTCATCTGACCTGGCAACTGTCTCTGCACTTGCACTGGCAGGGGGTTGTCCCCTCTTTCTTTTCATCTTGAGCACTTGTGGCTGATTGTTCTACTCTTCTGGTTGGTTGGTCCTTATCTGTGATAAATAGCTGTGGTTTGCTTGTAAATCTCAGCCAAGTTGAAACCTCCCAGTGGTCTGTCCCAGGGCTCTTCCCCTCCCTGTATGTAGCCTCCCTGGGGCAAAGCCAAGCCACACTCTTAAGCTTTGTTTGGTTATCCAGGCACTGCTCCAGCTAATGGTAGCCCTGGAGTGTCTGAGACATCACAAAACACAACCCCAACACCTCCATTGGTGTTTGGGTGGTGGTGGGGAGGCTAAGATGCTGTGATTGGAGAAAGGGGGTTTCTTTAACACCACATAAAGAGCCTTCCCAATCAGATCTGCCACTCCTTCCTCTTCTCCACATATTCAATTCTGTCGACCCACATGGCAGAGAGAGGTTGCTTCCTCCAAGTTGTTCCCCATAGCCACCACATCAGTGGTTCGTTTTGTTCTCTCCCACCCGTCACCATTACCTAGTTTTTTGGATGACTTCCCTAAAATCCCTCTAAGGTAAAGTGGCCACATTTAAGTCTCTGTGGCCATGTGAATCATCCTACTTGTCTCCAACCAAATTATGTGCTGTTTTTATTGACTCTCAAGCTAAGGATGTTTTTTGCATTTTTAAATGATTGCAAAAAATTAAAAGAAATATATTCCGTGACACACAAAACATACAATTAGGACTTCAGTATTCATAAATAAAGTCTTATTGGAACATATATATGCTGATTCAAATATGGCTTAAGGCTGCTTTTTGTGCAGTAGAGTTGAGTAGTTTGAACAGAGACTGAATATTTACTATCTAGCCCTCCGTGAGAAAGTTTGCCAACTTCTCTATTCGGTTCTATTGATATATTTGCCTATCCTAATATCAATATCATATGGTCTATTTCATCTTGGCTGAATTCTGGTAGTTTGTGGTTTTGGAGGAGTTGATGCATCTCTTCCAAGTCGTTAAATTTATGAGTGTAAAGTTGTTTATAGTAGTCCCTTATTATTTTTTCCATGGCTGCATGATCTGTAGTAACATTTTTCATTTCATTCTTGATATTGACTATTTGTGTTTTCAGTCTTTATTTTGTTAGTCTTGGTACAAGATCATCAATTTTATTGATTTTTTTTCAGGGAAACATCTTTTCATTTTATGAATTTTCTCTATTTTCTCCAATTTCCTAGATTTATGCTTTTATCATTATTATTTTTTCCTTCTGCTGGCTTTGGGTTTATTTTGTTCTTCAGTTTCTAGTTTCTTGAGGTAGGAACTTTGATTGTTGATTTGAGACCTTTTCTTATTTGTAAGCAAGCATTTATTACCACGCATTTTCCTCTCAGCTTTAGCTTAGCTGTGTCCCATATGTCTTAATAGGTTGTGCTTCCATTTTCATTCACTTCTATGTATTTTTAAAATTTCCTTTGAGGTTTCCTCTTTGATCCATGGATTATCAGTATGCTGCTTAATTTCCTAGAGTTTAAATAATTTCCTGTTAACCTTCTGTAGTTGACTTCTAGTTTGATTCCACTGCGGTCAGAGAACATACTTCGTATGCTCATTTTATAAAAAAAAATGCTGAGGTTTGTTTTATGGACTAGGATGTGGTCCTTCTTGGTGAATGTTCCATGGGCACCTGAAAAAAAATATTTACTCTGCAGCTGTTGGGTTGAGTATTGTATTTTCTATATATGTCAATTAGATCATATTGGTTGATCCTGTTGTTCCGTTTTCCTACATACTTGCTGATTTTTTGCCTAGTAGTTATATTGATTGATGAGAGTAGTGTGTTGAAGTCCCCTACTGTTACTGTGGATTTGTGTATTTCTTCTTTCATTTCTATCAGTTTTCGTTTCATAGATTTTGAAGCTCTGTTGTTTGGTGTATACACATATCAGGATAACTACGTATTCTTGTGGAGTGTTCCTTTCATTTTTATATAATGTCCAATTTGCCCCTAGCAATTCTTTTGCTCCAAAGTCTACTTTATCTAATATTAATATACCTACTCCTGCTTTTTAAAATTAGATTGTGCATGGCATATTTTTCATTCTTTTACTTTCTATCTACCTTTGTCATTATGTTTGAAGTCAGTTTCTTCCAGACAGTGTGTAGTTGGGTAATTTACCTTATCCACTCTTTCAATCTCTGTTTTTTCATTGGTGTATTCAAACCATTTATACTTAATTTTTGATATGTTAGTGCTTAAGCTGCCATGTTATTATTTGTTTTCTGTTGGTTTGTTCCTTTTCTTCATTGTGCCTGCCTTCTTGTGGGTTACTTGAACATTTTTAAGAATTCTATTTTGACTTTTTGTTTCCTAATATATCTCTTTGTATAGTTCTCTTTTAGTAGTTGAGCTAGGCATTATAACATAAATATATAACATTGAGTCTACTTGTTTTGATATTTTTCTACTCATTGAAACTGTACTTCTATTTAGGTCTCTGCCCTTCTCAATTAAAAAATGTAAATGTCATAATTATTTTCTCTATATTGAAACCACCTAGATGATATTATAATTTTTGCTCCAACCATTAAACATAATTATAATAAGTTGAATTGTGTCCCACAAAAATATATGTTGAAGTCTTAGCCCCCAGTACCTATGAATGTGACTTTATTTGAAAATAGGATTAGTGCAGATGTAATTAGTTAAGATGAGGTCATATTGGAGTAAGGTGAGCCCTTAATTCAAAATGAGTGGTATCTTTATAAGTAGAGAAGAGACATAGAGACATAAAGACATGAGGGGAGAATACCATGTGATGATGGAGGCAGAGATTGAAGTGCTGCAAGCTGCAAGTTCAGTTCTCCTCCTGACCCCATTAACACATTCCTGAAGAAGGCAGAGTGCTGCCTCATTCAGCCTCATTCCTGCATTGGAACTCAGCTCCCCACTGGTAGGGGAGGCCAGAAATCAGAGAGCCTACTAGCCCTGCCACAACACACCCTGTTCCACCTCACTGATGCTGGATAGGTGTGGAGGCTCAGCTTCTTAGTGGGCTCCTCTGATAGCAGCTGGGGAAAGAGTAATCAGAATACCTAATAACCTCACTTCACACTGCTTCATTCCACCTCATTGATGCTGAATGTAGGTGTAGGCTCAGCTTCCCTCTGGGCCCTGATGGTGGAGGGAGGGGAAGAGGGACATGCCAATTTGCCTCTCTTTGCACCACCCCCTTTTCTTATCTGATACTATTGGCCAGAAACTTCATTTATAATGAAGTATGGTGAGCGGCCATCTGAGTCTGATTTTAGGGAAAAGGATTTAGTCTTTCACTATTAATCATCATGTTAGCTGTAAGTTTTCTATATTTGCCTTTTATCAGGTTGGGGAAGTTCCCATTTTTTTCCTAGTTTGTTGAGTTTCTAAAATGAAGAATGGATGTTAGTTTTTATCTAATATTTACTCCAAATATATTGCAATGATCGTACATACAGACACCTATAAGTGTGTATACATATATATGTTTACATATATATGTATATATGTTCTTATACATATATAGTTTGTTAACATAGTGAATTATATTAATAATATTAATTGATTTTTTAATGTTAAGCCAACCCAGCATTTCTGGAATAAATCTCAATTGGTCATGATATATTATTTTTTTAATATAGTGTCAGATTCCATTTGTTGAAAATCGAATCTTTTCTAACATAGGCTTTTAGTGCTTTGTATGACTTTACATTTTTTGCATCCATGCTTATGAGTGATACTATACTGTAATTTTCTTTCCTTAGAATGCCTTTGGCTGGTTTCTGTTTCAGGGTATTATGGGTTGATTGTGTACGCTAGATTTATATAACGAAGGCCTAACCTCCAGTACTTCAGAATGTGACCGTATTTGCAAAAAGGGTCCTTGTGGATATAATCAGTTATGTTATTATAAGGTCATACTGGAGAAGCATGGGACCTTAATGTAATGTGACTCTTCATTTTAAAAAAGGGGGAGGATTTAGACACACACACACGCATGCACACACACACACACAAGCAAGGAGAACATTATGTGAAGATACGAGGAGAACTAGGAGTGATGTGTCTACAAGCCAAAGATTGCCAGCGAACCACAGAAGCTAGGGAAGAAGCATGCAGCAGATTCTCCCTCACAGCCCTTAGAAGGAACCAAACTTGCTGATTGATACCTTTGTTAACAGACCGTGCAAGAAAGAATTTAGGGTGAATCTATAGAATAAAGTGAAAGCAAGTTTACTAAGAAAGTAAAGAAACAAAAGAATGGCTACTCCATAGACAGAGCAGCGTTATGGGCTACTCACCTGAGTACACTAATAGTTATTTCTTGATCATATGCTAAACAAGGGGTGCATTACTCATGAGTTTTCTGGGAAAAGGGCATGGATTTCCCAGAACTGAGGGTTCCTCCCTTTTTTAGACTATGTAGGGTAACTTCCAGACATTGCCATGGTATCTGTAAACTGTCATGGCACTGGTGGGACTATCTTTTAGTTGGCTAATGCATTATAATTAGTGTATAATAAAAACTGAGGATGATCAGAGGTCACTTTTATTTGCCATCTTGGTTTTGGTGGGTGTATTAGTCCATTCTTACACTGCTATAAAGAAATACCCGAGACTGGGTAATTTATAAAGGAAAGAGATTTAATTGACTCACAGTTCCACATGGCTGCAGAGGCCTCAGGAAACTCACAATCATGGCAGAAGGGGAAGGGAAAACAAGAATCTTCCTCACATGGTGGCAGGAAAGAGAAGAAAAGCCCAGGGGAAACTGCCATTTATAAAACAATCAGATCTCGTGAGAACTCCCTCACTATCATGAAAACAGCATGGGGGAAACCGCCCCATGATCCAGTCACTTCCTACCAGTTCTCATCCTCAACACCTGGGGATTACAATTCAAGATGAGATTTCAGTGGGGATACAAAGCTGAACCATATCATTCCACCCCTGGCCTCTCCCAAGTCTCATGTCCTCACATTTCAAAACCAATCACACCTTCCCAACAGTCCCCCAAAGTCTTAATTCATTCCAGCATTAACCCAAAAGTCCACAGTCCAAAGTCTTATCTGAGACAAGCAAGTCCCTTCTGCCTAGGAGCCTGTAAAATCAAAAGCAAGTTAGTTACTTCCTAGATACAATGGGGGTACAGGCATTGGGTAAAACACCCATTCCAAATGGGGGAAATTGGCCCAAACAAAGGGGCTACAGGCTCCATCCATGTCTGAAATTCAATGGGGCAGTCATTAAATCTTAAAGTTCCAAAATGATCTTCTTTGACTCCAAATCTCAAATCCGGGTCACACTGATGCAAGAGATGGGCTCCCATGGCCTTGGGCAGCTCTGCCCCTGTGGCTTTGCAGGGTATAGTCCCACTTCTGGCCGCTTTCATAGGCTGGCATTCAGTGTCTGTGGCTTTTCCAGGCACACAGTAAAAGCTGTCAGTGGAACTACCATTCTGGGGTCTGGAGGACTGTGGCCTCTTCTTACAGCTTCACTAGGCATTGCCCCAGTGGGGACTCTATGTGGAGGCTCTGACCCCACATTTCCCTTCTGCACTGCCCTAGCAGAAGTTCTCCATGAGGGTTCCACCACTGCAGCAGACTTCCACCTAGATATCCAGTAGTTTCCATACATCCTCTGAAATCTAGGTGGAGGTTCCCAAACCTCAAATCTTGACTTTTGCCTGCCTGCAGGACCAACACCATATGGAAACTGCCAAGGCTTGGGGCCTGCACCCTCTAAAGCAATGGCCTGAACTGTACCTTGGCCCTTTTTAGCCATGGCTGCAGTGGCTGGGACACAGCACACCAAGTCCCAAGGCTCCACACAGCAGGGGGGCCCTGGATCTGGTCCAGGAAAACATTTTGCCCTCCTAGGCCTCCTGGCCTGTTATGGGAAGGGCAGCCATGAAGGTCTCTGACATGCCCTGGAGACATTTTCCCCATTGTCTTGGCCTTGTTACTTATGCAAATATCTGCAGCCAGCTTGAATTTCTCCTGGAAAATGGGTTTTTCTTTTCTACTGCATTGCCAGGCTGTAAATTTTCCAAACTTTTATGCTCTGCTTCCCTTTTAAACATAAGTTCCAATTTCAGATCATCTCTCTCAAGTTCAAAGCTCCACAGATCTCTAGGACAGGTGCAAAATGCCACCAGTCTCCTTGATAAAGCATAGCAGGAGTGACCTTTGCTCCATTTCCCAGGAAGTTCCTCATTTCCATCTGAGACCTCCTCAGCCTGGACTTCATTCTTCATATCACTATCAGCATTTTGGTCAAAATCATTTAACAAGTCTCTAGGAAGATCCAAACTTTCCAACATATTCCTGTCTTCTTCTGAGCCCTCCAAACTATTCCACCCTGTGCCTGTTACCCAGTTCCAAGGTCACTTTCACATTTTCAAGTATCTTTACAGCAGTGCCTCACTACTTGGGTACCAATTTATGGTATTAGTCCATTTTTACACTGCTATAAAGATGCTACTCGAGACTGGGTAATTTATGTAGGAAGGAGGTTTAATTGACTCAGTTCTGTGCAGCCATGGAGGCCTCAGGAAACTCACAGTGATGACAGAAGCAGAGGAAGAAGCAAGGACCTTCTTCATATGGCAGCAGAAGACAGAAGAAAAGTCCAAGGGAAACTGCCATTTATAAAATCATCAGATCTCGTGAGAACTCACTATCATGAAAACAGCATGGGGAAAACCACCCCAATAATCCAACCAACTCCCACAGGGTCCCTCCCTCAACACCTGGGGATTACAATTCAAGATGAGATTTGGGTGAGGACACAAAGCCTAACAATGTTAGCGGGTTTTGGCCGGCTTCTTTACAGCATCCTATTTTATAAGCAGGGTCTTTGTGACCTGTATCTTGCGCTGACCTTCTATCTCATCCTGTGACTATAAATGCCTAACCTCCTGGGAATGCAGCCTAGCAAGTCTCATCTTCATTTTATCCAGCCCCTATTCAAAATAAAATTGCTCTGATTAAAATGTCTCTGACACCTTAATCGTGAACTTCTAGCTTCCAGAACTGTGAGACAATAAATTTCTGTTGTGTAAGCCACCCAGTTTGTGGTACTTTGTTATGGCAGCCCTAGAAAACTAATACAGGGTAATGCTGGCCTCATAGATTGAGTTGGGAGGTATCCTCTCCTCTTCAATTTTCTTTTCTTTTCTTTTTTTTTTTTAGATGGAGTTTTGCTCTTGTTGCCCAGACTGGAATGCAATGGCGTGATCTTGGCTCACCGCAACCTCTGCCTCCCAGGTTCAAGTGATTCTCCTGCCTCAGCCTCCTGAGTAGTTGGGATTACAGGCACAGGCCACCACGCCTGGCTAATTTTGTATTTTTAGTAGAGACAGGTTTCTTCATGTTGGTCAGGCTGGTCTTGAACTCCCGACCTCAGGTGATCCGCCCATCTCGGCCTCCCAAAGTGCTGGGATTACAGGCACCTCTTCAATTTTCTAGAAGACTTTGTATAGAATTGCTATCATTTCTTTCTTAAATGTCTGATAAATTTCACCTGTGAAAGCACCTGGGCCTGGAATTGTCTTTGTGGGTAGGTTTTTATCTAGAAACTCAATTTCATTAATAGATATAGAACTATTCAAGTTATCTATTTCTTCCTGTGGGAACTTTGGTAGTTTATGTCTTTCAAGAATTTGTCAACCAGGCATGGTGGCTCATACCTGTAATCCCAGCACTTTGGAAGGCTGAAGTGGTCAGATCACCTGAGGTCAGGAGTTCAAGACCAGCCTGGCCAACATGGCAAAATACTATCTCTACTAAAAATATAAAAATTAGCCAGGCATGGTGGCACTTCCCTATAGTCCCAGCTACTCGGGAGGCTGAGGCAGGAGAACTGCTTGAACCCAGGAGGCAGAGATTGCAGTGAGCTGAGATCAGGCCACTACACTCCAGGCCGGGCAACAAAGTGAGACTGCGTCACAAATTAAAAAAAAAAATGTCCATTCATCTAAGCTATTGAATTATTGGCATAAATTTGTTCATAGTAGGCTCTGAAAATTTTAATGTCTGTAGGATCTTTCATGATGTTGTTTTTCTTCATTTCTGATACTGATAATTTGTGTATTCTCTTTTTTTCCCTCATCAGTCTGCCTAGAGATTTATCAATTTTATTATTCTTATTTAAACAGCTTTTAGTTTCATTGATTTTCTCAATTGTTTTTCTGTTTTCTATTTCATTCATTTCCATTCCTTTCTTCTGCTCAGTTTGAGCTTATTTGCTCTTTTTTCCCCTAGTTTCTGCAGGTAGATGCTGAGGCCATTGATTTGAAACCTTTCCTCTTCACTAGCATAGGTGTTTAGTGGTACAAATTCCCCCTTCATCACTGCTTTAGCAGTTTCCAACAAATTTTGTGTTTTCCTTTGCATTCAGTTCAAATTACTTTCCAATTTCACTTCTGAGTTCTTCTTAGACACTCATGGTTTATTTAGAAGTATGTTATTTAGTGTATAAATATTTGGGGATTTCAGGAGATTTTTCTATTATTGATTGCTAATTTAATTCCTTTATGGTCATATAATAGACTTGGTATTACTTGAATTCTTCCAAATATATTGAGATTTGTTTTATCATCTAGAATATGGTCTATTCCGGTTCATAGTTTGAATGTGCTCAAAAAGAACGTGTATTCTATTGAAGGTTCTATACAGGTCAATAGGTCAATCACATTAATAGTTATGTTCAATTCTACTATGTCCTTGCAGTTTTTCTGTCTACTTCTACCAAGACTGAAATCCATGTTGAGGCCAGGCATGGTGGATTATGCCCTTCATCCCAACACTTTGGGAGGTCAAGACGAGAGTGTAGCTTGAGCCCAGGAGGTTGAGACCATCCTGGGCAACATAGTGAGACCTCATCTCTACTAAAAAATAAAAAATAAAAAATTAGCCAGGCATGGTGGCATGCCTGTTGTCCCAGCTACTTGAGAGGCTGAAGCAGGAGGGTCACTTGAGCCCAGGAGGCTGAGGCTGCAGTGAGCCATGATCGTGCCAATATACTCCAGTCTAGGTGACGGAGCCAGATCCTGTCTCTCAACAAATAAATAAAGTTAAAATCCACACATTGAAAGCCTACGTATCCTTTTTTAGACAGGGTCTTGCTCTGTCCCCCAGGCTGGGGTGCAATGGTATAACTACAGCTCACTGCAGCCTCAATCTCCTGGGCTCAAGCAATCCTCTTGCATAGCTGGGACTGTAGGCACACACCACCACACCGGGCTAATTTTTAAAATTTTTGTAGAGACAGAGTCTCATCATATTGCCCAGGCTGGACTCCAACTCCTAAGCTCAAGTGATCCTCCTGCCTCAGCCTCCCAAGTAGCTAGGACTACAGGTGCATGCTACCACGACTGGCTAATTTTTAAATTTTCTGCAGTGACAAGGTCTTGCCATGTTGCCTACACTGGTCTCAAATTCCTGGCCTCAAGCAATCCTCCCACATCTGCCTCCCAAAGTGTTGGGATTACAGGCTTGAACCACCATGCCTGGCCTCTGACCCATTCTTAAAGCTGGAGTAAAACAATCACCTGTATGTGAACTGTACATACTTAGGTTCAAATCATGCCTCTACCACTCATTGTGTGTCCTTACATTAGTCACTAGTCACTTCAACTCTCTGGGCTTCAGTTTCCTCATCTGTCCAATGGGGATAATTGTAGTACCTACCCCACAAATTCATTGCAGGATCGTGTGAGAAAGTGTCAGAGAGCTAGATGTTTCTAAATGGGCGGTTTCAGAAAAAAAGATTTGTCTCTTTTAGCAAGGACCTGCCAAGCTGGACCACGTTCGCACCAAAAGTATGAAGAAGGCAGCCTGGATCATCATTGAAAAGTACTATACCTGCTGGGCAACTACTTCCACATGAGCAAAGGCATGTGCGAGGAAGTTGCCATTATTCCCAACAAGAAGCTCCACAACAAGATGGCAGGCTATGTCACACATCTGATGAAAGAGATTTAGAGAGGTCCAGTGAGGGTTATCTCCATCGAGTTGCAGGAGGAGGGCAGAGAAAGGAGAGATAATTATGTTTCCGAATTATCACAACTCTGGATCAGGAGATCATTGAAGAGGATCTGGACACTGAGGAAATGCTGAGGGTTTTGGACTTTGGCAGTCTGCCGAAACTGCAAGTCAATCAGCCTACAGTTAGGATGAATTTTAAAATACCACGTGGAGCTGTTTGAATCTTTTTGCTATGGTGCAATATTTTTAATAAACCTGGGACAACAGAAAAAAAGATTTATTTCCTATAATTTTCTCATTATTTGGAAAGTTAGAGTTGTAAAGGTCCTTGTCAGTTTTCAGTTTACTATGCCTACCCACTTTTATTTAAGATTGTAATTTATCTGGTCATGTAGTCATCAGCATTTTAACCAAAAGGGATGTAGACTGGGTGTTAAATGTCTGTAGAGCAATAGTTGAATATTATATAAAGAGGTTTTAAATAAAGAATAGTAGGTTGTTAATAGCTCTCTCCCTTCCCTGGACCCACCCCCAAGAAAGATTCAGAAATAATGCGTTTAACAAAAAGAAATGCAGCCATCACAAAGAGCTAGATTAATGTGATGTTTTGCTATTGTTTACTTTTCATTCTGGCTATTACAGAGATATCCTGGCAACAAGTTATCCGTCGCGACTTAGGTCAGAGTGCATGCGAATGAAAAAAGCCCACAAACAAGTAGAGACGGTTCAAGTAGGCTTTCAAAACCCAGACTAATGAGAAATTGCAGATAAAAAAACAGTAACTTTCCCTGCTGCAAAATTGCCTCTCAAATAGATCATCGTTTTCCGGTATCCAGGGAAGGTCTGTTCAAGGCAGCAGAGTGGAGGTGGCTGGAGCATGCACTTTAAAATCAGGAAAAAAATGGGGCTTACTTCTACACTTTGTAGTTCACCATTGATATGACCTGACCTGACTCCATCTCGTATGTGAAAAATGAAGCTAGTCATCCCTATCTCCATGTGTTGTGGTGAGGGTTACATGAGATGGTATTGGTTAGAGCCCAGCACTCCACCTGGCCTGGGAGAATAAATGCCTGTCGCATCTTTAGAGAGAAGTTCCTTTCACTTTTCTAACCCTTTATCCGTTTTTTAACATCTGTGATGTTATCACATTATGTTAAGGTCTCCCTTAGGTTTTTAAGCCTTCTGCTCCTATATAGTCTACGCTCTTTAAATTTTTGTTTTTTCTATAATTAATCTTTTCCAGATAAATATCATACAACTGTGTGGACTCATAGAGTGCAAAACCACCCGGGCCCACAATTCCAGCCTGAAATCCTCTTTGTTTTTAGTCACCTTCTTGTCTTACCCAACAACTCAAAACCTCAGTACTCAAATGCAAGCCCCTGAACTGACAGCCATGTCCTACTTACACTCTCAGCAGATGGCTTTGCCTCCTCCTTCACAGAGGAATTCCCTTAGATTCCTGGCCATTGCTTGTTTCTACAGTCATCTTTTCCTTGTTGTTTCTTTCTCAGAAGAACCAGCTTTCCCTTTTCCACCCTGGGTTTTGGATCTCATCCTTGCTGACTCCTTAGGGGTTTCTTTCCTTTTTTTTTTGAGCCGGGTGTTGAGGGAGGTGGACACAGGGTCTCACTCTGTTGCTCAGGCTGGAGTGCAGTGGCATGGTCATGGCTCACTGCAGCCTTGACCTCCTAGACTCAAGTGGTCCTTCCACCTCAGCCTTCCGTGGGGTTACAGGTGTGCGCCACCACACCCAGTTAATTTTTCTTTTTCCTTTTTTGTAGAGATGGGGGTCTCATTATGTTGCCCAGGCTGATCTAGAACTTCTGGGCTCAAGTGATCCTCCCATCTGGGTCTCTCAAAGTGCTGGGATTACAGGTGTCAGCTACTGTGTGCCCAGCCATTAGGGGTTGCTTCCATCGATTCCTCTCACCATTTCTGTATTTTTTTTTTTTTTGAGACTGAGTCTCCCTCTGTCGCCCAAGCTGGAGTGCAGAGGCGTAATCTCGGCTCACTATAACCTGCACTACCTACTGTAACCTGTACTACCTACTGCAACTGATTCTCCTGCCTCAGCCTCACTGGTAGCTGAGATTACAGGTGCCCGCCACCATGCCCAGCTAACTTTTGTATTTTTAGTAGAGCTGGGGTTTTGTCATGTTGGCGAGGCTGGTCTCGAATCCCTGACCTCAAGTGATCTGTCTGCCTTGGCCTCCCAAAGTACTGGGATTACAGGCGTGAGCCACCATGTTTGCCACCTCTTCTGTATTTTAACTTCTTGTTCTCTATTGGAGCCTTCCAATAATATTGGAAACATGATCATATTTCTCTTATCACCATTCCACCAAAACCATAGCCTTCTCTTCACCCAACATCCACTATAGCTAATGCCTTAGTGTCCCTCTTTTTACAGATGACCTTGAAAGAGTTGCCTACAATTACTATCTCTACTTCCACACTTTTTCCACATTCCTCAACCCAATATTGTATGGGTTTTGCCTATATGAGCCTGTTAAATCTATTCTCATTCTGGTAATTAGTGAGTTTCTCATTGAACACAGTATTAGTTAGGACATAGGTTCTGTTGCTGTAACAGAAATCCAAGATAAGAGTGGCTTCAACTACATGAATGTTGCTTTCTCTCTCATGTAACCATCAGGAGGTAGGTAGTGCAGGGCCGGTACAGCAACACCGCTCAATGAAGTATTCAGGAACCCAAGTTCCTTCTACCATCATACTCTGCCATCCCTAAAATCTTACTCTACCTGTATGGTCAAAGATGACTTACCATGACACCCAGCCAGTGAGGAGGGGAAAAAGGGAAGGATAAGGAATGTCTTTTCCATTAGAGGTAACAACTCACATACCACACACACCACTACTGCTCACACCCCACTGGCTAAAACTTAGTCTTATGGCTAAACCTGACTCTGCAATGGAGACTGGAAATATAATCTCCATTCTGAGTGGCCATGTGACTTGCTCAAGATTCTGTTATTATGGAAGAAGGAGTGAAGAAATATTGGGGAACAAGTAGTCTCTGCCATGCTATCCATATCATCTTAAAAAAAAAATCATCCTAGAACATGTGAGGTCAGAGGTTGGTTTCTAGAAGTACGCCTCTGATCACCCGCAAATTGACTGTACCAAGTACCAGGGCTGACTTCTACTCCTGAAATTCTGCTGTGGTTGTAGGATCCTTCCTCAAGCCTGCAACACAGGGTAGGAAGCAAGGAATAGGGAAGTCTCTATGATATCAACATTCTTGCCTAGCATGTTCATTGCTACATATCTGGAAACAGGCAAAATACCTCACATATAGTAAATGCTCAATAAATATTTGAAAATGCATTGATATTATACATGCATTTAGTTAAGGGAAGACGACAGAAGTTTTACCATCTTGAAGACCCTGAGAAAACCCAGGAAAAACCTTGAGCTTGGGGTAGTAGAAGAAATGAGAGTGACTTAATGAATCTGATGACATCATGCCCCTCCTTAAGATATGTTAGTTCCTTCATTAGCCTGCATCAGAACTCAATCTTATCCTAAACTACTCTGTAAATCATAGTTTCTAGCTAGATGATCAGCTACATGAATGAATGAGTAGATAGAGAAGTGGGTATAGAACCAAGTTGGTCTCATGCCTGGATGTTTTCCTGGCGAGTCATCCCTTCTGGGAGAAGCTTTCCTTGTACCACAGGATGTCTTTTGGTTTTCCTTAATGACCTCTAGGCCAGTAGTTTCCAATGACTACGTATGAGAATAATCAGGGGCACTTATTTAAATTATAGATACTTAGACTTCTTCCGGAGAGTCTTTTTTTTGAAAGCCATTATCGAAATAGTGAGCGAGAGCCTCCAGGTAGTCATAAGGTTTGGCTGTTCATCCAAAATAAAGAGTAATGGTGGTTAATATAAATAGGACAGATCACTTTGAGAAGTCCTAATTGTTAGTCACACATGAATGGGGTAGATGTGCAGATGGGGCAGAGGGCTGAGATGGGCTTGTCCTTTACAAAACCCCATAGTTTTAAAGGCAGTTAATTTCTCAATACAAAAATGGCCTCTACTACCTTCCTGTCCTCTGGATTTTGATACAAGGGCAACTAAAAAAAATCTCTATGTGTCCTTAATACAGAAAGGTAGAAGTTGGGGATGAAAAGAGTTTAGGACTTTGAATACCTTGTCTGCGTCATCCACATTCTGGTTCAAATGCTGCTTGGTCCAACAATTCAACCTCCTGTTTCTTGTGGGTTGGACAGATATGGGGCCGTCCCAGTTTGCTCTTGGGTGGCCAGGCAAAGAATATATGATTATATAATTAAGTTATTCACAGAGGTCAAGAGACATTGTCAATTATTCTAATTACCCCAATCACATCTAAAAAGTCATTTTTCAGGTACTTCCCTTGTGGACTCAGTCTAGGATTCATGCTCTGAGGAGGTCCAGATTCATGACTACCTGGGCTTCTTTGAACTGACAGAAGACATAAGGAAAGAGTGGGAAGAAGTAGCTGTCTCCTACCACCTCGCATCAAGAAGATCTTGGCAGAGCCTGAACTCCCAGTTGTCAATGTCTTGTCCTTGTTCTTGCTGTCATTGCTGTTATTGTCCTCCTCCTCCTCCTCCTCTTTCTTCTTAATATGTTTTGGACCACATTTGTTTTTATATTTGTAGTTTAGGAAGGTATCATCCATAGGTTAAATAATGAATACTTTATTTTTCCTGAGGCCTAGATGGAGATTGTGACCCCACTATATTCCTCCATTTTTGGTGGCTAGTGGCATTTCCTGGCAGTATGTTAAATCTCCCAGATAGGGCATACATACAAATGCCAGGTGAGGCTGGCCAAAAGATGAAGCTGGCAGCAGATACAGTCCTATGAGTTCAACCAGTTCAAACCATGATCCTTTCTGAATGCACTTCTTATAACTGTGTCATAATTGTATGGGCTTTCCAACACAGCTCTAAGAGCATTGTTGAGCCTCTGAAGCAAAACCAGCAACTGCCTGTCTTTAGACTTATTACATTTAAGAAAAAATATATATTATTAATAGATTTTCTGCTACTTGCAGCTAAAGCATTCCTAACCAGTAATCCTTATATGGTACCCTGTGCCATCAGGATAAGGGCCACAGTGCTTTAGCATTATAAATAAAGCTCTACATAATCTACCCCCTGCCTATGTCCGTAGCCTTGTCTCTCACATTTGTCCTTGCACTATAGGCTATGGTAACACAGAGCTACTTCTGTTGCCCTAAGTATACCATGCTGTCTCATTCCTCCTAGCTTTATCTATGCTGGCAGAATACAGGCAAGAACTGCCTTCCTCATCTGTGGATTTCTAAAATGTAGCACAGTGACAAATAATAAAGGAACTACACCAAAATGTTGTTACCTTACTCTCTTTTGATAACAAACGAATTACTTAATGACACATGCATTTTATGTATCATTTATTTAATGTTTCAGCATCTCTTCACATATGCAAAGGAGTGTGCCAGGAGTGTGCCAGGCTTATGTACTGACAAAAGATCTCTAAAGGCACAATGTTATGTTAATAAAAGATTATTCTATCAGAAGAATGCACCTAGTATGATTCCATTGATGTTAAAATACAAAACCCAATAAAATATGTTTATCCATGAGTATGTGTGTGTACATATATATATATTTTAAAACAGAGAATGAGCCTTGGAAACATAGATACCAAAATGTTAACAGTGGTATTTCTTAGGAAGGACAAAGCCTGGGGGACTGCATGACTGTATTCACATGAAACTTCTGAAATTAAAAGTATAAAATGTAAAAGGCAGGAGAAAGAACATGGGAAATGAAATCAACAGATTTCATTTCAAGTCCCTGCTCTGTCACTAACCAATTATGTGGCCTTGAGCAATGTGTTTTACCTCTCTGAGTCACAGTTTTATCTGTGAAATTGTGGCCCATTCATTTTTTTCATTCATTCACTCAACAAATATTTGTTGAGCACCTATTTAAGTGCCAAGCACTATTCTAGGCACTGGGGTTTCAATCATAAGCATATAGATCCCTGTCCTCATGGAGTTACAGTTCAGTGGGGAAGGTAGACATTAAACAAATAGTCACAAAACTTGATGTAAAATTGCATCTGTGAAAGTGTGGAGGGGGAAATCCACAGGGTCATGACACCCTGTAGCAGGAGAACATGACCGAGTCAGGAAGGTCAGGGAAGGCTGCTCTCTGAATGGGGTGATAACTAGGTGAGAGTGACAGGCTTGAGACAAGTGAAGAAGGGCGTTCCAGAAAGAAGGAACAGCATGTAAACAGGATGTATATTGGCAAGAACATGACTGATTTAAGATTCTAAAATAAAGCTAGTTTGACTAGAGTGTGTGTGGGGTGGGGGGTGGGTATGTGTATTTGAAGTGGGGGCAATACTGGTATGAAAGGAGACTGGAGAAGGAGGTTAGAGTCAGACTATGTACAGGTCATGAAACAGTTTGGTCTTCATCCTACCAGTAAGAGCAATGTTATGCCATTGTAAGTCTTAAGTGAGGTGATAACATTACCAGATTTTAGTTTGGAAAAGGTTAACTCTGGCTGCTGTGAAAGATGACATGGGCTTGGATCACAATGGTAATAATGGAGATGGGGGAAAAGTGTGTTATCTCAAGAGAAATAGTTATGGCCTAGAATCAACAAAACTTGTTGATGGATTGGATATGTTGGCAGGGGTATGAGGAAGGGAGAAAGAGCTTAGAGTGAGGATGGCTTCTAGGTTTCTGCCTCAACTAACTCAGATGGTGGGATCATTTCTTGAGATTGAGATCACTGAAAAAGGATTAAGTTCTAAGGAGAAAATCACGGGTTGGATTTTGGTCCTATTGAGTTTGAGGTGTTTTAGAGGTTTCCCTTACCTCTCTCACCTCTTCCACCTCCCTTATTCAAATACTACAACAACAGCGAGGCCTTCTCTCTCTATCCTATCTACAATTTCAACACCACTCCAACATTTCATATCCTCTTCTCTGCTTTATTTTTCACCTTAGTTCTTCATATTATCTAGATATTTTCCATTTTTTTCTTCCTTACTGTGATTCCCCCACCAGAATGTAAGCTCCAAGAGAAAGGGATTCTTGTCTATTTTTATGCTGCTATAATCTTCAACATCTAGAATCATGCTTTTTATATAGTAGGTGATCAATGAATATTTGTTGAATAGATGAACAAATAAATTCAAGAACAAAAATTAAGTAAGCAATTGGAAATAGTGGTGTGAAATGCTCAGAAAAGTCTGGTCTAGATATAAACATTTGTCATTCATTTGAGCATAGGTACTAACTGTAGTTGTGGCTGTGGATGAGAGTACACAGGGAGAGGGAATGAAGTGAGAAAAGGGAATAAAATAGTACCTGCCTCAGAGGATGACAAGATAATGAAAGTTAAGTATTTAGCATGATGCCTGGCACCTGACGGGTGGTCCAGGAATGTTAGTACTTCTTAGTGTTTTGATTACAGACGTATGGGACTAGAAAACCAGCAGACTGAGTGAATGGCAGGATGTAGCCTCTAACTAACACTCTCATCAGTGAGCTCCCTACCTTTGTTAGGTGGGAGCGAAAGGAGCACTGGCTGGGACAGAACCTGTTACTTGCTTTGCTGTACGACCACATCAAGTCACCTAACTGTGGTTAGCCTCAAATTCCTCACCTGTAATTCAGGGTTGATGGCAACACTGTCCTCACAGAACTGAGATAATGTGCTTGGCACCAAGTCAATTTTCAATCTTCAACCCCTCACCCAGTGTCTGGCACATAGTCAGGGCTCAACAGGTTGGTTGTTTGTTAGTGGAAAGTGTACCAAACTTGGACCTAGAAGATATTTACAATCTTTTTGATTTTGCACAAATCTCATACTCTCAGAGGATCAGCGTATCTGTCACAGGATTGTTTTGAGTATCAAATGAGAATGTATGTTTTTTTAAAAAGATGATTTATTTATGCCTTACCTCATGCCCAAGTTGATTTGTGGTGGTTTGAAGAAATATATCACCTTCAACAGGAGAGGGAAAATAACCAGACGGCAAAGCAGAGGCAGAGATAAAACCAGGATGGGGAAGTAAGATGGCATCAGAGCTAAGAACAGTACATAAAGTCTATGCCAGGGTAGTTCAAATCTAATAAAAAAATGAGGCTGGGCGCAGTGGCTCACACTTGTAATCCCAGCACTTTGGGAGGCTGAGGTGTGTGGATCACGAGGTCAAGAGATTGAGACCAGCCTGGCCAACATGGTGAAACCCTGTCTCAACTAAGAATACAAAAAGTAGCTGGGCGTGGTGGTGCATGCCTGTAGTCCCAGCTACTCAGGAGGCTGAGGCAGGAGTATTGCTTGAACTGGGGAGGCAGAGGCTGCAGTGGGCCGAGATCGCACCACTGCACTCCAGCCTGGTGACAGAGCGAGACTCTGTCTCAAAAAATATGTAATAATAATAATAATAATAATAATAATAATAATCATCATCATCATCATCATCATCATCATGAGCTGGGGCCAGGGCTCATGCCTGGAATCCCAGCACTTTGGAAGGCTGAGGTGGGTGGATCGCCTGAGGTCAGGAGTTTGAGACCATCCTGGCCAATATGGTGAAACTCTGTCTTTACTAAAAATACAAAATTAGACGGGCGTAATGGCATGTACCTGTAATCCCAGCTACTTGGGAGGCTGAGGCAGGAGAATCACTTGAACCCAGGAGGTGGAGGTTGCAGTGAGCCAAGATCGCACCATTGCACTCCACCTGGGGCAAAAAGAGAGAAACTCTGTCTCAAATAATAATAATAATAATAATAATAATAATAATTAATAATAATAGTCATAATAATAATGTGACTAGCCACAACACATGGCAGTGGCTGTTCCCTCCCCTGTTTGTCTCTGCTTCTCCCAGTACAGACCCATTGAGAAACTCAGCTCGTATTTAAAATAACACCAGCACCAGCCCCGACCCAACTCCTCAACAAGATCACCTTCTTGGCAGAAGGATGGGGCTGCTCTTCCTTTGCTGCTCTCTCCCCAGTGGTTCCTTCAGCTGCTCCCAGCAGATCTCAGTGGCTCTTTTCTTTCTCTAGGTGTCTAGAGTGTTCCTTTAAAACCTTCTCATAGGCACTTCACATGACTGCTCTAGAGAATCATAGACTTGCATACCCTGTCTTAGTCCCTTCAGGCTGATAAAATACCATAGACTGGGTAGCTTATAAACAACAGAAATTTATTGCTTACAGTTCTGGAGGCTGGCAAGTTGAAGATCAAGAAGCCAGCAGATTTAGTGTCTGGTGAGGGTCCATTTTCTAACTCATAGATAGCTGTCTTTTCACACTAACCTCACATGGCAATAGGAGCAAGGAATCTATCTTGGTCCTCCTTTATAAAGGCACTAATCTCATTCATGAGGGTTCTACCCTTATAACCCAATCATCTCCCAAAGGCTCCACTTCCTAATACCATCATCTTGGGGGTTAGGATATCAACCTATGAATTTGGGGAGACACAAATATTCAGACTATAGCATGCCCCAAGTATTTCACTGGTCTGACATGGCCTGAGAAAAAAAGCCCTATCAAATATATGCCCATACCAGCTCAACTCTCAAGGGTTTCCCCCAATTCAGAAGGCTATTCAGAAGGCTATATGGGTCTTATGCTTTTAGGGTTATGGTACATCCTAGATCATAAACCCAAACTTTGAAGTACTCCAGAAATACCCCAGTATCTTCAAGGCAATGATTCAAGAGGATCTTATCAATCTTTATCAAGCACCTACTATATACTGGTCACCAAACTGAAAAAAGAGTCAGTAACAATATAATACTATTAACAATAGTCCCTGATCTCTAGTGGCTCACAATTTAAGTTGGGGACAACATGGCCATATAACAAAATGAGCTACAATTTATTGAATGCTTATTATGTGTCAGGCACTATGCTTTAGATGCATTATCTCATATAATCCTAAAAATAACTCCAGTAAGTAGACACTATTATCATTCTCATTATACAGATCATGACACTGAGGGCTCGAATGGTTAGTAAATTTACCCGAGGTCACACAGGTGGTGTTTCTAAGTCTGCTCTCTTGAAACCACAGCTTGTGTTCTTAACCATTTGGCTACACAAGGCAGGTTGTGTCAAGTTCTTAACAGAGGTACTAAGTGTTCTGGGCACAAAAGGGAAGGAGAGATTGATTCTTTCTGGTGGCATGTGGGTAGAGATGGTGGATATGCCCCAAGGGTCGGGTCTATTGGAGGAGGAATTTGACCTTAATTGATTGACTGGACTCTACCAGAGGCAGAGATGGAGAAGAGGACTCTGGGTGATCAGACTGTACCTGGAAAGGCACAAAGGCAGGAAAATACAGGGTGTGTTTAGTGAAGTGGGTAGAGGGTAGGATAGGAGCCAGTAATGGCAATGAGGTTGGAAAGGGTGACTGGAGCCAGATGCGAGGAGAGGGGATCTGTAGGGCCTTGCATGCCTCAAGTTAAGAAGATTTACCCTAACTGCTCAACTGCTCTAAGCTTCAAAGAGGACACTCAATTTGTATGCCGACTTGTATTTGACTAAGCCTCTCCTGGCATCTGGACACATTTGGGTTGCCATGACCCAGTTGTCACTTGCTGGCCACCTATTTCAAGGCCTTTGCCCTGGGCAAGTGCCTTGTCATCCTTTAGGAACCAGCTTGTGCCTCCAGTAGGAAGTAGAGCTGCTCACACACTGATATTTAGTCTCAGATCCTTTTGGAGTACATCTTGACCACAGGGCACTCTAATGGCATGGCACTTGCCTGGTTTCACCACTTGACTTCTTCTCCAAGGCAGGGCATGCAGTGCGTCATCTCTGCATCCCTGGGGCCCAGCATACTGCAGGGTTCAATTCAATATTCTGTTACAAAAGAAAGGAAAGGGGTGGGAGATACCCACTCTCATCCTGATGACCTCCTTATCATGACTCAAACCATTGAATATCATAAAAGAGGAACATAGTAATCATTCCTCCTCTGCATCTTTTGTGTTTTGTGGCTAACAATATCCATAATAATAAAACCCACTTCATCTTGATGAATAGTTCTAGGCATCCACTGGGCTGGAGTGCTGGTGTTTGCGGGGACACAGTACTCATCCTAATAAGCTCTGGGGCCAGATGCTTACCAAGCTGTGCAAAACGCTAGGACTCTTCATTGTTGCTCTCCTGCCACCACTGCCCAGTTGACTCATCTTGGACATCTTGGCCTTGCCATGTTTATTTTCCATTCTTTGTCAGGCAGCCAAGTGCTTCTTATAGTACAATGGTTGTCTGAGTGTCAATGGGCAGACAGGTACATGGCTTCCCTCTGACACTTGTTCTAGCAGCACAAAGGGAATTGATGACTCATCTGTACCTTTCTTGACTCTCCTTCCTGGCTTTCCACTGCCTAGAAACAAGGCCCAGGTAAATGTGGCTGGAGTTAGAAGAGGCTCTGTGTCCCTCCTCCTCCTCTATTCTCCATCATAAAGGCTGCGGTGAAGAGGCTGGGTGAAAAGCAGGACATCAGGTGAATAGAGGCAGTCTAGTAGTTCATGGATTTCAGCAGGCCATGTGCTCCTTGAGTCCTCACAGGAAATTTTCCAGGTCCAAATTATTCCCCCTATTTTGGAGTGAGGAAACAGGTTCAAAAAGTATAAGGTCATCAGTTAGTAATGAGGAATTTAGGATCCAAACTCATGCTAACTACTCCAGAGCTGTGCTCTTAACCCCTATACACTCTCTTGGCTATGGGAAAATTACCTCATTTCATCTCCACACTATTCAGAAGTATGGATATTGACAAGGAAACTGAGGCTCAGTGTCCCTCTTACCAACCTGACTAAGCAAGGAGAATGGTGTAGAAAAGATAACGAACTGAGTTATTCCCCAATTCTATTCCTAGTTATTGCTGGCCCTCTTTCCTGGCCACCCTCCCCTGCCAACCTACTCATCAAGATTTTATCAGTGCCTGAGTGCCATAGTAGATGGGTAACACAGTGTGGTGGAAAGGGTACACTCTTATTTGCATTTTATTTTCTCAAAATAAAAGTGGCTTCTTGCCACTGCCAATTGAAGCATGTACTTTGTTGTGAAAAGAAAAACAAATACAAAATTACAGAAGTGTAAAGAAGATAATAAAAATCACTCCCAAGCTTACCACTGATGACCATTGTCAACATTTTGGGCTATACCCTTGCAGACATTTTTAAAAACAGAAACACATAATTTAACAAATGAGGTTATACTATTTATAATATGTTATAATTTGCCTAAAAAACATTTCAAAATATGGTTGGGCATGGTGGCTTATCACTGTAATCCCAGCACTTTGGGAGGTTGAGGCAGGAGGAGTTTTGGAAGTCAGGAGTTTGTGAACAGCCTGAACCAGAAAGCGAGACCCCATCTCTACAAAAAAAATAAAGTAAAATAAATTAGCTGGGCATGGTGGAAGGTACCTGCAGTCTCAGCTACTCAGGAGGCTGAGGAAGGAGGAATGCTTGAGCCCAGGAGTTTGAGGCTGCAGTGAGCCATCACTGTGCTCCAGCCTGGGCAACAGAGCGAGACCCTGTCTCTAAAAACAATTTCACAATACGTGTATTATCTCATTTATTCCTTATAATAACCCTGTGTGGAGGGGATGATTATCCCCTGATTAACTCCAAGGAAATTAAGGCCCAGAGAGGTCAAACCACTTGACCGAGGCCATGCAACTACCACCTGATAGAGCCAGAATTTGAACCAATATCTGTCTCCTCTTAAAACCCATGCCTTTCTAAACAGACTTTCATATTCATTACAAAGTAATATTAGTACACATTATAACACTTAAATGATGAAAACAGTGCGGTGCTTATGCCAGAATCAACAGACTTCCATTCATTTGTATTCAACAGATGGTAATTGGGCCTCTACTAGACGCCAGGCCCTGTTTCAAACGCTAGAGAGAGAGAGAGAACAGCAAACAAGACAGTGTTCTTAACCTCATAGAGTTTGTATTCTGCTGAGGAAGGCAGGTAAACAAATAAATTTAATGGGAAGTAATAAGGGCTATGAAGCAATATAAATTTAAGAGAACAGACAGTGACAAAAAGGGCTATTTTGTTTCTTCCAAGAATGAAGGCCTCTTTGAGGAGGTGATATCAGAGCGGTAAGTTGAATGAAGTAAGGGGGCAAGCTATGTAACTACCTGGGGAAGAGTATTCCAAGAAGATGGAATAGTAAATGCAAAGATCCTGAGGCAGAAGCATGCTTGGAGTGTTTGAGGAACTGCAAAGAAGTCAGTGTCCCTGGAATCCAGCTTGCATGGGAAAGAGCAGTAAGAGGTATATGATGGTGGAGAGACAGGCAAGGAATCAGGTCATGCAGGGCCCTGCAGGCTATAGTAGACCTTTTGATTTTATTCCAAGTATAAGCTAGAGTAGGGTTTTGAACAGAGGAGTGAAATGACCTGATTTATCCTGAGGGAAGTTCACTCTCACTGCAGACTAGAGAGGGTAAGAGTAGAAGCCAAGAGGCAAGTAATGAGGTGTGCAATGTGGGGACAAGCTTAGGGAAATCACTTAGGGAAAAGACGAGCCTAGATTTAACAAATGACTGAGTCTTATAAGGCTAGGTTATGGAAATAAATGCAACATTGCTACTGCCCCTGCAGAGTTCATAGTGGAGTAGATGGACCAACAATTCATGTGAGCCTGCCATGGTAGAGGACTTTAACATGAGCTCTGGAAACTAGAGGAGAGAAATGTTCCTTTTGCCTGGGGTCTGGGGTGAGGGAAGGCTTAACAAACAGGGCTTGAATTAGGTAGAATTCTGAAAACTGACAGGAAATAGACAGGAAAAAAAGAGAGAGGGTGGGGTGGGGTTGGACATTCCAGGCAGAGGGGACTGCATTAGTAAAGGCTCACAGGGAAGCAAGCACTTTCGGCTGCTTTCAAGAAATGCCCAATTATTAGTTTATGCCACATCTGCTTACAGTTGACTATAAGCAAACAAATCAAGGCAACAAATATAGCTAAGCTTATTTTAGATTCCTGTTCAGCAACTTTAAATGTGCTAGAACATTTTAAATTACAGACAACCATCTAGTGCATGGGTTGGCCAAATTTTCCTATTAGGGGAGTAGAAAACAAATATTTTAGGCTTTGTAGGCCACATGGTCTCTTTTGCAACTACTCAACACTGCCATTGCAGTGTGAAAGCAATCATGGGAAATAGGTAATAAATGGGCATAGCTGTGTTTCAATAAAACTTTATTTATAAAACCAGGCAATGGCCTAGATTTGGCCCGTGGTTTGGCAGACCCTGAACTACCGCCTCGATCCCCTAGTTCTGTGCTCAAAACCCCCTAATGTTTAGCTCACAGATGCCTCTTGATGGGATCAGTGGCCTGACCTACAGTCACTCATTCTGGGTAGCTCACAGATCTCAATCCTTTCGGGAGATTACTGACAGCACTAAATCAGTTTTAAAGTAAAAGATGGAAATGTCAGGACTTCATGCCAAGAGGATGTTAATGGTTGTAAAAGGAGACTAGGCTGAGGTGCTGGACTTAACAAGCACATTGGAACTAAAGTAACAATTATTATAAGACAGATGAATCTGAAGATAAAAGATATATATTTCTGCTTTTATTTAATCTGGAATCCATATATAGCTCTGATAATGTCGTCTATCTCTCTTCCCCAATTTTAAAGTTTCAGTATAATTTCAAATGAATCTCATTATACTACATTATTAAAATAGTATCACTGCAATAACTGTATACAGTTATATATATATGATTTTCTAACTATTAAGGGACACAAGGGAAAAGAAATATTCACAGTGCAATGTCAATGATTTCAGGGTACTAATCTCTGCAATTCTCAACATGATTATAACAAGACTCAATTCTGACCACAAAAAAAGGCGGGCTCTGCAAAGGCCAGCTCCTGCTCTTGAAATGGACCATTAGCTTCATACTGGGCTATGTATTGATTAGTTGCCATAGTTTATTTGTCATTTTCCTCTTAATTTCATCCTAGAGCATCACCCTTGGCTAAATGTCTTGAATGGCATCACTGAATCAGACATGCTGTCAGTTCCAACATTTCTAGGAACTTGATGCCCAGAACAACGGATTTGACTTTTCTCACATTGGCCATCTTGATGATCCATGACTTTGCATTGGAGACACCTCCTCCACTGTCTTTCTATAATGCTTCTCGGAGGAAAGACAGCAGATTTTTAGGAAATCTGACAGGATTCATTTGGGGCAGGATAACAGCTTTCAACAAGGACAAATCTCCCAACTACCGTCATCATCATCACTCACACTTCCTTACTCTGTGCCAGGCATTGCTCATGCATCTTTACATCTTTTAATTCATTAAAGCCTCACAACAACCCATAAGGTATTAAACTCATTGTACTGGGGTGTGTAGAGGTTATGTAATTTGCCCAAGGTCTCTTGGCTAGAAAGTGGCTGAACCAGTAGCCAAGCCCAAGCAGTCAGGCTCAAGCCCATGTACTTCATTGCTAAACCATGCAGCATTGACTTTTGGTTGAGTTTTAGAAGAAATACATCTTAGTTTTGACATTAACCAAGCTTCGATTGAAAGTACTATTATTACACTCCTTGTTATTTCTTGAAGTTTTTTCATAGAGTTAAACTCAGTTCACAGGCAAAAAGCAGCTTTCCTTTATTTTCCCCTCTTAGGAAGAAGTATTCCATCTTCATAAAATAAGGTCATTTCAAGATATGTGAAACTTGTCCTAGCTTTAAAGGCCTTATTTCTCATATAATACTCCTCAGCATTTTCATGTAATTTCTCTCAATTGATGCAGACAACAAATAAATGAGGTAACTGAGGTACAAAGTAATTGAATAATTTGACAATAATCATAAATCAATAAGTAACAAGGCCATACTTTTCCTTCTACTTGTTTTCCTCTTTGGGCACAAGTTGAGTTAGAATGGACTACAAGTATCCTGTTCAAGTGATTGGACTTGATTGATTTTTACTACATTTGTGAAAATTACATCGCTAGTATCTCTGGCAAGGTTATAGTTTTTTTTTTATTGTTGTTGTCATTGTTCTTTTTTTTATTATTATTATACTTTAAGTTTTAGGGTACATGTGCACAATGTGCAGGTTAGTTACATATGTATACATGTGCCATGCTGGTGCGCTGCACCCACTAACTCGTCATCTAGCATTAGGTAAGGTTATAGTTTTAAATGTGCAAAATTATTCCAAATTACTTTAGAATCCATTTATTCCTTATGCTTCTGTGCATAAAGGGGATTATGCAGCTTGGAACCCGGTCATCTATGAGATCACACTTTGTATTTTCCATTTACCATGAAAAAGCCATGTAGCTCGTGTGCTTTCTCCATTATTTTCTTCATCACTTTTTTTGAACTTTTCCAGCTGAAGAGCAAGATATCCTTTTGGTCTTATTTCCCAAACCATACTCCATATATATTTCAGAAGTCAATAGTTTGTTTACATAAACACAAACAAATAATGGATTAAAAAGTAATAAAGAGTTTCACTTCTAGAATGGCAGTGTGAATAGCACTGTGGACATACTTCTCAATGAAACCATCATAATTGGTGAAAATTGTTCTTAAAAAATCAGTCATTCAAAGTCTCTAAAAATTACCTTAGGGACATCCATTAAGTAAAACATTTATTCAAGAAAATCTACTAAATCTCAGCAAGAGCAGCAAGAGTCTGTGGTATTTCAGTCATGAGTGGCTCCCTTTTACCTGCCCCTCACTAAGCTCAACTTAGTGGAAGTTCCACTCTGGGTGGGTGTGGTCAAGAAGATGGGGCTTTTTCTCCCCTCATATCCCAGTCAAGAAATATGGCATCCCAGGAGGAGGATCTGGCTGCCAGCATTTCTCATTCTCTCCAACTCCAAATGATAGAGGCTGAATTCCTGATGAGTGCAGCTGAGAGGTAGGGTGTTCCCTACCTCCACCCAGACCTTGTGTATATACTAGGCTTGTCTCTATAGGCCAGGTGCAACAGGCCAAGAATACTAGGGCCTTGATGACTCTCACTCCAGCTAGTTTGCAGAGCAGAGGTTTCATACTGGGAGAAGCAACCCAGCAAGGCAAGAGATTCCCAATGCTCAAAGCAGTGGCTCAGAGATTTTGCCCAGGGGGAGAGTCAGTCCATAAGAACAGATGTAGCTGAAGTTCTCCTCAAAGGAACTGACTTTGAAGGAGTATGTGGCAGTTCAAGCCTAAGGATACTCTAGAAAATGATGGAGACTTTAATGGTGAGCAATTAAGGGAGGCTGATAGATCTATCAGAGCAAAAAGCCTAACCACAGACAATCTTGTTTATCAGAGAGAACCAGGGAAAGGCCCAGCTAAGAGGAGTTTTCTTGGGGTTAGAGCAAACCTCAAAGAATCACGACATAAAGCTACCCCTGCTTAAATGTAATTGGATCAAACTGTGAAGCAATGTATACCCCCAAAATTATTGAAAAATTATTGAGCAATCGGCCAGAAATTCGTGTAGTTTAATAGAAGGAGGCAGACAACTTAACAGAGGTATCAAGGAAAAAGACAAACAGAGCCATGCTGAAACCACTATCATCTCAGGGTGACTGTGCTCATGCTCACAGCCATACCATCTTAGGAGTGACATCAGAGGATTTTATTGTATAGTATGTGAATTCTACATCAATAAAGTTATTTTAAAAAGTGATACAAATAAGAGCAAAGTGAACATTTCCATTTGTTTCCCCTTAAAAGTCACTTGAGAAGAACATGGGCCTGCAATTCTTTTTTTATGTTTGGGTTTATTTATTTTCCATTTGCCACAAGTCATAGTGCATGTCAAAAGAAAAGGGGATCTTGAGACAATTTTGGCCATTTGTTCTCCTTCCCAGTGTACTTTGTGGTACAGTTACTTAGACATCAGCACTGGAATAGCAGGAACATCAAACAGGGAAATGCAGGGTATGTTGGCAGAGTCTGCTGGTCTGATGAGGTTTATTTGCTCACTCTCTATATGAGAGAGTTCTTAATGCTTGGTTCCTGGCTGCTTTGATGTCTTTTCTATGTCTATTTGAAATTGCCAGATTATATGTCCCCTCTTCAAATTTATATCAGTAAAGGAGAGCAAGTAGCAAGCATCACTTCTTCTGCAAAATCACTTTCTTTGGGAGCCACTCATACCAGGATGACCCAGAAGGACCCCAAATTTGACATGTCCAAAATCGAGCTCATTCTTCCCTTCCTGCCTCTGCTACCCCTGCTCCTTCTGTATCTCCAATTCTGGCAGGACACAAACTGGAAAACTGGAAGTCATCATAAACTCCTTCCTCTGCCTTAGCCACACAGCCGATCAATCACTCATCCATCTACCTCCCAAACAGCTCTGTGTCTCTCTGCTCTCTTTCGCTGCTCTTACTGGCCTAGCTCAGGCCATCATCATTTCTCCCTTAGACTGTAATAGCCCGGCACCCTCTGGCTTATACCTCTGTCTTTGGAATTGCCCCCCACTGGCTCACAACATCTGATTTGATTTTACACAGGATCAAGTCCAAGTTTTCCAGTTATACCCAGAATGGCATATAAGGTCCTTCATTCTCTGACCCCTGCTTATTGCTCAAGCCTCATTCCCCAACCTCCATGCTCAGGCTCATCTCCATACTCTTGACCATGAAGTTCCCTCTGTCTGGACTGACCTTGTCCATATTTTTCAAGCAGCTAAGCTCTATTCATCCCTTCAGAACCAGCTCAGGACTAATCTCCTCGGAGTAGCCTTCTCTGACCTGCACACTGTGTTAGGGGCCCCACCTCTGTTTTTCTATAGTTCTTTTTGCATGACCCCATCTCTGCACTACGCTGAAAGTGTTAGTTTATTTGGAGGTTTTCTCCATTAGACTGTGAGCTCCTTAAGAGCATGGGCTATGTCTTAGTCTTCCTTATATCCCCCCAGCTCCTAGCCCAGGTCTGACCTAGAGAGGATGCTCAATATATGTGTTGTCAGAGTGACCATCAGGTTGGTGCTTAGAGGCAAGGTTTATGAAATCTAATCTTTCTGACTTGATACTTGATGATGCAGTTGATAATTGGTTAGATGCACCTCCTTTATGCTCCCAGAGTGTTCCCTCATTCCTCTTACCACTGTGATAGTCATCCTGTACGTTTAATGGCATTTCCTTCTTTATTTATTTGTCTGGCTCCTCACTAAATGGTGTCAGCTCCTGGAGAGAAGGGTTCAAGTTTCCTCTTCATCACTGCTGAATCGTTGGTGCAGAGCCCAGTATGCATGGTGGAAAGTATCCTGTGGGCAGGTGAGCAGATGTGAAAGGAGGGACTGTGTTGGGAATGTCCATTTCTCTGGTCCATCCCACCAATCAGGTGGAGTGTAGAGAGATGGCAGTGCTGCTCTAGCAAAAATTTCCTGCTCCCCAATACAAACACGAGCCTGGGGAAAGGGAGGACCTCACCAACAATGATTACCTGCTAACCTAGATTGCAATTGTGGGCCTCAGCTTTCAGTATGGTCCAGTTGTTGCAACAGAAAGCTTTTGGAAGAGATTTTATTCCTTGTAAACTCCTGGAGAGTTAGGAGTATAGAACAGACCTAGAGAGAGAAAGCAAAACTATTTCAGAGAGCTGCACTGAGAATTGGATTTGTCATTGCAGGATGGGCATCAGTTGTTACTAACATAACTTCAAACACAGAACTTTGAAAGAGCACGTATGTGGTCAAATAGAGATTGAAACAGAATCTTGATAGAGCTCCAGTGTTCAGATGTTTATAAACTGTAAGATGCCTCCTTTCTTGTGCTCACTCTTCCACGCACCTCTCTCTCCTCTACCTTTTTAAGGGTTTCCAGTGAAAACTGAGAAATCTGCTAGACTAATTCCAAAAGAGCTGTAACACTGTGTCTCCTTCTTTATTGAGTACGGTCATAGTTTTCAGCACATGAGCATCAGCAGGATTACAGATGTCTCTCTAAAACAAAAAACAAACAAAAAGTTGACCACTTTTCAGTGCTGCTTAGTGTGAAAACATAAAGACATACTGAATATTTATCAGTGCCAGGGTTGTGTGGGTCTGTCCACACAAACGCAAGCAAACTTTGTCATTCCACTCAAATGAGCCAGTGGCAAAGGGAAATGTTACTTATTTGAGCAGGCTTATGTTACTGTCACCTTGAACAAAAGGTGCTGGTCCAATGTCTCAGTGTAGATCATAAACAAAAAAAGCTTTGAGCCTAGCCTCATCCAGAAAAGAAACCCCTTTGTAGTTTGGACTTCAGGCTGAGTTTGTCATGCACCTGCCCTATCATCCATTCCCTAGGCATTCTAATACTAATTTCTAAAATGAGGATTGAATAAAACTATTTTTGTTTGGGAAATGTCCTGAGATGTCCTGTGATGACCAGAAAGTCTGTCAGGTAAGTTTGACCCCTAAAGCTTGGCTTTGCTCCCCTAGAGGAAACATTCATTAACATTTGTTGAGTGTCTACTGTGAATCAGGCACTGTGCTAGGGCACTTCACATGTGCTCTCTTCTTTAACCCTTAAAATGGCCCAATGAGGGAGGCATTTGCATCCCTCTTTTCCAAATTGGTGACCAAGACTCAAGAAGAGTAAAAACTTACCCAAGGTTGCAAAGCCATCAACTGATAGAACTAGTATGCAATGCCAGCTCTGGCTTACTCTGAAGTGCATGTCTTTGCTCACCACTTCACTGCACTGGTCTCTTGGCTCCTGGATGCTTGAGAAAACCACATCTAGCCATCATCTAGAGATAATCTGCAGCCTTTATAAGTCACTATTTTGGAAGATCACTGATTCAGGTAGCCTTTGTTTTAGGATAGCTTTTACATTTGCAATGTGGTTGTGACTGTGGATTTCCCACTAACCAGAAAAGATTGGCATGTTGTACCACTTTAATCATAATGCTTGAAATAATTACTACATAATTTCAACACCTTGCCTTATATCTCAAAATAGGGAGATGATGATGTACTAACAGAGGTTGTTACACTGACAGCCCACTTAGGCTTTCACCAAATTTGTTGAATTGTAAGTCAAACAACAAATAGAGGGACTTATTAGGTAAACACAGTTAAAATGCATAGCTTCCTGAAAGGCTGCTGATAGTAGACATTCATGAAGACTTGTGCAGGTGCCATTAATTTTTAATTTGCCATCTGTAGAGTCAGTACCTCCAAATATCATTTTTGGGGTCTCTACTTGGGCAGTGTTCCAGGTTGAGTATCGGGAGTGGGAGGAATATTCCAAACCCACACCTGTTCAGATAAATGGTGATATCATTAGCAACAAGAAGTAAGTGATCATGGCTTCTCCCGCTTTTCATAAATTACACAAAATAACCATAATGCTGCAATTTAGTGGTCCAAAGTTCATTCTATTCAGCAGGCCATCCATAGTCAACAGTTTAAAGAAAAGGGACCTGCTGAGAAAATAGTGGTCTAATCAGATGCCATAAAATCGAGCTGATGAGATGAGTCTTATTTCTTATTTTGTAAGGGGATTCTAATGAAGCAATGCTGGGAGGGGATTCATAACTTTCATTATTCAGGTCAGCTGCATCCAGTTCCAAATGAGGCTGGGGAGCCTAATCCTACAAATTATTTGTAGACATGCTGGATTGTGCAGGGGACTTATTAAATCCCAATTTCCTCGCTGCCAAATTGTACACCTTGTCTTGGTTCCTATGAGGACTAATGAGAAAGCTTTGGAAAAAAGGTAAGTCAAAGGGAAAAGTAATCAAATGAAATGTACTGAAGGATGGTGCCTCAAAAACAAATTCATCAAATGCTGAAAGTGGAAGACAAGAGGGCTCCATTTGTGTACAGCACAATAACAGCTCTCACAATATGGTAAACACCTCTGAGGCTCAGGTGGGCAAACACAGGCAGGTTCAAGCGGGAAGTTTCCATGACACATCTAGCACACCTTTCTCTCCAGAAAGAGCCTGAGGGGGGAGGGAAGGGAAGGTTGGCCATTTACTTAAAATCTGCCCACTAGGTCCATAGGCCTCTAGAAATCATCTACCTGTCAATGTACAATTATCTCCTGCCAGGGAGGCATAAATAGCCCAACTGTTAATTTCTGAATTTATTCAATAAATAGTTTCCCAGTGGAATATATAGGAATTATGTTTGAAGTAACTCCAATATGGTAAGTGGGAAATGGACGTATTTCCTTTTGGCAGCACTGAATAGATTGACAATGTATTTTTAATACTTTCAGCATTAAGGAATTCATTAACAAAGCCAGACAAAGGAATCGGTCACCAGCTCCTGGGGAGCAGAGAATCTTTCTGCTGCAGCTCTTGGCTATTGCCTTCTCAGCTCTCTGCTCTCTGCCATTGGGTTGTGTCTTGCTTACTTGCAGGAGAAACTGAGGCCATGGAGAGGAAGGAACTCATACTGTTGTTAAGATTAAATGAGGCAATGCATGCAAAGCTCTTAGCAAGGAGTTTGGCACCTTAAATGATAAGCACTCAATAAATGATACTTAATGTTATTGTTATTATTACTTTTGCAATCACTATCATTATCATAGGAGGAGGTATCTAACTTTTTTTTTTTTTTTTTTTTTGAGACAGGGTCTCACTCCTGTTGGAGTGCAGTGGCAAAATCTTGGCTCACTGCAACCTCTGCCTCACAGGCTCAAGCAATCCTCCCACCTCAGCCTCTTAGGTTCCTGAGTAGCTGGGTCTATAGGCCTGCACTACCACACCTACCTAATTTTTTGTATTTTTAGTAAATACAGGGTTTCACCATGTTGCCCGGGCTGGTCTCGAACTCCTGAGCTCAGGCAATCTGCTCACCTTGGCCTCCCAAAGTGCTGGGATTACAGACATGAGCCACCACCTCGGCCATATATAAATCTTAATGTGTTGAAAGTTATTTGGGATTCTTGTTCTCTAAGATCCCAGTGACACTTCCCAGTGGCCCATATGGGATAACCAAAGTGAGCTCAGCCTGTCTTGCCAGGTGAAGTCCTTTCAGTACAGCTTGATCAACCTTAACTAAATAAGTCTGGTGTCCAGTGATCATAGCTCAAATAAAGAGGATTTCTCTTCTGTGTATAACATGGTTTATAAACTAGGAGTGAGGGGTAACCCACCTCTGGACTCATTAATCAATTCAACAAATATTGGTTGAATGCTTAATAGTTCTGTGCCAGCCTTACTTTTGGATGCTGGGAATAGAGTGATAAACAAAAATAGACACAATTCCTGCCTTTATGTAGTTTACAGTCTGGTGGGTGTGAGGTGGGGGATGAGGGAAGGGGAAGAGACAGACATTGAACTCAACCTACTAGAAGATGTGTACTTGAAACAATATGCATGATCCCAAAATGATTATATCAAAAGAAAATTTCACAGAAGAAATAATAGAACAGGTTTTCAGTCTGTCATTTCCAGAGCACTGGTACCTTACTAGCCAACCAGACATAGGCAAAACAAACAAACAAACAAACAAACAAACAAACAAAACGAAGCAAAACAAAAACACACCAAAAAAACAAACAAACAACAACAACAACAACAAATCAAAACAAACAAACAAAACACTGAAGCTGCTCCTGAGTCTGAAATCTCCACCCAAAGGAGTGGGGCAGAAGCATGGAAGGAAACTCTGTGAAGTCACTTGTACCCTTGCACTGCCCCAACTGGCAGTAAAGTGAAACAGGTCATACATGACACCCAAGAGTATGAGAGTGAAAAGAGGCACTCCGTACTGCCTTCACTGGTGACTCACTATGGCATTCATCCAGTCAGCATGCATTTATTGAGCCCTTACTAAATTCCAAAGGGTACACAGTAGTCCCTGCTTTCAGAGAGCTTCCATTCTAGTGATTGGCCCTGAGTCACTAACCAATGATGGTGAGTTCATCTACATTCCTAAAGGTAAGGGATAGCTAAATTAATATTAAAGGCAGTTTGGAAATGTATGCCAGGCAGAAAGAACAGCAAATACAAAGACTGGAAACAAGAACAAGCTTGGAGTATATAAGCAACAGAAGAAAGTCCACTGGGGCTGGGCGCGGTGGCTTACGCCTGTAATCCCAGCACTCTGGGAGGCCAAGGCGGGTGGATCGGCTGAGGTCAGGAGTTCGAGACCAGCCTGGCCAACATGGCAAAACCCCATCTCTACTAACAAATACAAAAATTAACTGGGCATGGTGGCACGCAGCTGTAATTCCAGCTACTCAGGAGGCTGAGGCTGAAGAATCGCTTAAATCCAGGAGGCAGAGGTTGCAGTGAGCCGAGATCGCGCCACTGCACTCCAGCCTGGGTGACAGAGTGAGACTCTGTCTCAAAAAAAAAAAAAAAAAAAAAAAGAAAGTCCATTGGGATTGCAGCATAGTGGATGAGGGAGAGATTGGTGGCAAAGAAGGCAGGAGAGAGTTCTGGCTTATACAACTGGGTACATGGTGGTGCCATTCACTGGGAGAGGGACCATGGGAGAAAGAGGTTATTATAAATTGTCATTGCTCGCATGTGGCACAATTTTGCCACATGATCATCCTAGGCTTAGGATCACTAAGGCCATTTCCAACTTACTAATAGGCAAGCTTTCAAGGTCTATTTGTGAGATGGCTTGTTAAAATCCAGAGTTTGTTTTCCCATAGAGTAATGTTATATGTGGCCAGCAGATGGGCTGTTGTATTGGAAATTTTACTGTCCAAGACCCAAGTGTGGAGCTGGAGTGAACCTGGACAAAGTGCCATTCATGGAGGGGCTATGTCAATGTCAAGGCCCTGGTGTAGCCATGGATATCATCTGAGTGCTGCCTGTGGCTAAATTAGCGCTCATGGAGTATTGATGGGCAGGACCATAGGATTAGCTCAGGCCAATGGACCATGAGCAGAAGTGATGTGAGTTACTCCTAGGCCAGAGCATTTAATGACTGGTAAGCCATTAATGTAAGCAACCTCTTTCTAGATGGCAACCCATGTAAGACATGTAGCAAGAATGAAATAGAAATGTGTATTACTAAAATTGTGGGTAGTTAGCACAATGTAGGCTAGCCTACCTTATACAGTGGTGTTTGCCATTTGGCAGTCTAAATCCATCAGGTCCTCCTGTGTACCATGCCATAGATGGAGGAGGTATTAGATTGGCCATGAATAATATGCCTGGGTAGGCTTGGTGTGGTGCTCATACCTATAAATCCAGCACTTTGGGAGGCCAAGATAAGAGGGTCACTTGAGCCCAGGAATTCAAGACTAACCTGGGCAACATGGCAAGACCCCATCACTACAAAAATAATAATAATAAAAAAATTAGCCTGGCATGGTGGTGCCTGCTTGTGGTCCTAGCTACTCGAGGGACTGAGATGGGAGGATCACTTGAGCCCAGGAAATAGAGGCTGCAGTGAGCTGTGATGGCACCACTGTATTCCAGCCTTGGTGACAGAGTGAGACCCTGTCTCAATAATAATAATAATCATAATGCTCATTTCAGATATCCAGCTAGACTTGTCCTCTTGCTCGCTTGACCTTTCAATATGCTAATGTTTACTCTCATTTCACTGTGCCTCTATTCCCTAACTGCATAGCTTGACTTTCAATAACTGCCCCTCATGGCCTACCCAGCTTCCTGACACATTTTCATGCCTTTCTCTGCTTTATTGACCTTGAGTTCCCACTTGCCTCTCCTCTCTGCACACCATCTCAATTTGAGCATCCTTTGTAGCTATACACAGGATACTCTCACAAACAACTCTTGGCACTATGAGAGCCTCATCAAGCCCCATCTCCACAGGATAAGGGAGTTTAGATACTAGTAAAAAAAAGGGAGCCAATGATGTTTTCTGGGGAAGCAATACTGAACATGAGGAATGTAGGATAAAGGTGAGACTGCCAATGAAAAATGAGGGTAGAAGTCAGAAATACTGGAAATTAGTGCAGAGCAAAAAATGGCTCAGGACCAAAGATCTGAATGGTGCCTGGTTGACTGAGATGAACTCCCTCACGTACTTCCTTAGGGGTGCCAGCTGTGTGGTATAGGGGCAGGCCCAACAGCTTAAGAAAATAGAACAGGTAGGACTTGGCATCTATAAAACTCAAGACTCCAGATAACATGATACCTACAAAAACATTCTTCCAGGGTTGTAGCTTAGCTCTGCCATGCTACCCTGGCAGGTGCAGTAGGAGTATTCCCACCCCAACAAGTAGAGAAAGCAGAAAGCATTGGTGATGACTTCTATGGCTAAAGGCAGCTTCTAGTGTTGGGACCTGGACTGAAGCCTTGGAATGTTCTTTTTACCCCATGAATGGGATCTTCCAAAAGTTATACAGTGGGGGCTGCCTATAATCTGCTGTGTTTGTGTCTAAGCCAGTTTTGGGTCCAACCATGCACACAAATGATGTGGGCCCTTTCGTTTACAATGTCTCAGTGACTTTTGCACAAGAAGCTTTTTTTTTTTTTTCTGCCAGTTGAAGGCAAGTGCTAAATAAAACAGGAAAAAAGGAAATGGATGGCATTGGGGCCAGAAACAAAGACACCGAAAGATATTAGTTCCAGATACTTGACTTCCACAGCTGGCTGGAATGTTTAACATCTCTAGTCCTGAGCTGTTCTCTCACTTTCCTTAACACAGCCACTTTCTCTGTTATAGATACATGACTTAACTTTTTGTAGGAGAAGCAAAATCCACTGGTAATTTTTCCCCCTTCGATCTCATCCTAGCACCCAGCACTCAGTAGTTGCTCAATAATGTTTGTTGCCATGAAATGTTTCTTTTTCTTTTTTTTTTTTGAGATGGAGTTTTGCTCTTGTTGCCCAGGCTGCAGTGCAATGGTGTGATATTGGCTCACGGCAACCTCTGCCTCCTGGGTTCAAGCGATTCTCCTGCCTCAGCCTCCTGAGTAGCTGGGATTACAGGCATTCACTACCATGTCTAGCTAATTTTGTATTTTTAGCAGAGACGGGGTTTCTCCATGTTGGCCAGGCTGGGCTTGAACTCCCAACCTCTGGTGATCTGCCTCCCTCGGCCTCCCAAAGTGCTGGGATTACAGGCATAAGCCACCGCCCCCGGCCGCCATGAAATGTTTCTATCTGAACAGCAGCCATCCCAGTACCTTACCTTTTCCATTCTGTTGAACCCTAAACTATCTCACCTTGTTTTGCCTTCCTTCCTCCAGTCCTAGAAATACTAGAACGCTGTCTACACAGTAGAAATACTAAGATTTCCAAATGAATACATGTCTGCTTCTCTTCTTCCTTGGAGACTCATCAGGAGAGTCAATCAACTGACAAGTATATACTGAAAACCTACAGTGTAGCAAGCAAGCAACAGCTGCAGGGTAGTTACAACCCTTTGGAGAAAGCTCCAGGTACAAGGTAATATTGTCATGAATGGTTTCCATGTCATTTACTTTTCCCACATATTAACGTGCTGCTGGTTCTAATTACTCAGAATATTATCATTGTTACTGGCTTTACGTTTCTCTGTGTTTTCATAGACAAGGCAGTTCTAGACATTATAGTAGGTAACAGACCAAGTAAATTCAATTTGATTAGCTATCATTTGCCTATCATTTATCATTAGAAAAACCAATTTTTCTGGTTTTTATAAAGGATGTTCACAGCATTTCCCAGTTGAGTCCTGTGTCAAGTATTTGACAAGGTATGATAAGTTGAAATGTTTCAAGTTGCATACAATATTCCTCAAGAAACAATGTTTTACACCGCATGTTCTCACTCATAAGTGGGAGATGAACAATGAGAACACATGGACACAGGGAGGGGAACATCATACACCGGGGCCTGTGGTGGTGTGGGGAAAGGGGAGGGAGAGCATTAGGACAAATACCTAATGCATGTGGGGCTTAAAACCTAGATGACGGGTTGATAGGTGCAGCAAACCACCACAGCACATATATACCTATGCAACAAACCTGCATGTTCTGCACATGTATCCCAGAACTTAAAGTATAACAAAAAAAAAAGAAAGAATGTTTTAATACAAGGTCCAGCAAACTATGGTCCATGGGCCAAACAAGCCTGCCAGCTGCTTATTTTTGTAAATAAAATTTTATTAAAATACAGCTATGCCTATTTTAAAAATATATTGTCTATCACTGCTTTCATGAAATATAACAGTTGCAAACAACTGAAATGTCTTCCATGTATTAAATGCCTGATGTTTGCAATGGCCATCACATTCATTATTTTACCCAATCCACATGACGTCTCTGATGTAATAATAGCTAGCATGCATTGTACTAATCAGAGTTTTGTTCTTAATCTGGTGTCCATAAACTTAGATGGGAAAAATTACAACAAAATTAGAAAATTAACTTCCACTAACCTCTAAATGAAAGCAAGCCTTTCCTTCCATTATGAATGTAGGCAACAAACCAAAGTCATATTTGCAATACCTGTGACTTTATTACCAGTAGAAATATCACAGCTACTTTTCCAGTACATTACAGTTGTTGTAGTTATCTCACAATACCACTTACTTTCCTTATTGCTTTGAAATATTGGTAGATATTAGACAGAGTGCTAAATCTTGTTATTTATTCAATATGCTACTGAGGAAGCATGTATATCACAAATTTGTTTTAAAAATATGTCAATAACTTGATTTCATTATAACTAGTTTTCCCTTTGTAATCCAAAGTATTGCATTTATGTATTTAAAAATATTATTCTGAAAAGGGATCTGCAGGTTTTCACAGGCTGCAAAAGTAAGCCATGCAGAAGAAGTTTAGGTAGATCTATACTGAGTGCATTAATTCACTGAATACTGGCAACTACCCTGGGTCATGGGTACTACAACGAGCCCCTGACCACTCCCTTTTTACACAGGAGGACAATGAGGAGCAAGAAGATTGATTTAATTGCCCAAAGTCACAGAACTAGTAATGTGGCTGAGATGTGAACCCAGTCTGAGTTCAGAATCTATGCTCTTCCTCAATATCCTGCACTATGTTACTCTTATTGCGTCACTATCCCAATTTTACAGGTGAGGAAATCAATTCTTTTTTACAAAGGAGGATGTTAAAGGCTGTTGTGAATAGGGAAAAACATGAAAACAAATTCTTGAGCACTTACTATGCCAGGCTCTTTTCAATCATATCTCATTTTATCCTCTTAATGGCCCTCAGTGATTGACTGATGAGTGAACTGAGACATAGGGAGGATAAGCAACTTACAATCACACTAGTTTGAAGCCATGTTAGCATCCAGAGCCTCTCTCTCTCTCTCTCTCTCTCTCTAACTACACCATGCAACCTAATTAGTATGTAAATTATCTCATGCAATCCTGAGATCTTATTTCATTCGTAGGGTTTTAAGTGAGGGGAAGATATTGCAAGGAAATATCCATGCCCTCTTTCCTACTAGAGCCAAGAAATTTTTCATCAAAACAGATGGGCTAAATCAGTATGGATCTGCATGATGCAATTTTAAGCCAAATATTTCATGTGAGGTTTAAGAATTTCACAAAACCACGTGTAAGAGTCAAATTTAAAAATAAAGTAGTAGATTGATATCTATTTCTATGATGAATGTTCTGACTGACAATATAATACAGGAAAATAATACTTTCAAGCAAGAAAATTGATATCAATATAAATTTTTAAAAAAGGAATTGCAATAAATTATGGTGCAAACCTGTTTGAAGGATCTCAAATAAAACTGCTTAAACAATGCTGACTTAACTTCAAAAAGTATATTCTTGTTCAATTAGTTGGCCTGATTCCCTCAGTAAACTTCAAATCAAGGCCGAGTTTAAAGTATTTTGTATCAGTTACAATTTACAAACCAAGGAAAGAAGCTAGGAATGAGAAAGTCTTTCTGGGTAGGAACTGCTTTGCTCAGATCCGAACTGTTTATACTCACAAATCACAGTGTGTGTAGTTCAGACATGGCCTAAGCTTTTCCTTGGCAATAATGCTCAAGTCTGCCCTAAGAGAATGCAGAAACTCCGCCCCCAGAAAGCCGTTTCATTAGCAGCCTGCCTCTTCCTGCTAGGAGAGCTTCGTTTCCCAAGGCTCTCAGTGGTCACAAACCACGTTTCTAATGCAACTAAAAGATTCCTCTTCACGGACACTTAATGATGCCGAGTGTGTCATTACGACAAAAACAAACAAACCTTGTCTTCAGAAAGGAAATCTGGGGCCTCATAGTCCAGAAATGAACACAGAAGAGTGAAATAAAATAGCCTGTATTTGGAGAAGCCCTTCAGGATTCTATGGGGCATTGGGGAAGGAGGCCTGGATTTGCATTTGGCAGATTCATTCCTGGCTGCAACACTTAGCTTCTTAGAACCTCAGCTACTTCATTTGTTCAAAGGCATTGGATTCCACCAGCCTGCCACTACGCAGGAGCAAATCCAGCCATTTATTAAGTATCGTGTGCTGGGTCCTGTATTAAGTATGGGGTGATTGCGAAAAGCAATGTGTGCGATATAAGCATTTAAGAATAGTTGGTTACGGGTAATGTGTACGGTATCATCATTATTATTACATGGTCATGATCTCTGACACTTCTTCCTTTTGTCTGTTTTATTTCTATTTTAAACAATGCTTATCGATTTTTTTCTGATTATAAAATTTGTGAACATGTTCATTGATCTGGAAAACACAGGAAGGTACAAAGAAAAAACAAAACTTCCATAACCATGTTCATATGAGACAAAACCACCCAGTCAAAAATGTGAATTAGAAAATAACTAAGGGATCAGAACCCATCTGGTTGAACCACACATCTATGCATGTGTCCATCCCACCATCTATCCAATTTGTCCCTCCCTCCAATAATAAACAATGGCAGACACTGTGTAGGTGCCGGGTGTGTGCCTGGTGCAGGACCAGAGTCATCTGTGCATCTCCAGACTCACAGAATACGGGGGGTGGGGTGGAGGGCCCTAGAGAACGTTCAGCCACCCCCCCCACCCCCCGCCCTGCATTTTTTTCCAGAACAGGAAGAGAGAACATCTTTGTCGTGGGTGACCCCGCAGCGTGCTTGCTTCCCATAGAAATGGAGGAGACATTCCTACCCTGGCCCCTTGGGTTCGAGGACAGGCTCCATCTGGAGGGCCCTCGCCCAGTCCAGGAGATTCCTTCATTTCTAAGAAAAGTGCCTAACTGCGGCCAGTGGCTCCTACAGACCCCTGTATGCCCCCCTCCGGTCCTTGCCCGCCTCCCCTTTCGAAGCCTCTCGCTTGCTCGCTCGGGATTGGATCAATGCAGCAGAGTGCTCTTTGCTGGGCCTTCATGCCCTGTGATCGCCCAGCCCGGGGCTTTAGGGGCTGAGCGTATCAATTCAGGCCCACTGAACTGTATTTCCCCAGCCCGGGCCCGCCCCCGGCCTTTGTGCCGCGCCGGGTCCGCCCCCTTTACTCACTCTGCCTTCATGCTTTGTTTGGCAAACACAAAACGCCCGGCCCAGCGGCGGGTCCTTTTCAAGCTTCGCAGCCAGCACTTGAAAACGCCGCGAGGCTCGGGTACCTGGGAACACCTCCGGGGCCAGGCAGAGTGGACGCCCAGCGGCTCGTGCCCCCGCCAGGCGCGTCGGTGGTCTGGGCCGCGCCCCCCGAGACGGCCGGCCTGAGTCTGAGCCGAGAGGCGCGGGCTTCCCCACCGCGCTACCCTGAATGCCCGGGGCATCACAACTTTCTAGGCGCCGGCGTTCCCTTTGAAAATCTGGGGCACTTTTGGGGCCCCCTCGCCTTGCCTTTGTGTTTTAAATGGCCTAGAAGTTCACTTGACACAGAATTTAGAAGCCTGAGAACCGGTTTCGATGATGCACCCGGAGCTTTAACCACAGCAGCCTTTACTGGACACTAAGGGCTGCAAAGGCTCTGGCTCAAGAAGAATAAAAGCAGCAACATCGGTGGGAACAGCAGCTACTGTTTATTGAGCGCTTACTATGTGCCAGGTGTCATGCTAAGTGCTTTACAAGCATGACGAGGTGCAAACTTAATTTACAACAACCTGTGATGTTGGGATTAGAGCCTCTTGTATTGAAAAGGAAGCTAAGGATCTGAGAGGCTAAGAAAGCTTGCTCCTAACCACTCCTCAGTCGAATGAATGTCCTCTTTATTTAAATAGTGAAATCCGTTGACGTCCTTTCTTTTTTTCTTTTATATAAATAGAACGGGTCTTTCTCTGTCACCCAGGCTGGAGTGCAGTGGGGCGATCACGGCTCACTGCAGCCTCGACCTCCTGGGCCCAAGCAATCCTCCCACCCCAGCCTTCCGAGTAGCTGGGATCAGGGGTGCACCACTACATCCAGCTAATTTTTAAATTTTTGTAGAGACGACGTCTCACTATGTTGCCCAGTTTGGTTTTGAACTCCTGGGCTCAAGTGATCTCACCTCAGCATCGCAAAATGTTGGTATTTACAGGTGTGAGCCACAGTGCCTGGCTCGTTAACTGACATCTTTTGGCCCTTTATAAGAAGTTTTTTTGTTTTTGTTTTTATTTTTTGCTATTCCTGAACATGTCATTTTCTGTCCTGCTTTTATCAGTTGCCTTCATAGCCTGAGTGGAAGAAACTTTTAGGTGTTCTCATATAATAATTATTAGAGTAGCCTCACTTTGTTGAAGATTTATAGTGTGCCAGGCACTTAGCTAAGTGATCAAATATATCCTGTCATTGGATCCTCAAAACCATCCTCTTGGGTGAGTTCTGGTATTGTCTCCATTTTACAGTGGTGGAAACTCAGCAAGCTGAAGTAACTTGCCCAAGGTCACACAGTCAGAGAGGATTTCACAGAGCCAAGGCTTGTCTGAAGCCAATGTGTGTTCTTTTTTTTTTTTGACGGAGTCTCACCCTGTCACCCAGGCTGGAGTGCAATTGCACGATCTCTGCTCACTGCAACCTCCGCCTCCCGAATTCAAGCGATTCTCCTGCCTCAGCCTCCCGAGTAGCTGGGACTACAGGCGCGCGTCACCACACCCAGCTAATTTTTATATTTTTAGTAGAGACGGGGTTTCACCATGTTGGCCAGGATGGTCTCGATCTCTTGACCCCGTGATCTGCCTGCCTCGGCCTCCCAGAGTGCTGGGATTACAGGCGTGAGCCACTGCACTGGCCCCAGTGCCTGTTTTCTAAACCATTAGATGATATTGCCTTCTATTGTTATTAATTGTGTTTTAATGTTTACAGTTCTTCAAAGGGTGGCTTTTTGTTTTCCAAAATTTGCCTTTCAAAGTAACATAATTGACAATCACTTGCTTTGTTATTTTAAGTCCCTTTGGGATCATTTTTTCCTTGAAAAGACTAAAATAGCTTCAAACTGCAGTAACACAAAGGGAAACAAGGAGAATTGGGCTCCTAACTTAGGTAGGTCCACCTGTTAACAGGTGTTTGTTGGAGGAACGGAAAATGACTGATGCCAAACTAATAAATTTTAGAACATCCACATCAAAGGGAGCAGCACATGCCAAGACCCTGTGGTTGGAAGGGGTATAGCAAGTTTCTGGGACTGAAAATTCAATGTGGCTGGAGCATAAAGAACAAGGAGGAACATGGTATGAGATGGGGCTGGAGAGATACACATGTGGGGCCTACCCATCATGGGCCTACAAAGTCCTGCTGATGTTTTGAGTCCTTACCCTAAGATCACTAGGAAGCCATTGAAGAGTTTAGTAAATAAAAGGTGCCTGTAATCCCAGTGCTTTGGCAGGCCAAGGTGGGAGGATCATTTGAGGCCAGGAGTTTAAGAGCAGCCTGGACAAGATAGCAAGACTCTGTCTCTACAAAAGAATAAAAAATTAAAAAGTCAAAGGGTAACATGGCATTCTTAAAACATCACTCTAGCTTCAGTGTAGAAAACATATTAGGAAACATAGTAAATCTAGGGAAACAACTAGTAAACTATGTAGTTGTCCAAGCATGAGATAATGGTGGCTTGGACTAGGGTGATGATAGTGGTTTTCTACTATTAATAAATGGTTGCCCAGGAGCCACGCACATAATGTCTCAGATCTTCAGTTTTCTCATCTGCAAATTGTCCCCAACACCATCAACCTTTCTCACATGAAGGTCAATCAAAAAAGAACATATACAGGCAAGCCATTAATTTAACATAATGATAAGCCAGGTCCAGTAATTTTCAATCCTGATTAAGTAATATCTGCTACTTTTCATTATCATGTAATGACTAGGTAGAGCTATAGGTTTTTTTCAGGTTTAGTGTTAACTATACAATAAACACCTGACTAAAACACACTTCTCCTTGTAAGGACTTAAACCATTATAGATAAGACTAGAGTTTCCCTTGACTTCCTTCCCAAATCCTGGTCCCCTTTGTCTCTCCTTAGAGGCAATGTTTAAAGTCCTTGAAATTTGAACTTCAGAAACACAGGTGATGATGCAGACCAACCAATTGTAGCTGAGTTCATCTAGAAGCATAATATTGGGGTCACCTGGAAATACCTAAAAGAAAAACTCTCTCTTTTGGGGCAGCTGCTTTGTAATAGACATCTGTGTTCATGGATCCTCATATCCCACTGTGGTCAAAGGTCGGTTGGATCTCTGCAGGGTTGAATATTCTCCACTTGTACTTTGAAACAGTAAGTGATTTGTCTGCATATGTACACTATATGTCACTAAAAAGCATGTTGTTTTTGGTTTAAAGTGCAAGTGTTCTGTGTCTTGAATTTGATCATAAAGTGAGCACACCTATGAAACCAGCACCCAGGGCAAATTCAAGACAGAGAACATTACTAGCAGCCCAGAAACCCTACTTGGGTCCCCTTTCTATCACTATTCCTCACTCAGAGATAACCATTGACTTCTAATGGCATAGATTAGTGTTGTCTATTTTTGAACTTTATATAAATGGAATAATACAGGATGCACCCTTTTGTGTGTCTGTGTGTGTGTGTGGGGGGGTTGTTTGTTTTTGTTTTTTTTTTTTTTGCTCAATACTAGGCTTGAGAGATTCATCCATGTCCTTTGCACGTAGCAGTAATTCATTATCAGTGCTGTTGCATAGTGTTCCACTGTGCAAATATAACACACAATGTATCCATCCTATTGTTGATAGACATTTAGGTTGTTCCAATTGGGGTTACTTGATTTTACTATATTTTTTATTACACCTGAGCAGGTTTTTCAGCTTTAAATTTACACTGTCATGAGAATGAAATGCCCACAAAACAAAGCTGATTATTTTACTCTCTCAAACTTAAAGTCCTTTGTTGGCTCTCCCTTCCTTTCCTCTGAATTAAATCTGAATTCCTTAGCATGACACTCAAGATCTTGTCCAACATATCCAAAACTAAATGTTGAGCCTCATATCCTGCCACCAAATTCCAGCTACTCATTTCTCATTACTCCCCAGTCATACCAGCCTTTTTCATGACTCTGTGCCTTTTTTGCACATGCCTTTCCGATGATTTGAGATGCTTTCTTCTTTATCTGGAAAACTTCCACTGCTTCTTTAAGATCCCACTCCAATGTCACCTCCTTTGTGAAGCCTTCCTGAATGCTTGTAGGCAGAATCAAGTGACACCATCCTCTGGGTTCCCCTAAAATTGGTTCAGCTTATTAATTTTATTTTCACTTAAGAAAGACATTGCATTTAGTGCATATTCTAAACACTTGACAAATATTAACTCATTGATCCTTAAAATAACCCCTTTGGGACAGGTATGATAAAAAGAGTACTTTTGCCAAGTGAGGAGACTGAGGCACATAGAGTTTAAAAATGACTTCCCTACCTTATGATAGGTGGATGTAGATGTATTAATTTGTAGATGCAGAGCCTAGGTCAAAACCCAGGCAGCCCAACCCCAGAGCTCAGGCTCTTCCTTACTTTGCCACACTGCTGCTATCTCTGGGTTTCACTGCCCTCTGCTTGGATGAATCAACTGGCTGACATACCAGTCTCTCCCACTAGACTGTATCGCCTGTTACCATTTCATTCCTATTTGTGTCCTGAAAGCCTGAGAGAATGCTCAGTAAATAAGAAACATGGTTGAATTCACTAAGGGGAGTGGTTCAGAAGAGCCTGGGAATTTCTGGGTGTGAAATGCAAACAGGTTGCCTAAACAATTAGCTCAAGAACAACGTTCATCCAGGTAGAAGGGTTGTAAGGCTTAAATACGATCATGGGTGTAAAGTGATTAGCCTGGCACGTGGCAAGCGTGTGATAAATGTTATTTCGCACTACACTAATAATAACAGCAGTTCACATTTAACAAGCAATTACCATGTTCCAAGCAATGCTGTAAGTGGTTTATTTAACTAATTTAATCCTCATGATAACACTATAAAGTAAGTATTATTGTCAGAATCTAAGCAGTAAAACAGAAACCACTTCAAGTGTAAACAACAGTGAGAATTTAATGCCTGAAATTGGTGACACAGTTCAGGGAAGACCTAAGAAACCAAAACGGATTGAAGAGGCAACCTGGACATTAGTAGTAGCAGGAAGCTGCTAACACCCATAGGCTGGAGGGACAAAGGGAGGGGACAGTGGTACAGAGCCAGGGGCTGGGATCACCCAGTGAAAGCTAGAATCACAGTGGCAATCTCTGGGACAGAGAAGGAGGGGCCACCAGCAGGGGCTGGAGCCACAGAAGAGATTCAGCCTTGAAGGAGAAACTGCTTGAAGCAGAGATACTTTCACGGCTTCCTGGGACATTGGCCTCTCAGTGCTGAAACCAGAAGAGTCCTGGACAAACTGGGACAAGTTGGTCACTCTGGGACACAGAGAAGCAGGGGAAAGAAATTATCTGGCTTCTTTTTTCTTTTCCCCCTTCTTCCTCCAGTGAGTGCCTCCTATTGGCTAGACCCAGCGGGAAGTCAGCCTGGGAAAGAGCCTGAAGGGGTTAGACCCCCTACCATACAAAGCAGAGCAGGCAAAAAGCTAGAAACGGACTTGAGGGTCAACAGACCCACGACTGGAACAGCCACATGATAGGCACCGAAACTTTCATGCACAAAGGCAACAAACCGCTTGCAGTCTGGGTCTTTGAGTAGCCCCTATCTATAGGGTTGGGTTCGGGCAGCCAGGAACTAGTTTTGGCTGTGCAGAGCTATTTTCAGTCCTGAGGGGCTGTGATTAAACATAACCATGTGACCCGTGACTCCAGCCTCTATCACAACCCATTCCTCTTACACAAAAGGTGAGGCACAGTTCTGCAGTAGATCCCACCTCATGTTGGACAGTCATCAGCACCAGGGCTGCTGGACACAGGGACGGCATTGAGCTAGAGAGTTTGTGCCAATGTAAATCAGCAATCACTAAGCATGCTGTTTAGTTCAGCTGACATTTTATTTTCACAGCAAGATTGTTGATGAAGCAAGTAGTGAATTGATTTACATTCTGGCGCAAGCTCCTTATTTCGTCATGGACCACTAACGAACAGTTCTCAGACTGGCACTGGTGTTTGGATCACACTTTTGTTGGCTTTGTCTCTGGAGAAATAATGTGGTTTAAAAGTAGAGGGGAAAAAAGCATCAGATCAGGGCTCAATCTCTGCTTCTTTCACTAATTGTGTGAGAAAGTCACTTAACCCCTCTCTTAGGTCAGTTTCCTCCTCTGTCAATACCAAACCAAGATGCCCTGCCATCCACACCGGGTCACCTCTGAAGGTTGTTTCCTTTACTGTGGGGCTGAATCCATGACTGGTTGGAAAGGGGTGGATATCTCATTCTTAATCTGCCACAAAACTTGGAGCGGGGAGGCACAGAACTACCGGGACATGCCCATGCTCAATCATGGGGCATTGAAAAACAGAAATAGCCCCTAGAATGTATGGCACAAAATAATCCACTTATACTGGCCTTGTAGCAAATTATGAGTGTGTGTGTGTGTTTGTGTGTGTGTACTGGGAAACACGGTGATAGAGTGGGGTGCAGACAATGGAAAGAAGAGTCGGGAGAATGAGGGGTGGGGTGGTGTGACTGACTGAGCTGCCCAAGGGAAGTGGTAATCAAATGAAATGAGTATCATGGAGAAGTCCAAAGACACTGAAGGAGAACTGCCCATGTGGATGGGCATGTTATGTGACAATGCCGACAGATGGATACCATGTGTAAGCTTCACTGGATAATGCCAAGAGTTCAGTGGATGTGGTGGGAATTACTGTGCCTTCTGGGGATCACATCCTAGCAGTGACACAGGGTTGGGAGCCAAATTGGCATGTCCTCCAAAAATGTGGGTAGGGCTACCCTGGCCTGGCTACATTTTACAGCCCTTACCTTGGCCAGGGACCAGAGTGTGCGTGAGGGTCAAAGCCACCAATGTGCACCTGTGTGTTCACTCACAACAGCTGGGCCACCTCTTTAAGGGCAGCCTTGTATTCCTCTGGTCAGAGGCCAATCCCTCCCCCAACTCCCTTCCCAAACACCCAGCTGCTGTGCTGGGAAGGGCCATTAGTGAGGACAGAAGGAGACAAAGGGGAACCTCTTGTGTCTCCAGATCCTGCAGCTCCCTAGCTGTTCCTATGGGCACACAGATGTCTGCAGACTCTGTGAACGTTGTCTGATAGCCAAAGAGGGCAGTGGGCCAGGTCAGGGAACTGGGACTCCAGCCAGCACTGTCTGCCCTGGACTATCGCCCAGCCTGAGTCTTTCCTGCCAGAATCCATGCCAGGGGAATGTCCAGTGGTAGATCCAAGTATCCCAAGTTCTTTAGACCCATGATGTCTTTACAGAAAAAATTATGTGCCTGTTGTGAAAGGGCCTTGGTATCTCACACTGAGGCCAGATGTTAGAAACTGTTATCTGGAGGCGGCGCCTAGAGAAGAACATGCTTGGGGAGGCCACAGCCCATATGGCAGTGAGGAACATGCTTGGAGCCTTGGGAAGTTCTGGGGAACCAGGTGGTCCTGTTGCTCTGGTAGATCCACACCATTTAGTGAGATCACATGAAAACCCTTAAAGAACTCAGAGTTACTGGGAGTCAGACTTCAAGCAGAACTTTCAAGCCCTTTCTCCACCTTCCTTCATCTCTTCTGGTTTTATGTTGCTCTCCTCACTTTATCTCTCTTTTCTCCTGTCTCCTATTTGATGCCTAGTGCCCAGGAACTCTGGGGGCTCATCCTCCACCTACCCTAGTTCCCTAAACTTGTCTCCTTCCTGCTGATACTGTAGTTGTTTTAGAATGCTCTGCTGATACTGTACTTGTTTTAGAATGCTATCCCAGAAAATACCCCATTGGCTTGGATCTGGCACTCAGTTCTGGGGCGGTGAGGGGAGGGCAAGAGAGAGGGCGTCTTTTCAGGCAGCATGCTGAGACTGACACTGCCGCAGCTTCCTGTGCTTCCTGCCTGGGCAGAGGTGCCCAGGGGTAACAGCGAGGGTAGCAGCAACAGCTCCATTCACTCAACAGGGTCATAGACTAGGCATTCGCTCAGCTGTGTTATATGCTGGGATACAGCCAGCAGGAACCAGTTCATAGCAATGGAATGAAATTGCCTGGGAGGGACTGTGGTATGGAACTACTACTGTTCTCTGGGAGAGTAAGGGCAAAGGGAACATGTTCAACTCTAGATGGGCACTCCAATGGGCAGAGCATGGACATCAGGGTAGGCTGACAGCAGGCAGCAGGGCCCCAGGCTCTGGGCTAGAGCTTAATGTCAAGTCCTAGGGAACCTCTCCCCAGGCCTCAAATGCCAGGAGCACTAGCCCAGTTTGGTGCGGACTCCAGAGTCCAGGGTGGTGTGGTAGAGGGAGCATTGACTTTGCTTAGAGCATGACAGGCTTGAGTTCAAATCACAGCAATGCCATTTAAGACCTCTGTAAAATTGGGCAAGTTATTTAGTAATTTTGAGTCTCAGTTTCCTAATCTGGCAAATGTAGACACTTCAAAATCATCTCACAAGGTTAGGAATTAAATAAGGCAGTGTCTGTGAAAGTACACTGACTGACATTATTACTAAACTTGGGTCTAATGTAGAGATGGAAGTGCTCTTGGAAGGGAGCAGAAGCCCAGCTATTACCACAAGCTGGGTAGGAATGGGTTTTGCAGAATAGAGCATGCAAGCCAAGCCCAGAACCCGTGCCTGGGGCTACTTAGAAGTCAGGCTTGGCATTGGAGGGGAAAGATTTTAAGCAAAAAAGCTACCTGATCAGTTTTATGTCAGGGGGAGGCAGAGGACAAACATTTTGGAGCTAGTATGACTCAGTTCTGAATCCCTAGCTCTAGCAATAGGAGCTGTATGAGCTTAGACAAGTTATTTAACTTTTTGGCATCTGTAAAATGAGGATAATGATGCCTACTATTATGGGTTAAATTTTATTTCCCCAAATTTTCTGTTGAGGTCTTAACCCCCAGTACCTGTGAATGTGATGTGATTTGGAAATAGGATCTTTGTAAATGATCAAGTTAAAATAAAGTCGTTAGAGTGGACCTTCATCTAATATGACTGGTGTGATGATTAGTTTTGGGCGTCAACTTGATTGGATTAAAGGATACACAGATAGCTGGTAAAGCATTATTCCTGAGTATGTGTTTTTTCATTCATGTTTGTGACAGTGTTTCAAAAACAGGTTAGTATTTGAATCAGTGGACTGATTAAGGAAGGTCTGGCCTCGCCAAATGTGGGCAGGCACCATCTAACCAGCTAAGGGTCTGGATAGAACAAAAGGTAGAAGAAAGGAAAATGTGATCTCTCTTTCTTCTGGAGTTGGGACACCCATTTTCTCCTTCCTTTGGACATCAGAACTCGAGGTTCTCTGGGCTTCAGACTCCAGGACTTGCACCAGCCACCCCTCAGGTTGTCAGCCTTTAGAATTGGACTGAGCCAAGCTACCAGCTTTCATGGTTCTTCAGCTTACAGATGGCATATCATGGGGCTTCTCAGCCTCCATAATCACATGAGCCAATTTCCCTAATAAATCTTCTCTCAAATATCTACACATCTATATATGTCATATTGGTTCTGTTTCTCTGTAGAACTCTGATTAATACAACTGGTGTCCTTATGAAAAGGGAAAATTGAAGGACAGACATACACACACAGAGCACACCATTTGGAGACGAAGATAGAGATGAGTGTGATGCATCTATAAGCCAGGAATGATAAAGATTGCAGCAAACCACAAGAAGCTAGAAGAGAAAAGTGGAACAGAGTCTCCCTCATAGCCCTCTGTAGGAATCAATCTTGCCAACACCTTGATCTTGCACTTCTAGCCACCAGAACCGTGACATAATAAATTTCTTTTATAGTTTTAAAAAATGTTTTAATTTTCAATTTTATGGGTACATAGTAGATGTATATATTTATGGGGTACATGAGACATTTTGATACAAGCATGCAATGTACAATAATTGTATCAGGGTAAATGGGGTATGCATTACCTATCTCAAGAATTTATCATTTCTTTATGTTTCAAACATTTCAATTATACCCTTGTAGTTATTTAAAAATTTACAATAAAACATTGTTGACTGTCATCACCCTGTTACACTATCAAATACTAGTTATTCATTCTACCTAACTATATTCTGGTACCCATTAACCATTCCCACTTCATCTCTACTCCCCATTACCCTCCCCAGCCCCTGGTAAACATCCTTCTACTGTCTATCTCCACGGGCTCAAGTGTTTTGATTTTTAGATCCCACAAATAAGTAAGAACATGAGATATCTGTCTTAATATGTCTGGCTGATTTCACTTAACATAGTGATCTCCTGTTCCATCCACGTTGTTGCAAGTGACAGGATTTCATAAAGCTGAATAGTACTCCATTGTGTTTATGTATCACATTTTCTTTATCCATTCATCTGTTGATGGACACTTAGGTCGCTTCCATATCTTACCCATTGTGAATAGTGCTGCAATAAACATGGGAGTGTAATTACGTCTTCAGTATACTGATTTCCTTCCTTTTGAGTATACACTCAGCACTGGGATTGCTGGATGGTATGGTAGCTCTATTTTTAGTTTTTTTCAGGAACCTCCATACTGTTCTCCATAGTGGCTGTACTAATTTACATTCCCACCAACAGTGTACAAGGGTTCCCATTTCTCCACATCCTCTCCAACATTTGTTATGGCCTATCTTTTGGATGTAAGCTATTTTAACCGGGGTGAGAAGATATGTCATTGTAGTTTTGATTTGCATTTCCCTAATGATCAGTGATGTTGAACACTTTTTCATATGTCTGTTTACCATTTACATGTCTTCTTTCAAAAAATGTCTATTGAGAGCTTTTGCCCATTTTAAAATCAGATTATTGGATTTTTTTCCTATTGAGTTGTTTGAGCTCTTTATATATCCTGGTTATTAATTCCTTGTCAGTGGTATAGTTTGCAAATATTTTCTCCCATTTTGTGAGTTGAGACGATTCATTCATGTTGTTTAAGTCATCTAGTTTGTGATACTTTCTTGTGGCAGCCCTAGCAAACTAATATACCTACCTTAATGGAGGATTAGAGATAATCTAGGCATTCAATAAATGATGACTATTATTGTTGTTCTTTCTCTCAGTTGCTTAATCAGGTATGACTGGGAAGCTCTCGAAAAGCAGGACACTGTGCAGTGTGAGAAGCACAGGTTCCAGGGCCCAACAAAGGCCTGGGTACACCACTTACTAGTTTTGTTACCTTGAGCATGTCACTAAAACTCCTTGATCTTCAGGTTCCTCAGCTCTAATATGGAGATAAGAGTAGTAGCCACCTTAGAGCATTGTGAGAAATGCTTGAGAAAAAGGAATTTAAATGATTACTCAGCATAGTACCTGGAATATTAAAAACACTCAATAAGAGATAGCTATTGTTACTACTATTGTTGTGGTGATTATTATATTATTATTATTATTATTATTATTATATGTAGTATAGAATCTATAGGCTTATGTCAAGTTCTGCCTTATCCTTGAAGCTTTTCTTGAATGCCCTAATCAAATGATTTTTCTTTCCTCTTAATTCCTGCAGCTCAAGCCTTGACACTGAATTACATTTTGTCCTATGAGTTGTTTCAAATGTTTATCTTCTCTTTCCAAGGACACTGAATGCTCTATGAAAGCATGGGTTGTATCTTACTATGTTTCTGTAACTCCCACAGCACCTAAACACAATTCTTTGCTTTTAATAGATGCTCAGTTATTGCTTATGATTGATTGACTGATACATTGAAGCCAAGTAATTGCAGCTTCAACAGGGATTCAGGGGCGGTGAGAAGGGCTCATTTGTAAGCATGTCCAACTTTTGAGTTACCTTAAGGGTTATATTTTTAAATACAGAGGTATTTGCTTTTGTTATCACCTTTCAAAAACAATAATATCCCATTGAATATTGTTAAATTCACTTAAGTATCATCCCACATAGACATGCAGCAGTTAAAAACCAAAAAACCAAACCAAAAAACCCTCCTATCTCAAAAGAGTTGGATTAGATACTATTTAAATGTTAAATTCTAACTTAAATGTTAAATTCTAATTTTGTCAGTTAAAACATGTCCTGAGGTATCCATGGTGTGGGTGGAAGAAGTGGCCTGAAAAAGTGGGTTTAGGACCAGATTGTAAAAGGCAATGTGGTTGGTTCATGCTAAATGTGGTTGGGATTTTGCTTTATAGGCCTGGGGACTCACAATGAAAGCTCTGAGGATGCTGCTTCCTCTGAGGCCTCTCCAATGGGATTACTTTCCCAGCCTTTTTAGCAGAGGGCCTAGAGGGAGAAATTTTTTTTAACTGTTAATTGCTGTTTCCAAAACATGTCTCTACCCTGCCACTCTCATCAATCAATCTCTTGCTCACTTCCCAAGATTCATTGGAGACTGTGATCCCTGACTCTATGGCTTCCTCTCCACCTCACACTTTGCCCTTATGATAGGGGACTTCAATGCCCATGGTGACAATCCACCCAGTACCTCGGCTTCTCATTCTTCTGACTTCATCTACAGTGGCCTTTCCTCCCCTCCACCTGAGCTATGCACTCATGGCCACAACCTGAATCTTATCATCTTGGAGAATTACTCTATCTCGTGAATTCTGAACTCCACAAACTATTCTCTGAACATGATTTTCCTTCCAATTCTCTCATTCCATTATTGTCAGCAGTTTTTAGCTTCATTAAAACCATCAGTCCCTTTTGCTTCTCCAATTACTTACTGTCTGTCCTATCTTTTCTCCCTTAGTATTTTAACCTTTGACCACCCTCTTACTGAAAACTTCAACTTTCATGTCCTCTCATTCATTGAATCTGCTTGGCAAAACTCTTTGCCTTCTTCAACTATATTCCTGCAGAAAACCATACAACCACTTGCAGGTTGGAACTGCTGTAAATTCACATTCTTCAATTTCAAGCATGTCCTAAATAGTGTCAAACAATCCTTCTATGCATCCCTAAGATCGTTCCCAGTTCACACAAAAGATAATTCAACCTGTCATCACTTTCTTTGAGATTACTACCTCATTACCTCTACTGTCATTCTCATATTAACTCACTTTTTACCTTACAAAGACATTTGGAGCAATCAGGTAGAATTTCCTCAACTGCCTATCCTCTTTCTTCCTGAGAAATAAATACACCATACATTGTATTTCTGTTCAACTACACCATTCCTTCTTGTCTCATGAAAGAAGTGTATCCTATTGCTCCTGAAGGCTTATTTCTTCCCTTGTACCCAGCATCTCTTCTCTGTTCCATGATATTATTATTTTTTCATTCTTGTATCTTCAACCTTTCCATGCACAGCATATAAATATTTTAAGTCTCTCCCATTTAAAAAAATCTCATATTCCTGTTTAGAAAACCAACCTCTCACCTTCTCAAATAATGTTTTTGTTGTTGTTGTTGTTGATTTTAGTAAGTTTCAAAAACCTCGGGCTTTAAAAATCTCTGTACTCATCACTTACTAGTTGTATTACCTTGAGCAGGGACAGTACTTGGCAAGTAACAGTAACAGGCAAGTAACCCTGGCAGCATGACTCACTCTTTCCTATATTGAGTTCCAGGGTAACATGGTGGCATTCCTTCAAAGTTCCTGCATATTCTAATTGCCATTTAATGTTTCCTTGGTTAGAATTAAGTCCTTCTTCCCAAGGAAGATTACATTTTACTCAAGAGAATATTTATCTGGTGTTTTGTTGTTAGCCAATAGTATTCCTAGATGATTCCTGTCTTCTATGGTTCACTTGAACAAATATTTACTGAATGCCTATTATGTTCCAGGCGCTATTTATAGGTTCTCCCTCACCTCGGTGTCAGTTTTGTGACCTGTATTAGGAAAACATTTTTCATGGCTTCCATCTGGCCAGTCTGTAGTCCACACCCACAAGGATAATACCTTTAACAGATGCTATTAATGCCCTACCTAATATCTACTTGGCTAACCTAAAAATGTAAGGGTTAATGTTCCCAGTGGTGGTAGAGAGTAGATAAACGACCTAGCCTCCCTGTGTTCCAGTGGGATAGTTCTGAAGTATGTTCTACCAGTCTTCTCAAAGAAGGTTTCTCAGTAGGATTGAGCCCCATTTGTCCATAGCAGTAACCTGCTCATTAATGTACATGCTATTGGTTTTTATCTCTTCCTGCCTCACTTTTCCCACTTTACCACTTAGGCTAGCCCCCAAATAACCTACAATCTAGTAATCTTTGTTTCAATTCTGTTTTTGGAGGAGCCAAACTAAAATAGTGTCTTACCCTAAAGGTGCATTTACTGTGGGCCAGCCATCATGATATTCACTTCATGTACCTTAGCATAGTGATTAAGATTGAGATTAAGTTAGGCAAAATACACAAAATGCTTATAATAAGGTCTAGCACATAGCAGGTACTCAATAAATATTAGCTATATAATATATCAGACAAGGTCCAGTCAGAGACATAAACCACACCAGTTATTTGAACAGAAAATTTAGTACAAAGAATTGTTACCTAGGCATAAAGTCGTTACAGCAACAACTGAAAAGGTAAAAAGAGAACTTTAAAGCATCACAGAATTAACAACTGCAGGATGTAGCTACCATCCCTGGGAAAACAAAGGGAAGAGGTCAGAAGTGTTAAAGCTTAAAACCTTGAAAGAGACTTTCATCAGAGCTGAAGCTCAGACCTCTGAAGAGGGCACTGCTCAGCTGGTACTGCTGACTCTAAGTTTGGAGGAGTGGCTCCATGAACCTCAGACCTTTAGGGAGGGGCAGAGTTGGTATATTAGTCCATTTTCACACTGCTATAAAGATACTAACCAAGACAGGGTGTTATATAAAGGAATGAGGTTTAATTGACTCATAGTTCTACACGGCTGGGGAGACCTCAGGAAACTTACAGTCATGGTGGAAGGGGAAGCAGGCACATTCTTCACAAGGCAGCAGGAGAGAGAAGGAACGAAGGAGGAAGAGCCCCTAATAAAGCCATCAGATCTCATGAGAACTAACTCACTATCATGAGAACAGCATGGGGGAATCCATTCTTATGATCCAATCACCTCTCACTGGGTTCCTCCCTCAACACATGGGGATTATTGGGTTACAATTCAAGATGAGATTTGGGTGTGGACACAAAGCCAAACCATATCAGTTGGCTGGTGCTGTTTCTATGAAAGGGGCATGATAAGGTGAGTTTGTAAGTTCTAGAAAAATGAAAATCTCAATTCAGAATGTGCTGCTTTTGGAAGAAACTGCAACTATTGGAGTGAAGAAGTGTTGTTAAGGAAGATATTTATAGGAAAATGAAACCAACGGGAAGCACATAGCAAGGAGAAAGTCCCTTCTTCCTCCTCCAGCCTCAAGAGTCTCCCTCTAATGTACCCTTTGGCACTTCCTAACAAGGAGCCGACTGGCAGAAAAGAAATATGGTTTGTATAGTATCTGTCTCAGCATCACAAAACTGAGTATAGACAGATGGGTTTTGGACTGAGAGGCAGCAACCTAACAACTGGCATGAGTGCTCTCTACAACAATCCTTTGGGGCAAGTACTACAGTTATCCCTGCTTTTTAAAAAGACAAACTTAATTTTTTCAAGCAGTTTTACGTTGTGATGATTAATCTTATGTGTCATCTTGACTGGGCCAAAGTTTGTCCTGATATTTGGTTAAACAATATTCTGGGTGTGTCTGTGAGGGTGTTTCTGGAAGAGATTAACATTTACATTGGTAGACTGAATAAAGCAGATTGCCCTCCCCCATGTAGGTGGGCTTCATCTAAACTGTTGAAGGCCTGAATAGAACAAAAAGACTGAGCAAGAGAGAATCTGCTCTCTCTGCCTGATAGTCTTCAAGCTGGGACTCGAACAGGAATTTACACCATCGGCTCTTCTGAGTCCCAAGGCTTTGGACTGCAGATATTGGGACTTCTTGACCTCCATAATCCCATAAGCCAATTCCTTATTATCTGTCTATCTATGTATCTGTGTATCTATCTATCTTTGTATCTATGTATCTATTATCTATCTATCTATCTATCTATCTATCTATCTATCTATCTATCTATCTATCTCCCACTGGTTCTGAGTCTCTGGAGAACCCTACCACTACATAGGTTCACAGCAAAATTGAGTGTAAAGTATGGAGAGTTATATCCCTGAATTTTTATGATTAGACTGCAAGTTACTAGTCCAAGATCACACAGCTAGTCAGTGGTAGAGCCAGGATTTCAACCCAGGATTTCAGGTGCCAGAGCCCACACTATTAATCACCTAAACAATATCCCCATGTAAACAATATCACTGTTTCTCTCACCTTTTATCCAAGCTCACATGTTCTCCAGTGTCATTAAATTTCTTTATAACTCAAACCTTTTATACATTTGGGTAGGACAACCTTCTTTCTTCTTCACACTTCTTTTTCCAAATTAGTGACTATTTTCTACACTTCAGAGTCAGAGCAATTAAGTGTTTATCAGGATACCACTCAGCACCTCAAATGGTTTTGGTGAACTTAGGTTTCTGTGGGTCCCATTGAAGAGCAAGACAAACTTATAATACTGTTGAAAATGTATGTGCATTAAACTGGCATTTATCCTAAGTTGTAAGTAGAAGATAAACTTAGTGAGTATGAACTGACGCCTGCAACATCTGGTAAGGAGGAGAAATTCAGGTATATTCTAGTTCTCACTCCTGAGAGACCAAATGATTTTCCTTGGGCCAAGCTCCCTTGTGACAATGAGTTTATTCTCTGTGGACACTACCTTCATGTAGATTCAATGTCTCTTTCTCAACATTCCTAGTCATTATGCCAAGTCAGAAGCACTAAGCTAAAGTTTGAAGGGTAGGCGTAGGGTCAGCAGAAGGTCACTAATATCTCTTGCCAAGTTGAAGAATTTTGAGACAAGTGATTGTCCAACTGTAGAGCCAACACCTGATAGCCTTCATGCTAGAGGGTGGAGACCTCTACAAGGAAAACTGCAGCTGGAATCCTTCTCAGGGGCTGCCCTTCAACAGAAAGTCTGGTTTCACTCAGCACAGAAATGTTGACTCTGGGTCTGGACAACTCACATGTGACCACATTTTACAGACTACAGTTATCATCATTGTCTAAGGTTGTGATATCTCATGGTGCAGGAGTTCCTTCTTTCCTTTCTAACTGGTTGGAAACCTTCCATTTGCCAAAGTCTCCAAAGAGGGAATTTCCAACATGACAATTTGGACAGGCTTGAGCCTGGTGTAAGACAGCCTTTGCTCTTGTGATCTGCTTTGTGAGGAGTGAAACTGGATGTTATAATTAAGGCTATTCAGAGAAAAACAGTGATACGTGACTGACATTCTGAGCTTCCTAACTGGATAACTATTTGATGAAATCTATAATGAGTAGGATACGTTTTCCTATCATGTTAATCAGAAGCTTGAGCCATTCAGACCCTCTCAAGCAGTGGCCATTAGCCAACTACAGGCATTTCATGACAATGGCTTTCATCTTTAGCATCCCATTATTGGTGCATGTTGCTATGAAGGCTGATGCTTAAAGGGCAAGAGAGGTGAAAATCTCTATTTTCTGTCATTCTTAGGAGAATATCAGGTTCCAGTACTTTCTATCCCTTCTTATTATTGTTCCAATTCCTCTTTAATCCACTTGATCAGGATTTAATTATTCAGATTCTTACCTATAGCAGACACCACCAAATGAAAATATTTTGTGGAGTACCAGAAGATTTATGATATATTAACAGGACCTAGATATATCACAGGACCTAAAACAGGTGGACTACTGACAAGGTTTGAATCCTAGTGCTGTATTTTAAATTCTCGAAAACAAAGAACAATCTAGTCATGAAGGCCTAGAATAGAAGATGACTGCAGACCTTGGTCATTAGAGAGCATAGATATTTAAATCTTGGAAAACCCAGAGAAAATATCAAGTCTGATGTGACAGTGGAAGAACCAAGATGAGAGACAATCATGAACTAGGAGCTACAAAAAACGTCAACAGAACAGATATAAGTGGGGGATAAAGTGAGGAGAATCAGGTGATGGTAGAAAATAAAATATATTTGAAGTGCTTGCATTTATCTGCTGTCGTCTGGGCATGGCATGGATGGGGAGGACTGGCTTAAAGGTACAGGGTCAGAGCAGAGAGCAATGACACTATAACACTGAGGAGTCTCCATCAATGTGGCCCATGAACTTCTTCTGGATAGTCTACAGGCTGCTCATTTGTAGTTTGGGGTTTGAAAATATGACAAAGACTGTCCTCTAGTTTGTGTCACAAATGAATTTACTGATAACATTGATGTCTCCTTTGAAATAAGGTGCTACGGTATGAATGTGTCCCCCAAAATGTATGTGTTGGAAACACAATCCCTCTGCCCTCATGAATAGATTAATGGATTAATGAGAGCTCTGCCTTCATGAATGGATTAGTGTTCTCCCACAGGAGTGGGTTTCTAACTATGAGAGTGGCTTTGTTATAAAAGCAAGTTTTCTCTGGCTCTTGTGCTCTTGCATTCTTACCATGTAATCCCCTCTGCCATGTTATGACACAGCAAGAAGGCCATCAGTGGATATTGGTACCATGCTCTTGGACTTCCCATCTCCAGAACCATGAGTTAATAAACCTCTATTTTTATAAATTACCAAGTCCATGATATTCTGTCTTAGCAACAGAAAATGAACTATGACATAAGAATATTATTTTCATTATTTAGTGGATTTTAAAGGTGGCAGCATGTGGGTCCAATGCTTTGTAGTGGCTTTGTTTCCACCAGAGTTCTCTGTGCATTGCAGAGAATATATAGGGAAACTCAGGATAACTTTCACCAACATTTCCAATCTCCCCAACCAACTCCAACCATATCAATTTTGAAAGGGTTCAGCTTCCCTCTAAGCCCCTAACATGTTTGTTCTAGTTTATTTCTGGTGACTTCAGTGCTTTTAAAAAGCAATATATAAGCTAGATATAGCTTATATATTGCTTTTTAAAAGCACTGAAGTCACCAGAAATAAACTAGAACAAACATGTTAGGGGCTTAGAGGGAAGCTGAACCCCAATGACTTTCTTCACAGAATTGGAAAAAACTACTTTAAAGTTCATATGGAACCAAAAAAGAGCCCGCATCGCCAAGTCAATCCTAAGTCCAAAGAACAAAGCTGGAGGCATCACACTACCTGACTTCAAACTATACTACAAGGCTACAGTAACCAAAACAGCATGGTACTGGTACCAAAACAGAGATATAGATCAATGGAACAGACAGAGCCCTCAGGAATAATGTCACATATCTACAACTATCTGATATTTGACAAACCTGAGAAAAACAAGCAATGGGGAAAGGATTCCCTATTTAATAAATGGTGCTGGGAAAACTGGCTAGCATATGTAGAAAGCTGAAACTGGATCCCTTCCTTATACCTTATACAAAAATCAATTCAAGATGGATTAAAGACTTAAACGTTAGACCTAAAACCATAAAAACCCTAGAAGAAAACCCAGGCTTTACCATTCAGGACATAGGCATGGGCAAGGACTTCATGTCTAAAACACCAAAAGCAATGACAACAAAAGCCAAAATTGACAAATGGGATCTAATTAAACTAAAGAGCTTCTGCACAGCAAAAGAAACTACCATCAGAGTGAACAGGCAGCCTACAAAATGGGAGAAAATTTTCGCAACCTACTCATCTGACAAAGGGCTAATATCCAGAATCTACAATGAACTCAAACAAATTTACAAGAAAAAAACAAACAACCCCATCAAAAAGTGGGCAAAGGACATGAACAGACACTTCTCAAAAGAAGACATTTATGCAGCCAAAAAACACATGAAAAAATGCTCACCATCACTGGCCATCAGAGAAATGCAAATCAAAACCACAATGAGATACCATCTCACACCAGTTAGAATGGTGATCATTAAAAAGTCAGGAAACAACAGGTGCTGGAGAGGATGTGGAGAAATAGGAACACTTTTACACTGTTGGTGGGACTGTAAACTAGTTCAACCATTGTGGAAGTCAGTGTGGCGATTCCTCAGGGATCTAGAACTAGAAATACCATTTGACCCAGCCATCCCATTACTGGGTATATACCCAAAGGACTATAAATCATGCTGCTATAAAGACACATGCACACGTATATTTATTGCGGCATTATTCACAATAGCAAAGACTTGGAACCAACCCAAATGTCCAACAATGATAGACTGGATTAAGAAAATGTGGCACATATACACCATGGAATACTATGCAGCCATAAAAAATGATGAGTTCATGTCCTTTGTAGGGACATGGATGAAATTGGAAATCATCATTCTCAGTAAACTATCGCAAGAACAAAAAACCAAACACCACATCTTCTCACTCATAGGTGGGAATTGAACAATGAGAACACATGGACACAGGAAGGGGAACATCACACTCTGGGGCCTGTTGTGGGGTGGGGGGAGGGGGGAGGGATAGCATTGGGAGATATATCTAATGCTAGATGACGAGTTAGTGGGTGCAGTGCACCAGCATGGCACATGTATACATATGTAACTAACCTGCACATTGTGCACATGTACCCTAAAACTTAAAGTATATAAAAAAAGCGATATATCATTGTTTCAGTTGCCCAGTATAGTCCTTCAGAAGCTAACTCTTGTAATGCCACATACCTTTCTAGTTTAAGCCCTTACCATAGAAATAGTGGAAACCAATATTTGATTGATATTAACTGCTACTGAAGGTCTGTAATGTATTGCTTTTGGAAAGAAAATAGATATTCTCACATGAAAATGATGATATAATACATCGATAGGTGAAAATCTGAAGACTGGGTGGTTGATTTCAATGGCAGGGGTGGGGGGAGAAAGAGACAGAGAGAGAGAAAAATCTTCTAACTTTCACCTGTTTGACTATAGTTGACTGAATCAGCAATAAAGGTTGTGACATTACCAAGGAATATCAAGTCACTAATACAAATACAATGACCACTTTATTATAAGACAGTCTGGTAATCACTGTCACCTCTTTCACCCACAGACATTTGATTTGAAATACTATAGTTGTAGGGGTATCCCAGCTGTAACAAACATTTATATCCAAGTCACTTTTTAAGTCTTTGACTTCAGCAGCCATGAGATGTTTCTTGTAAAGGAAAATAAAACTCAAATATTTAGAAGCCATAGGGTGAAAAAAAAGTTTGCCCTCAGTTGGTTTCCAGAGTTTGGTGAATTGCTTTAGAAAGACTTTACAAATTTAACAATTTTAATTACATGAAATAAGGTAACATGACTGTCACTCTTCAAAAAGATGCACTTTTTGTTCCAGGATTTGAAGATGCTAACCAGAAAGTACACAATTGCAAAGGCAAATTTTCAAGTACAACATGCAGCTTAATCATAATAGGTAACATTTATTGAGTGCTTACATAAAAGTATTATCCCATTTTATAGGTGAGGAAATGAACCTACAGAGAGTTTAAATAATGCAATGTCACACAGGTAATAAATGGCACAGCTGAGCTTTAAACCCAAGTCTTAGACCAAGCCCATGATCTTAACCATTTTACACTTCTTACAGAATTGTGAATGGTATGTTGCTCTAGACTACAGGAATCTCATACTTTGAAACTATTTTTGGTCTAGAAATCTTTTCAATAACCTATATGTCACTATTTTGTATAGCCAGTTTATGAAACAAGCAGTAAAAGTGTCTCAATTCAATCAAAGTTTATGGAACACTTCCTCTTAGTCTTCTATGTTCCACAGTCAAGAAATTACCTTATAGTCAGGGACATAGACATAATATGTTAAATAAAAAGAACACTCATAGATAATAACTCTGATTGAAGTGACAACTTGTATATCCAGAACTTTCCTGCTTTTATGTAATTTTATTATTTTGAGCAATTGCAATTTACTAAATCTCTAACTGAATAAAATTTAATTTTATATCATTGTCAAGCTTTCTATATCATTAAATTCATACATAAAAGAATAGTCTTTGTCAGATAAGGAGTCTTGATTTCTAATTCAGAAAACATGTCTGTTGTAGCAGGTGCTAGATTAGAAGTACTGACCATGCTAAATGTCAGAAGTGTTCAGCAAATGGAGAGATAACAGAGAGGACTGACTATCTACTTAGGGGGTGCTTCATGGAGGAAGAAAACTTTGAGCAGAACCTTGAAGGTTGAGTATAATTTGAATAGAGAGAGAAAAGAAATAAGCATAGGATAAAAGAAAAGAGAAAAAAAGCCTAAAGAGGTCCTCCAGGGGACATTTATGTGTAGGAAGAGAAAGCTTAAATCCATGTAAGAGACCAAAAAGGAATTACTAGAGAGGGAGAAAAAAACTAGAAGCAGAGACAGAAGTCAAAAAAGAGAATTTCAAGGAGTGGGCAATAATCCTCTTCAAATGATAGAGATGTGGTGGAAGGTAAGAACAAGAATAGGGCATAAACTGGGTAAGGCTTGAAGCTTCTGAACAGTGGCCCATAGAGTAGAATAGGTAGTAGACAGGCTTGAAGGTTAAGGTGGATGGATAGGAAGAGGAAGCAGCCAGTAAATACAGCATGTGTGGAGTTTAGCAGTGAAGGGGCAAAGTTAGGTGAAAAGAAAAAATCGACTCACACAAAAGGTCATCTGCTTTTTAAGATAAGATGGTCAAGATTGTTTTTGAGGGTAAAAGGGAAGAAAACTGTGGCCGAGGAGAGAGCAAAAATACCATGGATTAAAAACGTAATTAGAGAGATAAGGACCCAAAAAAGGAGGGAAAAAAATGTGGTCCAGAACACAGATGTACCTTACTTTCAGAATAGCAGTTCCTTCATTCAACAGATATTTGTGAGGTACTATGTTAGGCATGGGAGGCACAGGAGAGAAAAAACCAACTAATCAACCAATCAACCAACCAAACAACAAAAAATTAGAATCCCTACCTTCAAGAAACTTTATAGTTTAGTGGGAGAGAAAGATTTTTAAACAAATAACCACTAAAATAAAAATAAAATTACAAATGGTGGTCATCATAAAAGAATTAAGTAGTATCATGAAACAGAATCATGGGGGAAGCTGTAAAGACAAAGCCTTCCTGAAGAAAACCTGAAGGAAAAGAGGGAGCCAGCCATGTGAAGACCTGAGGTCTGGGGATAGAAATTTTCTGAACAAGGGAGACAGCAAGTACACAAGCTCCAAGGTAAAAATAAAATAAAATAAAATAAAATAAAATAAAATAAAATAAAATAAAATAAAATAAAAATAAAAAGTCTGGCATGTTCCAGAATCTAAGAGAAAGCCAAGAAAATGGCAATGATAACAGTGAGCCTCCTGGTCTCCTAGTGAAAAAGATCAGGCCCAGTTCCATTTTCTTTCTGAGCCAAGTGAAAGAGAGGTGAACCCATCCCACCACCACGACCATACCAGCATTTTCCCTCTGATTCTGTGAAACAAGGAGAAGGAGCAGGGGCTGCTTCTAGGAGAAGAAGCTCAGCAGGAACCAGGGAAGAAGCTTTGAGTAGTTAGACAGGCAGGCAGGCCAAGGTAGGCCTGGGCCAGCTGAGGAGCAGATGGCTGCAGGAGCAGCAGCTGGGGCCCATCCATAGGCATGTCTCTAGCCTGCCTCTGAGCTCTGGATAAAACTTCTAAGGGTCACAGAACAAGAAGCTCTGTGCTGTGTGATTGATTGATTGATTTAGAAATGGACAGATTTTTTTTTAAAGCAACTAATAGTCATTGTCTGCTACCACATGTACCAAATAAGGTGGGTGATCAAGCTAGGCAATACCATTAAAAATAATTTTTAATGAAATGTAATTTGTGTAAATATATATATTTGTGTAAATATATACATTTGTGTAAATATATGTATATTTGTGTGTGTGTATATATATATATATATATATATATATATATATATATATATATATGTAGCACGCGGTTTGATGAGATTCAACAAATGTATACATCCATGTCACCACCACCCCAGTTAAGATACAGAACATTGCCAGGTGGTTCATGCCTGTAATCCCAGCACTTTGGGAGGTCGAGACTGGTAGCTGGTGAATTGCTTGAGCCCAGGAGTTTGAGACTAGCCTGGGCAACATGACAAAACCCTGTATCTACAAAAAATTAAAAAAAAAATTAGTAGTGCGTGTTGGCATGTGCCTGTAGTCCCAACTACTCAGGAGGCTGAGGTTGGAGGATTGCTTGAGTCCAGGTGGCAGAAGCTGCAGTGAGCCAAGATCACGCCACTACACTCCAGCCTAGGAGACAGAGCCAGACCCTGTTTTATAAAAAAACAAAAAAACAACAAAACAACTCCTGCCCCCAAAAGAAACCAGAATATTTTTTACTTCAGAAAGTTCCTTCAGTGTCCTTTCCCAGCAAAGAATGTCATGTCTTTCCCCAAAGGCAACCATAACCATTGTTCTGATTTTTCTCACCATAGAATCATTTCACCCTTTTTGAGGGTGATATAAATGGAATCATGCTGTTTGTACTTTTTTTGTATCGGATTTTATTCATTAAAATATTTTTGAAATTTTTCCACCTAATTTGATGTATCAGTAGTTCATTTATTTTTATTGTTCTCTAGTATTACATTGTATAAATATACCACAATTTGTTAATCCATTTTACTGTTGATGGGCATTTAGGGTGTGTTTTTAACTATAATGCATACACCCACTATAGAAATTCATACACAAATCTTTTTGTGGGCACATGTTTTCATTTCTTTTAGGTAAATATCTAGGAATATGATATCTGTGTTATAAGGCCAGTGTATATTTAACCTTATAAGAAAATACCAAACAGATTTCCAAAATGGTTGTAACATTTTACTTCCCCACCAGCAATATATGAGAGTCCCAGTTGCTCCGCATCCTCTTCAACATTATGTACTGTCATTTTGGTGGGTATAAAGCAGGGGTCTCCAACCCCTGGGCCATGGAACCAGATCTCACAGCAGGTGAGCAGCAGGTAAAAGAGCGAAGCTTCATCTGAATTTACAGCCACTCCCCATCACTTGCATTACCGCCTGAGCTCCACCTCCTGTCAGATCAGCAGTGGCATTAGATTCTCATAGGAGGATGAACCCTATTGTGAACTGCACATGTGAGGGATCTAGGCTGCACACTCCTTATGAGAACCTAATGCCTGATGATCTGTCACTGTCTCTCATAACCCCTTGATAGGACTGTCTAGTTGTGGGAAAACAAGCTCAGGGCTCCCACTGATTCTACATTACAGTGAGTTGTATAATTATTTCATTATATATTACAATGTAATAATAATAGAAATAAAGTGCACAATAAATGTAATGCTCTTGAATCATCCCAAAACCATCCCTGCACTGGTCCGTGGAAAAATTGTCTTCCACAAAACTGGCCCCTGGTGCCAAAATGGTTGGGGACCACTGGTAAAAAGTATTATCTCATTGTGGCTTCATTTCCTTGTGTGACCTCCCCTTGAATATGGATGTGACTTGTGACTTGCATATAGTCAACAGAATATGACAAAGGTGACAGGATGCACGTGATTCTATGTGATTACGTTACATAAGATTGTAGCACTCATCTGGCTGTAGTCTCTCTACCTTACTGCTATGAGGAAGCAAGCAGCCATGCTGGACAACCCCATGTGGCAAGGAACTGTGGTTGGCCTCTAAGAACTGAAGGTGGTCTGGTCAATAGCCAGCAAAAATACTGGCTGAAATCCTTCAGTCAAAATTAACTGATTGCTACCAATAATCATGAGTTCAGGGTAGTGGGTCCTTGCCTAGTTGAGACCTCCACATGGAAACCCAGCAATGTTCAATTCCTTGATTGGAGCCCTGTAAGACCCTGAGTGGAAGATCCAGATACACTGTGCCCAGACTTCTGACTGAAATTCTGAGATAATAAACATGCTTTATAGTTTAGCTGCTGTTTGTGGTACTGTTATGCAGTAGCAGAAAATGAATGCAGCTTGTATCCAGTGCCCTTTGTAAATTTGCTTATTACTTCTAATAGTTTTTTGTATCAGATCCCTTTAGTTTTTGTTTCAGATTCCTTTAGATGTTCTGTGTACACAATACTTCTGGAGGCAAGGACCATTTCACTTCCTCCTTTCCAAATATTTGGTCTTGTCAGTTCTTCATTTGTCTGCCTTCTATTTTATTAATTTCCACTCTTAACTTTATTAATTTATACTTACTCTGGGATTAATTTTCTCTCTTTTTTGAGCTTTTAAGGATAGAAATTAAATAATTCATTTTAGAGCTTTGTTCTTTTTTAACATAGACCTTTAAAGCTATCAATTTCCCTCTAAGCCCTTCTTTAGTTGCATTCCATAACTTTTTAAACACTCTAATTGCCATTCAGTTCAACATATTTTCTAATTTCTCTTTTGTGGTTTCTTTCTTTGAATTCCTACTTATTTAGATTGTGTTAATTTCCCACTGTTTGGGGATATATATACACATATGTGTATATACACATATAATTTCCCACTGTTTGGGAAATACATATATGCATATGTGTATATATGTGTATATATGTGTATATATATACACATACGCATATGTGTATATATGTGTATATATGTGTATATATATACACATACGCATATGTGTATATATGTGTATATATGTGTATATATGTACACATATGCATATGTGTATATATGTGTATATATGTGTATATATGTACACATATGCATATGTGTATATGTGTGTATATATGTGTATATATATATACACATATGTATATATATACACATTATTATATATATAATGTGTATATATATATATATACACATATGTATATAATAATGTGTATATATATATACACATATGTATATATATAATGTGTATATATATATATACACATATGTATATATATAATGTGTATATATATATACACATATGTATATATATAATGTGTATATATATATACACACATATGTATATATATAATGTGTATATATATCCCCAGTGGGAAATTATATGTATATATGGGTATATACATACATGTGTATATATGTGTATACACATACATGTGTATATGTGTATACACATACATGTGTATATAGGTATATATGTGTATATATACGTACATGTGTATATAGGTATATATGTGTATATATACGTACATGTGTATATAGGTATATATGTGTATATATACGTACATGTGTATATAGGTATATATGTGTATATATACGTACATGTGTATATAGGTATATATGTGTATATATACGTACATGTGTATATAGGTATATATGTGTATATATACGTACATGTGTATATAGGTATATATGTGTATATATACGTACATGTGTATATAGGTATATATGTGTATACATACATGTGCATATGTGTATATATACATGCATGCGCATATACGTATATATACATGCATGCGCATATACGTATATATACATGCATGCGCATATACGTATATATACATGCATGCGCATATACGTATATATACATGCATTGCATATATATGTATATATACATGCACGTGTATATATGTATATATGTATATATACATGCACGTGTATATATGTATATATGTATATATACATGCACGTGTATATATGTATATATGTATATATACATGCACGTGTATATATGTATATATGTATATATACATGCACGTGTATATATGTATATATGTATATATACATGCACGTGTATATATGTATATATGTATATATACATGCACGTGTATATATGTATATATGTATATATACATGCACGTGTATATATGTATATATGTATATATACATGCACGTGTATATATGTATATATGTATATATACATGCACGTGTATATATGTATATATGTATATATACATGCACGTGTATATATGTATATATGTATATATACATGCACGTGTATATATGTATATATGTATATACATGCACGTGTATATATGTATATATGTATATACACACACGTGTATATATGTATATACACGCACGTGTATACATATGTATATATGTATATACACGCGCGTGTATATATGTATATACACGCACGTGTATACATATGTATATATGTATATACACGCACGTGCATACATATGTATATATGTGTACACGCACGTGCATACATATGTATATATGTGTACACGCACGTGCATACATATGTATATATGTGTACACGCACGTGCATACATATGTATATATGTGTACACGCACGTGCATACATATGTATATATGTGTACACGCACGTGCATACATATGTATATATGTGTACACGCACGTGCATACATATGTATGTATATATGTGTGTATACATACGTGCATACATATGTATGTATATATGTGTGTATACATACGTGCATACATATGTATGTATATATGTGTGCATACATACGTGCATACATATGTATGTATATATGTGTGTATACATACGTGCATACATATGTATGTATATATACATATATACGTATATACACATGTATGTATATATACATATATACGTATATACATATATATGTATATAGAGAGAGTATCTTTTGGTTATTGATTTCTAATTTAAATCTGTTACAGTCAGAGAACATGAACGGGTAGAATGAATGAGTATTAATACTGAAAATGCTGTTGTTTCTGCTGCTTCCTCATTGAAATAATACTGAAACCTGTGCTCCCAGTCTGAGACATGTTTCCACAAATGAATGAGAGCCCTGGGGTGGGGGGGAATGGCAGATAGGAGGCAGGACTAACTTGCAGCCCTCACTCAGAAGTACAGGGCAGTGTGTGGAGACCCACATTATGAACGTTTTTTCCAAAAACTACTGCAGGAACATACCACGAACGCTGAGATAATCCACAGACCCTTTGAAGGAGGTGGATTGCTACTGCAGGCTTTGTGGGACAGCCAAGGAACAGTCTGCTTGCTTTCTTAGCTGGGAGGCATGTAGCCTGGGGCAAGTTCTCAGCCCTGCTCACCAGCTGCCTGGAAATAAACTCAGTGCTGTTATGGGGGCACAGTGGGAGTGAGACAAGCCTTTTGGGCTGCAGGTGGTGTGGGAACCGTGTGAAGCCTATGACTGCTGGCTTTCCCCCACTTTCCTGATGAACTGTGTGATCCAGCAGAGACAGCCATAATCCCTTGGGAACATAACTCCATTGGCCTGGGAACCACACCCCCATCTCCCACAGCAGCTGCAGCAAGCCCTTCCCAAGGAGAGTCTGAGCTCAGACATACCTAACCCTGACCCTGCCTGATGGCCTTTCTTTAACCACCCTGGTAGCAGAAGACAAAGGACATAATCTATTGGGAGCTCTATGGCCCTGCCCACCACCTGATCCTCCCTATACTACTACAGCTAAAGCACTCTTGAAATTGCCACCTCCTGGCTGGAGGCCAACCAACACAAAGTGAGTGCATTTAACAAAAATACAACCAAGGACCCCCACAGCGTCCACTTCAGTCCCCTGCTACCTCCACTAGAGTAGGTACTGGTACCCATGGCTGAGAGACCTGAAGATGGATCACATCCCAGGACTCTTTGCAGACACTCCCCACTACTGGCCCGGAGCCTGGTACCTCCACTGGGTGGCTAGATCCAGAAGAGAAATAACAATCACTGAAGTTTGGCTCTCAGGAAGGCCCACCCTAGGGGAAAAGGGAGAGCACCATATCAGGGGAGCACCCCCGTGGGACAAAAGAATCTGAGCAGCAGCCCTTGAGTCCCAGATCATCCCTCTGACATAGTCCACCCAAATGAGAAGGAATCAGAAAAACAATTCTGGTGACAAAACAACATTCCTTAACACCCACAAGAGATCACACTAGCTCACCAGCAATAGATCCAAACCAAGAAAAAAATATCTGAATTGCCACAAAAAGAATTCAGAAGGTTGATTATTAAGCCAATCAAGGAGGCACCAGAGAAAGGTAAAATCCAACTTAAACAAATAAGAAAAATGATACAGAATATGAATGGAAAAATATCCAGTGAAATAGCATAAATAAAAAACAATAACAACTTCTGGAAATCAGGAACACACTTAGAGAAATGCAAAATGCACCGGAAAGTCTCAGCAATGGACTCAAACACGTAGAAGAAAGAACGTCTGAGCTCGAAAACGAGGCTTTTCAATTAACCCAATTTGACAAAGACAAAGAATAAAGAATTTAAATAAAATAAACACAGCCTCCAAAAAGTTTGGGATTATGTTAAATGACCAAACCTAAGAATAACTGCTGTTCCCAGGGAAAAAGAGAAATCTAAACATTTGGAAAACATTTGAGGGAATAATTGAGGAAAATATCCCTGGCCTTGCTGGAAATCTAGATATTCAAATACAAGAAGCTCAAAGAATACCTGAGAAATTCATCGCAAAAAAAATCAGCACCTAGGCACATAGTCATCAGGTTATCTAAAGTCAAGATACAGAAAAAGAATCTTAAGAACAGTGAGGCAAAAGCATCAGACAACCTATAAAGGAAAACCTATCAGATTAACAGCAGATTTCTCAGCAGAAATGATACAAGCTAGAAAAGATTGGGGTCCTATCTTTAGCCTCTTTAAACAAAACAATTATCAGCCCCCATCTCTACTAAAAATACAAAAAATTAGCCAGCAAGACTAAGCTTCATAAATGAAGGAGAGATACAGTCTTTTTCAGACAAACAAATGCTGGGACAATTTGCCACTACCAAGCCAGCACTGCAAGAACTGTTAAAAGAAGCTCTAAATCTTGAAACAAATCTTTGAAATACACCAAAATAGCATGTTAAAGCATAAATCTCAAAGGACCTATATAACAATAACACAATGAAAAAAATATGAGAAAAACAATGTATTCAGGCAACAAATAGCATGATGAATAGAATAGTATCTCCCCTCTCACTACTAACATTGAATGTAAATGGCCTAAATGCTCCACCTAAAAGATACAGAACGGTAGAATGGATGAGAATTCACCAACCAAGTATCTGCTGTCTTCAAGAGACTCACCTGACACGTAAGGACTCACATAAACTTAAGGTAAAGGGGTGGAAAAAGATATCCCCTGCAAATGGACACCAACAGTGAGCAGGAGTAGCTATTCTTATATCAGACAAAACAAACTTTAAAGAAACAGCAGTTAAAAAAGACAAGGGAGAGACATTATATGATGATAAAAGGACTAGTCCAACAGGAAAATATCACAATCCTAAATATATACACACCTAACACTGGAACTCCCAAATTCATAAAACAATTACTTCTAGACCTGAGAAATGAGATAGACAGCAACACAATAATAGTGGGGGACTTCAATACTCCATTGACAGCACTGGACAGGTCATCAAAACAGAAAGTCAACATAGAAACAATGGACTTAAACTATAACCTAGAGTAAATTGACTTAACAAATATTTACAGAACATTCTACCCAACAACTACAGAATATACATTATATTCATCAGCACATAGAATATTCTCCAAGATAGACCATATGATAGGCCACAAAACAAATCTCAATAAATTTAAGAAAATAAAAATTATAGCAAGTACTCTTTCAGACCACAATGGAATAAAATTGGAAATCAACTGCAAAAGGAACCCTCAAAACCATACCAATACATGGAAATTAAACAACCTGCTCCTGAATGATCATTGGGTCAACAATGAAATCAAGATGGGAATTTAAAAATTCTTTGAAGTGAATAATAGTGGCACAACCTATCAAAACCCCTGGGATACAGCAAAAGCAGTGCAAGAGGAAAGTTCATAGCATTAAACACCTACATCAAAAAGTCTGAAAGAGGCTGGGCATGGTGGCTCACGCCTGTAATCTCAGCACTTTGGGAGGCCAAGGTGGGTGGATCATGAGGTCAGGAGTTCAAGACCAGCCTGGCCAACATAGTGAAACCCCGTCTCTACTAAAAAATACAAAAAATTAGCCAGGCATGGTGGCAGTGCCTGTAATCCCAGCTACTCCGGAGGCTGAAGCAGGGGAATTGCTTGAACCTGTGAGGTGGAGGTTGCAGTGAGCTGAGATCACGCCATTGCACTCCAGCCCATGTGACAGTGCGAGACTCCATCTCAAAAAAAAAACAAAAACAAAAACAAAAAACAGTCTGAAAGAGCAACAATAGACAATTTAAGGTCACACCTCAAGGAACTAGAGAAACAAGAATAAACCAAACCCAAACCCAGCAGAAGAAAAGAAATAATAAAGATCAGAGCAGAGTTAAATGAAACTGAAACAAAAAAAATAAAAAGATAAATGAAACAAAAAACTGGTTCTTTGAAAAGATAAATAAAGTTGATAGGCCATTAGTGGCATCAACCAAGAAAAGAAGAGCGAAGCTCGAAATAAGCTCAATTTGAAATGAAAACAGGTGATATTACAACTGATACCACAGAAATACAAAGGATTGTTCAAGGCTTCTATGAACACCTTTCTGTGCACTGTATTAGCCTGTTCTCATGCTGCTAATAAAGACATACCTGAGACTGGGTAATTTCTTTTTTTGTTAATTTTATTTTTTTAATTATACTTTAAGTTCTAGGGTACATGTACACAATGTGCAGGTTTGTTACATAGGTATACATGTGCCATGTTGGTTTGCTGCACCTATCAACTGGTCATTTACATTAGGTATTTCTCCTAATGCTATCCCTCCCCCAGCCCCCCACCCACCAACAGGCTCTGGTGTGTGATGTTCCCCGCCCTGTGTCCAAGTGTTCTCATTGTTCAATTCCCACCTATGAGTGAGAACATGATGTGTTTGGTTTTCTGTCCTTGTGATAGTTTGCTGAGAATGATGGTTTCCAGCTTCATCCATGTTCCTGCAAAGGACATGAACTCATCCTTTTTTTATGGCTGCATAGTATTCCATGGTGTGTATGTGCCACATTTTCTTAATGAGACTGCATAATTTCTAAAGAAAAAGAGGTTTAATGGGCTCAGCGTTCCACATGGCTGGGGAGGCCTCACAATCATGGTGAAAGGTGAAGGAGGAGCAAAGTCACATCTTACATGGTGGCAGGCAAGAGGGCATGTGCAGGGGAACTCCCATTTATAAAGTCATCAGATCTCATGAGAATTATTCACTACCACGAGAACAGTATGTGGGAAACTGCCCCTGTGATTCAATTATCTCAACCTGGCCCTGCCCATGTGTCAAACATGGGGATTATTACAGTTCAAGGTGAGATTTGGATGGGGACACAGTCAAACCATATTACGCATGAGCTAGAAATCCTAGAGGAGATGGATAAATTCCTGAAAATATACAACCCTCCTAGATTAAACCAAGAAGATATAGAAACTCTGAATAGACCAATAACAAAGTGAAATTGAAATGGTAATTTAAAAGTTACCAACAAAAAAAGTGCAGGACCAGGCAGATTCACAGCTGAACTCCATCAGACATTCAAAGAAGAATCGATTCCAATCCTATTGACACTATTCAAATGGATAGAGAAAGAGGGAATACTCCCTAAATCACTCTATGAAGCCAGTATCACTGTACTACAAAATCAGGAAAGGACATAACAAAGAAAGAAAGCTGCAGACCAATATTCCTGATGAACATAGATGCAAAAATCCTCAACAAAATACTAGCTTACAGAATCCAATAGCATATCAAAAAGATAATCTACCATGATCAAGTGGGTTTCATACCAGGGATGCAAGGATGGTTTAACATTCACAAGTCAATAAATGTGATACACCATATAAACAGAATTAAAAAAAAAATCACACGATCATCTTAATGGATGCAGAAAAAGCATTTGACAAAATCCAGCAACTTTTTATGATTAAAACCTTCAGCAAAATTGGCTACAAGGGACATACTTTAAGGTAATAAAAGCCATCTATGACAAACCCACAGCCAACATTATACTGAATGGGGAAAAGTTGAAAGCATTCCCCCTGAGAATTGGAACAAGACAAGGATTCCCACTTTCATCACTTCTACTCAGCATTTTACTGGAATTCCTAGCCAAAGCAATTAGACAAGAGAAAGAAATAAAGGACATCCAAATCCATAAAGAGGAAGGCAAACTGTTGCTGTTTGCTGATGATATGATCATATACCTAGAAAACCCTAAAGACTCATCCAAAAACTCCTAGGACTGATCAAAGAATTCAGAAAAGTTTCAAGATACAAAATTAATACACACAAATTAGTAGCTCTGCTAGATACCAACAGCAACCAAGCTAAGAATCAAATCAAGAAGTCAACCCCTTTTACAATAGCTGCAAAAAATAAAATAAACTACTTAGGAATATATTTAACCAAGGAGGTAAAAGACTTCTACAAGGAAAACCATGAAACACTGCTGAAAGAAATGACAGATGACAGAAACAAATGGAAACACACTCCATGCTCATGGATGGGTAGAATCAATATTGTGAAAATGACCGTACTGCCTAAAGCAATCTATAAATTCAATGCAATTCCCATCAAAATACCACCATCATTTTTCACAGAACTAATAAACACAATCCTAAAATTCATATGGAATCAAAAAAGAGCCTGCATAGCTAAAGCAAGACTAAGCAAAAAGAACAAATCTGGAGGCATTACATTACCCCACTTCAAACTATGCTATAAGGACATAGTCACCAAAACAGCATGGTGCTAGTATAAAAAATAGGCACATAGACCAATGCAACAGAGTAGAGAATACAGAAATAAAGCCAAATACTTACAGTCAACTGCTCTTCAACAAAGCAAACAAAAACATAAATTGGGGAAAGGACAACCTATTCAACAAATTGTGCTGAGATAATTGGCAAGCCACATATAGAAGAATGAAACTGGATCCTCATCTCTCATCGTATAAAAAAAAGAACAACTCAAGGTGGATCTAAGACTTAAATCTAAGCCCTGAAACCATAAAAATTCTAGAGGATAACATTGGAAAAATCCTTCTAGAGGTTGGCTTAGGCAAAGAATTCATGACCGAGAACCCAAAAGCAAATGCAACAAAAACAGAGATAAATAGCTGGGACTTAAATAAAGTAAAAAGCTTCTGCACAGCAAAAGAAACAATCAGCAGAGTAAACAGACAACTCGCAAAGTGGGAGAAAAATCTTCCCAATCTATACATCTGGCAAAAGACTAATATCTGGAATCTACAAGGAACTCAAGTAAGGAACTAAAACAAATCAGCAAGAACAAAACAAATAATCCCATCAAAAAGTGGACTAAGGATATGAATAGACAGTTCTCAAAAGAAGATATACAAATAGCCAACAAACATGAAAAAATGCTCAACATCACTAATGATCAGGGAAATGCAAATCAAAACCACAATGCAATACCACCTCACTCCTGCAAGAATGGCCATAATAAAAAAATAAATAAATACAATAGATATTAGCATGGATGTGGTGAAAAGGGAACACTTTTACACTGTTGGTGGGAATGTAAACTAGGACAACCACTATGAAAAACAGTGTGGAGATTCCTTAAAGAACTAAAAGTAGACCTACCATTTGATTCAGCAATCCCACTACTGGGTATCTACCCAGAGGAAAAGAAGTCATTATATGAAAAAGATACTTGCATAGTCATGTCTATAGCAGTGCAATTCTCAATTGCAAAAATATGGAACCAACCCAACTGTCTATCAATGAGTGGATAAAGAAAGTGTGATATGTATGTGTGTATATATATATATGTGCGTATACACACACACACACACACACACACACACAAATACACCATGGAATACTACTCAGCCATAAAAAGGAATGAAATAATGGCATTCGCAGCACCCTGGATGGAATCAGAGACCATTATCCTAAGTGCAGTAATTCAGGAATGGAAAACCAAACGTCGTAAGTTCTCATCCGTAAGTGAGAGCTAAGCTTTGAGGATGCAAAGGCATAAGAATGATACAATGGACTTTGAGGACTTGGGGGAAAGGGTCGGAGGAGGGTGAGGAATAAAAGACTACTAATTGGGTACAGTGTACACTGCTGAGGTGATGGGTGCCCCTCAATCTCAGAAATCACCACTAAAAAACTTACTCATGTAACCAGACACCATCTGTTCTCCAAAAACCATTGAAATAAAATAAAATTAGAATAAAATAAAATTGGGCTTATGCAATTAAAAAAAAAGAACCCTGGGCTTGCCAAAGACTGAGTGGCAGAGGTGGTCACAGAGCCAAAGCAAAAGTAGAGGCTGTCACTTGGTTTGACAGGGCACTGCTGACCACAGCATTAGTAAGGTTGTTGGTATCCAGCCTGGCAAAATATGTACTTGTGACTGGTTAGCAGGCAGTCCCAAAATGAAGCACTCCTTTACCACTACTTGGAATTAAAGTAGTGGTTGTTGTCTTTGCACAGCTGAAAGTGGGGTACCAGTTCTGCCAAAACAAAAGCTGCTCATGATTTTATGTATTATTGTTTTTATTATTTTATTTTTATTTCTTGTGGATACATAGTAGGTGTGTATATTTATGGGCTATATGTGATGTTTTGATATGGTCATACAATGTGTAATAATCACACCATGGAGAATTGGGTATCCATCCCCTCAAGCATTTATCCTTTGAGTTACAAATAATCTAAATACACTCTTTTAGTTATTTTTAAATGTACAATTAAGTTTTTATTGACTATAGTCACTCTATTGTGCTATAAAATAGTAAGTCTTACTCATTCTTTCTATTTTTTTGTACCTGTTAACCATTCCCACCTCCCTCTCCAACCCCCCACTGCCCTTCCCAGCCTCTGTTCTTCTCTCTATCTCCATGGGTTTAATTGCTTGGATTTCTGGATGCCACAAATAAGTGAGAACATGAGATGTATGTCTTTCTGTGCCTACTTTATTTCACTTAACATAATGATCTCTAGTTCCATCCATGTGGTTGCAAATGACAGCATCTCACTCTTTTTTATGGCTGAATAGTACTCCATTGTGTATATGTACCATGTTTTATTTATCCATTCATCTGTTTATAAACATTTAGGTTGCTTCCAAATCTTAGCTATTGTAAACAGTGCTGCAACAGACATAGGAGTGCAGATATCTCTTTGATATACTGACTTCCTTTCTTTTGGGTATGTACCCAGAAGTGGGATTGTTGGATCATGTGGTAGCTCAATTTTTATTTTATTTATTTATTTTTCTTCCTTTCTTTTTAAAACTTTTAGGTGTGGGGGTAGATGTAAAGATTTATTACATAGGTAAACTTGTGTCATGGGGATTTGTTGTACAGATTATTTCATCACCCAGGTATTAACCCAGTACTCAATAGTTATCTTTTCTGAACCTGTCCCCCCTTCCACCCTCCACCCTCAAATAGACCCCAGTGTCTGTTGTTCTCTTCTTTGTGTTCATAAGTTGTCATCATTTAGCTCCCACTTATAAGTCAGAACATGGGGGTATTTGGTTTTCTGTTCCTGTGTTAGTTTGCTAAGGATAATAGCCTCCAGATCCATCCACATTCCCACAAAAGACATGATCTCATTCTTTTTCATGGCTGCATAGTATTCCATGGTATATATGTACCACAGTTTCTCTATCCAGTCTGTCATTCATGACATTCAGGTTGATTCCATGTCTTTGTTGTTGTAAATAGTGCTGTAATGAACATTCGTGTGCATGCATCTTTATGGTAGAATGATTTGTATTCTTCTGGGTATATACCCAGTAATGAGACTGCTGGGTCAAATGGTAGTCCTGTTTTTAGCTCTTTGAGACATTGCCATACTGCTTTCCACAATGGTGAAACTAATTTATACTCCCACTAACAGTGTGTAAGTGTTCCCTATTCTCTGCAACATTGCCAGCATCTGTTATTTTTTGATTTTATAATAATAGCCGTTCTGACTGGTGTGAGTTGCTATCTCATTTTGGTTTTGATTTGAATTTCTCTAATGATCAGTGATATTGAGCTTTTTGCATGTGCTTGTTTTTCCTATGTATGTCTTCTTTATGAAAGTGTCTGTTCATGTCCTTTGCCCAATTTTTAATGAGGCTGTTTTTTTGATTTTCTCTTGTAAATTATTCTAAGCCCCTCATGGATACTGGATATTAGACCTTTGTCACATGCATGGTTTGCCAATATTTTCTCCCATTCTGTAGGTTGTCTGTTTACACTGTTGATAGTTTCTTGCTGTGTAGAAGCTCTTTAGCTTAATTAGATCCCATCTGTCAGTTTTTGCTTTTGTCATAATTGCTTTCGGTATCTTTGTCAAAAAATCTTTGCCCATTCCTCTGTCCAGGATGGTATTGCCTAGGTTGTCTTCCAAGGTTTTTATAAACTTGGCCTTTATGTTTAAGTCTTTAATCCATCTTGAGTTGATTTTTGTATATGGTGTAAGGAAAGGGCTCAGTTTCAATCTTCTGCATATGGTTAGCCAGTTATCCCAGCACCATTTATTGAATGGGGAGTATTTTCCCCATTGCTTGTTTTTGTCAGCTTTGTCAAAAATCAGATGGTCATATATGTGTCACCTTATTTCTGGGCTCTCTATTCTGTTCCCTTGGTCTAAGTGCATGTTTTTATACCAGTACTATGCTGTTTTGGTTACTGTAGCTCTGCGGTATAGTTTGAGGTTGGATAACTTGATGCCTCCAGCTTTGTTATTTTTGCTTAGGACTGCCTTGGCTATTAGGGCTCTTTTTTGGTTCCATATGAATTTTACAATAGTTTTTTTTCTAGTTCTGTGAAGAATGTCATTGGTAGTTTTATAGGAATAGCATTGAATCTGTAATTTGCTTTGGGCAGTATGGCCATTTTAATGATATTAATTCATTCTATACATGAGCATGGAATGTTTTTCCATTTGTTTGTGTCTTCTCTGATTTCTTTGAGCAGTGTCTTGTACTTCTGATTGTAGAGATATTTCACCTCCCTGGTTAGCTGTATTCCTAGGTATTTTATTCTTTTGTGGCAATTGTGAATGAGATTGATTGCCTTTCTGATTTGGCTCTCAGCTTGGCTGTTGTTAGTGTACAGAAATGCTAGTGATTTTTGCACATTGTTTTGTATTCTGAAACTGCTGAAGTTGTTTATCAGCTGAAGGAGACTTTGAGCTAGGACTATGGGATTTTCTAGATGTAGAATCATGTCATCTGCAAACAAAGATACTTTTACTTCCTCTCTTCCTATTTGGGTGCACTTTACGTCTTTCTCTTGCCTGATTGCTCTGGCTAAGACTTCCAATACTATGTTGAGTACGAGTGGTGAGAGAGGGCATCCTTGTCTTGTGCCTATTTTCAAGGGGAATGCTTCCAGCCCATTCAATATGCTGTTGACTGTGGGTTTATCACAGATGGTTCTTATTATTTTGAGGTATATTCCTTTAAGACCTAGTTTGTTGAGAGTTTTTAACATGAAGGAATGTTGAATTTTATCGAAAGCTTTGTCTTGTGGTTTTTGCTTTTAGTTCTGTTTATGTGATGAATCACATTTATTGATTTGCATATATTGAACCAAACTTGCATCCCTGGTATGAAGCCTACTTGATCACAGTAGATTAGCTTTTTGATATGTGGCTTGATGCAGTTTGCAAGTGTTTTGTTGAGCATTTTGCATTGATGTTCATCAGGGATATTGGAGTTTTGTTTTTCCGTTGTGTCTCCGCCAGGTTTTGGTATCAGGATGATGCTGGCCTCATAGAATAAGTTAGGGAAGAGTCACTCCTCCTTAGTTTTTTGTAATAGTTTCTGTAGGAATTGTACCAGATCTTCTTTGTACCACTGGTAGAATTCAGCTGTAAATCCATTTGGTCCTGGGCTTTTTTTGGTTGGTAAACTATTTATTACTGCCTCAATTTCAGAACTCATTATTGATCTATTCAGGCATTCAATTCTTCTTGGTTCAGTCTAGGGAGCATGTATGTGCCCAGGAATCTATCCTTTTTTTCTAGATTTTCTAGTGTACGTGCATAGAGTTGTTTATAGTATTCTCTGATGGTTGTTTGTATTTCTGTGGGGTCAGTGATGATATCCTCCTTATCATTTCTAATTATGTCTATTTGATTCTTCTCTCTTTTCTTCTTTATTAGTCTAGTTAGTGGTCTATATATTTTAATTCTTTTTTTTTTTTCCAGAAAAAAGCAACTCCTCGATTCGGTGATTTTTTGAAGGTTTTTTTGTGTCTCTATCTCCTTCAGTTCCACTCTGATCTTGGTTATTTCTTGTCTTCTGCTGGCTTTGGGGTTTGCTCTTGGTTCTATAGTTCTTTTAGTTGTGATGTTAGGTTGTTAATTTGGGGTTTTTCTAATGGCTTTTTGATGTGGGTATTTAGTGCTAAAAATTTCCTTTTTAACACTGGTTTTGCTGCACCCCAGAGATTCTGGCACATTGTCTCTTTGTTCTCATTAGTTTCAAAGAACTTCTTGATTTCTGCCTTAATTTCATTATTTACCCAAAAGTCCTTGAGAACCATGTTGTTTAATTTCCATGTAATTGTATGGTTTTGAGTGATTTTCTTAGTCTTGACTTCTATTTTTATTGTACCATGGTCCGAGCATGTATTTGGTATTATTTCAGTTCTTTTGCATTTGCTGAGAATTGTTTTATGTCAAATTATGTGGTTAATTTTAGAGTATGTGCCATGTGGTGATGAGAAGAATGTATATTCTGTTGTTTTGGGGTGGAGAGTTCTGTAGAGGTCTATCAGATTCACTTGGTCCAAGGTTGAGTTCAGGTCCTGAATATCTTTGTTAATTTTTTTGCCTGAATGATCTAATACTGTCACTGGAGTGTTGAAGTCTCCCATTATTATTGAGTGGGAGTCTATGTTTCTTTGTACATCTCTAAGAACTTGCTTTATAAATCTGGGTACTCATGTGTTGGGTGCATATATAATATATTTTTAAGATAGTTACGTCTTTGTGTTGAATTGAAACCTTTACCATTATGTAATGCCCCTCTTTGATCTTTGTTGGTTTGAAGTCTGTTTTGTCTGAAATTAAGATTGCTATCCCTGCCTTTTTCTGTTTTCCATTTGCTAGGTAGATTTTCCTCCATTCCTTCATTTTGAGCCCCTGGGTGTCATTACATGTGAAATAGGTCTTTTGAAGATAGCATAGCATTGGGTCTTGTGTTTGTTTGTTTGTTTTTAATCCAGCTTGCCAGTCTGTTCCTTCTAAGTGAGGCATTTATTTCATTTACATTCAAGGTTAGTATTGATATGTGTGGATTTGATTTTGTCATTTTGTTGTTAGCTGGTTATGATGTTGGCTTGTTTGTGTGGTTGCTTTATAGTGACACTTTCAACTTTTTTCCATCACAATGAAAATAACAAAAGCAACACACAGCTTTACAAAAACAAATTTTTATTAGAAAGCAGTAGAATCTGAGCAGGAAGACAGTACAAAGAATGTAAACGGTGTAAACATCACTACATTCAGCTCAACCTGATTGAATGCCGAAAGACAACTCTAAATGCTCTATGTGCCCTTACTAGCAAACTACATGAATTCTATTTTATACAGACAATACACTCTAATTTTGATTAGGTGAAAGTGTTTTATCAAAGTCAAACCCAGAGCCAAATACTGGCATCATCACAAACAACTATAAGAATGCTGCTATCCCTGCTAAAACTGGTTTGTTGAATAGCAGCATCACATTTACGATGAGTTAGTGTTGTACATTTGGCTTTATGAGGATCTTAAACTTCTGAATTTCAAACATAAAGTTTTCCAACTTGATTGCCCAATGTAAGCATCTTTTGCCAGAAATTCATAGAAAATCTCATGTACCAAATATCACACTGGCTACAATCAAATCACCTAAGAATAGTCACATTAGAGTCACCAGGTTGAATTGTATCTATATCACCTTCCGTTTTGCCAGGTTTCCAACACAACTGCATTTTCACAAGACTTAGAAAGTATCAAATCACCTAACCATCACAGACGATCAACATAATTCCTGTGTATGTCTCTGATAGAAAAATCAGAAAATGGATTTTCTGAGAATTAAATGGCCTGTAAGTTTTACTTGGGTTATAATCATAAGATTTCCTAATTGAATTCATCATTCTCTTTGAATTGATCCACCAAAGTTTGAGTGATCCATACCACAGGACATTATTTTTTCACGCAAAAGATCACAACCAGCGCTTAGAACTTCAACTCTGTGCCCTTCTATGCTTCCAAATATTGCCACCAGTGTGTCCATTATTCCATAATCATAAAGCATGATCTTTACTTACTGATAGGAGTAGATTTGGATCTCTAAGGTGGAATTTCAGCTCATTGATAGCATTTCCGTGGCCAATATAGTGCTTTTTACACTGCGTTGTTGTGGGATTAATCATCCCAATTATGCTTCTATTGCTATCATAGGTCCATGCACAAGTGTAAAAGTTTCGTCAGCATCAGCGTCCACACAAGATTGCAACAACCGAATTTCTCCTTGTCAATGACATTCATACAAGGTAACTCTGTTGCTTCCTACAGTTGCAAACAGTAATGGATCTTCTTCTTTACTGTGCTAATTAAATTGAACTCCAAACAGTGGTTGGTTATGATGTTCCTTGAGACTATTTACACATTTGAAAGCACATTTGCATTTCTTTGACTTCCATTTTCCCTTTCCCCAACTTTGCCTTCCAGGTGCATTTGGCATGTTTGTAGGTATATCAGGGTGTTCAGTGATTGTACCACTTTCTACTGACAGCATCATCATTCTCCTCTCCAGAGAGGTGAGGGTTGCTGGTCTCGTCACTGCTCAGCTTCTGCTTCTTCACTGCAGGCGTGTCTAATCCCACCAGCACAGTTGACATTTCCCTCTCTTTTTGGTTGTTTGAAGGACCTCCACACTGTTCTCCATAGTGGTTGCACTAATTTACATTGCCACCAACAGTGTACAAGAGTTCCCTTTTCTCCACACCCTCGCCTGCATTTGCTATTGCTTGTCTTTTGGATATAATCCGTTTTAACTGGGATTAGATGATATCTCATTGTAGTTTTGATTTGCATTTCTCTGATAATCGTGATGTTGAGCACCTTTTCGTATGCCTGTTTGCCATTTGTACATCTTCTTTTGAGAAATGTCTATTCAAATCTTTTGCCCATTTTTTGATAACATTATTAGACTTTTTCCTATAGACTTGTTTGAGCTCCTTATATATTCTGGTTACTAATGCCTTGTCAGATGGGTAGTTTGCAAATATTTTCTCCCATTTTGTGGGTTGTCTCTTCACTTTGCTGATTGTATCCTTTGCTATGCAGAAGCTTTTTAACTTGATGTGATCCCATTTGTCCATGTTTGCTTTGATTGCCTATGCTTGTGAGGTATTGCTCAAGAAATCTTTGCCCAGACCAATGTCCTGGGAAAAGGACATTGTCCCCAATGTTTTCTTGTACTAGTTTCATAGTTTAAGGTCTCAGACTGAAGTCTTTAATCCATGTTTATTTTATTAATCCATGTTTATTTTATTTTTGTATATGGCAAGAGAAAGGGTCCAGTTTCATTCTTCTGCATATGGATATCCAGTTTTCCCATCACCATTTATTGAAAAGACTGTCTTTTCCCCAGTGTATGTTCTTGACACTTTTGTCAAAAATGAGTTCACTGTAGGTGTATGGATTTGTTTCTAGTTTCTCTATTCTGCTCCATTGGTCTATGTGTCTGTTTTTATGCCAGTACCATGTTGTTATAGTTAATGTGGCTCTGTAGTATAATTTGAAGTAAGGTAATGTGATTCCTCCAGCTTTGTTCTTTTTGCTTAGGATAACTTTGACTATTCTGAGTCTTTTGTGGTTCCATAAAAATTTTAGGATTTTCTTTTTTATTTCTGTGAAGAATGTCATGGGGATTACATTGAATCTATAGATTGCTCTGGGTACTATGAATATTTTAACAATATTGATTCTTCCAATCCATGAACATGGAATATTTTTCCATTTTTTGGTGTCTTCTTCAATGTCTTTCATCAGTGTTTTACAGTTTTCATTATAGACATCTTTTACTTCTTTGGTTAAATTAATTTCTAGGTTTTCAATTCTATGTGTGGCTATTGTAAATGCAATTGCTTTTTTGTTTCTTTTTCACATTGTTCCCTGTTGGCATATAGAAATCCTACTGATTTTTGTATGTTGATTGTGTATCCTACAACTTTAGTGAATTTATTTATCAGTTCTAATAGTCTTCTTGTGGAGTCTTTAGGTTTTTCCAAATATATGATCATATCATCAGCAAACAAGGATAATTTCACTTCTTCCTTGCCAATTTGGATGCCCTTTATATCTTTTTTTTTGTCTGATTGCTGTAGCTAAGACTTCCAGTATTATGTTGAATAACAATGGTTACAGTAGGCATCCTTGGCATTTTCCAGATCTTAGAGGAAAGGCTTCCCATTTTTCCCCAAGCAGTATGGTACTATCTGTGAGCTTGCCATATATGGTTTTCATTATGTTAAGTTCTCTCTATCCTCAGTTTTTTGAGGGTTTTTATTATGAATGGATATTGAATTTTATTAAATGCTTTTTCAGCATCAATTGAAATGATCATTTTGTTTTTACCCATCATTTTGTTGATGCGATGTATCACATTAATTGATTTGCATATGTTGAACCATCTTTGCATCCCAGGGTCAAACCCCACTTGGTCATGGTATGTGATATTTCTAATGTATTGTTGAATTCGGCTTGCTAGTATTTTGTTGAGGACTTTTGCATCAATATTCTTCAGAGATATTGGGCTGTAATTTTCTTTATTTGATGTGTCTTTGCCTGGTTTTGGTATGAGGGTAATACTGGCCTTGTAGAATGAGTTTGGAAGAATTCCCTCCTCCTCCTCTATTTTTCAGAATAGTTTGAATAGGAGTGGTATTAATTCTTCTTTAAATGTTTGGTAAAATTCAGCAGTGAAGCCATCAGTTTCCAGGCTTTTTTTTTTTTTTTTTTTTTTTTTTTTTACTGGGAGACTTTTTATTATAGCTTCAATCGCATTACTTGTTATTGATCTGTTCAGGTTTGGTATTTCTTCATAGTTCAATCTTGATAGGTTGTATGTGTCTAGAAATGTGTCCATTTCTTCTAGATTTTCCAATTTATTGGCATACAGTAGCTCATAGTAGCCACTAATGATCCTTCGAATTTCTGCAGTATCAGTTGTAATGTCTCCTTTTTCATTTCTGATTCTATTTACTTGGATCTTCTTTTTTTTCTTAGTCTGGCTAAATGTTTGTCAATTTTGTTTAACGTTTCAAAAAATCAACTTTTGTTTCATTGATATTTTGCACTTTCTTAAAAATTTCAATTTTATTTATTTCTGCTCTGATCTTTATTTTTTATTTTCTTCTACTAATTTTGGGTTTGATTTGCTCTTGCTTTTCTAGTTCTTTAAGTTGCGTTATTAGATTGCCCATTTGAAATTTTTTCTCTTTGTTGATGTAGGCATTTCTAGCTATGAACTTCCCTCTTAGTACTGCTTTTGCTCTATGCCATAGGTTTTGGTATGTCATGTTTGCATTATCATTTGTTTCAAAAATTTTTTCAATTTCCTTATTAACTTCTTCATTGACCCACTGGTCATTCACGAGCATATTGTTTAATTTCCATGTGCCTGTGTAGTTTCCAAAATTCCTCTCATTACTAATTTCTAGTTTTATTCCATTGTGGTCAGAGAAGACGCTTGATATTATTTCAATTTTTCTTTTAAGACAGGGTCTCACTATGTCACCCAGGCTGCAGTGCAACAGTGCAATCATGACTTACTGCAGCTTCAACTTCCCAGGCTCAGGTCATCTGCCCACCTCAGCCTCCCAGATAGTGCAGACTACAGGTGTGCACTATCACACCTGGCTAATTTTTTGCATTTCTTTGTAGATATGAGGTTTTGCTATGTTGTCCAGGCTTGTCTCAAACTCCTGAGCTCAAGTGATCTGAGTGCCTGGGCCTTCCAAAGTGCTGGGATTGCAGGTGTGTGTGACTGCACCTGGCCTATTTCTATTTTTTCAACATTTTATAACTTGTTTTGTGACCTAACATGGTGTATCCTTGAGAATGATCCATGTGCTGAGGAAAAGAATGTGTATTCTGCCTCCCTTGGATGAAATGTCCTGTAAATATCTATTAAATCCATTTGGTCTGTAGTGCAGATTGAGTCTGATGTGTCTTTGTTGATTTTCTATCTGGAAGATCTGTCCAGTGCTGAAAGTGGGGTGTTGAAATCTTCAGCTATTATTGTATTGGTGTCCATGTCTCTGTTTAGCTCTAATAATATTTGTTTTATATATCTGGGTGCTCCAGTGTTTTGTGCATATATATTTAAAAATTGTTATATTCTCTTGCTGAATTGACCCCTTTATCATTACATAGTGACCTTCTTTGTCCCTTCTTATAGTTTTCGCCTTAAAAGCTATTTTTTTTCTGATATAAATAGAGCAACTCCTGCTCTTTCCCATGATTTTAAGCCCTTGACGGTAGTTGCTGCTGCTGCTGCCGCCGCTGCTGCTACCAGCCCTGCTCACTCTCTAGGTCACAAAGTAAATTGATAGGTCTTTAAGACTACACAGAAATCAAAGAGGTGGATCAGGGCCTATACGAGCTGAAAAGAAATGGCCTTGTCAGTGGGCAGCTTCCAGCTCATGTGTCTGGTTTTTGTTTTTGTTTTTGTTTTGATCCAGTCTGATTAGCAACAGAGCTGAAGCATGAAACTAGATCTTCCAATTTTAAATCCAGTTTTATATATGACAATAATTTTTGCATGGAGTTTATAATCTAGACCTGAAGACAATTCCCAAAAGAGTTATTAAAGTTATTTGACAGCTAGCATGGGTAGGAATAGTGTATAACCATTCAGGATGAATACTTAGAAGAACAGCATTTATTTAGATAAGATTCAAAAAGTGTTACCTCTGTCTGAAAGTTAGCTTTGCTACTTTACAATCACATTTATACTCAGTTACCTGAATTGGATTGTGGGTTTGTATCTCTAGCCATTCCTTCCAGAGTCATCCTTTTCTTCATTATCCTGGGGATCTGTGACCTTCATCAACAGCAAGAGTAGACATGCCACTCACTTCAGAGTGGTTTCCATCACTAATGCTTCCAGTCTGGGATTGTCATGCTAATAATTACAATCTCGTGTACTTTAAGATTTATGAAGCACTTTTCAACATACGTTTTCTTATTATATCCCAGAGTATTAGACACCTGAGTGGGGTCCAGGTAGAGTTTTTAGATTTAAGTCCAGTTAGCAGATGAAGAAAATCAGAAGTGAGATAATTTTCTCAAGGTCCCACAGCAGTCAGTGGCTGAGCCACGATTGGAATTCACATCCCCCAATTTTAAATCCTGTGCTCTTCTACCACCCTCATGAGAAGGTAGTACAGGTCCCTTGTCTCCTTGCATGGAGAGGTGTGCATGCACAACAATTTTGTCTATCCTTTGTCTCCACAATACTGTAATAGGTCTTTTCTGGGCTGCATTATGACTTTCATTGATCCTAAATGCTTATGACTTTATATGGGTCTCTTCCTCCATAAAAATATAAAGTGCACTCACCACTGGAGCATCCAGATATATAAAAATATAAAACTTATGTTTTACTACTGCACTGTTATAAAGATGAATATGTTTTATTATATACTAAAACATTTTCTTTGATGTAATAGTCCAAAGTTTTTCTTCTGATTTTAAAATAAATTAAGACATTTTCATGAGTTCCTAAAATTATTGTGGGCACTAGGCTTTGTGCCTCCTGTTTTTAATGGAGAAGAGGGCCCTGGATATTTTTCTGGACAGAGTGAGGCAGTAAGAATAGGAAGACTTGCTAGAGCACTTCATAACCTGAAATTTCTGGACAACCTGAATCTCTGAAATCAATTAAGTGGTATAGAAAATTCTGGACATATGTAGAGGTGTGCATTTTTCTGAGGTAAGCATGCATAGTTTACATTAGATTCTCAAAGGGATCCATTTTCCAAAAACAGATTAAGAAAAAGGAGACCATCTATTGTAGTGAAGGTGTACTAAGGAATCCCATGCCAGGTCTTTTTGAGATAACTCAACCTCTGTATTTTTATGGACTATAGAGGCAGTTGCATAGGTTTAGATGCTCCTTGACTCAAGCATAGGTACTGCCCCCCCAATCCCCACCCCTCAACACACACGGTCAAATCTTGAACTCTGTCCTAACAGCCCTGAAAGATTGGTCAGGTGAAGAGAACTGTACCTTTGGAGTTAGTCTCCAGGATCCCAGGATTAAGCCTCAAGTCTATCCCTTTATCCACCAACTTCTGAGACTAGTGCTCTGGGTAAGGAAAGAATTCACCCTGAAGCACGAAAGATCCAAAGGCCATGTGCTTTGGCTGGGGACAGTGGCTGATTGTTGGCAGAAGTAAGACATCGGGTGGTGTCACTTAAATGCCCTCAAGCCAGCCCTTGGCAACTTGTCCCAAATTTTTCAACAGAAAGCTCTGTCAACTAAAAGAGCCACAACACCCTTTACGAAGCTAATAAAGAGCTGCAAACATTGGCAGGAAGAGAACCCACCCACACACTGGCAAGAGCAACAGCAGTGATGAGAAGAGCCCTGCAAAGGCTAAAGAACATGGGTACAGAAGTGGCAGCTGCTAATCAGGACCAGCAGGAGGCCTAGAGGAGAGTGACTTTGATGCTAGTTGCAGAATAACATAATAATGCCCACCATTACAAGAAAGGGGTACAGCCTGGAGGGGTTGGGGGCCAGTAACTCTCCCATAGTGTGAGGGCTCAGAGCCCCACCCCCACCCACAACCCAATGGAATACCCACGTGAGAACAGCAGCAGTGGGAGCAGGCAACCCCGCAGGAAGAAGGATTTTATCACTGACATTGTTTAGGATGGCTAGCACATGATGAGCATGAAAAGCAGACAGACTTTGAGTCAGTTTTATTATTGTTTTTAAATTCACCACAGGCAGTGCCATCCTCTCCTCCTTATTGCCTGCACCTGGGGTGGAACTCTCCCACCACTCTCCCCCACTTGACACAACATTGCCCCAATCACTAGGGCCTGAGAAATAGTGGAGATGAAATTAGCCTCCTACTATCGACAGATTGCAAAATAACTCTGGCTCTCCTGGAGGGAAGGCCATCCATTTGTAGTTCTTCCCACATAGGCCCTAGGAAGCAAGTGGGCAAAGGCAGAAAATGCTAAGTCAAGTCTTGGATGGAGTGATGGCAGCCAGTGTCCCACAGCTAGAGAGAATTCCTTTCTGTTCTACTCTTGTAGCTTGCTTCAAATACAAAGGGCATTGATCCATGTGGGCTGCAGAAAACACTTCCATATGGGCACAGTATTAGATGCTTGGGTCTTCAAGTGCTTAAAGTGAATGGGAAATGTACAGCAGGCCTTTCATAATGTACCATTCCAATTATCCCACCATTTTGGGGGCAGGGGGGTCCAGGATTGACCCTTCTTTTTACCCTAATTAAGGTCTCACGTAGAAGTTTCTTCTAACTTGTGGGAGAAATACCTGCTTACCTTGTTTGCCTTTTTCTTCTATTAAAGCTGTATTCCCTCCTGTCTTTACACTGCTTTTCTGCTCTAGCCTCACCTTGGAAAGTTTCCTTTGCGGAGTCTATTTAAATGAATGCTGTGTCTCTTTCACTCATACACCAAAAACTTAGAAATCTGGACTTTTCATTTCAGAAGGATATTTGGGGGTGGGAGGGGAAATCTCATTAGCTTGTCAGTCAAATGTATATTTGCAAACACTTGGTGCACATCAAACGATACAGACTTGGATAGGAAACAAATGTATTGTGCTCATTAAATTATTAGTATTATTATTTTTACGAAAAGGAATGCCTGAGAAAACAAATGCATTTGGGTGTGTTCAACTACTCTTAGTTTTATAATAGGATTTACTCTTTTCTTTTTAAAAATCCCTGTTCTTCAAACCTGTAAAAATAATAAATCATTTATTTCCATGTCCAACTTGAGTCCCTAGTGTTTGATTACTGTTTCACCAAAAGGAAAATAAATACAATGTGTGCTATTAAAGTAATTCAGTGCAAATTGGGCATAACACAAAATTACATTATTAACAGCTGTTAAATGACTATAAAATGTAATTAGACACACTCAATTCACTACTCATGAACTGCACCTGATTTCTAAAATATCAGTTTAGAACTTTGATTATTCATGACAAAAGAGAACATACTTAGATTTTAGGTTTAAATTCCTGATAATGGATGTATTCCCCTATGACCTTTACTGGGATTCCAAATAAGAGGAGGAGGAAAGAGTTGTTTAAGCGCAGGAGGGGGATTGTGAGTTATCATGTGGGTGCCGGCAGGTTCCCACTGAATCCCTGCCAGCTGCAGTGAGGCATGAGTGCCTTGGTTAAATTTTAACTCTCTGCTTGCAAAGGAGCAACAAAGCCCAGCTCAGATACTTCTATTCTAGATGTTTACGACTGTTGCTTTTCTTGACTCCTCAATTTCTTGGCTGCCTTTTCAATGTACCCTGTTAATTTGCTTAATAAAAATAAATAAAATAATGCCAGCCAAAAAGTATGGGGATATTCATTATGCACTTTCCTCCTCCAAGGCAGGATGGAGGCAAGATGACATGATGTCCAATATATGCTTTGGGATCCCATGGGAACATAACTGGTTCTTATTGCAAACTCCTTACTCTAGTCACCCTGGCTTTTCCTACTCTGCCCCTACGTACCTTCTCAGTCTGATTTCCAGCTTCTCCCCTCTCTAGCCAAGGCTACCTGCTATTTACCCAAATGTGCCTTGGGTAGATTACTTTCCCCTTTTCATAGTCCTCTCTTTCCTTCAAGCTACAGTTCCACATGCACATTTCCTTCTTGGAGCTTTAACTAACCCCCCAATGAGAGGTCCCCTTTCTTCATCAGATCCCCTGGAGCCTCAGCCTGACCCTCTTCTATGATAGTTGCTACACTGTTTTCTGATGAGAGGTTGGTATTGCACAGTGGTTTATAGTATGGGCTCTGGAGTCAGACAAAATTGGGTTTCAATCTTGGTGCTTCTAATCTCTCGTGGTGTGATTATGACAAAGTTGCATCACTTCTCTGAGCCTCAGTCTCATTATTTATAAAATGAACACAATAATAGTTTTATTTCCTCATTCTCAAATCATGAGGACATGAGAGTTTTAGAATTCAAAGATTTGGGGATTTTAAACGGTATAGTGCACATTTTGTATGCTACAAAACACCCCTCAGAAGGGATACTGCCTTGAAAGCAAACACCTTAGTACTTCTACAGTGAAACAACTGAATAATTACACAAAGTAGGTTAAAATGAAAAAGAACCTCATGTCAGTTCAGGTCAGCTTTTACTGCCAAATTGGTTCTGGAAAAAATCATATGAATCAACTCTGAGTTTTTAAAAACTTTGTACTTTAGAATTGTAGATAAAAGACTGTGGACTTGTGAGGGTAAAATAAAATATGTGTAACACTTAACATAGTGCTGGCACATAATAAATGCTTAATGAAATTAAGCTGTTGTTACATAATCATTTGTGTACTTGGCTTTAACCCCTTATTGTCAGCGAGCTCTTGGAGAGGAAGAGGTTTTGTCTTAAACGGCCAACACCATGCATTGAATTGTACTTTGTAGGTGCTCAATAAATGGTCTTTGGGAGAAAGTCATCATCACATTGCTTAAATACATTTCCAGTTACAGAAATGTAGAGCCTTGTAAATGGCTATAATCTAAAGATTAGATCTGAATTCCTCCAAATAAGCTTACAGTCTGGGCCACCAAGAAGTAAAATATGTCAAAATAAAGTCACATGGATTTTCACAAGGAGAGTTACATTGCTTAGTCTCTCACAACAATCATGCAAACCTGACCAGCTTTCAGACAGACTGGGAAAAGAATGCATTTGGGGGCAAGCACACTATCCACAACCTAGCAGGAACCAAAGCAAGGGCAAGAGAGAGGTGTTTGACCCAGAGGTCATGTGAAGCCCAAGTGGGAACTGAGAGAAAGTAGCTGACTCCTGGGTGGGATGAGCACTTTGGTGGCATGAGTTGGTGGTCTGAGGGCATTCACCCTCCAAAGGCAACCAGCCCAATCAAGACTAATTGGTCTTTGTTGGCAGCCTCAATGCAGTCCCCAATCTGAATAGGTCTCCTTCCGTCAAGCTGACACCCCTAGGAGGATTCAGCACTTGTGAGTAATTTGGCCAAGCCTAACTTGAAGTAATAAAACTTTTAGAGCCTTTCCAAAATCTTTCTACAGGAAAGAAAGATTCTGCAGGCAGATTAGAGGAGCTTTTCTTCCCTCAGCACAGGTAATGGCCTCAATGAACCCCATTTAGGATATTCATACAGATGAAGGGAGAATAGATCCCTAAGGAGAAAAATGAGCTGCCTTCTACACTGGTTGAGATATAGTTTATTGAATGGCAGGTCACTTCGCTTGGATGATCAGCCATTTGTCATATGTAACTGGAGGCCTCTGAGAAACAGCGACAGGGAATGTGAAAGGAATCAATGGGAGTTCTGGCCCAAGAGAAACATTTGCCAGCATGAATTCATTCATTAACTTCTCTAAACTCTGCTTTTGTCTTTTAGCCTCAAGGCCACTCCTGAGTTCAAGATGGTCTCAGTGTAGGAACTAGTCCTATTAACAGGCCATCGGGTCTGCCAAGAGCTAGCCAGTGCAGGGTCTTTGCTCCTGAAATACTTCCCACAAAGGCAGTCATATCGAAACAGGATCTTTAAGTACATGAGATGGGTTCGATTCACTTTGAAATGATGGTCTCATATCAAAAGATATGCCTGGAAAGTAACAAGCATGGATGCTGCTGTTTTAATTTCAATAAATGTATGTGAACCTATACAGCTCACAGGGGGTCTGGCCAGTTATCACAGTGATACTGACACTGTTGAAAGTATTTTTGAGACCCCTTTTTGGGGACTACCTTCAGAGTGTGCACTATATTGTTAAGAATCTCTTCAATGGTGACAAACCTATATCTTTGTGGGGTGAATTTGATTTTTGGAAAGAGCCATAAATTACCCCAAAGCAAAAATCAAGTAGGTAGCCTAGGACATACCATTTAAACATAGAGTAATGCAACCATAAAAATGAAAGAAATAATGGCATTTGCAGCAGCCTGGATGGAGTTGGAGACCATTATGCTAAGTGAAGTAACTCAAGAATGGAAAACCATATATCGTATGTTCTCACTTATAAGTAGGAGCCAAGCTATGAGGACGAAAAGGCATAAGAATGATATAATGGACTTTGGGGACTCAAGGAGAAGGGGGGAAGAAGGTGAGAAATAAAAGGCTACACATTTGGTGCAGTGTACACTGCTTGGGTGATGGGTGCACCAAAATCTCAGCAATCACCACCAAAGAACTAATCCATGTAACCAAAAACCACCTGTTCCCCAAAAACTATTAAAATAAAACAAACAAACAAAAACAAAACTAAAAACATAATAAAAATAGAGAAATGAAGAAGCAATGCTTTTCTCAGTGACTAACCCTAAAGGGAAAAGAATGAACTTTCACTGAGCACCTACCACATGCCAGTTACCTTTATAAGACCTAAATCTTACTTCATCTTTAAAATAACTGTCTTAAGGTATTAATACTCTCATGTATAAAATGGGGCTCAGAGAAGTCAAGTACCTTCAGCAAGGTCACACAGATCATTGGTGCAGAGCTGAGATTGATGGCCATTTCTTCCATTCGTCTGCAAGCCAGAGAGTGTTCTTTCTGTTATACCACACTGCCTTCTTTGAAGGTCATTAAAAGGATAAAAAAAGGGTGATCCTTCCCATCTTGATACACTCACAAAATTTCTTTCTCATTTTCACACCAAATAAAATAAAGTAGAAATACATATAAGTTATTTGTTTTGAGATAGGAGAATGCCAGGAAAGTTAGGAATGAATCAGGCATTTGTAAATCAGATAACTTTAGATGCTGAAGAAGAGCTTTTTGTTTAAAGAAACCCTGGTAATTATTTGATAAATGTAATAATTCTGATGGAAATGACTTATTTTTCCTAGTTAACCTATATTTTAACTTCCAAGTACAACTGGCAGTGGTGGTGGCCCCCAGGGAGTTTACATTCTAGTGGGGTGGACAGAATCCCCCTACCTCAAAATCAAGTAAACAGATGAAAAAGGAAGCAACAGATACTTGCAAGTTCTAATGAGGTCTATGAAGAAAACAAGTAAGAGGCTGAAATAGAGAATAATAGGGGCATACCTACTTCAGGCCTCTCTAAGGCAGGACAGGATGGCACATGAAGTGTGGGGCCAAGAGCATTCCAGACAGAGGAAACAGTGTGTGCAAAGGCCTCGAAGCCGAAAAGAGCTTGGTATGTTCAAGGAACAGAAAAAGGCCAAGATTATGGTGAATAAAGAGAAGTAGTAGCACCGGATGAGGTGGAAGGGAGGGTTAAAAGCAGATCGTAAAGAGTTTCCCAAACTGTGGTAAAGACTTTGAATCCCATTTTAGATAAAACTGGATGAGTCTAGGAAGAGCAATGACATGATGGATAGTCACTGAAGGTAGATCACTGGCTGCCGTTGTGGAGACTGGATTGGAAGAAAGCAAAAGCAGAAGAGGGAGGGCCTCCACTGTAAGTGTAAAGGAAAGCGATGATAGTGACTGGGACTAGGGTGATAACGGTAGAGATGGAGAAAGGAGGCTGGACTTAGGATTCAAGGGACTTCTAATAAAATGGATGTGGGGACTGAGGAAAAGAAGAAGCCTAGGATGAATCATACATTTGGGGCTTGAATGACTTGGTGAATGGTGGTGCCAATCACTGAGCCAAGGAAGGCTGGAAAAGGAACAGTGTTTGGGGGCAAAAATCAACGTTCAATTTTGGACTTGCTAAGTTTGAAAAGCCTTTAGAAATATCTACATGGAGATGCCAGTTAGGCAGTTGGAGATGTGAATCTGGGCTAAAAACATACATTTGGAGGTCATCAGCATATGTTGTTATCTATAGTCATGGACTTCATAAGATCACCCAGGGAGAATGTGTATATAGTAAAAAGAAGATGGAAACAGATTGAACTGTGGGGCTCCCCAACATTAAGAGGCTAAGCAGAGGAGGAGTCAGCAAAGGACACTGAGAAGGATATCATGTAGAAGGAAAAGGAGAGAGTGCTGATTTTTGACCTCCTAAAGTTCATGAATCTGAGGGCTCTAGGATAAGGGGAACTTGGTACTATCATCCACCATTACTGCAGTAGGACTTAGATGGTTCTTGTAAAGTCATGGTGTCTAGTTTCGTGCTTGATAATTAGTACTGGTTCCTGGCCTCAGGTTGCTGGTCTTTGGGGTCAGCTCCTGTGTCAAATAACCTGCTGGTAGTACACTTTCTTGGTACCCTGGGCATTAGTAAACCAGCCCAGGAAGCTTCCTGGAGTGCCCACAGCAACACTGATGGGTGTAGTCAAAGCTACAGCCTTGGGACTTAGAGCCAGGCAAGACCAAGCACCTACAGGTAGCACAGAAAATCGGTATTCAAAAGACCCATAAGGCCTTGCCCTATAACCTCCTGGGGGAATTCATCATGTAATCTGATAAATTGTGTAATATTCATTTAATGTCCATCTCATGCCCTAAACATGCCCCCCTGAAAGCAGGAATTGTATTCTGGCTTGTTTCCCACTTTATCCCCTGTGCCTAGCATAGTGCCTGCTCATGCTAATTAACAGACTTACAAACCAGATCAGCAGTAGGGGATTGGTATGGGTTGATAAATGGGCTTACTGGAGCAAAGCCAAGTCTATGAGATTCCTGACTCCCAGAAACTACTACTATTGGGGGCTCTAGGCAGGCACCAGCCCCAGCAGCTCTGTAGGCAGTCAGAACACCTTTACTCACAATATTTAACAAAAGGGAGGTGAGGCTATAGAGCTGAGACTGGGGGTTGCACTGTCATCATCAAGCCTGAATGTTTTCCAGTGGGTCTTACTTAGCTTGTATACCCACATGGCATGAGGCTAGCTTTGCCAGTGTTAGAGCAGAGTCTACCATTGGCTGTCGACAACATGGTGAGTGTCTCTTAGTTGCTTGTGCTCCTTCACTGCTTCAAAATCAGCCCAGCTGGTATGGAGCAGGATCTGCTAGCCATCAGATGTAGCAAGTGTCAGCTTGCTTTGGATGTGTACACAGCAGTCCACAGGTTGGACACGGTTGCCCCCTGCTAATGAGAGCAGCTCCTAAGAGCTGGGGGCCTATCTCAAAGCTGGATGTTCCAATGAAGGCCCACAAACTGTCCTCATTCCAGGGCAAGGCCTCTATTTGACAGCTGGGTCTCTGGCGCAGAGCAGCTGGTTATGGATTGTGTTGTAAAGGGGAGTAAGTCAACCTTGTGGGGTCTTTAAGGATCACTCCAAACACAGCCATGGAAATTATACTGGGAAAGGACATGAAATGAAAGGATTTATTATACTCACAGGCCCTAGAGACAGAAGGCATGGTACACCACACAGGGCCATATGGGAGGAGCTCCCAGGGAATAGGCTCAACCAAGAAGGTGGGGAACTGAGAAAGCAGGGACCTGTGGTCAAGTGCATTTATTGAGAGTCAGAGTAAGCAAAAGGTATGAGGGGATTTTACTGGTGCATCTGAATGTCTCTAGGTCCCAGTTGGGGGAGGGCAAGAAGGGGAACTTGTGGCAGGGCCCAGCCTTATCACACAGGCGTATATGGTCATCTGGGTGGGGTGCTCACAGTTGGTTTGTGGGGATGTTGAGGAATCAGGAAAATATGGAGTTTTTAAAAAATTTCCAATACATAAATTGAATGTGTCTCCCCGAAATTCATTTGTTGAAATCCTGATCCTCTATGTGAAGGTATTTGGAGATGGAGCCTTTAGGAGGTGATTAGGTAATAAGGGTGGAGCCCCTGTGAATGGGATGAGTGCCCTTGTAAGAGAAACCCCAGAGAGCTCTCTTGTCCTCTTTTTCACCATGTGAGGACACAGCAAGAAGTTAGCAATCTGTAACCCAGAAGAGGGCCCTCACACAAATCCAACCATGCTGGCACCATGATCTCAGACTTCCAGCCTCTGCAACTGTGAGAAATAAGTTTCTGTTGTTTATTAGCCATGCAGTCTATGGCACTTTACTGTAGCAACCTGAGCTGCTAAGACACAGGTGGCGAACTCCTCCCTGACAGAGGTGATAAGTAGCTCCTGTGGGGCACTCACACAGCATGACAGATGCCAAGAATCCAGTTTGGCTTTCCTGTGGGCACTTTCTAGCTGTCTATGTGGAATTACCTGCCTCTACTGCCAGAACTACTTACAAAAACTAAAGTACAATTTGATCCATCAACACAAGAAATGCTAGTTGCTAGGGGTCATCAAAGTATCTAAGTACATGAAGAATTTAGATAGCAGCACATAGTGGTTAAGAGCATGGGCTTTGGAGATAGACATAACTGGGTTCAAATCTTGATTCTACTATCAGTCAGGCAATGTGACCAGGCTACTTAACCTCTCTAGCATCAGTGACTTCATATTCAGTGGGATTATAGTAACACACACACATCTCCCAGGTTGTTAAGAGGGTGAATGAGATCATGTATGTATAATTCTCAACATAGCACCTGCCACATAGTAAATGCTATAAAAAATGTAGCTATTACTATGATCAGAGCAGCAGTAGGCATAGTGGTCAGGAGCTAGTCTGGGGCCAGTCTGCTATGCTACAATCATGGCTCTGCCTCTTACTTTGTGAATTTGGGCAAGTCATTTAACGTTTCCAAGCCTCAGTTTTCCCATCTGTAAAGTAAGAGTAACAATTTTTCCTACCTCAATGAGTTGTTTGGGGATTAAATAAGAATGTATATTCCATGAGATTTTTGTAGGTGTGGCTGGATTTGGGGAAAATAAAACAAAATGACAGAAACAATTCAATGGAAAATAAGTTTGGGAGTCACTGCACACTATATATCCTTCTTAGAGAGTCACAGTGCACCTAGGCGTATGACTAAAGGCTCTGGCAAGTCCTGCAGTAAAGCAACCCTATTATTGTTACATAATTCCTGTTTCTCCAAATTATAGAATCTACACCTCCTTTTCATGCTGCATATGCTAACACCTGATAAACCAGTACCCATGGGACACTTAGAACAGTGCTTGACACAATGTAGTGTTTCAGTAAGTGTTAGCAATCAATATTGAATATTATGTATTAATTCCCTAAGAGGATGGTGCCACAACTGAGGTGGGTGGCAGGGTTTTTGATTTTCTTTTTACTTTTTTTTGTGGAAAACTGATTTATTATTATTAATATACTTTAAGTTCTGGAATACATGTGCAGAACGTGCTGGTGTGTTACACAGGTATACATGTGCCATGGTGGTTTGCTGTACCCATCAACCTGTCATCTACATTAGGTATTTCTCCTAATGCTATCCCTCCCCTTGCCCCCCACCCCCTGACAGGCCCCGGTGTGTGATGTTCCCCTCCCTGTGCCCATATGTTCTCATTGTTCAACTCCCACTTATGAGTGAGAACATGCGGAGTTTGGTTTCCTGTTCCTATGATAGCATGCTGAGAATGATGGTTTCCAGCTTTATCCATGTCCCTGCAAAGGACATGAACTCATCCTTTTCTATATGGCTGCATAGTATTCCATGGTGCGTATGTGCCACATTTTCTTTATCCAGTCTATCATTGATGGGCATTTGGGTTGGTTCCAACTCTTTGCTATTGTGAATGGTGCCACAATAAACATACGTGTACCTGTGTCTTTATAGTAGAATGATTTATAATCCTTTGGGTATATACCCAGTAACGGGATTGCTGGGTCAAATGGTATTTTTCTAGTTCTAGATCCTTGAGGAATCGCCACACTGTCTTCCACATTGGTTGAACTAATTTACACTCCCACCAACAGTGTAAAAGTGTTCCTATTTGTCCACATCCTCTCCAGCATCTGTTGTTTCCTGACCTTTTAATGATCATAATTCTAACTGGCGTGAGATGGTATCTCATTGTGGTTTTGGTTTGCATTTCTCTAATGACCAGTGATGATGAGCTTTTTTTCATATGTTTCTTGGCCACATAAATGTGTTTTTTTTGAAAAGTGCCTGTTCATATCCTTTGCCCACTTTTTGATGGGGTTTTTTTTTTCTTGTAAATGTGTTTAAGCTCCTTGTAGATTCTGGATATTAGCCCTTTGTCAGATGGATAGATCGCAAAAATTTTCTCCCATTCTACACATTGCCTGTTCACTCTGATGGTAGTTTCTTTTGCTGTGCAGAAGCTCTTTAGTTTAATTAGATCCCATTTGTCAATTTTGGCTTTTGCTGTCATTGCTTTTGGTGTTTTAGTCATGAAGTCCTTGCCCATGCCTATGTCCTGAATGGTAAAGCCTAGGTTTTCTTCTAGGGTCTTTATGGTTTTAGGTGTTACATTTAAATCTTTAATCCATCTTGAGTTAATTTTTGTATAAGGTATAAGAAAGGGGTCCAGTTTCAGTTTTCTGCATATGGCTAGCCAGTTTTCCCAACAGCATTTAATAAATAGGGAATCCTTTTCCCATTGCTTGTTTTTGTCAGGTTTGTCAAAGATCAGATGGCTGTAGATGTATGGTATTAATTCTGAGGGCTCTATTCTGTTCCATTGGTCTATATATCTGTTTTGGTACCAGTACCATGTTGTTTTGGTTACTGTAGCCTTGTAGTATAGTTTGAAGTCAGGTTGCATGATGCCTCCAGCTTTGTTCTTTTTGCTTAGGGTTGCCTTGGCTATGCAGGCTCTTTTTTGGTTGCATATGAAATTTCAAGTAGTTTTTTCCAATTCTGTGAAGAAAGCCAATGGTAGCTTGATGGGAACAGCATTGAATCTGTAAATTACTTTGGGCAGTATGGCCATTTTCATGGTATTGATTCTTCCTATCCATGAGCATGGAATGTTTTTTCATTTGTTTGTGTCCTCTCTTATTTCCTTGAGCTGTGGTTTGTAGTTCTCCTTGAAGAGGTCCTTCACATCCTTTGTAAGTTGGATTCCTAGGTATTTTATTCTCTTTGTAGCAATTGTGAATGGGAGTTCACTCATGATTTGGCTCTTTGTTTGTCTATTATTTGTGTATAGGAATGCTTGTGATTTTTGCACATTGATTTTGTATCCTGAGACTTTCCTGAAGTTACTTATCAGCTTAAGGAGTTTTTGGGCTGAGACAACGGGGCTTTCTAAATATACAATCATGTCGTCTGCAAAAAGAGATAATTTGACTTCCTCTCTTCCTATTTGAATACCCTTTATTTCTTTCTCTTGCCTGATTTCCCTGGCCAGAAGTTCCAATACTATGTTAAATAGGAGTGGTGAGCAAAGACATCCTTGTCTTGTACCGTTTTTTTTGTTTTGTTTTGTTTGAGACAGAGTCTCACTCTGTTGCCCAGGCTGGAGTGCAGTGGCACGATCTTGGCTCACTCCAACCTCCGCCTCCCAGGTTCAAGCGACTCTCCTGCCTCAGCCTCTTGAGTACCTGGGACTATAGGCGTGCACAACAACACCCAGCCAATTTTTGTATTTTTTAGTAGAGACAGGGTTTCACCATGTTAACCAGGTTGGCCTTGAACTCCTGACCTCAGGTGATCTGCTTGCCTTGGCCTCCCAGAGTGCTGGGATTACAGGTGTGAGCCACCATGCCCAGCCACTGGGCCTTTGATTTTCTTGGCTTCGGTTTTCTCTAGTAGGCAGGGAACCCCAGGCTTCACAGCAGAGAGTAGATGGGGCTGTCTCAACTGATTATCCTTGTATATACTGCAATTAATGCATAGTGGACAACTACAGAAGTCAGATATAAAGCAAAGGCCTTGGAAGCGTATGCTTTGCTCCTTGACTGTCTATTACTCAGGCTTCGTAGCACCAACAATTTGCATCCAAAGTCAAGAGAAAAGACAGAAAGGGTAGCAGTGCACCCTCCTCCAATTCCCACTTCAGTGCTTAAGCACATTCTTTCCTTCGCACCACCCCACTACACCCATACATACACATTGCACAGTAGCCTCACATCCTCACCCCAGCAGGAAAGGTAGTGAATATAGGAAGAGGGTGCCTACATAGAGAAAAAACACTGGCCTGGGAGTCAGGAGATCTGGCTTTTACTCTGGCATGGCCACTAATAAGCCCCACAACCTTAGAGAAAACTCCAATGGAGACCACCTCTCTGGGCTCACACTTCAGACTTAATAAATTGAGAGACTGAACTGGATTATTTCAAAACTTCTTTCTAGCCCTAGCATTAACATTCAAAGTGAACAGAGATGATCATGTCCATTTTTTAGAATAGGAAACAGGTACAGAGTGATTAAGTGACTTTCCCAGGATTATACCAATGGTAAATGGTAGATCTGAACTGGAACAGGTCTCGACCCCCTGCCTTCCCACCACAGAGCTGCCATGATCTCCCTAGATCCCCCTGTGTTCTAAGAACCACAGACACAAAGTGTGGAAACAGGTAATTAGAAAACAAAACCAAAACGAGCAAGAAAAAATTAGAACATACACTCTGCCATTCTTAAGGGATCTTCTAAATGGCCCAATGGACTTTTTTTTTTTTTTGGGTGGGGGGACATCTCATGGTTGTTCATCTTTTCTATGTTTAGTCCTTTCTCATTCCTTCCTTTTTCTTTTCTGTTTTTTTTTTAAAGGATTTGAAAGGTAATCTATTGTAAGGCATCTTTCCCTTTTATTTGTGTTCAAATTTTTTTTTCATCATAATCATTCATTTTCCCGTTTACTGAGCACATATTATTTATAACATTTATTTTAGGTTTGGGAGGTGCATGTGAAAGTTTGTAATATAGGTAAACTCATGTAATGGGGGTTTGTTGTGCAGATTATTTTGTGACCCAGGTATTAAACCTAGTACCCAACAGTTATTTTTTCTTTCTACTCCTCTCCCTCCTCCTACCCTCCACCCACAAGTAGACCCCAGTGTTTATTTTTCCCTTCTTTGTGTTCATGAGTTCTCATCATTTAGCTCCCAGTTGTAAGTGAGAACATGTGGGTATTTGGTTTTCTTTTCCTGCATTAATTTGCTAAGGATAATAGCCTCCAGTTCCATACACGTTCCCACAAAAGACATGATCTCATTCTTTATTAAGGCTGCATAGTATGCTATGGTGTATACGTACCACACTTCATCCAGTCTGTCATATGTGGGTATTCAGGTTGATTCCATGACTTTGGTATTGTGGATAGTGCTGCAATAAACATTTGCAGGCATGTGTCTTTATGGTAGAATGATTCATATTCTTCTGGGTATATATCCAGTAATGGGATTGCTGGGTCTAATGGTATTTCTGCTTTTAGCTTTTTGTGGAATCGCCATATTGCTTTCCACAATGGTGGAATTAATTTACACTTTACACTCCCACAAACAATGTATATGTTCCCCTTTCTCTGCAACATCGCCAGTATCTTTTTTTTTTTTTTTTGATGGAGTTTTTGCTCTTGTCACCCAGGCTGGAGTACAATGGCATGATCTCGGCCCACTGCAACCTCTGCCTCCTGGGTTCAAATGATTCTCCTGCCTCAGCCTCCCAAGTAGCTGGGATTACATGCACCACCATGCCCGGCTAATTTTTGTATTTTTAGTAGAGACAGGGTTTCGCCATGTTGGCCAGGCTTGTCTCGAACTCCTGACCTCAGGTGATCCACCCGCCTCTGCCTCCCAAAGTTCTGGGATTACAGGCATGAGTCACCACACCCAGCCTTCTTATTTTTTAATTTTATAGTAATGGACATTCCGACTGGTGTGAGATGGTATCTCATTGCGGTTTTGATTTGCATTACTCTAATGATCAGTGATATTGAGCTTTTCTTCATATGCTTGTTGTCCACATGTATGTCTTCTTTTAAAAAGTGTCTGTTCATGTACTTTGTCCACTTTTTAATGGGGTTGTTTGTTTTTCTCTTGTAAATTTGTTCCAATTCCTTGTAGATGTTGGATACTAGACCTTCGTCAGATGCATAGTTTGCAAATATTTTCTCCCATTCTGTAGGTTGTCTATTTACTCTGTTGATAGTTTCTTTTGCTGTGCAAAAGCTCTTAACTTTAATTAAATCTCATTTGTCAATTTTTGATTTTTGTTTCAATTGCTTTTGGAATCTTCATTATGAAATCTTTGCTCGTTCATATGTCCAGAATGGTATTGCTTAGGTTGTTTTCCAGGGTGTGGGGTTTTACATTAAGTCTTTAATCCATCTTGAGTTGATTTTTGTATATGGTGTAAGGAAGGTGTCCAACTTCATCTTCTGCATCTGACTAGCCAGTTATCCGAGCACCATTTATTGAATAGGGAGTGTTTTCCCCATTGCTTGTTTTTGTCTGCTTCATCAAAGATCAGATGGCCGTATGTGAGCAGCCTTGTTTCTGGGCTCTCTGTTTTGTTCTATTGGTCTATGTGCCTGTTTTTGTACCAGTACCATGCAGTTTGACTACCGTAGCCCTGTAGTATAGTTTGAAGTCAGGCAACATGACACCTGTATCTTTGTGCTTCTTGCTTAGGATTGCCTTGGCCTATTCAGGCTCCCTATCTTTTTCTTGAACGGCTCTATATGCTTTTCTTGCGTGTTACCTAATCTTCACTTATTTCCTAAGCTCCAAATTGGGGGAAAAACAAACAAACAAACAACAAAAAAACCTTCATGCTGTTACAAGGTGAGTCTTTTGCCTGAGTTTTTGATATGGTTTGAATCTGTGTCCCTGCCCAAATCTCATGTCAAATTGTAACCCCAACTGTTGGAGGTGGGCCTGGTGGGAGGAGATTGAATCATGGGAGCAACCACCCCCATGAATGGTTTAACACCATCCCTCAGGTGTTATTCTCATGATAGTGAGTTCTTGTGAGATCTCATTGTTTAAAAGTGTGTAGCACCTCCCCCAACTTGCTCCTGCTCTGGTCACATAAGACGTGCCTGCTTCTCTTTCACCTTTCACCATGATTGTAAGTTTCCTGAGGCCTCCCCAGAAGCAGAAGCATCTATGCTTCTTGTACAGCCTGCAGAAATGTGAGTCCATTAAACTTCTTTTCTTTATAAATTACTCAGTCTCAGTTATTTCTTTATAGCAGTGCAAAAATGAACTAATACAGTTTTCCAACTGAAATTGGACCGCCTTTCTTTCTCTTCCTTTGAGAGACTCATTTTCTCTAATGTATTGGTTCTGAAACTTGACTGTACATTCAGAATCACCTAGAAGCTTTGGTTAAAAAAAAAAAGAGAGAGAGAAAAAGATTGCCAGACCTCACCCCAGAGTTTCTGATTCAGTAGGTCTGGAGTGAAGCTGAAGATTTTGAATTTTTCGTAAGCTCCTAACTGGTGTTGATACTGCTGGTCCTGGAACTACTGCTTTAATGAGAGTTTAAACCTGCTATCTTCATTTTCCTACAAGCACAATTTAGTGCCAATGGAAAGTTAGCCATGAATAGCCCTTGCTCTAAAGAGACCTTTTGTTTAAATCAGAAACACAAACAAAAAATGCTGTTTGTTTGGGGTAAACCTCATCCAAAAGTAATTTGCTTTGATTGTGCTGATTGACAAGTGTCATTTTTCATGGCTTATTACTAATTCCAAAGCTTGTGAGTAAACTGAAGGTTCAATAATAAGCCAATGATGGCATGAATAATCACAGCCTTATTTATGAGTAATGACAACTAGGAAAGCTTCCTGTGACATTTTTCTACTCTCTGATCAAGAATACTTCTTGTTTGGTTTATAGTTTGCATCCAGAGGAAACTGACAGAGGGTTGACCTGGTGTGTGTGGAAAAACATTAATTTGGGAATCAAGGAAAACAAGGTTTAGTCCTGGCTCTGCCATTGACTAGTTGAATGACCAGCTTCTTTCCCTCTCTAGACTTACAGATGTAAAATGAACTTACTGGAAATATATATTTCATGCAGATTTTAAGACGTAAAGCCAGTTTGGGAGGAAAAAACCCAACCAAACAGTTCAATAGTAAAATATGTTCTGGAATCACTCCATTCTATATGCCCTTCTTAGAATGTCACACTATTCCCTGACATATCTCTTAGTCCATTTTATGTTGCTGTAACAAAATACTACAGGCTGGGTAATTTATAATGAACAGGAATTTAATTGGCTCATGGTTCTGGAGGCTGGGAAGTCCCACAACAGGTCATTTGCAAATTGGAGGCCAGGGGTTACTGCTAACATGGCTCAGTCCAAGCCCAAAAGCCTCAGAACTAGGAAAGCTGATGGTGTAACTCTTAGTATGAGGCCAAGGGCCTGAGAACCTGTGGGGCTGGCATCTAGCAAAAGCCTTCTTGCTTCCTCATTCTATGCTAGAAGGCAGAGAGGCAAAAGAGGGTGAGATAAAGGGACAAAATAAAGACCAAAATTGTCCTTTTATAATGAACACACTCACGTGATAACAAACCCACTCCCAGGATAACAGCATTAATCCATTCATGAGGGCAGTGCCCCACCTCCCAACAGTGCTGCGCTAACGACCAATTTCTCTACACATGAACTTTGTGGGGGCACATTCAAACCATGGCAGCACATTATAAAGGCTCTGAGAAATCCTGCAGTAGCACAACCCTTTAGTGTTTTTTAACTAAAGTATATGACCATGATATACATCTTAATGCTACTAATACCTCATAGACCAGTATTCCAAAGGCAGCAAACATCCCAGGATGATCTACAAGGGCTCTTCCAACTTGAAATGCACTGAGTCTGGGATGTGGCTCTCAAGAATTGCAACTGACATCACAGGGATTGTGTAATGCCTGTGATTTAGGGAAAGCAGAAGCTCATACCACCAATCCAGGTTATTTTTGATCTTCTTATTTTCGAGACAGGGTCTTGCTCAATCACCCAAGCTGGAGTGCAGTGGTATGATCATAGCTCACTACAGCCTTGAACTCCTGGGCTCAAGCGATCCTCCCACATCAGCCTCCTGAGTAGCTAGGACTACAGGTGTGCAGCATTACCACACCCAGCTAATTTAAACAATTTTTTAAGATGGAGTCTTGCTACATTTCCCAGAATGGTCTCAAACTCCTGACCTCAAGCAATCCTGCAGCCTCAGTTCAGGGTTCTTTTAGTGTTTGGTAGTTAGGCAAAACCTCCTGAAGGCATGAGCACTTCACCACTGTGAGAACTATGCCTGTATTTACATGTGTGCTGGTTTCCACATGTCAAGATGCTGCACTCACTTTCTTGGGCCTTTAAGAAGGGTCTCAGGCTCCCACTTTACTAGGTATTGAAGATGGCTGAGGTACTTCCTCCTGGTAAACTGCGCTTTTGCTGTGACCTCCTTTAAATTACTGGGGGTTTTCTCACTCACTCTCCACTATTTCTGTGGTTTCCATAGATCCCTCAACCCCATACAATGTCAATTTCCCCTGCATAAGTGGCTTTAATGTTTTATCTAGCTGATCTCTTAAAAGCACCACCATGTCTACTAGTTACAGGTGTAGGTTGAAATTCCAGAGTGGGGAATGTCACGTATGTACAATCTTCTATAACTACATATCACTTTTCAATGTAGTGTCTCATAATATGCTGTCAGTTTGGGGAAGGATTTTTATTAATGTATGTTTGACAGGTAAGGAAACTGATGCCCAAAATGGGCTAGTGATTTTTCACAGATTATAGAGTCAGTGAATACCAGAGCTAGAACTTGACCCCAAATCTTTTCACTCCCAAGCTCATATTTTTGCCTTTGAGAAAGTGCCCATAGAAAGCATTTTGCTTACTTGCATGGATTCGTTGGTAGTGGATGTGTGAAATTCTGTATCAAGGATTCAGAGGTTGGGACTAGAATCAGCTTAAAAAAAAAAGTATTGTGATCAATCAATCCTGAATGTAGTTTGGAGTAGAAGTCAGAGGGGCATGGGAAATTGGGCTATATTTGTGGTCCCTGAGGTATGCAAAACCTTACTTCTTGTCTTATTGATATTGTGTCAAGCACTTTTAAATATTTTGAACTTATGACACCCCAAACTATAATTTATTTTCTTTGAGGCTTAAATTAATAGAGTACTAGAAGTGAAAAGAATTCCTTAGATAACCTAGTTCAATATTGAGAACTATGCTGCCCAATATGGTGGCCACCGGCCATATGTCACTCTTGAGCTCTTGAAATGGGGCTAGTCTAAATTGAGATGTGCTTTAAGTATAAAATAATATTGGATTTAAATACTCTATATAAAGAAGGAAAACTATCACTAATAATTTTTTCTATTGATTACATATTAGATGATAGTAATTGGGGTACATTGGGTTAAATACACCATTAAAATTAATTTCATCTGTTTCTTTTTACTTATTTTTAAATTATCTACCAGAAAATCTACAATTTTATATGTAGTTTGCATTATATATTTTGATTAAATAGTGGCATCTGTCACTTGTTTCTGTGAATAAAGTTTTATTGGAAAACAGCCATGCCCATTCATTTACATATTTTTCATGGTTGTTTTCATGCTGCAATGGTAAAGTTAAGCAGTTGTGACAGATCATATGTCGAATTATTTACTATCTGGACCTTTCCAAGGTAAAGTTTGCATACCCCTGATCTAGAATCGCAATCTTTGTGTGTTTATTATTTGCGAGGTACCATATGAAGCTCTTCACATGGATGAGTTCATTTAATTCATACAACCACTCTGAGAGGGGTTCAGTTATTTTCCCCATTTTATATGAGAAAATTGAGACCCTAACTAACTCAACCAAGTCCACAGATCTAGTAAATCCTAGGAGCAAGCCTTGAAACTCAGCTCTGTCTGACTCTAAAGCTTGTACCCTTAACCATCACACCATATTGCCTCCCTGTAAAGGTATGGCTTCTTTCTCTCCTTAAGCTTACATTTATGAATTGATGCTGCCTTCCACTTCCCTTTGGAGCCCTGCTGTCACTTAGCATGATTGATAAAATGTATTTTGCTCTTACTTTGCATCTGCACTGTGTCAAATACTCAACTAGTAGCTTTACATGCAATAATATCTCATGCAATTCTTCTAACTTCCATATTCAAGCCCTTGATTTTGCTGTTCACTCTGCCAAAAATTTGTTCCCTTCATTATTCCTCCTATTTAAATCCTAATATTCCTCCATGTTCCCTTAAGCCTCACTTGCTTCTCTGAGAAGCCATTCTTACTTCTGTTCCTCTAGTGCTCCCTAGTCACATTAGGTCTTTATATATGCTATGTTGCTTCTTCTCTCACAGCACTTCATGTTTCATCTCCTCAACTTTATTGTATTTTTCCACAGGGCAGGTTGCATTAGTCCATCTTCATGTGCTGATAAAGATATACCCGAATCTGGGAAGAAAAAGCGGGTTTTAATGGACCCTTTTTAATAGACTTACAGCTCCATGTGGCTGGGGAGGCCTCACTATCACGGTGGGAGGCAAGGAAGAGCAAGTCACGTCTTACATGGATGGCAGCAGGCAATGAGAGAGAAGAGCTTGTGCAGCGAAACACCTGTTTTTCAAACCAGCAGATCTCCTGAGACCCATTCACTATCACAAGAACAGCACAAGAAAGACCCACCCCCATAATTCAGTCATCTCCCAACAGGTCCCTCCCACAACACGCGGGAATTATGGGAGCTACAAGATGAGATTTCGATGGGGACACAGAGCCAAACCATATCACAGGTCTTATGGTCCTTCAGAGCCTAGTTTAGCATTCACTATGGGTGTTCAGTAGGCTCACAGAATGAATGCCTTAAGAGGCCTGGGATACTAAACAGAGGAGAGTGAAGTAACCCAACTTATATTACCAAATCCTGAAAAGACATCTGACTGTTGATTATTGCAGTCTCATAACCAAGGGGCACAACATAAATATGCGATTTTGCTTTTAACAACTTGTCAAAACTTGATTTATTTCCATTTCAGGATGATATCGAGTACATGGTTCATCAATTGTGCACTTAAACTTAGGTAAGAGGTTAGAATGTGTGGCTCAAAAGACCACTGCTTTGATACTCTTTAGATACCAAGATTGAGAGCTATTAGGGTACAGAGGGATTAGATTAGGTTCAGATACTGGTCCAGGCTGAACAATCTGTTCGATAGAAAATTAGAGATGGCCTGGTTGTTCTATGAATAATTAGTAAAAAGTTGGAAATCAGATTTCTCATGACCTAATCACCCCCAAAAGCCCCACTTCCTCATACCATCACATTGGGGGTTAAGTTTCAATTTATGAATTTTGGAGGGTTATTAACATTCAGACCATAGCAAGTATTTTGTGTTCCTTTTAGTAAAAGAAATTCACAAACCCCACTTCAATGTGTTCTTCAATTCATTTAACATTTGAGCAATCTAAATCTCTAGCCATGTACTTTACTTCTCCACCTCCACTTACTCCTCAGGTAAACTCCTCCAGTCCCATGGCTATAAAAATTTAATCAGATAGCTATCACCTTTATAGTTTAGGCCATGATCTCCGTGCGACCTCCAGACTCCCATATCTGACTACCTGACTGACTTTACTAGTCCCAAGCCTCACCTCTTATTACCACCACCCCCAACCTAATTTTCTATTGTTTTCTCCATTTTTCGTAATGACAACTCCATCCTTCCAGTTATCTTGTCCAACAAATCCTTGGAGTCCTCTTTGACTCCTTTCTTTCCAACACATTCCACATTCATTCCATCAGTAAATTCTCTTGGTTTCTCTCTTCAAAGCATACCCAGAATATGCCTACTTTTCATCACCTTCACTGCCATGAACCTATTCAACCTCCACTTGCTACCAACTTTTTGGTGTATGTTGCCCATTATCTTTCATCTGGATTGTCATGATAGCTTCTCAAATGCTCTCCCAACTTCTCATCTTGCCACCATCCCAAACTATTCTCTTTTCAATAGCCAGAGTGGTCCTATGAAAATATAAGACAAATTATGTTACTGTACTGTTCAAACCCCTTCAATGGCTTCTACTCTCATCCAGAGCAAAAACTAAAATCCTACATGGCCCCACAGATTTGGCATCTTGACTTTCTTTCAGAAAATTCTCCACTGAACTCACTGTGCTTCAGCCACATTGGCTTGTTGTTGGTTCTCAAAAACACTAGACAAATTCCTGCTCAGGACCTTTGCATTTGTTTCTCTTACCTGGAATACTTTCCTCCCAAATACAATGTAACTTATTCTATAACCCCTTTACAGATCTCTGCTTAAATGTCATTTGGTCTATAAGGTTTCCTATTATCATCCTAACTGTCTCCCTTCCCTGTTTTATTTTTTTCCATAGCATGCATCACCATCTACTGTACTATATATTTGACTTATATGTTTATTGTTTGTCTCCCACCACCGGAATGCAAGCTCCCTGAGGAAAGAGATATTTATGTCTTGTTTGTTACTGTATTCACCAATGCCTGAAACACTGCCTAACATATAGAGACCTTCAATAACTAATTTTAGATTGAATAAATGTAGAGAGAATAAATAAGTCCTGGAGTCCTTTGCAATCTCTCATTGAATAACACCTCTGGCATTGAGACTTGGCATCATGGGGCCATTTGCAAACCTGTCCCTGTTAAATCCTAGTCAATTGCTAGAACATCTACAAGGTTCCAGGCACAGTGTGATGCCCTAAAAAGCTCCAGTCTTAATATTCAGCTGTGACATTTGCAATTCATCAAGTCATACTTCTGAGCTCTCACAGAACTTCTTGATAACGGTATCTTCTTCTGGCTACACATTTCAATGCATACGCCAGTAAATAGCCCATTTCGATTTTGCACATACTGAAGGAAGGCTGGTGTTCGTATCTTATTGTTATTAATGCAGTTTATAATTTTATTATTGAACTTAATACGTAATTTGTGCCAACCTGTGGCCTCAGGCATTGAGTCCGTAGTGACTTGCCATTGCAGGGAGTCACTACTGCTTTGTGGACTACATGGCATCAGTAGTAGCCTCAATTTTGTAGCAATGGTTTTTAGTCATTTCCATGCAAATTTAGTTTAAAAAAAACCTATAATGCTTTATTTCTGTTTAAAAACATTACCCCTTATTTAATATTGAACTTATTTCTCATTTTTATGCTCTTGATGCAGGATGTTGAAAGGCAGAACTCCTGGAGAAATGCCAGTGGATTGAAGTTCTCCGACCCTTTTTACAAGAAAACACATGAGGAGTATCTGTCCAGAGAGGATCATCAGAAGAGAGCACGTACAATTAAAGGCTGCAGATAGTGGGTCTTCTTGACTAGCCCAGCCTAGCCCAGAGATAAGAACATCTAAGGTTGCTTCTTACCCTAGGTTTCTTCAACATCCCTATCACTTCACCATCCCTTGTTTGCTGGGGAGAAATCTACCTACCCTACACCTCTTGTAATTAGTGCCTAGCTCAGCACCAGATGAGTAATAGGCACCCTGAAAATGTTTGTTCAATTAATTTATTTATATATTTATCCATTCATTCACTAAATATATATCTGTTGAATGTTCATTATGTACCAGCATCGTATTAGTACTGGGATACAGTAAGCACTGATCCAGAGAGTCTCTGCTTTCCTCTCAGATCTCCTGTTTTAGTTGTGGGGGAGAGGGCAAAGCAATAAGTACATTGATGATAAGGTGATAAGTGCTACAGAGAAAATATAAAATGAGAGGGAGTGCTAAGGCATTCTAACAAAGGAAAAGGAGTTGTAATTTTCATTTCTGTGGTTAGGTAAGACCTCACTGAGAAGGTAACATTTGAGCAGAAAGGCCTGAAGGAAGAGAAGGATTAAGTCATAGGGTTATTTGATGAAAGAAAATTTCAGACAGAAGGGAGAGAAGATTCAAAGGCCCAGAGACATGAGTGTAACTGACATATTTGAGACACAATATGAAGGCCAGGGTGGCTGGATTTAAGTAATCACGAAGAAGAGAAATAGGATATGAAGTCAGAGAGGTGGAATGGTACAGACCATGTGGGACTTCATAGGCCACTTACATATAGGCTCTGTGCTTTAATAGGATAGGCATGATTAGGGGCTTGGAGCAGAGAGATGGCATGATCTGACAGATTTTAGGAAGATCCTTTTGGCAACAGTATTGAAAATATATTATATAGAGAAGCAAGAGACCAGTGATATTGTAGTAATCGAGTTAAGAGATGATGGAGGTTGGAACCTGTCTATAATGTTCCAAATGCAACCTCATGACAGACTGGCAAAAGTCTAGCCTGCCTTATGCTGTAAGGGGCCAGTCAGTGCTGTGTAACCCGAGGCTGGCTACAAGACCCACACTGGCTGCCTACCATATTCTCTCTATGGGACACCAAGAATACTGCCATCATCGGGAACAAATAGCTGTACAAACATTCAGAATAATCAAGTTGCCAGATGACTAATAATGTTTTTGTTTTGTTTTGTTTTGTTCATTTTTTTTGTTTGTTGAGATGGAGTCTCACTCTGTCACTCAGGCTGGAGTGCTTTTTTTTTTTTTTTGAGATGGAGTCTTGCTCTGTCACCCAGGCTGAAGTGCGATGGTACGATCTCAGCTAACTCTGCCTCCCGGGTTAAAGCGATTCTTCTGCATCAACTTCCTGAGTAGCTGGGACTACAGGTGCATGCCACCACACTCGGCTAATTTTTGTATTTTTAGTAGAGACAGGGTATCACCATGTTGGCCAGGCTGGTCTTGAACTCCTGACCTCATGATCCACCCACCTCGGCCTCCCAAAGTGCTGAGATTACAGGCGTGAGCCACTGGGCCTGGCCTGACTAACAATGTTGAACACGGTATTTTGTATGTGCTTATTGTTCCCTTTATCTTTTTTTGTGAAGTCACTGTTCAAGACTGCTTATTTTTTATTGGTTTTTTAAATCTTTATGATCAATTTGTGGGAAATCTTTACATATTCTTGATAAGAGTCCCTTTTCAGATATATGTATTGTGAATATTTTTCCCGGTGTATGGTTTGCTTTTTCATCTTCTTAACCATATATTTAAAAGAACAGCATTTTTTGATGAAGTCCAATTTATCAAATTTTCTTTTATGGTTATTTTTCTGCCATCTCCTAAAAATCCTTGTCTACCCCAAAGTCCTAAAGATACCATACCATGTTTTCTTCCAAAATCTTTATAGTTTTAGTTTATACTTTTCAGTCTATGATTAATCTCATTAATATTTGTGTATGCTGTAAGGTAGGAGTCAGTGTACATTTCCTTCCATACATTTATCCAGCCATTCCAGCACCATTTGCATAAAAGTTTTTTCTGTCCTCACTGAATTGCAATGGAGTCCTCAATTGACCATATGTGTATGGATCTGTTTCTGTACTGTTTTCTCCCATTAGTTGTTAGTCTATCCTTAGTGAGGGGTCAATCATTCTTAGTGAGGGGTAATAGGTCTTAAAATTGGGTAGTGTAAGTCTCCCAAAATTGTTCTTCTTTCATAAAAGGTTGTTCTTGTCTAGATTCTTTTGCATTTATAATAAATTTTAGAATCATCTTGTCAACTTCCACAAAGAAATAACTGTAGTGTTTTTAAATGGAATTGCATTGAGTCTGTCAATCAATTTGTAAATAAATAATACCTTAACAGTATAGTATTCCGATTCATAAATATGGTATATCTTTTCATTTATTTAGATTTTTTGAACTTTATTGAGGTATGATTGACAAATGTAAATTGTATGTATTGAAGATTTACAATGTGATGCTTTGATATATGTATTCACTGTGAAATGATGACCACAATCAAGCTCATTAACATATATATCACTTAATCTAGTTAGCTTTTTATTTTGTATAGTGAGAACATTTGAAATCTATTCTCCTAGCAAATTTCAAGTATTATTATTAATGATTACGCATTATTATTATTAGAGACAGGGTCTCTAAAATAGGTTGGACGGTAGTGGTGTGATCATGGCCCACTGTAATCTTGAACTCCTCCGCTCAAGCCATCCTGCTGCCTAACCTCTCAAGTATCTGGGACTACAGGCATGTGCCACAATGCCTGGCTATTTTTAATTTTTTTTGTAGAGGTGTGGTCTCACCATGTTGCTCAGGCTACATTACTATTAACTATAGTCACCTTGCTGTACATTATGTCTCCAGAAATTCTTCATTTTATAATTGAAAGTTTGTAATCTTTGACCAACATTTCCCCCTTTTTCCCACCTCACAGACCCTGGTAAACACCATTCTATTTTGTGTCTCTCTGAGTTTGACTTTTTTTTTTTTTTTTTCAGATTTCACATATAAGTGAGATCATGCTGTCTGTCCTTCTGCATCAGGCTATTTCACTTAGCCTAATGTCCTCCAGGCTCATTCATGTTGTTGCAAATGGCAGGATTTCCTTTAAGGCTGAATAATATTCATATACATATATGTGTGTGTGTATTATATATATATGTATAAAAACATTTTCTTTATTCATCTGTCAACAGACACTTAGGTTGTTTCAATATCTTGGTATAGTAACCAAGGTATATTATTCATAGTAGAATAATACTCTAATGAACACGGCAGTGCAAATATCTCTTTGAGATAATGATTTTATTTTTTGTTTATTTATTTATTTATTTATTTTGAAATGGAGTCTCACACTGTCGCCTTGGCTGGAATGCAGTGGCGCGATCTCGGCTCACTGCAACCTCCACCTCCCAGGTTCAAGCAATTCTCCTTGCCTCAGCCTCCCTAGTAGCTGGAATTACAGGCATGCGCCACCACGCAGTATTTGTATTTTTAGTAGAGACGGGGTTTCACTATGTTGGCCAGACTGGTCTCGAACTCCTGACCTCGTGATCCGCCTGCCTCAGCCTCCCAAAGTGCTGGGATTACAGGCGTGAGCCACCGCGCCCGGCCGTCATTTTATTTCTTTTGGATATATACCCAGGACATCTGTGGTTCCTGGGTCCTGGAATATGCCTTGGGTGAGGAGCTGGGGTTGTTGTGGGCAAGGGGTCACCCTGGTCCTGGGTGGCACAACAGCAGCTCCTTCTTCAGGCAGGGTGCAGTAGCGTCTCTGTCTCTGGGGAGTCCGCAGTGACCATGATTGTTGGATAGCTCAGTGGTAAAAGCTGCCAGTATCCTCTGTGGGGCAGCCGATGGGATCCATGCTAACCACCACTAAGGGGACCTCCACTGTGAAAGCTGCAGGGAGTCCATGACTACCACAAGGGCTGCTAAGTTCCTCATCAGCAAAGGCTGCCGGGGTTCTCTGCAGGACAGGCCACGGAGGATCATGTTGGCACCTTCTGCATGACTGATACTGATGGCTCAACCTTTCTTTGTCTCCAGATGTCTCAAGTATGCCATTTCAGTTATTATTTTCGTGTGGTTTTTCTCCATATTTTACTCCACTGTGTTTCTTCAGGTTCTTGGTTGAACTATTGAGCCCTCTCTGATCTATCTATGTTTATGGATATCTGTATAATTGTTTTTTTTGTTGGGGAACAAAGTCTAGTATCTCCTACTCTGCCATCTTGCTGATGTCACTGTCTCAGGACATAGGTTTCTGATGTGGTTAATTCTGAAACTTGGGATGTCCAAGATCAAGGCATCAGCAGATTTGGTGTCTAGTGAAGGCCCACTTTCTGGTTCATAGACAGTGCCTTCTTGCTGTGTCCTCCCATGGCAGAAGGGTGAGGAGTCTCTCTCAGGCCTCTTTTATAAGGGCTTCCACTTATTCAGGTTTTAAAATTTTTCTCCCTGTAATATTATGTAGTTTGTATTCAGTTATTCTTTGGTAAAATTTTTGGGACAATTTTATGATTTTCGTGCTATAGTGAGTGGCATCACTTTAGAAAAGTTGCAAATTGTTGCTAGCGTATACAAAAACAAGAGATTTTTGCATATTGATCATGCAGTCTACAACCTAATTGAATTTACTTATTTGTTCCCATGGCTATTTTGTGCACTTCTTATGATTTCCTCTACTCACACCCATGCCATTTGCAAATAAAGACCATTTTATTTCTTCATTTCCAATTTGTGTGTCTTTTATTTATTTATTTATTTATTTGCCTTATTGTACTGGTTAGAACTGCAGGTGCAATATGAATTGGAAGTGATGATAACTGATATTCTTGCTTTTTCCCCATTGTTAAGGAGGTAACATTAAATATTTCACCAGTAAAAAGTATATTCACTGTAAGTTTTTACGTAGAAGGCTTTATCAACTTTAGAAAGTTTCCTTCTATTCCTAATTTGCTGAAATACTTTACGATGAATGGCAAATGGTAAATTTAATCATGAATGGTGAATGGTCCTGTATTAGTTTTTCTATAATGTGTAACAAATTGCCATGACTTACTGGTTTAGAAAAGACATTTATTAGCTTACAGTGCTGTAGGTTAAAAGTCTAACATGGAATTCCTGGGTTCTCTTTTTAGAATCTCACAAGGTTGCAATCTAAGTGTTGGCAACTGCATTCTCATCTGGAGCTTGGGGTTCTCTTCGCAGCTTTGGGGATGTTGGCAGAATTTAGTTCCTTGTGACTACAAGGCTAAGGCCCTCAACTCCTGGAGGCCACCTGCAATAGGCAGTTTACATCATAGCAGCTTGCCCTACTTTTAATTTTCATTATTTTTTGCTTGGACTACTGAAATAGTGACCAACTTGGCCTCCTCTTAGGTCCCTTAGGTCCTCTCTTACTCATGTTAAAATTTACATCTGATTATGTCACCTCTTAAAAAAAAAAAAAAGAAAAAAACAAACAAAAAAACTCTGATGACTCCTGACTGCCCAGAGAAAGAGGTCTAAACCTTTGCATATGGTAACGAAAGCTTTTCATGCCCTGACCCCAACCTCTCTCTTCGGCTGCCAGTCATAAGCAGCCTATTTTTAGAGCCGTAGGATGTGCCATGCACTTTGGCATGCTTGTCCCAGCAGCTGTTATTTCCTCTACCTAGAATGTTAGAAGTCACCTCCTCATACTCCAGCACCACACATAGTCTTTCCATCTGGAGAAATCTTATTCACTTATGTGAAAGCTAGGCTCAAATGTCACTTTCTCCGGGATGCCTCTTCAATCATTTTCTTCTCCAGGGCCCACATATCCAAGTGTCTAATTTTGGGCACATGCTTTTTAATTGAATATCTGTCTCCTAATAATCTGTAGTTATCCTGAGGTCTGAGACCATATTTTATTTATTTATTTATTTTCTGAGGGAGACTGCTCTGGACCAGGCTCTGTGGAGGGGTTGCAGGTACAAAGATGAGGAAGGCCATCGAGAAGGAAATTCTGAGCAATAAGTACACAATTACAATACAGTGTGATATGGACTGGGCTAGAGTGATACACAAAGTGCTGTTGGTGTGCAGAGAATAGGGAATTTAGTTGTTCTGGGGTGAAGGTAGAGGTGGAGAGAGTAAGGAAAAAAGGCTTCACAGAGAATGTTCCACTGGTGCTGGAGGCATAGAGAATAAATAGAGAGGGGAAATGGTATAACATGCCAGTAGAAGAAAAAACCCAAAGGTCTGTAATTGTGTAGTGCATAGCTGGAAGGGATCTCAGCTCATGCACAGGTGGACTCAAAAACCTAAATAGCAAAACTTGAGATTTTATGACACATGCTAATTCCACTAGTGGTGGTTCCCTGGAGTGCTGTGCTAAGAAGGATTCTTTTTTAATTGAGGTAAAATTCACATACCATAAAATTCACCCTTTTAAAGTATACACTTGAATGGCTTTCATATATTCACAGGATTATGCAACCTATCACTGCAATGTAATTCCAAGACATTTTCATCACCCCCAAAAAGAAATCTCATATGCATTAAGCAGTCCCTCCCCAATTATCCCCTCCCCCTAGCTCCTGGCAACCACCAGAGCCCTTTCTGCCTCTACGGATTTTCCCATTTTGGACATTTTACATAGATGGAATCATATAATATGTGGTCTTTTCTGCCTGTTTCTTTTACTTAGCATCATGTTTGCAAATTTCATCCATGTTGTATCATGTAACAATACTTCATTCCTTATTATTTCTGAATAATATTTTGTTGTATGGATGGACCACATTTTGTTTATCCAGTTGGTTCTGAGAAGGATTTTGAGGCCAGCTCTGGGAGCATCAGGGAAGAAAGCCATGGCCATGGGTGTCTGTCAGGTGCTGGGGGAGAGAGAGCTGTGGTGCTTCCCATGTACCACAAATTTTCTATCCTGCTGACAGAGGAGTGGTTTCATTCACAACTACTGCCCAATGTGATCTGAGATGTCTAACAAATTGATACAATTGTATACTTGAAGAAAAATGGTACTTAATAGCTAGACTATTTTCTAAGATACATTCAGATCCCTACAGGATCATAAGAAGTCAGAGTTAGAAGAGCGGGAAGAGATCATCCACTACTCTCCCTTTGTTTTCTTGCTAGGAAAGCAATCAATGCCACCAATAGCCTTTCTAAAATTACAACATTTCTTTTCACAAAATAGCCCAGGGACTTCTAAACACTGGGGGACATTTTCAATAGACGAAGAGAGAATGTTGAGAAAACCCTTCTGCAAGTAGAGATTGAAGAAGACATGCTGCTGGAAGATACAGAGGTGAGAGACCAGAGAGAAAAAGAGAGACAATGGCTGCCTTGCTTCCTGGTGGGTTTTCACTTCCTACCCTAGAGTTCTGCGAGACTTCTAGAATCTTTATAATGCTAGCTCAAGTGGGATTCTATTATTTGCAGCAAAATTCCTAAAATTCATGGAAAAGTTTCTCTAGCCCAGTTTTTTTTCAGGCCAAGGGAAACCCTACCTCTATAAACTCAAGCATGTGTTTATCCAAATGACCCCTGAGGGCAGTGATTCGAATGCATATTCCGAGATGCTTATTTATCAGTGGTATGTAGGGAATGTTGTTCCCCACTTACAAGATCCAGAAATCCTGCTTAAATACCCATGTGCCCATCACTGAATGTTCTTAACTTTTCCTTGGAAGGTTTCTGATGAATAGAAATTTTATACTTGGAAGGAGGGAAGTGAATAATTTAAATGTGTTGCTTGAAGAACTATACTACAAATTAACCCAAAGGTAAAAATGATAGACTAACTTGGAAATGCAAAACATTAAACAATTGGGAGTAGATTAGGAAAAGTCATCTCTGTGCAAAGAGCCCCAATCCAACTTGCCTCGAAGCAAAACTTCATAAAATAATCTTGGTTGTGTGCCTCCAATCAAAATACAAGGTAATTAAAGACCGGTAGGAACATGTAGTGACCTCTTAAAATCCAGACTGAAAATGGTGAAAAGAAACAAAACTATAGTAAAAGAAATCTTTGTTTTAGTGCTAATAAACTTTTTTCATCTCACCATTTTTAAATGAGTGTGGGAGTGAGGCAAAATCTAGACAAACTTTCTCAAAAACAAAACATGCATAGGTCTTCCTCCCTTCTTTGAATAAAGAATCAGTGCTGACTCTATGCAGACACCTGCTACTTGGCACTCAGCCAACTTGCTAACCAACCCTGGCTTTCAGCCCAATTAGCTAAGCACGCGTCATCCAGAACACGTTAATTATTCCTAGTGATCTCCCAAAGTATCCGATGGGATTATACAAAGAAAGGTGGACATAACCTTCTTTTACAAGGACATTTACTAAGGAAACACCATTGCATGCATTCTTGAAATTTCGAGACATTCCTATAAATGCATAATATCAGAGCTGGCAGGCACCTTCATTATCCAAGTCTCATTATCCAAGCCCTTCATGAAAGGGAGAAACTGGGGCACTCCCAAAAGCTTCCAATAAACTACAAGTAGACAGAAGATAAACATAAAAATAAAAAAATAATTGAATAAAGTCTACTATTTCAGATACACTGTAGGGAGAGAAAATACATACTATGGCATTTTTGTGAATTAAGTGATAATAATTCACTTTTAATTTCAGTTTATTTGGAACAAAGAGGCAAGATTAGAGAGGATGGGAATTGATAGTTTCAAATCCTTGCCTGCCATTTCTTTTCAACAGTATTCCTATGCCTCAGTGTCTCCATCTATAAATAAGGGAGCAGGAAAATTTAAAAGTAAAACAGAGTAACATAATGGTTGCAAACACAGACAGCTTTGAAATTGTCTTTTTCCTGGCTATGAAGGTGCATTTGGTGAGAGGTTCATAGTTCATGCCTAAGAAAAATCAGTCTTATATTTATTCATCCCTCATGTACTAGGCTGTAGGTGCTCCCCCTGTAGATTTGTGAACCTCTCATGTGCATTATGTTATTTAATTATCAGCAGAACCATGTAAGTTGTCATCGACCCCATGCTACAGATGGGGAGACAGAATCAGAGAGTTTGGGTTATCTGCTTGAGGTCACAGAGCAAGAGTCAGAGTGGTGATTTAAACCAGATTTCTGAGTCCAAGTTCATGTTCTTTCCACTATACTATGTTGCCTTTCACACACTCGTATAATCTTCACGTAATGTACCATATGCCCCACAGCACTTTCTACACATACTAGGTATTCAATCCAGTGGTTGCTTTAATGAAGAATGTACAATTACTGTGATATAGGCAATGTTTTCAGTACTTTACAGGTTTCAAACTACTTTTAATCTCACAACAATCCTGTGAGGTTGTTTCTATTATCCTAATTTTGGAAATGAAGAAACGAAGGTGTACGGTTTTAGTAACTTGCCCAAGGTCATCATACCAGTAAGTGGTTCATCTTCTGCCAAGTTCTGACTCTTAACTTTTGGTATTCACTGCAAGTGTGATGAGCGCTCTTTCTTTGGCATCCTCCTGATGGTCAGAAGGAAGACCAGAAGGAGAGACCAAGAAATACAAAAGGTGCAGTTAGTTATGTTCTAAACAGAATGTGGGCTGGGGGAAGAGGGAGCACAGCTCCTAGAAGTTAAGTCAGTTAAGTCAAAGTTACACAGAGAGCATCTCAGTGGCAGAACAGAGACTGTTTGTGCAACCTTCCATTGGGAACAGATGGTGGTCTTGTCTGGTCTTGTCCAGTCATACCCTTTTTGGTTGCATTCATTGCTAACTTAACAGCAAAGAGAACTTAGAGGAGCAGAAGGTCTATTTCTTCAAATGAACATTGATTTCATCAAACGGCACATGGGAAATATTCCCCAAGTAGCAGACTTGTTTTAGAGTGCCTATAATTCAGAAACTCATTCATTTGAAGCCATTCCCTCTGTATTCCTATCACTTCCTTCAATTTTAGTCTTGTCATTTTATTATTTCCATGGACAATTCTGTTGGTATGAAAGCAAGATATGGGCTCTCATCAAAAGCAAGCCTTTGATGTTACTTATGAACATCAGCTAGAAAGTCAGCAAAGCCAGAGAAGAGAGAGTTGGTTTACAGATCTCAAAGGCAACAGAGAATGCTGTCCTCATCAAATTGATCAAAGTGTTGGATTTAATTACACAAATATAGCAATTTGGTGACCTTTTATAATACTTTCCCCTAGGACTGCAGAGTGGGAAAGCCAATTCATTTTTCTGCTTGATTGCTTTAGACTATTACAAACTGTTCCCTTGGGAAGGGCAGAAAATCAGTTATGATCTTTTGTCTCTCATCCACAGTACAGGAAAGTCACTGCTTTCCAGTGAATGAGGCATAGATTTCCCCCTGATTTCACTCTCAATCCCCTAATTAGGTGACTATTATGAAAACTGTTGAAATTTAATAGATGGAGGCTGCCCTCAGAAGAGGCCAAGGGACCATAGAGGCTCATAAGTGATGGCATTGTCCCCCTAACACCTGGATGGGCAGTTAGCTTGTAATTCTTATCATGGCCCAGCTTCCTTTGGCTCTCTGGCCAGGAACCAATGTGAGAGTGTACCTTCTGGAAAGCAGAGGTGTTCACTGAGCTCTAATTACTCTCTTCTAATGGCTGATCATGGACACTTCTGTTTTCCTATCTACAAAAATGACAGCTATCTTTTGGGTAACTAACCACTCCTATTTTGTGCCCAATTCATAGTTCTGAAGATATGGTCTGCTTGTGCCCACTCTCCACATGGAGCTAAAGGCGCCAAGGAAATCAACAGATTTCCTCCTAGCCTTCTTTGCCCATAGAGACTAAGAGTAGGGTCTGAGACCTTCACAGCCCTTGGGGTGGTTTAGGCTGCATGGGAAGAAGGTTCTTCTCCTTATCTGACACGTCTCACATTCCTTCCACGGGAGAGCAGAAAGCTCATTTCTTATTTTTTAACTTTTTTTTTTTTTTGAGATGGAGTCTCGCTCTGTCACCCAGGCTGGAGTGCAGTGGCATGATCTCGGCTCACTGCAAGCTCCGCCTCCCGGGTTCACGCCTTTCTCCTGCCTCAGCCTCCCGAGTAGCTGGGACTACAGGCACCCACCGCCACGCCTGGCTAATTTTTTGTATTTTTAGTAGAGACGGGGTTTCACCGTGTTAGCCAGGATGGTCTCAATCTCCTGACTTCATGATCCGCCCGCCTCGGCCTCCCAAAGTTCTGGAATTACAGGCTTGAGCCACCGCACCCAGCCGATTTCTTAACTTTCAATTAATTTATTTTTAAGTATATACCTCAATGATTTTTAAATAAGTTTACAGAGTTGTACAATCATTGCCATAATTCAATTTTATAATTGAATTAATCACTCCCAAAATGTATCTTATGCCCATTTTCTTCCATTCCTGATTCCCACTCCCGGGCAACCACTAATGTGCATTACCATTTCTGGACATTTCATATCAGTGGAATCAAACAATATTGGGTATTTTGTGACTGGTTTCCTTCACTTTGTATAATGTTTTTGAGGTTCATCCATGCTGTAGCATGTATCAGCAGTCCATTCCTTTTCCTTTTCCATTCCTGCTGAATAGCATTTGAAAGCTATTTCTTTGTTCCTCCCTAACTCCTCAAGATTAAAAAAAAAAAACCCAGATGTGAAGCCCTACACAATCCAGCTGACTTCTCCAAATTCACCTCTTACACCTGTAGCACTTCACTTCACCTCCCATGCTGCAAGCATATGGCCTTCTTCCGAATCCTCCAGTGTGCAATGATCTTGTCTACTGCAGTGCTGTTGAAAATGCTGTTCCATTTCCCTAAACACTACCCCCTCCAACATGCATGTATGTATTTCACCTGGTTAATTCCTACTCATGCTTCAGGTCTCTATTGAAAGCACATTCCCTCAGAGGAAGCTTCCCTGACCCTGTAAATTAGGTCTGACTTTTCTTTTGCTTGCTCTCTTAGTATCTCTGTCAAGAGTTCTTGTTGTATGTGGAAGTAGCTCATGATTTATAGAATTATTTTTTAAATGCCTGTCTCTGCCCTGTCCCTTCTCTACCTCCACCTCCCCCCAATTCCCTGCCCCAGCCCAAGAGCTCTAAGTTCCACAAGGACTAATACTCTCTGTTGTGGTTACCACCAGCCCAGGACCAGGAACATAGTAGGTGCACAGTAAACATTCACACCTTGCCTGCCTGCCTGAACCCTTCCTTGCCTTTGGTGCTGCAGATGGTAGGTCTTCTCTTTCCATGTTCAATTATGTCAGCAACAGCAAGGGGAATCTGTACTTTATATGCCATGGAGTTTCCTAAAATGTGTCCGTCTATAAAGATGTGCTGTTTTCAACTGATAGCATCAATGCACTGAAGACAAACACAACCTGACAGCTAGAATGTAGTCACTACAAAGTGTCCGTGAGGCCAGCTACATGGCGTGGAATGGAGGGAATGTGACTATGTGATGAGAACCCCCAGTACACTTCTCAACTTTTCAAGTAGCTCCCGGGGAAGACCTGGGGGCAACCTTGTTCACCGAGGTGCTCACTAACGCTTTCATGTAATGCCAATTCCAGTGCGCTGAGCGGCACTTTGACTGGCTGTTTGTTTGACTCTGCTTTCAACACCTCTCTTGAAAATATGACATATGTCAGAATGAATCCAAGTAGCCTTTAAGCCAGCTTTTACGGCCACACAAAGGTCTTCACCCATTGGTCACACTGAAAGACACTTGATGCTGTTTGAGAACACTCCTCTTAATCTGCTGATAACCTTTTCTGTCTAGCCGGCAAGACCTAAGAAAACATTTCTTTTCATTTGGGTCCATTTTAAATGAAACAAGTAAAAAACATCAACTGTTAAAAACATGTCTCTTTGTACTTGTGCATCTTTACTTTTGAGTCTTGGCAGGAGATTTTTAAGGGGCAAATGGACTAAATGAATGAATGCCAATCACAACAACAGCGGTAGAGAGTAATAATTCAATTCAACAAGCAGTTATTGAGTGCTTACGATGTGCGGGGCCCTGTGTGCAGCCCATGGGGGATAGAGATGAATAAACTGCAGTTTCTGCCCTCCAGGAGCTCATAATCTGGAAGAGGAGACAGATGCGCACATAAATAACACTAATAAGGATGACACTGGGAAACGCTGGAATAGAAGTGCAAGCAAAAGGCTATGGGAATATGGGGAGGGGAAAATTAATTTCAACCGAGAACATCAGGAGAGCTTTCTTGGCAGAAGAAGGGATAAATATGGCACACTGTTTTATTCTAACAACTTGAGAGGAAAATAAATGCCATTAAGACTTTAGACTATTCTGGCTGTACATAGATGGGGCCCCTGCATTGTCTTGGAAGCCCAAGTTCCACTTTAATGCGGTTAATTGGTAGAAAGAAGCTCCTTCAGGCCCAACAAATCCTAGAATGAACAGTTCTGCTTTACCCTTCAGGACACAGATCCTGTCCTGACTCCCTGATTCCTAACCACTAGCCAAATAGTCACACAGTTTGTAAGCGATGATACTGGCTTTTTATTGCTAAATTGAAGCCACCTCCTCTTAAACGGCCTTAAATCCACCTGGTGTGTGGGGAGACGGGGGAGGTGTGTACATATGCTCTCCTGGCTGGGGCCAGCTCACTGTCCAGGGTTCTTTTGCAAATATGACTTCATCCCCATTCAAACCTGCCCTTGGAAAAGGTCATATACTCATATACCCTCGGACTGCAGAGACCTGACAGTGCTAGTGTTAACTCCTTTTAGAGGCATCTGCATTTTAATGGGAATTCAAACCTTTACCATTGGGAGAATGGGGGGTCAGATAAGGTCCTTGGGCTGGGCTTTACCTAAACCTGGGATGACTCTGCTTATTTGGCCTAAGGGTAGAAAATAGTTTGCAGCTTTGTGGGAAATGATGGTTGCCTCATTTAGTAAAAAAAGAAAAAAGGAAAAAACCTGTCAAGCTTTAAGGATGAAAGCACTTAACAAGCAGGGAACAACAGCTAATTAGCATTTCAAAGAGGGGGGTAACAAGTAATAAATACTGTGAATCCCAGAGCCCCAGGATGTGGCCTCTGATGAACACTCTCACCTCCTGTACCTCTCTACCTTGTTTGGCAGCATATGGGCTTTAAAGCCTAGAGGAACCCCGGGCTGGATTACTGGCTCTGCGACTTGCATGATAATTTGGGCAAGTAACTTAAACTCTTTGAGCCTTAACTTCCTCATCTGTAAACTGGGTCCAATGATAGAATTGTTGTGAGGATTATTGACCTAATTAATGTACAAGGCCTAGCACACTACACTGTATAAAATAGGAATACAATATGACTTCCTCACCTTTTCTTCTGCTGTGTCTGTGGGGAGTGGGGGGTGGGGCGGGGGCGGGGGAACAGGGATGTCCCTGTTCCTTCTTTCCCCTCTCTCCCCTCTAAAACCAGCCATTATATGGGAGTGAAGCATAATTTTAATACTTTCTGTGGTTAACCGTCAATGTTTCCTCAATTTAAAAGTAGATTAGTTGAATAGTTTATTTTCTTTAAAGTGTTGTGTGTATGTGTGTGTTTGTGTGTGTGTGTGTGTGTGTGTGTGTGTGTGTGTGTGTGTAGTGGCCTGCAAAATCTCCCCTCTAGAGGTTATGAATGTTCAACAACAACAAAAGTTCTCCACTTCCAGCTTAATAAAGAAATGATCAGAAGGCCGAGTGCGGTGGCTCACACCTGTAAGCCCAGCACTTTGAGAGGCCGAGGCGAGCGGATCACCTGAGGTCAGGAGTTTGAGATCAGCCTGGCCAACATGGTGAAAACGCATCTCTACCAAAAAAAAAAAAATTACTCAAATTAGCCAGGAGTGGTGGCATGTGCCTGTAATTCCAGCTACTCGGGAGGCTGAGGCAGGAGAATTGCTTGAATCCGGGAGGCAGAGGTTGCAGTGAGCAGAGATCACACCACTGCACTCCAGCCTGTGCAGCAGAGTGAGACTCAGTCTCAAAAAAAAAAAAAAAAAAAAAAAGCCAGGCGCAGGGACTCATACCTCTAATCCCAGCACTTCGGGAGGCCAAGGCAGGTGGATCACCTGAGGTCAAGAGTTCAAGACCAGGCTGACCAACATGGTGAAACCCCGTCTCTACTAAAAACACAAAATTAGCCAGGTGTGGTAGTGCATGCCTGTAATCCTAGCTACTCGGGAGGCTGAAGCAGGAGAATCACTTGAACCCAGGAGGCAGAGGTTACAGTGAGCCAAGACTACGCCATTGCACTTCAGCCTGGGCTACAAGAGCAAAACTCCATCTCAAAAAAAAAGCGGGGTGGGGCAGGAATGATCAGAGGATTCTGCCAGCAGCTAAGGAAGCTACCACATATTGGGAGTAATAGATTTTTCTCAGGACCCCAGAATTCGTCTCATGAAAGTGGCTGCTTGTTTTTCCTGTGTTCAATTCCTACTCTCTATGCTGACCACATTCCCTTTGTTTTTTGTCATATGAAGGTCAAAAGAGTAGAGCAGAACACATTGAAAAGGTACATGAAATATGTCCAAGCGATAAGTTATCCCTGTGGCCAGGTATAGTACAAGTAGGGAAAAGGAAGGGGGATGGCGATGTTAAGAAAAGCCTAATTAGCAGCCCTGTCCATTTGCTTCTCCAGTCCCTTGGCTTTAAATATTACGTGCATGATCAAAAATTAGCCTGGCCTGGTGGTGGGTGCCTATAATCCCAGCTACTCAGAAGGCTGAGGCAGGAGAATCACTTGAAACTGGGAGGTGGAGGTTGCAGTGAACTGAGATCGTGCCATTGTGCTCCAACCTGGGCAAGACTCTGTCTCAAAAACACACACACAAAAATGTATATGCTGAGAACTCCTAAATTTACATCTCTAGCAAAGACCACTCCCTACATTTCACACTCATGAATGTATCTTCAACTCAACATCTCCACTTGAATAGATATCTTTAAGTATGTCTAAAACCCATTCTAGATCCCCATCTCCCAAAACTTGATCATCCTTCAAATGTTCTGATCTCAATAAATACAATCACTGTTTATCTAGTTGCTCAGACCAAATATCTTGGACTTATCCTGGACTTTTATCTTTTTTTTTTTTTTTTAGCATCTTATATCTACCCCCATTAAAAATCACATTGACTCTGTCTTCAACTTATATCTGAAAAGTAACTCTGTCCCCCCAGCCCTATCATTGGGACTTCGGTCCAAGCCACTAACATCTCTTGCCTATATTAATAGAGTAGCCTCTAAAATGCTCCCCCTTCCTTCCATTCTTGTCGGATCATACCACTCCTCTGCTCAGAACCTTTCAATGCTAACCCATCTCAGAATGTAATTAAAAGTTCTTGTCATGGCCTACAAGGCCCTGTGTGATCTGGCTCCCTTCTACTCCTCTGAGATCATCCCTACTACTGTCCCAGCACTTTGATCTAGCTCCATTCACTTCCTTGTGGTTCCTTAAACACACCAAGCATATTCCCACATCAGTGCCTTTAAATTTTCTGAACTCTTCACCTGAAATGCTCTTTACCAGATATGTGCAGGCCTTGCTCTCTCATTTAATTCAGATCTCCTCCCAATTTCTCCTCATCAGAAAGGCCATGCTCACCACTATAGCAGAAAGAGCACACACTAACATGCACTCCTGTTGGTCAGTCTCTGCCCCCTTACTCTGCCTTGGTTTTCTTCTTTATCAATTATAATACTACAACATATTCTTTGGTTACTGTCTTTCCTGCCCAGTAAAAAATAAGCCCCTTTTTATTTAAAAAAGTAATGTTTAAAAATCTGAGTTTTCTGAGACTTCCCTATACAAATTATCTGGCTTCCTTAAGAGCCTCTCTACATTTTCTTCTATTAGATAATTTGTAGTTGTAGCCAGAGTGGCATTTTAGAGAGCTTCCCAACCCTCTTGAATTATCTTTTCTTGTAGAGTCATGCTATGAACTTGGACATTGGACCTCACAAATACCCCTTGTCTTAGTCTGTTCTCAGGCTGCTATAAGCACTATCTGAGACTGAGTAATTTATAAAGGATAGAGGTTTCATTGACTCACAGTTCCACATGGCTGGGGAGGTCTCAGGAAACTTACAATCATGATGGAAGGGGAATCAAACAGGTCCTTCTTCAAGTGGCAGCAGGAAGGAGAAGTGCCGAGCAAAAGGGGGAAAAGCCCCTTATAAAACCATCATATCTCATGAGAACTCACTCACTATCATGAGAACAGCAGCATGGGGGTAACTGCCTCCATGATTCAATTACCCGGTCCCTCCCACAACACATGGTGATTATGGGAACTACAATTCAAGATGAGATCTGGGTGGGGACACAGCCAAACCATATCACCCTTTCTGGTGGTCAAAGACTTTGTGGTTCTTCATTCATTCTCTTGTTACATTTTCATCACTTCCACTTTCTGAACCACTCCCCCAGTTAGTCAGAATTAATTCTAGACTCACAGTCTCTCTAGTTGTTTTCTCTAGGTTCCAGAAATTGTCATCACAATTTTAATACCTTTTCAGCTGCTTTCCAGTCAGGTGACCTTTAACATCCCACGTATAATATACATAACATGCATTCTCAAATTCAAAGCTTTCTAATCACATGTATATTTAAAAAAATACAAGCACATGGTATAAAATCAACCAGTGTAATGGCAAGTTATGTGAAAAGTGAGTGCCCCTTCTTCTTTATTAGTTCTCCAGTTACTCTCCAGAGGCAACCACTTTTTCCAGTTCCTGTGAACCCTTTAAAAAAAACTCCATATTTTTTGGAGAGGGGAGTAAATAATCCACACCATTGTTTTAATAGAAAATCAAACAACTCAGAAACAAAAATAATTTTTTAAAATCTAAAATAAAATGCACTATCTAGAGATAACCATATTAATGTTTTAATATATCCCTATAGATACCTGTGTGTATATACTCAATTGCATATAAATGGAAACACACTGCACATGTTCCATTTTCAGCCCTTTAAATGTAACAGTATCATGGACTTCTTTCTATGTCAACACCTATAGATCTAAGTGAATGTCAATTTAATATGGCATATGACTTCACCTAGCAGATATGCTCCTTTTAGATAAGACAGCCTCTTCTGCCTCCAGTCTTTAGATTTGTCTCACTAAATTCCAGTGAATACTGCAATCCCACTTGTACCACTCTGTACTAGACCTTCAAGTTGGCTTTGCACATCACTTGGATTAGCTCATAGAAATTCTAGGTGGTAAGTGGTATTTACAGCCACTTTTCAATCAATATTCTCACAGCAGTATTATTTGTTGTTAGGGTCTTCAAAGTCAGCTTGAAGGTGAAAAAATGATATGGAGGTCTCATGGAACAGTATTCTAAGAGAAATACCTAGGCATCACTAATTTTTAACGTATATTTATTGAGCAACTAATATGTTGTAGCAATAAACAAAATAGATGAAGATCCTTGTTTTTGTGCAACTTGTGAGAGGGGACAAACAGTAGCCAAATAAATATATCAGATAGTGATAATAGTAGAGAAGAAAAATGAAGCAGGGTAAGGGGCAGAGAGTGACCAGCAGAGGTGGGTATATGTTTTTGCCATTTCAGCTGCAGTGTCAAGGATAGCCTCTCCAATGATGGGCAGAGATCTGAATGAGGTGAGGGGCAAACCTTGCAAATATCTGGGTAAAGAGTATTACACGGCGAAATTTCAGCAAATGCAAATGCCCTGATTTGGGGATAGGCTTAGCATCTTTAAGGAACAGCAAGGAGGTGCTTGTGGCTGAACCAGAGTGTGAGGAGAGTGGTAGGAAATGACACTAAGGACAAACCCAAAGAGGATCACCAGCTGATGTAAATAATTTCAGAAAGGTGAAAGTCTCCAGTGAGCTGAGATTAGGAGACAATGTCTCGGATAAAAGCATTAGGCTTTGTTAGCTTTGTTCTGAGCAAGAACAAAGAAGTCAGGGGAGAGATGTGCTGCTTCGGGCTGGAGGGGTATTGCTGATGAAAGACAGGAAAAGCAGAACCCTAGAACTCCAAATTAGTTGTATTCTCTGTAAAAGACAATGAGCTTAAGACGGAAAAGTTTAGAGAAAACCTTAGTGAGAAGCAGCAGAAGCCTCAAATTGAGATGAGAGTGTAAGAGAACACATAGGTGCTATCTAAATGTGTTTTAAGCTCATTACCCAGGTGACTGTGTCCCCATCTAAGAAACCTTAGAAAAAAGAACACAAGGAGAGATAAAAAAAAAAAAAAAGAGAGAGAAAGAATGCTATTATGGCACAATTTGAGGAATCAGAGCAAATAGGAGAAGATCTAGAATCAAGGAAATGGATATTTACTTTGATTTTCAAAAATGGCAAGAAGTTAGATTCTGGACACAACAAATCAAACATCTTGATGTTAAGATCAAATAAATATATCAAATGAAATACTAAAGTACTAAAACAGAACTAAAATTTTGTACTAAAGTACTAAAACAGAACTAAAGTTCTGTTTACCTAACAGAATTTATAGTGGTTTCTCAGGTCCAGAAACAGTCTTTGGTACCCAACATGGGTTCACTAGGAACAAGGTATGTCTGACTAACCTCAGCTCCTTCTTTAACAGGGTTTTCAGATTGGCACATATGAAAACATGGTAGGCAGAAAATCTGAACAGCATTAAGGCATTTGTAAGTATTGTGACTTGGGTGTTAAGGTGAAAGAAATATTCTGGTGGTGTGCCTCAGAGGTCTGTCTTTATCTTTGTCCTAGTGAATGCTTTTATAGATGACTTGCATATGTAGACGGTCCACCTATTAAATTTAGATATGACACAAGCTGGGGAGACTAGGGTTAAGACTGATTGAACTGAGATCCCCAAATAATTTGAATAGAATGATGGATGAAATTTAACTCAATGAAGTTTAATAGTTAGAATAAATACATGATTTTGAATCGAGCCCCCAAATTCTCATAAGAAGCTTAAAGTCTTAATTGACTGTAAATTCTCCAGTGTGATGTATGATATAGCCTCCAAAAGAGCAAATGTGATCTTAAGATTTCATCATACTGGAGTAATTTCTATAAGATATTAGACGAGTTCTCTGGAGGCAGGGACCATGTTGAGTTTCTTCACTGTCATATATCCATGACATAGCATGGTGCCTGCTACATGGGATATACTCATTGATTAAATAATGTGGTTATGCTGGTTTATTCTGCTTTGGTTAGATCATAGCTAGGTTTCTGTTCTCAGTTCTGGCCACTGCACTTTGACAGAGATATGGACAAAGTCAAGAGAGTCATCAGAATGGTAAAGGAATTAAAAATCATACCCTAATGATTTGTTCAACAAATGTTTACTGAGCACCTAGTATATGCTAAACAAGACAGATGTCCCTGTCCTCATGATACTTATATTTAGCTGGAGAGATATACAAACTCAAAAATGGATACATAATCATCTTTCAGGGAGTGATGTATACTATGAAGAAAATATATCAGGATAAAGGGATAGTGATGGAGATGGGGGAGGTCATTTAGATACAATGGTCAAGAGAGGTTTCTCTGAGGAGCTGATATTTGAGAAAAATGAAGTAAGGAAATAAACCTTGCTGCTAGGTGAAGGAAGAATATTTCCATCAGTGGAAAAAGAAAATATAAGAGAATATGCACTTCATATTTGAGGAACAGAAGGAGGTCATGTGGCTGAAGCACAGGCAGGTAGAAGATTAGGTTACAGAAGTAGCCAGGGGCTTGATATGACAAAAGTCACAAAAGCTTGGAATAGTTAATCTGACTGTTGGAGTGGAAACAGTAGTAAAGTAGAGCTAAGGAAAGAGGGGGAAGGAAACCATCTTCAAATATTTATAGGTCTATGATGTGTAACAGAGATTAGACATGTTCTGGGAGACACCACTAGACTCCCATTGGCTCAGTGGGTTGAATCTAAAGAAAGAAAAAATTCAGTTCAATAAAAAAAAGCTTTCTACCTCTCTGAGCTATTTTAAGATGGATGGGCTGTCTCATGTAACAGTGATCTCCGTATCTCCATATCACCGGAGAGATTCTAGCTGAACTGAGGATATATCTCCCCACTTGGTGGGAGCTTGGTGGGAGGGAAGACCTGGAAGGCACACTCAAGGCTGGGAGGGAGATTAGATCAGATGACCTTTAAACCTTCAGATTCTAATTCTTCAGATTCTGGTAATCTAAATTTGTGTCCTGAAATATTAATAACACTTCTTTGATACTAATTATGGTCAAGGTAAATACTTGCTTTCTGGTGGATCCAAGATTACACACAATGCTCAAGGTGAATTTAATAGTCAAGACACTGAGTAAAAATGTCAGAAAGCATCTGCATGTCTTTTCATGGAATATATGAGTGAAAAGAGTCTAGGAGGTACCAGGTTACTAAAGTTTTAATACTTCCTGTGTTTGGCTACAGAAATGCCCCTATGTGTACGTTACAATAAGGTAACACAAACATACCTTACCCTGTGTCTTTGTTTTTTCCCTGAACAACTGAAGGATCATTTAGAAGAAATGGAACTCAACTAAATTGTCACTAAGCCAGACTGTTAATCAGCTTGGGCTGGCCTCTCTGCTGTTCAACAATTAGCGTGTTACTGATGTGAAGGAAAAATGGAATCAGGAAGAGTTAGGAAAAGCCAGCCATTGCCACTCTGGACTCTTTGCAATGGCCATACCCAGCTTCAGTCCCAGGAGCATTTCAAGCCATTCTAGCACAGATTCCCTTGATGACAGCATTGTAAATAATCTGCACTATTTGCTTCTGTTTCAAAACATGTCCTCCTCACGGTTCAAAAACTCATTATTCTTCAATGCTGAGCCTACAGGGGCAGCCCAATTATGAGGTCATTCTGAAAGAATTCTGAGAGAAAAAAATACATCTGCCTCTGTCTGAACAGTTAGAATGGGTTGTTAGAGTGGGCCTGAATATATCAAATAACTGTGCAGCCCTGTACTTCCTTCTGTATCAACCTCAAAAATGGCTTTTAAAAAAAACTCTTAAACTATTAACTATTGAATTAAATTTTAAAAGTTTAAACTTGAGCAACTTAGAAGAATATGTCAGAAGTCCACGATGAATTTGAAATGACCAAATAGTGTCTTCCAGTATGAAGGCCCAGGGAATGAGAGGAGTGTCATTTTTATATTGAGAAAAGCAGAATTAAGCAATTAAAATTGTTTCCTGTTCCCCTTCCCCCAAAAAGAAACTCATAGCAAGAAATATATATTTAATTTTTCCTTTCTTTTGAACTGAGTAAATGCTTTCCACTGCTAATATGGTTGATCAACAATAGATCACAAGTTTACTTAAAAAATACAAAATATTTCTCTTTCTTTTTAAAAACAGAAAAGTATAAATAAAAAAGAAAATGACTCACAGAAAAGGACTTGAGCAAGCAATTCACAGAAGAGGAAATGCAAATGACCGATATACATATGAAAAGATGCTCAACCTCAATAGTGATCAGAGAAATGCAAATTATAACCTAAGGAGATAGATACCACATTGCCTAATAGGTAGGAAAATATTTAAAGATTGATAATATCCAGAGTGCATGAAGCCCTAGGGAAAACGGCATGCTTATATATTGATAAACTGGTACAACTTCTTTGGAGGAGAAATTGGAAGTATATGCAGATATTATAAATGCATACACCTTTTGACTCAACAATTTCACTTGTAGAAATCTGTCCTACAAAAGCAATCATATAAATGTGTAAAAATATGCAGAACGTCAAAATCATTGTAGCATTATTTGTAAAGGTGAAAAATTTGAGAATAAGCTAAGTATTCATCAGTAAGGAAATGGTTAAATAAAATATAGTACATACTCTGGAACACAAATGCCACCATTAAAAAAAAAGCAGATCTGGGCCGGGCACGGTGGCTCACGCCTGTAATGCCAGCACTTTGGGAGGCCGAGGCAGGCGTTTGAGATCAGCCTGACCAACACGGAGAAACCCCATCTCTACTAAAAATACAAAATTAGCCAGGCATGGTGGCGCATGTCTGTAATCCCAGCTACTCGGGAGGCTGAGGCAGGAGAATCACTTTAACCCGGGAGGCGGAGGTTGCAGTGAGCCGAGATTGCGCCATTGCACTCGAGCCTGGGTGACAAGAGCGAAACTCCGTCTCAAAAAAAAAAAAAAAAAAAAAATGCAGATCTGCATTATGACTTACAAGGATGTCAATGATATATTTACATATTGCTAAGTATACAGAGCAGGCTGTTAAACAGTATTCATTGTATGATCCCATTTCTATTTCAAATACGTATGTGTGTGTATATACACATATATAAGCATATACCCATATATATATGTGTATATATTTATGCACACATATATGTATATATGTGTGTGTTTGCATAATAAAGAACTGGATGGATACCCATTAAATTGTTAACAGTGATTATTCCTGAAGAGTGGAAATGTAGAGAATGAATAAAAAATACACCTTCTATTTTTAACTGTATACATGTCAATAATTATAATAGTTAACATTTATTGAGCCCTTACTACATATCAAACTTATAAATGTTTTATAAGTATTAATTTATTTTATCTTGATAAACCTATGAGGTCATATAGATAATACTATTATCTATATTTTATAGATGAGGTCTTAGGGCACAGAGAAGCTGGGGAACTTACTCAAAGTTAATGCAGTTAGTCATCAATCTGGCCCCAGAGCCTGTGGATTATTGTTTTGTTTTGTTTTAACGATTCACATGAACTTCTTTTCATTTCAATCTCCTGCACTTCCTGCCCCCAGAAGTAATCATGATGACATTTTGCCACCTTTTCTTCCAGTCTTTTTCTTTTTGCCAACAGTTGTTATGGATTCAAGATTTTTCTACCTAAAAGGAGGGCCAAAAAGTCTTCAACTACAAGACTACCTCCACTTCACCACAGCCACTAACTTCCACGGTCAAAACCCAGATCTAGTCATTATCACCAAATACAGGCAGTTCTTACTGCATGATAGTGTGGATGCTGAAAATGAAAACTGAAACAGTGCAAAGCAATCTTAATCAGTGAGAAAAATTGCCATTGTTCGGTGACCTTTAAAAATTTTTGCCAAAACATTAAAAAACTCCTTTACTGTTCATTCCATTATTAATATATAGGGGAACGACCAAGCGCAGTAGCTCATGCTTGTAATCCCAGCACATTGGGAGGCCAAGGCAGGAAGATCGCTTCAGCCCAGGAGCTCGAGACCAGGCTGGGCAACATAGTGAGACCTTGTCTCTACTAAAACAATGCAAAAATTAGCGGAGTGTGGTGGCATGAGCCTGCAGTCCCAGCTACTCAGGAGGCTGAGGTGGGAGGATCCCTTGAGCCGGGGAGGTGGAGGTTGCAGTGAGCTATAATAGCACCACTGTACTCCAGCCTAGGTGACAGAGGAAAAGGCTGTCTCAAAAAACACAAATATATATATATATATATATAATTTATTAATTTATCAAATTTACAAATTTATGAGTTTTATGTATTATATATTTTACTAATTTATTTTGATCCATAATTTATATAATATATATTATGTAATTTATATATTTATGTAATATATATGTTACACTGTACTAAATGGGGGATCAAATAACTTAGGAAAACTGGATCAATTATGGGGAATCAAAATAAATTAGTAAAACTAACAACTAACTTTTTTTCGTACAGTATAATTTAAAGCATTGGAAACATTGAGCATTAAAATGTTTTATTCCTTTATAAAAAACTCATCAGTGGTAGTTTAAACAGTACTTGCCTTCTTCTTCTCATTTTATAACTTACAATACTCAGCGAGCATCATTTTTATGCCTGTGAACTGACATATTCCTTTTGAAGTTTGGATCAGCTTCCAACATTTTATGTTTCGTACTTTCAATAGTGTGAAATATCTCCAAGAGTTCCTTCAATGTGAAGTTGTTTGCTGATGTTACTTCCTCTGGGACATCTTTATCCTTTTTGCTACAACTTTCTCATTTATGTCAATTTTGTTCACCTTCACTGAGTTCCTCTGGCTGCATTTCCAGGGTTTCTGGAATGGTGCCAATGTCAACATTCCTATGGTCCCACGGTCAGCTATTTCTTTTATAACTCCCTATACTTTTGATTGAATGTCATTTTCAGCATCATAATTTTTCATTTCTTTGCTGTATTTGCATCTTTGTTGGCCAATTCCCCCTTTTTTGATTATTCATTTTTATAAAATGTCATGTGGGTTTATCACTGTGAGACAAGATGACACAAGTACACACTTTGCTGTCTGTGCATGAACTGAGTAATGTGAATAATAAACAGTCACCAACGGACGTGAAAAAACTTTGAAAGAAATGATTAGTCACTGATCATGATGTGCATCTGTTATTTATGCAGTGATTTGTGGACTGAAAAGAGTAATCAACCCAATCTGTACTTTATGCGATTAGTTACTATTTGATGGTAACTAAGATTTGAAGTGTTCTTGGGAGACTAGTGTTATTTAAGCTCTGGTAATTGAATTAATGGATATGGGAACCATGTATGCCACTTGCTTTCAGGTGATTCTGAATACAGCAGCCACAGTAATCATTTTTTGTTTGTTTTTTAGAGACAGAATCTAACTCTGTCACCCAGGCTGGAGTGCAGGGGCATGACCATAGGTTATTGTACCCCCGAACTCCTGGGCTCAAGAGACCCTCCCACCTCAGCCTTCTGAGTAGCTGGGACTACAGGCACATGTTGCTGCATCTGCCTATTTTATTTTTATTTTTATTTTTTTGTAGAGACAAGGTCTTGCTATTTGCCCAGGCTGGTCTCAAACTCCTGGCTTCAAGCAATCCTCCTGTCTTGGCCTCCTGAAACAGTGGGATTACAGTCATGAACCACCATGCCCAGGCCCACAGTAATCTTTCTTAAACAGAAATCAGCTGACACTCCTCTGCTCAAAACAACAGTGACTCCAATTTTCCTCAGAGTAACAGCCAAAGCCTTCCTGTGATCTACAAGGCCGTCATGATCTGCCTCTCCCCTTCTTCTACTCTGCATCTCACTCCTTCCCCTCTGATCACACTGTCCTCTTGCTGTTCTTTCTCACAGTCTTTCCATTGGCTGTCCCCACTGCTTGTGACACTCACCCCCCCTCCCCCACCCATAGGCACCTGGCTGCTTTCCTCATTTCTTTTAAGTCTTTATTCAAAACTCACTCTCTGAGAGAGGCCTATGCTAACCACTCTGCTTAATCTTGCAACCTGCTTTCTTCCCCCACCACAGCATGCCTCATCCACCTTGTCTGGCTTTCTTTTTCTTTTTTCTGTAGCATTCATTGCCTTCTAACATATTATACAATTTACTTACTTTAAAAATATCCATTATCTCTCCATCCTCTCACAATAAATGTAAGTTCCATGAAGGAAGGGATCTTCGCAGGTTTGATTCAATCCCATTTTCCAAGTAGCTAAAATGTTCCTGGCACATAGTAGGTGCACAATGAGTGAATATTTGTTGAATGAATAAATATAAATATCCACACCACTATCCCCAACTGTGTTCTTCTCAAACCACGTGTTACATTTCTGGTTCAGAAAACAAGGTCATCCTAGGTATATGCACAGGGGTTGATTTTGGAGAAAAATCTCCAAACAGATAAAATGTCAGATTGTGCGTCTTGCAGCTACAATGCAATAAGATTAATCCCAGACAATTCATTTAACTAAGTGAACACACGAAACTTGTCAGTTTCCTCTAAGAGTAGACAAAATAGCAGAATTCATCATTCTCTTTCTTCTAAGAGGTCCAACCATTTCTTCAATGAACACATCTGTAATATAAATCTTCCACCAGTTAAAATAGATTTGGGGAAAAGATGTTCATCTTTTCTTAAGTTCTGTCTACTGATTCAATTCCCCAAAAGTACCCATAGTTCATTTCCAGTTTACCTCAACCCTTAGTGAGCGCCATAGACACTACCATTATGCTTAGAAGTGGTGCTTCAAGATTCTTTGATTTATTGCCTTGCTTCCACATATAAACAGATGACTGCTTTTTACCTGTACGCAAAGGGATTCAATTTTCTTCCATTGACACATGTTCTAATTGTCATGCATTATTTCCTCATTCGTAATTTACCTGCAAGTGAAGGTTGCTTATTTTCTCTTCCTCCTACGGAGATGAACTGATTATCCTGATTCATATATTTGACTCTACTTCTTTCTTTTCATCCTCAAACTGATTAACACCAATTCATTTCACTTTTTTTAAAATATACGCCTATTTTCCAGTCTTTTCAAATGTCTTCTTTTGTTTGTTTTTAAAGTTCTCCACACTCTGAGTAAGATGACCTTTTTGATGCAGGCCCGCTCAACTGTTCCACCCACTAAGCTGATTGCTGAGGGTGGCAGAACTTCCCAGCTCCCTAAAGTACCTGAAGTACAGATTTTTCCCACTTGCTGGGCAAGTCTTCTAATTTTACAGGAATGCCTATTTTTGTCTTAGATCAAGCTCTCTTTCTCTGTGTAATCAGACTTTTAGTTTTGCACCTAAAATAGTCCTGGAAACATTATACTAAAGTCCACTGTTTGCCCCACTGGGACTTCCAGAAATAATCCTAGGAGGATATGAATTCTCTATGTGAATATTTAAATTTTGTGTTCTCATTTTGATGTTTATCTAAAAAGACCTTTAGGTAGGCATGTTATAAATCATCCAGATGGCCACCTTATAAGAGAATTGACATAGGATTCCTGGGCTTGAGTCTCCTATTTATTTAAGATCAAGTAGGTTCCAAGCAGTGATACTTGAATTGTACTGAGCTAATGGGTAAAGAAAAGAAGTAAAGGCCAGATGTTTGTTGTAACAGCAAAGATTTCATAGTAGTTGGAATGGGAAAAAAATAAAGAGACTGAGTTACCGCTTAGTAGTATAAGCATACCAAATAATTAAAAAGAAATCTGTGTCATATTCAGTTGCAAGCCCTATATTAATTTCTGCAAAATAACATCAATCATCATATCATATCAATGGTGATTATTTCAATGTTATTGGTTTTATGGATTTATTTCTATTTAATTTGTGAATTGACTTTCATTTTATTGTTGTATTAAGAGCTAGGAGCTCTTACAACGTGTTAGATTTTTCCATATTTAAGTAATGTTATAATAAACCTAATTTAAATCAGAGGGATGGCAGTCCCTGAGATGTTTTGCCCTTTAAATAGGACCAAGGGTTACTCAAGCTTGACAATCATGGCTGTGGTGGCTGTAGTCTTATTTGTCTTACGCTTCTCTTTTTCCTCTAGGTAATACATCCTACCCCTGATTCCAAGGGTGCTACATGTGACACATACTGAATTATATTAAGTAATCTATCCCCCTGGCCATGGTGATTGATCAAGAGATGTTGTCCTAGTCTGTTTTGTGTGGCTATAAAGGAATACCTGAGGCTGGGTAATTTATAAAGAAAAAAGGTTTGTTTGGTTCACAGTTCTGCAGGCTGCACAAGAAGCATGGTGCCGGCATCTGCTTCTGGTGAGGGCTTTAAGGAGCTTCCACTCATGGCATAAGGGAAAGGGGAGCCAGCCACATGGCAAGAGAGAAGGAAAGAGAGCAAGGGGGAGGAGTGCTTTTTTAAACAACCAGCTCTCTTTTATGCAACCAGCTTTTTTAAACAACCACTCTTTTAAACAACCAACTCTCAGGTGAACATACAATAGAGTGAGAAGTCACTCATTACTATGAGAGGGCACCAAGCCACTCATGAGGGATCCACCTCCATGACCCAAACACTCCCCACGAGGCCCCACCTCCAACACTGGAGACCAAATTTCATCATGAGCTGTGGAGGGCACAAATATCCAAACCACATCAGATGTCTACATGATGCAAGTCAACCCAAGATCTTCCCTGAGGTTTTTTTCTGGTAGAGCAGTAGGGGAAGATCTGTTTTCCTCTCGGGCTTGCCTCTGTAAGGATGTGGCTCCATAGTCTCCAAACACCCTGACGGGGAAAAGTGTGAGAGACAGAGAGAGTGAAAGAGAGTATTCTAGCATGTCTAGACCCCAGTTCCAGGCCCTGAGGCCCACAGAACTTCCCTAGCTCCTGCATTTCTTCCTGATGATGCAAATTATTCAAGTCTTTTTCTAACAAATCCCATTTTTTAATTTAATCTAGTTTAAGCTGAGTTCTGTCATTTAAAACCAAAGAAGTCTGAACCAATACTACTTCTAAATAAAATAAGTAAAAGTTTAAAAATAGCCTATCGGCCAGGCACAGTGGCTCACGCCTGTAATCCTAGCAATTTGGGAGGCCGAGGTGGGCGGATCACCTGAGGTGGAGAGTTCGGGACCAGCCTGACCAACATGGAGAAACTCTGTCTCTACTAAAAAATATAAAATTAGCCAGGCTTGGTGGCACATGCCTGAAATCCCAGCTACTCAGGAGGCTGAGGCAGGAGAATCGCTTGAACCCTGGAGGCGGAGCCTGCGCTGAGTCAAGATCGCGCCATTGTACTCCAGCCTGGGCAAAAAAAAAAAAAAAAAAAAGAAGGTGTGAAATACATTATGGCATGTACATTCCCACTGGAGGATGCTCATCAGGTGTAAAAGAGCATGTGGACACTCCCACTACATTGATATAGAAAGATATCCAATATTACCACTAAGTGAAAAGCACATGGTGCAAATCAGTATACACAGTATGTCATTGTTTGCGTGATGTATGTATCACACAGTGTGTGAGTGTGATACACTGTATATACACATACATATTTTATTGCGTTTACATAAAGAATCACAGTCTATAGGGGATAGAGGTGGGGTGAATCGTACTATGGGTTAGAATAAGACTTTTATGTGGGTTCCTCATTATACTGCTTTGACTTTTGAACCATGTAAACATGGTATCTATTCAAAGCTATAATAATATCAAATATCTACAGATTATTAGGAGGAAGGTTTTGTTTCCAATAAGCTAGAAAATATAACCCTCTCCTTGCACTTTGCCCTTAGACTTTCTCTTCTGTAATCTATTTCTAGCATTTGGGTTTTTTTTCCTTTACAACTGAACACGACTATCTGCCTGAGAATACCCAGAGCAGATGGTGGCCTCAACAAGCTTGTCTCTTCTGAGAACTGTTTGAATAAATCTAACCAGAAAGTAAATTATGTATGTTTACAACCTTCAGTTGGAATTAGAGTGATTAGAATATTTAGATAAAATTTGAATCCCATTAGTCCCTTATTAAAAGGATAGTAATATTATATGTTTATCACACTTGAATAGGAAGGGACTACCAAAATAGTTTTCTAGACTGAATTAATCTTCCCATAACAAGATAGATAATAGTTCAGTCTAAGTCATCTCTCATTCTTTTGACATTAAGTATCTTTTTGTTGATTACTCAGTAACATTTGAATTTCATGAATGAATCGGTTTTTAAATAATGCAGATACAAATTTTACAGTATTCTTATTTATTTGGATCATTAACTTTATCTACAGTAAGGGTTTGTAACCTAGAATCCACAGGTAGAATTCAGAGGTCTATTAATTTAGGTAGAAAAAAATGACATCTCTATTTCTACTAACCTGTAACTGAAACGTCACAGTTCCTTTCCTTATGGTGTAAGCAGTAGAACAAAGTGACATCAGCAGTACCTATGACATGGTCACCAACAGAAATCACAGATATTTTTATATAACATTACAGTTGCTGTAGGTATATCTCCAAAGATCATGCTCACCACTATTTCAAAATTACAAAAGTTATTAAACTCACTACTAGATTTTGTTTAATATGTTCAGAATATGATATTATATATCACATATTTTCAAATAGTTGGATAACTTTTTCCATGGTAATCTTCTTGGGAATCTTATGTATTTATTTCAGGCATTTATTTATTTTGAAAAGGGCTCCATAGTCTTTATCAGACTGCCAAAAGGGTCTCCCGCATACAAACAGGCCAAGAAGCTCTATTAACTTTCTCGTGCTGCATAAGAAATTACCACAAACTTAGTGGTGTAAAACAACACATATTAATTATCTCACAGTTTCTGTGGGGCTCACAGTCTCCAGTTTAGTTGAGTCACCTGGCCATGGCCTCACAGGCTGAGATCAAGGTGCTGGTCAGGGCTATGATCTAATCTGAGGCTTGGAGACCTCTTTCAAGCACATATGGTTGTTGGCAGAGTCTATTTCCCAGCAGCTTGCTTCTTTAAGAGAGTTATTTTGTCTCTGTCCTGTACATCCTTTTATAAAGGGTTCACCTGATTAGGTCAGTCCCACCCAATGCAGTCTCCTTTTTGATTAATTTAAAGTCAACTGATAAAGGCCTTAATTACATCGGCAAAATCCCTTCACCTTCAGCAAATAAGGTAACCTAATTATGGGAGTGATATTTCATAATCTTTGTCATAGTCTATTGGCTAAAAGTAAGTAACAGTTCCTACCTACAATCAAAGGGAGGGAATTATACAAAAGTGTGACTCATTGAAGGTTGTCTTAGAATTCTACCTAGCACAGAAGTTCTGATCTTCAGGAAGGCAGCGTGGTCAAGGGGAACCATACAGTCCAGGAGGAAAGAGGCTTGGGTTCTAACTGCTCCCATCTAATGGGCAACTACTGTGCAAAGCACTTTGCCAGGTTCTGGACATATCTCACCCTAATTCCCACAATAAGCCCCTGATAAGACAGATATTTTGATCTTTGATTTAGAGTTAGGGAAATGGAAGTTCAGAGAGGTTAAATGACTTGCCTCAGGTTACATAGCCAGCAAAACATACAGCTAATATTTGAATCCCGGTTAGAAAACAATGCACCAAATTTCACATACAATTTCAGTAGGTTTAATAGTACATATATACATGTATATATACACACATACATGTATACATGTATATATATACATACATATATATGTATATATACATACATATATACATGTATATATATACACATATATGTATGTATATATATACACATATATATATACACACACACATATATGTGTATATATATATACTTTAAGTTCTAGGGTACATGTGCACAACATGCAGGTTTAGGTATACATGTGCCATGCTGGTTTGCTGCACCGATCGATCAACTCATCATTTACATTAGATATTTCTCCTAATGCTATCCCTCCCCCAGCCCCCCACCCCATGACAGACCCCGGTGTGTGATGTTCCCTGCCCTGTGTCCAAGTGATCTCATGGTTGAATTCCCGCCTATAAGTGAGAACATGTGGTGTTTGGTTTTCTGTCCTTGTGATAGTTTGCTCAGAATGATGGTTTCCAGCTTCATCCATGTCCCTGCAAAGGACATGAACTCATCCTTTTTTATGGCTGCATAGTATTCCATGGTGTATATATGCCACATTTTCTTAATGCAGTCTATCATTGATGGACATTTGGGTTGGTTCCAAATCTTTGGTATTGTGAATAGTGCCACAATAAACATACGTGTGCATGTGTCTTTATAGTAGCATGATTTATAATCCTTTGGGTATATACCCAGTAATGGGATTGCTGGGTCAAATGGTAATTCTAGTTCTAGAAACTTGAGGAATTGCCACACTTCTGCAATGGTTGAACCAACTTACACTCCCACCAACAGTGTAAAAGTGTTCCTATTTGTCCACATCCTCTCCAGCATCTATTGTTTCCTGACTTTTTAATGATTGCCATTCTAACTTTGTGTGATGGTAACTCACTGTGGTTTTGATTTGCATTTCTCCCATGACCAGAGATGATGAGCATTTTTTCATGTGTCTGTTGGCTGCAGAGATGTCTTCTTTTGAGAAGTGTCTGTTCATATCCTTTGCCCATTTTTTGATGGGTTTTTTTTTCTTGTAAATTTGTTTGAGTTTTTTATAGATTCTGGATATTAGCCCTTTGTCAGATGGGTAGATTGCAAAAATTTTCTCCCATTCTGTAGGTTGCCTGTTCACTCTGATGAATAGTTTCTTTTGCTGTGCAGAAGCTTTTTAGTTTAATTGGATCCCATTTGTCAATTTTGGCTTTTTTTGCAATTGCTTTTGGGGTTTTTGTCATGAAGTCTTTGTCCTTGCCTATGTCCTGAATGGTATTGCCTAGGTTTTCTTCTAGAGTTTTTATGGTTTTGGGTTTTACACTTAAGTCTTTCATCTATCTTGAGTTAATTTTTGTATAAGGTGTAAGGAAGGGGTCCAGTTTCAGTTTTCTGCATATGGCTAGCCAGTTTTCTCAGCACCATTTACTGAATAGGAGATCCTTTCCCCACTGCTTGTTTTTCTCAGGTTTGTCAAAGATCAGATAGTTGTAGATATGTGGCATTATTTCTGAGGGCTCTGTTCTGTTCCATTGATCTATATCTCTGTTTTGGTACCAGTACTATGCTGTTTTGGTTACTGTAGCATTGTAGTATAGTTTGAAGTCAGGTAGCATGATGCCTCCAGGGTTGTTCTGTTTGCTTAGTATTGTCTTGGCTATATGGAATCTTCTTTGATTCTATATAAAATTTAAAATAGTTTTTTTCTAATTCTGTGAAGAATGTCAATGGTAGTTTGATGGGAGTAGCACTGAATCCATAAATTACTTTGGGCAGTATGGCCATTTTCATGATATTGATTCTTCTTATCCATGAGCAGGGAATATTCTTCCATTTGTTTGTGTCTTCTTTTATTTCCTTTAGCAGTGGTTTGTAGCTGTCCTTGAAGAAGTCCTTCACATCCCTTGTTAGCTGTATTCCTAGGTACTTTATTCTCTTTGTAACAATTGTGAATGGGAGTTCATTCATGATTTGGCTCTCTGCTTGTCTATTGTTGGTGTAAAGGAATGCTTGTGATTTTTGCACATTGATTTTGTATCCTGAGACTTTGCTGAAGTTGCTTATCAGTTTAAGGAGTTTTGGGGCAGAGATGATGGGGTTTTCTAAATATACAATCATGTCATCCCTAACAGAGACAATTTGACTTCCTCTCTTCCTATTTGAATACCCTTTATTTCTTTCTCTTACCTGATTGCCCTGGCTAGAACTTCCAATACTATGTTGAATAGGAGTGGTGAGAGAGGACATCCTTTTCTTGTACCGGATTTCAAAGGGAATGCTTCCAGCTTTTGCCCATTCGATATGATATCGACTGTGGGTTTGTCATAAATAGCCCTTATGATTTTGAGATATGTTCCATCAATATCTAGTTTATTGAGAATTTTTAACATGAAGGGATGTTTAATTTTATCAAAGGTCTTGTCTTTTCTGCACCTATTGAGATAATCATGTGGTTTTTGTCTTTGGTTCTGTTTATGTTTTGTCTTTGGTTCTGATTCCATTTACTGATTTGCATATGTTGAACCAGCCTTGCATCCTAGGGATGAAGCTGACTTGATCATGGTGGATAAGTTTTTGATGTGCTGATTGATTCAGTTTGCCAGTATTTTATTGAGGATTTTCACATCCATGTTCATCAGGGATATTAGCCTGAACTTTTCTTTTTTTGTTGTGCCTCTTCTCAGTTTTAGTATCAGGATGATGCTGGCTTCATAAAATGAGTTAGGGAGGAATCCTTGCGTTTCAATTATTTGGAATTGTTTCAAAAGGAATGGTACCAGCTCCTCTTTGTATTTCTGGTAGAATTCAGCGGTGAGTCCATCTGATCCTGGGCTTTTTTTGCTTGATAGGCTACTAATTACTGCCTCAGTTTCAAAATTTGATATTGGTCTATTCAGGAATGCAATTTCTTCCTCATTTAGTCTTGGGAGGGTGTATGTGTCCAGCAGTTTATCCATTTCTTCTAGATTTTCTAGTTTATTTGCATAGAGGTGTTTATAGTATTCTCTGATGGAAATTTGTATTTCTGTGGCGTCAGTGGTGATATCCCTTTTATCATTTTTTATTGTGTCTATTTGATTCTTCTATCTTTTCTTCTTTATTTGTCTAGCTAGTGGCCTATCTATTTTGTTAATTTTTTCAAAAAATCAGCTCCTGAATTCACTGATTTTTTTTGGAGGGTTTTTCATGTCTCTATCTCCTTCAGTTCTTCTCTGATCTTCGTTATTTCTTGTCTTCTGCTAGTTTTTGGATTAGTTTGTTCTTGCCTCTCTAGCTCTTTTAATTGTGATCTTAGGGTGTCAATTTGAGATCTTTCAAGCCTCTGATGTGGGCATTTAGTGTCATAAATTTCCCTCTTAACACTGCTTTAGCTATGTCCCAGAGATTATGGTACATTGTCTCTTTGTTCTCGTTGGTTTCAAAGAACTTCTAGATTTCTGCCTAAATTTCATTATTTACCTAGGAGTCATGCAGGAGGAGGTTGTTCAATTTCCATGGAATTGTGTGGTTTTGAGTGAGTTTCTTAATCCTGAGTTCTAATTTGATTCCACTGTGGTCTGAGAGACTGTTATGATTTCCGTTCTTTTGCATTTGCTGAGGAGTGTTTTACTTCCAATTATGTGGTCAATTTTAGAATAAGTGCCATGCGGCACTGAGAAGAATGTAGATTCTGTTGATTTGGAGTAGAGAGTTCTGTAGATGTCTACTAGGTCCACTTGATCCAGAGCTGAGTTCAAGTCCTGAATATCCTTGTTAATTTTCTGTCTCATTGATCTGTCTAATACTGACAGTGGGGTGTGAAAGTCTCTCACTATTATTGTATGGGAGTCTAAGTCTGTTTGTAGGTCTCTAAGAACTTGTTTTACGAATCTGGGTGCTCGTGTATTGGGTGAATATATATTTAGAATAGTTAGCTCTTCTTGTTGAATTGTTCCCTTTACCATTATGTAATGCCCTTCTTTGTCTTTTTTGATCTTTGTTGGTTTAAAGTCTGTTTTGTCAGAGACTACGATTGCAATCCCTGCTTTTTTTTTTTTTCTTCCCATTTGCTTGGTAAAATTTCCTCCATCCCTTTATTTCACTCTCACCACTTTTATTCAACATTTTTCTAGAAGCTCTAGCCAAACAAAACAAAACAAAACAAAAAACTGATGAATAAATTAAAGGCATCCAAATAGGAAAAGAAAAAGTAAAACTCTCTTTTCCCAATGACATGATGTTATATATAGAACATCCTAAAGAATCTACCAGAAAAAAAATCCCTATTAGGGTTAATAAGAAAATTCAGCAAAGTTTCAGGATACAAGATCAACACACAAAAAACTACTTCTATACGCTATAATGAGTAACCCAAAAAGGAAATTTTAAAAAAATTCAACTGGTAAAATCACAACATCACAGTGGCTATTATCAAAAAGGCAAAAATAACAAGTGCTGTTGGGGATGTAGAAAAAAGGGAATGCTTGCACTCTGTGGAAAGGAATGTAAATTAGTACAGCCCTTATGGAAAACAGTATGGAAGTCCCTCAAAAAGTAAAAAATAGAATTACCCTATGATCCAGGAATTCCACTTCTGGGTATATATCCAAAGGCATTAAAATCAGTATGTCAAAGAAATGTCTGTGCTACTGTGTTTATTGTGACATTATTCACAATAGCCAAGATATAAAATCAACCTAAATCATTAATAGATAAACGGAGAAGGAAAATGTTTTATACACACACACACACACACACACACACACACACACACACACACACACACAATGGAATACTATTCAGTGTTAAGAACAAGGAAATCCTGTTATTTGTGACAGCATGGATGAACCTGGAGAAAATTATGCTAAATGAAGTAAGCCAGGCACAGAAAGACAAATACTCCATGATTTCACTTATACATGGAGTCTAAATAAGTTGAACTCATAGAAGCAGAGAGTAGAATGGTGGTTTCCAAGGACTGCAGTTCGGGGCTTGGGAATGGGAAGATGTTGGTCAAAGAGTACAAAATTTCAGTTAAACAGGATAAATAAGTTCTGGAGATCTACTGTACAGCATAGTGACTATAGTTAATAATAATGTATTGTATATTTGAAAATTACAAAAAAGTGATCTTAAATGTTCTCACAACAAAAAATAAGCATGTGAGGTGAGAGATATGTCAATTAGCTTGATATAACCATTTCACCATGCATTCATATACCAAAACATCATGTTTTTACACTGTAAATATATAAAAGTTTTATTTGGCAACTATATATTTTTTTTTTTTTGAGACGGTGTCTTGCTCTGTTGCCCAGGCTGGAGTGCAGTGGTGCGATCTCAGCTCACTGCAACCTCCGCCTCCTGGATTCAAGCAATTCCCCTGCCTCAGCCTCCTGAGTGGCTGGGATTACAGGCATCTACCACCATGCCTGGCTAATTTTTGTATTCTTAGTAGAGGTGGGGTTTCACCATGTTGGCCTGGCTGGTTTCAAACCCCTGACCTCAAGTGATCCACGTGCCTTGGCCTCCCAAAGTGCTGGGATTACAGGCATGAGCCACCACACCCAGCGAACTATAATTTTTCTTAAAAATAATTAAAAACCCCATTCAATTTATAATAGCATCAAAAATAAACTACTTATGAATACATTTAACCAAGGAGGTGTATAATTTGTACACTAAAATCTACAAAACGCTGTTAAGATAAATTGAAGAAGACTTAAGTAAATGGAAAGACATCTCATTTTCATGGATTGGGAAAACAAATATTGCTAATATGACAAAACTGCTGAAATTGATCTACAAATCAAACATAATCCCCTTAAAAATCAGGTGGATTTTTTGCAGAAATAGAAAAAGCTAATCCTAAAACTCATTTGGCAGAATAAGGGACCCAGAAGAGCCAAAATAATATTGAAAAATAACAAAGTTGGTAGACTCACACTTCCAGATTTCAAAACTTGCTACAAAGCTATATTAATCAAGAAAGCATGGTACTGGCATAAGGATAGACATGTAGATCAATACAATAGAATTGTGAGTCCAGAAATAAACCCTCACATTTATGCTCAATTGATTTTCAACAAGGGTATCAAGGTAATTCAATGGGAAAAATGTTTTCAACAAATGATGCCTAGACAACTAGATATCCACAGTCAAAGTAATGAAATTGGACCCCTTCCTTATACCATATATAACAATTAACTCAAAATGGATCATAGAATTAAAGGTAAGTGCAAGCTGGGCATGGTGGCATGCATCTGTAGTCCTAACTGCTCAAAAGGGTGAGGTGGGTGACTTGCTTGAACCCAGGAGTTTGAGGGTACAGTGAGCTATGATTGTGCCACTGCATCCCAGCCTGGGCAAGAGAGTAAGGCCCTGTCTCAAAAAATACTTTTTAAATGTAATGCTAAAACTATAAAACGTTTAGAAAAAAACAGAGGCATAAATCTCTATGATCTTAAGTTATGTAATGGTTTCTTTAGACATGTCACCAAATGTTCAAACAACCATAGGAAAAAAATAGGTAAATTAGATGTCATCAAAATTAAAACTATTGTGATTCAAATGACACCATCAAGAAAGTGAAAAGTCAACCCACAATATTAGGGAAAGCATTTGCAAATCGTGTATCTAACAAGGGACCTGTATCCAGAATCTATAAAGAACTCTTACAACCCAATAATGAAAAGACAACCCAATTATTTTTAAGGGAAAATCATTTGAATGTACATTTATCCAGAGATATGCAAATGGCAATAAACACACGAAAAGGTGCTAAACATCATTAGTAATAGGGAAATGCAAATAAAAACCACAAGGAGAATACTACTTCACATCCAATAGAGTGACTGTTAAAAAAAAAAGAAAGTAAAACAGTTAATAGGCATGGATGAGAGAAATTGGAACTCTCCTTTATTGCAGGTGGGAATGAAAAATGTTACAGCTTCTTTGGAAAGAGTTTCGCATCTCCTCAAATATTTAAACATGTAGTTAATATGTAACTCAGCAATTCTACTCCTAGGTATATGCCCAAGAGAAATAAAAGCATATGTCCCTGCAAAAACGTGTATACTAATGTTCACAGCAACATTGTTTATAACAGTCAAAAGGTGGAAAGTGATGAATGGATAAACTGATGAATGAATAGGCAGATGATAAATGGATGAACAAAATGTGATATATCCATACGCTAGAATATTATTCAGCCAAATAAGCCAAACACAAAAAGATAAACAATGTATGATTTCACTTACATGAGGTAATTAGACTAGTCAAATTCATAGAGACAGACAGTAGAATAGTTTTTACCAGGGACTCCGGGAGAAGGGAATGGGGAGTTATTGTTTAATGGGTACAGAGCTTTCATTTAGATGTAAAAATTCTGGAACTAGATGGTGGTGATGTTTGCACAACAGTGTAATGTGTTTCATGCCACTGAACTGTACACTCAAAAATGGTGAAAATGGTATATTTTATATTATGCATATTTTACCACAGTAAAAAAGAATAAAGTATTGATAGATACTATAGCATGAATTAGCCTTGAAAACATGCTAAGTGAAAGATGTCAGTCACAAAACTACATATTATATCATCTCATTTATATGCTATATCCAGAATAAGCACATCTATAGAGACAGAAAGCAGGTTAGTGGTTTCCCAAAGCTGGGAGAGAGTGAGAGGATGAGGATTTACTGCTAATGAGTACAAGGTTTCTTTGGGGGCATCATGATAATATTTTATAATCAGATTATGTTGATCCTTGTACAACTGGGTAAATATGCCAAAAAACATTGTCTACTTTAAACAGTTGAACTTTATGGTATATAAAACATATGTGAATAAAACTGTCTAAAAAACTGAAAAAGAAGATGCAAAATTATTACTTTCAGAAACTTTTGTTGTACACCTAGAAAGTTCAAGAATATTAATGGAAAAAATTATAAACAATAAGATGATACAGTAGAGTAAATGGATACCAAAATAAAATATAAAGAACATTTCTATATGTTAACAACCACTTAGAAAGGATAAAGGGAAGATAGACCTCATTTATAAAAGAAAAAATGCTATATGACCTATGAATAATACTATCCAGCAAAATACAATATGTAAATAAAAAAATTATAAATGCTACTAAAGTACATAAAGGAATTCTTAAAATGGATAGTTGTACTTTATTCCTGGCTCAGAAAACTCAATATTATAAAGATATCAACTGTCCCTAAATTAATCACTATATTTAATATGGCCCCAATAAAAACACAAACAGGATTTGGAGGCAGGGACAAGTGATTCTAAGGTTCTCATGAAAAAATACACATGCAGTAATAGACGAATTCTGAAGGACAAGAGTAATGAGAGGGCGGCCGGGCACCATGTGTCACACCTGTAATCCCAACACTTTGGGAGGCTGAGGCGGGCAGATTGCTTCAGGCCAGTTCAAGACCAGCCTGGACAACACAGCAAAACCCCATCTCTACAAAAAAAAAAAAAAAAAAAAAAGTAAAGAGAGGAGATAGATTTACCTTATATTAAAGCATATTATAAAGCTTCAGGAACAAAGCTTCAGTAACTAGAGCAGTTTGGAATAGGCACGTGATTAGATAGACAAATCAATGAAGAACAAACAATCCAAATATATATGAGAATTTAGCATAAAATAAATTTGGTATTAAGTTAGTAAGGAAAACACTTTATTTCATTTATTTATTTTTATGTATGTATTTATTTATTTTTTTGAGACAGGGTCTTGCTCTGTCACCCAGGCTGGAGTGCAGTGGCAGGATCTCAGCTCACTTCGACTTCCACTTCCCTGGCTCAAGTAGTGATCCTTCCCTCCTCAGCCTCTCAAGTAGCTGGGACCACAGGTGCCTACCACCACACCTGGCTAATTTTTGTATTTTCTGTAGAGACAGGGTTTCACCATGTTGCCCAGGCTGGTCTCAGACTCGTGAGCTGAAGCAATCTGCTCGTGTTGGGCTCCCAAAGTGCTGGGATTATACACTGTATTTTAAATGGTAGTGAGATAACTTTACAAAGCCTTTTTAAGGCCTGACATAAACCCAAAAGCCATTAAAAGAAAAAATATAAATATGGCTACATAAAAATAAAATTTCCTACATAGAAATAAAACAGTACAAGACAAATACTAATACCAAGCAGAGACCTGCCTCCGGGTCTTCACACTTTCTGTTTCCTTTCACTGGAATACTCTTTTCGCAGATGTATATAGGCAAGTTCTATCTTTATCTCATTGAGTGCTCCTTCTTCATCTCCCTTGCTTCCTCTTCCTCATCTCCCAATCCAGTATCTACATTCACTACTTTCTTGGTGATTTTGTCTAGTCTCATGGCTTCAAGTTGCATCTATCTGTGGTCAGTCCCCAAACTGTTCTAATCACAAACTTTCCCATCTCAGTTGATGACAACTCCATCGTTCCAATGTTAGGTACAAAAATCTTGGAGTCATTCTTATCTCCTCCCTTCTCACACCCTACATTTAATATTTCAGGAAACCTTTATACATCTACCTCCAAAATATCTCCAGAGTTCAATCACTTTCACCCCCACCATTGCTAACACCCTGGTGCAAGCCACCATCATATCTCTTGCCTGGATGAATGCAAGAGCTTTTTATGGCTCTTCCAGCTTCTGTCCTTCCTCCTTCAAGTTTGTTATCAATATAGCAGTCTGACTGATCCTCTAAAAATGAAGGTTATGTCACATCACTCTTCTGTTTAAAATCCTCCAGTGACTCCTATCTAATTCAGAGTCAAAGCCCAAATCCGTACAATGGCCCACGAGGCCCTTCATGATCTGGCACCCCATTACCACCTTGGTGTCATCTATTTAATGTAACAAACTCTGGATCTGGCACTCTTGATCCGCCTGAACTTACTTTACTGTTTCTTTTACCCATAGCATTGATCAACTACTAAAATAGTATATAATTAATTCATTACATTTATTATTTATTTCTGTTTCCCCCCACCCCAGAGTGTGTGATCCACGGGGTAAAACTTTTTGTGGTTTGTCTTATTTACTACTGCAACACAAGAGTCTAGAATTGTGCCTGGCACAGGCTTAATAAATACTTTTGAAATGAATAAGTGTCCACATGGCTTACTTCATTGCCTTCAGGTATCTATTCGAATGTCACCTTATTAGGAAGGCCTTTCCTGACCACTATATATAAAATAGCAACTCCTTCATACCAAGCACTCCCTATTCCTTGTATATGCTTTATTATTTTATCCCACTTATCATCACCCAGCGTATTAGTTCTTTTCTTATTGTCTGTCTCTCTCCATTACATGTAAGATTCATGAGAGCCGGGGCTTTGTTTTGTTCAGTGCTGCTCTCTAGAACCAAGTATAGTACTTGATACTTAATAAGCACTGAATAAATATCTAATGAAATAATAAACCCCACAGATACAGGGAGATTTTCTTAATATATAAACAACTCCTACAAATCAATAAAATACCAACAACTCAATAGAAAAATCACAAAAGACAGAACAGAAATTATAAATAGCTTTCAAATATATGAAACCCTATATATCTAAACCTTAATACATAAAAGGGAAATGCAAATGGACACTTCTAAGAGACAATATTTTTAACCCTCAGATTAAAATTTATATTTATACATATACAAAAAGTATATATATTTATACATATATAATATATATATATATAATACATAATATAAATTAAAGACTCTTAGGCAGCATATGAGGAACAGTAATAACATCTAATACATAGCACTTACACTGTTCCAGGTATAATTCTTAAAACATTACAAATATTAACTCATTTAATCCTCACAATGATCCCATGAGGTACACTAAATGTTATGATCTCTGTTTTACAGATGATTCAACTGAGGCACAGAGAAGTTAGATAACTTGCATAAAACTACACAGCTACTAAGTTGCAGAGCAACGATTTGAAAGTAGGCAACCTAGCTGTAGATTCCAGGTATTTAAGTACTATGTATAACTCTCAACAAGTATGCACAAGTATTTTCAGAAACTATAAATTGGTACCACCTTATTGGAGGGAAACTTTTAAGTGTCCATAAAAGTTTAAATGAGTTTTTGCATTTCTACTAGCATTGAATGGGAGTTGTTGTTGTAACACATCCTTGTCAGTAGTAGGTGTTGTCAGTGTTTTGGAGTTTAGCCATTCTAGTATGTGTATAGTGGTATCCCATTGTTCTAATTTGCAATTCCCTAATGACAAATGATGTTCATCATCTTTTCACTTGCTTTATAATTTTTAAATTGAGTCATCTAATTGTTGAGATTTAAGGGTTCTTTGTGTATTTTGGATACCAGTTCTTTATCAGATATGTTTTAAAAATATTTTCTGCCAGTCTGTGGCTTTTTTATTTTCTTAACAATATTTTTCACAAAGTAGAAGTTGTCTTAGCAGTGTCCAACTTACCAATTTTTTCTTTCATGTATCATGCTTATGGCGTTGTATCTAAAAAGTCATCACCAAACCCAAGGTCACCTATACTTTATCCTATATTATCTTCTAGGAGCTTAATAGTTTTACATTTTACCTTTAGGTCTATGATGCACTTTGAGTTAATTTTTATGAAGAATGTAATGTGTAATGTCTATGTCTAGATTATAATTTTTTTTGATTTTTGTTTTTGAGACAGAGTCTCACTCTGTCACCCAGGCACCCAGGCTGGAGTGCAGTGGCACAATCTTGGCTCACTGTAACTCTGCCTCCTGGGTTCAAGCCATTCTCATGCTTCAGCCTCCCGAGTAGCTGGGATTACAGGCTTATGCCACCACGTCCAGCTAATTTTTGTATTTTTAGTAGACGTAGGGTTTCGTCATGTTGACCCGGCTTGTCTCGAACTCCTGGCCGCAAGTAATCCACTCGCCTCGGCCTCCCATAATGCTAGGATTACAGGCGTGAGCCACCAGGCCCACCCTTTTGCATGAGGGTGTCCAGTTGTTCTAGCGCCACTTGTTGAAAGGACTATCTTTTCTCCATTGAATTGCTTTTGCTCCCTGATCAAAAATCAGTTGACTATATTCATGTGGGTCTATTTCTGGGCTCTCTATTCTGTTCCACTGATCTATTTGTCTATTCTTTGACCAATAACTCGTTGTATTGATTACTATAGCTTTATGGTAAGTCTTGACATCAGGAAGTTTTAGTCCTCCAACAAAATGTCCATAAAATAACTTGATGAAATCTTGATTGAGATTGCATTTAATTTACAGATTAAGATGGAAAAGACTGACATCTTGACAATATTGAATCTTTCTATCCATGTACATGGACTATTTCTCCATTCATTTAGAATCTTTTTATTTCATCAAAGTTTTATAGCTTTCCTCATGTAGATCTTGTATAAAATGAATTTTAATCCCAGTTGTATTGCTATTCTCTAAGGTATCCAGCATCAAAGCCTTAGAGATGACTTCAGTGCTTGTCACCCAGTCCTTACCTCATTCGCTGACAAGTGCTATACATACTGGTTTCTAAATAACTTGAATTCATCTGCTTTTCTCCATGTCTACTGCCAGCACCTTAATTAAGGCCGCCATCATCTATCATCTGGAGGACTGTGATAGACTTTTGCCTAGTATCCCTATTTTCACTCATGCCATTTTTATTTCTACCACTTATGGCAGTTAATCACTTGTTTCTAAACTGAAAATTTTCTTAAAATAATTATAGATTAATATGCATTTGTTACAGTAACATCTAGTTTATCTATTGCCCAGTTTTTTCCAATGATAGCATCTTATAAAACTGTAGTATGATGCCCCAACTATGATATTGACATTGATACAATCTACCGATTTTATTTAGATTTCTCCAGTTTGACTTGTATTCATTTGTGTGGGTATGAGGGTATTTAGTTGTATACAATTTTATCACATGTACAGGTTGATGTATCCACCACCGTGATCAAAATAACGGACAGTTCTATTACCAAAAATATCCCTTGTGTTACCCTTTTACAACTACATCTGTCTCCTTCTCTGCCCATCTCCCCATTCCTAGGCACTGGAATGACTAATCTGTTCATTTCTAAAATTTTGCCATTCCAAGAACATCATACAAATGCACTTTTCCTCTTGGGATTGGCCTTATTCACTTAGTGTAAGTCTCTGGAGATTCGTCCAAGATGTGGTATGCATCAATAGTGCATTTCTTCTTATTGCTGAGTAGTATTCCATGGTATGGATGTACCACAGTTTGTTTAAGCATTTACCCAGTGAAGGACATTTGTGTTTTTATTTTTCCAATTTAGGGCTATAATGAATAAAGCTTCTATAAACTTTGGTGTACAGGTTTTTGTGTGGACATACATTTTTCATTTCTTTAGAATAAATCCTCAAGAGTGTGACTGTGGATCACATGGTGTTTCTTCTCTAAGAAACTGCCAAACTGTTTCAAAGAGATGTTGTACCATTTAATATTCCCACCAGCAATAAATAAGGGAGCTAGGTTCTCCATATCCTCCTCAGTGTTTAGTGGTGTCACTACTTTTTGTTTTTCTAATTCTGACAGATGTGCAGTAATACTGCATTACATGTGGTTTTAATTTGCATTTCCCTAATGGCTAGAGATGTTTTCATTGCTATTTTACCACCATCTGCATATCCTTCTTGGTGAAATGTCCTTGGTCATCATGTGATTGAATTGTTTGTATTTTTAGGATTGAGATTTGAGAGTTGTTGTGGTGGTGGTGGTAGTGGTGGTGGTTTTGAGACAGAGTCTCACTCTGTCACCCAGGCTGGAGTACAGTGGCATGATTTCTGCTCACTGCAACCTCTGCCTCCTGGGTTCAAGCAATTATCTGCCTCAGACTCCCAAGTAGCTGGGATTACAGGTGCCTGCTACCACGCCCGGCTAATTTTTGTATTTTTAGTAGAGACGGGATTTCACCATCTTGGCCAGGCTGGTCTTGAATGTCTGACCTTGTGAGCCACCACACCCAGCCGAATTGAGAGTTCTTCATATATTCTAGATACTAGTCCTTTGTCAAGTATGCGGATTGCAGATATTTTCTCCAAGATCGTAGTTTGTCTTTTTAATTTTCGTAACAGGATATTTCATACAGCAAAAATCTTTACATTTTGATGAAGACCAATTTATCACTTTTTCCTCTTACAGATTGTGCTTTTAGTTTCAAAACTAAAAATTCCTCACTAAGTCTTGTTCCCAAAGATTTTTCTCCCATGTTTTCTTCTAAAATTGTCTTTGTTTTACCTTCTACATTTAAATCTATGATCCAGCATTGTTATAAACATTAAATAAAAATAGGTACTTAAAGCTAGACATGGTGGCTCATGTCTGTAATACCAACATCTTGGGAGGCCAAGATGGGAGGATCGCTTGAGGCCAGAAGTTTAAGACCAGCCTGGTCAACACAATGAGACTCTATTTACACAAAAAGTTAAAAAGAAAAAAAAGTAGCCAGGCATGGTGGCACATGCCTGTAGTCCCAACTATTAAGGAGGCTAAGGCAGGAGGATTTCTTGAGCCCAGAAGTTTGAGGCTGCAAGACCCTGTCTCTAAGAAAAAATGAAAAGTAAATCTATGATCCATTTTGAATTAATGTTTGTGCAATGTGTGAGGTTCAAGTCAAAGTTTCTTTTTTCTTTTTGTCTGTGGATATCACATTGTTTCAGGACCATTTATTGAAAAGGCTATCTTTCCTCTATTGAACTGGATATATTTGTGTGGGTCCATTTCTGGGTTATCTATTTCCTTCCATTAATTCATATGCCTGCCGTTCTGCCAATCATGACACTGTCATGATTCCTCTATCTATATAGTGAGCCTTAATATCAGATAGAATGGTTTCTTTTACTTTAATCTTTTTTCACAAGATTGTTATAGCTGTTATATGGACTGTGACTTTCCATTTACATTTTAGAATAAGTAGGTCTATGTCTAAAATGAAATTATGCTGGAATTTTGATAGAAATTTCACTAAACCTTTAGATGAATCTGGGGGAAATTAACATCTTTATAATGCTGACACTTTCAATCCATAAATATAGTATGTTCTTACATTTTTAGATTTTTTTGATATCTCTTATCAGCACTTTGTAATGTTCAGTATATAGATCCTGCATGTGTTTTCTTAAGCATTTATACAGATTTTCTTTGGCATGATTGTAAATTATGTTTTTAGATTTTGATTTCCACATGTTAGTTGTTAGCATTTAGAAATGTAATTGATTTTTGCATGTTGATCTCGTACACTCGTATACTGTTACCTTGTTGAAGTTATTTATTAGTTCTGGGAATTCTTTTCTAGATTTCTTGAGATTTTCTATACATACAACCACATCATTTGAAAGTAGAAGTTTAATTTTCTTTTTTCCAGTCTGTATGCCTTTTATTTTATTTTCTTGCTTTATTCTGCTGGCTAAATCTTCTAATATGATGTTTTAAAAAATGAGAACAATCATTGATTTATATTATCATGTGATTTTTTTTCTTAACTTGATATGGTGGATAACATAGATTGATTTTTGAATATTGAATTAATCTTGCCTCCCTTGTATAAATTCCACTTTGTCATAGAACAGCTTCAGTGGGATTGCTTGCTTCTGATTTGACCTCACATCACTTCTCCTGGATTAGATGTCAGATCCTCCACTAGGGACACCTTTAATGTGGCTACAACCTAGGACTACCTCTGCATAGTTTAAGAGAGCCTGCTTATAGGTATATACCCAAAGGACTACAAATCATGCTGCTATAAAGACACATGCACACGTATGTTTATTGCGGCACTATTCACAATAGCAAAGACTTGGAACCAACCGAAATGTCCAATAATGATAGACTGGATTAAGAAAATGTGGCATATATACACCATGGAATACTATGCAGCCATAAAAAATGATGAGTTCATGTCCTTTGTAGGGACATAGATGAAATTGGAAATCATCATTCTCAGTAAACTATCGCAAGAACAAAAAACCAAGCACCGCATATTCTCACTCATAGGTGGGAATTGAATAATGAGAACACATGGACACAGGAAGGGGAACGTCACACTCTGGGGACTGTTGTGGGGTGGGGGGAGGGGGGAGGGATAGATTTAGGAGATATACCTAATGCTAAATGATGAGTTAGTGGGTGCAGCACACCAGCATGGCACATGTATACATACGTAACTAACCTGCACATTGTGCACATGTACCCTAAAACTTAAAGTATAATAATAATAAAATAAAATAAAAGAGAGAGAGCCTGCTTTACAAATATATCCTCTTTATTCTGCCTTATCAGTGTCTTCTTCTCCACTGGTATTATTCCCCTAGCATACAACATGCTCTGATTTTGAGTATCCGAAAATAACCTTCCCTTATGGCTGCTACTTTTTTTGAATTACTGTCACCTGTATCCCTCTTATTCCATCATTCATGTTGAAAGAGTTGCTTTTCCTTTACTGTCTTTGCTGCACCACCCTCACTACTTAGCCTCTTGTCTAACTCATTCCTAGTTCTCTGCTGTCTCTTAAAGTAAACTCCCAATGGCCTCATATCCCTCTTTGTTTTCTAGATATCTTCATTTCATTTGACCCCACGAAATACTCTTCCACTTTCAAATTATCCTGCCTCCCTTGGCTTCTTGGACAGTGTGCTCCCTATTTCATCCTATCCATTCCTTCAGACTCCTTTGCTAGATTCCTTCTCAAATTATCAGACCTCTAACTTCAAACTTTCTGAAACTCTGGGTAAGTACCACCAATGTTTTGCAGTTAGATCCTAAAAATATAGCTTTGGATTTAACAGCTCTCCTGAGCTTTCCCTTGTTTCTAACTGCCTCTTAAACATTTCCATCTCCATTCTTTCTCCAGAGAAGAGTAATGAGTACTTGCCCTTTGCTAGATATTGTGCTAAGTGCTTTTTATAAGTCTTCCCACTTAATCCTCTCATGAATTCCATAAGGCAAATATCCCAAATCTACAGATGTGGAAACTGAAAGTCAAAGGAAAAATTCTTTACCAAAACCTGCACAACGTAAGTCAGAATTTAAAGCCAAGCAGTTCTAAAAAAATAGATTAAGTATAATAACAGAGAAGGAAGGTGGAAGGAAACAGTTGAAGGTAATGGCTAGGTTCACAATATAGATTTTGGTGATACTTTCATGGGTGTATACCTGTCTCCAAACTCCTTGAGTTGTATACATTAAATATGTACAGTTTATTGTACATTAATCATACCTCAATAAAGTAGGTTAAAAAACAAAGCCAAGCATTTCTAATTTCTATTGCTATTTTCTTTTTGAATACACAAAACTACAACTTAAGGTCAATATGTATGAAACCAAATTCATGATTCCCCTCTACCCCCAAACCAATTATTCCTCCAGCTTTTTATATTTCCACTAATAATGCCATCATTGGCTCAGTCTACTACGCTGGAAATTCTGGAGTCATTCTCAACTTCTTTCTTTTCCTCTCTGTTCATATCCAACCAGTGAACCTATCTGGCACTGCCTTTTCACTCTCTCCCATCTGCCCTTTTTCTTTGCAAATTAACTTCTACCACCCTAATCTAGGCATCTCAATTTGCTACTGAGTTGGTTTGCTGGTCTTTAGTCTCACCTACCTTCCATTTGCACTGTCCAGTCCATTTTTCCATCTTCCTGTAAGGCAAGTTCCATCCATCTCTAACCTCTGCTCCTTCATCTATAAATGAAAGGATCGGCTGGATGACAATTGAGGCTCCCAACTTTTTCATCACCCAAGACCCCTTTTGTTTTGTTTTCAATCTGTAGGGCCCTTGACTATAAAAATTTTTCTAATGTCAAAATTTTTATTGCCAGGTGTGGTGGCTCACGCCTGTAATCCCAGCAGTTTGGGAGGCTGAGGTGGGGGAATCACCTGAAGTCAGGAGTTCGAGACCAGCCTGGCCAACATGGTGAAACCCCATCTCTACTAAAAATACAAAAATTAGCCAGGTGTGGTGGCCTGTGCCTATAGTCCCAGCTACTCAGGAGGCTGAGGCAGGAGAATCGCTTGAACCCAGGAGGCAGAGGTTACAGTGAGCTGAAATCACGCCACTGCACTCCAGCCTGGGCGACAGAGTGAGAATCTGTCTCAAAAAAAAAAAAAAAAAAAGAATGTTTTTATTTATTAAGGATCAATTAGCTTGTTTTGCCATTTTTTAAAAAAATGACTTTCATAACCACCAATCAATTCTTCTGATCAGTGTCCCATTTGATTAATTCTAGCCCAAAGCAAATAATACTGACACTGTGGTTGATCTGTACAGCCTTATTATAGAGAAATACATTGGTTCCTTTAGGCTTTCTGAAATCTTCATAATCCATCCAGAACCCGCAGTGTGGATGCCCATGCTCCCTGGCTAGTCATCACTGGGTGAGTAATCTTTAAGCAATCTCCCAGCCCAGCCAATCTGTGATTCCTAAAATACAGTGCTGATTGTGTAACGCGCAAACCGCACCCCTCACTCCCCCCACCATTGATTATTCTGTAAAGGCTCCCCATTGTCTCTTAAATTAACTATAAACTGCTTAGCCTGGAATTCAAAGCCTGCCATGCTCCAGCCCTAACATAATAGTTTTTTTTCCTAATTGTGAGCTGACAGCCATGCTTGCATGAGCAACAAACTATTAAGCCTGAGCATACATGCAGAGTTTACTGTTCTAATCACAAATAAAAGTGATGAAAAAGTTAATCTAACACATATTTAATGATACACCTAATAGTTATTTTGTTGGATGGGAATTAGCAATAAATGGTAAGCAGTTCGCATAAATGATTGTAATTAGTATTACTTTTCCACATTCAGACCAATTTTTCTAGTTTCCTTCCTTACTATTAGTTTTCCAGCATTCTTAATCAGCATCAGTGCTGACAACTCTCCCTGATACCATGTACCATTTAATCATGATCATCACATACACGCACACACTCTTCCATACATTATGAGACAAAAGGTCCTGGCTTTTCCACTCCAGCAGCTATCCCCCATGATAGGTCACTTGCTTTGTCTCCTTCCTTCCACCTGACTCCCTCTTCTACTCATCCCTATATCTGAGGGTGCTCTGAGTGGATCATCCTTATTCCAGTATCAGAAGGCTCAAGGTTACGGAAATTCAGTCCCTTAAAACTGGGTTGCTTCAGAGAAAGAACTAGGGGCTATGGAATGTTCACTCAGTTGTGTTGGGGGGATCAATAACAGGAGTCTTTCAGGGTTGTCAGTACCATATAAAAGCATTATAAAGGGAAGAGGCAGACACTAGGGGGCAGAGGTCTCAGGGAGGGGAGACATGGTTTCATCAGAATATGATCATGGCTACAACGTTATAATTCCAAACACAGGTATTAAAATAAATGTAAATAAGATACAAATCATACAATTGTTTGAAAATATTCATGTAATTTTTTAAAAAATCACTACTCATATTTGCTATATTATATGCAAAGCCTTCTGAACCAGAATCAGGAGAGCTCAGGAGAGTGGTGGCTCAGGAGACTTCTCTTACTGGCTGATTTGTGACAGTGGACAAGCCAATGGCCTCTCCAGTTCTGCATCTGTAAAATGGGTTTTAATCCCAGTGGTGATGCTGTTCACTCAGATGCCCAGTCTCAAAACCCAGGAGACATCCTCAATGCCTATGACCCACAACTCATCTTATTGGCCGCCAAATCCTATACATAATGGCTCCTAAACAGCAGTTTTATTTCCCTCTCTCCAACCCTACTGCCAGCACCTTAATTCAGGCCACCATTATCTCTCATCTGGACCACTGTGATGACCTTCTAACTAGTCTTATTTCCATTCATGCTATTTTCAAATCCATTCTTTTTGTGGCAGCTAGAAAGATCACTTATTAAATTGATGTAAAATTCATATAACATGAAATTAAGTATTTTAAATGTACAGTTCAAAGGTGTTTGGCACATTACCAATTTTGTGCAACCATCACCTTTATCTAATTCAAAAACATTTTCATCAGCCCAAAAGGAAACCCTATACACATTAATCAGTAGCTACCCACCCCCTCTCCTTCTCCTAGCCCCTGGAAACCACGAATCTGCTTTTTGTCTCTATGGATTTGCCTATTATATATACTTCATATAAACAGAATTGTATAATACAATGACCTTTTCTGTTTTCTTTCACTTAGCATAATGCTTATGAGGTTCATTCATGCTGTAATATGTATCAGTACATCATTCTTTTTCATGACTGAATAATATTTTTCTATGGATATTCCACATTTTGTTTATCTATTCATCACTTGATAAACATTTGGGGTTTTTCCTACCCTGAGGCTAATATGAATAGTGCTGCCATGAACATTCATGTGCATGTTTTTGTTTAAATACCTGCTTTCTATTCTCCTGGGTATGTGGTTTGGCATCCTGGGTCATATGGTAATTCTGTTTCACTTTTTGGGACAAATGTTATAGTGTTTTTCAAAGCAGCTGTATCATTTTGCAATCCCACCACCAGCTTGTTTGCCATTTATATATATTCTTTGGAGTGCTGGTTTCTATTTGAATTGTTTGCCCACATTTTAATTGGGTTGTTTGGCTTTTTGTTGTTTTTTAAATATTTTTAATGTTTGTGGATACATAGTAGGTATATATATTTATGGGACACATGAGATGTTTTGATACAGGCATGCAATGTGAAATAAGCACATCATGGAGAGTATTTCATTGTACCGTCTATGTCTTGAATAGTTGTTGCAGTTATTGTTTTTGATTGATTCATGGTGATATGGTTTGGCTGTGTCCCCACCCAAATCTCATCTTAAATTCCCATGTGTTGTGGGAGGGACCTGGTGGGAAGTGGTTGAATCATGAGGGCAGGTCTTTCCCATGGTGTTCTCGTGATAGTGAATAAGTCTCAGGAGATCTGATGGTTTCATAAGGGGGAGTTTCCCTGTACAGGCTCTCTCTTTGCCTTCTGCCAACCACATAAGATGTGACTTGATTCTCCTTGCCTTCCACCATGATTGTGAGGCCTCCCCAGCCATGTGGAACTGTAAGTCTGATAAACCTCTTTCTTTTGTAAATTGCCCAGTCTCGGGTATGTCCCTATCAGCAGCGGGAAATCGGACTAATACACATGATTTAGTCTTTCTACTTAGGATAAGAGTAGTTTACACACCACAGTTACAGTGTTATAATAGTCTGTGTTTTTCTGTGTACATACTATTACCAGTAAGTTTTTTATCTTCAGGTGATTATTGCTTATTAATAGCCTTTTCTTTCTGATTGAAGTGCTCCTTTTAATATTTCTTGTAGGACAAGTCTGGTATGGATGAAATTCCTCAGCTTTTGTTTGTCTGGGAAAGTCTTTATTTCTCCTTAATCTTTGAATGACATTTTCACCAGATATACTATTCTAGGGTAATTTTTTTTCCTTCAGCGCTTTAAATATGTCATGCCACTCTCTCCTGGCATGTAAGGCTTCCACTGAGAAGTCTGCTTTCAGATGTATTGGCACTCCATTGTATGTTACTTGTTTCTTTTCTCTTTCTACTTTTAGGATCCTTTCTTCATCCTTGACCTTTGGGAGTTAGTTTATTACATGCCTAGAAGTAGTCTTCTTTGGGTTAAAGCTGCTTAATATTCTATAACCTTCTTGTACCTGGATGTTGATATGTTTCTCTAGGTTTAGGAAGTTCTCTGTTATTATTTCTTTGAATATGTTTTCTACCCCTATCACTTTCTCTACCTCATTAAGGCCAATAACACCTAGATTTGCCCTTTTGATATTATTTTCTAGGTTCTCTAGGCATGCTTCATTGTTTTTATTCTTTTTTCCTTCCTCTTCACTGTGTATTTTCAAGTAGCCCATCTTCAAGCTTACTAATTCTTTCTTCTGCTTGATGAATTCTGCTAATGAAACAGTCTGATGCATTTTCAGTATGCCAGTTGCATTTTTCAGCTCCAAAATTTCAGCTTGATTTTTTCTAATTATTTGAATTTCTTTATTAGATTTATCTCATAGAATTCTGAATTCCTTCTCTGTGTTATTTTGAATTTCTTTGAGTTTCCTCAACACAGCTCTTTTGAATTCTGTCTGAAATGTTACATATCTCAGTTTCTCCAGGATTGGTCCCTGGTGACTTATTTAGTTGATTTGTTTGAGGTCATGTTTTCATGGATGGTACTTATAGATGTTCTTTGGTGTCTGGGCATTGAAGAATTAGGCATTCATTGTAGTCTTCACTGCCTGGGATTGTTTGTATCTGTCCTTCTTGGGCAGGCTTTCTAGATATTTGAAAGGACTTGGATGTGGTGCTCTAAGCTGTATCTTTATGGTCCTGGACAAGATTTTGGAGAATTCTCTGGATTAATAGCCAGAGACTCCTGTCCTCTTACCTTTCTTTGTCTCAAAGAAATGGAGTCTCTCTCTCTATTCTGAGCCACTTAAAGTTGGAGGTGGAGTGGACACGCCACCACCGTGGCCACCACTTCTAGGACTGCACTGGGTCAGACCTGAAGTCAGCACAGTACTTGGTCTTACCCAAGGCCTGCTGTAACCACTCCCAGGATATGGCTTATGTTCACTCAAGGCCCTGGGGCTAGGCAATCAGCAGATGGCAGAGCCAGCCAGTTCTATGTCTTTCCCTTCAGGGTGGCGAGCTTCCCCAGGCCCTGGGTGGGTCCAGAGGTGCTATCTGGGACTCCTGGACTAAAGTCAAAAACCTTAGAAGTCTACCTGGTGTTCTGCTGTACTGCAGCTGAGCTGGCACTCAAACCATAAGACGCAGTCCTTCCCACTCTACCTTCTCCTTTCCAAAGGCAGAGAAGCCTCACCCCATAGCCACCACAGGCCACATGGAGTACTGCCAGACTACCATTGATGTTCCCTTAAGGCCAAAGGGCTCCTAAGTCAGCTTCTGGTAAATGCTGCCTGGCCTAGGACTCACACTTCAGGACAGTGGGCTCCCTTCTGGCCCACGGCAGGTCCAGAAATGCTGTGCAAGAGTCAAGGCTTGGAATCAGGGACCCCAAGAGCCCACTACATGTTTTATCTCCCTGTAGCCATGTGGTATCTAAAGCCAGCAAGTCTCAGATGCTCACCCAAGGCCCTCGACACAGTACCTGGGTATTGCTGTTGGTTATTCAGGGACCAGTGGCCCTTCAAATAGCAGGTGATAAATGCTGCCAGGACTGGGTTCTTCCCTTCAAGGCAGTGGGTTCCCTTGTGGCCCACAGTGTGTCTAGAAATGTCATCCCAGAGGTAGGGCCTGGAATGGGGGCCTCATGACTCTGACTGCTGCCCTACCCTGCTGTGGCTGAGCTAGTATCTAAAATGCAAGATAAAGTCCTCCCCTCTCTTTCATCTCCTCTCATCATGCAGAAGGAAGGGGTCTGTTTTGGAGCCACAAGCTATGCAGCCTGGGGTTAGGGGAGGGCGATGATAGCACTCTCATAGCCACCCCGGCTGGTGTCTCAGTAGGTTGTGTGCCCCACACCCCCAGTCCACTGTCTCTGGGCCCAGTTTAGCACCAGGACTCACCTAGGAGTTGCAGTCCTTGTGGTCTGGACTGCCTTTCAAGTTTACTTAGAGACCTAGAACCCCTTGGCCCTCAGTGGCAAGGTTTGTGGAAAACTCAAGTTCCTACCACTGGGGCACTGGGAATGGAGATTCCCCTCTGGCTAGGGCTGGTTTAAATGCTCCCTCCATGGGTAGAGGTCATCTGAGTTTGGTCAGATTTTCCTTTCTGCTCTAACAAGACAGCACTGAGTTCAATGCCTCACGATTTCTGTGCTCTCTTTCCCCCAGTACCCAGAGATGTGCTCCATACCAGGCTGCCACTGTTGGGGTGGGGGGTATTGTTGGTGATTCATGACTGTTTTTCCTATCTCTTTAGTGCCTCTTTCAGTGATACAAAGTTAACATCAGGTACTATAAGGGTTCCCCTAATTTTTGGTTCTTATGAAGGTGTTTTTTTCCTGTGTATGTAAGTATTAAGTTGGTGTCCTTGCAGGGTGGATGATCCATGGAGCCTTCTATTCTGCCATCTTGCTCTGCTTCCCTGTCCTTGCTTTTCATTGCTGATTTGTAAGAGGTCATTATCAATTATGGCTCACTAAACCCTTAATAGATATAGGATACACAAATATTTTCTTCCATTCTGTAGGTTGTTTTTGGACTATCTTGATAGTAACTTTTGAATTGCAAAAGTTGTGAATTTTGATGAATTCTAGCTTATCTAATTTTTAATTTTGTTGCTTATGCTTTGGTGACATATCTAAGAACCCATTGCCAAATCCAAGGTCATGAAGATTTACCTCTGTATTTTCTTCTAAAAGTTTTATATTTTTAGTTCTTACCTATACGTCTTTCACCCATTTTGAGTTAATTTTTGTACATAGTGGGATCCAACTTCAATCTCTTGCCTGTGAATATCCAGTTGTCCAGGTACCATTTATTGAAAAGATCATTCTTTCCTAATTGAATGGTCTTAAAACCCTTGTTGAAAATTAACTGGAGATATATATGTACATGATTATTTCCGGACTTTCAGTGCTGTTTCATTGATCTATGTGTCTATCCATTTGCCAGTAGCATACTCTTTTGATTTCTGTAGCTTTGCAGTAAGTTTCCAAGTTGGGAAATATGAATCATTCAACATTAATATTCTTTTTCAATATTGTCTTGGCTACTTGAAGTCCTTTGACTTTCTGCATGAGTTTTAGAATCTGCTTTTCCATTTCTGCAAAAAAAAGATTATAAAAGGAGTTTTGTAGAGATTGCAATGAATCTGATTTCCTTGGGTAGCTTTGCTATTTTAAAGTCTACCAGTCCAAGAGCATAGTACCCAATACTTAGTTTCTCAACTCTTACCCCTTTCCCTCCCTCCCCCTTCTAGTAGTCCCCAGTGCCTCTTATTGTCACCTTTAACTCCATAAATAACCAATGTTTAGCTCTCACTTGTGAGAATATGCAGTACTTAGTTTTCTGTTCCGGTTGCCTCCATGTTCCTGCAAAGAACATGATTTCATTCTTTTTAATGGCTATGCAGTATTCCATGTTGTATATATACCTAATTTTCTTTATCCAGTCCATTGTTGATGGGCACCTAGGTTGATTCCATGTCTTTTCTATTGTGAATAGTGCTCTCATGAACATATGAGTAAATGTGTCTTTTTGGTAGAACAATTTATTTTGTTTTGGATATATACCCAGCAATGGGACTGCTGGGTCGAATGGTAGTTCTGTTTTAAGTTCTTTGAGAAGTCTCCAAACTGTTTTCCACAATGGCTGAACTAATTTACATTCCCCTGAAAGTGTATAAGTATTCCCTTTGCTCTACAGCCTCACCGGTATCTGTCGGTTTTTGACTTTTTAATAATAGCCATTCTGATTGGGATAAGACAATATTTCATTATAGTTCTGATTTGTATTTCTCTGATGATCAGCAATGTTGATTATTTTTTCATGTTTGTTGGCCACCTGTACATCTCCTTTGGATGAGTTTCTGTTCATGCCTTTTGCCCATTTTTTAATATAGTTATTATTATTATTATTATTATGCTTGAATTGTTAATTTCATTATCAATCCTGGATATTAGACTTTTGTTGGATACATTGTTTGCAAATATTTTCTCCCAGTTTGTGCATTTCTGTATACTCTGTTGATAGTTTCTTTTGTTGTGTAGAAGTTCTTTGGTTTAGTTAGGTCCCACTTGTCCATTTTTTTTGTTGTCGCAATTGCTTTTCAGGACTTGGTCATACATTCTTTTCCAAGGCCTATGTCCAGAATGATGTTTCCTAGGTTTTCTTCTAGGATTCTTATAGTCTGATGTCTTAAATTTAAAATCTTTAATATATCGTGAGTTAATGTTTGTATACAGTGACAGGTATGGGTTCAGTTTCATTCTTCTGCATCAGGGTAACTAGCTATCCCAACACCATTCATTGAAAAGACTGTTCTTTCCCCAGTGTATGTTTTTGGAACCTTTGCCAAAAGTGAGTTCACTGTAGATGTACAGATTTATTTCTGGTTCTCTATTCTAATTAATTTATCTATGTGTTTGTTTTTGTATCAGTACATGCTGTTTTGGTTACTGTAGCCTTATAGTACAGTTTAATGTTGGGTAATGTGGTGACTCTGGCTTTGATCTTATTGCTTAGGATTGCTTTGGCTACTCAGGCTCTTTTTTGGTTCCACATAAATTTTAGATTTGTTTTTTCTAATTTTGTGAAGAATGATGTCGGTAGTTTCATAGGAATAACGTTGAATCTGTAGGTTGCTTTGGGCAGTATTGTCATTTGAATGACATTGATTCTTCCAATCTATGAGCAAGGAATGTTTTTTCATTTGTGTCATCTATAATTTCTTTCAGCAGTGTTTTATAGTTCTCCTTGTAAAGATCTTTCACCTCCTTTGTTAGATGTATTCTTAAGTATTTTTTTCTGTGGCTATTGTAAATGGGATTGCATTCTTGATTTGGCTCTCAGCTTCAACATTATTGGTGTATGGAAATGCTACTGATTTTTGTACATTAATTTTGTATCCTGAAATTCTACTTTCTGAATTTTTTACTCTTTTATTTTCTATTGTACATGGAATTGTTTTCATAATTTTATTTTCAAACTGTTAATTCCTAGTGTACAGAAATAGAAGAGATTTGTACATATTGATCTTGTATTTTACAATTTTGCTGAATTCATTTATTAGCTCTAATGGTTTTTTTGTGGATTCTTAGGATTTTAATGCATCAGATTATATCATCTGCAAATTGAGTTTCATTTCTTAATTTCCAGTTTGGACTACATTTTTGACTAATTGTCCTGGATAGAACTTCCAATACCATGTTGAACAGAAGTGGTGACAGTGGACATCCTGGTTTTATTCCTGATCTTAGAGGAAAAGCTTTTAGTCTTACGATATCGAGTATTACCTTAGCTGTGGGTTTTTCACATATGGCCTTATCATGTTAAGGAAGTTGCCTCTATTTCTATGGTTTGTTGAGGGTTTTTATTATGATAAGGTATTGGTTTTTGTGAAATGCCTTTTCTGGGTTAACTGATAATTATGTATTTTTTTGTACTGTTAATGTGATGTATTCCTTTGATTGGCTTTCATATTGAACCACACTTGGATTCTTAGGAAAGATCCTACTTGGTTGTGATGTATATTTTCTTAAGGTGCTGCTGTATTCAGTTTGTTAGTATTTTGTTGAGAATATTTGCATCTATATGGTAATGCAGGCCTCATAGAATGAGTTAGAACGTGTACCCTCCTGTTCCGTTTTCTGTTTCCAGTATTATCTATAAATAGTTAGAATCTATAAGTATAAATATTTATAATTATTGTTTTATGTACTTATCTTTAAAATCATATAGGAAACTTAATCCTTTTTGTTTCTATAATGTATAGATAGTAATAATGCCACTTTTATTTATGATTTTGTCAATTTGAGCCTTCTTTTTTTCCTAGTCAGTCTACCCAGAAAAAAGCAAAGAGGAATGAATACCAATCCTTCTTGAACTCTTTCAACAAATAGAAGGAACACTTTCATACTCATTTTATGAGGCCAGCATTACCCTGATATGAAAACTAGGCAATAACACTACAAGAAATGAAACTACAAGACAATATCCCTGATAAACATGAATGCAAAAATCTTTAATAAAATACTAAAAAACAAAATTCAACAGCACATTTATAGGATCATACACCATGATCAACTAGAATTTATCCCAATGATACAAGGATGTTTCAATCTGTATTAATCAATCAACATGATACAATATATTAACAGAATGAAAGAATAATAATATAATCATCCCTATTATTTCTCTATTCTCTATTTTTATTTTCTCCACTCTAATCTTTATTATTTCCCTCCTTCTGGTACCTTTTGGTTTAGCTTGCTCTTCTTTTTCTAGTTTCTTAATATATAATGTTAGGTTATTAACTTGGGATCATTCTCCTTATTAAATCCAAGCATTTTCAGCCATAAATGTCCCTCCAAGTACTAATTTTGTTGTATCTCATACATGTCGATTGCTGTGATTTGTTTTCATTAATCTCAATGTATTTTTCAATTTTACTCATAATTTCTTCTTTAATCCAATTTTATGACTGTGTTTTTCAGTTTTCACATGTATTTTACTTTTTGTATTTTCCTTCTGTTATTGTTTTCTTCCATTGTGGTTAGAGAAGATTCTTTGTATGATTTAAAACATTTTTAATTTAGTGAAACTTCTTCTGTGGCCTAACATGCAGTCTGTCCTGGAGAATGTTTCACGTATACTTCAGAAGAACATATATTTTCCCATTGTTGAGTGAACATATATATATATATATGGCCTAATTAGTTCATGTATATATATATACATATACATATACATATATGGCCTAATTAGTTCATAGTTTTGTTCAATTCCCCTGTTTTCTTATTCATCTTCAGTCTTCTAGTCCTATCCAGGACTTAAAATGGGATATTGAAGTTTCCAACTATTATTGTACAACTGTCTTGCTCTCTTCAATTATGTTTTTCCCTCCTTTCAACACTATGTAAAATTCTGCTACTTTATAGCTCCGTCTACCCTACATGTTGTTATTGTCACAAATTACATTTTCATACTTTGTGTCTCCCTTAACAAAGATTTATAATTATTGTTTTATATATTTGCCTTTAAAATCATATAGGGAAAAAAGAGAATTTAAAACAAAATGCGCAATACTTTTCTCTTTCCCATTTATTTATGTAGCTATCTTTAATGTTCTTTATTTCTTTGTTTGGCTTTATTGTCTAATGTCCTCTCATTTCAGCCTTAGAAGACTCCCTTTTTGCATTTTTTGTAGGGCAGGTCTACTAGGGACAGAATTCTTCAGCTTTTATCTGGAAATGCCTTAATTTCTCCTTTATTTGTGAAGGATAATTTGGCCAGATATAAAAATTTTAGTTTATAGTTCTTTCTTTTAGCACTTTGAATATGTAATCACAGTGCTTTCAGACCTGCATGGTTTCTGAGATGAAAGTGGCCGTTAATCTTTTTGTTTCTCTTATATGTAATGAGTTGCTTTTCTCTTGACGATTTTAAGATTTTCTCTTGCCCTGACTTCAACAATTTGACAATAACGTTTCTCAGTGAGGACCTCTTTGAGATTATACTAGCGGTTCATTTAGTTTTTTGGAGGTATAGATGCAAATCTTTCATCAAACGTGGGTACTTTTCAGCCACTAATCCTTCAAATACTTTTTCTGCCTCCTTACTCTCTCTCTTCTCCCTCTGAGATATGCATTAACAGCACATTCATTTGCTTGAAGGTATTCCACAGGTCTCCTAGCCTGTTCATTTTTCTTTAATTTTTTTTTCCGTTTCTTGGACTGAATAATCTCTACTGAGCTATTTTCAAGTTTGATAATTATTTTTTCACCCTAACCAAATCTACTGTGTAACCTCTCTACTACAGTTTTCATTTCAGTTATTATATTTTTCAGCTCAAAATTTTCTATTACATTTTTAAATAATTATCTTTTTACTATAATTCTCTATTTGGTGATACACTGTTCTGGTTTCCTTTAGTTCTTTTTCCATGGCTTCCATTGGATCTTCAAGTATTTTTAAGACAGTTGATTTAAAGATTTTGTCTAGAAAGTTTAATGTTTGGCTTCCTCAGGAAAAGTTTCTGTTGGTTTATCTTTTCCTACTGATGCAACCACTAATCTGTCCATTTTTAAAACTTTATCATATCATACATGTTATACAAATAGAATCATTTTGCATGTAACCTTTTGGAAAAGGTTTTTTTTTTTTACTTTTAAGTACAAAATTGTAAGTCCCTGGAGAATCATGCAAGTTGTTTCATATATTGACAGTTTATTGTTTTTTATTGCTGAGTAGTATTTCATGGTATGAATATACTAAAGACTGTTTATTCACCCATTGAAGGATATCTGGGTATTTCCCCAATTTTTGCTACTATAAATACAGCTGCAATAAACTTTTGTGTAGAGGCATTTTTGTTAATGTAAGTTTTCATTTCTCTGGGATAAATCCTCAAGAGTGAGGCTGTGGATCATATGGTTTCGTTTTGCAAGAAGTTGCAAAATTACATTTTTTATTTTTACAAATTTCTGAGATACACTTTTTTAGTCTCTATTTCATTTAGTTCTACTCTGATATGGGGAGTTTTTTCTTGCTATTTTGGTGTTTGGTTTGTTACTGCTTTTCTAGTTCCTTGATGCAAATCATTATGTTATTAATTTGTAATATTTCTACTTTTTTGATGTAGGCATTTATTGCTATAAACTTTCCTCTTAGCACTGCTTTTGCTGTATCCTATAGTTTTTTTGTATGTTGTTTCAATTATCATTGGCTTCAAGAAACTTTTTCTTAATTTCCATCTTAATTTATTCATTGACCAAAAGGTCATTCAGGAGCATGTTGTTTAATTTCTATGTATTTGTATAGTTTAAAAAATTCTTCTTGGTATTGATTTCTAGTTTTATTCCACTGTAGTCTGAGAAGATACTTGAAAAGTTTTTGACTTTTACAATTTGTAGAGACTTATTTTGTGGAATACTTATGGTCTACCCTAGAGAATGCTTCATATGCTGATGAAGAGAATATATATTCTGCAGTTGTTGGATAGAATATTCTGTAAATGTCTGTTAGTTTCATTTCATCTAAAGCTCATTTTAAATCCAGTGTTTCTTTGTTGATTTTCTGTCTAGATAATCTGTCTAATGCTGAGAGTGGTGTGTTGAAATCCCCCACTATTATTGTATTGTAGGTTATTTCTCTATTTAGATCTAGTAATATTTGCTTTATGAACTGGGGTGCTCCAGTGTTGGGTGCATAAATATTTAGAATTATATTATCTTGCCAAATTGATCCCTTTATATAATGATGTTCTTTGTCTTTTTTTAAATTGTTCTTGACATGAAGTCTCTTTTATCTGATATAAGTATAGCTACTCCTGCTTGCTTTTGGTTTTTACTTGCATGGAATATCTTTCTCCAACCTTTACTTTTAGTTAATATGTGTCTTTACTTGTAGGTTTCTTGTAAGCAGCATATAGTTGTATCATATTTTTAATCCATTCAGCCATTCTATGTCTTTTATTTGGAGAACTTAATCCATTTACATTCAAGGTTATTATTGGCAATGTGAGGTTTTGATTCCATCATAATGTTAATTGTTTTCTGTTTGTTTTACATATTCTCTGTTTTTTCTTCTTGTTCTCCTATTAATAATCATTGTTGGATTTCTATAGGGTATATTTTCTATACCTTTTGACTCCCTCTTTCTCCTTTGTGTGATTTCTTTACCAGTGAGTTTTTTACTTTCTTGTGTTTTAATGATGGTAAATGTCATCCTTTCACATCCAGGTTTAGGACTCCTTGGAGTATTTCTTGTAGGACTAGTCTAGAGGTAACAAATTCCCTCAGTATTTGCTTGTCTGGGAAAGATTTTATTTTGCCTTTATTTATAAAGGATAATTTTTCTCAATATAGTATTCAAGGTGACAGTTTTTTCTTTCCTCACTTTGAAGATAGCATCCCATTCGCATCTTCCCTGTAACATTTGATGGGATTTCCCTTACAGAGACTAGATGCTTTCCTCTTGCAGTTTTTTTCTTTGATTTTAGGCATTCCAAATATAATGTGCCATAGAGAACTTTTTGCAGTGTATCTGCTTAGGGATTGCTGAGCCTTTTGTATCTGAATGTCTAAATCTCTTGCTACCCATGGGAAGTTTTAGTCTAATATTTCATTAAATAGGTTTCCTAATCCTTTCTTTGTCTCTTCACCCTTGAGAATACGGATAATTTGAATACTCAGTCCCCTTATATTGTCCCAAATGTTAGGGAGGCTTTGTTCATTATTTTTTATTCTTTTTTTAAAAAGTTTATGTAACTACGTTATTTCAAAAGACCTTTCTTCACCTGCAGAAATGTCTTCTGCCTGTTCTAGTCTTTTTTGAAGCTTTAAAATGTACTTTGTATTTTCTTCAATGAATTCTTCAGTTTCAGAATTTCTATTTGGTTCTTTTAAAAAATATCTGCCGCTTTGGTAAATTTCTCATTCATATCCTTAATTGTTTCTCTGATTTCTTTGTATTGTTTTTTCATTATTCTTTTGTATTTCATTGAACTTCTTTAAAATTAACATTTTGAATTATTTATCTGGGATTTCAACAATTTGTTTTTGAGTATGATCTATTGCTGGAGAATTATTGTGTTCTTTTGGAGGTGGCATATTTCCTTGCTTTTTCATGCTTCTTGTGTCCTTACCTTGACATCTGCACATCTGGTATAACAATTGCTTCTTCCTATTTTGAATTTATCTTCATAGGGAATAAGTTTTTCCTGAAGTTATATCTATGGTGTTGGTTGGGTAGGGTACCTTGTCTTTGATTCTCAGTTCATGTAGTTGTGTGGTCTCTGTACGATTTCTTTGCCTGTAAACAGCATTAATGGCATCTGTGATTTACTTGGTAGGTTAGGGTAAAGTTATTAGTGTAGGCTATGGTGAGGTTGTGATGGCACTGGGATGCCAGATGGACCAGTCTCCAGGACTCAGTGGTGGAAGCAGTGAGCTGGGCATTTTTATATTTATTTATATGCCCCAGGGTGGTATACCCTGGCACCTGTGTTGGCAGTTATAGGCATGACAATTCTTGAGCCTCCAGGTGATTTGCTTGGATGCCAGTAGTGAAAACACTGTGTCTGGTGGGTGGGTGGGTTATTGGGACCATAGGCAGCCAATGTGGCATGGGCGATGGCAATAGTAGTGGTGGAATGATTCTCTGAATCCCAAGGAGTGTGCATTGATCTTGGAGATGGTTGTGATTGTCTGGGCAGGCCAGTCTCCAGGCCCATAGGTGGTGCTTGTAGGTAAGCGCCAAATGAAGTTGTGGTGTCCAGGAATTTAGGTCCAAATTCAGGCCCCCAGGAATAGTGCTGAGGTGCCCAAGGTGGTGGAATAGGTATGGCAATCCACAGGACCCTGGTCTATGTGCTCCATCTCGGGCAGGTATGGGGAGCAAAGCCAGTCGTGATGGGCTTGGCAAAACAACTTTAAAGAGAATCTATACCATTTCAGATTCCTACCATCAATGTATGAGACAGATAGGTTCTCTTCATCCTCATTAGCATTTGGTATTGTCATTATTTTTCATTTTAGTCTTTCTGACAGGTATGCAATAATGTTGCACTGTGGTTTTAATTTGCATTTTCCTAATGACTAGTGTCATAGTCAATTCAGGCTGCTGTAAGATTAGTCACCATAGACTGGGTGGCTTAAACAATAAACATTTGTCTCTCACAGTTCTGGAATCTGGAAAGTCCAAGATCAAGGTACCAGCAGATCCAGTGTGAGGACACAAGAAGGCAGCTGTCTACAAGCCAGGAACAGAGCCCTGACCGGGAGCCAAATGATCTGGCACCTTGATCTTAGACTTAGCCTCCAAAACTGTGAGATTAGTTTCTATGGTTTAAGCCACCTGGTCTATGGTATTTTATTATGGTAGCCTGAGCAGACTAATACAACAAGTTTGTAAATATACTAAAAACATTAAAATTGTAGACTTTAAATGGATAAATTTTATTATGTTTGCTTCTTTTTTTTTTTTTTTTTTTTTTTTTGATACGGAGTCTCGCTCTGTCGCCCAGGCTGGAGTGCAGTGGCGCGATCTCGGCTCACTGCAAGCTCTGCCTCCCGGGTTCATGCCATTCTCTTGCCTCAGCCTCCTGAGTAGCTGGGACTACAGGCGCCCGCCACCACGCCGGGCTAATTTTTTTGTATTTTTAGTAGAGACGGAGTTTCACCATGTTAGCCAGGATGGTCTTGCTCTCCTGACCTCGTGATCTGCCCGCCTCGGCCTCCCAAAGTGCTGGGATTACAGGCTTGAGCCACTGCGCCCGGCCTATTATGTTTGCTTCTATCTGAATAAAAATGTTATTTAATATATGATAATATTGAGTGAATGATAGCTGAAGTGGATGGCTATATGGGTCACCCAGAGTAAAATGTTCAGGATGTCCCTCAGAAGCCAAAATAGTTGATAAATTCATCATAGTTGATGGCATGGGATTGAAGAAAATTGTGTGGGGTAGATGGGAAGCAGTGGTGATTGAAGCCCGTGGGGAAATGGAATACCAACAGCATCTAAGATAGCCAAGATGTATATAGCAAATACTTTGTGCCAGACACTGGACAAGGGCTTTATGCTCATCATTTATTTCTTTCCTCATAACAACCATGTGAGGTAGTTTCTATTATTGTCCCTTCTTTTAAAAATGAAGAAACTGAGTCTCAGAGAGGTTAAGTAACCTTTCTAGTGTTACATAGCTAGTAAGGGTCAGAGCCAAATATTGAACCAGGTTTGTATGACTGTAGTCCATGCTGTCTACATGACACTAGAGGCCTGGATCAAGAATTAGGAGAGGCTTCTCTAAGGCCTGTAGACTTATTAATAGCATCAGAAGATAGAGTGACAGCAACATAGAGATAACACAGGAAGACAGGAAATGGGCTCAAACATCTAGCAGTCAAGTCCCTGTTACTCAGATCCTCCTGCCTCAGCCTCCCAAAGTACTGAGATTACAGCTGTAAGCCACCAAGCTTGGCCTATGACTAGCCTCTTTTACTTAGCATAATATTTTCAAGATTCATTAACTGCCAAACAATATTCCATTATGTGGATATAATATATGTTATTTATCCACTCATTAGTTAATGGACATTTGGACTATTTATTCTCTCTAGCTATTATGAATAATTCTGCTGTAAATATTTGGATACAAATTTTTATATAAGCATATGCCTTCATTTCTTTTGGGTATATATCTAGAAATGGAATTGCTGGATTATATGGTATGTTTAATCTTCTGAGGTAAGGTTTCCCACAGTGTTTGTAATATTTTACATTTCCATCAGCAATATATAAGGGTTCCAATTTCTCCACATCCTAGCCAACACTTATCTGCTTTTTAAAATTATAATAATCCCAGTGTATATAAACTAGTATCTCATTATGGTTTTGATTTGCATTTCTCTTATGAGCATCTCTGGGGAAACTATAGCAGCAGAGCACTGACCACTCTCATTCTGTTGTCATGATAATGAGAGCAGAAGCTCTGGTTCAGGTCAACCTGAATGTAAATCTGGGCTGTGCTACTTTCTCACTGTGTGACCTTGGGAAGGTTAAATTGCTCTGGGTCTCCATTTTCTCATCTGTAAAACAGAGATGATGAAAATAATGATGATGTTGATAAAAAATAATATTAATAATATAAAACATGCCTTAACAGAATGTTTATAGTAACTAAGTGAGCTAATGTATGTAAAATGCTTACCAGAATGCTTAGCAGATAGTAAATATTTTTAAAAATGTGTATGTGTGTGTATATATACATGTGCATTGTGGAAAGAAAGCAAGAGACAGAGAACATGCATGTACATGTGTCACTCATGTATCACTCGCTAGGGCTCTTTGGAGCATGGAGCCCTGTATAGCACATTTTGCGATACTAGACTCACCTGTATATAACTCTTCAGGGCTGAGAAGGATGCTAAGTTAAAAAAAGCAAGAGATGGAAGAAAGAACATCAGAGGGGTTGAACAGGGTTGAATCCTAGGAAATAATTGAGCTGAACGAATACCTTATTTGGGGGCAAGGGAAATCTGAGGTATGGGAAAAAGAACTGCCAAGAGATGGGTTTTATTTGAACTCAAGAGTCAGGCCTGAAGAACCAATCAGAAAGGGCACACCTTCCATAAAGTCCAAGAGCAAAAGACAATACTGTAGAAGACCATAAATCAAAAATTAAAAGCTCAGCCAGTCTCAGTGGTTCACACCTGTAATCCCAGCACTTTGGAAGGCTGAGGCAGGAGGATCACTTAAGCCCAGGAGTTCAAGATCAGCTTGGGCAACATAGTGAGACTCCCATATCTACAAAGAAAATTAAAAAGTTACAATTAAAAACTCAAGATTAAAAAAAGATGATAGTATAAAAAAGTATGAAGACTAGAAGAAGAAAGCTAGGTGCATACATGCAGCTCCAAAGGTTTTACATAACTGAAGTTTAGCTGTGAATTGGAAACTGTGCTTCCTAAGAAAGGGGAGGGGTAACTAAGCAAAGGGAACCTCCCTGCAAGTGTAGCTTGATGAAGCTTCATGACCATGCTTTGCGGTTTTATCCTTGGTTTGTGTTTATTTTCCTAATACCATAAAAGTTTCTTATGCTCCAAAACCAGGGTCAGCAAACTATGGCCTATAGGCCAAATCGGGGCTACCACCAATTTTTGTAAATATAGTTTTATTGGAACAGAGCCACATGATTTTTATGCATTGTCTGTGGCTGCTTTTGTGTAATAATAGGTGGGTTAAGTCAGACACTCTATGGCCTACAGAGCCAAAAATATTTATTACTGGCCCTTTTTAACAGAAAAAGTTTTCTAGCCCTGGTCTAAAATCACTGGCAGAATGTAATATTTTCCCCATGGTTAGGACTAAGAAAGAGTACTTAAGGAATTAAGGAAAGAATTACATCTCTAAAGTCATCATTTAAAGAACAGACCCTTCATCTTCCTAATTAGATGAGAACAGGCAATGAAAACATATAAACTCAAATGATGATTAACTTAAAACCAAAGCAAAAAGTTTTTAGATTCTATTATAGGACTCTTGATACCAGATATCACTCATTTTGGTTTGTCAAAGATTAAGATTAGTAGGTCTGTGAACTACTGACCTCATTTCATACAAACAAATATCTGTGATGTTGACCAGAATACCAAACTTCATTGAAATCTATATCACAACTGCTGAAGATCTTCCTCTTTGAAAATACCATCCTCTATTGGATTGCCTGACCATGTCACTCAATAGACAAGAATGACTTCCAATTTGTCCGCACATTGTTTATGGTTAAATGTCACTTCTGAAGCATGTGGACAATCTATTCTCTGCAGGTTAAACTCTTCCTGTATCCATCCATGCATACCCTCTCTCCAAAAGAAACTGTCATGCTAATCAATTGCTTAGTAAACTCTTGTTCACAGTGAGCAAAGGAGCTCGTCAACTCAATCCCACTCAAATAATCACATGGCCCATATTAGTGAGGTCAGATGGCTGAGGTTTGCCTAACTTGAAAAGGAGGAGCAACTAGGTTCTGGCAAGCAACCTAGGTGGCAATAGTGAAAAGAAGGGATGCCAGTGGGTAGCACTCTCCAAGGAGGCTCTGGCAGGATGTATTTGACACCATGAAGCTGAGGGGTACAAAACCAGGATGACAGTTCCTACAATGAGATAAATGAAGACACCCACGAGGGAGAGAACAACAATGGCTCCTGCCCAGGGCGGCTGCGGTCTGCCCACCGGATAGGAGGAGTGCCTGACTAATTGCATTGCTGCCTGTCTCCATATAGCACCGTTTGTTTATTGAAGGTCCCCTTCTTTGTCCTGAACAAATTGACCTATTTGCTTCACTTTGTGAATTTAATTTTCATCTGTACATTTGCAAAATACCCCATCGGTGTTCATTATGGTAAATTAATGTTAGTAGTTCTGTAAGACAACCATCAGACCTCATTTTCACTAACTCTTTCCAACCTCTCCCTCACCCCCGTTCTTTGACTAATAGATATCATTTCAACAGTTTGACTAACTGCCGTGTTATAGAAAAGGCAGTAATTTATACTGATGTAATGGCCGTGATAAAAATCATTTGTGTGCTGATTTTATAAATTAGGGTGGAAATGTGAGTGCCTCTGAAAAATGAAGTGCTACCACATGGATTCCACTGTTGCTAATGCTTCATACCTTTCTGCTTCATTAAACCAATTTCACGGGGAGATGAGTTAGAGGAAGAAGCTGTGCTGCTTATGAGACGCAACAATGGTTTATTGAAATCAATGGGGCTAAGATTAAATTAAGTGCTACTCAAGAAATATGGAAATATAAAAATATTCAGGCTTCTAGATGGGTAATTCAAAAATATGATAAGTTAGCTCTTTGATGCTCCCAAAACTGGCTCATCATAATTGCATAGAACTGGGTCCACAGCCTACTAATTAATATTGAAGAGTTTCTTGAAACTAGCCTTATGAGTGGGAGAACCCAAGAATGAATTTATCCCATTTCCATTTTGAAATAATGTCAATTCAAAATTTTCTTTCAGATCTATTCTGATGGACTTGGATCTTTAAAATGCTTCCTCACTGGTCTGCTCATTCTTGAGAAGTAAACACCAGTGTTAGATAAAAGGGGTGGAGCAGGGGCAAGATGAAGGCACGTGGCAGAAAGTAGGCCATTTATTGGCAATTGTCAATTAGCAAACCTCAGTAATTGTTCTGCTCTTTTGTTTAAGAATTTCAGGTGAGCACAACACCAGCCGAATACAGATTTATGCTGCTCAGCATTTTGCTACTCCTTTTTGGATAATGCCCTAAACTGGAGGTGGAGACACTGAAAAATAAAGGATTGCTTGCCATGCCCTTAGGAACAGGTACCAAGGAATTAAGATGGAGCAATTTCCACTGTTCATTTAAATTTCCTACTATTTCCCCCATGCTGATGAATTTAAAGTTTTCACTTTCTAGCAACTAAACCCTATTTGTTCCCTGAATTGTGAAGGATGTAAATACAAAGGGATTCATTCACTAAATAAGAGGCTTGTGAATACTTGCTGTTTTTTTTTTTAATGCAAAATTTCAAAGTGCAGCTGAGGAGCTGCCATTTTCCTCCCCCCTCACAATGAGATCTCTGTGCATAAGTGACCCAAGTCCCGGGGTTGGGTCCAGCTCTCAGATTAGCACAGAAAACACGTACAGACAAGACTTTCAACACACCCCCTCCCACTGATGATAAAAGGAGCTCCCAAAAGTGTTTCTCTAGGATAGGGGGAAAGGATTTTGTGATTACAATCCTGAAGACTACTATGTGCCAAGAGTCAGAGAACATATCCCCACTCAAAGGGGAAAATAATTGATGTGAGGTCTGCTGCTACCATCCTGGAATTCGAGGCTCTACAGACTTAGTTCAAATAGCTAACATAAGCTAACATAGCATGCCTACAGTTGTAACAAACACTTTTCATCACACTGTCATAGAGGGGATTGCAGCAATCCCCTTCAGAGGCTCACCCATTGCTATTAGTTGATAGGCATATCCACCAACATCAGTAAGGGAAAATGCGCTGTCCAAATGCCTGGACATTTTAAACTTTTGAACATTATAAAAAAGTATATACTAGCTCAAAAGTAAAGAACAAACTGAAAGAAAATTAACTTTTAAAGAAATGTCATTATTTGGCTTAGATGCGTCTGGAGCAGGGCATGGTTAAAACTTGGCCTTCAACTAACTGGTGACCTTAAGCCTCAACTTTCTGGTCCATAAAATGAGATCTCTAAATTCTGTTCTGGCTAGAAGTTTCTATTGCCTGATTTGTACAAACTCTCTTAGAAGAGGCCCACAACAAGCCAGATGTTAATAGTCACAGAGTTGTTCCCTACCTATGACTCAGAAAAATTACATCAGTGAAAAGTATTTCATGTTAATGCCACCAAACATGTTTTAATCCTCAGAGGTACAGTTTTAAGGATAAAAAGCATTATATTGGGGTGGGGGAAAAACAGCATTCCTCAAAAGATAAAGATGCCTCTACTCATGTCCTTCCTTTGACTAGTCTCCCCACCACTGAAGAATCGAAGTTTCTGTTACCCCAAATTCTGGTTCTCTCTGGGTCCAGCAGCACTTGGAGCCAAAGAACACTGCTTTCTGACAGAGCAATATGTTCCACTGTGGCTAGAGCTCTGGGGAGGATGGGCAGCACTGAGAACTAAGGAGAGATACTTCCCTGAGCAGACTATAGGGATAGAAGAGACTCGTTTCCATTATATATGTAAATTTAGGGAAACTGCAAACAAATTGAAAGATTTGCTAAAAGTCATGTCATGAGTTGGGAAGCAGATGATTGGGAAATAAGTTCCACAATTTCTTAACTTCATTCAGGCCAGGGTCTGGCCCCAAAAAGTGACACAGATGAAATGGCTAAGACTCACTGGTTAGTAAAAACTGACCAGTCCTGGGGACAAATATGCCAACTCACTCATATCATGTAATCATTATGGTTGTCCTTAGCCCTTCTGTCCATCTTCTACTAAGCACTACTTTCTCAAATCGCTTTTCATTTATCTCTGAGCTTGTGCTTCAAACTAAATGTTCTATTTAGTCTTTACCTCTGCTGCTTCCTTCTTCCCTTCTCTAATTTTTAATGTTATTTTCTTTCCCACTGCAGACTTTTTTTTTGTAAAAGTGAAAGCATGGTAGCAAAAAGCAGTGAAGTCATTTTATATGTTTATTTCCTACACTTATTTCATGTACTATGGCACATAAACATCAACAACTAAGTGCACTCAAATAGTTACCATCTCTAAGAAACTGAAATTGCTGAGGAAGGCTAACAGGCCTACTTTTAGATGCGTATTGTATTGGCCCATTCTCACACAGCTATGAAGAAATACCTGCGACTGGGTAATTTATAAAGGGAAGAGATTTAATTGACTCACAGTTCCACAGGGCTGAGGGCCTCAGGAAACTCACAATCATGGTGGAAGAGGAAGCAAGCACCTTCTTCACATGGTGGCAGGCGAGAGAAGAGTGCACGCGTGTGTATAAAGTGAAGGGGGAAGAGTCCCTTATAAAACCATCAGATTTCATGAGAACTCACTCACTATCATGAGAACAGCATGGGGAAAACCACCCCAATGATCTAATCACCTCCCACTAGGTCTTGCCCTCAACACCTGGGGATTACAACTCAAGGACTGGATGGGGACACAAAGCCTAACCATATCACATATTTACCCACTCAATTCTAAACCAGTGATTCTCAAACTGGAGCATGCATTAGAATCACCTGGTGGGCTTGTTAGAGAGTAGACTGCTACCCACTTCTCCAGATTCCTGATGCAGTAGACTTGGGATGAGGCTCCAGATTTTGCATTTCTAAGAAGTTCTCAGGGGATGTTGATGCTCTCAGTCTGGGGAACACAAGACAGACAAACACTATTGCTCTACCCAGTTGTTTTCCATCTTTGCTGAATACTAGAATCAGCTTGGGATCTTTTCAAAAACCCAAAGCCCATTCTGCATCTTATATCAATTAAATCAAAATCTTTGGGGGGTGGTACCAACAGATCAATACTTTTCATGGCTCCCCAGTTGATCCCAATTTACAGCCAAGTTTGAGAGCCAATGCTGTAGACAACAAAGGTGGGTTTTTTAAAAAAAGTTTCTGTTTCGTTTAAGCAAGTGAGGAGAATATAATAATTACCTCGTGTTTACTAGTGCTGATATTTTTTAAAGAGTGCCTTCCTATCCAAGTAATATTAATAAATGGCTTGTTACAGTTCCAAATATTTGTGTTCAATGTTAGGAAGGTGGTATGAGAAACAAGGACAATTAAAAGTACAGATAGTCTGAGAGAGTGGCCAGAAATTTGACAAGGCAAAGTCAGGCCTTGATGCTTCCAGAAATCTCAGATCAGAATATCCAAGAGAGGGCTGTGGAAGTATTTCTCTGACAACTGCCTGAGAATTTATGCTTTCTTTTAAGCCAAAGGAGGTTCCTTAGACCCATCTTCTTGGCTCTACCCCCTTGGCTCATTGTACAGAACTAATAAAAACTTTCATCTGTCCTTGACTAAGATGTCTCATTGCCAGTATTGGCACCAGAACAGTGGTTCCCAATTTTGCACATAAGCATCATCTGAAGAGCTTAAAAAATACTGATGCCCATTTCCCACCCTCAAAAATTGTGATTTAGTTAGTCTTAGGTGACCTGGACTCTGGAATTTTCAGTTTTCCTGGTGAGTCTAGCATGCAGAGATAATTTGGGAACTAATTAGAGCAATGAGTTCTGTTATAGCCCCCTTCTGTTAGAGGTTTTGATTGCCTGCTCTGTTCATTTTGGACCCCAGATGCTTCACTTGTCCTAGACACCTATTACAAAACTGTTTGAAGACATTCTTTCACTTGAGGTTTGGTATAATGACAGAAGGGATAGCTGATAATGAAGGAAATCTCACTGTACAATGAGAAAGTTAACCTAGACAACTAACTCCTTGATACTTAAATGATGGTCCATGACTAGCAACATCAGCATCACCTGGAAAAGTTTTAGAACTGCAAATAGTTGAGGCCCATCCCAGACATGACGGCTACTCAGGTGATTTGTATACCCATTAAAGTCTGAGAACCAGTCTGCTCCTTCAGCTTGGGTCTTGTCTCCTGAAATGGTAGCCCCAGCCCTTCTGTTCATATTCTATTAAGCATTACTTTCTTAAGTCAGTTTTCATTTATCTCTGAGCTTGTACTTCAAACTAAATGTACTATTTTGTTGTTACCTCTTCTGCTCCCTTTTTCCCCTCTCTAACTTTCAATGTTACTCTCTTTCACACTGCAAGGGATTTTTTTTTTTTGTAGAAGTAAAAGCATAGTAGCAAAAAAAAAAAAAAAAAAAGCAGCAAAGGCACTTTATAAGCCTGTTATATTTTCTACAATTATTTCATGTACTATGACATATAAAATCAACCACATTAGTTACACTCATATAAAACTAAGAGTGAATTCTAATGTAAATGATGGATTTGGTTGCAAAAGTTGTGTCAGTGTAGGCTCACCAATTGTAACAAATGTACTACTCTGGTGGGGGATATTGATAATGTGGAAGGCTATGCATGTGTTGGGGCAGGGAGTACATGGAAAATCTCTGTACCTTCTGCTAAATTTTGCTGTGAACTTAAAACTGCTGTAAACATAAATTCTACTAAAAAAGTTTTAAAAGACACAACATGCCAAAACACATGGAATGCAGCTTTGGCAGTGAAGAAAGGAAAATTTATAACAGTAAATAATTACATCAGAAAAGAAGACAGGTCTAAGTTTCTACCTCAAGAAATGAGAAAAAGAAGAGTGAAAGACACTCAAACAAGCATAAGAAAGGAAATGGCAAAGGTGCAAGCAGAAATCAATTAAACTGAAAACAGAAACAGTAGAGAAAATCAATGAAACACAGCACTGATTCTTTACGGGGAAAATCAATAAAACTAGCAAACCTGTAGCAACACTGACAAAAAGAAGACACAAATAAACATCAGAAATGAAGCGGAGATATCACTAAAGAACCTGAGTTTATTAAAAGGTAAATAAGAGATTACTACAAATAACTTTAGTACCATAAATTTGACAGGAGAAATAGACCAATCCCTCAAAAACTACAAACTACCAAAACTCAAACTAAGATAAAATACACATTCTGAATTGTCCTATTACCATAAAGAAACTGAATTTGTAATTAAAAACACCCAAAAAATAAAATATCCAGGCCCACGTGGTTTCACTGGAGCATTCTACCAAACATTTAAAGAATCACCAGCAATCTTATATATATTCTTTCAGAAAATAGAAGAGGGAACACATCACAACCCATTTTCTGAGGCAAGTATTACCCTGATTAAAAAAAACAAAAACAAAAACAAACAAACATAAAAACACCTACAGAAAAATAGTATTATATACTTTGATTCAAAAGTACTTAAAAAAAAAAGCAAATTAAATATAGCAATGTATTGACAGGGTTTAGGACACACAAACCCAAAATATGGAACTTTAGCATACTGAATATTTTAAGCTGAAGGAATTTGAGAAAGTGACAGAAGCAGGAAGGGCCCTCTCACCTACCTACTTCTGCTTTTCTCTTCTAAAGAAGGTCATAAAACCTAGAAAGAATTGTTTTACTCTCCCCTGAAGCAGGTCATAAGACTGTAATGTGACAGTGCGAACTTCACAGCCAGAGGAAAGGAACTTCCTTGTCTCTGAAAACAGAAACACAGAAGAATCTGAACAAACAGGACTTGTGAAGCTACCCCAGTTAATTACCTTTAGATCATACACCCTTTGTCCAATCATACTTCTCCACAACTGTCTACTCTTCATTTAACTTAAGCATAAAAATACACAGGTTTCCCTTTTTCTTTTTAGATCATCATTTCTGAAGGCTCCAATGTCACATAATACTTATGTTAAAATTTTTGTCTGCTTTTTTTTCCTTTTAATCTGTCTTTTTCAGTTTTATTTTTAGACCCAGCCAGAAACCTTGAGAGTTGATGAAAATCTTACTCCCCAACAGTATAAAATAATTATACACCGTGACTGAATTCTTTTTACTTCACCAAATTTGCTTCAATGTTGAAAAATCAACCATAAAAAAATCAACCAATGTAATCCACCCTATCAACAAGTTAAAGAAGAAAAAAATCAAATGTCATGTAAATTGACTCAGACAAAGCAGCTGACAATCCAACAGCCATTCATAATTAAAAACAAAACAGGTGGTTCAGTGGACTCAATCATTCTAGCCTGCTGGCTCTGGGGAGTACAGGTGGTCTGGATGAGGAGGAGTGCCCCACAACGCAGCACAGTTGCTGTGCTAGATCGTTGCCAGACTGCTGCTGTAAGTGGGACCCTGATCCATCCTTCCTTACTGGGCAGGGCTTCCCTGAGGGACTTTCACCAACTCCAGCTGTGGTTATAATTCTGATCTCTCCCTGGGATGGAGCCCCCAGGGGGAGGGACAGCCACTGTCTCTGTGGTTCAGTCAACTCAGCCTTTTCAGCCTGTGGCTCTGGAGAGACCAAGTGGTCTGGATGAGGAAGAGTTCCCCACAATGCAGCAAACCAGTTCTACCAAAAAGCAGCCAGACTGCTGATTTAAGTGGGTCTCTGATCTCATTCCTCCTGACTGGGTGAGACCTCTCAAGAGGGGTCTCCAGACACCTCCTACAGGAGCACTCTGGAAACAGGTCAGTATCCCCCTGGGATGGAGCACCCAGAGAAAGGAGTAGGCTGCCATCTTTGCTGTTTTGCAGCCTTCACTGGTGATATCTCCAGGTACAGAAAAAATGGAGGCAGCTAGGGTCTGGAGCAGACCCCCAGAAAACTGAAGCAGCACTATGGAAGAGTGGCCTCACTGATAAAAGAAAAACAAACAGAAAGCAACAACATCAACAAAAACAACCCCATAAAAAAAACCCCATTCAAAGGTCAGCAACCTCAAAGATCAAAGGTAGATAACCCCACAAAGATGAGAAAGAATCAACAGAAAAACGCTGAAAACTCAGAAAGCTAGAGTGCCTCTTCTCCTTCAAATGACCACAACACCTCTCCAGCAAGGGCACAGAATGAGACTCAGGCTGAGATGGCTGAATTGACAGAAGTAGACATCAGAAGGTGGGTAATAATGAAATTCACTGAGCTAAAAAAGCATGTTGTAACCCAATGCAAAGAAGCTAATAATTAAAATAAAACTATACAGGAGCCGATAACCAGAATAGCCAGTTTAGAAAGAAACATAACTGACCTGATTAAGCTGAAAAAACACAACATGAAAACTTAACAATGCAATCAGAAGTACCAATAGCAGAATAGACCAAGTGGAGAAAAGAATCTCAGAGCTTGAAGACTGTCTTTCTGAAATAAGACAGGCAGACAAGAATACAGAAAAAAGAATGAAATGGAACAAACAAAACCTCTGAGAAATATGGAATTATGTATAAAGACCGAACCTATGATTGATTGGAGTACCTGTAAGAGATGGGGAGAATGGAACCAAGGTGGAAAACACACTTCAGGATATCATCAAAGAGAACTTCCCCCAACCTAGCAAGAAAGGCCAAAACTCAGATTCAGGAAATCCAGAGAACCCCAGTAAGATACTCCATGAGAAGATCAACCCCAAGACAAATAATCATCAGATTCTCCAAGGTCAAAATGGAAGAAAACAATGTTAAGGGCAGCCACAGAGAAAGACCAGGTCACCTACAATGGAAGCCCATCAGACTAACAGTGGACCTCTCAGCAGAAACGCTGTAAGCCAGAAGAGATTGGGGGCCAATATTCAACATTCTTAAAGAAAAGAATTTCCAACCCAGAATTTCATATCTGGCCAAACTAAGCTTCAGATGCAAAGGAGAAATAAGATCCTTTTCAGACAAGCATAATGCTGAGGGCGTTCATCACCACCAGGCCTGCCTTGCAAGAGCTCCTGAAGAAAGCACTAAGTTGGAAAGGAAAAACTGTTACCAGCCACCACAAAAACATACTGAAATACACAGACAAGGGACACTCTGAAGCAACCATGAAACAAGTCTGCAAAATAACCAGCTACCATCATGATGACAGGACCAAATTAACACATAACAATATTAACCTTAAATGTAAATGAGCTAAATGCCCCATTTAAAGACACAGAATGGCAAGCTGTATAATGAGTCAAGACCCATCAATATACTGTCTTCGAAAGACCCATCTCACATGCAAAGACACATATAGGCTCAAAATAAAGGGATGGAGGAAAATTTACCAAGCAAATGGAAAACAGAAAAAAGCAGGGGTTCTAGTTTCTGATAAAATACACTTTAAACCAACGAAGATCAAAAAAGATAAACAAGGGCATTACATAATGGTAAAATGTTCAAGTCAACAATAAGAGCTAACTATCCTGAATATACATGCACCCAATACAGGAGCACCCAGATTCATAAAGCAAGTTCTTAGAGACCCACAAAGAGATTTAGACTCCCACACAATAACAGTGGGAAACTTTAACACCCCACTGACAATATTAGACAGATCATTGAGACAGAAAATTAACACAGATATTCAGGACCTGAACTCAGCTCTGGATCAAGTGAACCTTATTGATATCTATAGAACTCTTCACCTCAAAACAACAGAATATACATTCTTTTTATCACCACATGGCACTTTAAAATTAATCACATAATTGGAAGTAAAATACTCCCCAGCAAGTGCAAAAGAACTGAAATTATAACAGTTTCTCAGACCACAGCACAATCAAATTAGAACTCAAGACTAAGAAATTCACTCAAAACCACACAACTTCATGAAAATTAAACAGCCTGCTCCTGAATGACTCCTGGGTAAATAATGAAATTAAGGCAGAAATCAAGAAGTTCTTTGAAACTAATGAGGACAAAGAGCCAACATACCAGAATCACTAGGACACAGCGAAAGCAGTGTATTAGTCAGGGTTCTCTAGAGGGACAGAACTAATAGGATAGATGTATATATAAAGGAGAGTTTATTAAGGAGTATTGACTCACACGATCACAAGGTGAGGTCACAGAATAGGCCATCTGCAAGCCAAGGAGCAAGGAAGCCAGTCCGAGTCCCAAAGCTGAAGAACTTGGAGTCCAATGTTCAAGGGCAGGAAGCATCCAGCACAAGAGAAAGATGTAGGCCAGAAGACTAAACCAGTGTAGTCTTTCCACGTTATTCTGCCTGCTTTTATTCTGGACACACTGGCAGCTGATTAGATTGTGCTCATGCAGATTGAGTGTGGGTCTGCTTTTCCCAGTCCACTGGCTCAAATGTTAATCTCCTTTGGCAACACCCTCACAGACACACCCAGGAACAATACTTTGCATCCTTCAATCCATTCATGTTGACACTCAATATTAACCATCACAAGCAGTGTAAGAGGGAAATATATAGCACTGAATGCCCACATCAAAAGGATAGAAAAATCTCAAATTTACAACTTAACATCACAACTAAAAGAATGAGAGAACTAAGAACAAACAAACCCCAAAGCTAGCAGAAGGCAAAAATTAACTAAGATCAGAGCAAAACTGAAGGAGACAGAGACACAAAATGCCATTCAAAAAACCAACGAAACAAGAAGCTGTTTTTTTTGTGAAAAAAAAATTAGTAAAATAGACTGCTAGCTAGACTAATAAAGAAAAAAAAAGAAGAATCAAATAGACACAATCAGAAATGATAAAGGGGATATCACCACTGACCCCACCGAAATACAAGAAGCAACCATCGGAGAATACTGTAAATGCCTCTATGCACATACACTGGAAAATCTAGAAAAATTGATAAATTCCTGGACACATACACCCTCCCAAGACTGAACCAGGAAAAAACTGAACACCTGAATAGACCAATAACGAGTTCTGAAATTGACTCAGCAAAAAATAGCCTACAACCAAAAAAAAAAAAAAGAAAAAGAAAGCCCAGTACTAGATGGATTTAGAGCTGAATTCTACCAGAGGTACAAATAAGAGCTGGTACCATTTCTACTGAAACTACTCAAAACAATTGAAAAGAAGGGACTCCTCCCTAACTCATTTTATGAAGCCAGCATCATCCTGATACCAAAATCTGGCAGAGATACAACAAAAAAAGAAAACTTCAGGCCAATATCCCTGATGAACATCAATGGGAAAATCCTCAAAAAAAAAAAAAAATACTGGTGAACCGAATCCAACAGCATATCAAAAAGCTAATCTAGCACTATCAAGTTGGTTCCATCCCCAGGATGCAAGGTTGGTTCAACATAAGCAAATCAATAAATGTAATTTATCACATAAACATAAATAAAGACAAAAACTAAATGATTATCTCAATAGATGTAGAAAAGGCCTCCAATGAAATTCAACACCTCTTCATGTTAAAAACTCTCAATAACCTATGTATTGAAGGAAAATACTCAGAATAATAAGAGCCATTTATGACAAACCAACAGTCAATATCAAACCGAATGGGCAAAAGCTGGACGCATTCCCTTTTAAAACCAGCACAAGACAAGGATGCCTTCTCTCACCACTCCTATTCAACATAGTATTGAAAGTTCTGGTGAGGGCAATCAGGCAAGAGAAAGAAATAAAGGGTATTCAAATAGGAAGAGAGGAAGTCAAATTATCCTTGTTTGCAGATGATATGATTCTATATCTAGAAAACCCCATTGTCTCAGCTGAGAAGCTTCTTTCTGTCTGTCTTTCTTTCTTTTTCTTTTTATTATACTTTAAGTTCTAGAGTACATGTGCACAACGTGCAGGTTTGTTACATATGTAAACATGTGCCACGTTGGTGTGCTGGACCCATTAACTCATCATTTACATTAGGTATTTCTCCTAATGCTATCCCTCCTTGCTCCCTCGACCCCATGACAGGCCACAGTGTATGATGTTCCCCATCCTGTGTCCAAGTGTTCTCATTGTTCAATTCCACCTATGAGTGAGAACATGATGTGTTTGGTTTTCTGTCCTTGTGATAGTTTGCTCAGAATGATGCTTTCCAGCTTCATCCATGTCCCTACAAAGGACATGAACTCATCATTTTTTATGGCTGCATAGTATTCCATGGTGTATATGTGCCACATTTTCTTAATCCAGTCTATCATTGATGGACATTTGGGTTGGTTCCAAGTCTTTGCTATTGTGAATAGTGCCACAATAAACATACGTGTGCATGTGTCTTTATAGTAGCATGATTGATAATCCTTTCGGTATATACCCAGTAATGGGATTGCTAGGTCAAATGGTATTTCTAGTTCTAGATCCTTGAGGAATTGCCACACTGTCTTCCACAATGGTTGAATTAGTTTACACTCCCACCAACAGTGTGAAAGTATTCCTTTCTCCACATCCTCTCCAGCACCTGTTGTTTTCTGACTTTTTAATGATCGCCATTCTAACTGGTGTGAGATGGTATCTCATTGTGGTTTTGGTTTGCATTTCTCTGATGGCCAGTGATGATGAGCATTTTTTCATCTGTCTGTTGGCTGCATAAATGTCTTCTTTTGAGAAGTGTCTGTTCATATCCTTCACTCACTTTTTGATGGGGTTGTTTGATTTTTTCTTGTAAATTTGTTTAAGTTCTTTGTGGATTCTGGATATTAGCCCTTGTCAGACGAGTAGATTGCAAAAATTTTCTCCCATTCTGTAGGTTGCCTGTTCACTCTGATGGTAGTTTCTTTTGCTGTGCAGAAGCTCTCTAGTTTAATTAGATCCCATTTGTCAATTTTGGCTTTTGTTGCCACTGTTTTTGGTGTTTTAGTCATGAAGGCCTTGCCCATGCCTATGTCCTGAATGGCATTGCCTAGGTTTTCTTCTAGGGCTTTTATGGTTTTAGGTCTAACATTTAAGTCTTTAATCCATCTTGAATTAATTTTTGTATAAGGTGTAAGGAAGGGAACCAGTTTCAGCTTTCTACATATGGTTAGCCAGTTTTCCCAGCACCATTTATTAAATAGGGACTCCTTTCCCCATTTCTTGTGTTTGTCAGGTTTGTCAAACATGAGATCGTTGTAGATGTGTGGTGTTATTTCTGAGATCTCTGTTCTGCTCCATTGGTCTATATGTCTGTTTTGGTACCAGTACCATGCTGTTTTGGTTACTGTAGCCTTGTAGTATAGTTTGAAGTTAGGTAGCGTGATGCCTCCAGCTTTGTTCTTTTGGCTTAGGATTGTCTTGGCAATGTGTCAGCCCAGAAGCTTCTTAAGCAACTTCAGCAAAGTCTCAGGATACAAAATCAGTGTGCAAAAATTGCTAGCATTCCTATACACTGACAACAGGCAAGCCGAGAGCTAAATCATGAATAAACTCCCATTCACAATTGTTACAAAAAGAATAAAATACCTAGGAATACAGCTAACAAGGAAAGTGAAGGACCTCTTCAAGGAGAACTACAAACCACTGTTCAAGGAAATCAGAGAGGACAAACAAATGGAAAAACATTTCATGCTCATGGATAGGAAAAATCAATCATGAAAATAGTTATACTGCCCAAAGTAATTTATAGATTCAATGCTATTTCCATTAAACTACCATTGACATTCTTCACAGAATTAGAAAAAAAACTATCTTAAAATTCATATGGAACCAAAAAGGAGTCTGAATAGCCATGACAACCCTAAGCAAAAAGCACAAAGCTGGAGGCATCATGCTACCCAACTTCAAACTATACTGCAAGGCTACAGTAACCAAAACAGCACGGTACTAATACAAAAGCAGACACACAGATCAATGGAACAGAATAGAGAACTCAGAAATAAGACCGCACAACTACAACCATCTAATCTTTGGCAAATCTTACAAAAAAACAAGCATCAAGGAAATAATTCCCTATTTAATAAACGGTGCTGGGGGAACTGGCTAGCCATATGCAGAAAATTAAAACTGGATGCTTTCCTTACACCTTATGCAAAAATTAACTCAAGATGGATTAAAGACTTAAATATATAACCCAAAACTGTAAAAACTCTAGAATAAAATCTAGGCAATACCATTCAGGACATAGGCACGGGTAAAGATTTCATGATAACAATGCAAAAAGCCATTGCAACAAAAGCAAAAATTGACACATGGCATCTAATTAATCTAAAGAGCTTTTGCACTGCAAAAGAAACTATCTTCAATGAATAGACAACCTACAGAATGGGAGAAAATTTTTGCAACACTGCCATCTGACAAGGGTCTAATATCCAGCGTTTACAAGGAACTTAAACAAATTTACGAGAAAAAGCCAAACAACCGAATTAAAGTGGGCAAAGGACATGAACAGACAGTTTTCAAAAGAAGATATTTATGCAGCCAACAACCATGTGAACAAAAGCTCAACATCACTGATCATTAGAGAAATGCAGATCAAAACCACCATAAGATACCATCTTGTACCAGTCAGAATGGCTATTGTTAAAAAAATCAAGAAACAAAAAATGCTGGTGAGGTTGTGGAGAAAAAGGAATGCTTATACGCTGTTCATGGGAGTGTAAATTAGTTCAACCATTGTGGAAGACAGTGCAGCAATTCTCAAAGTTCTAGAAGCAGAAATACCATTTGACCCAGTGATCCCATTACTAAGTATATACCCATAGGAATATAAATCATTCTATTATAAAGATACATCCATGCATATGTTCATTGCAGCACTATTCACAATAGTAAAGACATGGAATCAACCCAAATGCCCATGAATGATAGACTGGACAAAGAAAATGTGGCACATATACACCATGGAATACTATGCAGACATAAAAAGGAATGACAACATGCCCTTTGGAGGGACATGTATGGTGCTGGAAGCGAATATCCTCAGCAAACTAACACAGGAACAGAAAACCAAACATTGCATGTTCTCACTTATAAGTAGGAGCTGAACAATGAAAACACATGGATACTGGGGGAACAATACATACTGGGGCCTGTCAGGAAGGTTGGGGAGGGAGAGTATCAGGAAGAACAGCTAATGGATGCTGGGCTTAATAGCTAGGTCATGGGATGATCTGTGCAGCAAACCACCATGGCACATGGTTACCTATGTAACAAACCTGCACATCCTGCACAAGTACCCCGGAACTTAAAATAAAAGTTGAACAAAACAAAACAAAACCTCTGCAAATTAGGAATAAAGAGGAATTATCTCAACTTGATAAAGAACATCTACAAACATCATACATAATGGTTAAAAGCTGAATGTTTTCCCCCTTAACATCCAGTGATGTTAGCTTTCACTACTCTTATTCATCATACTATTGGAATTTCTAGCCCTTTAATAAGGCAAGAAAATGTGATCAAAGGCATACAGTTTGGAAAGGAAGGAGTGAAACTGTTCCTATTTGTAAATGAAATTATTGTATACATAGAAAATCCCAAAAAGGGAGGCAGAGAAAGATGGTGAAATAAAAGGCCCCACTGATTATTCTCCCCAAAAGGACACCAATTTAAGAGGTATCTACACAAAAAAGCACCTTCATAGGAACCAAAAGTCAGGTGAGTGCTCACAGTACCTGATTTTAACTTCATATTGCCAAAAGAGGCACTGAAGGCGTACAAAAATCAGTCTTGAATCACCAATGCCACCCCTCACTCATCTTCCAGCAGAGGCAGCATGGTGCAGAAAGCATTTCTGGGCTCTGGGGAGAGGGGAAATGCAAAAATTATGAGACATTGAACTCAGTGCTACCCTAGTATAACAGAAAACAAAACCAGACCAAATTCAGCTGATGTATGCCCATGGAACGAGCATTTAAAATAGCCCTAGCCAGAGGGGGATCACTGATCCCAGTGGTCTAAACTTGACTTCCCACAAACGTCACCATCATGGGCTAAAGTGCTTTGGGGCTCCAAATAAACTTGATAGGCAGTTTAGGCCACAAGACTGAAGCTCCTAGGTTAAGTCCTATTGCTGAAAAGAGCCCAGAGACAGTGAGGTGGGGAACACGTGACATACTAAGACACCAGGCAGGGAGGCTAAGGGATTGATGGCATCACTCTCCCCCAACCCCAGGATGCACAGCTCATTGCTTCAAAGGAAACCCCTTTCTTCTGCTTGAGGAGAGGAGAGGGAAGAATGAGGAAGACCTTGTCTTGCATCTTGGATACCATCTCAGATAGACCAGGATACAGCACCAGTCAGAGGTGTGAGGTCCCTTTTCCAGGGCCTATTTCCCAAATAACATTTATGGACATACCCTGGGAAAGAAGAGGACCTGCTGCCTTGAAGGGAAGGAACCAGTCCTGGCAGGATTCACAACCTGCTAACTGAAGGGCTCTTGGGCCCTGAATGACCAACAGTGATACCCAGGTACTACACTGAGGGCCTTGGGTGAGACTCTGATACTTGTGGCTTCAGGTGAGGCTCAGCACATTTTCACCTGTGGTGGCTACAGAGTGAGATTCCTTGCACTTGAGAAGAGCAAAGCGAAAAGTACAGGGGACTTTGTCTTGCACCTTAGGTACCAGCTTGGCCATGGGTGAGGGGACAGTAAGAGGACCAAGGGGGCTCTTGGGGTCCTGATTCCAGGAATTGGCTCTTAGATGGCATTTCTGGACCTGCCCTGGGCCAGAGAGGAGCCTACTGCCCTAAAGAGTGAGTCCCAGGCCGGGCAGCATTCACCACAAGCTGACTGAAGAGTCCTTGGGACTAACGGAAACACAGATGGTAGTCTGGAAATATTCCCTAATGGCCTGTGGTGGCAGTGGCCATGGAGTGAGGCTCCTCTGCCTTTGGAAAGGGCAGGAAAGAATGGAAAGGACCACATCTTGTCTGAGTGCCAGCTCAGCAACAGTACAATAGATAACCAGGTAGACTTCTAAGGTTTTTGACTCTAGTCCCTGGCTCCTGGACAGCACCTCTGGACCCATCTGGGACCTGGGGAAACTCACCATCATAAAGGGAAGGAAAAGGGCCTGGATGGCTTTGCAATTTGCTGATTGTAAAGTTCCAGGGCCTTGAACAAACATAGGCCATAGCCGGAGAGTGGTCACGGCAGGCCTTGAGTAAGACCTGGTGCTATGCTGATTTCAGGTCTGATCCAGTCCAGTCCTAGTGATGGTGGCCACAGGAGTGGTTGTGTCATTCCAGTCCCTGCTGTAGGTGGCTCAGACAGAGAGAAAGACTCTGTTTCGGAGAAAGTAAGGGAAGAGAATAAGAATCTCTGCCGGTAATTCAAAGAATTCTCCTGGACCTTGTCCAAGACCATCAAGGCAGTACCTCTATGACTCTGGAAGAACTACAGTGCTACTGGGCTTGGGGTGACCCCTAAAGCAGATACAGCTTAGATTAAAACACCGAAGTCCTTTCAAATCTCTAGGAAGTCTTCCCAAGAAGGATGGCTACAAAGAAGCCCAGACAATGAAGACTGCAATAAATACCTAACTCTTCAATGCCCAGAAACCAAAGAACATCTACTAGCATCAACACCGTTCAGGAAAACATGAACTCAACAAATGAACTACATAAGTCACCAGGAACTAATTGTAGAGAAAGAGAGATATGTGACCTTTCAGACAGAGAATTCAAAATAGCTGGGCAAACTCAAAGACATTCAAGCTAACACACAGAAGGAATTCAGAATTCAATCAGACAAATTTAACGAAGAGATTGAAATCATTTTAAAAAATCAAGCAGGACTATTGGAGTTGAATAATGTAATTGACACAATTAAGAATGCATCAGAGTCTTTTAATAGCAGAATTGATGAAGCAGAAGAAAGAATTAGTGAGCTTAAAGACAGGCTATTTGAAAATAGTCAGAGGAGACAAAAGAAAAAGGAATGGAAAATGAATGAAGCATACCTACAAGATCTAGAAAATCTCAAGATGGCATGCCTAAGAGTTACTGGCCGTAAACAGAAGGTAGAGAAAGAGATAGGGGTAGATAGTTTTCAAATGGATAATAACAGAGAACTTGCAAACCTAGAGCAAGATATCAACATCCAAGTACAAGAAGATTATAGAACACCAAGCAGATTTAACTCAAAGAAGTCTACCTCAAGGAATTTAACAATCAAACTCCCAAAGGTCAAAAAAATTTCTTAAAAGAATCATAAAAGCAGCAAGAGAAAAGAAACAAATAACATCCAATGGAGCTCCAATACGCCTGGCAGGAGACTTTTCAGTGGAAAACTTACAGGCCAGGAGAGAGTGGCACGACATATTTAAAGTGTTGAAGTAAAACAGAAACTTTTACCCTAGAATAGTATATCCAGTGAAAATATTATTCAAAGATGAAGGAGAAATATTTTCCCAAACAAAAGCTAAGGGATTTCATCAATACCAGGTCTGTCCTACAAGAAATGCTAAAGGAAGTACTTCAGTCAAAAAGAAAACAACATTAATGAGCAGAAGAAATCAGCTGGAGGTACAAAACTCACTGGTAATAGTAAGCACACAGAAAAACACAGACTATTATAATGCTGTAACTGAGTTTTATAAACTACTATTATCTTAAATAGAAAGACTAAATGATGAACCAATCAAAAATAATAGCTACAAAAACTTTTCAATACATAGATGGTGCAATAAGATATAAATGGGAACAACAGAAAGTTAAATAGCAAAAATAATAAGATAGGGAGCAGAATTTTTATTAGTTTTCCTTTTGCTTGTTTGTTTATGCAAAATGCGTTAAGTTGTTATCAGGTTAAAATAATGGGTTAAGAGGGATAAGATAGTATTTGCAAGACTCATGGTAACCTCAAACCAAAAAACATACAATGGATATACAAAAAATAAAAAGCAAGAAATTAAAACATACCACCTGACAAAATCACCTTCACTAAAAGAAGGCAGGAAGGAAGGAAAGAAGGAAGAGAAGACCACAGACACACACAAAAAGAAAACAAATAATGAAGCAGCAGGACTAAGTCCTTATCAATAATAACATTGAATGTAAATGGACTAAACTCTTCAATAAAAAGACAGAGTGGCTGAATTGATTTTAAAATAAATAAGACCCAGTGATCTGTTGCCTACAAAAAACACATTTCACTTATCAAGACACACATAGACTGAAAATAAAGTGATGGAAAAAATATTCCATGCCAATGGAAACCAAAAAAGAGCAGGAGTAAGCTATACTTATATCAGACAAAATAGATATTAAGACAAAAACTATAAAGAGAGACAAAGGAGGTTACTAAGTAATGATAAAGGGGTCAATTCAACAAAAGGATATAACAATTTTAAAATATACACACCCAATATGGAAGCACATGGATATATAAAGCAAATATCATTCAAACTAAAAAGATAAATAGGCCCCAATACAGTAATAGCTGGAAACTTCAACCCCTCACTTTCAGCATTGGACAGATGTTCCAGACAGAAAATCAACAAAGAATCATGAGAGTTAATCTGCACTACAGACCAAATGGATCTAATATATATTTATAGAACATTTTATCCAAGAACTGCATAATACACATTATTTTCCTCAGCACATGAATCATTCTCAAGGATAAACCATATGTTCTTAGGTCACAACAAGTCTTAAAATATTTTTTTTAAAAAACCTGAAATAATATCAAGCACCTTCTCTGACAATAAAGGGATAAAACTATAAATCACTAATAAGAAAAATCTTGGAAACTATTCAAATACATAGAAATTAAACAATATTTGCCTGAATGACCAGTGGGTCAATGTATAAATTAATAAGGAAATTGAAAAAATTTATTGAAACAAATGACAATCTAGACACAACACACCAAAATCTATGGGATACAGCAAAAGCATTACTATGAAGGAATTTTATAGCAATAATGGCCTACATCAGAAAAGAAAAAATACTTCAAATAAACAACTTAATGATGCATCTTAAAGAACTAAAAAAGCAAGAACATAGCAAACCCCAAATTAAAGAAAAGAAATAATAAAGATCAGAGCAGAAATAAATGAAGTTGAAGAAAACAATACAGAAGACAAATGAAGCAAAAATTTATTTTTTGAAGTTAAACAAAACTGACAAACCTTTTGCCAGACTAAGAAAAAGAGAAGATTCAAATAAGTAAAATCAGAGGTGAAAAAGGAGACATTACAAGGGCTACCACAGAAATTCAAAGGATCATTAGTGGCTACTAGGAACAACTATATGCCATTGAATTGGAAATTCTAGAAGAAGTAGACAAATTCCTAGATACATACAACCTACCAAGATGGAACCTGGAAGAAATCCAACACCTGAACAGACCAGTAATGTGACAGAAGCTGTAATAAAAGTCTCAGAGTAAAGAAAAGCCTAGGACCTGATGGCTGCACTGCTGAATTCTAGCAAATGTTTAAAAAAGAACTAACATTAATTCTACTCAAACTATTCCAAAAAACAGAGGAGGATGAAATACTTCCAAACTCATTCTACGAGGCCAGTATTACTCTGATAGCAGAGTAATAGACAAAGTCACATCAAAAAAAGGAAACTACAGACCAATCTCTCTGATGAATATTGATGCAAAAATCCTCAACAAAATACTCGCAAATCAAATTCAACAATACAATAAAAACATCATTCATCATGACCAAGTGGGATTTATCCCTGGGATACAAGTTGAGTTCAATATATGAAAATCAATCAATGTGACACATCATATAAACAGAATGAAGGATAAAAACCATATGATCATTTCAATTGATGATGGAAAGTCATTTGATAAAATTTAATATCCTTTTATAATAACAATACTAAAAACACTAGGTATAGAAGGAACAAAACTCAATGTAATAAAAGCCATATATGATGGACTGACAGGTAGTATAACAAGAATGGGAAAAACTGAAAGTCTTTCCTCTAAGATCTGGAACACAATAAGGATGCCCACTGTCACTGCTGTTATTCAACATAGTACTGGAAGTCTCAGCTAGAGCAATAAGACAGGAGAAAGAATTAATGGGCATCCAAAGTGGAATGGAAGAAGTCAAATTATTCTTGTTTGCAAATAATATCTTATATTTGGAAAAACCCAAAGACTCCACCAAAAAAAGCATTAGAACTGATAAACAAATCTAGTGAAGTTACAGGATACAAAATCAACATACAAAAATCAGTAACATTTCTATATGCCAACAGTGAAAAATCTGAAAAAGAAATCAAGATATAATCCCATTTACAATAACTACAAATAAAATCAAATACCTAGGAATTAACCAAAGAAGTGAAAGAGCTCGACAATAAAACTATAAAACACTGTATAAAAACTATAAAACACTGATGAAATAAATTGAAGCAGACCCCAAAAAATGGATGTTCATGGATTGGAAGAATCAATATTGTTAAAATGTCCATACTACCAAAGTAATCTACAGATTCAATGCAATTTCTATTAAAATGCCAATGATATTCTTCACAGAAATAGAAAAAACGATCCTAAAATTTATATGGAACCACAAAAGACCCAGACTAGTCAAAGCTATCCTGAGAAAAAAGAACAAAATGGGAGGAGTCACATCACCTGACTTCAAATTATGCTACAAAGCTATAGTAACCAAAACACTATGGTAGTAGTATAAAAACAGACACATAGGCCAATGGAACAGTATAGAGAACCCAGTAACAAATCCACACACCTACAGTGAATGCATTTTGACAAAGGTACCAAGAACATACACTGGGGTAAAGACAGTCTCTTCAATAAATGGTGCTGGGAAAACTGGTTATCCATATGCGGAAGAATGAAACAGATCCCTATGTCTTGCCATATACAAAAATTAAATCAAAACGGATTAAAGGCTTAAATCTAAGACCTCAAACTATGAAACTACTACAAGACGACATTGGGGAAAATCTCTAGGACTTTGGACTGGGTGAAAATTTCTTGAGCAATACCCCACAAGCCCACAAGCACACACAACCAAAACAAAGGTGGACAAATGGGATCACATCAAGTTGTAAAGCTTCTGCACAGCAAAGGATATAATCAACAAAGTGAAGAGGCAACCCACAGAATGGGAGAAAATGTCTGCAAACTACTCATCTGGGAAGGGATTAACAACCAGAATATATAAGCAGCTTAAACAACTCTATAGGAAAAAAAAAATCTAATAATCCCATCAAAAATGGGCAAAAGAGTTGAAGAGACAGTTCTCAAAAGAAGACATACAAACGACAAACAGGCATATGAAAAGGTGATCATCATCAGTGATTATCAGAGGAACGCAAATTAAAACTACAAATATTATCTCATCCCAATTTAAATAGCTTATATCCAAAAGACAGGCAATAAGAAATGCTGGCAAGTATGTGGACAAAAGAGAACCTTGGTACAGTGTTGGTGGGAATGTAAATACAACCACCATGGAGAACAGTTTGAAAGCTCCCCAAAAATCTTAAACTAGAGCTACCATATCATCTGGCAATCCCATTGTTGGTGATATACCCAAAAGAAAGGAAATCAGCATGTTGAAGAGACATTTGCACTCCCATGTTTGTTGCAGCATAGATCACAATAGCCAAATTTGGAAGCAACCTAAGTGTCCATCAACAGATGAACGGGGCCAGGCACAGTGGCTCATGCCTATAATCCCAGCATTTTGGGAAGCCGAGGCAGGCGGATCACCTGAGGTCAGGAGTTCGAGACAAGCCTGGTCGACATGGTGAAACCCTGTTTCTACTAAAAATACAAAAATTAGCTGGGTGTGGTGGCGTGTGCTTGTAATCCCAGCTACTTGGAAGTCTGAGGCAGGAGAATTGCTTGAACCTGGGAGGCGGAGGTTGCAGTGAGCTGAGATCGTGCCACTGTACTCCAGTCTGGGTAACTGAGTGAGACTTTGTCTCCCAAAAAAAAAAAAAAAAAAAAAAAAAAAAACCAGATGAATGGATAAAGAAAATGTGGTACATATACATAATGGAGTACTATTCAGCCATAAAAAAGAATGAAATCCTATCATTTGCAACATGGGTGGAAGTAGAAATCATTATGCTAAGTGAATTAAGCCAGTCACAGAAAGATAAACATCACATGTTTTCACTTATTTGTGGGATCTAAAAATCAAAACAATTGAACTCATGGAGATAGAGAGTAGAAGGATGGTTACCAGAAGCTGAGAAGGGTAGTGGGGATGTTGGTGGGGAGAGGGAGGTGGGGATTGTTTACGAGTACAAAAAAAAAAAATAGTTACAAAGAATGAATAAGACCTAGTATTTGACAGAAGAATGGGGTGACTATAGTCAATTTAATTGTATATTTTAAAGAAACTAAAAGAGTATAATTGGATTGTTTGTAATACAAAGTATAAATGCTTGAGGGTGTGGATACCTCATTTTACATTATGTAATTATTATACATTGCATGCCTGTATCAAAATACCTTATGTACCCTATAAATATATACACCTACTATGTGCCCACAAAAATTAAAATTTAAATTAAAAAATCCCAAGGAAATAACACAAAAAGTCTTAGAACTTATAAATGAGTTCATTAAGGTTACAGGATACAAAATTAACACATAAATATCAATTATATTTTTACAATAACAATGAACATGTGGAAAACAAAATGAAAAACCGAATACCACTTACAAGCACTTCAAAGAAAATGATATAGTTATAAATCTAACAAAACATGTACAGGGCTTGCTTATATACTTAGAATTATAAAATGCTATTGAAAGAAATCAAAGGATACCTAAGTAATTGCAGATACATATTATGTTTATAGATTGGAAGACTCAACATAGAAGAGATGTCACTTGTTCCCAGACTGATCTATAAATTCAATGCAATTCCTACCAAAATACCAGTAAGGATTTTGGTAGGCATAGATAGACAAGCTTATTCTAAAATTTATTTGGAAAGCTACAGGCCCTAGAGTAGCTAAAACAATCTTTAAAAAATAGGAATTATGTGGGAATAGTCACTCTACCTAAAATTAAGCGTTAGTACGTAGCTATAGTAATCAACACAGTGTGGTATTGGCTGAGTAATAGACATTGATCTGATAGATCAAATAAATAAAATAGAGAACCCAGGAACAGATCCATATCAACATGTCCAAATGATGTTTGACAAAAGTGCAAAAGTAATTCAATGGAGGAAGTATAGTCTTTTCAACAAGTGATGCTGAAGAAATTGGGCATACATTGGCAAAAAAATGAACCTTGGCCTAAATCTCACATCTATTATGAAAATTAACTCAAAATGGATTGTAGACTTAAATATAAAATGTAAGACTTTCAGAAAAAATAAAAAGCATAAGAGAAAGTCTTTAGGACCAGGGGCTTTTAGACTTTATACCAAAAGCACAACCATAAAAGAAAAAAAAATTAAATTGAGCCTCATCAAAATTAAAATATTTTGCTCAGAAAATGCTATGAACTAGTTTAAAACACCACTCATTTATTTAAAAAAAGAAATGTTAACATGATAACATGTTTCCAAGTATGGCAAATAGAGATCCCATCTGATTTAGTTTATATGGAGTGGTGAGTCCACTGGTCAACTTTCCTTGGAGGCCTGGCTAAGTGTGAAGGATATGTGCTATTGTAATGCCTGAGTCACTTCCAGGGCATGCATTTCCTGTGGTTACGACTTTTCTAAAGGGTAAGTCAGCTGGAAACAACATACAATGAACGTGCACATAGAATGCTGGGCTTTGGAAAAAGAAATACATTTGGGGAAAAGTAAGTAAAGGACTTTACAGGAACCTCTTTTTTTGCAATTCTTACCTAGGACTTGGTTGTAATTTCAAAAACATGGATGATAACGTGCCTGGGCTTATTAAAACCCAGCAATATGAAGAACTGGCTTTGATTTTAGTTGCATTTAAAACTTCCACTGCACTGAAGAAGGAATCTAATACTCAGTGGCAGAATTTGAAACCCAAGGCTGACCTCTTTATGACAAAGTTGATGGCAATGAGCATTCTTGGCATCAACTCAAAATGTTTTGCTTGTAGATCCTGAAAGAAAAACTTTCTTAGGAGTCTTTCAGCCTACTGACTGGGTTGGTGTTAAGTAGTGAGGTGGGTGGGGAGAAGAAAAGCTACTGCCTGGCCTCTGGAGTTGGCCATGGCTGACATTTATCAAACCTACTATAGTAGGTGTGATCACTAGTTTTCTTATCTAATTCTCACCACAGTCTTGGAAAAAGTAAACTAAAGGAAGATTATTCAAAACTAAGAGAGGAGAAGTTACATCTATGGAATGATTATCATATGTGCCAAACATTCTGCCATGTACTTTTTTCCTTAGAACATGTTATAAGGTGAATGCTATTTTCATTCCCATTTCACAGATGAGGAAAAGGAGTCTCAGAAAGGTGAAGGGGCTTGTGGCTTCTTTTGTCAGTCCTATGCAGCTCAGCTCAAGTGTCTGTGTCTCTCTCTCTCTCGCCTGCATCCTGCAACACAAATATACCCCAATATGAATATCAGTTACAAAGATGGCTGAGCAGCCATCAAGTGTCCACCAAGGAAAGGCAGCAGGGACTGGTAGTGATCCCAGGAAGCCCAGCAACAGAGCTTGCTGTAGCTCTGAAGCAGAGAAAACAGCATGGAGATTGGCACAATATCAAGGGGTGAGGGAAGCAGGGACAGAACCAGAGTCCTAACTAACATTTTTGGCGCCCAGGGCAAGCAGTGTGAAACTCGCCTTCTCTTCAATGGAAGCTGCTCTTGATGGGGGAAGGGGCAGCCCTACGCACAAAAGGTCCCCTGGCTGGTGTGCTCTGAGCCCTTGACCTCAGGCCTCTCACTCCATCCATCTCTGCTGCTGCCAAGTGGGCTGGCCGGGGGCCAGGATGAGGCTTCCAACTGAGACCAGAGAGGTGGTGGGAGAAAAATGTGGTGCCCTGTAAATTTCTGTGCCCCAGTGACCCCACCCTAGCCAAGGCTCTGGAAAGAACAGAGCAGAATGTTGGACTGGGAAGGGAGGTGAGGGAAGTCAGAGGGGGACTAACTGAAAGAATAAGGAGAGGCTGGGGGCCATCAGTCACAAAGATGGAGTTGAACAAGTTCGCCAGAAGACAGAAAATTTTGGTAGCTAGAAGGCATTTCGGAGTTCGAGGTTTGAGAGGTGAAGTAGGAAACTGCAAGTAATAGCAGTGGTTGCTGAATAAAACAGGAGGCCCAAATCACAGGGTCAAAGAGGTCAAGGAAATGGGAGGGCTATTATTGATTCCACAAGTTTTCACTGAGCCTACTATGTGCCAGGCTTTGTGGCAGACACTTGGGATACAATGGTGAAGAAGACATGGTTCTCACCCATCTTCAAATGTGATGGGGCTAGTGGAGAGATGGGCAAAAGAGAGGCAGACAAATACAATATGATGTGGAAATGGTCCAGGGTTTACCCAGATGCTTAAGAACTGGCTCTCCTGCTTGAGAAAATTTCAGTTTACAGAGATCTTCTGTATATTCAAGAAGAAAGATGAACTTACTGTAAGAAAACACATATAAGCAAGTACTTTAGGAAGATGGAAGATGAAATTATTCACTCAGATTTCTGAGGGAGAGAGTGAGAGAAGTACAAACAGAGAGGTGAGGGGCCAAGATTGCAGAATAGGAACACCTCCAGTCTGCAGCTCCCAGAGACACCAATGCAGAAGGTGGATGATTTCTGCATTTCCAACTGAGGTACCCAGTTAATCTCATTGGGACTGGTTAGGCAGTGAGTGCAACCCATGGAGAGTGAGCAGAATCAGAATGGGGCAACGCTTTACCCAGGAAATGCAAGGGCCGGGGGGACCTCCCTCCCCCTGCCGAGGGAAGCCATGAGAGACTGTGCTACGCGGCCTGGGTACTACGCTTTTCCCATGGTTTTTGCAATCTGCAGACCAGGAGATTCCCTCATGTGCCTATACCAACAGGATCCTGGGTTTCAAGCATAAAACTTGGTGGCTGTTTGGGCAGACGCCAAGCTAGCTGTAGGAGTTTTTTTCATACCCCAGTGGCACCTGGAACCCCAGTGAGACAGAACCGTTCACTCCCCTGAAAAGGGGGCTGAAGCCAGGGAGCCAAGTGGTCTAGCTCAGTGGGTCCCACTCCCACAGAGCCCAGCAAGCTAAGAACCACTGGCTTGAAATTCTCACTGCCAGCACAACAGTCTGAAGTCGACTTGGGATCATCGAGCTTGGTAGGGGTAGGGGCATCCACCATTACTGAGGCTTTAGTAGGTGATTTTCCCCCGACAGTGCTAAGGAGGCTGGGAGGTTTGGACTGGGCAGAATCCACCACAGTGCAGCAAAGCAGCTATGGCCAGACTGCTTCTCTAGATTCCTTCTCACTGGGCAGGACATCTCTGAAGGAAAAGCAGGAGCCCCAATTAGGGGCTTACAGATAAAACTCTCATCTGTCTGGGACAGAGCACCTGGGGGAAGGGGCAGCTGTGAGTGCAGCTTCAGCGGATTAATTCATTCCTGCCTGCCAGCGCTGAAGAGAGCAGCTGATCCTGACAAGGGGGATTCTCTCCACACAGCGCACCAGTTCTGTTAAGGGGCAGACTGCCTCCTCAAGTGGGTCCCTGACTCCCATGCCACCTGACTGAGAGATACCTCCCAACAGGGGTCATCAGACACCTCATACAGGAGAGCTCCAGCTGGCATCAGGCTGGTGCTCCTCTGGGGCGAAGCTTCCAGAGGAAGAAGCAGGCAGCAATCTTTGCTGTTTTGCAGCCTCCACTGGTGATACCCAGGCAAATAGGGTCTGGAGTGGACCTCCAGCAAACTGCAGCAGACCTGCAGAAGAGGGGCCTGTTAGGAGAAAAACTAACAAACAGAAAGCAAAAACAGCAACATCAACATAAAAGACCTCCTCCCAACAAAAACCCCATCCAAAGGTCATCAGCCTCAAAGATCAAAGGTAGATAAATCCATGAAGATGAGGAAAAACCAGGGTAAAAACGCTGAAAATTCCAAAAACCAGAATGCATCTTCTCCAAATTATCATAACTCCTCTCCAGCAAGGGCACAAAATTGGATAGAGAATGAGATTGATGAATTGACAGATGTAGGGTTCAGAAGGTGGGTAGTAACAAACTCTTCTGAGCTAAAGGAGCATGTTCTAACCCAATGCAAGGAAGCTCAGAACCTTGATAAAAGATTACAGGAACTGCTAACTAGAATAACCAGTTTAGAGAGGAACATAAATGACCTGATGAAGCTGAAAAATGCAGCACGAGAGCTTCGTGAAGCATACACAAGAATCAATAGCCAAATTGATCAAGCAGGAGAAAGGATATCAGAGATTGAAAATCACCTTACTGAAATAAAGCGTGAAGACAAGATTAGAGAAAAAAGAATGAAAAGGAATGAACAAAGCCTCCAAGAAATATGGGACTATGTGAAAAGACCAAACCTACAATTGGCTGGTGTACCTGAAAGTGATGGGGAGAATGGAGCCAAGGTGGAAAACACACTTCAGGATATTATCCAGGAGAATTTCCCCAACCTGGCAAGACAGGCCAACATTCAAATTCAGGAAATACAGAGAACACCACTAAGATACTCCTTGAGAAGAGCAACCCCAAAACACATAATTGACAGATTCTCTGAGGTTGAAATGAAGGAAAAAATGTGAAGGGCAGCCAGAGAAAAAGGTCAGGTTACCTACAAAGGGAAGCCCATCAGACTAACAGCAGATCTCTCTGCAGAAACCCTACAAGCCAGAAGAGAGTGGGGGCCAATATTCAACATTCTTAAAGAAAAGAATTTTCAACCAAAAATTTCATATCCAGCCAAACTAAACTTCATGAGCGAAGGAGAAATAAAATCCTTTACAGACAAGCAAATGCTCAGGGATTTTGTCATCACCAGGCATGCCTTACAAGAGCTCCTGAAGGAAACACTAAATATGGAAAGGAAAAACTGGTACCAGCCACCACAAAAACACACCAAAATATAAAGACCAATGACACTATGAAGAAACTGCATCAACGAATGTGCAAAATAACCAGGTAGCATCATGACGACAGTATCAAATTCAGATATAACAATATTAACCTTAAATATAAATGGGCTAAATGCCCCAATTAAAAGGCACAGATTGGCAAATTGGATGAAGAGTCAAGACCCATCCATCGGTGTGCTGTATTCAGGAGACCTATCTCGCATGCAAAGACAAATATAGGCTCAAAATAAAGGGGTGGAGGAATATTTACCAAGCAAATGGAAAGAAAAAAAAAAGCAGGGGTTGCAATCTTAGTCTCTGATAAAACAGACTTTAAACCAACAAAGATAAAAAGTGACAAAGAAGGGTATTACATAATGGTAAAGGGATCAATGCAACAAGAAGAGCTAACTATCCTAAATATATATGCACCCAATACAGGAGCACCCAGATTCATAAAACAAGTTCTTAGAGAACTACAGAGACTTAGATTCCCACACAATAATAGTGGGAGATTTTAACACCCCACTGTCAATATTGGACAGATCAATGAGACAGAAAATTAACAAGGATATTCAGAACTCAAACTCAGCTCTGGACCAAGCAGATCTAATAGAGATCTACAGAACTCTCCACCCCAAATCAACAGAATATACATTCTTCTCAGTGCCACATAGCACTTATTCTAAAATTGATCACATAATTGGAAGTAAAACACTCCTCAGCAAATGTAAAAGAACTGAAATCATAACAGTCTGTCAGACTGCAGTGCAATCAAATTAAAACTCAACATAAAGAAATGCACTCAAAACCACACAACTACATGAAAATTGAACAACCTGCTCCTAAATGACTACTGGGTAAAGACAGAAATTAAGACAGAAATAAAGAAGTTATTTGAAACCAATGAGAACAAAGAGACAACGTGCTAGAATCTCTGGGACACAGCTAAAGCAGTGTTAAGAGGGAAATTTATAGCACTAAATGTCCACATCAGAAAGCTGGAAAGATCTGAAACAGGCACCCCAATGTCACAATTAAAAGAACTAGAGAAGCAAGAGCAAACAAATACAAAAGCTAGCAGAAGACAAGAAATAACTAAGATAAAAGCAGAACAGGAGATAGAGACACGAAAAACCTTTCAAAAAAAAAAAATCAATGAATCCAGGAGCTGGTTTTTTTAAAAGATTAACAAAATAGATAGACCACTAGCTAGATTAATAAAGAAGAAAAGATAGAAGAATCAAATTGACACGATAGAAAATGATAAAGGGGATATCACCACCGATCCCACAGAAATACAAACTACCATCAGAAAACACTATAAACACCTCTACGTGAATAAACTAGAAAATCTAGAAGAAATGGGTAAATTGCTGGACACATACACCCTCCCAAGACTAAACCAGGAAGAAGTCAAATCCATGAATAGACCAATAAAAAGTTCTGAAATTGAGGCAGTAATCAATAGCCTACCAACCAAAAAAAAGCCCAGGATCAGACAGATTCACAGCCAAATTCTACCAGAGGTACAAAGAGGAGCTGGTGCCATTCCTCCTGAAACTATTCCAAACAATAGAAAAAGAGGGACTCCTCCCTAACTCATTTTATGAGGCCAGTATCATCCTGATTGCAAAACCTGGCAGAGACACAACAAAAAAAGAAAATTTCAGGCCAATATCCCTGATGAACATCGATGCAAAAATCCTTAATAAAATACTGGCAAACTGAATCCAGCAGCACATCAAAAAGTTTATCCACCATGATCAAGTCAGCTTCATCCCTGGGATGCAAGGCTGGTTCAACATATGCAAATCAATTAATGTAATCCATCACATAAACAGAACCAATCAAAAAAACCACTTGATTATCTCAATAGATGCAGAAAAGGCATTTGATAAAATTTGATACACCTTTATGCTAAAAACTGTCAATAAACTAGGTATTGATGTAACATATCTCAAAATAATAAGAGCTATTTATGACAAACCCACAGCCAATATCATACTGAATGGGCAAAAACTGGAAGCATTTCCTTTGAAAACTGGCACAAGACAAGGATGCCCTCTCTCACCACTCCTATTCAACATAGTATTGGAAGTTCTGGCCAGGGCAATCAGGCAAGAAAAAGAAATAAAAGGTATTCAAGTAAGAAGAGAGGAAGTCAAATTGTCTCTTTGCAGATGACATGATTGTATATTTAGAAAACCCCATCATCTCAGCCCAAAAACTCCTTAAGCTGATAAGCAACTTCAGCAACTTCTTAGGATACAAAATCAATGTGCAAAAATCACAAGCTTTCCTATACACCAATAATAGAACAATCAGAGAACCAAATCATGAGTGAACTCCCATTCACAAGTGCTACAAAGAGAATAAAATACCTAGGAATCCAACTTACAAGGGACGTGAAGGACCTCTTCAAGGAGAACTACAAACCACTGCTCAAGGAAATAAGAGAGGACACAAACAAATGGAAAAAAAAATTCCTTGCTCATGAATAGGAAGAATCAATACGTGAAAATGGCCATACTGCCCAGAGTAATTTATAGATTCAATGCTATTCCCATCAGGCTACCATTGACTTTCTTCACAGAATTTGAAAAAAAAAACAAAAAACAACAACAACAACAACAACAACAAAAAACCTTTAAATTTCATATGGAACCAAAAAAAGAGCCTGTATAGCCCAAGACTACTCTAAGCAAAAAGAACAAAGCTGGAGGCATCCTGCTATCTGACTTAAAACTATACTACAAGTCTACAATAACCAAAACAGCATGGTACTTGTACCAAAACAGATATATAGACCAATGGAACAGCACAGAGGCCTCAGAAATAACACCACACATCTACAACCATCTGATCTTTGACAAACCTGACAAAAACAAGCAATGTTTTTGCTTGTTTTAGAAAGGATTCCCTATTTAATAAATGGTGCTGGGAAAACTGGCCAGCCATATGCAGAAAACTGTAACTGGACCCCTTCCTTATACACAAATTAACTCAAGATGGATTAAAGACTTAAATGTAAAACCCAAAATCATAAATACTCTAGAAGAAAACCTAGGCAATACCATTCAAGACATAGGCATGGGCAAAGTCTTCATGACTAAAACACCAAAAGTAATTGCAACAAAAGCCAAAATTCAATAATGGGATCTAATTAAATTAAAAAGCTCCTGTACAGCAAAAGAAACTATCATGTGAGTGAACAGGCAACCCACAGAATAGGAGAGTATTTCTGCAATCTACCCATCTGACAAAGGTCTAATATCCAGAATCTACAAGTAACTTAAACAAATTTACAAGAAAAAAAAACACACAACCACATCAAAAAGTGGGTGAAGGATATGAACAGACACTTCTCAAAAGAGGAAATTTATGCAGCCGACAAACATGAAAAAAGGCTTATCATCACTGGTCATTAGAGAAATGCAAATCAAAACCAAAATGAGATACCATCTGACATGAGTTAGAATGGCAATTATTAAAAAGTCAGGAAACAACAGATGCTGGTGAGGCTGTGCATAAATAGGAATGCTTTTACACTGTTGGTGGGAGTGTAAATTAGTTCAACTAATGTGGAAAACAGTGTGGCAATTTCTCAAGGATCTAGAACCAGAAATACCATTTGACCCAGCAATCCCATTACTGGGTATATATCCAAAGAATTATAAATCATTCTACTATAAAGACATATGCACACATATGTTTATTGCAGCACTATTTACAATAGCAAAGACTTGGAACCCACACAAATGCCCATCAATGATAGAATGGATAAAGAAAATCTGGCACATATATACCATGGAATAGTATGCAGCCATAAAAAGAATGAGTTCATGTCCTCTGCAGGGACATGGATGAAGCTGAAACTCATCATTCTCACAAACTATCACAGGAACAGAAAACCAAATACTTCTTGTTCTCACTCATGAGTGGGAGTTGAACAAGAAAACACATGGCCACAGGGAGGGGAACATCACACACTGGGGCCTGTCGGGGAGTGGGGGACAAGCGGAGGGAGAGCGTTAGGACAAATACCTAATACATGCGAGTCTTAAAACCTAGATGACGGGTTGATAGGTGCAGCAAACCACCATGGCACATGTATACCTATGTAACAAACCTGCATGTTCTGCACATGTATCCCAGAACTTAAAGTAAAATAAAAAATAAATTAAAATTAAAATTAAAGTTAAAAAAAGAAAAAACAGAAAGAACTTCATGAACTTTGTGGCATGTGAAAATGGGCAGGATTTAAAAGATGGAGGGGGATGGGGAGAGGATTTTAGGCTGGAGAAACAACAGCATACACATGAAGGCAGAAAAGCATAGAACACATCTAGGGACTGGGGAGCTGTTAACAGGCGTGTTTAGAGGTAAAGCTGCTGCTGGTGGTAGCAGTGGTGGGAGGGTGTGTTGGGGGAAGTGAGGGAGAGTTGAGTGTTGATAGCCAATAGAAATGAAGCTGGAAGAGTTGTTTGAGATCAGATAATAGAAAGCCTCCAATTACAGGTTTTAGCGTTCAGTCAAGATCCTATAAGTAATGAAGACCTAAATGAGATTTTTTATTTTTAAGGAAAGAAAGGTCATGATTTTTTCCCTGTGGTTTAAAAAGCAACTCCCTGGTACAAGGTCTGGGTAATGGCAGTGAGAGAAAAGAGGCAGAAATATCTCTTCAGAAAATGTTACAAAGATTCACGTGTGAGCTGAGATCCAGATATAGGGTAATGGGAATGGAAAAGGAAGCGGGGTGGTGGATTCAAGAAGCACTTGAGATGGGGCTCACAGCACTTGTCAACCAAATAAATGTGGGAGGGGCTAGAAATAACAATATAGCTATGCCGCACCTTTCTTTCCAGCTTAGGATTTTTTCTTATTGACTTTTGTGTTAAAGTGGAAGCCATATTTCTCATTTAAATTCATAAGAAAACACATAAAGATAAAGAGATTCAGTGAAATTGAAAATCAGCAAGATACCCCAACCATCTGTCTTGGCCCTGGAAGAATTGTCCTTAAGCAAAGCATGGGTGGGTTCCTAAGCAGTACAGCAGGTCCAGGAAGGAAGAAGTTGCTCCTTCATAATAATAATTTTTAAAATAATAAGATAATGCTTAACATTTATTGAGCTTTTCCTTTGTGCTCTCAGGGAGGTGTCTCATATGCACTATCTCACTTAACCCTTCTAATAATCTCATGTGGTATATATTACTATTTCTATTCCCCAATGAGAAAACAGGCTCAGTGAGGTTTAGTTCACACAGGTTTAGATAATACAGCTAGCATGTGACAAATTGGAGATTTCAACTCAGGACAATCTTCCATGCCACCAAGATTGCTTTTGAAATAAGTCTGCTTAGCTATGATGTCAGACATGAGAGTCCATTTCCAAAGCAGAAGAAAGCCAAGAAACCTTTTTTCTTAGGTAACCAGGACTTTTTTTTTTTTCACACAGCTGTTCCATGTAAAATCAAAATTCATGATTCCCAATGGACAGGCACCAAATCAACTGAGAACCTGCTAGAAATAATAAAACCTGACAGGGGATTCAGACACTAAGCAAATATACAGGAAGCAAGAACTTTCTTATATATCAAAGGTATCTGTTAGAAAACAATAAAAATAAATCCCATTCCCAACAGCTATAATAAATTTAAAACAACTAAGAATAATCCTATTAAGATGTGTGTATGGAATGGGCTATATGAAGACAATTACAATATGAGCAAGGTAGTACAGAAACGTTAAAAAGACCAAGCAAGCTGAAACCATACAAACCAGTCTTAATAATCAATGGGAAGAATTATGATTGTTCAGTGACCTTTAAAAATTTCTGCCAATACACTAAAAACTCTCTCACCATCCATTCCATTATAAAGGTATAAGAAAATGGAAAAAGTAAAATATTTAGTTCACTGTAATTTAAACATTAGAAATATTGAGAATTAAAGTGTTTGTTACTTTGTAAAAAATGTTATCAATGATAGTTCAAACAGTACTTGCCTTCTTCTTGTCTTCCATAAAAGCTAGTGTATTTTTATGCCTTGACAAATTGTAATACTCCTTTGTAAGTTTGCATCATCTTTCAATATTGTATCCTTTGCATTTTCAATGTTGCCAAATATCTCAAGGATTTCTCAAATATGTTTTTTTGTTTTGTTTTGTTTGTTTTGTTTTGGGTTTGGCTTTTTTTTTTTTTTTTTTTTTTTTTTTGCTGGTATCACTTCCTCTGGACCATGTTCATTCTTTTTGTCACAACAATTTCCCACATTTATGTCAACACTTTCACCCCCATTAAGCTCCTCTGGTTGCATTTCTAGGGTCTCTGGAATGGCGGCGGTGTCAACATTCCCACGGTTAATGATTTCTTCTGTAACTTCATTTATGTTTGATTCTAATTTCACTTCTAGCATTGTCACTTTTCGTTCCTTGCTGCACTTTCATCTTTGTTGGCCAACGCACTCTTTTGATTATCTATTTTCATAAAATATCACAGAGATTTATCGCTGAGAGACAAAGAGGCAACATGCTTTGTGCACAGGGACCAATCACCAATTGGGTTTGAAAGAAGTGATACCATTAGTCACCAATCATGATGCACTTCTGTTACTTACATAGTAAATTTGTGGACCAAAGAGATAGCACTGAAGTTTGTATTTTATGCAATTACTCATGCTTAAGATACTGTGGTGATTACATTTCAAACTGTGTTATTGGGGAACTGGTGTTATTTAATTAAACCATCACAAATGAAATTCATTAATATTAGAACCATGAAAAGAAAGGAATGTCTGTACCTTACATAAGGGCTCCAACATACTTTAATAAATGGAGATACATACTATACTTAACTTTTAAGGAATGCCTACTATGTGTCACATGCTGTTCTACATTTCTCTTTATGTGTTTATTTACTTAATCTAGCTGCAAACCCTACATAGAAGGCACTATTAATATCCCTATTTTACAGATAAAGAAACTAGGGTACAGAAATATTTAGTAACTTTCTAAAAGTCACACAGTTAGAAGTGGCAAAGCCAGAATTTGAATCCAAGCAGCCTGACTCCCAAGGCTGAACACTTTATCATGTGTTGCCTTATATACCAGAAGGCCAAGATGCTTATTTTCCCCATAATGAATTCCAGGAGGATTTTTGTAAGTAAAACTTGAAAGATTCTAAATTCACTTAGAAAGCAATGGGCTAGAGAAACTAAGAATTATCTTCTTATATTAAAACACAATTTAAGGCTGGGTGTAGTGGCTGATACCTGTAATCCCAGCACTTTGGGAGGCCGAGGCAGGTAGATCACCTGAGTCCAGCAGTTCAAGACCAGCCTGGGCAACATGGTGAAACCCCATCTCTATAAAAAATACAAAAAAAAATTAGCTGCGTGTGGTGGCATGCACCTGTAAACCCCAGCTACTTGGAGACTGAGGCCAGAGGATGGCTTGATCCCAAAAGGCAGAGGTTGCAGTGAGCCATGATTGTGCCACTGCACTCCAGTCTGAGTGACAGAGTGAGACTCTGTCTCCAAAACACACACATACACACCCACACACACAAACACACACAATTTAAAGCTACAGTAATTAAATACAGTAATTAAAACAGTGCAGCACTGGAACTAGAGTTGAGAGACACATCAATGGAATGGAGTAAAAAGCTCAAAAAATACTGTTCTATCTTTAAGTGTTTATGTTTTTCAATGGAAGAGTAAGTTATATCCCAAATCAGAAAGAAAATGAAGTGTATTATACAAGTGGTATTGAGTAAATTGGTTAACTACAGTAAAATAAAGTTGGACTGTTTTTTCATATTTCACATCAAAATTAATTTCAGGTGGCTTAAAGAGTTAATGGTAAAAATGAAACTATAAATGGATAGATAAAAATAAAAGTGAATATTTCATATAGCTTAGGGCTAGAGTAGGACTTTCGTAACACAAGAGCAATAGAAAAACTAAAAAAAATGAGTAAACTGTGCATATTCTCATTTAAAGAGATCATAAAAAGCAGTAGGAAAAACTTACAGCTCAATAGAGAATAAAATAGAAAAGGCCATAAATAGAGAAACCTAATCAATATATTTAAAATGTTAAACTCTACATGTAATAATACAACTACAAATTTACAAAGTAAGCATTTTTGGTCTAGTAATTAGCAAGATGTTTTTGTTTGTTTGCTTGTTTTATTACAGCATTACATTTGGTGAGAGTGAGATGAAACAGTGACCCTCAATACTGCTGCTGAAGGTATACATTGATACAGGTTTTCTGGAAAGCAAACTATCAATTATTTTTAATTCAGTTTTACCTGGTAATTTATTTTTTGGGAATATTTCCAAGTAATGCTAGTGCTACTTATAATATTGATAAAGGAGTGCAACGGAAAGCCTCACTGAGATAAAAATGGTTAAACAAATGTTTTACAGCCTTGTAATTGTGCAGCCATTAGTAGTAGTGTCATATATATATATGTGGAAATCCTCAAATACATTAAGCAAAAATCAAAAGTGGACCATTCAAAATTATACACTATGATCCCAATTTTTTTAAAGATAAAAGTAAATATATACACAGACAAAATTGGGTGGAAATACAGCCCAATGGTATCCCTGAGTGATGGGACTACAGGTGATTTTCATTTTCTTTTTAACTTTCTGTATTTTCCATTTTCTCTACAACAGATATGTATCATGTTTATAATTTAAAGGAATCACAAACATTATTTAAATGTTTTTCTCTGCATTCATCCATTCATTCACCCACCTATGCATTCCTCTCTTTCTCTTCTTCTGCCAAGTCTTATTAAAAAAAACCTGTGTTCCTTCTTTTGTCATAGGCTCACTTCCCTTATAGCCAAGGGGCATCACTTGATCAATTAATTATTGTTTTTTTACAGTTCTGCTTCTCTCTTCTCACAGACTCTCTTATCTCTCCTCAGAGACTTCTCCACCCTTACACAAGGTCACAGTCCTATTAGCCCTGAATCACTTTTACTTAACTCTGTGGTCACTCTGCCACCCTCATGTTTCACTATGAACACCTTTTCAGTGTAGTCTTATTCACTTCATCTTCTTCTTTACTAACTACTCCTTAAACCTTTACAATCTGGCTATCAAATCCATTATTGACATGCTCTCCTAAAGATCACCATTTTTAACTGCCTACTGCAAGTGCTTCCTACCAGTCCTTAATATCTCCACCCCCTCAGCAGCATGTGCTAGCACTCATGAAGCTCTCTTTCATGGAACCATGGCTTTGGAGACGTGGCTTTCTACTTTTTGCTTCCCCTCTCACCTCTCCCACCACCATTTTCTTCTTCCAGCTTTCCTTCTTCCACCCTATTTCTAAATGAAGTGATATTTCTGGCTTATGATGGTTAATACTGTCAACTTGATTGGATTGAAGGATGCAAAGTATTGATCCTGGGTGTGTCTGTGAGGGTGTTGCCAAAGGAGACTAACATTTGAGACAGTGGTCTGGGAAAGGCAGACCCACCCATAATCTGGGCAGGCACCATCTGATCAGCTGCCAGCACTACCAGGATATAAAGCAGACAGAAAAATGTGAAAAGGCTAGACTAGCTTAACCTCCCAGCCTACATCTTTCTCCCATGCTGGATGCTTCCTGCCCTCTAACATCAGACACCAAGTTCTTCAGCTTTAGGACTCAGACTGTCTTCCTTCCTCCTCAGCTTGCAGGTGGCCTATTGTGGGACCTTGTGATCATGTGAGTTTAATACTCCTTAATAAACTCATATATATATATATATATGTTTATTATATATATAAATAATTATATTATTAAATATAATAAATTAATATATATATATCCTATTAGTTCTGTCCCTCTAGAGAACTCTAATACAGATTATGGTACCAGGAGTGGTTCTAGAGGAACAGAATATTAAGGATAATGTTCTTTCATTGGTTTTGGGGTTTCTGGAGTTGGCTGCTTAATACGATTAGACCCCAAAATGCTAAGGACTCTACTTCTAAAAGTATGGAGAACACTGATAGTCCTTGGCATGAACTGTTTAGAGAGATATGCAAAATAAAGTCATTTGACATTCCTGATTCACTGCTCATAAGAGGCAAGTTACTCTATACATAATACCTTTGACTACATGTGGAGAACCAAGGAACATAATAAAGTTGGTTGGTTGCTCCTGAGTTCACTGGACAAAGTGTTGAAAGATGATGATGAACTCAGGGATTCTATGTTCCAGCTTCAGAAGCAGATACTTAGCCTCAAATCTGCTAAGATTGCCCTGAGTGAGAGTTTTATCTCCTGTATAGAAAGAGCTGAAATTGTGGAAAAACAGACACAAGCTCTTATCATGCAAGTGGCTGACCTGAAATGAAAGGTGCATGCACAGCCTCACCAGGTGTCTACTGTTAAAATGAGGCCATTGATTGGAAACAAATGGGACCCTGCAACTTGGAATGGGGACTTATGGGAGGACCCTGATGAAGCTGGGGACACTGAGCTTGTAAAATCTGGGTGTGACACTGAGCTTGTAAAATCTGGGTGTAAAATCTGAAGAACCATTTTTGCCAGAAGAAACAGCTTCCCCATCCCCAGTAGCGGCAACATCCCCTCCCTGACACATGCTGCCCTTTCCACCTTTGTCTGCGGAGATAAACCCTGCACTGCCTGAGGCAACAGTGATGGCCTCCCCTGAGGCAGTTGCCAAGCAAGATAATGCTGATTCTCCTCAGGAGCCACCCCCAACACCGCTGTTTGCTTCTAGATCTGTAACTAAAGTCCCAGTGGGCCCCTAGACGTGAGGTTCAGAGTGTGACCCATGAGGAGGTGCACTACACTCAAAAGTAACTAGTTGAGTTTTCTAATTTATATAAGCCTGAATCTGGAGAACAGGCATGGAAATGGATATTAAGGGTGTGGGATAATGGTGGAAGAAACAGAGTTGGAACAGGCTGAATTTATCGATTTGGGCCCACTAAGTAGGGACTCTGCTTTTAATGTTGCAGCTCGGGGAGTTAAAAAAAGTTTCTAATAGCTTATTTGCTTGGTTAGCTGAAATATGGATTAAAAGATGGCCCACTGTGAGTGAGCTAGAAATGCCTGATCTCTCTTGATTTAATGTAGAGGAAGGGATCTAAATGCTTAGAGAGATTGGGATGGTGGAGTGGATTAGTCACTTTAGACCTACTCATCCCAGCTGGGAGGGTCCAGAAGATATACTCTTGACCAGTGCTTTGCAAAATAGATTTGTGAGGCAGCACCTGCATCTATGAAGAGCCCTGTAATTGCTCTTCTCTGTATGTCAGATCTAACAGTGGGATCTGCAGTCACTCAACTACAAAATTTAAATTCAATGGGAATAATTGGATCCCGAGGTGGCAGGGGCCAAGTGGTGGCACTCAACCACCGAAGGCAAGGTGGGCATAGCTACTGTAATGGACAGCAGAGGCAAAGCAGCAATCAGAATAGTTTGACTTATGTAGAGCTCTGGCATTGGCTAATTAATCACGGTGTTCCCAGAAGTGAAATTGATAGGAAGCCTACTATATTTCTACTTAATTTATATAAGCAGAAATCTTCAGGTTGAATGGACAAAATACTAATTTGAATTATAGAAACAGAGAATTATGGCCCCTTAATCAATTTCCAGACTTGAGCAAGTTTACACACCCAGAACCCCTTGAATGAAGGGGAGGCTGGGTCCCCTTAAGGAAGGACCCCAATACAATACTGACAATTTATGCTGCTAATCTTTCTCCCATCCTTCCCCAAGGAGACCTCCGGCCTTTTATCAGGGTAACTGTGCATTTTGAGAAAGGGAAATGATCAGATATTTCGGGGACTACTGGACACTGGCTCTTAGCTGACGTGGATTCCAGGGGACTCAAAATGTCATTGTGATCCTTCAGTTAAAGTAGGGACTTATGGAAGTCAGGTAATTAATGAAGCTTTAGCTCAGGTCTGACTTACAGTTGGTTCAGTGGGTCCATGAACTCATCCTGTGTCATTTCCCCAGTGCCAGAATGCATAATTGGCATAGACATACTTAGCAGCTGGTAGAACCCCCACATTGGCTCCCTGACTGGGAGGGTGAGGGCTATTATGGTGGGAAAGGCCAAATAAAAGCCATTAGGGCTGCCTATACCTAGAAAAATAGTAAATCAAAAACAATATCGCATCCCTGGAAAGAGATTGCAGCAATTACTGCCACCATCAAAGACTTGAAAGACACAGAAGTGGTGATTCCCACCACATCCCCCTTCAACTCTTCTATTTGGCCTGTGCAGAAGACAGACGGATCTTGGAGAATGACAGCGGAGTATTACAAGCTTAAACAAGTGGTGACTCCAATTGCAGCAGCTGTACCAGATGTGGTTTCGTTGCTTGAGCAAATTAACATATCTCTGTGTACCTGGTATGCAGTCATTGACTTGGGAAATGCCTGTTTCTACATTCCTGTCCATAAGGCCCACCAGAAGCAATTTGCCATCAGCCGGCATGGTCAGCAATATACCTTTACTGTCCTACTTCAGGGGTATATCAACTCTCTGGCTTTGTGTCATAATCTTATTCAGAGAGACCTTGATCTCTTTTCGCTTCCACAAGATATCACACTGGGTCCATTACGTTGATGGCATTATGCTGATTGGATCCAGTGAGCAAGAAGTAGCAAGCACACTGGACTTATTGGTGAGACATTTGCATGCCAGAGGATGGGAAATAAATCTGACTAAAATTCAGGGACTTGCTACCTCAGTAAAATTTCTAGGAGTCCAGTGGTATGGGGCCTGTAGAGATATTCCTTCTAAGGTGAAGGATAAGTTGCTGCATTTGGCCCCTCCTACAACCAAGAAAGAGGCACAACATCTAGTGAGCCCACTTGGATTTTGGAGGCAACACATTCCTCATTTGGGTGTGTTACTCCAGCCCATTTATCGAGTGACCTGAAAGGCTGCCAGTTTTGAGTGGGGTCCAGAACAGAAGGGTCTGCAACAGGTCCAGGTTGCTGTGCAAGCTGCTCTGCCACTTGGGCTGTATGACCCAGCAGATCCAATGGTGCTTGAGGTGTCAGTGGCAGATAGGGATGCTGTTTGGAGCCTCTGGCAGGCCCCCATAGGCGAATCACAGTGGAGGCCTCTAGGATTTCAGAACAAGGCCCTGCCATCTGCAGATAACTACTCTCCTTTTGAGAGACAGCTCTTGGCCTGTTACTGGGCTTTGGTGGAAACTGAAGGTTTGACTATGGGTCATCAAGTCACCATGTGACCTAAACTGCCTATCATGAACTGGATGCTTTCTGACCTGTCTAGCCATAAAGTAGGTCGTGCACAGCAGCATTCCATCATCAAATGGAAGTGGTATATATGTGATTGGGCTCAAGCAGGTCCTGAAGGCATAAGTAAGTTACATGAGGAAGTGGCTCAAATGCCCATGGTCTCCACTCCTGCCACCTTGCTTTCTCTCCCCCAGCCTGCACCAATGGTCTCATGGAGAGTTCTCTATGATCAATTGACAGAGGAAGAGAAGACTAGGGCCTGGTTCACAGATGGCTCTGCAAGATGTGCAGGCACCACCCGAAAGTGGACAGCTGCAGCACTACAGCCTCTTTCTAGGACAGTGATGAAGGGAAATCTTTCTAGTGGGCAGAACTTCAAGCAGTGCACATGGCTGTGCACTTCGCATGGAAGGAGAAATGGCCAGATATGCTATTATATTCTGATTCACAGCCTGTAGCCAGTGGTTTGGCTGGATGGTCAGGGACTTGGAAGAAGCATGGTTGGAAAATTGGTGACAGAAATTTGGGGAAGAGGTGTGTGGATGGACCTCTCTGAGTGGTCAAAAACTGTGAAGATATTGGTATCCCATGTGAGTGCTCACCAACGGGTGACCTCAGCAGAGGAGGGTTTTAATAATCAAGTGGATAGGATGACCCATTCTATGGACACCACTCAGCCTCTTTCCCCAGCCACCCCTGTCATCACCCAACGGGCCCATGAGCAAAGTGGCCATGGTGGCAGGGATGGAGGTTATGCATGGGCTCAGCAACATGGACTTCCACTCAACAAGGCTGACCTGGCTGTGGCCACTGCTAAGTGTCCAATTTCCCAGCAGCAGAGACCAATACTGAGCTCTTGATATGGCACAATTCCTTGGGGTGATCAGCCAGCTACCTGGTGGCAGGTTGATTATATTTGAGCTCTTCCATCACAGAAAGGGCAGAAGTTTGTCCTCACTGGAATAGACACTTACTCCGGATATGGGTTTGCCTAACCTACATGCAATGCTTCTGCGAAGACTACCATCCATGAACTCATAGAATGCCTTATCCACTGTCATGGTATTCCACACAGCATTGCCTCTGACCAAGGCACTCACTTTATGGCTAAAGAAGTGCAACAGTGGGCTCATGCTTATAGAATTCACTGGTCTTACCATGTTCTTCATCATCCTGAAGCAGTTCGATTGATAGAACGGTGAAATGGCCTTTCAAAGTCACAATTACAACGTCAACTAGGTGACAATTCTTTGCAGGTCTGGGGCAAAGTTCTCCAGAAGGTCGTGTATGCTCTGAATCAGCATGCAATATATGGTACTGTTTCTTCTATAGCCAGGATTCATGGGTCCAGGAATCAAGGGATGGAAGTGAAAGTGGCACCGCTCACCATTACCCCTAGTGATTCACTAGCAAAATTTTCACTTTCTGTTCCTGCGACATTATTTTCTGCTAGCCTAGAGGTCTTAGTTCCAGAGGGAGGAACACTGCTACCAGGAGAAACAACAATGATTCCATTAAACTGGAAGTTAATATTGTCACTGGCCACTTTGGGCTCCTCCTACCTCTAAGCCAACAGGCTAAGAAGAGAGTTACAGTATTGGCTGGGGTGATCAACCTGAACTATCAAGAAGAAATCAGTCTAATACTCCACAATGGAGGTAAGGAAGAGTATGCGTAGAATACAGGAGATCCCTTGGGGTGTCTCTTAGTATTACCATGCCCTGTGATTAAGGTCAATGAGAAACTACAAAAGCCCAATCCAGGCAGGACTACAAATGGCCCACAACCTTCAGGAATGAAGGTTTGAGTAACTCCACCAGGAAGAAAACCATGACCTGCTGAGGTGCTTGCTGAAGGCAAAGGGAATATAGAATTGGTAGAAGAAGGAGGTCATCATCAATACCAGCTATGACCACGTGACCAGTTGCAGAAAGGAGAACTGTAATTGTCATGAGTATTTCCTCCTCCTTTTGTTAAAAACATGTTTGTGCCTGTATACACTTGTGCTATGAAAATACCTTCATTTTATTTCCTTTTTCCTTTATCATGTGACAGAAGATTTATTGACTTCATATCAGCATTTAAGTGTTGTTAACTGTATGTAATAGCATTTGGGTTGGGGATTGGTGCATTTCCGGTTGTATGAAGGAATAGTTGCATTATGTTAGGCGTAATTATGACCTTATTATTGTCTTTATTTGAAGATTATGTATGATCTCAGGAGATGTGTATGGGTTCAAGTTGACAAGGGGTGGACTTGTGATAGTTAATACTGAGGGTCAACTTGATTGGGTTGAAAGATGCAAAGTATTGATCCTGGGTGTGTCTGTGAGGGTGTTGCCAAAGGAGATTAACATTTGAGACAGTGGACTGGGAAAGGCTGACCCACCCTTAATCTGGGTAGGCACCATCTGATCAGCTGCCAGCATGGCCAGGATATAAAGCAGGCAGAAAAACATGAAAAGGCTAGACTGGCTTAGCCTCCCAGCCTACATCTTTCTCCCATGCTGCTGGATGCTTCTTGCCCTCCAACATCAGACTCCAAGTTCTTCAGTTTTGGGACTCGTATTGGCTTCCTCGCTCCTTGGCTTGCAGACAGCCTATTGTGGGACCCTGTGATCATGTGAGTTTAATACTCCTTAATAAACTCATATATATCTCCTATTAGCTCAGTACCTCTAGAGAACACTGACTAATACATGGTTCCTTTGTCTCTTTTTTCTTCTCCTTAGACTCTTTCAGTGCTTCAGGCTTCTAGTTTTACCTATTGCAGGCCTTACCTCTCTCCTAAATTCAAGTCCCACCTTTCCAAGGCCCTGCTCAAACTATCCACCCTGATGCCTGGCATGGATCTGTTGGAGAAATATCTTTCACCTCCCCAAACCTGCTCTTCTTCCATACCTGCGTATTTCTATAAATGGTGTCATCTCAGTTCCCCTTTAAAATATTCACATGACTTGGAGAAGCAAACTGTCTTTCCCACACCAATTACCAAAGCCTCAGCTTAGGTTCTTGGCATTTTTTTCTGGAGAGATGGAGAAGGCTGCATCCTGTATCTTTTTATTGGATTGATTCTCTGGTTAGGGAGGACCTCCTCCCTGTCTGTAGGAACTATAAGTGGGAAGTTTCCCAATAACCACTGCAAGCAACATTGGCAGCACATATTGGCAGCACAGACATCTTAAATCTATTCTAGGATATATTTTCTTCATTTTTCTTTAAATAGCCCACTTGGTTTCCAAAAGCCTACCACTGAGATGTAAAGTTGACAACCAGAAAACGTTTAAGGAAACAGAATGGAAGGGGCCAGAGCGATTTTGGGACAGAGGCAAACAGAGAGGAACAACCCTCAAATCAATTCCATAATTATGGCAGAACTCAGTTTATTGCCAATGTGTGCCATCAGGGAACTTTCCATTTTGCTTAGTAATTCTTGTTAACCAGGAGCTAAGCTTTGAAAAGCACTGTTTAAAATTGATGCACTCAGAATTTCATGGTCTTGGGCAAATCTATGGTCTCCATACTCTAGTGAAGGTTATACTTCATAGCAATTGGAATTTTCTTCCTCAGTCATGTGAGCCTGTTTTGCACATATGCTAACAGCTGCAGTCGCCATCAATAGGCCTAACAATGATTACCTTCTTTTGGGCTACACAGAAAAAGTTGCAAAAAACAAACAAACAAACAAACAAAAAAGTGCCTAGACTTTTCTTAAAGAAGAAAAATGCAAACATGCATGGGATTTTTCTTTAGTGTAGTCTCTGTGTTTTCCCCTTTTTTACATGGCTCACTTCTCTCCATCTTCTCCACCCACATCATTTACTCCCTACACCCCTTTCCACTCTACTACCCTTCCCACCTATGTTAAAAGCTTGGTATGTATCCTTTCATATCGTTCTTCATGGCCAAATAATTATATACAGGTTACATATACCATTTAAAATATGTATTAAAATGGGACATTTTTCTGCATCTTATTTTCATATTTAACAATTCTTCATAGAAACTCTTTCAAATCACCTGGTAGAGCTCTATTTTATTCTTTTTTATGTTTGCATAATATTTCACTGCATTGATGGCTTATCAATTTATTCAGGCATCTTCCCTATTAACAACATTCTCTTTGTTTTCATCTGTGTGCATGTGCATGACTACAGAAAATGCTATAATAAACAAACTTATATAGAGAGTATTGTACATTGGTGCTTATATTTCCATGGCACATATCCTCAAGAACGAGATTTCTGAGGTAAAGCATATTTCAGGATCTTTCAACATCTCTTCAGGAAGCAGCTGTATCACTTTTAAACATTTTGCCTGTCTGGTGGCTGTAAGGTGATATCGCATTATTGCTTTAATTTGAAACTCCTTGACTATTAGTGAATTTGAGCATTTTTCATAAGTTTGCTTAGCTTGTTAAATTACTATTCTGTGAAAGTGTCTCTTTACATCCTTTCTTGATTTTTTCTTTAGGTTGTTTTTTGCCTCCTTTGCCCAATTTACAAGAGCTCTTTGTGTATTTTAGACATACTTTCTATCTGCCCTTTGCATTACAAAAACATTTCTAAAATTATTATTTGTCTGTGGCTTTCATTTATGTTTTCATTTGCCATACAGAATTTTTAAATTCATATAATGTTTAGTAAGCCCCTCTTTCCTTTCATAGCTTCTGAGTATCCAATCTTGTCCTCTGTCTTGCACATATACTCCAGGATTTTTCTACAAGATTGTAATTTTTTTATATTTAAGTCTTCCTCTGGAATTTATTTTAGTATGTGATGAAAGATAGTATTTATGCAATATTATTTTTCTCTCAAAGGATGCCAGATGTATTATCACTTATTAAATTATCCATCTTGTTCCCACTGAATTAAAATATCATTTTGTAGTACCAGATATCCAACACATTATAATACCACCTTAATCTAATCAAATCAGTATATTATTAGCACTGTACTAAATAGATCAGTAGGACAGAAAAGAGAATCACATACTTGCTGTATTTGGATTTATATTGCTGCTATAAATTTTCAGAGGATTTTCTCTCCCTCCTTTTAGCCCCCAAAGAAGAACATGGTGACTAGCACCTAGGCCTAAGATATGGGTTTGAATCTAGGAACCAGCACTTGGCCTTGTGGAGCAAACCAAATTACCTTGCTTAGGCTCAGCTTCCTCATCTCAGAAAGGGATATTGTCAAAGGGATATTGTGAGGATATAGGAAACAAAGCTACATGAAGCACTTAGCATAATGCCTAGCACATAGTAAGCCTGTAGTAATAAAGGGTAGTTGCTACTTTGTCTACCCTCTTGACACCCATTCTGTCTTGTAAGCACCATGTCTTCTTTTTGTAACCCCACTGTGAGCTCCCAGAGGGCAGTCACTGTCTACTAGGTTCCTCAGCACTCAGACTGCCCTCAAAAAAGAATTAATCAGAATTGATCCTTGTAGACAATACTCTGTGCTTTGTCTGTTGTACCTTTCCCTACTATGCAGAATCGAGGCTGAGTGAGTCCTCCCTCCTCTGGGATGTACTTCTACCACTGGTTGCAAGAGTTGGCCCCTGTATGTCTCTCCTCTGCTAGGGCATGCTCATAGTCAGCTGTGGCTATTATTCGTTGTGCATTCTTGCACAGGGCACTTTCATTGATACAGTTACCTCAGCTTTGTCTCCCTAATGCCTAGCAGTCTGTGGCACAATGTAGGATACACAGTGAATTTTTCTGGGCAATTTTTTTCCACTTTAATTAAATCAATCAACTAGTGGGACAGGAATTTTTATACGTTATTTTAGAATTATTTAGTTTAGTTGAGAAAGCTTATAATATGGAAAAATAAAATTTTAATTAAGTTGAACCCTACTAACTAAGCCTTCAGTCAATCAGTTTCTCTCTGGTCTAAGCTTTGGAGGTGAGAAGAAAGTAATAGATAGCAACATCAAAAACCTCATCATCACATCAAGAATTCCTTTAAGTAGTGTTTCCAGATATAATATAGGGCTCCCAGTTAAATCTTAATTTCAAATAAACAATGAGAATTTTTTGTATAAGTATGTCCCAAAGATGACATGGCACAAATTACACCAAACAATTGTTTATTTCTCTAAAATTCAAATTGAAGAGAGTGCCTTATATTTTTATTTGCTAAATCTGGGAACCATATTAAAAATCCATGTTTCAGGGGACATTTGAGGAATTATAACTGATTCATTGGGATGCCCCAAGTTAAAGCCCTGGAGATTTCTCGTGTACACAGTTGGTGTTTAATAAATGTTGAATTGACTATAGAATAGTAATTATTAATAGTTACTTTTTGGTCATTGATTGTTTAAAGGCATGAAAACGGACAGATGTAAGCCTAGAAAGAATTTTGACAATAAGGAAGCCACAGAAAGGGAGTTTTTTAAATTAACCCTTTATTAACCAAATAGGGAAAACACACCCATTTGGGAGAGTGTCTCATGGTGCTGCTGGAAAGCACTTGAAATTTATCTTTACTTGTACATGTAAGGTTTCTAATTTTTTGGCTTAGGGCTTGAATATAACGATGTGTGTGTGTGTGTGTGTGTGTGTGTGTGTGTGCACGTGGGGAAATGGTTAGAGGCAGGGGGCAGGAGAGACAAGACAAGAAACGTAATGCCAATGAATGGAAAACAAAACACTTGAAAACTTTTCTTCTTGCTACATTTCATGGAGAGCTAATGGCTTTTTTAAAGTACTTTCAAAATCAGAATTGGTCAGTGCAGAGTAGCAGGCACAAATATGGCCTCTAGTGTTCTATTAATGATGGGATCAAATGAAGAAGCTCTTCTACATGCTATTTATGAAAGGGCAAGAGAACCAATGTAATGTTTAGTTTCTTGGAGGAAACTGAAAAAAAAAAATAATCCCATATTACCACAATACAGCATGAGTTCAATGCAAATGGAAAAGACTGGTGGCTTATTAATAGGCTCTCCCTGTAGCAAGCTGGCCTTCCCGGCTTCAGTTTGAAATTGATTATTTTAATACAGAATTCCTGAATGAAAGAGGTTCTTGGCCTTTTCCTGGGCTGTTGAATAATGTATGTGGGAGAAAGCAAATAGCAGCAGAGGGTCTCAGCTGCAGGAACAATGGCGCACACCCAGAGCTGAGGGGGCACGTTAGTTTATCATCGCCTTGTCAATCCTTCTAGCCTGGGAATCGCGGGGCAGCCTGGAAAGCAGCAGCTGCCCGACGTGTGGTGAACTGACCGGGGCACTTTAAAGAGACAACTCCATTTACCCATCTGAAAACAAGATATTGATTTTCCTCCAGTGCTGGAGAGAAAAGAGCCGTCCTGAAAATATATGGAGACCACCATTTATCCAGGCTCCTCCCCCACCAATCACACCACCCCAACTGCTTTCTTGGCTTCCTCGCCACAAAGTTCCATTTTTTCCTTCTTCACCTGGAGTGGGAAGAAAGCAACCCCCGCTTTTTTGCCTTCTGTGGACGCATCACTCTGAGTGATTTCAAGCTGAAACTAGAAAAGTACGTAATAACTGGAATTGGGGGACGTATTTTATAAATTAGAAATCAATTTTTTCCATCCACATGGAAATTACATATTACAGGAAACTTCAGACTGGCACTTTACAGGTTTCTTATCTCAAGCTGTGTTCATCTTAAGTCATTAAGGCAAATCTTGTAGCAACCTAGAACAATAACAACCTTCAACTCCTTAGATGGTTTTATCACAAGATAGTTTTTTCTTCATAAATAATAGCCCAGAAGATCTGAGGACCCAGATCAGATGAAAAAAAAATGTAGCTTATATTGCCACAGTAAGCCTCCATAAGTACTCCCTAGAATGGCAGGAGCTTGAAATCAACGTGCTACGAGCATGGGGAGAAGTGTAGCTCTGAATTGAGGCAGCCAGGAGGCCCGGCACCCGGAAGCTGACTTGAACTACTTCACAAGCTTCAAGAGACTGGAAGTGTGTTATTGGAGGTCAATTCTGATTTCTTTAATTGCTCATATCCACATGTGCTCAAAATTTCCACCATTCTGAGGAGAGTGGATGGTTGATACAGCACATCCTTCTTCAAAGAGGGAAAAGGAGCAGGTGAATGAAGGATGCCTCCCTCGCCTTCAACAAGATTCAGCCACTAAAAAATTAAGCAGGGACTCCAAATGCTGGATTTCCAAAATGGAATTTTTCCTCGAAAATTCCCTGTACTCACCACTACCATGAGAAGTCTCATAGAAAACCTGAGAAGTCCAAGGGAAAAAAATGGGGGTAGCGGGTGGAAAAAATGAGAGAGGAAAAACAACTCTTGAAAAGCAAATAGGAAAACCCACCCCTAGCTGCAGTAAAGGTAGGTCGGAAATGGCAAGTGCTGGCCTTAACCCTGTGTTTACCCCACCAGTATCCAGAAATGCAAGCTGAACATTGTGAGTGGGGCCCCAGTTGTTGAGCTCTCTGTTATGCTAAACAAGCACCCGAGGTGGACTGGCCCAACCATCTGCTAGAGACATGCATAAATCGAGGGAAGGTAGAGCAGTACAGCATGTGTATAATGCGGAATACATGGGAAAAAGCAAAAGCGCGTCATTAAAAAGCAGCAGAAAGCGACCAGAGAACAGAATGTGGTGGGCAGAGATTAGTGTTCCAATTATTATCAATGTTAATAACCACACGCAGGGAACTCCAGGTTCTCTTGTTCATCAGACATGAAGCCTCTGACAGTGCAGGGATTAGGAGGACTAGCTCAGCCATTAGAATTTTTGTTATTTATTTGATTTCATGACACTTTTCCCATCTGGACAAGTACTGGATGACACAGAGCTCTTCTTTCAAGTGTATGCTTTCCCCAGTATAACATTAAGCTTTACAAAAATATATAGGAAACCAAAAAATAGAGAAAAATTCACCTGGGCACAACCCCTGCTAATATTTTCATCTATGTTTTTCTGGTTTTTGTTGATTTTTCCCCCTGCCTTTACTGTTCTTACAAGTTATTGTCCATTTTTAACACAACATATAGACAGTTTTAAATTATTACATTTGAAATGTGCCCATTTGAATAACACATATATGTTTGAAAGTTTTAGTGAACTTTAAAATTAAGTCTACATTCTAGGATAATAAAATATGCCTTGACTATTTAAAAGCATCCTTATTTTGAAGGCAGAAGGCAGAGGGGGGAAAAGCAGAAACTGGGTTGGGGGAATCACTGGCCCAAATGAGGAGAGCACGTACCACAGTTGAACCATCCTGAGGGACAGCCTACACCTGGGGCTTGAAACTGGCAGCCCATTTCAGTCCTCATATATGCTTTGTCTGGCTTACAGAGCTTTTTAATTTATTTCTTTTCTTTTAAGAGACAGGGTCTTGCTCTGTTGCCTGGGCTGGAGTGCAGTAACATCATCACAGCTCATTTCAACGTTCAACTCCAGGGTTCAACTTATCTTCCTGCCTCAGCCTCCAGAGTAGGTGGGACTACAGGCACATACTACTCATTCCCAGCTAAAATTTTAAAATATTTATGCAGAGATGAGGTCTCACTATGTTTCCTAAGCTTATCTTAAACTCCTGGCCTCAAGCAATCCTCCTTCCTCAGCCTCCTAAAGTGTTGGAATTACAGGTGTGAGCCACCATGCCCGGCCAGAGAGCTTTTCTTTAAATGTTTACTTTGAATGCCTTTAAATAGGGCATACACCCTCCATTTTGCCACAAGCCCCACCACTCCTTATCATATTATACTCTTCTGCTTTCTGCATTTCCATTTCTGCCTGGTCCCTGAAGGCATTTGCACTTATAACCCCTGTGTCATTTAAGATATCCTGGAAGGCCCCACTTCCCTGCAGAATCCTCTAAACCAATGGATCATAATTATGCGTGATTTCTCTCCCCAGGGGATATTTAGCAGTGCTTAGACATTTTTGTCTTAACTGGGGAAAGCATTGTTGCACTACTGGCATTTAGTAAGTTGAGGCCAGAGGTGGTGCTAAACATCCTACAATGCACAAGTCCCCCAAATTAACTATCCAGCCCAAAATGTCCACAGTGCTGAGACTGAGAAACTCTGCTCTAAATCAGGGCTGGATTTGCCCCGCTAGAGTTTCCTCCTTTCAATTTAGGATTTTAGTCGCTTGGAAAATGCAAATCCCACTGAGAGTAGTAATATTTTATGCTGTTGGCCACTTACACCTGACTATGAAGCAAGGATCTGTGAATGGGATTGGATAAACGGCTGGGTAGGGAAGAAGAGGAAAAATAGGACATGGAGGACACAAAGCACACATCCTATTGGCAGGCTTTCACCATTTCACGATTAGGATCACTCCATGCAGGGAGCTCACACCAAATTCCTCTTAGTAACCTCGCCATTAATAATTATGTCACACTATATATAGTTGATTACTTGCTTCAGGAGAAACACTGAATTCAACCACTTTATATCTATAATCCCATTGCATCCTCATAACAATACTGTGAGACAGATAAGGAAACTAAGGCATAGAGGAGATAAGTAACGATCTCAAAGTCACACATATAGACAGTGATAGGACTGAGACTCCGAAACTTGCATTGCTCACTCCAGAGATCAAACTCTTAGCCAAGAGGAAGGGACAACATTTACTAAAAATTTTCACTGAGCCAGACACCATGTTAAGCACTTTGTCTACAGGATGTCACTTAATCTTTACAAAATCCTGAGGGGTAGATATTATTATCATCCCCATCAAACAAGTGAGGAAACTGAGGGTTAGACAAGTCTCACAATTAGACCTTTATCACAAGGTCTGCTTGACCTCCTAAGTTTAAAGTTAGTCAAAGCATTGCTTCAGTCCATCATGACTTCACTGACATTGGAGGGAATGATGTGGAATGGACAGAGCACTGACCTTAGACCAGAAGACCTAGTTTGTAGTCTTAGCTGTGTCACAATCTTAATGGGTGACCTCAGTCAAGACCCTGAGATCAGGTCCTCTGTCCAATTCCCAAGAAAAGAAAGGAGCCAGACCATTATGAGCCATGGTTTCCTATAGATAGCTTCAATATACTTAGAAGAAATGCTCCTGCCCAATGACAAAGCACTGGGGAAACCTAGTCAGTCTGGTGAGAGCATTTTCAATCAAAGAGGCTGAACCAGAAATACTGAGCTGCTCCAGCTCAAAGGGCAGCCATGAACCTTTAAGAACTTTCAATATGGAAATATGCACATTAATCATGACTCTATTATACCTCAATTTTCACATTGTGTTAACATAATCTGAGCATCTTTCAAAGTCAACTTCTACTAACATTGCCTAGCAAAGTCATGATTTTCTAAAACATAATTTGATGATGGTACCTACCCACTTTTATAGTAGTCTTTTCTGGGGATTTGGGGAACTTTTTCCTTGATAGTAAGAAGAATAGCCTCCTAGATCTTTTTACCTGAGCTGATAGGGCCTTTTCAGTCAGTTCAGAGGGAAGGTAAGTTAAATTGTAATGGAGTGTCATTTAGATGACCCAAAGGGTTTGTTACTTTATCATAGTAACTTTCCCAAAGCCAACTTCACAAAGATATAATATTATTGAAAGGCATGTGTTGTAAGCAAACAAAAACATAAAGTGGGGAGAGGACACCCTTTTCAACAAATAGTGCTGGGATAATTGGCTAGCCACATGTAGGAGAATAAAACTGGTTCCTCATCTCTCACCTTATACAAAAATCAACTCAAGATGGATTAAGAACTTAAACCTAAGACCTGAAACATAAAAATTCTAGAAGATAACATTGGAAAAACCCTTGGAGACATTGGCTTAGGCAAGGATTTCATGACCAAGAACCCAAAAGCAAATGCAATAAAAACAAAGATAAATAGCTGGGACCTTATTAAACTAAAGAACTTTTGCAAAGCGAAAGGAACAGTCAGCAGAGTAAACAGACAACCCACAGAGTGGGAGACAATCTTCACAATTGATACATTTGACAAAGGACTAATATCCAGAATCTACAATGAACTCAAACAAATCAGTAAGAAAAAAGCAAACAATCTCATCAAAAAGTGGACTAAGGACATGAATAGCAATTTTCAAAAGAAGATATACAAATGGCCAACAAAGGTACGAAAAAACGTTCAACAGCACTAATGATCAGGGAAATGCAAATCAAAACCATAATGTGATGCCACCTTATTCCTGCAAGAATGGCCATAATCAAAAAATCAAAAAACATAGATGTTGGCGTGGATGCGTTGATCAGGGGACACTTCTACACTGCTGGTGGGAATGCAAACTAGTACAGCCACTATGGAAAACAGTGTAGAGATTCCTTAAAGAACTAAAAATAGAACTACCATTTGATCCAGCAATCCCATTACTGGGAATCTACCCAGATGAAAAGAAGTCATTATACAAAAAAGATACTTGCACACACATGTTTATAGCAGCATAATTCACAATTACAAAATCGTGGAAGCAACCCAAATGCCCATCAGTCAATGAGTGGATAAAGAAACTGTGAGAGATATATATAATGGAATACTAGTCAGCCATAAAAAGGAATGATTTAATAGCATTTGCAGCGACCTGGATGAGATTAGAGACTATTCTTCTAAGTGAAGTAACTCAGGAATGGAAAACCGAACATCGTATGTTCACACTGATACGTGGGAGCTAAGCTATAAGGAAAAGCATAAGAATGATACAATAAACTTTGGGGACTCAGGGGGAAGAGTGGTAGGGGGTGAGGGATAAAAGACTACAAATATGGTGCAATGTATACTGCTTGAGTGATGAGTGCACCAAAATCTCACAAATCACCACTAAAGAACTTACTCATGTAACCAAATACCACCTGTATCCTCAATAACTTATGGAAAAATAAAAACAAAACAAAAACAAAAATTCCCTATAAAGGAAAAAATGAAAGGAATGTGTCATGATCTAATGTTGAAATTATAAACTATCTTGACTTAGTAGCTTTGGCAATATTTAATAGATTTCTAGTATCATTGTCTTTACCTTGAAATTTCATATTTCCTCCAGGAACACAGGGTACTTTGGTGCACAGTTTGGGAAAACAGGTATACAATAAAAATTACATGCCCTTCCTACTTCAAATCCCAACTCCTCATTCCCATTCCCTGTGGTATACAGTATTAACAGTTTCTGGTGTCTAGTTCCAGAAAATTTCTATGCATAATCAAATAGAAGCATATCATACATACTGCTTCGATTCCCACTTTTTCTGCTTACTATATTCTGGAGATCATTTCATTAGCAGTACATAACAATTCTTTGTTGCTTTTACAGTTTCATGGTGTAATTTATGCAATAAAATTATTGATGTACATTTAGTTGTTAGCATTACTAATGGTATTGTAGTGAATATCCTTCTACATATATCTTGGTGCACTTGCATAATGAATTCCTAGAAAAAGAATTTCTGGACCAAGGGATATGTACATTTAAAGTTTTGAGAGATATTAAATTTGTTGTAATTAATTTCAATTAATTTGTACACTCCCCCTAACCCCAAAAAAGTCTAGGCAAGAAAGAAGAAACTTGCAGCTGGCATATTAGAAAAGCTTAGATCAAAATACCCAAGTCCTTTCAAATGTCTGGAAAGCCTTCCCAAGAAGAATGGCTACAAATAAGCTGAGACAGTGAAGACTACAATAAATACCTAATTCTTCAATGCCGAGACATGAAATAACATCTTTAATTCATTTAGTGAGGTCATGTTTTTCTGGATGGTGTTGATGCTAGTAGATGTAACTTTTCAGATAGAGAAGTCAAATAACTGTATTGAAGAAACTGAAAAGAAATTCAAGGTAACATAGAGAAGGAATCCCGAATTCTATCAGATAAATTTAACAAAGAGATTGAAATGATTAAAAAGAATCAATCAGAAATTCTGGAGCTGAATAACGCAACTGGCATACTGAAGAATGCATCAAAGTCATTTAATAGCAGAATTGATAAAGCAAAAGAATTAGTGAGCTTGAAGACAGGCTATTTGAAAATACACAGCCAGAGGAGATAAAAGAATAAAAAAGAGTGAATAACACCTATAGGATCTAGAGAACAGATTCAAAAGGGTAAATCTAAGAGTTATTATCCTTAAAGAGGAGGTAGAGAAAGAGAGAGGAGTAGATAGTTTATTTAAAGAAATAATAACAGAGAACTTCCTAAACCTAGAGAAAGATATCAATATTTGAGTACAAGAAGGTTATGTAGAACACCAAGCAGATTTAACTCAAAGGCTACCTCAAGGCATTTAATAATCAAATTCCCGAAGGCAAAAATAAAGGATTCTAAAAGTAGCAAGAAAAAAAAGACAAATAACATACAGTGGAGTGCCAATAAGTTTGGCAGCAGACCTTTCAGTGGAAACTTTACAGGCCAGGAGAGGGTGGCATGACATATTTAAAATGTTGAAGGAAAAAAAAAAAAAAACCCTTTACCCTAGGATAGTATATCCAGTGAAAATATCCTTCAAAGATGAAGGAGAAGTAAAAACTTTCCCAGACAAACAAAAGCTGTGGGATTTCATCAATAGCAGACCTGTCCTACAAGAAATGCTAAAGGAAGCACTTCAATCAGGAAAAAAAGGGTAATGACCAGTAAATAATCACCTGAAGGTACAAAGCTTATCAATAATAGTAAATACACAGAAAAGCACAGATTATAACACTGTACTGTAGTGTATAAAGTATTTGTATTAGTCCATTCTCACACTGCTAATAAAGACAAACTCGAGACTGGGTAATTTATAAAGGAAGGAGATTTAATTGACTCACAGTTCAGCATGACTGGGAAGACCTCAGGAAACTTTTACAATCATGGCAGAAGGTGAAGCAAACACATCCTTCTTCACATTATGGCAGCAAGGAGAAGTGCAGAGCGAAGCGAGGGAAAGCCCCTTATAAAACCATCAGATCTCATGAGAACTCACTCACTGTCATGAGAACAGCATGGAGGTAACTGCCCCCATGATTTAATTACCACACACTAGGTCCTTCCCATGACACGTGGGGATTATGGAAACTACAATTCAAGATGAGATTTGGGTGGGGACGCAGCCAAACCATATCACTATTCTTGACCTAAGTAGAATGACTAAATAATGAACCAATAAAAAATACTAACTACAACAACTTTTCAAGACATAGTCAGTACAATAAGATAAAAATAGAAACAAAAATGTTAAAAAGCAGGGGGACAAAGTTAAGGCATAGAGTTTTCATTAGTTTTCTTTTTGTTCTTGCTTGTTTGTTTAAGCAAATAGTATAAAATTGTTATCAGGTTAAAATAATGGGTTATAAGGTAGTATTTTGCAAGCCTCATGGTAATCACAAACCAAAAAACATACAATGGACACATAAAAAATAAAAAACAAGAAACTAAATCATATCACCAGAGAAAATCACCTTCAGTACAGGAAGATAGCAAGGAAGAAAAGAAGCAAGAGACCACAAAATAACCAGAAAATAAATAACAAAAGGGCAGAGGTAAGTCCTTACTTACCAAAGATAACATGGAATGTAAATGGACTAAACTCTCTAATCAAATGACACAGACTGGCTGAAGGGATGAAACAAAAAAGACCCATTGATCTGTTGTCTATAAGAAACACACTTCACATATAAAGGCACACATACACTGAAAAGATGGAAAAAGATATTCTATGCCAATGGAAACCAAAAAAGAGCAGGAGTCACTATACTTAGACAAAATAGATAATCAAGACACGAACTATAACAACAGACAAAGAAGGTCACTATATAATAAAAAAGGTCCATTCAGCAAGAGTCCATAACAATTAAAAAATATATGCACCTAACACTGGAGTATCCAGATACATAAAGCAAATATTATTAGAACTAGAAATAGGTCCCAACACAATTACAGTTGGAGAGTTCTACATCCTACTCTTAGCATCAGACAGCATTTCCAGACAGAAAAATCAACAAAGAAACCTCACACTTAATCTGCACTATAGACCAAATAGATCTAATACATATTTACAGAACATTTTACACAAGAGCTGCACAATACACAGTCTTCTCAGCACATGGATCATTCTCAAGGGTAGACCATATGTTAGGTTGCAAAACAAGTCTTAAAACATTCAAAAAAACTGAAATAATATGAAGCATCTTCTCTGACTACAATGAAATATAACTAGAAATTAATAACGAGGAATTTTGGAAACTATACAAATGCATAAAAATTAAACAGTATGCTCTGAATGAGCAGTGTGTCAATGAAGAAATTAATGAGGAAATGGAAGAATTTCTTGAGACAAATGATAATGGAAGCACAACATACTAAAACCTATGGTATACAGCAAAAGCAGTACTAAGAGGGAAATAGAACTACAAATGCATACATTAAAAAAGATGAAATCTTCCAATAAACAACCTAATGATGCATCTAAAGAACTAGAAAGGCAACAGCAAACAAAACCCAAAATTAGTAAAAGAAAATAAATAAATAATAAAGATCAGAGCAGAAATATATGACATTGAAATAAAAAAATACAAAAGTAGTGAAATAAAAAGTTGTTTTTTTGAAAAATTAAACAAAATTGACAAACCATTAGCCAGACTAACTATGAAAAAAAGAGAGAAGATCAAAATAAATAAAATCAGAACTAAAAAGGAGATATTACAACTGATACTACAGAAAACTCAAAGGATTATTAGTGGCTACCAGGAACAATGTGCCAATAAACTGGAAAATCTAGAAGAAATGGACAAATTCCTAGGTATGTACAACCTACCAAGTTTGAACCAGGAATAAATCCAAAATCTGAACAGACCAATAACAAGTAATTACATCAAAGCCATAATAAAAATCTCCCAGTAAAGAATAGTCTGCAACCTGATGGCTTCACTGCTGAATTCTACCAAATATTCAGAGAAGAACTAATACCAATCCTACTTAAACTATTCTGAAAAATAAAGGAGGAGGGAACTCTTCCACTCTCATTTTATGAGACCAGTATTACCCTGATAACAAAACCAGACAAAGACACATTAAAAAAAAGAATACTACAGGCCAATATCTTTGGTGAATATTGATGCAAAAATCCTCAACAAATACTACTAAACAGAATTGAACAATACATCAGAAAGATCATTCATCATGACCGAGTGGTATTTATCCCTGGGATGTAAAAATGCATACACAAATCAATTAATATGATGCATCATATTAACAGAATAAAGGATAAAAACCATATTATCATTTCAATTGCTGCTGAAAAGCATTTGATAAAATTCAACATCCCTTCATAATACAAACCCTCAGGAAATTGGGGACAGAAGGAACATACCTCAACATAATAAAAATCATATATGACAGACCAACAGGTAGTATCACACAGAATGGGAAAAAACTAAAGCTCTTTCCTCTAAGATCTGGAGCATGAAAAGGGTGGCCATTGTCACCATTGTTATTCAACACAGTACTGGAAGTCCTAGGTAGGGCAAACAGACAAGAGAAATAAACGGCATCCAAAGTGGAGTGGAAGAAGTCAAATTATCATTGCTTGCAAATAATATGATCTTCTATTTGGAAAAATCTGAAGACTCCACAAGAAAGCTATTAGAACTGATAAACAAATTCAATAAAGTTATAGCATACAAAATCAACATACAAAAATCAGTAGCATTTCTATATGCCAATAGTGAACAATGTGAAAAAAAATTTAAGTAATCCCATTTACAATAGCCACACATAAAATTAAATACCTGGGAATTAACTAAAAAAGTGAAAGATCTTCCTAATAACAACTATAAAACACTGATTAAAATAATTGAAGAGGACACAAACAATGGCAAAATATTCCATGTTCATGGATTGGAAAAATCAATATTATTAAAATGTCCACAGTACCCAAAGCAATCTACAGATTCAACACAATCCCTATCTAAGATTTTTCCCACAGAAAAGAAAAACAATCCTCAAAATTTATATGGAACCAGAAAAGATGCAAAAGAGCCAAAGCCATCCTGAACAAAAAGAAGAAAACGCGAAGAATCACATTGCCTGATTTCAAATTATAATACATAGCTATAGTAACCAAAACAGCATGGTACTGGCATAAAAACGGACACATAGACCAATAAAACAGAATAGAGAACCCAGAAACAAATCCACACACCTACAATTAACTTATTGTTGACAAAGATGCCAAGAACATGCACTGGGGGAAAGAAAGTCTCTTCAATAACTGGTGCTGAAGAGAATATGCAGAAGAATAAAAGTAGACCCCTATCTACTGGCATATAAAAAATCAAATCAAGATGGATTAAAGGCTTAAATCTAAGACCTCAAACTATAAAACTCCTACAAGAAAACAATGAGAAAAATCTCTAGGACATTGCACTAGGCAAAAGTTTCTTGAGCAATACCCCACAAACACAGACAACCAAAGCAAGAATGGACAAATGGGATCACATCACATTAAACAGCTTCTGCACAGCCAAGGATACAATCAACAAAGGGAAAGACAACCCACGGAACAGGAGAAAATATATGCAAACTATCCATCTGACAAGGGATTAATAACCAGAATACATAAGGAGCTCAAACAACTCTGTGTGAAAAAATCTAATAATCCAATCAAAATGGGCACAAGATTTGAATAGACATTTCTCAGAAGAAGACATACAATGGTAAACAGGCATACAAAAAGGTGATCATCATCACTGATCATCAGATAAATGTAAATCAAAACTACAATGAGATATTATCTCACCCCAGTTAAAACAGATTATATTCAAAAGACAAGCAATAGCAAATGCTGGTGAGAGTGTGGAGAAAAGGGAACCCAACTACACTGTTGGTGGGAATGTAAATTAGTACAACGACTCTGGAGAACAGTTTGGAGGTTTCTCAAAAACTAAAAACAGAGCTGCCATATGATCCAGAAATCCCACTGCTGGGGATATATCCAAAAGAAAGGAAATCAGCATGTCAAAGAGATATCTCCATTCCCATGTTTGTTGTAGCACTGTTTACAATAGCTAAGATTTGGAAGAAACCTAAGTGTCCATCAATAGATGAAAGGATACCAAGCGGGCCTAATAGACATCTACAGAACTCTCCACCCCAAATCAACAGAATATACAATCTTCTCAGCACCACACCACACCTATTCCAAAATTGACCACATAGTTGGAAGTAAAGCTCTCCTCAGCAAATGGAAAAGAACAGAAATTATAACAAACTGTCTCTCAGACCACAGTGCAATCAAACTAGAACTCAGGATTAAGAAACTCACTCAAAACCGCTCAACTACATGGAAACTGAACAACCTGCTCCTGAATGACTACTGGGTACATAACGAAATGAAGGCAGAAATGAAGATGTTCTTTGAAACCAACGAGAACAAAGACACAACATACCAGAATCTCTGGGACACATTTAAAGCAGTGTGTAGAGGGAAATTTATAGCACTAAATGCCCACAAGAGAAAGCAGGAAAGATCTAAAATTGACACCCTAACATCACAATTAAAACAACTAGAGAAGCAAGAGCAAACACATTCAAAAGCTAGTAGAAAGCAAGGAAGTAACTAAGATCAGAGCAGAACTGAAGGAGATAGAAACATAAAAGACCGTTAAAAAAATCAATGAATCCAGGAGCTGGTTTTTTTGAAAAGATCAACACAACTGATAGACCGCTAGCAAGAATAATGAAGAAGAAAAGAGAGAAGAATCAAATAGACCCAATAAAAAATGATAAAGGGGATATCACCACCAATCCCACAGAAATACAAACTACCATCAGAGAATACTATAAACACATCTGCATAAATAAACTAGAAAATCTAGAAGAAATGGATAAATTCCTCGACACATACACCCTCCCAAGACTAAACCAGGAAGAAGTTGAATCTCTTCATAGACCAATAACAGGCTCTGAAATTGAGGCAATCAATAATAGCTTACCAACCAAAAAAAGTCCAGGACCAGATGGATTCATAGCCGAATTCTACCAGAGGTACAAGGAGGAGCTGGTACCATTCCTTCTGAAACTATTCCAATCAACAGAAAAAGAGGGAATCCTCCCTAACTCATTTTGTGAGGCCAGCATCATCCTGATACCAAAGCCTGGCAGAGACACAACCAAAAAAGATCATTTGAGACCAATATCCCTGATGAACATCGATGCAAAAATCCTCACTAAAATACTGGCAAACTGAATCCAGCAGCACATCAAAAAGCTTATCCACCATAATCAAGTGGGCTTCATCCCTGGGATGCAAGGCTGGTTCAACATATGCAAAACAATAAATGTAATCCAGCATATAAACAGAACCAAAGACAAAAACCACATGATTATCTCAATAGATGCAGAAAAGGCTTTTGACAAAATTCAACAGCCCTTCATGCTAAAAACTCTCAATAAATTAGGTATTGATGGGACGTATCTCAAAATAATAAGAGCTATTTATGACAAACCCACAGCCAATATCATACTGAATGGGCAAAAACTGGAAGCATTCCCTTTGAAAACCGGCACAAGACAGGGATGCCCTCTCTCACCACTCCTATTCAACATAGTGTTGGAAATTCTGGCCAGGGCAATCAGGCAGGAGAAAGAAATAAAGGGTATTCAATTAGGAAAAGAGGAAGTGAAATTGTCCTTGTTTGCAGATGACATGATTGTATATCTAGAAAACCCCATTGTCTCAGCCCAATATCTCCTTAAGCTGATAAGCAACTTCAGCGAAGTCTCAGGATACAAAATCAATGTGCAAAAATCACAAGCATTCTTATACACCAATAACAGACAAACAGAGAGCCAAATCATGAGTGAACTCCCATTCACTATTGCTTCAAAGAGAATAAAATACCTAGGAATCCAACTTACAAGGGATGTGAAGGACCTCTTCAAGGAGAACTACAAACCACTGCTCAACGAAATACAAGAGGACACAAACAAATGGAAGAACATTCCAAGCTCATGGATAGGAAGAATCAATATCGTCAAAATGGCCATACTGCCCAAGGTAATTTATAGATTCAATGCCATCCCCATCAAGCTACCAATGACTTTCTTCACAGAATTGGGAAAAACTACTTTAAAGTTCATATGGAACCAAAAAAGAGCTCGCATTGCCAAGACAATCCCAAGCCAAAAGAACAAAGCTGGAGGCATCATGCTACCTGACCTCAAACTATACTACAAGGCTACAGTAACCAAAACAGCATGGTATTGGTACCAAAACAGAGATATAGATCAACGGAACAGAACAGAGCCCTCAGAAATAATACCACACATCTACAACCATCTCATCTTTGACAAACCTGACAAAAACAAGAAGTGGGGAAAGGATTCCCTATTTAATAAATGGTGCTGGGAAAACTGGCTAGCCATATGTAGAAAGCTGAAACTGGATCCCTTCCTTACACCTTATACAAAAATTAATTCAAGATGGATTAAAGACTTAAATGTTAGACCTAAAACCATAAAAACCCTAGAAGAAAACCTAGGCAATACCATTCAGGACATAGGCATGGGCAAGCACTTCATGTCTAAAACACCAAAAGCAATGGCAACAAAAGCCAAAATTGACAAGTGGGATCTAATTAAACTAAAGAGCTTCTGCACTACAAAAGAAACTACCATCAGAGTGAACAGGCAACCTACAGAATGGGAGAAAATTTTTGCAATCTACCCATCTGACAAACAGCTAATATCCAGAATCTACAAAGAACTTAAACACATTTACAATAAAAAAAAAAAAAAACAACCCCATCAACAAGTGGGCGAAGGATATGAACAGACACTTCTCAAAAGAAGACATTTATGCAGCCAACAGACACATGAAAAAATGCTCATCATCACTGGCCATCAGAGAAATGCAAATAGAAACCACAATCAGATACCATCTCACACCAGTTAGAATGGCAATCATTAAAAAGTCAGGAAACAACAGGTGCTGGAGAGGATGTGGAGAAATAGGAACGCTTTTACAATGTTGGTGGGACTGTCAACTAGTTCAACCATTGTGGAAGACAGTGTGGTGATTCCTCAAGGATCTAGAACTAGAAATACCATTTGACCCAGCAATCCCATTACTGGGTATATACCCAAAGGATTATAAATCATGCTACTATAAACACACATGCACACGTATGTTTATTGTGGCACTATACACAATAGCAAAGACTTGGAACCAACCCAAATGTCCAACAATGATAGACTGGATTAAAAAAATGTGGCACATATACACCATGGATACTATGCAGCCATAAAAAAGGATGAGTTCATGTCCTTTGTAGGGACATGGATGAAGCTGGAAACCATCATTCTCAGCAAACTATTGCAAGGACAAAAAACCAAACACCGCATGTTCTCGCTCATAGGTGGGAATTGAACAATGAGAACACTTGGACACAGGAAGGGGAACATAACACACCGGGGCCTGTTGTGGGGTTGGGGGATGGGGCAGGGATAGCATTAGGAGATATACCTAATGTAAATGACGAGTTAATGGGTGCAACACACCAACATGGCACATGTATACATATGTAACAAACCTGCACGTTGTGCACATGAACCCTAGAACTTAAAGTATAATAAAAAAAAAAGAATGGATAAAGAAAATGTGGTACATATATACAATCGAGTACTATTCAGCTATAAAAAGTATAAGATCCAGTCATTTGCAACAACATGAAAGGAACTCGAGATGATTATGTTAAGTGAAATAAGCCAAGCACAGAAAGACAAACATTCCATATGCTCAGTTATTTGTGTTATCTAGACATCAAAACAATTGAATGTCTTAATTCAACTCATTACCAGAGACTGGGAAGGGTAGTAGGGGGTTGGGTGTGGGAGGAGGGGATGGTTATTGGGTACAAAAAATAGAAAGAATAAATAAGACCTAGTATTTGATAGCACAACAAGGTGACTATAGTCAATAATAACTTCATATTTTAAAATAACTTAAAGAATGTAATTGGATTGTTTGTAACTCAAAGGGTAAATGCTTGAGGAGACAGATAAAAATATGCTACAGAGCTATAGTAACCAAAACAGCACAGTACTTTTAGTGTGATGGGTGCACCAAAATCTCAGAAATCACCATTAAAGAACGTATCCATGTAACAAAAAGCCACCAGTACCCCATTACTTTTAAAATAAAATTTTAAAAAACAGATACATAGATCAGTGGAACAGAACACTGAACCAAGAAATAAATCCACATACCTACAGTGGACTCACTTTTTCAAAGTTTCCAAGAACATAAATTGGGCAAAGGACAATCTTTTCAATAAATGGTGCTGGAAAAACTGGATATTCACATGCAGAAATATGAAACTGGACTTCTACTATATCAGTCCATTCTCAGGCTACTATAAAAATACATGAGACTGGGTAATTCATAAAGAAAAGAGATTTAATTGACTCACAGTTCTTTATGGCTGGGGAGACCTCAAGAAACTTAAAATCATGACAGAAGGCACCTCTTCACAGGGCAGCAGGAGAGAGAATGAGTGCCAGCAAGGGAAATGCCAGACACTTATAAAACCATCAGATCTTGTGAGAGCTCGCTCATTATCACAAGAACAGCCTGGGGAAAACTGCCCCCATGATTCAATCACTTCCCACTAGGTCCCTCCCACGACAGGTAGGGATTATGGGAACTACAATTCAAGATGAGATTTGGGTGGGGACACAGAGCCAAACCATATCACCTACCTATTGCCATATACTAAAATCAAATCAAAATGAATTAAAGATTAAATCTAACACCTCAAACTATGAAACTACTACAAGAAAACATTGGGGACAATCTCCAGAACATTGTACTGGGCAAAGATTTCTTGAGCATTACACCAGAAGCACAGGCAACCAAAGCAAAAATGGAGAAATGGGATCACATTGAGTTTAAAAGCATTTGCACAGCAAAGGAAATAATCAACAAAGTGAAGAGACAACCAATGGGAGAAAATATTTGCAAACTACCCATTTGACAAAAGATTAATAACCAGAAAATATAAGGAGTTCAAACAGGTCTATAGGAAAAAAATCTAATAATCTGACCAAAAAATGGGCACATGATTTGAATAGACATTTCTCAAAAGAAGAGATACAAATGGCAAACAGACATATGAAAATGTGCTCAACATCATCAATCATAAAAGAAATACAGGCCGGGCGCGGTGGCTCACGCCTGTAATCCCAGCACTTTGGGAGGCCGAGGCGGGCGGATCACGAGGTCAGGAGATTGAGACCATCCCGGCTAACACGGTGAAACCCCGTCTCTACTAAAAATACAAAAAATTAGCCGGGCGTAGTGGCGGGCGCCTGTAGTCCCAGCTACTTGGGAGGCTGAGGCAGGAGAATGGCGTGAACCCGGGAGGCGGAGCTTGCAGTGAGCCGAGATCCCGCCACTGCACTCCAGCCTGGGCGACAGAGCGAGACTCCGTCTCAAAAAAAAAAAAAAAAAAGAAATACAAATCAAAACTACGATGACAAATCATCTCACCCCTGTTCAAATGCTTTTATCCAAAAATCAGGCAAAAACAAATGCTAGTGAGGATAGGGATAAAGGGAACACTTGTACATTGTTGATGGGAATGTAAATTAGTACAACCACTATGGAGAACCGTTTGGAGGTTTCTCAAAAAACTAAAAACAGAGCTGCCATATGATCCAGCAATCCCACTCCTAGGTACATTCCCCAAAAAAGGAAATCAGTATATCGAAGAGATATCTTCACTCTCATGTTTGTTACAGGGCTATGTATAATAGCCAACAGTTGGAGGCAACCTAATGTCCATTAGCAGATGAATGGATAAAGAAAATGTGGTACATATATAAAAGGAGTACTATTCAACCATAACAAAGAATGAGATCCTATTATTTACAACAACATGAATAGAACTGGAGGTCATTATGTTCAGTGAAATAAGCCAGTCACAAAAAGACAAACATCACATGTTCTCACTTATTAGTGGGAACTAAAAATTTAAAAACCAAACTGACATGGAAATAGAGAGTAGAATAGTTACCAGAGGTTGGGAAGGGTACTGGGGAGGGAAATGTGGGATAAGTGGGGATGGTTAATGGGTACAAAAATTAGTTAGAAAGAATAAGATCTAGTATTTGCTAGCATAACAGGGTGACTATAGTTAAAAATAATTTAATTGCACAGTAAAAATGTATCACTGGATTGTTTGTAACACAAAGGATAAATGCTTAAGGTGATGGATTCCCCATTTACCCTGACGTGATTATTATACATTGCATGCCTGTATCAAAATATCTTATGTAACAAACTATATTTTGTGGGTACACCTATTATGTACCCACAAAATTTAAAAATAAATAAAATAAAAAATAAATTCAAAAACTTAAAATTCAACAATATGAGAACAAACATCTCAATTAAATATTTGGCAAAGTTAAACATAGTTTTGCCATGTGATCCATCGATTGTACCTCTAGGTATTTACCCAAATGAGTTGGAAACTTATGCTCACACAAAAACCTGCATAAGAATGTTTGTAGTAGCTTCTATGGTCTAATCTGTCCCCCAGAATTCATATGTTGAAACTTAGTCATCAATGTAACAATGTTTAGAGGTGGGACCTTTAGGAGGTAATTCAGCCATGAGGGCTCTGCTCTTGTGAATGGATTGGTGTCCTTATGAAAAGGCTTGAAAGAAGGGAGTTTGCTCTCTTTTGTCCTTCTACCTTTCTGCCATTTGAGGATACCTAGACAACACCATTTTAAAAGAATGGGCCCTCACCAGACACTGAACCTGCCAGCATCTTGATCTTGGACTTCCAAGCCTCCAGAACTGTGAAAAATAAATTTTTGTTCACTATAAGCTACGAAGTCTCAGGTATTTTGTTATAGCAGCACAAACAACCTAAGATGAAAGTTTTACTTATAATTGCCAAAAACTAGAGGCAACCAAGATATTCCTCATCAGGTGAGTTGATAAACAAACTGTGATACATCCAGAAAATGGAATACTGTTCAGCAATGAAAAAGAATAAACAATCAAATCAGAAAAAGACGTGAAGGAACCTTAATTGCATACTGCTTAGTGAAAGAAGCCAATATAAAAAGGCTGTATAATTCCAACGATGTGACGTTCTGGAAAAAGGTGAAATTCTAGACAACAGAAAGATGAGTGGTTGCCAGGGGTTCAGGAGAAAGGAGAGAGAGGGTAATAGGTGGAGCACAGGTGACTTTTAAGGTGATTTTTATTTCACTTTAATCATAAGTGAACTTATTTTTTATGAACTATAATAGTAGATACATGACATTATGCATTTGTCAAAATGCATGGAATTATATAATACGGAGAGTAAACGCTAATGTGAATTTAGGACTTAATTAACAATGTATCAATATCAGTTCATCTGTTTGAACAAATGTACCACACTAATGCAAGATGTTAATAGTAGGGAAAATTGCAGTGAGAGAGAAAGAATATATGGGAAATCTTTGTACTTGCTGCTCAGGTTTTCTGTAAATCAAAAACTGCTCTAAAACTTAAGTCTATTGTTAGAAAAGACTCTACAGGATAGGACAAAACATTTATAAATGATATGTCTGCTAAGGGTCTAATATACAAAACATGTACAGGGTTCTTAAATTGAATAAGAAAAGACAAATAATCCAGTTTAAACGTGGGCAAAGGATCTCAATAACTATTTATCCAATGAAGATATACAAATGACCAATAAGGATGTGAAAAATTGTTCAATAGAAAAATGCAAAACAACACCACAATGAAATGTCACTTCGCATCCACTAAGATGGCTTCAATTAAAGACAGAAAATAACTAGTGTTGGCAAGGATGTGGAAAAATTGCAACTCTCCTACATTGCTGGTAGGGATGTAAAATATTGCAGCCACTTTAGGAAATAGTTTGGCAGTTTCTCTAATTTAATTATAGAGTTACCATATGACCCAGCAACTCCACTCCTAGATATACATCCAAGAGAATTGAAAACATATTTTCATGCAAAAATTTGTCCATGAATGTTCACAGCAGCACTATTCACAATAGTAAAAAAGTGGAGGAAACCCAATGTCTGTCAACTGATGAATGGATAAGTAAAATGTAACCTATCAATATCATGGAATATTATTCAGCCAAAGAATGGAACCAGGTACTAGCACATGCTACAACATGGATGAACCTTGAGAACATTACATTAACTGAAAGAAGCCAGTCACAAAGTACCACTTATTGTATAATTCAATTTCTATGAAATATCCAGAACAGGCAAATTTGTACAGACAAAAATAGATTAATGGTTATCATAGGCTCGGGAGAGAGAACAATGGGGAATGACTGCTAATGGGTACTGGGTTTCTTTTTGGTGTGACAAAAATCTTATATTAATAGAATATATATTGGTCATAGTTGTACAACATTGTAACATACTAAATGCTACTGTTTTGCATACCTTAAGAGAATACAATTTATAGTATGTGAATTATATTTCAAAGAAACTTATATTGAAAATCTTAACATGATCACAAAAGTGACATCACTTTTGGTATACTCAATTTGTTCAAAATAAATTATTACCTCCAGACCATAAACAAGTGAAGGAGATTATATAAGGGCATGAATACAAGGAGGCAGCAATCACTGGAGGCTCTTTAGAGTGTTATTCCTCAAAGCCATTAAAAAGTATTATTCTTTTGGGAGGCCAAGGCGGGTGGATTGCTTGAGCCCAGGAGTTCAAGACCAGCCTGGGCAACTATGGCAAAACCCTGTCTCTACCAAAAAATACAAAAATTAGGCAGGTGTGGTGGCATGCACCTGTAGTCCCAGCTACTCAGGAGGCTGAGGGTGGGAGGATTGCTGAAGCCCGGGAAATCGAGGCTGCAGTGAGTCATGACTGTGCCACTGCACTCCAGCCTGGATGACAGAAAGAGACCCTGTCTTTAAAGTAATAATAATTAAGAAATATTACTCTGAGAAGGGGACCGTAGGCTCCACCAGAGGCCAATGGGATCCATGGTACAAAATAGAGTAAGAAGCCCCGGTCTATCAGGAAAAATGAGTAAGTCGATTTGTTGTTATTGGTGCTGTTAATTTTGCTGGGAAAGCAGAATCTGGCCCGTGTGAGATAGTAAAAAGAAAGGGTAATGCTTTTGTTCTAGAAAGGCAAACGGAGTCCAAATTTGGGCAAGTCAGAAGGAGAAAGAAACAGTCATAGCAGCACTGTGATAAAATTGTGACTGCTCCTCATGGAACCTATGCTGTACTCAATTTTCTTTCCCCCAGGCCCATATTTGTGCTGCAGATCACTGTTTTCATAGGATGGTCCATGGAGGCCTTGCATTCCAATCCCCTGGGGAACTTCTTTAAAAGACCTACTTATTCAGACTCTCAGGAATGCGGCTAAGGAATATACATTTTCATAGCCTCATCAGGTGATTCTTATGCACATTCAGGTTTGAACTGGAGGTATAAGGACTCTAGCTCTGGTAACTGACAGGTTTGAAATCTGGCTCTGAAACTTTCTAGCTAACTATGGGCCAGTCATTTAACCCCTCTGAACTTTACTTCCCTCATCTGTAAAATGCAAATATAATAATAATGCCTACATCGTAGAGTGGTTTTGATGATTAAACGAGCTATTATATGTAAAGCCCTTATTACCATGCCTAGCGCTCAATGAATGGTAACTTTTATAAAGCACGAGCCCAGATTTTCAATTGTTTTGCTCTTATAGTTCCCAATAAACATTGCTATTATTATCATAGGTTAATAGGAGACCACGGAGAGGCAGTGTGGTATAGCAAAATGAGCACAGGACATGGAGTCAGATCTGGATTCAAATCTAAGCTCTGCCCTTATAGGCTATGATCATAAACAAATCACGATCTGTGTGAGCCTCGGTTTCCTCTTCCATAAGATGGTGATAATAACAGTATCTTCATCCTGAGTTGTAATAATTAAATGAGATAATCCACTTAAAGAACTTGGCATTCAGTAAGCACTTAGTACATAATGCCAAAATTTGTCTCCCCACCCACCCCTCCTGAACCCACACTGTAGTGATCAAAATGATTGACTGGTTAAGGATAATACAGGTACAGCCCATGGAAAAATTCTCTTAGAAGTCTAGTTTAGGCATTTTTACCTAGTTTAGATTTTGCCATTGATAGTTTTCTGAACTTGGATCCTTTTACTATATGATCCCTTCTAACTATGACTTCTGCATTTGCAAACCTCACCATAACCCTGCTTATTAAAATAGATGCATTTGTGGTTGATGATTATCGTTGCATCTCTTTTTCTGGTTAAAAGCTAAACATGTTCCTAGTCCAGAACTTTAGAATGATCCAAGGGTTCCACGAAGCCACATGGCAGATATGTATAAATCATTAGTAAATCTTAAGATCTAAGTAATTCACATCAATATTTAAATAGTCACCCTTCTATCTTCTTATTTGCGTATTTAGTCAGCAGTAAAATACATTTTGTAAATCTCTGATGTTCCAGAAGTTGCCAGTTGCTAAAGAAAACGGTCTCACCTGATTAGACAGACTGAGGCATAGTTACCAGTTGGCCAATTCCTGTCAGTATGGGCAAGAGGACACTAATATGATGGAAACCAGGAGTCTGCAAGGCTTAGACATCTACTTTGGTCTAGATTGTCAAGGTCTTGACCATGTCAGCAGAAGGGCAATTAACTCTAGTCATTTACCTTGTCAAGACTAGGGTCCAAATACAAAATTTCAGTTAGGAAGAATAAGTTCAATAGATCTATTGTACAACATGGCGATTATAGTTAATAACAATGTATTGTATTCTTAAAAATTGCTAAGAGAGTAGATTTTAGGTGTTCTCACCACAAAATAATAAGTATGTGAGGTAATGCATATGTTAATTAGCTCAATTTAGCCACATTCCCAAATTCATACATATTTCAAAACATGTTATATATGACAAATACATATCATTATATTTCAACTTAAAATCAATCAATCAATGTTAAACAAAACTCCATTAATGAATACTTCAGAGAATGACACCGGTCAGTGAGCATCTATCCTCCTACAGCAGTAGAGATGTGTATGCAAATGTATGGTAGACACACCTGGAAGTGAAATTAAACTTAAGCATAACCTGAGAATTACCCTATATGGCAGGTGCACCTGAGTGTGTGTTCTGAGCTGAGGAATCCAGAAATGGCCAACTGGGAGATACGTTCCTTGCCTGTATATCCAGGAGGAACATCTGACCCCTGGCCATCCAGTGGAATGCAGAAGGGAGTGAGGCCCTTTGTTTTGGGTTAAATGAAATTTGCTGGATGGAAGTTGTTAGGGGGAGGGTGCTAAGTGAATATCTTATATAAACTGATTGCTTTTTGTAAGCCGTTGTGGTTGTCCTGCCCAGCCCGCCACCACTGGACTTTCCCTGTATGTAAGGTGGTTCTCCTGTCCAGTCCAGCACCACCGGACCATCCCTGCATATAAGTTTCCTGCTAATGAAACCCTCTGTCTCATTTGCTGGCTCTGGGTCTCTTCTTCAGCCTCTTGAACCCGGCGCCATCCCTGTTGAAGTTAATAGGAGCCTGGTATGACAGCAAGTACCTACAATGCAAAGCAATATCTTATTAAGTGCCATGTGGGTGGTACAGACCCTACATCTTACGGGGGCTATGAGGAAGGAGAAGCATATCAGACTCTCAAATGGCAGGTGCACTTTGGAAAAACATTTAAGATACCTACAGATTTTGTAATACAAATGTAAAACAAAGATCTATAATATTAATATATTATTGGCTGGGGCCAGTATGCAAATGACAGACTAAGAAAGCATGGTTAGGGTCATGAGTTGAAACAGGTCAAGAATCTGACAACCATTCTACCCAGTCAACAGATTTTTGTTAAGACACTGTTCTTGGCACTGGGGAGACAGCAGTGAACAAGGTAGATGACACCAATCTTGGGCAAGATAGTTAAACTCTCTACATCTAAGTGTCATCTTTAAAATGGGAAGAGGATTCATTAAAGGAGGGCAAAGAGTATTAGGTGTTTTGCATTATGTGCTGCAGAGTAGACACATCATAAATGAAATAATTAGCCTGCTGGGGAGAATAAGTGGTTCATCAGCTTGGCTGTGAAAATGTGTATGGTTTTGATAGGCAGAGACAAAAGGAAGATATTTAAGTAGAGAGAACAGCGTTAATTAAGTCACTCATGCAAAGAAACTTTTTGAGTGGCTATGACATTGGCATTCATGGACATATTTCATTTACATGAATTCAGCTATACACACTAGGAGAAAATTGTTTAAATAGTACAGGCAAATTATCCCACCATTATATTCAGTTAATATATACCCTGGGTTGAGTGTGAGATGAAAGGCACGAATTTGTTCTTTCATTTCATAGTGTGAACACCTCACTTTGCTGAACGTCATTCTTTTGTTTAGATACATATTTTGCATGTAGTGTGGTCAGCCACGAGTGCAAGCCAGTTACTTAATCTGCGGGTCAAACAAAAGGAACAACCCAGTCATCTGCTCCTGCACTGGAGGAGAAGCTGGCAGTGCTGAACGTTCTGAGAAAAGAATGTCATTCTTCAATGTCGCACCTTCCTAAGGCATTACGCAAAGTCATTTGACCAGATGATTTTCATTTTACATGTTGATTTTAGGATGTATCTTGTGTTTAAGGAATGACTTCACTATGTGTGTCAGGAATCGTGCCAGATGCTGGTGATACAGTGATTTCAAAAAACCTGTCAATGTACAAATCTATGTCCAGTAAAAAATCTTGTAAACATAAAGGCAAATTGTGTTGCCAGCGTATCTAATCTATGAAAATGCTAAGGAAAACCTATGAAAATGATAAAACAATATGGAAATTCAGACATAAGGTAATAAATGAAGAGCATTGGAAATTCTAAATAGGTAGTAAAATATAACACATTATTTTCCTTTAAATTTTTAAAGGGCAATTGAATGTTGAAATCATGTAATAACAGCAACATATTTGAGGTGTTATAAGTAAAAGTAAAACATAAAACAATGATAACACTAAAAGCAGGAAGGGTGTAAACATGACATAATTTTACTATTATTATACATAAATGGTATATTATTTGTTTGTTATAACTTCGACTTTTATTTTACATTCAGGGGGAACATGTGCAGGTTTATTACATGGCTATATCACATGATGCTCAGGTTTAGGGTATGATTGATCCCATCATCTAGGTAGAGAGCATAGTACCCAGTAGTTTTTCAACAATTGCCCCCTCTCCCTCCCACTCTAGTAGTCCTCAGTATCTACTGTTGCCATTTTTATGTTCATGAGTACCCAATGTTTAGCTCCCACTTGTGAGAACATGTGGCATTTGGTTTTCTGTTACTGCATTAATTCACTTAGGATAATGGCCTCCAGCTGCCTCCATGTTGCTTCAAAGGACATGATTTTATTCTTTTTCATCTTTTTGTATACCTTTTTCATCTTTCATTCTTTTTGTATAGTATTCCATGGCATATGTGTACCACATTTTCTTGATCCAATCCACCATTGATGAGCACCTAGGTTGATTCCACCTCTTTGCTATTGTGAATGGTGCTGTGATAAACATTTGAGTGCACATGCTTTTTGGTGGTATAATTGCTGGGTTGAATGGTAGTTCTGTTTTAAGTTCTCTGAGAAATCTCCAAACTTAATTCCACAGTAGCTAAACTAATTTACACTCCCACCAACAATGTATATGCATTCGCTGTTCTCCACAGCCTACCAGCAACACAATAATAATGGGGGAACTCAATACTCCACTGACAGTACTAGACATGCCATCAAAGCAGAAAATCAGCAAAGAAACAATGGACTTAAATGATACACTAGAAAAAGTGGACTTAATAGACATTTAGAAAACATTCTACCTAAGAACTGCAGAATATATATTATTTTCATCAGCATATAAAACATTCTCCAAGATAGACCATACAGTAGGTCACAAAACAAGTCTCAATAAATTTAAGAAAATCAAAATTATATCAAGTATCCTCTCAGACCACAATGGAATAAAAGTGGAAATTAACTCCAAAAGGAATCCTCAAAACTATAAAAATACATGGAAATTAAATAATCTACTCCTGAATGATCTCTGCGTCAACAATGAGATCAAGATGGAAATTTAAAATTTCATTAAACTGAATGATAATCATGACACAACTTATCAAAACACCTGAGATACAGCAAAAGCAGTGCTAAGAGGAAATTTCATAGCATTAAATGACTACAACAGAAAATCTGAAAGAGAACAAATAGACAATCTAAGGTCACACCTCAAGGAACTAGAGAAACAAGAACAAGCCAAACCCAAACCCAGCAGAAGAAAAGAAATAACAAATATCAGAGCATAACTACATGAAATTTAAACAAAAAGAAAAATACAAAAGATAATTCAAACAAAAAGTTGATTATATGAAAAGATAAACAAAATGAATAGATCATTAGTGAGATTAGCCAAGAAGAGAAGAGAGAAAATCCCAATCAGCTCAATTAGAAATGAAACAAGAGGTATTATAACTGGTGCCACAGAAATACAAAAGATCATTTGAGGCTACTATGAAAACCTTTATGTGCACAAACTAGAAAATCTAGAGGAGGTGGACAAATTCCTGGAAATTTACAACCCTCCTAGATTAAATCAGGAAGAAATAGAAACTCTCACATGCAAGAACACCCACAGGCTCAAGATAAAGGGTTGGAGGAAATCTACCAAGCAAATGGAAACCAGAAAAAAGCAGGGCTCACAATCTCAGACAAAACGGACTTTAAACTAGCATATGAGATGGGTCTCTTGAAGACAGCATACCTACCATCAGGTCTTGCTTCTTTATCCAGCTTGAGACTGTGTGACTTTTAACTGGAGCATTTAGCCTCTTTACATTCAAGGTTAGTATCGATATGTGTGGATTTGATCCTGTCATCATGTTGTTAGCTGGTTATAATGCCAACTTGTTCGTGTGGTTGCTTTACAGTGTCAGTGGCCCGTGTACTTAAGTGTTTTTGTAGTGGCTGGTAATGGTCTTTCCTTTCCATATTTATTGCTTCTTTCAGGAGCTCTAAAAAGGCGGGTCTGGTGGTAACAAATTCCCTCAGCATTTGCTTGTCCAAAAAGGATCTTATTTCTCATTTGCTTATGAAGTTTAGTTTGGCTGTATATGAAATTCTCTGTTGGAATTTCTTTTCTATAAGAATGTTAAATACAGGCCCCCAGTCTCTTTTGGCTTGAAAGGTTTCTGCTGAGAGGTCTGCTGTTAGTCTGATGGGCTTCCCTCTGCAGCTGACCTGGCGTTTCTCTCCAGCTGCCTTTAACAGATTTTTTCTTTCATCTGATCTTGGAGAATCTGATAATTATGTCTTGGAGATGATCTTCTAGTGAAGTATCTTGCTAAAGTTCTCTGTATTAGCTTAATTTTAATGTTGGCCTCTCTAACTAGGTTGCAGAATTTCTCATGGATGATAACCTGAAATAAGTTTTCCAAATTGTTTCCATTCTCCCTATCTCTTTCAGGGATGCCAATGAGTTACAGATTTGGTCTGTTTACATAATCCCATATTTCTCAGAGGTTTTTTTCCATTCCTTTCCATTCTTGTTTTTTTTATTTTTCTCTGACTGTCATTTCAGAAAGGCAGTCTTCACGCTCTAAGATTCTTTCCTCGGCTTGGTCTATTCTGCTGTTAATACTTACAATTGCATTATGAAATTCTTGTAGTGTGTTTTTCAGCTGAATCAGTCAGTTATGTTCCTTTCAATACTGGCTATTTTGTCTGTCAGCTCCTGTATCATTTTATTGTGATTCTTAGCTTTCTTGAATTGGGTTTCAATGTTCTCCTGAATCTTGATGATCTTTGTTCCTATCAATATTCTGAATGCTATTTCTGTCATTTCAGTCATTTCCATCTCTTTAAGAAACACTGCTGGGGAACTAGTGTGGTCGTTTGGAGGAAAGAAGACACTCTGGCTTTTTGAAATGTCAAACTTCTGGCAATTGCTCTTTCTCATCTTTGTGGGCTGATTTTCCTTCAATCTTTGAAGTTGCTATTTTTGGATTTTTTTCCCCCTTTTATGCTATTTCATGACCTTAGGGGTTTGATTGTGGCATAAGTTTTTTCAGTCAACTGGATTCATTTCTGGAAGATTTTAGGGGGCTAAGGCTTAGCTCAGGACTCCTAGACTGGGTGTCCTAACTCTGGAGGACTAGTATCAGGCCCTGGCTTTGTTCTCTGGCCACTTAAGGTTAGGAACCTGCTGCACTGGAGGGGCCAAGGTGCTCCCAGACCACTAGTCACAACAGTCCAATGGGCGGTGCCAACCAAAGCACTTCGTAGGGCTGCGGCAGCATGATTTATCTTTGTTCGCCCATGGGAGGAGTGGTATCAGTGGCAGCATGATAAGGTGTCCACTTTTCAGCTGCAGTGGGGTGCTAGCAGGTGCCAGGATGCTGGTTGTCATGTGGGCATTTGCAGCAGCAGCATTGGCAGCATGTCATGGGGAAGCAGGGGGCCCCACTGGCATCTTTGTGTATGTTTGTGCTGGTGACACTTTTAGCATAGTGGTGGGGCCCTGGTGGCCACAGGACTGTGTGAGCTCTTTGTGTGTGTTTATGGGTGGCGGTGGCTGCTCAGGGCCAGGGCAGGTCTCTGTTCTCTTTGCCTAGTTTCTGGCAACAGCAGCATCAACACAGGGGCAGGGTGCTGGTGGCAGGTAAGGCTAAGGGGCTCCATGCCCTCCAAAGCTTTGATGGGAATGGCAGGCTGCATTCATGCTGGCAGAAGTGGCATGGCAGGGTGCACATCTGCCTGTGCACACACATGCCAGCAAAGTGATTTGGGAGGTGGCCATGGGCTAGTATCTGCAGGCAAGGTACCACTGGGGAGGCTGCAGTGGAAGGAGAGCATGTGCAGGCTGATATGTGTCTGTGGAGGCTGCTCTGGTGGAGCTCTCTGCTTGTCAGGTGTGGTCTGCCAGCACAGGAGCTGTGATGCAGGCCACCAAGAGGAACACCCCTTTTGGGTACCTGAGGCTGCACTGCAAGCACCCAGGGAGAGTCCAGCAGGCTGAGGGGTGTTCAGGTTGGACCAGTCCCATCTCATGGCCAAGACCACCCTGCAGAGTTCATGTGTGACAATTCCTCTAGGGCTAAGTCTCCTATAGGAGTAAGTTGAGCCTAAGGGAATGGGTGTCCCTGGCTGTGATCCACTACAGATGCTCCTGCATGAAACCCTCTGGGCTCCACACTGGCTGGAACTCTGCCCTGACCACTTCTGTAAGCAGCTGTCTTTGCCAACTCAAGTGTCCACAGTGGTCATGGGGACTCCTCTGGCCAGGATTCCAAAGGCCCATGGTTAGAGCAGGTTGCTCTTTCCTTCTTCAACTCACCCCTTCCCCAGGAGTTGTTGGGGGATAGGAATGGGTCCTGGTGCATGGTAGCCCCATGCAGGGTTCCCAGCTTCCTCCCTCTTCCGCCCGACATCTGTGTCTTCCCTACAACCGCTCTCAATGCCTTCCCTTTGAAGATCTGCTAAGAGTGCACCAGTCTTCCCAATGTCCCAATCCCTCAGTGGCAGATGTTCCCCCTGGCTGTGTCTAGTTGACCATCTTGATCACAGGTCTACTTTGCTCTCATAAACCCTGATAAAGCCTTGTTCCCAGTAGCCTCACAATGAGATGGAGAAGCCTCGGAGAACGCACCAATGTGGTTACTCCAGGGTGACAGAGGCGTGACTCACTTCAATTTTTGTTGTTGTCACAATTGCTTTTGAGGATCTAGCTATAAATTCTCTCCCAAGGCTGATGTCCAGAGTTGTGTTTCCTAGGTTTTCTTCTAGGATTCTTAAAGTTTGAAGTCTTACATTTAAATCTTTAATCCACCTTGAGTTACTTTTTTATATGGTGAAAGGTAGGGGTCCAGTTTTATTCTTCTGCATATGTCTAGCCAGCTATCCCAGCACCATTTAATGAAGACTGCTGTTTCCTCACTGCTAACTTTTATTGACTTTGTCAAAGATCAGATGGCTGTTGGTGTGTGGGTTTATTTCTCAGCTCTCTATTCTGTTCCATTGGTTTATGTGTGTTTTTGTACCACTATCATGCTGTTTTGGTCACTGTAGCTTTGTAGTATAGTTTGAAGTCAGGTAGTGTGATGCCTCCAGCTTTGTTCTTTTTGCCTAGAAGTCCTTTGACTATTCTGGCTCTTTTTGGTTCCATATGAATTTTAGAATAGTTTCTTCCCAATTCTGTGAAAAGTGATGTTGGTCGTTTCACAGGAATAACGTCGAAATCTGTAGACTGCTTTGGGCAGTATGTCCATTTGAATGATATTGATTCTTCCAATTCATGAGCAAGGAATGTTTTTCCATTTGTTTGTGTCATCTACAACTTCTTTCAGCAGTGTTTTGTACATCTCCTTGTAGAGCTCTTTCATCTCCTTGGTTAGATGTATTCCTAGGTAATTTTTTTGTGGCTATTGTAAATGGGATTACTTCTTGATTTGGCTGTCAGCTTGACCATTATTTGTGTATAGAAATGGTACTGATTTTTTACAATGATTTTTGTATCCTGGAACTTTACTGAAGTCATTTATCAGTTCCAGGAGCCTTTTGGTGGACTCTTTAGGGTTTTTTAGGTATAGAATCATATTGTCTGTGTAGAGAGATAGCTTGACTTCTCTATTTGGATGCCTTTTTTTTCTTTCTCTTGCTGACTGATCTGGCTAGAACTTCCATTAATTCTGTGTTGAATGTAACAAGATAAGGATGCATATTGTAATCCACACAACAAATAAAAAATAATAATATAAAAAGCTATTATTAAAAAGCCAATGGAGAAAACAGAATAAAATACAAAAAAAAAAAAAACTCTCAACCCAAATGAAGACACAAAAGAAGGATATGTATATAACAAATAACAGAGAGACCAAATAGAAAACAAAAAGAAAGTGGGTACACTTAAACACAGCCATGTCAATAATCCCACTAAATACACATGTATTAAACACTCCAACAAAAGACAGAGGTTGATGAACTTGATTTAAAAATCAATATCCAATTATATGCTCTTAACAAATAATGCACTTAAAATACAAAACACAGCTAGGTTGAAAGTACCAGGATGGAGGAGATATGCAATGCAAACAGTAGATGAGTATGGAAGAAATAACGGAGCTTCAAAATACATGAAGCAAAATTTTACAAAGTTAAAAGAGAAATGGATAAATCCATAATCACAGCTGTAAATTTAAAATCTCTTCTATTAATTATTGACAAATGAAGCAGACAAATAAATTAGTAAGGATATATGTAGTATTTGAAAACTCCTATCAACCAAATTTGACCGACACCAAGGTAAACCAAATTCTGGGTCATAAAATGAGTTTCTATATATTTTAAAATATTTAAATAGTGAAATATGTTCTCTGACCACAAAGAAATTAAATCAGAAACCAATAGCAAAAACATATCTAGAAGATCCCCAATACTTGGAAATTAGGGACATTCTTCTAAACAATTCATGGTTTAAAAAGAAATTAGAAGTGAAATTAAAGATATATCAAACTGCATAAGAAAACACAATATATCAAATTTTGTGAGATGCAGCTTAAGCAGTCCTAAGTGGAAAATTTATAGCTTTATTTTTATATTAGAAAAGAAGAATGGTTTGAAGTGAATAATATAGGATTTCACCTGAAGGGGCTACAAATTACATTGAAATTGAATAGAAAAAATAAAATAGTAAAGATAAGGAACAGAAATAATTGAAATAGAAAAAGCCAAAATGATAGACAGAAATCAAGGAAGCTGAAGATAGTTTTTAGAGGAATAAAATTCATAAAAGCCTAGCTAAAAGTAATCAAGAAAAAAAACACAAAACATAAGTTACCAATTTCAGAAATTATAGAGGTTGCATCGCTACACATGCTACACGCATTTCAAAACTATGAAGGGAATATTATGTACAACTTTATGCCAACAAATCTGACAATTTAGATGAAATGGAAAAAGCCTTTGAAAAACAATTTTCCAAAATAACATTAGACTGGACTTTTTGAATAGTGTAAATACCAAAGTTAATTCAAAACATAAAAGCTTCTCAAAAGGAAAGTTTCAGGAATGGATGTCTTCACAGATGACTACTACCAAATACTTAAGGAGGAAACAATACCAATTTTAAACAAATTGAACATTGCAAAACATTGGAGACATAAATTAAACACCTAAATAAATGAAGAGATATACGTTTACAAATTGAAGGTCTCAAAGTTGTTAAGATTTCAATTCTCCCCTTATTGATTTATAAATTCAGCACCATCACAATGAAATCATAACAGGCTTTAACATTAATAGAAAACCTGATTCTAAAATTTTTAAGAATGTAGGGAGTGTAAATTAGTTCAACCATTGTGGAAGACAGTGTGGGGATTCCTCAAGGATCTAGAACTAGAAATACCATTTGACCCAGCCATCCCATTACTGGGTATATACCCAAAGGATTATGAATCATGCTACTATAAACACACATGAACATGTATGTTTATTGCGGCACTATTCACAATAGCAAAGACTTGGAACCAACCCAAATGTCCATCAGTGATAGACTGGATTAAGAAAATGTGGCACATATACACCATGGAATACTATGCAGCCATAAAAAAGGATGAGTTCATGTCCTTTGCAGGAACATGGATGAAGCTGGAAACCATCATTCTGAGCAAACTATCTCAAGAACAGAAAACCTAACACCACATGTTCTCACTCATAGGCGGGAATTGAACAATGAGAACACTTGGACACAGGGTGAGGAGCATCACACAGTGGGGCCTGTTGGGGAGTCCGGGGCTAGGGGAGGGATAGCATTAGGAGATATACCTAATGTAAATGACGAGTTAATGGGTGCAGCAAACCAACATGGCACATGTATACCTATGTATCAAACCTGCACGTTGTGCACTTGTACCCTAGAACTTAAAAGCATAATAATAATAAAAAAGAATGTATGAGGGACCTAGAATAGCTGAAATGATCTTGTAAAAGAGGAGCAAAGTTGGATGAGCTGTGTTACCTAATTTTATGTCTTAGCATAAAATTGTGACATGACATGAAATTAATCATGACAATGTGGTTTTGGCATAAGGATAGGCAAATAGATCAATGGAACAGAATAGATGAGGAGTTGGCAATCTCTTTTTCTAAAAGGACGGATAGCAAATACTTTATGTGGTGCAGGCTATACAATCTCTGTCGCAACTACTCTGTTGTAGTGTGAAAGCAGCCATAGCTGACAGTTAGTGTATCTGTGTTCTAATAAAGTTTTATGAACACTGAAATTTCAATTTCACATAATTTTTACATCATAAAATATTCTTTTGCTTTTTTTCCTCAACCATTTAGAAATGTAAACCAAAAAAAAAAAAACAAACCCAAAAATGCCTGTCTTAGTTTACAAACCATACCAAAACAGATACAAATGGAAATTTGTTTGAGGGAAGTGGAATGATTCATATTTTGACTGAGAATTAAATAAGGCCACTGTACCTTGGAGGGATTTTAGATAAGACATCTAAAATAGTAGGTCATGGTAAAGGGTGGGAGAGAACAGAATGAACCACTGAATGGCGGTGGCTGTAGGGAATGCCTTTAAGGAAACACCTTCTCCCTGCTATGTGACCCACCAGAATTGAACATGGGGAAATGATGAGGGTAGCAGGTCATTTTGAAATGGACCTTCGGGTAGTATTTGGGGTGGAAAAATCCCCTTTCTCCAACCACATTTTGGCTACCCCAGCAACACCACCCCCACAGAGGTATCAGCGCTTTGTGATGTCCAAGCCACCCCAGGACTACCATTGGATAGGGGTGCCCCATTCTGGCCAAACAAAGCTGAAGGGTGGGGCTCCTCATTACCCAGGGGTGGGTATACATAAGGAGGTCAGGAGCATGGGGTAGACCATTGGGAGGCTTAAATATGGCTAAGGAGACCCACACACCAGTGAAGCCTAAAGAAAATATGAAACAACCAATTCTAAGCACGAAAAAGCCTACCCCAAGAACCAAAGAGAAGAAGGAAAAGAAGAACTCTTCTCAACAAAAGACCAACAAAAATGGCAAGGTCAGATGATCCTATCCTTGTTCCTTCTTTTCTTCCCCCTCTATTCTCTCAAGACCCCTATCCTGTCCTTGCCTAGCACAACCCCCTTCCTCAGCCTGCACTCCTATTCATAAAGCTCCCCTTCCTATACAACCTCTTTCTCTTCCCCTTAACCGATGTCCTTCTGGCTCACTGTGTTGTCCTTCCAGGTGGAGAAGAAAATCATAAAGGTAAAAAAACCCCTTCAAAGGAATTCAAGAAAAAAAACTCAATCACCTCCTTCCTGCTCCAAAAAGCCTAGGATAACAATGAGACCAACAATATTTGTGTGTCACCACAAGCAGAATAAGACACAACATAAAAATCAGAAGAGCAAGCACAAAAGACAACAGAAAATGAAAATCAGAAGAGCAAGCCCAGAAGCCGCTGGCAAAAGCAAACCATCCCAAGTAACCATCTCTGCTGCCAGTAAATGCAGAGCCTGGATCAGAAACGTACAACTAGCAACAGCAACTCTGGGGAATCACCAATCACATAAAGGCCAAAGCTGAGCCCAACAGTGTTCCACCCATGCTGATGAATGCAATAAAATCAGCACAATGTAAAAGGATGATGTGGATGTTTGTCTGTAGTGGGGAGGGGGTTAAGGAAGAAAAACTGCTAAGAGGGAGAGAGGCAGGGTCCTGTAAGGTTGGGGGCCAGACCAACAGGTATACAGTTAGCCATCGGGGGATAAGGAGTGGGTGAGGACTAAGAAATGAAGACAAATCAACACTTTGCCCCACAGACAAGAAGAAAAAGGGCTTTGGCGTTTCTACATGTACTTAGGGTAGGTGTGGGTAGCAACATCAAGGTCTAAATTCCCAGAACCCAGTTAGGAGGAGGGTTTTATGTGTGATGTGTGTGGCAATAACACACCCCACAAAAAGACAATAAAACCACCTCCAGGTCACCCGTGTCATAGTGGTGTATGTTGTACCCCACACTATGCTATAAGCAAGTAAAGGCCCTCAGGAGGACCCAAAACTCATCCTATCAGGAGTCACTCTCAGCACCCTGATAGACAAATAGTAGAGTTTGGAGGCCACAAACCCAGCACTAATTAGGTCACTTTCTTGTTAAGTAGCTTAGGATGGAGCAGTGTCCTACCAAGTGTGGGGGCAGTGGCAGAGGTCTGCCCACTTGCTGGCCATAAAGAAAAACATTGTCTGCAGAGAATTTTAATATAAGAATAATAAAACCCAGGAAAAGTCAGTCTTTTACTTATTAGCACCAGATACAAGTTTTCAATTTTTCCCTACCCAAATCCTCTTTTGGTCTGAGTTGTGAAAGATTGCTGTGGTTAAATTTAAGCTTGAACAAAATCAATGCAAGGTGCAAATTAGCTGATTTTTAATATTTATGTTTTAATAATCATTTTATTCTACAGGGAAGTTAATTTGGATAAATCCTTATTAAATAGTTGGTCCAAGACATAGGCTGTTCCTTTCTAAAGTAAGCTCTTAACAATTTGGAATTGTTTTGATGCAGGACAGGCAAGCCCCACACTTGGGGCTTAGGTGGGAGGGTTCTTGGCTTCTCTCAGGAAAGAATTCAAAGGCAAGCCAGTGGTGTTAAACAGCAACTTTAATTGAAGCAGAAGTGTAGAGAGCAGCAGAGGTACTGCTCCTGCTCCTTGCAGAGCAGGGCTGCCCCATACGCAGTGTCCCCAGAGTAGCAGCTCAGAGGCAGTTCTGCACTCATATTGATTCCCACTTTTAATTATATTCAAATTAAGGAGCAATTTATGCAGAAATTTCTAGGATGAGGGTGGTAACTTCCAGGTTGTCAGGTCATTGCCATGGAAAGAGGCAGTAACGCCTGGGTGTTGCCATGGCAACGGTAAATTGACATGCCACATTGCTAGACAAGGCTTAAGGAAAGCTGCTTCTGCCCTAGACCTGGTTTAGCTAGTCCTCAATTGGGTCTGCTGTCCAAGCCCCGCCTCTGGAGTCAAGTCCTGCCTCCTACCTCAGTTTGAGCTTGCTTTGAGCATACTTCCAGACTGCAGTCCCTGTGGTAATATATGACACATATGTCTACACTTTAAAAGTACATGAAATTAAAAATTATAGCATGTGATTATAAAGGCAAAGAACAACCACCTCAGCTCTGTGATTCTGTGTAATCACTTGCTTTTATTGGTGTCTAAATCGGTGAAACGAAGTGTTAAATTTAAGGAGTAAAATTTGGGGGGATAAAGACATTTTTATTGCATTTGAAAATAAAATATCTTACTGAATTTGAAAAATATACTCAAGCATGAAATGTATTCTTTAATTGCTCATTAATACTACATAAAAATCAAAATGCTAAAATTTTATATCAGTTGCATATTTTAGTAGTTGCCTACATTTTACTTTTGCTTAATTTTCTTAAAATTGCCTTATGATTTTTACTATGACAACTATATGCAAAATGTTTTATAGAGAAAATTTGCACTTTATTTTCTTTCTGGTTATAATTATTTGTGTTAATTCATGTGTATTACTAAAAACATATTCTGTTGAGGTAGCGGCGTTAAAAATATACCTCACAACTCAGTGTATATACTAAAAATCATTCAATTATGCACATTTATTAAATGGTTTATTGTACTTTAAATCAATGAATTGTATGGCATGTAATTATAGCTCAGTTAAACTGGCTGTGTGTGTGTGTGTGTATGTGTGTGTGTGTGTGTATGTATCCAGGTGATTAATTGTGTCATGGAGGGAAACTTTTTTTTTATGTAAAATCTTTCATAATTTGGCCCCAGTCTCTGGTATTTTTGTTTTTCTTTTTTCTTTTTGTTTTAAACAGTCTATTGAGGAATAATTAACCTACAATAAACTGCATGTTTAAAGTATGCAATTTGATAAGTTTCCACACACATACACATCTGGTAAACCAACACCTCAATTAAAATAGTGAACATATTCATTTATAATCTCCTAAAATTTTCACAGGCCTCTTGATAATCTCTCCTTCCCATGTTTCCTGCACCCCACTTCCCAAGCAACTGCTAACCTGCTTTCTGTCACTAAAGGTTAGTTTATATTTTCTAGATTTTTACATAAAGGGAATTAAAGAGTAAGTAGTCTTTTGTGTCTACCTTCTTTCACTGAGCATAATGATACTGAGAATCATCCATGTTGTTGTGTATATCAATAGTTCATTCATTTTTGTTGCTGAGTAGTATTCCACATTTTTATCCATACACCACTATTTTTTATATATTCATCTGTTGATAGACATTGAAGTTGCTTCCAGCTTTTAGCTATTACAAAGAAAGCTATAAACATTATGTACAAGTTTTTATATGAACTTGTGCTTTCTTCTCCTTTGGGTAAATACCTAGAAGTGGAATAACTGGAACACATGTAGGTGTATGTTTAATTCTTTAAGAAACAGCCAAACTGTTTTTCAAAGTGATTATTCCAACAGTGCGTGATACTCCCAGTTTACTCTACATTTTCACTGACACTTTATATTGCCTTTTATTTTTAGCTTTGTATTGTAATGTCTGTGTCACTGTGTCCCACTGTGGTTTTAACTAATATTTCTGTATGATGAGCATCTCTTCGTGTTCCCATACATATATGTATATACATCTATGAGTATATATATATGTGTATATACATATATGTATGGGAACACGAAGAGATGCTCATATATATGAGCATATATATACATATGTGTGTGTATATATATTATATATATACATACATATACACACATACTTTTGTGAAGTTTCTCACCAAATGTTTTGCCCTTTTAATTAAATTGGCTCATTTGTTTTCTTTTTAGTTTCAAGAGTCCCCTATATATTCGGCTGTACATTTTTTATTGAATATGTGACTTGCACATATTTTGTCCTAGGCTGTAGCTTTTCATTCTTCTATCAGTGTCTTTCTCATTTCAAACATTTTTAACTTTGATGAAGTCTAATGTATCATGTTTTCTTTTATGAATACTACTAGAGGTTCTCTGAACTTTTATAATCTTTAAGTGTATATCTTTTGCCAAATTTGGAAAATGTTTAGTCACTATTTCTTCGATATGTTTTCTGCCCTACACTATTTCTCCTCTCCTTCTGGAATTCCTATTATGTATATGTTAAACTTTTAGATATTGTTCCACAGATTCCTGAAGCCCTGTTTTTTTTGTTTTTGTTTTGTTTTGTTTTGTTTTGTTTTTTTGACGGAGTCTCACTCTGTCGCCCAGGCTGGAGTGCAGTGGCGCAATCTTGGCTCACTGCAACCTCCACCTGCTGGGTTCAAGCAATTCTCCAGCCTCAGCCTCCCAAGTAGCTGGGACTGCAGGCATGTGCCACCATGCCCAGCTAATTTTTTGTATTTTTAGTAGAGACGGGGTTTCACCATGCTGGCCAGGCTGGTCTTGAACCCCTGACCTCGTGATCCGCCCGCCTCGGCCTCCTAAAGTGCTGGGATTACAGGCGTGAGCCACCACGCCCGGCCGCCCTGTTCATTTTTTAAAATATTTTTTCTCCCTTTTGTTCAGATTGAATTGTTTCTATTGATTTTTCTTCAAGATCACTGATTCTTGCATTTGTCATCTCCATTCTACTTTTGAGTTCATGCAATGAGTTTTTTTATATTAGTTATTGCAGTTTTAAGATCTAAAGTTTTCATTTATTTTTTCTTTATATCTTTTATTTCTTTGAGGACATTTTTTATATTTCTATTTACTTCAAAAACATTCACCCTTACTTGATAGAGCATTTGATAGCTACGTTAAAGTCTTTGTCATATAATTTCAACAACTGCATCATATTGGCATTTGGCATATGTTTATTTTTTATGGACGTGGACAATTTTTTCTGATTCTTAATATGCTGAGTAATTTTGGATTCTCTACTCGACATTTATCTCAGTTGGTCTTTCTATTTTGAAGAGAGATGTGCTAAGATCTCTTGCTATAATTGTGGATTTGTTTAATTCTCTCTGTGTATCTGTTAGGTTTTGTTTGTATATTTCAAAGTTAGGGGCATACAAGTCCACGGTTATTATACCTAGTTGATGTATTTTTATGCAATGTTTCTCTTTATTAATGATTTTCTCTCAAATTCCACTTTGATATATTATTATCTCACTAATCCTTTTTTGGTTAGAATTCACATAGCATTTATTTGTTCTATTTCATTAACTTCAATGTTCTGTTGGTTTGGTTTTAGGTGTATATCATACAAACAGCATATAATTGGACTTTGTTTCATAATTTGGTAATCTTTCCCTCTATATAGCTGAATTTAATCTATTCACATTTATAATGATTGCTGACATTTTTAGAAATTTTCTCTCATTTTATGTTTTTTGTATAGCATCATTTTCTGTTTCTTTTTTTCTCTTGACTTTCAATTTGATTTATAAAGTTTTCTATATTTTTTCTCTACATATTTTGAAGCTATAGATAATATTTCTAGTTTTTACTGGTTATTTTTAATATTTTAAGGATATATAAAACTGTACTAATTTTTTCTCTGCAATACTCTTCACCACTTCTGTCATAAGGATATATAAATTTTTTCTAACACAACCTAAAATTATTATAATTTTCATTCACCTACTGAATATGATATAGAACTTAGCACATTATAACCTCAAACTAAATACTCTAATATTTTTCATTTTATCTTGAGCATTAATTTTATATTTTCTTAAACATCAAAAAGTAATTCTTACATTCAATTAATTAAATATATAACTATATAATCTATTTTTGGTTTTTTTAACTTTTAGTTTCAGGGGTACATGTGGATGTTTGTTATATGGATAAATTACATGTTGCAGGGGTTTGGTGTACAGATTATTTCATCCCCCAGGTAATAAACACGGTACCTGACAGGTAGTTTTTTTATTCTCACCCTCCTCCTACGCTTCACCCTCAAGTAGGCCCTGGTGTCTATTATTCCCTTCTTTGCACTGATTGATACTCAATACTGATTATTAGGTGTCCATGTTGTATTAGTCCGTTCTTGCACTGCTATAAAGAAATGCCTGAGACTAAGTAATCCATTTAAAAAAAAAAAAAAAAAGGTTTAATTGGCTCATAGTTCCACAGGATGTATAGGCAGTATGGCTGGGGAGGCCTCAGGAAACTTTCAATCATGGTGGAAGGTGAAGGGGAAGCAAGCAGGTCTTACATGGCCAGAGCAGGAGGAAGAGAGCGAAGGGGAAGGTGCTACACACTTTTAAACAATCAGATCTCGTGAGAACTCAGTCACTATCATGAGAACAGCAAAAGAGAAATCTGCCCCCATGATCCAATCACCTCACACCAGGCCCCTCCTCCAACATTCAAATTACAAATCAACATGAGATTTGGGCGGGGACACAGATCTAAACCAGATCACATGTGTACTCAATGTGTAGCTCCCACTTATAAGTGAGAACATGTGGTGTTTGATTTTCTGTTCCTGCATTAGTTCACTTAGGATAATGTCTTCCAAATCCATCTATGTTGCTACAAAGGATATTATCTCATTCTTTTTTATAGCTGCATGGTATTTCATGGTGTATATGTACCACATTTTCTTTATCCAGTCTACCTTTGATGGGCATTTAGGTTGATTCCATGTCTATGCTGTTTTAACCTGTTCTTGTATTCTAAACTTGCCCTTTCTTCTTTTTAAGTATATATTTTAAGAGTTCCTTTAGTGACCCTCTCTGACCTGTAAAATAGCAGGCTGAGCATGTGTAAAAATACTTTGATCTACCCTCACTCTTGAAATTATTTTTATCTAGCACTTTAAGATAACACTATTTTTTACTGATGATAAATATACTGTGAGTCTAATTGATTCTTTCATAGGTAATCAATGTTTTCTGGTAGTTTTAAAGATAGTATCTTAATCCTTAATGTTCTGCAGTTTTATTATGATGTATCTAGCTGTATATTTCCATTTATCCTGCTCAAATCTCATGTATACTACAGAACTGAGAACTCAAGCATTCAATTCTGGATGTTTTTTCAGTTATCATATCAGCAAACATTACTTCTCTGCGATATTCTTCACCACTTCTGTCATTCCTACAGAATATTTGTTGAAGCCTCTCAATCTATAGCTCATATGTCATTATTCTGTTTTTAAAAAATCATTCTCTTTGCTATATTTAGAATTTCTCAGTACTCTGTCTTGCAATTTAATATGTTCTCTCTGACTATATGCAACCCAAAGTTTATGTTCTTTTGAATTTTTTATTTAAATGACTTTTTTTCATGTCCAGGATTTCTGATTGGTTCTTTTATATTCATGTGGTCTCATTTTTCATTTCTTTTTGCTTGTTTATTTCATAATTTTCTATTTTCAATGAAAGTTGTTCATTTACCTCTTTCAGCATCCTAAACATATTTTTTAAATGACAGATCTTTTCATAAAATCATTTCATTCTGAATGAATTCATATTCTGATCGTTTATTTCCTTGGTGACCTCACTTAAGTGTAGATATTTTTCACGCGTTTTGAAATTTTGGTGTAGAAGCTCATTTTGAATAGAATATAATTTTATTTTTCTTCCACATGTTCTATTCTCCATCCTTCCTTTTTATTGTCATTTCATGTTGCTCCTACATAGTTTCTAGGACAGTTGTCCAGAACAGGTCTTATAACAGATTTTCAAAACCCCTGTTACATAGTGATATTGAAGATATAGTAGAGCCAATGGCAGCTTGGGCCAGTTCCTCACAAGAAAAGTCTATCTTTGGTCTTCTATTCCCCCACCTCCCAGGCCAATTGCTTCCTATAATTTTCTAGCCCTATCAATGAGTGGCAATAGCAGTTAAATTCTTCTTATCTCTAGACTCATATATACAACTACCTACCTAACTTCTCCACTTGGGTATCTAATAGGCATCTCAAACTCTATGTGCCTAAAGTTGAACTCTTGGTTTTCAGTCTCGCCCTAAACTCTCCCTCAGTGTTCCTCATCTAAATAAATGGCACCACCATATACCCCGTTGGTCAGGCCAAAAACCTTCAAGTCATCCTTAAATTTCTTTCCGTCACTATCCTATATCCAACCCATCAGCCTGAAGTGTCAGTTCATTCTTCGCAAGATATCTAGAATCCAGCACTTCTTACCATTTCCATCACTACTTCCCTGACCCAAGATACCATTATCTTTTCATTACCATTCCAAAAGCCTCCTTACTGGTCTTCATGCTTCTGCTCTTGGCCCCTTTTAATCAACATTCTACAGGACATCCAGAGAACTCACTTCATGATATAAGTCAGACTGTATCACTCTACTGCTCAAAACCCTCCAATGACATCCATTCACATTCAGAATAATCTAAATTACTGTCATGGCCCACAAGCCCCTACCTGATCTGGTTTCTCCTTATTTCTTCAAATCATCTCCTACCACTTTTTACTAATTCCACAATGTCTGGTGGAGATTAAACATTATCATGTGTGTAGAATGTCTCCCATAGGGTTTCACACATGTACATTGCTCAATATATGTATACTTATTATCATAGTTGTATAATGAAGAAGTTAAGAATGGGGCCTGGCCTAGAATGATGGGATTTAGGCAGAGAACAATATGAGTAATCATGAAAAGGAAAAAAAAATATGGTGATGGAATGCTTAGAAGGGCTAAGAAGAGAAGCTCAAAGTGAAGGAAGTGAGATGCTGTGCCTTGCTGCCATTACTTTTAATTCCCTCCTGCCCACCATACACATATAACACCACAACCACTGCCCACTTTTTATTCAATTCAGTACTCATCTGAGTCATGTGGGAAAAGTAACCATCTTCTCAACCTTTTCATATTAGAATTAACCACTAGCGAGCAAAAGCTTGCAGATTTTGATACATCAATTAAAAAGCTAGGTCTTTCTGCATTCCTGTAAGCACCATTACAACCAACACCCATACCAATCTGTGTCCTTCAGTTGGAGTTGTTTCAAGTAAGAGTTAAAATGTAATATTTCAAGACAAATTCCTTACGGTAGATAGATATGCCTCCCCTCTTATAGGTCTTGCTTTGGCAGAGCTGCTGAGCACTAGTTCTTTACTAACAACTCACCGGCATTCTCAAAATCTTGCTGATTTTGGTATATAATTTACGAATCTGTAAATGCTTCAGAAGGGAGTTCTCTTGATTCTACTAAAAATAAGCATAAAGTGATTCTTACTCATTGATGCTATTAATTCCTACATAGTGATCTGTCACCAGTTCTCACAAAGGAAGTTCTACACAGAGAGCCATTAAAGCAAAATCTATTAGTATCATCTGATGGCTCAAGTATTTTGTATTATAAATTGGTCACATGAATAAAACAAAAGATTAAACTCTTCTTTAAAAAACAGGTTTTCACTAAAGAACTTACCCATGTAAACAAATACCACCTGCTCCCCCAAAACCCATGGAAATTAAAAAAATAAAAATTAAAACAGGTTTTCAAAATATTCTTCTCAATATTATTAGAATTTTATATCACCCTAGAGATATAAGCACCAGAGTTAAAATAGCTCCAATATGTTTTGATTTGAAAAAAAATACAATTACGCAAAGTTAACTTAAGGGGAAATCCATGCAAGCATGTTAAGAGAGGATTACTGCCTAATGTTGTGATAAAGCAGGTAGGTACCAAAATTCCTGACCCAGCTCAGCCCTAGGCTTGTCATGAAAGTAAATAATTGCACAGCCATCTTCACCTTGATGATGGAGGCTCAGATTAGAATTTTTCCAACCAAAAATGACTGGGCGCAGCTGTCCCCTATTTTGTCTAGTCAGCATTCAGCATGGCAGATAAGTGAATATTACTGCATTAACTGGAATTAATCTTTGCAGAACTTAAAAAGACTAAGCTCTATTTCTATGAAGATGAAAGAAAAAGACAAGGACAAAGTGGGACCACTTGCAAGGCCAAAATCTGAGAGCTTGTGGAAAAAGGGTAGGATCTATATTTTTAATTAATAGCTTTTAGGCAAAGGCCTCTCAAAGACCTTGCATAGGAGAGGGTGGTATTTGGGGTTCACTACTGAGGTCAGTAAGCAATTGGGTTTTTTGTTGTTGTTGTTTGTCTATTAACTAGGTGTGTAGCAGGACATAATGAGGAGGGAAAATGGAATACCATCCAACAAATTCCCTTTCCTTTGAGACTAACTTTAATTTCCCATTGCCTCTACTTATATTGAAAGTCCCAATTATCCAACTAAATTCCAGTTAAGCAATGCCAAAACAACCCTCCAGCTCAGTTATTTAAATATAGTAAATATTCAATAGAAAGTAATATAATTCCTCATTTGAAGAAGTTGATTCATTAACAAATTCTAGTTGTACTTGTACAGTGTATATTCACCTTCCTTTGTGAAAGATGGTGAACATATACACCCTGAGACAAGTGCTGATTGTATCATAATTGATAAGACCCAGTCCTTTCACACAAGGAACTCATACTCTATTGAGGAGAGAGACAAAGTGTCATTCAAATATTCCACAATAGTGCAGTGATAAAGAAATGAACATGTGCCATGGAAGCACAGATAACGCAGACTAGAGATGAGAGGGAAAGCTTCCTGGAGGAGGCAAAGCAGGGCAACAGCGTAAACAAGGGTCCAGAGGTGTTAACCAGCAAGATAAGATTAAGGTGAGATTAGGGCATTTTGATTTGCTAGACTACAAAATGGAAGCAGGAAGTGGCAAGTCATTAATATATATAAAAACATTTATAAATATGTGTATATACACGTTATTATAATCACATAAATTTCCTGCCTCTATCAGGTGAGAAGGCCTAGAAACAATGACACCCCAGGAGCAAAGAACACTTCCTGCATGCAGATGTTGGATTCTATTACCATTCTCCAATAAAAAGAATCAGGGATCCTTGGAGAAATGGCTGATTCTAGGACTGGGGCAGGAAGTATTGAAGATGAGCATAGAGTATCCTATAGTGCCAGAAAGTAAGGAATTACTCAAAAGAACAAAGGAAGGCAGCAAGGAGGGAAAGAAAAGGGAGGGGAGGGGAGGGAAGGGAAAAGGGAGTGAGGACCAATAATGATGGGATGTGTGAAAGGGATACAAAGACAACTGAAAAAGAGCTCCCAATGGCCAAAGCTGGAATGCTTTCAGCAACAAAATAAAGTAATATCAGATTATATTCTAAAGTAACTAACCTGTACATTGTGCACATGTACCCTAAAACCTAAAGTATAATAATAATAAAGTAAAATAAATAAATAAATAAATAAATAAATAAATAAATAAGTTATCCATGAGTCCATACTGGTATAACTCAATGAATGCATGAATGAATAAAGAAAAAGAAGTAAATATCCCAGGCAGAGAATTTCAAATAATTTATATAGATATTTCACCCTAAATGAAGTGGAATATAACTGTCTGACTCCATAAGTGTGGCCTTCGTGTGGTGACTTCCTTCTGAGTAAAGTATAGAAAGCGGGAAGGAAGAGTAACTTTACAGTGGAGAAACCTGACAAACACTGTCTTAGCCAGGTTCAAGGTCAACATCAACAGTGCTCTCACATTGATGGTAGGTATCTTTGATATGATGTGATGAAAGAGCACTTTACCTCTATGGTCTTCCTCCCAGAAACCCATGTCTTAGTCCATTTTGTCTTGCTATAATAGAATACTTAAGGCTTGGTAATTTATGAAGAAAAGAAATCTATTTAGTTCACAATCCTGCAGGCTTGGAAGCTCAAGAAGCATAGTGCTGGTATCTACTCAGCTTCTGGTGAAAGTCTCATGCTACTTCCACTCATCATAGTGGAAAGCAGAAGGGGAGTGGACATGTACAAAGAGATCACATGGCAAGAGAAAAAACAAGAGAGAGAGAAACCAAGGCAGCCAGAACCTTTTAACAACCTGCTTTCATGGGATCTAATTCATTCCCATGAGAGGGAGAACTCACTCACCACTGTGAGAGGGCATTAATCCATTCATAAGGTACCCACCCCTATGACCAAAACACCTCCCACTGGGCCCCACCACCTAACAGTGCTACACTGGGGAATCAAATTTCAGCATGAGTTTTGACAGGGACAAACCACATCAAAACTATGGCACCATAACTCCAGTCTAATTACGAGAAAACAATTAGATGAATCTCAGTTGAAGGACATTTTGGAAAACACCTGACCAGTGCTCCTCAAAACTGCCAAAGTTATCAAAAACAAGTGAGAAACTGTCAAGAAAGTCAAGAAATGCCTAAGGAGGCATGATAACTAAATAGAATTTAGTATTCTGGATGACATCCCAGGTTAGAAATAAACATTTGGTAAAACTTTAAAAATTTGAATTAAGTGTGCCCTTTAGTTAATAATAATATATTAATATTTGTTCATCAATTGTAACAAATGTGCTATACTAAAGTGTCAATAAGAGGGGAAACTGGTTGCAGATTATATGAAAACTCTGCAATATCCTCACAATTTTTTTATAAATCTAGAAATTTGTTATGCTATTTAATTATATTAATAGCTTATTATTAGTATTTCTGTTGCTATTGATATATTATTACTATTTTAAAATTAGTTGGCTGAACTTGTGTGGTGCTATATCTGGGTTCTCTATTCTCTTCCACTGATATATAAGTCTATCCCTCAGTCAACACCACACAATCTTGATGACTGTACCTATATAATAAGTTTTGAAATAGAGTTATTCCTTTCACTTTCTTCTTTTCAAAATTGCTTTAGCTATTCTCATTTCCTTGCCATTTCATAAAAATCTTTTCTATATTTAGATAAAACATTGCAGGGATTTTTATAAGAATTGGGCAAATTTTTATAACAATTTGGGGAGAAATGACATCTTTACTATGTTGAAACTTCCAATCCATGAACACATATTTCTCTCCATTAATTTAGATATTCTATGATTTTTTATTACTATTTTGTACTTTTAAACATACATGTTCTGTAAGTATTTCATTTTTGAGTAGTTTCATATGCTCTTGTACTTTTAAAATTTAACTTAAACATCTTCATTACTGGTATATACAGTATATAAAAATGTAACTTCTTTTTGTAAGTTTATTTTGTATCCTGTGACTTTCTGAACTCATTTGTTAATTTTATGCATTTTGTGTAGATTCCTTTGGATTTCTTATGTAGATCATCACGTTAACTGCAAATAGAGATGGTTGATTTTTCTTTTCCACTTTGCATGTTTTATTTTTCTCTGGCATTATTGAACTGGATATGTCTTCCAGTCTTAAGCTGAATAAGAGTTACAAGAGCAGACATTCTTGCCTTATTGCCAATCTTTGGGGGAAAACATTCTGCCTTTCACTATTAAGTGTAATGTTAGCTGTAGATATTTATAGATATCCTTTATCAAACTGAGGAAGTGGTACCCTATTTCTCGTTCACTGAGAGATTTTATCACAAGTAAGCTGAATTTTGGGAAACTTTTCCTGCATCAGTTGATATAATCATGTAATTTTTCTTCTTTAACCTGTTGATATGATGGATTACATTAATTGATTTTTTTTAATGTTGAACAAGGCTTGCATCCCTGGAATAAACCCCACTTGGTAATGGTATATAATTGTTTTTATATATTTCTGAATTCTAGTTGCCAATGTTTTGTTAGGGATTTTTGCATCTATATTTAGAAGGAATCTTAGTCTGTAGACTTTTTTTGGACTGTCTTTGCCCGGTTTTTATATCAGAGTAATACTAGTTTCATATGAGGAATTGAGAAGTGTTCTCTACTCTTCTATTTCTGAAGAAGATTGTGAAGAATTGCCATTGATTATTCTTTAAACACAAGGTAGAATTCTCAAGTGAAGCCATCTTACTCTGGAGATTTATTTGAGTTTTAAATTATGAATTCCATTTTAAAAATAATTATAGTGCTTTTCAAATTATCTATTTCATATTGGGTGGCTTGTGAAAATTTGCATTTTTCTAGGAATTAGTTCACATTATCTATGTTGTCAAAGGTATGTGTTCATACTTGTTTGTAATATTCCCTTATTATCCTTTTGTTGACTGCAAGTCCTGTAGTGAAGTTCCCTATTCCATTCCTGATTTTCGTGATTTTTTTTTTTTTTTTTGCCTTCTCTCTTTTTTCCTTGGTCAGTATCGCTAAAGAAACTTTATCTGTAGGGATAGAGTGGTGGAGAATCAAGAACAGAAAGCTCAGATTTTAGAGTCATACAGACTGTATAGGACAGATGTGAAGTGCCTAGCGCATAGCAGGTCTCTGATAAATGGAAACTGTTGTTATTATGAATGTCTAATGATGCTTAGATGCAACTGCCCAAAAAAATAAGATAGCTCCAAAATCCTGAGCAGGCTCAGGGGGAAGGACAAGGAGGTTAAGGAAGGCTGAGACACTCCTGATTTCCAGTCTCAACTCCCACCAGTTACTCACAGTACTATCTCAGACAGAAAGCCACTGACCTCCCCCCCAGCCTCAACTGGCTCATCTGCAAAATGGACACAGTAATGGTACCTACCTCTTTAGGGTTGTGGTGAAGATAAAATGAGATAACGTATGCAAATCACCTGTCATTTACTGATTGCTCAATAAACTATAGTTATTTTGATTCCCCTATCAAGGTGAAACCATTTCCAGCCAAAGCATTAATATCAGTGATTTTCTTTATTTGATGAACCAATCCACATCTGATTCTCTTTATAAGTATCTCTTGGGGTAGAATTGCAATGTGTCCTTCACTTTCTCTCACAAGGAATCTTTGGCTGGAATTCTGTGCTGAGGAATTTCATCACCTCTACGAATCCATTTAAATAAGCACTTCTATCACAGTGATATTAGAGAATGCATCATGGTCTGGTCCTGTCAACACAGAAACAGAGCTGCAGGGATGAAAGCAGATTCAAGACCTGGTGATCAGTTGTTCTGAGACTTTTTTCTCCAGAAGCCCTTTACCTGCCTTATTTTGCTGAGATAGGCTAGAAAGCTTTTGGAAGCAAAGTGGCTGTGGAGGAAGAGCACTTAAGGAAAGACTTCCCATTCCTGAATGACAGAAATTCTGCCTGGGGACAGGAGACAAAAATCCAGGTTCTCAATGCACACTGCACAAATAGACTCCAGCCTCTCTTCTTGGGACCGTGATTTCCCTTGGCTAAGTGGACACTCTTGCTCCTCAGGAGGGGTTTGACCTTCTCAAGAGCTGCAAGACAGAGCTGCCCACATCCAGTTGGCCAGGTCCAAACACAGAGCACTTAGGACCTTGACTGTATTCCCAGTTCATTTTTCACTGTCTGCAGAAAGCAAATGCACACCTTTACAAAGGTCAGGCCTAGCCTTAACCTCCAGTAGCCCAAAGGTATACAGGCTAATCAAAGTATAGTGGCACTGTAGATAAGAATCCCATGCTGAACTTAAACAGACCCATTCTGACACATCCTGGCTGTGTGACCTTTGGTAAGTCTCTCAACTTCTCTGTACTTGAATTTCTTCATTTGTAAAAGGGAAGGGGTAAGAGCGTCTTCTAATAGCTCTTAAAAGTTTAAATGAGACAATGTTTAGCAAATACTGAATGCAACAGATGTTCTCAGCAATTGGTAGCTATCATGCTGATTATTAACCCAAGTTGTGTTAAAGTCAAATGCATAAAGTCAAAGCATTTTCTTAGTCAGGTCTCTGGCCTTGAAGGAGAATCTACTCAAGTATTTTCAGTGTTCAAAATATTTCCCGATTTGGGTCAACAAATAGCTGACAAAAAATTGAAGCGTTATCCTAATTTTGTTTTTTTACAAAAGTGAATGTGAACATGCTGGAGAAAGTATACTCTCATATACTGGTGGTAAAAATATGAATTGTTATAGTCTGTCTGGACCAGAATCTGGTATTATCTACTAAATTAAATATATAGCTACATTTCATCCTAGCAATGCCACTCATGGGAATCTACTCCACAGAAATAAAAGCACTGGAAATGGAAGGCATGTTTGTGAGAAGGGGTATGGCTGAGTGAACTGCATATCTAAACCATGGCCTTTTATGCCAGCACTTAAAGGAATGAGGTGGTTTCCATGGTGTATTATTAAGTGAAAAAAGCAAGATGTGGTAGTATATATACGATACTTGGATGCCACTGTTGTAAAATCAAATAACCAAAACCTCCCTTTTGTATATGTAATATAAGTGTTCTATATAATTATGCAAACATGGAGGAAGACATGAAAAGAGACTTACCAGGTTATTCACATTGGTTACCTTTTGGGAGCAATATAAAGGGTAGGAAAAAAAGGCTTCACATTTTTTTAAAAAGGTACCCACAGTGAAAACTTGTATTCTGTAGTACTCTTTAGGTAAAATAGCGTGTGTGTGCACACAGGCACACATGCAGAGGAAGATGTGAGAAAGGATGGTTACCAAGATGTTACTGGTGTATATTTCAAGAAAGTGAAAAATAGGAAAAGATTGATTTACTTATTAGTTTACTGATTTATGTATTCATTTATTTCACACAAACAGAACCTGCAAACTTTCCTTAGTGTAAATTTTCCCTTAAGAACTGACAATAGCAGTCCTTTTAGGAAGGAAACTGGACTGGCAGCTGCAGGGCTGACTGGATGGAAGAAAAATGCACTTTTCACTGTCCTTTGTTGCTTTTGAATTTCACACAATATGCATGTGCTACTGACTCAAAATAAGAAATAAAACTTAATTTGTGTTGTATCCCAAGAACCACAGACTCTCTTAGAGGCCAATGATTTACCATCAGTTTCTTCAGTGGGCATCATCAGCCTGCTCTTGTTCCTTTAGCACATCCTTTTCTTTTCCACTGTAGGGCCTGGGTTCCTGCAGTCCACTCTGTCCAGATAACTTCCTTCATACACAGAGGGAGTACAGGAAAGATATTTAGTTGCCTTCTTACCTGCCCTTTTGATCTTGGCTCGAACACTATCTCCTCGCCCATGCAACTAAAATAAATCTGCTGTTCTATCTCCCAGTCATGTATTGTATATGTATGATTTGGTTTGGCTCTGTGTCCCTACCCAGATCTCATCTTGAATTGTACTCCCATAATTCCCATGTATTGTGGGAGGGACCCAGTGGGAGATAACTGAATCATAGGGGCGGTTTCCCCCATACTGTTCTCCTGGTAGTGAATAAGTCTCATAAGATCTGATGGTTTGATAAGAGGAAATTTGTTTCACTTGGCCCTCATTCTCTCTTGCCACCACCAAGTAAAAAGTGCCTTTTGCCTTCCACCATGATTGTGAGGTCTCACCAGACGTGGAGCTGTAAGTCCAATAAACCCCTTTCTTTTGTAAGACATACCTAGTCTCGGGTATGTCTTTATCAGCCCTGTGAAAATGAACTAATACAAAGTATTTTTTAATAAAGTTCTACTGACAATGCTCAACACTCACATGATTTCTCTCACTCTAGATCATATGTGTGCAGTTTCACCTATAAGTGCATTGCCTTTTGCCTTGGGGTGGACTTAGGAAAGCTCAATTCTGATTGGTTTCAGAAGAATCATACAAAAGCCCAGAAGCTGCATAAGCAGCTATGCCATTCATCCCCTCATTTAGCAGAAATGTAATAAGCATCTAGAAGGGCCCTGGCTTCGTGCTGAGTCTTAGAACAAGAGTGAGCACAAATTAAGTTACTCCCTGATCTCATGGTGGTCACAGTACAGTGGGAGAGACAGGCATTAAAATTAGTTAACAAGTGAATAAATAAAATAATAAGTTGTTCAACTGCAAAGAGAAAGGAGTGCAGGCCGGGCGTGGTGGCTCACGCCTGTAATCCCAACACTTTGGGAGGCCGAGGCGGGCGGATCACGAGGTCAAGAGATTGAGAACATCCTGGCCAACATGATGAAACCCCGTCTCTATTAAAAAATACAAAAATTAGCTGGGCGTGGTGGCGTGCGCCTCTAGTCCCAGCTTCTCGGGAGGCTGAGGCAGGAGAATCACTTGAACCTGGGAGGCGGAGGTTGCAGTGAGCCGAGATCATGCCACTGCACTCCAGCCTGGCTACAGAGCAAGACTCCATCTCAAAAAAAAAAAAAAGAAAAGAAAAGAAAAAAAAAGAAAAGGGAGTACAGGGAGCTATCACAGCAATATACTAAAATATGTCTTGCTCATATATGTGCTATATTTTTAATGTAGATAGATATAGCTATGATTGATTCATTTAAAGTGCAGTTGAATTCATAGGTTTATTTGCCCATGGACTTCTTCCGCAGTCGCTATATTCTAATAGCACAACTATTATAGATGTGGCAGTTGGGAGGGTGGGACAGGAAGAGGTACCTCATAAAAACTACAAACATTAAAAAGGGGTCTCTACACATGTCCATACTTTGAGAGAAACCTTGGGCTTTCTAAGTGAATGTTGGATTGCTATGCTACAGACCCCAAATGGATTTGAAAATGATTATTGATATCTAAATGTCTTTATCAAGCTCTTCCAAGATCAGCTGTTTGATTTGCTCAGTAAAAAATGATGGTTATTTTTAAAGGAATCTTCATACTCCAAAGAATTCTGAACCAACAGCCTAATAATGCTCTGGAGCCATAAGATGAATGCATTCATATTCTCTCTCTCTTTCACACACACACACACACACACACACACACACACACACACACGAGCACCTGGCAAGTATTAGTAAGCAGCAACAGGCTATGAAAGGAGATTGCAAACTCTCTCATGCTGCTCCCATCTCTCATCTCCCAAAGACAGCTAGGAGCAAGATGAAGGGAAGACCACCACCCCTCCATGCTCAGTGTTGGGCTAGTACCTGATACAGTTGGCAGACGTGTTCTGTACTGGAGACAGGGGGAGGGGCCCCCAGATTTTAACCTGGGGAATGAGGACCCTAGGACTAACAGCTGTGTGCTTGGCCCCAAACTGACTCTGCAGGAGATACAGAAGAAATAAAACATTCAGTCTCTGCCCTCAGAGAGCCTGCAACCTACATGAGAGTCAAGATTGCTTGCAGGAAATATTTCAGACTGGAGTACCTCGTTTAACTGGACTTGCAGTAGAACCAAAACTTCCATATAAATTAATTTATCCAATTAACTGGTATTTTCTGTTAAGTGTTCAAATTCTTTTTATTTAGATTATTTTTATTGGAAACCCTTCTAAATGTATTACAAATTTGTCTTATTCGATGGAACATCCTGGGCATAATTTAACCTTTTCCTGATGACTCAGGGTGATCTATATTAATATCCTTTATTGTGCCTCATCTGCTTTTGCATTATTCTGAATTCCCTTTCTTTCCACATCTGGCTGTCAGCTGTCACTGCTCATCCACAGTTAATGAGCCTGTCTCTTCCAACCCCCTCAGCTCTCGGTTAATCACTGATAATAACAGCAAAAACTGCATTGATCCACTGTTATATGCCAGGCCTTGTGCTAAGTGCTTTGCATGGATTAATTAATTAAATCCTCAGAATAACCCTGGAGGCAGGTACAATTATTATCCCCAAATTGCAGATGGGGTAACCAAGGCCCAGAAGGGTCGAGTAATTTGCCTAAGGTTACACAGCAAGCATGTATCAGAACTAGGATCTGGACTCTGATGTGCTGGTCTCAAGATTTTAAGTTCTTTAGCACCACATCAGTGCTTTTCAAATCTTTTTGACAGTGAGACAAAAACAGAAATATATTTTTATTACCATCCAGTAGACAGACACATATGAAACTGAATAGAAACTCCCAACGACAACACGTTTATTACATAGAACACACTCTGATATTCTATTCCATTCTATTCCATCATTATCATCACTAATGTTGGTCGTGACCCACTAACATGATTTCCCAGCCCATCAATGGGTTACAGTCCATGGTTTGAAAAATGCTGCAGCACATTTTATGCTAATCTACAATGAGTACAGGGTTACCACTATCCATGACACCTTAATGTGAACTAGAAAAAGGTGCCCCTTCCTCAAGATGCTTAATTCTATCTGCCAAAAATTGTCATAATGTGCTGACTTTGTTTGAGTAAGACACTACTGTTGTATGCCAGAGAATGGTTAAAAATAAATAAGTAAATCTTGATGTCAACATTATGAATGGTGCCTCAAATAAACAATGATGTTGTAAGCACCCTATACACAACTGCATATATATGCCCTGGTGGACAGAGAAACCAGATGACAAAATAGTTTAGGACGTATTTGTTCAATTGATAGATTATGTCAGAGTACCTGTGTTCCAGGGATTTGTGACAGCTCTTTTGCGTTCTTAGAGCTTTTCTGCTCATTTCCCAATTAGAGTAGCCAGATAAAATATAGAACACCCATTTTAATTGGAATTTCAAATAAACAATAACAAAAAGGTTAGTATAAGTATGCCTCACACAACATTTGGAATATACTCATGCTAAAAAAATGTATTATATATTTCAAAATTGCTAAATAGTACATCTTAAATATTCATAACACAAAAAATAAGTTTATGAGGTGATGGATATATTAATTAGCTTAATATAATTATTTCACAATGTTTGATCTATGTAAATATATCAAAACATTACATTGTACTCTATAAATATATACAATTATTATTTGTCAATAATAAAATTTAAAAATTAAAGAAAATTTAAAAACATTCACTGTTTATCTGAAATTTAAATTTATCTGGGCACTCTGTATTTTTATTTGCTAAATTTGGCAAACCTATTCTCAAAGCATAGTTGAGTTGATGTAGTTCTTGCTGCTCTATCTTAGGCATCTGGAGCAGTTATCAAATAACACAAGGGTTTGATGGCAATTCTGTTGTAAGAGCTCTGGACCAGTCACATGGTATGGCATGGTTCAGGGCCAAGTGGGTAATCCCGAGAGGAAGAGGAAGGAGTGGAATTGATGAAGGATATCAGTTATAAAAGCACACACAAGCGTTGTCTGCTGGAGTGATCAAGAGAGGCTCCATGGAGGAGACAGACTTAGAAGGATGGGAATAACAGGGGAATATATTCAAGAGCTGTTTGTTTCATGAGAAAAAAATCCTGAAGCTGAGATGGATTACAAAGTACGTATCATCTCATGGGGTGATAATTTTGTGTACAGCAAGGTTTTTTATTATATTAAAGATCATTTAGAGGGGGGCACGTGAGGGCAGTCAGGAGTACCTTAGCTAGCATTTCTGTAAAATGTATAGAGAGTACTAGACCATTACAGGAAAATCACAATAGTACTGAACTTATACTAAATACTGGGCATCATACCAAGCCTTTTATATGCATCATCTAGATTGATCTGCACAACAAAACTACAAGACAGACACCATTATCATCCCCATTTTATAGCTGAAGAAATTGAGGCTCAGAATGGATGTTAAGTAACATACCCAGGGTCACATAGTTTATAAATTGCAGAACTGGGCTTTGAACCTAGATCTTTCAGATTCTGGAGCCTGCACTCTTCACCACCACACTATGCTATTAGAAATAACAACAATATAAAGGAATGTTGTGGAACAGTTTCTGAGGCGCTCAAGGTACTTTTATGTTAGTGACAGAGGGACATGACTCTTAGACTAACAAGGCATCCTTTAACCCTGTGTCCCTCCTACTTTGACAAGGGAAAAAGTAAAACATGTTGTGAAGTGACATGTCTATGCCATCCCTAAGGGTAAGTACATTTCCTTGGCCTTCTTTCCCACTCTTTCCAAAAACTACAATCTGATAAGAAAAGAAGAAAACCTGACTAAAAAAAGAAGAATCCAGAAGTGCTGCTCCTAATACATGGTGTTGCCCCCACAGGTTTAAAGTCCCACAGTAAACAGAGCAAACACTTGGGGATCACAGGAGCCATTCTCCTGGTGAGCATTCTTTCTCTGACAGAAACAAAAATCCTTGGAAAGCCAAAATGCCAGTTGTGTTCTTTTAGACTCTTCTTATTGCTAGCTTTGCTACCCATCTGCAATCCATTCGATCTGAACCTTGTTACTAGGTTAACAGATAACACAGCTTTAATTTATTTGCCAAGACACTTGGCTTCCAAAACCTTATTATTATTTATTTACACATGATTGTTAAGATACAATGCCTGCAGTTTGCAATAGGAGCATTAGCCACAAATGGATCTATGTTAGCAAAGTTTGAGAACTGGTTGTTACTGTGATTATTTGTTGTCAGTTCCTTTTCTCCCATCCATCCACCCTCATCAGACCAGCTGAGCTAGGCAAAGTGAAGCCAGGGAATGAGCTGAGAGGCTCTGTATAATGTGCTAGTACACCAATTCCTTGGGAGTAAAAACTAAAGCCCCTAATTGGAGCATTTGCCAATTTCCACAGTGTAAATGCACTCACCACGGCCAATTTCAAGCTTCCAATGTGACCTCACTGAATGTGAAGACGGGAAAAGATGCTAACAATAGCTTTCCAGAGCCAGTGCAAGCCAAGCAGGCTCTAGCAACATACAGTCTGTACAGAGCATCAGAAAGGAGTCAGGACTTTCAGTAAGGCAGAGGGCAAACAAATGACAGTTTATCCATACTATAGGCTACTAAGCAGTTGCTAAAAATGCTGATGTGGATCTATATTTATTTATTTATTTATACATTTTCTTTTCTAAAATAAATAGATCTATATTTATTGACATAAAAAATATTCAATATATTATTAAGATTTTCTTAAAGTCACCAATCAATATTAGTATATCATTGTAATTTTTTTCAATGTGTGTGTATGCTCATAAACAGAAAAAATGATTTAAGCATATATACCAAGATATTGTTATCTGTAGGTGGCAGAATTATGTGCACATTTTAATTTTCCTTTTTCAATTTTTCTATGTCACAATTTGTTTACAATGGGCACATATTACATGTATATGCACTTTTTTAATTTAAAAAAAACGGGAACTTGAACACCTTATTTCATGAGTTCTCTTCCATTCCTTCATCCCCCCTTCTCCAGGTTGAAGTGGTAGGGCCAGGCTAGGGCAAGACTCAAGCAAACCAGGAGAACAACCCCACCAAGAATCTTACTCCACTTTCCTGAATGCCACTCAGGTAAAGTGGGGGTCACATGTCCAATATTACAAAGCAAATGAGTGTCAGTATCCTGATCATAGAATTATCAAAGCTGGCTGTTCAGGGCAGGTCTCCCTACAGCAGCTGCCTCATGGACAGAAGAACTGTATCAGGTTATTCCAGTTTAGACCTTTACAAATGAAGAATAACATGGGGCAAACTGAATTTGGGGGATTTGCTACCAGGTTCTGCAATCTAAATTGCAGCGCTCACATCGATTCCTTACCACTGTCTTCTGAGAAATATGGGTCTTACTCCTCTATTTCGTTTCTCCTCTATTTCGTTTTTTAGGCTAATTGGCCAACACCGTTGTCCTTCAATTACACCATGATTTAAATAGACTTGTAAGCTAATTCACAGTAGAATTGGAAAGCAATAGTGTTTGCCAGTTAGCCTAAGAAACTAATCATCATAAATAATATTGCTTCTATGGTAAAGCATGCCCCAGGTTTCCAACTGACTTACATACTAACGTCTGGAACACGACATGATTCATTTGTCAATTGGAGGCTGCCAATTGGGGACCAGGTGGTCTGATCTAAACAGATCAGAGCCTTATGCTTCTCATATGGAAATGTCTTTACAGATGTGCTATTGTGATCAATGAATAACTTTAAAGCATTTGGGAAATGTTGATTATTGATCCTTGCTTGCCTGACCAAAGGAGGATCTACAAAATACCACACAAATTCAGTTTGGTTTATGCATTACATTACCAAATAACTGTCTTGGTTGTCTTTTTCTCTGTGTGGCTGTTTTCAAACTGTTTTAGTTACAGTTTCAGATTCATTCAAGGACAGCTCAGATAAAATCAGAGATTAATTGCTATCGCCAGAACACGTATATGAAAAACGCAATTACAGTTAAAGAGAAACACAGCTTCCTCTTAGGCAACAGAAGGGACTGGGTTATTATAGTTTCCCAGTCATAATCTACATTCTGCAATACCATTTCTTGTACCTAGTTATTACTGTGCCTCCCCTCCTCAGCTCTCTAGTTTATTCTTTCAAAGAATTTCAAAAAACATTTTCAGGGTGTTTCCACAGGAATAATAACAAATCACTAACAGTTTGGTGGGAAAGAGTTGTTATTTTAACTTATGCTTCAAATGTTTGTCTTTCGGTATGAAAGCTCTATAACCTGAAGATAACATAATTGATTTCTAGACCCTCACTAGCCATGCTTCTGTTCTTGGTAAATGATGGCTATACTCTACTAGAGACCCTACTGAATACAGTTCTAGACCAAAGAGGAGACTGTGAGGACCCAAACTAAGTCTGAAGGCAGGAAGAAACTGCACAGTATGAAACCAAAACTTTTAGCCTAGGAATCAGAAGACATGGGGGCTAGTTTTGCCTCTGTGACTAACTAGCTATATTTCCTACAGCAAGTCCCTTCTTTTCTCTGAGCCTCAATCAATCTCCTCATCTAGAAAGTTGGCGGGATTTCAAACTGAGTTTAGGAGGAAAGGCAGGAGCCAGCACACCTTGAAGGTAATCTAACGGGAGGACCATCTGGTTGAGCAAGATTATCCATCAAGAGGTTCATATTCCCACCTGAGGGCAGGCCATCAGGTTCGCTCTTACAGGAGTAGTCATCAAAAATTCACAACTCCTTTTTGTCCTGGATGGCTGACAAAAGGGGCAGCTGACAAAGTGCAGTCAGTTCTTCCTTTAAGGGAGGGAAGCCCAGAGGGTGCTAACACCCTGAGCTCAGAGGTAAAAAGTGGAAAACAAGGAAGAGATCACTGCCCCCATCTTGCAAAAGGCTAAACTTCTGAACTGGGGCAAGGATGGAGGAAAATTGTATGTTTTATATTGTTTTTCTTCTTTTTTTTCAGGTTGTGTTGGAAGAGATTTAATCTCTGGATTATTTTCAAGTCTTTTTTTTTGAGATGGAGTCTCGCTCTGTCACCTAGGCCGGAATGCAGTGGCGCGATCTCAGCTCACTGCAACCCCCGCCCCCCAAGTTCGAGCAATTCTCCTGTCTCAGCCACCCGAGTAGCTGGTATTACAGGCACCCGCCACCATGCCCAGCTGATTTTTATATTTTTAGTAGAGACAGGATTTCACCATGTTGGCCATGCTGGTCTCGAACTCTTGACCTCAGGTGATCCGCCTGCCTCAGCCTCCCAAAGTGCTGGGATTACAGGCGTGAGCCACCATGCCCGGCCTATTTTCAAGTCTTTGAGAGGATAACTTGGTGGTAATTTTGTCTTACCTGTCTCGAATTTTGTTTTACCTTGGCTCCTTGAAAGCAGGAGCCAAGCACAGAGATGCTCTAGAAGGGCTTGCTAAACAGTAGCACAGTTCCAGCAAAATTGCAAAAACATCATCTTAACCGAATATAAATTAGCACTAAAGTGAATGAACTGCCTTAACTACTTTCTGAAATGAGGTAGAGAATAAAATAATAAAACTAGATTAATTTCTTCCCAACAGTTTCTTGATTTTTAAAGTGCAATGTCCCTAAACTAATATTACCCTTTGAGTGAGTGCTGGAAATCCAAAGCACCTCTTTCTCCCATTATTCCATACCACAGTTATGTAAGTAGCCTGTGAGAGCATAGCCCATGTTTTAAATTGATATATTTCTGTATAAAGTCAGTAATTTATTAAAGGAATCCAGCAGAGTGGTTAAAATTTATACCTGAGTTAGACCTCGGTTAGATGCCAGAATTAGCCAGAGTCCAACAGGAAGTCAGGAGCTGACCACAGTGCCTGGCCCACATTAGACCTTCAACAAATAGCAACTGCTGCTGCTGCTATGACTGTTCTCATTATTAATTACTCCTTTCAGAAAATAATCCTAAAATCTTCTTTACATAAAGGCAGTTCAAGGAACACTATAAATGTTTTTGATCCTGACTGAAACCGTGGAGTATTCTGGACTAATCACCTTTAAAGGTCTGTAGTCTTTTCTAGTCGCAGCAAAAGAAATCCAAACACGCCTGGTAAGCTCTTGCGATTCTTCCTAATTGCTGCCTGGCTCTCTGCCACAGCTGGAGGACACACTGTTCCAAGATTCCGTCTGCTGCTGTATGATTGATCACAATATGTAATCATCAAACTCAGAGAACGAATAAAACCATATACCTCTTTATGCAGAATTCTGATATTATTTGTAAAATAGACTAATAGAGATTCTGCTGAAATATACTCCTTTCCAGTCAGTTGCCCGTTAGTAACAGGCTTACTTCAATTGATCTGTGTGTTAAGAACAATTGCTATTTGATCTGGTGGCTTCATGTCATGGGAAAATAGGAGTTATTTACTAGGCTTGCTGGATTTAGAAAATAAAACTATAGGATGCCCAGTTAAATCTGAATTACAGGTAACGATTTTTGTTTTTAGTGTAAATGGATCCTAAATACTGCAAGGGGAAACTTATACTAAAAAGTTATTTTTTGTTAATCTGAAATTCAAGTTAACATATAACATCCTATATTTTATCTGGCAATCCAGTTTTTATACAACTATTCATCTTTACTTGCAACATTCCAAATATATGAATTTGATGACATTTTATTTATTATTTAAAAGGTATCAATTTAGCAGTAAGTACTATTTTCCATCACAAACACCAATTACATCTTTGAATGTTATAGGATTTGACTCCTTGTTTTAAGAAATTTTAACAAAATTTCTATAAATCCATGTAATATGGCTTTTATTAGCATAAGGCATAATTGCATCACCAAATCACCAGAAACTACCAACAAATCCACGGTTAAGTATAAACTCTGGGTAGGCCACTTTGAAATGAATCTCATGTTGGAAACCAGAGCTCCAAGCCATCCCATTGAGGAAGGCTTCTGTCAGTTCACAAAGGTCATATTTACCTGTAGCTAGTGGCATTTCCTTGTTCCTAGATAAGATACAACAAAGGGAAGTGTTTGGTTCCAGGTGAGTGGGAAAGGGTATAAGAAATAAGAAGATAACAGTGTTTGGTTCAGGTGGGAATGTATCAACGAAACCACTCTGCTACATGCTCAAGAGGCCACTGACTATAATGCTACTATTAACACCCATTAAAATCTAGTCATTTTCAATTCAGATTTATGTGTAGAAAATTCTGACTGCACAAGCACCATAACTTTCCTTTTCCAGAAGGGGAGGGGTCACAGTGAGGTTGGTATTTATATTTAATGTTTACAACAACTAGAGAAGTTCAACAGCATATCCTGGCTGTGTCCTGAGTGCAGTCTCTAGTTAAGAATCTGCAAGGGAAGAGTTAAAATGGGTATGTGCCACTAATGTACTCCTGCTCATTATTAAAAATCAGACAGCTTTGTGGCACCATCCACAAAGCAGAGAATAACTGAGAAAGGCGAACATAAACTTGTAAGAAAAACATTGTAGAGCTACAGGCTTTTCCCTCTTTATACTATCACAGTGCTCCTAAAGAAAACTGTCAAGTGTTTGTGAATCAAATCGTTTTAAAACCAATAAAATGGAGCCTAGTTTTTAAAAGTGGAAATGTGAAGTTTCTCAAACCTAGATCTGCTGTTTAGATATATCTGAAAAAAAAATCTGTATTAAAGAAGATTTTAACCTCCCAATGTCCTTCCCACTTTTTTGGTGGGGGAGGGAGGACAGGAAGATGAGCTAAGTAAGTAAATACTAATGAAGGTCTTCAAACATCTTATGTGAATAGGCTCTATTTTTTTCTGCATGTCACGTCTTAAAAGCCCCAAAGTGTGTGTGTGTGTGTGTGTGTGTGTGTGTGTGTGTGTGTGTCTGTGTGTTTTAATGTAATTGTGAGGAATTTGAACGATCATTAACTGTGGTCACTCGTTTACCAAATTAAACTTTGGGCGCTGAGGTATCAACTTCCTTATCCCTACTTTTCACAACTGTCTTTAAACCTTTTGTCCAGTTCCCTTGAGACCAGAAGATATGGTATCCTTTGGCTTGGAGATTTGCCAACAACACACACCCATTGGAGAAGTAATGTGTGTATGCTGGGGAAAGAACAGGATTTGGGGCCAAAATCCTAGATTTCAGTTCGGGCTTCATGACTTACTCGCTCCGTAATCATGGACAGGTTATTTATTCTCTGATAGACTAAATAGCCTTATCTGTAAAATGGATTGCTCAATTCCAATGATAAAATGCATGTGGAAGTGATTTGTAAATGGTAAATCAGTATATAAATGTCGTTGATCATTCTTATTACAGGACTCAAAATGGAATTTCCACCTTGTGTTAACAGGGTGGGAACAGGGCAAAGGTGGCCTTTGAAGAGGCTCCTGGTGCTTTGCTGAAGGCCATGGTCTGGAATGTTAAGCATCATTCTGGCTTTGAGACTGAAGGACTGACCCCACAACCCTTATTTACATGCATCCCCTCAATGACTTTTCACGAGTCTAAACTAGAAAGTCAGCGCCTTTTTGCACAGAACTCCTTCCTGACAAAAGATGCGTCTTTCCCAAAAGAGGACAAGGAAACACAAACAGCCAGTTCAATTTTATGTAGACTGCATCTTCTTAACTGCCACCAGATCCCACTGGCCAAATATTAGAGGCCATCGATGGCCTATGACAATTTCAAGAACACATTGTTGTAACTGCTTACATCTTACTGGTGTAAAACTGGTTTAAATAGATGAAAATCACCATCATACCTAGGGAATGAGAGTTTCTCCCAGTTTAAACAAACAACATGATTATAGGCAAAAAAGGAGTATATTGTATGTGGTATTACTTTTTTTTTTTTTTTTTTTTTTTGAGATGGAGTCTCACTCTGTCACCCAGGCTGGAATGCACTGGCGTGATCTCGGCTCACTGCAATCTCCGCCTCCCGGGTTCAAGCGATTCTCCTGCCTCAACCTCCCCAGTAGCTGGGACTACAGGTGCCTGCCACCACGCCTGGCTAATTTTTGTATTTTTAGTAGAGACGGGGTTTCACCATGTTAGCCAGGCTGGTCTCCAACTCCTGACCCCAGGTGATCCGCCCGCCTCAGCATCCCAAAGTGCTGGGATTACAGGTGTGAGCCACTGTGCCTGGTGGTGTGCGGTATTATTTCTGAAGTATAATAAAAAATAGCGACTGCTAAAAGGTGAAACACACTAATTGCATGAATGCAGTGCATATTTGGGAAATATTACTAGAACAAGTCTGAATATAATTTGGAGCCAGAATTTTGTTATTTTTGAAATCACAATTACCAGTGCTAAGGGATAAATCCATGTATCTGTTTGTATGAAATGCATTCATTGTATCCCCCTAGTTGTAGAAAGCAAAGAGCTCATTGCTTTTGCAGTCTCAAGAATTTGGTCATGTAGCAAATCTACACATGTACTTCCTGAATCTAAACTAAAAGTTGAAAATATTTTTTAAAAAAGAAGAACTTGGTTAAGCATAAGGCTTACAAATTTCCTCTCCTATTCAAGGACTTGTAAGCACCTGAAATAAAAGAAGGTACAATTGACCATGGGATATATGCAGTGAGAATATTTTAGATTTTGTAATCTAATATTGGATTGCAAAAGTCAATATTGGATTGACGTTAATCCAACATTGACTTCAAATGTTTCTATCTAGACACAAGACAAGGCATTTGAAACTATGACACGTATGTTATATAATAATTGCCATGATTGTACCTGTCAACCACTTGCAGATATTTGAGTAATATTTTATTTGGCTTAATTTTCATCCCAGAAGGAAGTATAAGAAACTTGAATGCATGTAATTTCATGTGCTTCTTTAGTATTTGTTACCAGTTCCTTCATTGAATGCCTATTAGTTTGTCTTCATAGCCTCCCCTTTCCCTTCCTTTCCTTGGAATTGCCCCCACTCTTCAATCCTCTGGCAGCCACGTTTGTACAACACGGCCCCCTTCTTGACCACATCCAACTGGTCTAGAAGTGGGCAGCTGTCTGTGAATTTGGAATTGAGACTAAGGGAAATTTTGTTTCACTCTGGGTAGCTGGGCCTATAATACGAATACAGGCACGAGGTGAAAATTCCATTTTAAGTCCTGTAATAAGAATGATCAACAACATTTTTATACTCATTTACCATTTACAAATCATTTCCACATGCATTTTATCATTGGAATTGAACAATCTATTTTACAGATAAGGCTATTGAGTCTATCAGAGAATAAGTAATCTGTATTCATACAGATAATAGAGATAGCCATCTGCCATCATATAGCCTGGGGAGCAGAGAAAGAAAGAATCAAGCTGACATGCAGAAAGGGGCACAGATGAGATGGAGTGAAAACACAGAAATGTCCTGACCACTAACACAGTGTCTGGTTCCAGGTCAAGCCTAGCTACATTCTTACCCCTGGGTTCCTTGAGAACCCCAGAGTCTTTAGAATAAATTTTTCCTTTTTGCCTAAGCTAGCTAAAGTAGGTCTCTGTTATTTACAAGCAAGAGTCCAGATGACTGCACATTCCACCTTTGACAGTCTTCATTTTAAAACAGATACACTCACCCTAAAGCAAAAAGAGTTTGCATTCAATAGTCCACTTAGGCAGGAGAGATCCTGGTATACTGCAGTGTCTAGCATACACTTTAGTGGTAGGTGCTCATATAATGTTTGCTGAATGAATGAGTGAATCAATGAATAAATGAATAGAGGCATGTGTTCCAAATAACCTGGAATGAACTTAAGCTGACATTCAGATAGGTCTCAGTGCCCACGAGTGTATGACTATTCAATTTTTAAATCTTATTGACCATTAACCTATGACTTTTGAAGCTGGTTGTAAGGCAGGGCTACATAGTGGTTACAAATAATGGCACTGGAGTCAAACTGATTGCATCCCAATCATTGCCTTGCCCTCAGGTCTCTCTAGACCTCAGTTTCCTCATCTGTAAAATGGGGATAATTGCAATATATATCACAGATATTTCGAAGATTACAAGAGATAATCCATGAACTGCACATGGTATATTGTAAGTGCTCAAACGTTAATGACTATTATAATGATCTGGGGGCAACTTTTAAAGACAAAGCAGCAACATGTTCAAATCTCACTTGATGCACTCTTTTTGATGAGCTGCTCTTCTTATCATTTATCCAACTTTTCTTTTTGACTTCTTCTCAGCTGTAGGCTGCAGGGCAGCTTAGTGGTAGACTTCTTCCAGAATATTCACCTGGGTGCCAGTACCTTTGCTTCATCTAGTGACAGTCCTCTGAAGGCCCGTAAACATTCTGTTCCCTTCTGACCCCTCCAGTCACTTCTTTAGATTTTAAAAGTTTTTGTAACCCAAAAGTGTGATACCAGGAGAGCTGACACTACTCAGGATGAGATTTCTCTCTCATCACAGAATTTTCTGCCATTCTGCACATCTACTTAAAGTGTTTTTGAAGTGTTAATGTTGTAGGAATATCTATTAAAGTATTTATGAATGGAATGACACATCTTAGGTTTGTTTCAAAATAGTCAAGAAGCGGGGGGTAGGTTGAGAAAGCGATGAAACAGAGAAGGCCGTGAAAACTGAATGATAGGTACCTAAGGGCTCATGATATCAATCTACTTTTTTACATGTCAGAAATTTTTCTTAATAAAAAGCTATATCTAGAAATATTCTTGAGCACCCGTTAGCCCTTCCTTAGCCTGAGCTGTGTATAATTTTATTCATATGGAGTGTAGTTCTGATTTTCTTACATCTCTTGCTTCAGGCAATGCCTTGAAATCATAAATGGCCACCAAAAGAAGCAGAAGGTCCATATCCTGTGCACACAGAAGATATTTGAGCACAATTTAGATATTATTCTTGAAAAGTTTCAAACTGGTTTCATTTCTGTTTTGATACTAATGAATGAAATAGGTAAGAAGTCCTAGCAGAAACTCTCTCTTTACTGGGGACCTTGGCTGATAATTTTCTGTTTACAACCAAAATGATAAAACATGTGCTGCTCCGTGATACAGGTGTAGTGTGTTAGCAAATACCCTTTAAAAGACACATGCAACAGAAGCTAAATCAAAAGCCAGATGAAAAACTGTCTCCACCTTGGATGACAGAGGGTTTTTGTTAATGCCTTGCCATCATGCACCAAATGTATCATAGCAACAGTAACCGGATGCTACTAACAAGAACCTCCTCCCAACGTTTAACCTTGTTGCAACCTTCACAGAAGGTTCTTGCCATGGCATTGCTGACAACAGCAGGCATCAGTTATGTTGTCCTAAACAACCAAGGACCATGGTAGAGCATCAGGAAGTGGCTGCCACTCTCTGATGGGGCCGGACACTCAGGAAAAAGGGGATAAATTAGAAAGAAAATAATTATAATCTGTACTGTGATCATTGCCTTTATATGACCACCAGTGCTGATTATCTGTCTTCAAGGCCCAGTGGAATTGGGGATTGGTTTTCATGTGCCGCCTTTTTCATACAAAGACTCAGACTTTCAGCTGTTGCTGGTAGCGAGGGTCCACGGCCACACTTCTTCTTTCTCACCCCCCTTTAAAACAAACACGTGGTGGAAAGCCAGCTGGTAGGGTTAGGGAAGCAGGGTATGGCCAAAGAAGGGAGCCAAGCTAACTGCTCCCCATGGGGATGCAGCCCTGACCTTGGCCTCATTAGCTTTGGGCTCTGACCGAGCTAAACCAGCCCAGATGGCTTTAGGAATAAGGTGAAGACCCACTTCAGAAAAAAACTGGAGAAACAAATTAACAGCTTGCTAGCCTTAAAACGATGGGGAGGTGTGGGAGGAAAGATGTTCTAGTGGATTTTCATAGTGAAAACTTCAAAGAACTTTTCAAGTTGCATATGTTTTACTATTATTAATATTATTATTATTTTCAGCTAAAGGTGATGAAATCTAGTTTATTTTCTCCAAATAGAAGCGAGTTTTAGATTTCTAAAATATCAGAACAACAAAGTTTTTCTTTTTCCTAATAACACTTTTCAAGGGAGAGAAGAGACCTACTATTGCATTTAATTCTCACACCAATGCTACACCCTGTTAGGTAATATTATCATCGCCATCCCTTGAAAATTGTGACCTGGAGATGTTAACTAATTTGCCCAAGGTCATACATCTAGTAAATAGTGGAAGCAGCTTGAATTTAGGTCAGTCCATCCTTGAAGCCCTCCAGCTTTCCACAGCACCCCATTGCTTACTAATTCTGAGTAGCAGCAAGCAAGTACAGGAGTGTTTTCTAAGAATATCTGTGAGGTTTAAAACCAAGTTGACACTCCTTATCAAATCATTAAATCACGTCAGAAAAGATACTCTGGAGCACTTGATTTGCAACAACTGATTGTGTCTTCCGGCAACTCCCAAAGTTATGTCAGTGACAATCTTCAGCAAAATGGCTCCCCAATTTATTAGGCTGATTTTCTTCAAGGAGATTTAAAACACACTTTTGTTGTTGGGGGAAAAAAAACCCATTCTACACTTACAGTTGGAGCAATATGGTGCACTGTTTTCTGCGACCCTATGCAAGCGCAGTTCAATGACCTAATTAATGGTTAGTGGACAGCTCTGATGCTAGAGGGCAGAGCAGCCTAGTGGCTCCCCGGGTGGGTTTGGCAAAAGACAGATCAACACTAACACATGCGCAGCAGTTTGTAGATTAGAGTAATAGTTTAGTAAACGGTGGCTATTATTATGACTTGTATTATTGCGCTTTCCTTTTATTTTCTCTTTGCCCATCCATGGGGAAACTTCTTCCAGTACTTCAGGCCAGGGTTTCTCAACCTCAGCACTATTGACATTCTGGACTGGACAATTCTTAGTTTCAGGGGCTATGTTATGCACTGTAGGATGTTCAGCAATAGCATTACAACTAGGGTGAGGTGAATGAAGCACTTGCCCTGGGCATGAAATTTAAGAGGACACCAAAAAAACTCGTTAATCAAGATAAGTAATATTTTTAAATATTTTGAAAACATCTAAATTAGTGCCCCAAAACTCCATGATGAACAAAATATCAAAATTTTAAATAAAGGTAAGATCAATATTCCTAAATTTTCCTTTTGTTTCAGGCTCCAAAATGACTCAGCATGGCACTGTAACTGACCCTCTGTTTAGCAGCATCTCGGACTTCTACTGTAATTGATCCTCCGTTTAGCAGCATCTAGTAGCATTCCCCACCCCCACCTCTGTCCCGACTCCCACCCCCAGTTATGACCAGCAAAAATGTCTCTAGACATTTTCAAATGTCTGCTGTGTGGCAAAATTGCCCCTAGCTGAGAACCACTACTAAAGGCATAGAGGATTAGGGACACTCTCCCTCATTTTAAAAAAACAAAAAACAAACAAACAAAAAACCCATAAAAGAAGCTAATGAGGCATGACAACAGTATGGCTAAGGACAGGACTCTGTATCACACAGAATTGGGTTCAAATCTCAGGTTTGACATTTGGTAGATGTGTGACCTTATGTGCTACCATCCTGTGCTTCAGTTCACCATCTGTAAAGTAGAGATGATAATAAAATCTATGCCATAGGGTTGCGAACATTAAATAATGATTTGTGTAAATCATTCAGGACAGTACATGATGCATGGCAAGACCTCAAAAACATTAGTCACTATTATTATTGAGAAGTAATCAGTGGGCTGGGCACGCCTCTCCCATCAGTTTTTGTGCCAGAGTGATAGGACTGCTCATTTTTCTGAGCAAATGGAGACTGGTTCTAGAGGAAAGGACGTAGTATTTCCAATGGCTTAATCTTCAGGTATACCAGTGCAGGCGATTCTTCTCCTTACGGAAGAAAATATTCAGTTTGTTTCATGATTAAACATGTTCAAATGCTAATCTTAGTGTCTCTCATTGCCAATTTAGAGCTTTGAAAAACTTGATTGCCATTCAGAGAAAATGTTTGTTGTTAAGGCTGAAAAGTTCAACCCACCAACATATCCTTACATCATTACTTTAACCAATAACAGGAAAACTTACAAATCCAAGATACAACTAGAATTCAGCAGCATCACAAATATTATTTTGAACATAACTTAAAAACTAATAAGGGCTGAGTTGTTTTCATCTAAATGCAGACTAAAGGAAAATAACAAAAATATCAAGCTGCATTCAAATGCTTCAGCCCTGTAATACCCATTTCAAGGAAAATCATACACGGCTGTCTTGCTTTTAGCTTATTTTAGTTTTTCTTACGGTTTTGAATGTGGTAGATAAAATATTGCTTCTCTAAGTCCAAAGTCATAGTTTAATTTTTTAACCACTTCTTTGAAATATAATTCATACACAATACAATTTGCCTAAAGTATACAACTCAATGGCTTTTAGTATATTTGCAGTTGTGCATCCATCACCACAACTAATTTTAGGATATTTTCAGAAAAGAAACTCTGCATCACTTAGCCATCACTCATGACAACCACCACCATTTTCTCCTTCCCCTAGCCCTTGGAAAACACTAATTACTGTCTGTACAGATTCACCTATTCTGAATATTTTGTATATATGCACCCTTTTGTAACTGGCTTCATTCACTTGGCATAATGTTTTCAAGGGTCACCCATGTTATAGTACATATCAGTACTTCAATCCTGTCTGTGGCTGAATAATATTGCATTGTAAGGATATACCATATTTTGTTTATTCATTTAGCTATTGGTGGACATTTGGATTGTTTTCCTCTTTTGGCTTTTATGAATACTGCTGCATAAACATGTGTACAAGTTTTTGTGTGGACATAATATTTTCAGTTCTCTTGGGTATATACCTAGGAGTGTAATTGCTGGGTCATATAACACTATGTTTAACACTTTGAAGAACTGCCAGACTGTTTTCCAAAGTGGCTGTACCTTTTTACATTCCTGCTAGCAGTGTAAGAGGGATCCAATTTCTCCATATCCTGGCCAACACATGTTATTATCTGACTTTTTGATAATAGTCATCCTAGTAGGTATGCAGTAATCTTTCACTGTGGTTTTGATTTGCATTTTCCTGATGACTAATGATGTTGAGCGCCTTCTTATATGCTTGTTGGCCGTTTGTATACCTTCTTTAGAGAAGTCATGGTTTCACTCTCATACTCTAAGAGGTGTTTGGGAAGTACTATGCAGTAAGTAGGACCATCTGGAATAGAAATACGGATGCTGATAAAATATATATTTCCATCGTCTTTCCAACACATGACTGAATTAATTAGCTTGACCGACAGAAAAAAAAAAATTCTTCTAATGGCAACAAAAATTATTCTATCTGTGTGGCCTTAGCTGAAGGTGAACAGAAACTAGGTAATGGAGAAAGTTTGTTTAGCATGAAAAACAATTTATATTTATCTAAGCCTCAAAACTGCAGAACATCTTATTGAAGCCTGGATTCTGCCAGTACCTGTCAGGTCATTGGCATGTGCACTTGTGCACCTCAGGGTAACAGCAAAAGTCTAACTTGGGTGCTCTTTATTTCTTTCCCAACTTAACTGAGTCAGTTTCACTGTGCTTTCAGTTGATCTCATAGAAATTTTTTCCTCCATGTTTGGAAAAAAAATTCATGTGTTTCTTTCCTCTGAAAATAAATTCACTAGAAGAACAGTATGAATATACAGTCCATGCATACTGGATTATCATATCAGGATCATTTAGGAGGATGTGTAGTATTACAATTAAAGGTCTAGGGCTGAGATGACTACCCATCTCTGGAAGAACTCTGGATAGCCCAATAAATTCAGACATTTGGAAATACTTGTTCAATAGTCTGTGACAAATAGGGAAGGCAAAGGAAAACAGAGCTCCAAGAGTCATTAATCTAAATTAATTAACCCAGTGACATTGTCATAGAATTTTAGCCCCACTGCAGAACTCAAATGAATACAATGTTTCAGGTAGGTAAGCTTTTTTTTTTTTTTTTTTTTTTTTTTTTTTTTTTTTTTGTGGGTGGGGGATGTTTATTTACAATGAACTGCGGAAGAGGGTTAATCTAATGGGATGCAGGACTGCATTGGATGGTGAAATGCTTTGTGACCAGCATCCATTTGAGGTATCAATTAACTTTTAATTCTTGGAGGGAAACAAAAGCAGCCTTGCACAAAGCCTAAATTGGGGGTGGTATAAGGGGCACAGAGCTCATGGAACCTTAGGCCTGCTACCTTTTTGTAGCAAGGAAAGGCCTCCTTATGTAACACAAAGGGATTGAAGAGTAGGGAGGGAGAAGGGTGAATTGGTGTGTGGCCTGTTAACTCAATGATGTTTCTAAAGCCTGAATGGGAAGAGTCAAAGCCACCCAAGTCACAACAGTGCTAAGTCAACAGCTTGGCCGAGACAGCATGACCTGAATGGAAATGCAAATGGTTCAGTCCAATAACTTCTTGGGGTGTCACTTGGTCCACCAGCTCTTGCATCCCTGGAACTTTTCAACTGCATACAGGACAGCAAATCATCTGAGTAGACCCCATATCCAAACTCCAGGGAAAACCCAAAATATACCAATCCAAATTAAGAAAACAAAAAAATTGTGTGGTGGTAATTACCAATATAAAAAGAATATTTACTGTGCTGAAGCTTTCCCTAAAGGCTCGTTTTCAGCTATCCACCATGTGATTTTCAAAAAGCATCAGCTGTGGTGCTAAAGAAGAGTCTCATGTTCAACAGGGAAGAAAATTCTTTCCATGAAGTGCTGTTGTGGACATGCCCGGCTTCCAACCACCAGCCAACACAGGAGTACATAATTAGTTTGTTTTCCAAAGAGAGCGCTACCTCATGCTTTTCTTCAAATTCAATCAAAACATGTACGTTCTAAATAGAAACATGTTCATTTGGAATCCCTTTGCATGAGCAGCTGTCTGGGCCAGGCCTGGCCGAAGAGCCATTCATCCCTGCACTCCAGCCAGTAAATGCTCAGCTTTGTTCACCCCTACCAGCAGAGGCAGTCAGACTATGTCTATTGGGCAGGGGGCTTTAATGATCTGAGGCAGGTGTCCTCAGAGGCTGCCCAGGTGAGGGGGGTCAGCCTGTGTGCCATGACTCACTCACTTGTCCCCAGTTTACAAAGCCCATCCTCCTCATTAATTACTGCCACTAGTGTGTTCATACACACAAGTGAAAGGAGTCCACTCAAGCCTGCTTGGGGCCTTTGCTACTATTTAAGAGCTCTGAAGACAACCAAACGCCACTGTTTTCAAAGATGGGGCGGGGTGGGGGGGCGGCGGCGGTAAAGCACTCTACAGAACGTCTACAAAATGAAATCATAATAATATGAAAGAAATAAGCAGCTGCTAAGGCCTAATAAAGAAGCTGCCCAAAGCACAAAGATGTCCTTTTGGCAAATGCTCAGCAAGGCTAAAAGAATCATATTGTCAAGTTCCCAAAAGGTAAGGAAAAGGTTTTGTTCTTGCCCTTAGTGAGTTTTTTAAAAGTCAATGCAGGAGACAAGCCAAATTGACAGAGAAGAAAAATCACCTCATTTTGTTTCATGTTTTTGCATTCTCAAAACCCCACCCTACATAATGCCTTATTTTAGCCCCCACAATCCAGTGAGGGAGGCAAGGTACTAATAGCTGCACATGGCAGATGAGGAAAATAAGTTCAGAGAAGTTAAGGGACTTACCCATAGTCACACAACTAATCACTGTGAGAGTCAGGGCCAGAATCCAGGTGTACTTGCAAATGGAGCTGAAGTCTCAGCCACAATTAGAGTCACAGAGGTGGTCTCACAAATCGCAGGGGAATGCAGCTGGATGCAACCTAGGTTAACAGTGCAAGCTTTGTCAGGAAGGAAATTGGCTTTTGATGGCCTGGAAGGAAGAGTGAGCTCTTTTGTACAAAGAGCTCACCACTGGCGTTGGAACCCAATTTGTGATGCTCTGTTTACTTTGGCCAGACGGGAATTTAGTGTTTCTACAAAAACATTGCAGGACCCTGGAGTTTCTCATGAATGCAGAATAACATTTTCTGAATTCTCTCCACTCCTGCACAGAAAAATTCTTCTCCAGGAATAACCAGTTTTCACCTCTCTGCTGACTTCAGGGTCCATTTGGGCATGTGTTATTTTATTATGACCCACCTTATTTCAAAAACAATTTTAGGAGGCCGAATTAGTGTCCAGGGAAACTGACCTAATGTGAGATCATTTTTCATTGTAATACAGTCTGCCCAACAGGCACAGAAAGAAAAAAGCTGCCTCTGTAGGCTAGTGATCAAGAATCAGACAATCTCCGGATTCAAATTCCAGCTCGGCCAATTGCCATCTATGTGGCCTGGGACCAATAACAAATCTCTTTCAACATCAGTTGCCTGATCTGAAAATAGGGGGTAATAATAAAGATTAAATTAGATAGTACACAAAACCCGCCCATACCAATGCCTGGTGTGTGAGGTGAGTTCATTACATTTTAGCTGTTAAATTATTAGCTTTCTTGTTTTGACATTTAGGTGAGTTATTAACTATTAAATAGTGAGCACAGTGCCAAAACATGATAAATGCTGTGTTATTATTAGCTGCTATTGTTACTATCATTTTCTCATTCTGCTCTCCTCCTCACATCTTACACTATAGGCCAAACTCATCTCCCACCTCCTTGCCTTTGTACATGCTATTGCCTCTGATTGGGCTGAATTTCCCTTCTTGATTTTGTCTGATAACTTGGGTTCTCTTTCAAGACTTAGATCAGGGGGCAAGTCCTCTAGGAAGCTTTCTAAAAAGTCCCAAAGAAGAGAATGATGCCCCTCCTCTATGCTCTTATGACACCCAATATACTTCCCCAACAAAAACACTCACCACACTATCTTATATTCTCAGGTCTTCTATACTATACTGTGTGTTCTTTCAGGAAAAGACAATCTCTCTTTCAACCCTTTAATTCTAACACCTAGCAGAGAGTAGACATAGATTCACATAGTGAAGAAATGATTTGTGACAGCAATCATGACTATAATTACCAATAACAGAAAAGCCTGCCATTTTGTCTAAACTACCTAAAGACCCCTAAAGGTAAAAGTGATCCCCAGCAGGGCCCTGGAAGTAAACAGGGAGCACAGGTTTGCTTCCTGACTCCTCAGGATGACTTCCACCCATTGTCTCCCCAGGCAGCAGCTGAAGTACAGCACTGGTGAAACCTGACCTGTCACCTTGGACTAAGGGATAGGTGAATGAAATCAAACAGATCCAAATAACAACAGAGTTATGTACCATTAAGTATACTGAACCTAAGTAGACCAGTTGAGTAGATTTAGGAAGTCATCACTATGAGGCTCAAGAATTAAAAACAATTTAAGCACTATAAGAAGCCAGCTGGAATAGTGCCTCCAGTGGGTCCAGGACTCTTCCACCTGCCCTATGCAAATAATCCCAACAAGCATCTCTTGAGGCTTGATAATCCAAATCTCAGCAACTACCATTTGCCAAGCACCAAACACGCTGGTCAGCTGTCATCCTTGCAACTGAGTTAGAGGAGAGTTATTATTTCCACCCATCTTACATATGAGGTCACTCATATATTTCCACCCATCATGCATATCAGGCTCAGGTTAAGTGACTTGCCCAGGGTTATAGAACCAGTCAAAGCCAGGAGGGATTTCCAGTGTGGCATTTTTGAAGCCAAGAGTCAAGCCTTATTGACCCTATAGCCCATATTTGTAGCCATGCCACAATACTGCCAGCGAAGTGACCTAAGAGTCAGGCACTGGAAGGCTACGGCTTTTTTTCTCCAGGGGCTCCTATTCTAGAGGGACACACAGACATATTAACAGGTAACCACACTGAGAGACAGACAGTGATCAGTACCAGAATAGAACTATCCATAAAATGAGACAGGACCCTAGAGAAGGGGGTGATTAAGTGTAACTGGCAGGAATTTAGAAATTCTTTTTTTCCACAACTAAATCTCAAAAGCTGGCCTTCTTCCTTAGACTTTGCAAACCCTATTTATTTTGCTCTCACTCAACTCCCTTCCTCATTTCATTTATTTCCTTTCCTTTAGTGTCTATTCTTTCTGAAGCAGGCGTAACATCCTTAAGCCGCCCATCCCCTCATGGTTCTTACTGGCATTTTCTCTGCCACATTCCACTTATTGTTGGAGAGCAGATTTGAAAAAGGGGTGGAGGTTTGGATTAGATGACTTCTAAGATTCCCTCTAACTCAGAAAGTGGAAGATTCACTGAATAAATTGCTCAGATGCACGGAGAGCCTCCAGAGCAAATTTCAGAAATTAGCAAAGGCCCACACTCACCACAGCCATGATCTTATTTAAAAAACTTCAAAATTCCTTCATTGTGTCATACACAGCAAGATCTCAAGCTAGAGTTACCAACAACTTTCTCTTGGCTTTTAAACTTTTTCAATTTTTAACTAACATTTTAAATTTTTGCAATTTAAAATGTTGGTTAAAAGTTTTTAAATGGAGGCTCTTTATTTTCAAATGGAAATTTGATTCAAATCAAGGTCAGAGGATTAAACAGTGAGTTAGAAATCAGCCCTTGAATTCAAAGCTGATTTTAAGCACAGCAAAATGCCCTTGCTCTTGTCCAGCCATCAGGTTTCTATGCTACTCTTGCAATCCCAGGGCATTGAAAATGGAGACCCAGAGGTGACAGTCTTTTTATTCTAGTCCAGGCTTCTATCTATACCATGTTAACAACAGAATTGTTGGCAACTAGATAATGATCATTTAATTCTAAAACATTTTCTAAACCCAGTAATAGGATTAAAGATAATTCACTCTTTCCAGCCTTAGGATTCCAGCCACATGTTAACCTCTAGCAGATCCCAATGGCTAGTGGTCATTTCTATGGGTTATTCTTTCATTTAAAACAGCCTCCCCATAAGCAACCAAGGAAAAAGTTAGATAAATTGGACTTTTCCAAAATTGAAAACTTTTGTGCTTCAAATGTCCCCAACAAGAATGTAAAAAGCCAACACATAGAATCACGGAAAATATTTGCAAACCAAATACAATAGTTTTCCCTTACGCATGGTTTTACTTTGCACAGTTTCAGTTATGGTCTGAAAATATTAAATGAAAAATTCCAGAAACAAACAATTCATAAGTTTTATATTGCACATCGTTCTGAGTAGTGATGAAATCTCATGTTTTCCTGATCCATCTCACCCAAGACATCAATCATCCTTTTATCCAGAGTATACATGCTGTATATGCTACCCTCCCACTTACCATCTCAGTGATCAGATTTATATATTAATCTGATATATATACACATATGCGTATACACGTATAGACACATATGTGTATATACGTATAGACATGTGTATATACGTATAGACACATGTGTATATACATGTATGTGTGTATACATGTATGTGTGTATACATGTGTGTATACATATGTGTGTACATATATGTGTGTACATGTGTGTGCATATGTGTGTGTGCATATGTGTGTACATATATGTGTGTATACATATGTGTGTGTGCATATGTGTGTACATATGTGTGTATATACATGTGTGTGTATATACATATATACATATGTGTGTGTGTATATACACACACACACACACACACACACAGGGTTTGGTGCTATCTGAGATTTCAGGCATTCACTGGGGGTTTCAGAATGTATCCCCTGCAAATAAGGGGGGACTACTGTATCTGATAAAGATCTATCATACAGAATATATGAAGAACTTTTATAACTCAATAATAAAAATACAAATAACCCAATTAGAAGGTGGGCAAAACAACTAATCAGATATTTTTCCAAAGAAGATATATAAATGGTCAGTAAACATATGAAGAAGTTCAACATCATTAGTTATTAGGAAAATGACAATCAAAACCACAATTAGATACTATTTCACACCTATTAAGAAAGCTATAATAAAAAAGACAGATGATGACAAATGTTGTGAGGATGTAGAGAAATGGTGTATTAATCTGTTCTCATGCTGCCATGAAGAAATACCCGAGACTGGCTTATTTATAAAGAAAAGAGGTTTAATTGACTCACAGTTCCACATGGCTGGGGAGGCCTCAGGAAATTTACAATCATGGCAGAAGAAACCTCCACATAGGGCAGCAGGAGAGAGAATGAGCACTGAGCAAAGGGCAAAGCCCCTTATAAAACCATCACATCTCATGAGAACTCACTATCATGAGAACAGCATAGGGGAAACTGCCCCCATGATTTGATTATCTCCCCCTGGTCCTGTCCTTGACATGTGGGGATTATTACAATTCAAGGTGATATTTGCTTGGGGACACAGAGCCAAACCATATCATTCTGCCCCTGGCCCCTACCAAATCTCATGTCCTCACATTTCAAAACACAATCATGCCCTCCCAACAGTCTCCCAAAGTCTTAACTAATTCCAGCATTAACCCAAAAGTCCAAGTCCAAAGTCTTATCTGAGACAAGGCAAGTCCCTTCCACCTATGAGCCTGTAAAATCAAAAGCAAGTTAGTTACTTCCTAAATACAATGGATATACAGGCATTGGGTAAATATAGCCATTCCAAATGGGAGAAATTGGCCAAAACAAAGGGGTTACAGGCCTCATGTGAGCCCAAAATCCAGTAGGGCAGTCATTAAACCTTAAATTTCCAAAATGATCCCTTTGACTCCATGTCTCACATCCAGGTCACACTGATGCAAGAGGTGAGCCCCCTGGCCTTGGGCAGCTCTGCCCCTCTGGCTTTGCAGGGTACAGTCCCCCTCCCAGATGCTTTCACAGGCTGATGGTTAGTGTCCATGGCTTTTCCAGGCACACAGTGCAAGCTGTTGGTTGACCTACCATTCTGGGATCTGGAGGACAATGGCCCTCTTCTCACAGCTCCACTATGCAGTGCACCAGTGGGGACTCTGTGTGGGGGCTCTAACCCCAGCAGAGGTTATCCATGAGGACTCTGCCCCTGCAGCAGACTTCTGCCTACACGTCCAGGCATTTCCATACATCCTCTGAAATCTAGGTGGAAGTTCCTCAACTTCAATTCTTGACTTCTCTACACCTGCAGAGCCAATACCACATGTAAGCTGCTAAGGCTTGGGGCTTGCACCATCTGAAGCAATGGCCTGAGGTGTACCTTGGCCCCTTTTAGCCATGGCTGGAGGTGAAGTAGCTGGAATGCAGGGCACCATGTCCTGAGGCTACACAGACCACGGGGGTCCTGGGCCTGGCCTGCAAAACCATTTTTCCCTCCTAGGCCTCTAAGCCTGTGATGGGAGGGGCTGCCATTAAGGTCTCTGACATGCCCTGGTCACATTTTCCCCATTTTCTTGGTGATTAACATTCACCTCCTTGTTAGTTATGCAAATTTCTGCAGCCAGCTTGAATTTCTCCCCAGAAAATAGGTTCTTCTCTTCTATCGCACCATCAGTCTGCAAACTTTCCAAGCTTGTATGCTCTGCCTCCTCTTAAAAACTTTGTTGCTTAGAAAGTTCTTCTGCCAGATACCCTAAATCATCTCTCTCAAGTTCAAAATTTCACAGATCTTTGGGGCAGGGGCAAAATGCTGCCAGTCTCTTTGCTAAAGCATAATAAGAGTCACCTTTGCTCCAGTTCCCAATGAGCTTCTCATCTCCATCTGAAACCACCTCAGCCTGGACTTCATTGTCCACTTCACTACCAGCATTTTGCTCAAAGCCATTCAACAAGTCTCTGGGAAGTTCCGAACTTTCCCGCATCTTCCTGTCATCTTCTAAGCGCTTCAAACTGTTCCAACCTCTGCCTGTTACCCAGTTCCAAAGTCACTTCGACATTTTCAGGTATCTTTACAGCAGCACCCCACTCCCAGTACCAACTTACTATATTAGTTCATTCTCACACTGCTATAAAGAAATACTCGAGACTGGGTAATTTATAAAGAAAAGAGGTTTAATTGGCTTACAGTTCTGCAGGGTTGGGGAAGCCTCAGGAAACATACAGTCATGGCAGAAGGGGAAGCAAACACACCCTTCTTCACATGGTGGCAGTAAAGAGAAGTGCCAAGTAAAGGGGGAAGAATCCCTTATAAAACCATCAGATCTCATAAGAACTCACTCACCATCATGAGAACAGCACGGGGGAAACCACCACCGTGATTCAATTTTCTCCACCTGGTCCTGTCCTTGACACATGGGGATTATTACAATTCAAGGGGAGATTCTGTGGAGACACAGATCCAGGCCGTATCAAATGGGAACTCTCATACATTTCTGGTAGAATTGTAAAATGCTTCTGTTTTCTGTAGAAAACAGTTTGGCAGTCCCTCAAAAAGTTAAACAAAGAGTTACCATGTGACCCAGCAATTCCAACTGTATGCTCAAGAGAAATAAAAACATATGTCCACACAAAATGAATGTTCATAGCAACATTATTTATGATAGCCAAAATGTGGAAAGAACCCAAGGGTCCATCAATTGGTAAATAAACAAAATGTGATATATCTCCGTACAATGGAATATTATTCAGCAATAAAAATAAAGTATTTATACATGCTACAACATGGATGGACCTTGAAAGCATTATATTAAGTGAAAGAAGTTGTACACAAAGGCTCCATGTTATATAATTCCATTTACAGGCAATACTCAGAAAAGTAAATCTATAGAGACAGAAAGAAAGTAGATTAGTGGTTAGCCTAGGAGCTTGGAGGATGGGAAACGAAGTGACTGCTAATGAGTACAGGGTTTCTTTTTCAGATTGATAAAAATTTGGGGGTATTAGATTGGGAATTAAATTGTGGTGAAAGTTACACAACTTTGTCAGTAAACTGAAAACCACTGAATTATACACTTTGAATGAATTTTATGGGGTGTGAATTGTATCTCAATCTTTTAAATGTGGAAAAATAGCACTGTATTCAAGTATCAGAGATCCGAGGGGCAAAACTGCACTAGGGCTGCTGCTAGTCTTTCTGTGTGATAAACAGACTCACATTTATATGTGTTCGGTTGGAATTTATTGAATACATACTAAGACAGACCAATACATATCATAGAGACCTGAAATACAGTTCATCACTCCTGAGTTCTGATTTACTGGGGGCTGAGTTAGGTCCATCAAGCATCTGGTTGGATCCTTCCAAACTATATAGCTATACATTCCAAGACCTCCAAATTCCCTGGCTTCAGACACTCTGAACTCTTTTTCTTTTGTGAAAACTCCCTCCATTTCCCCCTCCTGTCTTTGTTCATGCTCTGCCCCTTACTCAAACTAACAAGATTCTACTTAATTTTTAGGCATCACCAGGTGCAAATTCTCTCTCTCCTATGAAGTAGTGCATTGGTACCTAAAAAGGGACTTAATAAAGGTTTGTTGGTTGAGTGAGCAAATGAATGACTTCAGTTATGCAGTCCTCTAAGTAGATGTGAAGAAATAAAATTGACCATAGTTAGTGGAAGCCCTTGCTTAATTTATTCAGGAGTCATTGAAGCAGTAGAGAGGATGAGTGAACAGGCCTGGAAGTGAGGTTATGTTCCTGGATGGGGGTTCCAATTCATATCTGAGTTTTGCATAGAAACAATGGAATAGTATGGCCATTCTCAGGCTTATATCCACCAGGACACACATGACAGAAGCAGCTCACATACAGGGCTGGTTCCCAGAGGCTTAATCAAGGTTATGCAAGTTTTCACCTTGTTCTCTCAATTGGGCAAGCATTTCAGAACACAAGTGAATGAAAGCAACATTTTCATAAGAACAAACTTGAACTAGGTCTAATTTACTAAAACAGGCAACCATTTACAAACTTCAGATCCTTACTTATTAGTAGAAACACATCATTTGGAACCCAACTCACAACTGATTGTGACACAACAAGGTGTGACTATACTGCAGATGAGGACCACTGGTGCCCCAGGAAGTCATATTTCTGTAGAAAGGCTGGAATGGCAAACTTGTTAAGGAAGTAACCATAAACTACAAATGGTATCTTGGTGCTAGGAAATGATTTCTAAAGTACATGCATAGCATAGGTTTAACAGATCACACAGAACCCAACACAGTAAAATTGTATTTAATCTGGTGTTGTATATAGCATATCATGCAGCTCTCTCAACATGCCTTATAATTTCTCTTCATGTTTGCTACAACAAATCCAGAGGAAAAGGAACACTACTGCAGTTATAGATTCAAAAGGACTTCTCTGGAGAAATTTGCCCAGGAACCCAAAAAGATTTTATAGAAAGATGATCATTTGATTTTTTTTTTTTTTTTTTTGAGACGGAGTCTCGCTCTGTCGCCCAGGCTGGAGTGCAGTGGCGTGATCTCGGCTCACTGCAAGCTCTGCCTCCCAGGTTCACACCATTCTCCTGCCTCAGCCTCCCAAGTAGCTGGAACTACAGGTGCCCGCCACCACACTTGGATATTTTTTTGTATTTTTAGTAGAGAAGGGGTTTCACCATGTTAGCCAGGATGGTCTCGATCTCCTGACCTCGTGATCCGCCCACCTCAGCCTCCCAAAATGCTGGGATTACAGGCGTGAGCCACCGCACCCAGCCTCATTTGATATTTTTTAATGTGATCCAAGGATAATTGTTTTGCTGCCTCTTCCCCCCTGAACTTTACCAGCCTCCCACTAGCAGAAATAGGCATTAACCAAACATGCTATTTACCTTTCTTCCTGCCTTTAAAACAAAGTTCTGCTTTTTTGAGCTATCTCATCAGCACTAGCTTTGGGCACAAGGGAGTACAAGTCAACTCCCTCACTTAAAGTGCATAAACCCACCCTGTTGCACAGAATTTGTCATCCTACAATTCTTTGAGACTTATTTCACAAGGTTGCAGAGCCTTAAAGCTCTGGCTTGATGATGGCCAAAGTGAAAGGTGCACCAGCCCAAGTTTAACCCCAGATCCACAGTATGAAAAGTCTTCTGCATTGACCTTGTAAGGGAGGATGACAACCATCATTAGAGCTCTGTTTTTTTCCCTTTTATCATCAGTTAAGAATTGAATATAGAATGATTATGAAATAATAGGACTAACCCTTATTTAAAAAAACACAGCAGGACTCACTCCTCCAAATGTTTATATCCTTATATCTTAAATCCTTTGAAAGCCCTTCCAGCCTCATTTCTGATGATTAATCTTTGACTGCTACCACAAGCAAGGCACTAATGTATAAGTTAAAAAGCTGTGCATCCTAGTTTAATTATATTTATGAAATGCATTTTTGTTCATCTTATATACTCATGTAATATATAAAGTTAAATGAATAAGACTTAAAACGTTTTCAGGCTGGGCATGGTGGCTCACACCTGTAAACCCAGTACTTTGGGAGGCCAAGGCAGGAGGATCACTTGAGGTCAGAAGTTCGAGAACAGCCTGACCAACATGGTAAAACCCCATCTCTACTAAAAATACAAAAAGAAAAGAAAAGAAACAGCCAGGCGTGGTGGCGTGTGCCTGTAGTCCCAGCTACTCAGGAGGCTGAGGCAAGAGAATAGCTTGAACCCAGGAGGCAGAGGCTGCAGTGAGCAAAGATTGCACCACTGCACTCCAGCCTGGGCGACAGAGCAAGACTCCATCTCAAAAAAAAAAAAAAAAAAAAAGACTTAAAATGTTTTCACAGTATTCAAAAGTAAATTTTTTCTTTGGAAGTACTATGGCATCTGACTACTTCATCTTCTTTGTCTTACAAGGCTTGGTAATTAGCTACTGAAGCATATCTGTATAACAACACTATTACAAGCCAAAAGAAGCCAGAAGAAGGCCTAGATTTCTTACATTTTCCTGCTATCCTCTGTGTTGTTTTCTCTCACTTGAATTTTACTCAATATATTTTCAAAGTCTTTTTTAATTATTTCCCTTCAATTACTCCCCTTTACAAAATATAGCATTTCTGTGACTCTATAAGTTCCTAAGATTAGCTTCTTCTGTTGACTTTACAAAACAGATGTTTGTCAACATTCGCTCATTCCTCTGCTTTTTACTGTAGGCATGTGATTAGTACCTAGTCTAAAGGTTTTCAAATTGTTTGCATATTTCAAGGTATTAACTGTGCTGAAGATGGTTTTTCTGCCTCCTATTCCTTCAAACGATGGAGAAAGGGCCAAAGGAGGATTAGAATGGTTCTATTTGCTCAAGAAACCAGGCAAGCACATCATGCCAGGATGACATAAATCAATGAGGTCTGGATTTGTGAAGCATCTCAAGTTACATTTTAAAGAGAACAACTTTGAAAAAGCACAGAATACATCTTAATAGGAACCTTCCCCCTGGTTTCCTAGACCTTAATATGATTTGGATTTCTCTCTGGCCATTTATTTAACAATCCAATAAGCAGTAACTGAGGGTTTCCCATGTGTAAATTACATTGTCAGTCTCTGTGTGGGACACAGAGATAATTAAGATGTGGGCCCTGCTCCCAAAGAACTTGGTCTAAAGAGGTTTAGAAGAAAATAACTCTAATATGAAGGAAAATTTGCTAAATGCTATAGTAGAAATGTATTATATATTGCCAATGGAGAATTGGTAAAGAAGAGATTAATTCTGGCTGGCTCTGTCAGGCATTGTGGAGGGTTTAACATTTAAGTGGAGCCTTAAAGTTTGGTCAGGACTTCCTTTGTAATCCATGTTGGAAGGATGGAGGGGTAGGATTCAGTGGTGACAACAAAATTCAACTGAGGGAGTAGAGTGGATCCTGAAATGCTGGAGATCTGTTCCTTCCCATCTGTAACCCACTCACTTAAACAACAGCAGCTTCACTTCAGCTATTGTGGTTATCAAGGCTCCACGTATGTTTTCCTTTGACCTGTAGGCTCTGCTGTTAAAAAGAAGTTTGAAAACCATTGGATAAGATTATCATAAAGGGCCCATCCAGCACTAACCTTCTATGAATCACACAATAGATGAGGCATCACTACAAAAAGAAATATTTTCTTTGACGAAACATAGCAGCAGAAATTGTGAACATAGGTGAGCACTTACTATGGACCTAGGGTACTACAAATATTACCATTTAATTCATGCAGCAACCCTGTTTGGGTAGGTAGAATTATTATCCTGATTTTATAGGCAAGAAAACTAAGATTAGAGGAGTAAAATAACTTTCCTAAAGGCACAGAGCTAATAAAGTGGCAGAGCCAGGATTCAAATACAGGAAGCATGATGCCAAAGGGCAAACTCCTATTACCATTCTATGCCTCCCTAAGCATGGTGGAGCTCATATATTATTCAGAGGAGGGCTGGCCCCTGCAAGATTGTCCTTTTTTTGGTGAGACAAAGTCTCGCTCTGTTACCCAGGCTGGAGTGCAGTGGCACGATCTCAGCTCACCGCAACCTCTGCCTCCTGGGTTCAAGTGATTCTCCTGCCTCAGCCACCCAAGTAGTTGGGATTATAGGCACCCACCACCACGCCTGGCTAATTTTTGTATTTTTTGGTAGAGACGGGGTTTCACCATGTTGTCCAGGCTGGTCTCGAACTCCTCACCTCAAGTGATCCACCCGCCTCAGCCTCCCAAAGTGCTGGGATTACAGGCGTGAGCCACCGCACCCAGCCAAGATGGTCCCTTTCAAAATGTACACGCCTATGCCAATTATGCTATCATAGCCATTTTGGGGAAGAAACACTTGTTTTAGAATCATCTCTAGAATTGGGAGCACTTTCTTCTGAATGTCCTAAATTTTGGCAAATCCTTCTTGTCAGAGGTTGGTGATTAAAAAAAAAAAAAAGTCAAAAGTGACTGGGAGTCAGGTCTTCTAAAAAAAGTACATGACGCAGCTGGGCAATGGCAAGATGGTCAACAGTACAGTGCCAGTAAGAGGGCAGGTGACAGATGTTCCCACACAGTGTGTATGTCAGCTCAGAAGTAGCATTCCAAAGACAATTATAGCTGTGATGTTGGAAGGTACCTCTGGGCACCCAAGGTAACTACTTCAAAGGACAAAACTATTTTGGCTTTGTAAACTCTAGTGTGCATATTTCAAAAAATAAAGTTTCAGTGGCATGCCATGGAGGAACAGAAAACCATTTTTACTGATCTGCTCTGCCTCTCAGCAACTGAACACACATGGTCAAGTCTTTTAACATCTGTGAGCATCAATTTTCTCCTCTATCTAATAGAGACAATAAAACCCAACATGGAATACCACTGTAGGGATTTGACGAGAAAAAAAAAAATGTGTAAAGTAGCCAGTACCATGCCTGAACCTAAGTAGGTACTCCAAAAAGGAAGGTATTATTGTTTTTGAGCCGTTTATTAAATGTTCTCTGCAGATTTGGGAGTTTGAAATGGCTTTTACTTCAAACCAGACATACTTTGGAGTTTTTTCCCTAAATGCCATAGCTGGGTAGTTTATTCTAATATGATGTGGCACGTTTAGGCATGGAGAGTAAGAAATGAGTGCGTTTTGAAAACCAATCAAGCTCCTGCAAAACATTTATTGAAAATGCAATCTGCCACCACGGTATTTAACTCATTCAGGCTGCTAATAAACACTCTTCTAGTATCTCAGAAAGCATGGTTTAAAGAGAAATTTTCTGACCACAATAATTGCATCCCTTTTATAGCAATTGTCTTTCAAAAAAAATGACAGTTCTATATTGACAGGAAAGCAGGTGAACTTGGAATGAAATGTAAAGCTTTGTTCATACAGCTTGTTTTCCATGGCATGGGAGGTCTGCTTTTGAAAGCAAGCAAAGTGTTCATTTATTAAGAAAAAAAAAAACAGTTCTTTGGGCTCCTGCTAAGTGTTTTGGGGCTCAGCAATTATCCAAACCTCAGGTTATAGATTCAAACCTCCCTCCCACCCACTCCCCCACCTCCCTGAAAAACAGGAAATCTTACTGTGCCTGCATGATGTCTTCATCCCTGCAATCTTGCTGTGACTTGGGCTGAATATTATGTGAAGCAAGTCACAAAAGAGAAAAGCTGAAGGCAGGTGCAGGAACAAGACGCTGTGCTCCTTGGAGAGGGCCTTAGGTAAGTAGCTACAAGAGTTGTGCATGCCAATCAAAGACAGGCAAGGGTCAAGCTCCCTTTTGTGCACAAACAAAGACTAATTGCATGTTCATAGCTGTAGAGTCTGCAGGCACTAATTCGAGAGAAGAACTATAAAAACCTTGGACTCCCACCTCCCAACAGTGGCTAAGGCAAAGCGGAGGGCTCAAGGAGCCCAATGACTGTCAACCAGCTGGGCCTCTCCTGGCCTTCTCCACAGCAACCCAGGGGCTCCCACGTGGCTACCATTTCAGAAATGAAAATAAGCCATTTTGTAGAAACTGAAAGGATAGCTGTGTGTACATAACGTCAAGCCAATGAGCAGCAATGCAAAAGGCTCTGAGCCACTTAGCTTCCTTTGAAGCACAAGGCCCAGTACTGTTGGCCTGGCTTTTTCAATGAATCGACCAAATTACCTGGCTCTTTAGACATCTTATAGACATGACTGGTCAGTGTAAGTTTTTCTTTTCTTATATTTGAAGACAAAGGTCTGTTAGGGCGGTTTGTTCCATTTTGTAAGGAACCATTTTGAATCAAGTTACCATTAAGGCTGAGCGACTGTAGCAGTAGCTTTTGAATTTGTTATTAATCATAGCTTACATTCATAGACCACTTTCTCATTTCCAAAACACTTTCATTTATTCATTCCCTAAGTACTTTTTGGTGCTGCTACTACAGGTAAAGCACTGTGCTTGGCTCTATAGAGAAAATATAAGTGTTAGCCAAATAGGAACCATGCTCATTAAGCAGGATGGGCCTGATTATGTTCATTCTACAACCGAGGAAACTCACAACAGCAGTTAATGACTTGCTGCAGTCACACAGCTTCTTAGTGACAAAGGCAGGAGAGAATACAAGCTCCCCAGACCCCTGCTCAGTATTAAGCCCACTGCACCACACCGCCCTTCCACAGGTGTGTGTAAGGAGCCCTCCAGTGGAGGGCAGTGAGTGCAGTAGAGTACAGGAGTCTTCAAGACTGTACTCTTTCTCAATTAAAAATAAAATAAACACATCTTTTGCTGAACTCCCATATATAAACCAGATGAAAGTGGAGTTACTCTGGGTGAGGTGAAGATGGGGACACTGGTATAGCAAATTCCAGCTCTTCCACTGACAAGCTATGTGACCCTGCAGAATCACTCAATCTCTGGGCCTTACATTCCCCATCAGCAAAAGCAAGGAACTGGACTCACTAAAATATATGAGTCCCAAACTTGGCAAATTATCACTGACCCGGGGAATTGTAACAAGATCCCCAGAAGATTCTGCTTCTGAGCCAGGATCAAAAGCCCTGCATAAGATGATATTTAGTGACTAAGCTGGTCCCATGAGAATCCACACACATAAGAAAATACCACATAAAATTCTGGGATAGAATTCAAATGAGAAGGAGCCTGAAGAAGTTACTTATTTGTTTATTCATGCATGCATTCCACAATTCATTCTGAACTGTTCTATCTTACTTGATTTATATACTGAGCTCTGGAAACACAAATGTGACTAGTGTATAGTCCTTGTCCTTAAGACTCTCAAAGCCCATTTGGAGAGACAAGTGTGTAAGGAGATTAGTATCATGAAAGTGGTAGGCGCTTTAACAGGGAGAGGAAGAGTTCTGTGGGAACACAGAACAAAGAATGTATTAGGACATACAGGCCCAATCACAAAGTAGTGAGGAATGAGAGGTTGTTCACCATGGTAAGCCTTGGCTAAAAAGTTAAACTTCATCCTATAGGAAGTGGAAGACCCTTGAAGAGTTATAGGCAAGAGAACAATATGATACAATGATGTATGAAAAAAGATTCCTCTTTTGACTAGATGAAGAACAAGCTGGAAGGAGCCAGAGCAAAGACAGGAAGACCAACAAAGAGAGAGATGCCATTAAATGACATGAGAAACAACTGGGGCCAGAATTAGTGCATTCCCGGTTTGCCACTATATATTCTAGAGCAGTGCAGGGCACCTTGGAAGAGTTTGTTAAATGAAATAGATATGCCAGGCACTGTTCCAAGCATTTTACGTATTGCCTTGCTTAGTTCTTTTAACAATCCTACAAGGTAGGTAGCATTATTATCATAATGCTTTTTTTTTTTTTTTTTTTACAGTTGAAGAAACCAAGACCCAGAGAAGCCAAGAAACTTGTTCATGTAACACAGAAACTTAGTGCACGTGGGATATCACCCCAGGCATCTGACTCCAAAAGCCACATTCTTAACCACTCTACTCTGCTGACTCCCTAATAGGAAGCGGAATAGGCAGGTTTTGTCAACTGCTGGATGTGGAGGGTAAGAGAGGAAAGAGTCAAGGATGACAGCCAGGTTTCTGGAGTAGAGAGCTGGGTATACAATGAATAAATATGTTTATACATTTTCTTGATGAGGTGGAAGACAAGACTAAATGTTTGGTCAAGGGCACTGCGAATTTGAAAAGTGTGATAGCTGAAGGAGTAGAATAAGGCCTTGAAGACAGTGTGAAAGGGGGCTGCCAAGGCCCAGCAAACTGAGTGCTCAGCAGCTCCTTGGCCTTAGGATTTTGTTCCAGCTGTGCTCAGTCAACAGAAATGGAGTCAGGGCAAGGAGGGAGATGTCAACAATATTAGAAAACTTACTCTGGTCTTACAGTTCTGAAAATGAGCTCAATTACTATCTGTGATAGAAGCACACATGGGGCAGGAGCTAGAGAAAAAGTACATTTCTGACCAGTAAGCATAATGTTATATACCTTCTTAAAGCTCAACCAACACTTTCCTCTCCCTGACAAAGCACCACCTAGATGTTCTGGCACATTCCCTTGTGGTGCTCACCTAAGTGACTAGGGTGCAAGTGGAGGAACGGGTGGGGTGAGCAGGATATCTATTTTTGAGTCCAAAGCAAATGCTAGTTTGTAACATTTGGCTTGGAAAGTGAGCTTTCCCACCATCACCAATCAGACACTAAGGAACTATGGACACTGATCTGTAAGGGGTTGGGAGTAGGACTTGGAGTTCTGAAAGTTTAGTGAGGATCAGCATTACCTGGAAAGCTTGTTAAAACAGAACCTGCTGGGCCTCATCCCCAGAGTTTCTAATTCAGTAGATTTAGAGTGGGGCCTGAGGACTGATGTTTCTAACAAGTTCCCAGGCATGATGATGATGATGGCGATGGCGGTGGTGGTGGTGGTCTGGGGCCACTCTTTGAGAACCACTGGACTAGAGTAGCAGTTATCAAACATGTTGGTCTCAGGGCCCTTTCACACTCTTAACAATGACTGGAAATTTCAGAGGTTTTGTTTGTGTGGGTTGTATCTATATGAACTATATTAAAATGTTTGAGAACTTTAAAATGTATTTATTAATTTGCTTAAAATAAAAATAAACCTATTACATGTTAGCATACCATATTTTATGAAAATTACATATTTTAAAACAAAAAAGTGAGAAGAATGGCCTTGTTTCACATTTTTGCAAATCTCTTTAATGTCTGGCTTAACAGAAAATAGCTGGATCTTATATTGGCTTCTGATTTCAATCAGTTGCAATATGTGGTTATCATTGATGTATATAAAAAAGAAATCCAGCCTCACACAGATATATGTTTGGAAAAGGAAATATTATTTTGATAGCCTTTTCAGATAATTGTGGCTATTCTTCTTGGACCAAAACTCTGCAAGTGACAGGTTTTGTTGTTGTTTGTTTTGAGACAGAGTTTTGCTCTTGTTGCCCAGGCTGGAGTGCAATGGCACGATCTCGGCTCACCACAACCTCCGCTTCCCCGGGGTTCAAGCGATTCTCCTGCCTCAGCCTCCCGAGTAGCTGGGATTACAGGCATGCACCACCACGCCCGGCTAATTTTGTATTTTTAGTAGAGATGGGGTTTCTCCATGTTGGTCAGGCTGGTCTCGAACTCCCGACCTCAGGTGATCCGCCCATTTCGGCTTCCCAAAGTGCTGGGATTACAGGCGTGAGTCACTGCTCCCAGCTTGCAAGTAACAGTTTTTAAGTTAAGTTGCAATGTGGAATTGGAAAACATATCGGTACACTTTACTCTGTTATACCAAAATCCATTGCTTATATTTTGATCTTTGATTCATGCATTATATAATAACATCATGCATTGATCATTTCAAAAATATTGATTTCTGAGTTGCAAAAATCTTCCAAATATTTACTTTTAATTATACAAAATCCAAAAAAATCACATTTATTAATATCATCACCAGACTCGTTGGCAGAGTCTTCAAGTATTGGGAAACTGTCAAGCTCACAGTGGTGGATACAAGTTTTCCAAAATCCTCATTTTTGCTTGAAAGCTCAAATTCCATCATTGGCAACAAATACTGTCAGCTGTTTTCTTTGAAGTGACAGGCTCGCTTTGCTCATTTTTGAGAAAATGTCTTGTCATATACCCAAGTCTGAATAACCATAGTTTGTCTGTCAGTCATTCTTTTAAATTAAAAAAAGAAAAAAAACTTCCATGGGGAAACAAGTGGCCAGTTCAGCATACAATTCAAACAATTGCACAAGTGGTTTCTGTTAAGATAACTATCATACTTCAGTGTGCAGCAGAAGTGATTTATGCTTATAAGTACTTAAGAGTTGAGATTTAATAAAAATTATATTTTTGCCGGGCACAGTGGCTCACACCTGTAATCCCAGCACTTTGAGAGGCCGAGGCGGGTGGATCACGAGGTCAGGAGATCGAGACCATCCTGGCTAACACGGTGAAACCCCGTCTCTACTAAAAATACAAAAAATTAGCCGGGCATGGTAGCGGGCGCCTGTAGTCCCAGCTACTCGGGAGGCTGAGGCAGGAGAATGGCGTGAACCTGGGAGGCAGAGCTTGCAGTGAGCCAAGATCACGCCACTGCACTCCAGCCTGGGCAACAGAGCAAGACTCTGTCTCGAAAAAAAAAAAAAATTATGTTTTTAACTGCTTCATCAGGAACATTTTTAATTAAAAGTGGCATTTTAAATTCTTTGAGTGCTTAGTGAAGAAGAATACGATGACTGCTAGTACAGCTTTGTGCCACTGCCTTAATTCATGCCAATGAGCCAGCAGTGTTACCCACCATTGCTTCTGCACCTTCAGTGCAAATGTCAACACAGTGAAAGGGACACATAATGTACTTGCATTATTATTTTTAAAAAGTTTGGCCTCATGGCCTCCCCAGAAGGATCTTGGGGAACCCCCTCCCCACCAGGGTTCATGGACCATGTTGGCAAAACTGCTGGGCAAAAGTGTCCTGCATCCAAAGTTTTATTTCATTCACTCAAATACATTCAATAAATCCCTGCTATGTGCCAGCTTCCCTCCATCATTACAGTCTGCTACCTAGATCGAGTGGAGGGACTAGAACTTAAACAGAACTCTGCCTCTAAACTTGTAAAGGGGAACCACTTAGGTAACCCGAAAGGTGGTATTTCCCAAGGCGCTTTGCTTTGTCCAGACCCAGTACAATGTCATGGCATTTTGCACTGACTCAAAGATACCATGCTACTCATCCAGGTACACTGTATAGGCATTAGCAAGTCAGCTCACAAGGGCATCCATGCCTGAAGCCACCCACAATATTACAGACTTGATGGCTTTTAGGGAGATGAGTGGAGTAAGCCATGACACTGACATTCCATTCCACCTTATTTTGTTTGGTAAAATAAGTCTACATACTTTCTATATACTATGTATGTATGTGTATACATACACACACACATACCACATATGGATACTTCTAAATACCTTATATACGCTATATAGACTATGTATGGATAGTCTATATACTTTAAATCATAAAAAAGGGAATAGTTTTATAGCAATTACAGGTGTCAGTCACTACACAGTATTTACTTGTTTTCTTTTAAATCAGCACATAGCCAGGTGTGGTGGTTCACGCCTGTAATCCCAGCACTTTGGGAGGTCGAGGCAGGAGGATCACTTGAGGCCAGAAGTTTAAAAACAGTCTGGTCAACATAATGAGATCCTCTTCTCTGCAAAGGAAAAGAAAAAAAATTTTAATTAGTTGGGTGTGTATTAGTGCACACCTGTAGTCCCATCTACTCAGGAGGCTGAGGCTAGAGGACATTTGAGAGTAGAAGGTCAAGGCTGCAGTGAGCCATGATCATGCCACTGCGCTCCAGGCTGGGTGACAGAGAGAGACCCTGTCTCTAAATAAATGTATAAATAAAATAGCACATAGTAAGTACAATATAAGTGTCATAAAATAAAATACATATATTCCAGGGACTAATCTAAGGACCAAACTCAGTTTAGTCTCAGTCTTCTCAGGCAGATTTGACATAAAAGCTGTGTGTCTATTAATGATAATTTGCTACATTTAAGAATATATCAGAAAATAAAAAGCTTGAGAAGGTTTTTCCAATTAGTGTGGTGCAAGGCTTAAAATGTATCCTACTAGAAGTTGCAGCCAGTCTTCATTATAAGAAATACACTCCCAAATTCCAGATTCTTCTAAAGTTTCGATGACTGGCATTCTATGCTTACTTCCATACTAAAACTTTTGTTTTATTATATTTCCCCTCCCATCCTCCTTGCCTCCCTCTCCATATGATGCAGCTTGACAAAGCCCATTCAAATAGTTATTATTACATTTATAGTGAATTATATCACTTTCAACAAATGGTTGGGTTTTTCATTTAGTGCAAGTGTGCATCTTGTATATTGTGAGTACTCTCATTATTGGTATCCACTGTTTTATTAAAATAGAAGGGAAACATTTAGGTACAAATTTAGGAAATGCTATTCTCTGAAGCAATCCTCCGTGGTCCATTTGTTCTGGAGTGGAATCAATGCGGAAAGTTGCAAGGTATCATCAAAAGTTTATTTACATTCATTGTCTGCTTGTTTCCCACACAAATATATTCTGTGTTTAAGATGTATAAAGCCGAGCCAGGCCTTCTCACGCTGTTTGCAGTAAAATACGGCTTACCACGTCTCTCTGAGGAACCACTGACAAATAGGCTGTTGTTGTCCAACTTTCACTCTGCTGAGGGTAATGATTCAGTGGTTCAGAAGGTTAATTCCTGGAGATAGTGTTGTCTTTGGCTTGAACAGATGTTGGTAGTGCTTTAATGTGGTTATCAAACTAGGCTGCCCTTCATTCTTTGCTCTCTGGAGCCTAGGGCATTGTTCCACAAGGCATTCCAGCCCCCCTCTATGGAGATCCAGCAGAGCTGAACATACCACAGCATTACTCCTGCCAGCACAGGCTCCTCTGGGGTCACTGTGGATACTGACAATATGCAGCACAGAAACTGATAATGACCAACTTGATCTTTAAAAGATCTGTAAATATTTGTAAATGCATAATGATTTGAAATGCCTTTTGACACTCTGATTCAATAATCTGTAAAACTACTTACTGATTAGATGTTCAAATCCCTGAATAGCTCTACGGACTGGCCTCTCAATGGCTTACTAAATATCCTAATATCTTTTTGGCCATATCAATCGCCAAAATTGCTTGGAATAATTTATTATATAGTCAGGGTGTTCATGTCCACCAAATGGAATCAACATTGGGCAATAATCCAAATATTCAGCAAGTTCAGTTTTGCTGATGTTCATATGTAATGATGAAATACACTGCAACCAGCTTAGTGGAAGAAAGAGTTCTCTAGACTAGAAGAGATCATTTCTACCAAAGTACAGTTTCCTATTTTTCTGGCAAATTACTATGAATACAATGCCATTGAAACTGTAGCATCCCAGTAACACAGTGCCATTTCAAAATCAAACTGGTTGTTGACAACTTATTAGGTGTCTAAGCACAGAACGGAATAAGAAAAAATATAAGAACATCCTGCTTTTACGGAACTTAGTCATTTTGGAGAGCCCACAGTTACATGTATGAAATTATCTGAGAGCAATCACCACCAGAAGGAAGACGACTTAGTAATAAAATGTATGAGACTGTCTGGACAGCAAAAGCCATGAATGTCACAAAAGAGAGAAAGTGATTATGATAATGATTGATGCTGATGTTCAATACAGTTTTATTGACGTCTCACTCTGAGCCAGCCCTGAGTTAGGCTCTGTGGATACAAACATGAATAAAACAGAATCCTGCCCTCAAGGAGTTCACAGTCAGGTAGGGGAAAAAGAGCTGTGAACAGATCATTTCAATAAGATGGGGTACCACTTTAGTAGTCTTGGATATGATCCAGAAGAATTCTCTGGATTACCAGCCTGGGACTCCTGTCTCTTCCCTTACTTTCTCCCAAACAAATGGAGTCTCTCTCTCTCTGTGTGTCTCTGTTCTGAACCAACTGGAGCTGGGGGTGGGGTAATACAAGCACCCATGTGGCCACCACCAGTGGGACTGCACTGGGTAAGACCTGAAGCCAGCACAGCACTCAGTCTCACCCAAGAACTGCTGTAACCACTATCTGGCTACCGCCTGCATTTGCTCAAGGTCCTAGGGCTCTACAATCAGCAGGTGGCAAAGCCAGTCAGGTTTTTTTTCCTTCACTTCAGGGTAGTGAGTTCCCTCAGGCCCCAGGAAGTTTCAGAGATGCTATCCAGGAGCCATGGACTGGATTCAAAAACCTTACAAGTCTACCTGGTGTTCTAGTCTACTGTGACTAAGCCGGCCCTCAAACCACCGACACAGTCCTTCCCACTCTTTCCTCCCCTTCCCACAGGCAGAGGAGCCTCATCCCGTGACCATCACCACCACAGGCCCTTGGGGAGTATGGCCAGGCTACTGCTGATGTTCACTTAAGGCCCAAGGGCCCTTCAGTAAGTTTGTGTTGAATGCTGCCAGGCCTAGGACTCCCTTTCAGGGCAGTGGGCTCCCCTCTGACCCAGCACAGCTCTAGAAATGCCACACAAGTGTGAAGACCTGGAATTGGAGGCCCCAAGAGCCCACTTGATGTTCTGCTCCACTATGGCTGAGCTAGTACCTAAGGTACAAGTCAAAGGTCCCTTTACTTTCCACCGTGATTTTCTCAAGCAGAAGGATTCTTTCACCACAGCCACCACACAGTTAGGAATGTTCTGGGTCTCACCTGAAGACAGCATGCCTCAGTCTCACCCAAGGCCCCTGGCATCCTACCTGGGTATCACTGCTGTTTTTTTAGGGTCCAAGGGCTCTTTAGTCAGCAGGTGATAGTTTCTGTTGAGACTGCGTCCTTCCCTTCAAGGCAGCATGTTCCCTTCTGGCCCAGAGTGTATCTAGAAATGTCTAGGAGCTAGGGTCTAAAATGGGAGCCTCACAACTCTGACTGATGCCCTATCCTGCTGTGACTGAGCTTATATCAAAGATGCAAGACAAAATCCTCTTTATTCTTCGTTCTTCTCTTCTCAAGTGGAAGGAAGGGGTCTCTTCTGGAACCGTGAGCTGCACTGCCCGGAGTTAGGGGATGGGTGGTGCAGGCACTGCCTAAGCACTCCCTTAGCTGCCCTGGCTGGTGTCTCAGCAAGTTGCATGACTCCAAGTCCACCTGCTCTGAGCCCAGCTCCGCACTAGGATTCACCTAGGAGCTGCAGTCCTTGTGGCCTAGACTCTTGTTCAAGTTTATTTAGAGCCCCAGAACACTTCAGCCCACAGTGATGAGGCTTGCCAGAACTCATGTTGCAACTGATGGAATAGACGATTCCCCTCTGGTTAGGGCTGGTCTAAATGCTCTGTGTCTTCTGTAATTCTCTTCATCTTTGTTTTATAATTTTTAGTGTATAAATCTTTCATCTGTTCTCTTATTTCTAAGTATTAAGTCGACTGGTTTCAGCCCAGTTTTGCTTTCTGCTGTTACAGGGTGGCATTGAGTTCAATGCAAAGTCTGACAATTGCTTTGCTCTCCCCTCCTCCAAGCATACAGATTCTGTCTCCACACCACACAGCCACTTCTGAGGGGTTGGGGAAGTGTGGCACCAGCAATACAAGACTGTCATTCTTACCCTTTTCAATGTCCCTTTCAGCAATATGACACTAAAAATAGGTACTATAATTGCTCACCTGACTTTTGGTTCTTTTGAAGGTGATTTTTATGTAGATAGTTGTTAAGTGTTGTGTTCCTGTCAGGGAGACAATTAGTAGAGCCTTCTATCCAGCTATCTTCCTCTTCTCCCCATTGCCGTTGCAATTTTGCTAGGAATTGCAGTCAATCTATAGATCACTTTGGGTAATATGGACATTTCAACAATATTAATTCTTCCACTCCATCAACACAGGATATATTTTCATTTATCTGTGTCTTCTTTAATTTTCAATGTTTTATAATTTTCAGTGTGTAAGTCTTTTACCTGTGCTCTTTTTCCTAAGTATTTTATTCTTTGTGTGTGTGTGTGTGTGTGTGTGTGTGTGTGTGTGTGTGTGTGTGTGTCATTGTAAATGGGATTGTTTTCTCAATTTCCTTTTCGATAGTTCAGTATTAGTGGATGGGAGCAGCACTTTTGATTATTACAGAGACTGAATGAGTCGCTATTGGCATTTAGTAGTTGAAGACCTGGAATCCAGACATGCCTCACACAACAAAGAATTGACTTATTTCAAACATTATTATTATTATTATTATTATTATTATTATTATTATTATTAAGATGGAGTCTTACTCTGTCACCCAGGTGGGAGTGCAGTGGCGCAATCTCAGCTCACTGCAACCTCTGCCTCCTGGGTTCAAGTGATTCTCCCACCTCAGCCTCCCGAGTAACTGGGACTACAGGCATGTGCCACCAGGCCTGGCTAATTTTTGTATTTTTAGTAGAGATAGGGTTTCAACCATGTTGGCCAGGTTGGTCTCAAATTCCTGACCTCAAGTGATCTACCCACCATGGCCTTCCAAAGTGCCGGGATTACAGACATGAGCCACCGTGCCCGGCCTTCAGGCATTATTTTTGAAGGTCCCACCAAACTTCCATGTAGTAAGAAATCATTTTTATAAATATCAGAACCTTGAGCCTAGCTCCATCTTACATTTACTTTGGTTTTACTGGATACTGCATTTTCCAGAAATGCAAATGGTGCATATATCCAGGAAAGATCACACTGTGCTTTTGTTTTTAGTTCACTAGTCTGTCTAGGGTTGTCCATCATTTCAGAAAACCATCAGCTATGATAATGCTTATAAAATTTTGGTTGCTGACACAAACCCAGTAGCATCAGCCTGTATGCAGAGCTGCTACTTTCACACTGATTCTACATATAGGTGCAAACATCTACTATAGTTAAGTGTGAGCCATTGTGTATGAAGAAAAATGTATTACAATTACTTTCCTTCTATTTCCCCTTCATATTACAGTTAGGGCATTTTGTTTCTTTATGTTTAATTATGGGCATAAGTGTGTTATAGCAATTAATCTCTAACTTTACTACTTGTATAGACCACATGTGAATCTTATTGAAACACAAATTCTGATTTAGCAGACCTGAGAGTGGAACCCATGATTCTGCATATCTAACAAGCTCCCAGATGATGGCCAACATGCTGCTGGTCCCTGATGCTATTACACTTTGAGTAGTAATGGGCTATAGTAACTGTGCATTTCTTTTCAGGGTAAAGAGGCCATTGTCAAATAGGTATTCTATCCAAGGGACAGAGGGTCTGATGTGGTTGAGGATGGCTACGTTAGGCAGAAACTCAGAGCTCTAAAAATAGTTGAGGAAATAATACCTCCACAATAGACAAGCTGAGAGCCAAATCATAAGTGAACTCCCATTCACAATTGCTACAGAGAGAATAAAATACCTAGGAATACAACTTATAAGGGACGTGAAGGAACTCTTCAAGGAGAACTACAAACCACTGCTCAAGGAAATGAGAGAGGACACAAACAAATGGAAAAACATTCCATGCTCGTGAATAAGAAGAATTAATATCGTGAAAATGGCCATACTGCCCAAAGTAATTTTTAGATTCAATGCTATTCCCATTAAACTACCATTGACTTTCTTGGCAGAATTAGAAAAAACTACTTTAAATTTCATATGGAACCAAAAAAGGACCCGTATAGCCAAGAAAATCCTAAGCAAAAAGAACAACACTGGAGGCATCACGCTACCTGACTTCAACTATACTACAAGGCTACAGTAACCAAAACAGCACAGTACTGGTACCACATAGATATATAGACCAATGGAACAGAACAGAGAACTCACACATAACACCACACATCTACAACCATCTGATCTTTGACAAACCTGACAAAAACGAGCAATGGAGAAAGGATTCCCTATTTAGTAAATGGTGCTGGGAAAACTGGCTAGCCATATGCAAAAACAGAAACTGCACCCTTTCCTTACACCTTATACAAAAATTAACTCAAGATGGATTAAAGCCTTAAATGTAAAACCCCAAACTATAAAAACCGCAGAAGAAATGCTAGGCAATACCATTTAGGACATAGGCATGGGCAAAGACTTCATGACTGAAACACCAAAAGCAATGGCAACAAAAGCCAAAATAGACACACAGGATCTAATCAAACTAAAGAGCTTCTGCACAACAAAAGAAACTATCATCAGAGTGAACAGGCAACCTACAGAATGGGAGAAAATTTTGGCAATCTACCCATCGGACAAAGGTCTAATATCCAGAGTCTACAAGGAACTTAAACAAATTTACAAGAAAAAAAAAAAAAAACATCAAAAAGTGGGCAAAAGATATGAACCGACACTTCTCAAAAGAAGACATTTATGTGGCCAATAAACATATGAAAAAAAGCTCATCATCACTGGTCATTAGAGAAATGCAAATCAAAACCACAATGAGATATCACCTCACACGAGTTAAAATGGCGGTCATTAAAAAGTATGGAAACAACAGATGCCGGAGAGGATGTGGAGAAATAGGAATGCTTTTACACTGTTGGTGAAAGTGTAAATTAGTTCAACCATTGTGGAAGACAGTGTGGCAATTTCTCAAGGATCTAGAACCAGAAATACCATTTGACCCAGCAATCCCATTACTGGGTATATACCCAAAAAATTATAAATAGTCCTACTATAAAGACACATGCAAACGTATGTTTATTGCAGCACTATTTACAATAGCAAAGACTTGGAACCAACACAAATGCCCATCAATGATAGACTGGATAAAGAAAATCTGGCACATATATACCATGGAATACTATGCAACCATAAAAAAGAATGAGTTCATGTCCTGTGCAGGGACATGGATGAAGCTGGAAGCCATCATTCTCAGCAAACTAACATAGGAACAGAGAACCAAACACCACATGTTCTCACTCATAAGTGGGAGTTGAACACATGGACACAGGGAGGGGGACATCACACATTGAGGCCTGTCGGAGGGTGGGGGGAAAGGGGAGGGAGAGCATTAGGACAAATACCTAATGTATGCGGGGCTTAAAACCTAGATGGCAGGTTGATACGTGCAGCAAACCACCATGGCACATGTCCCAGTCCACTGACTCACATGTCAGTCTCCTCTGGAAACACCCTCAGAGACACACACCCAGAAACAATATTTCACCAGCCATCTAGGCATATCTCAGTTAAATCGATACCTAATCATCACATATGGTCTCATGTAATCTTCATAGCAACCCTGTAAGACCAGAATTATTCTTTAGATTCCAGATAAGAAAACTAAGACTCAGAGTGTAAACTGTCACACACTTTACAGGTGAAAGGCAAAGCCTGAAGTCAAGAATGAACTAAGGTCTGTTCAATTCCAGAGCCCTCACAGGGCCCTCAAGAGAAGCTTCTTTGTAACCCTGATCAAGGATTCATGCCCCTGTGCTCTGTCCAGTTGCAAACTCCACAAAACACTAAATTGCCCAAACAGTATTTTTCCATTCAGAAAGTTAAGAATTCATGGTCTCAGCCAGGCACAGTGGCTCACACCTATAATTCCAGCACTTTGGGAGGCTGAGGCAGGTGGATTGCCTGAGGTCAGGAGTTTGAGACCAGCATGGCCAACATCGTGAAACCCCGTCTCTGCTAAAAATACAAAAAATTAGCTGGACGTGGTGGCAGGCGCCTGTAATCCCAGCCACTTGGGAGGCTGAGGCAAGAGAATTGCTTGAACCTGGGAGGCGGAAGTTGCAGTTAGCCAAGATTGCGCCATTGCACTCCAGCCTGGGCAACAAGAGCAAGACTCTGTCTCAAAAACAAAAAAAGTTCATGGTCTCCCTCCTCTGCCCACCTGCTGGGCACTGGGCTGGGTTGGCCAGGCCTGGGGCCAGCCAATGCAACCATTCTCCACCTCTGGGCCTGCCACCCACTTTTTGCCTAGGTAGGGCAGGCTGCTCAGTCCACCATGGTTATATGTCTTCTTCTTGTTCCCATGCTTCCTACCCATGATGTAGCAAGATTTTTTCAGAGGAGAAAACTGAAACCTAAAGAACTTATGCCATTTGCCTAGCTCAGAACTGGCTGAGCGGAGACTGAAAGCAGATCAATTTGCTTCCAGAGAAAAGGCTCCCCAGCCGCATTACACATACCCATCCTGAAGCTTGAGGCAGAGACAGAAGCTGGGGCCTTGTGTTTAAACAAAAACTTCCTTTTCAAAACCCAAACTTGTCCTAGTTTCTCCTTTGTTAACTTGCCAAAGTAGGTGAGAGAGACTACTGCAGTGTCTACCTGATGTCTAACCCCTTAAAGTGTTTTTTTGTTTTTGTTTTTGTTTTTTAAAAAAAGGCTCTGTGATTTGGAGTGATTCAGTTTTTCTAAGATCAAATACCTGGTGTAACTTTGGTTTCCTTTTTTCATTGCCATAGAACTAGCTGATGGGTTATTGGCACCGTTCAGAGTGACCCATGGCTCTTGTGATTCTGTGCCTATGACTCAAAGGCAAAAAAGACTCAAGGAAAAGAGATTTTGAGGAAAGGTTTTTCAGAGTTCAGTGTAATAAACCATCTCCCAGCCCCTGAGAGTGGTTGAGAAGCAGAATGGTGGAGAACTGCCCATTGCACAACTCCAGAGTGCACCAGACCCTCTGCATTGTGGCCCAGGGGTGCCAGCCATGTACAACACATGGCAATGGTGACCCCTGGAGTTGTGCTATGCAATAACCTCTGATAAATTTCAATCACCTGGCTTCTGGACAAGGGTAGATCCAATTGAGGGTGGCCCTCTTACAAGGCTATGAAAATGTATGAATTAAAACTAAGGTATGTGCATGTGTTCACCAAAAGATGCATGTCTTAGTCTGTTTGGGCTGCTATAACAAAATACTATAAACCATGTAGCTTATAAACAACAGCAAGTTATTTTTCACAATTCTGGAGGCTGGAGAGTTGTAAGATCAAGGCACCAACAGGTGTGGTATCTGCTGAGAGACCAATTTCTGGGATAGCACCTTCTAGCTGTATCCTCACATTGGTGGAAGGAGCAAGGCGGCTTCCTCTGGCCTTTTATAAGGACAGTAATCTCATTCACGAGAGTCCTATTCATGACTTAATCATCTTCCAATGGCCCCACTTCCTAATGCCATCACACTCGGGATTAGGTTTCACAATATAGCTTTTTTTTTTTTTTTTGAGGTAATATAGACTTTACTTTCTATTTTTAACTTACACATAATTGTACATATTTTTATGAGGTACATAGTGATGTTTCGGTACATACAGTGTATAGTGATCAGATCAGGGGAATTAGCATATCCATGATCTCAAACATTTATCATTTCTTTGTGTTGGGACATTCAATATCCTCTCTTTTAGCTATTTGAAAATACATATTATTGTTAACTATAGTTATCCTACAGTGCTATAAAACTCTAGAGTTTGTTCTTCTTATCTAGCTGTAATTTTGTGTCCTTTAACAGATCTCTCCCTTACCCCCTCTTCCTCCTATTCTTTCCAGCCTCTAGTAACCCTTCAACATATGACTTTTGAGGGGATACAAACATTCAGATCATGGCAATGTACTAGAATGTATAGAGTATATATTTCCAATACCCCAAACTGACATATACTCAAACAGATAAAGTGTAATAGATTTACATATTAGAATACTATACAGCAACAAAAAAGAATAAGCTACTGATACATGCATCAATGAGGGAAGCTCATGGACATACCTTTCAGTAAAAGAAGCCAGACGCAAAAGAGGACAAGCTGTATGATTTCATTTACAAACATGGAGAAACCAAATCTATGCTGTTGGAAACCAGGCTGGTGATTAACTTTGGTGTACAGCCACTGGAAGGGAACAAATGGGAGATTTTCAGGATGCCAGTCATCTAAAATTTTTTGATCTGAATGCTAGTTACCCAGATGTATCAATTTGTGGAAATGCTTCGAATCGTATGCTCATGACATATGCTTCTCTTCAATTTTTTCAATTTTTAAAAAATAGGTAGAGGGCCTTGGAAGGTGCCTATATTCTAATCCTCCACATCCCTGGGACAATGAGTAAGAGAATGACAGCTGTCCCTTTAGTGTCCACCTCCTATGGCAGTCCCAGGAACAGACTCCACTGGGATCCTACAAGCAGGCCTTTGGAAGAAGGCTTTGAAAAACCAGCTCTGTCTTAGGCTCCCTGTAATCTAAGACTTCCAGCTGATGCATCTCATAGGCCTGCCTTCCCAGAAAGTCCCCTTCATTCCAAGTTTTCTGAGCCCTGTCTTCATCCCTTCTCCCAGCCCTTTAAGTCCAAAGTTCATCTGTTCTATGGCCCGTTCCCTCAGGCCTCTGCTTTCTGCTCCTGGGATCTCTGAAGACAAGGCCATAAGTAACAGAGTTAATGGTAGGAATTCAGGACTCTCAGCTGGCTGATAAGGGAGTTAATTCAAACACCAACAACAGCAATAGCTAACACTAAGAGCTTACCATATGTCACATGCTGTTCTAAGTGTTTTATGAGTATTCACTCAATTAATACTCACAATAATTCTAAGGCAGTTGCTATTACTATCATCTTTTTTCCAAATGAGAAAACTGGGATTCAGAGAGATGAAATAATTTTTCCAAGATAACACAGCCAATAAGTGAGAGAGGTGGGATTTGAACTAGGTTCTAATGGACTCCCAAATCTGCACTGAGAGCCACTAAGCTATGCTACTACAAGCACTTAAAGGCCATGCTTCTGAGCCAAAACTACTCCTTCATTCCCATTTCCTCCTGGATTTCAAGAGGCTCAGCAGTCTGCTCTCATTGCAGCCCCAGTTGCCCCCAGCCCCCATTGAGGCAGGAGCCCAGTGGCTGCTATGCACTGGAAAAGCCCCCATCCCATCAGCCTGGTAAACATAAGCAGAACGCAAATCTAAATCTAAAATAATTTCAAAATATAACAAAAGAAACAACAGGTGCTGGAGAGGATGTGGAGAAATAGGAATGCTTTTACACTGTTGGTGGGACTGTAAACTAGTTCAACCATTGTGGAAGACAGTGTGGCGATTCCTCAGGAATCTATAACTAGAAATACCATTTGACCCAGCCATCCCATTACTGGGTATATATATATACCCAAAGGATTATAAATCATGCTGCTATAAAGACACATGCACACGTATGTTTATTGCGGCACTATTCACTATAGCAAAGACTTGGAACCAACCCAAATGTCCAACAATGATAGACTGGATTAAGAAACTGTGGCACATATACACCATAGAATACTATGAAGCCATAAAAAATGATGAGTTCTTGTCCTTTGTAGGGGCATGGATGAAGCTGGAAACCATCATTCTCAGCAAACTATCGCAAGGACAAAAAAAACAAACACTGCATGTTCTCACTCATAGGTGGGACTTGAACAATGAGAACACTTGGACACAGGAAGGGGAACATCACACACCGGGGCCTGTTGTGGGGTGGGGAGAGGGGGGAGGGATAGCATTAGGAGATATACCTAATGTAAATGACGAGTTAATGGGTGCAGCACACCAACATGGCACATGTATACATATGTAACAAACCTGCACGTTGTGCACATGTACCGTAGAACTTAAAGTATAATAAAAAATATATATATTTTAAAAAAAAGCATTCTCAAGTGCTGTGGTGCTATCATGGCCTCTGTGTGCCTGTGAGTACATGTATGTGTGTGCTCTCAGATGTGTGCATGAACATGTCTGCATGCATATCTGTGGTCAAATATGTCTATGATTGGCCACAAATCTTTTGGTACCTTAATCTGTGTGCGTGTGCATTTTCTATTTCTGTGATGTGTGGCTATAAGTGTGGTATGTGTGTCTAGGTGTTTGGGTATATGTGTACTTATGTGAACATTCTATGATTATACATGTGTAGCTATGTGTATGTGCATTGGTGTGTATGTGTCCATGAGCATACACATGTGATGAGCACACATGTGGATGTTAGTGTGCTATTAAGTGTGTAAGCACATTCTCTGCCTCTGCATATCTCTCCATATGAGGCTGTCTGTATATATCACTGTATCTCTATGTACTTGTCTGTATATTTGCCTAAATTCTTGCATGCATTTATGTTTGTGGATTTCTATGTATGCCTGTGTGAGTGCATGTCTGTGCATTTGTGACTTCAGTTCAGGGGTACCTCTATATACCTGTGTGTGTATGTGGTTTTAGGTGTTGAACTGTATATTTGCATGCTTATATGAATTTTGCATGCTTGGTGTGTCTGTGTGGATCTGTAGTATGTCTGTGTGTGTGCACATATCTGTATGTTTGTATGCATAAAGTGCATGTAGGGTTTTATATATGTCTGTATGTACATATATAAATACCCAGCTACATAAAAATCTCTTAGAATCTCATTTCATCAGACCATACTGCCCCAAATCACACCCACTTATTTCTTGAAGATGTTCACTCCTGGTACACTATTGCTCCCCCCAACACTATGCCTGCTTCAATCCCCGGCAATTGTAATATAAATATAGATTATCTACCCAACACCCTGGCTTCTCAGTTCTTTGAACTCCAACAATTGCATTTTTGACCCCGCCACAGTCACTAATTCCCACAGTCACATTTTAAAGTGTTATCTCTTGCTGTACAACATACCACTGCAACACCGTGGCTTCAAACAACAAACAAATGTATTATTTCTCACAATTCTGTGAATTGGCTAAGCGGTTCTTTGTGCTGGTCTCACCTGGGCTCACTCATGCCTTTGGTTGTGAGCTGGCTGGGGACTGGATTCAGCTGGACTTCTCTCTCCAAGTAGTATTTCATCCTCAAAGAGGTGTTTTGTTTTTTAATGTAGTGGTGGCAGCTTAGCAAAGCCGAAGCTGCCAGGCCTCTTGAGGCAGAAGCTCAGAAGTCATACATTACTTTTTCCTCTTTCTCTTGGTCAAATCACAGGGCCAGCTCAGGTTCAAGAGGCAGAGAAACAGACTTCACTGTGGATAGAAGGCACTGCAAAGAACTTGGGGTCATTTCTCATCAACAATACTTAGGCCTGTGTCAGTTCCAGGGTCAGGTTCCAGCCCATGCTGAGGTCCAGAGGGAGTTGGTGGATGAGTAGCAGATAGCTGAAAGAACACCTGGGGGGACGCAGGTAGGTGAAAGATGATTTTATTCAGCAGCAGTTTTCAGCAGGAGCTCTCTTACACTGCCTGCTCTGTCTCAGCTGCTTGAGCGGGCAGCCCCCATGACAGCTGCGCGGCCGGCTCTCCCTTGCCTTCAGGGTCAGCAGCTTGACTATTTCTCTGGGCACAAGAAAGCCAAGCTGTGTCCTAGTTCCCTCCTGTCTGTCCGCAAGACTGACAGCTTTGACTCTCTCTCTCTGGGCGCAAGCGTGCTTGTACAGTGTCAGCAGGGCAATTATACCTTTTACAGACAATAGTGGCATAGAGCCAAGCGATGGCCTTCCCATGTTATGGCTACACGGCTGTGATAACAAGTGAAGTTATATGCCTGCACTCTAAACTCGCTGAGTCACTCTGGATGTTTACCTCGGCCTATCCTTGACCAAAGCACAGCCATGTTCCTTACACCTTGCCATGACCAATAACTGCAAATCTCCCATAATCTCAATTTCATAGTCACCCTCTCTGACCACCACCTCCTATCTTTTCAGTTCACTCCTTCTTATATTGCAAATCTAGTAGTCCTTCACCCTGCTGGGACATCCATTTTACTGATACTACCATCTTTGCACTGTCTACCTACCTGGTATCCTTTCTGTCTTCTTTCCTGGCCCAGCTTAAATTATGTCAGTCACTCACTAGAATATCTTGTGGCACTTATCTAAGCAACACTCCTGGTTAAATCAACTCTCCACCTCCTCTGTGCTTCCACCTGCGTACCTGAATGAAACTGGGTGGGGGGTGGGCGGGGGGGCGGGGGTGGGTTGTGGAATACAGGATTCCAGCTGGTTTCACTTTCAACTCATGAACCAACCCCAAATCAGGTGGGACACTAAATTTACCCCAGAATCATATTATAGTCTCCTAGTCTATTTATTGTGATACTCCTTGAAAAACATATTATGTTTTCTTCTCTCTCTTCAAACTTCTAAGTTAACCCCATGCTCAGCTATGAATTTGCTTCCTGTTTCTCTAAAAATATGTCAGCATCTTTGTCTACATATGCTAGTTTCCTTTTACTGGGGATAAAAAGTTGACGCTCCTAGCTAAGCTCAACCTCTTCACCTGTGCATGGAGTCGCATTCCTTCCACCTGCTCAAGCACATCCTCTAGCAATTCTTCCCTCTATTTTCTGCACCACAAATCTTTCTCTATGGGATCCAGCAATTCTGGATCATTTCTATCATCATGTGAGCACACCAGAATTTTTTTTCTCTCAATTAAAAAAAAAAAAATCTCAAGGGACCCTTGAGCTCACTTTCCCTTCAGCTCTTGCTCCGTTTCTTTACTCCCCTTTATTGCAAAACTTGGGAGTTACCGATATTTGCCGTTTCCAATTCTTTCCCTCTCATTCCTTTTTTAACCTATTTCAATCAGGCTTTCTGTCCCACGACTTCACTCTAAACTGCTGTTCTCAAGGTTGCCAACGACCTCCACGTTTTCAGATACAGTAGTCAATTCTCACACCTCATGTTGACTCATCAGCCACATTCGGCAGTTGATGAACAGTTGATGATGATCATAAACACTGGATCATCCTACAAACTCTTCACTTGGCTTCCAGGACACCTACACTCAACCATCTCTGCTTTCCTAGTTTACTGACCATTCTTCCTCATCTCCTTTGCTGAACTTCTCACCTTTTGACTTATTAACTTAACAATGCACCAGGGCTCAGTTCTTGAAGCTCTTTTTCTTTACTTACACTTACTCCCTTGCTAATCTTATCTAGTTTCATGCTTTTATCTATTCTCCAACAATTCACAGATTTTTATCTTGAGATCAGATCTCTTCTCTGAACTCCAGACTTTCACATTCAACTACATACTTGTATCTCCATTTGAATGTCTAATTGGCATCTCAAACTTAACATGTTCAAAAACCAATTCTTGATCTTCGCATACCAATCTGCACTTTCTATGGTATTGGCCATCTGTTAATGGCAATTCCACACTTCTTGTTGCTTACGCAAAATATCTTGGCATCATCTTGACTTCTCTCTTTTTCTCACAACTCTAACCCAATCCACCTGTAAATTATGTTGGCTCTATTCTCATAATATATCCAAATATCTCTCACCATCTCCCTTCATATCAGTTTAACCCAATCCACCATAATGTCTTGCTTGGACTTACACAATAGCCTCCTAACTAGTATTTGAGATTTTATCCTTAATTTGCTTCTGCTTGTTTTCAAAGAGAATCCAGAGTGATCTTGTTAAAACATAAATTACATATACAATTATTATGTGCCAATTTTAAAAACATAAATTAGATCATGCTATTCCTCTGCTCAAAATCTTGCCACATTTCTACATCATGGAGGAAAATCCAAAGCCCTTATACTGATTACAAAGACCTACATGATCTGGGCCATCCCCACTTATCTACTACTGTCCCTTTCTTTCAGCCCACTTCAGACACACTGGCCTCCTCGCTAATACTTGAACATGCCAGGAATTCTCCAATCTCAGGGCACTTGACCCTGATATTTCCTCAGCCTGGAAATCTCTTGTTCCAGGCAGCTGCATGCTTGCTCTCTGCTCTCCTTTAGATCTTTACTCAAAAAGTATCGTCCTTATTGTACCTTCTGTAGCCACCCTTAAGTAAAATATCAACCCCCTACCCAGCATTTCATATCTCTCTTCTGTTTATATTTTCTCCTGAGCACTTTTCACTATCCAGTTATACAGTATTTTAAAATCTTGTTTATCTTCTTTCTCATCCACTAGAATGTTGGATCCACAAGACCAGGAAATTTTGCCTGTTTTCTTCAATGCTGCATCTCCAGTGGAGAAGCCTAGAAGAGCTTCAGTCAAATAATGTAATGTTTACTCAATAAATGTCATTGAATTCACTGATGAATAAATACATCTGTGTGTATCTACATATGCATCTCTGTATGTGAATGCGTGTGCACACATCTACATGTTACCAACTGTACGTGCCCACAGATGTGTATATATCTGTGTAGACCCAGTTAGTAAGTGGCAAAGTTGAAATTTGAGTAGTAACAGTTGGTTTTTACTGTTTATGGTGTGCATAGCACTGTGCTAAGCACTTTGCAGAAAGTATTGCATTTAATCCTATCCATGAGGCAGGTGCAGTGTCCTGTTTAAGATGAATATCTAGAGCCAGGCTGCCTGTTTGAATCCCAGCTCTTCCACTTCCTAGACGTGTAAGCATGGACTAACCACTTATCCTTCCCAAGACTCATTTTTTAATCTGTAAAATGAGGATAACAATAGTACCTTTATAAAGTCGTTGTGAAGATTAAATGAGAAAATACATAGGTAGCATTTAGAACAGTGCCAGCCACCTAGTAAGCACCATATGAATATTTGCTATTGCTCTCAATTTACAGAAAATTAGACTGAAGCTCTGAAAGGTTGAATTTGGCTTAATAACAACAATAATAGAAGGATAATAGCTTCCATTTACCAAGTGCTTACTATATACTAAATGGACCCTTTTCATACATTATAATATAGATATTTATATATGTAGGAATATATACACATTATTCATGTGTTTATGTATATATTTTTTAAATGACAAAATTAAAAAGTTAAGCAACCTGTCCAGGGTTGCACAGATCTATATAGGAGATGCACAGCTGGTCTGTGTGAGGCCAGAGTTTGTACCCTCAACCACCTTGCACTAACGTAGCTGTGTTATGTAAGTATATGCTTGTGCATGTCTTTGTGTGCATGTTGTATGCAAAGGCATGTGAGTATATGTGGCTGTTTCTGTAATCGTAGGTGTCTCTATGCCCCTGTGAGCACGTGCATGATTTTAAGAGATCATTCCAATTTACTCGCCTGTTCTTCTCCAATACAGCCAGCAGAGGGGGCTCAGGAGTTTTTTTCTCCTCTTGAGAAGAGAGTGCACATTAAATTTTTTTCTCATCTTGAGAAGAGAGTGCACATTGAACAGACAAAATTTAATTTAATAAAATTAATAAAACAGAGCGCATTTTCCTTTGAAAATGCTAGTTCTTGAAGGGGATAGCTGTGGTCTATAAATGGCTTTTCATACCCTGAAGACAGAAAGCAGGCAGCCACTCAGACTTCGAATCTCTCCACCATCAAGACCGTTTCTGAGAGCAGGCATCCAGCTCCCAAAGAAGGCTAAACCCCTGAGCTGCCAAGCATCACTTCCGTCTCTTCTGTGACATCACACATGGCTCACTCACAGCCTTCTGACTTTCCAAAAAGCCCCTCTGCAGCTACCCTACAACCAACCAAGTACCCAACTTTCCTGTTTTCCTTTGGGTAGCTGTTCAGATGCAATTCAACTGACACTGATAGAACACCCATGAGGCCAGGATTTGTCTCATTTAAACCTCCCAACAAGTCTAGGAGACAAGAATCACTATTTTACTCTTCTCATTTAGCAAAAGAAGAATCAAGGCTTAGAGAGGAGGGTGTCTTGCCCAAGGTCACACAGTCCATAGGAGGCAGAGGCAGAAATGAAACCCAGATTCCTCTGAATCTAGAACCTACTCTCCCTTCTACTACACCATGGGCTATGGAAATTGGTGGGGTTATAATTGGAACCCAGGCGGTGACTGACTCCTTTTCTTGACTAACCCATATGCCAAAAATTCTCAAACCTGAATATGCACCAAAATCACCTGTGGGTATTGTTTGAGAAAAATGAAAATGCAAACAAAAATACAAGGCACAGGGAGTCTCAGTGTGTAGCAAGCCCAGGAATTTGCCTTGGTAATGAAGACTACATGTGACTCTGATGCAGATGGTCCCCTGGCCACACTGGGGAGAACATCGGGCATTTCACAAGGCCCACTCAACTTCACTCAAGCACCACAAATTCTTGGCCAGCCAACTCAAAAAGCCTCAGAACACTTCCAAATACCCACAGTGACCATTGATGGAGCACCTGCCACATGCTGGGGACTTTACATTTAGGTCTGTGATCTATTATGATCTATTTCAAGTTCATTTTGAGGAAAGATATAAGGTCTGTGTCTAGATTATTTTTATATGAATGTCCAATTGTTTCAGCATCATTTGTCGAAAAGACTGTCTTTGCTCCATTGAATTGACTGTGCTTCCTTGTCAAAAAATAGTTGACTATATTTGTGTGGGTCTATTTTCTGAGGTCTCTATTTTGTTCTACTGATTTACTTGTCTATTCATTCACCAATGCAACAGCATCTGATTCCTGTCACTTTTTAGTAAGTCTTCAAATCATAGTAGTAGTCTGAGCCCTCCAACTTTGTTCTTCTTCAGTATTTTGTTGGCTATTTTAGGCCTTTTGCCTTTCCATATAAATTTTAGAATCAGTTTGTGGATTTCTACAAAGAGCTTAATAGGATTTTGATTGGGATTGCATTGAAGCTATAGGTCAGTTGGGAATAATCGACATCTTAACAACACTTGGGTTTTCAGTCCGTTAATGTGAGATAACTCTCCATTTATTTAGGTCTTCTTTGATTTCTTTCATCAGCACATTGTAGCTTTCCACATATAAATCCTGCAAGTATTTGTTACATTTGTACCTAAGTATTTAAATTTTGGCGCTATTTTAAATGGTATTCGTTTTTAACTCTTAATTTATTTCCAATTGTTCATTGCTGTTATATAGCAAAGAAATTAACTTCTATATATTAACCTTGTACCCTATGACTAACCACTTATTTGTTCCAGGAGAATGTTTTGTCAATCCTTTGGCATATTCTACATAGATATTAATGTCATCTGCAAAGACCCAGGCAATTTAGATACATCATACTATTTAATTCTCAAGCCAAGTCTGCAAGTCAGGTCCTATATGTATCACCATTTTCCAGAGAAGAAAACTGAGGCTAAGCTACCTTAATTCAATTCTCCAAGGTAAAAAGCTTAGAAATGGAGGAGCTGAGATTTAATGAAGGTCTACCTTTATCTACCACTTGTGATTCCTATACTCCACCGCAGTGAGCTGCTTCAAAAAGTATGCTGCAGGAAAATATAGCAAAAGCCCCATGGGGACAGGGGAATCAATCTGTGTACCACATCCAGTCTGTATCATTGAGCAAGTCATTACATATCTGTGGAACACTGGTCCAGTCCTAGGACCCCATGAAATATGGATAAGAAAGTAAGGCTCAGAGATGCTACTTGAAATTTGTAATTTAAGAGAACTGTCTAGATTAATAACAAATCAGAAGAGCACATGGAAAAGGTATTTGAAAAAGCAAGGGACCTTAAATTCTGGACATAATGTACCCTCTCAGCACCCCCTGACACACACACATGCTGAAATGAGGGTTAAGCCACCATATCAGGAGGCCCAGGCCCAGCCAAGCCCAATCACAAAACAGTCTCAAATCCCTAAGTGAAACCCATACCAGACACAATCTAAGTGGTGATCAGAAGCAAGGTGACAAGGAGGAAGGGACCTCACAAGATGGAAACAGCAGGTAAACACCATGAAGTTCACAACTGACATTGGTCTCCACAGCAACACTGAGTGTTTTCTAAAACAGGGGACCCCATCTCATTCATCCTTAAAGTGCAGCCCAGAACTAGATGTATAGCAGATATTCAACAAACATGAACAATTCTCCTTGACGCCTCTATAAGGAGATGGATCTTTTAGCGCAAGCTCAGATCACACCTATACCCCAGTTGACGGGTTTGCTACCTCATTTCAGGACACATACCCTAAGGACTACTAGTACTGCCCCAGGATGAGATTTATCCAGTGGCCTTTCATTCAGCCATTGTACATTTACTGAGACCTTCGCTAGGCCCTGTGCAGGACTCTAAACTTGATCACGGGCTCTGGGGTCAGCCAAGCCTGGGTGCAAATTACTGCTCTCCACTGATCAGCTTTGTGCACTCGCGCAACTTCACCTCTGTAACCCTTGATCTCTTTATCACGAAAAAGGGATGGAAATCCTACCAATTTCACAGGACACTGGTGGGGATGAAGTCAGAGGATAGGGGTGACGCTCTGAGCACAGGGTCTGGCACCCAGGCAATGCTCCATATAGGTCGGCTATTGTTACCCAAGATCCCTGCCCTGGAGCCCTGCTGTCTGACCACAGGATGTGGTGGCTGTGGAGAGTCCAGGATCCCTGCACGGTCCCACTTGGCCACTTCCTAATTAGCCAGCAATCCTGGGGCACAGGAGGCAGGAGGTGAGTGAGGAGTGGCTGATGAGAGTCACTCTCAAGGACCTCTCAGCTGCTCTACGAAGAAGTCAGTATCAGCCAATGACCCAGTGGCAGAATGAACACCTAATACACCAGGGTTGGAACATGTGGGAACAGGAAAGCCTGGTTTTCAAAAGTAAGCAATAGGACTGTGGCAAGGATTAAGTAAATTGATTCATGCAAAGTACTTAGTAAATTGATTCATGTAGAGCCCAGGGCCTAGGTTCAGTGAATATCAGCTTCTGGTACATTAGCCGCGGTCTCAGCCCCTTAGGGATCTGGCTAGTGTACAGCCCAATGTAATCATGGAACCCACCTGCACTTGTAGGGCGTGGTCTACGGTGGTGGAATTTGTGGAGCCCTAAACAGGCCCTGCTGCCTCAAAACCCCCTCTACCCCAGATGTCACAGTGCCACGCTGTCATTATGAGACAGGCATTCCACATAGAATGGGTGGCGAATATGCAGCACTAGTTCTCAGAACACTTCCACCTTCATGAGGGCAGACATCACTGAAGAGGTTCTCTGTCCCATCGAGTCCAGACAGGACCTTGGATCAGGCTTCATGACACAGTGCTCTGCGTAGAAATTGCTCTGGGAGTTGTACCTCTTGCTTCTCTGAGACAGGTTCTCTGTCATTGCTTTATTTTATTTCTGATTTAGTTTTACAATTAGTGGCACTTTATCTGTCACTGTCTATGTGTTTATTGAAATCTTAGTTGAGGTAATTGTAGATGTAAGAGATAATACAGAGAGATCCCATGTACCCTAGATCCAGTCTCCCCAAAGGGTAACATCTTAGAAAACTGTACTACAAGATCGCAACCAAGACAATGACATTTGTACAATCCACCGATGTTATTCACATTTCCCTGGTTTTGCGTGTACCCATTTGCATGTGTGTGTATTTTGTTCCACGGAATTTTATCACATATGTAGGTTCATGTATCTAACAGCACAGTCAACATACTGAACAATTTTATTACCACAAGGATCATTCATTTTTCCTTTTATAATCACATGTACCTCCCTCCCAGACCCCAGCACCCATCCCTAATCCCTGGTAATCACTAATCTGTTTGCCAGTTCTATATTTTGTCATTATAAGAATATTAGAATATTATATAGGGTAATAGGCTTAGTGTCTGTGTGATGAAATAATCCATACAACAAACCCCTGTGACAGGACTTTGCCTATATAACAAACTGGCACATGTACCCCTGAACCTAAAATAAAAGTTTAAAATAAATAAATAAATAAATAAATAAATAAATAAATAAAAATGAATATTATAAAAATGGAATCCTACTGTCTGTAACCTTATGGATTGACTCTTTTTATTCAGCTTAATTCCCTGGAGAGCCATCCAGACTGTTGTGTATACTAAGAGTTCACTAATTTTCATGGCTGAGTAATATTCCATGGTGGATATACCACAGTATTTTTCTCTAACCATTCACCTACTATAAGACATCTGTACCGTTTCCAAGTTTTGTTTTGTTTTGTTTTTCTAATACAAATAAGTGTGCTATGAATATTCATGTACCAATTTTTGCATGAGCACAAGTCTTCATTTTCAGGGACAAATGCTCAGTAATGCAATTGCCAGTCTTATAGCAGTTGCATGTTCACTTTTTAAAGAAATGATTTTCCAGAGTGACTTTACCATTTCACATTCCCACAGCAATGTATGAGTGATTCTGTTTCTCCATACCCTCAGCAGCGTTTGTTATTATCACTACTTTTCATTTCAAGCATTCTTATTGATAGCTGTGTAGTGGCATTCCATTGTGGTTTTAATTTGCATTTTCCTTATGTTGAGGTATTGATGTGGAACACCATTTAAAAATTTTTTTTCACCTCTTAAAAAAAATACAGATTTTCACCGTGTTGTCCAGGCTGGTCTCAAACTCCTGAGCTCAAGTAATGCTCTTGTCTCAGCTTCCCAAAATGCTGGGATTATAGGTGTAAGCCACCATGCCCAGCCTGGAACATCTCTTTATGTACTTATTTGCCACCAGTATATCCTCTTCAGTAAAATGACTATTCATGTCTTATGTTCTATTTCTTATTAAATTATTTGTTATGACTGTTGAGTTTTGTGAGTTTCTTTTATATCCTAGATCCTAGTCCTTTCCCAGATATATGGTTTTCAAATATTTTCTCCTGATCTTTTCAGACAGTAGACTGTTTTTTCAACCTCTTTGCACGTCCTAATTTTGATGAGGTATAGTTTGTAGTTTTCCTTTTATGGATGGTGTTTTTGAGCTATTCATAGGATTTCAGATAAGGCATAGTGGACCTGTCCTCTTTGTTCTAGAGGTCGGTTATCTTGGAGGTTTGTGGATTGGGGTCAGACCTTAATCACTATGTGTCAAGCATGCTCCAAACATTACTTCATTTAATCCTCCCAGGCACCCTATGAGATAGATGCCATTATCAGCGGCATTTTATACATGAAGAAACTGAGGCAAGAAAGACTTGGGGTCTGGCCCAAGATCCCAGAGGTAAGAACTAGGAGGTGGAAGAGCTGGGACACAAATCTTCTTTCTGTTGGTGACTCTCTGCAGTCCTGAAGTGGCATAGTGCATCCATCACATGGTGAGGGGAATAGGCATGCTAAATCAGGTCTCGTTTCCTCTTCTTATAAAGCCACCAGTCCCACTCCCATGATAACCCAATAATCCATTAGCCCATGAATGGATTAATCTATTTCATAAGAGCTCTGCCTACTGTGACCCAATCATTTTTTAAAGGTTTCATGTCTCAATACTGCCACATTGGGGTTAAATTTCAACATGAGTTTTGAAGGGGACAAATATTCAAGCCATAGCACTTATATTCATAGCAGCATTATTCACATTGGCCAAGAGGCAGAAACAATCCAAATGTCCATTGATGGACAAATGGACAAACAAAATATGGAATATAAGTATAGTGGGATACTATGCAGCCCTAAAAAGGAAGGAAATCCTGTCACACACTACAACATGGATGAACCATGAGGATATTATGCTAAATGAAGTAAATCAGTCACAAAAGGACAACTACAGTAAGATGCCACTTTATATGAGTGCTATAGTTTGAATGTGTCCCCCAAAGCTCTTGTGTTGACAGTTTGATCCCCAATGTGACAATATTAAGAGGTGAGACCTTTAAGATATGATTAGACCATGAGGGCTCTGGCCTCATGAGTGGATTGATGCCATTATCATTCAGTGTGTTTATTATAAAAGGATGAATTTCCCTGCCCCCACCATCCTCTCCTTTTCAAGCATAAACTGGCACAGCAAGGAGGCCCTCACCAGATGTTGGCCCCTCAATCTTGGACTTCCCAGCCTCCAGAACTGTGAGAAATAATGTTTTTTCTTTATACATTACTCATTATCTAGTATTATGTTACAGCAGCAAGAAACAGACTCAAACACTGATATATCCAAAATATTCAAATTCACAGCTATAGAAAATAGAATGGTGGTTACCAGGAGCTGAGGAGAGAGGATAAAAGGGAGTTGTTATTTAACAGGTACAGAGATTGAGTCAGTAATCAAAAACTTCCAGTAAAGAAAAGCCCAGACCAGATAGATTCACTGGTAAAGTCTCAAATGATTAAAGAAAAATTAACATGAATATGTCTTAAACTGTTTCAAAAAATAGAAAAGCCAGGGAGGGTAGCATGCAACTGTAATCCCAACTATTTGGGAGGCTAAGGTGGGAAGATTCCTCGAGGCCAAGAATTCAAGGTTGCAGTGTGCTATGATTGTACCTATGAAGTGTCACTGCACTCCATTCAAGGCAACATAGCAAGACCCTGTCTTTAAAAAAAAAAATAGTAAAAGAAAATAGAAGAGCAGAGAACACTTACTAATATGAAGCCAGTATTACCCTAATGCTAATGCCAAAGAGATTACAAGAAAATAAAACTACAGACCAGAATCCTTATGAATAGACACAAAATCCTCAACAAAATACTAGCAAACCAAATCCAACAACATATAAAAAAGATTACACACCATAAATAAGTGGGATTTATCATATTGGGTCACCATATTAAAACCAATCAATGTAATATATCCTATTAATAAAGGAAAAAACACAATAATCTCAATAGATGTACAACAAAACATTTGGTAAAAATCTAAGACCCTTTATTGGTAAAAACGCTCCATAAATTAGGAATAGAAGAGAACCTCAATTCAGTAAAGGCCATCTATGAAAAACCCTATTAACAGCTAAAATTATACTCAAGGTTAAAGCACTAAATGCTTTTCCCCTAAGATAAGAAACAAGACAAGGATGTCTGATTTGTCACTTTGACATTGTACTGAAAGTTCTTTCCAGAACAATTAGATAAGAAAAAGAGAGAAAATAAATCCACATAAGAAAGGAAAAAGTGAAACTATTTATATTCACAGATGACATAATTTTATATTGAGAAAAACCTCAAGAATCCACACCAAAATTAAAAAAAAAATTAGAGCTAATAAATGAATTTAGGAAAGTTGCAAGATATAAGATCAACATACAAAAATCATTTGTATTTCTATTCACTAGCAATGAACAATCTGAAAATGAATTTTAGAAAATAATTCCATTTACAATAGCATCAAAAAGAAAAAAAACTTAGGACTAAATTTAACAGAACAAGTGTAAGACTTGTACACTGAAAACTACAAAACATTATTGAAAAAAATTAAAGGAGACCTAAATAAATGGAAGCATATCCCACGTCCACAGATTAAAAGACTTTATTGTTAGGATGGTAATACTCCCCCCATATTATCTACAGAGTCCACCAATCTCTGCCAAAATATCCTAGGTGCCTTTTTTGAATAAATGAATACATTAGTCATAAGATTCTTTTTTTTTTTTTTTTCTTTCAGAGACAGGGTTTTGTTCTGTTACCCAGTCTGGAGTGCAGTGGTGTGATCATGGCTCACTGCGACCTTGAATTTCCAGGCTCAAGCAATCCTCCTGCCTTAGCTTCATGAGTATCTAGGACTACAGGCATGCACCACCATGCCTGGCTGTTTTTATTTTTTGTAGAGACAGGGTCTCACTATGTTGCCCAAGCTGGTCTCAAACTCCTGGCCTCAAGTGATCTTCTGGCCTCAGCCTCACAAACCACTGGGGTTACAGGCATGAGCCACTGCACTTGGCCCGTAACATTCTTAACATTCCATAACATTCTTATGGAAATGCAAGGGGCCTCTAAGAGCCAAAAAAATCTTGAAAAAGGAGAACAAATTCCAAGGACTCACTCACACTTCCCAATTTCAAAACTTATTACAAAGATACAGTAAAGCGTATTGTGGAGTACTGGCATAATAATTAACACATAGATCAGTGGAATAGAATTGACAGTCCAGAAATACACCCATACATCTATGGTCAATTAATTTTCAACAATTGTATGAAATTCCCTCAATGGGGAAAAATAGACTTTTCAACAAAAAGTACTGAGTTAACAAGATATCTACATGTAAAAGAATGAATTTGGATCCCTATTCACACCATATATAAAAATTAACCCAAAATAGACTAGAAACCTAAATTTAAGAACTAAATATATTAAAACTTTAGAAGGAAACATAGGGATATATCTTTATGACCTTAATCAATGGTTTTTAAAATATGCCATTCAAAACAGGCAACAAATGAAAAATTAGATAAAGTGGACTTCATCATAACTAAAAACTTTTGTGCAACAAAGAACATTATCAAGAGAGTGTAAAGACAACCCACAGAATGGAAGAAAATATTTGCATATCACATATATAATCTTAAAAACTTGTATATAGGCTGTATAAGCAACATTTACACCTCAAAATAAAATGACCAAAAAAAAATAAAAATGGGCAAAGGATTTGAGTGGACATTTCTCCATTTATATACAAATAGCTAATAAGTACATGAAAATATTCTCAACATCATTAGTCATTAGAGAAATGCCAATCAAAGTCACAATGAAATACTACTCTACGTTCATTAGGATGGCTGTAATTTTTTTTATTATTATTATTATACTTTAAGTTCTAGGGTACACGTGCACAATGTGCAGGCTTGTTACATAGGTATACATGTGCCATGTTGGTATGCTGCACCCATCAACTCGTCATTTACATTAGGTATTTCTCCTAATGCTGTCTCTCCCCTAGCCCCCAACCCCCCAACAGGCCCCAGTGTGTGATGTTCCTCACCCTGTGTCCAAGTGTTCTTATTGTTCAATTCCCAACTATGAGTGAGAATATGCGGTGTTTGGTTTTCCGTCCTTGTGATAGTTTGCTGAGAATGATGGTTTCCAGCTTCATCCATGTTCCTGCAAAGGACATAAATTCATCCTTTTTATGGCTGTATAGTATTCCATGGTGTATATGTGTCACATTTTCTTAATCCAGTCTATCATTGATGGACATTTTGGTTGGTTCATTTTTTGAAAAGATCAACAAAATTGATAGACTGCTAGCAAGACTAATAAAGAAGAAAAGAGAGAATAATCTAATAGATGCAATAAAAAATGATAAAGGGGATATCACCACTGATCCCACAGAAACACAAACTACCATCAGAGAATACTATAAACACCTCTATGCAAATAAACTAGAAAATCTAGAAGAAATGGATAAATTCCTGGACACATACACCCTCCCAAGACTAAACCAGGAAGAAGTTGAATCTCTGAATAAACCAATAACAGGCTCTGAAATTGAGGCAATAATTAATAGCCTACCAACCAAAAAAAGTCCAGGACCAGACGGATTCACAGTCGAATTCTACGAGAGGTACAAAGAAGAGCTGTAATTTTTTTATAAAAGAAGAAGAAGAAAAGAGAAAATAACAAGTATTGGTGAAGATGGGGAGAAACTGGTACCTTCGTACATTGCTAGTGGAATGTAGGATGATATGGCTGCTCTGGGAAAGTTTGACAATTCCTCAAAAAGTTAATTTTAAAGTTAGCATATGAGCCAGTAATTCCATTCCTAGGTATATACCCAAGAAAACTGAAAATATGTGTTCACAGAAAAACTTGTATGCAAAGGGTGATAGAACCATTATTTGTAGTAGCCAAAAGTGGAAGCAATCCAAATAATCCATCAACTGATGACTGGATAGACAAAATGCGGTCTATAAAATAGAATTCTATTCAGCCATAAAAAGAATGAAGTACTGATACAGGCTACAAGATGCGTGAACCTTGAAAATATCTTGCTAGGCCGGATGCAGTAGCTCACATCTGTAATTCCAGCACTCTGGGGGCCCTAGGTGGGTGGATCACCTGAGGTCAGGAGCTCCAGACTAGCCTGGCCAACATGACGAAAACCCGTCTCTACTAACAATACAAAAATTAGCTAGGCGTGGTGGTACATGCCTATAATCCCAGCTACTTGGGAGGCTGAGGCAGGAGAATCGCTTGAACCCTGGAGGTGGAGGTTGCAGCAAGCCAAGATCGTCTCAAAAAAAAAAAAAAAAGGAAGTATCATACTAAATGAAAGAAGCCAAATACATAAGGTCACATATTCTATGATTCCATTTATATGAAATGTCCAGAATAGCAAATCAATAGGAACAGAAAGTAGACTAGTGGTTGCCAGGAACTGAGGAAAGAGGAAAATGGGGAGTGTATGCCAATGGGTATAGGGTTTCTTTTGGGGGTGATGAGAATATTATAAATTAGAGAGTGGTGATAATTGCACAACACTGTGAATATACTAAACATCACTTAATTATACACTTAAAATTATTAAAATGGTAAATTTTAAGTTTTGTGAATTTTTACCTCAAAACAATAAAATAAAATACAATATTCACCTCAATGGGGACAACGTTGTTTCTTTAATATTGTCCTTTTAATCATGCAGTGCTAGGCTGGGTACAGTGGCTCACGTCTGTAATCCCAGCACTTTGGGAGGCTGAGGCAGGTGTATTACTTGAGCCCAGGAGTTCAAGACCAGCCTGGGCAACAAAGTGAGACCCCCTTCCCTACAGAAAAAAAGAAAAAAGAAGAAAAAGAATGCACTGCTAGATGATAATGAACATTGTATCTCTCTATTGTCTAAAAATGGAATATGAGCAGTGATTCACACCCCTACTTCACCCTGTGGAACGGGGTGACATTTCACTGAAGTAATACATTCACAACACTGCCCTAGAGCTAAAAATGACAATGGTAACCCCCAAAACAACAACAACTGATAACCTTCAATAAGGTCTTACAGAGGCCAGTTTCTAGAGTTTGCAATTTACATACCCTTTCATTTTAATTCTCAAACAAAACTATATAATAAATGTTAGGTTGAATCATACAGAAATTGCTAACTTTATAACTCAAAAAAGACTGAATATAACCTATTTCATATAGTTGAACCTATTATTATTATTTTGTTTGTTTGTTTTTGTTTTTGAGAAAGTCTCACTCTTGTCTCCCAGGCTGGAGTGTGACGACGCGATCTCGGCTCACTGCAAACTCCGCCTCCCGGGTTCAAGCGATTCTCCTGCCTCAGCCTCACAAGTAGCTAAGATTACAGGTGCCTGCCACCACGCCTGGCTAATTTTTGTATTTTTAGTAGAGACGAGGTTTCACCATGTTGGCCAGGCTGGTCTCAAACTCCTGACCTCCGGTGATCTGCCTGCCTCGACCTTCCAAAGTGCTGGGATTACAGGCGTGAGCCACCGTGCCTGGCCGAACCTATTATTGTCATCATCACCCCCAATTCACTGATGAGAAAGAGAGGAACAGGGAAGTAAAATAACTTACACGTCCAAGGTCACAGGGCTACTAAAGTGTCAGAGTTGGGATTTGAAATCACACCTGTCTGATTCAGTGGCTCCTAACAACTATGTCTTTATATATTCATCATTCACTCTAAAAACGTTGATTATGTACCTAATGCATGCTAAATATGAGGGAGAGAATCATAAGACAAAACAAATCCTGCAATCCAGGATCTCACAATATAGCATGGAAGACACATGTGAACAAAAAATAATGGCCAATCAAGACAATGAAACAATGGCAATTATAGAAGGCAACTGTAGAGGTAACTTAGAGAATGGAGGGTTGTCTTAGTTCAGGTCGTCTGAAAAGACTACGCCAAGACAGGATTAAAGGAGCATGTATTTTGTTAGAGGAAATTCCTTTATGAGAGAAAATAGGAAGAGAGCCAAAAAAAAAGTCTGGGAGAGTCATTAGACCATGATGTAAGTCTAACATGAATGAAGGAGAGAAGGAGAAAAGGTTGGGTGGTACCACCCTAGACGGCCATGCAGCCCAAAAGTGGTTTGACAAAGCCATTGTTGGGGACACTTCAAGCCAAAGTTAGCAACAGGTAAGAGCAATGTCTCCCAGGAATAAGTCTGCTTTAGCAACTCGGATATCTTCAATCATTGACTGGGAGCACCCTGTAAGATGTGTTACCTTGAAGCAAACATGGAGATGAATTTCGGAGCACAGTAGCTGGGACCCTTAGTCAATTATGTCCCCTGTAAAGTCCTTAAGGTATAGTCCTCCTGGTCACAACAAGTATTAAGGGTCAGGGAAGGCTTTCTGGTGCCGGTGACTTTTGGCCTGGGTTTGATATTATAATGTCCTAGTGAATAGAGACAGTATAAAAAAGAAAACCGAGCTCTGTGTAGAAAAGGGAAAATGGATGCGCAATTGTGGTACTTGCCAAGCCTTATAACAGCTATGAGACCTAGTCTTTGGAGCTTTCCACAGACTTTTTCATGTCCTGGCTGCGTTCCCAGTGTTTTACTCTTATAATCTAGCACGTATTGAAAAATATTACAAAATAAAATAGAATTAGGTTGTCACTGAATGTCGCATTGCTCGCTGTAATTCAGCTCTTCACTTAACACATGGAAAACTTTGTATATTAATATTCAGCCATTCCAGGCAGAGTATTTCTAAAAGATTTGTGAGTTCATTTACATGTTTATCTGCTCTTTTCTCCTTGGGAGTTGGACTGTTCTTCCGCCTGATGATTAGAATAATTGGATATTTTGAACTCATCCATCAGATTTGGAAATGATCTCTTAATTGATGAGGGTGTTTAACAGTTAATTGAACATTTCTACTCTGAAATTCCATTTTTCTTTAAGTACAGAAATAGCACAGCAGGGCCATGGACAAGTAAAGTCTAACACACAAACATCTTTCTGTGCCTATCTTGAACTCTGCAATAATCCTACTTCCTCTCAAACTGTAGCACGCAGTAGGCTACTCAATAAATATTTTATTTTACTTTTCTATGAATTGTTTAAAATTAAAACTTACAGAAGCAACTGTATCTTTTTTATGTGTGGCTACTGAGAAGTTTAATCTGATCTTATAATATGCTTTGAAAATCCAAATGTTACCAATTCATCTACATAGAGAATTTGGTGTTTGGTTCCCATCCAAATGCCACATCAGACATTTATATTACATCTTCCTTCCCTCCTCCCTCTTCTTCCTTCCAGACCACCACCGTACAGTTGCCCAAAAGTTATAATACTATATAGAATACAGCTTTAAACTCTAAAATATATGTACCTTCTCTAGCCCAGAATAGAGAAAATTATCTTTTATTGTGAAACTCTTTCAACCATGAAAAATGATTCCCTATATTAAAAAGTCATGAAGGTAGAGCAAGACAGCCAAATAGAAGCCTCCAGTGATCATCTTGCCCCCAACAGGAATACCAAATATTAACAACTAACTACACATTAAAAAGCACCATCATAAGAACCAAAATTCAGGTGAGCAATCAAAGTACCTGGTTTTATCTTCATATTGCTGAAAGAGACACTGAAGAGGGTAGGAAATACTTCTTCTTTTTTTTTTTTTTTTTTTTTGGACAGTCTCGCTCCATCACCCAGGCTGGAGTGCAGTGGTGTGACTGTGGTTCACTGCAACCTCCGCCTCCCGGTTGCAAGCAATTCTCCTGCCTCAGCCTCCCGAGTAGCTGGGACTACAGGCATGCACCACCACGCCCGGCTAATTTTTACTTTTTTTTTTTTTGAGACGGAGTCTCTCTCTGTCACCCAGGCTGGAATGCAGTGGCACGATCTCGGCTTACTGCAACCTCCACCTCCTGGTTTCAAGTGATTCTCCTGCCTCAGCCTCCTGAGTAGCTGGGATTACAGGCGCACACCACCATGCCCGGCTAAGTTTTGTATTTTTAGTAGAGACAGGGTTTCACTATGTTGGCCCGGCTAGTCTCGAACTCCTAGCCTCAAGTGATCTGCCTGCCTCGGTCCCCCAAAGTGCTGAGATTACAGGCATGAGCCACCGCTCCCGGCCTAGGGAAGACATTCTTGAATTGCTGATGCTACCCCTTTTCAATCCCGTGGCAGTAGCCACAGGGCATGGAGAGAGAATCTGTGCACTTGGGGGAGGGAGAGTGTAGTGACTAGGGGACTTGGCATTGAACTCAGTGCTGCACTGCCACAGCAGACAGCAAAGCTGTGCTGGGTTCAACTGGTGCCTGCCCATGGAGGGAACTTTTGGACCAGCCACAGTCAGAGTGGAATTGTCCATCCCAGGGATCAGAACTTGAGTTTCACAGCAAGCCTTACCACTGTCAGCTAAAGTGCTCTGCAGTCCTAGGTAAACTTGAAAGGTAGCCTAAGATACAAGTACTGCACTTCCTAGGCAACTCATGGTAGTGGGCTGGGCTTAGAGCCAGTGGACTAGGGTGGCACATGACCTAGGGAGACAACAGCTGGGGCAGCTAAGAGAGTGCTTGAACCACCCCTTCCCCTATCTCAGGCAGCATAGCTGGCAGCAAAGAAAGTGACTCCTTCCTTCTACTTGAGGAGAGAAGAGTGAAGAGTAAAGAGGACTTTGTCTTGCATCTTGAATAAGAACTCAGCCACAATCAGATAGGGCACTGGGCAGAGTCATGAGGTCCCCATTCTGGGCCCTAGCACCTGGATGTCATGTCTAGACAAACCCTAGGCCAGAAGGGAACCTGTTGCCTTGAAGAGAAGGATGCAGTCTTGACTGAGTCCCATCAGCTGCTTACTAAAGAGCCCTTGGATCCTAAATAATCAGCAGTGATACCCAGGTAGGATGCCATAGGCCTTGGTTGAGATTCTGAGATGTGCTGGCTTCAGGTGAGAGCCAACACATTCCCAGCTATGGTGAAAGACTCCTGCTTAAGAAAATCAGAGTGAAAAGTAAAGGGCACTTTGTCTTGCACCTTAGGTACCAGCTCAGCCACAGTGAGGTAGAGCACCAAGAGGACTCGGGCTTCCCAAGTCCAAGCCTTTGATCTTTGACAGCATTTCTGGAGCTGCACTGGGCCAGAAGGGAGCCCACTGCCCTGAAAGGTGAGTCCCAGGCCTGGAAGTACTCACCACAAGCTGACTGAAGAGCCCTTGGGCTTTAAGTGAACATCGGCGGTGGCCTGGCAGAATTCCCCATGGGCCAATGATAGTGGTGGCCACTGGGAGAGGTCCTCTACTTGTGGAAAAGGAAGAGAAGGGCAGGAAAAACTTTGTCTTGTGGTTTGAGGGCCAGATTAGCTATGGTAGAATAGAACACAAGGCAGCCTTCTGAGGTTTTTTACTCCAACCCCTGACTCTGGGACAGCATCACTGGACCCACTCAGAGCCTGGGAAAACTCAGTGCCATGAAGGGAAGGACACAAACTCGGTAGGCTCCCATACTTGCTGACTGGAGAGCCCAAGGGCCTTGAGTAAACATAGGCAGTAGCCAGGTAGTGGTTACAGCGGGTGCTGGAAGAGACTCAGTGCTGTGCTGGCTTCAGGTCTGACCCAGTATAGGCCCAGTGGTGGTGGCCACAGGAGTTCCTGCATTACCCCACACCCAGCTCCAGGAGGCTCAGCACAAAAAGAGACACTCCAGCCAGGCACACTGGCTCACACCTGTAATTCCAGCACTTTGGGAGGCCAAAGAGGGCAGATCACCTGAGGTCAGGAGTTCAAGACCAGCCTGACCAACATGGTGAAACGCCATCTCTACTAAAACTACAAAATTAGCTGGGCATGGTGGCACATGCCTGTAATCCCAGCTACTCGGGAGGCTGACACAGGAGAATCGCTTGAACCCGGGAGGTGGAGGTTGCAGTAAGCCGAGATCACGCCATTGCACTCCAGCCTGGGCAACGAGAGCAAAAGTCCATCTAAAAAAAAAAAAAAAAAAAAAAAAGACACTCCATTTGTTTGGGAGAAAGTAAGGGACGAGAACAAGAGTCTCTGCCTGGTAATCCAGAGAATTGTTCCACATCTTATGCAAGACCACAAAGAAAATACCTTTAGAAATCTGCAAGAACCACAGTGTTACTGGGCTTGGGGTCCAAGTCCCTTCAAATACCTGGAAAGCCTTCCCAAGAAAGATGGGCATGAACAAGCCCAGACTGTGAAGAATACAATTAATACCTAACTCTTTTAGTACCCAGACACTGACAAATATCCATAAGCATCAAGACCACAAGAAATACACAATATCACAAAAGAAACTAAATAAGGCACCAGGGATCAATCCTAGAGAAAAAGAGATATGTGACCTTTCAGATAGACAATTCAAAATAGATAATTCAAGGAAACTCAAAGAAATTCAATATAACACAGAGAAGGAATTCAGAATTCCATCAGATGAATTTAACAAAGAGATTTGAATAATTTAAAGAATCAAGCAGAAATTCTGCAGTTGAAAAATGCAACTGACCTACTGAAGAATTCATCAGTCTTTTATTAGCAGAACTGATCAAACAGAAGAAAGAATTAGTGAGCTTGAAGACAAGCTATTTGAAAATATACAGTCAGAGGAGACAAAAGAAAAAAATAAAGCATGCCTAAAAGAGATAGAATATAGCCTCAAAAAGGCAAATCTAAGAGTTATTGGCCTAAAATAGGAGGTAAAAAAAGAGATGGGGTAGAAAGTTTATTCCAAGGGTTAATAACAGAGAACTTTCCAAACCTAGAGAAAGATATCAACATTCAAGTACAAGAAGGTTATAGAACACCAAGCAGATTTAACCCAAAGAAGACTACCTCAAAGCATTTAATAGTCAAATTCCCAAAGGTTAAGGATAAAGAAAGCCTCCTAAAAGGACCACCTGAAAAGAAGCAAATAACATACAATGGAGCTCTGATGTGTCTGGCAGCAGACTTTTCAGTGGAAACCTTACAGGCCAGGAGAGAGCGGCATGGCATATTTAATGTGCTATATGAAAAAAAAATAGTTTTACTCTGGAATAGTGTATCTGGCAAAAATGTCCTCAAGCAAAAGGAGAAATAAAGACTTTCCCAGACAAACAAAAGCTGAGGGATTTTATGAACACCAGACCTGTCCTGTGAGAAATGCTCAAGGGAGTTCTTCAGTCTGAAGGAAAGGGATGTTAATGAGCAATAAGAAATCATCAGAAGGTATAAAATGCACTTGTACTAGTAAGCACAAAGAAAAACACAGAGAGGCAAAAGGAAAGATGGTGGATAGGAGACAGGGCTGATATGCAGCTCCCACTTGGATGGACAGAACAGTGTGTAGAGTCTCACACCATTGACTTTTGCTCCAGGAACCACCACTGGAGCATACCAGGAAAACTGAAAAAAATCACAGATCCTTTGAAAGAAATAGCAGGACACTGCAAATTCCATGAGACAGGCAAAAAACTCTGGTGCTCTCTTGAAAGCGCCACCTCCTGGCTGGAGGCAAACCAACTCAGGACATTGCAGCAACTCAGAACAAACCTGTTCCGAGGAAGGAGAAAACAACAGCTAATTCCACTGCCTGCAACATCCTGGCTAACCAGTGGTCCTCAGTCTGTCCACGTGACAACTTCACTGCCAGCATAACCAACACTTGAGAAAGTCAGCACACTAAACATATTTGAAACCAAGAATTCTCACAGAGTCTACTTTGCTTCCCTGCCACCTCCACCATAGCAGGTGCTGGTATCCAGGGATGGGAGACATGAAGACAGATTGCATCACAGGACTCTTTTCAGACAATCCCCAGCACCAGCCCAGATCCTGGTAGCCCCCTGGGTGGCCAGACCCAGAAGACCAATAACAATCATTGCAGTCTGACTCTTAGGAAGCCCCATGCCTAGGGAAAATGGAAGTGTATCACATTAAGGGATAACTCTGCAGGACAAAAGAATCTGAACAGCAGCCCTTCAGTTCCAGAATTTACCACTGAAATAATCTACCTAAATGAGAAGGAAACAGAAAAGTAATTCTGGTAATATGACAAAACAATGTTCTATAACATGCCCAAAAGACCACACTTGTTCTCCAGCAATGGATCCAAACCAAGAAGAAATCTCTGAATTGCCAGATAAAGAATTGAGAAAGCCAATTATTAAGTTACTCAAGGAGATACCAGAGAAGGGTGAAAACCAACTTAAAATTAAAAAAAAAAAAATACAGGATATGGATGGAAAATGCTCCAGAGCAATATATATCATAACGAAAAAGCAACCACAACTTCTGGAAATGAAAGACAGACTTAGAGAAATACAAAATGCACTGAAAAGTTTCAACAATAGAATCAAACAAGTAGAAGAAACAACTTCAGAGCTCAAAGACAAGGTCTTTTAATTAACCCAATCAGACAAAGACAAAGAAAAAAGAACCCCAAAAAATTAACAAAGCCTCCAAGAAATTTGGCATTATGTTAAATGGCCAGACATAAGAATAAATGGTGTTCCTGAGGAAAAAGAGAAATCTAAAAGTTTGGAAAACATATTTGAGGTAATAATTGAGGAAACTGTCCCTGGCCTTGCTAGAGACCTGGACATCCAAATACAAGAAGCTCAAAGAACACTTGAGAAATTTATAACAAAAAGATCTCACCTAGACATATAGTGATCAGGTTATCTGAAGTCAAAATGTAGAAAAGAATCTTAAGAGCTGTGAGTCAAAATCTTCAGGTAACCTATAAAGGAAAACTGATCAAATTAACAGCAGATTTCTCAGCAGAAACGCTACAAGCCCGAAGGGATTAGGGTCCTGTCTTTAGCCTCCTCAAACAAAATGATTGCCAGCCAAGAATTTTGTATCCTTGTTTCCAGATGGTATGATCTTACATTTGGAAAAAATGAAAGACTCCACCCAAAATCCGTTAGAACTCATAAACAAATTCAGTAAAGTTGCAGGACACAAAATCAACATACAAAAATCAGTAGCATTTCTATATGCCAACAGTGAACAATCTGAAATAGAAATGAAAAAGTAATCCCATTTACAATAGCCACAAATAAAATGAAACACCTAGGAATTAGCAAAAAAAGTGAAAGATCTCTACAATGAATACTATAAAATACTGATGCAAGAAATGGAGGAAACAAATATTATAGTAAAATGAAAAAAAAAAATGAAGAGATATTCCATGTTCATGGATTGGAAGAGTCAATATTCTTAAATTTTCCACACTACCCAAAACAGTCTACAGATTCCATACAATCCTTGTCAATATACCAGTGACATAGAAATAGCAAAAAAAATCCTAAAATATATATGGAACAACAAAAGACCCAGAATAGCCAAAGCTATCCTGACAAAAAAAAAAACAAAATAGAGACTTCATTGCCTGACTACAATACCTGACTTCAAATTATACTACAGAGCTACAGTAACCAAAACAGCATGGTACTGGCATAAAAACAGACACATAGACCAATGGAACAGAATAGAGAACCCAGAACCAAATTTACACACCTATAGTGACTTATTTTTGACAAAGGTACCAAGAGCATACACTGGGGAAAAGACAGCCTCTTCAATCAATGGTGCTGGGAAAACTGGATATCCATAAACTAGACCCCATCTCTTGCCATATGCAAAAATCAAATCAAAAGGGATTGAAGACTTAAATCTAAGACCTCAAACTACAAAACTCCTATAAGAAAACTTTGGGGAAATGCTCCAGGACATTGGTCTGGACAAAAATTGCTTGAGTAATACCCCACAAGCACAGGAACCCAAAGCAAAAAAACGGACAAATGGAATCACATCAAGCTGTAAAGTTTCTGGACAGCAAAGTAAACAATCAACAATATGAAGAGACATCCCACATAATGGGAGAGAATATGTGCAAATTACCAATCTGACAAGGGGTTCATAACCAGAATATACAAAGAGCTCCAAGAACTCTATAGGAAAAAAAACTCTAATAATTAGACTTTAAAATGGGCTACAGATCTGAATAGATATTTCTCAAAAAAAGACAAATCAAACAAATATGTGAAAAGGTACTCAACATCACTGATCATCAGAGAAATTCAAATTGAAACAGCAATGAGATATCTCAGCCCAATTAAAATGGCCTTTATCCAAAAGTCAGGCAACAACAAATGCTGGTAAGGTTATGGAGAAAAGGGAACCCTCATACACTGTTGGTGGGAATGTAAAATAGTACAACCACTATGGAGAACAGTGTGGAGGTTCCTCAAAAAACTAAAAAAAGAGCTACTGTACAATTCAGCAATCCCACTACTGGGTATATACATAAAAGAAAGGAAATCAGTATATCGAAGAGATATCTGCACTCCCATGTTTGTTGCAGCACTGTTCACAATGGCTAAGATTTGGAAGCAAACTAAGTGTCCATCAATATATGAATAGATAAAGAAAATATAGTACACATACACAATGGAGTATTATTCAGCCATAAAAAAGAATGATATCCTGTGACTTTCAACAACGTGGACAAAACTGGAGGTCATTATGTTAAGTGAAATAAGCCAGGCACAGAAAGACAAACTACACATGTTCTCACTCATTTGTGGGAGCTAAAAATTAAAACAATTCAGGTTATGAATATAGAGAGTAGAAGGATGGTTACCAGAGGCTGGGGAGGGTATTGAGTAGTGTTGGGAGGAAGTGGGGATGATTAATGGGTACAAATAGTATTTGGAAAGAATGAATGAGACCTAGTACTTCATAGCACACCAGGGTGACTATAGTCAATAATTTAATTGTACATTTTAAAATAACTAAAAGAGCACAATTGCATTATTTGTAACATTAAGGAGAAATGCTTGAAGAGATGGATATGTCATTTACCCGGATGTGATTATTACATATTGCATGTCTGTTTCAAAGTATTTCACGCACTCCATAAACTTATACACATTCTACGTACACAAAAATCAAAAATAAAAAATTTAGTAAAAAGAAAGTCATGACCTTCATTCATTTTACTATTTCCAGAATCTGTGCCAACCAGAAGGCATTGCATTTTTTTTCCAATTTTCAAATAATATTTTAGTGAAACTACCTGTTAGGAGTTGCTAATATGCATATTAATTTAATATCTCTAACCAAATTATTATTGCAGCATCCCCTGAAAAATTGATATTTGAAGCACACAATAACCTTGCTATTTGACAGTTCCATTCTAGCAGTCTATCATTCTCCTTGTATTATCTATTTATTTGGTTGGTTGTTTCATATTATTTCCAGAATTTAATTTGGCAGGTGTCAATGCATTAGGGAATTGTTACCTATTAGTCTGAGTCCCCCAGGAAGGAGAGGATACCAAGATTGATTTATTGGAGAAAACACCTATGAGAGAAAATGGAGGCAAAGGGAGCCGTTAAGAGGCTCGGAGAGCTGTCAGACAGTAATATAGGTCTGATCTTTGAGGAGGAAAGGGGGAAGGAAAGAGGATTGGTTAAGAAAACTCTTAGACTACAGTATAATTCTAAGAAAATTTCAGCAAGACAAACAGAATCCTTGAGAGAAAATCACCCTTTGGAGGAGCTCTTCATCTCCTAGGAGACGAAGCTTTAGTATCCTCGCTGTGCTGTCATTGGCTGAGAGCAGCCCATGGGAAATTTGGCCTCACACAAATGCAGTAGAGGATTTCAGGGCTCAGCAACTGAGTTTATCATTCAGTCAGGCTCCCTGAATTCAGAGATCTGAGAGGTGGCTTTTTTTTTTTTTTTTTTTAGTGGGGTCTTGCTCTGTCGCCCACACTCGAGTGCAGTGGCACAATCGTGGCTCACTGCAGTCTTGACCTCTTGGGCCCAAATGATCCTCCCACCTCAGCCTCCCAAGTAGGTGAGACTACAGGCACGCACCACCATGCCCAGCTAATGTTTGTATTTTTTGTAGAAATGGGTTTTCACCATGTTGCCCATGCTTGTCTCGAACTTCTGGGCTCAAGCGATCCACCTGCCTCAGTCTCCCAAAGTGCTGGGATTACTGGCGTGAGCCACCATGCTCAGTCTGAGGGGTGACTTTCAAAGCCACCACAGTACTATTAAAAGAAAATAGAGGCTTGTATCTCGAATTTCACACTCTTTATAAAAGCATACAAAGAAGAAGTAAAGTCTAATTAAGGGCACAGGTAACTTGCCCCAGTCCAAAAACTCACTGATTTATTCATAAAATACTTTAAGAATGCAATTAAGTACATGCTTTGGCTTACATAGAGATGGGTTCAAATCCCACCTCCCCACTCCCTCTGAATTATTCTTGAAAAAAAAAAATTTAACTAGAACCAGACCAAGCCTTTAGATCTAATATCTGTATTTTATGAAATACGGGTGACAGAGGAACTATCCTTTGTCCCCCGTAGTTCATATACAGGGGGTTAACTATCATGAGGAAACCATGAGAAAAACCCAGAGGGTGGGGCATTCCACAGAACAACTGACCTGATATCTGAAACAAGTCAATGTCATAGGAAAAAAAAGTTGGAGGGACCAGCAGGACCATTCTAGATTAGAAGAAACTTAAGAATTACAGCCATTAAACAATTCTTGATTAAAATATAGTTTGAATAAGCCAATTGTAAAAGACATTTTTTGTACAATTAGGAAAATTTAAACGTAGACAGGGCATTAAAGGATATTGGGGAATTATTGCCAATTTTGTTAGATATGATAATGGTACTGTGGTTATGTGGGGAAAAAAGTCCTTTTTGTTAGTGATGCATATAGAAATTATTTAGGAGTAAAATATATCTATAATTTACTTTAGCATATTTCAAAATCAGAAGAAGCAAATATAGTAAATTCTTATAATTGTTAAATGTCGATGTTGATATATGAGTGTTTATTCTGCTATTTATTCTATTTCTCTGTATCTTTGAAATTTTTCAAAATAAAAATATTTTAAAATATTTTCTCAGACACACAATAGCAAAAGGAATTCACTACCAACAGAACTACAATACAGGAAATATTAAATGAAGTCTTTCAGGCGAAAGAAAATGTTACCAGATAGAAATGTGAATATGCACAAAGGAATGAAGAACACCTGAAATAGTAGCTATATAAGCAAATATAGACTTTTTAACTTGTTTGTAAAATCTCTTTAAAAATAATTGAGTCTTTTCCATTTAGACCTGGACTAGATATTAAACACAGCCTTTGGCAAACTGAAAAATTAAATTTGTCCATAATTATAAATGAACAGTTATCAATAGAAATATAGATTCTCACTTCTCTTAGAAATGTAGAGACTTTATTAAGTCTCTTCCTTACATTTCCTCATGACAACAATTATCTTGAATTGAGTGATGGCTGGCCTTGATCTCTTTTTATAAGGTGGAAAATTGCAGAAAAAAAATGACACTGGTATGTGCCTTCTTGAATGAGAGAATGAAAACTGTATAGTTAAGGAAAAAATGAGATCAAGGAAGATAGGCTTCAGAAGTTCAAGAAAAGAGAGACCAGAGGGAAGCGCTAGAAACCATTTCACTTGCAAGTTCATGGTTAATCTGCTGAGACACTAGACTTGAGAACCAACATGGCTTTCAATGCCACAAGCCCTCCAAGGAAAACCAAAGTTTCTTGACCTTTTCTGGGAACTATTTGCTTGCCCTGAATATTTAGTATGATTTATTGGGGTTTGCAAGAGGCACAGGTTTAAGGTTTTTTTTTTCTTTTAATAAACAACTCACGAATTAGGATAAGTGGTATACCTTCACTGGCTAAAGATTTACTGTTTTTGTGAAGACGTGTTAGCGCTTTCAGAAAGGGTAGGTCATTTTTAAAAAGCCACCTTGGAAGCCTTTACAGAGGTGAAAAAGTTATGTAGTACAATTATTTTTTCCTCCTCTTTCTCCAGTTTGGAAATTTGCTCATCAATATCATGGTCATAAAAATTGAGGAAACCTTTATTGGCCAGGTTAGGGAAAATAATGATGCTTTTATGACATTAGAGAGTGAATGCTCAGGTAACCTGGTTCTAGCACCATTCTCTACACAGGTGAGCGATATGGAGGGAAAACTATGGCAGGGAGGTTTATCATCTCCAGAGTCTTATACTTTGCCCCCTCACTCCACTGCTTGCAATGTTATCATGACTAAGTATAGAGTCACATAGTTGAAAGTGTTTCCCAAACCCCATGGTCTATACTTGCATATGTAAAGTGGAGAAAAGGATAATTTTCCAGATTTAATCAAGATAAAATAAAAAATGAAGAAAAATATCCACAGCTAATATCATACTTAATGGTGAATGTCTGATTTCTTTCCCACTATGATCAAATACAAGACAAGGTAGTCTGCTCTCACCAGTTCTATTCAACATCATACTGGAATTCCAGCCAGGGAAATTATGTAAGGAATACACATAAAAGGCATCCAAATTTGAAAGGAAGAGATTAAACTATTTCTAATGACAGATTGTATAATCTTACATAGGAAAAGCCATAAAGGATTCATCAAAACCTACTAAAGCTAACAAGGGAATTTAGAAATATTGCAAGATATACATTGGTATATAAGTATCAACTGAATTTCTATATACTTGCTAATACACAATGACCAAGTGGGCTTTATGCCTGGGATACAAGGTTGGTTCAACACACACAAATCAATAAATGTGATTCATCACATAAACAGAACTAAACACAAAATACACATGATTATATCAATAGATGCAGAAAAGGCTTTTGATAAAATCCAATATCACTTCATGTTAAAAACTCTCAAAAACCTAGGTATGAAAGAAACATACCTCAAAATAATAAGAGCCAGCTATGACAAACCCACAACCAACATCATAATAAATGGGCAAAAGCTGGAAGCATTCCCCTTGAAAACTGGCACAAGACAAGGATGCCCTCCCTCACCAGTCTTATGCAACACAGTATTGGAAGTCCTGGCCAGAGCAATCAGGCAAGAGAAAAAAATACAAGACATCCAAACAGGAAGAGAGGAAGTCAAATGATCCCTGTTTGCAGATGACATAATCCTATATCTAGAAAACCTCATAGTTTCAGCCCAAAAGTTCCTTCAACTGATAAAAAATTTCAACAAAGTTTAATGATACAAAATCAATGCACAAAAATCACTAGCATTTCAATATACCAGCAACAGCCAACCCAAGAGCCAAATCAAGAATGAAATCCCATTCAAAAATTCCACAAAAAGATTAAAATATCTAGGAATACACCTAACCAGGAAGGTGAAAGATGTCTACAAGAAGAATTACAAAACACTGCTGAAAGAAATCAGAGATGATACAAATAGAAAAACATTTCATGATCATGGATAGGAAGAATCAATATCATTAAAATTGCCACACTGTCCAAAGCAATTTACAGATTCAATGTTATTCCTATCAAACTACCAAGGACATTTTTCACAAAACTATTTTAAAATTCATATGGAACCAAAAAATTGCCCAAATTGCCAAGGCAATCTTAAGCAAAAAGAACAAAGCTGGAGGCATCATGTTACCCAACTTCAAATGATACTACAGGGTTACAGTAACCAAAATGGGATGGTACACTGGTACAAAAACAGGCACATAGACCAATGGAACAGAACAGAGAGCCCGGAAGTTAGGTCACACACATACAACCATCTGATCTTCGACAAAGCTGACCAAAACCAGCAATGGGAAAAGGACTCCCTATTCAATAAATGGTGCTGGGTAACTGGCTAGCCATGTGCAGAAGATTGAAACTGGACACCTTTCTTACACCACATACAAAAATTAACTCAAGATGGATTAAAGACTTACATGCAAAACCCAAAACTATAAAAATCCTAGAAGAAAACCTTGGCAATACCATTCAGAACATAAGCACAGGCAAAGATTTCATGATGAAGATGCCAAAAGCAATTTCAACAAAAGCAAAAATTGATAAATGGGATATAATTAAACTAAAAGCTTCTGCACAACAAAATAAACTGTCAACAGAGTAAACAGACAACTCAGAGTTTGGGAGAAAATTTTTGCAAACTATGCATCTATCAAAGGTCTAATATCCAGCATCTATAAGGAATTTAACAAATTTACAAGAAAAAAAACAAACAACCCCATTAAAAAGTAGGCAAAGGACAAGAACAGACACTTTTCAAAAGAAGACATACATGCGGCCAACAATCACATGAAAAAAAAATCTCAACATCACTATCATTAAAGAAATGTAAATCAAAACCACAATGAGATACCGTCTCACACCAATCAGAATGGCTGTTATTAAAAAGTCAAAAAAATAACAGATGCTGGCGAGGTTGTGGAGAAAAAGGAATGCTTATACACTGTTGGTGGGAGTGTAAATTAGTTCAATCATTATGGAAGACAGTGTGGCAATTCCTCAAAGATCTAAAGACAGAAATATCATTTGGCCAGCCGTGGTGGCTCACGCCTGTAATCCCAGCACTTTGGGAGGCCCAGGCAGGTGGATCACTTGAGGTCAGGAGCTCAAAACCAGCCTGGCAAACATGGTGAAACCCTGTCGCTACCAAAAAACACAAAAATTAGATGGGCATAGTGGCACGTGCCTGTAGTCCCAGCTAGTCGGGAGGCTGAGGTGGGAGAATTGCTTGAATTTGGGAGGCGGAGGTTGCAGTGAGCCAAGATCACACCACTACACTCCAGCCTGAGCAATAGAGTGAGACCCTGTCTCAAAAAAAAAAAAAAGTCATTCAACCCATCAATCCCATTACTGAGTACATATCTAAAGGAATATAAATTGTTCTATTATAAAGACACACACTCATGTATGTTCATTGCAACACTATTCACAATAGCAAAGACATGGAATCAACCTAAATGCCCATCAATGACAGATTGGATAAAGAAAATGTGGTACATATACACCACGGAATACTATGCAGCCATGAAAAAGAATGAGATCATGTCCTGTGCAGGGACATGGATGGAGCTGGAGGCCATTATCCTTAGCAAACTAATGCAGGAACAGGAAAACAAATACCATGTTCTCACTTATAAGTGCAAGCTAAATGATGAGAACACATGGACACATAGAGGAGAATGACACACACTGGGGCCTAGTAGAGGGTGGAGGGTGGGAGGAGGGAGAGGATCGGGAAAAGTAACTAACGGGTACTAGGCTAAATACCTGGGTGATAAAATAATCTGTAAAACAAAGCCCCATGACACAAGTTTACCTATGTTACAAAACTGCATGTGTACCCTTGAACTTAAAAATTTAAAAAAAGAAAATATGATACATATACACAATGGAATATTATTCAGCCATAAAAAAAGAATGAACTTACGTCATTTGTGGCAATAGGAATGAAACTGAAGGACATTATATTAAATGAAATAAGCCAAGCACAGAAAAACAAATACTGCATGATCTCACTCATTTGCAGAATTGAAAAATGCTGATATCATAGAAACACAGCAGAGAATAGTGGTTGTCAGAGGCTGAGGAAGGGAGGAAAAAGAGGATAAGGAGATATTGGTAAATGAATATAAAATTGCAGATAGGTAGGAGAAATAAGCTGCGTTGTATTGCACTGTAGGATGACTGTAGTTAACAGTATTGTATTGTGTATCTCAAAATAACTAGAAGATAGGATTTTGAATGTTCTCACCAGAAAGAAATAATAATAGTTTAAGGCAATGGATAGGCTAATTACCCTGACTTGATCATTACACAATGTATACAGGTTTTAAAACATCACACTATACACCATAACTAGGTATAGTTATTATGTGTATTAAAATTTAACTTAATAATAAAAGGAAAACCTACAGAATGTAAAAAACATATTTGCAAATCATATATCTGACAAACAACCTATAAAAGAACAATTACAACTCAATAATAAAAAGACAACCCAATTTTTAAAATGAACAAAATCTCTGTATAAACATTTCTCCAGAAAAGATACACAAATAAAAGACAGACACATAAAAAGATGCTCAACACCATTAGCCACCAGGGAAATGCAAATTCAAATCACAACAAGATACCACTTCATACCCACTAGAATGACTCCAATCAAAAAGACAACAATTACAAGTATTATAGAGGATGAAGAGAAATTGGAACACTTATACACTGCTGGTAGAAATGTAAAATGGTGTCGTTGCTTAGGAAAACAGCCTGGCAATTTTCAAAGACCTAAACATAGAATTACCAGATAACCCAGCAATTCCATTCCTAGGTATATACCCAAGAGAACTGAAAATATATCTTTATTCAGCAGCTAATATACAAATGCTCATAGCAACATTATTCTCAATAACTAAAATTTAATGGTACTGTGGTTACATAGAAAAAAATCCCTTTTGTTAGTGATGCATATACAAATTATATACAGTGAAATATCATTATGTCTGTAACATATTTTTAAATATTTCCAAAACCAATTAAGGAAATGCAGCAAAATTCTCCAGATACCTAATGACAAGGTAAAAAAAAAAAAAACTACACACTAATATATTCTGGCTAAATGGATATTAAATGTAGGTATATATTATATATATAAATATTATGTATAAGACATTTATGTATATTAAACAAGGAAGAAAATATGAATAATACAAAGTAAAAATACTAGGGTTTATATTTGTATACAGGGACTGTGAATGGCTATCTCTGGGTGTGGAGTTGCAAAGGCCTCTTCTTTTTATTTAATATGGTCCATTTCCATATTGTTTCACAGAAAGTGAAGGAAAACCATGCCAGTTAGTCCTGTGTAAATCGCTGGGAAGTTCACTGGCTTCAGAATCAGAAAAACTAGGTTCTGATGCTGACAGTTCCTATGTTCTGGTGTTCCTCTCTTCTCTGCACTGCCAGTGTACTTATCTGTAAGACTGGTTAACTTTACCCAATTTCTAAATTCTCTCAGCTCTACAGACCTATCACTTTATACTTCTATCTAATTCAAATTTCATTCCATAGACAATAACATTACCAGCACTTGGAAAATGCCTAGAAATGATAACACCTCATGGGGAAAAAAATGAAAACCTTGAAGAGTCCACTATTGCTATCCTCAGTTCCTGTTGCACACCTATTTGGATTGCTTCACCAGATAATAGTCTATATTCTGATAGTTGGAAACAAACAGCCAGCAAATAGAAACTGGGGTAATGCACAATAGAAATGACCTCTGGTGGTTTTGTGACCTAAAAATAGCACAGGTCAAATTAGAAAAGTTGTTTTTTGTTATTTTGCTTGTTTGTTTTGTACTTTTGTAAATATATATAAATTAGATATTCAATTCTCTGTTTTATACCAGTCCACAATCACCCACGCCAATCACCACCCCCAGCCCCCTGCCCTGTAGGTTCCTTGTTAGCAGCATTCACTTTCAGGGAGATTGTAATGTTGCTGAAAGAACACCAAAATACAATTCTGCTCACCACTAATCCTTGTCTTCTGCAGCCCTCCATACTACAATCGCCTATTTCATTCATTGTCCCCCATCTACAACCTGCACATATTTGCAGTCAATCGGAGAAGTAATTACTTTTGTACGGAGAACACCACCAACCAACTCTTATTTCCAATACACACAAATATCAATTAAGCATAATATTCAATTTGGGGTTAAAGTGCTACAGAACCTCTCACCACAAAAAAAAACAAAAACAAAAAAAAACGGCAGTGGGGAGGGGAGATTCCGTTCTTTTCTTTAACGGGTTTTCAGATCTCATTTTTTTTTAAAAGGTTGGAGAAAGCAGGAATCTTTTCAGTTTAAATTATCTCTTTTTTTAAATTTTTTTGGAACAGTTTTCTTGGTACAAAACTTAGGTTAAAACCTCTAAAAAATATATCTAAGAAATACAGAAAATGATATTAAAATGACTTTTAATAGGCCAAAAAATGTTTGTTAAAAAAAATCAGATCAAAGACACTCACTTGTATAATAATGGTAGAAGCATATTCAAGGTAAATGAAGGTTGGGAAGGATTAAATCTGCAAAAATAAGAAACTTAGTTTTGTGATTGATTTCACTAGGCACACAATCATTTGAAATGCATATGCTGATAGAAATCAAATATTGCAAAAAAAAAGAACATCAGATTTCTTACATAAATAATAACCAAATAAATTCTTCTATATTATAATTGTTTTTTCAAATAGTTAAAATTTAACAAAATCTATTCTGGCAAATACAAGAGAATCCTCTTAAAATTAACTAATATTGCAGGAGGATATTTTTTCTTGGGGAATGGTTCTCCCTTTATTGTTGAAAGTTGTGTTATTCTCTTAATGGCTTGCTTTTTATTTGAAGTTCTGTATGTGTGCGTGTGTGCATACATGTATACAATACATCCACACAGAGACAAATGCCCACATACCTGATACAAACAAGGGGGCTGAGGCTTGACTGGCCTGTCTTCCTTCTCTTATTAATACAACTACTAATCACACACCAGAGCCTATAATCTTGAACTTTTGAAAAACAAAATACATTCATCAGTGTTTGAAAAGTAACCCCCAAGAAATTCATTCCTAAATCCTTTAAAATAAACAAATTAAGAGTCCAAGAATAGGAATTCAAGGAGATTTAAATTTGAATTAGCTTAACCACTTTTGACAAGTTTACACATGAAAGACACCAAGATTGTATGTACTACTTGCTGCTTTAAGAAGTTTCATTCTGTCTGTCTATATAAAAAGTTTCAGCCAAAGTTAAATCAATCTCCTCTACTGATTTTCAACATTAGACAAATACCCAGCCCCCCCCCTTCTTTTTTTTGAACCCTGCTTTCAGCCTGACTTTTTCCCCAATTGAAATTCAGACCCTCAATGGTTGGTTTTTCTTGGTTCTAAATGTTGATAAAAAAGGGTTTTCTCCACTCCCTCAATTTGATGTGACAGGCTTCTGACATGAATAATGGAAGCATTTCTTTCACAGGCAAATCAACTTAATTTAGCAAGCCTCTATACTCTCAGTGGGCAAGCCACAATCCCCGAGATTCCATGAGAGTCTTTAAGTTAGACAAAATCTTTAGAATTTGCAGAAAATGTATAAAGTAAACAACACTTATTTTGTCACAATACTTGAATAACTTTTATGCAGGAGTTACAGATGAATATATTACTTCCTAATCAGATCTTGATTTACAAGCAATTTGTGATGAACCCTCCAAGCTCAAGGGAAACTAGCTCCTAGTAAGAAAAATAAGGGAGTCTCTATACAAATAAATTTTAAAGCCTGCAGATTGAAAACAAAACAAAACAAAAAACAGAGAAAACAAACACCCCACTGCTCCCAAAAAAGGCAAATAAAAATCAAGGTACATGTACTTTGTAGAGCCAAGTGGAGTTTATAATAGCACTAGAAAAAATCTATTTTAAATAATCCCTTTAAGCAGAATCTTGGAGAGTTGAAACGGCAGCATTTCCTAGCCATGAGATTAAAAGGAATAGATCCTACAGTCATTTCCATTTCCAAATTCAGGACACAGCTATTCCCCTGAGAACTTTGCAGAACAGAAAGAAGACACATTAATAATACATTAGTGAAAGAAAGATGGGACTCATAAGAATAAAACTAAGACATATGCCTTCTGAGCTGGCCATTGAGGAATGGTTTTATTTATTTATTTACTTACTTATTTATTTTTGAGATGGAGTGTCACTCTGTCACCTGAGCTGGAGTGCAGTGGCTCAATCTCGGTTCACTGCAACCTCTGCCTCCCGGGTTCAAGCGATTCTCCTGCCTCAGCCTCCCGAGTAGCTGGGATTACAGGAGCACACCACTACGCCCAGCTAATTTTTTGTATTTTTAGTAGAGATGGAGTTTCACCATGCTGGCCAGGCTGGTCTCAAACTCTTGACCTTGTGATTGGCCCACCTCGGCCTCCCACAGTGCTGGGATTACAGGGGTGAGCCACTGCACCCAGCCTGAGGAATGGTTTTAAAATGAACATAACCAGACTTGGAGTGCAGCAAATTTTACATTAACATGATCTCTAACAGAATATAGTGGCTGATATGTGCCCTCTGGCCTTTGGTATCATATAAGAAGAAGTCTGGAAGAAAGAAAAGAACACAGGACTGGGAATCTGAAGACCTGCTCCAGGCCTAGCCAGGAAATTTTCCATATGACCTTAAACAAGTCCCTTCCCCTATCTGGGCCTCTGATTTCTTTCTGTTCAATGAGAAGGTAGAAGCAGGTGATCTCTAAGATTAGTTCCAACGCTAAAATGCTATAATTCCATAGCTTGGTGACAAAAATTCTAGATGATCGGTGATAAAATACAGAAGTATTGCATATAATTCATAAATTGTATAGAAAGTCTATAACTCTGGGATTGAGGCTGGAGTTGGTATAGCAAATCAATCTTGAGCCCCTCTGGCAGTTTTCCATAATTTTCTGTTTCCAAATGTATTTTTTAAAAACCATGTGCTTAGGCCAGGTGCAGTGGCTCACACCTGTAATCCCAGCACTTTGGGAGGCCGAAGCAGGTAGATCACCTGAGGTCAGGAGTTCGAGGCCAGCCTGACCAACATGGAGAAACCCCGTCTCTACTAAAAATACAAAAAAAAAAAAAAAAAAAAAAAATTAGCCGAGTGTGATGGCGCCTGCCTGTAATCCCAGCTACTCAGGAGGCTGAGGCAGGAGACTTGCTTGAACCTGGCAGGCGGAGGTTGTGGTGAGCCGAGATGGCGCCACTGCACTCCAGCCTGGGCAGCAAGAGCAAAACTCCGTCTCAAAACAAAAACAAAACAAAACAAAACAAAATATGCTTGCATCTGGAAAGGAAAACCCCAGCAACTGAGAGTTCCTTGGAGCAAAAATAGTTTTTTTAATTCTATATTTTTTTAATCATCAACTTCTGAGAATACTTATAAACTGGTAAATGATAATTGAGAGAACTTCACCTACATGTACACTTTTTTCAGTACTCTTAACATATTAATTTTTATCAGACAAATAAAAACATAATACTCTCCCAATAATATACTCTTTTAATAAAGACAGCTTCTGTTTCACTATTATTTAAAATTTTATGAAGGTCTGTTCGGGTAAAAAAAAAAAAACTGGCTTCCTTAATGTCAGACCTTTCACATTATATTTCAACCTCAATTTGCATGTTGCTGTTGTGGGATTCATAAATTAGGAGGTAACTGTTTCAGCAAAAAGGAAAAAGTGATGCTGTAAATTTCAAATAATAAATCCTTAACTATAGACAACTACTTTTAGATAAATATTGTTTCCGAGTGAAGAACCATTTTTTTTTAAATCCACACTCTACACATAAGCCTCTTTCTCTCTCTCTCCCTCTTCTTCTTCTCCCTCCCTCCCCTCAATTAGCTAATCAGCCAATTAGGGGTTCCAACAATTACAAATGTCAGGAAAGGGATAAAGGAAAAAAAAAAACGGGAAACCAGTCAAGGTAGAACAAAATCCTTTTACTTTAAAGGGTGTCCACCATTAACCCCTAAAGAATTCTACTCCACCTTGAGGGATTTGTTATTCCTAGTCTCAACCCCTCCCACCTTCCTTCCCTATTATAATTGTTAGGTCAGTTAATTGGCTGATTAAGGATACCCTGGCATTTTTTATTAACTGGCAATTAGAGTCAGACTCAGAGGCACAGAAGATCCTTTCTGATTGGTGGTGGCACTTGAGTTACAAAGATTAATAAAGTCAAATGAGTTTTAAGGTCTGGTTTAGTTAATTCAGCCTTCTTGTATGGATATTTTGGCATCATCCATAGTTCTAATATCATCTCAGTTGCTTTCAAACCAAACTGCATTCATTCAAGAGCAGCAATCATCTAGTATCAAAACTGGAAAAAAAAATCTGGCAATAATGTGAGAATATTAGATAATCACAAATCCTAGAGGTGTTTTCATCTGCCATAATAACAATGCTTATATTTTATTCAAAACACTCTTATTTTCTGTCTGTCTAGGTCCATTCCGATAGAAGACCCAAGCTTCCCAATCAAAAAGCCCACAGGAGTATAATATATGACATGCCCTAATCCCTTTAGCCTAGTTAAATCCTCTCACAGTCTCTTTCCATAACTTCTTTAAGACAAAGTGGCACTTATGAAGATCCATTACTAAAGGTGTCCATTATGGGCAAAGCAAATGCTCCCTTAAAACCCCCAAACAGCTTGTGTTACTATAAGACGATGGTATACTTGTATTAAAATTATGATCCACTAAGGCAGAACTGGATATATCAGTAATAGCCTGAACAAGCAACTACAAAATAGGATACACTGACTGTACATGTGGTATTGGGAGGGTGGCATCCCAGAAAAATACTGGAGGCAGTACAAAACAGTAGTTAAATCCAAGAGCTTTGGATCAGGTATACATAGCCTAAGTCAAAATCCTAGCTCTATCATGTTCTTAAAAGTGTGACCTTGAGTTAGTTTCTCAACATATGTGAGCCTTGTTTTTTTCATTTGTAAAATGAAGATAATAAAAGAATATACCTCTTAGGCTTAATGGGAAAATTATAGGACAAACATGCAAAACATTTTTCTCAAGTCTTAGCACACAGTAATTGTTCAATAAACAATAGCTATTATTGGCATGAGTGTCTTTCCTCCTTCAATTTACTGGATGGTTGAGGAAACCAACAGGCTTAAGGGCCATGTTTGCTATCCTGTAGATACAGTCTGAGAACTTGTGAAAACCTATAGGACAGAGATCAGAGAGCACGCAATTCCAGTGTAGGAAGAGTGGAACGAGTTTGACCATCAGAAACCCAAGCGTTGGGAAAAATAACATGGCTGGGGCCAGGTATGGTGGCTCACATCTGTAATCCCAGCACTTTGGGAGGCCAAGATGGACGGATCATCTGAGGTCAGGAGTTCGAGACCAGCCTGTCCAACATGGTGAAACCCATCTCTACTAAAAAAAAAAATACGAAAATTAGCCGGGCATGGTGATGGGCACCTGTAATCCCAGCTACTCGAGAGGCTGAGGCAGGAGAACTGCTTGAACCCGGGAGGTGGGGGTTGCAGTGAGCTGAGATCACGCCATTGCACTCCAGCTTGGATGACAAGAGTGAAACTCCATCTCAAAAAAAGGAAAAGAAAAAAAGAAAAAGTAAAATGGCTGGGTTCTAGGTCTAAGTCAGGTTGACAGGACTGGGGACTTGGTCAGGGGCTTGCCCAACTTCTGGGGCCTACTAGTTAATCACAAAACCTGCTTCACCCTTGGAGTGAGACACATGAAAAATTACACGAGGCAACTCAGTATCCCGTGGGGATAGAGGTTAAAAGAATGGATTGTGGAGCCAGACTGCCAGGGTTTTCATCTCTGCTGTTACTAGCTGTTTGACTTTAGGCGATGTAGTTAACCTCTCCATGCCTCAGTTATCTCATCTGTTAATTAGGGGACAAAAATAGGTATGAATTTATAATCCATATTATAAAAACTAAATTAGTATTTGTAAAACTTTTAAAAGAGTGCCTGACAAAAGTGAGTTTTATATAAATTTCTGTCAAATTAAATAAGTGAAACTTGTAATGTCCTCGCAGCATTCACTTTGCCCTCATGTCACTAGCATCCTGCCCTCCAAATGTCAAGTGTTTAGGAGACATGATGTATTTGATCTCCGTACCAGTTTTGCAAGATGGCAGTGAGATGACCAGAGGCAGAAAGGGATAATGGTGAGGAAGCCAGTAGTCCAAAAGCTAGTACTGTACCTCTCTATTCTGGTTTATATCCCACTGACACATGGTGACATACGGTTATCCATCACCTTTATTAGCCCTTTTAATGGAGAAGAAGAGAGTGAGGAGCAGGTCTAACACCAGACAAAATTGGAAAAGCAGTGCATTCTGTCTCCAAACTTTAATTCTCTCAGAACTCCTCAGTTCAGAAGTTGCTCTCTTCTATCTCTCCAACATGCAAATATTAAACCTCCTCCTTTAAGAAAAAATCCAAATGGAAACAGAATATTAGGGTTGGAAGGTCTATCTCCAAGTTTTTTGCCCTCATATTATAGATGAGGTCACTTATGCCCATAGAGGGGAAGCGACTTTAGTTAAATGATCAAATTCATATTTTTTCCCAATCTCTTTAGATTCAGTATCAAGTTGCATTTAGAGAAGAACAATGGACTGCTCTCATCCTAACATTTGCCGTTTGAATTCTTTGCAGACTGGCATGCCTTCCAAGAGTTCAAGCCAAATGCCACTTCATGAGTTCTGATGTGCTGTTTGCATGGGGCATTCCAATGCAAATTGAGTGTCTTGGTCATAACATCTTGGTCTTGTTCTTCTCTCAGATTTGCATCACTAATATATGCAAGTGCTGTACAGTTCAAGGGCATCTGGGGGGTAAAACTACATAGGAAATGTTGCCCTTTCACGGTTCTGTGTTCTCAATGGCCATTTAGTTACTATGGCAAGTTTCCCCAAAGTAACATTTTTACTCCAACTGTGAACCTGAAGGATTATTAATCACATGACCAACATATAAAGTAGCATGGATCACAAGTAGTAGGAGAGTGGAAGCAAAACAAAGAAGAGGTAGAATTTAGAGATAAAAAGAAAGTGATCACTGAGTCCAATTCTATCCTCATTTTACATATTCGGTAACAAAAGTCCTAAGAAAACAAATTACAGAGCTAGTTGGGGCCAGAACATGGTTGAGAACCCAGTTCCTGACTCCTGGTTCAGGGTTCCCTCCCCTGCAAAAATTTATGCATATGTTTTAGTTTATGTGAATTTCCTTTGGCAATAAATATATGCCTTGAAGTGGAAGTGAATCATATTATCTTAGGGTTCATCATGGGGACTTAGTCTAACTTAAATTCACAGCACCTCTGTGTTAAACATGTTGCTTTTTTCATGGGCAGAGAAATGCTATAATTTCAGTTAAAACCATTCCAGAAACTCTAAATATGAGAAATGGACGTGCTAGGGAAGGCTAACAATAGATCAAAATGGTACTCAAACCCTCTATGTGCTAGAACAGAAACTCCCTATAAATACTGTATTCAATTAAGGTAAAGTTCTTTTTAGATAACCAAACTACATTTAGAGAAATCCAATCATATAGAATTTTTATAGTACATTCTTCCCCTAATTTTCTTAGTTATCTGCTGGTCTTTATTTCCCAATGAAAACCATACATTAACACGCAGTTTGGAAGAAAATGAAAACATTTCTTGCTATGTTACAGGTCACCACTTAATGCAGCTGAAGTTTCATTTCTCTCCCATTAAAATTGCTTATTTGCCTCATCTGGATGTATATTAAATGGTAATAAGATACGGAATATATAAGGTTGTGACCCATGCCAGTAGGTTTTGCTGTTTTTAGAGGGTTTTTTTTTTTTTTTTTGCTGTTAATTGGTTGCACTCTATGTCAGATCTGATTCTTCTGCACCATTGTTAAGGCTGATGCTAAGGCCGATGATCCTTCAGAACACCATTGAAAAGAGAACAGCTAGAAAAAAATTTCACCAAAACAAGGAACTAGAAGGAAAATTTCTCAGGACAGAGTAATGTTTTTTACTTTTAAGTTCAGAAAATAAAATGCAGTCCATCCTGTGAAACTCATTGAGTATGAAAAAGAGTATTTTACCAGGAAAAAAAAAACTACTCAATTTGAAATTCTGCACTGATTTCAGAGGTTTCAGGTTAAAACACATTTGGGAAAATAGAAAACTGACTAATATGAAGAAATTACTCTTGCCAACCTCAAATAATGACCTGCCTTGTGGAACTATAATATTTTACGTCACCTAATAAATGTCCTCTTTAGCTGCTGAGTGTAAAGCTTTCTTTTTAATTTTTATAAATAAAATTATATGCTAACCTCACAAGGGAGGTCACTTTTTGAACAAATGGGGGAATTATTTTGCAATGTAAATAATCCCTCTCTAATTCATCTATCGAGAGTGGTTGGATTTTTGTTTATTAAACTTCTTATCAGAGAGCTAGCGTGCTTATCCTTGTTTTCCAGCGCTTGAAGGACAGGACTTGGGGGGAGCAGAAAAGCAGGACAGAGGCAAGATGAGGACACTGGCGAGGAAGTCAGAAGCCCTGGGTTAACCCAGTTCTACCACTGACTAGCCAAAGGACCCTAAGCAAGTCAGCAGATCTTTCTGGGCCTCAGTTTCTTTGCCTATAATATTGTCAGATAAAGAAACTATAAGAACCAAATGTAATCATCTGTGTAAAAGCACTTGGTAAACTGTAAAATGCTAGGCAAATAAAGTTGATAATTAATAATATGTCTCTGACTCCCCCCTCCAAAGCTGACAATGGAAATGATAATCAGCAGCTCCATAACAGGAAAACCCCATATCAAAGAATATAATTTTAATCAAATGGCCTATGGTTGAGCCCTGTCTTAAATAGAAAAAGAGTGTAGTCAGGTAACATTAGAAAACTCACATTAGATTGGAAGTAAGTTAGCCTGTATGGAGTCTCTCAGAATGGTACCAAGGGTCTTGCTGTGGGAGCAGAAAACAGTTTCATTCCAGGCTAACTCAGTGTGGAAAAACATACGCAACAAGTCCCCAGGTGATCGGTGAGCTTAAACTGTTTTAGGATCAATTTCAAATTTGATTCTGTATGATATATTGCAGGTAACCCTTTTAATTGATTTGAAAATACTGACCCTTTAAGGCTCAGTCCAGTTACCTCTTCCATGACCTGGCCCTGAATCCTATCAATTGGAAGGTATCTCTCCCTTGTCTATGCCCTAATACACATGGTGAGCCTCTAGTATGGCAATCATTTATATTTAGTTTATCATAGAATTTGTGTGTTTGTGTGTATGCACATATATGTCTGTAGTTTGACTCTCTCACGAGAATATAGGCTCCTTAAGGGCAGAAAGCATGTCTGGGTCATCATTATATACCCTTCACAGCATCTATCACATTGCCTTACACACATTAGTTGTCCAATAAACACTGATGACTGTTAAAGGTAATGAGAACCATTTATTTACTGTTAGGGGAGATATTTCCTTTTTCTATTCCCTAAAACTGTCTACTTCAAACCGTATGAAGCTACCATCTTTGACAAATCCTCTAATTGAGGGAATAATTCTATGGAGTAACAGCTAACCTATTTTTGAAAAAGTGGAAAAATTGGTACTTAGCATAACATAATCACTGTCCTTGAAGTAAAGTGATCAATGATCTCAGATTGGACAACAGGGATTCCCAATCTGGACAGAGCTGAGTATGGCAGTGTTGATAAATCCCTCAAGGGAGGTCAGCGCACTTGAGTTAACACAATCCTCCCTCCCAGTTAGAGGCTAGGTCCACCTAGGACAGTGCTATCCAACATAGAAGCCACTAGAAACATGTGCCTATTGAGCACATGAATTGTGCCCAGACTGAATTGAGATATACTGTAAATGTAAAACACATACTGGATTTCAAGACTTAGGACAAGATTTGTAAAAGAGCATTAAATATCTCAGTAATAATTTTATATTGATTGCATGTTGAAATGATACTATTTTGGGTATACTGAGTTAAATAAAATATTTTATTAAAATTAATTCACTCATTTTTTTAATGTAGCTACTGGAAAATTTAGAATTACATATGTGTCTTTCATTATATTTCCACTAGATAGCACTGCTCTAAGTGATCAAGGAAGTAAGAATGATCTATGAAGGAGCTAAAACTGGACCCTTTCTACTAAAACAAAACAAAACAAAACAAAATTCTACTCTTTTGTTTTGTTTTGTTTTGAGACAGGGTCTTGGTCTTGGTCTGTCACCCAGGCTGGAGTGCAGTGGTGCAATCACAGCTCATTACAACCTCTGCCTCCTGGGCTCAAGTGATCCTCCCACCTTAGCCTCCCAAATAGCTGGGACTACAGGAGCACACCAACAAGTCCGGCTAATTTTTGTATTTTTTTGTAGAGATGGGGCTTCACTGTATTGCTCAGGCTGGTCTCAAACTCTTGAGCTCAAGGGATCCACCCGCCTCAGCCTCTCAAAGTGCTAGGAATACAGGCGTGAGCCACCAAGATCAGCCTAAAACTCTACTCCTAAAACAACCTAAATCCTAATAATTTGTACATCCACCATCTCCTTTTGAGGTCAACAAGGTGCCAAAAACCAAAGGGTCATGACACAGCACTGGTACAATAATATAACTACGTATGTAAAATATCTGAATCTGTATACAAGCTAGGAACAGGAATTCTCAATGAAGGCCTCCCAAGCAGAGAATTGTAAAATTTTTAGAAAGAGTTGCAAGTCAATAAGAACAGACATTCTCAAAGTTTCTGAACAATGAAACTTGAATATTTACCCTTCTAACTGTGTTGACACTATATGGCAACAAACTGAAAAGGGAAAATAAAATTGAAACATTTTGCACCAGGTAGCGTATTACCTTGCATTCTTAACAGTGTTTGTGGAATTGAATTGAATTTGACAGAAGTTGCGTAATTGAATTTGATCTCTTTTTAAACTGAAGTTAATGTAACTAGCGTATGTTCATACACAACCCTAAAACTCCGAGTTGACTAACATGTATCATGTGTGAACGCTGTGCTGTGCTGTCTTGGCCATTTACATAACTACTGAATCCTTGCTAGAGCACTAGCTGCTATAGGGAAAAATTAATTATAAGCTAGACCTGTGTTGTAATAAATACCCTCTCATAACCATTTCATCTAAAGAAGGAGGGGTTCTGTGGCCTAGCCCCTATGGAGAGCATCATAACAGAGCCTAAGATTACTGCACACAAGTGCAGGAGTTAAATTTTATCATCCATGAAGATGTGTGTTCTATGCATAATGTGCAGATATCATCTGAAATTGGAGTATTAAAAAGAGACTTTAAGAAATAGGAAGAATTGATTTTTAAGCAAATGCAATGTAAATATTGAAAGAATAGCCCTGTTAAATTGCGCCTAATTCCACTTAAAACATGAAAAGCCAAAAGTGGTATCAACAGGTCTATTCAGTAAATTAACTGATTTTTTTTTTTTTATATTTTACCAAATTAGGTAAACATTCAATCCAGGTATTTGGCATGTGAAAACAGAGTAAGCAGTTGATTAATCGATCTATTTTCTTTCTTTCTTTCTTTTTTATTTATTTATTTATTTTGGAGACAGAGTCTTGCTCTGTTGCCCAGGCTGGAGTGCAGTGGTATGATCTCAGCTCACTGCAATTTCCGCCTCCCAGGTTCAAGTGATTCTCCTGCCTCAGTCTCCCAAGTAGCTGGGATTACAGGTGCCCACCAACACACCCAGCTAGTTTTTGTATTTTTAGTAGAAACGGGGTTTCACCATGTTGGCCAGGCTGGTCTCGAACTCCTGACCTCAAGTGATCCGCCTGCCTTGGCCTCCCAAAGTGCTAGGATTATAGGCGTGAGCAACCGCCAAGCCAATCGATCTATTTTCAACAGGTTGTGTGGATATCCTGCAGGCACAGACTTAGTCAGAAGGCTAAAAAGAGGCAAAAATCCGATCACATATAGTAAAGTGCAGATGGTCCCAGTGACTCAGCAACCTCTGTCCAACTTTACTCATATTAGAATGCTCTTACACTGGGTTGTTTTTAATGAGAACCAAATCTATTTATGTATTTTCCTAGTTTTCTTTATCATCTCCTTGTGTACCATTGAGTAGTTTTTGAGGACACAAGCCACTATTACAATGTTGTCAAGGCCCTTCTCGTTTTCTAGTTCAAATCCTTGTTCATGCTGTTTGCTAAGTACTTGTTCCCTGTGACAGCTTTCAGCCAAACAGAACACACTGAATGCTGCATTCCAAACCACTCTGTCCTGCTGGGCTCCGAGTAAAACAAGCTCTTCAAACTCCATCATGTGAACCTTTCACAAGGAACAATCTCCCTCAGACAATTCCATTCAGAGATACTATCCGTGAAACTGGGACTGGGGGAAGAGGTGACATCACAGGCTTCCCCCTCTGGCCAGGGTCATGACCACCAAAGTTGTATTTAAGAGGCTCCCACGTGGTTTGGCACATGATTTCCTTAATGATCTGACATTTTCCCCAACTTTCCCATAAGCTTCTAATTTAAGATATTCACACTTAAACAGAAAATTGGGTTCTGGTGTCAAGAAAGCCTGAGATTTCAAGACGTAAAGAATGAACAAATTGCAGCTGGGGTCTCTATTAGGGATAGGAGGGTAGATGTATGACATACTATATAATACATGCCATATGTGAGGGTTTGGGGCAGTACATTAGGAAACACAGAAACAAAAAGCATTATATCCAACCAAGAGGCTGGAAAAGTTGTGATTTTATTTTTTATAAAAAGGAAGGAAGAAAAAAATGAGAAAAAGTTAAATGAGTTAGATTTTATTATTTTTTTCAATGTCTGAAGCGAAGGTTTGGAAACGGGAATTTTGAAAAATACAAGAGGATTATTCCACTGAGATGGATAGCCAGCTTGTCTGCAGTTAAGCTACAATAGAAGGAGAGCAGCACATCCAGCTGCATTCCGAGGAATCTGGGGCTGTTTTCAGAAAGACCTGCCTGGCAGCTCCTGAAGAAGATTTTGGACTCTTCTAAAAGCTTTTTAATGTGAGAAGAGCAGCTCATGGATCCAAAATGGTTTCTATTCCAGTTCTCACAAGAGTTGGGGCATGTGGACTCGGTGACCTTCCAATTCTCCCTTTAGTCCAATGAGTCTGTGAACTCTTCTCTCTGTGTAACATCCTTCTGCTCAACTTATTTTTGAAAAAGAACAGTGCCCAAAGAAGGGAACATTTGGCTGTAATGTGCCTCCTAAGCCTTTGGAATTTTTTGTTTGTTTGTTTGTTTTCATTCTTGACCTGCTGAAGAAGATGGAACTAAAAGAGAGGGAAGAGTGTGCTGTGCACACACATTCCCATTCTACAAGCAGCTCTGCCACTCCCACCTAGTGAATTTCCTGGCTCTGAATTGTTTCAACTTGGCAGTCCTTATTTCCAATGGGCTCACAGAGCTCAACCAGTCAAATACTAGATTGCTAAAATGAGAGTATCATAGAAAGGTTATCACTACCATTGCCTACTGAATTACATCAGAGATCAGAAAGTACCGGAACTGTGAGGACTTTAGCACAACTAACTCCCTTATTTCATATATCAAACAAAAAAAGGTCCAGAAAAGAAATCAACTTGCTTAAGATTATCAGGAAAGTCAAGGCTTAAACCAAGATCCTGCGTGCTTGCCCTAGATGCCTGAGACACTGCAATTTTGTCTACAAATGAGAATGTTGATAACTTATTTGCTACCCTTCTTTGCAGAAATATGTTTAATGTCACACAGAATAAAACTGTTCCCCCAAGGTTTTGTTTTGAGCTTTCCATACCCTAATATAATTTTATGACAAAGATAATTTTTTCACTAAAACATAAATGTACAATGTAATATTGATTATGCTTTTTCAACCTACACATGCAATCATGGAGATTCTTACACACCTCCCTAGGGAAGTGAGCCCCTTGGCATAAGAATGAATGGTTTACAGACTAGTGGGGCAGACAAAGAAGCAAACTGACAATTACAGTGATAAGTCCAAAGTGTGGGGATTTAATCCTGACTCAGAAGGACAAGGAAGGTATCAAAAAAAAAAAAAGATAAAGCCTGAGGTGAGCTTTGAAGGCTGAATAGGAGTTAGGCAAGCAACGGGGGGCATTCCAGACCAAGGGAGCAACAAGGCAAAAGGGCCCAGAGGCAGAGATTATAGAAAATTCAGGAAACTTCAAGTGTTCAAGTGGCCTAGTTTGGCTGGTGGCTAGAGCACAGTGGCAGTGGCAAGGGGTTACTTGTGTTCCCTGAATGCACAATTCCAACAGCTTCCCCTAAATAAACACAGCGTAGTAAAAAGAGTACGCTTACCATGCCAGAGTGGCTTCATAATCAAGTTCCCCAGCCCCACCTGACCATCAACATATTAATTACAAGGTCATACACAATGTAACTAAGGGAGGTACAATGAAGGGAGCAATGGACTGGAACTTACCAATAAGTCACTGTGGCCCTTTCTAGTGAGGTCAGTTGCCGCATTTGTAAAATGAATAGTTGACCCTGCCCTGAATAATCCTTAAGGTCCCTTTTGGCTTTGTATTTGCAATCTAGTAACCGTGCATATACTACTAGAAGATCAAACATAAAGGTCTGTAGACATCCACAAAGGCCCAAGATGATCAGCAACCAATCCTCCCCTGATCCCTACTCCATCATCATTTTATAAAAGGCAAAGTGATCTAATTGCAGTGTTCCCAAACTATCAGTGCATATGCAGTTTTCACCAGAAAGCAGAGGTCTAATGGATAAAATATGCAGCTAGAGGTTAGGAAATCAGAGCCTTCTTCTCTCAGGCTCCTATAAAAAGGAAAAAAATGAGGAAATTTCAGTTATTAACAAGTGTTTGCCTCAGTCTTATCTAAGCTCCCTGGAAGAGAATGTATGAACTATGCAAAGTGATAAAGATATCTACAAATGGGGAGATTCACTTTAAGCCTGCATAGAAAGTTCAACAACAATAATCAATTTAAAATTAGCTCCTTGAATCCATCACTTGAATCCATCACAATCAGCATCAGGATGGGTTTTCAGACTTCGCTGTGCAACACAATTACTGAGACCTCTTCCTGAAAGCGGGTAGCTTTGGGGAAACTCCCATTGAGATTTTAATTCAGCAAGGGCGATTCTGAAGTCACCAGTTTCACAAACTCCTCAGGAGATTCTCATGAGCGGTGGTCATGGGACGCACCACACTGCAAAAAGCTGAATCTAGTAGTTAGGAATGAGGGTAAAGATACACAGCAAAGAATTATCTACAAATTAGGGTATGGGCTTCAGGTGCCTTCCCTGGGCAGTAAGTAAATAGAGAAAGGGGAAAGGAGAATAGATATACCTGGGTCTGGATAGAGTCCTCCTCCTCCACTCATTTAATAAATATTCATTGTGTGCCCATATGGATCAGGCACTGTACTAGGGATTACAGAAGTAAACAAGACAGATGAGGTCCTTGCCCTCATATTGACATGACCTCTTATGACCTTCCCTACCTACCTGTTAAAACTGCTGCGGTTGATCAGTCCTATAGATCCCAATGATTCCAGTGCATAAGAAGCAGGAAGGAAAAAAAAGGGAATGGCCACTTTGTTTCTTCAAAACTGGCCTTCCAAGAGATACTGCTGTTGGAAGTGAAGGCTTTCTTAGCCTTAAAGAAGCACTGTAGGCTGGGCGCGGTGGCTCACGCCTGTAATCCCAGCACTTGGGGAGGCCGAGGCTGGTGGATCAGGAGGTCAGGATAGCGAGACCATCCTGGCTAACATGGTGAAACCCCGACTCTACTAAAATTACAAAAAAATTAGCCAGGCATGGTAGCGGGCGCCTGTAGTCCCAACTACTTGGGAGGCTGAGGCAGGAGAATGGCGTGAACCTGGGAGGTGGAGCTTGCAGTGAGCCGAGATCGCACCACTGCACTCCAGCCTGGGAGGGAGCGAGACTCCGCCTCAAAAAAAAAAAAAAAAAAAAAGAAGCACTGTAGAACACAGTGAAGCTGTTTCCTACCTTGTAAGCTTTGTGTTGTGGGAGGGTGGGATGAGCAAAGGCTTGTCAGAGAAAGCCCTGTCAAGGTAAACATCTCCCCCAATGCGGGTTAACTGAATGGCAACATCCCCAGTAAAATGCATCCTACAGGGATACCCTGTCCTGTCTCTGTCTCTGCCCCAGTGTCTCAGTTTTGGACAAGCTGGCATTCTGTCAAGCTAATCTTCCTAAAGCAGTATTAACTCCTGCACCTAGAGAGAACCTAAAGAACTGGGGACAGGCATTTGAGACCCTAAACACCTTGGCTTGTACCTCCCCTACCCATTTCTTGTGATTCCCTGAACTCACTTCACTGTTTGCTCCTTCTCAAACTTTGTTAGACACCGTTCCCTGTTGGCATCCCTGGACACTCCCTTCCTACCCATTTTTCTGGGCCCGGTTCAAATGCTACTTCTTCCAGAAGCTGTGACCCTCTCAGCAAGGAGAGTCTCTGACCTCTGAATTCTGCACAGCCCTTGGGCACTTTTCCCAGTTAGAAGCGTGCTTTTGGCTACATAATTTATCTTCCAAGGCAGGATGTGCTCTTTGAGGATAAGAATTGTTTTTATGCTTTTTTATATCCCTTCTCAGGACCTAGCACAGTACCTCAATAGCCAGTTCTTCTCTGGGTTTTTTTCTCTTTTTTTTTTTTTTTTTTTTTTTTTTTTTGAGACGGAGTTTTGCTCTTGTCGCCCAGGCTGGAGTGCAATGGTGCGGTCTCAGCTCACTGCAACCTCCACCTCCTGGGTTCAAGTGATTCTCCTGCCTCAGCTTCCTGAGTAGCTGGGATTACAGGTGCCCACCACCACGCCCCGCTAATTTTTATATTTTTAGTAGAGATGGGGTTTCATTCACCATGTTGGCCAGGCTGGTCTCGAACTCCTGACCTCAGGTGATCTGCCCACCTCGGCCTCCCAAAGTGCTGGGATTACAGGCATGAGCCACCGTGCCCGGCCAGCCAGTTTTTATTATATCATGGAATTTGCATTATTTTATTATTTTAATGCATTCATCAATTACAAATCTACTCGAAAGGCCATGCTAATGAAGCAGAAACAACTCTGGTGTGAACATAAAGGCAAGGTTTTGCCAATCTATAATATTTTATGCACTGGTTTTGGGAGACCCTGGGAAGATTGGGCTTTTTAACTCCCCACCCCCACTTCAATAATCATACTCCCACCTCCCCTCCCCTCCCCAACCCCCCAGATCCCCACCTGCTCTACCTCCTTCATCGCCTCCACACCACCCCACCCCACCCTACCCCAACCTCATTTAAAACCACTTTAGCCTTTTAGGTGCCCTAGGACCTTGGCTTCCAATTTTTTTCTACTTTACACCCTCCTCCTCATATTTTTTCAGGCCAGAGGTGGTAGATGTTTCATTACCCCTAATTGCAAAGTGCATCCTTCAGGCAACTTCAGGAACTCCAAGGTTGCCCTAGTATCCAGATTGGTGACCCTGAGTGCTCATGAGCTCAACACACTTACACAAGATCTGTGATATTTAGGCAAGTTTCTAATGTGAAACAGTAATTTCCAGTTCAAACACAGAGATTCTACTTGCTGATTTTAAAGCTGATCTACTTTTCTGCTTTTTCTAAAATAAAATGATTTTAATGTTTTATTGATTTTTATTTATAGAGAAGGGAGAACCTTTATTGAGTATTTTATGTGCCAAGATTGTGCTGGACACTTGAAATATAAATTTCACCTGATCCTCACAACCACCTTAGGAGACACACAGTTCCATTTTACAGATGAAAAACTGAGGTCAATAGACATTAAGTAACTTGTTCAAAATCATGCAGCTAATTTATAGAGCTAGGATTCTGCTGTTGGTCCTTTTAAAACGAAGTTCACACTCTTTTGGTTATACCATGCTGTACCCTTAATTAAAACCCAGAAGTTCAAAAGGCTGGGCACGGTGGCTCACGCCTGTAATCCCAGCACTTTGGGAGGCCAAGGTGGGCGGATCACAAGGTCAGGAGTTCGAGACCAGCCTGGCCAACATAGTGAAACCCCGTCTCTACTAAAAACACAAAAAATTAGCCGGGCGTGGTGGCAGGCACCTGCAATCCCAGCTTCTCGGGAGGCTGAGGCAGGAGAATCCCTTGAACCCGGGAGGCGGAGGTTGCAGTGAGCCGAGATCACGCCATTGCACTCCAGCCCGGGCAACAGTGCGAGGCTCTGTCTTAAAAAAAAAAAAAAAAGAAAAAAAAAAAAAAACCCAGAAGTTCATTCTGACTACTTGGTCTTCCACTTCAAAACAGAGATCATAAAAAAGATGTAACCTCAGAAAAAGGAATTTTTACATTCCTAAAAAAAAAGAGCACCACTGGGCCACCATCTCATCAGGGTCTCAGTTGATGGTTTAGTTTTCCCCAAAAAAGCACTGAATTGACTCAATATTAAGTAATACCTGCGTAACCACCACAGCACCTCTTTGCAGCATCACATAATCACCAAAATCAACAATTTTTCAAAATTAAAAAAATCACAGCCTAATATGTATTACTTGCAGTTTCTTTCTAGAAATTAGGTGCATGGTATAGTGAGGTAAAAATGGAAGACTCCAGATTTCACAAAGATGTCAAGTTTTACATTTTGATACAATGCAATTGAATTGGCAAAGACCATTAAAGCCAACAATTATCAAAGAAAAAAGTATTCTATAACCAAGTAAACACCTGCTATGACTTCCCTTTAAGAATAAATAAGGTCACATTTATTCATTCAATGAACATTTATTGAGCACCTGGAACTGTGCTAGGTGCTGAGGAATATAACTGTGAACAAGATAAATCAGACTCCTGCCTTGACCAGATACGTTTGCTTTAAATGATCCTGCTAACTACTACATATTTGTTCTCTGCTAGGATTATATTTTTTGGAAAGTCAGAGTCATATGAAGCCTCTTCTGGAATACTTTTAAAGTTTCTTTATGGCAAAATTGTTAGAAATCTTTGTTTAACTTAGAGAAGGGAAGAAAAATGGTCTCCAGTAACCTTTAGACAAGCATGTCGACGGTTGAGTTCACTCTCAAGCAATATGGCGGCAGGCAACCAATGAGGCAGTTTAGACCATTCGGTTGCGCTTTTGGATTGGGGAGTCTGTGATGCCATCACTGCATTGGGCCGAGGTGCGCTTGCGGATCCCCCCACTGTCCAGGTGGAGGGCCAGTTCCTCTGAGTCGAAGGGATTCAAGTCGTCCTCCAAGAAGCTAGTTTTTCGGCGCCCACTGCTGGCGACACCGCTGTCTTGAGGCGAGTCGCCCGATCGCATGCTGATGCCGGCCATAGCACCACTGAGGCCATGCAGGGCGATCGCCTCCTGGAAGGGCTGCAGGTCGACGTCCACCGATGAGCTGGACTCAGTTGCCACAGCCTGGCTGGTGACCCCAGTGGGTGGCTTCGGGGGTGTCCTAGGAGTGCGAGGTGGAGGAGGAGCGGGGGGCACTTTGCCACACAGGAAGCTAATCAAGTCTTCGCGACGAATGGTGCTCCGGCCCTTTTTCACCCACTCCAGCACATCTTTGATGCGACGCTGGTGGCCAACCTGGACACCCAAGTCAAAACTTCGTTGGTGGGCATCCCCGCTCTCTTTGTAGAGGCTGGTCACGGCCATGGCCGCATTCTGGAAGGGGTCCCACATGGAAAGTCCTTGCTGTTGGCACCCAGAATCCTTGTAAAGCTGAGCAACGGCGGTGGCCGAGATCTGGAAGAGGTGCCACAGCTTCTGCTTCTCGCTCTTGAGCCCTGCCAACTCTGCAGCCGCCTCCTCCTGCAGCTCGGGGGGCAGCTGCTCCTCCTGCTCGGCCTCAGCCAGGCACTGGCGCTCCCACTTGGAAAACCAGTGCTCCGCGACCTCGGCCTCGCCCTCCTTCTGCTGCTCCTCCATCCTCCTCTTCAGGCCGCGCACCTCCACCACCGCCTCCTCCTCCGCCGCCGCCGCTGCTGCCTACTCTTGGTCCTCCACCTCCTCACCTCCTGCTCCGAGCTCCCCGCCTCCTTCTGCGGCCGCCGCCTCCTTCGCGTGCGCCGCCCTGCGGGCGGGCGGGCGCGCGGGCGGCGGGGCCCTGAGGCCAACTGCTACAGCGCTAGTCGCCCGCGGCCCTGGTGCACGCCCCGCCCCGCCCGCCGGCTCAGCCACCCGCAACGGCGTGGATGCTGCCTTCGCGGCCGCGGAGATAACCCCGCAGCCGCCGGCGCCGCCGCGATGCCCCCTTCCGGCCCCACGGTCCGCTCCTACGGCCCCCCCATGGCGCCGCGGCCTCCCAGCCGCCGCCGCCGCCGCCGCCTCGGTCGCCGCCGCCGCTGCGGCCCCGCAGCTCGGTCCCAGCCCCCGCTTGCGCCGCGGCTGCAGCACCGATAACTCGGAGCGGGGCTGGCAGGAGCGCTGCCTCAACGCGGCGCCTGCCTACCTCTTAGCCCCCTTTTCACACATTTTTGGGACTTGTCGGCTTCATCCAATGAGCTGATCAAATTTTACATCCTATGTTGCCAGAGAGGATTATGGGGCAACTTCATGGTGTCGATCACATCCAGGGCGCCGATCCGGGGAGGCCGGGGGAATAAAAGTGGAAAGAGCGCGGCCCTCGTGGGTAGGCAGGCAGTCTGGACCCTAGCAATGTCCTCCCCACACTAGGTGCCCGAGAAAAGTGTTTTCCGTGGACGAAAGTAGTATTTTGTAGAAGAAAAAAAATCACAGGGAAAGTGCCTGCCTCGTCTTCTTGGGCCTCAGTTTCCCCAAGTGCCCGTTGAAGTTGTTAAACTAGGTCTCCGGAAAGTGCTCCAGTCCTGATTGAGAACTTTCCTGCTGTCCCTGCAAAGCACTACTTCGGGGTTAGTTTCATACTTATCAAATTACAAGAGTAACGGTCAGAAATGGTATTGATCCCCCCTTCATTCTTGCAAAGGTTTTTGTCATTAAGAAAAATGGGGTGGAGAGTGGATTCTGTGTGGACTACTCTCAACTATTGAAAATCCCAAGATGAAGGAGCAAGGGGAAAGAAAAAAGGAAATAAAAATGAATGCTCAAACACGAGATTTTCTGTTCTAATATAAAGTTCAGTCCCTTTTAGGAAAAAAAAGGAAAAAAAAAAACTAATTTCCAAAACCCTAAAAATTCTAGCTAGTTAAAACATCATAATAATACCAAAATTAAGCTAAAACGGTATGGAACACTAACGTCATTTCCTTGGGTTCAATAACAAATCCCTTGTAATAATGCAATGTTTTTTCAGTGCAGACAATTCCAGAGCAAACTGTGTTAAAAACAAACAAACAAAAAAAAAATCACTGAGCTAAAAATAACATCAAAAGTTGGAGGAACTAACGTAATCATTTTTAAGATTTAGAGAAAAAAGTTAGAATTTTGCAGTTTTTGTTGTGGAATAATTGCTAAGTATCCAGAAAGCCTTACAGACATAAATAAAGCTAACTCTTCTAGCAAAATATGTCTAATAATTCCCAAGAATGAAAATTAGTACATAAAATAAAATTATCATTAAGTTTTATCATCTCCCTTAAAAGAAATACATGTTTCTAAGTTAAATTTAGAAGAGAAGAAGAGTGAATTGTGCCCTTTCTCTGCAAACCGGGCTTTTTCACGATTCATTAAACCCTTTTTCCATATGTGTAATTGGACTCTTCTCATTTACATAAACGAAGGATGAGGCAAAAGACCTAAGATCAGCCTAAGAGGAGAGATACGTTTCTCATTCTTTTATGTTAAAAAATATATATTGTGGAAGAAACCAAGAAGGCAGACCCTACTTCATCCCCCACCCCTCACCAGACCTGAAATATTAATACTTCATGGCCAAGGAGTAAGCAGGTTTGCAGAGCTTTGAGGGTTGCCCTACATCTGGTGCATCACAGTCATTATCACAGGCACATGTTTTTGTTTTATTTTCTCTAAGTAAAAAGCTTAGACCAAAGTGACTGACAGTAGGACAGCATATCCTACTTTCTCCTCTCATTTTTGACTGGGTTAAAAACCAAGAAGAAAGACTGCTCTGTCTTTTAAAGAGCACAACACTCTGCTTGGGCTTGAGTTGTCTGGCTGGTATCCTCCATTCAGTTGGTTTCAGCACCTGATTAATTAGTTAATTAGTACTTAGAGCTGACCAGCCCTGGTCGGCAATTTTCATGCCCTGCATGGTGAAATGTTGAATCCCACATTGAAATTTCTGTGTCGCACACCCTAATTATTATCACCCCACTACTTTTTAAACCATTGCGCCAAATTATTATTATAGACAGAGCCGGACAACTGTGTGAGAATATGTTCTTTCTGAGAAATAATGGTAGACAATATTTTTCACTGTTGTCCTTAACACATTTAAATAAAACAATTGAGTAGGGGAAATTCTAATTCAATTAGCCTCCAACTCCTTCTACTGAGAAAATGATTTTATATGAGAGATGTTAGAAAAAAATCACACCAGAAATTTTAGTAATGTTTTATCAGTTCTCAGGATGCCAGAGAGTGTGTTTATAAGATATCCTATCTGACATTAGTTTTCTTCCTATATAATTCTAAAATGTCCGGATTATTTTTAAAATAATAGGAAACAGATACTAAACAAAAAGACCATTTTCTTACTTGCTCTAAGGAAATGATGCTATCTGTGTATGTGTGTGAGGGAGAACTTTTGATGTTTAAAAAAAAAACTGACATGGTTTAGGAGTAAGTTTTCTGCGGGAAAAAAAATATTTCTTTGCCACTGCCTCATTCTTCCATAAGTTTGGTGTCTTGGCTAAGGTTAAATATCAAGTAGGGAAAAATAGTGTTAGAAAATAAGTTAGGACACAAATCTATAGCAATCTCATTTTTAGCGTTTCTCAGTATACCATTACGAAAATGGGCTCCAGTATCAATGATTTCCAGTATTATTGCTAGCTATTTTCACCTGGAAACAATCCTTATATATCAGTAGTGGGTTGCTTGTAATTGTAAGAGCTAAATGGTACACAAAACTGGATACACAACCACACAGACCAGTAAATGGGTCAGACTGAAAGCAAAAGTAAACACCAACCTTAGGAAATGAAAGAAGTTAAAAGATAAGTGTTAAGGACCTTATTCTTTTTGGAGAATAAAACAAGATTTAGTAGCTTTCCACTTAATTTAAATGAAAAGAATCACTACCTTACATATTGCAGTGATAATGTAATGGGGAAAGAAAACAAAAAAGTCTTTGTACAAATGACACCTCCTATAGTTGTTGTGAAGAAACTTTTCCCCTTGGTATCTGCTAACAAATTCTAATTAATGCTGCACATTCCTTTACTGAAATCATTTAATGCGTAACAAGGGGGGTAAAAAGAAATGCTGAATGCTCGTGATTGCCCTGTTAGAATTATGGGAGTGAAAGCCTGGGGCCCCAAACTTACTGTCTATTAAAGCCAAGCTTTGAAAAAGAAATGCAACCTACAAAAGCTGTCAATCTCCCTTGCCCCTAAAGCCTGGGTTCACATGGATTCAAGTGACAGCCCTCCTCCCCCATGCACAATACATCAATCTGTCTCTCCCACAAGCACCCACAGCCCATTGTGCTGGCCGCAGGTGCCTATTATGGCACCCATGGCTGCCTCCCACAGCTCCGCCCCTGAGAAACAGGAACTGCACACAATGGAGCCCTGTGGGAAGACAGAGGTGGGTGTTGGGAGGGATAACAGACAGATGGTAAAGGGTACGGGGTAGTAAGGTAGTTTCAAAACAAATGTCAAACATTCAAAATTATTGCTTTCACGTGCCCCCCTTTTTGAATTGCCTTTGCTTCAATCACCATCTGCCATAATTATGAAAACACATACCTGTTAGGATGAATATATGCTCTTCTTTTTGGGTGGTGGTCGAGAGGATGACCTTCAATACTCTACTCCTCCTATTTAGCCTCTAGGTTTCTCAAGGTCGCAGACTGAGGAGTTTTAGTTAAGTGACACCAGTAGAGCATATAGGGGAAGGAAGAAATAGTTCTAATTTTTTTTTTTTACACGGCTTGTGATTTCCTCTTAAGCTTAGTTTGGGGATTCGTAAGAGGGTAAAGGTGATGGAAACTAGTTGCTTTGGGTAATATGTTAGTGAAATCAAAGTGTTATGAGATGTCTTAAAATATCAAACTAAGCAGGTGGAAATTCTTAGGCCATTTCTTTTCTGGTAGGGAGATACAAAAAGGGAGATGAGGTAGATTTAATAATAAAAGTACTGAAGGTCTCTGACTCAGCCTCTTTTCCTATTCCTAAACATGCCAAAATAAATGAGGAAAATTGTAAAAAAAAAATTACTAAATACTATTGACATTGAATACCATTATCAGAAGTAGTACATTTTTAACATTTCATCTTATTAAATGTCCTATGATGTTTTCATCTTTGGAGTTCTAGACTAATTAAGAAGCAATGAGTGGAAGAATTAAAATATATGCCAAAAACACATATTAGTTCAAATAATTTGATTTAGTTGATTTTGTCCTTATATAGTCATCTCTGTATACCACCTATTCCTGTTTCCAAGATAATCTGTCATAAATCAAAACCAAATTAACAATAATTTCATCACTACTCTTACTACCTGACTCAAACAGAAAGCAACCAAGAAAAATCTGGCACAACTGTAAGTCATGGTCAAGACAATTAGTGACTTGTTGGGATAAGGGTACCCCCCAGAATAATGCCAGAAACTAAAACCAGCCAGCTTTCTTGAAGCAAACAACAGGGTCTTGGTTTGTTGTCAAAAACCACAAACTAGGCTTTAACTAGGAACTGTCAGAGATCCAAGTGAGCTCTTGGCCAGGGAGAGCTTAATTAGCAGAGTTGGTTTGGTTTTTAAATTACACAAGAAAAACAACCAATACAGTATGAAAGCATACAGTGATCTAATGTAACACAAAATTCACTATTCCATTATATGTGTGTGTAGTAGTTTTGCACATTTTATTAACAATTTAGATTTAGATTTCAAACGTTATTTTTGTGCCCATTACTAGGGCATGGGTTTTTGTTTTGTTTTGTTTTCTTCTTGTGTATCTTTTCAGAGATTCTTATGTCTTCATCACCAAATGCAAATATGCATCCCTCTTCTTTTTAATATAAATGGTAGCATATGCCATTTCTTTTTAACCTGATGGATTCTGGGGATCAGTCCGTATCAGAACAGTAAGAGCATACGTTATTTGTAAATATTAAGACTCTAGTTCAACAAGAGTTTACTTATAAATTGTTTCTATGACATCCAAAATATTCAGAGTTCAAAAGAAATCCCCAGGGCTTTCCATTTAATCCATGGCCCGTTTTTCATATCTCTGGTATCTTACAAAAATGACATTGCTTAATTAACTAATTAAAAGATGTCAGGTTTTAGCTGTAAAATTTGTTGACAATACATACTCTCCTTTTACCTGTGCTCCAATACTAAGCTCTTTGACTTCTAGATGTTTTCCATGGAGCTACTGAGTTTTTATTTTATCTTATAATTTTAATTATTAGAGACGGGGTCTAACTATGTTGCCCAGGCTGGAGTTCAGCGGCTATTCACACACATACCATCCCACTACTGATAAGCACAGGAGTTTTGACCTGCTCCATTCCTGGGCTAGATCACCCCTCCTTGGGCAACCTGGTAGTCCCTTGCTCTCAGGAGGTCACCATATTGATGCTGAACCTAGTGCAGGCACCCTATCGTCATAGGGCACTACAACCCAGAACTCCTCTGCTCAAGCCATCCTTTTGCCTCAGCCTCCTGAGTAGCTGAGATTACAGGCAAGCGTCACCACACCCACCTACTTTAAAATTAACATAGTTTGTTGGTTAAAATTGAAGATTATATTGTCAGACAAAACTGAGTTCTAATTCTGGCTCTGGAGCTTGAAAGTGGTGTGATTTAATTTCTCTGATATTCAGTTTTCTCTAAAATGATGATAATAATAGTCCTTACTTCATAGGTTTGTAGTAAAGAGTAAATGAGACCATGCACTCACACCTAAAATAAAGCCTGTTACATAGTAAATCCTCAATAAACAGTATATATTATTACTATTATTATTAATAATAACAGCAGCTATAGGACTCTAAGGATTAGCTAAATGGGGTCCCAAATGTGACTAATCAGCAAAATCACTTGAGGGAGCTTTTCAAAAACACCCATACCCCAGCCAATTGAATAGGTCTGGGGTGAGGCCTGGGAATCTGTATTTTAAAGCATCACAGAGGTGTGCATAAAAGAAATTTCAAGATGACAACTACTAAGCTGACCAAGAAAGCAATAGGTCATAATTAGAACAGGAAGTCAGGGAGGTCAGTGAAAAATACTCTTAAGATGGACACAAATTCCATAATCAACCCATATAAGAAACCAGAAGTTATTTACATGTGGTTTTGGTTGTCAATAAAACAAATACAATTAGGAACTCTAAAGAAAACAAAAAGCTGTATTATGATCTTGGTTCTAATAAGAAGCATACTAACACGTGGCATCATCCTGAGCCATTGAAGGAGTGTAAGAAAAGATAATCCATTTGATTTTGACACTTGAAGCATTCTCCTTCAAGCAGCACTTCTTTGGTGCCATATGGTTACATTTTTTTCTCTCTGGGTCCAATCACACACCTTGGTCTTGCTGTGAATATTATTTACATGGAATTTACTATTGGAAACGCTGTTTATTGGTTCAATTTTTTAAATTAAGCTTTTAATTTTTTTTTTTTTTTGAGACAGGGTCTCACTCCCATTACCCAGGCTGTAGTGCAGTGGTGCAATCATGGCTCACTGCAGCCTCAACTTCCCGGGCTCAGGTCATTCCCCCACCTCAGCACCCTCTCTGTAGCTGGGACTACAGGCACGTGCCACCATGCCCGGATAATTTTGTGTATTTTTTTCGTAGAGATGGGGCTTTGCCATGTTGGCCAGGCTGGTCTCAAACTCCCGGGCTCAAGCAGTCCGTCTGCCTCAGCCTCCCAAAGTGCTAGGATTATAGGCATGTGCCACCATGCCTAGCTGTAAACTTTTCATTTTAAGGTAATCTTAGATTCACATGTAGTTGTAAGAAACAATACAGAGAGAGCCAGAGGATCCAGTGTATCCTTTACCCCATTTCCCTCACTGACGACACTTTGTAAAATTATAACACAATATCATAACCAAGATATTGACATTGGTACAGTCAAGGTACAGTCAAAATACAGAACAATTCCATCACCACAAGAATCCCTTATGTTTCCTTCTTATATCTATACCCACTTTCCTCCAAAAGAAACTTTCTTCTAAAGTGGCTGTATCATTTTACATTTCTACCAGCACTGTATGAGTGATCCAGTTTCACCACCTCTTCCAAAGCATGTGTTACTGTACAAATTTTAGCCCTTCTGATAGATACATAGTGATCTCATTGTGTTTTTAATTTAAGTCTCCCTAACAATTAATGATGTTGAACATATTTCCATGTGCCTATTTGCCATCTGTATATCCTCCTTGGTGAAATGTTTATCTCTTTTGCCCATTGGTTTGATTTTTTTAATCAAGCTAGAGATACAGCAGTCTGAAGATTTCATTAAAGTTGTAAAACAGAATTTTTTTATTTTTAAATTTTGTCATTTTATTTTTATATTTAACACTTAAAAAGCACTTACTATATGCCAAATATAATTTTAAGTGCTTTGAAATATTTATTTCGATTTCAGTGAAATTTTATCTTACAGCAACCCTATGAAGATGTTATCATCTCCATTTGACAATTGAGGAAAGTGATGGCACAGAGACGTTCAGTAATTTACCCAAGATTACATAGATAACAAGTGTTGGAACAGAGATTTGAACACAGGCAGTAGTTACTATGAGCTTAATAACATACAAGAAATATTATACCTGGCAGAAGTCGGAAGCAGTGGAGGGAGAAAGAGTGTAGGCAAGCATCTCTGAAATGAGCGCCAATAAACGTTGTATGTAATTAATGGATCCAGAAATAGAGATTTAAGTATATTACTTAAAGTTGTAAAGGCAACCACTAAGATGTTCTGAAAATTATAATAATATAATAAAATTTGGAGGAAGTCAGAAATAGGTTAAAGAGGTAGCATATGTTAAATCCTTCATTTTTCTTAGTAGTCAACAAATACTGTCTAAAAATGATAAAGCAAGAGCTAGAAGTATAAACACATTTTTAAAGTAATGATGTTAATCATCAGAAAAACTCAAAATTCAAATTAATTTTAAACAGTTACCTCTTGACTGGAAACTAGTAAATAAACAGGAAACTTTCTCTTCTATACTGTTCAATTTCTTAGAAACCATATGCAGTCATTATCTCTACAATAAAAATAAAGGACAATTGAAGGCAAAATTTAAGACAATTTAAGTGATTCAGATGAGGCTAGGTTTGATAGTTTCTGAGCTAAATTACAGTTAATATTTTTGGAGGTCTTCAAAGATAGGTGAGGATAAATGGATTAACATGTGTATTGGTTCTTCTTGTGGTATCCTTAGTTTACACATCCACAAAACATTACCAAATGCCATAGCCAAATTACTAATATTCCTTACAACCTAGGCTCCATTTCTGAAGCAACAGTAGTATTTCCACTTACAATTTAGATCCACATGATTGTTACCAGATACAGACAACGGACCCTTAGCTCAGTAAAATACAAGTACAGAGAGAAAACAGAAGAAAAGCAAACAAACAAACTAGGACTGTTTGTTTGTTTGTTTTTGTTTTGTTTTGTTTTGTTTGAGACGGAGTCTCGGAGTCTCGCTCTGTCACCAGGCTGGAGTGCAGTGGCACAATCTGGGCTCACTGCAAGATCTGCCTCCTGGGTTCAAGCAGTTCTCCTGCTTCAGCCTCCCGAGTAGCTGGGACTACAGGCACGTGCCACCATGCCCGGCTCATTTTTTGTATTTTTAGTAGAGACAGGGTTTCATCATGTTGGCCAGGATGGTCTCAAACTCCAGACTTCATGATCCACCCGCCTCAGCCTCCCAAAGTGCTGGGATTACAGGCGTGAGCCACCACGGCCGGCCTGTTTTTTAAACAAATAATGCTGGAACAAATGGATATCCATTTGGGAAAGAATATAAACCTCTACCCTTATCTCACACCAGGCACAAAAATTAACTCAAAATGTTCCATAGATAGACCCAAATGTACAAACTAAAACTATCAAGTTTCTAGAAGACATAAGAGAAAAATTTGGGACCTTGTGGTAGGCTGAGATTTCTTAGGATACAAAAAGCATAAACCATAAAAGGAAAACATTTAATAAATTGGACTTCATAAAATTCAAAACTTCTATTCTTCATAAGATACAAGGAGAAAATATTTGCAATACATACATCTAACATGTATCCAGAATCTATAAACATTTCCTATCACTCAGTAAGAAAAAGACAAATAAGCCAATTAAAAATAGGCAAAATGTTTGAACAGACATTTCACAAAAGTAAGTGTATGAATGGCCAATAAGTACATGAAAAGATACTCAACATCATTAGCCATATGAAAAAATGTGAATTAGAACCACAGTGATACATCACTACACACCCATTCAAATGGCTAGTATTAAAAAGACTGACAATACCAAGTGATGGAAAGGATGTGGATCAATAGATCTCTCATAGAAATTGCTGGTGAGAATCCAAAGTGGGTATAACCACTTGGAAAACAGTATGGGAGGAGGTTATATATGTTATGAAATTAAACATACAGTTAACATACAACCCAGAAATTCCACTTCTAGATATCTACACAAAAGAAGTGAAAATATACATCCAGAAATACCCACACTCAAAAGTTCATAGCAGCATGATTCATAGTAGCCCCAAACTGGAAACAATTCAAATGTCCATCAACTGATGAATGGATAAACAAACTGTGCAATTAAAAGGAACAAATCCTGATAGACCCAACAAGATGGATAAATCTCAAAAATATTATGCTAAGTAGAAGAAGTCAAATACAAAAGACTGCAGTGACAGAAAGCAAATTAATGGGGTCTTGGAAGGGTATAAATTGGCACAAGGAAACTTTTTAGATATACGAAACTGCACCATGACTTAATTGTGGTGGTGATTACACAACCGTATAAAATTACTAAAATTCATCCAACTATACATTTAAAACTGGTGGATTCATGGACACATTGTGGGGAACAACACACACTGGGGCCTGTTGGAGCCGGGGTGTTGGGAAAAGGAGAGCATCAGGAAGAATAGCTAATGGATGCTGGGCTTGTACCTAGGTGATGAGATGACCTGTACATCAAACCAGCATGGCACACGTTTACCTGTGTAACAAACCTGCACATCCTGCACACGTACCCCCAAACTTAAAATAAAAATTGAAGAAAAATAAATAAAAATAAAATAAAATCTAAATCATCTAAAAAATAAAAATAAAATGGGTGGATCTTATTATCTTATTGTATCTAAATTACAACTTGATAGAGCTGGAAATATTCTAAAAAGGAAATTTTTTTTTGGTTTTCTCTTCACCAAGGTATCAATCCATGTTAGTTGTCCAGTCTACCTGCTGTGAATGTAAGTCACTTGGGAGAAATCTTCCAAGCAGGCAATCACATCAGAAAGCTACCACATTAGGGACACAGGGACTCCACAACTCATGTAGACTACCTCTTTCTTGGAACATGGTATGTAGAACTTTCCTTTCTTCTAAACTTTAGCCATCTGCAACAGGGCCTCCTCCAGTTTTTAGGCCTTTCTTGAGGCCTCCTTCTTCCTTTCAGAGTCTAAGTTATATATACATTAACTTTACTTTTCATTATTCCTTCAAGTTCCATATTTTTTTTTTTTTTTTTTTTTTTTTTTGCAGTTGCAAGATTTAATAGAGTGAAAACAGAGCTCCCATACAAAGGGAGGGGACCCAAAGAGGGTAGCCATTGCCAGCTCGAATGCCTGGGTTTATATCCCAGTCATTGTCCCTCCCACTGTGCTCTCAGACAATAAATGATTGGCTATTTCTTTACCTCCTGTTTTTGCCTAATTAGCATTTTAGTGAGCTCTCTTTACTACCTGATTAGTCGGGTGTGAGCTAAGTTGCAAGCCCTGTGTTTAAAAGTGGATGTGGTCACCTTCCCAGCTAGGCTTAGGGATTCTTAGTCGGCTTAGGAAATCCAGCTAGTCCTGTCCCTCAGTAACCCCCTCAACAGGAAAACTCAAGTGCTGTGGGGAGGTTGGCCAATGACCGCTCTAACTGCTTCCTGCTGAATTGGGGTGTAGTAGAGGTCGTGCAGTTGAGATTTCCTCAGGAGGGGTGCCTTCAATATCATCAATGTTGGAGCACGGGCTAGCAGGCCAGTCCAGGGGTCTGTGGTAGATTTTAGTCATGGACTGCATCTGGGGCTCCATTTGAAGAACCATTTGTAGCTTTATGGCTTTGATTCTGGAAGAGACAAGCTTAACAAGGAGCTTAAAGATACAGGGTCCAAAGAGGAGTAACAATATTATAGCTGCTAGAAGTCCTAAGAGGAAGAATCCAGGGCATCCACTGGCTGAGGAGGCCCCAGGGTCCGGTGTTTTGAAGCTCTTCTGCTTTATGTTATATTCAATCTCGAATTTTTTAAACTTTTTCGGTGATGATTCCGGATTGATTAACATAATAACAGCATTTTTCCCCTAAAAATAAACAGGTTCCCCCTCTTTTGGTGGTTAGCAAGTCTAAAGCTCTTCAATTTTGAAGGACTACTGCTGCTAGGGAGTCAAGTTGATCTTGCAAGGTGACCAGGGAGTCGGCGACCCGTTCCATGTCACCATTTAGTTTTTGAGATAGTTTGTAGAACAGAGTAGAGGTTGTGATACTGCCAATGCCAGTACCTAGTCCGCCTAGCACTCCTGCTCCGATAACAGAAGGAAGAATGGGTACTCTTTTCTTGTGGGGCTTAGGTACGACATAATTGTATAAATCTTGTTCAGTGTAGATGGTCATAGGGGGCACTAAGAATGAGAGGAAGCACGTAGATTCTGAAGAGCCATTTAAACAACGATAGGCTGAGGTACCACAGACAAAAAATATTTCTGAGCGTAGGCAGACTATTTGTGTGGGAGGAGTTACCCACCTGATGCATTCGGAGTTGGTTGTGTCTATAGTATTGCTAAATTTTACACAGGTGAGGTTTGAGGTATGGGTTATTTGCAGATTGGAAACAAGAGGTCCTACTAAAATGGAAGTGGTGTTTATTTCTGTGCTGAAGTTGTTCGATTGTTCAGGTACAGGGATTGAAATGTATGGCCTGAAGCGCAGGGGGTGTTTTTTGGCACACTTCACAAGCCATGACTATCTGCTTGATAGTTTTGAAAAGGCCTGGTCCAGTAAATAATGATTTGGCCATCTGATGGTTGCTATCAATCCTAAGTGAAAGGTTTGGTGAAGGGTTTTAAGTAATTTCCATTGGTTAGCTGCTGGCGAAAGTATTTTTCCTTCTTTGGTGGCTAGCCATCCTGAGGGGAGGAAACTATGTCCTCGTGAGGTTCCCCATTCTATTTTTTCTTTTGAGTACTGGGGCTTGGTTTCCCGGAGGGGATTATCCCATATTAGGGGTCCTTCTATAAGCATTTTTAATGGAGGGTCCTGCCTTGTGGCTCTTTTGGCTTTAATATCCGCTTGGCGGTTTCCTTCTATTTCCCTTTTTTTTTTTTTCTGATGACTCCGGTAGTGTAAGGTCTTTAGGTTTTTGTACAGCCAATAATATCTCCTAATCGCTTCCTGACGTTTGATAGGTGTTTCCTCAGAAGGTAGGAATTCTCTTTCTCTCCATATTGCTGCATTGGCATGGAGGACTAGGTAAGCATACTTAGAGTCTGTATATATATTTATCCTTTTTTTTTTTCCTAATTCTAGTGCCTGAGTGAGGGCTATTAGTTCTGCCAGCTGAGCACTAGTTTCTGGAGTGAGGGGATTACTTTTAAGTATTCCATTATTACTGACCACTGCATACCCTGCTTTTTGAAGTCCTTTTTCTACAAAGGAACTTCCATCAGTATACAAGTTGAGGTTGGGATCAGTCAAGGGAACCTCTAGAAGGTCCCCTCGAATGGTGTAGGTTTGGGCAATCACTTGACAGTTATGTTCTATTTTTTCTTCATTGTCTGGAAGAAATGTGGCTGGGTTAAGAGTTGCAAAAGTGCGCAGTCGCAGCACTGGCCCTTCAAGTAATAGAGCCTGATATTTAAGTAAACGGTTGTCTGACAGACACAAGTCTCCTTTAGCAGTGAGTATGCCATTCACATCATGAGATATCCACACAGTAAGATCTCCTCCCTGTATTATTTTAACTGTTTTAGATACTAACACTGCTACTGCCGCCACTACCAGTAAACAATGAGGCCAACCCTTTGCCACTACATCAGTTTCCTTACTCAGGTATGCCATGGGTTGCAAGCTCATCCCTTGGACCTGTGTAAGGTCTCCTAGAGCTATTCCTGTTTTTTCTGTGACATTTAAACAAAAGTCTTGCCCTGTTGGCAAGCTTAACACTGGGGCTTGGGTTAGGGCCTTCTTTAGGGCCTGGAAAGCCACTTTTGCTCCAGGTGTCCATTTTACTAAATGGTTATTGACTTTCTGAGTTTCCTTAATTAGTGTATATAATGGCCTGCTATTTCGCCATACCTGGGAATCCATATTCGGCAGAAGCCTGTTATGCCAAGGAAGCCTCTTAGTTGCTTTAGGGTTTTGGGATTAGGATAAGCCAGTATGGGCTGGATACATTCCTCACTGAGGGCCCTGGTGCCTTTGGATAATTTTAGCCGTAAGTATTTAACCTGCTGTGAGCAGAGCTGAGCTTTTGGTTTGGAAACAGCCACAGGTGGCGAGGAAGTTAAAAAGTGCTTGGGTGGTTTGATGGCACAAGGTTTCTGAACGGGTGGCTAAAAGTAAATCATCCACATACTGAAGGACAAGAATGTCCAGATATGAGAACTGGCTCAAGTCTTGGGCTAATTACTGGCCAAATAGATGAGGGCTATCCCTGAACCCTTGGGGTAAAACAGTCCAGGTGAGTTGAGACCTCAAAGGCAAACAAGAATTGAGAGTCAGAACTTCCGTATTTTCAACACCTCAGTCACAAACTTTTTGTAGGCTTTGTACAGGAATACGGCTCCCATTTTCACTTGCTAGTGGATTCTCCACATTTACAACATGTATATATCTCCTCCAACCTCATGCTTTTGAATTCCTGTGCCCTCTCCAATTCCTTTGACAGATCAAATGTCTCTCTACTCTGCCACCAATTTGAGGAGGTTGGAAGAAAGAGACAAATTCCCTTGAAGAATAGAGAGAGTATGTGTCCTAAACCTCCAACATGTTGTTCCCCCAGGTAACCTAATGGGTTTCTCAGCCAAGCCGCAAGCATGTAACTGCAACTTGAAGGAGGAAGATGTCTTTAGAGACTTAGAAAAGACCAGCAAGCTTCTTTACAAAATGGTCTCTTCAATCCTGGCATCCACTTGGGACCAATGAGATGGGATGTTCATCCTCATAGATTTTCACATATGTATCTTTAATGGTATCCCCAGGAGCCTCTGAAGTGCATCAGGACTTTATTTCAATGAAGTTCACACTAAGCCAAAACAAGGTATGCCCTATTCAATTTCTTGTGTCCCATTACACTCAGCTTTGCTGTCCAACTGATCACACTAGCTGAAGTCAAAAATGTGCACCAGAAAATAAAATGAGGCCTACTTATCAGATTGGCAAAGATCAAACAGGTTCATAAAACCCCATTTGGTAAATATATGGAAAAAACACATCTTTTTATATGCATTGTCATATATACATACATATATATGCTGCATTAATATATATACAATAGTGCATAAAAATATGTGTGTTGCTGTGGCTCTCGGACAAGAGGCAATGTGGTGTGCCTCTTGAATAAGAATTCAGCAACAGTATTAGAAATTTTTCACATGCATGCTCTGACATAGCAATTCCACATTGAGAAATTTGTTAAAAGCATAGACTCTGGAGTGAGACAGATCTGGATTTGAATTCTGGCACCAACACATCCTTCCTAACTGTGTGACTTCTCTCTGTTACAGTTTGCCCCTCTGTAAATTCAAGGTACATAATGGCACCCTGGCAACAATGGGTGGCACTACACTGCCCTTTATCAGTAAGGTAACTAAATGTCTGTGACTATAGGAAGTTGCCAGGATGTGGGACTTTCAGGGCTAAATACTGGAAGGTCCTTGGGAAACCAAGGTGAGCACCAGGTCCATGTTGCCTCCTTCAGGAACAACAAGTTCTTGACCAGTCAGCTCTACAAAGTATCAGAATCATTCCAAGTAACCATCTTGACCATTTATGAAGTACCAGCCACACCCCAGGCCCATTATATTTATCAATGATTCTTAAACCTGAGCTTGCATCATGATCACCTGGAGAGCTTGTCAAAACACAGATTGCTGGGCCCAACTCCAGGGATTCTGATTCAGTAGGTCTGGGTTGGGGCCTGATCTTTTGCATTCAAAAAACTCCTAGGTAATGCTGCTGGTCCAGGGTATACACTTTGAGAACCACTAGCCCAACAAAATACCAATTAGGAGAGTATATGGGAAAGACACTTGAAAAAGGAAGGAAGCTTAAATTCTTGTAATAATGTATCTTCTCACCACCCCATGACACACACACATGCTGAAATGAGGGTTAAACCACCATATCAGGAGGCCCAGGCCCAGCCAAGCCCAATCACAAAACAGTCTAAAACTCCTAAGTGAAACCCATCACAGAAATGTATAGCAGTCACAGCCCAAGTGGTGATCTGAAGTAAGGTGACAAGGTGGACGGGGCCTCACAAGATGGAAACAGCAGGTAAAGACCATGAAGTTCACAACTGACATTGGTCTCCACAGCAACACTGAGTGTTTTCTAAAACAGGGGACCCCATCTCATTCATCCTTGAAGTGTAGCCCAGAACTGGATGTATAGCAGGTACTCAACAAACGAACAATTCTCCTTGACGCCTCTATAAGGAGATGGATCTTTTAGCGCAAGCTCAGATCACACCTATACCCCAGTTGACGGGTTTGCTACCTCATTTCAGGACACATACCCTAAGGACTACTAGTACTGCCCCAGGATGAGATTTATCCAGTGGCCTTTCATTCAGCCACTACATATTTATTGAGCCCTGGGCAGAGCCCTGAACTTGATCTTGGGCTCTGGGGTCAGCCAAGCCTGGGTGCAAATTACTGCTCTCCACTGATCAGCTTTGTGCACTCGTGCAACTTCACCTCTGTAACCCTTGATCTCCTTATCACGCAAAAGGGATGGAAATCCTACCAATTTCAAAGGACACTGGTGGGGATGAAGTCAGAGGATAAGGGTGGCACTCTGAGCACAGGGTCTGGCACCCAGGCAATGCTCCATATAGGTCGGCTATTGTTACCCAAGATCCCTGCCCTGGAGCCCTGCTGTCTGACCACAGGATGTGGTGGCTGTGGAGAGTCCAGGATCCCTGCACGGTCCCACTTGGCCACTTCCTAATTAGCCAGCAATCCTGGGGCACAGGAGGCAGGAGGTGAGTGAGGAGTGGCTGATGAGAGTCACTCTCAAGGACCTCTCAGCTGCTCTACGAAGAAGTCAGTATCAGCCAATGACCCAGTGGCAGAATGAACACCTAATACACCAGGGTTGGAACATGTGGGAACAGGAAAGCCTGGTTTTCAAAAGTAAGCAATAGGACTGTGGCAAGGATTAAGTAAATTGATTCATGCAAAGTACTTAGTAAATTGATTCATGTAGAGCCCAGGGCCTAGGTTCAGTGAATATCAGCTTCTGGTACATTAGCCGCGGTCTCAGCCCCTTAGGGATCTGGCTAGTGTACAGCCCAATGTAATCATGGAACCCACCTGCACTTGTAGGGCGTGGTCTACGGTGGTGGAATTTGTGGAGCCCTAAACAGGCCCTGCTGCCTCAAAACCCCCTCTACCCCAGATGTCACAGTGCCACGCTGTCATTATGAGACAGGCATTCCACATAGAATGGGTGGTGAATATGCAGCACTGGTTCTCAGAACACTTCCACCTTCATGAGGGCAGACATCACTGAAGAGGTTCTCTGTCCCATCGAGTCCAGACAGGACCTTGGATCAGGCTTCATGACACAGTGCTCTGCGTAGAAATTGCTCTGGGAGTTGTACCTCTTGCTTCTCTGAGAGAGGTTCTCTGTCATTGCTTTATTTTATTTCTGATTTAGTTTTACAATTAGTGGCACTTTATCTGTCACTGTCTATGTGTTTATTGAAATCTTAGTTGAGGTAATTGTAGATGTAAGAGATAATACAGAGAGATCCCATGTACCCTAGATCCAGTCTCCCCAAAGGGTAACATCTTAGAAAACTGTACTACAAGATCGCAACCAAGACAATGACATTTGTACAATCCACCGATGTTATTCACATTTCCCTGGTTTTGCGTGTACCCATTTGCATGTGTGTGTATTTTGTTCCACGGAATTTTATCACATATGTAGGTTCATGTATCTAACAGCACAGTCAACATACTGAACAATTTTATTACCACAAGGATCATTCATTTTTCCTTTTATAATCACATGTACCTCCCTCCCAGACCCCAGCACCCATCCCTAATCCCTGGTAATCACTAATCTGTTTGCCAGTTCTATAATTTTGTCATTACAAGAATATTATAGAGCTGGGCGCGGTGGCTCACGCCTGTAATCCCAGCACTTTGGGAGGCCGAGGAGGGTGGATCACGAGGTCAGGAGATCGAGACCATCCTGGCTAACAAGGTGAAACCCCGTCTCTACTAAAAATTCAAATAATTAGCCGGGCGTGGTGGTGGGCGCCTGTAGTCCCAGCTCCTCGGGAGGCTGAGGCAGAAGAATGGCGTGAACCCGGGAGGCGGAGCTTGCAGTGAGCCGAGATCGTGCCACTGCACTCTAGACTGGGCAACAGAGCAAGACTCCATCTCAAAAAAAATATATATATATATTATATAGGGTAATAGGCTTAGTGCCTGGGTGACGAAATAATCTGTACAACAAACCCCTGCGATATGAGTTTGCCTATATAACAAACCTGCACATGTACCCCTGAACCTAAAATAAAAGTTTAAAATAAATAAAGAAATAAATAATAAAAAAGAATATTATATAAAGGGAATCCTACTGTCTGTAACCTTATGGATTGGCTCTTTTTATTCAGCATAATTCCCTGAAGAGCCATCTAGACTGTTGTGTGTACTAACAGTTCACTAATTTTCATGGCTGGGTCATATCTGTGGTGGTGGATATACCACAGTATTTTTCTCTAACCATTCACCTACTATAAGACATATGAGCTGTTTCCAAGTTTTGTTTTGTTTTCCCTTCTTTTTTTTTTTTTTTTTTTTTTGAGACAGAGTCTCACTGCTGCCCAGGCTGGAATGCAGTGGCGCAATCTCGGCTCACTGCAACCTCCGCCTCCCAGGTTCAAGTGATTCTCCTGCCTCCGCCTCCCAAGTAGCTGGGATTACAGGCATGTGCCACCACACCCCACTAATTTTTGTATTTTTAGTAGAGACAGTGTTTCACCATGTTGGCCAGGCTGGTCTTGACCTCCTGATCTCAGGTGATCCGCCTGCCTCAACCTCCCGAAGTGCTGGGATTATAGGCGTGAGTCGCTGCACCCAGCCATGTTGTGTCTTTCTAATACAAATAAGTGTGCTATGAATATTCATGTACACAATTTTGCATGAGCACAAGTCTTCATTTTCTGGGACAAATGCTCAGTAGTGCAATTGTCAGTCATACAGCAGTTGCATGTTCACTTTTTAAAGAAATGATTTTCCAGAGTGACTCTACCATTTCACATTCCCACAGCAATGTATGAGTGATTCTGTTTCTCCATACCCTCAGCAGCATTTGTTATTATCACTACTTTTCATTTCAACCATTCTCTTTGATAGCTGTATAGTGACATCCCATTGTAGTTTTAATCTGCATTTTCCTTATGTTGAGGTATTGATGTGGAACACCATTTAAAATTTTTTTGCCTTTTTTTTTTTTTTTTTTTTTAAGATACAGGCTATCACTATGTTGCCCAGGCTGGTCTCGAAGTCCTAGGCTCAAGCAATCCTCTTGTGTCAGCCTCACAAAGTGCTGGGATTATAGGCATGAGCCACCATGCCTGGCCTGGAACATCTTTTTATGTGCTTATCTGCCACCTGTATATCCTTTTCAGTGAAATGACTATTCATGTGTTATGTTCTATTTCTAATTAAATTATTTGTTTCTTGAGTTTGCAAGTTTTTTTTTAATATTTTAGGTCCTAGTCTTTTGTCAGATATATGGTTTGTGAATATTTTCTCATAGTCTTTTCACCTTTTTTGCATGTCCTGATTTTAATGAGGTATAGTTTATAGTTTCCCTTTTATAAATGGTGCTTTTGCGCTATTCATGGGATTTCAGATAAGGCTTAGTGGACCTGTCCTTTTTGTCCTGGAGACCAGCTTTCTTGGAGGTTTGTGAATTGGGGTCAGATCTTAATCACTATGTGCCAAGCATACTCCAAACATTACTTCATTTAATCCTCCCAAGAAGCCTATGAGATAGATGCCATTTTATACATGAAGAAACTGAGGCAAGAATGACTCAGGGCCTGGCCCAAGGTCCCAGAGGTAAGAACTAGGAGGTGGAAGAACTGGGACACAAATCTGGTCTGTTTCTGCCTCCAGAGCACCTGTCTATGTGGTCATTTCAAGTTCCCAGCAGGCTACATAAAATTCTGGTATACAATGTGTTTATAACTCCAACTTCAGACATGATGATACATTAGGAACCTTCTTGTTACCAGGTCAAGAAACAACAGGGACAGCAATGTACTCAAAGGCAGAATGCTCTCTGCCCAATCTTTCATCTTCAGAATCCAAACACTACTGAACACCCAGTGTATTGCTCCATGTCTTCAGGCCAGCATGTGTCTGGTGGCCTGATGGTGGTGGACTTTGCTGGGGTCACCACTAGGCCCATGCACATCACTCTCTAAGAAGGCCCTCTGGCCTGGCCCCAAGCTTTATTGAGGACTTCCAGATTCCTAGATTTCAATTCCTGCTGCCTCCACGCAGAAAAATCAGTCCTATGCCCACCAATGTCTTTGAGGCCTGCACTGTCCCCCTACCAACCCTACCCCTATGTGCTGCAGAGAAAAAAAGGCCTTCAGCAGCTCAATTATCTCAGAGACAGCTGCCTGTCTGCTGTGGCTTGAATGTGCCCCCTGAATTTTATGTGTTGGAAACTAAGTCTTCAAATTCATATGCTGATGGCATTTGGAGGTGGAACCTCCAAATTAGGGCTAGATAAGGTCATCAGGTTGAGCCCCACCCCCTCACCCTGCAGTCAAAGGTGGGGTTGGTGGTTTTATAAGAAGAGGAAGAGAGACCTGAGCTGGCACACTGTTGCTTTCTCACCATGTGATGTCCTCCATCATGTTATGATGTGGCAAGAAAGCCCTCACCAGGCACTGGCCCCTTGATCTTGGACTTTCCAATCTCTAGGATTATGAGCTAAACAAACCTGTATTCTTTATAAATTACCCAGTCTGTGGTATTCAGTTCTAGCAATAGAAAGTGGAGTAATACATTGTCCACATTTGTCTCCTCCAACTTTCCTTTACTTCTGACTTGTGGATTTTGGTTAAGAAACTCATTTTGGACTCAGGTTCCTGTGCAATGGATATTCACATTCTTCTGTTCTTTGATGCATGTGTATCGATGGCCAAAGACCTGACCAACTTCCATGACATTTAATCTTACATCTTTGTCTCCTTCAGCAGCTTCTCTCTATTGACACAATGATTCCAAATCTTTTTTTAGAAAATTATTTTCTTGAAACCTATTTGTTTCTTTAATTTATTCATTTTTTAACATATTCTTACTGAGACTCTACTCTTTGCTAAGTACTGTGCTAGGCACTGGGGATAAAGCACAGAGCAAGACAGACACAGACCCTGATGTCCTAATGCTTGCATTCTATCTAGGAGAAATTACTATCAAAGCATTACAGAAAGCATTATTGGCTCCTGTCTTCACCCCTGGATTTATATCCTACTCCCACCGTCAAACCTTATGCGTTAGTGAAGGTGGATTAATCACCTTCTCCTAAACATACATTGGGCTTTCCCTCCTCCAAGCCTTTTTACATATTCTCCACTCTGCTAATATTTTGCCACCACATTTCCAGCAATTACCATATACCTTAATATCTAATGCCTTCCTTAAGACCCAAATGAAATCCTTCTTCTTTAGTGGAGGATTTCTCCATCATCCCTGCTGTACATGATTTCTTCCCTGTCTGTATTTATAAAGTACTAGTTACCACTCATGACTCTGACTATACATGCACTACTTTCTGTCCTGGTTATTCCATACTCTTATTGCTTCACCTGAAAGACAGTAGAGTCCCTGAAGGTAGGGTCTACTTCTGACATGTCTGCATGTACCTCACACATGTATCAGTGCCTTGAATATAGCAGGCATAAAATGTGCTCAGTGGGAGAATGGCTTCCCTAGACTGTTCATTTACTTAACAACTACTTGGGTAGTAGTTACAATGCACCAGGCAATGCTCCCTTAGACAGTAGCTACCAAGTACCAGACACTGCTTTACTATCTTGTCAGACATCAACTCACTGGATTCTCACAAGAACCCTAGGAGGTAGGTACTTTAAAGAGCCACATTTGTAGATGAGCAAAGTGAGACTCAGGGCGGCCCAACATTTTGCCCAACCTCAAGGACCCCATATGGTAGATGTCAGAGCTAGGATTGAATACCAGGCAACCTTCCTCAGACCTGAGCCCTTAGCCTTGGTCCTTTAGCCAGGCCTGGAATGATTTGCCCAGTGTGAAATCTGTAGCTGTAGGACAGAAAATATTGAATCCATATCTGATTCTTTTTGGCACTCTGCGGCACCACTTCCCTGCTTATGTTCTTCATAGCAACTATGTCTCAAAGGCGTGATGGGGCTAACTAAGTTATATAAAGTACTGACTTACATTGGGTCTTTCTGAAGCATTTCTGAAAGACAGAGCTCCTCTAGCTCTCTATGTCAGTCCCTCAACCTTCATTTTCCTTATTGCTCTCCCACCTCCAGGAGTCTTTTTAGACCTTTTTTCCTAATTGCCCCCTTTTGAAATTTTAATACCACAGATATACTCTATATCTGTTTATGTACTGTATGTATATCTGTGCTTTGTATAAATCGAAATTTTCTGTCACCCAAGAACCAATATTCTTCCCACTTTGGAGATTATATCACCCTATTAAGAATGCACGCTTGATGTTGAAGGGCTTTGCATGCTTCTCATATCTAAGAGAAGAGCATAAGCAGGGATTCTTACCCCTATTTTACCCTGTGAAACCACAATTTTCAGTATCATCTCAGTGAAGTGACACACATTTGCAGAACTGACCTAGACCCAATAATTACTATAACATCCACAATAGCAATACTTGTGATGGATGTTGGGAGAGAGGATGATCAGATCCCAGTCTCAGGTTCTGATAGGCCAAGTAATCATGAGGAAAATACATTTCTTCGAACTCCCAAAGACTCAGTTTCTTCCTCTGTGAAAGGTGGCAATAAAACTTGAAGTACTCACCTTAAGGAGCTTTTATGAGACCAATGAAGTTCTAAACTCTGCCAATTATTAAGCACTATGCAAAGGTAGATGGTAAAGTTACAGCCACCTAAATGAAAATGGGCTCAACTATTTTGAAAACCTCATTGAAAAGTCAACTTTACTCTACGTTAACGTATAATAATAAACACTGCAATGTCTGCCTGAGCATTGCCTGAGCATGTCATACGTCATACCGTAAAAGCATCCTCTGCCTATACTAGATTCTCTAACTGTAGCCACAAAAGCAAAAATCACATAATTGAAAGTTAAGCAGGGTCCTTCCATTGTCATTCATCTTCTTGCCATTACCTACTTTTTTTTTTTTTTTTGAGATGGAGTTTCATTCTTGTTGCCCATGCTGGAGTGCAGTGGCGTGATTTCCACTCACTGCAACCTCCACCTTCTGGTTTCAAGCGATTCTCCTGCCTCAGCCTCCCAAGTAGCTGGGATTACAAGCGCCGGCCACCATACCTAACTTTTGTATTTTTGGTAGAGACGGGGTTTCACCATGTTGGCCAGGCTGTTCTCGAACTCCTGACCTCGTGATCTGCCTGCCTTGGCCACCCAAAGTGCTGGGATTACAGGCGAGAAGACCGCGCCCATCCAATCTACTTTTTTTTTTAGACAGAGTCTCACTCTGTCACCCAGGCTGGAGTGCAGTGGCGCGATCTCGGCTCACTGCAACCTCCACCTCCTGGGTTCAAGCAATTCTCCTGCCTCAGCCTCCCGAGTAGTCGGGACTACAGGCACATGCCACCATGCCCAGCTAATTTTTTGATTTTTTTTTTTTTAGTAGAAACGGGGTTTCACCGTGTTAGCCAGGACGGTCTCAATCTCCTGACCTCGTGATCCACCTGCCTCAGCCTCCCAAAGTGCCGGGATTACAGGCATAAGCCACCTCACCCGGCCTCCGGCCAATCACTTTTAATTGTAAATGTAAAAGTACATTTTTAAAATGTAAATTTTTAAGATGGGTAAATATATTACGTGAAAATGAAATGCTTTTGTCCAGAGTTTCCCAAACACCTCCAGGCTCTGCCCCAGACATGTAAGTCCAAGCCTTGCCCTCTCTTTTTCCTACCAATCTTCTAAAATGCAGATTCTGATTCAATTGGTAGTAGGAAGTACACTGGATTGAAATTCTGCATCTTCAACCATAAAAAAGAATGAGTTCATGTCCTTTGCAGGGACATGGATGAAGCTGGAAATCATCATTCTCAGCAAACTAACACAGGAACAGAAAACCAAACACCGCATGTTCTCATTCATAAGTGGGAGTTGAACAATGAGAACATATGGACACAGGGAGGGGAACATCACACACCAGGGCCTGTCGGGGGGTGGGGGGCAAGGGGAGGGAGAGCATTAGGAGAAATACTTAATGTAGATGACGGGTTGATGGGTGCAGCAAACCACCATGGCACATGTGTACCTATGTAACAAACCTGCACGTTCTGCACATGTATCCCAGAACTTAAAGTATAATTTTAAAAAAAGAAATTCTGCATTTCTAATAAGCTCTTGAGTGATATAGGTGCTGTTAGTGCATAGACCACACACTGAGTAGCTTCCTTATCTTATATAAGAGTTACATGCATGCTGAGGTTACTGATCTCATCATGTCCTTGAGGTTACTGGGCTAATCTTGGGTCAGCCGGGGTACTTTGACTGGTCATTGCTTTCCAGAACCATCCTTTTCTAAGCTCCTTGCAGCTGGTTAGAGAGAACGAGGTTCTGATAAGTGTGCCCTTGAGAAAATGTTGATAAGACTGGTTTAGGCTAGAGCAACATGACTTATTGATTACCCAGCTATGAAAAGAAAGAGAGAAAAGCAGAGCCAACGTTGAAAAGATGTCTCAGGTTTCTAGATTTGCTATTTGATGACATTAACCTAAATAGAGAACACTGCACAGAAGCTGGTGTGTGTGTGTGTGTGTGTGTGTGTGTGTGTGTGTGTGGGAGGGAGATGAGTTCAATTTTGAACATACTGAGTTGGAGTTGCCTGTAAGACATCCAAGTAGAGATATCCAGTAAAAGACTGAGTGGATGAAAATATTTGGGGCAGATGGAGAAAAATCCAACACAAAGACTGAAAAAAGAACATCCAGAGAAAAATGAAAAAATACAGCTGGGCACAGTGGCTCATGCCTGTAATATCAGCACTTTGGGAGGCCGAGGCGGGTGGATCACCTGAGGTCAGGAGTTCGAGACCAGCCTGGCCAACATGGTGAAACCCCATCTCTACTGAAAATACAAAAATTAACCGGACATGGTGGCACGGGCCTGTAATCCCAGCTACTCAGGAGGCTGAGACAGGAGAATCGCTTGAACCTGGGAGACAGAGGTTGCAGTGAGCTGAGATTGTTCCACTGAACTCCAGCCTGGGCGACAGAGTGAGACTCCGTCTAAAAAAAAAAAAAAAAGAAAAAATACAAGATTGTGTGTTTCTGTGGAAAACAAGGGAAAAAAAAGAAAACTTTGAGAAGGAGGAAGTGGTCAGTAATGTTGACTGCTACTAAACAGTTGGGTAATTGAATGCTTGAAAGTTTCCATTAGCTTTAGCAACAAAGAGATCACTAGTGAGAGCAGTTTCATGATGGGAGGAGTAAGGAAACAGAAAAAAATATTGTGGTGGATGGAGGAGTGTTAATGAGAAAATGTGGGAACTGTTTTAAAGGTGTTTAGTTGTGAAGGTCAAGAGAGATACAGGGCAGTAGTCTGGCAGGGAGACATGTGACCAAAGAAAGATGTATTTTAAAGATGGGTGCATGTTTAAATGCTGATGAGAAGTTGATAGTAGGGAAGAGATTTTCAATAGAGGAAGAAAGACAGGATATTACTAAATCAGGCAAGATGCCAGAAAAGGCAGCAGGAAGGCAAGTAGATCATGGCAAGAAGATGATACCTCATCTGACATAGAAAAAGGATGCAGCTAGGATTATAAATGTGGTGGAGGAGATTGAAGTAAGTTGTATCTGATGACTTCTATTTTCCCTAAGAAGAGACCTGAGTCGTTGTCTAAGAGTGGAGATGGAAGTAGGTAGCAGGGTCAAAGGTTTGAGGAAAGTGGAAAAGATTTAAAATAGTTATTGTACAGTGTGTGGCAATGAGTGAATTACTAGGCTAGGTTTAAGGACCACTTGAGGTGAACAATCATGAATGCGCAGTGGAATGAATTTATCTTGTTGTGTGACTTTTTCTGGTAGTGCTCAGCTACCCCAGGAAAGGTATTAAAAAAAAAAAAAGCAGATAATTTGAGTTAATCCAGATTTGAGGATTTCCTAGACAGTAGGTTGAGTTGATTGAGCCTCCTTCCCACACCCCCCTTCCCTGGCACAGAATGTAAGGAGGCACTCATTCTTAGGATCATACAAGTGTGGGTTTGGCACCAGAGAATGTATGCTCCCTTATATTTTGTGTAGGGGGAAGAAGAGGTGGGGGGAGGCTCACTGGTTGTGAAGAATATTGACAAAAGAGCAAAAGAAGAGCCATGTTATGCAAGATGGAAGGAGAAGAAAGTCAAAATAGGGGAAAGTAGAGGGATGAGGCAGTGGGGTCGGGGGTTGGGGGTAGTGGGAGTGGCAGGGACTGACTATGCAAACTAAAGGGCTAGGAAGTTGTGGTCAGAGAGGAATGTCAGAAGTCGTGGTCTTAGAGATGGAACAATTCTGGGGTGCTAAAAAATTACGAGGTGAGATAGGAGATGAGGGTGGCTGAGGTGGAAGTCAAGCAGCTTCAAGATTAAGGTGTCAGATAGGTTGCTCACATAAGCTGTTGACTTTGCCCAGAATGTGTGGTAAGACTTGGCATGGGGAAAGAGTGGGCCTACTGCCAAAGTGTTTCATCAATACAGAGGTAAGTCTAGGAGACCCATAGATGATGGTGACAGGGAAGGTTAAAGAGCGGTTCAACTGAGGCATACGTCTCCAAAGGAGCAGAAATTTTGGGCCTTGTTTTTTGTTGTTGTTGGTTTTGAGTCTTGTCTTTGCTTAAAAGAGGGTGGAGGAGCTGTAAATGGGTTTGGAGAGTGAGGAAAAAACTAGCCCTGCTGGCCCATGAAGTGTGGGAACATGACGTGTAGGCAGCTCAAGAAGCAGCTGGAATGATGGTCTCTTTACTGAGGAACTAGGTTTCACTTAAGGCTAAGTCATGAAAAGACTGTTTTAGGAAAGGGTTGAGTTTACAGGTGAATTGGTTAAGCAGTCAGTGTGAATTCCAGATGATTTGAAGGGAGTGATTGAAGCATGGTAGAAGTAGCTGGTTCACAGGGTTGGGGAGGCAGCGTCCCAGTGAGTCCCATGGAGGAAGGTGGGCATCCATAACTCTAAGAATTCTATTTCGGCCTGCATGTGACAACCCGAAGCTACTATATGGGGCTCAAATTTTTTGTTTTTGTTTTTTCTTCCTCATGGTCCTCAGGGATGGGAGATAGCAGTCAGTGGTGATGGGGAGAATCTCACTGTGACTTCCATTCCTTAGTACCTTCTTTTCAGCCTGGTTGATAACAATGATAAAAATAATTATAATAATAACTGTAAATTTAGAACATTCTTGCCAAATGTATTAAATGCCTACTATGTGCCAGGCACCATTCTGGGTGCTGGGAACAGTTCATACATGACAAAGTTCCTGACCTCACATAACTTATATTGTATTGTATAGTCAGACCATGAACAAGGACCAAAAAAGAAATATATATATATATATGTGTGTGTGTGTATATATATATATATATATATATGTGTGTGTGTATATATATAAGGTTGAGGTGCTGTGTTGTGAAAGAAAGTTAAGGGAGGTAAGTACAAAGACAGTGAGGATGTGATGGGGGGAAGGCTATGTTAATTTGGGTAGTCAAAGAAGGCCTCTCTGAGCAGAGACCTGAATGAAGATAAGAAGCTAGCCATGTGAAGATAGAAGGAAAGAGTATTTCAGATCAAGAGACTAGCAAGTGCAAAGGCTCCATGGGTGAGTAGGAGTATAGGATGTTCGAGAAACAACAAAAACATCATTATGGCTGGTAAGAGGTCTTGTTCCAAAACCTGAAAGCATCTCCTTTTAACCACCTGCTGCTAAGGATGAGGTTATATGGTCTCCATGGTTGAATTGTGTAAGGACCTGAATCTCCCAGAGCTGATCCAAGAAGGCGAGGCTCAGAGAGAGCAGCAGATTACCCATGGGGGTGGTAGAAGAACTGAGGAAACCTTTCCACACATTGTGTGAGAATAAACTTGCATAGTAAGTCAAAGCCATCTTAGTCTCAGTTCTACTGCCGAATCACAGTGGTGATGGAGAAGTGCCATTGCCACTTTCACACCTGAAAACATTTTATCATAAACTGGGGACTTGCCTAAGACCTTTAGCTTAGGGCTATTACATGAGGTAGTATTTGCTAGGGGCACCAGCAATGTGGTTGGCAGAAAAGTAGCATGAAATATAGGATTTTATTTTTCCATGACAAAGTCATCTCATGGGATTCAAGGCAGAAGAAGACAAAGACCAAAAGGAAGCAGGAACAGTGTGTCATGGACAGCACAACTAATGGGATGCTAGATACACACCCATCTTAATGATGGCCTCATGGATTACTGGTTTCTTTAACTGGGATGCCTTATGTCTGTGAATCAGAGTTGATTCCATGGAGTCACCATGAGTCCCCGAGACTATCATTACTTTAGTAAAAAGGAAGGAACCTACACCTTGAGCCCTAATGGGATGAGGAACACTCCATTATAAGACTGAGGACCAGGCCAGGCACGGTGGCTTACACCTGTAATCCCAGCACTTTGAGAGGCCAAGGTGGGCAGATCACTTGAGGCCAGGAGTTCGAGACGAGCCTGGACAACATAGAGTAACCGCATCTCTACTAAAAATACAAAAAGCTAGCCGGGCTTAGTGACAGGCACCTGTAGTCTCAGCTACTCAGGAGGCTGAGGCAGGAGAATCGCTTGAACCCAGGAGGCAGAGGTTGCAGTGAGCCAAGATCACACCACTGTACTATAGCCTGGGTGACAGAGTGACACTCCAGCTCAAAAAAAAAAAAAAAAAGACTGAGGACCAGGATACAAAATGGGGTGGGACTCAGCAAAGGCTTGGACACACCCAGGAGCCTAAATTCACTAATAAAGTTGTTTTTATTATTGTTGCTATTTGGCCTAGCAATTCACATAAACACAGAGGATGGTGGATATGGGAAGCCAGCCAGGGTAGTTATACAAATGTGTAAGCTTTATTGGGAGGTTCCTTGATAATGCTCGGGTTTCAGGAATTCAGGTCTAGCACACGACATGGAGTCCCCTCCCCCTCAAGCACCTCAGGCCTCCCTGGAGATGTCTGCAAGGCTAGAACTTTCAATTCAAGCTCCTGAAAAATGTAAAGGTTGAAGGAATGGTTCCTGCCTCCAACCTCAGAATTCTCTAGAGCACATCAAGGCCTTTGGCCAGGCAAATGTAGGGAAACACCAGCTACCTCAACAGAGCAAGAAGTGAGGTGTGAGGAAATGTTGGTATTTAGATTCCATCAGAATTTTTTTTTTTTTTTTTTAGAGTTGGGGTCTGTTGCCCAGACTGGAGTGCAGTGGCATGTTCATAGCTCAATGCAACCTCAAACTCCTGGGCTCAAGCAATCCTCCCACCTCAGCCTCCTGAGTAGCTGGGACCACGTGCATGAGCCACTGGGCCCAGCTAATTTCTAAATTTTTTGTAGAGATGGGGTCTCACTGTGTTTCCCAGGCTGCTCCTGAACTCCTGGCTTCAAGTGATCCCCCCCGACGTAGGCCTCCCAAAGTGGTGAGATTACAGATGTGAGCCACCACATCTAGCCACTCCATCAGAATTTTTAATGATACCTCACCACAAACAACAAAGACCACAAGGATTTTTGCAATGACTATTTTAGCTCCCCTCCATAGCTTAGGGAGTATCTCCATGTTCTGCCTTTCATCCTTCTGTTGAAACATTCCTTTTCTTGTCTGGTCTTCCTGGTTTTGATCCTATTGGCTCACCTCCAGATTCTCCCTCTCTGCCTAGCTTGTCTGCATTGATGCCTCCTTTGGATGACTGGCTTCAAGTTGGTACCACCCAAGAATGTTGCCTCTCAATTTGGCCATCTTAGCACTACACACTGCAGTTCGAGGCAAATGTTGTTCCTCCTATGCCCATCCTAAACCCCCAGATACCAAAGCTCAGGGACCCCATTTCTTTGAGGGAGCTGTAATTATATTGCATATTAATATTTGTGGCCAAGTGCAGTGGCTCATGCCTGTAATCCTAGTACTTTGGGAGGTCAAGGTGGGAGGATCACTTTAAGCCAGGAGTTTGAAACAAGCCTGGGCAACATAGCAAGACCCTGTCACTACAAAAAAAATAAAAATAAAAAAAAATTAGCCAGGCATGGTGGGGCACACCTATAGTCCCAGCTACTTGGGAGGCTGAGGTGGGAGGATCACTTGAGCTTGGGAATGTGAGGCCACAGTGAACTATGGTTGCACTACTGCACTCCGGCCTGGGCAACAAAGAGAGACCCAGACTCTTTAAAAAAAGTAAATAAATAAAATAAAGCTATCTATATGTTGGCCTCTGCACTTCTCTACTGCACTGAACCCAGACCTGGAAACTTCCTGGTCTGGATCAGCTTCCTCATCTGTTAAAAAAAGGAATAGAAATGTCATCCCTGCCTACTTTATAGGGTTCTCCTGAGAATAAATGGAGACAAATGACAGGAAAGCACTCTGGTAAGGTGTAAAACATCATAAAAACGTATTACTATCACCTAAACTCTACTGATAACATATTGAGCTTTTTCTAATCTGGCCCCTACTCACCTCTCCAAACTCAAGCTCTAACCAGTCCTATCTCCTCCCGTGTTCGGCAAGCTCACCATGGCGTTGAGGGAGGGAGCTGCCTCTGACGAGGAACCTTACTGTAGTGAAAAACTTAATAACCACTATACTCATCTTCCTGTACTATCAGAAGACAGATAACACAAAGGTACAATAGAAAACAGAAGTAGAAAGAGCTGATAAACTCACCGCGATTTGGCCAGGGTGCTCCCTACACTTCACACATAGCCTGCCTTCCTCCTCAGCATGCCTTGACTTTGAACCAGTAAAGAGGTACTCTGTTGTGGACAGCCACTTCGTGATGCTCAAGGCATATACAAACACACAGCACATTCATTCCTGCTTCCTGATCCATTGTTCACCTTGATCCCCCTCTTTGAAATAATCTCCTCTTGCCCTTTACTTGCTAAATTCTCCCCATCCTTGGGGATCCAGTTTCAGTTCAATTTCATTCAGGAAGCCTTCCCAGAACATAACTCCCTCATCAATCTCTTCTTTCCTTTGACTTCCTACAGCATTTAGAATCTGCACCTGAATGATTCAGCATCTGCAGCTAGTCCTTTGTCATGTGTCTCTCTCCCTAATTGTTTGGGGTCAGTTAAGCTAGTCTCCTTGACTTTTGTGTACTTGTATATCTTTCGTTGTGGTGTCCAGCAAAAATACTGGGTACATACTAAGTGCTCAATAAATTCTTGTTGATGGAAGAGCATGGTTGAAAGCTACAGAAAAGGGAAACTGATGATGGACTTCATCCACCACACACTTTTGCCTCCAGCTGCCCTTTAACAGAAAGGCCATGCCATAGTTTGTAGTCTTGGTAATATCTGACTAATCTCAGAAAAAAATTATGCAAATGTTTTTGGGCGGGGCATGGTGGCTCACATCTGTAATCCCAGCACTTTGGGAGGCCAAGGCAGGTGGATCATTGAGGTCAGGAGTTTGAGAACAGCCTGGCCAACATGGTGAAACCCTGTCTCTACTAAAAATACAAAAATTAACCAAGCATGATAGTGCACATCTGTAGTCCCAGCTACTAGGGAGGCTGAAGTGGGAGGATCACTTCAACCCAGGAGATGGAGGTTGCAGTGAGCTGAGATTGTGCCACTACACTCCAGCCTGGGTGACACAGTGAGACTCCATCTAAAAAAAAAAAAATATATATATATATATATATATATATATATATATATATATACATATATATATATATATATATATATATACATATATATATATATATATATATGGTGGCCTTCTCAAAATTAAACATGATATGCAATTTTTCTGTTAGGTGGATAATTTATTTTTATCCTAAAGAACTAGAAACATTTTATGTTCTTATTTCATGTATGCTTTCATTTAATATTTTGAGTGTCTGCTATCTGTCACACCCAGAACTGGGCCCTAGGGCCAGAAAGAGGAAAGAAACCCAGCTTCTTCCCTCAAGGATCTCAGCAGCTGGTTAAACTGGACCTATAAATAATTCATTAAATACAAAAGAAGTGCTCTGATAGAGGACTGGAAGGTATATCACAGCTTCACAGAGGAAGTGACAAAGGAAAAGACTTATTAAATACATACATTGTTATCTGTCAATTAAAAAATTTATTTTAAAAATCCTATAAGCTCTTGGCCTGTAATGAATTTAAAAAATATGATATCTTCTCCCTTCTCCCTCTCCTCCTCTCTTTCTCTCTTTCTCTCGCTCTCATAGTACACATATTAGGTGTAGAAGCATCTAGACACTTTAAACTATTTAAAGGAGCTTTTCTGACTATCCTATCACACAGTGTTTGATGAAGTAAATAATAATTTATTATCATGAAGCAAATATAATGCCCTAATTGTTAGTCTGATATCTAGCACACTTCAAAGAATAAACTATAATTGAACTTGTATCCCCATGAATCATTTTCCTGGAAAGACAGTACTGGAACTTTCTAGTAGGAGTCCACACCTACCTTGGTTCTGCAGATGCCCAATTCCTTAAAAAAAGGGTCCCAGAACTTTGTATTGATATGCTTGCTGGGAAAAAAAAAATCCGGATAATTCCTCAAATACAGCCCCCAGACATCCATAAGCGGTTGTGCTTAAGAAGTTCTTCTCATTCAAATATCTTCGTTTGGTCTTCTTTAGTGCTTTTCTTCAAGGCACTCTAATACTAGATGGGGCCATTTTTAAAAATCTTGTATCAAGTTTCTCCTTTAACATCTTACTCAAGCGTAGGTAACCACTCTGTAACTATTTTTTAGGATGAAATTTTTGGAAAGAAAGTAACTGAATATGTATACAGAGTTCTAGATTTTGGCTTTTGGCCAGTCTTGAAAAAAGCTGGTTGTTCAGCCAGGTTCACTTTAGTGATCCCAGCTTTCCACCTTCACTTTTCTTTTTTTTTTTCTTTTTTTTTTGAGACAGAGTCTCGCTGTCGCCCAGGCTGGAGTGCAGTGGCTGGATCTTGGCTCACTGCAAGCTCCGCCTCCCGGGTTCACGCCATTCTCCTGCCTCAGCCTCCCGAATAGCTGGGACTACAGGTACCCGCCACCACGCCCGGCTAATTTTTTCTATTTTTTAGTAGAGATGGGGTTTCACCGTGTTAGCTAGGTTGGTCTCAATCTCCTGACCTCGTGATCCGCCCACCTCGACCTCCCAAAGCGCTGGGATTACAGGCATGAGCCACCGCGCCCAGCCCCCACTTTCACTTTTCTTTCCCACTCTCTATAACCCTCTTCCTCACCACTGTGCCCAGAGCTTTCAGTCCTGTGTGTGTTATTTTGATTTTATTATCCAATTCAAGAGTGTTTGCACTCTGAAAGGAGCTCAGGGTGTGGAACACCCAAAGAAAACTCAGTGGCACCAGTGCTGTGATCTGATCTGAGGCTCAGCTCTAAAGCAGTTCCCACCCAGGCTCCCCCACAAGCCCATCACTGGCTGACCACTCCCCTCTGAAGACTGGGCATATTTTTCTAACCACGAGTTCTGATCCAAGGTTCAGCAGAGGAGTTCTTGTGCCAATTCTGGCTGCAAATGACAGTCTGAGAAACAGTATTTGGACACAGATATTTATGAAGATTGACTTGTTTTATGGTGATATATCTGCTGACTTTAATCTGAAAAACACCAGGAATAGGGGCAAGTTAGTAGTATGATTCTATTGCCCTGATGTGAGGTTCCAAAGGGAGGCAGGGCAGACCATTAACTTTTCTGTTCAGACGTTCTCTAGTGGCCCCTCAAAACCTCATTATTTCATTGAATTTGTGTGTGTGTGTGTGTGTGTGTGTGTGTGTTTTAGACGGAGTTTTGCTCTTGTTGCCCAGGCTGGAGTGCAATGGCATGATCTCGGCTCACTGCAACCTTCGCCTCCTGGTTTCAAGCAATTCTCCTGCCTCAGCCTCCCAAGTAGCTGGGATTACAGCTCCTGCCACCACGCCCGGCTAATTTTTGTATTTTTAGTAGAGACAGGGTTTCACCATGTTGGCCAGGCTGGTCTCGAACTCCTGATCTCAGGTGGTCCGCCCACTTCGGCCTCCCAAAGTGCTGGAATTACAGGCAGGAGCCACCGTGCCCGGCCAAGTTTGTGTCTTTTTAACAGCAGGTGGTTATTATTAGGTAGTTTTTAATTGTTCAGTATATGCCAGATGTATTTCATAACAGCCATATGAGGTAAGCACTGCTATTATTCTCCTTTTATACATGAGGAAACTGAGGCTCAAGAATGTTAGACTTCCCAAGTCAGGGCCTAGTTTCATGCCACGGTTTGTTTTATTCCAAAGCCAGGCTCGCCTTTAAATTGGGTGGGCCCCGCCTCCTGAGTTGGTGAATTTGCCCTCACGAAGGTGCCTCCTCCGTGATTATCTCCCTCCACCTGGCAACTCCCTCACTAGGCCTCTTACTCGATTAGTGTCTTTTCTACGCCTTTGGGAGACAATCCCACACTCTTCAGCGCCAATCCCACACTCTTCAGCTTCGAGTTCTCCATTGTACTCCCCTCACCGCTGGGTTCGCCTGGCTCATAAGTAGGCCAGCTCTCTGCTGCCCCCTCCTGGCATAACTCAGGACCTGTCTCAGTGGGACTTGCACTGAAAGATGTCTCCTCCCTTCTATTTGCAAACCCAGTCCTAGCCTGCCCAGCTAGCGCACTCACCAGATCTAGGAATAAGAATGATTCACCTGACTGTCTTACATCTGACCCTGACAAAGGTTTCCCAGACTCTGAGACCGGCACCTATTTCAGAAGATGCACATTTGAACAACCCATAGTAAGATCACCTGTTCTCTGCATTGATTAAGTGGCAAGTTGACAAAGCGACTAGGGTATTTTGCTCCCAATGAACACTGGAAACACTGAGCAATTCAAATTACTTAGTAGTAAATTTTGAAGCTCTGAAAAACTGAATAGAATATCAAGGAGGCTTGTGTTGTGTTTAGTGATTCTCAGCCGAGGGAAAGCACTTTTTGACTAGCACAGCTATAGAACTCATGAAGAATTGCTCTCACCAGACTCTTGTCCTTGGTACAATACTTGATGCTAGGGTAACCACTGGATTGGAGGAACTTTGACTAGGATGCACTAGGTCTTGCCTGGGAAGCACTCTCGCAATTTTTTCCTTTGTGTTTAAAATGAAGTCCTCAACACTGTCAGTCTTTTGGACAAGGTCAGGGTGTTCAATGGAATCGAAGGCAGCCAACTGGGCTGGCAGAGATTTTTATTTAAAATAACCTCTAGGCTGGGTACGGTGGCTCACGCCTGTAATCCCAGCACTTTGGGAGGCTGAGGCGGGTGGATCACTTGAGGTCAGGAGTTCGAGACCAACCTGGCCAACATTACGAAACCCGTCTCTACTAAAAATACAAAAATCAGCCAGGCGTGGTGGCGCATGCCTGTAATCCCAGCTACTCAGAAGCCTGAGGCACAAGAATTGCTTGAACCCAGGAGGCGGAGATTGCAGTGAGCCGAGATCGTGCCACTGCACTCCAGCCTGGGTGATGGAGTGAGACTCTGTCTCAAAAATCAATAAAAAATAAAATAAAATAATCTCTAAACAGTACTGGACAAGGAGTCAGGGGATCTGGGTTCTGATACCAGCACTGTGACAGAAGTAAAGAATTGCAAGTAAGAGACGAGTTAGGAAAATTATAGAGGTTTACCCAACTATGGAAACCGTAGGGACAACAATTTTTAGTTCAATGTGAAAAAGATCATTCTAACAAATTAGAATTGTTTAACAAAGGAAAGTATGATTCAGGAAGCAGTGAGGTCTCTTGTTACATGGAGGGTTGAAACTGTAGCTGGGTCACCTTTAAGGTACATGACAGTAATAAATTCTTATATCAGTCGAAAAATTAGTATGGATCATTTCTAAGGTTCTGTATGCACTGTGCACTTAGCCCTTAGTAGGTACCCAGGAAAAGTTTGTGGTAGAAAGGAAAGAAGGGAGGGAGAAGAGAAAAATGAATCTTTCACTTCTTTCTCAATGGAATGGGTTAGGCTTTAAATAAATAAAAGCAAGCCACATAAATACTATTTTAAATTGGCACTGTGAAAATAAGAGTAATAGATGTTGGAGGACTACTGTATTAGATGAGACTGTTTTTAGTATGATATAAACAATAATGCTAGTCAACATTTATCAAGCACTTAACGTGACAGGTGTCATTCTACAACCTATTTAAATACTCCTATCAGACCCATGAGGTGGGTTCTCTTAGTTTAGGAAAGATAAGCAACCTTCTCGAGGCCTCATAACTAGAAAGAAACAGAATTGGGAAATGAGTGTGTGTGTGTGTGTGTGTGCGCGCGTGTGCGTGTGTGTGTGTGTGTGTGGCCCCGAAGCCTATTATGGTAGTTTCTCATGCTTCCTCTCCACTTCAATATATGGTTATGAGTTGTTATTGTTGTTTAAAATGAAATTATTTAAAAATACTGAACAATGCATATACTATACAATGCAAAACATTTAAAAAAGGAGTAAAAAGTAAATCCAAAAAAAATCTCTCCTATTCCTGTCCCTCAGCCACCCAGTAACCTGCCCAGGGGACAACCATCGTTAACAGTTACGCTTTTTTTTTTTTTTAATTTTTACAACACTGTGGTTTGACATCCCAGCATTTCATCGTCCACACAAACTTGAACTATATTACTACATATTTCTTCTCTAATTTTTAAATTTTACTTTTGTAAAACGTTCTTCAAAATTGGTCCCATAGAAAACATGATAAAAACAGCACACAGTGCATTGCAAATGCTAATGCTTTTCAGACATTAATTGTTCAATTGGTTAATCAAGCTTGGTGACATAGTATTTTCTAGTTGTTTTACATTTTCTATTTCTGTGATGTAACATCTTTTTACAATAAGATGGAACATCTGTCTGATGAAAAACGGGCCATTATTATTCATCTTAAGCCACGAAGCATCGTTCTACAGCTCTGAACTAATGGTCATTACATCAAATAGGTTTTACTTTAATCATTATTTCTAATACGTGAAATTAATACACAGTGTTTGTCATTACTGAGCACTGGAATATAATTCTAGAAGACGCAATTACTGTCTATCAGAAGTTTTTTGAAATATGATTATCAAATACTCTACTAATGAATCATTTGCATATCTGAAATTATAACCTAAACATTAAGCACTCTTGTGATAGGATGCATTAGGCTTAAGAATGAAAAAAAAGAGAGTGAGAGAGAAATTTAAGATATCAAGTTATATATATTGTCTGCTTCCCTCCCAACTCAGAATTTTTTCTGAGGAGAATGCATTTTCAAAACAACAGTTAAACAGCTTCAGGAGAAGGCATTTCTGGTGCTTTTCCAGGAATTAAAATTTTCTTTTCTTTTATTTATTTTATTTACATGAAAAAGAATGTTGTTTAGAAGACCTGGGCCTCTAAATTAAAAGAAAAAAAATCATGGTTAATTGTCAAACTCAATTCCTATACAGAAAAATGCCATCCATTTCCAAATGATGCTTGTAAACTCTCTCTGCAAAGCGGCAAAGAAAAATGCACTGTATTTCCCCTGCAGTGTTATATTGCACGTTCACCTTAAGAAGCATATGCTGCTCTTTTGAAATATGCAGACTCCCCCATCATTGTACAGGGCCTCTGTGAAAAGATAGAGGGCTCTGCGGAATTAACATATGAATAGGCTAACATACCTCCCAAGAAGCCCCTGCACGGGGTTGGGGGGGCACAAATGGAAGAGATTCTTTACATTCATTTTACAGTTAATGAAGAGTAAGAGGACCTTTTCTGACCAATTTTCCCCGGGGATTCAGAATTTACACCTAAAATGTTGAGTATAGAAAATATCCATTTAAGCCTGGATGCCTATTCATAACTAACCAAGCCCACTGGAAAAGGCAAATGTCCAATATCTGAAAAGAGTAATTGCTGATATCAATATTAATCATTGAAAGCTGATTATCACTGTTCTTGCCAATTGGCTACTCAATTCAGGTCACTTTAGCAAAAATGCTTTACCTGGAAGAGGTGAACTGACTAGGTTAGAGTCAGTGTTGTAGATGTAAGGGCATGACCAGTGGGAGGAGGTGTGAAGACAGTGTTTCTGGGGAATGAAGCCTTGAAAGTAGGACCAAGACCAGGAGCTTAGTCCAAAGGGATAAAGTCAGATTTGGCAGGATTACTGTCACCAAAATTCTAAGTAGAGCTCAAGACCCATTTACTAAGGAGATTAGGGTGCCTGCTGCTCTAATCGGCTCTAATAGAGGGTTCCATATATCTTTCCCACGTAGAAAGAGTTAAGTGTCACTTCCTCTGGAGGCAACCTCCCCTGACCTCCACAGCTGGGTTAGATGCCTTTCTCTGTGCTCCCACAAAAACCTGTACTTCTTGAAATATTACATAAAAATTCCAGCATTGCTACAAGGATGTGCCTCCATGTCTTTTTCCCTCGCAGTGGTGTGTAAGCTCTGTGAGGGTCACAGCCATGCCCACACTGTTCTTTGCTGTGTCCTGAGTCTGGTACAATGCCAAGCATATAATTGATGCACAGTAAATATTTGCTGAATAATGAAAAGTTTGGTTCTAGGTAGAAGTGAGTCAAAGCCATTGCCATGGTTAAGGAGCTGGGCCCAGGAAACCTTGCGATTTGCTTCATGGGACAGATATGTTGATGGGTGCATGTCCATGGAGCAGTCAATCTCGTGGACCAGACCACCAACTACCATTTTGTTTTGGGGTGATGCTTTCTGCTAGAACTGCATCATCGTACACCAGGATGTCGCTGGAATTAGAGTAATTAGATGGGAAGCAGGGACTGTGCACAATCAGATGAGAACAAGTAGAGGAGACTAGGGTAAGAAACGACCTGTGCACTGAGTAAGGTGGGATGGCGTGGTGGTGGAGACATACCATGAAACCTAACTCATGGAGACAGGAAGCTGAAAATGTGATTTAAGATGAGGTCAGCAAACTGGACTACAGACCAAATCTAATCTTCAGTCTATTTTTGTACACCCTGGGATTGAAGGATGGTTTTTATATCATTAAATGGTTGTTAAAAACATAAGAAGAATATGCAACAGAGATGGTATACGGCCAACAAAGCCTAAAATATTTGCTATCTGGTCCGTTACAGAAAATGTTTGCTGATAGATGGTTTAAGTGAATAAAATAATGATAGCAAAAAGCAACCACACCCACAGACATTGACATGCTCATACACACACATGCACGCACACACAAATGTGCTGTAATAACAAAACACAATTTTGTTGTAATCTGAAAATAGCAAACAAATGTTGATGTCCCACGAAGTTTGTGAAATGGAAATTAACTCATTTTTATTCTTTGGCAATTAAAGTAACCATAAATATATTTTTTGTAAGGCACTGTTTCGGTATTTTTTTGAAGACTGATTTTTCTTTTCTCTGGCGTCTCAGATATGGGTGTCTTATCCAGCCTCTGCTGTAATCATTCTGTTTGCCCTTGGACCTTTTCCTAATTATGAGAATTTTGCACCTCCTGAGAAGAGACTGCATAATGTGAATATATTTGAAAGATAATAACTTTGATTTGATCTCATTCAGCAATGTTCTTTGAAATACAGTCAGAATGCTCCAGAGCTGAAAGAGATCATCTCATCCAAATCCCTTGTTTTACTGAGAGAAAAATGGAGATTAAGTAATTTATTATATCTGAGGTCCTAAAATAAGCCAAGGCCAGAGTGAGACCCAGAAATCCTGGTCCCGAGCTTTCTCACACTGCTTCTTAGGCATGGTATTGTTCCTCCTCTAAACTCCCAGAGGGCAGAACGTGTCTGTTTTTTCTCTTCCAGTGCGCAGCCCATTGCCCGACACATAGTTGGTACCAATGTGTGTGTTGAATAAATGAATGAATTATAATCATGGCTAACATTTATTTTGTGCTTACCATTTGCCAATTATTATGGCAAACACTTTTACATACATTATATAATTTGACCCTCACAACACCTTATGAGTAGGTTGTATTACTATTTCTACTTTACAAATGAGGAAAGTTAGGCACAGAGAGGTGAAATGATTTGCCCAAAGTCACACAGGTAGGAAGTTGTGAAATTTGACTTTGAATGGAGGTCTTAAGTAAGCCAGTGTTTTTAATCACCACCCTAAATATGTGTTGGGAACCAATGAAAACATCAATTCTGGAATGATGCGGAAATGCTAAGCCTGTGCACTTACACATCAAAATACAATTTTCTACCCTGTCTTTCCTCAACAAATGAAGCCCAGTGAACGGGACCCTCAACTTGTTTTTTCTGACTTTGCCCCGACTCCTTTTGTGGCTCCACACAATCAGCTAATCTCTCAAGTAACCCAGTTCCCCAAATCCATTGCATAGCCCTGCTTTTTGTGACACCCCAGGGGGCCTCTAATTACCCCAGAGGGGTTTCATAAAATTCTCAAAACAAATTTTAAATGTAATCTTTTTTTTTTTTTTAAAGAACATATGCTTTACAAAACCTTTAGGAGGATACAAGGGATTTGCTTCAAAGAAAACAAAACAAATGAAAACAGTTTTTATAGTCCCAGAGTGCAAGCCAAATGGTAAGGGATGCAGCTCCATCTGCTGGACATCAAACACTCTAATAATAATTGTGATTAAATATTGATAATGGGGAATATTTGTAGTCTGCAGCATTTCTCATGGTCTATTCTAAATATTCTTTTTTGTAAATAACAAAAATACATGGCCATTGTCAAAAATTTGTAAAACACAGAAAAAATGACCACAAATGTTATAATAAGCACCTATAATCTCACCTCCCTGAGAAACCTACCACATTAACAGTTTTTCCTTTTGTTCCCATGCATCTATGTTTTTTTAACCCAGGTGAAAACATATATGTACAGTGATGTATCATCTTTCTATTTCTCAACATTATATAATAAAGGTTTTCCAAGACATTTAACAGTCATCATAGGCACAATTTTTATTATTTATTTATTTATTTATTTATTTAGAGATGGAGTTTCGCTCCTGTCACCCAGGCTGGAATGCAATGGCACGATCTTGGCTCACTGCAACCTCCACCTCCTGAGTTCAAGCAATTCTCCCATAGGCACAGTTTTTAATAGCTGCATACTATTCTAAGATTATACAATAATGTATTTACCCAAATCCCCATTGTTGAACATTTAGGTTGATTGACAATTTGGTTATTATAAATGGGCATCTCTTTGCATAAATTTTGTCTGGACCTCAGCTTACTTCCTGAGAAGTGATTGTTATTATATTAAGAGTGGAGCTACAGGTCAAGGATAAGACGATGTTTTAGCTCCTGAAATATGTTGTCAAATTGCTTTCCATGAAGACTGCATCAGTTTATGCCCCCATTACCAATGTATGAATCCCTTTCTTATGCTACTCTGGCTAACTAGAGTATTGGAGTATTATCTCTTTTCACCTTTGTTTGTTTTTTTGTTTTTTTTTTGTTGTTATTGTTGTTTTGTTTCATTTTGTTTTTGTTTGTGTTTTTGAGATGGAGTCTTGCTCTGTCACCAGGCTGGACAGGCTGGAGTGCAGTGGCACAATCTCAGCTCACTGCAACCTCCATCTCCCAGGTTCAAGTGATTCTCCTGCCTCAGCCTCCCAAGTAGCTGCGATTACAAGTGCACGCCACCACGCCTGGCTAATTTTTGTATTTTTAGTAGAGATGGGGTTTCACCATGTTGACCAGGATGGTCTCAATCTCATGATCCACCCACCTTGGCCTCCCAAAGTGCTGGGATTACAGGCGTGAGCCACCGCGCTCTGCCATCTTTGTTAATTAATAGGTGAAAATTGGGCTCTTGCTTCCATTAGCATTTTTGATTACCAGTGCAGGTGAACATTTATTCATATGTTTATTAGCCATTCACTTTCCTTTTTTGTGACTTGTTTGTTAATGTCATTTTCCACTGAAAGCCTTTGGATTTTCTCATTATTTTGTATGTGCTCTTTAGCTATTCAAGACATTACTTTTTCTGTTATATACATGGCAAATATTTTTCCAAGTTTGTTCTTTGTCTTTTATTATATTTGGCATGTAGAAGCTTTTTTTTTATATAGTCAGATATATAAATAGTTTCTTTCATGATTTTTCTTCTATCGTTTTTAAGCTTAACATGTCCTCTATACAGAGGTGCAATAAATATTCACATTGTTATGGTCTTAATTTTTGGCCCCCATTTTTGTTGTTTCCATTTGTATGTACCTGAAACTAATGTTGATATAAAATATGAAATATGAGGATATATTTTTTATCATTTATTAAATTATCCTTCTCTACCTTCCTAAGTTGTTAAATTGTCACCAGCATATATTTCACACAGCATTGTTCTTGTACTCCACGGAGAGTTGCAAAAGTACAAATTTTGTAGTAAACTTTGAAATGGTTTCCATTTTGCTGACAAAAAGATTCTGGAATGCTGAGATATTATAGGGACCATTTAAGAGTTTTGAGTGGGGAGTTAACACAATCATGCCTGTATTATTAAAACAAGGTGACTATCACATAATGTAGAATGAGAGTAGTGCAGAGCGGGGGAGAGTTTGGAGGCAGCCATGTCAGATGGTTTACAGTTTTCTAAACAATTTGTGCTTTCTTCTGAGCCTTATAGGCATCTTCCTCCTTGCCTTTTGTTTTCTCAGTATCATCTCTTTAATCATTTTGGTATGTTCCAGGCACTGTGTTGGGCACTTTATATATGTTATCTCATTAACTCTGCCAAACTCCCAATGAGGTAGGTATGATCACCCCGCTTTTACAGATAAGGAAATTGATGCTGAGGGGTGTCATTTAAGTTGTTCAAGGTCCTACAGCCAGTAAGTTGCAGGATGCATAACTGAAACCCAGGGATTTGGGGAAAAACTTAAATATAAAACACTTAAAACAGTGCCTGGCTTGATAAATGGGAATTTCTTACTTGTCATCAGGCCTCATGAACTTAAAATTTTATACGTTAAAAGAACTTGCTGGCATCACATTAACAAAATATCCCAGTAATTAAAGAAGGCTTATTCAAACATACCTGTGAATTATTTTGCCCTCTGATGTTTGTGTAAAAAGGGCTTCAGCATGGCAGTCAAGAAACCTAGCTGCTAGCCCATCTTGTAGTGCTACGAAGTTGTGTCACCTCGGGCAACTCACTTGACCATAAAGTTTCCTTGACTGCATAACAAGAACAACAAAAGTAATCATGCCCCCCACAGGGTTTTCAGTGAAATAAAAACAAATCCAAAATGCTTGGAAAAGTTTCAAATTCCACATGATCTTATAGATTTCCCAATTAACAAATCAAAATTATTAGGCCATGAAAATGCCTATAGAAACAAACTACAATGAACAGTGAAAATGACCTCTGTGTTTTAATTTGTTTCATTTTTATTCTTCATCAAGTCCAATTTTCAAACATACAAAAAGTAGAGAGAACAAGTAACGAGTCTCCGTGGCCAGTCTCCTAGCTTCAGTGATTGTAAACTCTGCTATTATTGTTTCATATAGCCCCCAAACATTTTATATGTCTGTATATTTTAAAACAAAATCCAAGGCAGTATATGAATATGATTCTTTGTATGATTATAAAAATAATGGAGTTGTATTTGATTTTCTCAAATGCTGTAGAAAAAGTTAATTTTAATACCTGGCAAATTCCAAGCAAATATTGATTTTACTTGGTCTTGCTGCTTTTAAAATGCCTCAGAATAATGAATCTCTGATCTAAATAATACGTCAATTTTTCAGTACAGACCAAGGGCTAGTGAATTTCAATGGTCTATGGAGGACAAGCTGGTGGGGGAAGGGGAGGGCTCCATCTAGTCTATACAGAGGGCAGCATTTTATTTTTGTAATAACTATGTATATCATCAAACATTTAGCTGGTTTAGTATATTAAACCAGTTTGACTTCAGGGTAATTCTGACCAGAGATTTAACTATTCTTGACAAAGTGAGTGAAGGTAAGAAGATTAATTATTGGTTGGTACAAAAGCAATTGGGGTGTTTGCCATTAAAAGGAATGGCAATTACTTTTGTGCCAACCTAAGAAGAAATTTTTTAAAAAGAACAAAAACAGCCTATGCTGCCCACTAATAAAGCAGCTAGGAACGAGTTTCTCTCTAAACGTATGTACTTGCCATTTTTTTCCATATGTCTAGTTTGCAAAAGCTCATTGACATTCCATAATCCACAGCCTAATGACAATGGCAGGGCAGGCATTAATGTACCCATTTGGACAAATTAGAAAGTGAAAGAGGTCACACAACCTGGAGAGTGACAGAGCTAGGGACCAGGGCCTAGGTCTCTTGTTGCCTATGCCAAAAATGACTCCCTATGTAAGCAAATTTACTGAAAAAGAATAAATTTCTTCACCTTCTATTTTCAGTCTCCCTGAGACTTAACACAGTACCTGTACTTTGTAGCAGCTCAGTAAATATTTCTTGCCTGTCAGACTATTTCCAAATAATGGTAGAAAAGAAATATTACAGGTAGAAAAAAAAAACAGGAGAAATTAGAGAAAATGTTAAAGAAATAGGAAATGACAGTGACAAGCATAGCAAATAAAGAATAAGGTAAGAAAAATGAAACATGGAGGGAAAACATGTTAAACTGCAATTAAGAATCATAAAACATATGCCAGAAAAAAATATTTGAAGGCCATGTACCAAAAAACTGATGGTGGTGGTAATGACAACTGTGACTACTACCACTTACGTCTACCAGGCTCTGTGGTAAGCCTATTAGCCCTCTAATATTATGATGATGATGATGATGATTTATTTTATGTATTTATTTTGAGACGGAGTCTCGCTCTGTTGCCAGGCTAGAGTGCAGTGGCGCGATCTCGGCTCACTGCAACCACCTCCGCCTCCTGTATCCCTCTAATATTATTATCCTTACATAACAGATAAAGAAAGTAGGGCTCAGAGAGGTTAAGCAACTTGCCCAAGGATATATCTCTAACAAGGATAGATGTTAAAGAAATAGGAAATGACAGTGACAAACATAGCAAATAAAGAATAAGATAGGAAAAATGAAACATGGAGGAAAAACATGTTAAACTGCAATTAAGAATCATACAACATATGCCAGAAAAAAATATTTGAAGGCCACGTACTAGGATTCCAACCTAGACAGTCCAACTCAATTTTCATATTTTTTGGTATATTTTCTGTATTTTGCCAATTTCCTGCAATGAGCACGTATTACCTTTATTTTTTAATCCCGTAGCGTTCACCGTGTATAGAAATAATTTTGTCATTACATCATTAACTCTAGTTAATTACTATTTCTATTCATCATTTGTATGTCACCTCAATTAGACTGTTGAGAGCACTCCTCGGGGAGTGTCATGTTTTAATGCATATTATAGCTGCTCTATGAATATTTCTTAAATGAACGGACAATGGAAAGAAAAATGTGGGAATGCGAAGCAAACAACCACAAAAAAATGGTTTAGGGAGGTGATGAAAGAGATAGATAAGGAACAGAAAAAGGGGCACAGAAACCTACCATCATGATCACTAACAGGAGATATACTTGGGACCTAGGTAGTAAGACAAACACATAACTATAAAGCAGGGTAAATAAGAAAGAAAGCTAGCTAAGTAGAACCCTGTTTTGGTGACCTCAGACACTAGGATGGGAGCTAAAATGCATTAACAAAACATGCCAGTCACAGCAAAAATGGAGATTTTTTGAAGATATGGTACTTTAAAAAATTTAAATAGAAAAATTGTTTCAGAGTACCTTATGAGAGGGGAAAGTACTAAAATTGCTTTTCTGGCAAAGCCTGTCCCTTCATCCAACAATTATCCTAAGATACTTGAGATCTCATCTCCATAAATTCAATAGGCAATTGGGGCCACTTTCTCTTTTGAGGCCAGATGCAAAAACAGAAATTACAGTCATTTCCTATATTGCAGAAATTAGCTGGCCAGTTGAAAGCCACCTGCACGCATTAATTCACATCATCAGAGGTTGGCATCTAGAAGGCTCAAGGCCCTTCTGTCTCTGCCACATACTTCACCCACATGGAGGCGAAGTTCAGATAATCAAAGGTGAAGCCTAAGTTTCCAGTTGAGCCATGTTATGAGGTGGTAGTCTCTTTGTACCTCCTGCTGGCTTGTGAGTTAAAGAGCAACAATTTTTGTTTTCATAGTAACACACACACATAAACATAAAATAATATTGAGGCATGACATAGCAAATAACAGCAGTCCCCTACCCCAGCATTCCCCATCACCCTCCCAAGAAACAATAATAGCTGTTTCTTCTGATTTCCACGTTATATTATCTAAATAATATGCCTAAAGAGCTATTTATTTATTGATATTAGATACTATCTATTGATTTTCTTTTACAGTAGTTGACAATTTAGCTTTCTTATACCTCCCCACACTGCACACCCAGATTCATCAATTCCCTTAAAATTTCTATCACAATGCTTGATTAAATCATTGCCAGGTTCACACGATTATGGCTATGCAATTATTGTTTGCTGCTAAGCAAAGTAGCACATTATTGTTAGTCTTAGCATATTATTGTTAGATTTTGGGGTTTTTTTTTTGAAGTTAATAATGGCTTCAGTATTTTATTATTTGAGATTTCAATATTTCTAATGCTTCCCCCCCCCCAGTATTCTAACAGTTCTGTAAAATATCTATTAATAATTTTTCCAAACACTCTGATTCATCTAAAAATCTGCTGCTTCCATATTCCCCATAAAGATTGCCCTTTTGCAGCTCCCTGTTCCCCCGCTACAAACTAAGCCAGTTATTCTCATGGCCTTGAACATGACTGTCTTCCTGGGACTCTCCCTTCCCATCCCCTGGAGTTAGAGTCTTGTTTCCTGGATCTTACCCTATGTCTTTCTTTTTCTTGGCTTACTCCTTCATTTTAGTAGAGCAAAACCTCCAATTGCTTCCAGAAGAGTTCATAGGAGGAATTTTTTGAGTCCTTGCATATTTTACTCTAACATTTAACATGAGCATGTTTGGATTGCCATAGAATTTTAAGATGAAGATAATTTTCCATTAAAAATAGACATTTATGGTCAATTGATTTTTGACAAGGGTGCCAAGACCCTTCAGTGTGGAAAGGGTAATCTTTTCAACAAATGATTCTGAGGCACTTGGATATGCAGAAGCAAAAGAATGAAGCTGGACCCTTAACTCACACTATACACATAAACTCCATATGGATCAATGACCCAAATGTCTCATCTAAAACTCTGAAGTTATAAAATGGTCAGAAGAAAACATTGGTATAAATCTTCATGACCTTAGATTAGGCAATGGTTTCTTAGATATAATACCTAAAAAGTACAAGTGCCCAAAGAATGAATACATAAATGGGACTTCAACAACATTAGAAACTTCTACACTTGTAAGGACACTATCAAGAAAGTGAAAGACAACCATAGAATGGGAGAAAGTATTTACAAATATAACTGATATGGGACTTGTATATAGAATACATAATAATACTTATAATTCCATAATGAAAAGACAAATTACTCAATTAAAAATGAGCAAATGACCTCAATAGACATTTCTCCAAGGAAGACATACAAGTGGCCAATAAGGAGATGAAAAAAAGCATCATTAGTCATTAGGGAAATGTAAATCAAAACCAAAATGAGATACTACTTCATACCCACTAAGATGGCTAAAATTTTTAAAAAGGAAAAAACAAGCACTAGCAAAGATGTGAAGATATTAGAATCATTGTATGTTGCTGGTAGAAAGAAAAAATGGTGCAGCTAATGTGGAAAACATTTTGGCATTTCCTCAATAATTTTAAGATAAAGTTACCATATGATGTAGTATTTCCATTTATAGGTATATCCCCAAGAGAACTGAAAACATATGTGTACACAAATGTTCACAGCAGCATTATTCACAATAGCCAAAAAGTACAAGCAACCCAAATGTCCACCAACTGATAAAATGGAAAAACAAAGTAAGGCATAACTACCCAATAAGATATTGCTCAGCCATAAAAAGGAATGAAGTACTAATACATGCTACGACATGGATGAACCTTAAAAACATTATGCTGAGTGACTATTTACAATAGCAAAGACTTGGAACCAACATAAATGTCCATCAGTGATAGATTGGATAAAGAAAATCTGGCACATATACACCATGGAATACTATGCAACCATAAAAAAGAATGAGATCATGTCCTTTGCAGGGACATGGATGGAGCTGGAAGCCATCATTCTCAGCAAACTAACACGGGAACAGAAAACCAAATACTGCATGTTCTCACTCATAAGTGGGAGTTGAACAATGGGAACACATGGACACAGGGAGGAGAACATCACGCACTGGGGCCTGTCAGGGGGTGAGGGGCAAGGGGTTGGAGAGCATTAAGACAAATACCTAATGCATGCTGGGCTTAAAACCTAGATGACGGGTTGATAGGTGCAGCAAACAACCATGGCACATGTATACCTATGTAACAAACCTGCACATTCTGCACATGTATCCCAGAACTTAAAGTAAAATTTTAAAAAAATTATGCTGAGTGAAGGAAGCCAAACATGAAAGGTCACATATTGTATAATGCCATTTATATAAAATGTCCAGAAAAGGCATTTTCTGGACATAGAAAGTAGATTAGTGGTTGCAAGGGAATGGAGGCAAGTGGGAGTTGGCAGCGACTACTAGTAATTATGAGATTTATTTTAGGGTGATAAAAATGCTCTGTAATTAGATAGTGGTGATGATAACACAACTGTAAATATACTAAAACCATTAAACTATACACTTTACTTATTTATTTATTTATTTAGAGACAGGGTCTTGCTCTGTTGCCCAGACTGGAGTGCAGTGGCCCAATCACAGTTGCACTGCAGTCTTGACCTCCTGGGCTCAAGCGATTCTCCTGCCTCAGCCTCCAGAGTAGCTGGGACTACAGGTGCATGCCACTATGCCTAGGTTGGTTTCTTTCTTTCTTTCTCTTTCTTTCTTTCTTTCTTTCTTTCTTTCTTTCTTTCTTTCTTCCTTTCCTTCCTTCCTTCCTTCCTTCTTTCTTTCTTTTTCTTTCTTTCTTTGCTGGGGTTTCACCATGTTGCCCAGGCTGGTCTGGAACTCCTGAGCTCAAGCAATCCACCCACCTCAGGCCTCCCAAAATGCTGGGATTACAGACGTGAGCTACCACGCCCAGCCAGATTGTACACTTTAAATGGGTGAAATTTATGATGTATGTCTGGCTTCTTTCATTTAGTATAATGTATTTTAAAAAGTAATGTAGGAACCAGGTGTGGTGGCTCACACCTGTAATCCCAGCAATTTTCGAGGCTGAGACGGGTGGATCACTTGAGGCCAAGAATTCGAGACCAGTCTGGCCAACATAGTGAAACTACATCTCTACTAAAAATACAAAAAAGTAGCCGGGCATGGTGGCATATGCATGTAATCCCAGCTACTTGTGAGGCTGAGGCACGAGACTCACTGGAACCTGAGAGGCAGGGGCTGCAGTGAGCTGAGATCAAGTCACTGAATTCCAGCCTGGGCAACAGAGCAAGACTCTGTCTCAAAGAAAATAAATAAATCAAATATATATATTTTTAATTTTAAAAAGTAATGTAGATACTGAGAGGCTGGAGTGGAAGGATCACCCGAGCCTGGGAGGTCGAGGCTGCAGTGAGCCATGATCGCACCACTGCACTCCAGCCTGGGTGACAGAGCAAGACCCTGCGAGACTGTCAAAGAGTGATCAGGAAATCACTGAGACAGCCTGAGTTTTCAACAAAAGGCAAAGGATAGACTACCAAACCTGAACAAATTTAAAATAGTGGGAGACAAAAATAAAGTTGCTTTTGTAATTACAAATACATAAACATACTCACATAAATAAATAAAACAGGAGAGATAATAACAGCCAAATAAAAGATTTAACAGAAATTGTGAAGACAGTTTACGGCTGGAGGAGAGGGAATGGAGGGCTCAGAGGGCACTATAGCCCAAGCATCTGCAGAGGGGGACAAAGAGCAGTAGGTAAATTAGTCACCCTGTAGAACATAGAGTGACCCAGAATTTGAAGGCATGGAATACAGTTGAAAACAGGAGTAAGGCACAGAGTTCAAAATAGAAAAGGACGGTTAAAAGTCAAATAATGGACCCCTCAGGTATCTTCCCCCAACTTCAGATGGCTGCTGGTAGACAATCCCACCTATGCACAAAGAACTTCCAATCTCATTCTTATATATAAACAAATAGCTTACAATCATCAGAATTTTCAGAAAAATTTTCAATGCTAAAGAGAAAGAATAACATAAACAACAGAAATGAAGGGATTCTGAGGAAACAGGCAATGCAGGTGGCAGAAGAAAACTTTCAAACATTATCATTGTCATCCTTAGAGATAAGAGAAAATATTCTACTCATACCAGAAGTATAGAATGTTATAGAAAAGAAAAATTTTAGGACAAGAACTATCTCTTTAAAAATTAAAGAGGGTGGAACAAGATGGCCAAATAGAAGCCTACACCATTTGTCCCCCCAACAGAAACACCAAATTTTAACAACTGTCTGCAACAGAAAAGCACCATCACAATAACCAAAAATCAGGTAAGCAATCACAATACCTATTTTTAACTCCATATTGCTAAAGAGGTACTGAAGAGGGTCAGAGAGACAGTTTTATATTACCAGCGCCACCTCTTCCCCATCCCCTGGCAGCATCCCTGTGGTGCAGAGAGTATGTGCGCATTGGAAAAGGAGAGCTCAGTGACTAGGGGACATTACATTGAACTCGGTGTTGCCTGTCATAATGGAGAACAAAGCCATGCTGGGCTCAGCCAGTACCCAGGCATGGAGGGAACATTTGGACAAGACCTAGCCGGAGAGGAATCACCCATCCCAGCAGTTGGAACTTGAGTTTCTTGGCAAGCCTCGTACTGTGGGCCAAAGTGCCCTGGGGTCCTTGGTAAACTTGAAAGACTGTCTGGGACACAAGCACTATGATTACTAGGCAATTCCTAGTGCTGAGATGGGCTCAGAGCCAGAAGACTAGGGTGGCATGTGACCTAAGGAGACACCAGTCGAAGTGACTAAGGGAGTGATTGTGCCAAACCTCCCCGACCCCGGGCAGTGCAGCTTGCAGCAATAAAAGTGACTCATTCTTTCTGCTTAAAGAGAGGAAAGCAAAGAGTAAAGAGGACTTTATCTTGCATGTGGGATATCAGCTCAGCCACAGGATAGGGCACCAAGCAGAGTCATGAGGCCCACATTCTAGTTCATGGCTCATGGGCGTTTCTAGATACACCCTGGGCCAAAATGGAAACTGCTGCCTTGAAGGGAAGGCAGGATTCATCACTTCCAGACTAAAGAGCCCTTGGTCCCAAATAGCCAGCAGTAATAACTAAGAAGTATGCCATGGGCCTTGGGCTCTGAAATGTGCTGACTTCAGGTGTGACCAAGCACATTCCCACCTATAAGTGAAAGACTCCTTCTGTTTGAGAAAAGAAGGAAAAGTAAAAGGGACTCTGTCTTGCACCTTAGATACCAGCTCAGCCATAATAAGGTAGAGCAACAAGCAGGCTTTTGGGGTCCCCAGTTCCAGGCATAGCCTCTTGGACACAAAATCTTTCTTCTGCTTGATTACTTCTGCTGTTGAGAGACTCTGATGCATTATGTATGTATGTGTGTATGTATGTTTGTATTTATTTAAGACAGGGTCTTGCTCTGTCACCCAGGCTAGAGTGCAGTGGCACGATCTCGGCTCACTGCAACCTCTGCCTCCCAGGTTCAAATGATTCTCCTGCCTCAGCCTCCTGAGTAGCTGGGACTACAGGTGCATGCCACCACAACTGGTTAATTTTTTTGTATTTTTAGTAGACACAGGGTTTCACCATGTTGGCCAGGCTGGTCTTAAATTTGTGACCTCAAGTGATCTGCATGCCTCAGCCTCTAGAAGTGCTGCGATTAGAGGCGTGAGATGCACCCAGCCATCTGATGCATTTTTTAGTTTGTCAATTGAATTTTTTAGCTCCAGAATTTCTGCTTGATTTTTTAAATAATTTCAATCTCTTTGTTAAATTTCTATTCTGGGACTCCGAATTCTTTTTCTGTGTTATCTTGAAGTTCATTAAGCTTCCTCAAAACAGCTATTTTGAATTCTGTCTGAAAGGTAACATATCTCTGCCACCCCAGGATTCATCACTGGTGCCTTGTTTAGTTCATTTGGTGAGGCCATGTTTCTCTGAATGTTCTTGATACTTGTGAATGTTCATCAATGTCTGAGCATTGAAGACTTAGGTATTTATTCTAATCTTCACAGTTTGGCCTTTCTTGTCTTGTCCTTTTGAGAAGGCTTTCCAGGTATTCAAAGCGAATGGAGTGTTATGATCTAAGTCTTTGGTCACTGCAGCCATATCTTCACTAGTGGAAACCCCAAAGCCCAGTAGCACTGCAACTCTTGTATACTCCTCATAGATGTATTGTCTTAGTGGGCTTGGCTAAGATCTGTGAAAATTCCTGGATCACCAGGCAGAGTTTCTTGTATTCTTCCCTCACTTTCTCCCAAAGAAACAGTCTCTCTCTCCATGTTTGGCTGCCTGGAGTTGAGAGAGGAGTGATGCAAGCACTCCCACTGCTACCATAGCTGGGACTGTGCTGGGTTACACCTGAAGCCAGCATTGTACTGGGTCTCATCCAAGGCCAATGGCAACTACTGCCTGGCTATTGCTGATGTTTATTCAAGGCCCAAGGGCTCTTTAGTCAGAAGGTGTTGAATCCTACCAGAGCTGGGTCCTTTCCTTCAGGGTAGCAGGTTTCTTTCTAGCCCAGGGTAGGTCTAGCACTGTCACCCAGGAGCTAGGGCCTGGAACTGGGGGGCTTCGGGACTCTGCTTGGTGCTTTATTTTACTGTGGCTGAGCTGGTATCCAAATTGCTAAACAAAGTCCTCTTTACTCTTCCCTCTCCTTTCTGCAAGCAAAAGCAGTCTCTCCCCAAGCTGCACTGCTTGGAGTTGGATCTGCAAGCTCTTCCTTGGCTGCCCCAGATGGTGTCTCCATGGGTCACTTGTGCCCAAGTCCACTGGCTCTGAGCCCAGCACAGCAGCAGGACTTGCCCAAGGACTGTGGTCCTTGTGGCCTAGACTGCCTTTCAAATTTTTTCAGGACCCCAGGGCACTTTAGTTCACCACTGGTGGGGCTGGTCAGAACTCAGTTCCCACTGGAGTGTAGGATTCCCCTCTGACTGGGGCTGATCTAAACGCTCACTCCATGGGCATTGACCAAATCCTTCTTCCCTGTCTTGTGTTCTGCTGTGACAGGGTAGCGCTGAGTTCCAATACAAAGTCCCACAGTCACTTTCCTCTCCCTCCCCAAAGGACACAGATTCTCTTTCTGTGTGCTACTGGGGAATGGGGGAGGGGTGGTATAGGCAATGTAAAACCATCTTTCCTACTCTCTTCAGTGCCTCTTTCCTTAATATTAAATATTAAAACCAGGTACTGTGATTGCTCAACTTGTTTTTGGTTCTTATGAAAGTGCTTTCTTCCAGGGATAATTGTTAAATTTAGTGTTCCTATGTAGGGATGATCACTGGAGGATTCTATTTGGCTATCTTGCTCCACCTCCTCCTTCTTGCTTCTTATAAGTGGTTGATTAGGAATATCCAATTGAAATATTTTGCATACTTCAGTTGCCAGATCGTGCCATGGATTATCAGTGCTTTTTTTTACTACTGGAAATGGTTATTAGCATCTTTAAATCTAATGAGATTAGACAGCCAATTCCAGACACCTTAGAACCATTCACAAAACTCATCCTTAAAATTCTGTTTCTCTGAAACCACTCTGTACCAAAATCTTTATTGTTCTGTATTTTCCAGAAAAACAAAACCAGTATCTTTCTTTCAATATTCAGAGAGCGATAGATAGATGATAGATAGATAGATAGATAGATAGATAGATAGATAGATACATAGATAGAGAGATAGAGAGAGAGAGAAATATAGATAGATACAGATCAGATAGAGATAGATAGATAGACAATTAAAAATTGGGTCATGTGATTAGGGACAGTGAAAAGTTCAAGATCTGCAGGTGGCAAGCTGGAGACCCACAAGAGCCAGTGATATCCTCCAGTCTGAGGCCAAGTCTGAAAGAGGGAGACCAATGGTCTAGCTGAAAGTTCAGACAGGGAGAATGAATTTTTTCTTACTTAGCTTTTTATTCGATTCAGTCTTTCCACAGATTGGATGAGGTCCATCCACACTGGGGAAGGCGATCTGCTTTATTCACTCTATGATTCAAATGTTGCTCTCATCCAGAAACACCCTCACAGACACACAGAGAAATAATATTTAACCAAAGATCTGGGCAGCCCATGGCCTAGTTAAGTTGACACATAAAATTAACCATGTTCTGTGGTGCAAAATTTTTAATTTTGATGAAGTCCAACTTGTCAACGGTTCCTTATACAGATTGTTCTTTTGGTATTATGTCTAAGAGTCTTCACCTAGCCCTATTTCCCAAATATATTCTCATATGTTTTCTGTAAAGTTTTAGAGTTTTATGTTTATATTTATATCCATGATCTATTTTGTCTTAATTCTTGTATATGATGTGAGGTTTAGGGGAGGTTTGTTTTTTTGCCCCATGGTTGTCCAATTATGCCAGCATCATTGGTTGCAAAAATTATCTTTCCTTCATTGAATTGCTTTTCATTCTTTGTCAAAAATCAATTGAACTGGGCAATTATTTCTTAGATATGGCACAAAAAAGAAAGCAAAAACAATATTAATAGATTAATTATACTTGATCAAAATTTAAAACTTTTGTGCTTCAAAGTGTCAGAGGCGTGTGAGCTAGAGCAGCTCCATTTTGAATAGGAGATGGGTAAAATGAGGCTGAGACCTACTGGGCTGCATTCCCAGATGGTTAAGGCATTCTAAGTCACAGGATGAGATAGAAGATCAGCACAAAATACGGGTCATAAAGACCTTGCTGATAAAACAGGTTGCAGTAAATAAGCTGGCTAAAATCCAACAAAACCAAGATGGCAACGAGAGTGACCTCTGGTCGTCCTCACTGCTACACTCCCATCAGGGCCATAACAGTTTATAAATGCAATGGCAATGCCAGGAAGTTACCCTATATGGTCTAAAAAGGGGATGCATGAATAATCCACTCCTTATTTAGCATATAATCAAGAAATAACCATAAAAATGAGCAACCAGCAACTCTCAGGGCTGCTCTGTCTATGGAGTAGCTATCTTTATTCCTTTACTTTCCTAATAAACTGGCTTTCACGTTACCCTGTGGACTCGCCCTAAATTCTTTCTTGCATGAGATCCAAGAACCCTCTCTTGGGGTCTGGATTGGGGCCCCTTTCCTGTAACTAATGCACCATCGAAAAAGTGAAAAGATAGTTCACAGACTGGAAGAAAAAATTTGAAAATCATTTATCTGGCAAGGGACTTGTATCCTGTATATATAAAGAGCACTTACAATTAAATAATAAAAAGACAAATAACCCAACTGAAAAACAAGCAAAGAATTTCAGCACATTTCTCCAAAAAAAAAAAAAAAAGACATACAAATGACCAATAGGCACATCAAAAGATGCTCATTGTTATTTGTTGCTAGGGAAATGGAAATCAAAATCCCAATGAGATAACATTTTATACCCACTAGTATTCCTAGAATCAAAAAGATAAATGATGACAAGTGTTGGTAAGGATGTAGAGAAATTCAAACACTCATGCACTGCTGGTGAGAATGTAAAAAGATGCACTACTTTGTAAAACAGTTTGGCAGTTCTGCAAAAGTTAAATATAGAGGTATTATATGACCCAGCAATTCTGCTATTAGATATACACCCAAGATAAATCAAAACTTATGTCAACACAAACACTTGTACACAAATACTCATAAGAGCATAATCCATAATAGCCAAAAGTGAAAATAATGCAAATGTCCATCAAATGATGAATGGATAAACAACATGGAATACTATGGGATTTTTTTAGCCCTTCATTTTCTCTATTTTTTTTTTTTTTTTTTTTTTGAGACCGAGTCTCACAGGGCCTCACTCTGTCACCCAGGCTGGAGTTCAGTGGTGTGATCTCAGCTCACTGCAACCTCTGCCTCCCAGGTTCAAGCGATTCTTCTGCCTCAGGCTCCCAAGTAGCTGGGACTATAGATGTACACCACTGCGCATGGCTAATTTTTGTATTTTTAGTAAAGACGAGGATTCCCCATGTTGGACAGGCTGGTCTTAAACTCCTGACCTCAGGTGATCCACCTGCCTCAGCCTCCCGAAGTGCTGGGATTGCAGGCATGAGCCACCGCGCCTGGCCTGTTTTTCTATTTTCAACTGCATTTATTTCTGCTCTTTTTATTTCCTTTCTTCTGCTTGCCTGGGGTTTATTTTGCTCTTCTTTCTTTAGTTTTTTGAGGTAGTCACTTAGATTATTGATTCGAAGTCCTTCCTCCTTTCTATTGTAAGTATTTAGTGCCATGAATTTCTCTCTCAACAACTGTGTATAGCTCTTTTTGGTTTTCATTTTGTGATACCGTGGTATTTTATGAGATTCCTACTTTAATGGCGCCCTCTTCTGTCAGCATAACAGAGTTCAGCTATTTAGTAAATTTGTGCTTTTGTTTTGGTAATAGAGAAGGGGGTTTTTCTGTTCTCTGATTTTGTGGTTCTTTCTTCTCTTGCTGAACATAAATTTTGACCTTTTGCTTTTTTCCCCTTCACCACTCAATTGCCAAATCGTTCTTCATTACTTTTTTACCTTTTTTTCTTTCCCAGAGGCTAACTGTTTCAAAGACTGCCCCTTCAAATCACACATACTTTTAAATTTTTTCCCCTGTAGTCCATATACTCTGATCTACTTAGACACTTTTTTAAAAAATTTAGAGTATATTCACTCTTTCCGGTGGTGGTTTTACTTATCTTTTGGCCCTTTAGCTACCTTCCCTCTTCTGTTTTTCCCTCAGATTTATTCAGTCTGCCTTGCTGGCCACAATGTCTCATGGCAGGGCGAGTAGGAGGAAAGAGAAGCATGAGCAGCAATGCATTATGATTTGGTGTTATTTCTCCTTTTACTTACAGTTCTTTTGAATTTGGAGTATTCTTTCTCTTCAAGTTATTGTGAGAGTATGGTTTTGCATAGTTTTGTTTTTCTCTTGTTGTTCTGTATTGATTTTGGAGGGATATTAGGAGATTGGGACCTAGGTGGCTGCCATTGTTGTTAGCTACCCAGAAGTTCCCCTATTCTAAAAACAGACATATGCTATTTCCGGTGACTAAGTGTTTATTGGCATAAATATATATTAACTTCTGGTAAAAATTGATAGCACGCTAAAAATGATGTTGAAAATAATTTTCCTAGTTCTAAATTAATGTTGCTCCTCTTTATCCTATTTTCAACCTCAATGTTTTGTTTGGAAGACAAATCCCTCCTCTTTCGCTAACCACTACTACTAAATATGAACTGCCAAGAATCTAATATGTAAATTATTTTAGTTGTTATCTCCAGAATAAAATGAAATCATGGAAATATCAAGGTCTCTGTGTTCTGACTTAATTAAAACATTTTGAGAATAAATTGCAGTGTATCTTATTCTAATTGAGAGCATTTAGCCAGATGAGAAAAGACAAACTATTCAAGAGTTCGTTCCAATTTTCACCTATTTAGATTCCAACCTCTCATCCTCCATGGTTACCTTTGGAAAGCCCTTACTTAATAGAGTCATGATAGAGAAAATAGATTTTCCTTATGACATCTGTTTTTAGGTGTGGCTGTTTTAAGATAGTATGCTTTTCTTTTTTTTTTTTTTTGTGAAAAGTTAAAAATTCCTTAATTTTTTATTCCTGGTACCACTACCACAATTTACAGGGCAATATACCTGATGTAATGAAAAGAAAAATAAAAAGACAAAGCTACAACAGATAAAAGACCTCAGGAATGTACATCTAATTGACACTACATTGCATTAATCAATAGCTGCACTTTTTGCAAACTGTGGCTATGACAGTCCTGAACAAGAAGGGTTTCCTGTTTAAGCTGCAGTAACTTTTCTGACTATGGATCATCGTTCCTTCTGTGGCAGATTTTTACAGTTCCTCTAATGCATTTGGGACGACTGTCTCAAAGTAACCTGCAGCTTTCCTGACAACTCCTCGCTCTCTCTCTCCTGCTAAGAACTGTAGCCCTTTTTTGCTGTTTTTAGAACCTTCTGCTACCATATCCACCACTTCCACCACCAGATCCATAACCACCACCATAGGGACTGCCCGAGTGTCTTCCACCAAAACTGCCCCCTTTCATGGGTCCATAATTTGATTGCTGTTGTCCACTATAATTTCCAAAATCACTATAGTTCCCACCACCACCATAGTTACCACCGCCAAAATTTCCTCCTTCATTGTAACCATCATATCCTCCACCACCTCCACCATACCCACCACCTTGGTTTCCATATCCTGGTCCACCACCGCCATAGCCCCCTCTACTACTACAACCAGGACCACTGCCATAGTTGCCACCATCACCTCCAAATCTATTATATCCACCATCACCTCCCCCATAACTACCTCTGCTGCCACCACCTCCACCACCATAGCCTCCTCTTCCACCAAAGTTTCCACCAAGGCCAAAATTACCTCCACCATCTCCAAAGCTTCCTCCGCAACCCATAAAATTGCCAGACCCACCTCCACGACCTCTCTATGATCCAGCAGACTGCATTTCTTGTTTAGAAACGGCCTTTTTGCTTCACAATTATGCCTATTAATAGTGTGGTATTTCTGAACAACAATTTTATCAACTGTATCGTGACCATCAAAAGTTACAAAAGCAAATCCTCTCTTTTTTCCACTCTGCCTGTCTTCCATAACTTCTATGGTTTCAATCTTGCCATACTTTTCAAAGTAGTCTCTCAAATTATATTCTTCTGTATCTTCTTTAATACCACCAACAAAAATTTTCTTCACTGTTAGATGGGCACCGGGCTTTACAGAATCCTCTCTAGAAACAGCTCTTTTTGGTTCCACTACATGCCCATCAACCTTGTGTGGTCGAGCACACATTGCTGCATCTACCTCTGTAACACAAGAATAAGTCACAAAACCTAAGCCCCTGGAACGTTTTGTTTGGCGGTCTCTCATTACCACACAATCTGTGAGTGTGTCCCATTTCTCAAAATGTTCTTTTAAACTATCTTCTGTAGTTTCAAAGCTCAGACCACCAATAAACAGTTTTCTCAACTGCTCTGGTTCCTTTGGATCATGGCCCTCCTCCCTCTGGCAGCGACAGCCGACGGCCGGAGTTGGGCTGGGGGCGACCGGGCGGTGGTTTTACCTCCATTTTGAGACCAGACTCGCCTCTTCCAATTCAAGTTCAGTATCGATAGTATGCTTTTCGATGGCAACAAAAGCCATAATTGACAAATGGGATCTAATTAAACTAAAGAGTTTCTGCACATCAAAAGAAACTATCATCAGAGTGAACAGGCAACCTACAGAATGGGAGAAAATTTTTGCAATCTACTTATCTGACAAAGGGCTAATATCCAGAATCTATAGAAAATTAAACAAATTTACAAGAAAAGAAAACCCCATCAAAAAGTGGGCAAAGGATATTAACAGACACTTCTCAAAAGAAGACATTTATGTGGCCAACAAATGTGAAAAAAAGCTCATCATCACTGGTCAGTAGAGAAATGCAAATCAAAACCACAATGAGATACCATCTCACACCAGTTAGAATGGCGATCATTAAAAAGTCAGGAAACAACAGATGCTGGAGAGGATGTGGAGAAATAGGAATGCTTTTACACTGTTGGTGGGAGTGTAAGTTAGTTCAACCATTGTGGAAGACAGTGTGGTGATTCCTCAAGGATCTAAAACCAGAAATACCATTTGACCCAGCAATCCCATTACTGGGTATATACCCAAAGGATTATAAATCATGCTACTATAAAGGCACATGCACACGTATGTTTATTGCAGCACTGTTCACAATAGCAAAGACTTGGAACCAACCCAAAGGCCCATCAATGATAGACTGGATAAAGAAAATGTGGCACATATACACTATGGAATACTATGCAGCCATAAAAAAGGATGAGTTCATGTCCTTTGCAGGGACATGGATGAAGCTGGAAACCATCATCCTCAGCAAACTAACACAGGAACAGAAAACCAAACACCGCATGTTCTCACTCATAAGTGGGAGTTGAACAATGAGAACACATGGACACAGGGAGGGGAACATCACACACCAGGACCTGTTGGGGGTTTGGGGGCCAAGGGAGGGATAGCATTAGGAGAAATACCTAATGTAGATGATGGCTTGATGGGTGCACGAAGCCACCATGGCACGTGTATACCTATGTAACAAACCTGCACATTCTGCACATGTATCCCAGAACTTAAAGTATAATTTTTTTTAAAAAAAGATAGTATGCTTTCAAAATAAATGCTAATGTTCTCACTCATATATGAGAGCTATAAAATTGGAACACATGGAGGTAGAGAGTGAAAAATTAGATAACAGAGACTGGGAAGGATGTGTTGGGGGAGGGGAAGGGTAAAGAGAAGTGGGTTAAAGGATACAAACATACAGTAAGATAGAAGGGATAAATTCAGTGTTTACTAATAGAATAGGATGACTATACTTAACAAAAATGTATTGTAGTTGGGTGATGGATACTCCGAATACCATGACTTGGTCGCTATGTATTATATACATGTAACAAAATTTATGTACCCTATATATTTGCACAAATTAAAATAAATAAATGTTAATAAATTAAGTTTTAATGGCCACATTCTCTCGTGAATCTTTTTCAGAAATTATTATATTGGATTCAATATAAGAGTGGTTAAGGAGTGAGACTCTCAATGCCAGAATACCTGGATAAAAATCTAAGTTCCACCATTGTCTAGATGTGTGACCAAGTTACTGACAACATCTATACCTCTATTTTCTCATCTAGAAAATGGAGGCAATAGTGGTACCTACCTCATATGATAGTTGGGAGTAAATACATGTACTTAGAATAGTGCATGACACATAGTAAACTCATGTGTTTGCAATATTTATATATTAATACACATAATTTATATAACTTAGTTGTAGCAGTATCTTTAATGGTTGTATCAGTAATCTATTGATGCACAATAAATTGCCACAATTTCACAGCCTAAAACAATACCCATTTATCATCTGACAGTTTTTGTAGGTCAGGAATCTGGCCGCTGCTTAACAGGATCTTCTGCTTCAGGGTCTCTAATGACGCTACAATCAATGTGTTAACCAGAGCTTGATTCTCTTCTGAAGGTTGGCTGGGGAAGGATTTGCTTCCAGTCTCATGTAGTTGTTGGGAAAATTCAGTTCCTTGTGGTTTGTAAAACCAAAGGCCTCAGTTTCTATCTGGCTATGGGCCAGGGGCTGCCCCAAGATCCTTGCCACAGTGTCCTCCTCAACAAGACAACTTGCTTTTTCAAAGCCAATAAGGTAGCAAGTGTGCTGGAAAAACAGAGATTACCATCTCTTGTAACTTAATCACAGAAGTGATAACTCATCACCTGCACCATATACTCTTTTTTTTTTTTTTTTTTTTTTGATACAGGGTCTCGCTCTGTCACCCAGACTAGAGTGCAGTGGCGCAACCTCGGCTCACTCCAACCTTGGCCTCCTGGGTTTAAGCGATTCTCCTGCCTCAGCTTCACAAGTAGCTGGGATTACAGGTGCATGCCACCACGCCTGGCTTATTTTTGTATTTTTAGTAGAGACAGGGTTTCACCATGTTGGCCAGGCTGCTTTCGAACTCCTTACCTCAAGTGATCCATCCGACTTGGCCTCCCAAAGTGCTGGGATTACAGGCATGAGCCAGCACACCCGGCCAGCACCAGATACTCTTAGTTAGAAATAAGTCACAAACCAGCCCACATTCAAGGGGAATGAATACCTGGATGTAGGAATCACAGGAGGCCATCCTAAATGGCAACCACGATGTCTTAAAAAGGAAATGAAATATTGTCGAGATGTTTAAGAAGATTGATTTTGTAGTCAACTTACCCAGGTTTAAGTGCTGAGTGATTTTGGGCAGGTTACTTCATCTTTCTGAGCCTCAGTTTCTTCACCTATAACATAGAGTAATAATAGTACTGCTAAGATACTTTGGGAAGAATTACACGTGAATAACTGTTTATCAATCTTGGTTTAAACTTAGTGAGTGCTTAACAAATGTTAGTTAATGTTATTATAAAGCTAACAGAATGGGGGCTGGGCATGGTGGCTCACGTCTGTAATCCCAGTACTTTGTGAGGTTCAGGCAGGCAAATCACTTGAGCTTAGGACTTTGAGACCAGCCTGGGCAAAACGGCAAAACCTCATCTCCACAAAAAATACAAAAATTAGCTGAGTGTGGTGGCATGTGCCTGTATTCACAGATATTCGGGAGGCTGAGGTGGGAGGATCACCTGAGTCTGGGAGGTCAAGGCTACAGTGAGTCATCACTGTGCCACTACACTCCAGCCTATATGACAGAGTGAGACCCTGTCTCAAAAAAACAAATAAATAAAAAGCTAACAGAATGGTATTTAGTTTAACAAACTACTATAGCCAGGGCGCGGTGGCTCACACTTGTAATCCCAGCACTTTGGGAGGCTGAGGTGGGCAGATCACTTGACGTCAGGAGTTCAAGACCAGCCTGGCCAACATGGTGAAACACCACCTCTACTAAAAACACAATAATTAGCCAGGCATGGTAGCATGCACCTGTAATCCCATCTACTCGGGAGGCTGAGGCACGAGAATCACTTGAACTCAGGAGGCAGAGGTTGCAGTGAGCTGAGGTCACGCCACTGTACTCCAGCCTGGGCAATAGAGTGAGACTCCGTGTCAAAAAAAAAAACACGAAAAACAAAAACAAAAACAAAAAAACCAAGCTACTATATTCCATATATTACTACTAAAAAGGTGATCAGATGGGGCTTGGGAAAAATGAACATAAAAGGCCATCACAAAATTGTTACACTCCCTTGTTAATTATGCCCATTTGAAAAGTGTCACTCCTGTATATACTCTCAGCTAGGTTTTGGTGTTTTTACGGTGCTTCTATGCTCACAATGAGATTAATAATGACAATTAGAACTCAATCCTCCACACCAGCTATTCTTCGACTACAATCAAGCCAGAGCATCTGCTATGCATATATAAGACTTAATTGCAGAATTGGTACGTTTTCTTGATTTAAGTATGCAATCATTGCAATCCCTCTATAGGCCAGTCCTTTGTTGAACACTGCGGGGACACAGTCCCTGAGTCAAGGAGCTCACAGTCTCTATGGAGTGTCAGGTAAACAGGGAATGACAGTAATATGGTGTGACACACACTGCAGCAGAAATTGGCTTAGGGTACTATGGAGGCACAGAGGAAGAGCATTAACCCAAATTGGGGGAATCAGGAAAGGGTTTTCTGGACCTGAGGCTTGACGAGTGGGTAAGAAAGGATATTCCCAGCAGGGAATATAAGAAGTGAAATAGAGATATTCTCTGCTCTCAGTTTCACAGTTTATTGGGGAAGATAAATTCATGGAAAGCTAATGAGAACACTGCTTGTGATGAAATGCTGCAGGAGCCTAAGAAGGTGGATTCTGACTGGGGAGGAGGATGATCAGTGAAGGGTTCTCAGTGGAGGAGAGAGCTAGCCAGACTTTAAGGATGGGAAATTTTATCAGTGTTTGGTCTTCTTCAAGTTTTCTCCATTGCTACTTCCAGCAGTAGGTGGGAATCATTTTATTTTTTGTTAATCAGTCTTCACTATTCATGAGTGACCCAAAGAATAAAGTCAGGCTGGGCCTGGTGGCTCACGCCTGTAATTCTAGCACTTTGGGAGGCCAAGGAAGCCAGATCACCTGAGGTCAGGAGTTTGAGACCAGCCTGGCCAACATGGTAAAACCCCGTCTCTACTAAAAATACAAAAGTTAGCTGGGCGTGGTGGAGGGCGCCTGTAATCCCAGCTACTGGGGAGGCTGAGGCAGGAGAATCGCTTGAACCCAGGAGGCGGAGGTTGCAGTGAGCTGAGATCACGCCACTGAACTCCAGCCTGGGTGACAGAGTGAGACTCCGTCTCAAAAAAAATAAATAAATAAAAATAAACTCATTGGAATTTAGAACGCTAGGACAGTCTACCAGCATTACACCTTGGCTGTTTCTCAACTTAAGCATTATCTTTGCCCTGCATGTTCATATATTGCCTGAATAATGACATATGAATAACGATAGTGGTCTAACGTTTGTATAATGTTTTTCAGTTTATTAATCATATTTTATAGAAGTTAAATCTACAGATTAATTGTAAGTTGCACTTGATAAAATGATAAAACAGCCACCTATAATCACCATGCAATTAACTGGACGCTACCATTTTGCTTCATTTGCTTCAGCTCTCTCTAATAAATAATGTATTACAAATACAGCAAAACTCTACAACCCATGACCTCTTCATCCATATCTCTCCTTGGGTAAACACTGTCCTGCAGTTGTCATGCATCACTTTTGTGCATATATTTGTACTTATGTATGAATATAAGCAATTATTTCAGCCGGGCACAGAGGCTCACGCCTGTAATCCCAGCTCTTTCAGAGGCCGAGGTGGGCAGATCACTAGAGGTCAGAAGTTCAAGACCAGCCTGGCCAACACGGCGAAACCTGTATCTATTAAAAATACAAAAAATTAGCCAGGCATGGTGGCGGACATCTATAATCACAGCTACTCAGGAGGCTGAGGCAGGAGAATCACTTGAACCCGGGAGGCGGAGTTTGCAGTGAGCCAAGACTGCGCCACTGCACTCCAGGCTGGGTGACAGAGTGACACTCCATCTCAAAAAAAAAAAAGTATTTCAAGTATTCTTACAATTTTTAAAATTGAATAGTGTATGTTTGCTCTTTTTCTTCATTTTTTCTATGCAATATTGTTTTTAAAAACTTATTCATGCTGATTAATGTTGCTGTAGTATTCACTCTAGTTCATTCATTTTAACAGTTACGTAGCATTCTACTGTATAAGTAAATCACAGCTTAATTACCCATTCATCAACTGAGAGATAATTAGGTTGTTTCCACTTTTTAATTTCAATTTTATATTTTGCTATTACAAAGAGTACTGGAGAAAATGCTCTCGTGGCATGTCCCTTTGTGCCCACTTCTGAGAGTTTTGCTCGGGGAGACACTTAGGAATTGAATTGCTGGGCCACAAAGTATAAGCATTTTCCAGTTTACTAGATTTGCCAGATTACTTTGCAAAGTATTTTCTCTGTTCTGAGCACTTTGTACGTATTAATTCGTTGTATCCTCACAACAACCATAGGAAGAAAATACTGTATAAACTCCTTTTTACAGATGTGAAAACTGAAGCTAAGAGAACTAAAGCAACATGTCCAAGGTCACACAGCTACAAGCAATAGAGCTTGCATTTGAATAGAGGCAGCCTGGTTCCAATGCCCATGATTTTAACCACTGCAGTGTTATATCTCCTGATCCAACCTATTATTGTTTTAATTTGCATTTATTTTTCCCATTACTAATGAAGTTGAACATCTCTTATTACCCCCCACCTTCTTTTATTGGCAGGAACGCTAAGTACCGTGGAAGCGGTAAGTACTGAAAAAAAAAAAAATGCCACAGCCTTATCGTCAAGGGAAATGATTTTTTACAAAAGCCCGGCTTTGCCCATGGCCTCAGCAGGAAGTTTAGAAGACTACTGCAATTAGGCCGGGCGTGGTGGCTCACGCCTCTAATCCCAGCACTTTGGGAGGCCAAGGCAGTCGGATCACTTGAACCCAGGCATTAGAGATCAGCCTGGGCAACATGGCGAAACCCTGTCTCTACTAAAAACATACAAAAAAAAGTAGCCAGGCATGGTGGTGCATGCCTGTAGTTCCAGCTAGTCAGGAGGCTGAGGTGGGAGAGTCCCCTGAGCCTGAGAATTTGAGGCTGCAGTGAGCCATGATTGCACCACTGCACTTCAGCCTGGGCAATGGGAGTGAGATCCTGTCTCAAAAAAAAAAAAAAAGAAAAGAAAAGAAAAGAAAGGAAGACTACTGCAATTAATGGACTGATTTGGAGGAGGAATATCTTTTTAAAATTAGTTTTATATGGAATGAAAAAAGAGCCCACATTGCCAAGACAATCCTAAGCCAAAAGAACAAAGCTGGAGGCATCATGCTACCTGACTTCAAACTATATTACAAGGCTACAGTAACCAAAACAGCATAGTACTGGTACCAAAACAGAGATATAGACCAATGGAACAGAACAGAGGCCTCAGAAATAATGCCACACATCTACAACTATCTGATCTTTGACAAACCTGACAAAAACAAGAAATGGGGAAAGGATTCCCTATTTAATAAATGGTGCTGGGAAAACTGGCTAGCCATATGTAGAAAGCTGAAACTGGATCCCTTCCTTACACCTTATACAAAAATTAATTCAAGATGGATTAAAGAGTTAAATGTTAGACCTAAAACCATTAAAACCCTAGAAGAAAACCTAGGCAATACCCATCAGGACATAGGCATGAGCAAGGACTTCATGACTAAAATACTAAAAGCAATGGCAACAAAAGCCAAAATTGACAAATGGGATCTAATTAAACTAAAGAGCTTCTGCACAGCAAAAGAAACTACCATCAGAGTGAACAGGCAACCTACAGAATGGGAGAAAAATTTTGCAATCTCTCCATCTGACAAAGGGCTAATATCCAGAATCTACAGGAAATTAAACAAATTTACAAGAAAAAATCAAACAACCCCATCAAAAAGTGGGCGAAGGATATGAGCAGACACTTCTCAAAAGAAGACATTTATGCAGCCAAAAAACACATGAAAAAATGCTCATCATCCCTGGCCATCAGAGAAATGCAAATCAAAACCACAATGAGATACCATCTCACACCTGTTAGAATGGCAATCATTAAAAAGTCAGGAAACAACAGGTGCTGGAGAGGACGTGGAGAAGTAGGAACACTTTTACACTGTTGGTGGGACTGTCAACTACTTCAACCATTGTGGAAGACAGTGTGGTGATTCCTCAAGGATCTAGAACCAGAAATACCATTTGACGCAGCAATCGCATTACTGAGCATATACCCAAAGTATTATAAATCATGCTGCTATAAAGACACATGCACACGTATGTTTATTGTGGCACTATTCACAATAGCAAAGACTTGGAACCAACCCAAATGTCCAACAATGATAGACTGGATTAAGAAAATGTGGCACATATACACCATGGAATGCTACGCAGCCATAAAAACGGATGAGTTCATGTCCTTTGTAAGGACATGGATGAAGCTGGAAACCATCATTCTGAGCAAACTATCGCAAGGACAGAAAACCAAACATCGCATGTTCTCACTCATAGGTGGGAATTGAACAATGAGAACACTTGGACACAGCGTGGGGAACATCATACACTGTGGCCTGTCGTGGGGTTGGGGGAGGGGGGAGGGATAGCATTAGGAGACATACCTAATGTAAATGACGAGTTAATGGGTGCAGCACACCAACAGGGCACATGTATACATATGTAACAAACCTGCACATTGTGCACATGTACACTAGAACTTAAAGTATAATATAATAAATAAATAAATTTAAAAAAATAAAAAATAAATAAAATTAGTTTTATTTTTTATTAAATAAATATACACATGTAGTTTAAAGAGACAACTAGATCTATAAGACCTGTTAAGAAAAGCAACAGTCCGTTCTCCACATGTATCCCAGAACTTAAAGTTAAATAATTTTTTTTTAAGAGAAATTCTGGCCCCGTGATGGCAAAAAAAAAAAAAGAAAAGAAAAGAAAAGCAACAGTCCTTTCTTGTATTCTGCTCCCCAGATGCAACCACTTTCAGTTAGTTCTTTGAGCTGATTATATTTCTATTTACAGCTACTTCTCCAAATTCCATGCTTGCATGAAAAGGGCTTGGGTTTACAGCTTGAAGCATTTTTTAGATTGAGTTTACGTTATGGGAGATAGGAGTTAGCCTCTGTACCTGTCTCTCTCTCTCTCTGCTTCTCTCTTACACACACATCCCACGACCCATCCATATGCTCTCAATATAGTTACACTTTTAGATCAATATTCAATGTTAACATTATTATGATTATGTAGACACAATAGTCAACTTAGTCATGAAGTACATTATGATTATTTTCCATCTCCTTCACATTTTTCCCTAGCATTTTTAAAACTTACTTGATTTTCTGTGTACTTACCACCAAAACAACCCCAAATTCTCCTCCTGGCAATTTCATCTTCTTGAAGAAATCTCTCCCAGAACTTTCAGGACTGCTGGAATCTGAACTCATTGCTCTAGGCCTGCTGAACAGCTGTGATCTAGAGATCTCTTTTTACCATCATCCTAGAGATTTTTTTTTTTTTTTTGAGACAGAGTCTCGCTCTGTCTCCCAGGCTGGAGTGCAGTGGCAAGATCTCGGCTTACTGCAACCTCCACCTCCCGGACTCAAGTGATTCTTCTGCCTCAGCCTCGCGGTTAGCTGGGATTATAAGCACCTGCCACCATGCCTGGCTCATTTTTGTATTTTTAGTAGACATGGTTTCACCCTGTCGGCCAGGCTGGTCTCAAACTCCTGACCACAAGTAATCCACCTGCCTTGGTCTCCCAAAGTGCTGGGATTGCGGCATGAGCCATGGCGCCCAGCTCATCCTAGAGATTTTCTTTGCATCTCTCTTGTGTTGAATTCTTGATTGCTTAGATCCACATCTACTTTTTGGGCCTACACTCCCATTTGAGTGTAGCCCACTCTCCAATAGTTGCCTAAGAAAGGGTGTGCAGTAAACTCTATATTTTATTTCCCAAGAATTGCCACAGAGATATGTTCTGTCCAACATATTTCTCCAGAATCTTGCCACTTCTCTGTGCAGAGGTAGACTCTGTGTTCCCTCCTCTTCAACCTGGGCAGACCATTGAGCATACCTTGACTAACAGAGCATGACAGAAATGATGCCGTGTGGTTTCCAAGTCTAGGCCATAAAAATCAGTAGTTTCAACCTGGCTTTCTCTCAGAATCCTCAACCTTTGAACCCAGCCACCATGCTATGAAGAATCACAGGTCACAGGTAGAGGTCTATGTGGAGAGAATCAAGGACTCCAGCTCTCAATTCTGTCTAAACTCTCAGCCAGCAGCCAATATTAACTGCCAGACACATGAGTGAGCAATCTTGAAGTGGGCCTTTCAAGTCTCAATTGAGACACCCTAACTGATACCACTTGAAACACGAGCCCAGCCTTCGCCATTTAGACCTACTCGAATTTCAGAGTCATTAACAACAACAACAAAATTATTGTTGTTTTTTTAAGCAACTATGACTTAGGGTGGTTTTTATGTAACCAGAACAGAATGAATTGGAGGTAAATATTTTGAAAGCCTGCATATCTAAAAATGTATTTATTCTGTCATAACATTGGAAACATAGTTTGGCTCAGTATAAAATCCTAAGAAAAAATTTATTTTCCATAAATAATATATTAAGACATTCTTCCAGTATCTTCTAGCATCCAGTATTGCTATAAAGAAGTGAAATGCAATTTTCATTTTCATTCCTTCATGTGTGATATTTGACTTTTTTTCTCTGAGACAGCATTCAGGATAATTTATTTATCACAAAATTCTGAAATTTCAGATGATAATATGTATATATTCATTCCTTTTGGTGGACACTCATTGGGTTCTTTTAGTCCAAATGGAGACTCCAGTACCTCAGTTCTACGGAAATTTTATATATTACTAAATGATAATTTCACGTTCTTTATTTTCTTTGTTTTCTCTTTCTGGAATCCCTATTATTCAGATGTTAGATCTTTTGGATTGACTTTCTGAAGTTATATTTTTGCTCTTATTTATTTTTCTTTTATTCTACTTCATAGGGAATTTCTTCACTTTGTATTTCAGCATTAGTATTCAATTTCTGAAATTGAGGTATGCACAAATTTCAATGTATAACTAGATGAACTTTTACATATGTATATACCCAGTCATGTAACCCCCACACATATCAAGATATAGAATATTTTCATCACTTCAGAATATTTCCTCATGCCCATTTTCCAGTCAATATCAAACCCAAAGGTAAACAGTATTCTGATATTTATTGCCACATATTGTTTTGACTGTTCTCAAGCTTCAGAAAAATTATAGAGTATATTTCTTTTATTTAAAATAATGTTTTTGGAATTTAATCGTGGTTGCCTGAGTTTTTAATTAATATTTAAATTTAGTTGTTATATTTTTTAATTTTCAAGAACTAGTTTTTGTTCTATTATTACATTTGGAAACCATCCTGGTTTGGGGATCTTATTGCTTATTTATTTATTATTTTTAGTTATGATGGGTATATAATAGTTGTCCATTCTGTTTTTGTTTTGTAAATGTAATTATCTGCCCTTATCTCTCTAGAATAACAATAGCTTAAGAACCCTTTATTTAGGTATAGTCGACATGAAGTAAAATGCATATATTTAAAGTGTACAGCCGGGAACAGTGGCTCATGCCTATAATCCCAGCACTGTGGGAGGCCAAGGTAGGAGGATCCCTTGAGCCCAGGAGTTCAAGACCAGCCTGGGCAACATAGTGAGACCTCCTCTCTACAAAAAATGAAAAAAAAATTAGTCAGGTATGGTGATGTGTGCCTACAGCCCCAGCTACTAGGGAGGCTGAGGTGGGAGGATTGCCGGAGCCTGGGAGGTCAAGTCTGCAGTGAGCCCAGATCACACCACTGCATTCCAGCCTGGGCAACACAGTGAGACCCTGTCTCAAAAAATAAATAAATAAAGTGTACAAACTGAAAAGGTTTGACGTACATAATCATCTATGAAACCATCTCCACACTTAAGGTAATGAATATATCCATTATTCCCAAAAGTTTCTGTGTGCTCCTTTGTAATCGCTCCTTTCTACTCCTTCCACCTCGACTCAAATTTGTCTCCAGGCAACTAATGATTTTCTTTATCACTATGGATTACTTTGTAATTTCTAAAATATTATATAAATGGAATCATATAGTAAACACTTTGTTTTGTTTGGTTTCTTTCTCTCAGCATAATTATTTTGAGATTCATGCATGTCATTATGTGTATTCTTAGTTCATTCGCTTTTTATTGCTGAGTAGTATTCCATTGTATGAATATACAACAATTTGTTTATTATTTAATCTATTAATGGCCATTTGGGTTGTCTCCAGTTTTGAGCATTTGGAGATTACGAATGAATATGTTCAGTATTTTAATTGAGGTGTTGGTTTACCAGAAGTCTATGTATGTGGAAACTGATCAAATTGCATACTTTAAACATGCAATTTTTTTGTAGGTTAATTATTCCTCAATAGAGCTGTTTAAAACAAAAAGAAAAAAAGAAAAACAAAAATACCAGAGACTGGGGCCAAATTATGAGAGATTTTACATAAAAAATATTTCCCTCCATGACACAATTAATATACTTCTCACCTGGATACACACACACACACATACACACACACTCACACACACACACACAGCCAATTTAATTGAGCTATAATTACATGACATACAATTCATTCATTTAATGTACAACCACTTAATAAATGTGCATAATTGAATGATTTTTAGTATATACACTGAGTTGTGAGGTATATTTTTAACGCCGCTACCTCAACAGAATATTTTTAGTAATACACATGAATTAACACAAATAATTATAACCAGAAAGAAAATAAAGTGTAAATTTTCTCTATAAAACATTTTGCATATAGTTGTCATAGTAAAAATCATAAGGCAATTTTAAGAAAATTAAGCAAAAGTAAAATGTAGGCAACTACTAAAATATGCAACTGATATAAAATTTTAGCATTTTGATTTTTATGTAGTATTAATGAGCAATTAAAGAATACATTTCATGCTTGAGTATATTGTTCAAATTCAGTAAAATATTTTATTTTCAAATGTAATAAAAATGTCTTTATCCCCCCAAATTTTACTCCTTAAATTTAACACTTCGTTTCACCGATTTAGACACCAATAAAAGCAAGTGATTACACAGAATCACAGAGCTGAGGTGGTTGTTCTTTGCCTTTATAATCACATGCTATAATTTTTAATTTCGTGTACTTTTAAAGTGTAGACATATGTGTCATATATTACCACAGGGACTGCAGTCTGGAAGTATGCTCAAAGCAAGCTCAAACTGAGGTAGGAGGCAGGACTTGACTCCAGAGGCGGGGCTTGGACAGCAGACCCAATTGAGGACTAGCTAAACCAGGTCTAGGGCAGAAGCAGCTTTCCTTAAGCCTTGTCTAGCAATGTGGCATGTCAATTTACCGTTGCCATGGCAACACCCAGGAGTTACTGCCTCTTTCCATGGCAATGACCTGACAACCTGGAAGTTACCACCCTCATCCTAGAAATTTCTGCATAAATTGCTCCTTAATTTGAATATAATTAAAAGTGGGAATCAATATGAGTGCAGAACTGCCTCTGAGCTGCTACTCTGGGGACACTGCGTATGGGGCAGCCCTGCTCTGCAAGGAGCAGGAGCAGTACCTCTGCTGCTCTCTACACTTCTGCTTCAATTAAAGTTGCTGTTTAACACCACTGGCTTGCCTTTGAATTCTTTCCTGAGTGAAGCCAAGAACCCTCCCACCTAAGCCCCAAGTGTGGGGCTTGCCTGTCCTGCATCAAAACAATTCCAAATTGTTAAGAGCTTACTTTAGAAAGGAACAGCCTATGTCTCGGACCAACTATTTAATAAGGATTTATCCAAATTAACTTCCCTGTAGAATAAAATGATTATTAAAACATAAATATTAAAAATCAGCTAATTTGCACCTTACATTGATTTTATTCAAGCTTAAATTTAACCACAGCAATCTTTCACAACTCAGACCAAAAGAGGATTTGGGGAGAGAAAAATTGAAAACTTGTATCTGCTGCTAGTAAGTAAAAGACTGACTTTTCCTGGGTTTTATTATTCTTATATTAAAATTCTCTGCAGACAATGTTTTTCTTTATGGCCAGCAAGTGGGCAGACCTCTGCCACTGCCCCCACACTTGGTAGGACACTGCTCCATCCTAAGCTACTTAACAAGAAAGTGGCCTAATTAGTGCTGGGTTTGTGGCCTCCAAACTCTACTATTTGTCTATCAGGGTGCTGAAAGTGACTCCTGATAGGATGAGTTTTGGGTCCTCCTGAGGGCCTTTACTTGCTTATAGCATAGTGTGGGGTACAACATACACCACTATGACATGGGTGACCTGGAGGTGGTTTTATTTTCTTTTTGTGGGGTGTGTTATTGCCACACACATCACACATAAAACCCTCCTCCTAACTGGGTTCTGGGAATTTAGACCTTGATGTTGCTACCCACACCTACCCTAAGTACATGTAGAAACGCCAAAGCCCTTTTTCTTCTTGTCTGTGGGGCAAAGTGTTGATTTGTCTTCATTTCTTAGTCCTCACCCACTCCTTATCCCCCGATGGCTAACTGTATACCTGTTGGTCTGGCCCCCAACCTTACAGGACCCTGCCTCTCTCCCTCTTAGCAGTTTTTCTTCCTTAACCCCCTCCCCACTACAGACAAACATCCACATCATCCTTTTACATTGTGCTGATTTTATTGCATTCATCAGCATGGGTGGAACACTATTGGTCTCAGCTTTGGCCTTTATGTGATTGGTGATTCCCCAGAGTTGCTGTTGCTAGTTGTACGTTTCTGATCCAGGCTCTGCATTTACTGGCAGCAGAGATGGTTACTTGGGATGGTTTGCTTTTGCCAGCGGCTTCTGGGCTTGCTCTTCTGATTTTCATTTTCTGTTGTCTTTTGTGCTTGCTCTTCCGATTTTTATGTTGTGTCTTATTCTGCTTGTGGTGACACACAAATATTGTTGGTCTCATTGTTATCCTAGGCTTTTTGGAGCAGGAAGGAGGTGATTGAGTTTTTTTTCTTGAAATCCTTTGAAGGGGTTTTTTAACCTTTATGATTTTCTTCTCCACCTGGAAGCACAACACAGTGAGCTAGAAGGACATTGGTTTAGGGGAAGAGAAAGAGGTTGTATAGGAAGGGGAGCTTTATGAATAGGAGTGCAGGCTGAGGAAGGGGGTTGTGCTAGGCAAGGACAGGATAGGGGTCTTGAGAGAATAGAGGGGGAAGAAAAGAAGGAACAAGGATAGGATCATCTGACCTTGCCATTTTTGTTGGTCTTTTGTTGAGAAGAGTTCTTCTTTTCCTTCTTCTCTTTGGTTCTTGGGGTAGGCTTTTTCGTGCTTAGAATTGGTTGTTTCATATTTTCTTTAGGCTTCACTGGTGTGTGGGTCTCCTTAGCCATATTTAAGCCTCCCAACAATCTACCCTATGCTCCTGACCTCCTTATGTATACCCACCCCTGGGTAATGAGGAGCCCTACCCTTCAGCTTTGTTTGGTCAGAATGGGGCACCCCATCCAATGGTAGTCTTGGGGTGGCTTGGACATCACAAAGCGCTGATACCTCTGTGGGGGTGGTGTTGCTGGGGTGGCCAAAATGTGGTTGGAGAAAGGGGATTTTTCCACCCCAAATACTACCCGAAGGTCCATTTCAAAATGACCTGCTACCCTCATCATTTCCCCATGTTCAATTCTGGTGGGTCACATAGCAGGGAGAAGGTGTTTCCTTAAAGGCATTCCCTACAGCCACCCCCATTCAGTGGTTCATTCTGTTCTCTCCCACCCTTTACCATGACCTACTATTTTAGATGTCTTATCTAAAATCCCTCCAAGGTACAGTGGCCTTATTTAATTCTCAGTCAAAATATGAATCAATCCACTTCCCTCAAACAAATTTCCATTTGTATCTGTTTTGGTATGGTTTGTAAACTAAGACAGGTGTTTTTGGTTTTTTTTTTTTTTGGTTCACATTTCTTTTTTTTTTTTCATGATAATATTTTTTTTCCTGCATTTTTATTTATTTATTTATTTATTATTATACTTTAAGTTTTAGGGTACATGTGCACATTGTGCAGGTTAGTTACATACGTATACATGTGCCATGCTGGTGTGCTGCACCCACTAACTCGTCATCTAGCATTAGGTATATCTCCCAGTGCTATCCCTCCCCCCTCCCCCCACCCCACAACAGTCCCCAGAGTGTGATGTTCCCCTTCTAAAACCATAAAAACCCTAGAAGAAAACCTAGGCATTACCATTCAGGACATAGGCATGGGCAAGGACTTCATGTCTAAAACACCAAAAGCAATGGCAACAAAAGCCAAAATTGACAAATGGGATCTAATTAAACTAAAGAGCTTCTGCACAGCAAAAGAAACTACCATCAGAGTGAACAGGCAACCTACAAAATGGGAGAAAATTTTTGCAACCTACTCATCTGACAAAGGGTTCACATTTCTAAATGGTTGAGAAAAAAAGCAAAAGAATATTTTATGATGTAAAAATTATGTGAAATTGAAATTTCATTGTTCATAAAACTTTACTAGAACACAGATACACTAATTTAACTATCAGCTATGGCTGCTTTCACACTACAACAGAGTAGTTGCGACAGAGATTGTATAGCCTGCACCACATAAAGTATTTGCTATCTGTCCTTTTAGAAAAAGAGATTGCCAACTCCTCATCTATTCTGCTCCATTGATCTATTTGCCTATCCTTATGCCAAAACCACATTGTCATGATTAATTTCATGTCATGTCACAATTTTATGCTAAGACATAAAATTAGGTAGCCCAGCTCATTCAACTTTGCTCTTCTTTTACAAGATCATTTCAGCTATTCTAGGTCCCTCATACATTCTTTTTTATTATTATTATGCTTTTAAGTTCTAGGGTACAAGTGCACAACGTGCAGGTTTGATACATAGGTATACATGTGCCATGTTGGTTTGCTGCACCCATTAACTCGTCATTTACATTAGGTATATCTCCTAATGCTATCCCTCCCCTAGCCCCCGACCCCCCAACAGGCCCCAGTGTGTGATGCTCCCCACCCTGTGTCCAAGTGTTCTCATTGTTCAATTCCCATCTATGAGTGAGAACATGCAGTGTTTGGTTTTCTGTCCTTGTGATAGTTTGCTCAGAATGATGGTTTCCAGCTTCATCCATGTCCCTACAAAGGATATGAACTCATCCTTTTTATGGCTGCATAGTATTCCATGGTGTATATGTGCCACATTTTCTTAATCCAGTCTATCATTGTTGGACATTTGGGTTGGTTCCAAGTCTTTGCTATTGTGAATAGTGCCGCAATAAACATACGTGTGCATGTGTCTTTATAGTAGCATGATTCATAATCCTTACCCAGTAACGGGATGGCTGGGTCAAATGGTATTTCTAGTTCTAGATCCTTGAGGAATCCCCACACTGTCTTCCACAATGGTTGAACTAATTTACACTCCCTACGTTCTTAAAAATTTTAGAATCAGCATTTCTATTAATGTCAAAGCCTGTTATGATTTCATTGTGACGGTGTTGAATTTATAAATCAATATAGGGAGAATTGAAATCTTAACAACTTTGTGACCTTCAATTTCTGAACGTATATCTCTTCATTTATTTAGGTGTTTAATTTATGTCTGCAATGTTTTGTAATGTTCAATTTGTTTAAAATTGGTATTGTTTCCTCCTTAAGTATTTGGTAGTAGTCATCCGTGAAGACATCCATTCCTGAAACTTTCCTTTTGAGAAGCTATTATGTTTTGAATTAACTTTGGTATTTACACTATTCAAAAAGTCCAGTCTAATGTTATTTTGGAAAATTGTTTTTCAAAGACTTTTTCCATTGCATCTAAATTGTCAAATTTGTTGGCATAAAGTTGTACATAATATTCCCTTCATAGTTTTGAAATGCGTGTAGCATGTGTAGCGATGCAACCTCTATAATTTCTGAAATTGGTAACTTATGTTTTGTGTTTTTTTTCTTGATTACTTTTAGCTAGGCTTTTATGAATTTTATTCCTTTAAAAACTATCTTCAGCTTCCTTGATTTCTGTCTATCATTTTGGCTTTTTCTATTTCAATTATTTCTGTTCCTTATCTTTACTATTTTATTTTTTCTATTCAATTTCAATGTAATTTGTAGCCCCTTCAGGTGAAATCCTATATTATTCACTTCAAACCATTCTTCTTTTCTAATATAAAAATAAAGCTATAAATTTTCCACTTAGGACTGCTTAAGCTGCATCTCACAAAATTTGATATATTGTGTTTTCTTGTGCAGTTTGATATATCTTTAATTTCACTTCTAATTTCTTTTTAAACCATGAATTGTTTAGAAGAATGTCCCTAATTTCCAAGTATTGGGGATCTTCTAGATATGTTTTTGCTATTGGTTTCTGATTTAATTTCTTTGTGGTCAGAGAACATATTTCACTATTTAAATATTTTAAAATATATAGAAACTCATTTTATGACCCAGAATTTGGTTTACCTTGGTGTCGGTCAAATTTGGTTGATAGGAGTTTTCAAATACTACATATATCCTTACTAATTTATTTGTCTGCTTCATTTGTCAATAATTAATAGAAGAGATTTTAAATTTACAGCTGTGATTATGGATTTATCTATTTCTCTTTTAACTTTGTAAAATTTTGCTTCATGTATTTTGAAGCTCCGTTATTTCTTCCATACTCATCTACTGTTTGCATTGCATATCTCCTCCATCCTGGTACTTTCAACCTAGCTGTGTTTTGTATTTTAAGTGCATTATTTGTTAAGAGCATATAATTGGATATTGATTTTTAAATCAAGTTCATCAACCTCTGTCTTTTGTTGGAGTGTTTAATACATGTGTATTTAGTGGGATTATTGACATGGCTGTGTTTAAGTGTACCCACTTTCTTTTTGTTTTCTATTTGGTCTCTCTGTTATTTGTTATATACATATCCTTCTTTTGTGTCTTCATTTGGGTTGAGAGTTTTTTTTTTTTTTTGTATTTTATTCTGTTTTCTCCATTGGCTTTTTAATAATAGCTTTTTATATTATTATTTTTTATTTGTTGTGTGGATTACAATATGCATCCTTATCTTGTTACATTCAACACAGAATTAATGGAAGTTCTAGCCAGATCAGTCAGCAAGAGAAAGAAAAAAAAGGCATCCAAATAGAAAGAGAAGTCAAGCTATCTCTCTAAACAGACAATATGATTCTATACCTAAAAAACCCTAAAGAGTCCACCAAAAGGCTCCTGGAACTGATAAATGACTTCAGTAAAGTTCCAGGATACAAAAATCATTGTAAAAAATCAGTACCATTTCTATACACAAATAATGGTCAAGCTGACAGCCAAATCAAGAAGTAATCCCATTTACAATAGCCACAAAAAAATTACCTAGGAATACATCTAACCAAGGAGATGAAAGAGCTCTACAAGGAGATGTACAAAACACTGCTGAAAGAAGTTGTAGATGACACAAACAAATGGAAAAACATTCCTTGCTCATGAATTGGAAGAATCAATATCATTCAAATGGACATACTGCCCAAAGCAGTCTACAGATTTCGACGTTATTCCTGTGAAACGACCAACATCACTTTTCACAGAATTGGGAAGAAACTATTCTAAAATTCATATGGAACCAAAAAGAGCCAGAATAGTCAAAGGACTTCTAGGCAAAAAGAACAAAGCTGGAGGCATCACACTACCTGACTTCAAACTATACTACAAAGCTACAGTGACCAAAACAGCATGATAGCGGTACAAAAACACACATAAACCAATGGAACAGAATAGAGAGCTGAGAAATAAACCCACACACCAACAGCCATCTGATCTTTGACAAAGTCAATAAAAGTTAGCAGTGAGGAAACAGCAGTCTTCAATAAATGGTGCTGGGATAGCTGGCTAGACATATGCAGAAGAATAAAACTGGACCCCTACCTTTCACCATATAAAAAAGTAACTCAAGGTGGATTAAAGATTTAAATGTAAGACTTCAAACTTTAAGAATCCTAGAAGAAAACCTAGGAAACACAACTCTGGACATCAGCCTTGGGAGAGAATTTATAGCTAGATCCTCAAAAGCAATTGTGACAACAACAAAAATTGAAGTGAGTCACGCCTCTGTCACCCTGGAGTAACCACATTGGTGCGTTCTCTGAGGCTTCTCCATCTCATTGTGAGGCTACTGGGAACAAGGCTTTATCAGGGTTTATGAGAGCAAAGTAGACCTGTGATCAAGATGGTCAACTAGACACAGCCAGGGGGAACATCTGCCACTGAGGGATTGGGACATTGGGAAGACTGGTGCACTCTTAGCAGATCTTCAAAGGGAAGGCATTGAGAGCGGTTGTAGGGAAGACACAGATGTCGGGCCAAAGAAGGAGGAAGCTGGGAACCCTGCACGGGGCTACCATGCACCAGGACTCATTCCTAGCCCCCAACAACTCCTGGGGAAGGGGTGAGTTGAAGAAGCAAAGAGCAACCTGCTCTAACCATGGGCCTTTGGAATCCTGGCCAGAGGAGTCCCCATGACCACTGTGGACACTTGAGTTGTCAAAGACGGCTGCTTACAGAAGTGGTCAGGGCAGAGTTCCAGCCAGTGTGGAGCCCAGAGGGTTTCATGCAGGAGCATCTGTAGTGGAGCACAGCCAGGGACACCCATTCCCTTAGGCTCAACTTACTCCTATAGGAGACTTAGCCCTAGAGGAATTGTCACACATGAACTCTGCAGGGTGGTCTTGGCCATGAGATGGGACTGGTCCAACCTGAACACCCCTCAGCCTGCTGGACTCTCCCTGGGTGCTTGCAGTGCAGCCTCCGGTGCCCAAAAGGGGTGTTCCTCTTGGTGGCCTGCATCATAGCTCCTGTGCTGGCAGACCACACCTGACAAGCAGAGAGCTCCAGCAGAGCAGCCTCCACAGACACATATCAGCCTGCACATTCTCTCCTTCCACTGCAGCCTCCCCAGTGGTACCTTGCCTGCAGATACTAGCCCATGGCCACCTCCCAAATCACTTTGCTGGCATGTGTGTGCACAGGCAGATGTGCACCCTGCCATGCCACTTCTGCCAGCCCCTGCCATTCCCATCGAAGTTTTGGAGGGCATGGAGCCCCTTAGCCTTACCTGCCACCAGCACCCTGCCCCTGTGTTGACGCTGCTGCTGCCAGAAACTAGGCAAAGAGAACAGAGACCTGCCCTGGCCCTGAGCAGCCACCGCCACCCATAAACACACACAAAGAGCTCACACAGTCCTGTGGCCACCAGGGCCCCACCACTATGCTAAAACTGTCACCAGCACAAACATACACAAAGATGCCAGTGGGGCCCCCTGCTTCCCCACGACACGCTGCCAATGCTGCTGCTGCAAATGCCCACATGACAACCAGCATCCTGGCACCTGCTAGCACCTCACTGCAGCTGAAAAGTGGACACCTTATCATGCTGCCACTGATGCCACTCCTGCCATGGGCGAATAAAGATAAATCATGCTGCCACTGCCCTAGGAAGTACTTTGGTTGGCACCGCCCATTGGACTGTTGTGACTAGTGCTCTAGGAGCACCTTGGCCCCTCTAGTGCAGCAAGTTCCTAAACTTAAGTGGCCAGAGAACAAAGCCAGGGCCTGATACTAGTCCTCCAGAGTTAGGACATGCAGTCTAGGAGTCCTGAGCTAAGTCTTAGCCCCCTAAAATCGTCCAGAAATGAATCCAGTTGATTGAAAAAACTTATGCCACAATCAAACCCCTAAGGTCATGAAATAGCATAAAAGGTGGAAAAAAATCCAAAAATAGCAACTTCAAAGATTGAAGGAAAATCAGCCCACAAAGATGAGAAAGAGCAATTGCCAAAAGTGTGACATTTCAAAAAGCCAGAGTGTCTTCTTTCCTCCAAACGACCACATTAGTTCCCCAGCAATGTTTCTTAAAGAGATGGAAATGACTGAAATGACAGAAATAGCATTCAGAATATTGATAGGAACAAAGATCATCAAGATTCAGGAGAACATTGAAACCCAATTCAAGAAAGCTAAGAATCACAATAAAATGATGCAGGAGCTGACAGACAAAATAGCCAGTATTGAAAGGAACATAACTGACTGATTCAGCTGAAAAACACACTACAAGAATTTCATAATGCAATTGTAAGTATTAACAGCAGAATAGACCAAGCCGAGGAAAGAATCTTAGAGCGTGAAGACTGCCTTTCTGAAATGACAGTCAGAGAAAAATAAAAAAACAAGAATGGAAAGGAATGGAAAAAAACCTCTGAGAAATATGGGATTATGTAAACAGACCAAATCTGTAACTCATTGGCATCCCTGAAAGAGATAGGGAGAATGGAAACAATTTGGAAAACTTATTTCAGGTTATCATCCATGAGAAATTCTGCAACCTAGTTAGAGAGGCCAACATTAAAATTAAGCTAATACAGAGAACTTTAGCAAGATACTTCACTAGAAGATCATCTCCAAGACATAATTATCAGATTCTCCAAGATCAGATGAAAGAAAAAAACTGTTAAAGACAGCTGGAGAGAAACGCCAGGTCAGCTACAGAGGGAAGCCCATCAGACTAACAGCAGACCTCTCAGCAGAAACCTTTCAAGCCAAAAGAGATTGGGGGCCTCTATTTAACATTCTTATAGAAAAGAAATTCCAACAGAGAATTTCATATACAGCCAAACTAAACTTCATAAGCAAATGAGAAATAAGATCCTTTTTGGACAAGCAAATGCTGAGGGAATTTGTTACCACCAGACCCGCCTTTTTAGAGCTCCTGAAAGAAGCAATAAATATGGAAAGGAAAGACCATTACCAGCCACTACAAAAACACTTAAGTACACGGGCCACTGACACTGTAAAGCAACCACACGAACAAGTTGGCATTATAACCAGCTAACAACATGATGACAGGATCAAATCCACACATATCGATACTAACCTTGAGTATAAAGAGGCTAAATGCTCCAGTTAAAAGTCACAGAGTCGCAAGCTGGATAAAGAAGCAAGACCTGATGGTAGGTATGCTGTCTTCAAGAGACCCATCTCATATGCTAGTTTAAAGTCTGTTTTGTCTGAGATTGTGAGCCCTGCTTTTTTCTGGTTTCCATTTGCTTCGTAGATTTCCTCCATCCCTTTATTTTGAGCCTGTGGGTGTTCTTGCATGTGAGAGTTTCTATTTCTTCCTGATTTAATCTAGGAGGGTTATAAATTTGTCCACCTCCTCTAGATTTTCTAGTTTGTGCACATAAAGGTTTTCATAGTAGCCTTGAATGATCTTTTGTATTTCTGTGGCACCAGTTATAATACCTCTTGTTTCATTTCTAATTGAGCTTATTGGGATTTTCTCTTCTCTTCTTGGCTAATCTCACTAATGATCTATTAATTTTGTTTATCTCTTCAAATCAACTTTTTGTTTCATTTATCTTTTGTATTTTTCTTTTTGTTTAAATTTCATGTAGTTATGCTCTGATCTTTATTATTTCTTTTCTTCTGCTGGGTTTGGGTTTGGCTTGTTCTTGTTTCTCTAGTTCCTTGAGGTGTGACCTTAGATCGTCTATTTGTGCTCTTTCAGATTTTTTGATGTAGACATTTAATGCTATGAACTTTCCTCTTAGCACTGCTTTTGCTGTATCTCAGATGTTTTGATAAGTTGTGTCACCATTATCATTCAGTTTAATGAAATTTTAAATTTCCATCTTGATTTCATTGTTGACCCAAAGATCATTCAGGAGTAGATTATTTAATTTCCATGTATTTTTATAGTTTTGAGGATTCCTTTTGGAGTTAATTTCCAATTTTATTCCATTGTGGTCTGATAGGATACTTGATATAATTCTGATTTTCTTAAATTTATTGAGACTTGTTTTGTGATCTACTGTATGGTCTATCTTGGAGAATGTTTTATATGCTGATGAAAATAACATATTATCTGCAGTTCTTAGGTAGAATGTTTTCTAAATATCTGTTAAGTCCACTTTTTCTAGTGTATTGTTTAAGTCCATTGTTTCTTTGCTGATTTTCTGCTTTGATGGCATGTCTAGTACTGTCAGTGGAGTACTGAGTTCCCCCACTATTATCGTGTTGCTGGTAGGCTGTGGAGAAAAGAGAATGCGTATACATTGTTGGTGGGAGTGTAAATTAGTTTAGCTACTGTGGAATAATTTTGGAGATTTCTCAGAGAACTTAATACAGAACTACCATTCAACCCAGCAATTATACTACCAAAAAGCATATGCACTCAAATGTTTATCACAGCACCATTCACAATAGCAAAGAGGTGGAATCAACCTAGGTGCTCATCAATGGTGGATTGGATCAAGAAAATGTGGTACACATATGCCATGGAATACTATACAACCATAAAAAAGAGTAAAATCATATCCTTTGCAGCAACATGGAGGCAGCTGGAGGCCATTATCCTAAGTGAATTAATGCAGGAACAGAAAACCAAATGCCACGTGATCTCACAAGTGGGAGCTAAACATTGGGTACTCATGAACATAAAAATGGCAACAGTAGATACTGAGGACCACTAGAGGGTGAGGGAGAAGGGCAACTGCTGAAAAACTAACTACTGGGTAGTATGCCCTCTACCTGGATGATGGGAACAATCATACCCTAAACCTGAGCCTCATGTGCTATAGCCATGTAATAAACCTGCACATGTTCCCCCGAATGTAAAATAAAAGTCGAAGTTATAACAAACAAATAATATACCATTTATGTATAATAATAGTAAAATTATGTCATGATGTTTACACCCTTCCTGCTTTTAGTGCTATCATTGTTTTATGTTTTATGTTTTACTTTTACTTATGATATAACACCTCAAATATGTTGCTGTTATTACATGATTTCAACATTCAATTGCCCTTTAAAATTTTAAAGGAAAAAATGTGTTATATTTTACTACCTATTTAGAATTTCCAGTGCTCTTCATTTATTACCTTATGTCTGAATTTCCATCTTGTTTTATCATTTTCACAGATTTTCCTTAGCATTTTCATAGATTAGATACGCTGGCAACACAATTTGCCTTTATGTTTACAAGATTTTTTACTGGACATAGATTTGTACATTGACAGGTTTTTTGAAATCACTGTATCACCAGCATCTGGCACGATTCCTGACACACGTAGTGAAGTCATTCCTTAAACACAAGATACATCCTAAAATCAACATGTAAAATGAAAATCATCTGGTCAAATGACTTTGCGTAATGCCTTAGGAAGGTGCGACATTGAAGAATGACATTCTTTTCTCAGAACGTTCAGCACTGCCAGCTTCTCCTCCAGTGCAAGAGCAGATGACTGGGTTGTTCCTCTTGTTTGACCCTCAGATTAAGTAACTGGCTTGCACTCGTGGCTGACCACACTACATGCAAAATATGTATCTAAACAAAAGAATGACGTTCAGCAAAGTGAGGTGTTCACACTGTGAGACGAAAGAACAAATTCGTGCCTTTCGTCTCACACTCAACCCAGGGTATATATTAACTGAATATAATGGTGGGATAATTTGCCTGTACTACTTAAACAATTTTCTCCTAGTGTGTATAGCTGAATTCATGTAAATGAAATATGTCTATGAATGCCAATGTCAAAAAGTTTCTTTGTGTGACTTAATTAATGCTGTTCTCTCTACTTATATATCTTCCTTTTGTCTCTGCCTATCAAAACCATATACATCTTCACAGCCAAGCTGATGAACCACTTATTCTCCCCAGCAGGCTAATTATTTCATTTATGATGTGTCTACTCTGAAGAACATAATGCAAAACACTTTATACTCTTTGCCCTCCTTTAATCCTCACACCAACTCCATGAGGTAGGAATAATGAATGTTCTTCCCATTTTAAGGATGACCCTGAGATGTAGAGAGTTTAACTATCTTGCCCAAGATAGGTGTCATCTACCTTGTTCACTGCTGTCTCCCTAGTGCCAAGAACAGTGTCTTAACAAAAATCTGTTGACTGGGTAGAATGGCTGTCAAATTCTTGACCTGTTTCAACTCACAACCCTAACCATGCTTTCTTAGTCTATCATTCACATATTGGTTCCAGCCAATATTATATTAATATTATAGATCTTTATTTGTTTTATATTTGTATTACAAAATCTGTAGGTATCTTAAATGTTTTTCCAAAGTGCACCTGCTCTTGGAGAGTCTGATATGTTTCTCCTTCCTCATAGCCCCCGTAAGATGTAGGGTCTGTACCACCCACATGGTACTTAATAAGTTATTGCTTTGCATTGTAGGTACTTGCTGTCATACCAGACTCCTATTAACTTCAACAGGGATGGTGCTGGGTTCAAGAGGCCAAAGAAGAGACCCAGAGCCAGCAAATGAGACATAGGGTTTCATTAGCAGGAAACTTATATGCAGGGATGGTCCGGTGGTGCTGGACTGGACAGGAGAACCACCTTACATACAGGGAAAGTCCAGTGGTGGCGGGCTGGGCAGGACAACCACAACGGCTTACAAAAAGCAATCAGTTTATATAAGATATTCACTTAGCACCCTCCCCCTAACAACTTCCATCCAGCAAATTTCATTTAACCCAAAACAAAGGGCCTCACTCCCTTCTGCATTCCACTGGATGGCCAGGGGTTCAGATGTTCCTCCTGGATATACAGGCAAGGAACGTATCTCCCAGTTGGCCATTTCTGGATTCCTCAGCTCAGAACTCACACTCAGGTGCATCTGCCATATAGGGTAATTCTCAGGTTATGCTTAAGTTTAATTTCACTGCCAGGTGTGTCTACCATACACTTGCATACACATCTCTACTGCTGTAGGAGGATAGATGCTCACTGACCGGTGTCATTCTCTGAAGTATTCATTAATGGAGTTTTGTTTAACATTGATTGATTGATTTTAAGTTGAAATATCATAATTATATGTATTTGTCATATATAACATGTTTTGAAATATGTACGAATTTGGGAATGTGGCTAAATTGAGCTAATTAACATATGCATTACCTCACATACTTATTATTTTGTGGTGAGAACACTTAAAATCTACTCTCTTAGCAATTTTTAAGAATACAATACATTGTTATTAACCATAGTTGCCATGTTGTACAATAGATCTATTGAACTTATTCTTCTAACTGAAATTTTCTATTTGGACCCTAGTCTTGACAAGGTAAATGACTAGAGTTAATTGCCCTTCTGCTGACATGGTCAAGACCTTGACAATCTAGACCAAAGCAGATGTCTAAGCCTTGCAGACTCCTGGTTTCCATCATATTAGTGTCCTCTTGCCCATACTGGCAGGAATTGGCTAACTGGTAACTATGCCTCAGTCTGTCTAATCAGGTGAGACCGTTTTCTTTAGCAACTGGCAACTTCTGAAACATCAGAGATTTACAAAATGTATTTTACTGCTGACTAAATATGCAAATCAGGAGATAGAAGGGTGACTATCTAAATATTGATGTGATTTACTTAGATCTTAAGATACTAATGATTTATACATGTCTGCCATGTGGCTTCATGGAACCCTTGGATCATTCTGAAGTTCTGGACTAGGAACATGTTTAGCTTTTAACCAGATAAAGAGATGCAATGATAATCATCAACCACAAATGCATCTATTTTAATAAGCAGGGTTATGGTGAGGTTTGCAAATGCAGAAGTCACAGTAAGAAGAGATCATACAGTAAAAGATCCAAGTTCAGAAAACTACCAATGGCAAAATCTAAACTAGGTAAAAATGCCTAAACTAGACTTCTAAGAGAATTTTTCCATGGGCTGTACCTGTATTATCCTTAGCCAATCATTTTGATCACTACAGTGAGGCTTCAGGAGGGGTGGGTGGGGAGACAAATTTTGGCATTATGTACTAAGTGCTTACTGAATGCCAAGTTCTTTAAGTGGATTATCTCATTTAATTATTACAACTCAGGATGAAGATACTGTTATTATCACCATCTTATGGAAGAGGAAACCGAGGCTCACACAGATCGTGATTTGTTTATGATCATAGCCTATAAGGGCAGAGCTAAGATTTGAATCCAGATCTGACTCCATGTCCTGTGCTCATTTTGCTATACCACACTGCCTCTCCGTGGTCTCCTATTAACCTATGATAATAATAGCAATGTTTATTGGGAACTATAAGAGCAAAACAATTAAAAATCTGGGCTCGTGCTTTATAAATAATAGTTACCATTCATTGAGCGCTAGGCATGGTGATAAGGGCTTTACATATAATAGCTCATTTAATCATCAAAACCACTCTACGACGTAGGCATTATTATTATATTCACATTTTACAGATGAGGGAACTAAAGCTCAGAGGGGTTAAATGACTGGCCCATAGTTAGCTAGAAATTTTCAGGGCCAGATTTCAAACCTGTCAGTTACCAGAGCTAGAGTCGTTATACCTCCAGTTCAAACCTGAATGTGCATAAGAATCACCTAATGAGGCTATGAAAATATATATTTCTTAGCCCCATCCCTGACAGTCTGAATAAGTAGGTCTTTTAAAGAAGTTTCCAGTATTTTATTGAGGATTTTTGCATCAATGTTCATCAGTGATATTGGCCTGAAATTTTCTTCTTTTCTTGTGTCTCTGCCAGGTTTTGGAATCAGGATGATGCTGGCCTCATAAAATGAGTTAGGAAGGAGTCCCTCTTTTTCTATTGTTTGGAATAGTTTCAGAAGGAATGGTACCAGCTCCTATTTGTACCTCTGGTAGAATTTGGCTGTGAATCCGTCTGGTCCTGGGCTTTTTTTGGTTGTTAGGCTATTAATTACTGCCTCAATTTCAGAACTTGTTACTGGTCTATTCAGGAATTTGACTTCTTCCTGGTTTAGTCTTGGGAGGGTGTATGTGTCCAGGAATGCATCCATTTCTTCTAGACTTTCTAGTTTATTTGCATAAAGGTGTTTATAGTCTCTGATGGTAGTTTGTATTTCTGTGGGATCAGCGGTGATATCCCTTTTATCATTTTTTATGGTGTCTATTTGATTCTTCTCTCTTTTCTTCTTTATTAGTCTGGCTAGCATTCTATCTATTTTTTTAATCTTTTCAAAAAACCAGCTCCTGGATTCATTGATTTTTTGGAGGGTTTTTTGTGCCTCTATCTCTTTCAGTTCCTTTCTGACCATAGTTATTTCTTGTCTTCTGCTAGCTTTTGAATTTGTTTGCTCTTGCTTCTCTAGTTCTTTTCATTGTGATGTTAGGGTGTCGATTTTGGATCTTTCCCACTTTCTCAATGTGGGCATTTAGTGCTATAAATTTCCCTCTAAACACTGCTTTAGCTGTGTCCCAGAAAGTCTGGTACATTGTCTCTTTAGTCTCATTGGTTTCAAAGAACTTCATTATTTCTGCCTTAATTTCATTATTTACCCAGTACTCACTCAGGAGCAGGTTGTTCAGTTTCCATGTAGTTGTGCGGTTTTGAGTGAGTTTCTTAATCCTGAGTTCTAATTTGATTGCAGTGTGGTCTGAGAGGCTGTTTGTTATGATTTCCGTTCTTTTGCATTTGCTGAGGAGTGTTTTACTTCAAATTATGTGGTCGATTTTAGAATAAGTGCTATGTGGTGCTGAGAAGAATGTATATACTATTGATTTGGGGTGGAGAGTTCTGTAGATGTCTATTAGGTCTGCTTGGTCCAGAGCTGAGTTCAACTCGTGAATATCCTTGTTAATTTTCTGTCTCATTGATCTGTCTACTATTGACAGTGGGGTGTTAAAGTCTCCCACTATTATTGTGTGGGAGTCTAAGTCTCTTTGTAGGTCTCCAAGAACGTGTTGTATGAATCCAGGTGCTCCTGTATTGGGTGCATATATATTTAGGATAGTTAGCTCTTCTTGTTGAATTGATTGGTGACAAAAAAATCCCTCAGCATTTGCTTGTTGGGAAAGGATTTTATTTCTCCTTCATTTATGAAACTTAGTTTGGCTGGATATGAAATTCTGGGTTGAAAATTCTTTTCTTTAAGAATATTGAATATTGGCTCCCACTCTCTTCTGGCTTGTAGGGTTTCTGCAGACAGATCCGCTATTAGTCTGATGGGTTTCCCTTTGTGGGTAACCCAACCTTTCTCTCTGGCTGCCCTTAACATTTTTTCCTTCATTTCAACCTTGGTGAATCTGACGATTATGTGTCTTGGGGTTGCTCTTCTCGAGGAGTATCTTTGTGGTGTTCTCTGTATTTCCTGAATTTGAAAGTTGGCCTGTCTTGCTAGGTTTGTGAAGTTCTCCTGGATAATACCCTGAAGTGTGTTTTCCAACTTGGTTCCATTCTCCCTGTCACTTTCATGTATACTAATCAATTGTAGGTTGGTCTTTTCACATAGTCCCATATTTCTTGGAGGCTTTGTTCATTCCTTTTCAATTTTTTTCTCTAATCTTGTCTTCACACCTCATTTCAGAAAGCTGAACTTCAATCTCTGATATCCTTTCTTCCGCTTGATTGATTCAGCTGTTGATACTTGTATATGCATCATGAAGTTCTCGTACTATGTTTTTCAGCTCCTCCAGGTCATTTATGTTCTTCTCTAAACTGGTTATTCTAGTTAGCAGTTCCTGTAACCTTTTGTTGAGGTTCTGAGCTTCCTTGTATTTGGTTAGAACATGCTCCTTTAGCTCAGAGGAGTTTGTTATTTGTAGCCACCTTCTGAAGCCCACTTCTGTCAATTCGTCAAACTCATTGTCTGTCGAGTTTTGTGGCCTTGCTGGGGAGGAGTTGTGATCATTTGGAGGAGAAGAGTAATTCTGGTTTTTGAAATTTTCACCCTTTTTGCGCTGGGTTTTCCTCATCTTCATGGATTTATCTACCTTTTATCTTTGAGGTTGATGACCTTTGGATGGGGTTTCTGTGTGGGGATTCTTTTTGTTGATGTTGATGTTATTGCTTTCTGTTTGTAAGTTTTTATTCTAACAGTCAGGCCCCTCTTCTGCAGGTCTGCTGCAGTTTGCTGTAGGTCCACTCCAGACCCTATTTGCCTGGGTATCACCAGCGGAGGCTGCAGAACAGCAAAGATTGCTGCCTGCTCCTTCCTCTGGAAGCTTTGTCCCAGAGGGGCACCGGCCTGATGCCAGCCGGAGCTCTCCTGTATTAGGTGTTTGTCAACCCCTCCTGGGAGGTCTCTCCCAGTCAGGAGGCACAGTGGTCATGGACCCACTTGAGGAGGCCATCTGTCCCTTAGCAGAGCTCGAGCGCTGTCCCGGTAAAACCCTCTTTGTCAGGATCAGCTGCTCTCTTCAGAGCTGGCAGGCAGGAACATTTAAGTCTGCTGAAGGTGCATCTACAGTTGCCCCTTCCCTCAGGTGCTCTGTCCCAGGGAGATGGGAGTTATATCTATAAGCCCCTGACTGGGGCTGCTGCCTTTCTTTCAGATATGCCCTGCCCAGTGAAGAGGAATCTAGAGAGGCAGTCTGGCCACAGCCACTTTGCAGTGCTGTGTTGAGTTCTGCCCAGTCCTTAGCACTGTGAGGGGAAAACCACCTACTCAAGCCTCAGTAATGGCGGACACCCCTCCCCCGACCAAGCTCGATCATCCCAGGTCTACTTCAGACTGCTGTGCTGGCAGTGAGAATTTCAAGCCAGTGGTTCTTAGCTTGCTGGGCTCTGTGGGAGTGGGACCCGCTGAGCAAGACCACTTTACTCCCTGGCTTCAGCCCCCTTTCCAAGGGAGTAAACGGTTCTATCCCAATGGGGTTCCAGGCGCCACTGGGGTATGAAAAAGAAAAACTCCTGCAGCTAGTTCGGTGTCTGCCCAAACAGCTGCCCAGTTTTGTTCTTGAAACCCAGGGCCCTGGTGGTGTAGGCACACGAGGGAATCTCCTGGTCTGCAGATTGCAAAAACCATGAGAAAAGCGTAGTATGTGGGTGAGATAGCAAAATCCCTCACAGCTTTCCTTGGCTGGGAAAGGGAGGCTCCCCTGCCCCTTGCGCTTCCCAGGTCAGGCGATGCCCCACCCTACTTCTGCTTGCCCTCCCTAGGTTGCACCCACTGCCTAACCAGTCCCAATGAGATGAACAGCGTACCTCAGTTGGAAATGAAGAAATCACCTGCCTTTTGCATTGGTCTTGTTGGGAGTTGCAGACCAGAGCTGTTCCTAGTCGGCCATCTTCTGCTTGTCTATTTCAGCAGTGAATCCATATGGGTCTGCAGCAACATCAATTCTTGCCTTCCACTCCTGCCCTAAAACTTGCCTCAGTCTCTTTTTCTGCCTTATGCCCCTCAGTCAGATTGTCAACATCGATGCAAAAATCCTCAATAAAATACTGGCAAACCAAATCCAGCAGCACATCAAAAAGCTTATCCACCATGATCAAGTCGGCTTCATACCTGGGATGTGAGGCTGGTTCAACATATGCAAATCAATAAATGTAACCCATCACATAAACAGAATCCATGACATAAACAGAACCAATTGCAGAAACCACATGATTATCTCAATAGATGCAGACAAAGGCCTTTGATAAAATTCAACACACCTTCATGCTAAAAACTCTCAAAAAACTAGGTACTGATGGAACGTATCTCAAAATAATAAGAACTATTTATGACAGACCCACAGCCAATATCATACTGAATGGGCAAAAGCTGGAAGCATTCCCTTTGAAAACCGGCACAAGACAAGGATGCCCTCTCTCACTACTCCTATTCAACATAGTATTGGAAGTTCTGGCCAGGGCACTTAGGCAAGAGAAAGAAATAAAGGGCATTCAAATAGTAAGAGAGAAGGTCAAATTGTCTCTATTTGCAGATTAAATGATTGCATATTTAGAAAACCCAATTGTCTCAGCCCAAAAATTCCTTAAGCTGGTAAACAACTTCGGCAAAGTCTCAGGATACAAAATTCTTGTGCAAAAATCACAAGAATTCCTATACACCAATAATAGACAGAGTGCCAAATCATGAGTTAACTCCAATTCACAATTGCTACAAAGAAAATAAAATACCTAGGAATACAACTTACAAGGGATGTGAAGGACCTCTTCAAGGAGAACTACAAACCACTGCTCGAGGAAATGAGAGGACACAAACAAATGGAAAAACATTCCACGCTCATGGGTAAAAAAATCAATATCGTGAAAATGGTCATACTGCCCAAAGTAATTTATAGATTCGATGCTATTCTCATCAAGCTACCACTGACTTTCTTCACAGAACTAGAAGAAAACTACTTTAAATTTCATATGGAACTAAAATAGAGCCCATATAGCCAAGACAATCCTAAGCAAAAAGAACAAAGCTGGAGGCATCATGCTACCTGACTTCAAACTATACTACAAGGCTACATTAATTAGCATAGTAATAGCACCATACTGGTACCAAAACAGATCTATAAACCAATGGCACAGAACAGAGGCCTCAGAAATAACACCACACATCTACAACCATCTGATCTTTAACAAACCTGACAAAAACAAGCAATGGGGAAAGGACTCTCTATTTAATAAATGGTGCTGGGAAAAATGGCTAGCCATATGCAGAAAACAGAAACTGGATCCCTTCCTTACACCTTATACAAAAATTAACTCAAGATGGATTAAAGACTAAAACGTAAAACCTAAAACTATAAAAACCCGAGAAGAAAACCTAGGCAATACCATTCAGGATATAGGCATGGACAAAGACCTCATGACTAAAACAGCAAAAGCAATTGCAACAAAAGCCAAAATTGACAAATGGGATCTAGTTAAACTAAAGAGCTTCTGCTCAGAAAAAAAAAAAAAAATTGTCATCAGAGTGAATAGGCAACCTACAAAATGGGAGAAAATTTTTGCAATCTATTCATTGACAAAGGTCTAATATCCAGAATCTACAAGGAACTTAAACAAATTTACAAGAAAAAAAAAAAACATCAAAAAGTGGGTGAAGGATATGAACAGACACTTCTCAAAAAGATATTTATGTGCCCAACAAACATATGAAAAAAAGCTCATCATCACTGGTCATTAGAGAAATGCAAATCAAAACCACTATGAGATAGCATCTCACACCAGTTAGAATGGCAATCATTAAAAAGTCTGGAAACAACAGATGCTGGCGAGGGGAGGAGAAATAGGAACGCTATTATGCTGTTGGTAGGAGTGTAAATTAGTTCAACCATTGTGGAAAACAGTGGGGCAATTCCTCAAGGACCTAGAACCAGAAATACCATTTAACCCAGCAATCCCATTACTGGGTATATACCCAAAGGATTATAAATCATTCTACTATAAAAGCACATGCACACGTATGTTAATTGCAGCACAATTTACAATAGCAAAGACTTGGAATCAATCCAAATGCCCATCAATGATAGACTAGTAAAGAAAATGTGGCACATATACACCATGGAATACTACGCAGCTATGAAAGGGAATGAGTTCATGTCCTTTGCAGAGGACATGGATGAAGCTGGAAACCATCATCCTCAGCAAACTAACACAGGAACAGAAAACCAAATACTGCATGGTCTCACTCATAAGTGAGATCTGAACAATGAGAACACATGGGCACAGGAAGGGAAACATCACACACTGGGGCCTGTTGGGGGGCTGGGGGAAAGGGGAGGGAGAGCATTAGGACAAATATCTAATACATGTGGAGCTTAAAACCTAGATGACAGGTTGATAGGTGCAGCAAACCACCATGGCACATGTACACCTACGTAACAAACCTGCACATTCAACATATGTATCCCAGAACTTAAAGTAAAATAAAAATAGGTAAATAAATAAATAATAATATGTGCATTGAAATAATGATAGCAATGCATAATAATGCGTTAAATATAATAAGAATCCATGAATCCATACTGATATTAATTAATTAGTTATTGAGTTAATTATTAGAGTAGAAGGAACAGTTCTTCCTTAGAGTAAAATACAAACCAATAAATCTAGAAGAGGCCGGGTGTAGTGGCTCACACTTGTAATCCCAGCACTTTGGGAGGCCGAGGTGGGAGGATCACCTGAGGTCTGGAGTTCGAGACCAGCCTGGCCAACACGGTGAAACCCTGTCTCTACTAAAAATACAAAATTAGCCAGGCGTGGTGGTGTGCACCTGTAATCTCAGCTACTTGAGAGGCTGAGGCAGAGGAATTGCTTGAACCTGGGAGGCAGAGGTTGCAGTGAGCTGAGATGGCGCCATTACACTCCAGCCTAGGCAACAAGAGCGAAACTCCGTCTAAAAAAAAAAAAAGACTAAGCCTCCAGTACAGCAGTATTCTTTAAAGAAACTTACTGGCCACTTGGTGGCAAATTGACTAGATTGGGCCCTCCCATTCTGGAAAGACCTGCAGTTCATCTTTACAGGGGTATATATATTTTAGAGACGGAGTCTTGCTCTGTCGCCCAAGCTGGAGTGCAGTGGTGCGATCTCGGCTCACTGCAACCTCCGCCTCCCGGGTTCAAGCAATTCTTCTGCCTCAGTCTCTTGAGTAGCTGGGAATACAGGTGCCCGCCCCCATGCCCAGCAGATTTTTTGTATTTTCAGTGGAGATGGGGTTTCACCATGTTGGTCAGGCTGGTCTCAAACTCCAGACCTCAGGTGACCCTCCCACCTCAGCCTCCCAAAGTGCTGGGATTACCAGTATGAGCCACCATGCCCGGCCTTTTTTTTTTTTTTTTTTTCCCTCAAGACAGAGTCTTGCTCTGTTGCCCAGGTGGAGTGCAGTGGCATGATCTCGGCTCACTGCAAACTCTGACTCCCAGGTTCAAGCAATTCTCCTGCCCCAGCCTCCCGAGTAGCTGGGACTACAGGCTCGAGTCACCACACCTGGCTATCTTTTTTTTTTTTTTGTATTTTTAGTAGAGATGGGGTTTCACCATGTTGGCCCGGCTGGTCTTGAACTCCTGACCTTGTGACCCACCTGCCTCGGCCTCCCAAAGTGCTAGGATTACAGGCTTGAGCCACCCGGCCGGCTCAGGGATAGATATTTATCCAGGCATAAGTTTGCCTTTTCTGCTTATAGAGCCTCAGCCAGCACCATTATCTGTGAGCTTATGGAATTCCTGATCCATAGGCCTAGTAGCCCATACAATATAGCATCTGACCAGACTACCCCCTCATAGTAAAGCAGTTGCAGGAGAGAGACTGGCTCACAGACTTCCTGAAGGCAGGGAACTCCTTAGACCAGATGACAATCCAGGACACTTCCACTTTCTAAGAGTTTATATTTGATTGACATTTTTTGTAATAGTGCTTTCAAACACATGAAGTCAGTTGTTTCCAACTTTTATTTTTGATGTAATTTCAAACTTAAAGAAGAGTTGCAATCATCATAAAAGTACCCCCACAGACCATTCTCTAAGATTTGCCAATTGTCTCCACTTTGCCCCTGTGTTGGTCCAGATCCTCTGAAAAGCAGATGTCAATAAAGGATTAAATGTACAAGAATGTTATTAAAAGAAATACCTGTGTGAAAGGAAATAAGGAGGAAGCTTGGAGAGTCTGAAAGCACCCTCAGACTGCAATACAATTCTGACTCTGGATGAAGGAAGCAAGGAGAAAAGTTTGGGTGGAAGTGTCCTGGATTGCCATCTAGTCTAAGGGAGTTCTCAGCCCTTGCTGGGAGTCACCCGTGGGTGGTGTGGCACAACAGTCTCGCATAGATTTCAGAATGCAATAGCTGAGGCCCTTAGCCAATTATGGTCCCTGTAGTAAGAGGTCTGTGAGGTGCATTCTCATTGCTGCCACTGTCCATCCACATCTTTGGCCACACAGATTTACTCTACACGGTTTTGTGGAGAAGCTCCTGCATTGTCCCATGAACATTTCTTTCTGAGAGAAACGTAAGAAGGTAGTTAGTGAGATGAACTACAACCCCAGTCGTTGTAGTTGGTCTGAGAGAGTCACCCTCTCCCTCCTCTACTATCCATTCTAAATCTACCTCTCCCTCAGCTATCTCCTCCTCAGGTCTTGTTGACTTCCTGGTGATGTGGTCCAAATCTTTATTCTTGAGTGGTCTGAGACCTACTTAGTCTGGAATTACTGCACTTCCCTATTCAGTTAGAATGGGGCAAGAGACTACCAGGAGGTACCCAAGAGGATCACCTAGGATCGCCACACAATTCCTCCCTGCCACCACTGTGTAAAAACCACCATACCAGCCGGGCGCCGTGGCTCATGCCTGTAATCCCAGTGCTTTGGGAGGCCAAGGCGGGCAGATCACGAGGTCAGGAGATGGAGATCATCCTGGCTAACACGGTGAAACGCCATCTCTACTAAAAATACAAAAAATTAGCAGGGTGTGGTGGCGGGCATCTGTAGTCCCAGCTACTCGGGAGGCAGAGGCAGGAGAATGGTGTGAACCCAGGAGGAGGAGCTTGCAGTGAGCCGAGATTGTGCCACTGCACTCCAGCCTGGGCAACAGAGTGAGACTCTGTCTAAAAAAAAAACAAAAAAACAAAACAAAAAAAAGCCCACCATACCTTCTCCTAAATGCCAGGATCAACTACCCTTGCCTGTATAGTGGCTCTTCTTACCTGCTTGATCCTGGGGCACGAGGAATCCAAAGTGCCCTGGAATCACCTCTGACTTGTAGTTAAATGGGACCCTTGCTGTGTTTCCTGGAAAGAGTGCATACCCGAGGGGAGGAGCCAAGATGGCCGAATAGGAACAGCTCCGGTCTACAGCTCCCAGAGTGAGCGACACAGAAGACGGGTGATTTCTGCATTTCCATCTGAGGTACCAGGTTTATCTCACCAGGGAGTGCCAGACAGTGGGCGCAGGACAGTGGGTGCAGCGCACCATGCGCCAGCCGAAGCAGGGGGAGGCATTGCCTCACTCGGGAAACGCAAGGGATCAGGGAGTTCCCTTTTCTGGTCAAGGAAAGGGGTGACAGACGGCACCTGGAAAATTAGGGCACTCCCACCCGAATACTGCGCTTTTCCGGCGGGCTTAGGAAAGGGCGCACCAGGAGATTATATCCCACACATGGCTCGGAGGGTCCTACGCCCACGGAGTCTCCCTGATTGCTAGCACAGCAGTCTGAGATCAAACTGCAAGGTGGCAGCGAGGCTGAGGGAGGGGTGCCCGCCATTGCCCAGGCTCGCTTAGGTAAACAAAGCAGCAGGGAAGCTCGAACTGGGTGAAGCCCACCAAAGCTCAAGGAGGCCTGCGTGCCTCTGTAGGCTCCACTTCTGGGGGCAGGGCACAGACAAACAAAAAGACAGCAGTAACCTCTGCAGACTTAAACGTCCCTGTCTGACAGCTTTTAGGAGAGCAGTGGTTCTCCCAGCACACAGCTGGAGATCTGAGAATGGACAGACTGCCTCCTCAAGTGGGTCCCTGACCCCTGACCCCCGAGCAGCCTAACTGGGAGGCACCCCCCAGTAGGGGCAGACTGACACCTCACACGGCCGGGTACTCCTCTGAGACAAAACTTCCAGAGGAATGATCAGACAGCAGCATTCGTGGATCACAAAAATCCGCGGTTCTGCAGACACCGCTGCTGATACCCAGGGAAACAGGGTCTGGAGTGGACCTCTAGCAAACTCCAACAGACCTGCAGCTGAGGGTCCTGTCTGTTAGAAGGAAAACTAACAAACAGAAAGGACATCCACACCAAAAACTCATCTGTACATCACCATCATCAAAGACCAAAAGTAGATAAAATCACAAAGATGGGGAAAAAACAGAGCAGAAAAACTGGAAACTCTAAAAAGCAGAGCACCTCTCTTCCTCCAAAGGAACACAGTTCCTCACCAGCAATGGAACAAAGCTGGACAGAGAATGACTTTGACGAGTTGAGAGAAGAAGCCTTCAGATGATCAAACAACTCCGAGCTACAGGAGGAAATTCAAACCAAAGGCAAAGAAGTTGAAAACTTTGAAAAAAATTTAGACGAATGTATAACTAGAATAACCAATACAGAGAAGTGCTTAAAGGAGCTGATGGAGCTGAAAGCCAAGGCTTGAGAACTACGTGAAGTATGCAGAAGCCTCAGGAGCCGATGCGATCAACTGGAAGAAAGGGTATCAGTGATGGAAGATGAAATGAATGAAATGAAGCAAGAAGGGAAGTTTAGAGAAAAAAGAATAAAAAGAAACGAACAAAGCCTCCAAGAAATGTGGGACTATGTGAAAAGACCAAATCTGCGTCTGATTGGTGTACCTGAAAGTGACGGGGAGAATGGAACCAAGGTGGAAAACACTCTGCAGGATATTATCCAGGAGAACTTCCCCAATCTAGCAAGGCAGGCCAACGTTCAGATTCAGGAAATACAGAGAACACCACAAAGATACTCCTCGAGAAGAGCAACTCCAAGACACATAATTGTCGGATTCACCAAAGTTGAAATGAAGGAAAAAATGTTAAGGGCAGCCAGAGAGAAAGGTCGGGTTACCCACAAAGAGAAGCCCATCAGGCTAACAGTGGATCTCTTCGGCAGAAACTCTAAAGCCAGAAGAGAGTGGGGGCCAATATTCAACATGCTTAAAGAAAAGAATTTTCAAACCAGAATTTCATATCCAGCCAAACTAAGCTTCATAAGTGAAGGAGAAATAAAATACTTTACAGACAAGCAAATGTTGAGAGATTTTGTCACCACCAGGCCTGCCCTAAAAGAGCTCCTGAAGGAAGAACTAAACATGGAAAGGCACAACTGGTACCAGCCGCTGCAAAATCATGCCAAAATGTAAAGACCATCGAGACTAGGAAGAAACTGCATCAACTAACGAGCAAAATAACCAGCTAACATCATAATGACAGGATCAAATTCACACATAACAATATTAACTTTAAATGTAAATGGACTAAATGCTCCAATTAAAAGACACAGACTGGAAAATTGGATAAAGAGTCAAGACCCATCAGTGTGCTGTATTCAGGAAACCCATCTCACGTGCAGAGACACACATAAGCTCAAAATAAAAGGATGGAGGAAGATCTACCAAGCAAATGGAAAACAAAAAAAGGCAGGGGTTGCAATCCTAGTCTCTGACAAAACAGACTTTAAACCAACAAAGATCAAAAGAGACAAGGAAGGCCATTACATAATGGTAAGGGGATCAATTCAACAAGAAGAGCTAACTATCCTAAATATATATGCAGCCCATACAGGATCACTCAGATTCATAAAGCAAGTCCTGAGTGACCTACAAAGAGACTTAGACTCCCACACATTAATAATGGGAGACTTTAACACCCCACTGTCAACATTAGACAGATCAACGAGACAGCAAGTTAACAAGGATATCCAGGAATTGAACTCAGCTCTGCACCAAGCAGACCTAACAGACAGCTACAGAACTCTCCACCCCAAATCAACAGAATATACATTTTTTTCAGCACCACACCACACCTATTCCAAAATTGACTACAGAGTTGGAAGTAAAGCACTTTTCAGCAAATGTAAAAGAACAGAAATTATAACAAACTGTCTCTCAGACCACAGTGCAATCAAACTAGAACTCAGGATTAAGAAACTCACTCAAAACTGCTCAACTACATGGAAACTGAACAACCTGCTCCTGAATGACTACTGGGTACATAACGAAATGAAGGCAGAAATAAAGATGTTCTTTGAAACCAATGAGAACAAAGACACAACATACCAGAATCTCTGGGACGCATTCAAAGCAGTGTGTAGAGGGAAATTTATAGCACTAAATGCCCACATAAGAAAGCAGGAAAGATCCAAAACTGACACCCTAACATCACAATTAAAAGAACTAGAAAAGCAAGAGCAAACACATTCAAAAGCTACCAGAAGGCAAGAAATAACTAAAATCAGAGCAGAACTGAAGGAAATAGAGACACAAAAAACCCTTCAAAAAATTAATGAATCCAGGAGCTGGTTTTTTGAAAGGATCAACAAAATTGATAGACCGCTAGCAAGACTAATAAAGAAAAAAAGAGAGAAGAATCAAATAGACGCAATAAAAAATGATAAAGGGGATATCACCACCGATCCCACAGAAATACAAACTACCATCAGAGAATGCTACAAACACCTCTACACAAATAAACTAGAAAATCTAGAAGAAATGGATAAATTCCTCGACACATACACCCTCCCAAGACTAAACCAGGAAGAAGTTGAATCTCTGAATAGACCAATAACAGGATCTGAAATTGTGGCAATAATCAATAGCTTACCAACCAAAAAGAGTCCAGGACCAGATGGATTCACAGCCAAATTCTACCAGAGGTACAAGGAGGAACTGGTACCATTCCTTCTGAAACTATTCCAATCAATAGAAAAAGAGGGAATCCTCCCTAACTCATTTTATGAGGCCAGCATCATCCTGATACCAAAGCTGGACAGAGACACAACCAAAAAAGAGAATTTTAGACCAATATCCTTGATGAACATTGATGCAAAAATCCTCAATAAAATACTGGCAAACCGAATCCAGCAGCACATCAAAAAGCTCATCCACCATGATCAAGTGGGCTTCATCCCTGGGATGCAAGGCTGGTTCAATATACGCAAATCAATAAATGTAATCCAGCATATAAACAGAACCAAAGACAAAAACCACATAATTATCTCAATAGTTGCAGAAAAGGCCTTTGACAAAATTCAACAACCTTCATGCTAAAAACTCTCAATAAATTAGGTATTGATGGAACGTATCTCAAAATAATTAGAGCTATCTATGACAAACCCACAACCAATATCATACTGAATGGGCAAAAACTGGAAGCATTCCCTTTGAAAACTGGCACAAGACAAGGATGCCCTCTCGCACCACTCCTATTCAACTTAGTGTTGGAAGTTCTGGCCAGGCCAATTAGGCAGGAGAAGGAAATAAAGGGTATTCAATTAGGAAAAGAGGAAGTCAAATTGTCCCTGTTTGCAGATGATATGATTGTATATCTAGAAAACCCCATCATCTCAGCTCAAAATCTCCTTAAGCTGATAAGCAACTTCAGCAAAGTCTCAGGATACAAAATCAATGTACAAAAATCACAAGCATTCTTATACACCAAAAACAGACAAACAGAGAGCCAAATCATGAGTGAACTCCCATTCACAATTGCTACAAAGAGAATAAAATACTTAGGAATCCAACTTACAAGGGACGTGAAGGACCTCTTCAAGGAGAACTACAAACCACTGCTCAATGAAATAAAAGAGGATACAAACAAATGGAAGAACATTCCATGCTCATGGGTAAGAAGAATCAATATCGTGAAAATGGCCATACTGCCCAAGGTAATTTATAGATTCAATGCCATCCCCATCAAGCTACCAATGACTTTCTTCACAGAATTGGAAAAAACTACTTTAAAGTTCATATGGAACCAAAAAAGAGCCCACATCGCCAAGTCAATCCTAAGCCAAAAGAACAAAGCTGGAGGCATCACGCTACCTGACTTCAAACTATACTACAAGGCTACAGTAACCAAAACAGCATGGTACTGGTACCAAAACAGAGATATAGATCAATGGAATAGAACAGAGCACTCAGAAATAATGCCGCATATCTACAACTATGTGATCTTTGACAAACCTGAGAAAAACAAGCAATGGGGAAAGGATTCCCTATTTAATAAATGGTGCTGGGAAAACTGGCTAGCCATATGTAGAAAGCTGAAACTGGATCCCTTCCTTACACCTTATACAAAAATTAATTCAAGATGGATTAAAGAGTTAAATGTTAGACCTAAAACCATAAAAACCCTAGAAGAAAGCCTAGGAATTACCATTCAGGACATAGGCATGGGCAAGGACTTCATGTCTAAAACACCAAAAGCAATGGCAACAAAAGCCAAAATTGACAAATGGGATCTAATTAAACTAAAGAGCTTCTGCACAGCAAAAGAAACTACCATCAGAGTGAACAGGCAACTTACAAAATGGGAGAAAATTTTTGCAACCTACTCATCTGACAAAGGGCTAATATCCAGAATCTACAATGAACCCAAACAAATTTACAAGAAAAAAACAAACAACCCCATCAAAAAGTGGGCAAAGGATATGAACAGACACTGCTCAAAAGAAGACATTTATGCAGCCAAAAGACACATGAAAAAATGCTCATCATCACTGGCCATCAGAGAAATGCAAATCAAAACCACAATGAGATACCATCTCACACCAGCTAGAATGACGATCATTAAAAAGTCAGGAAACAACAGGTGCTGGAGAGGATGTAGAGAAATAGGAACACTTTTACACTGTTGGTGGGACTGTAAACTAGTTCAACCATTGTGGAAGTCAGTGTGGCGATTGCTCAGGGATCTAGACCTAGAAATACCATTTGACCCAGCCATCCCATTACTGGGTATATACCCAAAGGACTATAAATCATGCTGCTATAAAGACACATGCACACGTATGTTTATTGTGGCACTATTCACAATAGCAAAGACTTGGAATCAACCCAAATGTCCAACAATGATGGACTGGATTAAGAAAATGTGGCACATATACACCATGGAATACTATGCAGCCATAAAAAATGATGAGTTCATGTCCTTTGTAGGGACATGGATGAAATTGGAAATCATCATTCTCAGTAAACTATCGCAAGGGCAAAAAACCAAACACCGCATGTTCTCACTCATAGGTGGGAATTTAACAATGAGAACACATGGACACAGGAAGGGGAACATCACACTCTGGGGACTGTTGTTGGGTGAGGGGAGGGGGGAGGGATAGCATTGGGAGATATACCTAATGCTAAATGACGAGTTAATGGGTGCAGCACACCAGCATGGCACATGTATACATATGTAACTAACCTGCACATTGTGCACATGTACCCTAAAACTTAAATTATAATAATAAAAAAAAACTCTAGAAAATGAAAGAGAAACAATAAGAACCAAATAATCAATTTAAATAGCCTGAATTGAAGACAAAACTTTGCAATACTCTTTTGGAAGGAAAAAGGCCTCAGTAGCACTGGAAGTCTAGAAAGTGGGAATTAGTGCTCAATTTCTTGGTACTTCAGAGTGAATACACTCAGATTGTTTTCCCCCTAGGGATCACTGGGAGCAAGAATTAAAGTCTTAAGTCATAGAGTACAACTGTCCAAGCTTGGATTACGAGTGAGGCCCTTGTTCAGAGTAGGCTGGAGTTGACTGGTTTAGCCTTGCCAAGATTATATGCAAACAGGAAAGGGAATACTTCCCTAAAGAAGGATTGGGATGCACTCACCAAAAGAAGGGGATAACCAGTCTGGGGAGAATTAAAAAAATACCAAGCAGGGGCTCATCAAGGCTGAGGGTCAGCCAGATCCTATATCCTCTGCTGGGATGTTCACTGCTCAGTCTGAGTCCATCTGCATTCCTCTTCCTTCCCACAGGCACTGGGGGTTCAGCCTGCAGTTCTCTCCACTAAGTACATTCACAGGACTCCCCTTCCTTCAGGTCTCACAGTCTCTGTCACTATTTTTCCTTCATGTCTCCCTTGCCTGTTGGAGTTCAGGCTCACTTCTTCAAATGGACACAAGGTTATAGCAATAAATCAAAAGAGAATAAAAAGAGGAAGATGTACTATAAACTGTCTCAGTCGAAGGGATAAATAATCTGAGGAAAGTCAGGTTAAAAGAAATAACTACCATGAAGAATTAAACATTTATTGGATCACAGTGGTACCCCAGAAAAGACAGAGGAATAGGACTGGTGGAAGAAGATACCCCTAACTGGTCCATGCTGGGAGCAGGCCATTAGATATCTACTGAGATGAGTGCCAACCATTCACAAAAATTTGAGGAGACTTTAAATGAGGAACTTTTCCTTCTTCACATGAAAGACCCACCATTAGGGACTTTGTTCAGAAACTTTGGTGGGCATTCAGCTTCAAGGAACCAAATTCCAGTATTACTGACCTGAGTGGACAGAAGATACATCTGTATATGTATTTGTAAAGTTATTGTCACTGTTCCCAAACTGAGTAATCACGAGCTGAAAAGGAAAAGGAAGTTGGGGGGGCATCATAGGTCCCCTTGCCATTCTGGCACCAGACACTTCTGTGAAGTCGAGTTAGGGGCCATGGGCCCTTTGCATTTCTGTATGTGAGAATAAGCAATAGATCATGTGAAGCAAAGCACCCACAGGCATTCTTCTGGAAGTGACTCTTTGTGTCTCAAACTGCTTAGCCCCCATCTGATCATCTGGTTTGACTAACAACTGTAGGGCAGCCTAGAACACACATGATCCCTCGACCTTAATCCCTTAGGGTGTGGCAGTTAAGGGAAGGCTCTCAGGTCTGAAGGGGTTGGACTAAACAGAAAGAGAAAGGACATACACTCACACCTTAAAAGTACACAGTGCCTCATGGTGTAAGAACTCACTGCACTTGCACTATTACTGGCATTTCCAATTGTTTCCCCAATAAATAATGAACATCCTTGTAAAAAAAAAAAAAAAAAGAGTGCATACCCTTTGACAAACAAGACTTCCAGCTTAGCAGAGCCCAGAGTTAAAATGACAGAAAGTATAAGCTCCCAGTGGGTCATTAAGAGTGAAAGCAATCAGGGCCACTCATCTTTCCACCACTTGGATTCTGAACTCATGTATCCTTAACACTGGAGCACAGCACCATATAGCAGTCTGTGATTTAACAAATACACTGTACTTTGAAGGTTGGCTCCCCATTTTCAGAGTGTTTCTTCTGAGCTGACACTTCAGTTGTACCTTTAGAAGGCTGCTCCAGGCCGGGCATGGTGGCTCACGCCTGTAATCCCAGCACTTTGGGAGGCCGAGACGGGTGGATCACCTGAGGTCAGGAGTTTGAGACCAGCCTGGCCAACATGGCGAAACCCCATCTCTACTAAAAATAGAAAAAATTAGCCGGGCATGGTGGTTCATTCCTGTAATCCCAGCTACTAGGGAGGCCGAGACAGGAGAATCGCTTGAACCTGAGAGGTGGAGGCTGCAGTGAGCCAAGATGGTGCCACTGCACTCCAGCCTCCATCCTGGGCAACAGAGCAAGACTCTGTCTCAAAAAAAAAAAAAAAAAAGAAGAAGAAGAAGAAGAAGGCTTCTCCAGTGTTCTATGAGACCAGCTGCTCTGGATGGTGTGGTAAATGAGATGATCAGTGGAGCTCACAGCATTTGAACTACTCCTGCACCTCCTTTGCTGTGCAGAGGTAGTTTAGTCAGATGCTATGTCGTGTGGGATAACCATATTTATGGATCAGGAATTCCATAAGGCTGCATAGAGTGGTGCTGGCTGTACAAGCAGGAAAGGCAAGCTCATGCCTGGATAAGTATCTCTCCCTGTGAGGATCAATTTCCAGGATGAAAGGGCCCAATGCAGTCAACTTGCCACCAAGTGGCCAGTATGTCTCTTCAAAGAATAGTGCCATACTGGGGGCTCAGTCTTGGTCTCTGTTGCTGATATGATGCTGAAATGGATGGGAAGAGTTTAAACAGGACTATAGTACTTAGAGCACTGAAGCAAATTTTGTCATTTTCTTCACCTAAATGTTAGAGTTTGATTTTAGAGTACCAACTTTAATGTTACTCCTCTCAGATGAAAAGGTTTCTATCTACTGTCTCCGCACAGTTAAACCCAGATAACATAGTTTCTTAATGTCAGCACTGAGGCTGAAAGCTCACACCTGCTTTCATACCACTGTCAAAGAGGGCAGCTTTTACATGGAATTCATCCAGTCAAAATTCCCAGGCCCATGTTTCTCTCCTTACTTCTCTGGGCAAATGTCCTGCTGATGTTTACACACTGGTTTCCTTTTTGCTCTTTTGGGTTTTTTTGTTTTTTTTGAGAAGGAGTCTTTCTCTGTCCCCCAGGCTGGAGTGCAGTGGCACGATCTTGGCTCACTGCAACCTCTGCCTCCTGAGTTCAAGCAATTCTCCTGCCTCAGACTCCCAAATAGCTGGGATTACAGCCATGTGCCACCATGCCCGGATAATTTTTGTATTTTTAATAGAGACGCAGTTTCACCACGTTGGCCAAGCTGGTCTCGAACTCTTGACCTCAGGTGATCCGCCCACCTCAGCCTCCCAAAGTGCTGGGATTATAGGCATAAGCCACCATGCCTAGCCCTTTTTGTTCTTTGTGGCTGTATTTTCAATAGATATTTGGAATAAACAGAAGGCCCTGTCAATTCTTTCCTTCCTCTATGGCTTTTGTCTGTTGTCAGACCCGATCTAGGATGGCTGCTTTGACCATAAGGCAGATAGGGTTTCTTTTCCATTTCCAAACAAAACAAACAAACAAAATTTGGTAGATATTTTATTTTATTTTATTTTATTTTATTTATTTATTTTTGAAACGGAGTCTCGCTCTGTCACCCAGGCTAGAGTGCAGTGGCAGGATCTCAGCTCACTGCAACCTCCACCTGCTAGGCTCAAGCGATTCTCCTGCCTCAGGCTCCCGAGTAACTGGGACTACAGGCGTGCACCACCATGCCCAGCTAATTTTTGTATTTTTAGTAGAGATGGGTTTTGTCTTGTTGGCCAGGCTGGTCTTGAACTCCTGACCTCAGGTGATCCGCCCGCCTCGGCCTCCCAAAGTGCTGGGATTACAGGCATGAGCCACCGCACCCGGACATTACATATTATCTTTAAACTTAAGTGCACCTTGTGAAATATTAAGTACTTTAAGTTTGAATGGAGTAATCATTAAACACATGTTGACAGAAAGGAGCCAGAGGACTAAGGACTGCAAAGAGAACTTGGAGACCATCTTGTCCACCCTCTTCATTTTACCTATGGAAAAACCAAGGCACAGAGTGGAAACATCACTTGACCATGGTGGTAGAGCTGGGGTTAAAATCCAGGTTTCCTGATTTCTCAAAAGAGTGCTCATTCAACTGCATCCTAATGCTTCACTGCTGACAACTTTTAAAATTGTAATTTGCAAAAAACATTATTGTTGTATTCTTGTGAATCACTGTAGAATGTAAGTATATAAAGACAAACATAGCTACTAATAAAAACGTTATAACAGCATTCCAGAAAGTCTGGAAAGCAGAAGGGAAACACAAATCATAACGCCAGCGTCCTAATGCAGCGTCTCGGTAGTGATTTACCAGTGGCATAATATTAGCTACTGCCAGCACCTCATGGGCACATTCACTATTTTTATACTCTCTCCTTTTCTTAAAATGGTTCATTCTGCCTGTCTTCATTTCCTGATTAAATCCATACTGTCACACATTTTTAACATCTCTAATTTTTTTTTTTTTTTGAGAGGGAGTCTTGCTCTGTCTCCTAGGCTGGAGTTCAGTGGCACGATCTCGGCTCACCGCAACCTCCACCTCCCGGGTTCAAATGATTCTCCTGCCTCAGCCTCCTGAGAAGCTGGGACTACAGGCTTCTCAGGAGCCTGTATACAGGCGCATGCCATCACACCCAGCTAATTTTTGTATTTTTAGTAGAGACGAGGTTTCACCATGTTGGCCAGCCTGGTCTCGAACTCCTGACTGCAAGTGATCTGCCGGCCTCGGCCTCCCAAAGTACTGAGATTACAGGTATGAGCCACCACACCCGGCCTATACTTTATATTTTTAATGAGTCATTTAAAATCCATGCCTTCACATTTTAAGAAAACATTAAAGCTGGGTGAAGACTGATAGGACATGTATTTTTAAAACACTATTATAAAGGACACTGGTAAAATTCTAACCCTTTAGACAGTGATGTTGATCTCCCTTCTCCCTATCCTAGGTGAGGCTTGGGACACAGCTCTTATCATTGCTATAAGGATAAATTTTGTTCTGATATTTTAATGATTCAGTAGAGTAATTTAAGACTTTTGAGATATATGTTATGATAGGAATGAAATATTCTTATTTTACTTAAATGCATTTGTTTTGAAATATTAAGATAGTTTTCACTTTAAGAAAACAAATCAAAAATTGAACTTGCAAAACAGTACATTTGAACAATTTGAGTTGCAAAGCAGAACAGTTTTACATAGTTCATGAGAACTGCATGTTAAACCAAGTGATGCTCTATTGGCGAAAAAAAAATAAAGTGACTTGTTTTAGAAGTCAATCGCATTTAGAAAGAAATAAACCTTCAGCCGGGCGCGGTGGCTCATGCCTGTAATCCCAGCACTTTGGGAGGCTGAGGCAGGCGAATCATCTAAGGTCAGGAATTCAAGACCAGCCGTCCAACATGGCGAAACTCTGTTTCTACTAAAAATGCAAAAATTAGCCAGGCATGGTGGTGCACACCTATAATCCCGGCTACTCGGGAGGCTGAGTCAGGAGAATCGCTTGAACCTGGGAGGTGGAGGTTGCAGTGAGCTGAGATCACTCCACTGTACTCCAGGCTGGGCGACAGAGTGAGACTCGAAAAAAAGAAAGGAAGGAAGGGAGGGAGGGAGGGAAGAAACTTTCGACAAAAGCCTCCACACTTTCATTTCCACAGAGTTGGAAAGGACCTGGTGAAGCCACCTGCCCTTCACAGCAATTGCTCTCCTTGTGGTCCTCTCACCTCGGCTCCCAAAACTAATCCCCACTAAGGCAGTTGTTTAGTCATTTGGTTCCAGTCTATAATGAAAGAATTTCAGGCATTTGACGTGTAATGGGAAAGAGCTTTTTGGACAAAAAGCCTTCCAGGTGCCCCTTAAACCACACCATTCTAGTTCTTCCCACTTTCTTTGCTGTCATACATCCATCTCTGAGCTTCATTTTCAACTCCTGCTCAACATGGTCAGAATTTGGAAAGGTGCTTTGAGATGTTGTACACAATTTACAGGCTACCTGAAATTGTTTACAGGCCACTCTTAACTATTTCAAAATAGCTCTTTCAGTAAGGCTTGTGTAAAGCTTCAAGGTTATCTCAAATTGCATTAGGCCGTGCTTAGGAAACCAGGCAACCAGCAATCAGCTTGCAATGTTTTTTTGCGGCCCAACAATCAGCTTTGGTTGTTTGTTTATTGATTTGTGTGTAGAGTAACTGGCCTTTGTTGAACATTAAATTAAAAACGCATTATAAAGTAATTAGGTCTATTTCACTCACTAGCACTATGTCTGACCTGCCAATCCAATTTTCTAACAACAACAACAACGAAAAGTTGAGCCAGACAAAAATCTAACTAACCAAGTTATCAAAAGCTGTTTATTGCCGAGCGCAGTGGCTCATGCCTGTAATCTCACCATTTTGGAAGACCGAGGTGGGTGGATCACTTGAGGCCAGGAGTTCAAGACCAGCCTGGCCAACATGGTGAAACCCTATCTCTACTAAAAAAAATACATACATATATACAAAAATTAGCCGGGCATGATGGCGCACGCCTGTAGTCCCAGCTGCTTGGGAGGCTGAGGGATGAGAATCACTTGGGCCCGGGAGGAGGTCACAGTGAGCCAAGATCTCACCACTGTACGCCAGCCTGGGTGACAGAGCAAGGCTCTGTCTCAAGAGAAAAAAAAAAATGTTAACCAAGTTCCTTCTTCCTCTATTCTCTAGCAGATTCCTCTTAAGCATACTTACCAGGAAAAGGAAAAGATATTTTAGGGAAAAGATACTTGATAAAAGCCAGAATATCACTGATCTCCATGACAGGCAGCACAGTGAAGAGAGAGTAAAGATCTCTGGCTATGCAGCAGAAGTCTGCAGCCCCAGCCCAAGTTCTTCCCTGTGTTGGTCAAATCATTTCCAGTCTCTGGGCCTCAGTTTTCTCTTCCAAATCCTTCTCAACTTCAAAAGTCTTAGATTTGGAATATTCCCAGCACACACAAAAAAATAAATGTTTGAAATGATGGATACCCCAGTTGTCCTGATTTCATTATACATTGTATGCATGTATCAAAATACCACATGTACTTCAGAATATGTACAATCATTATGTATCAATTTTTAAGTCTATGTACCCACTGGTGTTGAAGGAAAAGCTATTCTTTAGGTTTCAAACTTCCACGTCACTTGTATTAAAAATTATACATAAATAGGCCAGGCGCAGTGGCTCATGCCTGTAATCCCAGCATTTTGGGAGGCCGAGGCGGGCAGATCACAAGGTCAAGAGATCGAGACCATCCTGGCCAACAGGGTGAAACCCTATCTCTATTAAAAATACAAAAATTAGTTGGGCGTGGTGGCAGGCGCCTGTGGTCCCAGCTACTCGGGAGGCTGAGGCAGGAGAATCGCTTGAACCCAGGAGGCAGAGGTTGCAATGAGCTGAGATCGTGCCACTGCATTCCAGCCTGGTGACAGAGGGAGACTCCATCTAAAAAAAAAATATATATATATACATATATATATATATATATGTATATATATACTTTTTTTAATCAGGATGGATATGCACTTTAAATATTAATTTGACTTTCTCTAGGTGGTGTTTATGAAAGATATTTTTTGTTTGTATTTCCTGTTTTTAAGATAGTGGCATAAGTTCTTTATTTAAAAAAATAAACATTTTTAAAAGTTTCATCCTAATTATAATGAATGAGTAACTCTGCATTATCTTAGAGTGCAGCATTAAGTTTGTTGCACATGAGATTTTAAAGGATTTGATTTTGATCATCCCTGGAGCAACCCTGTGAGATGGGTGGATGGTGTCTTGTTTCTGTAGATCAGCATTTTCAACTGAGGTTCTGTAAAGCGATTAAGCCCTGATGCCCTAAGGCATCCACCCTGTGTAATGAATTAACTTCTTTCCTATGCATCTAGAGTGGTACCAGTCATTTCTCCTTAAAGAAATGAAGGAAATTGAGGAAATAGTCACTCAAATAATTTTCTCTTTTCAGCAGTTCATATGAGGAATTTAGTTGAAAAAGACTACACACCAGGCAAAAAAAAAATTCACCTACTTGATCACTTGATGAGTAGTTCCTTAAATTTCACTTTGAGTCATAGGTTAGTAAAATTGTTTGAATTAACTTTATTTATTGCTGTAGGCTCTAGGAATGAAAACTAAATGTTTTAAAGATTATTTTTTTCCCTAGATAGTAAAGATTATTGAAATTTCCAGCTATTTAATTAAGAAATCTAGCCAGGTGCCGTGACTCACACCTGTAATCCTAGCACTTTGGGAGGCTGAGGTGGGAAGATTGCTTGAGGTCAGGAGTTCAAGACCAGTCTGGGGAATATAGCAAAACCTCGTCTCTACTAAAAATCAAAAAAATTAGCCGGATGTGGTGGTGCATACCCGTAGTCCCAGCTACTCAGGAGGCTGAGGTGGGAGGATTGGTTGAGCCCAGGAGATCGAGGCTGCAGTGAACTGTGATCATGTCACTGAATTCCAGCCTGGGTGACAGAGCAAGATCCTGTTTCAAAAAAAAAGGATACTCTGGGCACACTGCCTATAGGGTAGCTCTGTTCCAGAAGGAGAAGTTTAAAAAACAGAGAGAGAGAGAGAGAAAAAAAATATATATATAATTTAAAAAAAAAGAAATCTTTTTATCAGCACAATTTAATGATAGTGATCAATCAGGTTTTTAATACACAAGGCATCAATAAGTACTCTTTAGTGAGCAGGAAAACTTTTAAAACAAAAACAATGAGATTGAACAAAATCAGAGGTCCAATCAAGAGCATTTTACCAAATCAACTAGCTCCTGCAGTAACTATTTGTGAATCACATGTTTTTTTCCTCAGTCCCATCCAAATCCTCATTTGCTCTGTAAGTCTGAATCCAAGATAACAATAGTAATAATAATAATGGCTAATAACTTCAGGTACATTTGCTCTTCACAAACTCGACCATTTTAATACAAAGAAACTGAGGTCTAGACACTTAAAATAACTTGTTGAAGGATTCACATTTAATAACTGGTGGAACTTTGGAAATTTGTGTCTTTCTAAGTTGTCATGTTTATGGGCATACATTTATTTATAATAGTTTTTTGTTATCCTTTTAATATCTGTAGAATTTATAGTGATTTGTCTCTCTTCTCTTTTTTTTTTTTCCTGGTAAGTATGGCTGGAGATTTATCGATTTCATTGATCTTCTCAAAGAAGCAGCATTTGATTTCATTGGATTTTTCTGCATTGTTTTGGTTTTTATTGTTGTTTCACATTTCATTTACGTGTGCTCTGATCTTAATTATTTCCTTTCCTCTGCTTATGTTGAGTTTAATTTACTCTCCTTTTTCTAGTTTCTTAAAGTGAAAACTGAGGTCACTGACTTAAAACCTTTCTCCTTTTCTTTTTTCTTTCTTCTTTTTCCTTTTTTTTTTTTTTTTTTTTTTTGAGACAGAGTTTTGCTCTTGTTGTCCAGGCTGGATTGCAATGGCACGATCTCGGGTCACTGCAACACTGCAACCTCCACCTCCCAGGTTCAAGCGATTCTCCTGCCTCAGCCTCCCAAGTAGCTGGGATTACAGGCGCCCACCGCCAGCCTGCCTAATTTTTTTGTATTTTTAGTAGAGATGGGGTTTCACCATGTTAGCCAGGCTGGTCTCGAACTCCTGACCTCAGGTGATCCACCCCCACCCCCAGCCTCCCAAAGTGCTGGGATTACAGGCGTGAGCCACCACGCCTGGCCTCTCCTTTTCTAACATAGGCATTTAGTGCTATAAATTCCCCCCAAGCACTGCTTTAGTAGCACTCTACAAATTCTGTTATACTGTATTTTCATTTTTATTCATTTCAAAATACTTGCTAATTTCCCTTCTGATATCTTTTTGGGCCCGTATGTTATTAAGAAATGTGTTGTTTAGTTTCCAATATGTGGGGGATTTTCAAGAGAACGTTTTTTATTGATTTCTAATTTAATTCCCTAGTTGTCAAACAGCCTACTCTGTATGGTTTGAATCCTTTTAAATTATTCAATCCTAATTTTCTGACACAGTGTATGCACTATGGTAAATGTTCCACAGACACTTGGAAAAAAAACGTGTTATTCTACTTTTGTTGGGTAGAGTCTTCTATAAATGCCAATTATGTCAAGTTGGTTGATAGTACTGTTCAACATTTTTTTTTCCCCCAACTGGTTGGGCTTTTTTTTTTTTTTTTAACTTTAAGTTCCAGGATACATGTGCAGAATGTGCAGGCAGTTTACATAGGTATATATGTGCCATGGTGGTTTGCTTCACCTATTGACCTGTCCTCTATGTTCCCTCCCCTCACCCCCCAACCTTCCAACAGGCCCTGGTGTGTGATGTTCCCCTCCCTGTGTCCATGTGTTCTCATTGTTCAACTCCCACTTATGAGTGAGAACATGCGGTGTTTGGTTTTCTGTTCCTGTGTTAGTTTGCTGAGGATGATGGCTTCCAACTTCATCCATGTCCCTGCAAAAGACATGAACTCATCCTTTTTTTTTTTTTTTTTTTTTTTTTGAAACACAGTCTTGCTCTATTGCCTAGGCCGGAGTGCAGTGGCACAATCTCGGCTCACTGCAACCTCCACCTCCCGGGTTCAAGCAATTCTCCTGCCTCAGCCTCCCAAGTAGCTAGGACTACAGGCACCTGCCACCACATTCAGCTAATTTTTTGTATTTTTAGTAGAGATGGGGTTTCATTATGTTGGCCAGGCTGGTCTCAAACTCCTGACATGGTGATCCACCCGCCTCAGCCTCCCAAAGTGCTGGGATTACAGGCGTGAGCCACCGCGCCTGGCCTGAACTCATCCTTTTTATGGCTGCATGTTCAACTTTTCTATATCCTTCACAATTTTCTACCTACTTGTAGCAATAATTGAGGAAGAAGTATTGAGATTTCTGACTATAATTGTTATTTATCCTTGCTGCTTCTTCAATTTTGCCTCATACATTTTGGAGTTCTGTTCTTGGGTGCATAAACACTTAGAATTATTATTTCCACTCAGTGAATTGACCCTTTTGTCATTATGAAACAACTTCCTTTATCTGTGACAGTAATCTTTGCTTTTGAATTTACTTTGATATTTATGTAACCACTCCAGCTTTCATCTAACTAGTGTTACCACAGTATATACTTTTCCATCCTTTCACTTTGCCCCAACTCTACTGAGTTATAATTGACAAATAAAAATTATATATATTTAAAGTGTACAATGTGATGTTTTGATATACATTGTGAAATGATTACCACAATCAAGCTAATTAACATATCCATCATTTCACATAGCTACTTCTTCTTGTGTATGGTGAAAATACCTAAGATCTATTCTATTGGTAAATCTCAAGTATAGAATACCTTATTATGAACTATTATCATGCCAACCTAAAATAACAATGGAGAGAGACTCTGCAAAGATAATGGGTTTATTCAGGACTTAGCAGGATTATAATCCAAGACATGTGCTATGATGGATCATAGGCATATCCAGGGAGGCTGAGGCAAGGGGAAACTTACAAAGGCAAAATGAAGACTGTTACAGAAATTATTTTGAAACGATTATTCTTGGCTACAAGAATTAATAACAAGGGTGGCGTCAGTCAAAGGCTGAATAGGCAGTTGCTGAGCAGACATCCTCGCCTAAGTGTTTTTTTTTTTTTTTTTTGAGACAGGGTCTCACTCTGTCACCCCAGCTGGAGTGCAGTGGTGCAATGGTGGCTCAGTGCAGCCTCCACTTCCCTGGCTCAATTGATCCTCCCACCTTAGCCTCCCGAGTGTCTGGGACTACAGTTGTGCACCACTACACCTGGCTAATTTTTGTATTTTTTGTAGAGATGGGATTTCTCCATGTTGCCCAGGCTGGTCTTGAACTCCTGAGCTCAAGCAATCCGCCTGTCTTGGCCTCCCAAAGTGCTGGTATTACAGATGTGAGCCACTGCACCCAGTCTGCATAAGTATTTTTTGTGCAAGATTGCGGTCGTCCTTGTGCAAAGTTATGGTTTTCGGAGAGTACTTGGAATACTTTTTATCACAGGCATGTGTGTGTTAGAGCCCCTCCATTATGGCCTCCTGACTCCATTTCGTTAGGGTTTGGCATAAGTGACTTCATTTTGATTCTGAAAACTCTCACAGTCACCATACTGTACATTATGTCTCCAGAACTTATTTATGTTACAACTGCAAGTTTGTACCCTTTGACCAATCTGGCCATCCTTTTATTTTTAACCTATTTGTCTTTATATCCAAAGTTGGTTTCTTATAGACAGAAGGTTGCTGAGTGTTGCTTTTTTATCCAATATGACAATCTGTGCCTTTAACTGAAGTGTTTAGACCATGTACATTTAATGTAATTACTGATATAGTTACATTTAATTGTATCATCTCATTAGTAGTTTCTCATCTCTTTCTGCCTTATTTGGGATTATTTATTTATTATTTCATTTTATTTCCTCTGTTAAGTCATTAGCTATATCTCTTTGTTTTATTGTTTTAGTGATTGCTTTAGGGTTTATTGGATACATCTTCATCTTCTCAGAGCCTACTTCCAATTGTTATCCCATTTCACACACAGTATAAGAACTACACAATCATATACCTTCATTTCTTACCTCCTGGCCTTTGTGCTATTACTGCCATATATCATACTTCTACTTTATTGTAAACCCTCAGAAAGTCTGCCTGTCTCCACCTGGATTCCTCCTTCATGCAGTGTGGCCTGGAAACTCTCTTAGTGTAATAACCTGGGACACTGTAGCATTCATCTTATGTTCCATCTCCCATCTCCCAGGATTACTATCCTCTATTGCCTGATGTTTTGCATCTTAAGACTGCTGTTTCATATATATGTTGTCTGTTTGTTGTTGTTGTTGTTGCTTCATGTGGCGGAATAAATGCAGCCCATGTTGCCCCATCTTGCTTGAACGCTGAACTCCAGGCTAGGGGTGGTGGCTCACACCTGTAATCCCAGCACTTTGGGAGGCCAAGGCAGGTGGATCACCTGAGGTTGGGAGTTCGAGACCAGCCTGGCCAACATGGTAAAACCCTGTCTCTACTAAAAAAAAAAAAATATATATATATATATCTAGGCATGATGGTAGGTGCCTGTAATCCTAGCTACTTGGGAGGCTGAGGCAGGAAAATCGCTTGAACCCAGGAGGCAGAGGTTGCAGTGAGCTAAGAATGCACCATTGCACTCCAGCCTGGGCGACAGCACGAGACTGTCTCAAAAAAAAAAAAAAAAAAAAAAAAGAAAGAAAGAAAAAGAAAAGGAAAGCTGAACTCCAGAAGAGGCTTTTTGAATCCAGTTAGGGAGCCTACTTTGTCTCGGAACAAGGTTGCAATTAGGCAGGTACTTTAGGATTGACAAATATCTGAAAAAAAAATGCCTCAGCTAGTGATGGATGAGTGAGCCTTGGTTCTGTGGAAGCGTTTGAGGGGAATTACTTGGAGCTGAGAATGAAGCAAGTCCCCAAATGAGAGGCAGTGTCTAAGGGACACTGGCAAAGAAACAGGCCAAGGATTGTGGAAGGACAGATTGAAATCAGTAACCCAAGTTAATGGTGACTTCTCGGACTATAACCTGCTTTTTGTGAGTGGACGGTGGTTAGCTAGTATTTTTGCAGATATAAACTGGGATTCAGAAAGAGCGTAGTTTGACTAACTTGCAGTCTTTGTGGGGCTAGTGTGGCTAATTTCTCATTATCTAATAAAAATAGAGGGCCGGCCACGGTGGCTCACACCTGTAATCTCAGGACTTTGGGAGGCCGAGGTGGGCAGATCACCTGAGGTCAGGAGTTTGAGACCAGCCTGGCCAACATGGTGAAACCCTGTCTCTACTAAAAGTACAAAAAATTAGCCGGGTGTGGTGGCGGGTGCTTGTAATCCCAGCTACTCAGGAGGCCGAGGCAGGAGAATCGCTTGAACCTGGAAGGCAGAGGTTGCAGTGAGCCGAGATCACGCCATTGCACTCCAGCCTGGACAATAGGGTGAAAGTCCGTCTCAAAAAAAAAAAAAAGAAAGAAAGAAAAAAGAAAAGAAAAAAATAATGTAAACTTATTTCCATAGCTTTGAAGTAATCGAGATGCTTATGATTATTTTATCCTCATAACAAGACTTGGATGAGATAAGCACCATTTCCCCCATTTGACAGATTAAAAAAATTAAAGTATCAAAATGTTTAAATGATCTACCAAAATTTAATCAGTTAATAAATAAGCACATGAGCAGGGATTTGACCTGAGGGTCACATGACTGCAAAGCCAAGGCCTTAATGACCATCTGTAGCACTGCCAAAAGGAAGGGAGATTGAGGTGGAACTTTATAACTGTGGGTCCGGAATATGTATGAGCACAGGAGTCAATGAACAATGAAAACCTGAGGCCATAGGAGGTGTTTCAGTTATCTATCGTGCATAACAACCATTGCCAAAACTTAATGGCTTAAAACAGCAACCATTTTATTATCTCACATTGTTCTAGTAGTGAACTTGTCTCAGCTGGGCAGTTCCTTAGCTGGTTTCACTTGGATTATCTCACGTGGTTGCAATTAGATAGTAATGCAACCAGGTTAGAGTCATCTGGAATGCTTGGAAGGTTGAGCCTTTCTCTTTTTCCTTGTATATCAAGACCTTGCCACTCCAGGTGGCCTTTCCAGCAAGGTATTTAGGCTTTTTTTTTTTTTTTTTTTTTTTTTGAGACGGAGTCTCGCTCTATTGCTGGTATTTAGGCTTTTTATATGGTGACTGAGAGCTCCAAAAATTGCATATTTCCTTCAAGCCTTCACTAACAGTTTCTACATGGCCATTTCAGCTTTTGCCCACTGCCACATGTTTTAGATTCTTGTTACGTCAGCACTCCACTTTCACATATTAATTTCTATTTTGGTCACTTTTTTTTTTTTTTTTTTGAGACAGAGTTTCACCCTTGTTGCCCAGGCTGGAGTGCAATGGCGCTATCTCAGCTCACTGCAACCTCCGCCTCCCGGATTCAAGCGATTCCCCTGCCTCAGCCTCCCGAGTAGCTGGAATTACAAGTGTGCACCACCACACCCAGCTAATTTTTGTATTTTTAGTAGAGACGGGGTTTCTCCATGTGGGTCAGGCTGGTCTCAAACTCCCAACCTCAGGTGATCCACCTGCCTCAGCCTCCAAGGGCTGGGATTATAGGCGTGAGCCACCACGCCCGGCCTTGGTTACCTATTATTACATAACAAGCCACCCTAAAATTTAGTGGCTTAAAACCATTGTATTATCTATCATGGTGCTGTGGGTTTATTGAGCTCAGCTGTGAAGCTCTGCTGGTCTATCTTGGGAGCCCTCCTACAGTTGCAGTCACATGATAGCTGAGGCTGGAGTCATCTGGAGGCTTGACTGGGACACTGGTACAGCTGGACTGCTATGTCTCTCCATATGGTCTCAGGGCCTCTACCCTCCACATGACCTCTCCCTGTGGTCTCTGCAGAAGAGTGGCTAGACATTTCACACAGTGGCTCAGGGTTCCCAAAAGTGAGTATTCCAAGAGATAGGAAGCAGAAACTGCCAGTCCTCTTAAAGGCTAGATCTAGAACTGACACAGTGTCCCTTCTACAGCAGTCTATTAGTTAACACCAGTCACAGGCCAGCCCGTATTTAATGTGGGCAGAGATTACACAAGGGTGCAAATGCCAGGTCGTGTGATTCCCTGGGGGCTATCATCAGACTCTAGCTATCACAGAGGGCCAAAGGCAAACTTCACTTACTTCATAATTATTAATTCTTATCTTGGGTTTTGTTTTTATTGTCTGTATGTTGCAATCCAATGGGCAAAACCTGAGTTAGACTTTCAGACTCACTCGACCAGCAGTAAAATCTCCCAAAGAACAAAGATAATCATAATTCACAGTTGCCTCGTTAACAGGTTCTCTCCTTATTCTAGGCCAATGGAAGTTGATTTTTTGCTCTAAAATAAATTCCTGAAAATTTATTCTCACATGTCTTTCAGAACTGTATATGAGAGCCTAAATACATTTCAAAAAGCAAATTTAAAGTTGTTTGATGATCAAGGAGGATTTGACAGTGGACCCATGGTGCAATGGTCAGAAAGATATTTTGAAATAAGCTTCTGGAAGTTCATCCAAATGTGAGAGCTAACTGATAAAAAAACATAAGAGCTAGTTTGAATCCATCTGGTTAAAATTAAAGCCCAATTTCACCATATAATATGGTGTAATACTTGAGAGCTGTTCAGAAGTAGTCAGGTCTAGCAGGTAAGGTCTGGCAGATGCCGTAGGTAAAGTCAGGCAAAATGTGAGGTACCGAGAGGTTAGCTGCCTAAGGCAGAGGTGAACACATTATGCAACATCTATGCTGGCTTTTTTTCTGTTCCTTACATGCACCAACCTCTGACCTGACTTAGAACCCTTTCCCAAGTGGCTCCCCCAACCTGGAATGCTCTCTCTCTGCCCCATCAACTGATGCAACTTAATGCCACTAAATTTGAAAACTTTTACAAATTTGACAAACTCCTAGAAACCTACAACGACATGCCATTTTAACCTCATTAGTTTGGCCAAAATTTAAAGTTCTGGGAACTTCAAATGGTAGCAAAAGATGTAAACCAATGGAAACTCTCATACATTCCAGTAGGAACATGAACGGATATAATACAACCACTTTGGAAAAGGATATTAGGTTGTTTTGTAAAAGTTGAACATTTGTATTCACTATAATGCAGCCATTTGTTTCCATGTATATTCCCTAGAGAAACTTTTACACCATGTCCCACAAGTCATGTACGTGAGCATTTATAGCAGCATTGCACGTAATAGTGAAAACCTGGAAACAAGCCAAGTGTCTATCAGCAGGAAAATGAATGAGTACATTCTGGCACGTTCATGTGCCAGAATTCTATACTGAAATCTATACATTGGTGAAATTGGAATAGAATAGAATTGAATGTATAGAATTCTATACATTGGTGAAAAAAGTACTGCAAGTACACCAAGCAACATGGATGAATCTCACGAGCAACTTTGAGTGAATAAAGCAAGTCACAGGAGAAACGTAAAATGTATAAAATTCCATTTGTATACATTTCAGAACAAAGCAAAACTAAACACACATACTTTTGGAATAAAACAGTAATGAAAATCAAGGGAATGAAAAAAAAGGATAGTGGCTATCTCAGGGCAAGGAGACAAGAGGATAGGGTCAGAGAGGAGCACCCAAGGAGATTCAGTGGCATTGGTGGTGCTGTTTCCTTAAGTTAGTTGGTGCATTCATAAGTATTGGTTTTATTATTTAGCTTCATAAGACATAGATATACATTGCCTTGTGTGCAATCGTATTCCTGTAATTTGTTTTTCTTTGTACATAGTTTTCTAATGAAACTTTTTTTATAGTTTCCGTTTATATTCCCAGCTTATTTTCAAAACCTCCTGGCTTTGCCACTTACTACCTGTGGGAATTTAGACATGATACTTAGCCGTTCTGGATCTCAGTAGGCTCATCTGTAAAAGGAAGATGATAATGCAATGATAGTGCCTACCCAGCTGGCCTCCACCCAAGGGATTGCCGCGAGAATTCCATGCCTGGCATACGGTGGTGCTAATATGCGCTAGTTCCTCTGAGGGACACTGCATTCCGATGAGCAAACCCTCCAACCTGAACTCCTTGTAAAGATTTAGTAAAAGTAGTCAGCTTTTGGCCGGGTGCGGTAGCTCATGCCTGTAATCCCAGCACTTTGGGAGGCCGAGGCGGGTGGATCACCTGAGGTCAGGAGTTTGAGCCTGGCCAACATGGTGAAACCCCGTCTCTACTAAAAATACAAAAATTAGCCGGGCATCATGGCCGGCGCCTGTAATCCCAGGTACTCGGGAGGCCGAAGCAAGAGAATCGCTTGAACCAGGGAGGCGAAGGTTGCAGTGAGCTGAGATCGCGCCACTGAACTCCCGCTTGGGCAACAAAGCCAGACTCTGTCGAAAGAAAAAAAGAAAGAGAGGGAGGGAGGGAGGGAGGGAGGAATTAAGGAAAGAAGGAAGGAAGGAAGGAAGGAAGGAAGGAAGGAAGGAAGGAAGGAAGGAAGGAAGGAAGGGAGAGTCAGCCTTTTTACGCGGTGGTGCGAGGGGACTTGTGTTTCCTCCTCATGTCCTTCCCACTTTTCCTCTACCCCTGGAGAAAAAAAAAAATCTGTAATCATTAGAGCCCTTTTCAAATGCAACCTTGGGTCATTAACACCTTGATGTTTGTGTTCCTTGCCCACACGATGGCAGAATAGGCAAAGAAGTGTGAAATGGATACTAGAATGTCAAAATCTCCCTTAGAGGATGGTTAAAACCTTCTAGAAAGCAACCTATTACGATTTCATTAATGTCAGTCACTGAACAAATTGAGGCTGGACGACAATTGAGATCAAACCAGCTATTCATTCTTTATGTGGTAATAACTAGAGCACATTAACAGACATATGGCATATGAGATTTAAAAATAAACGAAACATAATTTCTAGTACTACAGATGCTTCCTACATGTTCTACCTGAGAGCTCATGCATATATGTGCATGTGTGAAGACCCTGGAGGGCACGCATGTGTACACATGTTGTGAACGTATGCAAGTAAGAATACACATGCCTTTGCACTGGCAGGGAAGTCTTACTGGCTATGCACAGAGATATAAGAGGGGAAGCTGTTAACAGTCTTCTCACCAGAAATGTCCATGCCTGCAAAGAGGAGATGTATTGGTAACTGCTGGCAGGGGAACATTTAAAATTCCAGTGAACGTAGGTGTCAGATTCATTCTACCTCAGCAGCATCCCCTGTGCTACAGAGGTGTGGCTGGGGGCTGCTGTCCCGAGAACAAGTATGCTGGGTCTGGCTTTGACCCATCAATCTGAATTAATGGCTCAGGGACCTCCGTGCTATTATCCTGTTGTTTATATACACACATCACATCAATTTGTATTCGTTAGAGCCCTTCTGGTTGAAAATGACACAAAGCCAGTTCCAACCAGTGAATCAAAAAAAGGACTATATTAATACATATAATCAAACCACTAGAAGGGCAGCAATGCAGATGGCTGTAGGAAAACAGGAATTGTAACTCTCCTTGGAAGACTCTCCATCTTTCATCTTTATGTTTCTCTTTATGTCACTTTTATTCTTTGTTTATTTATTTTGAGACAGAGTCTCACTCTGTGGCCTAGGCTGGAGTGCAGTGGCGTGATCTCGGCTCACTGCAACCTCTGCCTCCTGGGTTCAAACAATTCTCCAACCTCAGCCTCCCAAGTAGCTGGGATTATAGGTGTGTGCTACCATGCCCAGCTAATTTTTGTATTTTTAGTAGAGACGGGGTTTCACCATTTTGGCCAGGCTAGTCTCGGACTCCTGAACTCAAGAGATATGCCCGCCTCAGCCTCCCAAAGTGCTGGGATTACAGGCATGAGCCACCACACCCAGCCACTTTCATCCTTTCTAATTAGCTTACTCCTGCCATCAGGGGCTGTGTCACAGGTACCTTTGGACATCTTTTCCAGGTTTACTGCGCTGGTGGTAAGGGAATTTCTCAGCCCAGATTGTTTGAAAAATCTTTGGGGAAAACTTCTGATTAGCCTGTCCTGAGTCACATGCCCAACTATAAACCAATCACTATGGTTAGAGATGGGAACCGATTACTGGTCTAGCCTGAGCCACATGCTCACCCTTGTGGCCAGGAGAGAGGGATACTATAATTGTTAGTTCTTATCAAGACCATTTGGTTGAGGTGGAAAGAAGTGGTTTTCCAAAATGATAGATTTCCTGCCCCCAAGAAGATAAAACAATTCATTATGTCTGTGAAAAAGAGAAGGAAGGACTGTAAAGTTCCATATATATGTATATATGATCAACCCTATTGATTATATTTTATGTTATTTACATATTCTACCTCCTTAATAATTTTGTGTCCACTTGATTTATCTTGAGCTGAAAGTTGTGTAGTATAACTTTGCTTCTATCTATTTGTTCTTATATCTCTTCTACTTTTTGTTTCATAAAGTTAAACACTAGAGTTGATTGGCAACCACTCACTTTCCATTTGGGGACTCTTCTGCTTCTCTTTCTGGCCCCCATTCTCAAATTCCCTTCAGTCCCTGACTCCTGATATTAACAACATAGGTATTATCTGCTGGCCTACTTTATCAACTCTCTAAAAGTGGGTACTATACCCAATAATAATAACATTTCTTGACCACTTATTTTATTTTATTTTATTCTATTTTATTTTTTTTGAGATGGAGTTTTGCTTTTGTTGCCCAGGCTGGAGTGCAATAGCGCGATCTCGGCTCACTGCAACCTCCGCCTCCTGGGTTCAAGCGATTCTCCTGCCTCAGCCTCCCGAGTAGCTGGGACTACAGGTGCCTGCCACCACACCTGGCTAATCTTTGTATTTTTAGTAGAGACGGGGTTTCACCATGCTGGCCAGGCTGGTCTCAAACTCCTGACCTCAGGTGATCCACTCTCCTTGGCCTCCCAAAGTGCTGGGATTACAGGCGTGAGCCACCGTGCCCAGCCACATGTGACTTTTTTTTTTTTTTTTTTTTACAAGGAAATGGTTTAAGCATTAGTTGTGTATTTTTTTTAAATATTTTTATTGCAGAAAATTAATATAACATAAAATTTACTATTTTAACCATTTCTGAGTGTACACTTCAGTGACATCAAGCAGATTCACATTGCTGTACAGTCATCATCACATCCATATCCAGAAGTTTTCCACCATCCCAAACTGTACCTCTGTCCCCATTAAACAATAATTCCCCGTTCCCCACTCTACCCAGCCCCTGGTAACCACCATTCTACTTTCTGTCTCTATGAATTTGACCACTCTAAGTACCCCATATAAGTGGAATCATATAATATGTGGCTTATTTCTTAGCATAATGTTTTCAGGGTTCATTCATGTTGTATTATATATTGGAATTCCCTTCCTTTTTAAGGCTAAATATTGTTCCGTTGTATGCATATACCGCATTTTGTTTACCCATTTATCTGTTGATGGACATTTAGGTTGTTTCCACCTTTTGGCTATTGCGAATAATACTGCTATGAATATCAGCATATGAATAGTTGTGTGATTTTTTTAAATCCTGAAAAGGAATATTTATAGAATGTTCCCATTTATATGTAGTATGGGTGTGCATCATGTACATAGATATGTATGTAAATATGTAGAAAGAGATCTGAGAGATGCACATCAAATTTTTGTGTCATTGTCTCCAGAATGGGGATAGAGTGGAGTGGGGAAGGAAAAGAGTCTATAACGTTTTATTCTGTATATGTCTGTCTTGTGTATTTTTCATAATGAGAATGGGTTAATATTAATATATTCCTAATGCAATTTTAAAGTGCAATTAAAAATAGAGATGAAGATTTCAGGCATCTTCACAAGCTGTGAGTAAGGAATATTTAAAGCAATTTTAAAGGGGTCAGAAGATCTCAAGGGATAAAGGAAGTCTGAAATACCTCTGTGTGATTTAAAATTTTTATAAGGTGCATATATTTTTTTAATTAAAAAAAATCAAATAAGGGGAAAAAGTTGAAGGCCCAAGGCGGAATTGCACTGTCAATTGAGGTCCAGAGGAGGGCAGTAGAAATCCCCAAGGTGGCAACCCCAGAAAGGTTCCTCTCACCCGGATGAGGGCAAAGGTTCAAACTTGCCATGTGGGTGCTGGGAAGAGCTTAGGAGCTTTTCCTACTACTGATTCCTATAGATATGACGCCAGCCAGACATTGGAAGCAAGACAATCAAATATAATGGCGGAAATCAGAAAAGTGGTACAGGTTAATCTCTGGAGAACCAAGGAGAGAGAAACCAGGAGCAGCCATTCTTCACCAAGAATCATTACACAAGGGCCCAGGAGCAGCTCTCTGGGGAAAATGACCTAGTGAGATTTTTAGGGGTCTTGGGGACACAGCCCTGTTAAGTACCTGGCTAAGTCCTTGGACCCTTCCCCTCTGCTTTTTAAAGTGGAAAAGAATAAATATGGCCCTGCAGGCTCAAGATACAGAGCTGGGATTAGGGTGAGGGGAGTGGGACAGGCTCATGCAAATGCAGAATCAGATCCTGTCTTTATTTAAATGTTCAATATTTTGTTGGTCATAGATTTTTGGCATTAATTTTGGTTTTTAAATATCACGTTAAAATCTTATTTGATTACTGAATTTTGCAACACCCCTTAAATTTTGTGCTACAGGCAAATATCTCACTGGGTTTTACTCTAGTCCTGGCAACAATCAAAACAATAACAACAACAAATATGAAGCAAGAAATGGGGTTTTATAGTGTACTTATTATATACAATTTTTATCAAAATAATACCTAGAATTTCTGAGTGAAATCTATTATTACTAACATGCTAGTCATGTAAACTTGCAAATGAAATAAAAATCATATAAATCTATGTTAAAGCCAAAGAAAGTAAAGTGTTTTTGTAACCATTATGAATATGAAGTTAATGTTCAAATTAATTTGGAAGCTGTTTCTGAAATACTGGCTTTAAGATATTTGTCTACCATGTATCCAACACTAGGGAAAAAAAAAAACCTGATTTCTTTTTTTAAAAAAGGTGACAGATACATTCTTTCACTTTATAAGCCCTATTCAAATTTTCAAAAGCAGCTTATTCAAAAGCAATAGAATAACATTTTCTGATTTTTATACAGTTAAAAAGTATGAGCAGGATTATTTAGACCTTCAGGGTAAAACTGAGTTGTATTTTTTTTTTTTTGGTTTTTTATTTTTTTTAAGATGGAGTCTTGCTCTGTCACCCAGGCTGCAGTGCAGTGGCGCCATCTAGGCTCACTGCAACCTCTGCCTCCTGGGTTCAAGTGATTGTCTTGTGTTAGCCTCCTGAGTAGCTGGGATTACAGGTGCCTGCCACTACGCCCGGCTAATTTTTGTATTTTTTTTTTTATGGTAGAGAGGGGGTTTCACAATATTGGCCAGGCTGGGGGTTTTCCAATTAATGTTTAATTTTATTATATTCCAATGGCCCCAAATGCATAATTTCAAACACTGTCACCTTTATAGGACATGTTCTTTCATTTCTTTTTTACTCTTTATTTTATTTTTTTTGAGACAGAGTCTTGCTCTGTCGCCCAGGCTGGAGTGCAGTGGCGCAATCTCGGCTCACTGCAACCTCCACCTCCCAGGTTTAAGTGATTCTCCTGCCTCAGCCTCCCAAGTGGCTGGGATTACAGGTGCCCACCACCATGCCCAGCTATTTTTGCATTTTAATAGAGACAGGGTTTTACCGTGTTGGCCAGGCTGGTCTTGAACTCCTGACCTCAAGTGATCCGCCCACCTCCGCCTCCGAAAGTGCTGGGATTACAGCTGTGAGCCACCGTGCCTTGAACCCGGGAGGTGGAGGTTGCAGAGAGCCAAGATGATGCCATTGCACTCCAGCCTGAGCCAAACTCCGTCTCAAAAAAAAAAAAAAAAAAAAAAGTCATTTGGTAAAATTTGTATACAGAAGCTTATGCTTCCCTATGGTGAGATTATGTTGTCAGAGTATGACACACAATGGTAATGATGTCATAAATGCCTAGAACACTCTGAACTGTATAAATTCAGTAGTTACCTTAGTAGACAAATCATTTGAACCAAGTTGCGGACATGAATCTTGTTATTTGTGTCCTACTTTTGTCCATTTGGAAAAATAATTGCATGACTACAAACCAAACCAATGGATCTTCTACTACAGGTAGGTGCCTAACCTTAAAACTTGTAAATTATGATCTGTTACAGTATACATTAAAGTATTTAATTAGAAACGCCAGCTGTATTTAAGAAATCTGCTGTTACTTTTAGCAGTGTTAACATTAGTAGGTCTTCAAGAATTTCTAATACAACAGCTGATATTAAAAAACTTAAGCAAAATATAAGCATCAAGATGACAGACTTATGGTCCTCCTTTACCACCCTTCCCCACTCAATATACCAACCTGTCCCCACCAAACTAGCTAATACTATATAAATGAATCTGGCAAGGGACTTAACATACAGTAGGGGTTTATTTTTGTTTTTTGTTTTTTTTACTTCAAGTTCTGGGATACATGTGCAGAACGTGCAGGTTTGTTACATAGGTATACATGTGCCATGGTGGTTTGCTGCACCTGTCAACCCATTATCTAGGTTTTAAGCCCCACATGCATTAGGTATTTGTCCTAATCCTCTCCCTCCCCTTGCCCCCAACCCCCACAACAGGCCCCAGTGTGTGATGTTCCTCTCCCTGTGTCCATGTGTTCTCATTGTTCAACTCCCACTTATGAGTGAGAAAATGAAGTGTTTGGTTTTCTGTTCCTCTGTTAGTTTGCTGAGAATGATGGTTTCCAGCTTTACCCATGTCCCTGCACAGGACATGAACTCATTCTTTTTTATGGCTGCATAGTATTCCATGGTGTATATGTGCCACATTTTCTTAAACCAGTCTATCATTGATGGGCATTTGGGTTGGTTCCAGGTCTTTGCTATTGTAAATAGTGCTGCAATAAACATACGTGTGTATGCGTCTTTACAGTAGAATGATTTATAATCCTTTGGGTATATATCCAGTAATGGGATTGCTGGGTCAAATGGTATTTCTGGTTCTAGATCCTTGAGGGATTGCCACACTGTCTTCCACAGTGGTTGAACTAATTTACACTCCAACCAACAGTGTAAAAGCGTTCCTATTTCTCCTCCCCTCATCAGCATCTGTTGTTTCCAGACTTTTTAATGATCACCATTTTAACTGGCATGAGATGGTATCTCATTGTGGTTTTGATTTGCATTTCTCTAATGACCAGTGATGATGAGCTTTTTTTCATATGTTTGTTGACCACATAAATGTCTTCTTTTGAGAAGTGTCTGTTCGTATCCTTCGCCAACTTTTTGATGGGGGTGTTTGTTTTTTCTTGTAAATTTGTTTAAGTTCCTTATAGATTCTGGATATTAGCCCTTTCTCAGATGGATAGATTGTAAAAATTTTCTCCCATTCTGTAGGTTGCGTGTTTACTCTGATGATAGTTTCTTTTGCTGTGCAGAAGCTCTTTAGTTTAATTAGATTCCATTTGTCAATTTTGGCTTTTGTTGCCATTGCTTTTGGTGTTTTAGTCATGAAGCCTTTGCCCATGCCTATGTCCTGAATGGTATTGCCTAGGTTTTCTTCTAGGGTTTTTATGGTTTTAGGTTTTACATTGAAGTCTTTAATCCATCTTGAGTTAATTTTTGAATAAGGTGTAAAAAAGGGATCCAGTTTCTGTTTTCTGCACATGGCTAGCCAGTTTTGTCAGCACCGTTTATTAAATAGGGAATCCTTTCCCCATTACTTGTTTTTGTCAGGTTTGTCAAAGATCAGATGGCTTTAAATGTGTGGTGTCATTTCTGAGGCCTCTGTTTTGTTCCTTTGGTCTATGTATCTGTTTTGGTACCAGCACCATACTGTTTTGGTTACTGTAGCCTTGTAGTATAGTTTGAAGTAAGGTAGAGTGATGCCTCCAGCTTTGTTCTTTTTGCTTAGGATTGTCTTTGCTATACAGACTCTTTTTTGGTTCCATATGAGATTTAAAGTAGTTTTTTCTAATTCTGTGAAGAAAGTCAGTGGTAGCTTGATGGGAATAGCATTGAATCTATAAATTACTTCAGGCAGTATGGCCATTTTCACGATATTGATTCTTCCTATCCATGAGCATGGAATGTTTTTCCATTTGTTTGTGACCTCTCTTATTTCCTTGAGCAGTGGTTTGTAGTTCTCCTTGAAGAGTTCCTTCACATCTCTTGTAAGTTGTATTCCTAGGTATTTTATTCTCTTTGTAGTAATTGTGAATGGGAGTTCACTTATGATTTGGCTCTCTGCTTATCTATTATTGATGTATAGGAATCCTTGTGATTTTTGGACATTGATTTTGTATCCTGAGACTTTGCTGAATTTGTTTATCAGCTTAAGGAGATTTTGGGCTAAGATGATGGGATTTTCTAAATATACAATCATGTCATCTGCAAACAGAGACAATTTGACTTTCTTTCTATTTGAATACGCTTTTATTTCTGGCCCGATTGCCCTGGCCAGAAGTTCCAATACTATGTTGAATAGGAGTGGTGAGAGGGCATCCTTGTCTTGTGCAGGTTTTCAAAGGGGATGCTTCCAGCTTTTGCCCATTCAGTATGATATTGGCTATGGGTTTGTCATAAATAGCTCTTATTATTTTGAGATATGTTCCATCAATACCTAGTTTATTGAGAGTTTTTAGCATGAAGGGGTGTTGAATTTTATCAAAGGCCTTTGCTGCATCTATTGAGATAATCATGTGGCTTTTGTAATTGGTTCTGTTTATGTGATGGATTACATTTATTGATTTACGTTTGTTGAACCAGCCTTGCATCCCAGGGATGAAGCCGACTTGATGGTGGTGGATAAGCTGTTTGATGTGCTGCTGGATTCGGTTTGCCAGTATTTTATTGAGAATTTTAGCATCAATGTTCATCAGGGATATTGACCTGAAATTTTCTTTTTTTGTTGTGTCTCTGCCAGGTTTTCATATCAGGATGACGCCGGCCTCATAAAACGAGTTAGGGAGGAGTCCCTCTTTTTCTATTATTTAAAATAGTTTCAGAAGGAATGGTACCAGCTCCTATTTGTACCTCTGGTAGAATTTGGCTGTGAATTGTCTGGTCCTGGGCTTTTTTTGGTTGGTAGGCTATTAATTACTGCCTCAATTTCAGAACTTGTTATTGGTCTATTCACAGACTTGACTTCTTCCTAGTTTAGTCTTGGGAGAATGTGTGTGTCCAGGAATTTATCCATTTCTTCTAGATTTTCTAGTTTATTTGCATAGAGGTGTTTATACTATTCTCTGATGGTAGTTTGTATTTCTGTAGGATCATTGGTGATACCCCCTTTATTATTTTTTATTGTGTCTATTTGATTCTTCTCTCTTTTCTTCTTTATTAGTCTGGCTAGTGGTCTATATATTTTATTAATGTTTTCAATAAACCAGCTCCTGGATTCATTGATTTTTTTGAAGGGTTTTTCATGTGTCTATCTCCTTCAGTTCTGCTCTGATCTTAATTATTTCCTGTCTTCTGCTAGCTTTTGAATGAGTTTGCTCTTGCTTCTCTAGTTCTTTTAATTGTGATATTAGGGTGTCAATTTCAGATCTTTTCTGCTTTCTGATGTGGGCATTTAGTGCTATAAATTTCCCACTTAACACTGTATTAGCTGTGTCCCAGAGATGCTGGTACGTTGATTCTTTGATCTCATTAGTTTCAAAGAACTTCTTTATTTCTGACTTAATTTTGTTATGTACCCAGCGGTCATTCAGGAGCAGGTTGTTCAGTTTCCATGTAGTTGTGTGGTTTTGAGTGAGTTTCTTAAACCTGAGTTCTAATTTGATTGCACTGTGATCTGAAAGACCATTCGTTATGATTTCCGTTCTTTTGCATTTGCTGAGGAGTGTTTTACTTCCAATCACGTGGTTGGTTTTAGAATAAGTGCTATGTGGTGCTGAGAAGAATGTATATTCTGTTGATTTGGGTTGGAGAGTTCTATTAGGTCCACTTGGTCCAGAGCTGAGTTCAAGTTGTGAATATCCTTGTTAATTTTCTGTCTCATTGATCTGTCTAATATTGACAGTGGGATGTTAAAGTTTCCCACTATTATTGTGTGGGAGTCTAAGTCTCTTTGTAGGTGTCTAAGAGTTTGTTGTATGAATCTGGGTGCTCCTGTATTGGGTGCATATCTATTTAGGATAGTTGGCTCTTCTTGTTGCATTGATACCTTTACCATTATGTAATGCCCTTGTTTGTCTTTTTTGATCTTTGTTGGTTTAAAGTCCGTTTTTTCAGAGGCTAGGATTGCAACCCCTGCTTTTTTTGGCTTTCCATTCACTTGGTAAATATTCCTCCATTCCTTTATTTTGAGCCTATGTGTGTCTTTTCACGTGTGATGGGTCTCCTGAATACAGCATACTGATGAGTCTTGACTCTTTATCCAATTTGCCAGTCTATGTCTTTTAATTGGAGCATTTAGACCATTTACATTGAAGGTTAATATTATTATGTGTGAAGTTGATCCTGTCATCATGATGCTAGTTGGTTATTTTGCACATTAGTTGTTGCAGTTTCTTCATAGTGTCATTGATCTTTATATTTTGGTGTGTTTCTGCAGTGGCTGGTACTGGTTTTTGCTTTCTATATTTAGTGCTTCCTTCAGGAGCTCTTGTAAGGCAGGCCTGGTGGTGACAAAAATCCCTCAGTATTTGCTTGTCTGGAAAGGATTTTATTTCTCTTTCATTTATGAAACTTAGTTTGACTGGATATAAAATTCTGAGTTGAAAATTCTTTTCTTTAAGAATGTTGAATATTGGCCCCCACTCTCTTCTGGCTTGTAGAGTTTCTGCAGAGAGATCCTCTGTTAGTTTGATGAGCTTCCCTTTGTAGGTAATCTGACCTTTCTCTCTGGCTGTGCTTAACATTTTTTCCTTCGTTTCAACCTTGGAGAATCTGATGATTATGTGTCTTGGGGTTGCTCTTCTCCAGGAGTATCTTAGTGGTGTTCATTGTATTTTCTGAATTTGAAAGTTGGCCTGTCTTGCTAGGTTGGGGAAGTTCTCCTGGATAATATCCTGAAGTGTGTTTTCCAACTTGGTTCCATTCTCCCCGTCACTTTCAGGTGCACCAATCAATCGTAGGTTTGGTCTTTTCACATAGTCCCATATTTCTTGGAGGCTTTGTTCATTTTGTTTTTCATTCTTTTTTCTCTAATCCTGTTTTCACACCTTATTTCAGTAAGTTGATCTTCAATCTCTGATATCCTTTCTTCTGCTTGATTGATTTGTCTATTGATACTTGTATATGCATCACGAAGTTCTCGTGCTGTGTTTTTCACCTCCATCAGGTCATTTATGTTCTTCTCTAAATTGGTTATTCTAGTTAGCCATTTCTGTAACCTTTTATCAAGGTTCTTAGCTTCCTTGCATTTGGTTAGAACATGCTCCTTTAGCTCAGAGGAGTTTGTTATTACCCATCTTCTGAAGTCTACTTCTGTCAATTCATCAAACTCATTCTTTGTCTAGTTTTGTGCCCTTGCTGGAGAGGAGTTGTGATCATTTGGAGGAGAAAAGACATTTTGGTTTTTGGAATTTTCAGCATTTTTGTGCTGGGTTTTCCTCATCTTTGTGGATTTATCTACCTTTGATCTTTGAGGCTAATGACCTTTGGATGGGGTTTTTGTGTGGGGGTCCTTTTTGTTGATGTTGATATTATTGCTTTCTGTTTCTTAGTTTTTCTTCTAACAATCAGGCCCCTCTTCTGCAGGTCTGCTGCAGTTTGCTGGAGGTCCACTCCAGACCCTATTTGCCTGGGTATCACCAGCGGAGGCTGCAGAACAACAAAGATTGCTGCCTGCTCCCTCCTCTGGAAGCTTTGTCCCAGAGGGGCACTAGCCTGATGCCAGCCAGAGCTCTCCTGTATGAGATGTCTGTTGACCCCTGCTGGGAGGTCTCTCCATCCGGGAGGCACGGGAGTCAGGGACCCACTTGAGGAGGCAGTCTGTCTCTTAGCAGGTCTGTGCTGGAAGAATCCTCCTTGTCAGAATCCACTGCTCTCTTCAGAGCTGGCAGGCAGGAATGTTTAAATCCGCAGAAACTGTGCCTACAGCCACCCGTTCCCCCAGGTGCTCTGTCCCAGGGAGGTGGGAGTTTTATCTGTAAGCCCCTGACTGGGGCTGTTGCCTTTCTTTCAGAGATGCCCTACCCAGTGAGGAGGAATCTAGAGAGGCAGTCTGGCCACAGTTGCTTTGCAGCGCTGTGGTGAGTTCCACCCAGTCCGAACTTCCTGGCCTCCTTAGCACTGTCAGGGGGAAAAGTGCCTCCTGAAGCCTCAGTAATGGTGGACGCCCCTCCCCCCACCAAGCTCCATCATCCTGGGTCTACTTCAGACTGCTGTGCTGGCATCGAGAATGTCAAGCCAGTAGATCTTAGCTTGCTGGGCTCCATGGGAGTCGGATCTGCTGAGCGAGACCACGTGGCTCCCTGGGTTCAGCCCCCTTTCCAGGAGAGTGAATGGTTCTGTCTCACTGGGCTTCCAGGTGCCACTGGGGGGAAAAAAAACTGCTACAGCTAGCTCTGTGTCTGCCCAAATAGCCACCCAGTTTTGTGCTTGAAACCCAGGGCCCTGGTGTTGTAGGCACACGAGAGAATCTCCTGGTCTGTGGATTGCCAAAACCATGGGAAAAGCGTAGTATCTGGGCTGGATAGTACAGTCCCTCACTGCTTCCCTTGGCTGGGAGAAGGAGGCCCCTGGCTCCTTGCACTTCCCAGGTGAGGCAATGCCCCACTCTGCTTCTGCTCGCCCTCCTTGGGCTGCACCCATTGCAGTCCCAATGAGATGAACTGGGTACTCCTAAGTAGTTCCAGTGAGATGAACTGGGTACCTCAGTTGGAAATGCAGATATCACCCACCTTCTGCATTGGTCTCGCTGGGAGCTGCAGACCAGAGCTGTTCCTATTTGGCCATCTTGCCAGATCTCCAGCATATAGTAGGTTTTTAACAGAGGTTTGTTTTTATCACATCCTTTTTCAATTACACACACACATTCACACACACGTTAACACTCAAGTACACTTATACATGCAAGACACACACACACAGATTCAAAAACCTGGGTAATGTGATAAGCAAGCCAAGATTCAGGGATAACCCAGGTAATGGTATGGATTAGTCAGCGATGCCTCCCAGATTTAGCTTCTGGACTGGCTGGATCCATGAGGTAAAAACATAACAGTGGTACAATTAATCAGGTTTAAAAAATAATTCATGAAGAAATGTTATTTTGATCTACACTATCAAACCACTATCAATGTGGAAAAAAACTTGGTTACTTAACACCTTCTCTGATTATACAATCTCTTTGCAGGAGATAAACCTGTTGAATCAATGCAGACAAAATTGAACTACCTTAGAAGAAATCTACTCATTTTAGTTGGTATTATCATCATGGTTTTTGTCTTTATCTGTTTTTGTTATCTCCATTATAATTGTCTGAGCGATGATGCGTCCAAAGCAGGAATGTAAGTTTTACTCCTTTAAATTAAGAGTGCGAGGTGTGTGTGTGTGTACATATAGCGGAGGTTTCATTGTTGTTCAGGTTACTCAATATTAACTTTAGACTTCTGAAGAGCTACCAACCTTTTGTAGGTGAATATTTTCCCTTAAATTATATCAGCTCTTAAATATTCTCTAGTACATTATTAACTTCAGCCAAAGTGTCTCTTGTTCAAGGTTCAGCTGAACTCCAGGACATTAATTGCATTATAAATTCAGTGCAGGAAAAGAGGGCATGAATATCCAAATAAGAGTGCGAAAATGAAGAGAAAGAGAGAGGGAATTGGGTCTCTGTTTTTCAAAGACAATAAAACATTTTGGATAATCTACCATTTTAAGACTTAATCACATGAAAAATTATTCACTGTTGTTGCTCTCATGATCTCAGTGCCTGCCTTTTATATACTAGTTCCCTAAAAATATCCCATTCCAAAGACTGGTGACTAAAACGTGGTACCAGTACTGTATTCCTTTAGTTTCAGAGGAATGTTATGAATTTAAATATGCACCGATAACTTGATGTTGTAAATATGATACAAAAACAATGACTTTTCCTACAGTTTTTTTCTTGTGATACATTATCAATCTGTGACTTTTTTATAAAAAGTTTAATTCTGAAATAAGTGAGGTTCATTCTCTCTCTCTCTTTCTCTTTGTGTGTGTGTGTGTGTGTGTTTCTCTCTTTTTACAGCAGATTTGAAATAACTTTGTGTAATTCTATATGTGGATTATATGGTTATCTAATGTGGTTAAATAGTAAAATGCTCTTAAGAAAAAGCATTAAACAAGAGTCCATATTTATAACCTTAGTTGTGGCTTTCACCACTCCAATTCTGTTTTTGTGTTTTTGTTTGTTTGTTTTTGAGACAGAGTCTCACTTTGTCACCCAGGCTGGAGTGCAATGGCATGATCTCGGCTCACTGCAACCTCTGCCTCCCAGGTTCAGACGATTCTCCTGCCTCAGCCTCCCAAGTAGCTGGGGACTACAGGTGTGCGCCACCACACCAGGCTAATTTTTGTATTTTTAGTAGAGATGGAGTTTCACCATGTTGGCCAGCCTGGTCTCGAACTCCTGGCCTCAAGTGATCTGCCCACCTCGTCCTCCCAAAGTGTGGGATTACAGGTGTGAACCACCACACACAGCCGTCACACTCCGATTCTTACTGTGTTCAGTTTTCATATTAAAGCCCCAAAAGACCACAGGTCTAAGCAGTACCATACGTTCTCCGATAATAGTAATAGGTCTCTTTTGTTTTAAATCATTATACTCCAAATTTTCTATACTTTCAGGGTCAAGAAAAAAGGCATAGCAGCCAAGTCATCTAAAACATCATTCAGTGAAGCCAAGACAGCCTCTCAATGCAGTCCAGAAACACAACCCATGCTATCTACTGCAGACAAGTCATCTGATTCATCGAGTCCAGAAAGGGCATCCGCACAATCCAGCACAGAAAAATTAATCAGACCCTCAAGTCTACAAAAGCCATCCATACCAAACAGTGCAGGAAAGTTAACTAGGCCATCATATCCAAAAAGGTCATCCAAGTCATCATGCTCAAAAAAATTAAGCAAGTCATCTCACCTGGAAAAGGCACATAAGAAAGGCAGCCTAGAAAAATTATGTAAGCTAGACTATGCGTGTAAGCTAGCCAGTTCAGATAAGCCAGTCAGGCCACCTCAGCTATTCAAGCCACTTTATTCATCTCATCCACAAAATGAAATCTCACCATCCAAGCCATTCGGTCCACAGGAATTGGCTAAGCCTCCCAAACATTTTAATCCAAAAAGGTCAGTGAGTCTAGGCAGGGCAGCCTTATTATCCAACTCTGAATTAGCTGAAACTTGTCAACCCTACAAGAAAAAACATCTTGTTGCCAAAACTTATAGGCCTTTGGTCAATGATATTTCTGAGGCAAAGGAGAAAAACACTCAAAACCTACATGTTTCAAGCAAAGTCAAGTCCTCTTCCAGGTCCTTTCGTAAGTTAGATTCCAGGAACAATGCATACGGTGATCATGTGAATGACAGTGATACGATGAAATATTATAGTGAGGTTGACAGTGATAAAGTTATAATCATTACGTGTGACAGAGGGTACAATCAAGTCACCTCTGAAGTAACCCTAAATGATTAGGAGCTCAACAAAAATAAAATCCAAGTGTGAAAGAGCAAACTTATACCAACTATTTTATGCTCATCATCCCTTAAGAAACCAGTAGAGGGAAAAATCACTATCAAGATCACCCATATCTGTCTTGGAGGCGATTTATTTTAAAAATATCAATAAAATGCATGACATAAATTACTATTGTAATTATTATTTCATTTTAGGGGGCACAAGGATCTTTTGATGTCTCTTACTTAGACCTGGTCACTTGGATAAGAACCATAAACATACACTCACACAAACCTAGAAAGAAATTGCAAGATGGGGCCGGGTACGGTGGCTCACACCTGTAATCCTAGCACTTTGGGAGGCTGAGGTGAGCAGATCACCTGAGGTCAGAAGTTCGAGACCAGCCTGGCCAACGTGGTAAAATCTCGTCTCTACTAAAATTACAAAAATTAGCCAGGCGTGGTAGTGGGCGTCTGTAATCCCAGCTACTCGGGAGGCTAAGGCAGGAGAATCGCTTGAATCCAGGAGGCGGAGGTTGCAGTGAGCCGAGATCGAAGAGCTGCCCTCCAGCCTGGGTAACAGAGCAAAACTCCATCTCAAAAGAAAAAAAAAAAAAGAAATTGCAAGATGGGTATCCTAGACTCTTCCTTCCCTAGGATTAGCTCTCAACTGAAGTCCTAATCCAATTATTTTTTAATGTTTATGTGCAGTCCTCACAGTTGAAGACTCTTTTTCTGTCATGCCCAGTGCTTGTTGGAAATAGCTCTGTGCTATGGACTAAATGTTTGTGTTCCCCCAAAATTGATGTGTTGACACCTAATCCCCTATGTGATGGTATCAGGAGGTATCAGGCTTTGGGAAGTAATTAGGTCATGTGAGTACCTTTCAGCCCTATATAAGGGTACTAATCCTTTATAAGGGACTGAAGAGACTAGAGTTCACCCCTTCCGCAATGTGAGGACACAGTGAAAAGACCCCACTTACACATCATAGAGCCGGCCCTCACTGAATACTCTTGTGCCTTGATCTGAACTTCCTAGCCTCCAGAATTGCGAGCAATAAATTTCGGTTGTTTATAAGCCACCCAGTTGATGGTATTTTACTATAGCAGCCTGGATAGACTAAAACATTCTGTTCGCTTGGTTCCGGCTGAGTTGGAGAAATTCCTGATAACCACTTGTTGTTGTTGTTGTTGTTGTTTTTGAGACAAAGTCTCACTCTGTCGCCCAGGCTGGAGTGTAGTGGTGTGACCTCGGCTCACTGCAACCTCTGCCTCCTGGGTTCAAGTGATTCTCCTGCCTCAGCCTCCCAAGTAGCTGGGACTACAGGGGCATGCACCACCAAGCCCGGCTAATTTTTGTATTTTTAGTGGAGACAGGTTTTCACCATGTTGCCCAGGCTGGCCTCGAACTCCTGACCTCAAGTGATCCACCTGCCTCGGCCTCCCAAGCTGCTGGGATTACAGGCGTGAGCCACCGTGCCTGACCCTCCTGATAACCACTTTTAACACCATCGTCTCTGGTGGCTGTTACCTAAAATGAAGATCCAGACTGTGGCACCCACACTTGGAGCACCATAACATTAGTCTAAGTGTTCTAAATTTCGTAACTCTCAACGAGGCTTTTCATTGTTTTTGTTACTCTTCAAAATGGTAAAAGAGTTTGCCCTGCATGCATTCTCCAAAGGTCTCAGTTGGTGGTCTACTCATCCACATATTTGTTCTACATGGCACCTCTCCACTCTGAGTCAGAAAGGATGGGAAGCCAGAGGAGAATCTTGGAGTTTTATCCTCTAGGTTTCCCATTGATGAAATGTTATCCTTCCCTTCTTCTAAGGGCATCATTGAGAAAATCAGGCAAAGTCCTGTATTCCCAGCCTATATTCTAGCAGAGTACAATTGTCCCCTATAACATCCAGCAGGCAGAATTTAAATGCCACTAGCAAGCATATATTGGTTGTATATTATTCTTCAGGTACTGTACTAGTCCCTTTATATTTCACAGGTCCTAAATTCACCTTCAAGTTTGCTGATTCACCACGAGGACTCATAAAACTCAATACTCATGGTTAAGGTTTTGTTAGAGCAAGATTACACAGACTAAGAGCAACAGGAAAAATATATCAGGAGAAATCCAGAGAGGTTAGGGACAGGCTTTTGAGTACTTTCCCATCTGGGGCCACATAGGATATGCTTTCTCTCTAGCAGCAAACTGCATTGACATGTGCAGAATGTCTCTGCCCGGGGAAAACTGTTTAAGTCTCTTCGTCTGAGACTTTTATCGAGATTCAGGCTCATAGCGACATCATGCTACATTACCAGCCAAAGCAACTGAAGCACAGGTTCACAAATGAAACCAAATGCACTTCATATAGGTTGATGTTTATGCAAAGCAATCCTGACAAGCTGATGAGGCCTGGTCCATTGCTCCAGGTGTATAAATCATAATCATCAACCATTCACATAAGAACATTCTGAAGGCCACATTTCTAGGGGTTGGCCAAAGATCAGTAATGGTTTCGGGTTCCCTTGAATACATGCAAGGACTGAACAGCCAGACCTGGTGTACTAACACTACATATCTTTTATTTAAACTTCAACAGTCCGCCAGTATATGGGGGATTAGATGAGTAAACTGAGGCTCTGGAACATACAGTAAGATTGCATCTAGTGATTGACTGAACTGAGATTTGGATCTATGACTGGCTTATGCTCAGTCATTCATTATGGTGTACTGCCTTCTCACTACCAGCTACTAGGATGCTGATTACTCACAGATCACCCAATCCATCTATGTGAGCAAAATCTCTACTTCACTTCATTTTTTTCTTTTTTTGAGACAGAGTTTTGCTCTGTTGCCCAGGCTGAAGTGCAGTGGTGTGATCTTGGCTCACTGCAACCTCTGCCTCCTGGGTTCAAAAGGTTCTCCTGCCTCAGCTTCCCAAGTAGTTGAGATTACAGGTGCCCACCACCATGCCCAGCTAATTTTTGTTCCTTTAGTAGAAATGGGGTTTCACTGTGTTGGCCAGGCTGGTCTCGAACTCCTGACCTCAAGTGATCCACCCGCCTCGGCCTCCCAAAGTGCTGGGATTACAGGCGTGGGCCACGGCGCTCAACCCCTACTTCACTTTTAATCAGTCTAAGCTATTCTTTCAGCCTGCAAGGGGCATATAAATATGTTTTATTCATTCAGATCTGACTTCCCCATCTCTGCTTCTACACAGTTGGTCCCCCAAGTCTTTACCCATAAAGCCATCATAAAATTACCAGACGGCACAAAGTAACTGCTTATGTATAAAAGGTTTCAGAAACAGTGTATGTATTAAAAAAGGATTGTGGGGGCCGGGCGCGGTGGCTCACGCCTGTAATCCCAGCACTGTGGGAGGCCAAGGCAGGCAGATCACTTGAGGCCAGGAGTTTGAGACCAGCCTGGCCAACATGGCAAAACCCCGTCTCTACTAAAAATACAAAAATTAGCCAGGTTTGGTGGTGCACACCTGTAATCCCAGCTACTCAGGAGGCTGAGGCAGAAGAATTGCTTAAACCTGGGAGATGGAGGTTGCAGTGAGCCAAGATCACACCACTGCACTCCAGCCTGGGCAACAGAGCAAGACTCAGTCTCAAAAAAAAAAAAAAAAAAAAAGGATTGTGGCCCAGCACTTTGGGAGGCCGAGGTGGGAGGATCATTTGATCCCAGGAGTTCAAGACCAGCCTGAGCAACATAGCCAGACCCCATCTCAGCAACAACAAAAAAGGATTGTGGGAGCTGCAGACTTGATTTCCTATTGGTACTACCTGTTTTAAAGCCTAGTCTTTTTTAAATTCACAAATAGAAAAAGTTTTCATCAAATTTTTAAACTGCTTATTATGAAAAATGTTTAAACATGTACAAAAGTAGAGCAAGTAGTATAATGGACTCCCATATAACCATTACTCAGATTCAACAATTATCACTACATGGCCAATCTTATTTCATTGGACTCCTATCCATTCCCCCTCCCATTTGTATCTGTAAAAGATAAAGACTTAAAAATACATACAAACAATACCACTATCTCACCTAAAATTAATGATAAGTGGGAGACGCGAAGGTAAAAAAAATTAATGATAATCTTTTATTACTGATTATCCAGTCTGTGTTCAAATTTTCCCATCCATCTCCTAATGTATTATAGTTGCTTTGTTCAAATGATGTTGATCAGTGTTTGAAAACATTTAAGATTAATTTGGCCAGTCGCGGTGGCTCACCCCTGTAATCTCAGCACTTTGGGAGGGCAATGCATGCGGATCACTTGAGGTCAGGAGTTCAAGACCAGCCTGGCCAACATGGAGAAACACTGTCTCTACTAAAAATACAAAAATTAGCCAGGCATGGTGGTGCACACCTGTAGTCCCAGCTATTCAGGAGGCTGAGGCAGGAGAATCTATATCTTCAACTCAGGAGGCAGAGATTGCAGTGAGCTGAAATCGCACCACTGCACTCCAGCCTAGGCGACAGAGGGAGACTCCATCCACCCAGCCCCACAAAAAAAAGACTAACTTTTTAAAAATTGGAATTGCAATTTCTTTTTTTTTGTGGGAACCTCCCGCAGAAATCAAAAATTGCAATTTCATTGCTCAATCTGGCTTCATATTTTAGGATGATATTGGAGCTAATGTGAGCTAGCCTGGAAAATAGCAAAAGTAGAAATTGTATGGTTTTCAGTTTACATTCTTCTAGTATCTTGATAGACAAAGCCAAATAATCTAAGCTCTTTTCTCTTTCCTATTTTGAACCTGGAGACATGTAATGCCTTAAAAGCTGTGAATATTAATATCTAACAAAAGTGACTAACTGCTAGTGATGGCCAATATAATGACATCTTAAGAAAAGTCATCTGCATGACTTTTTTTTTTTTTTTTTTGAGACAGACTTGCTCTGTTACTCTGCTACCCAGGCTGGAGTGCAGTGGCAGGATCTTGGCTCACTGCAACCTCCACCTCCCAGGTTCAAGAGATTCTCCTGCCTCGGCCTCCCGAGTAGCTGAGATTACAGGCATGCGCCACCACCCCTGGCTAATTTTTGTCTTTTTAATAGAGATGAGGTTTCACCATGTTAGTCAGGCTGGTCTCAAACTCCTGACCTCAGGTAATCCGCCTGCCTCGGCCTCCAAAAGTACTGGGATTACAGGCATGAGCCACTAAGCCCAGCTACATATGTTCTTTTTTAAACCACACTTAATTACAGAGTAGGAGTTTACAGAATATTTGGAGCTCATTAAATATGCAATTTTTTTTTTTTTTTGAGACCGAGTCTCACTCTGTTGCCCAGGCTGGGGTGCAGTGGTGCAATCTTGGCTCACTGCAACCCCCACCTCCTGGGTTCAAGAAATTCTCCTGCCTCAACCTTCCAAGTAGCTGGGATTACAGGCGTGCGCCACCATGCCCGACTAATTTTTTTTTATTTTTAGTAGAGACAGGGTTTCACCATGTTGGCCAGGCTGGTTTTCAACTCCTGACCTCAAGTGATCCACCCTCCTCAGCATCCCAAAGTGCTAGGATTCTAGGCATGAGCCACCGTGCCCAGCCTCAATATGAAAAATTCTAAGTGCATTAATGCAGGCTTCACACATAAGACCACTATAGGATATGTAACAGAAATAAATGTACCATAAGTCAGAGAAGAATTTTAGCACAAAAGGAAGGATGGAAGGAAGGAGGGAGGGAGGGAAGGAAGGAAGGAAAGGAGGGAGGGAGGAAGGGAAGGAGGATTGACTGATTTACCAGTGAAAATTTGGCCAAGCTAATACTTAAAATAATTAAGCCCTATCACTCCAATAGATAGTCTTTAATACTTCTTGGAAATGTCCTGATTTAAGTAAGAGAGTCACAAATTTCTCCTTCTTGGCCTTTTTGCAACATTGTCTTATCTCTTATGGTACCTTACTTCCTTCTCTCCCACTCTCTATTTTGTCTCCCCTATTCAGTAAGAACTATTCAGGGTCACGTGCTCAATCCATCCATTGCTACCTTACTTTTCCCTTCTCCAGAGGGCACTGTGAAGCCAATTTCAAGTGCGGCTCTTCCCTCTTAGACCAGTCCTGCTCCTTTTCTGTTGAATCACCTTTCTTACACTCATCTACTAAGCTTATAACCTGATCCTGGCTATGGGCCTGAAACGGATTATATTATATTTTGCTCCTTTTGTTCAGTACAATCCTTTCTAAAAATCCATTACTTTTTAAAAAAGCATTAAAAGGTCAAATTTTAAACATTTCTCTTGTATATTATCTACATGAAATTATATAAGCATAGAGTTAAAAGGATTCTTAGAGATCCTCAATTCCACCCTCCTGTGGGGAGAGGGGTTGTTCTGAAGAGCCGAAAGAATGTTCATTCAGCAAGAAGACTACTTTCTACCGGGGCTAGGGGTGAGCTGGCTGTGGGATGGTGCTGGGAATCACAGATCTTTGGGCAGTCACAATGAAGTAGTATACTACATGTGAGATGGTTATAGTGGTGTCAAGCAGGGACTTACTAAAAGTCTTCAGCTTTGTCAGTTCCCACAATTCTACAGTCCCTGCCATACTGTGTGCAATCTCTAAGAATTAGAAGCAACAAAGGAAGGGAAATAGAAGTAGGACAAAAGGGCCGGGTGCAGTGGCTCATACCTGTAATCCCAGCACTTTGGGAGGCCTAGGTGGGTGGAGCACCAGAGGTCAGGAGTTCGAGACCAGCCTGGCCAACATGGCAAAATCCCGTCTCTAGTAAAAAATGCAAAAATTAGCTGGGCGTGGTGGTGGGCACCTGTAGTCCCAGCTACTCGGGAGGCTGAGGCAGGAGAATCTCTTGAACCTGGGAGGCGGAGGTTGCAGTGAGCTGAGATCGCACCATTGCACTCCAGCCTGGGCTACAAGAGCAAGACTCCACTTCAAAAAAAAAAAAAAGGTCTGCAGGAGCTTCAGCCAAGTATCTCCATTGTAACCCATGTACTACTTTACAATTATTCCTGTGCTACTGGGGCCTTAGAAAACAAGGGTTAAGGCTGGGTGTACTGGTTCACACCTGTAATCCCAGCACTTTGGGAGGCCGAGGCGGGCGGATCACTTGAGGCCAGGAGTTTGAGACCAGCCTAGCCAACATGGTGAAACCCCGCCTCTACCAGCTGGGAGTGGTGGTGCGTGCCTGTAGTCTCAGCTACTTGGGAGGCTAAATCAGGAGAATCTCTTGAACCCAGGAGGCAGAGGTTGCAGTGAGTCGAGATCACGCCACTGCACTCCAGCCTGGGTGACAAAGCGAGACTCTGTCTCAAAAAAAGAAAAAAAATAGAAGGAAAGAAAAGGAAGGAAGGAAGGAAGGGGAAAAGATAAGAAAAGAAAAGAAGGGTTAAGCACGATTAATGAGTTTTGCAGTTATTTATATAATGCACAGAAAGGTCATAAACAAGGACTAACTATAACTTACATCTATGAACTTTCAGAGAGTTTTACTTGTTTAGAATTATTCTATTATGTGGCCGGGCGTGGTGGCTCACGCCTGTAATCCCAACACTTTGGGAGGCCAAGGTGGGAGGATCACCAGAGGTCAGGAGATCAAGACCATCCTGGCCAAAATGGTGAAACTCAGTCTCTACTAAAAATACAAAAATTAGCTGGGCATGGTGGCACGTGCCTCTAATCCCAGCTACTTGGGAGGCTGAGGCAAGAGAATCGCTTGAACCAGGGAGTCGGATGATGTAGTAAGCTGAGATCGCGCCACTACACTCCAGCCTGGTGACAGAGCGAGACTCCGTCTCAAAAAAAAGAATTATTCTGGTATATGTCTGAATCAAAATAACACATTGAAAAGATTGCTGAAAGAGATGAGGAAATAAATTGCCATCAATCAATATATGTAGGTAAAAAATAAAACATAGGAATAATCTAGATATAATATAGCCATTTTTCTCTGAACAGTAGAAATTTGCTGATAATAAAAAATCAACTATAGCCTCTATCATCGATCTCTTCCCTTCACATCTTTTCCTAGAAAAATGGGCCATTTTTGAATATTGCCTTGAAATGACCAAAAAGCAGGTTACTGAAAAGAAGAAATAAGGACATATGGCAATGCACGGCTGAAAGATTTAGCCCTGAAAATATTGAGAGTTGACTGTATCTGTTATAAATAGACCCTCTCTACCATTTTAAAAAAAAAAAAATCAATGTCAAATTGCTTGGCTACAAATTGGGAGAAAACAATGTTATTGAGCTTCTTGCTTTTAATTTCCACATGTTCATCTAAATAAATATGAAGCTGCTCACAGCAAAACTAAACTTCTAAAGCACTACAGGACAGGCAGATATAGATTATTACAATGAAAGCAGTCAACTTGTAAAAGTTGTACTTGTTCAAAAAAAGGAATATATTACTGTTGTAAAACCAAGTTTCTTTTATAAGTTTAGTTTTTCTGAAGGAATAGAGATGGCAAAGAGTGGAATTGTCAAAAATAAAATTTTCTGTGCTGACCTCTCTGGGCTCAAGCAATCCTTCCACCTCAGCCTCCCCAGTAGCTGGTACTACAGGTATGCACCGCCATGCCCTGCTTAGTTTCTTACCCTAAAGCTCACATTTTGTTGTACATTTCTGTCTGAATCTGCTTCTGGTGAGGGCTTCATGAAGCTTCCATTCAGGTGGAAGGCAAGGGGAGCCAGAGTACGCAGATCACATGGTGAGAGGGAAGCAACAGAATGCAGAGAAGGCGACAGGCTCTTTTTAACAATCAGATATCTTGGGAACTAATAGAGCAAGAACTCACTCTACTGAGGATGGCATCAAGGCATTCATGCGAGATCCACACCCATGACTCAAACACCTCCAAACACCTCTCACTAGGTCCCATCTCCAACCTTGAGGATCACATTTCAACATGAGATATGGAGGGAACAACCAATATCCAAACTACTCTGTTGCATCACAGGTAGTAGGGAGTAAGTTTTATCCAGTCATATAAGGCCTCAAAAGGTCTGCCACACAAACATCCACATTGGTAATACTTTTGTAAAAAGTACTCAAATAAGAGGAGAAACAAATCCAGGAGATGCTGCAAGGGGTATGTGGTTTAAGAGTGACGGTGTTGGGCTGGGCGCGGTGGCTCACACCTGTAATCCCAACACTTTGGGAGGCCGAGGCTGGTGGATCACCTGATGTCAGGAGTTCGAGACCAGCCTGAGCAACATGGTGAAACCCCATCTCTACTAAAAATACAAAGCTTAGCTGGGTATGGTGGTGCATGCCTGTAATCCCAGCTACTCAGGAGGCTGAGGCAGGAGAATCACTTGAACCCAGGAGGCGGAGGTTGCAGCGAGCCAAGATCACGCCATTGCACTGCAGCCTGGGCAACAAGCACGAAACTCTGTCACAAAAAAAAAGAGTGATGGTGTTGGTGTTATGGGTTGAATTGTGTGCCCCAAAATTCATATGTTGAACTCCTAACCCCCTGTGCCCCATAATGTGACATTATTTGGAAATAGCATCATTGCAGATGTAGTTAAAATGAGGTCATACTGGAGTAGAGTGGGCCCCTAATCCAATGTTACTGGAATCATTATAAAGATGGGGATATTTTGTGGCCGGTCTCATGCAGATTGCAGATTCTGGGACTTCTCAGCCTCTACAATTGCATGAGCCAATTCCCATAATAAATCTCCTCATATATCCTATTGGTTGTTTCTCTGGAGAACCCCAACTAATACAGTGGACTTTGAGAAAAAGAACAATCTCAGTTCTTGTTTGGCTATTCCAGTTTTAATTACTTTGTGGCCTGGCTGTACTTCACGGTACAGGCTGGGCGTGGTGGCTCATGTCTGTAATCCCAACACTTTGGGACTCTGAGGTGGGCAGATCACTTGAGGTCAGGAGTTCAAGACCGGCCTGGCCAACATGGCAAAACCGCAGCTCTACTAAACATACAAAAAAATGTAGATGGGCATGGTGGCACGCTCTTATAGTACCAGATACTTGGGAAGCTGAGGCAGGAGAATCGCTTGAACCCAGGAGGCGGAGGTTGCAGTGAGCCGAGATCATGCCACTGCACTCCAGCCTGGGCTACAGAGTGAGACTCCATCTCAAAAAAAAAAAAAGAGTCCTGAACACCAGATTGCTGGTGGACTGAGAAATAACTCAAGGCAGCCCCAAAGAGATAAGAAACCTAATGATCCAGTGCTTAAAGAGAAATAGAAAACTGTTGCATGATGAACACACATGCACTTGGTCCATAAACTATTCCACCCTTTTGTGACCTGTCTATTCTTTTAAGCTTAATTTCATTTGGATAGCAATATTGGGATGGGGAGGTGAGTGGGTCTGCAAGAGATTTACAGTAATTAGACCTAGCTAAAACTTCCTGTGGATACCTGGGTGCCATTGGAAACATGCCTGCCCTGTGGTAAAATACAACAGTCATTAATGATAGAAGATTGTTCAGCAGTCAAGGAATGACAGTTACCAGAGAAATAGCCTAATTATTTATTATGACTTATAGCTGAGCAGGAGTTCAGACATTACCAATCATAGTCTTCGTAGTGTTCTGTAAGAGAGAAGCTAATTAACTTCTTGTGAAGAATGACATGACCATTGTGCCTTTAAAGTCCAATATTCTATCTGGTTGCCTGGGCGATTGTGGGCAATCTATATGTATTTATGTACACACACAGTCAAGGAAGTAGCTTTACTCTGAATTTTAATGAAACGTACAATGTAAGTACTCATTTGATGGGTTTCTTTTGTTGTTGGGTGTTCTCTGTTCCCCTCAGGATTGATTAGGAAGATTCTCATAAGCCACTGGTGCAGTAGTCCAGAGTGGGGGGGTGGGTGGAGTAAGAAGGAGGTGTTGAAAATTGAAAGGTGAGCCCACTGGGGCAGAGACCTTCCCACAAATGTAAAACAGAAGGTATTGCACAGAATACTTGGCAGTCACTTACGAGGTGTCATTCAAGAGGCAGTAGGTCAGTGAACACACTCAAAAAGCTTACTTATTGATACTTGAGGTCTCATCATCATAGACCCAGCATTGCTCATTCCCTGTGGTTCTTATAAACATTCACACACTTTTAGAAGTCCTCAAATTCTTAAATTGAAGAGGTTTATCAGATCTCATTCCTCAACTCATAAGGGCAGAGGGGATTGCAGAAGAGCCCTGTACACTTGAGGCAGTAGCTAGAAAAAGGCAGTGATAAAAGGAGGGAGGCAGGAGTTTGAGAAGCTCTAGTAGATACCTATTGTGATGGACGGCTTGCTCACCTCTATTTCCTGTTTTGATGGGAGCTCTCTTTTTAAGAAGAATCTCCTGGTTTGCTGATGAATTCTAGTGGAGATGAAATGTCTACCCAGGTAGGATGACACAGCTGCTGGTCACAAACTGAGTGTTATCTGATCTGGCTGGCCACACAGGCTGGTATGCTCAGTGATATTTCATCATCTTGTGGAAGGTGTATATGTGGGAAAAGGCCTTTTTTTTTTTTTTGAGATGGAGTTTTGCTCTGTTGTCTAGGCTGGAGTGCAGTGGCATGATCTTGGCTCACTGCAACCTCCGCCTCCCAGGTTCAAGAGATTCTTCACCTCAGCCTCAGGCACTCACCACCACGCCCGACTAATTTTTGTATTTTTAGTAGAGACAGGGTTTCACCATGTTGGCCAGGCTGGTCTCAAACTCCTGACCTCAAGTGATCTGCCCGCTTTGGCCTTCCAAAGTATTGGGATTACAGGCGTGAGCCACCGCGCCTGGCCAAAATAAGTTAGTTTCATAAGCAAGTGGTCCAGGCTCCCATGGCACTTTCTCCTGCCATATTGCTGCCCCTCCCTAAATCCATACCAGTGGCCTTATGGCGAGTCACCTATGACCAAATGACTGAAGAAAAAAATAAATACACGAGGCTGGTTTACACACAACTTTGCACAGTTAAGGTGGCAGGCACCATCTGAAAGCGGCAGACTGCACCACTGGAAGCCCACCATGGGATGCCCATAAAGGACAATGGAAGAGACAAATTTTCCCATGTGGACAGAACTTTCGAGTAGCACATTTAGTTGCTTATTATGTCTACGAGAGATGACCTGAGGTACAGATCTACTCTGACTCACAGGCAGTAGCCAAGGAGTTGGCCAGGAATTTAGAAAATGTTTCTAACAGCAATCTAAATATTGCTATTTGGAAACCTAAAATTATATCCACTTTAAAGTGGCATGTAAAATCCACACAATTTCAATCAGAAGCAATTTAATGTCATCCAATCCCCTCATTTTCACATGGGAAAATAGGGTCCAGCGAGTATAAGTGATTTGTCTGGGAAAAACTCTAGTTAACAGGTACAACTGACATCTCCTGGATCTCAGTTCAGGGCTGTCTCCTTAACAGCACATAGATAACCATTCATTTGTTGTCAGCATTCCCTGAGCTTCAACATTGTGCCATGTTCTTCCCTGGGAAATGGGACAAAGATAAATAAGGCATAGTCCCTGCCCTGAAGAAGCTCTTGCGTTTGTTCTGTTTTGTGCATGTTGGTGTATTTTTGGTGCATGTTGGTGTTATTTGTGCACAGTTATATCCTGTGACAAGAAGTAACTGGAACCAAAATGGCAAACACGTTTTCAAGTAAGGCAGACTAAATACTTGCTGAAGAGTGCCAAATGGAGTTACAAAATGCTAGAAATTGAGCCAGTAAGAACTATATGGCTTAAAAATAAAACAGACACCAACAGAGATATTAATTAATTCAAGGTTGGATTTGATTGTTAAGGAGAGTTTGCATCTCTATCACTGCTGGGAAGAGAGCCATTTTTAATGGATTTTGATGGCATCCTGCCTGAGTCTTAGTACCTAAATGTTGGCCTGGGTGAGATAAAATTTGAATTAATTGATCAGGAAGACTGGAGGATGGTGCAATCTGCTATTATTTTAAAACAGTAGAAAGTGGTTGAAATAGGGCTGTGGAGTACCAAAAGTTTTGCTAATTTTCAACTCTGAACCTCAAACTGTATTCTTTGATTCCTTCTGAAACCCCATCCCCTTTCCCGATTGCCCATTCTCATAAAAACTAAGCTTTGCTCAAAAGATAGAGACCACATACTCACATGCATTTTCTTCACCTAAGACCACTTGATTTGCTTTTTCTTCTCTCAGCCTTCTTTATAGTCTTAAGGAAGAGCACCCCCTCCTCCTCTCTCAAATCTGAGCCGTGTGTTCTCTAGTTCATCCCTTTCTACCTCATTTCACACCTAGCTTCCTCAATTATCTTCTTTAGCTTCTCCTTTCTACAGAATCTTTCCTTTTCTACTTTTAAACACGTGTAGGTCTCCTCTAGTTTGGAAAAGAAAAGTTGTTTAACCCTGCTGACAGCCCTCCTAAGCTATTGTACGACCTTTTTTTCTTTCTTCCACCATCAAGCTTTGCAAATTAACAGTTTATACCTATAAACTCCTGCAATCTGGCTTCCAGCCCAGCTAACACTGAAACTGTGCTTTTAAAGCTCATGCAGAATTTCTGAAGCATTAAATGAAATAGCTTTTCTGAATTCTGATTTCCCTTGACCAGGAATAGATTTTTGAGGTTTAGAGCATCTTATACTAAGCTGTAACACCACATTTTCCATGCATACTGTGCATTTTTTATTTGAACACCCTATTATTACTTCAACATAGTTAAAAATGAACTCATAATTTTCTCCACTGAGGTTCCCCTGAGTGATTTTCCTATGGATGACAGACAATAAGCTCTATGAGAGCAGGGATCGTATCATATTTCTCACATTCATTGCTATATTTCCACCAAATTACTCGGATGTAGTCGATATTCAGTAAATATTTGTTAAAATGAATAAATGAATGAACATCATTTTCCTAGTAAGCTTTAATTTCTTAGAGTTATTTTGGATTCATCCCTCTCTGTTCTATAAATTATTTCAGTGATTAAATCTTGTCAATTATGCCTCAAAACATAGTGGCTGAGAGTATGGATTTGTTGTCTTTTTTTTTTTTTTGAGATGGAGTCTCTCTCTGTCACCCTGGCTGGAGTGCAGTGGTGTGATCTCGGCTCACTGCAACCTCTACCTCATGGGTTCAAGGAATTCTCCTGCCTCAGCTTCCCAAGGAGCTGTGATTACAGGGGCATGCCACTATGCCCAGCTAATTTTTGTATTTTTAGTAGAGACAGGGTTTCACCATGTTGGCCAGGCTGGTCTTGAACTCCTGACCTCAGCTGATCCGCCTGCCTGGGCCTCCCAAAGTGCTGGGATTACAGGCATGAGCAACCACATCCAGCACTTTGCTCTGCTACTTTCTAGCTGTGACTTTGAGCACAACTTTGAGTTTTGTTCCATAACCTCTCAGTTTCTTTACCTATAAGATGGAAGATAATAGTAGTACTTCCCTTATTGGGTTAGTGAGTAAATGAGTGATATAGTGTGTACAAAGTGACTAGCACAGTGTCTGCACATAGCAAGTACTAAATAAATGACAGCTATTAAAATTACCTTTGACTACTCCTCAATGTGGACTCTCGCTTCCCTAGGGAGGTCTACTTAGTTTTTTCTGTTTCATGTCTTTGCTGTTTCTCTTGGCTGAAATATTCTCCTTCCCTTCTGCCCATTCAAAATGCCATTTATTCTCATTTATTAATTTTTATTTATTGAAAGTAATGCATATTCATAGTAAAAAGTTAAATATATTTAAATGGCTTATAAAGAAAAAGAGCATGTGGCCAGGAGAGGTGGCTCACGCCTGTAATCCCAGGATTTTGGGAGGCCCAGGTGGGCAGATCACTTGAGGCCAGGAGTTCGAGACTAGCCTGTCCAACATGGAGAGACCCTGTCTCTACTAAAAATACAAAAAAAATTTAGCTGGGTATGGTGGTGCATGCCTGTAATCCCAGCTACTCGGGAGGCTGAGGCAGGAGAATCGCTTGAACCTGGGAGGTGGAGGTCGCAGTGAGCCGAGATCCTGGCATTGCACTCCAGCCTGGGCGACAGAGTGAGACTCCATCTCAAAAAAAAAAATAAAAAAAAAAGCAAAGCAAAGAAAAGAGAAACGAAAAAGAGCAGATGCCTACTCTATCTCTCCCAACTTCTGATCTGCACTACTAGAGAAACCACTTTTAATAGTTTTAACTGTTTCTTCTAGTATTAACTTCCATATTTCTTCTCGTGGTTTTTCTTTTTTCTTTTTCTTTTTTTTGGAGGCAGAGTCTTGTTTTGTCACCCAGGCTGGAGTGCAGTGGCACGATCTCAGCTCACTGCAACATACGCCTCCTGGGCTCAAGAGATCCTCCTGCCTCGGCCTCCCAAGTAGCTGGGATTACAGGTGCCCACCACCACGCCTAGCTAATTTTTGTATTTTTAGTAGAGACGGGGTTTCGCCACGTTGGTCAGGCTGGTCTCTGATTCCTGACCTCATGCTATCCACATGCCCCGGCCTCCTAAGTGCTAGGATTACAGGCGTGAGCCACTGTGCACCCGGCCAGGCTAATTTTTTTTTCTTTTTTTTTTTTGACAGAGTCTCGCTCTGTCGCCCAGGCTGGAGTGCAGTGGTGTGATCTTGGCTCATTGCAGTTTCTGCCTCCTGGGTTCAAGGGATTCTCCTGCCTCAGCCTCCCAAGTATCTGGGACTTCAGGCGCGCACTAACATGCCCGGCTAATTTTTGTAGGTTTTTTTGTTTTTTTTTTTTAGTAGAGACAGGTTTTCACCATGTTGGTCAGGCTGGTTTCAAACTCCTGACCTCAAGTGATCCACCCATCTTGGACTCCCAAAGTGCTGGGATTACAGGCGTGAACAACCGCGCCTGGCTTTTTTTGTATTTTTAGTAGAAATAGGGTCTCACCATGTTGCCCAGACTGGTCTCAAACTCCTGAGCTCAGGCAATCTGCCCACTTTGGTGTTCCAACATGCTGGGATTACAGGCGAGCCACTGCGCCCGGCCCCATATTTCTATATAATGTACTTATATGGATATTTCTTAATCTTTCAATTTGTAGATACTACTTATTTTCTTTGTATTATGGAAAACAAAGACTTAGATCTCTTACAACAAAGCTCCCTCCAACTTGTTCTCCCTTTATCCTACAAAAAAGTTTTAATTTTGTAAACCAAGAATATAGTGTTTTGATTGCTATGACTATGTGAATGTCTGTCACTGTGGAGTCAGGGAGTATTTTATCATAACTCATTTACTTTCTTGAGCAACTGTTTCTTTTTCTTAGCATTAACAGCTGCCTTGGTTTTCGTTACTTAGTTTGCTTTACTTTCTATGTGTTTATCACTAAGGTTTCACTAATTTTCCCACAATACTGTAAAACCTTTCTGAATACTATTCTCCACATGGTCAAACACATTGAGTAATGTATCAGTTGTTTTTCTATTTTCTCTAAAGACATCCCTTCTTGATTCCTCTATCTTCCTACTCCCCTCTGACCTCTCTAGGTGTGCTACACAGCTGTCTACCTTGAATTTTCATTCATTATCATCTGGGGAATTCCCTACTCCTCTCTTTCATGTTCATCCCATTTTCTGGATTCCATGTCTTCCTCTCTCTTAGTTTATTCTCTCATTTGGTAGAATGCATATTCCAGTGGCTTACTGAGAATCAAAGTTAAAATTTTATACCATCTACTACTTGTAACCCCCAAAAATCTGAGACAGGTCTCAGTTAATTTAGAAAGTTTATTTTGCCAAGGTGGAGGACACGTGCCCGTGACACAGCCTCAGGAGGTCCTGATGACATGTGCCCAAGGTGGTAGGGGCACAGCTTTTATACACTTTAGGGTGACACGAGACATCAGTCAATATGTGTAATATGTACAATGGTTCAGTCCGGAAAGGTGGGAAAACTCGAAGTGGGGAGGGGGCTTCCAGGTCATAGGTAGATACTAGACAAATGGTTGCATTCTTTTGAGCTTCTGACTAGCTTCTCCAAATGAGGCGATCAGATATGCATTTATCTCAGGGAGCAGAGGGGTGACTTTGAATAGAATGGGAGGCAGGTTTGCCCTAAGCAGTTCCCAGCTTGAGCAATTTTGGGGCCCCAAGACTTATTTTCCTTTCACACACTCCTCAGTATGGACCGTTGCTTTTCTAGACAGGTCTACTTACTATTTACTGAAGTATTTTTTCACTTCCACATCTTTGCCATTTCCTTGGCTATAATGCTCTCCTACTCCCTGTTTTTGTGTCCAAATGCTATTTGTATTTTAAACTAATTTTTATGAAAATAACGTGTGTACACAGTTTAAAAAGTAGAACAGTTACAAGGCTTATAAAGAAAAAAACGTCCTTTATCCCGTTCTTCCCTACTCTAGATTTGTGTTCCCAAAGGCAAGTTGTTTTTGTTATTTCAGTTGTTTCTTCTATTTACCTCCTCATTTCTAAATACAATAATTATATTAATATATCTGGACAATAACCAATAACTTCTTATTATTGGGGATAAAGATTTAGTCTTTTTTTTTTTTTTTTGAGAAGGAGTCTTGTTCTCTTGCCCAGGCTGGAGTGCAGTGGCAAGATCTTGGTCCACTGCAACCTCTGCCTCCTGGGTTCAAGCAATTCTCTGCCTCAGCCTCCCAAGTAGCTGGGATTACAGGCACCCGCCACCACGCCCTAATTTTTGTATTTTTAGTAGAGACGGGGTTTCACCATCTTGGCCAGGCTGGTCTTGAACTCCTGACCTCATGATTCACCTGCCTTGGCCTCCCAAAGTGCTGGGATTACAATCATGAAGATTTAGTCTTTTTATGCCATATCTTTCTAACCTCTTCTCTATCCTCTCAATATAGTTTTGTAGGATGTTAAATTCTGAATTAGAAATTTCTTGGCCAGGTGTGGTGGCTCACGCCTGTAATCCCAGCACTTTGGGAGGCTGAGGCAGGTGGATCACTTGAGGTCAGGAGTTCGAGACCAGCCTGGCCAACATGGCGAAAGCCCGTCTCTACTAAAAATACAAAACTTAGTAGGGCGTGGTGGTGGGTGCCTATAATCCCAGCTACTCAGGAGGCTGAAGCAGGAGAATTGCTTGAACCCGGGAGGCGGAGGTTGCAGTGAGCCACGATCGTGCAACTGCATTCCAGCCTGGGCGAGAGAGTGAGACTTGGCCTCGAAAAAAAAAAAGAAGTAATTTCTACAGAATCTTGAAGGCCAAACTTCACCTCAGTGAACTTATTGTGGCTCCTAGCGATTGCCTCTTCCCTTCCACGGTGATTTTTAAAAAAACAAAACTATCCTTTTAATGGTCAGTTATAGAACCTTACCTGCCTTCAATATTATGATTACTAGAATATATCTTCTTCCTCTTTTTGAAAAACAAGACAATATTAGATAATCACTCAGTCCCTTTGGACTTCTGCCATTCTCCATGATTACTAACCTCATCTGTCAGTACCCTAGGATGTAATTAATATGGGCTATTTGGAGGGCAATAACAGGGAGCCCTGATGTCATCTGAGGAAGTGACATTTAAGCTGAGAGCTGAAGGATGAATAGCAACGGTGGGTGAAAGCGTTCCAGCAGAGACTGTTGCCTGTGCAAAAGCTGTCAAGAAAGAAGGAGCTTTGGGAACTCAAGGAACGTAAGCAGACGCGTGGGATAGAGCCTGGTGAGAGGAAAAGTCGTCTACCTGAGGTTAGAGAGGGAAGGCAGAGGTCAGAGAATTCAGGGTTCTTGTTGGTGATGTTAAGGCAGGATTTTGAACTTATGCTAAGAGAGTGGGAAGCTACTGAAAAGTCCTAAGCAGGGGAGTGATTTGATCTGACTTGCTTGCCATAGATTTCTGTGGTTGCAGTGTACAGAATGAATTGGAGGGGCCCAAAAGGAAGATACAGGTAAAACTGATCATAAATAAACATCAAGGCTAGCCTTGAAAGGGGGAAATAAATTTCAAATGGGCAAAAGATAGTCTTACCAGATATGTTTGGAAGCTCAGACAGACAGTTGAATTCCTTCGATTTGCTAATGATGGGGTGATTTAGATGCTAATACAACAGCCTCAATTTTTTCTTTCTTCTTTTTTCTTTTTTTGGTATTAGATGGAAGTGACTCCTTCGCACCGCTCCCCTCCTGCCAGATTACTTGAATTGCTGACCGACCCACAGATCCCAGAAGCAGTTTGCGCTCCTTCGTCACAGGTGTGGCCTACATCCTATGCTCTAGTGGTTGTTTTGCTCACTTGCCATGGTGAGATTTCTGAGGGGTTGAGGTAGAAGGTATGGAAGATTGGGGGTGGGGACAATAGGGAAGAAGAGCTCCTGGGTAATTAGTACAGAAATGGTGCAACAGAACTGAAAGGATTGAGAAAGCACTCCTTCCCTTCTCTCCCTCAGGTAGCAAGCATTATCTAGTCAAGTTGGTAATAAGGACAGAAACAAGACTGTTTCCTCTGAATTCCTACCTGTGGGGCTTCTTTCTGTTGCAGTTAGCTGATCCACCAGAAGAGGTGGTGTTATGTTTCAGGGGTTCTGACAGTTTAGGCAGGAGGAAGTTCATTTTTGCAGTTCTGTTCAATGGAGTTGTCCCAATGAAAATGCTGGCTGAGGGCCTACTTTACATAGTCACAGACAACAGCTTTCTACAACACCTGGGTTTTCTTTGGAAACTGTGAGGAGGCACTAAAAAGAACCAAAATCTTTTTTCTTGTCTTAAAAAAACTCACAAAGGAGTGACTCTGAAGGATGTGTGTGAGAGTAGCTCTAATTTCAGGTTGAGTTTGGATACAGAAAAAATCACCTTGCATAATTTCATGTTTTGCTGAGTATATTTTGATTTGTATGGAATTGCATTAAAAAAAAATAAAGATGAGGTCTTGCTATGTTGCCCAGGCTGGACTCAAACTCCTGGACTCAAGCGATTCTCCTACCTTCGCCTTCCAAAGTGCTGGGATAACAGGTGTGAGCCATCCTGCCCCCAGAATTGCATTTTTTTTTTTTTGAGACGGAGTCTCGCTCTGTTGCCCAGGCTTGAGTGTACTGGCGCGATCTTGGCTCACTGCAACCTCCACCTCCCGGGTTCGAGTGATTCTCCTGCCTCAGCCTCCCGATCCCGAGTAGCTGGGATTACAGGTGCGTGCCACCACGCCCAGCTAATTTTTGTATTTTTAGTAGAGACAGGGTTTCGCTATGTTGTTCAGGCTGGTTTCAAACTCCTGACTTCAGGTAATCTGCCTGCCTCGGCCTCCCATAAAAATACCTGGAATAAAAATCCCATAAAAATGCCTGGAATTGCATTTTTATAGTTGAGCAAATTAGACTGGACCCATGAGTATAGGTGGCGTATTGAAATAAATTGAGAGAATAAATAGCAGAATTATAACAAATAAAAATCAACAATACTGCTATATCTTTTTTGGGGGGTGGGGATGGAGTTTTGCTCTTGTCACCCAGGCTGGAGTGCAGTGGTGCGATCTCGGCTCACTGCAACCTACACCTCCCAGGTTCAAGCGATTCAATTGTCCTGTCTTAGCCTCCTGAGTAGCTGGGACTACAGGCATCCGCCACCACACCTGGATAATTTTTGTATTTTCAGTAGATACAGGGTTTCACCATGTTGCCCAGGCTGGTCTCGAACTCCTGACCTCAGGTGATCCACTCACCTTGGCCTCCCAAAGTGCTGGGATTACAGGTGTGAGCCACCGCGCCTGGCCCAATACTGCTATATCTTGAGGAATCTTAAAATTCCTGTGATTAGGCTGCAGTAACATGACAATGGGTATGTATGAGAGCATAATGCAAACAAAAAAAAATTTCAGGTCTCTAATATTTTTTAAAGTTGATCTGTTTGAATCTATAAGCAAAGTACATTTTTTCCACTTGTTTAACAGAATTGAATTTGGAACGATATTATTTACTATTCACTAGCAAGCACTTGTATCCCCAAATGTCTAAATTAGTTTATTATTTTATTGATAAGGATGTATTTTGGTAAGAATTCTAGACTTATACCTAGAACTAAAGACAATAACCTCCTCCACCTCCCAATTCCAGTATCTAGAATAATGTCTGCCACATAGCAGTCGTTCAACAAATAAACTAGTGAAGAAATTACAGTATTTGCTGTGTTCAATAAAAGTAAAGCTAGAGGCCGGGCATGGTGGCTCACGCCTGTAATCCTAGCACTTTGGGAGGCCGAGGCGGGTGGATCACCTGAGGTCAGGAGATCGAGACCTGGGCAAGATGGTGAAACCCCGTCTCTACTAAAAATACAAAAATTAGCCGGGTGTGGTGGCAGGCATCTGTAATCCCAGCTACTTGGGAGGCTGAGGCACGAGAATCACTTGAACCCAGGAGGCAGAGGCTGCAGTGAGCCAAGATCGCGCCACTGCACTCCAGCCTGGGTGACAGAGTGAGACTGTCTCAAAAAAAAAAAAAAAAAAAAGGTAAAGCTAGAAAGCTAGAAAATAACTCTATTTGAAAATCTTTAAAGCAGTAGAGAGCAAAACTTTAGATCTCTTTTGTCAATAAAATATCATAATATCTGATTAATATAAATATAAATTTAACATAAATCTTAAAAATCATTAGATACAGGCTCAACTGTGAGCAGAGAAGGAATCATAAGAGGGGAAGAATTGAAAACGGTTGGTTTTACTTCTTGGCAGTTAGGACAGTTTGGGAACAAACCTTAGGTCTCCTGCATTTGCATTTTATTGGGAGATGGGCTTCTCGTTGATCGCAGAATGAAGTTCAAACTTCGTAACATGTTTTTGAAGAGTTTTAGATTTTAGCTTTCGTTCGAGCCGCCCTTACCTACACGTCCTGGGCGTCTGCCACTACAGCGTGATCTCTTTCTTAGTTTGTCCTGCGCTTTTTCACCGACCTCTCCCTCTACCCTGGACTTTGTCCCCTTGGGCTCAGTCAGGTCCCTCTAAAGCCTTCCCACGTTTCAAGGGCTAGTTTAATCTCCAGGGCTTTTAGGAAAACTTCCCAAACCCCATTTTCAGATGCAATGTCGCTCTCCCCTATTTCTCTAGCACTTTGAACTCTAGCTATTATTAAATTCTAACGTGGCATTTTCGCTTGTTTGTATCCCCCAACCAGATTGCGACCACCCTGTTGGGGAGGTCTTTTAAGAAATCGCTGTGTCCAGCCCTGGCACAGTGCCTGGTACAAAGAAAATTCCCAGCAAAGGTTTGTTGAAATGAATCCGAACTCCGGAGGGTAAAGGAGAAGCGCCTATGCCTAGTAGTAAAGGCCTATTCGCGACCTTTGGGAAGGCCTGTGGTGTGGCTGGGCCCTGTCCCCAGCTCTAAACTGGCAGGAGAACGCGGCGAGGCGGAAGACTCGTGTAAGAGTCTCTGAACTCCCTTTCCTTCTTTTTGACTTTTATAGAAGAATCTGCAAGTTCTTCTCCAACAGCCTTGGGCCCCGCCTTAAGGGGCGGTGAAAAGGGGTGGGGTTGTGGTAGTTGGGAGGGATGCCCAGCCTCGTGGCAATTCTGGACTCGCTTTTCTTTTGTAATTTTTAAAGTTTCGCAAATTCCAGCTCTAAGCTGGGGGCCGAGGGTGTAGAGGGTTTCCTGATGCGCACATTTTGCGTTCCAGGGAAAGCTCCCAGGATTCGGAGCTTTGCCTAATTTAGCCTTCTCACATGTCCCACCGCTAGGAAGGCTACCGAGTGCGCCCGGCCTCCACACCCAGCCGGCCGGCGTGGAGAACCCGCTGTTCAGCCCGCGCTTCCTTCTTCAACCCTCTGGGCAAACCCGGGACTAGCGTGTGGGGGAGCTCCCAGCCCGCGGTACCAGGCGAAGTAGGGGGACGGTTGGACTACAACTCCCAGGCTGCCCCGGGAGCAAGGAGGGGGAGGGGGCGAGCGGGAGGGGCCTGGGTGGGGCGGGGTGGGGGTCAGGGAAATCCCGCCCCGCTGCGCAGCAGCAACGACACAAAGCCTGACTTTACAACCTCAGAGAAAGTGGAAGTAAGAAGGCTTAGGTGGGCAGGCAGGACGAGAGAAAGACTGAGAGGAGGGAAAGCCGCGTAGGTGGGAGTACAGCGGCGCGAGGGTCGAGGGGGAACCCTCGTCGGTGCAGATGAGGAGGGTGGGCTTTCAGAACTAGTCCCCCCTCGCACCCCGCCCCGCCCCTCCCGCGCTGGGGTCTTCACGGTGCCCTGCCTCAGAGCCCGGCTCCACCACGCCCGGAAGAGGGAGTCTGGCCGTCGGCTGGCTCAGGGCGGGCCGGTTGGCTGTACCCAGGCTCCCTGGCCCGAGTGCGGGACCAGAGCGCGGGGCGGCGCGGCAGCCGCGGACCGAGGAGGGGCTGCGAGCGAAACGGCGCGGCGCGGCACGGCGGACGAGTTAGGGCCGGGGCGAGGGAGGCTGTGGCTCCCGACAGAGACAGGGGAGTAGTGTCGGGCTGAGGCGAGGTGAGGCGCGGGGTGCCTCGGGAGGGTTCCCCGTGCCCCGAGGGGGGCGGCCGCGGAGTCCAGCGGGGAGGCGGGCGGTGGTGCCGCGTCGGGGAAGAGCGCATCCCGCGGGGTGCCGAGCCCGGCGCTGGCGGAGAGACGGGGGCGCCCCCTCCCCACAGGAGGAGCCTCGCGCTCCTCCGCCATCCTTCCCCCGCGCGGCGGGCTCGCCTTCTCAGTGGGTGCTGCGCGAGCTGCCGGCCCGGGGTGCCGGGGCCAGATAAGGGCGATCCGCGGGGCCGCCGCCCCCGGGTCAGGCAGGCCGGGGGCGGGCCGCGAGTGAGGCGGGGCGGCGGCTAGGCTGCGGGCGGCTGGGGGGCGGGGGAGCGCGGAGAGCCGAGGGGGGCAGGCGGCGAGCGGGTGGCCCGGCCGCCCGCCTCGCTGCTCCGCTTGGCGCCGCCGGCCCACGCCGCAGTGTGTTTTGTGGACGGCGCCTTCCCAGACAGCCCGGTAGAGCCCAGCTCAGCGCCCGGCAGCCTTCGACGCGATGTTCCGCCGGAGCTTGAATCGTTTTGTAAGTACACTCGCTGCGGCTCCGCGCGTGCCGGTTTGCTTGCTCGCCAGCCCCTTCGCCGGGTCCCTCACAACAATTTTCTGAGGGGGCAGTTACGTCTCTGGGAGACACCACCACCCCTCTTCTTCCTTTTCACCGAAACACGGTGCCCAGGCGGCCGGGGAGGGGAGGCAGGTAGGGCTCTCGGGGTATCCCACCCTCGCCCCCAGGACAATTCGACCAGGGCTTCCCGGAGCTGTTACAAACTCTGCCTGAAACTGGGGGCCGCCTTCGGGCTGGGTGGTGGGGGGGACTCGTGGGGGGACCGACCCGGGGACCCCTCAGTTTGCCAATTAGTCGAAGATGGCGTTTTATTCTCAGGGAGGTTGCTTTCTTTTGTTTCCTCTGCCACGAGCACATGGAGGTAAACCTAGACCTGTCACGGTGGCCCAAAAGAAGAGCTGGGGGCTGAGGGAGCCGGAGACTAGGGCAAGACTCAGCCTTGCCTAGGGCTCAGCCAGCGGGCGGCTTCTGACCGGAGGCCGGGCAAACTTTGGAGACCCAGCCTACAAAGCTCACCTTTAGGGTGTTTGAAAGGCGAGCGTGATTGTCAGGGTGGGCCGGGTGGATGTGCAGCCGCGAGGAGGCTGCGCCGCCACTGCCCGTGCTGCCGATCTCTGGTCTGAAGCCTCGCGGAGGACTGAGCACTCCAGACCTTGAACCCATGGGAGAAGGCGGACTGTGACTGGACTCCTCCGTCCACGTTTACCCCCTTCAGAATCCCCAGAAAAGGGAATTTCATTTTCATGGGAGTTAGCCATAGGGAAAATCGCTTTCTGGCTACTGACTTTTTTGAGTAACCTGTTTACTCCTAGAGGGTACATTAAGAATGGAGCGAAACAGGACCATTTACGTTCCGTGCTGCTATTTGTAGCAACTTCCTTAATTGCAAGAGGTGGTGGCGGGAATAGGATTTTATTTCTGCCAATGATGTGGAAGAAAGGGTTCATCTGCAAATTTTGATTTTTCTGTAGTTAGGAAAAAGGGTTGAAAGCTGAGTGCTTTCCTCTACCTGCCTTAAAATATATCTTTTGAGAACATGTCGATTTGGTTTTATTCATGCAATTATTCCTAATCAAAACGTTGCTAACATTTTTCATACATCGGATATATTTGCTCTCATTTTTCCTTCATTTGAAACTTTCACAAGTGTACACTGGCTAAAAGTAATACTTGCACATCCCTTTTTAGAATAGTGCTGTGTTAATGGTTTTCTAAATGTTGACCCCACCCAGGAACATGCAGTATGAAATTGGAACAGATTATTACCTGTGGCATAGAGCAGTAGAGGTTGTACATATCAATCATCTTGAAATCCGTAGGTGATGGCTTGTACTGATAGCTTTGCTGAAGCAAGTGACTAAAATTGGTTTCTCACATTTAGCCTGAGAATGCAAGCGGGTATTGTTCTTAATAGCTGTTTCACATAGATTCTTGTGATCTTGGAGTGTTGCGTGGGGGTGACAAAAAGGGAAAGGTGGCAATGAAAGCTAATTGTATTTAGGAAAAGGATAATCTTTTCACGTGGCACTCTTATGGTGGAAAACAACTGGGCTCTGAATCATAATAAAATCATTAAACTTAAGTTGTTGAAATCCTTTTTTTTTTTTTTTAAGGATTTGAACATTTGAAACCGAACAACTCAAGTATTGGTCTAAAAGCCCATTGCTTCCCTTTTGCGAAAAGTGATCTGCATCGTATCAGAGTCTAGTAATTAAGCAGTGCTGGCCCAGGAAGCCAGGGCATGCAGTAGAATTTGCAGCAGTTGTTGAGGTGCCAGCCTGCAGGTTTGAGGCTAGTACTTTGCATCCCCGACCAAGATCTCAGCAGAGAATCACTTTTGCTAATACTGAAATGAGCTTTGACCTTATTGTTGCAGCTGGAATATTCAGCTGTTCACATTTTCCTGCGCAGCCATGACTGTGGTAAGTATCAGGAATTTGTACCAGTGCGGTAAGCTGGAAGGTTCTTAGGAGTTGTGTCTGAGCCCTAGGCCCAGGGCAAGGAATTAATCTGCATACCGTTGGACTGAATGTGAAAATTACTATCAAATAATCATTGCTAAAAAACGGCTTCAAAATTTGGGGGAGGGGGGCAATTTTTCCATCTCTTAGATCAGTAAACCATGCGCTGTTCTCCTCTTTTGCCTGACAAATTCTTTGAGGGGTACTTCCATTTGAATTACTAGAAGACTAGAATTAAAGATTTGAGTGGAACTTTGAGACTTTCACAGCAGTATAGATGTAGTCAAGGTTGTGAGTTGTCTTATGATTGTTTTAATATTTTAGAAATAGAGCTATGAATTCCTTTCAAAATGAGTTGTTTTTTTAGTGTACCTGTACGTGTCTGATATTGGTTTTGATTGTGAAATAAATTACAGTGGTGTTGATTGTAGTTGTTGGTTATTGAAAACTAGACTACATATTAGAGAAGTGCTTCCTTTATATTTTAAACCTGACGTGGAAGAATCCCTTAGGATTCTTACAAGCATCATCTTCTATAGCTCAGTTGTGTTTGCTGAATCATTTTTGAAATGCCATTTATTTTTCGAGTTTTCCAATTTCAAGCTAAAAGAAAATAGTGATTCATTGTATTTTTTTAAATACATGGTCTTGACTTCTTTGCCATTAATAACTGTGTTCCTTTCTTTCTGATGAATTATGACTTTCCTTTTGACAGTTTTGAGGTGGAAAGAAATTGGTGGATTTGGTGTATAGCATTTTAGGGTTGAGGCATGTAGAGGGTGTCCTAAAGGATTTAAGAGTTGGATGTCTCTGAGTGCAATAAAAGCACCACCTGTTCTCAAGTCAACATCTCCATAAATACAGTAAATAAGTAATAATAACTCTGTCTGTACAATTTATTTTCTTCAAAGGCATATTTAATCAGAAGTCTGGACTAGTTGAGATTTAAGGGTCATGGACTTTTATGTTATCCTGTCTTGTTTTATTCTTAATGCAATTCCTAGTGACTATAGTAACGTGTTCTCTTGGGTTTAAAGATTTATTGAAAGTCTAAAAACAATTCCCCCCTCTTTTTGGCTTATGAAATTATTTTATACTAAAGATTCAAAATAAGAGATTTCTTGATAAAGTAGGTTGGGGGCTTGGTCAAGAGGATGCTGTCAGTTTAGCTTGTCAGTGATAGTTAACAGGTATGCATTTCTAGACCTTTGATACATGAAAGCTTAATTGTGAGTGTGAAATACTGGAGTACATTTAAATCTCTGATTCTAGAAGCCCTTAAACTGCTTTGGTTTCATAAAGCATGTAGCATATAATCATAATATCACACAGAAGATGCCCAGGACTAGGAAGAAATTAGACTGCATAAGGAAGAATGGAAATTTAAAATAAGACTAAAAAATACAAAATAAGAATTAATGAAATAGGTAGCTAATTTATTGCTTTGAGTCCAAGGCAAGGCTAGTCTAATGAAGCAATATATGGAGGCAATTAAGAAAATAGTTCAGGTAATTGCTTTGTTTTTTCCCCAGGAGCAAGAAGGTTTTTAGTTTCCCCTTTAAACTATCAGAGTAATTAAACATTTTTTTTTTTCTGTTTCACTTTACTAATAATCCTGGCCTGACATTGACGAGCGGGAAAATATTGATTTTATTTTACTGTGTTTAGAAATATATCTGTATGTATGTATTGCAATATTTTTACATTTGCACAACTATTACAAATGGTCTGTGTATCTCGGCTCCCACATGGCTGTTCATAGAGGTCTAGGTTTAGCAGTTGAACTTGACCATACTTAAAAGCAACTTTTTTTTTTTAAATCATATTGTGTTATAATTGCCTTTTAACTTGTATGGCTCCCTAGTCTTTCTCAACATGGAGAGAATTGGCACTGATGCCCTAGGACATGCATTGTTAGTAATAAATTAACATTTTCCTGCGCAGCTGGAGTGAAGGAACCCTAATTGAGAAAGGCTGTCCTAGACAGGGACAGTTCACAGTGTGTTCTTAGCTCCTAGCACAGTGCCTGGTCCCTAGTAGGTGTTCAGTAAAATATTTTTTGAAAGAACAACTTTTGTATGTATCCCATAAATAATAACCTTTACTTACAGATAGTGATTATTGTAAACCCGCTCTTATGCAGAATGAGCAAAGAATGAGTTCTTGTTAGTTGGGGTATACCGTATACATTACTAGTATTCTAAGAATTAGAATAAATACATCTAATGCCGAAAGCTATACTGACCATAGTATAATCTTTTTTTTTTTCCTTTTTTTTGAGATTTATTATGGGAATTGGATCATGCAGTTACAGAGGCTGAGAAGTCCCAGGATCTGCCATCTGCATGAGCCCGGCCACAAAATATCCCCTTCTTTTATTTATTTTTATTTTTATTGTTATTTTTTTTGAGACAGAGTCTTACTCTTGTCATCCAGGCTGGAGTGCAATGGCACGATCTTGGCTCACTGCAACCTCCGCCTCACGAGTTCAAGCGATTCTCCTGCCTCAGCCCCCCTAGTAGCTGGGATTACAGGCGCCTGCCACCACGCCTGGCTAATTTTTTGTATTTTTTAGTAGAAACGGGGTTTCACCATGTTGGCCAGGCTAGTCTCGAGCTCTTGACCTCAGGCGATTTCCCTACCTCGGCCTCCCAAAGTGCTGGAATTACAGGCAAGAGCCAGCATGCCTGGCCTCTTTCTTAGATGATTAAGGCATTGTATGGTTTTGCAGAGCAATTATCATTCAGCAAATATTCACTGAGCACCTACTATGTGCTGGGCACTGCAGTCAATCCTGGGGTCGTAGATGAGCAAGACAGACAAGGTTCCTGTCTTCCTGAGCTGTAATTATCATTACATACACAACTATAGATATAGAGGGCATGGTAACTGCATTGCATTGAATACATTTGTGACATACCATGAAATTTGATCTTTGTGAATAAGTTACTATTACATACTTGTCATTTTTCTTTCTACTAAAAATAGATTGTACAATATCAGTTATTTTCTGGTTGTTTGGATGTCAGTTAAAAAGGAGTTTCTTGCATTTGTCTCCTTTCATCTGACCTACGCATGGCAAACTGCTCTTTTGCAAATAGATGCTAGGCTGACCCCACGCAAGGTGGGAAACTTATTTAGAAATGAACCACTGTAACTTGAAATAAATCTTTACACAAGTGAAAGCAGGTTTTGTCTTCTTTTTTCCTGATCTACCTTTTAGTGACTAAGCAACATAAAACTCTGAATGTGTCCTGAATACTTTCTGTAAGTGTTTACTGTTTGTTCCTTTTGTTTATGCTTATTGCTAATAATTCAGCCATTTAGTGAGTAATATTGAGTGCCTATATACCAGGTAGTTTCCAGTGTTCCTAATTAACTTTTAGCTGAATTGAGATTTGGGCAGGTGAAGCTGGCCATTTTTATATTGATGCAACTGTTCAAAAGAGCTTGTTTTTTCAAAAAGCTGCCAGTTTACCACCTGCTGAGCAGTGGGTTCTAGGAGGTAAAGGATGGCCAGTGGCCCCTGAAAGAACCATAACTAACCTTGCTGTGTCTGCATGATGTGCAAAGAACTAGCCCACTGAGTGAAATCAAATACTGGTTTGTTGAGTGATGGAAAAAATCAAGGCTCATTGCTTGTCTAACATGGTTATTCAGTTCTCTCAAAGAGGGTGAATGCATGGGATATAAAAAAAAAATACTATTTTTTTCTTCAAGGTGGTGGAATTTCCTGTACATCTGTAGTGCTTTATACAGATGAACCTTTTACATCTGGAACCCTCGAGACTGGGGGAGTTTTTCTGGTTAGGTGGAGGGAGGTTCTGGGCTTCCACAAATGAATTAGGTGCTGGCTCTCGAGTTTATTTCCTTTCACTTAACATTTACCTTCTTGGCCTGGTATAAGGGTAGATTAGCGGTGATCGTAAAACAAAACATACTGGCACAACTGCAGCATATGTTAACACTGCTGCAGCTTAATGATGAATGAGTGCTCAGCACTGCAGATATGGGCACAGGATGCCCTATGCCCACACATTGGCAGACAGCCCCTCAATTATTGCAGTGTATGGACGGATTACTGGGTCGGCTGACTTCTTGATAATAGAAGATGTGATTTATAAATGATAATGGACCGTGGATTTCCAGATTTAGAAGGTTAACCTGTATTTGTGAAGTAGAAATCATTGATTTCTTGTGCCATATGTATTTAATGGAATATGGGAGGATTGGTGATGTTGATGATATTGCTGTTCAAGCAGATATCATCATTTGTTTTTTAGACGTCTCTATTATATGTTGTCATAAAGTATTAATGTGGCAATGTTTTCCTAGTCCCTTTCTCTTTACCAAGGTATTCTTGGAAAAATCAGAAGTGTTCTTGAAAATGATCTTGCAGTTAGCACAGCATCAGGTAAACAGTAGATGTTCAATTAATACTTGTTTAATTGTTTTGAGCTGAATTGGTAACACAGTCTGAGTCAGTAATAACAGATGAAGAATGATCAGTTTAGGAAGCAGCCACCAAGAAGCTTATGCATTTCAGACTGGGCTACAAAATTAGCCAGGAGTGGTAGCACAGGCCTGTAATCCCAGCTACTTGAGAGGCTGAGGCGGGAGAATCACTTGAACCTGGGAGGCAGAGGTTGCACTGAGCCGAGATCGTGCCATTGCACTCCAGCCTGGGCAACAAGAGCAAAACTCCATCTCAAATAATAATAATCCTGTATGCTTACTATAAATACAGATTCCTGGGCCTTGAACTTACTGAATCCAAGTCTTGGGTGACAGACTCCAAGAAACTGTTTTTAACAAGCATTCCAAGTGGTTCTTAGGTTCACTAAAATTTGAGAACAGCAATATATAATATAGTAAACACGGAAATATTTATTTTCTGGGCACACTCTCTGTTCACCTTTTTGAACTTCAGTTTCTTCATCGATAGAATGGGAATAATAATACCTATTTCACAAGACTGTTGAAAAAAACGTTTGGTAGACTATTCAACACTATACCAATTGTGACAGAGGTCCTCAAAACCGGCCTAGGTTTGTTGATTCACTGGCAGAACTCAGTACATAGAAACGCTTGCGGATGTGATTTATTATAGCAAAAGGATACAGAGCAAAGTCAGTAACGGGAAAAGGCTCATTGGGGCCAAGTCTGGAGGAAACCATGTGCAAGCTTCCAGTCCTCTTTCACTGAAATCACACAGGTCATGCTTAATTCCTCTAGCAAATGAGTTTTGACAACTTGTGTGAAATGTCTACTAGGGAAGCTTATTAGAGATTCAGTACCCAGGGTTTTTAGTGGGAGCTGGTCACACAGGCACCCTCCACCTGGTACACAGCAAAATTCCAGACCCCAAGGAGGAAAGCAGGTATTCAGTGTAAACCCTATTGTTTACACAGCTTAAGCAGAGTGAGCCACTCTTATCAGGGTGATGGAAACCCTCCCAAAATCCAAGTCCCCAGACACCAGCCAAGGACCAACCTTGCAAACAGGCCTTACTAAGAATAGCAGTGTCAGGCCTGCTATGTTAACTCTTTCCATCACGCAAATATTGTGAAACACTGGTATTTTTTCAGTGAAAGGAAATGACTTGTCCAAGATCATTAAGCTAATCAGCAGTACAGCTGAGACAGACTCCCAGCAATCACATCTTTTCTTTGCTGCCCATAGCCATGCTTCTAGATTATGGGTCATTCCTTTTCATACTGTCATTGAAAGCACTTACTGTTTGTCACTTGAAGCAGAAGAGCAGCCTGCCGGTGGTAAATTGATGCACCCAGTGGGGGAGCCAGGAAGTATTGATGTTTCTGCCAGTTTAGCGTCAACACTTGCTGGTTTCCTCTCTGGAGCATCGCCAAGTTCGTGGATTTTCATTTTTCCTGACTTTTGGACTTTTGTTACTGCTCCCATTCATTTGCTCATAGTCCTAATACTCATTTGCATCATCACTTCATCCCATTCTATACCTTTTGGGTAACACAATTTCCAAATGGTGGGAATACTGCAGTATTTTGTCAAAGAAGACTATATAGGAAAAAAAAAATTCTGAGCAATGAATTTTATGGCAATATTTACAAATATTGGTTTATATCCTGGATTGTCTTTTGAGTTTTATAGTCATGGAAAACCCTAGGGATATCTCTGGTTATTTGGAGTTTCAGCCATTTTTACTGTTATAAAGGAAAATTAACAAATTTGTTATGATTGGAGCAAGGAATAAGGAAATCATACTGGATGGTGCAGTAATCCCACATATCGACAGGGAGTAGAAGCCAGGAGGGAATTGCCACAAGTAAGTAACAGCTGGGTAGAGCAGATTATGTAAGCTACACCTGTTGTGTAAGCAGTGGGGACGTTCTTTAAGCTTCACAATTAATGTATTTTGCAGTAATAAGGATTAAGGGATCTATAGTATAGTGTACAATTTATTCTGGCTTCTTTTCTGAAAACATTCATGTGAATCACAGCTTTCTTGGAACACTCATCCCCTATTTGGTGCTGTAGAGGTGTGTAAGGTACAGCCCTGCTCACCAGTAGCCTGCAGTTTGGTAGAAGAGAGAGAAGACCAGCACACAGGACCATCCTCCACACAAGGCCAGTAGGTCACCAGAGCCATCCTTTTGAAGGACATACACAGTAAGTGCAGTAGGCATTCAGAAGGAGGCACTGGCTCTCTGGCTTCATTTCTTGGGGAGAGCTTTATGGAGGAAGTAGCCTGTCAACTGGGCCTCTGGGGACCCAAAGGGCTGAAGGTTCTGAGATTTTAGGGATGGGCAGTCTCATTACAGGAGGAGGCAATTACCTGAGCAATGGTGCAGGGTCATTGTTGTACTTAAAGCATGGGAACCAGTCAATTTAGAGAACATACATGCCAACCCCAAATGAGTTTGAGCTGTTATAAAAAAAAGTATAACAGGTGGGGCTCAGTGGCTCACGCCTGTAATCCCAGCACTTTGGGAGGCTGAGGCAGGTGGATCATTTGAGGTCAGGAGTTCAAAACCAGGCTGGCCAACATGGTGAAACCCCATCTCTACTAAAAACAAAAATTAGCCAGGTGTGATGGAGAGCACCTGTAATCCCAGCTACTCGGGAGGCTGAGGCTGGAGAACTGCTTGAGCCAGGGAGGTGGAGGTTGCAGTGAGCAGAGATGGCACCACTGCACTCCAGCCTGAGTAATAGAGCGAGACTCTGCCTCAAAAAAACAAAACAAAACAAATAAAAAGTATAACATAGATTCAGTGGCTTATGCACAACAGAAATTTATTTCTCACAATCCTGGAACTTGGAAGTCCAAGATCAGGATGCCAGCATGGTTGGGTACTGGTGAGGGGGCTTCACGTCGCAGACTGGTGACTTATTGTATCTTCACATGGCAGAAAAAGAGTGAAATGAGCTCCCTAGGGCACTAATCCCATTTATGAGGGCTCCACCTTCATGGCCTGATCACCTGTCAGATGCCTCACCTCCTAGTACTGTCACCTTGGAAGTTAGGATTTCCACATAAGAATTTTAGGGGAACACAAACATCCTGTCCATGACACAGCAGAAACACCAAAACCTCGATCTTCAATGCCTTACGTTTGCTGTAGTAATTTTGATTTTAAAAAAGGAGATGCTAAAAACAGGTGGCTTTAGGTCTCCACAACAATAGCTATAGGAATCTTCCCATACATAGATGCTCTTTTCTGAAACCTATGACTCCAGTAAATTTATGTCATTTAAAAAAAATGCATATATATATATATATATATATATATATATATATATATATATATATTTAGAGAAGGAGAGAGAGAGAGAGACAGTCTTGCTCTGTTGCCCAGGCTGGAGTGCAGTGGCACAATCTCGGCTCACTGCAACCTCTGCCTCCTGGGTTCAAGTGATTCTCCTGCCTCAGCCTCCTGAGTAGCTGAGACTACAGGCGTGTGCCACCACACCTGGCTAATTTTTGTATTTTTAGGAGAGACAGGGTTTCACCATGTTGGCCAGGCTGGTCTTGAACTCCTGACCTCAAGTGATCCACCTGACTCAGCCTCCCAAAGTGCTGGGATTACTGGCGTGAGCTGCCATGCCCGGCCTTATTTGGTGCAGAGACAGTAAGGCAGAGACCAGGATGAAATATATATTTGGGGTAATATATCATGACACTACTTCATATATTATTATAGGACTGCTTACTTAGTTACCCTGCTTAAATTATGGGTACACATTTCTGGTAACTTTCACTACACATGGGAGACAGGATGGCAGTTCATTTTCTTGAGTACTAGTGGTCATTTATTTAAAAAGCTGGAGATCAGGCCTTTTTTCAGGAGCACATTCCTTACCAACACATTTATAGTTCACTGCTATTAGATAAGAAAGCTTTTGATAGACTTTCAGATCTGACTGCATCATTCGGACTTACCAGAACATGAATTGCATCTCATTCCCTCTGTATTAGTCTATTTTCATACTGCTTTAAAGAACTGCCTGAGATTGGGTAATTTATAAAGGAAAGAGGTTTAATGGACTCACAGTTCCACATGGCTGGGGAGGCCTCAGGAAACTTCCAATCATGGCAGAAGGCAATTAGGACGCAAGACACCCTCACAAGGTGGCAGGAAGGAGAAGTGCCGAGTGAAGGGGGGAAGAGGCCCTTATGAAACCGTCAGATCTCGTGAGACTCACTCACTATCACGAGAACATGGGGAAAACCACCCCCATGATTCAGTTGCCTCCACCTGGTCTCTCCCTTGACAGGTGGGTATTATGGGGATTATAATTCAAGATGAGATTTGGGTGGGGACACATATCACCCTCATAACCAGTTCATCACGACACCATGCTTAGTCAGTGCCACTTTTCTTTATCATCATGACTGCCACCCTCGTCTAAGTCATTAGCATCTCTCCACTTTCATATTTGTTCCTCCTCCAGTTTTCCCGTTCAGTAAATGGCACCATCCCCCTCCTAGTAGCTCAAGCTAAAAACCTAGCAGTCATACTTAATACTAACCTTTCCCTTCATCACATTTGTCAGAGAATCCAGTAGGTTCTATTTCTGAAAATGCTGTCACATCCATCCACCTTTCTTCATGCCCACACCTACCACCATTCAAGTTTAAGCTACTGCTGTCATTTACCTGGACCTTTGCAATTGATTATTTTATTATCCACCTTTGCCCTCTCCTATCTGTCTTCCACACAGCTCCAGGGGGATCTTTTACAGACGCACACCAGGAGCACTTCATTGACTTTCGACTGATTTCTGGTTAAATACTTTGCTGGTATTGCTCTCTCTCTTTCACTTTTTTTCATTCACTTTTAAAAACTGAGATAATTCACCTAACATAAAATTCACCACTTTAAAGTATACACTTAAGTGGATTTAAATTTCCTATGCTGTGTAACTATCACAGCTATCTAATTCCAGCACATTTCCACTACCTCAAAAAGAAACCCCATCCGTTAGCTCTTAGTCCCAGTCCTCTATCCTTCAGCCCTTGGCAACCACCCATCTACTTTCTTATCTCTGGATTGCCAGTGGAATCATACAATATGTGTTCCTTTGTGACTGAATTCTTTGGTGTAGCATAGTAATATTTTCAAGATTTGTTCATGTTGTAGCATGTATCAGTATCAGTACTTAATTCTTTTTTTTTTTTTTTTGAGGTGGAGTCTGTCACCCAGGCTGGAGTGCAGTGGTATGATCTCGGCTCACTGCAACCTGTGCCTCCTGGGTTCAAGCGATTCTCATGCCTCAGCCTCCAAAGTAGCTTGGACTACAGGCACGCACCACCACACTCGACTAATTTTTGTATTTTTAGTAGAGACGGGGTTTTGCTATGTTGGCTAGGCTGGTCTTGAACTGACCTCAGGTCATCCGCCCGGCTCGGCCTCCCAAAGTGCTGGGATTATAGGCGTGAGCCACCGCGCCCGGACTCATTCCTTTTGAAGGCAGAGAATACTCCGTTTTATGGAGAGAGCACATTTTATTTATCTGTTCATCAGCTGATGGACATTTGGGTTGTTCGCACTTTTTGACTCTTGTGAAAAATGTTTCTTCGAACATTTTTGTCCTTTCTTTTTTATTTTTTTATTGAGACAGAGTCTCACTCTGTTGCCCAGGCTGGAGTGCAGTGGCGCCATCATGGCACATTGCAGCCTCCGCCTCCCAGGTTCAAGCAATTCTCCTGCCTCAGCCTCCTGAGTAGCTGGGACAACAGGCGTGCACCACCACACCCGGCTATTTTTGTATTTTTAGTAGATATGGGGTTTCACCATATTGGCCAGGCTTGTCTCGAACTCTTGGCCTTAGGTCATCCGCCCACCTTGGCCTCCCAAAGTGCCGGAATTACAGGTGTGAGCCACTGTGCCTGGCACATTTTTTTGCTTTTTAAAATGAATATGTTTTTACTTGAGTATATATTAGTGGAATTGCTGGGTCATATGGTAATTGTATGTTTAAACTTTTCAGGAACTACCAAACTGCTTTCTTCAGTTCTTCCTCACTTAAATAAGTAGTTTGTGTGTGTGTGTGTGTGTGTGTGTGTGTGTGTGTGTGTGTGTGTGTGTTTAAGTTTGAGTGCAGTGCTGCGATCTCTGCTCACTGCAACCTCCGCCTCCCGGGTTCAAGCCATTCTCTTCTCAGCCTCCTGAGTAGCTGGGATTACAGGTGCCCGCCACCACGCAGCTAATTTTTGTATTTTTAGTAGAGATAGGGTTTTCCTGGGATTATAGGTGAGAGCCACTACGCCAGCCATGTGTGTGTTTTTTTGAGACAGAGTCTTGCTCTGTCGCCCCGGCTGGAGTGCAGTGGTGTGATCTCGGCTCACTGCCATGTCTGCCTCCCGGGTTCAAGCTATTCTCGTGCCTCAGCCTCCTGAGCAGCTGGAATTACAGGCACACGCCACCATGCCTGGCTAATTTAAAAATATTTTTATTAGAGACAGGGTTTCGCCATGTTGGCCAGGCTGGTCTTGAACTCCCAACCTCAGGTGATGCACCCTCCTCAGCCTCCCAAAGTGCTGGAATTACAGGTGTGAGCCACAGCACCCGGCCAATAACTAGTATTTTTAATTGTAAAGAAAACACCTAAAACTTACCATCTTTCTTTAAAGCATAGAGTAGTGCAAATTGTATTCACATTGTATGCAACAGATCTCTAGAACTTTTTCATCTTGCAAAACTGAAACTCCATACCCATTAAACAACAGCTCCCCCACTTCATGCAGTATTGGTCTTTTTGTGACTGGCTTATTTCACTTAGCATAAAGTCCTCCAGGATTCTCCATGTTGTAGCATGTGAGAGGATTTTCTTCCCTTTTTTTTTTTTTTTTTTTTTGAAATGGGGTTTCAGTCTGTCACCCAGGCTGGAGTGAAGTGGAGTGGTTTCGCTTTGTCACCCAGGCTGGAGTGAAGTGGAGTGGTCTTGGCTCACTGCAACCTCTGTCCCCACCCCCACCCCCGCCCCGGGTTCAAGCAATTCTCCTGCCTCAGCCTCCCGAGTAGCTGGGATTATATGGGATTATAGTTACCCACCACTATGCCCAGCTAATTTTTGTATTTTTAGTAGAGACGGGGTTTCGCCATGTTGGCCAGGCTGGTCTGGAACTTCTGACTTCAGGTGATCCACCCGCCTCGGCCTCCCAAAGTGCTGGGATTACAGGCGTGAGCCACATGCCTGGCCTGATTTTCTTCCTTTTAAAGACTGGATTATGTTTCATTGCGTATATATATATTTTGTTTATACATTCATCTGTAGATAGTCATTTGGATTGCTTCCACCTCTTGGCTATTGTGAATAATGCTGCTATGAACATCAGTGTGCAAATATCTCTCTTCGAGATTGTGCTTTCAATTCTTTGGATATATACCCAGAAATGAGACTGCTGTGCATGTGGTAATTCTGTGTTTAATTTTTTGAGGAACTTCTGTACTGTTTTCAACAGTGGCTACATCATTTTACATTCCCATTAAGGGTTCTAGTTTCTCCATATACTCACCAACAATTGCTATATTTTTTATAGTAACTGTCTTTTTTTTTTTTTTTTTTTTTTTTTTTGAGACAAAGCCTGGCTCTGCTGCCCAGGCTGAAGTGCAGTATTGCGATCTCTGCTCACTGCAATCTCTGCTTCCCAGGTTCAAGTGATTCTCCTGCCTCAGCCTCCCGAATAGCTGGAATTACAGGCGTGTACCACCATGCCCAGCTAATTTTTGTCTTTTTGGTAGAGACTGGGTTTCACCATGTTGGCCAGGCTGGTCTCGAACTCCTGACCTTATGTGATCCCCCTGCCTTGGCCTCCCACGTGCTGGGATTACAAGTGGGAACCACCACGCCTGACCTATAATAGCTGTCTTAATGGGTGTGAGGTTACATCTTATTGTGATTTTGATTTGCATTTCTTGGATGATTAGTGATGTGAGCATCATTTCCTATGTTTTTTGGCCATTTGTATGTCATCTTTTGAGAAATGTCTACCTAAGTCCTTTACCCATTTTGGTTGCGGGGGGGTTATTTCCTTTTTTGTTGTTGCTCAGTTGTAGGAGTTATTTACATATTCTGGATAATATTTCCTTATGAAATATATGATTTGCAAATATTTTCCCACATTCCATAGGTTGCCTTTTCATTGTGATGATTACTTACTTTGATGAACAGAAGTATTAAAGTTTGATGTAGTCTCATCATTTGTCTGTTTATGCTTTCGTTGCCTGTGCTTTTAATGTCATATCCATGAAATCACTGTCAAATCCAAATGTCATGAGTCTTTTCCCCTCTGTTTTCTTCTAGGAGTTGCATATTTTTAAGTTTAATTGATAGTTTATAAGTCTTACATGTAGATCTTCAATCGACTTTGAGTTAATTTTTGTATGTAGTATAAGATAAGGGTCCAACTTCATTCTTTTGCATGTTGATGTCCAGTTTTCCTGGCACCATTTATTTGAAGACTCTCCCAGCATCGTAGGACAGGGTAAGAAAAAAAGAGAAGACTCTTTTCCCCCACTGAGTGGTTTTGGCACCCTTGTTAAAGATCATTTGACCATGTACATGAGAGTTTACTTCTGAGATATTTATTTTTATTCTGTTTGCCTGTGTGTCTGTCTTTACGCCAGTGTCACGTGGTTTTGATTACTTTGATTACATATTGTTTTGTAATATGTTTTGAAATCAGGAGTTGCAAGACCCCCAACTTTGCTCTTTTTCAAGATTGTTTTGGCTATTTGGGGTGCCTTAAGATTCCATATGGATTTTATGGTGGATATATATTTTTTTTAATTTCTGCAAAAAACCTTCCTCATTTTTTGTGTTCCATCTGCCACAGGACCGTTGTATATACTGTATATTCCTGGTACACTTCTCTCCTGTAGTCAGTTGTCTCAACTCTTACTTATTTCTGAGAGCTCAGCTTAATCATCACTTCCCTAAGGAAGCTGTTCCTGATCCTTCCCTCAGACAATGCCAGGTTCTCATGTTACTATGAACCTGTCCTTCATACTCTTTTTGTAGTTGACTTTACATTTGCATACTGTATTTGGTAACTTACTTAGTGTCTAGATTTCCTCTATATAGTATGCTCCATGAAGGTAAGACCTGTGACTATTTTTGCTCATTGCTATATCCCTAATGCCTCACTGCCTGACATAATATGTGCTCATTAAATGCTTGCTGAATAAGTGAAATACGATTTCTATTTGCATTTCTAATCTTCCCATTTATAATTATAGACTTGTAGTGCTTGACTGAGAGATCAAAGACTAAGTGATGTCCAGTCTTTTTTTTTTTTTTTTAAGACAGAGTCTTGCTCTGTTACCCAGGCTGGAATGCAGTGGTGTGATCTCGGCTCACTGCAACCTCTGCCTCCTGGGTTCAAGCGATGCTCTTGCCTCAGCCTCCCGAGTAGCTGGGATTACAGGTGTGTGCCACCACGCACAGCTAATTTTTGTATTTTTAGTAGAGACAGGGTTTCACCATGTTGGGCAGGCTGGTCTCGAACTCCTGACCTCAGGTAATCTGTCTGCCTCGGCCTCCCAAAATGCTGAGATTACAGACGTGAGCCACCGTGCTGGCCACATGTTGTGTTTTATAATACATACATCATGCCTTTTTAAATTATGATTTTAGTTATTTAATATTCTGTGATGTAGTTAATGAATTAACTCTATAAGCTTCACTGTGGTTTCATACACATTTACAACATTGATTTTCTTCAGCAATTTGCTATTATATTTTCAAAGTACTTAACGTACTCCTAAAATATGTACAACTATTATATATCAATTAAAAAATACTCCAGTATAAATACCAAATGAAGTGTTTATTAATCAAATATTTTTTTTTCTTTTTCTTTTTCTTTTTTTGAGATAGAGTCTTGCTCTGTCACCCAGGCTGGAGTGGAGTGGCTCACTGTAACCTCTGCCTCCTGGGTTCAAATTATTTTCGTGCCTCAGCCTCCCGAGTAGCTAGGATTACAGACGTGCACCACCATGCCTGGCTAAATTTTGCATTTTTAGTAGAGTCAGGGTTTCACTGTGTTGACCAGGCTGGTCTGAAACTCCTGGCCTCATTTGATCCTCCTGCCTCGGCCTCCCAAAGTGCTGAGATTATAGGTGTGAGCCACTACGCCAGGTGTAATTTTTAAGTCCTTTTGATAACTTTTTGTCTATGTGTTTTTCAAATTCTTGTTTCAAAATTTGTTTTTAAACAGCTTTATCGAGGTGCAAGTACTTTTAATGTTATTATTTTTGTGAGTTTATTGCAACTTTAGGGGGTACCAGATATTCAGCAATGATAGTAGTGTCTCATTTAAGTCCTTATTGCACAAAGATGGAGCTAATCTAATTATTTTATATGGGTCAAGATTTGAAATTTTTAAAAATCTTTTTTAAAATTTTACTTTAGGTGTAGGCATTTGTGTTTTGTAGGATATCTTGAATTGCTGATCCATGATTTCATTGATATGTTGCAGGTTTATGGAATTGTTATAGTTGTAAGCTGTTTTTCTTTGCCTTTTAATCATCATAACAGCAAAACCTAGAGTGGTAAGTTCCAGGAACTGTTTTAAGTGCTGTATAAGCATTAGTTTATTATACACATTTGGTTATTAGGATTCTCCAGAGAAACAGAACCAATAGGATATATACAAGAAGTGATTTATCATAAGGAATTGGCTCATGGGTTTATGTAGCTTGACAAGACCCAAGATCTGCAGTCTGCAAGTTGGAGACCCAGAAGAACTGATGGTGTAAGTTCCAGTCTGAAGACTGGTAGGTTCAAGACTCAGGAAGAGTCACTATTCAATTCTGAAGGCAGGAAAATGCAGGAGGAGTTATTCCTTAGCTGAGGGAAGGGGAAGGGCAGCCTTTTTGTTCTACTCAGGCCTTACACTGATTTGATGAGGCCCACCCACATTATGGAGGGCAATCTGCTTTACTCAGTCTTCTGATTCAAATGTTAATCTCATCCAGAAACACCTTGGCGGACACATCTAGAATAATGCTTGGCCAAATACCTGAGCATGCTGTGGCCTAGTCAAGTTGACACATAAAATTAACTGTCACATTTATGTCCTAGGATCATGTGAAGATGAATGAACAAATCTAAAGTGTCTATAGGCCAGGAATGGCAGACTCTACTATAAATAATTGTAGTTTGCTAGACTTCCCATCTGTAAAATAAAGGGCTTGGGCTGCTAGATGGTCTGTAAGGCTCAGTGAATCCTAGAACTATTAAAGAACCTTAGAGGCCATTTAGTAGTCCAACATCTTCATTATAGCTGGGAAAATGGACTGAGAGAGGGTAAGTGGCTTTTCCAAGATTATTCAGTGAATTGAGAATTCAGAAATATGGAATTCCAGGCTCAGTTCTATTGCCCTTGTCTTCAGTTTCCTTATCTGTGAACTGCATGGGCTCCTGGGATGATATATATCTAAGTTATTTCCCAGCTTTATAATTCTGTACTATGTGTTTAGGCTTAGAGTCTACGAGTGAGCGAATCTTTTGACTATTTTCTGTTGGGTTTTTATCTGTTTTACTCTTTGGGTCTCCATCTCTTGATTGCACATTTGACGGTATTCTACCCCAAATTTCAGTTTCCCCTTTAATAGTAATGAGTTTGAACTGAATTTTATATACTTTGGATGGGAACATTGACAAATTTTAGGAAGTACTGTTTCACTCGCGTCCGTGTGAAGAGATCACCAAACAGACTTCGTGTGAGCAACAAGGCTGTTCATTTCACCTGGGTGCAGGCGGGCTGAGTCCAAAAAGAGAGTCAACGAAGGGAGATAGGGGTGGGACTGTTTTATAGGATTTGGGTAGGTAAAGGAAAATTACAGTCAAAGGGGGTTGTTCTCTGGCCGGTAGGGGCGGGGGACACAAGGTGCTCAGTGGGGGAGCTTTTGAGCCAGGATGAGCCAGGAGAAGGAATTTCACAAGGTAATGTCATCAGTTAAGGCAGGAACAGGCCATTTAAATTTCACTTCTTGTGTGATTCTTCAGTTACTTCAGGCCATCTGGATGTATACCTACAGGTCACAGGGGGATATGATGGCTTAGCTTGGGCTCAGAGGCCTGACACTGTTTATGGGTTTTTAATAGGGGTATACTGTTTAGTTTTACACTGATCTGAATGATTGAGGATCTAATGTAGACCCATGCCTTGGTTGGTAACTATGCTCTAGAATTAATTAAACTCAAATCTAATTATATTAATCTTTTAGCTAACAGCACTAATGGAGGAGAGGATTTTTGTTGATGCTGGAATATTACGGGCAAGCTTCCTGGGAATCAACACTGCCTTTGCCAGTGGTCACCTGCCATTATTTTTCAAAAGCACTCTTACTCATCTCTACTTATGAATACAATTAATTAGTTGCAGAATGTTAGATAGAGTGGCAGTCCTTGGACAGGCTGAGTGACAGCTGCTAGAAGACAGTAGGAGGCAATAAGTAGACAATTCATGTGTATATACTTGAGAACAAGTGGTAATTTGGTCGAGCTGAATTGGGTGCCATGTTTATTACAGCCAGTGATTCAACCTAAGGCTGAGAGCCCTAGCAAGGGAGCAGTTTCAGAAAATTGAGTCTGTAAATAAAGTCTATTTTAAAAGTCATAATCATTTGTTAGGTTAGACCCCAGACCTTGATTAAAAGTATCAGGAGAACATATATCCCTGTTTTGAAATTTCAGGCAGTGCAATTAAAATATTCCTGTAAAAATTCAGACATATTACTTATTAAAGATACTAATGAAGGCAGTGCAATCAAAAATCATACGTAATCAAATCAGAAGATTTATTAATGGATTTATAGAATCCATGTTTGAAATTGATGATTTTAAGTAGTCATGAAATTCAATGTGCATTAACAAGTATCTGTTTATTTCCTAATATGTACCTCACATTGTGGAAGTTTTTTGAGGTATGGGGGTGGGAACTTCTTTGTTATGGTGCCTCTACTAATGAGCAGTGTAGCCTTGGAAAAATCACTTCCTTTTAAAAGAAACTGTCATTTAAAAATGTAATATTCTATGCAAATAGAATAGATATAAAATATGTGCATAATAATAAAATAAACCCCTGCATACCCACTACCCAACTTGAGAATTATAACATTAGCAATACAATTCTACCTATGTACTACTTCCCTATCTCCTCTCCTTGCCTTCCCACCACCGTGTAACCATTAGCCTTATTTTTGTAATAATCATTCTATTTTATAGTTCTAACATGTATGTATGCAAACTTAGATATTTAGCTTTCTTATTTTGAGCTTTATAAAAATGGTTTGTATATTGTTTTTTACTCAATATTGTATTGCTAAGTTTTTTTTTTTTTTTTTTTTTGAGACAGAGTCTTACTCTGTCTCTCAGGCTGGAGTGCAGTGGGGTGATCTTGGCTTACTGCACCCTCTGACTCCTGGGTTCAAGCGATTCGCCTGCCTCAGCCTCCCAACTAGCTGAGACTACGGGCATATGCCACCATGCTTGGCTGATTTTTGTATTTTAGTAGAGACGGGGTCTTGCCATGGCCAGGCTGGTCTTGAACTCCTGGCCTCAAGTGATCCGCCCTCCCTCGGCCTCCCAAAGTGCTGAGATTATTACAGGCGTGATCCACCGTGCCTGGCCTGCTAAGATTCTTTTTAAGGTTTTATGTAGGCATAATTCATTCATTGTCACTGCTGAATAATATTTCACCTTGGGAGTTTACTAGAGTTTATCCATTCTCCTGTCGATGGGCCTTTGGGTTGTTCACAGGATTTTTTATTTTCCTGGCATGATCAGTGCTGCTAAGAACAATATGTATCTTTTGGTGTGTGTGTATTTATTAAAGGATATTTCTCTTGTGGGGTGTGTGTGTGTGTAGGATTTGCATATACATAGAAACACAAAACTGTATGTATAGGAAGTCTCACATACGTAATCATAGGTCTTGGAATGTGCATCTTTACAAAAGGAGGTAAAATTGTTACCCAGAGTAGTTGTACCAATGGGCATTCTCACTAGCAATATATGAGTTTCCATTGATTTATATTTTCTCAACACTTGCTATTGTTTGAGTTCTTTCTTTTTGCCAATCTATTGTGTGTGAAATTTTATTTCACGATGATATTAATTTGCATTTCTCTGATTACTAATGAAGTTAAACATTTTTGCATATGTTTATGGGCCATTTATGTTTCTCTCCTTATCTACTTGTTTATTTCCTTTTACTATTTTCTATTGGGTTATCTTTCTCATACTAACTTTAAGAGTCCTTTTCATATTCAAAACACTAAAGCTTTGTGGTTATCTATGTTGCAGATATCTTCTCTAAGATACTTTGCCTTCTGCTTTTACTATTTTTTTTTTGGTACCTTTTGATAAACAAGTTCTTAATTTTAATGTAGTTAAATTTTTCTGTCTTTTTCTTTATGGTTAGTGCTTTATGTATCTTGTTTAAGCAATCTTTCTCTATGCCAATGTTGGGAAGCTAGTCTCCTGTTTCTTTTTTCTAAAACTTTTAACATTTTGCAAATTATTTTTTGAGCCTCACTTTTCAGGTCTTTAGAATGCAGGTATGGAACTAGATGTTCCTTAACATATGTTCTGGTCTCTTACTCTTTGACACTGTGACCTGAAGTAGATTTCGGATATGTGACTGTGTTTTCAGAATATGCAGTGTTCTTTTTTATTTTTTAAAGAGGGTTTTTTTTTTATCATGTATCTGTAACGTTAGGCAAAATTATTTAAAGTCAATAAATTTTTATTCAAGGAATTCCATGTTGTGATTTCTTCCACTGTCCATCAAGGTCACTTTAGATCTCCTAAAGAGCTGGAGTCAAAAGATTTATCTTCAAGTTAGCCGTTTTTAATGAAACTGATGCTTATTTTAATCCAGTTGTCCTGTCAGCCCATAATTCTTTTTTTTTTTTTGAGACAGAGTCTCACTCTGTCACCCAGGCTGGAGTGCAATGGCAGAATCTCGGCTCACTGCAACCTCTGCCCCCTGGGTTCAAGCGATTCTCCAGCCTCAGCCTCTTGAGTAGCTGGGATTGTAGGCACCTGCCACCATGCCCGGCTAATTTTTTGTATGTTTAGTAGAGATTGGATTTCACCATGTTAGCCAGGATGGTCTTGATCTCCTGACCTCGTGATCTGCCCGCCTCGGCCTCCCAAAGTGCTGGGATTACAGGCAGCCCATAATTCTTTTATTTTGGCTTCTGTCATCTCCTTTTAATATGGATATACTGATGAAGACTTCAAAATTCACCAAGAATCTTTGGGATCTAATTTCTTCAATTTAGGGTCATTTTTACTGTAGGTGGTGGATCTGCCTGGTTCTCAATTTGACACCCTCTCTTAACATGAGTTCAAATCATATTCATTCCTAAGTGATCACACTCAAGAATAGTACAGATGTGTGGAATATGCCAATACCTGAGGTAAAAAAGTAGATTATCAGGTCTTTCATACGTTTAGTAACTGTCTTTTTCAAACTTTTAGCAACTGTCTTATAGTTCTTTCCCATAGATCTAGCAATAGTCCTGTGAGTAAAGTAAAACCACAGTTACTTTATGAGGTGTTTCTAAGGACGTGCAGGCTACAGGAATGCAGTGTTCTTTTAGTAACCTTTCCCACTATGAAGTTTCATATTTACTCCTACTTCTCTTTCTCTCATTTCCCCAGCGTCTTCCTTCCTGTTTTCTTCAGAAAAGTAACCAGCTGAATTCTGTAGTATCCTAGAGTTTCTGTGTTGAAACAGCATTTTTGATGTAAAATTTTATTGAGATATTTATGGATACACATGGAATTGTAAGAAAAAATGCAGAGAGATCCCACGTACTCTACCCAATTTCTCCCCAGTGGTAACATCTTGTAAAATTGCACTATAATGCCACAACCAAGATACTGATGTTGATGCCGTCCACCAATGTTTTTCAGATTTTCCATATTTTGTATTCACTTGTGTGTGTGTGCATGGGGTGTGTGTGTGTGTGTGTATGTGTTTAGTTCTATGCAGTTTTATCCCATGCATAAGTTTGTGTATCCACCATCACATCACAGACCAGATACAGAAGGAAAGAAATGTTATTTAAAAACAGTGTGGGCCGGGCGCAATAACTCACTCATGTAATCCCAGCAATTTGGGAAGCCGAGGCGGGTGGATCACCTGAGGTCAGGAGTTTGAGACCAGCCTGGCCAACATGATGAAGCCCGTCTTTACTAAAAATACAAAAAAATTAGCCAGGCGTGGTGGCAGGTGCCTGTAATCCCAGCCACTCGGGAGGCTGAGGTAGGAGAATTGCTTGAACCTGGGAGGTGGAGGTTGCAGTGAGCCAAGATCGCGCCACTGCACTCCAGCCTGGGCAATAAGAGTGAAACTCTGTCTCAAAACAAAACAAAACAAAATAAAAAAAACCCCAAAAGCAGTGTGGTTTAAAGTCTCTGTCACTGAGTACCCCCAGATTGTTCCATGTGCCCAGTTTGGCTGGTGCCCATACAGTTTTAGAGAGCAATCTCAGGTTACATAATTTAGAAGCAAATTGATTAACTGAAACTTTGACCTGAGAAAGCAGAGGAGCTTTAGTCCTGGGTCCTGGGAGGCCAGTTGGCATGGTCCTAAAGTATAATAATCATTTATTTTAAATTATATCCCCATGTGAGCCTGCATTGGAAACATCCTAGTAAAAGCTACTTAGTCCATCATACCAATAGGAGTCATTAAAATTCTACCTGCTTATTAGCAACTAAAAGCTAGTAGTGGAAAGAGGGAGTGATAATCCTTCTAAGAAAGCAATAAAAAATCTGCCAGGTTGTGCATTGGTTTATAGCCCCATAAATAGAAACTTATGTTATTGTCAGGAAGGTAGTCAAGGACATTTGAATACTGTATTTATGGAGAGCTACATATGCTTTAAGTAACTCATATCCACCCCAACATACTTAAACATGCAACATCTTTAGTGAAGTTCATTTGTTTACTCCTTTATTACCTATTTATAACCAGCTAGGCACTATATGCTAGGCAATGGGGACCAAGTGGTAAATAAAAACAAAAGTGGTTCATGTCCTGATGGACCTTATAATCCAGTTTAGAATGGAAAACCCAACACATTTTTTATTTACTCATTTTCATAAGTGTTATGAATAAAATGAATAGGATACAGAGATAGCAGAAATAGGATATGTTTTGATAGGGTAACATGAAAGTTCTGTCAGAGGAGATGACATTTAAGCAGATAACTGAAGGAATGAGGACTACTTCTGCAAAGGGGTTTGGGAGTAGTTACTGGAACCAGCTTGCACAAAGACCCTGAGTTGGGCAAGAGTCAGGCACATTGGAGAAGCTTAAAGGAGGCTAGTGGGGCTGAAGGGCACACTCAGTGGAACCGGGGGAAGATGGCAGTGAATGGGATATAGGAACTTCTGGGGAGCATTTGGATTTTGTAATCTAATTTCTGGTAGCCATGAAGGTGATCTGGAGATGGGGAGGGCGATGATAATAAAGTTGTCTATTTAATCCATTCACACATATTTATTGAGTATCCTATCACATGCCAGACACTGTTCTACTTGGTAGGGATGGACTGATGAGCAAAACAGACAGGAATCTCTGACCTTTTTGTCTCTACATTCTAATGTAGGAAGCTGTTGTTAGGGTACAGGGTAAAATAATGTAACAAAGAGCTCCAAAATACAGTGGCCAAAAAATTATAGACGTTTGGTTCTCTGGCGTGTAACAACCCAGAGAAGGTAAGCAGTCTCTTTTCTTTTTCTTTTCTTTTTTTTTTGAGACAGAGTGTCGCTCTGTCTCCCAGGCCGGAGTGCAGTGGCGCAATCTCGGCTCACTGTAACCTCCGCCTCCTGGGTTCAAGCGATTCTCCTGCCTTAGCCTCTCAAGTAGCTGGGACTACAGGCACCCACCACCATGCCCGGCTAATTTTTTGTATTTTTAGTAGAAACGGGGTTTCACCGTGTTAGCCAGGATGGTCTCGATCTCCTGACCTCGTGATGTGCCCCGCTCAGCCTCCCAAAGTGCTGGGATTACAGGTGTGAGCCACCGTGCCCGGCCAGCAGCTTCTTTTCTATGAGGCCATCCACCATTCCAGGCTGTGTTGGTCAATTCTGTCTTTCACAGCATTTGATTTTTAAAGTTCCAGCCAGCATGAAGGAAAGGGAGTCCAGGAGAAGCTTCTTTAGGAAGGTGACAGAAACTTTCACATATTACTTTTGCGCACATGCCATTGGAGAAATCTTAGTCATGTGGCCCTCCCTAGCCACAAGGGAGACAGGGAAATGTAGTTTCTGGTTGGAAAGTGAGGTGTTCAGGAAGAAAGGAAGAACAGATTTGGGAGGACAATCCAGTGGACAGGGAGACAGGCAGTAAACAACATAATTGTAATATCTCCTGTGATGAGTGATAAAGGAAAGATAAAGCAGAGAATGATGATAGAAAGTGTCAGGGGTGAGGGTTGCAGTTTTTCAAAGGGTGAAGAAGGCCTCACTGAGAAGGTGTCATTTGAATAAATCCCCAAATGAAGTTTTGTGAGCAAGAAATACCATTTTGGGTTGTTATGAAGCCTATAAGAATGCATGGTTGGTTTTAACATGCTTGAGTCTAGGACCTTATCAGACCCCATCAGAAAGTAGTTAGCGTGGAAAGACACCATTGTGCCACATATTCACCTACTGCAAGCAATACAAGGCCTTAATGAATTTTTGTTGTTGTTGTTGTTGTTTGTTTTGTTTTTTTTTTTGAGACAGAGTCTCACTCTGTTGCCCAGGCTGGAGTGCAGTGGTATGATCTCGGCTCACTGCAACCTCTGCTCCCCGGGTTCAAGTGATTCTCCTGCCTCAGCCTCCTGAGTAGCTGGGATTACAGGTGCCTGCTACGGCACCGGGCTAATTTTTGTATTTTTAGTAGAGACGGGGTTTTACCATCTTGGCCAGGCTGGTCTTGAACTCCTGACCTCGTGATCTACCCGCCTTGGCTTCCCAAAGTGCTGGGATTACGGCTGTGAGCCACCATGCCCGGCCAATGAATGTTAAATTAATGAGTTATGCTAGGACCTGGACTGAGGTATCTGATTTTTTCTTGACTTTTTTTTTTTCGTTTTTTTTGGAGACAGTGTCTTGCCCTGTCACCAAGGCTGGAGTACAATGGTGCAACCACAGCCCACTGCAACCTCAACCTCCCGGGCTCAAGCGATTCTCCCACCTCAGCCTCCCAAGTAGCTAGGACTACAGGTATATGCCATGACCCCAGCTAATTTTTTTTTTTTTGTAGAGATGGGGTCTCACTCTACAGGTTGGTCTTGAACTCCTGGGCTCAAGCTACATATGCTTTAAGTAACTCATGTCCACCTGCCTCAGCCTCCCAAAGTGCTGAGATTATAGGCATGAGCCACTATGCCCAGCCTTGGCTTTTTCTTAGATGGAAAGCTTAGCTCCCAAAGAAGGGAGGGACTAAGATTCTTCTGCCACACACAGTTAAGAGTGTTGCACATACTTGGACTGTAGAGGTGTTTGTTGTGGGGGCGGTGGGAGGGGAGATAGATTTTTGCTAAGGGTAGAAATTATTTATGGTCTGAGTTTGCTGTAGAGCTCTAGTTAACTTCAATTAGCCATTGTCAGTGCGGTTTAAGGATGTGGTGACATGAAAGAGTGGAAGTATTTTCATTTTTGCCCTTGATCTTCCATTCATTTTTGCCCTTGATCTTCCAAATCTTGCTTAGTAGCCTTTCCAATTACAGCAGGCAATATTTTCCAACCTTTTACTATTTTCTTTAATTATATTTGATTGCTGCTTTAAACATTTTTACATAAAATACGTAAGTACTTTAAAAAAAAAACTTTTCCTGTGTCACTTTTTTAAGGATAACTCATTTGTTTAATGAGCCAAAAGAAAATAATTTTCTGCCTATTTTTTCTCTAATCCCCTTCCTACTTACAACATCCCTAGGTTGGAGTACATAGATTGTCTTTGGGATTTCTTATTTTTGTGGTAAATTATGTTTCACTAGGGAACTTACAGTTTTAGAAGGGAGATAAGAAACATTGTTATATAATGAAAATACAAGACAGAAAGTGACAAATGCTATGAGAAGGTAAAAGTAAGATGCTCCTATAGTTCAGAGACTATGGCATGAGATGAATAATCCTGTCAGTCTGCTTCCACAAATGTGAAAGGAGACATTAAAGCTACCTACGAGCTTAATATATAATGCTCTCAAAAGGAATTTTCCATTCTTGGAAAAGGGAAACATTTGATCTGTCATCCTACTGTTTATTTTTGTAAGCCCCGTCTTTTCCCAGGCACAGATAAAATCCATTGTTTTCCTCTCACACTATGCCATAGGGAAAAATTCAATTCAGATTGGAAAAAGCACTGCTAATCACTTCACAACATTTTGTAGAGTTAGCCTTGAATCTTTCTTCCTTTCCCTCACTCCGTCTTACCCAGTCCATCACCCAATTCCACAGATTGTGGTCCCCTGAATTGTTTTTTTGGATCCACTCTTGCTACTCTTATTCCATCTCTGCAAAGCAGCTAGGCTGACTCTTTTTGAAACATACATTAAGTTAGTTTCTAGCTAAGAATCCCTAGTAGCTCCGTTCATACTTAGAGCACGATTCAGACTCCTTACTCTACCTGCTAGGCTCTGCATGCCTGCCTGCAACAGTATCTCTGGCCTTCTCTGAGGGATCTACCCTCCTACTGTATTCTGTTTCTACTGTGTGCGGTCTTCCCACTATATGGAATGCTCTCTCCCCGAGGACCCCATTTCTGCTCCTCCTTCAGAACTAAGTTCAAGTGTCTTTTCCTTAAAGAAGCCTTCCCTGACCCAGGCTAATGTCAGACCACCCAATCTTACAGGGCCTCATAGTACCTTGTACTTCTCTTATGTACCTCTTCCTGCAATTGTAATTAATGAATTACGAGACTAGTTATTAGCCCCCCTCTACCTGTAGAACAACATCTAAAAAATAAAAAAGCATATTATTTTTTCGAGATGGAGTTTCGCTCTTGTCGCCCAGTCTGGAGTGCAGTGGTGTGATCTCGGCTCACTGCAACCTCTGCTTGCTGGGTTCAAGCTATTCTCCTGCCTCAACCTCCCGAGTAGCTGGATTACAGGTGCCCACCACCACGCCAAGCTAATTTTTTGTATTTTTGGTAGAGATGGGGTTTCACCATGTTGGCCAGGCTGATCTCGAACTCCCGACCTCAGGTGATCCACCCACCTCGGCCTCCCAAAGTGTTGGGATTACAGGCGTGAGCCACCGTGCCCGGCCAAAAGCATGCGTGTTTTAGTTTACTCAGTACTCCACCCAGTGCCAGTGTCCAGTCTAGTTCTGGGCACTGGAATAAATGCTCAAAAAATATTTGTTGCAAAAGAAAAAGCAGAAAATTCACAAATTATGTAAATTTAGTTTTGAATTTTGTTTAGGTCCTTACATTTGATCGTAGGTTTTCTAATTTTGTTAGAGTGTTTACAAAAGACAAGACAGTGTATCACATCACCTGGGAGCTGTTAGAAATGCAATTCTCAGGCCCCTGATTCAGACGTACTACCCCAGAAACTCTGGGTAGGGCCTGGCAATCTGTATTCTAACAAACCCTCCAGGTGATGGTGAGGCATAATAAAATTTGAAAACCGGTGTTCTATAAAAATATTGAGTGAAGGTTGTCTTTGCCCTAGTTCAGGCTGCTATAACAGAATACCACAGACTGGGTAGCTTAAACAACCCAGAAATTTACTTTTCAAAGTTCTAGAGCCTGGTAAGTCCAAGATGAAGGCTCTGGCAGATAGGATGTCTGGTGAGGGCACTCTTCCCGGTTTGCAGACGCTGTCTTCTGGTTGAAATCAGAGAGAGGGATAGCAAACTCTTTGGCCTTAAAAAAATTTTTTTTATAGTTAATTTTTTTTTTTTTAATGCTTACCGGTTTATTATAAAGGGTACTACAGAGGATACAGTTGAAGAGACACATAGGGTGAGATATGGGAGAAGAAGCTCAGAGCTTCCAGGCCCTTCCTGGGGTTGCCACCCTCCAGGAACCTCCACGTGTCAGCTATCTGGAAGCTTACTGAACCCTGACCCCTTGGGTTTTTATGGAAGCTTCAAGACATCAGCATTCCTTCCCCCAGGGTATAGGGTGGGACCCTTGCATGGAAGGCTCTTAAGACCTACAATAAGAAAGGAGGGCAGGAAAAGGTCAGAGGCCTGCCCCCTGAGTCCTAACACACCCAACATTATAACAAAATGCTGTAACAAGGGCTATGGAAGTTATGAGCCAGGAACCGTGGATGAAAACCAGTATATACCATAATACCACAGGCCACCCCCTGGTTTTTGACTATGGATTTTTCACATAAAAGTATATACTATGCACAATCATTAATAATTACTTCAGCCCATCATAGTATATGAATGTCTTCCAAGATGAGGCCACTCCTGTTTGTGGGTTTCTTCTCAATCTTGTCAGCTTCCAAAAGCAGGAGTGGCCTTGGTAAATATATATAGCTTTACCCTTTCAGGCATCTGGGATTATTGAGCTTATAGACAATGTTATCTCTTGCTCTGAGACTCTTGAGTTGGTAACATAATATTTAATTTTCCTCAATATCCCATTTATTCATTTCTTTAATTTCAGCTAGTATTTCTCCTTCTCTCCGTTGGTACACTAACTTTTTCAACATTGGAAGAGACATTAGAATTGTCACTGTGCTGGTCTAGATAGCAGGCAGCAGTACAAGTCTGGCAAGTACCTCCTCCTCAGTCTACTCAGACAGGGTAAGGTTACAAAGGTGTAGAACTAGTGAGCTATTTTTACCACCAGGCAATATAGCTGCAATCACAGTTAGCCCCAATTTTGCTAGATGGATTGAAGGCACAATCCATCATGACCTTAGGAATTTTGACGTAAGGTTTAAAAACATAGTTTGTTTTTTGCTTAGAAATCATCCCTGCTGTTCTAACACTTGTACTTGCAGCCCTGGTCCTAGGGCCATTGCATCAGGTAGGGGAGAAAAAATTAATATTTTTTTCCTGAGGTGATTTGAGGAAGAAAGAACAAACTATAGTCGTTATGTTAGTGTAGTCCTCCCTTGGCAGGAACTACATAGTCATATCAGTGTGAACCCCAGATATCTGAGATAGGTCCAGTTAATTTAGGAAGTTTATTTTGCCAAAGTTAAGGATGGTCTGTGACAGCCTCAGGAGGTCCTGATGATATGTGTGCAAGGTGGTCGGGGTACAGCTTGGTTTTACACATTTTAGGGAGACCTGAGACATCAATCAATATGTACCTCGGTTTAGTTGGGAAAGGCGGGACAACTTGAAGCTGGGAGGGGCCTTTCAGGTCATAGGTAGATAAGAGACAAAAGATTGCATTCTTTTGAGTTTCTGATTATCCTTTCCAAAGGAAGTAATCAGATACACATTCATCTCAGTGAGCAGAGGGATGACTTTGAATAGAATGGGAGGCAGGTTTGCCCTAAGCAGTCCCCAGTTTGACTTTTCCCTTTAGCTTAGTGATTTTGGGGTTCCAAGATTTAATTTCTTTCATACTGGCATCTTCCCCACCCCCTCTTCCCCAGATAAACCAGAAAAACAGAGGAAAAAAAAATCTATCAGGGACACTCTAGTCCCATTCATGTTGAGGTGTGAGCACACACTCATGAAGGTGTGTAAGCCAGCCCTTCATGCTTTTATCTCCCCGTTTTAGACAACCAAGGTTTCAGTTGCCCATTCTACTTCTCTGTCAAACTGTTACACTAAGGATATCTTGCTACTCATTGTTGGACTTTGTGGGCTGTACAGTGTGTTCCTTGGTCTGAAAAAATGATGGCCAGCCATCCAAATCTATACAATATCTTCTATATTTTTTTATGGTACTCTGAGCATTTTCATCTTCCATTAGATAAGCAAAGCCCACTCCAGAGTCAGTGTTTATTCCTGTCAGGTCCCATTTTTAGCCTCCCCACGGGGCTACCAGCATTAGTCTCAGTTGCCAGCTATGTTCAGGGCCTTCCCACCAGAGAATCTGCCCCGCAGCCATCAGCAATCTCTGTCTCTTTTGCTGAGAAACAGAACAGTTCTTTCTGGCATTTTGTGCCTGAGAGGGTGCAAAAGGAACATGTCTAGATTCAGCCCATCACTGTAGTGCTACAATACCCCCATATCCACTCATTTCATGGGCCCAGGTGGCCACTTCAAGGGAGCACACAGGGATATCTACTTGTCGATTCCAGTCAACTTCCAAACCTGGAAGGGAGTTCTGATGGGCACTGACTTACTCTCCTTTAATGCCCCCTCACGTCTCCACAGGGCCATGCTTCATTTGGGCATTCTTTTGATAGTCCAGGTGTCCATGGCCCTCTTGTCTGAGTGTATGGCTAGGCCATTGGTCACTGCCCATGAGTCAGTAAAAACCCAAACCCAGGGGTTTGCACCATTGTTCAATTCTTTCATCACTGTTAGAAAAACTGCATGTAATTCAGCCCACTGAGTGGATCTGTTTTTACCTTCTTTGATCTAAGTAGCAGCCTTCCAAACAGGATGGTGTCCATTCACTTTGGAACTGTCTGGCTTCTTTTAAGGGCACTAACTCCTCCAGGCTTCACTGCCATGATCTAATCACCTCTCAAAGGCCCTACCTTCTAATACCATATTGAAGGTTAGGATTTCAATATTAAGAACTTGGGGTTGGAGGGGGAACCCAAACATTCATAACACTTGGTAAGTAAAATATAAAGTCCAGTTTACACCTCCTTACCTATTTACAAAATTAAGTGCATTGTTTCTTACCAACACTGGGTAATGAACTTCTTTTTGCCCCCTCCCCATTTTATCAGTTGATGTCTTCAGATGTTACCCGGAATGTAAACAAGCTCTGCTTGACCAACTGAACTGTAAACAAGTCTACTCAAACCTGAACTTTAAAAAATAAGGGTTCTCCAACTTCTGCCTCCTGAATTCCTGACTTTTATATACTGCCATATAAGTCCAGGATTCTATAGTAACTGTTGGAGGGTTTTAATTTTTTTCAAAAATGTTTATTGTAAAAGGACAAAACTTTTTTTTCCCTCTAAAGCTTAGATGGTAGTTTCTGATTTTGTATCTAAAGCTTTGTGAAGCATTAGCAATTTTTTTTTTTTTTTTTTTTTTTTGAGACGGAGTCTCGCTCTGTTGCCAGGCTGGAGTGCAGTGGCAAGATCATGGCTCACTGTAACCTCCACCTCCCGGGATCAGGTGATTCTCCTGCCTCAGCCTCCCAAGTAGCTGGGACTACAGGCGCATGCCACCACACCCCGCTAATTTTTGTATTTTTTGTAGAGACGGGGTTTCATCATGTTGGCCAGGATGGTCTCGATCTCTCGACTTCGTGATCCACCTGCCTTGGCCTCCCAAAGTGCTGGGATTACAGGCATGAGCCACCGCGCCCGGCCAGCATTAGCAATTTTTGAATGTGCATATCCTTGGCTGTTCAGGCTCCAGGATTGTGCTACACAATCAAGTTGTTATTGCTGATGGATTGACCACATTGTTAAAATAGGTCGCTCATCCCCGATTTTGCCGCTGGCTCTTAATTCACTTCATGTTTGACTCAAAGACACTATTTTGACAAAACTACTTCCATCTGATGACTATTAGATGAGCCATAGGAAATTAATTGCAGGTTTCTTTCTTGTACAACAGGTGTCCAGGGCTCATTGATTCTCTTTCTGATATGTGGTTAGAAGCAGAGTTTGGGGATTCTTTCTTGAGATAACCAAGAAATCTTTTTAAATGTTTAAAAAAAATTTTTATTTTAGAATCATTTTAAATTTACAGAAAAGTTATAAAGATCGTGTAGTTTCCATATATCCTGCACCCATTTTCCCTATTGTTAACATCTTGCAGTAGTAATGGGTAATTTGTCACGATTCATGAATCAACATTGATACATTATTTTAAACTAAAGTTTATACTTTATTTAGATTTTCTCGGTTTTTCTTTAATGTCATTTTCCTGTTCTGGGGTCCCTTCCAAAATGCCACATTACATTTTTTTTTTTTTTTGAGACGCAGTCTTGCTCTGTCACCCAGGCTGGAGTGCAGTGATGCGATCTCAGCTCACTGCAACCTCTGCCTCTCAGGTGCAAGCAATTCTCCTGCCTCAGCCTCCCGAGTAGCTGGGGGTTCCCGCCACCACGCCTGGCTAATTTTTTTGTATTTTTAGTAGAGATGGGGTTTCACCATGTTGGCTAGGCTGGTTTTGAACTCCTGATCTCAAGTGATCCCCCTGCCTCGGCCTCCCAAAGTGCTGGGATTATAAGCTTGAGCCATTGCATCCGGCCCCACATTACATTTAGTCATCATGTCTCCTCAGGCTCTTCTTGGCTATGACAGTTTCTCAGACTTTCCTTCATTTTGGTGATGTTGACAATTTTGAGGGATACTGGTCAGGTATTTTGTAGAATGTCCCTCAACTGGGATTTGTCTGATGTTTTCCTCGTGATTAGACTGGTGTTACTGAGTTTTGGAAGACGAGAGATGAAGTGCCATTTCATATCATATCAAAGGTAAATGTTAACAGCATGACTTACCACTGTTGGTGTTGCTATAACTCAGCTATCTAAAGTAGTGATTGCCAGGTTCCTCCACTGTTAAGTTACTGTTTTTCCTCTTTCCATACTGTACTCTATGGAAACAAGTCACTAAGAGTAGCAGAAGAGATTGTTATTTAAGTAGGAGATTCTAAAGAATATCATTTCTTGCTGAGTGAGACCTTCTCCATTGTTTTTCAGTATTTCCTTTTAAGTTTTACTTTATTAGGAGACAGGTGTATGCAGTTGACATGTTTCAAATATTGATTTAAATTGTGAAGGGATTTGACATTAAAATGAATATTTTAGTGAATATTCTGGAGCACTTAGTTGGAACCTAACGTATTTGTGTAAATGCTCCTGTGTCCACCTGTTGCCCACATCTACTCATCCCCACGTCTACTCATCCCCCAGCCTCCAAGCCTTCTCTGTTTGCCTGTAGCTCCTGGAATCTGATTGCCTCATAGCTAAAACCTTTATGAAAACATTTGGGTAGAGTAGCCCAGGATTTCTTTGCTTGGTAAGAACTCACTTGCTAAAATGGTTTTTATTAAAATATGTTTGTGCTTCACTACTGTGCTTCTTTTGCTAGAATAGATGCAGCCCTAAAGATTTGCTTGTCTTCCTAATTCCTTTCTTAATACCTCATAGTAGTGACTGAGCTATTGATCTGAAGGGATAATAACAGCCCTACACGTGCTTTTTGCAGGTTCTGATATCTTAAGAACTAACCGAGAGCTTTGAAAAAGAACATTGCCTTAGTGACATAAATTCAAGCCTGCTTCAAACCAAATAATATACAGCATGTGTCATAAAGAAGGTTCATTCCTAGAAATCATCATATTCAAAAGGAGCAAAGGATGAGGAAGAAGGAATTACAGCAAGTGATAGTACTTGCTCAAAGACTGTTAACCAGGGTCAGTGCCATGGGAACATTGTCTCCAGCAGCCCCACTCACTCTCTACCCACCCCACTCCTAATTCATATCCCTGGCTGCTGCTGCTTTTTTTTTTTTTTTGACACAGGGTTTTGCTCTGTTGCCCAGGCTGGAGTGCAGTGGCATGATCATAGCTCACTGCAGCCTTGACTTCCCCGTTCAAGAGATCCTCCCACCTCAGCCTCCTGAGTAGCTGGGACTACAGTCACGTGCCACCACGCCTGGCTAAATGTCCCTGGCTTCTAACATGCACTTAAAGCACTTCTCAGAAAGACTGTCCCAGTAGAAAAGGTGCACAGAAAGTAAACAATTCACTTTTTCTTTTTTCTTTTTTTTTTTTTTGAGACAGAGTCTTACTCTGTTGCCCAGGCTGGAATGCAGTGGCGCCATCTCAGCTCACTGCAACCTCCTCCTCCCAGGTTCAAGTAATTCTCATGCCTCAGCTTCCTGAGTAGCTGGGATTATAGGTGTGTGCCACCATACCCAGCTAATTTTTGTAATTTGAGTAGAGACAGGGTTTTGTCATGTTTTGAACTCCTGGCCTCAAGCTGTCCGCCCGCCTCGGCTTCCCAAAGTGCTGGGATTACAGGTGTGAGCCTCTGCGCTCGGCCCAATTCACTTTTCACTGAAGTTGACCTTTAGTATATTGTTAGTAGTTTTGGATTCTAGTTTGAGTTATCACTAGAAAAAATAGTGAACAATATTTTATTATTTTTTATTGATACATAATAGATGTACATATTTTGGGATACCTGTATATGCCCCATACCCAGTTTCCCTTATTATTTTGAGACAGGGTCTCACTCTCTCTCAGGCTGGAGTGCAGTGGCCCAATCTCGGCTTACTGCTACCTTGGCCTCCCGTTTCAAGTAGTTCTCCCACCTCAGCCTCCCGAGTAGCTGGGACCACAGGCATGCACCACCATGCCCAGCTAATTTTTGTATTTTAGGAGAGACGTGATGTCACCATTTTGCCCAGGCTGGTCTTGAACTCCTGAGCTCAAGCCATCTGCCCACCTCGGCCTTCCAAAGTGCTGGGATTTCAGGCGTGAGCCACCACACCTGGTTCAGTTTCCCTTATTATTAACATCTTACATTAGAATGGTACATTTGCCATAATTAATAAGCCAATATTAATATATTATTATTATTGGGAGGCTGACTGGGCCTTGAGGTCAGGAGTTCGAGAATAGCCTGGCCAACATGGTGAAACCCCGTCTCTACTAAAATTACAAAAAAATTAGCCGGGTGTGGTGGCATGCTTGGGACTACCCAGGAGGCTGAGACTTGAAAATCGCTGAACCCAAGAGGCTGGGGTTGCAGTGAGCCGAGATTGTGCCACTGCACTCCAGCCTGGGCAGAGAGAGAGAGAGAGAGAGAGAGAGAGAGAGAGACTCTTTCTCAAGAAAGGGAAAAAAAGTGTGTGTGTGTGTGTGTGTGTGTGTGTGTGTGTGTGTGTGTGTGTGTATAAAATTAACTGAAGTTCATACTTCATTCAGATTTCCTTAGTATTTCTCAAATGTCCTTTTGCTTTTTCAGGATCCCATCTAGGTCACCACATCATATTTAGTCATCATATTTATTTGGACTCTTCTTGGCTGTGACAGTTTCTCAGACTTTCCTTGTTTTTGGTGACTGACAGTTTAGAGGAATACTGGTCAGGTGTTTTGTAGAATGTCCTTCAATTGGGATTTGTCTGATGTTTTTCTCATGATTAGATGTGAGTTGTGGATTTTGGGGAGGAAGACCAGGGAGGTGAAGGGCCATTCTCATCATATATCCACGGTACATAGTGTCAACAGGCTTATCATTGATGATGTTAACTTGGTCACCTTTCTGAAGTAGTGTTTCTTAGGTTTACACACTGTACAGTTATCTTTTTAAAAATGATTTGTATTGATTTTTCCGTCTCTGATTCTGGAGAGGAGTATGGTTCATTTTATTTATTCATTCAGCAGAATGAAATATACAGTAGATTATTGTTAACTATAGTCACTCTACTGATCTATCCAACACTAGGTCTTATTTCTTCTAAGTGTATGTTTGTACCCATTAATCAACCTATAATCCCAGCACTTTGGGAAGCTGAGGCGGGCGGACAGCTTGAGGCCAGGAGTTCAAACATGGCAAAATCTTGTCTCTACTAAATGTTTCCAGCAAAAAAAAGAGATAAGTGTTTAAGGTGACCTTTAGTATATTATTAGTAGTTTTGGATTCTAGTTTGATTTATCACTAGAAAAAATACATCTCACTGTGTTTAGATGCGTCTACTATAAAAGCCAAATAGACAAAAATTAACTGGGTATGGTGGTGCATGCCTATAATAAGGTGATGGATATCCCAATTACTCTGATTTGATCATTACACATGAATGTATGAAAATATCTCACTATGTTTAGACACATCTACTATAAAAGGCAAATAGACAAAAATAAGCTATTCTAGGCCAGGCGCAATGGCTCACACCTGTAATCCCAGCACTTTGGGAGGCTGGGGCAGGTGCATCACTTGAGGTCAGGAGTTCAAGACCAGCCTGGCCAACATGGCAAAACCCTGTCTCTACAAAAAATACAAAATTAGCTGGGTGTGGTGGTGCGCACCTGTAATCCCAGCTACTCAGGAGGCTAAGACAGGAGAATCGCTTGAACCCAAAAGGTGGAGACTACAGTGACTGAGATCGTGCCACTGCACTCCAGACTGAGTGACAGAGCAAGACTCTGTCTCAAAAAAATAAAAAAAAAACTTATTCTAAAAGTAGGGATTTTTTGCTGGACAAATTTATTAATCTAAGTTCTGCCTAATGAGGTCTAGGGGAACTCCCTGAATTTGAGCGAAATGCCAAAAAAGTAAGCTAAAGGATATTTAGGTTTACATTATTTTCCTCACTGTCACTTTCCAGTATCTCTTATATCCGTTTACCACGTGGAAGAATCTAGTACTCACTTTTAAAATTTTTTGAGATGGAGTTTTGCCCTTTTTGTCCAGGCTGGAGTACAATGGCATGATCTCGGCTCACTGCAACCTCTGCCTCCTGGGTTCAAGTGATTATCCTGCCTTAGCCTCCTGAGTAGCTGGGATTACAGGTGTGCTCCACCATACCCAGCTAATTTTGTATTTTTAGTAGAGACGGGGTCTTGCTATGTTGGCCAGGCTGGTCTCGAAGAATGTGATTTTATTTATGATTTACCAGTTATTAGACTTTCTCACCTCTTCAGTAATTTTAGTTTTTTATTATTTTTATTGATACATTAATAGATGTACATATTTTGGGATACCTGTAATATTTTGATACATTCATAAAATGTGTAATGATCAAATCAGTAATTGGGATATCCATCACGTTAAACATTTATCTCTTTTTTTTTGCTGGAAACATTTGGAATCTTCTTTTCTAGGTATTTTGAAATATACAGTAGATTATTGTTAACTATAGTCACTCTACTGATGTATCAAACACTAGGTCTTATTCTTCTAAGTGTATATTTGTACCCATTAATCAACCTCTCTTCATCTTCCCTTCCCCCAAACTCTTCCTCTGATAACTACCAGTCTACTCTCTATCTTCATGAGATCCATTTTTGTAGCTCTCACATATGAATGAGAACATGTGGTATTTGTCTTCTTCACTTATTTCGTATTCGTAAGTAGTGAAAAGTGTGTCCTTAAGTGAGACCTTTTCTGTCTTCCCAGCTTTAATATAAATACAAAAGATTGTGTGATACTAGGGATAAAGCAACCTCCTTATTTTCATTCCTTCAAATGCTAGTCAAGGTAACAGATGAAGATCAGAAAGTACTAGGAAAAGAAGTCACCATCACATCTTGTGTTGAAATTTGTTAGGGAGTTTCAGTATCAAGGAATGAGTATGTCATGCAGCAGATGAGCCTCTAGGATGAATTTGATTAATTCTTCCCAGCAGCAAAATCTCATAATCAAATAATGTTGCTTGAGGCCTTCTTTTGCTTTGGAGTTAGAGAATCTAAATTGTGTAAGCTCTAGTGGATTTCCATTCTGTCGTATCAAGTATCGATGGTCTGTGTGAATGGAAAGAGCAGATTTTCTGTTGGGCTATATATATGAGCTCATTGGAAAGAGTTAAGAATTATTAAAAAAAAAAAGAATTATAAGTAAATACATTTTACTGGATTTAACTTCCTAATGACAGGCATCTCTACCAGATTTGATGATACTGCAAACATGGAAGGAACATAGGCATCTGGGTTTCTTTGCTGGCTATGCCACTAGTTTGTTGTGCAATTTTTTTTTTTTTTTGTAGTTTGTTATGTAACTTTCTCAATGGTCCTCAGATTTTCATCTGTACAGTGAGAGTAAAAAGGCCAGAGCATTGCTTAAACCCCTTAAGACCATCTAAATCTGTGGTTCAGAATGGGAAATAAGAGTAGCAATACTGACTGTCTTCCCAGTTACCTGTTATGCTCATGATAAGGTACATTAGATAAAAATGTAAGAGGAATCTGATTTTCCCACAAAACGTTTCATATATAGTTGGGGACATGATCTTAACCTGGTGTCAAATTCTTTTTTCTAGATATGACTACAAATATGAGAATGAATAAATTATATGAAATGTGAACATGAATAGATTTCTAGGTAATACCTATGGGCCATAGAGCTTTTTAAGATATGCATTTTTGACCAGGCCTGGTGGCTTATGCCTGTAATCCCAGCACTTTGGGAGGCTGAGGCAGGCGGATTACTTGAGGTCAGGAGTTCGAGACCAGCCTGGCCAACATGGTGAAACCCCATCTCTAGTAAAAAACAAACAACCAAACAAAAAAACCCAAAAATTAGCCAGGCTTGGTGGCACGCTTCTGTAGTCCCAGCTGCTCGAGAGGCTGAGGCACGAAAATCGCTTGAGCCTGGGAGGCAGAGGTTGCAGTGAGCCGAGATTGCCCCACTTGCACTCCAGCCTGGGCGACAAACATTCCTAAAAGTAGTTGTGAGTGGAGTAAATGTACAGAGACAAGATCTCTGTATACTGGATTCCATATTCCTCTTCTCCTTTCTTTCTGTGTGACAGGCTCTCATTCTCTTTCACTGGTATTTTTGAGCACCTCTTTTGAACTTAGAGGCGTGCCTCATACTCTCTGATGTTGGGGGGACTGTGTGAGCCTGTTGGCTTCTCTGTCTACGTGGCTTTCCAATGGACAGAGCTGGGGCAGGTCAGCCCTGAATGAGGCTTTGAGTCTTAGCCTGTCTTGAGTTAGAGAGAATTTTGGGAACCTCAGACTGCTAGCTCAGCAGTTCAGCATGTTTGCTAGTATCATTCTGACTTTGTGTGGTCATGTTTTTGTAAGATTGCTGTTGTCTGGCTCGTTGTGATTAAGACTAGCCCTTGTATTTCTGGGCCAGAAACTGGTCCTTACTCTGTTTATCCCCTGTGAAGTCCTTTTATGGGTACAATGGTTGGCACCCCAATTCATCCAAAGGTAGGAACATGTTTTCTTTTTAGCTAAGCTTCTGGGGAACTTAAGCTCTGCCTAGACCCATACCTGTGGTTGGGTCTTTGCTGCCCAATCCTGATGTTATAGATGCTCACCCACTAATTGCCTTTTTACCAGATTTCCCTGATGTTATATTCTGTCTGCTTTTACCTTGCTGAGTATCCTCATGCTCACTGCTCACCTGCCTGGACCTTTGGTTGTTGCTGCACTGTCTTTTCTAGTAATGTGCTCTTGTCACTTGGATTTCCTTCTAGGCCTTGCTTCTGGGTCCACCTCCAAGCACCTGACATTCTGTACTTTTTGATCTGCCATGCTGCCTGCCTTCAGTAGCTTAATTATGAAAATCAGTAGTTTTCTTTCTCTGGAACCTTTATTTTAAAAATCTATTACTAGGCCGGGTGCAGTAGCTCGCGCCCGTAATCCCAGCACTTTGGGAGGCCGACACAGGCAGATCACATGAGGTCAGGAATTGGAGACCAGCCTGGCCAATAAGGTGAAATCCCATCTCTACTAAAAATAGGAAAATTAGCCAAGCGTGGTGGTGTGCACCTGTAATCTCAGAGACTTGAGAGGCTGAGGCATGAGAATTGCTTGAACCTGGGAGGTGGAGGTTGCAGTGTGTTGAGACTACACCACTGCACTCCAGCCTGGGCAACAGAGTGAGACCCTGTCTTAAAAAAAATTAATTAGGGGCAAGGGAGAACTAGAATCATGAAATCTTTGTATTGAAAAAGACTCTCAGAAGCTTATACTTCAACTTTCCATCAGATGGATAGCTTGGTAACTCCCAAGATAACCCATCAATCGCATTTTGCAGTACCTCTCTATTGGTTTCTTGTGCCAAAACCATCAATGCATTCATTTATTTATTCACTCATTCCTTAGTGTCTGCACAGTTACTAAACATCTACCTTTAGCTAGGCAATGGGGAGATGAGTATGTGTGCATGCATGTGTGTGTGAGTGAGAGAGAGCATTCCAGTTTCTAGGAAGCTGCTAGTCCAGTTGGGGTAGAGAATAAACAATCATGATGGCTAGCTAGAGATATACATTGGGCGGGAGAATGAGTCATTTTCTCTGCATGACTGAAGGGTGGTTCATGGAGGGCTTTCTGCCATTCCAGTTAACACCAACTTTCTCTTTTTAATTTAACTTTTATTTTAAGTTCGGGGTACATGTGTAGGTTTGTTATATAGTTAAACTTATGGGGGCTTGCTGTACAGATTATTTTGTCACTCAGGTATTAAACTAGTACCCATTAGTTAACACCAACTTTCTAGTCCACCACCAGCTTTTCAGCTAAAATACAGGAAACTCCTCATCTTCCTTCTTTTTTTTTTTTTTTTTTTTTTGGCCAATCTCTGACTTGCTTTTGGAATCATCTTTCTTTATGCAAATCTTGATTTGTTCTTCCCCTGTTCATAGGCTGCCCATTGTTTACCCCACACCCCACAAGGATATCTAACTTCTTGGCATAACTCATGAAGCCTTCGACCTTTCTGATTCATGCCTACTTCTCCAGTTTTATTACATGCTATTTTCTATCAGGTTCTTAGTACCCTAGAACTTAATGAAGTTTGCTGGCTACACTGTGCTTACTTGTACTTCTGTTGCATGTGCTGTTCCCACTGCCTGGAGTGGTTGCCATTTTTGCTTTCCTGGTGAACTCTGGGGCACTGAGAACTTGATAGAAAATGGTATATGGGGAAAAATCACAAGTCTGATTTTCCTCTTCTGTTATGGCGTACTCCAGCCTGTTGGATGCTGTTGCACTTTATACACCCCCCACTCCTGCCCACCACAAGATTGTAAACTACTTCAGTCCAGGTTATCTTTATGTCTTCAGTTTAACACAGAGCCTGGCCCAGAGTGGGCAGTCCATAAATAATTGTTGGATGAATAGATGAAGGAATGAGTGAATAAATACAAGTTTCTATAGTCTGTTTTTCAGTTTACTTCTTCCTTGGGGCTCTGATAATGGTACTTAAATGGATCCTATCACTGTTTTGTTTCATTTAGAGATGGGGTCTGACACTGTCACCCAGGCTGAAGTACAGTGGCATTTTCATAGCTCACTGAAGCTTTGAACTTTTAGGCTCAAGCGATCCTTCCACCTCAGCCTCCCAAGTAGCTGGAACCACAGGCATGTTCCACCATGCCTGGCTTTTTAAAAAAATTTTTTGTAGAGATGAGGTCTTGTTTTGTTACCTAGGCTGGTCTCAAACTCCTGGCTTCAAGGAATCCTCCTGCCTCGGCCTCCCAAAGTGTTGGGATTACAGGTGTGAACCACCACACAAAACCACACTGTTTTGACCATAGCTCCTTGCAAAGCCAGAACCATGCACACTGGCTTATCCACTACTGGATAAGCTACCTGCCTGCCAAAACAGAGAGAAAAGCCCTTTAGGGGTTTTAGAAAACTCTTGATCTTCTCCCACCCTGTTGTCTCTGCTGCCAAGATAAGCTTCTACTATGTCTTTTCAGAACTCTGATCAAGAGGTAGAAATTGCATAGAATAAAAATACTTCACCCCTTCTCTTCTAAATCAGAGTGGTTGTGAAGTGAGGAGAATTAGTACTTGAATAAAATTCCTGTCTCCTTAGGCAGTTCTTTGAATGAGTCATCTACAAACTCAAGCAATTTGTAAGGACAATTATGGCCATTTATTCTGTTGTCAGCCTGTTTTGAATAAATACCAAATGGAGTATTTTGGTTCTTAATTATGCCTTTCTCACCTTCTTACCAGAGCCCGTTTTTACACAATTATATCAATTAACAGTGAGAGACACATACACAACTTTCATGAACTTAATCTGCCCTGCATATCTTCCTGTGCTTTAATCATGATCTTAAATTTATAATCAGAAATCAGCCTTTTCAGTTCAAATCAGTTGTAGATCTCTGCCTAAAATAGTTGGCTCTTTCGAGGTTGTTACTTTTGTAACACAACTTTTTTCTTGAGAATTATTGAGGTATAATTTACATACAGTAAAATTTGCCCTTTTTAGGTATGTAAAAATCGATGAATTTTGACAAAATTATATAAATTGTAATCACCACTGAAATCAAAATAATCAAATTTTCTGTCACCTAAAAAGTTCCCTCATGCTCCTTTGTAGTCAGTCCCCTCCCTAAACTGCCAACCCCTGGCAACCGCTAATCTGATTTCTGTCCCTTACAGTTTCGTCATTTCTAGAATTCCATATAAATGGGATCAAAATGTATAGCCTTTGAGTCTGGCTTGTTTTACTTGGCATAATGCTTTTGGGAGTCATCTATGTCCTTGCATTTATCCAGTTTGCTGCCTTTCATTGCTGAGTAGAATTCCATTAAAGAGATAACACTATAATTTGTGTATCCATTCACCAGTAGCTGATGGACATTTGGACTGTTTTCACTTTTTGGTGGTTATGAATAAAGGTGCTGTAAATATTTGTGTTCAGGCCAGGCATGGTGGCTCACACCTGTAATCCTAGCACTTTGGGAGGCCAAGGTGAGCGAGTTACTTGAGGTCAGGAATTCGAGACCAGCCTGGCCAAAATGGTGAAACCCCATCTCTACTAAAAATATAAAAATTATCTGTGTGTGGCGGTGTGTGCCTATAGTCCCAGCTACTCGGAGGCGGAGGCATGAGAATTGCTTGAACCCGAGAGGCGGAGGTTGCAGTGTGCTGAGATTGTGCCACTGCACTCCAGCCTGGGCAACAGAGTAAGACCCTGTCTCCAAAAAAAAAAAAACTGTGTTCAGGTTTCTGTGTAGATGTATATCCTGTTTTCAGTAAATATATAAAAGCATCATAGACTGAAATGTACTGGGTACATTTTCATACTGGGTAGTATGAAAACTATGTATTTAACTTTATATCTTAAGCTGCCCAACTATTTTTCAAAGTGACTATACCATTTTTGTTTCCTAACAGCAACATATAAGGTTGCATTTGCTCCATATCCTCACCAATATTGTTATTGTCTGTCCTTTAAAACTTTAGCCATTCTGGTAGGTGAATAGTAATATCTCACTGTAATTTTATTCTGCATTTTTCCTAATGACTAATGATTTTGAACAAGTGTCTTAACATTTTTTTGATTTGGCAGGGTTTTGAAAAATTATACAGCTTTGGGCTGGGCGCAGTGGCTCACACCTGTAATCTCAGCACTTTGGGGCCAAGGTGGGCAGATTACTTGAGGTCAGGAGTTCGAGAGCAGCCTGGCCAACATGGTGAAACCCCGTCTCTACAAAAATACAAAAATTAGCTGGGCGTTGTGGCGGGCGCCTGTAATCCCAGCTACTCGGGAGGCTGAGGCAGGAGAATCACCTGAACCCGGGAGGCAGAGGTTGCAATGAGCTGAGATCGCACTGTTGCACTCCAGCCTGGGTGACAGAGTGAGACTGTATCAAAAAAAAAAAAAAATTATACAGCTTTACAGCTTTGAGTGTTCTTTATATATTCTGGCTACTGGTCCTTTATCAGATATGTGTTTTGCAAATGTTTTTCCCAGTCTATGGCTTGTCTTTTTACTTTTTAAATAGTGTGTTTCAAAGAGCAGTAGTTTTGTGTGTGTGTTTTTTTTTTTTTTTTGAGACGGAGTCTTGCTCTATCGCCCAGGCTGGAGTGCAGTGGTGCGATCTCGGCTCACTGAAACCTCCGCCTCCTGGGTTCAAGCAATTCTCCTACCTCAGCCTTCTGAGTAGCTGGGACTATAGGTGCATGCTACCATGCCTAGCTAATTTTTTGTATTTTAGTAGAGATGGGGTTTTACCTTGTTGCCCAGGCTGGTTGCAAACTCCTGAGCTCAGGCAAATCCGCCCACCTTGGCCTCCCAAAGTGCTGGGATTACAGGTGTGAGCCACCACCCCCAGCCCAAGAGCAGTAGTTTTAAGTTTTGATTGAAGTTCCATTTTTCAGTCTTGTGTTGTCTGTTTTTTTCAGACAGGGCCTTGTTCTGTCACCCAGGCTGGAGAGCACTGGTTCAATCATGGCTCACTGCTGGCCTCCTGAACTCAAGCAATCCTCCTACCTCAGCCTCCCGAGTAGCTGGTACTATAGGTGTGCACCACCATGCCCAGCTAATTTTTGTGGTTTTTTTTGTAGAAACAGGGTTTTATTATGTTGCCCTGGCTGGTCTCAAACTCCTGAAGAGATCCTCCCACCTTGGCCTCCCAGAGGGCTGAGATTACAAACGTGAGCCACTGTGCCTGGCCTCAATATTTTCTTTTATGGTTAATGGTTTTTCTGTCCTATCTAAGAAACAGTTGCCCAACTCAGGATCATGAATATTTGCTTCTATTTTTTCTAGAAATTTTATAGCTTTAGGGTTTACATTTCAGTCTATGATGAATTTCCGGTTGACTTTTATGTATAGTGCAAGATACAGGTTGAGATTCATTTTTTGAATATAGATATATCTAATTGTTCCAGCATCATTTGTTGATAAGACGAAAAAAACTATACTTTGTCTATTGAATTAGCTTGGCATCCTTGTCAAAAATTAATTGACCATATATGTGTGGATCAGTTTCTGGAATTTTTATTTTGTTTCATTGATCTATGTTACCCTTTTGCCTACGCTGTCTAGAATATTATAGCTTTATTGTAAGTCTTGAAATCAATTGGTATGAGTACTCCAAGTTTCTTTTTTTTTTTACAAAATTGTTTAGGTTATCCTAAATTATTTTTTCCATATAATTTTGGAGTTACCTTATAAATTTTTGAAAAAGAAACGGGATTTTATTTGCTGTGAATTAAAATCTATAGATAATTTGGAGGAGAATTGCAATACTGATGATATTGAGTCTTCTGATCCATGAACACAGTGTATCTCTGCAAGGAAGTCTTTGATTTCTCTCATCAGTGTTTTTGATACTTTTCAACGTACAAATCTTATAATACTTTGTTAGATTGATCCCTCAGTATCACATGTTTCTTGGTGCTGTAGTAACTGGTGCTTTTTTTTTTTTTTTTTTTGAGATGGAGTCTTGCTCTGTTGCCAGGCTGGAAAATCTCAGCTCACTGCAACCTCCACTTCCCGGGTTCAAGCAATCAAGCAATTCTTCTGCCTCAGCCTCCCGAGTAACTGGGACTACAGGTGTGCTCCACCACGCCCAGCGAATTTTTGTATTTTTAGTATAGACGGGGTTTCACCATGTTGGCGAGGATGGCCTCAATCTCTTGACCTCGTGATCTGCCCACCTTGGACTCCCAAAGTGCTAGGATTACAGGCATAAGCCACCGCGCCTGGCCACAACTGGTGCTTTTAAAAATTTCATTTTCCTGTTCTTCACTATTGTGTATAAAAATACAGTTGATTTTTTTTATAGCAAGGCAAGGAAAAAAAACAATTTCTATATATTGATCTTATGTTCTTAAACTTTGCCAGTCACTAATTATATCTAGTAGTCTCTTATAGATTCTTTTATATTTTCTGGATAGATAATTACATTTTCTGTGAATAAAGGCAGTATTATTTTTCCTCTCCCATCTATAAGTATCTGTATTTTTTTTCTGTACCTTATTGCATTAGCTAGGAGTTCTATCTTATATGATGTTGAGTAGGAGTGTTAAGAGTGGATTCCCTGCCTTCTTCCTGATCTTAGGGGGAAATCATTTTGTGTTTTATTATTAAGTATGAGTTAGCTGTAAGTTTTTCATAGATGCTCTTTATCTTTTTTTTTTCTTCATAGATGCTCTTTACCAGGTTGAGGAAGTTTCTTTTGATTTCTAGTTAGCTGAGTTGTTGTTGCTGTTGTTTTTTAAGTAATGAAGGGCTGCTGAATGAATCTTGCACTTTTTCTGTACCTATAGAATTAGTCATACAGATTTTTCCTTGTTTTTGACTGCTGACACTGTGAATGGCATTGTGTTTGACGTATGAATGCCGAACTATTCTTGCATTACTAGTCTAAATTCCACATGGCAATAATAGCTTATTCTCTTGTATTTTATGGATAAAAATCATGGATAAAAGAAATGAAGTAGGTAGCAATTCCTTAACCATATGTGTGTTTTATAAGTCATAGAAATTTTTCCATCCTAAGGGAAGTGCTAACTCCCTTGCTTAGCATACAATACAGGTAGCATGTTTTTGGTTCCTCTTCGTTTGGTCTTTTAGGCTATCAAAAGTGAGTGGGGGGAAATGTAACAAAAATAGTATGTACTAGGCAGTGTGTATGTTTATCTTATTTAATCTCACTTGATGGAAAGTGAGGTCCATCAAACAATTTGTACCACCAAGTCTTGGAGCTAGTAAATGGCAGGGTGGTGGGGGGGCGGTCAGAATTTAAATGCAGGTGTTTTGGATAAAACCGTTATTAGCTCACTGTATGGTATCGCCTCTCTTTGGAAGTGAGTGGGTATGTGTGTGCATGTGTTTGTGTTTGTGTGAGAGAGACAGAGGAAGGGAGGGAAGGACAGGAATTGGGAGAGTGAGGTAGAAATTGAGATTTGGAAGGAGAGAAAAGCCCTCCCACCTTTCATTGCCATCTAAAATCTGGGCTTTTAGATATCGTGATTTGTATCTCAGCTTTGCCATTTACTTGATTTGTGGCACATTTGTCTCTCTGAGCCTCATGTTTTAAAAATTTGAAATGTAGAACATTTACATTGAGTTTTGAGGAATACAGATAATATATGTAAAATGTCTCACATAGAATGTGCTCAATTTAGTGGTGTCCATTACTATCATCATTATTGATTTCCTACCATTAAATGTATTTTGTAAATGAAAATAATCTGGTTTTAGAAGATGGCAAAGGAGACTTAGAATGATTTCTATAGTTGTTTGTTTAGTTCTTTTGACAAAATTGCCTAAAGTTCTTTTATAAAAATGGAATTCATTTTGTCTACTTTTCACTCCTTCTCAAGTCAAAATAACACAAGGTATTTACTAAATCAGTTTGCAAATTTGGAAAATTTTAAAAAGTACTGCTGAGCTGGGTGCAGTGACTCACGCTTGTAATCCCAGCACTTTGAGAGGCCCAGGAGGGAGGATTGCCTGAGGCCAGGAGTTCAAGACCAGCCTGGGCAACATAGCAAGACCTCATCAAAATAAAAAATAAAGTATTCCTGAATGCTCTGGACTTGCCTACTGGTTTGGAAGTGGTTATCTCAGTGTGGAGGATTGGAGATGCCGTTTTTATTTTACATGGACAACAGACCATTGCTAGCTAACTTTAGTCCCTTAGCCCATGTAGATCTGACAGTTTATGACGTGAGACTGTCTTCTCTAAGTGACACAAACCATTTCAGGTTGTTTCAGTAAGGTTATTTTGGGTCTTACAAGCAGGGCCCAAGAGCTTCTGTGTGTTTCATTAGTCAAGTCAGGGAGATGAGAATGAGTCTGAGAAAGGGCATCAGACTATCAGTGCCTTGGACTTTGGGAGGGCTGTTGGCTCCAACTCTACCAATCAATAGCCTTCTGGGAATTGGTTCATATGATTATTTGATTTCATAGAAGTACTCTTCCAGCCAAAAGTGCTGCTTGACACATGAAAATTGTATCTTGACAATTTTTGGATAATACCACACCATCCCTTGATATTGTTGAAAATCAGAATTGGTAATCAGTATGCTTTCCTTCTAGCCATGAAGTCTTTAAGTAAATATGTTAAACTTAGAGTTTTATTGTAGACTTTGTGGTTAATTATGACCTTTCTTAGCAAGCTGATGTCACAATGTAATAAGTAAGTTATGTTTCTCATATTTATTCAGAAGTCCAGGATGTCTTTGTGTTAGGGTGATATTTAGGTTTTGATATCTTCGATTTGTCTATTTTCCCCAATTGTATATTCAGTCTGTAAAATTTATTTTACTCTTTTCCAATTACAGTGGCCACATCTTCTTATTTAATTTTCACCTTACTTTGTACATCATTTTAGGGTAGGTCTTATTGCCACCTTATGATGAAAAAAATAAGGCTACATTTTCCCAAAGATCATCATTGGACAGTGAGTCCATATTCAGAAGCCAATTCTGATTTTTGTTTATGTTCTTTGGATTAGACCTCTGGGCCTTGAGCTTGATCTGGCTCTCTAAATTTCATTGATTTGGTTAACATTCAAAAACTAAATATCTAATGACTACCTTTGTCCCACAGTTAGGATCAACAAATGTGATTAGATGCCTGTCTTCAAAGGAGTTCATGAAATAACCAGTCGGCAAGAGGCAAAGTTTGGGAATAGTTTCTTCTACCCTTCATACACATAACCATCTCTTTCTAGATTGATGGAGAGGGTTCCAGTGTCCAAGCAGGAATGACCAGGCTTCATGAAACTTTTGAGTGGCTTTAACTAAAATGTTGGGCCATGAGGTGAGGCCCAACCTTGTAGATTTAGTGGGGCCTCTTGAGGAGCTACTTCGTGTTAAACACTATTCTAAGATTAAAGCAAAACAAGCAAAAAATATGATTTCATCCTTCAGGACCTCACAAGCTAGCAGACAAGATGGAAGCATACATAGAGGTGCTTCCAATTTCTGCTTTGCCCTGTCCACCCTTCGTTCTGCTAGCAGAACAGTTTTTTGAAAAACATGCCCTTTCCTTGCTTAAAACTTTCTGGTGGCTCCCTGTTTCTCATAGGACCAAGTTGAAGTTTCTTATCAGGACATACAAGGCCTCCACTGATTTGGCCCAGCTTCTTCTACACTTCCACAGCTTGCTTCAGGCACATACCACTCCTTGGGGTGCTTAGAACCCATCATGATTTTTCATACCTCTGGGTATTTATTTATGCTGAGCTCTCTGTATAGAATGCTGTATTAATCTGGGTCCTCTGAAAAACAGACACACAGGATTAAATTGGCAAGGGTTTATTAGGGGAAAATGCATGTGGAACAGACAATGGTGAGGGGGCTGAGAAGGCTGGGAGTGCCATTAGTCCTTCATGCAAGTCTGAGCCCTAGTGAAGGGGGGATAGGGGAGAGCTGGTTAGGCAGAAGGTTTCCAGACGGCAGTGCAGTCTAAAGAAGATTCAGAAAAGCTATTGGGGAGTGCAAAGTCAGCTGTTAGTGGAGTCCTGCAACTTCCAGCAACAGTCTGCTTTGGTATCCCTGCTGTACTCAGTGATTGGTTGGGAGCACCCCTTTGGAGGTGTGACTTAGTACAGACACTAGGATGAGTTTCTGAGGCAGATGGGGTCCTTAATCAGTTGTGCTCCTTGTAGTTGGAGACCCTTGAGTTGCCTCTTGGCCTCTTCTTGGCTACCATAAATTCCTTTTCTCTTTCGTTAAATTCCTCCTGCTTGTCCTTAAAGGGCCAGCTGTAAATGTTTTTTCTTCCAAAAAACTTTTCATTGAAGGAAAATCTCAGAATGTCCATCGTGATCCCACGTCCTGCCATGATCATACCATAATCTTTGCTTGGCAAATTTTTAATACATTTATTTGATTTGTACCCCTACCACCTATTACAGGACCAAAAATCTGTTAGGTACTCAGGAAGTGTTCGTTTGAATGAATGCATTGGTAGGGCTTGGACAGGCAGATCTGGGGAGAAGGTAGTTGAGGCAGAGGGAACTGCTTAAGCAAAGCCATAGAGGGAGAAGAATAAAGGATTTACACTGTAGTTAATAAATGTCTTTTTTCCCCAAATAAGTATATCTTCCCCCAAAGCTGTCATTTTAGAGAAAGCCTATTATGATGCAAAACAGTGGGGGAAAGGAGTGTCTTCCTGGCAGTTGAAAATGATTCATATTTGAGAACTTTGTTGAACAATGTTTTGAGTATTTCCTGAGAGACTTCTTTCTTGAGAGGAAACAGTTGATGGAAATGGAATTTTACTGCTGCCAGGAAAAGTGCGATAAAGATAAAATCTCATGCAACAACTACTACCAGAATAGAAATTTCCATAGAGCAAAGAGATTTCAAAGTCTCAGCTAATGGCTCATATGTATTTAGTATTCAGTGCAGCTGAACTGTAATTCTGTAATGGAATTTGACCAATTTTGAGAAGCCAGTTTGTAATGTATGAATTAGTGGAGACCCATACATCTTGACGTTTGCTGACTCTGCCAGATGTTGGTTATATTTCTGATGGAAAGAAACAGAGAGCTGGCTGGGATCCCAAATCTTAGAATTGCTACCGGCCGCCTACCACTGCCACATGTTGCAGTGGTAGGAGATAAACATGCTGAGGATAAGACCTGAAAAAAAATCACTCTATATCAGCAACTGGAGATACAGCCCATACTCCTTATGAAATATTCTACTCTCGTGGCCTGGGTTGAACCATGTATGAGGCAGGCACTCCTTTTAGCCCAGGCCCAAGTCTGCTCTATGCAGTCTTCCTCATATCTTGTTTCCCTAGAGTTACCACTTGAAGGCATTCCTTATTCGTAATGTGGTGATGATTAATGGCACCTACCTCATGGGCTTGCTGTGAGGTTTCAATCAGATAATGGATGCTGAAGGCTTAGACTGTGCCTGGCATAGAGTAAGTGCTCAATAAATGGTAGCTAGAGTTCTTTTATTATGCAATAGAAGCAGGACTCTGAGGGTAACATCTTAATATTTCCAGTTGAATGTTATCAAAGTCAGTTGTTCATGCATTTGTTAAATTATGGGCCATAGCAACCCAACTCTATGGACCTGGGCTGCTGTGTCCCAGACTGTAATTAACACACAGTTGCTTATATCTGTCTTTTCTTCCAAGTGAGGACAGTTTGTTATGACTTGTAGATTAAGCAAAATTACTTGCTTCTCCATTGTGTGCTAACCTGGTGTAGAATACCTTTTCTTGTCTGTCTTATTTACCATCTCTCTTACTTTCAAATTTCTATTATAATTCTCCTTTAGATTACATATAGCTAACTTAAGAAAGTCCCAGATGTGAAAATAAGGCGAGTGCATGATGTATCCCCCTTCCCTTGATTTTTGCTGATCAGGTGGGGAATCTGACCCAATAGCTCTTCTTCTGTATCCTTTCTTCCCTTTCAGTGGAGTAGTTCACATGGGATATTATCTCCTTTACTTGTCTTTTACTACTAAAACATTTCTTTTAACCATCTTCCTCCTTTGTTTTCCAAGTTTTGCCTGATTACATCAAGAACTACCTCCTCCTCCTCCTCCTCCTCATTCTATCCCATTTGAAAGCCAAACACATGAATTGAATTGTAAATGGTAGGAAATAGAGTATTACTATTGAGAGATGTGTACCAAGGCAAAGGAAAGCCATACATTAAAATGAGCAAGGGGAAAGTAGTATTTGAATTCCCAAAGACATCTCATACTCACTATGTCCAAATCTGAAATCACTCTCTATCTTCTTTAAGCCTTCTCCTGCTAAAGTCCTCTGGAACTTTGTGGCAGCCTACTCTCAAGATGTTTCACCAGTGGGTTTATTTCATTCTTCTTACTCCTACTATTCTTGCTCTGGGCCTGGCCCTCATCATCTTTCATCTTGAGGTAATAACTTCTTTCCTCATCTTTTTGTACCCTCTCTGCCCTGGATGGCCTATATAGTGGCAAAAGAAGGTGTTTTTTTTTTCTTTCCTTTTTAGCTTTTTTATTGTAAAATGAGACAAGAATTTAAAAAATCAAACAAATGTGTAGCTTAATACAATATTACAAGGCACACATACTTGAAATCACCATCCAGATCAAGCAATAGAGCTTTGTCAGCCACCCCAGAAGTCCTTCCAGGTGCCCTCTCCCAGTCAAAAACCTTCTCTCCTTCTGAAATAACCATTATCCTGACTTTTAAAGTAGTTATTTCCTTGCATTTCTTTATCTATAGACAGTGCTATTTGGAAACACCAGTCTTGCTGCATCCAGTTGCCTCTATGCCAAAGTCTAGAGGTGCGCAAATTCCCTAATGGGTATTCTTTTTTGAAAAATTATTTTAAAATATTTAATTGACAAAGATTGTATAAATTGAAAGTGTGCAGTGCAATGTGATGATTTGATATACATATATATTGTGTAATGATTATCACGGTCAAATTAATTAACTCATCTAATACCACCCATGGTGTACATTAGAGCCCCAGAACTTGTTCATCTTCTATCTGAAAATTTGTGCCATTTGATTATTTTCCTATCTCACCCCCTTATCTCTGGAAACCACTCTTTGTTTCTGGGATTCAGCTTTTCTAGGATTCCACATATAAGTGAGACCATATAGTATTTGCCTTTCTGTGTCTGGTTTATTTCACTTAGCATAACTGTCCTCTAGGTTCATTCATTTTGTTACAAATGGCATGATTTTTTTTTTGTTTTTTTAATGGTGAATAATATTCCATTGTGTAATATATACCACATTTTCTTTATCCATTTATCTGTTGATGGATACTTAGGTTGTGACCATATCTTGGCTATTGTGAATAATCCTACAATGAACATGGGGGTACAGATATCCCTTCAAGATACTGATTTTATTTCCTTTCTCTCCGGCCCTCACAGGTTTTCTCAGGCCTACATTTATAGTCTCCTGTTTTGTTTTGTTTTGTTTTTGACATGAGGTCTTGCTCTGTTACCAGGCTGAAGTACAGTGGTACTATCGTGGCTCACTGTAGCCTCAAACTCCCCAGGCTGAGCCTCCTCCCAGCTCAGCCTCCTGAGTAGCTGGGACTACAAGTGTACGCTACCATGCCTGGTTACTTTTTGTATTTTTTTGTAGGACAGAGTCTTGATATGTTGCCCAGGCTTAGTCTCCTTTCTATGATTCCCCCTCCCCTCCCCCTAGTCTCTGTCCGTACCACGCTATTTATAGGCTGCTAGATACCTCAGGTACCTCTTGGTGTTTGCCAGATGCCTCTAGGTATTGGCTCCTGTTGTTCCCTTTCTGAAGCTGCCGCTCTTCCATTCACTGGTGAAATCCTAGACCCAACTCAAATGTCATTTCTTCTGTGGTATGCTGCCCTGGATCTTCCTTCTCTGACGTACCTGGGGTAGAACGAATTCTTCCCGTCCCTGTGTTCTGTGTCCATTATAGCATTTTACACTTGCTTCTATTGTTAGCATTTTTCAGTCTTTGGTACCTAACAGATTTTTTGTAGGTGCTCAATAAATGTTCTTTGAATGAATGAATCTATGTAATCCATAGTTAAAGGTCTTTCAGGGTGTCAGATTTTCTTCAGAATCAACAAAAATATCTTGTTTTGATTTTCACACAAAGTTAAAAACATATTAATTTTATTTTCTGTCCGTAACTATTATTGCCAATATTTGGCTTTACTAACTTTGTGTGATAAATATTTGCTATTTTGGCCACATTATTGGTAAAATAGACCTTTGTGGGCTTTTCTGGCTACCTGCACACCATTTTTATTATTTCAAGGGTAACAATAATTATTGAGTACAACAGTGTGCCAGACATTGTGCTAAGCTTTGTCTGTGCATTATTTGCTGACTCATCACCCTAATCCTTTATTATTTTCATTTTACGTGTCAGAAAGTAAAACTTAGAGAAGTTAAATGAGTTAAAGTTATAACGCTAAGAAAGGGTAGATTCAGGGTGCAAATCTAGGCAGTCTGACTATAAATGTAAAACCCATTTTTTTTAGCCATTATTTTTTTGTTTGTTTTTTCCTCTTTGAGACAGAGTCTCACTTGCTCTTTGTCCAGGCTAGAGTGCAGTGGCATGATCTCGGCTCACTGCAACCTCCCTCTTCCGGTTTCAAGCGATTCTCCTGCCTCAGCCTTCCAAGTAGCTGGGATTACAGGCACGTGCCACCACGCCCACCTAATTTTTGTAGTTTTTGGTAGAGACGGGGTTTCATCACTTTTGCCTGGCTGGTCTCGAACTCCTGGCCCCAAGCGATCCACCCTTCTTGGCCTCCCAAAGTGTTGTGTTTACAGGCATGAGTCACTGGGCTTGGCCGTTTTTTACCATTCTGTGTTATTTCTTATTAAGAAAGATAATAGTTCTCAGTAGCCAACAGTGGACTTTTGCAAAGCATCTGTGGAGCACAGCTCATTTGTGGAAGTTTGCTACCCACTGCCGCACTGGGACGCAAGTCAATTCTTTAACATTTTCATTCCCCCTTCCCTAAATTGCTTCTGTGCAAGGCCCTGTCCAGCTCTACTGATACTAGGTGTGTATATCTTGTGGTGAATGGGTGGCAGCTTGGTTAATGACTCTTGGTGAGCCGGAAATAACAAGGTTGCTCTTATATTGACATGTCTCTTCTTAGCCGCATATATTATTTAGCTTACGGCTACTGTCTTAAGGGTTATCATCACTATAAATGATGTGTTTTGTGCCTGGCAAGGTCATAAGTTGTGTCTTCTAAAATGATATTGGTCATAAATGTTAATTGCTACTTCTTAACTTCCCTTTGAGGTGTTACAAGGAAATCCACGTATGAACAACTGAGGAAGCAATTAAGCAGAAGAACAGCAGCACAGGAAAATCCAATAGTTGGTACTGCACATAGGCCCCTGGGCTTACAGAAACTCAGACCAGGGGCCCCAGAGGAATTGCCTTTGAAATAGCAGCAGTGGAGGCTCAGCCATTTGGGGAATCATTGATGGTCATTGGTAGATGGCACAGACGAATGAAGTCTAGTCTCACATGAGTGTTTGTCCTGTTTCCCTCATTAGCATGTCACTTTTCCAGGTCAGAAATTGTAGTCTCTCTTTGGTTGAGCCCTGTGCCCCTTAATACTGCCCAGTCCTGCATATGGCATAGATATGGCATTGTTCACCTGCAGGCATTTCTTGTCTATTTTAAATAACCCTCTTACTGCATTTTGGTTTTTTAAGTCAGTTTTCCATTTAAGCAAATTGCCAAGGTTTATCTAGAATTTTTGGTTGTGTAAAACTTAGCTGCAGCAGCTAACATTTTCTGTTCCTCTAGCAAATGCCAGGTGCTGTTTAAAACACTTTCTACATCGTTACCTCCTGGAGTCCTCTCAAATCCTTTGAGGTAGGTACTGTTATTCTCCCTGCTTTCTAGCTCAGGATTAAAATTGGCATCACTTGCAGCTTAGAAGATTTCTTGTTATAAATAAAGAAATGTGTTAGGGAGATGTGGTGATGCCCACCTGTGGTCCTAGCTACTTGGGAGGCTGAGGCAGGAGAAACCCTTAGGCTCAGGCGTTCAAAGCTACAGTATGTGATGATCTTGCCTGTGAACAGGCACTGCACTTGTGCCTGGGCAACATAGTTGAGATCGCATCTCAAAAAAAATTGTTGTATTGGGATTTCAGCCGCACTTTCTGCCTAAGGTACTGCCTTGTTTGGAAAGGGTACTTGACAAACATCTGTGTGGCTGGGAGGGTGCTTCTAGAGATAGTGATTTTTCTCTAGGATCAGTTATATAATAATTTTGGGAAAAAACACACCATTTTTGTTTTGTTCTTGTTAGAGAAGTGGCTGTAGCATTTTCTTTCAATGGACACTTTATCAACAGCTTTTCTAGGAAGTTTTATTTTATTGTTTTTGTGGGGGTGAGCTTCAAGACTATATTTGCTGTTGTTTCTTTTCCCAGACTACCCTACTTCCTACTGTAGTGTAAGTACTGTAGAAGGATTTAGTAACTGAAGGTCAGCAGTTTGGCTCTTTTGTTAATTCCTGATGCTGCAGATGAAGTAATGTGTTTTCTTGTCAGATAAAATGTATAAGGCTGCTACTCAGCTTGACAGGAAGAATGAGCTAGAAGTACTTCTCAAAGAAAAACGTCTCAGATAACTTCTGACTTTTCCTTTTTCACTTCCTAACGTTGTTCTCCTGTATCCTGCTCTACTCCTAAGAAGGTATGTGATTTGGGCAATTCATTTAATCTCCCTGTACCTCAGTTCCCTTATTTATAAAATACTGAAAACAAGCAGGTTCCTCTAACAATTTTATGAGATAATATCTGTATAGTACACATCACAGGGACTGGAATATAGAAAGCACTCAATAAACCTTAGCTATTATTAGCAACCACTTGAATATAAAAATGTACACTTATTCAGGGGCCTGAATGCTCTCCAGGTTCATGCTCCAGGAGTATTGTTTTTTTATTTTTTATTTTTTTTGAGACAGGGTCTTACTTTGCTGCCCAGGCTGGAGTGCAGTGGCACAAACACAGCTCACTAAAGCCTCAACCTTCTGGGCTCAAGGGATCTTTCCACCTCAGCCTCCGAGTAGCTAAGACTACAGGTGTGTGCCACCTCGCCCAGCTAATTTCTTTTTTCTTTTTTTTTTTTTTTTTTGTGGAGATGGGGCCCAGGCTGGTCTTGAACTCCTGACTTCAAGCGATCCGCCCACCTCGGCCTCCCAAACTGCTGGGATTACAGGTGTGAGGCACTACGCCTGGCCAAATTGGTGTTATTAGTCTCAAAAGGAAACCTAGGTTGATATCCTGCTTACCCTAAGGAAGGTTCTTCAGAGGTGTTTTACTGTTCTTGGCTAAAGAGCATAAGAAGGGCAGTAACTAAAAGAACTTTAGTGGCCAGATGAGAAACCAGGTAGTTACTGGAAATAGATATTATAATATCTAAATTTGTGCAATTTTATTCTGAGAATATGACATTTGGTTTCATCTTCCTACAGTGGAACCAAATGAATGGGTAACTAAAAGTGGTGTGATGGAGAGGATTGAGTCCTAAATTTGTGTAGTATGCTCTTCCATCAAGGATTGAGATTAGGGGGAGGAGGAGGTAGTAGGTGAGGGAAGAATATTTAAATAAGATGAGACATTTGGCTGGTCTTGGAAATTGATGTCAAGATTCATGCCCCACCTGCTAGTAAAGTTAATCAAGACCAGATAAATCAGGAAGCCTCACTGTAGAGCAGATTTCATTCATTTTACCTCTCCCTTCCTCTCCTCAAATTCCCCACATTGTGTCTGATTATAGCCAGATATGGCTGGGCGTTCTAAGCCTCACCTCCGGAGATTGGTATTCACTAAGTTTGGCCTGACACACAGAGCTCTGCATTTTGAACAAGTTCCCTGGGGATGCTCCTGCAGACCTTCTCAGAAGCACCTTTTGAGAAAACCTGGATTCAAATTAAGGCCCACATATCGCCATAATTGGTCAGTCTGGAATTAGCATTGAGTTTTGGCATCTAGCCACACACATTCACTTGTCCTCTTGCACTTTTGCCAAAATGGGAACAAATGCATTTCTCTTTAGTTTGGGAAAATCAACTTTTTATATTAATGTGGTTGCTAATAATAGCTAACGTTTATTGAGTGCTTTTTATATTCCAGTCCCTATGATGTGCACTGTACAGGTATTATCTCACAGAACTGGTAGAAAAACCTGATTGTGCCAGGCGCGGTGGCTCACGCCTGTAATCCTAGCACTTTGGGAGTCCGAGGTGGGTGGATTACCTGAGGTCAGGAGTTCGAGACCAGTCTGGCCAACATGGTGAAACCCTGTCTCTGCTAAAAATACAAAAAAAAAAAAAAAAAAAAAATTAGCCAGGCATGGTGGCACACGTCTGTAATCCCAGGTACTCGGGAGGCTGAGGCAGGAGAATTGCTTGAGCCTGGGAGACGGAGGTTGCAGTGAGCCGAGATCGTGCCATTGCACTCCAGCCTGGGTGACAGAGCGAGACTCTGTTTAAAAAAAAAAAAAAAACCTGGTTGTTTTCTATATTCTGTAAATAAGGAAACTGAGGTGCAGGGAGATAATAAATGAGTTGCCCAAATTACATAGCTGCTTAGGAGTAGAGCTGGAAGTTTATCCAAACAACCTACTTGAACCTGTACTCAGTTTTTGTTCTTAATTGGTCTCGGGTGCATGGAGTTGTTGGCTGCACTTTAACTGCTACACTGCACTGTCTTTGGAGCCAATCAACTTTTTTTTTTAATGTTTCAGAAACAAGCCAATTTACTTAAAATTTTTTTTTTTTAAATTGTAGTAACATACATGTAACGAAATTTACCATCTTAACCTTTTTTTTTTTTTTTTTTTTTTGAGTTGGAGTCTCGCTCTGTTACCCAGCCTGGAGTGCAGTGGTGAGATCTTGGCTCGCTGCAGCCTCTGCCTCCCAGGTTCAAGCAATTCTCTGCCTCAGCCTCTTAAGTAGCTGCTATTACAGGCACCCACCACCACTCCTGGCTAATTTTTGTATTTTTAGTAGAGACCTGTTTTTGCCATGTTGGCCAGGCTGGTCTCCAACTCCTGGCCTCAAATGATCCGCCTGCCTCAGCCTCCCAAAGTGCTGGGATTACAGGCGTGAACCCCCATGCCTGGCCCATCTTAACCATGTTTAAGTGTACTGTTCTGTGGCATTAACTGCATTCACACTATTGTGCAACCATCACAACTCTCCATCTCTAGAACTCTTGTCATCTTGCAAAACAAATTCTGTATTCATTAAACAATAAACTTCCCGTTTTCTTTTCTCCCCAGCCCCTGGCAACCACTGTTCTACTTTTTGTCTCTATGACAAAGCCAATCAATTTTTGTGTTAAGTGTATACCATTAATCTCTACAGCCAGTAGCTTTCTATTGAATTTTTTAGATAAAAAAATTTACAAGTCAAACCAGGATTTATAAACATATACTCAGTATTGAAACAAGAAGCCATAGACATTTTAAATAGAATTTAGCATGTCTTTAAAAATGTGTAATTGTATCTTTTAAAGGACTTGAAGTCTGCTCCACTATGTAATACAACTAGATTAATATTTGATAACTTACACATAAGAAAGCTGCACTGAAAGGAAAAACAAGCCCTATTGCTGGGTGGTTCCTTTATGCTTGAGAAAGCAGTTTCTTTGGAAAATAAATACATTTGTGATCACATGAATTAATGCAAATTGCTGCATCAGGCTAAAAATCCATTATGCTCAGTAACTTTAATGAGATTGTACATTTTGGGATGCTTTGGACAGAGCAAAGCAATACATATTAAAAGGGCTGATTTTGAAAGCTGAAGCCCCACTTTTCCTCCTGTCAATTTTTTTTAAGTTGAATTGCCTACAGGTTACTAATATTTAGAAAGCTGATTTGCGAAGCTGGAAACCATCATTCTGAGCAAACTATCGCAAGGACAGAAAACCAAACACCACATGTTCTCACTCATAGGTGGGAATTGAACAATGAGAACACTTGGACACAGGGTGGGGAACATCACACACCGGGGCCTGTCGTGGGGTGGAGGGAGCGGGGAGGGATAGCATTAGGGAGATATACCTAATGTAAATGACGAGTTAAGGGGTGCAGCACACCAACATGGCACATATATACATATGTAACAAACCTGCACGTTGTGCACATGTACCCTAGAACTTAAAGTATAATAATAAAAAGAAAGCTGATTTGTGTGGTTACACAGGTATAATAGTTTTATTTCAAGCTTTTGAAGATACAGTTCCACCCCTCCCCCCCCCCACATTTTTATTTTATCTTTCTGGGAAAATCCTGAACCTAGAAGCTTCTTTTATAAACTTTGTTCTGTGTCAGATCATTAATTTGTAAGCTTGATGTAGACAATTTCAGATGCTGTTATTATTCTGAAATGTACTATGGTTGTTATCAATTTTTAGCTGTTTACACAAAGCATTATTATGTTTTAATTTTTTAGGCTATCTTAAAATACCTGAATTGTGTCAGCCAAATAGGGACTGAAGGGTGCTTTATAATAACTTAAAACTTAGATCCTTTTTTACCTAATGATAAAATCAGTAGGAGTGTATTTTTTCATTCAGGGTCATCTGTCTCTTTGATTCTCTTTCATTTACATTGTATGTAATCAGGATATATATGATTTTAAAAATTTGACAATTAGTCATGAGGATTTGTTTTAAAATTAAAAAGTATTATATGTGGTTAAAAATTTTTAAACAGGTCGGGTGAGGTTGCTCACGCCTGTAATCCCAGCACTTTGGGAGGCCGAGGTGGGCAGATTGCTTGAGTCCTGTAGTTCGAGACCAGCCTGGGAAATGGGAAACATGGTGAAACCCTGTCTCTACAAAAAATACAAAAAAATTAGCCAGGTGTGGTGGCACACACGTGTAGTTCCAGCTACTCAGGAGGCTGAGGTGGGAGAATCACCTGAGCCCATGGAGGTTGAGGTTGCAGTGAGCCAAGATTGCACCATTGTACTCTAGCCTGGACAACCAGAGTGAGACCCTGTTTCAAAAAAAAAAAAAAAAAAAAGCGGGGGTGGCCAGGCACAGTGGCTCATGCCTGTAATCCCAGGACTTTCGGAGGCCGAGGTAGGCGGATCACTTGAGGTGAGGAGTTCGAGACCAGCCTGGCCAACATAGTGAAACCCCATCTCTACCAGAAAATACAAAAATTAGCTGGGCGTGGTGGCGCACACCTGTAATGCCAGCTACTCGGGAGCTGAGGCATGAGAGTCGCTTGAACCTGGGAGGTGGAGGTTGCAGTGAGCCGAGATCACGCCACTGCACTCCAGCCTGGGCAGACAGAGCAAGACTCCATCTCAAAAAAAAAAAATTACAGAAAGTGTAAAAAAGTTTATATCCACACTTCATTCAAAGCCCTGTTCAGTTTCTTATCTAGACTTTCATATGGTTTTTATGTCAGTCTAAGTACACACACACACATATACACAGTGCGTGTATCTTTTTTTTTTTTTTTTTTTTTTGAGACGGAGTCTCGCTCTGTCGCCCAGGTCGGACTGCGGACTGCAGTGGCGCAATCTCGGCTCACTGCAAGCTCCGCTTCCCGGGTTCACGCCATTCTCCTGCCTCAGCCTCCCGAGTAGCTGGGACTACAGGCGCCCGCCACCGCGCCCGGCTAATTTTTTGTATTTTTAGCAGAGACGGGGTTTCACCGTGTTAGCCAGGATGGTCTCGATCTCCTGACCTCATGATCCACCCGCCTCGGCCTCCCAAAGTGCTGGGATTACAGGCGTGAGCCACCGCGCCTGGCCGCGTGTATCTTTTTATACACAGAAGAATCATACAATTCTTAATATTCAATTTAGTTTTTAACTTACTATATATTACAAATTATTTCATATGGGTATTTACGTAGCTACTCATAAATAGATGTCCCACAGTATTCCAATGTTTAGATATTCCGTAGCTCATTTAAACAGTCTTCTCCTGAGGGACATTTGGATTATTTAATTTGTTTGTTTTACTATTATAAACAGTGCTGTCAACAGACATCCTTCTACATTTTTGTTTACTCATGTTTGAGGAATCACATAAAAACTTTTTTAAAGAAAAATTGGAGTAATGATATTGAAAGTTTATACATTTTGCTGTTTGATAGTTCCTAATTTTAAAAAAGCCAGTGTAAAAATAACATTTGGAACAATAAAAATGAAAACCAGTATCATATACTTGAACATAGATAACTAAACATACGTGTAAATATTTTGAATAATTACAGCTATCATTTAATGATCACCAATGTACTGTATTTACTTCTCACAACACTATGGGGTAGGTACTCTTTTAAAAAATTTTTAAAGCAGCTTTATTGAATTATAATTGATAAAACTGCACATATTTAATGCATACAATTTGATGAGTTTGTACATATGCATACACCCATGAAACCACTACAACTAAAGTAATAAACATATCTATTGCCTCCAAAAGTTTCCTTATGCTTCTTCTGGTTTGTTGTTGTAAGAACATATGACATGAAGTGGGATCATACAGTTATTTGTTTTTCTGTGACTGGCTTATTTCATTTAGCAAAATGTCTTCCAGGTTCATTCATGTCACAATGGGAGGATTTCCTTTTTTAAGACCAAATGGTATTCATTGTATGAATATATCACATTTCCTTTTTTTTTTTTTTTTTTGCCAGTCTAGTTTTACTTATTATCTCTTCATTTCCCACGTTCACCTTCCCAGAACTTATTATATTATATTATTATTATTATTATTATTATTTTGAGACAGAGTGTTTCTCTGTCGCCCAGGCTAAAGTGCAGTAGCATGATCTCAGCTCACTGCAACCTCCACCTCCCAGGTTCAAGCGATTCTTGTGCCTCAGCCTCCCCAGTAGCTGGGATTACAGGCATATGCCACCATGCCCAGCTAATTTTTTTTTTTTTTTTTTTTTTTTTAGTAGAGAGGGGGTTTTGCCACATTGGCCAGGCTAGTCTTGAACTGGCCTCAACCGATCCACCCACCTTGGCCTACCAAAGTGCTGGGATTACAGGCGTGAGCCACCGCGCCTGCCCCCATAACTAATTTTAAACAATTTCTAAACATCATATGATTCTATTCATAAACACTTCAGCTATCATTATTATTTAACATAGGAAATATTAACATATATTATGGGTACAAATGCTATAATATTTAAAGCACCTTTATGTTATGATATTAAATGTAAATATTTGTTTAAATTCCTGGCTTTCCTTGGTTCATCAAATCAGGTAATAAATTAACCAGACAGGTTCCAATTCAATCAGATACGAATATACCACGTTTTCTTTATCCATTCATCTGTCAATGGACATTTGGGTTGCTTCCTTATCTTGGCTGTTGTGAATACTGCTTCAATGAATATGGAAGTACAGATATGTCTTCAAGATTCTGATTTTAATTTTGTGGTGATACACCCAGAAGTGGGATTGCTGGATTGTATGGTAATTCTATGTTTAATTTTTTGGGGAACCACCATACTGGTTTTCATAGCAGCTGCACCATTTTACATTCCCACCAACAGTGTTACAAGGGTTGCAGTTTTTCCACATCCTCACTGACACATTTTATCTTTTGATTTTTTTGATAATATCCATTCTATCAGGTCTGAAGTGATACCTCATTATGGTTTTGATTTGCATTTCCTTGATGATTAGTGATGTTGAGTTCCTTTTCATTTACCTGTTGGCCATTGTATGTCTTTTTTGGAGAAGTGTCTATTCAGTTCCTTTGTCTATTTTTTAACTGGGCTATTTGGTTTTTTGCTATTATGTTGTAAGAATTTCTTTTTTGTTCTTTTTTTTTTTTTGAGACGGAGTCTGGCTCTGTCACCCAGGCTGGAGTGCAGTGGCATGATCTTGGCTCACTGCAACTTCCACCTCCTGGGTTCAAACAATTCTCCTGTCTCAGCCTCCTGAGTAGCTGGGACTACAGGCGCACCGCCACCACGCCTGGCTAATTTTTTTTTTTTTTTGTACTTTTAGTAGAGATGGGGTTTCACCATATTGGTCAGACTGGTCTTGAACTCCTGACCTCAGGTGATCCACCTGCCTCAGCCTCCCAAAGTGTTGGGATTACAGGCTTGAGCCACCGCGCCTGGCCAGGAATTTCTTATATATTTTAGATATTAGCCCCTTGTCAGATACATGGTTTCCAAATATTTTCTCCCATTCCATAGGTTGCCTATTCGTTCTGTTGATTGTTTTCTTTGCTGTGCAGAAGCTTTTTAGTTTCGTGTAGTCCTACTTGTGTATTTTTGCTTTTGTTGCCTGTACTTTTGGGGTCATATGCAAAAAAATCATTGCCAAAACCAGTGATTTATTTTTATGTTTTCTTATAGGAGTTTCAGTTTCAGGTGTTACATTTAAGTCTTTAATCCATTTTGTGTTGATTTTCATGTATGGTGTAAGATAAAGGTCCAGTTTCACTCCTTTGGATGTAGATATGCAGTGTGTCCAAAACAGCTCATTATCATCTCCACTCATAAATCTGGTTTTTCTGTATTCCCTTTCTAGGTGATAATGTCCCCATTTACTCTGTCATTTAAGCAATACACCTCTAAGTCTTTTCAGTTCTTTTTTTAATCTCTCTTAACTCCTTCTCCTCTTCCATTCTCATGGCTGCAGCTTTGGTCCAGGCCCTCAACAGTTATCACCTAGGTAAATACAGTCATATGTGCCCCAGTGTAGCTTGTCCAGCCTTGCCTCTTGCTATCTTTTTCCTCATATGTTTTTCTTCAGCAATAGGTGAACTCCTTGTGGGTCACTCAGTCACCCCATTCCATCTCCTGCCCTTGGGCCTTTGCGCATGCTAGCTGCTCTGCCAGATCCTCCCTCTTACTTCTTAGCCTGTTTAACCCCTACTCATCTTTGAAAGGCTTGCTTCAGGCATCACATCTAGGAAGTCTCTGCTGACCCCTGAGTTTGGGCTTAGGCACTCTTTTTCCTCACACTTGCCTGTAGCTCCTCTGATGTTATATTCACCACACTGGGTTATAATGATCTATTTGGGTGCCTGTCTTCTCTTCTGGATTGTGAATTCTTGGAGACTGCAGCCATGGGGAAATCTATTGCATTTTTCTGTGTGTGAATGGGAGTGGGGTCTCTCCTTTAGTCATAATGTGTCCTTCTCAGGGAGGCCTTCCTTTGTAACCCTATCTAAAATTGCAACCTCCCCCAACACTTCCTATCCCCCTTCCTTGATTTATTGTTCTCCTTGGCACTTATTGCTGTCTACCATACTATAGATTTTACTTATCTTGTTTATTGTCTGTCTCCTCCCACTAGAATGTAAGCGCTATGAGGGAAGGGATTTTTGTCTTTTTTTAAACTGTTGTGTTCTCACTGCCTAAATCATACCAGGTATGTAGTAGGCACTTAGTGAATATTTGTTGAACGATTCAACAAATTCAGCTGCCTCTGATAGTAAATTTTGTTTTGTTTTGTTTTTGAAGACAGGGTCTTGCTCTGTCGCTTAGTCTGGAGTGCAGTAGTGCAAACACAGCTCTCTGCAGCTTCAAACTCCCAGGCTCGAGTGATCCTCCCACCTCAGCCTCTCAAGTAGCTGAGATTACAGGCATGCACTACCATACCTGGCTAATGTTTTTTGTATTTTTTGTAGAGACAGGGCTTTGCCATGTTGCCCAGGCTGGTCTCGAATTCCTGAGCTCAAGCAATCTGCTTGTCTCGGCCTCCCAAAGTGTTGGATTTATAGGTGTGAGCCACCATGCCTCGCCAGTGTATTGTTAAGAGTGTAGTGTTTGGAGCCAGACTGTTAGACTTCAGATTCTTCCGGCGTCTTTTTTTTTGTTTGTTTTTGAAACAGGGTCTTCTTCTGTCACCCATGCTAGAGTGTGGTGGCACAGTCGTTGCTTACCACAGCCTCGACCTCACAGGCTTAATGTGATCCTCCCACCTCAGCCTCCCGAGTACCTGGGACTACAGGTGTGTGCCACCATGTCCGGCTACTTGTTTTATTTTTTGTAGAGACGGGGTTTCTCCATGTTGTCTAGACTGGTCTCAGACTCCTGAACTCAAGCGATCGGCCCACCTTGGCTTCCCAATGTGCTGGGATTATAGGGGTGAGCCACGATGCCTGGCTTCCTGAAGCTTTTTATCTGTGTGATCATGGGCAGGTCACATAATTTCTCTGTGTCTCAGTCTTTTCTGTTTTTTTTTTTTTTTTTTTTTTTTGAGACAGAGTCTTTCTCTGTCACCCAGGCTGGAGTATAGTGGTGCAACCTTGGCTCACTGTAAACTCTGCTTCCTAGATTCAAGCGATTCTCCTTCCTCAGCCTCCTGAATAGCTGGGATTACAGGCGCGCATCACCACACCCAGCTAATTTTTGTATTTTTAGTAGAGACAGGGTTTCACTATGTTGGTCAGGCTGGTCTCGAACTCCTGACCTCGTGATCTGCCCGCCTCAGCCTGCCAAAGTGCTGCTATTACAGGCATGTGCCACCGCGCTTGGCCCTTTTCTGTTTTAAAATGGGACTAATAGTCATCTTTACTGCACAGAGTAAATAGTTCTGTATAACATATTACAAGATTACCTGGTATGTGGTAAACATTGAAAAAGTATTACTTGTTTTTATTCCTGACTTGGAAAGTTGGCCTTAGAGATGTGTTTATCTTGGCATTTCCAGAGCCTGGCCTGGTAGTGCACACCTGAAAGTATCAAATAATTCTTTGTAAGATAAATGTTTAAATGGAATTTAAGCAGATTTTTCAAAACTATTGTTTTTGTCTTATTTATTTATTTATTTATTTTTTTTGGGGACAGGGTCTCGCTCTGTCACCCAGGCTGGAGTGCAGTGGCACGATCTTTGCTCACTGCAACCTCCGCCTCCCGGGTTCAAGCGATTCTACTGCCTTAGTCTCCGAGTAGCTGGGATTACAGGTGCACGCCACCACGCCCGGCTAATTTTTTTGTATTTTTAGTAGAGATAGGGTTTCACCATGTTGGCCAGGATGGTCTCAATCTCTTGACCTCGTGATCCGCCCGCCTCGGCCTCCCAAAGTGCTGGAATTACAGGCGTGAGCCACCACGCCTGGCCTGTTTTGTCTTCTTTAAATTAGTGTTTTGGATTTTTGATAATTAATCATAGCAGTTTGTATTTAAATTAGATATGTGAATACCTAAAGGACAAAATCTTAAAACATCCTGTTTTTCTTTTTTTGAGAATCTCACGCCATTGCCCAGGCTAGATTGCAGTAACGTGATCATGGCCTCGACCTTCTGAGCTTAAGTGATCCTCCTGCCTGAGCCTCCCAAGTAGCTGGGATCACAGGCATGTGCCACCATGCCAGTTTAATTTTTTTTAATTTTAATTTTGTAGAGATGAGGTCTTGCCATGTTGGTCTTGGACTCCTGGGCTCAAGCAATCCTGCCTCAGCCTTCCAGAGTGCTGGGATTATAAACATGAGCCACAGTGCCTGGCCTTAAACATTTTAGACAAAAATGGGAACTTTTGAGCTTTGACTTTGATTAGACACAGTAAGCGCACTCATGTTCTAAGGCTAGAAGCTCCTTTAATTTTCTGTGGAATGTGGATACTGTTGTAGAATTCCAGGCTGTGCTTAAGCTAGTGGATCTGTTCCACTTTTTAACTCCTTGCTTCATTTTTACCAGCTTTAGAGCCCTATGTCTTTGTAGCCAAGAAAGAAATTAGTCTAGGCCTGTAAAGACTCACATCTAGTTAAGATAGACAAGTCTTCAGTTTTCAGTAATATGTTGCAAAAAAGGCAGAAAACTACTCATCTTGGTTTCTTGGAAAGTGAAACTGTATGTGTACTAAGCTCCATCTGTCAAAAGTAGTATTTAATACTTTTTCCTTAGCATCTTTTCAGAAAATGGGAGCGTGGGTGATGGTGATGGAAATTAACATTTACGGAGTGCCAACTATGGGCCAGACACTATATGTATGTTATTTTGTTTAAACCTTATAGGAATATTGTATGTCCCAATTTACATATAAGGACACTGAGGCACAGAATGGCTAAGTAACTTGGCAAAGATGACATATCTTGCTAGTAAGTAGCAGAGCCAGTGTTTTGATCTAAAATCTTTTTTACTGTCACTTTCCACATCTGCCACACACTTGAACAAGAAAATGTACAGTTGTCATTCATCTTGAATGTTGATAATTTGTCTTATTGTCAGGTTTTTGCTACTTTCAAAAATTGGCACAAAGGTAAAAGAACCTTGCATTTCTTGAAGTTGAGAGGTTTGTGGTTCCATTTGTAAGAAGTTAAATCCTAAAAATACACTGTAAAGTATACTAAATGAGCAAATTAAGCATTAATAGCTGTAAAACTGTACATTTATATTATACATACTGATTTATGTAATATATAAACTAAAAATTAGAGGTGTGAAGGATCCTTAATATGGTCACATATGTTTCAGTTATCCTAAAATACTTTTTTTGCTAATACTCTTTTCGTTTTTCTTCCTTTTTTATTTTTTGAGGCAGGGTCTTGCTCTGTCGCCCAGACTGGATGGAGTGCAGTGGCTTGATCTCGGCTCACTGCAGCCTCAACCTCCAGGGTGTAAGCAATCCTCCTACCTCTCAGCCTTCCAAGTAGCTGGAACTACAGGCACGCACCACCACGTCCAGCTAATTTTTGTACTTTTTATAGTGACGAGGTTTTGATATGTTGCCCACGCTGGTCTCAAGCTCCCAGGCTCAAGCAATCCACCCACCTCAGCCTCCTACAGTGCTGGGATTATAGGTGTGAGCCACCACACCCAGCCCACTAATACTTGATTCTTAAAAAATATTTTAAGAATGTTTTTTCTTATGGCTTCAACATTCTTTGGAAATGTACTTTCCATCAGTAAAATGTTCCTAGTTTCTACTCTAACTCTGGAGCAGTATTTGTATGTGTCATCAATTGTTTAAATTTGAATCAAGCATCAGTAATGGCATACCATTTGGGCTGCTTTGTGGCCCTGATGAATGCTATTTTATTTTATTTATTTTTTATTTTATTTTAATTTTGAGGCAGAGTCTCCCTCTGTCATCCAGGCTGGAGTGCAGTGGCCCAGTCTCGGCTCACTGCAACCTCCTCCCCCTGGGTTCAAGTGATTCTCCTTCCTTAGCCTCCCAAGTAGCTGGGACTACAGGTGCGTGCCACCACACCCAGCTGATTTTTGTATTTTTAGTAGAGATTGGGTTTCGCCATGTTGGCCAGGCTGGTCTCGAACTCCTGACCTCAAGTGATCTGCCCACCTGGGCTTCCCAAAGTTCTGGGATTACAGGTGTGAGCCACCACACCTGGCCTGTGAATGCTATTTTAATATAGTTCTCAGGAATGATTAAAAACAAATGTGTTTTTCTAAGTGGTAGAATTAATAGATAAAATCACTTTGAAATTAAAGTCCTCAGGTAACATAGAATTCTTTTCCCTGAACAAGTCATTATGTAGCACATGGTATAATTTTGGCAGACCCAACTTTATTACCAACAAAACTGTAAAGCGAGTCCTATGTCCTGTTTGTCTTTTCTTCTCGGGGGTTTCTGTTCTTACTAGAACAAATCAAAGTACAGTGTGTGTTGCTGGTCTTCAAGAATTATTAGTTTTTGTTGTAACTGTTTAATGCAGAAACAGATGCTAGAGCAGTTATTCCCCAAGGCACCATGTGCCTAAGGCATTTTTAAAGCACTAGTATGTTTTCAGTGTGATACTGCTACTCTGGAAGAACTGTATACATAGTGGTTCACTTTTCCAGTGTGGTTAGAACTGACATTTCTAAGATATAAAGAAATTTAAGGCCAATTTGGATTTGTACTCTGGCTCTGCTTCCTGCTTAGGTGGAAGACTTTGAGTGATTTAGTTATGCTCTCTGCCTCTATTTTCTCCTCTTCAAAGTGGGGATGATGAAACCTACTTTATAACTTTGCTGTGAGGATTTGTTTCGGAAAAACTCTCAAATCAGCTCTGCTCTCACACCAACAACACAACAACAATCAACACAGAAGACTTCCGTGACAAAATGTGGGGATTTTTTCCAATACACTAAGCAGTGAACACCAGCTGTGTCCTCTAATTCAATTTTGACACCATCTTTCTGGAGATAGCATCAGATCCCACAGGTAGAGGGCGCAGTCCCCAAAATTGCCCCCTCTCCCAGGCACCAGTTCCAAGTCTGGGCCTCTGCAACTTCTGACCGAGGAGCTTCAAGTTGAGGTTCCCATGAACCTCTCCTTGGGTTTGATTACTTTGCCGGAGAAGCTCACAGAACTCAGGGAAACACATTTACTGGTTTATTACAAAGGATACTGATGAAAAAATGTGTAGGGCGAGGTATGGGGGAAGGAGAGTGGAGTCTCCATGACCTCCCTGGGTGTACCACCCTCTAGGAACCTACATGTGTTCAGCTATCCAGAAGCCCTCTGAACCCTTTCTGTTTGAGTTTTTAATGTATTTTATCTAAATACAACCATGTAGAAATGTGATTGGACAAAAAGCTCATGATCTAAACCCAGCAAGGCTTGTCTGTTCAGACTTTTCTTGGCTACTCTGTGTAGCATTCCTTCCCTTAGGGTATGGGACAGGGTCCTCTTTGGAATGAGTGTCTGTTGATAAGAGTCTTCCCTTGGGCAGGTGAAAGGAAGACAGGAGAGGGTCAGAGAGATCTGTTTCCTGAGGCCTAAAGTGCCCCAACATTATAACAACAGATTATGACAAGGGTTATGGAAGTTATGAGCTAGAAACTGTGGATGAAGAGGGTGTGTGTGTGTGTGTGTGTGTGTGTGTGTGTATAACAGGATTATTATCTAGGACTACACGAATTTGATTTGTGCATTTGCTTAAGACAGTGTAATACTGTGTTAGGTATGCAGGCTTGAGAGTCAGTCCATTGAGATACAAATTTTGGCTTCGCTCCTTTTTAGTCACCTGAACTAGGATCACCCACATAACCTCTTTGTGCTTCAGTGTCCTCATCTGTAAAATGGGGAAATTAATAACTACCTACATCACAGAGTTGTTACAAGGCTTAAATGAGTCAATACATATGAAATGCTTTGAACTCCACCTGGTAAGTCTTCATTAAATGTTAAATATTATTAATTTCTTTAATATTGTTATCTCCACTTGTCAGCATGCTATGTCAACATTCATTCACTATGTTCACTAAACTGAGACTTCCTTGAGAACTTGGCCAAAATCAGTATTTGTATCTCCTGAACCTGACATATTTGTACTTAATTTAAAATGTTTATGAAATGAATAAAATAGTGAGGGAATACCTTCATGCTTCTCAGATCTACTCTTTTTCTTCTTTCCATTTCCTTTGAAACTAATCTTTCTCACGTGACTCATATCATATTTGAAGCTGGACTGTCTATGTTTTCTAGAACAAAAATTTGGGATACTTGGTCTAAAAACAGATTAGTCTTGTTAAGGCTGCCGTACTACTTATCACAGTCCCATATTCTGTGTCTCATTAGATGTATTTCTCCTCTCCTACTTCTTCCTCTCTGGTCCCCAACACACAATGTAGAGTCTGGGGCATTGGGGCGTAGAAATGCTTGATAAATGATTATTGACTTGAGCAAAGAGTCTACAGGGGTGATTCAGGGCATGAATTAACCTTCCTCATGCTTTGATCTCAGATGGAAATAGAGCTGCTCATTCACACCAGTGATGGTTTCAAGGTTATTAGGAGCTGCGGTATCTGAATCTGGCTTCTTTTTATTTTTATTTTTTCTGAGACGGAGTCTCGCTCTGTTGCCCAGACTGGAGTGCAGTGGTGTGATCTCAGCTCACTGCAACCTCTGCCTCCCGGGTTCAAGCGATTCTTCTGCCTCAGCCTCACGAATAGCTGGGATTACAGATGTGCATCACTATGCCCGGCTAATTTTTGTAGTTTTAGTAGAGATGGGGTTTCACCATGTTGGCCAGGCTGGTCTCGAACTTCTGACTTCAGGTGATCCACCTCCCTCAGCCTCCCAAAGTGCTGGGATTACAGGTGTGAGCCACTGCACCCAGCCTGAATCTGGATTATTTTGAAGTAACACATTTCGAACCTCAAATGAGGTACAGGATATATGAGACCCAGAAACAGGCATTTGAAAATATTCTGCTTTGTAAAATTAGATATCCGTGCTTTTCTTCAAGGGTATTCTTTTCTCCTATCTCTTAAAACCTGTATATCTGTTTTTTTAAATTTTCTATTTCAAGTCCTCAAATGGTAAATTAGATTGGAAATAATTCATTGGTAAGTTGCAGTCACTATGCAAGGAGAGTTGGCATAAATGGTGCAGTTTTACTCTTGCTGCATCTCTCTACCTATAGCAACATAGAAATATCTTTTCTAATTATAGTCATGAAAAGTCTAATGAACTCTATTCTGTTTTAAAAAAGCCTTTTCCATTTTCTTTTGTTAAGCACTTTCTTTTCTTTTTTTTTTTTTTTTTTTTTTGAGACGGAGTCTCGCTCTGTCGCCCAGGCTGGAGTGCAGTGGCGGGATCTCGGCTCACTGCAAGCTCCGCCTCCCGGGTTCACGCCATTCTTCTGCCTCAGCCTCCCAAGTAGCTGGGACTACAGGCGCCCGCCACTACGCCCGGCTAATTTTTTTTTGTATTTTTAGTAGAGACGGGGTTTCACCGTTTTTAGCCGGGATGGTCTCGATCTCCTGACCTCGTGATCCGCCCGCCTCGGCCTCCCAAAGTGCTGGGATTACAGGCGTGAGCCACCGCGCCCAGCCAAGCACTTTCTTTTCATTTGTGCCATATATATTGTTGAAAATTGGCATTTATATACCCTTCTGGCTTTAAACAATTGGTTCCATTTTCCATGTAACTAGACACAAATGCATTATGCAAAATTGTGTTTGTAAGGAGAGATCATCCTTCATTCCGTTTCATAAAGGTTTTCTCTTTTTTACTGTTTACGTGAGGGTTGAATATGTCTGCCTTCTGGTAACACATTAAGGTTGCAATATTTGTCTAGTTGTAGGAATACTTAGCTCTTTTTTGTTTGAATTTGACATAACACATGGGTAAATCTAATCCTGATGGAAAGTTCCATTTAATTTTTTTATAACAACTTTTAATTGACACATAATGTATTTATGGGGTATAGAGTGATATTTCAATACATGTATACAATGTGTAATGATCAAATCAGGGTGATTAGCATATCCATCACCTTAAACATTTATCATTTCTTTGTGTTGAGAATATTCAACATTTTCTCTTGGCTATTTGAAAATATGGAATAAATTATTAATTGTAGTCACCCTACAGTGCTATAGAACACTGTAACTTATTCCTCCTGTCTAGCAGTAATTTTGAATCCAAGAGCCATCCCTCCTGCCTATCCTTCCCAGCCTGTAGTTGCCGCTATTCTGCTCTCTACTTCTATGAGATCAGCTTATTTAGAAAGCTCCCTTTTTAAACACATAAAAATATTTTTGTAGTGTAAAACCAATATATGTACACTGTAAAAAAAAGTTTGTCTTAATCAGCTTAACATATGTTTGAATTTAAAAAAAATGTAATTATCTTAAAGTTTCAGTTTCTAAAATCAAAGTAAAGTACTAATACCAGTGCTTCCTCATGTATACTCGGTTGAGTTTCTTTTGGGGGTGATGAAAGTGTTTTAGAGTTAGATTGTGGTGATGGTTGCACAATGCTGTGAATATGTTAAAAACCATGGTATTATTAAATGAGTGAATTTTCATTTAGTATGTGATTTATTAATAAAGCTGTTTTATGAAAAGGGTACTCATATCACTATGAATCAGCTCTATCACTTAGTAGCTGGCTGTGTAATAACCTTGGATTAAGTTGCTTTCATTTTTTTGTGCCTTGGCTTCCTCATCTGTACAATGGGGATAATAATATCTTTTTTGTTGGTTGGTTGTGAGGACTAAATGAATAAATACATGCAAAGAGCTTAGAATTGTTTTTTGAAACATAAACCCTCAAACGTCAGTGGTTGTTATTATTCTTATATTGCATGTATAGTTCAGAAGAGAAGTCTGGGGCTGTAGATACACCTTTTTGGTGTGATCAACATAAAGATGGTAATTAAAGCCACACATGTGGATTAGGAAACCCAGGGAGAACATGTAGAATGATGAAGGACAGAGAGCTGAGAGCCAAATCTAGAGAAATAGCATCATTTAATATGGGAGCAGGACAAGCATATCTGGCAAAGGAAACTGAGAAGTCATGTCCATAGAGGTGAGACAGGTGTAGTGTTAGGGAAGGAAAGGAAAAAATTGTCTTCCAAGAAGGAGAATATGGCTAATAGTGTCTTGCTAAAGAGAGTTTATCTTAGTCTAATTTGTGTTGCTCTAACAGACTGGGTAGTTCATAATGAAAATAAATTGATTTCTTACCGTTCTCAAAGGCCGGGAAGCCCAAGGTTGAAGGGCCTGCATCTGCCGAGGTCCTTCTTGCTGAGTTGCCCCATGGCAGAAGGTGGAAGGGCAAGAAAGTTTGAGAGAGCAAGAGGGCAAGAGCAGGAGGGAGCCAAATTAATTTTTATAACAACCCACTCTAACAATAATCTATTCATGAGGGCAGAGCCCTTATGGCCTAATCACCTCTTACCATCCTGGTCCCACCTCTTAATACCATCATAGTGGCAATCACATTTCAGCATGAGTTTTGGAGGGGATATCCAAACCATAACTTTCTGTTCCTGAGGCCCTGAAACCCATGTCCTTCTCACATATGAAGTATATTAATTCTACCTTAATGGCTCCAAAAGTTTTTTTTTTTTTAATTTAAAAATTTTCTTTTTAATTCTCAGCAAGGCAAGGTACTTCTATATAGAAGGGTGCGCCCTTACAGATGGAATAATGGTGAGCGTACACTTGGACAAGGGAGGGGAAGGGGTTCTTACCCTGACGCACGTGGCCCCTGCTGCTGCGTTGTTCCCCTATTGGGTAGGGTTAAGACCGCACAGGCTAAACTAATTCCGATTGGCTAATTTAAAGAGAATGACAGGATGAGTGCTTTGGCGGGAATCAGGGCAGAGCAGGTAGCAGGTAATCGGAATGAGTTAGAGTGGAGCAGGTGATCGGAATGAGTTAGGGTGGAGCAGGTGATCGGAATGAGTCAGGGTGGAGCAGGTAATCGAAAAAGATTCTTTACGAGGAAGTTAAGTTTAAAAGTAGAAGGAAAAGAATTGAACACACTGACATATTAATTCTTTGAAAAGAAATTTAGAACTCATATCTAACAGCCCCTCCCCTTGTATTTCCTTACAGCTTTCTTTTCAAACTTTTAACATGTCTTAGCTTAGTTGTTTTGCTTGATTTTCTAAAAGAAGAAGCTTCTCTGGATAAGGTGGAGGATAGTTAAGGGAGGTTTTAGTAAGTGCTATTTTTATGAGCCTCTGCATCAACTTACGGGTGCATGGTATGACACAGCACCCGACAAGATTAAGTACACTCATTATGGCTGTGAGAGAAATAAGAATTGAGGCTATTATTTCTTTCCGTTTACCGAACTACTTTTCTAGCCATCCTGTAAAGAGGTCATTTACCCCTGAGTTGCTGGCTGACTCATTGGATAGAGCAGTCAGACCTTGCAATGCCTTTGTTATACTTCCATTAGGGGTGGTGGTGTTTGGGATGAAGTGCAACATTGAGTTTTAATCATGATGCAAACTCCTCCTCTTTCTGCTAATATCATGTCTAAGGCTGTCCTATTTTCCCAAGCCATCTGGCTAGTAGCCCCTAATTGTTCAGCTATTCCTTTAACAGCATCTCTAGTGTAGTTAATAAATCACTGTTGGTTGTAATAGATGTAGTTTATCCAATCTACATTTTTATTAACTGTCACCCACCAAAATATTGACAAATCCTGCAGCTATTTGATTTCGGGCTTTAAATTGATCTGGTATTCCCCGTGGGACTCCAATTGCATCTAAATAGACGTGAGAGTCAAAAGACCCATAAGGTACTTCTCTCGCTTTATGATGTCTTATTTTTCCTCCTCCTGGTTGATGAAATGCCAGGGTGAAAGGGATAGCCAATTGGACTAAAGCATAAGTGCCACTTCAGTTACTTGGCAGAGTGTCCAGTAAAGGTCCACCATAATACCACTACACATCTGCTCAGGGATGAATAAAGGCTGACTGATTGGTAAGCTTTTGACAATTCTTAAGCTCACTACATCCCTTCAGGTCTCCAAGGAGTGATAAGTTTCCTCCCTGTCAAGGGAGACATGAAGTGAACCTAGTGTTGGGAGACGGAAGCTGGATGGCCCTTGGGGGCTGACCCGCAGGGTGCCGAACTTCAAGATATAGCAGAGAGAGAGCTTGGCACGACTTATTACTCTAGGCTGTAGAATCCTGGAAAAGAGCTACCATGCAGTCCACGCCTGGTCGACTGGAGGACCACCCTAGTGGAAAGGGGACAATCTGGGCCTCTGGCCTGCCGTGCGCACAAGAATAACAATTGCTTTGTTAAACGTGTGGTCGGAATTTTTGATCCATTCCAACCAGGCATTTGCATCTTGGTATCCTGTCTTAATTGCCAAAGTTTGTTTTAAGTCTTTAACTTCTATGATCCTCTCGTAAAATGAATATATGGTTTTAGGAAATTACAAAAACCAACTGGGGCAGTCCACCCTTGCTCTTTAGTGGTCCACAGAACACTGGACCAACTACGATATAAAGGTCTACATCGGGGGGCAAGCCTCCTGGTTGACACTGGGGTCTTTATCGAAATCTCCCCAGATTAAATGGTCCCAATTTACTAATGTCCAGTCTGAGGAGAGTCAGGAGGGACAGAGGTACTTTTCTGAAGTAGAGAGCTGTCTTTGACTTGGCAAGTCCCCACAGGGTTTAACAAGGCAAGCATTAAATGCAATAGTTTGAGGCAAAATTGACTTGGTTATGTTAATAACTAAATGGTCAGGAATAGAGCGAGGAAAGAAGAAAGAGTAATAGATAGATGAAAGAGTTAAATTTTTCTTAGCTTTAGTTTGGTAGGGTTTTCTCCTGGGACTAGGGCCCACAACTCTGGAGGGGGTGGCGCTTTCTTGACTCGGGTATGATGAGTCCATCCCTTTTTTGCTGTACGAACAGCGGTGGTTAGCAGCACAAGGTAGGGTCCTTCCCAGGCTGGCTCGAGTTTTCCTTCTTTTCACCCTTTGATGAGAACGTGATCTTCAGGCTGGCGCTGGTTTACCGGAAATTCTAGGTGTGGTACATGTGCTAAAAGACTTTTAGTTTTGAGGGAAAGGAAAGTGGAAGATAAACCAAGTATATAATTTCTAAGAAACTGACCTTTTGTTTTAAATGTGGGTACATCAGCAGTGGACTTTATAGTCCTTGGTGCCTTCTTACTGAGAAATTTCCTGTAGCACCTATTTTTATTAGTTTTTAGACCAAAGAAAGCCAAACACCATTTTATATTTGACAATGCTTCCTGTATTATTTTTATACCAGATAAGCTAAATTTCACCTTTATATTAGTGTGTTATTAATTTTAAACTTAGTTTTAATAAAACTTATAGACATAATTTATTCAATTTTTAATGTCTGACCATAAGGTAAGATTTTTATAGACTCTTTTTAACCTTTTATAATTTTTGTTAAAGAGCAGGTTAGTGCTTTAAGAAAAACCCTTTGTGTTTTTATTTTAATGTCCAGTTCACAGAAAAATTGGATGATACCCTTTCAACCTTAGCCAATATGTTTGCATACAGTTTCCTTTACAATTAATGTTTTAAAACTTGCTTAAACCTTCAAAACAAATTTTTTTAACCTTTTAATGTAGGTAAAAATCCACATTCTTATGCCTCCTTATAATCCTTTTACTGAAAGTATATTTTACTTTGCTTATACACCTTGCAAATAAACTGTTTCTGCAATAGTTTTACATTCAGGAGGTCTAATTACTTTTAAATTATACAACATTTCTTGCATAAATTCCTTTTTATAAGACACTTTTTTTTTCTTTCACGGCTTTCACAGACAATTCTTCGACATGCCTCAACTTTCTGACTTATTGCAAACATCCCTTTCTTTAAGCAACCAGTTATTTCAGGACAAGAATTTACCATATAACATTCTCTTTACATAAATTCTCCTCCCCCCTTTTTTTTCCTAAAGGTGATAACCATTCTTTTCCAAAGCGAACTTCCTTCATATCTGTGGACTAGACTGCCTAAGGCCATAAGATTAGAAGTTAGGATAATACATGTTACAAGTTAGGATAATACGTTAACTTTTAGCAAACTTTACTTTTGTTGAAAACTTTGTAAGTTTGGGATTTCAATTATCCTTTGCTGTTAATAAGACCTTGTTTAGTCCAAATTAACTTAGAATTGATATAGATGGTTCCTTCCTGATTCTGTAAGTACTTTAAGGCTTAGCTGAGTGGAAACAGCTCATCCATGTTTGATTAGACCAATTATTAGGCCATTTTCCTAACTCTGCTTTTACAAGAGTTTCCCTGTCAATTACTGAATACCTATTGTGTCTTTTTCACTCAGTCACCTGGGAGGAACCATCTATTGTCCTGTCCTGAAGGGAGTTCCTCCTAGGTCTGGTCAGACCTTTGTGTGGTAATTAATTAAGATTTAGATACCCTGTTAGGAAACCTGCTGCGTTAAGGGAATTATCCGTCGTTAATGTTAAATCATCTTTTTCTAACAGAATAGCCCCATACTTTAAGATTTTTGAGTTAGTAAGCTACCTTTTTTTTTTTTTTTTTTTTTTTTTTTGACTTAGGATAGTTCTGAACTGGTGAGGTGTGCTCACAATCAGGTTTCCTCTAAAAGTTATTTTTTTACTTTCTTCTGTTAGCAAAGCCATTGCTGCTACAGATAGAATGTATTTAGGCCATCTGCGGGTTACTGGGTTAAGGATTTTTGATAAGAAGGCTACGGGGTTGTCCATGGCCTCAGTGCTTTCGGGCTACGTCCTTGTTTACACTGACAACAAAGTGGTATTGGAGTGTTATAGGGTCACGGAGAAGACCTTTAATTATCAAGTACAGGTTCCTAATTTACCTTGGCTTTTAAAGGAATAGGGTACACTGTTTTTTTCTTAACTACTTGTATATCTCTCTCTCTTTCTCTTTGACTTTGTTTCTCTCAATCTTTGACTCCCTCTTTGTCTCTCTGTCTCTTCCTCTGTCTCTTCCTCTCTCTCTCTTTGCCTCTTCTCTCTCTTCCCCCTCTCTTTCTTCCCCTCTCTGTCTTTCCCCTCTCTCTGTCTTTCCCCTCTCTCTTTTTCTCTCCTCTCTGTCTCTCTTTCTGTCTCTGTCTCTGTCTCTCTCTCTCTGCTGGTCTTTCCTTGCCTCTGCCAGCCGCTTATGCTGCTGTTCTCCCCTCTCCTTCCTCTTCCCCTAGGGGAGGGACTGGCGGGAGTGGAGCTACTTTTTCTTCCTCTAAGAAGAAAGGGGGGGTTTGTGTGAGGTTCAAGCCTTGAAATTAGCAGAAGTCTCAACCCCTGAAACCAGGGATGTCTCGCCTTGCCTGTCCCAGGAGGCTCAACCCCTCAACACCAGGGAAGTCTCGCTTTGCCTGTCTCAGAAGGCTCAACCCCTCACACCAGGGATGTCTTGCCTTGCCTGTCCCACAAGGCTCAACCCCTCAAACCAGGGGGTGTCTTGCCTGTCCTAGAAGGCTCAACCCCTCAAACCAGGGAGTATTTTGCCTTGCTTGTCCTGGGAGGTTGACCTGTTTCCCCCCTTTTCCCCTCTGAAGGTCCTTTGCACACTTCCCACTCGTGCTGTCCTCTCTGGCTGCTCCCCTAAGGGAGAATTAGGCCCCTGTTAGTGTTGGTGTGCTGGTATAAATCCCATGGCAGGATCTGCCCTAAGCCATATGAGGTAGCTATGGAACCATGGAGAGGACCCACTCACTCCATCCTGCAGTAGGACTTGTCACCATCCACACAACACCGTAAGCAGGGTTGTTGGTGATCATTCACGCATACACATATTTAGCCCTCCAGAATTTGACCACCAAGGAAGTACTTTACGGCTCCCGCGGCTTATCCTTCCTTGGTCTGCGCACAGAGTCATTGCCACAGTATGTGAGGATCCTTTAAGCTAGGTCGCTGGCCAGTTCCCCCCCCCCCCCCCCCCCCCCCCCCCCCGCATTGCTGAGAGCTTGGGTTATTCCTCGCACTGGGTGGGTCTTGATTTCTCACCCCTGAGGCCACCACAATAGGGCAGGGTGCACTGCAGAACCAGAGACCACCCCAGGAGGGGAATGTAATCCCAGATGGGCCCCCAAATTGTCACATATAAAGTTTCAGTGCTGCTAAAGGAATAGCATTCGAATATACAATTTTCTTTTTAATTCTCAGCGGTGCAAGGTACTTCTGTATAGAAGGGTGCACCCTTACAGATGGAACAATGGTGAGTGCACCCAAAAGTTGTTGGGTTTTTTTTCTTTTTTCTTTTTCTTTTTTTTTGCATGATAACATCTCACTGCAGTGTCAATGTCCTGGGCGCAAGCGATTCTCCCACCTCAGTCTCCCACATAGCTGGGACTATAGGCACATGACACCGCAGAAGTCTTAACTCATTCCAGAATCAACTCCAAATCCCAGAGTCTCATCTAAATCAGATATAGATGAGAGACTCAAGGCATGATTCATCCTAATGTGAATTTCTCTCCAGCTGTGAGCCTGTGAAATGAACAAGTTATGTGCTATCAAAATAGCATAGGTTAGACATTCCCATTCCAAAAGGGAGGAATAACCAAGAAGGAAGGGATAACTCATCCCCAGTAAGTCCAAAACCCTTCAGGGAAAACAACATTAAGTTTTAAAGCTAAATAATAATCTCCTCTGACTACATATCCTGCATCCTGGGTACACTGGGATAGAGATTTGGCCCCCAAGGCCTCAGGCAGCCTTGCTCCTATGGCTTTGTTGGGTTCAGTGCACTCAGTAACTCACAGGTTGGAGTCTCCTACTTGCAGCTCTCCCAGGCTGATGCTGTAAACTAGGAGCTCTACAGTTCTGGAATCATGGTAATGGTCCCAGTCCCATATTTCCACTATGCATTTCCCTATTGAGGACTCTCTGTGCTGGCTCCAACCTCACATTTCTACTTGGCATTTCCCTGGTAGGAGCTTTCTGTGGTGGCTCCACCCCTCTGACAAGTCTCTGCCTGGGCACCCAGGCTGTCTGTGACATCCTTTGAAATCTAGATAGAGTTAGCTATGCCCCCACAACTCTCATATTCTGCACACCTGCAGAATTGGCACCATGTAGACACCACCAAGGTTTATGGCATGGACTTTGTGGAGCAGCAGCTCGATCCTCACCTGGGCTCCCTTGAGCCATGGCTGGGGTGGCCATGGAGTGCTGGGCTGGAATGCAGGGAGGAGAGACTCTGGGCAGATAGCCTGTGGAGTATGCCCCAGGTCTGTCCTCCAGAACCATTCTTCCCTCCTGCAGCTCTGGGCCTGTAATGGGAGGGCAGCCTCAAAGATCTCTGAAATGCCTTTGGGGTCTTCCTCCATTGTCTTGGTGATTCCTTTTGTTAGTATGAATCTCTGTAGCAAAGGGTTGCTTGGCCACACCGTTGGTTTGCTCCCCAGGAATGCTTTTTCATTCTGTACCTGGCCAAGCTGAAAAATTAAAAAATCTTTCTGTTGTGCTTTTTATTTTATTTATCTATTTTTTTGAGACAGAGCCTTGTTCTGTCACCCAGTCTAGAGTGCAGTGGTGCAATCTTGGCTCACTGCAGCCTCCGCCTCCCGGGTTCAACAATTCTCTGCCTCAGCCTCCCGAGTAGCTGGGATTATAGGTGCCCGCCACTACGCCTGGCTAATTGTTTGTATTTTTAGTAGACGGGGTTTCACCATCTTGGCCAGGCTAGTCTTGAATTCCTGACCTCGTGATCCACCCGCCTCGGCCTCCCAAAATGCTGGGATTACAAGTGTGAGCCACTGCCCCCGGCCCCTGTTGTACCTCTTTTTAAATTGTAAATTTCATCTTTAACTCATTTCTTTCTTCTCAACTCCTACTGTATATGGTTAAAAATAGCCACACAGCTCCTTTGATATTTTGCTTAGAAATTTCTTCTACCAAATATCCTAGTTCATTAGTTCATTGCTCTTAAATCCTGCCCTAGGTCATGCACACAATTCAGCCACATTATTTGCCACTTCATAACAAGGATGGTGTTTACTCCAGTTTACAATAAGATATTTATCTTTTTTATCTGAGACCTCATCAGAATGGCCTTTATGTCCATGTTTATACCAACATTCTGATCATGACCCCTTAAGTAATCCCTAAGAGGCCTCAGACTTTCCCCATAGCACGTCTCTTCTTCCGAGCCCTCATCAGAATCATCCTTAATACTCCATTTATGGCAATCTAGGCTTTTTCTAATCTGCTCTTCCAGGTTCTTCCAGCCCCTACCCATTACCCAGTTCCACATTTTCAGTTATTTTTTATAGTAACAATCCTACTCTCGGTACCACTTCTCTGTCTTTCTTCATTTTGTGTTGCTATAATAGAATACCACACATGGAGTAATTTATAAATAAAAGAAATTCATTTCTAACAATTCTGGAGGGTAGGAAGTCAAAGGTTGAGGGCTCGGCTTCTGTTGAGAACCTTCTTGCTGCATCATCCCATGGTGGAAGGCAGAAGGGCAAAAGAGGGCAAGAGCAAGTGAGCAAGAGAGGGCCGAACTTGCTTTCATAACAATCCACTCTCATGATAACCAACCCACTTCTGCAATTATGACATTAATCCATTAATGGGGGCAGAGCCCTCATGGCCTAATTATCTCTTAAGGGTTCCGGTCCTATCTCTTAATACCATCACAGTGGCATTTAAATTTTAACATGAGTTTTGGAGGGGACATTCAAACCATAGCAGAGGTTTAAGTAAGATAAAGACTGAGAACTATTCATTGCATTTGGCAAGTTAGAGTTATGGGAGTGTGGGTCTATGGACCAGCCTACAGAGAGAGGGCTGAAAGAGTGAAGAGGAGGTGAGGAAGTAGAGATGGTATATTCTTTTGAGGAACATGGTCATTTATTCAATGGTTATTTATTGAGCTCCTACCATGTGTCAGGCCTTGCTCTAGATGTTAATGGCATGTCAGTGAATAAAACAAACACATTTCTGCCCTGAAGAATACCACTTTACATTGGGCCTATAGAGGGAAGGGGAGAAGAGGCTAGAAATAGGGTACATAGTCAAGGAAATCGTGGAGTTTTTTTTAAAGGAAAATAAGTATTTAAATATATTTAAGTTAAGGAAACATGGGTAGATACAAAGTAGAGATGAAGTGGTTGACAGTATAGGAAAGACAGGATAATTATTGGTCAAAAAATATGGGGAGATAGAGATCAAAACATAGGTAGAGGCTCTTTGTGAGTCTTGAATGGGAGAAGAGATACTTTATTCTTTCTCAAACTGGAAGGAAAGAGCTGATGTGCACACAGTGTGAGGGAATGCTTCCTAGATGACCCTGATTTTCTAAGGGATGTAGGAGCAAGGTCACCCATATAGAGAGGATTGTGATAGGGGACTTGAGAGTCATGAAGCTTTGAAATGAGCATTTAGGGTAAGTGGAGAGTCAGATGAAGGAAGACAAGTGGAGGTTTGTGGAGTAGCACTGAAGAATTTGTAATGACATTAATTTTTTATCAGTGTGGTTTTACCAAAACTGTTCTCAGCCTCCTACATGCAGGAATGAAGAAAGCAGTTTGCGAGATTGGTCCTGGATTTAGAGCTTTGTAGGTAAGTCATTTATGGCAAAAAGCCAGGTTGGGAAGGAATTGAGAGGGCTAGTGAGAGAATAGGTTCCATGAATCAATATGGTGTTCAGAGATCAGAGGGAAAGTGTAGATGAGGACTGGTAAGGGCTTTGAGAAACTGAGGGTAGAGTCAAAAGAGTAGTGGTCTTTAGCTGAGTGCAGTGCTACATGCCTGTAGGCCCAGCTACTCAGGAGGCTGAAATGGGAAGATCACTTGAGCCCAGGTGTTCAAGGCTGCATTGCACATGATTATGCCTGTGAATAGCCACTGCACTCCAACCTGGGCAACATAGTGAGACCCCTGTCTCTTAAAAAAAAAAAACAAAAAAGAGAGTAGAGGTCTTAAAGAGCTATGTAGTAGAAGTTATGGAGCTGAAAAATGAGAGAGGGCTATTATGTGTCAGGGATGAAGTAATATGTGATAACAGATCCTACTCTCTCACTATAGAAGAGGTAGGTAAAAAAGAGTGGAGGTGAAGATCCTTAAAGCAAAGGAGTTTTGGGACTCAGCAATCTAGGTTTCTGGATTGGGGTGGGTGTTGCATGTGGATGATAGAATTTTCAAGTACCATGGCAAGTGTTGGCATAGAGAACAAGTTTGAAAGCCAAATTTCAAACTCTTCAGCCAATGGGCAATAAGTGACCAGAGACCGGTGTTTGATAGTGATGACAACGGATGGTAAAGGTCACTACAGATAAGAAGTCTGAGAACTATAAGATGGTGTGTTCAGATTTCATCAGATGATGGCAGGAGATGAGATGGAGAGGCCACCAGTGACCCAAATGAATGAAGGCACACGTCCAAGGAGATGGATAGATGACCATGATGAGGATGGGTAAAAGCTGGTATCTCCAGATGATATCAAACTAAAGGAATGATGCCATGAGTATGGAGTAATAGACTCTATAAGCAAGGGGGAGGCAAGAGGAAGCTTGCTTATTGCCCTCTGAGTTACATAGTTAAGAGGTTCACAGGGGGAAGAATTTTAAGAAGACAGCCAAGTTTCAAGGAATGTGGGTGGTTGTAAGGTAGGGTTTCTGATGTTAAGATATAGAGAGTTTGATTAACAAGGATGGCAGGTTCTATAGGACGTAGTTTTTTTTTTTTTTTTGAGATAGGTTCTTGCTCTGATTTCCAATCTAGAATGCAGTGGCACAATCATAGCTCACTGCAACGTCAACCTCCTAGGCTCAGATGATCATCCTGCCTCAGCCTCTGGAATAACTGGGATTACAGGCGTGAGCCACCACATCCAGCTAATTTTTTGATTTTTTTTGTAGAGATGAGGTCTCACTGTGTTGCCCAGGCTGGTCTCGAACTCCTGGGCTCAAGCAGAGTCCTCCCACCTCGGCTTCCCAAAGTGCTGGGATTATAGGTGTAAGCCCCTGCACCCAGCCATATAGGACATAGCTAGTTTGTTTGTTTGTTGATGAGACAGGGTCTCACTCTGTTGCCCAAGCTGGAGTGCAGTGGCGTGATCTTGACTCACTGCAATCTCTGCCTCCCAGGGTCAACTGATCCTCCTGCCTCAATCTCCCGAGTAGCTTGGACTACAGGCATGCACGCCACCATGCCCAGGTAATTGTTTTGTATTTGTAGAGAAGTTTTACTATGTTGCCCAGGCTTGTCTCGAACTCCTGAGCTCAAGCAATCTGCTTGTCTGGGCCTCCCAAAGTGTTGGGATTACAGGTGTGAGCCACTGCGCCTGGCCCAGGACTTAGTTTAATGAATGGGAGAGAGAGAGGGAAGGGAAACAATTAGGTCATGTATGTGGAGTGGAAGAAGGAAGCCCAGAGCAGTAAGTAGATCAGGATAGGCAATTGGATGAGAGTCATGGGTAGATGTAATTGGCCTTTTGAGTCCCACAATTTTTTTTTTTTTTTGTACAGGCATTTTCAGTAAATGCCATGTAAGCAGTGCAGAGTGCCACAGGAGTCACTGGTCAGTCGCTTCCACCAACCGTTTCCTTTTGCAGATACTGCCTGGGTCTGAACCTGATTAAAGTTCTACATTATAGGCTTCCTACTCCAAATCCTAATGTTTATTCTAACTAGTATCAGTCTGTTTCAGTCAAAATACAAACTATAACAATGAACACGCTATTTTAGAAATGTAGCCAAAATCCTTACTTATGATCTATGATTATGTTTCTTTTAAATTTTAAATGTATTCCTAGGAGTGAACGAAAGCGTTTCTTCATAGTGTTTTATGGTCACCATTAGAGCCCAAATCCTGCTTTCCCTATAGCAACTGGGTGGTTGTGTTTTTATTAATCTATTAATTTATTTTAAAAAAGAAAAAATAGCAGCAAAAGTAAAGTAAACCTTAGGAGTTACACAATGGATTGCATACTTAATGCTATGGACAATTGCTAACCCAACCTTACTTTAACATTTACAAAGCCAGTTTTGATTAGCTCTTTATTCCTAGTTATCAGATATACTCCATTTCTCTAAATTAAGTCCAGAGGTGGTCCTTACTGAGATTTATAGCCACTGATACCACAAAGTCTTATAATTTAGCTGTTTAAGAATTCTTTTGGGTAAAAATAATTTAGGAAGGAAATCTAGTGTTCACCAGGTTGGAAACAACTGGACATTAGTAAAATTGAAGCTCCTTAGCAAAGCTTATTCCGGTTTGTTATATAACATACCGATTAATAGCCAGAGGTTACCTGGATTCATACAAGAGGCACTGTTTCTCAAGGTCAAGCATTGCATGGCCCTTTATTGCAACTTTTCTTTTAAATATGAACGTATAAGTCAGACTTATTTTTGGATGATCATAGTGAAACCCGAAGATCCATAATGAAGTTTATGTGACAGAGATCCCCACACAACAATCTGAGCGATCTCTATAGTGGTGTACAACTTCCCTGTTGCTTTGGCAGTTTCTTAAACGTAATTATTCCCAAAGCAAATCTATTCAAGCATATTTAAAAAGAATGGGACAGTATTTGGCAAGCATAAGCGTGTTTTAAAAGTGATTCCAAAGATTTAAAGGTTTTAGCTGTAAGAATGATGGATAATGAGAATTGCAGAAAATTAGCGAGAGTTCTTTTGCCAAGAACAGTAGTTTGGGAAAGCTTTGGGCTTTAAATAGAGGGAATTATGAATAAAGACAGTAGTTGATAAAGATGAATACAGTAAAAATTAAAGTGTTGTTGCCTTTAAGAGTATTTTATGTATAAACTTGATTGATGTAAACTTAATTGTTCAATGTTTAAAAGCTCTAATTAATGTAGTTTATACTTAGTATGAAGCACATCAAGGTCTCCATTTCCTCTACTCACTGGAATAATTGAACTATATATTCAGACTTCTCTCACTGCTTCACTCCCTACATATATTCCCCTTTACTTTTCTCTCAAAAATCCCTGACTTCTCCTGATAAAAATAAATTGCTTTAAACATTTATTGTTAATAAATGCATTAATGAAAAAGCAGAAACATTTGTGGTGGTTTCTCTAGTTTTTTAAAGCAAATCTCTGTAGGGGTTCCTAATTTAGTTCTGTTCCACGTTGCCCTCTGGTCACTAAATCAAACACAGAGCCACTGCTGCTTAGGGAGCTGGCATTCTAGTAAGGCAAGCTAGTGCTAGGGCACTAGCTGGAAGCCTGTTTTGAGCTGACTGGAGGCTATGAACCCCCTAAAGAAAGAGACAGGGTCCCTTGGGCCTGAGGCTTATCGGTGATGGGAGGAAATGTTGGGTCCAGCCCCTGGGGAGGTGAGGTGCACTAGAGAAACTGAGAGGCAAACAAGTGTGTCCACCAGGACCTAATGTTGCTCACAACCCCTTAACCACTTAATCATCTGTCATTCTTTTAAGTAAATACCTGCTTATGCTCATTTTATCGTTTTGAACATTCCATCTTCAGGGTGCTAACTTGACAAATTTTTGGTAAATCTGTGCAATATTAGATAACCACAGGAACCTTTTTATTCAACTCCCACACTTTATGAATGGGAAAACAGACTCAGAGAGGGGGAACTGAGATAGAGTTGGCTTTCTGGTAAGATAAGCTTCCTAATTTAGCATGGGGATTATGCTTATCACTGTGTCTAGCTCATTCCATGTTCTTTAAATATTTGTTTCAATAAAATGGGATAGGCCTTTGGATTAGGGGATCTCACAAATACACAGGCCCCTACACACACACAGATTATTGATTTGATTTGGAAAGAATGATAGGAGAAGGTGAATGTCTGAGGCCAACCATTTGCAATTCTAAATCTGTGGCCCCCTTCTTGTTCAGAGCTGTTAGCTGCTCTGACCATCTTCTCCTCTTTAGTTAGGGTGCTACCAGGGCAGTATGGAAGGTTTCTTCCCACTGCTTGCCCTGCATATGTGCTTTCTTCTTACTCGGCACCAGGCCTTTCCTGCATTGCAGGTATTGCAGGGCCACGTGGTATGACACAGTTGGGTGAATTTGATTACACATGCTGTTTATTTTTGCTTCCAGTCTAGTGCTTACCCAGAGCCCTCCACTCTCTGCTACTCCTTGCATTCAACCCTAAACTGAGTCATTTATCATAACCTTTGCTGAACCTTTTGAAGCTGATTTTTCTTTCCTTTTTGCAAGCATTTTGTTTTATTGAAGTCTTGAATGAAGTCACAATGTACTATTCTGTCTTTTGTTCATATGCTAATTAAGAAGTGTTATCTAGTTAGCGTGGCATAGTTCATTTACAAAACTATTCATGGTCATTTTGATTTTATAAGGTTTCTCTCTGTTTCTGTTTCGCAAAGACTGTATATATGTTTTTTAGTTAAACAAAGTTAATGTTAATTTCTTTCATTTGTGCTCCCTGAGTTTCAAGTGTAATAACCCTGCAGATATATTTCACCTATTTGTATTAGAATTATATTTTTTTCCATGGACATCAGTTTTTTTTTTTTTTCTTTGTCAGAAGCAACTAGTTATTGGCAGCAAAGGAATTTATTATTCCATTGTGCTATATAACACAACTAACAATTTTTTTTCAGTATTTACAATATGAAGGCACTGTTTCATAATTGCTTTATAAGTTGTCATCAACATAATCACCCCCTTTGAGACTGGTGGGAAAACTGAGACATCACATGGTTAAGGAGCTTGCCCCAGGTTACATAACTAATAAGTGGCAGAACCAATATTTGAACCCAGATATCTGGCTGTAGAACTGATACACATAGCCAGTATGCTTCTGTTCTTCATCATCCCTTGTACAGGCTCTTTGAAACAACCTGGTAATTGCCATGCTCTATGAAAAAAGGCCATTAAAATTGCAAATATTGGAGTACCTCTGATTTTTGAGCATCAAAAATATACCCATCAGAAGATATTCATGAGACAGTTAAACATTGAGGCTCCAACCTTGTTTATACTATATTTTCATCTCTGGTCATACATAACTTGATGACCCTTGGTGATCTCAAATGACTCTAAATGATACTCTGATTTTGGGGCTAGGCCTGTTTAATCAAATGAGTGAGCCATATCTGTTTGTAATTCTTCCATCCATCCATCTTTCCATCTGTCCATCTATAGAATTCTTCATCTGCACGTAACAGACACTTAGGTGTTACTTATCCTTACTGCAGAAGAAGTCCTGTTGTATCCTAAGAGAATAAGACACAGCTTCAAGAATCACTGGCTGATCACCTTGAGGGGAAGCCAGTTTGTAAGGGTTCGCCAATTTTATGTATCTGCAGCCTTCCATATGTTACAGGGACTCTTAATTAAGCTGCTGAATTTGGCATTAGTTGAACTTTCAGTTTACTTTCAAGGAGAGTCATGCAGACAATTCCAGTCCAAGAGAACAGCAGTTGGGAATAAACTGAGATACTTGGCGAGAAAATGAGGTGGGAGTTGAATTTGATGACAGCAGAGCATTCTTGCTGGAGACTACTAGTGGAAAATGAAGTTAGAATGGCAAGGGAAAGTAAGGTTTGTTAGAGTAGCTCTGAAACCAAGCACAGTATACAACTGAAAATAAAATTCTCTTGTCATTGTATGCAGACTCTAGCTTTGGAGCCTGGCACGTGTGAATTATACAAAGATTTTCAAACTAATTTGATCGTATTCTAGATCACAAGAGGCCAAAATTACCCAACGCTCAGACACATTAATCTCTTGGAAATTTAAGACAAACTCTACGCAGCCCCAGTCAGCCTCTACATTTCAGCAACTCTTATTCCTTTCTTCTGTATTTACTTAGCAGTGCGCTGCAAATATACTTGTATACTTCCTTCACTTATGTCCTACTTGTGTTTCCTGTCAACTCTATGAGATTGTAAACTTGCCTATTGCAGGAATTGATACAGCCCTAGCTCAGAGGTCAGTGAGAGGTAGAATGCAAGCAAAAGGAGAGAAGTGATTGGGCTTCGCCTCAGCCTGTACCTACTACCCAGCTGATACTTTTCACAATGGCAAAAGGTGAAAGAGTGGAAGAAAAGGGGGAGAGTTACTCTATGGCACATGGCAGGAGGAAGATTGGTACCCTTGGAGGGCATGTATGGAATTTAAAACCTGCTCACTTTGGGAGGCTGAGGTGGGCAGATCATGAGGTCAGGAGATCGAGACCATCCTGGCTAACACGGTGAAACCCTGCCTCTACTAAAAATACAAACAAATTAGGTGCGTGTGGTGGCGGGTGCCTGTAGTCCCAGCTACTTGGGAGGCTGAGGCAGGAGAATGGCGTGAGCCTGGAAGGCGGAGCTTGCAGTGAGCCGAGATTGCACCACTGCACTCCAGCCTGGGCGACAGAAGGAGACTGTCTCAAAAAAGCAAAACAAAACAAAACAAAAAAACCTGCTCATGCATTCTGGGCAGGGCAATGCAAGGCAAGATAAGTGGAGCCTTGGATAGCAATGGGCCTGTCTTTGAGTTATAACCTGATAAGGTCCTAGTCCCAGGAAAATAGCTAGGGGAACGAGGAAGAAATAACTTTCCTTAGGGAAATCACTTAAAAAAATCACCTTACTAGGTTCCATTGTTTCTGAGCTCCAGAGCAAGATGGAGTGTGTATATATGTGTATGTATGTATAATGTTTTAAAAACTTTATTGTTTATTGCCTTTTCCATCCCAAGGTACCAGAAAATTTCATAAGTGGCAATTTTTGTGATTGAAATATACCACTTAGGTGTTCTAGTTGTTCTTCTACACAAGATTCACTGTAGTCTCAGCATGGGGATGGCAAAAGCTGATAGGAGAAAATTTTCTCTCTTGTCTTTTGAACATCAATGAAAGGAGAGTTTTCCTTACCTCTCTGCAGCTCTTGAATGTTGAATTTTAATATTCTCATTTGGAGTTTCATTTGAACAAATAGCTTTCTTCTCCAAGCCCTTGTACCACCAATCATTTCAACCTGCAGTTCTCCTTCTCTACTCCACCTCACCCTTTGTAGAAACAATTCTTTGGTCTTAGAAAGGTTTAGACACAGTTCATTAACTAGTATTTTGTATTTATAAAAATTCAAGTGTGTGGATGAAAACTACTGAAACAAGTCTTGTTGTCTAATTGTAGTAGAGTATCTAGGTTTAGAGTTGATTGCCCAGTAGTGTTGTAGAGACTATGACCCAACAAATAGTGCCGTTGATTACATGCTGTTATTTACTCATTTATTAGTGAGCACTTTGTGTGGGCTTCATTACTAATTGTTATGTCAAATATCTGTATAAATAAATAATATCTGTTAATCATTGAGATGTTATTCTTTAAAATGTAATTTTCAGTTTGTAAAAAGTGCAAAGATAATGTTATATCACACCAGTGTCCTTTGACGGCTTTGGCAGAGTCTTTAAAAAAATTTTTTTTATTTCCATAGATTTTTGGGGAACAAGTGGTATTTGGTTACATGAGTAAGTTCTTTAGTGTGATTTGTGAGATTTTGGTGCACCCATCACCCGAGCAGTATACACTGAACCCAATTTGTAGTCTTTTATCCCTCACCCCCTTCCCACCCTTCAGTCTTTTTTTTTTGTATGAGACTTTATATAGGTTAGTGATATTTCTCCCTGCTCTGCTTGCAGAGAAATCAATGCTGTGAAAAATACCCTGCCCCAGTTTATGATTATTAAGTGAGATAAACTTAAAAAGAGAACAGCTCATGACTGGCTGATTTGAATGTTTGTCTTATGCCCAGCCTCTGTTCCATGGTACACACTAGTGCCAGATGATAGGCCCTTCTGAAAACCTTTTACAATTGTCCTTGTATTTTATGGCAGGATATGTTCACAGAAAATTTTCTGTAAGTCAAAATAATGTAAATTGAATCTGATTTTCTTCACAGAAACAATATTACATTGGGGATTATATCTCTGGCCTAAAGCCTGACTTTTTATAAAAATAGAAATAGCTGTAACCATCATTTTAATCAACTGTTTAATCAGCTGGAAATGATGAATCTGAATACTGTTCAGGAGAAAATTGTCTGAAGTATGTTTAAAATCAGTTAACAAGGCATCACAACAACCAGTCACATTAAATTATGTTTAATGAACTAAAGTGTCGTAGTAGACTATACAAAGTTTTTGTCATAATCACTGCCTTGTTTTTACTGAAACTAATTAGAAGGTGGTTTTTCTTAAAGCAGTTTCTGCAAAGTCAAGGACTTCTCACAGGATTTCTTTTAGTAAATTTTGATAGGTATGCTTGAGGAGACTTTTGGGGGAGACTTTGAAGAGACTTGGTGTTTCGGCTTTTTGAGAAACTGAATTGAGATTTTCTTCATGCTTTGCTTTGCTCATTGTAAATTCCCTGTAGCAGACATAGATTTTGGAGAACAAATTGTTGGTCTGTCTTCATTTTGATTGTCACCAGAGAAGGGTTAATGATAAAATTATGGTTGTTGAGATCTGAAGGATTATTATCAGCAGGTAAAGAGGGAAGAGTATTCTATGCCGAGGGAAACAGTGGAATACTCAGGGACAAGAAGGGTCCTCCGGCTTACCTGGAATGGAAAAAAGGCCAATGGGTTATAATAGAGAAAGAGAAGAGGAGGGCAAATGAAGTTGAGGAAATAGGAGGAAGAGACCAGACTGTGTATAAAACTTTGCAGGTCAGAATAAGGATTTTAATTTTCAGTTCTAAGATCAATGGGAAACGATTCAAGTGGGGCCTGGAGGAGCAATATGGTTAGGTTTGTGTTGCACATGGTTGTTGTGTGGTCCTAGCTAGGTTAGCCCTCAGGGTACTGTGCAGCCATCATTCTTGGCACTTAGCTGAGTTGTATGAGCATTTGATGAATGCCCGGTCTCCCCTCTCCCTATACTCTAAGCTCCTTGAAGGCAAGGACTATGTCTTTTTTACTCATCACCCTGTCTCTAGTGCTGTACACATAGTAGGAGCTCAATAAATATTGGTTGAATGGATGCATCAACTGTGTTAACGGATTTACCTTGTGACCCACTATTAGGCAAGGGAGTTACTTTTTTATTGAGGTGAAATTCACATAACATAAAACTAACCATTGTAAAGTGAACAATCTATTGGAATTTAGTACATTTATATTTTTTATAACCACAAACTCGTACCTAGTTCCGGAACATTTTTATCTCCTTAAAAGGAAACTCCATACTTATTAAACAGTTACTCTGCATTCTCCCCTCCCCCTAGCACCTGGTAACTACCAATCTGCTTTCTGTTTTTATGGATTAACCTATTCTGCATATTTCATATGATGGAATTATGCATTATGTGACCTTTTGTGTCTGGCTTCTTTCACTTGGCATAATGTTTTTGAGATTCATTCACATTGTGGAACATATCAATGCTTCATTCATTTTTATGGCTGAATAATATTTCATTGTATGGATATACCACATTGTGTTTATCCATTCATCAGTTATGGACATTTGGGTTGTTTCCACCTTTTTTTTTTTTGAGACAGAATCTTGCTCTGTTGCCCTGGCTGGAGTGCAGTGGTGTGATCTCAGCTCAATGTAATCTCTGCCTCCTGGGTTCAAGCGATTTTCCTGCCTCAGCCTCCCAAGTAGCTGGGATTACAGGCATCTGCCACCACGCCTGGATAATTTTTGTATTTTTAGTAGAGACAGGGTTTCACCATGTTGGCCATGCTGGCTCGAACTACTGACCTCAGGTGATCCGCCCACCTTGGCCTCCCAAAGTACCGTGATTACAGGCATGAGCCACTGCACCAGACTGTTTCCACCTTTTGAATAGTTCTGCTATGATCATGCATGCACAAGTTTTTGTTCTGATACCTGTTTTCAATTCTTTTGGGCCTATGCTTAGGAGTGGAATTGTGGGGTCATATGGTAATTCTATGTTTAACTTTTTAATGAACTGCCAAACTGTTTCTCATAGGAGCTGAATCATTTTACAGTCCCACCAGCAATGTATGAGGGTTCCAATTACTCCACATCCTTGTCAACACTTGTTATTTTCTTTTTTTTTTTCTTACAGGCTGTTCATTCACGCCATCTGGAATGCATGAATGAACTTCCCCTTATTTGCAGTGAATATTTCATTCCTTGGTACTTTATTACATGGTTATTTCACAGTATGAAAATAGAAGTAAAACTCAAAGGTATATTGGACAGAATTGGATTCTAAATTCATAAAATTTGAGTCCAACAGCATTCTGGTACATTGCTTTCTGAGATAGACCTGCAACTATTAGGAGAACCCCAGTTTTTCTCTTATATACTATTTTTAGGATTGAAGAAGCAGTCTAAAGGACTAATCTCACATCCAAAGAAGTTTCTTCCTTCTGAACATATGTATTGGTTAAATCATTTAACAACTCTTCTATTGGAGGTGTCTTTTGAGAGTTGCATTGAGAATTATGAGGAAGCCCCATGTAGTCTTATAGCTGAACGTTCTCATCATAGGCAATTTTCTATTGGTTTGACACATTTGTATTTCTACCCTTCTCCTTTTTGTTTTTGTTTTGTTTTAGTTTAGCTGTGCTCAGCATGCAGGGAATAGTTGTATTTGCTTATAGTAAATGACTGGGAACCAAGCTGAGATGTCAGCAGAACATTGTAGAATACTCAAGTACACTGACTATATAAAGATCATTCAGATTCCTGTCCATCTGAAGTAATCAGACTATCAGTCCACCATTAATTTGAGGTCTATCAGTCCTCATTAATAATGCTACCAATGCAAATGCACTTTAATTCCATTCTTTGAGGACTGCCTATATTTCATTGGGTTCTGCCATTTTTCTTCCCTTAAGTAATGCTATAACTATTTTCTATTTGACAGCATGTAGAACATTTTACATCATATCCGAGTTTACAAAGTAGAGTAAGAATAGACTTAGAATTGTATTAACATGTTGCATACACATGTGCTTTTTATAATAATGCAAACTGGAGTGAAATGCATTGCAGTCAGGAGAATTGAGTCTTTATGAACTTTTAATTTTTGAGTACTAGTCATAACTAAGCTGCTTGCATTCCACTGAGCAAAGGTTTCCTAATGAAGAAACCTACAACTACTGTGTTGTTTCATGATTTAGCTGAAAGTATTATTTTCTGTTTAAAGCTTCCTAGGCATTTTTTAATGTTGGCTGTAAATTCTTATAATGGTTCTAGATACCCCCTATGTGTGCTTTAGAAATACCCCATTGCTATTTTCAGTCATACACTTGAATAGAACTTCTAACTACTGTTTGTCTTATTTGGTAAAAAACATTTGTTTTGTGGAAAATTGTTTGGTTTGAGGGTGGTTTGGCCTTTAGTGTGAGTGGTGTTTTTGTGAAGTCATGCGTTTTGAATGTATCCACTCTAATAAAAATTATTTCAAATGGCTTTATCTCTCCTCCCTGTCCCTGTGTGTGTGTGTGTGTATGTGTGTGTGTGTTTTCATTTTACAGCAGAAATCCTGTGTATAGGTAAGATTTGTATTCTAAGAGGTTTATTAATTTTAAAAATTGCCCTCATGGTAGTTAATTCTAACCTGATTTACTTGCAGTTGTTTGTACCTTGGTTGCTGGGAAATGGATTTCATTCTGTTTTATCAGAGGAGTAAACAATTTCCCTAGGGTAATAGGCACATTTGAGAAGGCATTCATTTTTTCACATTTAAAGATTACCATTAAGTAAATTGCTACTGTGGTGCTTTAAGTGGGCATCTTAAAAGCCTGAAAGAACCAATGTACCCTCTAGTGTACCAAAATTAGCACCTTGAAGGAGTTTTATCTAGTCAGTTTGTACTTAAACATTTTTTTTAAAGGCATTAGCACATGAACCTTTCCCTGGACTTTGTGACTTTTCATGAGGTTTTATTTATTTTTCCCTCCTTTTCTGCTTTGAAGCCTGAAATTGTTTTTGTTTGTTTTTGTTTTGGAGAGAGTCTCGTTCTGTCACCCAGGCTGGAGTGCAATGGTGCGATCTCGGCTCACTGCAACCTCCGGCTCCCAGGCTCAAGCGATTCTCCTGCCTCATCCTCCTGAGTAGCTGGGATTACAGGCACCTGTGACCACTCCTGGCTAATTTTTGTATTTTTAGTAGAGGCAGGTTTTGCCATGTTGGCCAATCTGGTCTCGAACTCCTGACCTCAGGTGATCTGCCCACCTCGGCCTCCCAAAGTGCTGAGATTACAGGCATGAGCCACCGTGCCCGGCCCAAACCTGCAATTTTTTATTCCACATATATTGTCTTCTCGTGTGTATTAGTTTGTAAGTTACTCTTTATCCTGAAACAGGGAGTAATTTCTTCCTCACCCTTGAATGCTTTTTTTTTGTTTTAGGGGACTAGGCTGAAACAGGTGGCAAGTGATGCAACATCCAAAGCCACTTTTCAAGCTTTTTTTTTTTTTTTTTTTTTTTTTTTGAGATGGAGTCTCGCTCTGTCACCCAGGCTGGAATGCAGTGATGCGATCTCAGCTCACTGCAACCTCCGCCTCCCGGGTTCAAGTGATTCTCCTGCCTCAGCCTCCCAAGTAGTTGGAATTACAGGTGTGTACCACCACGCCTGGCTAATTTTTGTGTTTTTAGTAGAGACGGAGTTTTGCCATGTTGGCCAGGCTAGTCTCAAACTCCTGACCAAGTGATCCACCCACCTCGGCTTCCCAAAGTGCTAGGATTATAGGTGTGAGCCACCACACTCGGCCGGCCACATTTCAAGTTTTATTGCTAGAAAGTCCGTCCCCACTAGCTGGGTGCGGTGGCTCACGGCTGTAATCCCAGCACTTTGGGAGGCCGAGGCGGGTGGATCACCTGAGGTCAGGAGTTCGAGACCAGCCTGGCCAACATGGCGAAAACCCGTCTTTACTAAAAATACAAAAATTAGCTGGGTGTGGTAGTGGGCGCCTGTAATCCCAGCTATTCAGGAGGCTGAGGCAGGAGAACTGCTTGAACCCAGGAGGCGGAGGTTGCAGTGAGCCGAGATCACACCATTGCAGTCCAGCCTGGGTGACAAGAGCGAAACTCCGTGTCAAAGAAAATCTGGCCCCACTTTCCCCTGCTTCATTTTAGATCAGATTATTTAGTCAAGTCCTCTCCAAGTTACATATGAAGAAACCAATGCCAGGACTTCCCCAAGACACATACAGACCGATTGATGGTAGAAGGCTATTAGGACCTTGATCTCCTGGTTTCTTGCCTCTCTTTATTAAGCTTTAGAAGCAAAAACACCCACCTGGGATCATAGCCAAATACTTAATTTTATCAATTTTTGGCATACATGGATAGAAATTGTCACAAATACAACACTGATCTCACCTCATAACCTTGAGTGCTTTGCCAGTATAGCTGATTGTGAATACCATGTGTTTTTTCTACCAGTGGACTCTAGCATAGATGTAGCCCAGATATGTAGACATGTTTGCTGAGATAAGAGGTATATTACAGTAGCATTGCCCAAAACATGTTGTACAGAATGTGATGTCACTGGATTTTCCTTGTGGGAAGAAAAGAGTTCTGTGGTCAAAAAATTTTGGGAAATGCTGACTTACACAAAGTTAAAAGAGGTTTCTTCAAGACTTTATGGAGCTTTTACTACATGGGTATGCATTGTGAATAACCAGGAGGAGGGGTGGGCTTCCCCTTTCTCTAAGGAACCTCATTATTAACTTGTTCCATGTAATTCAGTCTGGGGAACATTGAGTGTGGTGTCCTGATATTCTTGCCATTTATCTTACTGTGGCATTCCTAGTTGGCAGTACTCAAAGGCACATTAAAATTTAACAATCTAAACAATTTTTATTTATATGTAAGGCATTACTGAATATTTGTCGTGCTCTTCTTTTTATGCTTCAATATCCAAGTTATACATTACATTTCAAACGTCTTGCTAATTTATATAGTCTCTTTTAAGCATGTTTTAGGAATAATTACAATCAGATCATCAGTTATATTTATAGCAGCATCCAGTCTTTATAGTGCACAGAAGCTTCAAATCCAAAGCTTTGGGGAGAGGGAAGAGATGATGGAGAGACAGTGTCAATAATTCCAGTGCAGTTCCCAAGTGCCTGTGTACTCTGCCACAAAGGGAGAAACGAATTCCTATTTTTACTGTCAGGATGTCAGATCAACAGTTCCAAAATACTAACGGTATATGTTCTGGACAGCAGCCTCCATAAGCTCCTCCAGTGGCCCTCAGTTGTCATCAAACATGGCACTTGTCAAGCTCCCTGGCTAACTCTAGTCCTCTTCATGAACACTGAAGAACAGTGTTTTCAAAACCAAGCACTCTCTGCTAGTGGACCATAATTCATCCTGCCCCTTTAGGCAGGGGTAGCACCAAAATTTCCCGTGCCTCTTCTGTAGAGCCAGAAACTTTCTTGCTTTAAATAAAACATTTACATGTGGGTTATGTTGAGGACGTTGCCTAGTTCCATGCTGGCCCAGTTGCTAGAGTTTCAATATTCCTATAGTTTGTTAACATCTGCAAACCTCATCCTTTGTTCCTGCGAATAGTTTACAGTCATTTAAAGTGATTTCTGGGTGTTTCTGTTAATCCTGCTGTAAGCAGTCTCTTACGTTATGTGACCTTATTTTATAGATAAGGAAATGAGGCTCAACTAAGCCATTTTCTCCAGGTCTCATTTTGAAGAAAAAAAAAATGTAAATAATATTTCTCAGAGTCATAACTGTCTTGCTTTCCCTGTCCTCTCCAGATTTTGCCCTGAAAGCCTTCCCTGTAGGAAGAATGTTTGTTTTTTTTTAAAGAGATGGGGTCTTTACTCTGTTGCCCAAGCTGGAGTGCAGTGGTGATCATAGTTCACTGTAACCTCGAACTTCTGGGCTTAAGTGGTCCTCCTGCCTCAGGTTCCCTAGTAGGTAGGACTACAGGTGTGTGCCAGCATGCCCCGCTAATTAAAAAAAATTTTTTTTTCGTAGAGACAGGGGTCTCACTATGTTTGACCAGGCTGGTCTGGAACTCTGGGCCTCAAGCAAAGCATTGGGATTACAGGTCCAAGCCACTGTGCCAGGTCCAGGAAGAATGCGCCCCCCGCCCCGAAACCCTTTACTTTCTTCATTTATTCAACTAAGCCATGCTCCACAATGGAAACTTGCTTTTTATCTACCTCTTTTGTTGGGGATGTTAAGAAAAGTTATAGCCTGGATGTGCTCTTTAAATTAATTACATTTACAGCTCGGGCAGTTTTTAAGCCAGTTTGCTTTTTGTATGGTATTTAACAGTTTACTTGGAAAAATGCATTCATTGGTTTTGCTGGACACACTCCAACTTGTATTTGAACTGGCAGACCTTTCTAGGAAACATCACTTTTATAGTAATGACACTATCACTGAAAAAAGAAATAAAACCCTGTTCAGGTCGTCAGACACCAGTTTTACAATATTTTTTCTTTTGCTCCAGCTAGAGTTTCTTATCTCTTCTTAAACTGTAATAAAAATTCTTCTGTGGTGATCTAGAAAGTAATTTTTGGATGAGAATTTATCTCTTCTAGGTAATGATGCTGGTCAAGGCATTTTTCTCCCTAATATCCACTGGCTTTTTTCCTTGCGATTGCTAGATATTACTGTTGGCTGCTGAGATATAACTTTCTTACCTCTGAGATATCTAAATAGTGAGAAAAGTCTTCCATCCCTAAGGGACCTTTCCACATAAACCATCTGCTTAGGCCTTTGTTGCATATATTTTTGAAGCTTGAATTTACTGTATTACAGTGACTCTTAGGGTGGAGAAACTGTATCATAGTGAATACTTAGATTATGTCTCTTCCTCTTAAACTACAACTAAAAGTTCAATTCAACTTTCCTCCGAAGCTTATTGTTTAGCCCCACTTTTTATTGTGGTCCATTTATTGTAGGCAGGGATTAGAAAAGAACTTCCCAAGATGAGGAAAAATTACTGTGTGGTGTAAGATACTGATATTTAAAATAATAACACCTTAAAATACAGAAGTTACAAAGGCAAATCAGGTCTTTGGAGAAGAATAACAAAAAGATATGAAATGGTGCAATAATGGGGCTAAGGCCGCCAGAGTACTGCTTTGAGCTCTTAAGGAATAGACTGTCATCTGATGCTTCCTTTGCTGCCTCCCATGGAAGTACAGGAACTAGGCAAGCCATAATTGGCTCACTTCCCAAGTTCTGGGAAACTTTACAAGGATCACAGGGGTTGGTACAAGTTGCTTGATAATCTGCAGCATTCTCTCTGAGATTTAGCTGCCATTGTGTTGCCAAATTTCTGCATGTCAGTATGCAGATGGTCCCATCTCTCCCTCCAGCCTCTGAGGTTTGTAATCTATATTTATTTCTCCTCTTTTCAGCCAGGTTGGGTTTTGAGGTCTTGGGGCCTGCTTTATTCCTGCTTTTTATTTGCATGTATATTTTTATCCATTTCCTGAGGGTAATCGTAAATGGTTAGCTGGATTTTCAGCCTCACTGCTCCTATCTTTAAGAGTTAAGAATCTCCTTATTTAGAGTTTTAAATTTTGTTAAGTGTTTGGAATGAAAGGCTGTGTGTAGAGATGGGTAGGGTGAAAGTGAAAGGGAACTTCTGAGGTTTTGTATACTTGCTGGTTAAGTTTCTGTGCATATTGTCAGGCTTTGGGTTAGGAAAGATTCTGTTAATAAGGGAAGTTGAGTTGCTGAGACCCCAAAGGAACACTGAGAGTCGCAGGTTACTTCCTATAAATGGAAGAACCTGAATCATTAAAAGATAAAATTCCTGTTAGAATCTTGAATCACAGAATGTTTACAGTATTTTTGATCCATCAACTTTCTATTAGCAATCCTTTAATGAAGCTGCATTTCAGTCTTTAGAGCCACAATTTCTGAGCCCTGAAGTTCTTGGAGTAAGGGCATGGTGGGGGAAGGGGGATCAGATTGGGAATACTTAGAATTGATTGTCCCTGGTGAAATTAAACTGCTCAGTGGATCACTTTGAGATAATGAAAGGTCCACTCTGAGCTTCCAAACAAGGCATTGTTCTTATCCAAATCCTCATGGTCAGTCTTTTTCTTAAGTGTTGTGCTTGCTGATTTAGGTGTTTGTGTGAGGCTTAATATCCATTTCCTGTAGTAGTTTTTTTTTTTCAATTAAATGTGAAGCCATTGGGTAATGCCTAATTAGAGAAATCTTTGTGTTTAGGGATAAACTTTATGTATTCATTTGTCCTTTGGTCAGGTGTTTGAGAATTTCAGTTAATATGACTGTAATTAAGCTTTAAAGGCAGAACAACACAAAATGCCCCATCAGTCTTGCTTCACTTCCTTTGGCAAAAGGAGAGACAGCTTAATCACTTCAGAAGTTGCAGTAAAAGCAAAATCTGAAAAGTGCAATTTTAAGGATCATTTTAGAGTTATGATTGTAAATTACACATTAAGTTTATTCATTTTTGCTTGTTATAATGGAGTGGGCTTGGAAACCTCAGCAATTTGACCACCGAATACATTGTAGTTATTTTAACCAAGAAGCTTAATACACTGGAAATGTTTCCTGGCACTGTAGTGATCTCCTCCCCATACCCCCACCCCTTCAGCCCTAGTATGGAAATGCTGACTTCTGGGAGCATTTTAGTAGACATCTGAAATTTTGATGAAATGCTCTTTCAATTTTGAATTTGGCCTTTTTAAGACACTATGCTGTTCAAAAATATTCCTGCTTCAGAGAAGAAAATAGCTTTGGGCTGGAGAGTGGAGAACCATTTTAAATCATTGCCAAGTCTTCAGATTTTAATAAGAAATTTTTTTGTTCATTTTTGAGCAAATACTTTTATTTGCTGTGGTTGCTTACAGAAAGCAGTTCGATGACCAATAAAAGTAATGCTGTAACTGCCAGGGATTACGTCGGTTTTAAGATTATTTGCTGATAATCCAAGTAGCTTTGCATTATATCAGGGCCTGTAATTCTCATTATCAGTGATCTGAATAATTGATGGGAGATAACCACATGCAAAATAAATTGTCGAAGGGGAATCTTACTTTGCGAGCAGCTTAAAATGGTTGGACGGAACACTGAGGGTTATTTGTATTTTTAACCTTTGGAAAGCAAATTGTTTAAATTATTTAAAGAAATAGTGCAAGATTATGGCTGGCATACTAAAAACTTGCAGGATGTTATTTAAGGACGATCACTGTTTGAAAGAGTCTGTGGCAGTAATTCTTAGCTGTGCTTGCAAATTAGAATTGTCACCTGGGGAGCTTCCAGAAAAATTAAATATTAAATAAAAGAACCAGGCATCAGTATTGTGTTTAAATCCACTGTGTGACCAGGATTAAGAGTCAAAGATCTATGGCTAACTCATAAATATAAGTTTGCCAGCAAATGGAAAGGATATAGAGGTAGGCTTTATTTCAGATCCTTTTGCCAGCTTTTATAGTAACAGTCTTGTATTGAGGTCTCTGTTTTTCTTCAGTTCTTATCTAGTCAGGTCTGGAGGCAACCAAGGAACAAATTTTATTTCCAATGGCTTTTCATTTTTTTATGACTAGCAAAGACATAGGATTTTAAGATGGTGCCAGTTAAATAATTACTGTGTTAGGTTTTTTATTGAGAGGCCATTTTGGGGTATAAATTACTTGCTTTATTTTTTTTTACAGCATTCAGTTTATACTATGGAGGTATAAATTAGGAGTACAAAAGGTTGATTTTTATCTTGAGAAAGAAATTTACATTGCTTTCTCTGTTAATTCATATATTGTAAACATATTTTTTAATATTTGCCATACTTTATTATGTAGTGTGATGTGTCATTAAAATAGAGTCAGTACCAGCATATTTCCAGTTTTAAGAAATGCTGTTCTTAAGGACAATTGAATGGGAAGCAGTTCAGCACAGGATGGACTCCTAATGAATTACAATTCATTACGAGGTGCCAGGAATCACACACTCCCACTCCAGACTACACTGCGTGCCATCCAAATGGGAATTTTAAAAATGATTTCTACTTAGCGTTTCTCTGCTTTGGCAAAGACACCTACATTATTCAAAATCACAGGAACTAACACCACTGTTTTTAACACTCTATATTGGCAGCAGGTGGGCAATTACATTGAATTTACTTGAGTTCAGCATTGCTATTTTTTATGTGAACCAAATATTATTATACAGTTGCAGGAAATTCCACCAGCCATTGCAGTTTCATCAGCTTTTAGGGTGAAACAGGCACGGAAAAGACACCTACTTCATACTACCCCACCCCCAGTCTCAGGCACGTCTCAACCCAAACCTGTTTAGGGTAAAGAGACTGTAAAATGCTATTTTGGAAAATGCTCAGGAGTGGACATTCTGCTGCTTCTTTCAGGCTTCTGTTTCATCATCTAACAGCAATCACTGCCGGGATGTGCACACACAAAACCCCAAACCTGCATAGTAATTTCAATCCATTTTCTCCAATTTAATGGAGATAGAGGCCACTTAGGCCTTATTCAGAAAAGATCAGAGAGATAGTGTATGAGGAAAGCTCTTAGTGAAACTGGAAATGTCATTCAAATGTAGGGAATTAATAAAAATATCAGTGTGCCTAAAAAAATTGTATTGTGCTTTTTCCTTTTGTTCTTTGGCATGGAATGTAGAAGACAATTCAGAATTGGGAAAGCACTAGTCCATTTCTGTTTTAAGTTAATCAGTGGTTGCTGTAATTGAGGGGAAAAATCTATATTGACAGCACATGACATATCCTACTTCACTGATTCTCTACCTCCTTTGCCTCTTCCCCCTTTCCACTTGTAGAATTAACTAAGAACTTGTATAAAAGGTAACCCTGCCTCATTTACTCTGCAGCCACTTCTTCCTTGTGTGAAAAACTAAACAGCCATATGAATATTAAATTAAAGGTTGCAAATTGCAATGTATACGTGGACTTGGCATTTTCTGTAATTCAAATTGGTACATTATAAGAGTCAGGTCTGTTGTGGAGACCACAGAGAGGCCTTAACCTGCAACAGAAGGTGGGAGCTGGGGTGAAGCCAGATAAACTATACATCTGGCAGGTGCACACACTTTCACTTTTAAGTTTTACAAAATGGATATTATGGAAAATTTGGTGCTCTTATCAGTAAGCTGTGTCAGAACCTGTATATTACAGTTGCAAACAGAGAAGTAAGCCCCTAAATCAAAGCTACCACTTGGTAAAGGTACTGTTTACTGGTTTCCAGGAACTGTGTGAAAATTTATCTATGAATCATTTACTCTTAGCATGCGAAGGACCTTGGACAATCAGTTGTTCTAATGCCTTGTCTTTGGGCAGGCAGATAAATAACTAAGCTATCCAGCATAGATACTTAACTGACTTTTTCCAGGTCTCCAGGGATCCCACAAATTCTCTTAGCACATGCCAGAGTAGCTTTCCAGAGTTATATACAGCCTGAATCTCTTCTACTTCAGTTTGTCCCAGTTACTTTTTGCATGATTCCCTACAAATTTTGAAGGCAATATCATAAGCTTAAATGAAAACGCAAGGCAAAGAGGTTTTATCTGTACTTGGGGGGTGATTTTTAATTTTTAAACGAAGAAATAATTTTCCACATACCATCTACATAAGATGCACAAATTCAGACTGGAGTACTTTCAGACATTGTAGATAATTGGAAGACTACAAGTTCTAAGTAGTCTTGCTTAAAATGATTACTTTGAGGGTGGGATTTATACCTTTGACCTTTAAATAGATCACTGAAAGGAAGGAAAATCTTTGTGACTACATATATTAAAACATTTTAGGTTGGGGAATTATAGTTCTAAAAAATAATGGGAATATATAAATGGGTATTTGTTTCTGTCATGCATCCTTTGACTTATATATGTGGTAGTCTCAGATATGGTAATATAGTACCATACAAGGAGACTGTCCCAAATTTATATAAGAAAAGGGTATTATCCTGATTAAAGTGAAGAGAGTGAGGCCTTAGCAAAATTAAAGGGTGGGATAAAATAGAGCCCAATCTTGAAACTTTTAGGTTCGGTGAGTCTACTTATTAAAAATGTAAAAGGGGCATGAGAAATATATTGTGTGAATTGGAACTTTACAACAATGAGGCTCTGAGAGATTGCAAAATAAACTATCCTGTAAAGCCAAATAACTAGTTTCTTTTTAGAAAAAGTCGATCATTTCTTCAATAGAGGCAGCCATTCTATTTCTGACCTTTACACTTATACACAATTATTTTGTGTTTAGAAGTAATCTGCATTATGCTTTCTGTTCTCTAGTAAGGTAGTTGAAAGGTTGTCCTCAGTAGTTGCATAATAAATGAAATATTCCCAGTCCATTCTTTCGTGAGTTAGTGTGTTGCTAGTGAAGGTTATGGTTAAGATTCATTTGGGCTGTGGATGAAAGAAAAATGATTGGCAGTAAAAATATTGTTTCTCTAGGGTACTTTCTTTAATCATTTTAGAATTGCACTGTTGACCTCAGAACAGTTGGTTCAAACAGCACTTTTACTAATCTTTACTATGTCAGCAAGTAAGAGCTTAATGGATTTTGAATTCCCTAACAAGGTTTTCTCCTCTCCCTACTACTTTCTCGCCAGATTATGGCCCAGCATGCTTGGACAAGAATTATGGGCTTGGTAGAAGTGTGGACAAATGTGATGAAAAACTGAATTTTTTCCCTTTTCTCTTGGTCAGTGTGCTGGAGAAGAGAAACGAGTTGGCACACGCACAGTGTTTGTTGGCAATCATCCAGTTTCGGAAACAGAAGCTTACATTGCACAAAGATTTTGTGATAATAGAATAGTCTCATCTAAGGTAAGTTTTTGTTTTAACTCAATAGATGTTCATATAGTGAATCAGATAATGCATTCTAATTTGTGCTTCTGAGGAAACTGATGCATTTATGTATGTGTACATGTATTTGCATGTATATGGATCATATACCAGCTATAATAAGTATTCCTCTGAAAGACAGTTTATTTAAAAAATCACTTTGTCTTGTTATAGGTGAAAGATCATTCACTTGCCTTCCGTTATGATTCACAGTGCTTGTTGATTATGCATATTACTTTAAACCGTAAAGTTTGCTAAAAATACAAATTACTTACTTGTGCAAAGCTTCCTGAATTACCCTTGAATGGATGAACTAGGATATAAAAGAATGCAAATTCTTTTATAAAAGAATTTGCATTCTTTTGGAGAATGCTGTCCTGGAATGACTTTATTTGCATTTCTTTCTAGTTCCCCTGCCAACCCCTCCACCTCCCATCCCACTTCTCAAGTATTAATAGACTCCTACGTCCCAAAGGGTGCATGCTGCTCAGTACACTGCTTCAGCTGTGATCTGTTAAGAGTTAAGTCACTGCAGCTGTGTCACCGTTTGACTGCATCTTTCTTCAGCATAGTGTAGGACTAAGAGCATTGGCCTGGAAGTTTGAACACCTGTATTTAAATCCTGGCCCAACCACTTACTAGTTGTGTCACCTTGGTCAAATTAATCGCCCCGATTCTAAATGTCCTCGTTGGTGAAATGGGGCTAATACTCTGTGAAACCACTTCTTATAGCTCCTAGTACTCAGTAGTCATCATTCTGCAAGTGTTATTTAGCTAGTCTTTACCTCTGGCTGACCAGGTTAGGTGCTAGGTTGGCCTACTGCCATCTCTTATAGAATGGAATAGATCTTGAAGATTTTCCTCACTTCCTCATGTGCCCTGGCAAGGCAGAGATAAAAGTTGGTGACATTTGGTTCACTGTACACTTGTAATCACTTAGAAACTGAAACACAAAATTATGCCCTTCCTTAAAAATATATGACATTTTGGTTTTCAAATATGCATTTAATTTCTTGTTTGGGCGGTGATACAGTAGTGATCATGTTTTGCTGGGAGATTAACATGTGAAATATGGTCAGGACAGGTGAAAATTTTGTTGCCTAATGAGCAGATATGTAGGCCTATAGAACATTTTATTTTGGATAAAAATGTCTATTTCCTCTTAATCTTACACACTAGTGGCAGAAATTTTATTCTCAGCCAGAGGTTGACATACTTATGCCTAAAATAGTGAATAGTTCTTTTACTGGAAATTTCAGCTCACCTTGTGGTATCCAATTAAATGGTCTGTAGTAGTCCTTTGATTCAGAATTGTGGACTTGTAGAGCTAAATGGTCTTAAGAGGTTAAGGCCAGAGAAATTTAGGCACATGGTCACCAAGCAGAGTTAGTAATAAAACCAGGAGTAGAACTACTTTATAAGGTCTAGTTGCTCTGAATAAAGAGGTCTTTTTACATCATCGTGCTGTTTGGGTTCCTTCCTCATTTTTTTTCTCTCCTCTTGCATTGTGCTTGGCATGGGGCGACAACTCAAACGGTAGCTGCTATTGTTATTTGTGTTTCTGTGATTATTATTACAATAGTGAGTAGTACTATTGATTTCCTCAAGTTCATGTGTTTTGAATGTGTGGGATACTGTCTCCTAAATGGAGGCCTTCAGGTCTACTCCGAAAAGACCAACAATTTCATAATTTGACTTTTTCTTCCTCACATTGTCTTGGCTGTTTGTATTTATACCAGAATTTTTTAAAGGATTATTTTTTCAAAATATACTGTTTATAGAATATGTTAGCTGCCTTCCAACTTTGTAGCAAGTGTTGATTTTCTTTCTCCACCCTTCAGTCATAAAAATAACTATCTTAATTGGATGCCGCTTTTGTTTACAAATACCACCAGTAATGTGACATTATAAATGTTAAGGCAGGGAACACTGAAGACAAACATTTTGACCTACTTTAAGTTTTATTTGCTTATAAAAGTAATGCTTTTTTTGTGGGGGGGAGACAGAGTCTCGCTCTGTCGTCCAGGCTGGAGTTCAGTGGCGCGATCTTGGCTCACTGCAAGCCCCGCCTCCTGGGTTCACGCCATTCTCCTGCCTCAGCCTCCCAAGTAGCTGGGACTACAGGCGCCCACCACCACGCCCGGCTAATTTTTTGTATTTTTAGTAGAGATGGGGTTTCACTGGGTTAGCCAGGATGGTCTCGTGATCCGCCTGCCTTGGCCTTCCAAAGTGCTGGGATTACAGGCGTGAACCACTGCACCCGGCCTAATGCTTTTTGTTTTTTTATCTCCTGGGAACACAAATACTTTCTTTAGAAAAATTTGGCCTCTACAGCCTCACAAACTTTAATGTACTCTGCAGGGATTTTGGAAATCACCAGAATTTTGTAGCTGGTGCAAAACTTGGAAATTCCCTTCTTTAGCAAAAGGAGCATTGATTGTACTCTGCTATGAATTTTAGGATCTTTAGTTTCCATCATGTTTATCTGTTGTGTGTTTTTTTCCTTTAAAAATTTTAAAGGTTTTTTTTAAAAAATTAATTAATTTTTTTTTTTTTTTTTTTGGTATTTTTAGTAGAGACGGGGTTTCACCATATTGGCCAGGCTGGTCACAAACTCCTGGCCTCAAGTAATCCCCCTGCCTCAGCCTCCGAAAGTGCCGGGATTACAGAAGTGAGTCACTGCACCCCGCCCTTTGCCCAGCTTTTAATGGAGTTGATTTTTTTTCTTACTGTTTGAGTTCCTTATAGATTCTGGATATTAGTCTTTTGCCAGAATCATAATTTGTAAATATTTTCTGCCATTCTATAGATTGTCTGTTTACTCTGTTGATTATTTCTTTCGCTGTGCAGCTTTTTAATTTAAGTCCCGTTTGTTTATTTTTGGTTTTCGGGCATTTGCTTTTTTGTCTTCGTCATCAGTTATTTGCCTAGGCTAATGTCCAGAAGAGTTTTTCCTAAGTTTTCTTTGAGCAGTTGACTGCTAACTTTATTATTACTTTAAATATCTACTACTTTATTTTTACCTTTTTCTCTTTCTTTTTTGCTGCTATTCAGACACATTAAAAGTTATTCAGACACATTAAAAGTTATTTGGAGTCTCAAGTTCCTCATCTGCATTTTTAATGCTAAACCATCAGCATTTTTAATGATAAATTGGAAATCTTGGGTAACACAGAACTGGTCAAAACAAGTAAAGTTCTAAAGCCTCCTTTTGCTTAAATGAAATAATTGACTCTCAAAGCTGAGATTCTCTTCAACTTTCCTCCTTTGGGAAATTTGCTTAGTAAGTTTATAAAGTTTTGGTTTCAAATTAAATTAGATGATACATATTTGAGGCAGTGACCCACAACTTTTTCACATAATTTCATCTTTAGTGGCCACACTTGTGTACAGATTATTTAATCCACTACAAAGCATATATAAAATGCATTGTATGTACCGGGAAAGCTGGCGTTTTTTGTTTGTTTGTTTGTTTTTGAGACAAGAGTCTCTGTCGCCCAGGCTGGAATGTAGTGGCGCGCGATTTCAGCTCAATGCAACCTCCGCCTCATGGGTTCAAGCGATTCTCCTGCCTCAGCCTCCCAAGTAGCTGGGATTACAGGCGCCCGCCTGGCTAATTTTTTGTGTTTTTAATAGACACGGGGTTTCGCCATGTTGGCCAGGCTGGTCTCGAACTCCGGACTGCAGGTGATCCACCCACCTCAGCCTCCCAAAGTGCTGGGATTACAGGTGTGAGCCATCATGCCCAGCCCAAAGCTGGCATTTTCTGTATAAATAGTTTTAAACATGTTCTAAATGTCTGGGCTGCTTTTTAAGTTTATAGTTGTACTTAAAGATAGTATAAAAGAGGCCCGGTGCAGTGGCTCACACCTGTAATGCCAGCACTTCGGGAGGCTGAGGCGGGTGAAGTTCGAGACCAGCCTCGGAGATGGTTCAAAGGGAGACCCCGTATCTACAAAAAATACAAAAATTGGCCAGGCGCGGTGGCTCACGCCTGTAATCCCAGCACTTTGGGAGGCCGAGGCGGGCAGATTGCCTGAGTTTAGGAGTTTAAGACCAGCCTGACCAACATGGTGAAACCCCGTCTCTACTAAAAATATAAAAATTAGCCGGGTGTGTTGGCGTATGCCTGTAATTCCAGCTACTCGGGACGCTGAGGCAGGAGAATCGCTTGAACCTGGGAGGCGGAGGTTGCAGTGAGCTGAGATCACACCACTGCACTCTAGCTTGGGTGACAGAGTGAGACTCTGTCTCAAAAAAAACAAACAAACAAACAAACAAACAAAAAAAACCCAAAAAACAAAAACCACACACAACAAAAATTAGCCAGGTGTGGTGGTGTGTGCCTGTAGTCCCAGCTACTCAGGAGGCTGAGGCGGGCGGATTGCTTGAGCCTGGGAGGCAGAGGCTGCAGTGAGCTGGGAACGCGCTACCGCACTCCAGCCTGGGTGACAGTGTGAGACTCTGTTTCAATAAATAAATAAATACTATTTACTGACGTCTCCAAGCAAGAACTAACTTGTAACAAAAACTGAATTCTCATCATTGTGTCTAAAAAACTGCTATACACATTTTCTTCTTGTGATTAACTTTTTTTTTTGCCATAGAGGTCATGCTTGAGATAACATTGTTTTTGATTTGTAGCAACTGACCAAGCTGGAGAATCTACTTTTTAGATAAACAAGTTAATTTGAATAACTTGATGTATATGGCTGTAACTCAATTTCACTTTTAGTTAGAAAACTCTAAAAAGTAGACTTTTCTTGGTCTGCATTAAAATCTTACATTTGTATTATACTAAAAAAGATGTGCTAGAAACTAAGTTTACCTTTTAGTTAAACCAGTAGAGTAAATGGCTAGGGCACAAGTTTTAATAAAGATTTCTTGTATATCTTCTGTGTGCTAAACTATTGTTCTAGGCACCTGTGATAAGGGGACTTAGGACATGCTCCATGATCTCTTAAGAGCTCATGACTTGATGAAGGAGAGAAGAGGGCAGTCATTTCCTATGAAGGGAATAATCAGAATTCCTCCAGGAAGCAGTTCATTTAATAAAACAGTGGTCAACTAACAGTTGGGACTTAAAAACGACAACAGCAAAAGTATTCCCTTTTGATGTGTTTATATCACCTTTCACAGATGACTCTGTAATGCTTATTTGATTAATTAAAAACTCTTTAATTTGGGAACAGAAGGGTAACGTACCAGAAGCTCAGCCATTAGCCTGTTGTTGGAGTTTAGCTTATTGTTTTAGAAAGTTGATTTTAAATAATTGGGACAGTTAAAAATGCTGGTCTGAACTATGTCAGCTTCAAAGTGACTGGATCAGTGGTTTTGAGTGGCTTCTATTTTTGGTCACAAGCTACCTTGGGAATCTCATAAGAAGTGTGGACCTTCTTCTCCCAAGTGATGCACATCCATGCACAATTCTGCATTTATTTTAAAATTATCTTCCCTAAGGAACTTCTTGGACTCCAGGGTAGAACCTATTCTAAGTTGGTTATTGGTTGTAATGCAGCTGTTCTACTGAATGTACTTGCCTCCTTTTGTGTTTTTTCCCTGAGGATTCCCTAAATTTTGAGCCCATAAGCCTTTTTAAACTGAAAGGTTAGTAAATTCCCATATAGTATGTCGTGCTCTACAACTTGGCTTTTCAGTCACCTCTTATTAAAGGTTATGTTCTCACATATTATACAGATAATTGGGATGGGCTTTGGTAATTGGTAATTGGTAAAAGTTTCATGCTAAATCGCACATGGTCAGAAGACGAGAACTCTTAGGCCAACTGTCAACCGCAGAACTCTCAAATGTAAATTTAGCTTTTTAGGTTAAGAAACATTTCTTTCTTTCTAGTTTCTGGTCTTACTAGGTCATCTGAAAAATTCAATGATTTTTGGTCACTTTTAAGTGATTCAGTCCCTGAGCTTAAGGTATCAGGGACAAAGTACGATTGACAGTTGGCCTAAGAGTTCTGCAGTTGACAGTTGGCCTAAGAGTTCTGGCCGTGTGCAATTCAGCATGAAACTTTTACCTATTACCAATTACCAAAGCGCAGCCCAGAGTGGTATGTTATTGATTAAAATGAAAGCCCTCCATGGCCCAGGGTTGTGTATACACCTTCCCAGCTGTCATGGAAATTGGAGGTACTCATAGGGACAGAGTGACTCATAGGGGTATCTGTTATGATCATCAAGACTCCAGAGGTTAGCTGAGCCAGAAATTAATGTGTTCATTCATTCCTCCAAATAATTTATTTATTTATTTATTTTATTATTTATTTATTTTTGAGGCAGGTCTCACTTTGTCGCCCAGGCTGGAGTGCAGTGGCACCATATCAGCTCACTGCAGCCTCCGCCTCCTGGGTTCAAGCGATTCTCGTGTCTTAGCCTCTCAAGTAGCTGGGACTACAGGCGTGCACCACCATGTCCAGCTAAGTTTTGTATTTTTAGTAGAGATGGGGTTTCACCATGTTGCCCAGGCCTTTTTTTTTTTTGGCGACGGAGTCTCATTCTCGCTCTGTTGTCTAGGCTGGAGTGCAGTAGTGAGATCTTGGCTGACTGCAACCGCTGCCTCCCAGGTTTAAGCGATTCTCCTGTCTCAGCCGCCCGAGTAGCTGGGATTACAGTGTGCGTCACCACACCCGGCTAATTTTTGTTATTTTTAGTAGAGACAGGGTTTTGCCATGTTGGCCAGGCTGGTCTCAAACTCCTGACTTCAGGTGATCTGCCTGCCTTGGCCTCCCAGAGTGCTGGGATTACAGGTGTGAACCACTGTGCCTGGCCATCCAAATAATTTATTGTCTGCCTTGTACCAGGCACTGTGTTGAGTGTTGGGAAAATTGTAAACAATACAGGTGAACAACCTGCTCCTATAGAACTCTTTGCTTATCAAGGGAGAAACTTTAATTTAAAATGTACACATATATAACTCACTATAATAAGTGTTATCAAGTAAGTATATATAGGGTGACATGAGAACACATAACAAGGAACCTAATTTAGATTGGGTCAGAGAAAGCAAAGGTATGAGACTAGATGGTTATTGTAATGCGTAGAATGAAAGCTTCATTTCTGAAAAAGGTTTTCATATACAGTGCCTCTAAATATATGCTTATGTATATGTGTGAGATTTCAGTTTCAAAGTGTTGGACATACTAAATATCACTTTATATGATAATGTGGACCCATAATCAGTCATTACTATTAAGATTTTTCAAGTTTTCTTCATAACAGTGTTCTTTTTTCTTCCTCCCTTACAGTATACACTTTGGAATTTTCTCCCAAAGAATCTGTTTGAACAGTTTAGAAGAATTGCAAATTTTTATTTTCTCATAATCTTCCTTGTACAGGTAAGAGCTCCTTAAACAGCCACTTAACTTTTAGAAACTTGATTGCTTTAAACGAATTTTCAATCTATTTCTAACCTTAAAATGCCATGTAATTAAAAAAAGACATTCCAGAGCTTATTATGACTTCTTAAAGTAGAAACATAACATTTAAAGATTATCATTTTGTAAATTTCTAAAGTTGTGTTTTTACTAGAAAACCTGTTGAGATTTTGTTTCATTGTTACTTTCTTTGAAATTTTCATGGATATCATATTTTTGCTCATCCCAGGATGACGTGTATTGTGTACCATTAAATGAAATGGAATATATCAAAACTGAAAATAGTTCAAACTAGTAGTTTTATTTTGTTACATACCAGTTTCAGCCTAATTGGAAACTTCTCACTCATCTTCCTGATTACCATTTTTGCTCTCTCTCATTCATTTACTCACTGTAAGGGTGAGAGCCTAGTTAGATCAATCTGCTTCTCTGTATTCTTTCTACTGTTTTGTGTTTTAAATTTTAGACAGTTTAAATTGTGTCTTCCATCTTTAAATCTGTAAGCTATTAAAATCTTTTCCTCGCCATAATTACCCCTGAAAATTTTACTACATTAAAGGTACTTTTTTTCTCATTTCATTTTTTAAATGAAGCAGAAAAATCCCATTGAAGTTGCTCCAATGCCCTGTTGATGTTAAGTGCTTCTGTTGACTCACTTTGAGGCTTTGAGTAAATGGTACTGTAATTGAATTTAGCCTTGCTACTTAAAATCAGTCTGGGATATAATATGGGCAAGAGCCTATTTTAATCCTGAATGATGGAAGATTTGAAAAGGAGCTCCTCTGGATCTATGGTCAGATGTCTTACAGATATAGAATAAACTACCTAGAGGATTCTGCTTGAAAGAATCATTCTACTTGGTGGGCAGTGCATTTCATTTCAGTTCAGCAAATGTATACCACTCACCTACCTACTATGTGCTGTGCAGTAGGACAGACAACAAAAATGGTAGCAGGTACAATGAAGATCAAGATATGGCTTTTCTACTCTTAAAGAATTTATGCTATAGCTGAGAAGACCAGTCACATAACAGTTATGTATTCACTTAATGTAGTAAAGCCATTCAAGAAGCATTAACAGAATGCTTTGGGTATACAGTGTAAGTTATCATTTTTTTCTACCCAAGAGGAATTTGATAAGGCTTCAGAGAATAGATGCTATCTGAACAGAGCCTTTAAGGATTAGAAGGATTTACTTGGTGGAGAATGCTGAACTGGTATTTCAGGGATAGGGAAGAGATTGCCTAAAGTCACAGAGCCATGTAGAAGCCTTGCGTACATGGAAGTATACATTGTATCTACAACACAGGGTGTATGGCAGAGGCAGGGCTTGTTGAGGGTTGGAGATGAGAGTCAACGAGTTGGGAGGGCAGACTGAACTCAAAATCATCCTCCCTTAAATGTAGTTCTTTTTCAGTATTTCCTGTGTCAGTAAATGATGACAACATTCACCTAGACATGCTAACCCGATACTTGGAAGACATCTTTAATATTAGCATTTACATCTAACTCTTGGCATTTTTGCCTCCTAAATATTTATAGAACTTCTTTCCATGCCTGCCGCTAACACTAGTCCAAGCCCATCATCTTTCACCTAGATTACAGCAATAGCCTCCTAAATAGACTCCCTGCCTTCACTCTTGTTCCCTTCTAATTCATCTTCCACAGAGCAGTAAGAATGATCTTTTCAAAATGCAGTTCTGTTCATGTGACCTTTCCTTGCTTAAAACTTTCAAGGATTTCCTGCTATTTGTGGGATAGAGAATGAACAGCTTACTTTGGCCTAGAGGGCCCTGCACAGTCTGGCTCCTGCCTCCCTCTCCAGCCCCATCTCACACCACACTCCCTCTCGCCACTGGCTTCCTTTATTTCCTAGAGACCTGCATATACTGTTCACTGTGCCTAGAAAACTACCTTTCGTCTAGTTAACTCCTGTTTACCCTTCAGACCTCAGCATCTACACACTTGTTTTACTGTCTGATTTTTCCTGTAAGCTGCCAGCTACATGAAGGCAGGGACTTGTCTCCATCTTGTTTAAAGCAGTATCTCTAGAGCTTTGCTGATAATAGCACAAGCGCTGACAGAATGGTGCTCAGCAAATAGGTGGTAAGTGAATGGATATATTTCAATAAAGGGGTTAATCCAAGCTGGGATAAAAACTATGCCTGAATTTAGGACTATTTCTTAAACTAACTGCCATGTAGTTTGCTTTTGTTTTAATGAAAATTAATATTTACCCTACTACTGGAAAGTGTTTTGTCTATGTTTCTGTTTGAAATGTTTGCAGCATGTAAGTGCTGCATATGAGTTAATGACAAATTTTCATTTTACTTTCAATTTAATTTTATTTACCTAGGTCACAGTAGACACACCAACTAGCCCAGTTACCAGTGGACTTCCACTTTTCTTTGTTATAACTGTTACAGCCATCAAGCAGGTAAATTTCTTATTTACACTTGCACCTGCATTTCAGTCCAGGCTTGTTGGAATTTCATTGTCAAAGGCTCTTTTTCATATTTATATACAGTGGGTAGTATCCTTTATGGATTTATTTTATATTTGGTTCCTCTTGAAAACCTATTAAAATGATAGGCACATCCTTAATGTATTTCCTTGTTTCCTCTTAAATATCTGTGTATGTGGGTGTAAATGTAAAAGAAAGAGCAGGTAAAAGGTACAGCCCAGTCAGGAAATAGGAGGCAGATTTTTTAATGCATATTAATTGTTTCAGCGTGGTATGTCTGTGTGAAAAACTCCCATTTTTGTGGATTTTTAAAAATTGCTTAAGCCTGTAGCGAGAACTCAAGGGAAGAATACTTTAATTTTCTTGTTTTTTCCTTCTACTGCTTCAGGGGGTAGTAGGTAGAGGGGACATTTCCTGTTTTTTGTCAGAGCTGATAGACTGCCACAGATTGTGATATGGATGTCTTTGAAGTATTTTGAACATTTTGTATGCTAGTATGTTTGAAAAATTGCAGATGAAAATGGAAACAGGAAATTGGAGGTGAAAGGGTAGGTTAACAATGTTAATCATGTTTTGTGTCAGTCCACAGCATCTGACTATTTACAAACATATTTTTAGATGATATTTAACAAAGTGCTTTTAAAAAGGGTACCAAAGAAGCTTGCAAAACAAAGGTCTTCTTAGCATTATTGGGAACAAGATTACCTTTCCTCTTGGGGTTATCTGGTCTTATATCTTGCCTACCAGGAACTATAAGAATATTTTATCAAGTGTTCAGTTGCAAAATAAAGACTTTTGGAATGTTCTTTTCCTTAGACTGATAGGATTATTTTCTTTAACATCATAAAATTGCTGGTTCCAAGAATAGCATGTGTGGTTTTCAAAGGCTTTTTTACTGATTCATTCTGCTCCCAATACTGGTTCATGTTAGGACCTTTATTTCTTCACCAGCATCACAAAATGTACTCTATAAAGTGATAGCTTAGCATTGTCATAAAGAGGACAGAAGAAGAATGGATATAGTACCTGAGGGGAAAAAGTGGGGGGAGGCGATGAAGAGACTTTTCAAACAGTTGTGTTTGAAAAGGTACAGACATTCTTACAACGAAAAAAGACAAAGGTATATAAAAAAGGAGAGGAGGTCATGATCAAACATTCATGAACATCCTTTAGATCTTTTGGCTTAAATCTACTTTAGATGAAAAGTCCAAAGTAAAATGAGCCATTAGATCTTTCTCTGATTACTTTTAACTGGAAACGATGAATACCAATTTATATTTTCTTTTGTCACCAAGTCAGTTGAAAAGTTTAGCTGTTGATCTCTACAACTTATCATAGCTTCTCTGCCAAAACAATCCTTGCTTGCCTTTTCTATTATTCTCTGTGGGTGAGAAATAATTAAAATACTCCCTTGGAGATGATTACTCGAACAGTCTACTACAGCATATACAAAAGATTATATGTAAGTGATTATGGCTATAAGAAAATACAAACCCAGGACAATCTTTTTTCAAATTAAAAAATAGAATTAACTAACTCAAGAGTACAGTTAAAATAAATCATAGCCTTTCACACATGAAAATATTAAGTCTCCAGTGCTTGTGTTTTCATTAATGTTTAAAGAGTGGAGAAAACTTTTAACACAACAAAGCTATTTATCTAAGGAGTATTTTGAAAGTGTGTCTCAGATTTGCTATTAAAATGTGTAGCATTGTCTCTTTAGCATTCTGAGTTTAAATTAATGCTATAATTATAAATATTTGGTGTTGACTCATGGGAGGATATAGAAATTTATTAACAGCTTTATTTCATTATCAGAACTCAATTATATAGTTATTTTTATCTTTCAGGGATATGAGGATTGTCTGAGACACAGAGCTGACAATGAAGTCAACAAAAGCACTGTTTACATTATTGAAAATGCAAAGCGAGTGAGAAAAGAAAGTGAAAAAATCAAGGTATTTTTTCTTAGTCCACTCCTTTTTTAATGGTAAAAATACACCATTTTAAAGTGTATAATTTAGTGTCATTTAGTACTTTATAATGTTGTGCAACCGTTAACTCTATCTAGTTCCAGAACATTTTCATCACCCGAAAAGGAAACCCTATACCCATAAGCAGTCACTCCACATTTCTCCCTCCTCCCAGGCCCTGGCAATACTAACCTTCTTTCTGTCCCTATGGATGTATGTATTCTGAATGTTTCATATTTCTTATGTGTCCTTTTTGTCTAGCTTCTTTCACTCAGAATGTTTTTGAGGTTCATCTGCATTATAGTATATAGCAGCATTTCATTCCTTTTGATAGCTGAATAACATTTCATTTTATTTATTCACCAGCTGATGGACATTTGGGTTGTTTCTACCTTTTGGGTATTATGAATTGCTATGAACATTGAATTACAGTTTTTGTTTGAACATCTGTTTTTAATTCTTTGAGGTATATACCTAGGAGGAAAATTGCTGGGTCATATTGTAATTACGTGTTTAACTTTTTAATGAACCACTAAACTATTTTCCATAGTGCCTGTACCATTTTACATTCCCATCAGCAACATAAGAGACTTCCAAGGTAGTAGTATTTTTTTTTTTGACAATCTCAGGCAATTGTTTATTCCAGTTAATCATTGTTTATTATTTACCCAGTAAGACCCTGTCAAATAACATTTTTGACTTGTCCATGTCAAACACTAATTTTTTGGTTCTCATTAGATTTTTTAAATTAAAAAATTATATTTTTAGAGCAGTTTTAGGTTCACAGGAAAATTGAGTAGAAAATATAGAGAGTACCCATAAACCCACTGTCCCCAAACACATTTTCTCTGGCTGTCAACATCCCACACCAGAATGGTACATTTGTTACAATCAGTGAACCTATTTTGGCACACTATCACCCAAAGTCCATAGATTATATTAGGGGTCACTCTTGGTGTACATTCTGTGGGTTTTGTTAAATATAGGATACATATCCACATAGCCTACATTTGTATATATGTACATATGTATCCATAGTAGTGTCATACCAGGATAGTTTCACTGCCCTAAAAATCTTCTGTTCTCTTCCTGTTCATTCCTTATTCCCCCCAACCCATGGTAACCAGCGATCTTTCTGCTGTCTCTATAGTTTTGCCTTTCCTAGGATGTCACATATTTAGAATCATACAGCCTTTTCAGATTGGCTTCTTTCACTTAGTAATATGCTTTCAAGTTTCTTCCATGTCTTTCCATGGCTTGATAGCTCATTTGTTTCTAGTGATGAATAATATTTCATTTTCTGGATATACCATAGTTTATCCATTCACCTACTGAAGGGCATTTTAGTTGCCTCCGAGTTTTGGCAATTATGAGTAAAACTGCTATAAACATTTGTGTGCAGGTTTTTATATGGACATACATTTTCAATTCATTTGAGTAAATACAAAGAAGTGCTGAATTGTATGGTAAGAGTATGTTTCGTTTTGTAAGAAACTGCCAAACTATCTTCCAAAGTAGCTGTATCATTTTGCATTCTCACCAACAATGAATGGGAGTTCTTGTTGTTCCACATCCTCACTGGGTTTTGATGTTCTCAGTGCTTTGTATGTTGGCCATTTTAACAGGTGTGTAGTACTATCTCACTTTTGTCTTAATTAGCATTTCACTGATAACATATGATATGGACTTTCTTTTCATATGGTTCTTTGTCATCTGTATATCTTCATTGGTGAGATGCTGCTTAGATTTTGCCCATTTTTAAAGCAGGTTGTTTTCTTATTGAATTTTAAGAATTCTCCATATGCCCAACAATAGTTAAATTTCCTTGCATCATCTTATAGTAATGATGGGAGGAAGACTACAGAGTGGGAGGGTCACCAGTGTTTGACATAGAATGTCTTCCTTTTTCTACTTTTTCTTTTCTCTATTCTTTACATCCTGGTCAAGGGGGAACTTGTGCCGAACTAGGTTAGGTTAAGATCTGAAGTTTTTGAAACAACTGTAGAAACTCAGCATTATTGATCAGCGTAAGAACCAAAGGCAGACTGAGTACAGTGGCTTACGCCTGTAATCCCAGCACTCTGGGAGGCCAAGTTGGGTGGATCGCTTGAGTCCAGGAGTTGGAATCCATCCTGGGCAACATGGCAAAACCCTGTCTCTCCAAAAAAATTAGCCAGGCAGTCCCAGCTACTTGGGAGGCTGAGGTGGGAGGATCACCTGAGCCCAAAAAGTTGAGGCTGCGGTGATCCGAGATCGAGCCACTGCACTCCAGCCTGGGTGACAGAGTGAGACCCTGTCTCAAAAAAAAAAAAAAACCAACAACAGTAACAACAAACAAAGGCTGCCTAAATGATTCATAGCATCCAATCTGTTGTTCCCAGTACACTACGTAAAATTGCAAAGCAGGCAAAGGCCTCTTACATCTCTCCCTTTCTTTCATTTCCTCTTTCTGATTTTGTTGACACTCCACCCCACTCCCCTTTACAAAGGCCCCCATTTTTCATTTTCCCTCCACCAAGCTTCTTTTCCTTGAGGCTGAACTCAACCAGGTATAATCTTGATTAAATAAATGTGAAGCTATTGTGATTAAATTATTGTGTGAGATGCTATTTGATGTAGCTGTTTCTGGAGTGTAAGTGTGTGGGAAGAGATGCTTATTAGCCAGCAGTCTCTAAATAGCAGATTGCTTGGCTGGGGAGTCGGGGGAAAGAGTTTGTTGAGACTCCTTTTGAGCAAGAGAGAGACTTGGTCTGCATCCTTAGTGTGGTGGGGAGTCTTTGAAGTGTTAAAGCCGGAGAGTGACTTGATGATTTTTAAAAATAAAACTGGAGTGAGGCAAAATGAAAGCATGAATGTGCAATCAGAGAGATATAGCTTAGGCAAAAAATGATAAGGGCTTATATTAGGATGATAGTAGTATTGATAACAATAATAAAAATAGTAGTCACCATTTATATGGTATGTAGTATATGCCAGGCAGTCTTTTTTTACATTCTGTTAACTCATTTAACCCTCAACAACAGCCATATGAAGTAGGTATTTTTATTATCCTCTCTTTACAGATGATGAAACCGAGGCATAAGGAGGTTAAGGAACTTGCCCACTACTAGTAAGTTGGAAAGCTGGGATTTGAATTAAAGCAAGCCTAGGTGTAGAGTCCATGCTCTTAACCACAACTCTTTACTACCTGTTTAGATTTTAAGGGAAATGGATATATTCAGGATATTTTTTGGAGGTAGAATAATCAGGATTTAGTGATTTAGGATGTAGTGGGTGAGAGAAACAGAAAAAAAAAAAAAGAATAATTAAGATAGCCTTCCTGGTTTTGGCCTGAGCAACTGAGGGAATTACATAGTGCTATTAAAGAAAATGCTAGTGCTTTTAAATAAGATGGGAAAGCCTAGGAGAAAAACAGATTTAGGGACAGAGGTGGGAGTGAAGAGAAATCAGGAATTCACTTTTGGCTATGTTAAGTTTGAGAAACCTATTAGACATACAGTTGGAGTTGTCAATCCTGGAGCTCAGAGGAGGTGTTTTAAATAGAAGTTGAAATTTGGGTGTCATCAGTCTGTACATACCGTATGATGCCATGAGACTGGATGGAATTTCATACAGCACAGAGAATGAGACTTATAATAGGACTTGAGGAATTCCATTGTGAAGACACTATTATTTTTAATGGAAGGAGTATTTTTTGGCGTCCGAAATATCAGAAACTAGATATAGTAAGACACCTCTCAATCATATGTCATGCTTTAGTGCCAAATAGAAATAAAAGTTATACTCTAGTACTTCAACCAATGAATCAACCAAAATATATTGAAATATTGTGCTGAGTTACAGAAGGGTTACAAAGAATGAAAGAGATGGTTCATGCTCTCAAGAAGTTTTATAGTTTAGCTTAGTAGTCATGCCACATAATGCTAAAAGAATAAAAATACAAGACCATAACTGGTCAGAACCCAGTGAGTGCGTCTGAAAAAAAAAAAAAAAAACTCTGAATTTAGAGAACGGGAATGAAAACAGTTTTCTCACATGAGATGGGCATGAAATAGATTGTAAAATTCAGAGAGGCAGAGTGTGAAAACATATGGATTGGGGCAGAGAATGAGGAACAATGCTAAGAGGTAAAGAAGCTCCTTGGGTAAAAATGAGGTGTTAGGTTAGATTTAGTAAAAGGAGTTGATTTGAACATCTTTTCTAATATAAATGTTTAATGCTATAAATTTTCCTCCAAGTATTGCTTTAGCAACAGCCTACAAATTTGGATATATTATGTTTACATTTTCATTTAGTTTAATATTTTCTGATTTCTCTTTAATTCTTCCTCGATTCATGGGTTATTTAGAAGTTTGTTATGTAATTTCTAAATATTTGGGAATTTTCTGGTTATTATTATTTTGTTTTGAGATGGAGTTTCGCTCTTGTCACCCAGGCTGGAGTGCAATGCCACAATCTTGGCTCACTGCAACCTCCACCTCCCGGGTTCAAGCAATTCTCCTGCCTCAGCCTCCCAAGTAGCTGGGATTACAGGCATGCGCCACCATGCCCGACTAATTTTGTATTTTTAGTAGGGATGAGGTTTTACCATGTTGGTCAGGCTGGTGTCGAACTCCGCAGGTGATCCATCCACCCCGGCCTCCCAAAGTGCTGGGATTACAGGTGTGAGCCACCGTGCCAGCCTAGATACCTTTTTGTTATTGGTTTCTAATTTAATTCCGTTGTGTTCAGAGAGCATATTTTCATTTTCTCATTCACACCCTTTGTGTTATTGTTGTCATACGTTTTACTTTTACATTTTATAAAGCCCACAATATGTTACTATTTTTGCCTGTGAGTTGTCTTTTTTGGTAATAAAATATATAAAATAAACTTTACCATTTAACTTTTTTTCTTTGAGATGGAGTTTGCTCTTGTTGCCCAGGCTGGAGTACAATGGCGTGATCTTGGCTCACCGCAACGTCTGTCTACTGGGTTCAAGCGATTCTCCTGCCTCAGCCTCCCAAGTAGCTGGGATTACAGGCATGCGCCACCATGCCCGGCTAATTTTTTTGTATTTTTAGTTGAGACGGGGTTTCTCCATGTTGGTCAGGCTGGTCTCAAACTCCTGACTTCAGGTGATCTGCCCGCCTCAGCCTCCTAAAATGCTGGGATTACAGGCATGAGCCACCGCGCCAGGCCCCATTTAACCATTTTTAAGTAACCATTTTTAAGTGTACAATTTATTTATAGTAAGTACATTCACAATGTTGTACAACCATCACCACTATCCATTTCCAGAACTTTTCCATTATCCCAAACAAAGCTCTATTCATTAAACAGTAACTTCCCATTTCTCCCTTCCTCAGCCCCTTGTGGCCTCTATTCTATTAATACTTTTTGTCTCTATGAATTTCCCTATCCTCAATACTTTATGTAAGTGGAGTTGTACAATACTTGTCCATTTATGTCTGGCTTCTTTCACTTAGCATAATGTTTTCAAGGTTGATCCATGTTATAGCATGTATCAGAAATTCCTTCCTTTTTAAAGGTGAATAATATTCCAATTTATGTATATAACAGTTTGTTGATCCATTTATATGTTGATGGACATTTGAGTTATTTCTAACTTTTGACTATTTTGATTAATGCTGCTGTGAACATTGGTATATAAGTATCTGAGTTTTTCCCTTTGATTCTTTTGAGTATATAACTTAGAGCAGAATTACTAGGTTGTAATTATCTTTTTAAAACCTTTTTTTTTTTTTTTAAGACAAGAGTCTCACTCTGTCACCCAGGCTGGAGTACAGTGGCACGATCTCGGCTCACTGCAGCCTCTGCCTCCTGAGTTCAAGTGATTCTTCTGCCTCAGCCTCCTGAGTAGCTGGGGTTACAGGCATGTGGCACCGCACCTGGCTAATTTTTGTATTTTTGGTAGAGACGGGGTTTTGCCATGTTGGCCAGACTGGTCTCGAACCCCTGACCTCAGGTGATCTGCCTGCCTCAGCCTCCCAAAGTGCTAGGAGTATGGGTGGGAGCCACCGTGCCCAGCCTAAAACTGTTTTTAAAAGATTAACAATAAGAACTATATTTTATATTTACCCACATTTTTTCATTTCCCTATGCAGATTTAAATTTTCATATAGTATCTTATTTTTTATCCATGAAGAGCTTTCTGTAGTATTTTATAGTGTAAATCTGCTGGAAGTGAATGTTCCTATGGAAAAGTTTTTATCTCACCTTCAATTACGAAAATTATTTTTCTGGCTATATAGAATTATGGGTTAGAGGGGTTTTTTTCTTTCAGTACTTTAAAGATATTACTCCATTGTCTTCTGATATGCATAGTTTCTAATGAGTCTTTCATTTCTATTCTTGTTCTTGTGTATATAATATTTCTTTGATGCCTTTACATTTTTCTTTCTATTTTCAGTTTTCAGCAGTTTGACTATGATATACCTACATTTTTTTCATCGTAGTTATCCTTCTCGAAGTTCTCTTGGATCTATTGTTTGTCGGCTTTGATTAACTTTGGATAATTCTTGGTCATTATCTTTTTGAAATATTTTTTCAGACTCATTCTCTCTATTCTTCCGGTACTCCAATTACATGACTATTATACTGTTTGATATTTTCTCCTTTGAGTAATTTGTTGTTTTTTTAAGTACACTCCTTTTTCTCCTGTTTATATATCACTTTGGATAATTTTAGTTGCTCTGTCTTCAGAATTAGTGATTATTTCCTTTGTTGTACCCAGTCCACTAGTTGAAGGAAATCTTCATCTCTGATAACATGGTTTTCATTTCTGACTTTACATTTTCATTTTTTTGTAGTATCCCTCTGCCAGCATTCTTCGTTCACTGTTACATGTTGTCTACCTTTTCCACTAAATACCGTACCATTTAATATCTTTTTTTTTTTTTTTTTTTTAAGAGACAGGGTCTTACTCTGTTGCCCAGGCTGGAGTACAGTGGCGCAGCCATAGCTTACTGCAGCCTTGAACTCCTGGGCTCAGGCAGTCCTCCCACCTCCATCTCCAGAGTAGCTGGGTCTATAGGTGTGCAACTACACTTGGCTAACTGTTATTATCATTTTTTATAGAGATGGGGTTCTGTTAAGTTGCCGAGGCTGGTCTCAAACTCCTGGCCTTATGCGGTCCTCCCACCTTGGCCTCCCAGAGTGCTGGTAATATAGATGTGAGCCACCACACCCCACCCATTTAACATCTTAATCATAGCTGTTTTTAAGTCCCTGTTTCATAATTACAAAATCTGGACATTTTGGGTCTGGTTTCATGGACTGCTTTATCTTTCAATGATGGCTCATTTTTTGCTTGTGTTTTTGTGCATCTCATTTTTTAATTGAATTTTGGGCATTGTATGTAAAAGAATGGTATTCACTGAGGTCAGTGGTATATGTGTTCTGAAATGGGCCTGGCTTCTTCTGTCAGGCCACTAGTGTTGGCGGTTGAGTCAATCTAGTCAACAGTTGGGCTGGCTTTGGTTTTTGATGTTTTTAATGTGTCACTTAACTTCAAATTCCTTAAGTGGTAGAATGCCATTACCTTGAGCTTTGTGTGGGGCCTGGTGTGCCGGAGAGTTTTTTATGGTGTTCCTGTTATACTATCTGCTTTCAGCAACATCCTATATTCCCGAGTCCCAGAGGTTGCCCCTCCCCGCCCCACGTTCCCTTGCCTTTTCTCCAGTGGTAGACTGCTATTTCTTGTTTGTTACTCAGTGTAAGGCTCTTGGCAGGAACAGAATGATTTCTTGGTTTTCTCATTCCAATCACAATATTAAGCAGGCCATATGCACCAAAGCCTCAGGGTAAGACTTTCTCAATATCCTCCCCCCTCATAGTAACTGAACTTCTACCTTGTATCAGCACCAGGTTATTGGTATGATAGGTTTCCTGTCCAATTCCCTGTAGCAGGTCCCATCCCCTGTAGCAGGTCACTTTTGTTTCTACCTCTCCTCTAACAGTAGTGATGTTTCCCTGAGACTATGCCAGGGAAGGTTTCCTGCCTTTCTCCTAGATGCAGATGACATTTGCTTAATATGAGAAAGGGGTCTATGATTCTGGCATGGTTTTTTTGTGCCTATTTCTTCACAGCAGTCACCACCTGTATGCCCGTGCCAGTGAGAAAGGTTCTTTTAGGTCTCCTGCCTGTATGCTTTCTCATGAACACTCAGTAGAAGCCTCTAGAGAAGAGCTGGTGAATGGTTGTGGTCTCTTCTTGTCTCTCAGGCTTGTAGAGATTCTGAACTGTCATACTAGCTCACACCCAGTCTTTAGGAATTGGTTAAAAATCTAGTTGTTTTCTTCTTACCCACTTTCATGGTAGCCATCTCTTCCTTCTATGCTTGGTCAGTTATGAAACAGTTCATCTGTCCTGTCTCTCCTCAGAAACACTTGTTACCCTTTGAAATTCAGTTCACTTGGTTGCTTTGCAACCTCAGCTCTCTGATGGACTAAAAAATACGTATTTGTTTTTAGATTATCCATTTTTTCCTAATGTTTGTAATGGGAGGTGGTGATGTTCTCTTGTGGCTTTTAAAATGGTAAATAGACCTCTAGAGTTCATTGTCTAACTAGATCATGTTATTCCCTGTCTTTAAAAGTCCTGTACCTATCCTTTTACCTTTAGAGTGAGGCCTAAATCCCTTAGGCTGGCCTGCTAAGCCCTTTGTGATCTGACTCATACCCATCTTGTCAGTCTGAGCTTGCACTGCAGATATAGGGGCCTTTATATTTCATATCTGACTACATCCTAACTGTTGAAAAAATGCTCTCTTTGTGTGTTTTATTTATCAATGCCTGAGAGTCATCTTCCGACCTCTAATGGGTATCTCCTTCTTGTAAGATGTGTTAGGATTCTGTTTGTTATCTCTCTTCTGCATATTTAAGCATAAATTGTGGTTTTGTGTAAGCAACATAAGTGTTTATGTAAGTGAGGAAGGAACAATCCAACAAAATAAAATATTATTTACAAGTTAGTTCAATTATTGATGCTGTTGATCTTGGCTAGTGATTAAGATTGGCAAAGAAAATAAAATTCTTCCTGAATAGGTCTTGAAATCCTCATCTTTATCTGCCGAATCATATTGCAAATAGAAGTTGGGTGTTGCATGTATTACCTAGCATTTCACAGTCAGTGTGTCTAGGTCAGTGTGCCAAATATTGACTCCCTTCTAAAGTGGGTTATCTTCTGCATCCAGCAGCCTCTTCCCTTTACCTGAAGGTGCTGTACAAAAGTATTATTTATAATTTTCAATATGTACCATGGTGTGAAAATCTTGGGAAGGACCAGACTGGAGGATTTCTTATATCTTTCCAAAAAAATGTTATGACTCTTCATAAGTTGGGAGTAAAGTAGTTGCAGGATGTTAGTAATAATTATAATTAACACCTTTGAAGTAGTTAATATGTGCCAGGCACTTTGCTCAGTACTTTTCTTGTATCATCATTTCATGCTCACATTAATTCTCTGAGGTAGTTGCAATCGTCTAAGACACTTATTTAAGGTCATATAGTTAAGTGGCAGAGCTGGGATGAGAAGTCAGGTTAAAGAGTCCAAACTTTTAATGGTTATGATTTACTTAACCCTACATTATTAAATTATTCATGATTTCTTCTCTCAGGTTTTTCCTTTCCTTGAGCTTTGGGTACTTGCTGATAAGAAATTGTTTCTCATTGCTATATTAAGTGATTCTCCTGACAGCAGATGAATTCATAGAAAGTGACCTATAGAAAAAAAAAATTCAAATATTTTGGGAAAAATCAATGCCTCTCTAATTAACTGGGATTTTCTGAGCACTGAAGAAGGACCTGGCACCCAACAACACAGTTGTTACCACATGGCAGGCAAAGTATGTTGAAGTATGCGTGGTACAGAGTGGGAGTGTGGCTGTTCAGTGTTCATGAAGTGCCCAGTTTGTGACATGTTGTAGATTTTCTTGATTCATTCATGAAGTGATAATGTCATTGTCTTATCAAACATTTGTGCAAGAAATATCAGAGAGCAAACGGATGTCAGAATCATTTATTAAAGGTAAAGGTCAGTGCTAAGGTAATCTGAAAGCATCCTAAGTCCTTCTAACCTTAAAGAGGATTCTGAATATTGAGTAATATTCTTTCATCACCTTTCACATGATGTAGGATGCTGAGATACTCTCAAAGCCCCAGAGCTAGAGATAATCTCTTGCTAATGTTTTGACTTTTGTATGAGTGTAATGAATGCTTTGTTTGGAATTTAAAATATTTATATTTATTTCTCAATTCCAGGTTGGTGATGTAGTAGAAGTACAGGCAGATGAAACCTTTCCCTGTGATCTTATTCTTCTATCATCTTGCACCACTGATGGAACCTGTTATGTCACTACAGCCAGTCTTGATGGGGAATCCAATTGCAAGGTAACAGACTAAACCTTGCCTAAACATTTTGATCTCAGGATAGTTAATCATACAATACTGCCTCCCATCACCCTCTAATCTTTTATTTTTTCTTATTTTTATTTTTTCTTAGGTTTTATATTTGAAAAGAGCTGTTATGTAATTGTTTTTTAACTTCTAAGCAAACACTCGTGTTTGGGTAAAAGGGTGGTAATTACGTGTGGAAAAACTGAGCCCCAAGTAAAAGCTACCACAATTTTTATAGCACTGCTTGAATTTAATATTGACACAGCCTATTTAATATTTAGACTCTAAAATGGGAGTAATCATAGGCTTAAACTGTGTGACTATACAAATAACTTCATGTATGCTAACCTTACAATTTGATCTATTTTTTTCTAAAATGTATATTTTCATTAAAAATGTATATTCTTGGGATGTAGGAAACCCAACCTGGAGTAATTTGATTGCTATTTAAAAATAATACTTAGGGCTGGGTGCGGTGGCTCACGCCTGTAATCCTAGCACTTTGGGAGGCTGAGGTAGACGGATCATTTGAGTTCAGCAGTTCGAAACCAGCCTGGCCAACATGGTGAAACCCTGTCTCTACTAAAAATACAAAAAAATTAGCCGGGCATAGTGGTGGGCGCCTGTAATTCCAGCTACTCGGGAGGCTGAGGCAATAGAATTGCTTGAGCCCGGGAGATGGAGGTTGCAGTGAGCCAAGATCACGCCACTGCACTCCAGCCTAGGTGACAGGGTGAGTCTCCATCTCAAAAAAAAAAAAAAAAAAAAAAAAAAAAAAAGATAGGGTGTAGTTTGGAAAATGTTTGCTTTATAAGTAAGTTATAAAGCAACATTTTATGTACATATAACAAATTATAACTCATTTATAATTGCAAGTGACTTAAAGTAAATTTGGCCAAATGGGGGTAACTTATTTCCCTCATACACTTTCTGGCACAGTCGGTTTTCTTGGCCATGGTCCAGAGCTCCACAGGGCATGAAGATGTATCCTCTCTATGCTGCCTTTAAGGAGGGTTACTCATGTGGCTCACCTCTGGGTATGTCCTTGGAGGGCTCCTCTGTTTGTTTATTCCATCTGGAGTTGAGGACTACGACTCAGTATGTAAAAAAGAACCTTTACCTGTTGGATGACTAATTCTGTATTTCAAAAGCATGGTAATGACCTGCTTTTAACCTTTTCAAAAACAAAGTTATAATTTAGGGAATGTCAAGATATAAATCAAGAAATCTACATAAAGATTTCCTGATAGTGAAAAAGTTGTTTGGAGTAAGAAAACTTTCAGATAGTTTCTTTTTTCAGTTAAGTTGTTCTGATCAAATCAGCTAAAAGTACAGAGGTTTTCAAAATCAGGAGATAGTTTTAAATATAGTTCAGACATTGCCGTAATATTTCCCCCAAGATGACGACAACAGCTTTCCCTTCTGCCTAAGTGGTGCGCTCTTTGAGTCTGCTTTAACCCTTGTTTGATGATTTATAAGTGGGTTCATTGGCGCCTGCCTTGAGTTCTGGATGAATCAAGTGCATAATATACACTAGTAGAATATTCTAATTATCTGACTAATGCAAGACACGTCATCTCCCTGCCCCTTGTACAAAATGTATCCATATTGAACATTTTCAAGATCATTAATTAAGCTATTTGTGTAATGGAACTATTAATGATTTTTTTCTTGCTGTTGGCAAAATTTTAGCATTTTTGTGACCAAAAAGGTTATGTTCAATTCATATGTGTATATCTCCATTGCCATACACTATAGTGAGCAAAATAATAAGTCTCAGTTCTGTAAATAGGAAAAAAAATAAATGTATTAACTTTTTCACGTGGTTTTAGTTAATTATATGCATGTTGTGAATAGAATTCTCTCAGCTGTCCATGTCAAGAAGAGCTTTTAGGTTTTTAATTGTCTTTGAAACCCTCCTTGCGGCAGGTTATCTTTCTAATTATTTGTAATATATTTTCATAATAATACCATAAAACTTATTAGTGGGAAATGTTAATATTTGTTTATTCTGCCAAAGCCTCTTACTAAAACATAAACTAAATTTGTTTCTGAAATCAGTTGGGTGTATGATTATGAAAAGAAAGTTTTTTTGGTTTTCACTTTTTCTTCTGCTTTCAACTAGACACATTATGCAGTACGTGATACCATTGCACTGTGTACAGCAGAATCCATCGATACCCTCCGAGCAGCAATTGAATGTGAACAGCCTCAACCTGACCTCTACAAGTAAGAATCACCTGGTTTCATTTTACTTCTGTTTGTTGGCTCTGCTTCTCTTTGCTAATAGTATTGCAAAAGAAACACCCACCACTTACCAGCCTACTCTCATTTGTGTTTTTATGGGCGATTCCTTCCTTCTGGCAGAAAAATGAATCAAATCAGCCTTGTTCACTATCAACCCAGAATAAATCATTGTGGGCCCAGGTATCTTATGATTTTTCTTTTATTTTTATTACTTGTAAACATGGCCATATATCAAAATTTTAGATTATGTTACCCTGTAAGGCTGATCTATCAGACTGATGCAGTAACCAGTTAATTAAATAAAAAACAAATCCTTTTACATGCCATCTAACATTAAAGAGAGAAGGGGGATATCCTCTTCATGCAATTAGTAGGTTCTATCCTTTCTTAGAATGATCATGATGCACTAAAGATTGCAAATAGGCTCTTTCTTGTCCACAGTAAACAGTTAAGGGATGAGTACAATGGTGTAATTTCCTCTATTTTACTATACTTAGGCTCTCTGGAGTAGGTTTGCTGATTATTAGTCATTGTGGGTTGTCAAAAATTGGCGTTTGATTTCAAGACTGGTTAGTTGGGTTGATTAGAGCATAGTACTAATCAGGGTAGTGTAACAGGTTTTATCCCCACGTGGGCTAATTAATTTTATCCTATTCTACCGTTGCAGATGGCATCCATTACCCATCTTGTTAATGCATGCTGTTAGTCATAATGAGTGACCAAGTGGTTGGATGTGGTTTACACTAACACCTAGTAGTGGAAAAACAAAGTATTCATTCTACTTCAAGAACAATGACCTCCCTCCTTCTCATCACTTTTTCTTTCCTCTTTCCCTTCCTCTTCCGTATCCACCTTGATGATAGGAACTAGGGCCAAAAAGTGTAACAGTTATTCTCTACCTTCAAGGGACTCACTGTGAGCAAGAGATGAAGTAATAAAGCTAAGCTTATACAAGGTGATAATAGAGGTGAGTGTAAGGTCTATGGAATCACAGAAAAGGGAGTAACTTATTCTGCCTGAGCTAGAGAACAATATCTATACCCTTGCATATTTATAGGGAAATCCCCACATTTTTCAGTTGCTTTAAGTATGAAGGAGAATGATAGGACAGGGAAGGTTATTCCTTATTTCCTTAGACGATTGAATTCCTTGCTGTGTGACTTCGGAATACCTTGTACTTCTATCACTCTAGTGGTAAGCACTTGCGTCGTAATTGCCTATTTACTTTTATAGGGCAAGGAGCCATTTCTTTTTTGCTTATTAGTACATCTTCAGCACTTAGTATAGCACTGGCACAATTAATATATGATGAATGAATGAGCAAGCCTTCATATTTTGTGTATATGAGTAATATATATTTCTATTTTCTGGGGAAAATGCTGTTTACGATGCAGATTATAAAACACTGATGTTAACGAGGGATTAGGTATTTTTACCTTATTTTGCAGAAATACAGGTTACCATACACCTATTATATTAAGTGATTGGGTCAAGCTCAGTATTGAGATCAACTACAAGTCACAGGCTGGACATTTCCAAGATGGCATTCAAGTGTTCACTGTCTAAGACTAGTACTATGGTTTAAAGAGTGGTTTCAGGACCAGCAGCAGCAGCATTACTGGGGAACCTGAATCAGAAGCTCAGGGATGGGACCTAGAAATCTGTGGTTTAATTAGCGCTCCAGTGATTCTGATGCACACTCAAGTGTAAGAACTACTGAACTAGCGGTTTTGAAAATTGTATTTTAGCACCAGAAACCTTTCTTCACATGATCCAAGATAGAAGTTACGTTATTTATATAAACTTATAAAAGAGAGAGGTGTTGTGTGCATGCATGATGTTAAACAGAACTTGAAAATCAATTGAGAACCTTTGTTTCTGCTCCTATAATCCCATCATGTTATTTAAAAATTATATGAAAATGTTATACACCTTATCAATTCAACATAACTTTTTTTCCCCCAGAAATATAATAGGCTTTTGTAGTTCATTCACAGTTTTATCTATCTCTGTTTTATTATTTGTATTTTCATTCATTCTCATATTTCTGGTACATGGATTTCACCTGGATGTAGAAAACACATTTGCAATTTTGTTCTTTTTACAGATTTGTTGGGCGAATCAATATCTACAGTAATAGTCTTGAGGCTGTTGCCAGGTAAGTTTGCTGTTTCTTTAATTTGTCCTTTGGTTGGGGGGGGGGGTCTATTTTTCTGTTAAATCAACTAAAATAGCCAAATACCTTTCTATTATAGAAAGGAATATAGGCCGGGTGCGGTAGCTCACGCCTGTAATCCCAGCACTTTGGGAGGCTGAGGTGGGTGGATCACCTGAGGTCAGGAGTTTGAAGCCAGCCTGGCCAACGGGGTGAAACCCAATCTCTATTAAAAATACAAATTTAGCTGGGCGTGGTGGCACACATCTGTAATCCCAACTACTCAGGAGGCTGAGGCAGGAGAATCTCTTGAACCCGGGAGGCGAAGGTCGCAGTGAGCCAAGATTGAGCCATTGCACTGTACCCTGGGCAACAAGAGCAAGACTCCATCTCAAAAAAAAAAAAAAAAAAAAAAAAAGGAATATAAAGGTGAATAAGCAACTAACCTTGTGATTGGTAGAGTTGTGGTGATAGGGTCTCTGTGTTGTGGGGAGGGGGCTGTTAGAAGTAATGCTTATGGTTTCCAAAATAGCAGAGCTCCAGACATTTTGGATTATATTCCCAAACCTGTTCTAGCCATGTTATTTATTATCCTCGGTTGTGAAGTGGCTGACAACATTGGAATTATAACTGGAGAACAGTGGGAGAGTAATTGAGAAAGTAAGCAGTGGGTAAAATGCTGGAAGAACTACCTGGACTTACGTAAAATGAAAGGCTTCATTAAAACGAATTGTTTTATGTATACGAATTGTATGTATCAGCCTTCATACAATTTATCAAGCAGTTCATACAAAAAGGGATGCTTTCTTTCCTCTTCTATCATCATATTAATTACCGCAACTTTTCCACTTGGCCTTTACAGCCACACTCAAAAAGTTAAAGAAATACAGGGTCCCCAGTGATCCCCCAAAAGGAGGGTTTATTCTCTCCAAATATGTCAGTATATTTTTCCCACCTTGACGTTTGCATTCCCTGTCTTTTATTGATGGCTGTCTGCTTTTGTGTCTTGCGATCTGCTGCTCTGTTCTGTTCTCGTCTTGCTATCCATGATTCATAATCCTTTTATCCCCCCCCATGTATTTTTTTTGCCTATGTGTGTTGCTGGCTACTCCCGTACTGTGCTTCCATCTGTGCTGTACCCTCAAGTAACTTCAGAGTGAAGGACCTTTCAGCTTGTCCTGGGGAGTAAGCATATGGTATAAGTAGACAGATAACATTCTGAACCCCTTGGAGATAGGTGTGTGTCAGGGCAAAATCTGTCCCCAGAGTTGTTGATGCTATTGGCTTGTTTGGATAAGCTGTGTTCATTTTTTATTTAGGTCTTTGGGACCTGAAAATCTCTTGCTGAAAGGAGCTACGCTAAAAAATACCGAGAAGATATATGGTGAACAATTTTTAAGATACACCTATCAAAAAATATGCTTTGTAAAGGCTGTGAATAAATAGTGCATATTAAAAAGTAAACATGGCAGGTTTGCCATTTAATTTAAACCTACATTTAGGTGTTGGGAATTTATAACGTGGTAAACTAAGACGAAATATGACAAATACTATATATAATTAAAATTATCCTATAAATGATATACAACTGGTGAGTGGAAGAGGGCCTAGATTTCCCACTTTTATAGACTTAAAAATTCATAGAGCCAGCTGGGTGAGGAGTTGGTTGACAAGTTCTTAGTTTTTATTATATTCTGTAATTTCTTAGGAGTTGCTGTTTACACTGGAATGGAAACCAAAATGGCTTTGAACTACCAAGGGAAATCTCAGAAACGTTCTGCTGTTGAAAAGTTAGTATGCGCCACAATTTATTTAGTCATTATTGATTAAAATAGTTACTTTCTTGGTAATTCCAAGTAACAAGCATAACAAAAAACAACATCAATTATAATAGCAACTACAATTTTAAGCACTTGTTTATGTACCAGAAACTGTGCTCAATGATTTGTATGTCTGATTTGGTTTAGTCCTCTGAAGAACACTGTGAAGTAATTCATGTTAACCTCTCCACTTTACAGATGAGGAAATGGTCTTGGAGATGGTATGTGACTTACCTAAGCTCACATAGCTATTAAAGGGCAGAGTTTACTTGAACTGTAAATTCATTCCTTTTTGCTAGTGGAGTTAATGGTTTGGAGTCCTTTAGTTGCTATATGCAAGTTGGTTCTATAATATAGATAATAGTCTCCTGGCACCTATTGAAGCAGTGCCTCGTAGATCCTCAAGCCAGTTGCCACTGCTATAGACCTCACCCTGTATTTGGCATGGATAACCAGTATATCACTGGCACCCTTTCCATAGCTCCACTTTTAAACTGAAAGAACCTACACCGAGCTTGAGGATTTCACATTGCTACCGTGCCCTCTACCCCAAACATTTAGGATTCAGGGAAATGGAGACAAGATACTCTTTCTATAAGGGTTGAGTAAGTAATGGTGTGTGTATGTGTGCATGTGTGTACCTCTCCTGTCACTTTACAGGAACCTTAATAAGGTGTGTTCAGCTAGTCAGCCATTGCACTTGGGGGAGCATTGGTGGTCAATAAACAGTTCATGGCCAGCTTTTCCATTTTGCCACTTGAAAGTAATGCTGCAGCTATGATAACTGAGGTTAATACACAAAGGCTTGTGCTGTAGTTACGCGTCGTACACAGAAAAAGCTTTAGATGACTCAGTAGTTTAATTCATATCTGACTGATGTCTTTGGTTTTAAAATCCATGCTATCTTATTTTTCAGATCTATTAATGCTTTCCTGATTGTATATTTATTTATCTTACTGACCAAAGCTGCAGTATGCACTACTCTAAAGTATGTTTGGCAAAGTACCCCATACAATGATGAACCTTGGTATAACCAAAAGACTCAGAAAGAGCGAGAGACCTTGAAGGTAATTTGTTTTCTGCTGAAAATTGAAACTATTTTTTGTGACTGAGCCAACCTTCACTGAAATGCTGCTCAGGGAAACGGCACCTTTTGTTAGCTTCTGAATTTTCTCTCGATTACATGGTGGCTCTAAGCCAATAAATATTTAAGAAGATTTATTGTAAAAGAAAGAAAAAGAAAAACAAAGTTTTTTTTGTAAAAAAAACTTTTATTTTCTTTATTGTAAAAGAAAGAAAAAGAAAAGAAAAAAAGAGTTTTTTTTCTTTTACTTTAGGCATCTATGCTTGTTTTTAGCTCTTTATATAAGAATTTAAGGTGAAACAATTTGGCAAGATGCTTTGACATTTTAATGTAATAGGAGTATGTGAAATGTCACGATAAAAGCATAATGAATGCCTTACATATGAACTTTGATCTCACATTCCTATCTTAGGGTGGAGTGAGCAAAGAGAACTTAAAGAAGTGAAAAAGTACTGACAGAAGTAGTATATACTGAAGAATAATGATAAAATTGAGAGTGTTCTTAAATGTTCTCACATACTGTGATAATTTTGACTACAGTGATGTAGTGTTATTAGGAAGTTCCATCTTTATAGCAAGAGCAGTGTTTTCAGCATTGAAATAAAGATGAAATTAATTCTTCCTTTATATTATATTGGTCTGATGAAATTGTATGTCTAATTAGCATGAACTATCTCTTTTATTTTAGGTTTTAAAAATGTTCACCGACTTCCTATCATTTATGGTTCTATTCAACTTTATCATTCCTGTCTCCATGTACGTCACAGTAGAAATGCAGAAATTCTTGGGCTCCTTCTTCATCTCATGGGATAAGGACTTTTATGATGAAGAAATTAATGAAGGAGCCCTGGTTAACACATCAGACCTTAATGAAGAACTTGGTCAGGTTAGAGCATTGTTTTACTTAAAATAATTTGTCAACGTAGTGAAAATATCTTTTTGTGTAGTCTGGATTACCAATATATGTGACCATGTCACATTTGGAAAAGTGATTCAGAGAAAATTCTTTAATGCAGGCATGTAATGAAGGTAAGCAGTGTTTTCATAGTTACAGCATCAGTTCTTTTGCTGGCATTTTTGAGAAGGATACAATTTATGTATTAAATTTGAACGTTACTGAAATTCTCCTTGGAACTGGGTGATGTTACATTATTAGCTATTGCTTTGGAACAGGAAACAGTCTTCATCACCATCTATAACCATTTGTGGATAGAATATGGGGTAGCAAATATGGCTCTTTTATAAGTGTATTTTGTTCCATAAGCAAAATTGACCAGAGTTGTCCTATTGACATTTTCTTGGTACATTTCTGATCAGGTAGAATATAGACCTAACAAGCAGAGTTATTTATTCCAGTACAAGAATTTCAATGAAGGGAAAACGTGAGGGCATGTACTCCTCAAAATGCATTCTTCTTTATATACCAATGTAACCCAGACTGTGACCCCATTCTAACCCAGGTGCATTTATTTTCCAGTGCAACACAGTCTGGCTGTAATTCTTCAAGTGATGATTTCTTAGGTGCTTTTCTTAATAGTATCGAGAAAGTTTTCCCCTTTTTTTTATTTTACTCTGTGTCATGTAATGATCTTTGTGAGCTGAAGGAATTTTTTGGCTTGCATTTTATTCTCATGACATTTAGAATGTCAAGACTGTGGAAATGTCATTTTTGTGACTGGGAGTTTCCAAATTCAGTTAATGAAACTGTGTGGCTGGAGCAGAGCCTCACACTTGTTTAAATGGGGCTGATTTGCATTCACACCTCAAAACTCTTACTTCCTGGCTTTAGGCCTCTCCGCAGTCCATGCTTTCTGTTTCTACTCTTGATATAGTCTTTGCCTAAATCAAAGTACCCACATGACAACTGCAGTTGAAAGGTAGAAAGGACTCTCCAGATACCATTTTGTTTAGACTTGACTTCAGGACACCAGTATCTGAAACCATGGAGTCTACATCCTGTGTAGATACCAAGGCACTAAGAATAGGGCTTTTCCTTTGGATATTGTTCCCACAAGGTTATTTTGTTGACAATGTGGGCTGCCGTACCTGACCATTGTCTTTTAGGCCAGAAGTTTTCATCCAGGGTTAGAGCTATCTGAGTAGAACTGCTCTAATCTCAATAAAAGGCATCAATTTGCAGAGTGCATGAGAAAAAATTTTGAGTATACAAGCCACCTTAAGTGAACCTTTCCCTGACAGTTAATTTAGTGGTTCATTCTAGATGCTGAGCAAATCTGCCTGTTCTGGATTTAGTGCCTGGCTGTATGTGTTAACCTACTCAAGGTTGAGCATGACTAGCTTGGGGCTAGCCTCAACTACTATTACAAATAGAATAGCCATCATTCCGAATATGACACTTAATGTTCACTAAAAACAGATAAGATGCCCGGGTCAGGTTCCATTTGATGAGACTCTTACCTCTTTCAGATCTTCATTTCAGCAGATTCCATATTACCTATGGGAATGCAGTCTTCTTATCATCTAGACTATGTTAATACTGCAGAAAGTAAAGTAGAGCTTTGGGTAATGATCTAGTAAATTTGATGAGTGAAAAGAAGCTGCAGTCTTCCTTTTAGTCACCACTCCTTTCTCCCACCAAACCTTGCATTTCTAGCTGTGGTTGTCATTTAGTCAAATCAAGTTAATAGCCAGACCATCACTTCAATTAATACAGTGTATAAGCAACTTGCCATTGTTATCAGTTTGCATGTATAGAAACGACCTAAATGAAAGTGCAAAGAAGTCTTGAAATGGTTTCTTAGGCCATTTAGTATTCAGTAAACCAGTACACACAAAATTAAGTGTAACCTGTTTTTTCTTTGTTGAGTCAAATTTAAGATCTGTGTAACTTTTTATGTTACTAAAGGCAATGTCATTTAATTCCTGTTCATACCATTGCAAGCATTTGCTTAACCTCTTTTAATGTGACCCACACTGGGATTAAGAATAGAAAGATATGTTTAGAACAGTGCTTGACATGAGAAACAAAAGGAAGTAGACTGCTCAGCTCAGTTGGAAAATAATGCAGTCTTTTATGATTAGACATCAATCTTTTAGACAACCAAATGATTGTAATCCATATTGAAAAACCCGTGGGGCTACTCTTCTTTGTGTCGCCTTCCCATCTTGCGGCTCTGCCTAATGGTGGAACTTTATAGTGTGAGTATATATTCTGATTCCAATAATTTAAGCCAGTAGCTGTTATTCACCTTTTACTGTCTGGGATGTGTGTGTGTGCTAGGTATTATTATGAAGTAAACAAGAAACCCTCAAGTTTTTAAAAATATCACTGGGGAGACACACACATCAGACCTAACTATAGCAATGTGATCATAATCAATCAGAAAAGATGTGGGGCAGTGCAAAGAGTCTGGTGTTCTTTGATTTTGGTGAAGTCAACATCAGTGACAGTCACCATGTATATAGCACCTTTTAGGTTATAGATCATTATTATTGAGCTTTATTTTTTAATCTTTACATTCTTGTGCAGCAGGTATCGTTAAGGTTAATATTTGAAGTTCATAGAGATAAAGAGATTTTCCTAAGGTCACAAAGTTAGTAGGTGGTGGAGCCAAGATGGAGTCCAAGTGTTCCATTAAGTTGAACCATTGGTAATTTTTGATCTACAAAATAGATCATTTCACATGTTCAACATATACTTCAGAGCCTTTTCTACCCTACAGCAGTTGTCTCACTAAGAGATAGGAAAAGAAAATCTTTTTTCTTTTTTTAGAAATTATATTCAATGAAATACTAATTAACCCATAAAAGTTATTATGTAAATCTATATTCTTGACATGGAAATACATATGTATATGTGTGTGAGAAAAATAGATTACGTAGCAAACATAATGAGATTACATTTCTGTTCAAGTGGTAAATACACATTTTACCACTCAAAATATTAACATGATTGTTTCTGTATGATGGGATTAATATGTGTTTCAGGGAAAACTCCCAAAATGTGTTTTTACTGTGCTCTCACAGCAAACAACACAGAGACTTCTGTGTCCAAATGTGGGAGGGAGCAGTTTCTCTCACCGACAAACAGTGAACACCAACTGGGTGTCCTCTAGTTCAATTCTGTCTACCTGGAGATAACATCAGATCCCACAGGGTGAGGGCCCAGTCCCCAAGACTGCCCCATGACTCCTAGACACCAGTCACAAGTCTGGGCCTCCGGAACTTCTGATCGACCAGCTTTAAGTTGGGCTACCCACAATCCCCTCTTTGGGTTTGATTAACTTGCTAGAGCAGCAGACAGAAGTCAGGAAAACACTTAACTTACGTTCACCAGTTTCATATAAAGGATATTGCAAAGGACACAGATGAAGAGACATGTGGGACGATATATAGGGGAAAGGGTGTTTAGCTTCCATACCTTCCTTGGGCGCACCACCCTCCAGGAACCCCTACATGTTAGTTATCCCTAAGACCCTGTTTTTCTTTCATTATTCTCACATAGCCACTCAACACTTTTGACAAAAGGTATGTGAAGTTTTTTCCTGACACACCAAGCAAGCAGTTCTCCAGCAAACACCAGCTGGGTATCCTCCAGTTCACTTTTGATACTGCCTACCTGGAGATAGTGTATCATGTCAGATCTCACAGGTTGAGGGCTCAGTCCCATAAGACTGCCCCCCACTTCAGATGCCAGTTGCTAATTCAGGTTGTAACGTATGCTTCTGATTGACCAGCTATAAAATGGGGTCCAGTAGTTTACTAGACCCCCTCCTTGGATTTGATTAGTTTACTAGAGCAGGTCATAAAACTCAGGGAAACAGTCATGTTTACTGGTTCATTATAAAAGGATATGACAAAGGATACAGATGAAGAGATGGGTGAAGTATGGGGGAAGGGGCGTGGAGCTTCCATGGAGCTTCCATGACCTTTCTAGGCATCCTTCAAGAAATTTCATGTGTTCAGCTATCCAGAAGCTCTTTGAACCTAGTTTTTTGGGGAGTTTATGGAAGCTTCATTATGTGGGGATGATTGATTAAATCATTGGCCACTGGTGTTAAGCTTAACCTTCAGCCCCTCTTTCCTCCTTCCCCAGGTCAGGTGTGGGGCTGAAAATCCCAACCCTGTAATCATGCCTTGGTCTTTCCAGTGACCTGCACTCATCCTGAAGCTATCTAGGGGCCCCGAACCACTTGTCATCTCATTAGCATGCAAAAACACTGTTATCACTTTGGAGATACTAAGGCTTTAGGAGCTTTATGTCAGGAAACAGGAAGGAAGATCAAATATATATTTATCAAATATATTTTACAATATCACGCAAATGATGGCTTTGAGCTTACTGATACAGAGGAGTCTTTTTGGCAAGCTTGAAGAAGAAGAGAGGCTGCTTGAGAGTCAGAGTAAAGCAGCAGCCTCCCCCTTCATTCCTTTGTCTCTGTTAAATATGAGAATAGTTAAATTAATTACAGTCGATCTACTCCTCTTCTTTTTCTGAGTATAGATCATATATTAGGGCGGTGGTTCTGTAAATATGATCCTAGGACCAGCAGCATCAACACTACCTGAGAACTTAGAAGTGTAAATTATTTGGTCCTACCTCTGACCGACTGATTCAGAAACTCTGGTGATAGAGCAGTGATCTGAGTTTTAACAAGACCTCCAAGTACATGTGATGCATTCTACAGTTTGATAATTACTGCATTTGGGTATAATTTATAGGCATATACCTGTGAGATTCAACGTATCCAGATTCATACTGCCCAAACTGTTTGAAATAGGTGAATAAATTGTACTTTATATTTTAAAGCTACCATCTTTGACACTAACAAAAGAGATTCTAATGCTCATCCAAGTGCAGGAGATGAAATAATCCAGGACACCCTTCAGGGAAAAATGAAGGTTAATAATTTTGATCAGAAAAAAGCCCCAAAGAATTTCATTTAAACTGGAAGAATCTAAATGATACACAAGTAATACCACTTGGATTAATTTAAAGAGAGAGTTCAAACTTGGCTGGCTTAACAGAAAAAAAAAAAGATTGGAATGCTATATTTGTGCCAGTGCTGCTACCGTGAAAAGCTTTGAAAAATAATTAGAAAGCAACTACTGCTGTAGTTCATCTCTTTCTCCCTTACATAATAAAAACCTTAATCTTGTCCTTATGCTTGTTCCTATCAGCCCATAATTTTAACTATTTAAGCATAAATTGCCAAAACGAGGATAAAATTGTGGGTTTCCAAAAGCCAGATGTTAAAAATAGAAGAGATAAAAACCGAGATAAAATAGAAATGCTCAAAATGATTTATCTTAGTGGCAAATTTATTTCTTGGCTTATATTTTCCATTATTTATGAAAATATACTTGTGTTATACTTTATCTGCTTTTTTTCTAAATTTGGAAACTTGAGTATTTTCAAAATATGTATAGTAAAAAGAAAGAAATTTCAGTTATGGTTTTGATCACTACTGACCTATACTGTATCTTCCAATTAGGTAACTGTTAATGTTGTTATTAATTCTTATGTATATTATATGATGTGGTGCATTTTATTTTAATTCAGTATTTTTATAGAAAATTTTACTTTTAAAAGGGGAAAAAAACCTTCATCAGTTTCTGTTTTATTTTGTTACATCCCATTTAATTTATTGGGAAAAAATTTTTAATGGGTAATGTACGTACTAGCCCACAAAGTGTAAGAGTGTGTGTGTGTGTGTGTGTGTGTGTGTGTGTGAGTGAGAGAGAGAGAGAGAAATAAGTGGTCAGTATAGTCTTACTTCCCACTTGAAAAATTGACTTATGTAACTTCTTTACATCAAACAGGTTAACTGGCTGGGCATGGTGGCTCATGCCTATAATCCCAACACTTTGGGAGGCCAAGGCTTGAGCCCAGGAGTATGGGACCAGCCTGGGCAACATAGTGAGATGCTGTCTCTACAAAAATTACAGAATAATTAGCCTGGTGTGGTGGTGCGTGCCTGTGGTCCCAGCTACTTGGGAGGCTGAGGTGGGAGGATTGCTTGAGCCAAGAAGTTTGAGGTTATAGTGAGCTATAATGGCTACTGCATTCCAGCCTGAGTGACAGAGTGAGACCCTATCTTAAAAAAGGTTAACTTAAATGAGAAGCGTTCTTAGTTTGATAAAATAGTCACTTTTTTTTTTTTTTCCTGAGACAGAGTCTCACTCTATCACCCAGGTTGGAGTATAGTGATGTGATCTCAGCTCACTGCAACCTTTGTCTCCTGGATTCAAGCAATTCTTGTGCCTCAGCCTCCCAAGTAGCTGGGATTTCAGGTGTGTGCCACCACACCCAGCTAATTTTTGTATTTCTAGTAGAGACGGGGTTTCACCATGTTGGCCAGGCTGGTCTTGAACTCCTGAGCTCAAGCAATCCTCCTGCCTCAGCCTCCCAAAGTGCTGGGACTACAGGCATAAGCCACCGTGCCTGGCCAATAGTCACATTTTTTTCTATTCATCTTTTACATTTGAGTAGATCTACCTTAGACATGTGATAGCATTTTGGTGTCTTTAAAAATACTCATTTATTCCTCATTTCTTTGGTAATATTGTCTCTGTAATTCCCTGACATTTGACAAGAAGTCTTAGAAGGGGTGATTTCCTATGGATATGAAAATAGCTTTGCGTTACAGCAAACTAAAAATTAGTCACACTGAAGAAACTAACAATATATGTTTGTGTCCTTGTTTTAGGTGGATTATGTATTTACAGATAAGACTGGAACACTCACTGAAAACAGCATGGAATTCATTGAATGCTGCATAGATGGCCACAAATATAAAGGTGTAACTCAAGAGGTTGATGGATTATCTCAAACTGATGGAACTTTAACATATTTTGACAAAGTAGATAAGGTGCATTTGCATTATTGTTTTATATAAGAAACCAATCTGTGTATGCATGTTAACATTCCATAGTAGAAAATAATTTTTAGGTGGACACATGACATAGACTTTTGTGTTTTTGTTTTTTTTTTTTGAGATGGAGTCTCACTCTGTTGCCCAGGCTGGAGTACGGTGGCATGATCTCAGCTCACTGCAACCTCCGCTTCCCAGGTTCAAGCGATTCTCCTGCCTCAGCCTCCCGAGTAGCTGGGATTACAGGCGCCTGCCACCATGCCTGGCTAATTTTTTTGTATTTTTAGTAGAAACGGAGTTTCACCATGTTGGTCAGGCTGGTCTCAAACTCCTGACCTCAGGTAATCCACCACCCTCCGTCCCCCAAAGTGCTGGGATTACAGGCATGAGCCACTGTGCCCAGTGACTTTAGAATAACTATTGTTGGATTCACCTTTCTTGTTTTACTGACACTTCTGAAATTTGTAAATGAGTAGAATTTACAAGTAAAGAGAATTGTGGGAAATGACATTTGGGTAAAAGCTTGCTTGTCTGTATGATCATAATTTTTTGTGCTTTGTCTTTTAAAATGTAAGCTCCTCCAAGAATGATGTCTGTTCAAATGATTAAAGTCTCAGGAGTGTCTAGGCATTAAATTAACCAGAGTCTCCCTACACTTGAGCTATTGCTAGATTGTGAATTAGATACTGAATGAAGTTTTTTAGGCCATGAAGAAGTCACTGCTTTGGCTTAGGTGGTGCCACAATAACCTTAATGAGTTAACACAGCCTATAGGGTATGCTAGCTGAGAACCAGGAACTCTTATTAGGTACTAGGAGAATATATAGCAGATTTGAGTGTTAAGAATTTATACGTATCTGCTACTAAGTTTGTTAGAAGTTACAACATTCTCTCACATTAATATATTTTCTCCGTTCACTGCCTAGTTACCGGGTGATCAAATTAAAAATAATAATCATTATTTTGTTGCTGTTCCACAGAATCGAGAAGAGCTGTTTCTACGTGCCTTGTGTTTATGTCATACTGTAGAAATCAAAACAAACGATGCTGTTGATGGAGCTACAGAATCAGCTGAATTAACCTATATCTCCTCTTCACCAGATGAAATAGCTTTGGTGAAAGGAGCTAAAAGGTAAAGTATACTTTCTTATACTTCTCCTAAGAAAGTGAAATCACAGGAGGACAGAAGTTATTTGTTTTTTTCCGTTTGCTTCAGTGACCTTAGCACATACATCTCCTATTATTTAATAAAAAACACAACTGCTTTAGCCAAAAATTTGTGGAAAATTCCCACACCTAACCAGTTAAGACTAAAAAGAAAATAGTTACAGGTAGGTATTACTTGCCTTACTATTTATGCATGCCAGCCAGAAGTCTGAATGTTCATACTATGTTTTGCAAATAACATAACAGTGGCCACTTTTTGTACAACACATGTTATTTCTGAGGTGCTCCCAGCAATTTTGACATCATTTGAGAACCGAAAGTCCAGTTTTACCCATGAGGTTCAAGATAATTAAGTGGCTCAAAGGTCACCCAGTGTGTTAGCCGTAGAATCAGAAACCCAAATTGTCTCTCCCTTGGTTACAATAATTGTGGCTGGGCATTGACTTTCTCTGTTATCAACTTATCCAGGAAAAGAAAGTACAGTTATATGTTGAGATCATATGAAAGAGAAGAAAAGCATAAACAAGCATGAGTTACCCCATTGAAAGTAATCATTCTAGACCAGGTGCGGTGGCTCACGCCTGTAATCCCAGCACTTTGGGAGGCCAAGGCGGGTGGATCACCTGAGGTCAGGAGTTCAAGACCAGCCTGGCCAACATGGTGAAACTCTGTCTCTACTAAAAATACAAAAATCAGCCGGGTGTGGTGACACACACCTGTAATCTCAGCTACTCAGGAGGTTGAGGCAGGAGAATCGCTTGAAACTGGGAGGTGAAGGTTGCAGTGAGCCGAGATCGCGCCACTGCACTCCAGCCTGGGCAACAGAGCGAGACTCTGTCTCAAAAAAAATAATAATAAAAAAATTAATCATTCTTTAGAGATACACAAGGTCTTTTTTATTGTTTTTGATAGGTACGGGTTCACATTTTTAGGAAATCGAAATGGATATATGAGAGTAGAGAACCAAAGAAAAGAAATAGAAGAGTAAGTAGCTCTGTGTTTGATGTTTGTCATTTCTTAACCCCATAGTCAAATTTAAGTGGATTCAGGCAGGGCAGCAAAGGAAATGATGCCACTAAAAATACAGGACCCTGCTCTCCCAGTTCAGAGTTTTATGTAAATATAGTTGGGGTAGAAGCCATGTTACATAGAATTGCAGAAACTGGAGTTTGAGGTGGAAATTCCAATCTGGTTCACATCTGGGTCCAGTAGCCAGAATGAGAGTTTGCCTGGAATGTTTCTCAAATTTAGATGCCATTTCAGGTCTCTAACACATGCTACAGGAAAAATCAGTGAATATATGTGAAACCTTCTGCTATCTAGTGTCCAAGCAATCACTCTGGGATTGCAAGCCCAGGCAATAAAGGCAGCTTTGCTGTAAACCAGAAGCCTTGTTTGGTTCGGAATGTTCAGGTGTGAGCCTCGGGGCAAGTACTCTGATGCTCCAGTGTCTTCACATTTCCTCTTTTGCCACAAAGACCCTAATGAACAAAGCCACCTTATCTTAATGGTGGATTTTAATTAGGCTCTGTGATTAATTTGAATTTCCTCATCTGAACTTGAAATATAATTATGTTATCTGACTTTCATTCTGGCCCCTAGGATCTCCTGAGACCCATCTCAGAAACCTGTAATATGTTTACAGGTACTTGGGTAATGCACCCTTTTGGAGAGAGATTCATAGAAGCCCAGAGGAAGGTTCTTGGTCTGACTGACAGGGACCCAGGGTCATTGTCAGAGTTTAGATTCTAGCCCATCTGCAACAGTGCCCACATCTGGCCAACAGCAAACCAGATGCCATGTTAGATGTCTTATACATATACTCCCGCAAGACTAATGACCCCCTCACTCCCACCAAAACAAGCTATGTAGTAAATACTTTTTTTAAAAAATACTAGTTGTTTATTTTCAAGGAAATATTTCCTCTCACTTTTTCTAATAACCAACTCTTATTTTAACTCTTCTGTGTCTCTCCATTGATTAGTTCAGCCATCCACACACACATTTGACCAGTCTCATCATGTCATTCCACTGTTTAAACCCTTTTATTGGCTTTCTTTTGCTCTTACAATACAATCCCAAATTCCAGAAATGGCTCACAAAGATGTGTTTCCAGCCCCTGCTTACCTTTCTTGCTTTATCTCTTACTATTCCCCTATTGATGAGTTTTTTGGGCATTGGTGAACTACTTAAAGTCTTCCATGGGCCATGTGCTCTCATGCTGCCGTGCTCATTCCCTCTACTCAGAATGCCATGGCCCCCTTTCTTCATCATATTACCCTTGCAGAACCCAGCTCAGGCATGTCCTCTTCCAGGAAACCTCCTTTCAGATGACTTCCTTCTGTGTTCTTATATCTTCCCTGTAAGTGCCTTTATTACAGTATTTGAGAAACTAGAAGGGTAGTTATCTCATTATGCTCTGTCTCCCTTATCATATGGTGACCCGCATAAGGGAAGGGACTCAGGCAGATTCACCTCTATTCCCCAGCACCTAGCACTGTGCCTGGCACTCCATACATAAATGCTGCTAAAATAATTGGCAGAGTGGGACTGTTTCTAGACCCCTCCAAATATGGCTTGGTGGGACAGCTCTTTATCTTCCATTTTTATGTGGTCATTCTCCTTACCATTTTAAGTAATATACTGAGGGGCTATAAATACCCCTTAACTAACACTGGTGTCCTCTGACAGCATGTTCTATGTTCAGAGAAATTCTGAGACAAAGGAAAGTACCAGTTGTGCACACAACCAGTGCTATCTGTTGATTTAAGATGTTTAAATATCTTAACATATTTCTGTTGTGCTTTATTTTTCTCAGTATATTCTAGGTTTTTTACTTTGCTCATTTCTCTTAAAGATATGAACTTCTTCACACCTTAAACTTTGATGCTGTCCGGCGACGTATGAGTGTAATTGTGAAGACTCAAGAAGGTACATGTCTGAAAAGCTTGAATTTTTCTCTTTGTTGATTTGTAGGCTTATTGGTTGATTCACTCTTTCAGGAAAGAGAATCATTTCATGTAGTAGTGTAGGATTAGTGAAAGTCATGCAAAGCAGTAGCTTTTGCATATGCTTTCATGTATTTTTTTAAGCACAGATGTTCTGTTTACCAAATTGTTAGTGACAGAACCCTTGTTATGACAGGGTGTGCCTTTTCTTGGTAGCAGAACCATATCCCTCTGCCTTGGGTGTTCGAACAGGAACTGAAAGGATGACTTTTATATGGTTCAGGGTACTGACCAGTCTACCAGTAATGTTTACATGCAGCCACCCAGCATAGTTGGATGGTTTGGGATTACTAGCAGCAGAATCCTTGAGTATAGGGAGTTGCTTGTTATCCCTCACTGACCTTCCTGGTTCCCCTACTGCTTGACACTCCCTGGAAACAGGTGAGGTAGAGAGGACTAAGGGCCTGGTTTCTGGGAAATGGCATTGCAGTTTCACTCCAGAGCTCAGGTTCTTTGTTGAGCAGAGTAAAGCTTGCCCTTTGCAGGGGAACTGGTACTGTAATCCTGGGCTCCCTCATGTCTTTGGAGGCACCATGGTGGTTTGCCTTCTGCTCAGATTCTGCAAGACCCATGGGCGAGCAATCCTGCTTTATTCGAAGGCTCTCAGATACGTGTGTGTGTGGTGTGCCGAGGTGGTTTGTTTTCTAAAAATTTTTGATTTATTTCCCAGTAATTTACGTTTTACTATTAAATTTTCTAAATTCCTTAATGTCAGAATGGGAGGATACAGACAGATCCTTGGGGGAACATATCCCACTTAATTCATACTTTGTGGTGTGATTGCAAAGTCATGAAATTGATTTTAATAAGTGACCATGGAGTTTGTTTTGTGAATTTTAAAATACACTTTGGATGTGTAAGAATAAATGAAAAAAAAAACACAACATTTCAAATACTTGCTATTCTTATGTGTGCATGTCCACATGTTCTACAGCAAATGGTGAAATGTCTGTGGAACTGGTCTACAAAGGTCATTGACCTCAGAGCTACACTTTTTAATTTGTTGACCTCGGTTGTTTCCCTTATAAGGATAAAGTGTCTGTCTTAGTGCACAACTGTGAATATTTCCTGGGTGTGTGAAGTGATCTAAAGCTGCAATTATACCAGCATTCTACAAAGCTATTCTCATCAGTAAAAACTATCAAGCCATTGTTTTAGAAGCTAGTTAATATAGTTTATTCAAAATTATTTCAGCTTGTTTGAGCTTGAGCTTTCTTCTTGACATCTGTAGATGCCATATGTGTGCTCTAGGCCATGGCTTCACTGCATTTTTTTTTTTTTAAGACACGGTATTACTCTGTCATCTAGGCTGGAGTGGCAAGATTATAGCTCACTGCAGCCTTGACATCCTGGGCTCAAGCAATCCTTCCACCTCAGCATCCAGCGTAGTTGGGTCTATAGGTGTGTACCACCATGCCTGGCTAATTTTTTAATTTTTAGTAGAGTCAGGGTCTCCCTGTGTTGCCCAGGCTGGTCTTGAACTCCTGAGCTTAAGTGATCCTCCCACTTCAGCCTCCCACAATGCTGGGATTACAGGCATGAGCCACTGCACCTGGCATACATTTTCAGAAGAAATTCAGATGCAGCTCCTTGACACAAGCCCAGCCCTCCATGAATTGGTGGGAGGAAGTATATTTTAACAGAGGTGCCTATTGTAAACTCTGGCTTATTAATTGTGTTCATAATGACCTTGAAGAGGTGGTACATGCCTTTCTGACAGACTGAAGGCCAAGATTTCTCATTCCATTTAGGTGAGTATTGCAAGGTGTGCTCAGAATATACAACACTTGGGTGAGAGAGACCGCTTTAAAAGTTACTCTTACTAAAACCACAATACCAGCCTTAAAATTCTAAGTCAAGTACTATGGTTCTTTATTTTAGGAGACATACTTCTCTTTTGTAAAGGAGCAGACTCGGCAGTTTTTCCCAGAGTGCAAAATCATGAAATTGAGTTAACTAAAGTCCATGTGGAACGTAATGCAATGGTGAGCCTATACTCCTTCCCCCACCAATAAGTAAGCAGAGAAATGTTGAAAATGACTATGTTTATTGGATTTCTGTTTAAATGACAGTTTAAATACATTTTAGCTTATTTTTGTGGTCTATGTTTTGTATTTGGGGATTTGATAATATTACTTTTTTTTATCTTAATATAAAACATTTTCCTGGAGCAAGTTTCAGGTCAGAATTTGCAGCCTTAAAAGACTTTTCAACAACCTTTGTTAAAAGAACTGTTACTTCCTTTTTCTGAACCTAATTGAATGTTACCTTTTCAGTTGTAATTTCTTCATTTTTTCAGACTAAATATGTGTCAGAATTTCTCTTGTCCATATGGCTAAAGCAAGAGTATTTACAGAGTGTGTTTTTTTTTTTTTCCAACTATTATTAGAATAACTACAGATCTCCTACTTTACTCCTAGGATGGGTATCGGACACTCTGTGTAGCCTTCAAAGAAATTGCTCCAGATGATTATGAAAGAATTAACAGACAGCTCATAGAGGCAAAAATGGCCTTACAAGACAGAGAAGAAAAAATGGAAAAAGTTTTCGATGATATTGAGACAAACATGAATTTAATTGGAGCCACTGCAGTTGAAGACAAGTAACTAGAAAATGATACTCTTATTATTTTAATGACCAGTGTTTTGGGTGTGATCTGCCCCAGATTAGTAATTTAATCTCGAAGTTTGAAATCTTTAGTTTTATTGTTTAAGTGGACTTAAAGATTTATTTATTATAGCAAGTATGAAAAATTACACCAGATTTTGAGCTGTTAGTAGGAATGATTTTTTTTTAATTTTTTAATTAATTTTTTTTTTTTTGAGACAGAGTCTCGCTCTGTCGCCCAGGCTGGAGTGCAGTGGCGCGGTCTTGGCTCACTGCCAGCTCCACCTCCCAGGTTCACGCCGTTCTCCTGCCCCAGCCTCCAGGGTAGCTGGGACTACAGGTGCCCACCACCACGCCCGGCTAATTTTTTTGTATTTTTAGTAGAGATGGGGTTTCACTGTGTTAGCCAGGATGGTTTCGATCTCCTGACCTCGTGATCTGTCCGCCTCAGCCTCCCAAAGTGCTAGGATTACAGGCGTGAGCCACCACACCCAGCCAGTAGGAATGATTTTTAAGGTAAATTCATGTAACCTAGAAGAATGAATCAGTTTTCACTCAGGTCTTTTGAATATTTACTAAGCTATCCATATATTTATGCACATATTATCAAATAGTCTTGACATGTTTAGGGAAGGGTACTACAGCCATTGTTTGAGCTGGTGCCTAGACAAAGGGGTAAGATTTTCAGAGATAGGTGAGCTGAAAGGAAATTTAAGGTAGAGTGAACAACATGAGAGCTTAATCTAACCTGGTTCAACAGACCAGAGTATGTTTTTGCATGCTTTATTTTATTTTATTTTTATTTTTATTTATTTATTTATTTTTGAGACAGAGTCTTGCTCTGTCGCCCAGGCTGGAGTGCAGTGGCACAATCTCGGCTCACTGCAACCTCTGCCTTCTGGGTTCAAGTGATTCTCACACCTCAGCCACCGGGGTAGCTAGCTGGAATTACAGGCATATGCCACCACACCCAGCTAATTTGCATATTTTTAGTAGAGGCGGGGTTTCGCCATGTTGGCCAGGCTGGTCTTGAACTGCTGGCCTCAAATAAGCTTCTGTCTTGACCTCCGAAAGTGTTGGGATTACAGGCATGAGCCGCCGTGCCTGGCCTGCATACTTTAAAATAATATGCTTTTAACTTACAGGCTGACCTTTTTCAGACTTGATTGCAGGACACTGCCATTGATCTGCTTGAAATAATAAGTTTTAAATTCTTAATATTTTTAGAATTTTCTAAATATTATATATGAAAATTATGAGAATTAAAAAGTTACAAACATATGTTTAGTCACGTTAAAAGGTATTGAAACTCTAATGAAATTCCTTTAGTCTAATTTCATTGTTATTCTGTGGCCAAAAGAAACCCAGAGGAAAGTATCGTTTTTCTCTTGTCGTCTTTAAGAATTATAATTAAATTCACATTCAGGATGATTGGCGTTCCTCTTTTTTTGGAGGGTGGGTCGGGGTTATACATTCAGGTAGTACATGTGCAGGTTCGTTATGTGGTTATATTGTGTAATGCTGGGGTTTGGGCTTCCATTGATCCCATCACCTAAGATATTAACATAATACTCAATGGGTGGTTTTTCAACCCTCACTCCCCTCCCGTCTTCCCCCTTTTGGAGTCCCCATTGTCTGTTATTTCCATTTTTATGTCCATGTGTACTTATTTATTAGCTCCCACTTATAAGTAAGAACATGTGGTATTTGATTTTCTGCCTCTGAGTTATTTCACTTAGGATAGTGGCCTCCAGCTGCATCCATGTTACTGCAAAGGACACGATTTTACTTTTCTTATGGCTGCGTAGTATTCCAGCAATCTTGCCTGATTGCTCTGGCTAGGACTTCCAGTACTCTGTTAAATAGGAGTGGTAAGAGTGGATATCCCTGTCTTGTTCCAGTTTTTAGGGGAAATGCATTCAACTTTTGCACATTGAGTATGGTGTTGGCTGTGGGTTTGCATGTAGGGTTCTTATTATTTTGAGGTATGTTTCTTTGATGCCTAGTTTGTTCTCAGGGTTTTTTTTTTTTATCATCAAGGTATGTCAAATTTTATTGAATATTTTTTCTGCATCTATTGGGATGATCATATAATTTTTGTTTTAATTTTACGTACGTGGTGAATTACATTTATTGATTTGCATATGTTAAGCCGTCCTTGCATCCCAGGAATAAAACCCGTTTGATCATGATGAGTTATCTTTCTGATGTGCTGCTGGTTTCAGTTTGCTAGTATTTTGTTGAGGATTTTTACATCTATGTTCATCATGAATAATGGCCTATAGTTTTCTTTTTTTATTGTGTCCTTGCCAAATTTTTATTTTAGGATGATACTAGTTTTGTAGAATGAGTTATGGAGGAATCTCACCTCACTGATTTTTCTTGGAGTAGTTTTAATAAGATTGGTACCAACTCTTCTTTATATACATCTGATAGAATTCTGCTGTTAATCTCTCTGGTCCTGGGTTTTTTTGATTAGTAGATTCGTTATTACTGATTCAGTTTCATAGCTTGTTTAGGGTTTCTTTTTCCTTCTGGTTCAATGTTGGGAGGTTGTATGTTTCCAGGAATTTATCCATTTTGTTTGTGTTTTCCAGTTTGTGCTCGTAGATATGTTCATAATAGTCTCTGAGGATCTTTTGTATTTCTGTGGTATCAGTTGTGATGTCACCTTTGTCATTTCTGATTGTGCTTATTTTAATCCTCTCTTTTTCTTTGTTAATTTAGCTACTGGTCTGTTTGTTTTTCATTTTTGTTTCATTGATCCTTTGTATGATTTTTTTGGTCTCAATTTACTTTAGTTCTGCTACAATCTTTGTTACTCCTCTGTTAGCTTTGGGTCTGGTTTGTTTTTGTTTTTCTAGTTCCTTTAGGTGTGACATTAGGTTGTTCATTTGAGATTTTTCTGCCTTTTTGATGTAGGCAATTAGTGCTATAAACTTTCCTCTTAACACTGCTTTTTGACATATCCCATAATTTTTGGTATATTGTGTCTCTATTTTCTTTGGTTTCAAAATTGTTTTTTGGTTTCTGCCTTAATTTCATTGTTTACTCAAAAGTTATTCAGGAGCAAGTTGTTCAGTTTATATGTACTGATGTGGTCTTGAGAGTTCCCCTTGGTATTGATTTCTAATTTTATTTCACTCTGTTCTGAGAAGATGCTTCTGTATGATTTTGAGTTTTGAATTTCAGGAGACTTGCTTTATGACCAAGCATGTGATCAATTTTAGAGAATGTTCATGCACAGATGAGAAAAATGTATGTTCCGCAGTTGTTGAGTAGAGTGTTTTGTAAATGTCTATTAGGTCCATTTGGTCAAGAGTCCAATTTAAGTCCAGAGTTTCTTTGTTAGTTTTCTGCCTCGATAATCTGTCTTGTGCTATCATTGGGGTCTTAAAATCCCCCAATATTGTATGGCTCTCTGTCTCTTTCCTTAGGTCTAGGGATGATTGTTTTATCAATCTGGGCACTCTGATGTTGGGTCTGTATATATTTAGGCTAGTTAAATCTTGTTGAATTGAATCCCTTTTCATTATGTAATTCCCGCTTTGTCTTTTTATTTACTGTTGTTGGTTTAAAGCCTGTTTTATCTGATATAGGAAGATCAAACCCTGCTCCTTTTTGTCTTCTATTTGCATGATAGATCTTTCTCCATCCCTTTAGATTTAGCTTGTGGTCATCATTACGCCTGAGATGGGTCTGTTGAAGTTTTTGAGACAGAGTCTCACTCTGTTGCCCAGGCTAGAGTGCAGCGGCGCAATCCTGGCTCACTGCAACTTCGCCTCCTGGGTTCAAACCATTCTCCTGCCTCAGCCTCCTGAGTAGCTGGGACTACGGGTTGCCTGCCACCACACTCAGCTAATTTTTGTAGTTTTAGTAGAGACGGGGTTTCACCATGTTGGCCAGGCTGGTCTCGAACTCATGACGTCAGGTGATCCTCCTGCCTCAGCTTCCTTAAGTGCTAGGATTACAGGTGTGAGCCACCACGCCCTGTCTAACAGATGGTATTTTTGTATTCATTGCGGCAATCTATGTCTTTTAAGTGGAGCATTTAGGCCATTTACATTCAAGGTTAATATTGATATGTGAGGTTTTGTTCCTGCCTTAGTGTTGTTAGCTAGTTGTTTTGGTAGTCTCAAGTATATAATTGCTTTATAGGATCTGTTAACTTTCTACTAACATATGCTTTTATAGTAGCAAATATCATCCGTTTGTTTCTGTGTTTAGAGCTCCTTTAAGCATTTCTTATAGGATAGGTTTGGTGGTGACAGATTCCCATAGCATTTGCTTGTCTGGGAAAAACTTTATTTTTCCTTAATTTAAGAAGCTTAGTTTAGCAGGATATAGAATTATTGGCTGCAGTTGTTTTTCTTTAGGAAGTCTAAAGGCCAGGTATGGTGGCTTATACCTGTAATCCAGTGCTTTGAAAGGTTGAGGTGGGAGGAACACTTGAGCCTGGGAGCTCACAGCCAGCCTGGGCAGCATAGCGAGACTCCATCTCTACAGAAATTTTTTTTAGATAAGTAAGCATGGTGACACGTGCTTGTAGTCTCAGCTGCTTGGGAGGCTGAGGTGGGAGGATTGCTTGAGCCCAGAAGTTACAGTGAGCCATGACTGCACCACTGCTACACTTTAGGTGACAGATTGAGATTTTTCTCTCTTAAAAAAAAAAAGGCCAAACTACATCCCCAATCTTCTGGCTTCTAAGATTTCTGCTGAGAAATTCACTATTAGTCTGATGGGATTTCATTTATAGGTAATTTGTCCTTTTTATCTAGCTGCCTTTAAGATTTTTTTTTTCTTGTTAACCTTGGGTAGTCTGATGACTATATGCCTTGGTGATGGTCATCTTGTGTAGCATATCACAGTTGTTCTCTGAATTTCTTGTATCTGGATGTTGACCTCTAGCAAGGTTCAAGAAATTTTCCTGAATTATTCCCCAAATATATTTTACATGTTGCCTTTTTTTCTTCTTTTCTCTCAGAAATGCCAAGAAGTTACAGATTTTGTTGCTTTACATAATCCCATATTTCTCAAAGACTTTGCTCATGTTGAAATTTTTTTTTTTTTATCTGACTGGATTAATTTGAAAGACTGTTCTTCAAGCTCTGCAATTCTTTCTTCTGCTTGGTCTAGTCTATTGTTACAGCTTCCAGCTGTATTTTGAAATTGCTGTAGTGAATTTTTCAATTCCAGGTGTTCTAATTGGTTTGTTTTATTATAGCTATCCTTATCTTTCATATCCTGAATCATTTTTCTGGTTTCTTTGTGTTGAGTTTCAACTTTCTCTTGGATCTCGTTGAGTTGCCTTGCAATCCATATTTTGAATTCCTTATCTGTCATTTCAGACTTTTCATTCTGGTTAGCCTGTATTATTACAGAGGTAGTACAATCCTTTGTGTGTGTCAAGACACCCCAGCTTTTTGTACCGCCAGAGTTCTTACACTGATTCCTTCTCATCTGAGGGATCTGTTGCTTCTTATTTTTGAATTTGCTGTAGTTTGGATGAGACATTTTTTATTTTTTAATTCTTTTTTCCCTTGAGGATATGACTGTGGTATATGTTGTGTATGATTGTTTGGCTTTGTTTCTGGGTGCTTTCGACGGGGCAAGGCTCTATATGGTTTCCTTGGTTGTGGATAGCTTCAGTGCAGTGGCTTTCTCAGATGCTGTTTGCTGTAGTGATGTATTGGATGCAAGGGCTGACACACTGCCTCCCGCAGGGCTAAGGGTGTGGAGGTGTCAGAAAGCTTAGCATGTGTACTAGCACTAAGCCCTTCTGGCAGCAAGTTATTTATTTGGTGGTGCAGTTCAGGCTTCAGTCTGGTAGATGGAGTTTAAGAGTAAGAGTCAGTTCTCCCTCTGGGAGATGATGAGTGGAAGCACCTACCCTGAGGGAAGGATGGTGGCAGGGGTTGGAGATCAGGTTGGGGTATGCTGGGTCTTGGGGAAAGGAACAAGGAGGGGTGCACCAGCTCCTCATCCTGTGCAGGTAGGAAGATGATCCGCTTCTCCATTATGCCCCTGTCGTAGGGCTCACAATCTTCAGTTTGTATAGACTTTATCCTTTGGTTCCTGGTTACATTGTGGCTGCAGACCATGGATACATCTCTCTGATGGTTGCCACCAAAATGGGCTTTGGCCGAGCCTTTCCCCCAAGTTCAGAGCAGACAACTCTGCAGCTTACCTGTCTGTTGCTGGGATGCTGCTGCTCTGTGTAGGGAGTTGGAGTTGGGCCCCACCCTTTGTGAAAGCCCAATTGGCCTGAGCTCGTTTTCAGCAGGGGTAGAGCCACTGCGAAAAAGGTGAAAAGTTTCTCCAGGTACATATGCGCTACCATCCACTGGGAAGAACTGCTGCTGGCTGCATCAACAACAGTGTACAGGGGGTGGACACAGTGGGAAATGACCCCTCTCCATGACTGTTCCTGGCCCTCAGTGCTACCCCCTTCAGTGATTGTCACTGTGCCCACATTTCTTTTGTCCCAGGAGGGCCCTTAGCAGGCTGTGCTTACCTCCCCCTTAGGGGCAGTCCATGCCGAGGGATAGATCTCCAGGGATCCCATAGCTCCCTGGGGACTCACTGATCCCCATGAGCTTGCCAAAGTCAGAGCGGGTTGGAGTATATTTGCAGGGAATCTGATGGTATGATAACTCAAGGGCAGAGATTCCCCTAGGTAGGGCATTGGCCCACTACAGCAGCACAAACACAGTGGTTCCTGCCCTCTAAGTTTGGGTCTGAGGGGAGTACTGACATGCCTGCATGAGCTGGCCACCTGGATCTCTGTCCCTGGGAAGCTCCTATATCGCCACTGATGGCATTGCCCTAGGTAAGGAGGGCAGAGGGGTTCCCCAGCAGTTTGATGATCAGGAGATTGCCACAAGGTGAGGGAAGCAGAGAAGCATTTCCACCTACCCTTTACATGGGGCTTTGAGTTCCTTAAGGGACAGTCTCTGCCAGACTCTCGCTTCTTCCCTTTTCTGTATCCCAGCTTTCTCTTGTGGGCTCTCCAACAGGTCCTGGCTCTCTTCCCACAGTTTTCAGTTCAGAAGATGTCCATTCACCAGTAACTTTGATCTTTTTTATGAGGACAACTGGCATTTGATGTCCCTAGTCAGCCACCTTGAAAACCCATGTTCCTGTTCTTAAAGCTCCTCAAGGATAGGGATTCACTAATTTCCCTCATCATCTGATTAGAATGTTTGGACCTTTATACTTTGAATGATGTTAAGTGATGTTAATTGGTATGGTTAGATATAAAATGAAACATGCTAAAGTGACATTGAGTACAAATGTTTCTGAACATTTTAGCTTAGAATGATGATACTCAATTCTGCCATTGGATACCAGTTACCCAAGGTGTCACAAACTTTTCAGAACCTCATTGTTTGAAATTTGCTTTAATAAGTAAAATTATGCCCGAGACAACACTCAGAATGAGTAGGGGATGTATATGAAAGTCAACCGTGATAAGGTGTCAGGACTCTAGAATTGCTGTGAATTATAAAAATATTCTCTTTAATAAGCCTTCCTGTAGAATCTTTGTCAGGAGTTTTAGAAGATCACAAGGTTTCTTTTGTGTTCCCAGGCTACAAGATCAAGCTGCAGAGACCATTGAAGCTCTGCATGCAGCAGGCCTGAAAGTCTGGGTGCTCACTGGGGACAAGATGGAGACAGCTAAATCCACATGCTATGCCTGCCGCCTTTTCCAGACCAACACTGAGCTCTTAGAACTAACCACAAAAACCATTGAAGAAAGTGAAAGGAAAGAAGATCGATTACATGAATTATTGATAGAATATCGCAAGAAATTGCTGCATGAGTTTCCTAAAAGTACTAGAAGCTTTAAAAAGTAAGAAAGTACATCAGTTTCTTATATTTAGACATTGGTGTAGATGTAAATCACAGCTGCATATACAAAAGGCTTCATTTTCTGTAATGCATGATTTTCTGTTTGCAGGTGTTTTATCCTTATAAGTTAAAATCGTCCCTGAGGACTTGAATAATGGCCCATCTGAGATTATTTGGCACTTTCCACCTTTTCTTTTAACTTAAGAGAAAACTGCACATTTCGGAAGGTTTAGAAAAATAGCTCAATTTTTAAATGTTTAGAGTCTAGGTATTCAATGTTGATATTCTGGCCTGGTCCATGTTAAGAAAAAAATATTCCTTTCACAGTCTCTTAAATTGAATGTAATAAAATCAATCTTTATGACAATTTTCATGCATTTTGAGGTTCTGGAGCCATTTTCTGTGCATTTTTATACCCCAGAGCTCCAAATGGAATCAAATACTTGTTAACGTGGCCACTTTCTTTAGAGGACATGGCCGCTTTGACTCTACTTTCAACTAGGAAGAACTTGTGGAACATAAAGGTGTCAGGGAAAGCCACTGATAAACAATAATTCAGTGCCCAGAGATATATTTTCTATACTTCCCATTGACCAAGGGTGAGCTTTGTCTAAACCAATTACTTGAATTTACCTTGGCCATAAGCAAATTGATTTCCTTTTTTGAAATGCCACTGGATGTGTCTGTACTAACTTGAAATATCCCTAAGCAATATTATTTTCAATTTCTTAAGCACACTTTATGTTCCAGGAACAGTGTTAAGGGCTTTGTATGATAATTATTATTTAATCATCATTAACAACCCAGTTAGGCAACCGTATTTTCTTCATTTCACAGATAGAGATCACACAGCTAAGAAGAAGTTCAGAAAGTCTCTCCAATTCCAGATCCCATGCTTATAACAACTATGCTATATCTGTATCCTCATCGCTAATGTTTAAGCAAGCTTTAAAAATGATTAGCCCACATTCATGAGGCTGTGGCCAATTCTAAAACAGCTGTTGTTCTTCTAGTACTTGGGCATCAGTGATAATAAATAGGTTTTTATTAATTGCCTATGAGAAACTTTTTCCTTTAGCCAAATGGTACTTCTAAAGATAGTCCAAAGTATGTGCATTTTACTTCTCCTTTTGTCTTAGTCTGCTTGGGCTGCCATAACAAAATACCATAGATTGGATGGATTAAACAGTAGAAATTTATTTTTCACGGTTTTGGAGGCTAAAGTTCTGTGATTGGAGTGCCAGCATGGTTGGGTTCTTGTGAGGGCTTTTTTCTGGCTTGCAAATGGCCGCCCTCTGCTGTCTCTTCCTCTTATAAGGGCAGTAATCCCATCATGGAGGCCCCACCTTCATTAACTCATCTAAAGTCAGTGTATTAGTCTGTTTTTACACTGCTGATAAAGACATACCCGAAACTGGGAACAAAAAGAGGTTTAATTGGACTTAGAGTTCTGCATGGTTGGGGAGGCCTCAGAATCATGGCAAAAAGCACCTCTTACATGACAGCGACAAGAGAAAAATGAGGAAGAAGCGAAAACAGAAACCCCTGATAAACCCATCAGATCTCATGAGAGTTAATTCACTATAATGAGAACAGCATAGGAAAGACCAGCCCCCATGATTCAGTTACCTCCCCCTGGGTCCCTCCCACAACACATGGGAATTCTGGGAGGTACAATTCAAGTTGAGATTTGGGTGGGGACACAACCAAATCATATCATTCTGCCCCTGGCCCCTCTAAATCTCATGTCCTCACATTTCAAAACCAATCATGCCTTCCCAACAGCCCCCCAAAGTCTTTCAGCATTAACCCAAAAGTCTACAGTCCAAAGTCTCATCTGAGACAAGGCAAGTCTCTTCTGCCTATGAGCCTGTATAAAATCAAAAGTAAGCTAGTTACTTCCTAGATACAATGGGGGTACAGGTATTGGGTAAATATAGCCGTTCCAAATGGGAGAAATTGGCCAAAACAAAGGGATTAGAGGGCCCATGCAAGTCTGAAATCCAGCAGGGCAGTCAATTATTAAAGCTCCAAAATGATCTACTTTGACTCCATGTCTCACATCCAGGTCATGCTGATGCAAGAGGTGGGTTCCCATGGTCTTGGGCAGCTCTGCCTCTGTGGCCTTGCAGGGTATAGTCTCCCTCCTGGCTGCTTTCACAGGCTGGCATTGAGTGTCTGCGGCTTTTCCAGGTGCACAGTGCAAGCTGTCAGTGGATCTACCATTCTGGGGTCTGGAGGATGGTGGCCCTCTTCTCATAGCTCCACTAATCAGTGCCCCAGTAGGGACTCTGTATGGGGACTCCAACACCACATTTCCCTTCTGCACTGTCCAAGCAGAGGTTCTCCATGAGGGCCCCATCCCTGCAGCAAACTTTTGCCTGGACATCCACACGTTTCCATACATATTCTGAAATCTAGGTGGAGGTTCCCAAATCTCAGTTCTTGACTTTGTGTACCCTCAGGCTCAATGCCATGTGGAAGCTGCCAAGGCTTGGGGCTTCCACCCTCTGAAGCCATGGCCTAAGCTCTACGTTGGCCCCTTTCAGCCATGGCTAGAGCAGCTGCACAGGGCACCAAATCCCTAGGCTACACACAGCACGGGGACGCTGGGCCTGGCCCATGAAACCACTTTTCTTCCTGGGCCTCCGGGCCTGTGATGGGAGGGGCTGCTGTGAAGGTCTCTGACATGGCCTGGAGACATTTTCCCCATGGTCTTGGGGATTAACATTAGGCTCCTTGCTTCTTATGCAAATTTCTGCAGCTGGCATGAATTTCTTCTCAGAAAATGGGTTTTTCTTTTCTGTCGCATCATCAGGCTGCAAATTTTCTGAACTTTATGCTCTGTTTCCCTTTTAAAATGGAATGCTTTTAACAGCATCTAGATTACCTTTTGAATGCTTTGCTCCTTAGAAATTTCTTCTGCCAGATACCCTAAATCATCTCTCTCAAGTTCAAACTTCCACAAATCTCTAGGGCAGGGACAAAATGCCACCAGTCTCTCTGCTAAAACATAGCAAGAGTCACCTTTGCTCCGGTTCCCAACAAGTTCCTCATCTCTGTCTGAGACCACCTCAGCCTGAACCTTACTTTTCATATCACTATCAGCATTTTTGTCAAAGCCATTCAACAAGTGTCTAGGAGGTTCCAAACTTTCCCACATTTTCCTGTCTTCCTGTGAGCCCTCCAAACTGTCCCAGCCTCTGCCTGTTACCCAGTTCCAAAGTTGCGTCCACAGTTTTGGTTATCTTTTCAGCAACACCCCACTCTACTGGTACCAATTTACTGTATTAGTCCGTTTTCATGCTGCTGATAAAAACTTACCCGAGACTGGGAAGAAAAAGAGATTTAATTGGACTTACAGTTCCACATGGCTGGGGAGGCCTCAGAATCAAGGCGAGAGGCAAAAGGCACTTCTTACATGGCTACGGTAACAGAAAAATGAGGAAGAAGCAAAAGCGGAAACCCGATAAACCCATCAGATCTCATGAGACTTACTCACTCTCACGAGAACAGCACAGGAAAGACCGGCCCCTATGATTCAGTTACCTCCCCCTGGGTCCCTCCCACAACACATGGCAGTTTTGGGAGATACAATTCAAGTTGAGATTTGGGTGGGGACACAGCCAAACCATATCAGTTAGTTACTCTCAAGGGCCCCACCTCCTAATACCACAACACTGGGAGTTAAGAGCTTCAACAGATGAATCTTGGGAGAACACAATTCAGTTTATAACAGATGCAAATCCCATCATGAGGGCCTCACCCTCTAAAGGTGCTATCTTCAAATACAATCACATTGGGGGTAGGGCTTCAGCATGAATTTGCAGGGGAACACAATTCAGTCTATAGCACCATTCAACAGCCCTGAGGACACTTTTGTAAAAGCCAGGGCTTGTGGAAAACTTAATTTACTGTCACTGTCTCAGATCAGCCCATCTTCCTGGTTATTTGTTTGGAGTCGGGCACAGTCTTTACTTACTTACACAGGGTTCAGACTCAGTCACCTTTGCCAGCTTCTGCTCCTTTGCCCTTTCCCCTTCAAATCAGCCCCCAAGCCATATTCATACCCCCATTCTCACCTCTAGTGCCCCACCCACATCAGAGGTCTAGTACATCATGCATGAAATCCCTTAAGCCCCTCTGCCAGATGAATGATCTTTAAGTGAAGCACTGTCCATATCATATCCGCTCTGAAAACTTTGGTGGTTCTCCATTAGTCACAGATTCAGGCCACACCAGAGGCCTTAAGTGACCTTTTCAACCTGCTTTTGCAGTGCACCCCAACATACATTCTATTACATCACCTCTTTATTCCCTGTTTTTCAAGTCCTACTTTAGATATTGCACCTCACAAAGAATCCACTATTCTTTCCTGTGTGGATATGTCTCAATAACTGGACATCAACCATTGATTATCTTGTTTGGTTAGGTAGTTCTCTCATGTATGCTTCTATCAATCTAAGGAGATTTTCTATTCTCCATAAAAAGATTAGTCCATAATTCTTTGTATTTCTCTATATAGTGTGCTTATAGTTGGTGTTTACAAGTTATTTCTTCATTGGTTATTGAGTTGCTGTTTTCAGCCCCATAAGTAAGCTATTAATATATGAGTAGGGGAGCAAAGAAAGAGAACACATCATTTATGTCTCTTTATTTAGTGAATAAAATTATACAGCAAAATATTTGTAAGTATAAAATGTTATGGTATTAGCAGTATACACTGAAGAAATATGGAATAAAGGAATGATGAGGTATATTAGGCCCTCACTACTCAAAGCTTCGTCTATAGAATAGCAGCTCCATTGTCACTGGGCAGCTTGTTAGAAATGCAAAATCTCACATCACACCCCAGACCTAACGAATCCGAATTTGCAGTTTAAGAAGATTCCCAGGTGATTCCTTTGCACGTTAAACTTTGAGTATCATTAAATTAGATAACTGAATCTCTGAGATCCTGCTTTGTCTAATGCTTCCACTGTAGTGGTTGTCAAATGGCACCCAAGATTCCCCGGAGCAAAACTTGAATAACCACTTGTTTGTTTCCTAATTGAAAAATAAAAGTTAATTGGCAGAATTTTCTCATTTGTAAGTTTTACACTATATTTTTCTTAAATACTTGGCACCTGTTACACATTTGTCTTTCCTGACACCTAACACCTCTTAGTCCTGGCTACACATGAGAACCACCTAGGAAGCTTTTAAAATATACCTATATATAACCAAGCCCTGGCCAAGGTACTCTGATTTAATTGGTCTGGGGATAGGCCCCAGGCATGGGCAATTTTTAAAGCCACCCAGATGATTTGAATGGGATGGCTAGAGAACCACTAAGCTAGTATGTAAAATGATACATTTAAAGAATATATATATATATATATATATATATATATATATATATATATATATGTATGTTTGCCCCAAAGCCATTTGTCTTTTCCCTATATTGCTAGGGAGTTTCAGACTAATTGATGATTTGTCTTCATAGCAGAGTTTGACTAATTAATTTGAATTCCAGATACCATACGTTTCTTATACAGAGTCAGGCTGCTTAACCTCTTATTTTCTAAACATCAAAAAAAAAAGTTTATATTAGTCAAAGTTCAACCAGAAAAATAGAACCAGTAAAAGAATATATTGAGAGATTTATTGTTAGGACTTGGCTTGGGCAATTGTATTATCTAGCTGGGCAGGTCTAGATTTGTGGGATAGGCTCTTAGGAAGGGCTGGGACTCTCAGGCGTGAGCTAAGGCTACTGCCTTAGGAAGTCTCAGGAAGTAGCTAAGGCTACTGCCTTAGGAAGTCTCAGGAAGTAGCTAAGGCTACTGCATCAGGAAGTCTCAGCTCTCCTCTTAAAACCTTTCAAGTGACTGAATCAGGCCCACTTTAGTTATCTAGGATGATCTCTCTTACTTGAAATCAACTGCTTGTGGACTTTCATCACATCCACAAAATACCTTTACAGCATCACTTAGACAATTGTTTGATTAAATAACTGGGAAATGTGGCCTCACCAAGTTGACCTTTTAGAACTTGTAGTCATCTATTATGTGCAACTTGGGTCTCAAAGATACGATTGCAAATCACTGTTGTGCCATTATTAGAGGCAGTTGCTTCTTTAGAGTGAACAGGTTGAGGAACCAGATTGATGACTCCCCTTATCTGAGACCACCCCCTTTGTTGTTTAAAAAAAAAATCTGGATCCTAAACAGAAATCTGTAATAAATCCAAACATAGCATTGTTTCTCTTTTTCAGAGCATGGACAGAACATCAGGAATATGGATTAATCATAGATGGCTCCACATTGTCACTCATACTAAATTCTAGTCAAGACTCTAGTTCAAACAATTACAAAAGCATTTTCCTACAAATATGTATGAAGTGTACTGCAGTGCTCTGCTGTCGGATGGCACCATTACAGAAAGCCCAGGTAACTGTGAATATTAGTTAACGTTCCATTCTGGATACTTCTATACATATATGTGCAAATGTTTATTTTTTTAAAAAATTATTTCTTCTTCAAAGGGCCATTATTACTATCTAATTTCTTCCTCCAAGGCTTCTTTCTTTTTGTAATCAGACTCAGAAGTCTTTCCCCATTTTGAATTAAACTTATGCTGCACCTTGTTGTCCCCTCAATCTGGCTGTCCCAGTTCCTCACCTTCCAGACTTTTTTCTCTGATGAGTGCTTTGTGCCTGCTGCCACTGCTCCTAGATCCCTTATGACATTAGCTCTGTGTGTTCTTTCTGCTCTTCTTACTCCCTTGGCTTGCCTGCAGGTAGACCTGGCCCATCCCTTGTGTAGTCTTCCATTCTCTTTCTCATTTCTCCTTTGCTCTTGACACCATCAGTTATATCCTCCTTAAAATTATGCTTTCATGGTCTCTGTGACGGTCCATGGTCCTGACATTTTATTTGTCAATGTAGTGACTTTTTATTTTGTGCCATCCTCTATTTTCTCCCTAATTATCTGTTTTTTCTAGGGCAAAGTTTTCTCTCCACTTTTAGCTTTATGGTCTCTCTCTGGATAAGCAAGTCTATTTCTCTGACTCCCATTGATAAATGTGTGCCCCTGACTTTTTCTTGACATTAAGTCTTCTATTTCTACCTGTGTGCTAGACAGCTATATATGGATTCCCTACCGTCACAAAAATTCTGGTGTCCAACACAGATCTTAAAATTTTCTTCCTCAGACCAGTTTGGTTTTTCTTTTATATTGTTCTTGTTACCAGTGCCACTTTTCTCTTGCTCCCTATGTCTCAAAACTACCTTTGATCCTTCTCCTCTCCCTCTATATATAGTCGCCATGTCCTGTTGGTCCTACCTTTTGTCATAGCTCTCATTTTGATGCCATCTTTCAAAACCTTTTACTGCCCAACTAGTCCAAGCCTTTATGACTTTACACACAGACTATTTGATTTAGTCTCCTCACTGGTCTCCTTGCTTTCACCCACCCATTTTTAATCTCTCCACACTCCCAAATTAATCTTGTTAAAACACAACTCTTCCTATCATACATTCTTTTTCGGACACTTTCAGTAGTTTCTTAGTCCCTTAGGATGAAGGGCAGTTGAGTGAATGTGGCGCCTGGGGCTCCCCACTGTTGTCCCTTAACATGTCTCTACAAATTTTGTACTTTGTGTCCACTATCACTCCTTTCTCTGGTGTACATTCTGCACTCCTGTTGGTTGTTCTTCCATGGTCTTCCATATGTCATGCTCAGGGCAACTTTCAAAACTTTTGTCACATCATTTCCTCATCTGGCACTCTCTCTGAATTCCCCTGGCCTAACACAAATTTTACTCATAATGAAACCTAGATGAAGGGCCACCTCCTACATGCTTTCTTTTCCAGCTCCTCCAGTCCAAATTGCCTCACCTTGCTTCTTTGTATTCACTAGGTACAAGGAAACTTAGAGTCTCCATTACCTACTTTTTCATTTCCATATATGCTATAGGATATTCTTTCATATGTGTTAGTTTTGCTTCATCAGATTCTTTAACCACTTCCTCTAAACAAGGGGATGGCTGTGTCTGTGGCTTTTCTTTTATATACTGTGCGCGCGCACACACACACGCACACATATGCACACACACACACACAGCGCCCATCATATTTGAGGCATTTCTTCTGTCTGCCTTCTAGCTCTCAGTCCCCACTGCAATCAGAGGCTCTTCTTTCTTTTCTTCAATCTTGTAAAACTTTCTTGGCCCCAGGTTGGGAATCAGATCCAACCAGAATACACTATTCAAAAGTATCTGTCCCCTTAGTCAGAGGTTTTCCTGCAAAAGCGATCTCTTTTTTTCCTTACATTCAGTGTATGCTGCTCAAATTGCTCACCTGGGTTCTGACTGCTTCACTGCCAGGCAGGTATATGAATTCCTGACCCCATGCTGCTTCTTCCACCTTAATTATGCCACCACTTGTGGTTTAGTCCTCATTCTGTTTTATTTCTGTCACTATAGTTATTTTTTGCAGGATATTACATACTTAGCTGTCATGTTCATGTATGTGATATTCAAGTCACTATCTCCAATCCAAATATTTGGTGATCTACTTTACTTTTTCAGCTGTTTCCCAAACACATATTCTTGGGTGTGGCATTATCACCCCAAATCTGACTTCTCTAGAGTCCAACCATCATTTTCCTTGGCATCTTCTTTTTCTATGACTGACCTCAGTGTACTTCCAGATTTCTAGATTCAAAACCTTGAAACCTGTGTTGCCTTCCCACATACCACATACATTACCCTTTCATTGTAGTCTTAGTCACTAAATTTTGTCTGTTTCTTATTACATCGTCTTTTCCATCTATTCCTTTCTTTTCATTACCTTTCAGGGCTAGGCCTTTCAATAGCTCATTGAACTCCTGGAACTAGCCACCTAACTTCTCTCTTTGCCCACAGTCTTGCTTTCCTCCGGTTCTTCCTACACCCTGCTGTTGAACTAGCTCCAGATATTTCTGTCCATGTCTCCTATATGAAAATTCCAATTGATCTGGGCAAGCCAGATCTATTCTCTCAGCATTTACTGTATTTATCTGGCTATGTGCTCTTGGATATGCTAGTTCCTTTCTCTGGAATACTCCTTTCTTTCTTTCTCATCTATGCGAGTCTTACTAATATTTCATGATTTAGATCAAATCACTCGTCCTTCTGTAAAATTCCTGATCACTCTGGCATGTATGGTATCTTCTCCCTTCTCTGACATCCTAGGCCTTCTTACATGGATGACAATATCATACATTCCTGCACAGATGCTACATTTTGTTACCTTGTATTGTTAATCTGCTTATCTAATATTCTTGTACTCATGACCTAACTCTACTACTTCATTTATATGCTTTTTAAGGTGTGTGATGAAACCTTATATCTGTTTTGGCTCTTAGCACATTCCTGTATACAATATAAAGCAAGCTATTATACTTGATGAATAGCTTTTGGTAAAATATTTTTTTTTTTCATGAAGCTATCCTAGAGATTGAAGAGGTCTTAATCCATTTGATCTAGGGCTGAGTGAAAAAGTCCATGTTTACGAATCTAAATCCCTTCATGATTTTATGGTCCATGATTGTATATCCTTTTATCTTTCTACAGTGGAGAGTTTTACTCTTTTTAGTCTATGTTTTCATGCAGAAGCTGTCACCCTTGATAATTTTATTGCCTTCCCTAAACCTTGGGTGCGTATTTTTTCCTTGAGGTGCAAATCGTTACTGCACACAGTATAACAGGTGCACTTAGTTAACCATTATTGTAGCCTATTAAAAACACATTTAGTTTGGGTTCTTTAATTTTGTCTTTTATTCTTTCACTTACAGGTTATTTCTGACAGTCTTCTGTAAAGTTTTTAAGAAGAACCAAGTTGAGGGGAGGGATTGGGGGAAGCTGGCATTTCATAGTCACATCATTTTTGTGTTAAGTGGAATTGGATGTGGGGTTTTTTGTACTATTTAATACAACTAAAACCTGATTGAATTCTATTTAAAGAAATAACTGCAGGGTGCCTTAGCCTCATGAATTATTTTTCATCACTTCAGTTATGTTGAAAATGGATTTTATTTATGTTAACTGGTCAGAACAATTGTGAGGACAGTATTTTTGCAAAGCATTATTTAGCTACTAAATTATTTTTTTTTAAGCCGCTAGATTCCAAGGGGTTTTGTGGCTTGCCACATCAAACAGTGATTATCTAAAACATAGGGTAAGAGGGCAGCTGATCACCCAATGCACTTCCCACAAGTAACTCTGCCAGGAGGTTTTTGGAGAACCCCAAGGCAGAAGTATTTTAATACCAGGGATGAACATTTTATTCAGTACATTTATACATCTTGAAGAAACACTCAGGGAATAGCGACAGGCTTTGTACACATATCTTGGACATCTTTCTGCAAATGTCAACCCCTTTAGTGTACCTCTTTTAAAATACAGCTACTCGTAGGAGAGGTCAGACCATATTGAGCAGTGAGAGATTTATTAAAGTTTAGTTGGCATCCAGATAGGTGCAATAATTTAACATTAGGTAAGTTGGAATAAGGGTTGATGTGCTCCTAGGGAAGGTGAGAGTGTCAGCAGGGAGGAGAGAGTAGAAAGTAACCAAAAACATTGTTCTCTGACTTCCTACTTGGTTCTGGTGGCCTTATGTATGTTACCCCAAATCAGCTTTCTGGCTTCTACTGTCACACATTCAACATCTGATCTGAAAGAACACATGATGCAATGAAAAAAGAAGGAAATGTATTGACCTCTAATATGCATGAGAGGCAAAGTTTTTGATAGTTCATATATGCATAGAACTAGGACAAGTGGGTGCTGGTGTTACATTTTGAATGGCTGTGTTCTGCATCTGTGAATTTGACACTATTGTACATATTACAGTTGGCCCTCCGTATCCATGGGTCCTGCATCCACAGATCCAAACAACTGTGGATTGAAAATATTAGAATAAAACTAAAACAACGAACAGTATAACAATAAAAATAATACCGATTTTAAAACAATACAGTATGACAGCTATTTACATAGCATTTACGTTGTAGTTAGTTACTAAAAGAAACCTAGAGATGATTTAAAGTATGCAGGAGGATTTTGGTATCTACGAGCGTCCTGGAGCCAGTCCTCCAAGGATACTGAGGGATGACTGTATATGCACAAACTACCTTTCTGTTTGCAAGGCTGCTATTTACAAGTGTGAATGAGGCATAAACCCCTAAAGTAGCCCAGTCTTACATTCTTCTTTGACCTTTTTTACACCTCTTTTGTATTTAATATTTAGATTGTCAGAATGGTGAAGAATTTAAAAGGCAGCCCAATAACTCTGTCGATAGGTGATGGTGCCAATGATGTTAGTATGATCTTGGAATCCCATGTGGGAATAGGTAAGATACATCTAATGAGATGGCAGCTGTGAAAAGTATCAGTATTGCTTTTAGGTAGTGTGGTCTTACATTCTAGAGTGACTGTTTTGGTTACTCATCTTGAATTTGAATTTTGGAATGATAATTGTTAATTAAATGGAGGCCTCATCTGATCATGCAACATGTCCATCCCAAGGTCCTACCCCATGGTAGAAATGTAGCAATGTAACAAAGTTAAAGGATATTTTTCAATTAGCCAAGTAGAGTGAATTTCCCAAAGCTACTGGCAGCACAATTGATTGTTTAGCTCTTACTTTGACAGCATGCATGAAATTTTTATTGATTTTCTGCCCCTGGCCAGACTGCCTGCTTATGTTGCTGTACTATATCTTTTGACATCTCAACTGTTTGGGGCTAAGAAATGATAATTGGTTGGCTGTTTTTCAACATGGCAGTATTAATGGGTGGTTTGGGCTGTAGTGTTGAATTTATATATTGACATGCAACAACAGCTTTTCCACCACCTGTACCATTTTTTTTCCCTTCTCTGGTTGCTATTAGGCAACACAACTAACTCCCCAGCAAGTTAGTTAGCTAGTTTGTTTGTTTTGGCAGGGTGGTGGGGCCAGATATGGAATTCATATCTTGGGAATTATTGTACTGCAGTTTAGGTTCCCAAACTGTTCTTTTCATTTGGAAGTATTCCTATTTCTTGTGCAACTTGAAGTACTACTCATTGGTTATCCAAGTGTCAAATGGCCTAAAGCTGCTCGAGCTCATAGAACCCTTGCGCTGCTAGTCAGGGTTTCATACATGAAAGAATTTCACCGTCTTCTCATTGAACTCCTAGACCACAAACCCCAGGTTTCTGAGTTCCCTTAATATAGCACCTAGTCTAGCGTCATACACAATTAAGCACTTACTGAGTGACTTAATTATTTTTAAGTTGAGTTTTTTTCTTCAGATAATTTTTACCTTGTAATGATTGAAATAATGATTCTATTTAATTGTTGTATACTGTATTACGAATAGGGAGTTACCAGTTAAACTTAGTTAAATTATTTGGTAAGTCTCAGTGTCACTGTTAAAGAAAGCTCTTTTGGTTTTTAAAAAAGGAAAACTAATTGATAGAATTGAACTATAACATTAAACCAAGTTGAAACTGTGAAGATAAATCAGGGAGTCATTTATTCTAGAAAATGCTCACCATATAGAGATACTCTCTTTTAGGTATTAAAGGCAAAGAAGGTCGCCAAGCAGCTAGGAATAGCGATTATTCTGTTCCAAAGTTTAAACACTTAAAGAAACTGCTGTTGGCTCATGGACATCTATATTATGTGAGAATAGCACACCTTGTACAGTACTTCTTCTATAAGGTATGTGATAAAATATATGTAATTTAATTTCTTTTTAATCCAGCATTGGCTCAGCTTGGTCATGGTTTTGTTCTTCCTTTTTTTTTTTTAATGCTGCTTTTGATATCTCATACTGAAATTTGCAGTCAACAAAGCAGAGGTGGTCTATTGGATGAATCAGAAACCAGAAATGCCTTTTGATGCAAAATTTTTGATAGGAATTTTTAAGCCCTCCTTATTGAAATGTAAATTAAATACAATAAAGTGTATTCATCAAAAGTGTACAGTTCCATGAGTTTTGCCAAATGTATACATCCATGTAACCATTACACCAATCAAAAAATAGAACATTTTGGCTTGGTAGTGGCTCATTCCTGTAATCCTAGTGCTTTTGGAGGCCAAGGCGGGAGGATCACTTGAGGTCAGGATTTTGAGACCAGCCTGGGCAATAATATGAGACCTTGTCTCTACAAAAATAAAAATTTTCTAAAATGAAATTTTTGCAGTCATTTCTAATTGTCTATAAGCATGTCAACCAAGAGAACCAGTGGTAACACTTTGATATGTGACCTTGCTGGTCTTTTGTCTGTACAAATTAACATATGTACTTTTTTTATACTTTTATACACTATACACTACATTGAGGTTTTTACAATTTTTTTGAGATATAATTTAACAAAATTCACCTTTTTTTAAAGAAAAATTTTCTTAAAGACAGAGTCTCACTCTGTTGCTCAGGCTGGAGTGCAGTGGCGCGATCTCGGCTCACTGTAGCCTCTGCCTCCTGGGTTCAAATGATGCTCATGCCTCAGCTTCCCGAGTAGCACATGCCACCACACCTGGCTGATTTTTGTGTTTTTAATAGAGACAGGGTTTCACCATGTTGGCCAGGCCGGCCTCAAACTCCTGACCTCAAGTGATCTGCCCCCCTCAGCCTCTCAAAGTGCTGGGATTACAAGCTTGAGCCACCATGCTTGGCCTAAAATTCACCATTTTAAAGTGTATAATTCAGTTACTTATAATGTGTTCACTATGATGTGCAACCATCATCATTGTCTAATTCTAAAACTTTTCTATCATTTCCAAAAGAAACCTTGTACGTATTGGTATAATACATATTGCTTTGCACTTTGCCTTTTTCACTTAATTTATGTTGTGAACATTTTTCTCACCCAATTTAATATTCTTCCAAAACATGATAATTGTGCAACATTGCAAATCCCCAATATTGGACACTGAAGTAGTTTCCTCAACAATACCTTGGTTTCCGTTTTATCACCAAGCATTAGCGTATACGTTAGACTGAGTCTGCATACTTGTTATTGTCTACCAGGGAATAGAATTTACCAAATTTCTTAATTAGATTCTAGTTTGTAGGTAGAGTATTTAGTGCATCTTCCAACTACTCAAATCATATAGTATTTAGTATATAATTCAAGTAGTTATGATATTTGAATTTCATACCCTATATTTTATAAGAGTTAAAGCTCAGCACCTGATTTTGTGTGTCAGTTGTCTATAGTCAACCCTAGGTCTTTCTTACTAACTTTATATTTAAAGAAAATACATATTTATAAAACTATGAACCCAGTTTCACAAATTTTCTAAGACCCTGGTAGCCAGTATCTGCTGGTAGCCAGGCCAAACACTGTGGAGGAGGAAAATGATGATAATGATGATGGTAACCCAATATGTGTAAGGTATTTTGTGAGTTCACAAAATCACTTTTTAAAAAATGTAATCCTCACAAACATCCTATGAGTCAAGTAGTAGTATCTCCATTTAAAATACATGGAAAGTAGAGCTCAGAGAGATGGTATAACTTGCCTTTGGCTTTCCATCCAGGAGGTGACAGAGCTAGATGTTCCACCATAGATTCATTTACTCCAAATCCAGGACTTTTTATGTGTCACAGTTAGGGTCTTTTGGGCCTTGCACCCAGTAACAGCAGCTCATGGAAATAAAGGGTTATTCTCTCTTGACCTTCACCTAGTAGGAGATCCCTTGAAGATTTGTCATACAGATCTGCCTAGTAATCTGAACCTATTTCAGAGGCTTATTTTGCCTCTTTTGAGTTTTGGCCTGCAATTTAAGCAACTGCCACCAGATGGAAGGAATGCTCTGTTAAGGAGAGCAAAACAAGCGTTAAAATGGCAAATGTTGACCAGTGGTTATTTATGTAGATGATATCCTCTGTCTTCGTTAGTATCTCTAGGCCCATTATCATCTTGGTTACTGACTCAGCAGTATTTCTTTTTTATTACTATCTTTTGTGCGAAGAGGATTTCTAAAATTTTCAACTCTATTTGGCTGAGCTGAGAAGTCTTTCCATCCTCTCGCCATTGCATCTTCAAATTGTTATTGCCCACTCCCGGAGTACTTCAGTGACAGGTCTTCCTGCCTTCTGTTTCTCCATTTAATCCTCCTTACATAATTCAACTAGATTAGTGTTTAAAGAATGCCACTTTTCAACTTGTCCCTTAGAACCTTTACTCTCCACCGTCTCAGCTTTAGTCTGGCTTTTAATGCACCCCACAGTGTGACCCTGTCTTACCATATAAGTTTAAAATATATACATTCTTGCCTTGGTTCCTGCCATCAACATGTCCTATTCATCTTTATTCATAGTTCGAGTTCTAAGTTGTTTATTCAATCGGTGAACAAATATATTTTAAATGTGTTACCATGTGCCAAGGCCTGTTTTAGGTGCTTGAGGATACACCATGGAATAAGACAGGCAGTGTCCCTTTTCTCATGAGACTTACATTCTGGTGGGTGAGGTAGATACCTGCTCTCCCTTCTCAATGGAGCATCCCCATGATCCCCACTGAGCTCTACCTGCTTCAACCTCAGAACACTTATTTTTTTCATAAACTGTGACTCTAGGAATACTATGGACTATATTTTGCATTGTACCAGAACTGATAATGTATAAATGAGTGTTGCTTTTCCAGGTGATGACCTTGGGAGCTCTGACTCATGCTGCAGGGGCAATTCAAAACCTGTTGAGCTCATTTCTTTAGAAACATCCTCCAGAGCCAGTAGTACATTGATCGAAATATCCTCAGCTGTGGTAGATGTTCATCTTTTGAGGTTGCATTTGATTTTTAAAAACAGTCTCAAGTCTCCTAGAGCTAATTCTGGAGAAATTAGCTGACAGAAGGGAGGAGACTGGTTTTCTGGCATGACTGGAAAGTGGGCTCTTGAAGGGGCTTCTTGAAGAGAAGTTCAGAGACATCATGACCAAGTAACAGTAAAAAAGCTCACAGCCTGCTTTGAAGGATAGCACTTATTTGAAAATTCTCGTGCTGGTAGTTTTGCTTAAAGACATTACTTTCAGTATTTTATAATCACACTTAGTAGCTTTTACTACCTTATGAATTCCCAGCTTGTGTTTCTTTTCTGCTTGTCTTTTTAGTATTTCTCAAATTAAATAATAAGTCCCTTAGGACAGTGGTCCCCAACCTTTTTGGCACCAGAGACCTCGGGCCCTAATGCTCACTTGCCTGCCACTCACCTCCTGCTGTGCAGCCTCGGGGGAGGGGCGGGGGAGCCCTGACTTAGGAAAAAGAAGTTGACTCTTTTTTTGTTATCATCTGTGTGCCACCTTTGTGTGTAGTAGATGCTCAGTAATGATATGTTGATTGTTTGATGAGGTAGTAATAAAGGCATTAAAGCGTTAGTTGATATTGTTAGTGTCAACATAATCTATAATAATTTCCCAACTATTTATTGGCATTAATTGACTTTAAATGTACACTTACAGCATTGTCAGTCTACTATATGATTTGCAAATCTAATTGGTGTTAAAGATACAGTATCATTAGGTGTTCATATTGGAGGAGCTCATTTATTTCCTGGAAGAAGGACAGCAACAGATTCTCATAAAGTAAATAAGATCCTCTTCTGCCTTGATAGGGCAAAAGTTGGCCTTAATATGAATTAATCATTGTTTTAGTTGTTTCCTTATGTCTGTGGAATAGAGGTTTATTGCATTCTGACATTAGAAGGATTTAGGAATAATTATAAACTATTTGGAATATAGTTTCCCATTTTAGTTTAGCAAGTTGATTAAGTGAAAATGTTAATCCTTGTCTTAATTTTTTTTTTTCAGAACCTTTGTTTCATTTTGCCACAGTTTTTGTACCAGTTCTTCTGTGGATTCTCACAACAGGTTTGTTTCTCAAGTTATTCGTTATAATATAGTTTACATTTGCTGTTAATAAATTACCCTTATATATTAGATTTCTAGAGATTAGAGATGTATGTACAAAGTAAAATGATCTCTTGGTTTTGACAACAGCAAATGTTTATGTCTTTGCTTTTCTAGTTTTCTTATTGTTACCTTCATTTTGAAATGCTTTTGGTACATCCTGTTGGAGTTGTGATAACATTAAAAAGAGTATTTTGAATTTTTTCTTTTTATCAATGTATAAAAAGTGTTTCATAATTCTAAAATGTTATAGTTTAATATTTCATCAAATGGAATCTCCCAACTTTGCAGGCTTTCAGGTTAGTTTTATAGAAAAGCATTAATCTTTAAGCTAGCCAAGAACCTGTGATTCCTAGAGAAAGCTTTGGATTACGTAAAGCAGCTATAGATGTTTTGCCTTCTATTGTTTTCTGAACATGTATTACATAAGGAATATGCTATATATTAACTTGATACATAAGTGGTAGGATGGCGAGACATCTTTGTTTTAAAAACTGAAATGGATTTGGCATTGCTTCTAGTGGGAGGTATAGCGAAATACAGCGAAATACAGGAGCTATAGTACTCAGTGACTCAGAAATTTTATAATTAATCTATGAGAAGTTCAGTGATTTTGCCAAACTGAGCTACCACATTGCCATAGGTGTTAAGTTTCTAAATTTCAAAGGCAAGCTTTATATATGCTTCTGTGAATACAAAGTACACTTATGAATACACTTATGTATTCTTCTTGGGTCCTCCTGGTAGGAAGTGATTTTTTCCTAATTCTTTGGCAGTTTTTTTTTTTTTTTTTTTTTTTTACTTTTAGGTTCAGGAGTGCATGTGCAGGTTTATGTAGGTAAACTCATGCCACAGGAGTTTGGTGTTCAGTTTATTTTGTCACCCAGGTAAAAAGTATAGTACCTGATAGGTAGCTTTTTGATCCTCTCCCTCCTCTCACTCTCCACCCTGAAGTAGACTCCAGTGTCTGTTGTTCCCTTCTTTGTGTCCATATGTTCTCATTGTTTAGCTCCCACTTATAAGTTAGAATATGCTGTATTTGGTTTTCTGTTTTTGTGTTAGTTTGCTTAGGATGATGGCTTCCAGCTCCATCCGTGTTGCTGCAAATGACATGATCTTATTTTTTATGGTTGCATAGTATTTAATGGTATATATGTACCACATTTTCTTTATCCAGTCTACCATTGATGGGAATTTAGGTTGATTACATATCTTTGATATTATGAAGAATGCTGCAGTAAACGTGTATATGTGTCTTTATGGTAGAATAATTTATATTCCTTTGGGTATATACCCAGTAATGGGATTGCTGGGTTGAATGGTAATTCTGTTTTAAGGTCTTTGAGGAATCATCACACTGCTCTCCACAATGGCTAAACTAATTTACATTCTCACCAGCATTCTGCAAGTGTTCCCTTTTCTCTGCAACCTTGCCAGCATCTGTTACTTTTTTGACTTTTTAATAATAGCCATTCTGACTGGTGTGAGATGGTATCTCGTTTTTGTTTTGATTTGCATTTCTCTAATGATTAGTGATGTTGAGCGTTTTTTCATATGCTTGTTGGCTGCGTGTATGTCTTTTGAAAAGTGTCTGTTCGTGTCCTTTGCCCACTTTTTAATGGGGTGGTTTGATTTTTGCTTATAAATTTATGTAAGTTCCTTACAGATGCTGGATATTACATATTTGTCACATTCATCATTTGTAAATATTTTCTCCCATTTTGTAGGTTGTCAGTTTACTCTGTTGATAGTCATCTTCTTGTATGCAGAAATTCTTTATTTAATTAGGTAACATTTGTCAGTTTTTGTTTTTGTTGCTATTGCTTTCAGCATCTTTGCGATGAAATCTTTGCCAGCTCCTGTGTCCAGACTGGTATATCCTAGGTTATCTTCCAGGGTGGTTATAGTTTTAGGTTTTACATTTAAGTCTTTAATCCATCTTGAGTTGATTTTTGTATATGGCATAAGAAACGGGTCCAGTTTCAATCTTCTGCATGTGGCTAGCAAGTTATCCTAGTGCCATTTATTGAATAGGGATTCTTTTCCCCATTGCTTGTTTCTGTCAGCTATGTTGAAGATCACATGGTCATAGATATGTGGCCTTTTTTCCGGGCTCTCTATTCTGTTCCATTGGTCTGTTTTTGTATCAGTACCATGCGGTTTTGGTTACTGTAGCCTGTAGTATAGTTTGAAGTCAGGTATTGTAATGCCTCCAGCTTTGTTCATTTTGCTTAGGATTGCCTTGGCTATTTGGGCTCTTTTTTGGTGCCATATGAATATTAAAATATTTATTTCTAATTCTGTGAAGAATGTAATTAGTAGTTTGATAGGAATAGCATTGAACTTGTAAATTGCCTGGGGCAATATGACCATTTTAACAATATTGATTCTTCCTATCCAAGAGCATGGAATGTTTTTCCATTTGTTTGTGTCATCTCTGATTTCTTTGAGCAGTGTTTTGCAATTTTCATTGTAAAGATCTTTCACCTCACTGGTTAGCTGTATTTCTAGGCATTTCATTATTTTTGTGGCTGTTGTGAATGGGATTATGTTACTGATTTGGCTCTCAGCTTGGATGTTGTTGGTGTATAGGATTGCTACTGATTTTTGTACATTGATTTCGTATCCTGAAACTTCGCTGAAGTTATCAGGTCAAGGAGCTTTTGGGGCAAGACTATGAGGTTTTCTAGATATAGAATCATATTGTCTGCAAACAGGGATAGTTTGACTTGCTGTCTTCCTATTTGGATGCCTTTTATTTCTTTCTCTTGCCTGATTGCTTTGGCTAGGACTTCCAGTACTATGTTAAATAGGAGTGGTGAGAGAGGGCATCCTAGTCTTCTGGTTTTTGAGGGAATGCTTCCAGCTTTTGATTGTTAAGTGTGATGTTGGCTATGGGTTTTTCTTAGATGGCTCTTATTATTTTGAAGAATGTTCTTTCAGTGCCTCGTTTGTTGAGAGTTTTTAACATGATGGATTTTATTGAAAACCTTTTCTGCATCTATTGAGATGATCATGTGGTTTTTGTTTTTAGTTCTGTTTATGTGATAAATCACATTTATTGATTTGCAGATATTGAACCAACCTTGCATTCTAGTGATAAAGCCTGCCTGATCATGGTGGATTAGCTTTGTGATGTGCTGCTGGTTTCAGTTTGCTAGTATTTTGTTGAGTATTTTTGCATCTATCTTCTTCATCAAGGATATTGGCCTGAAGTTTTCTTTTTGTTGTTGTTGTTGTGTCTGTGCCAAGGTTTCCGTATCAGAATGATGCTGGCCTGATAGAATGATTTAGGGAGGAGTCCCTCCTTCTCAATTTTTTTGGAATAGTTTCAGTAGGAATGCTACAGATCTTCCTTATACATCTGGTAGAATTTGGCTGTGACTCCATCTGGTCCTGAGCTTTTTTTTTGGTTGGTATACTTTTTATTACCTTTCAGTTTTTGAAGTCATTATTGGTCTTTTCAGGGATTCAGGAAATCTCTGGTTTTCTGACTGGTTCAGTCTTGGGAGGTTGTATATGTCCAGAAATTTAACCATTTCTTATAGGTTTTCTAGTTTGTATGCATAGAAATGTTCATAGTAGTCTCTCAGGGTTTTTGTATTTCTGTTGTATCTGTAGTATCATCTGCTTTGTCATTTCTGATTGTGTTTATTTGAATTTTCTCTTTTTTTTCTGTATTAGTCCAGCTAATGGTCTATGTATATTATTACATTTTTTCAAATAACCATCTCCTGGATTTCTTGGTCTTTTGTATGGTTTTTTTGCATCTCAGTTTCCCTCAGTTCAGCTCTGATTTGGGTTATTTCTTGTTTTCTTCTAGCTTTGGGGTTGGTTTGCTCTTGTTTCTGTAGTTCCTCTAGTTGTGATGTTGGGTTGTTAATTTGACCTCTTTCTAACTTCTTTCTTTGGTTTCCTTTTCTTCTTCTTTTCTTCCCTTTCCCTTTCCCTTTCTTTTCTTTCTTTTTCTCTTGCTCTGTCACCCAGGCTGTAATGCAGTGGCGTGATTTCGGCTCACTGCCACCTCCACCTCCTGGGTTCAGGTGATTTCTCCTGCCTCAGCCTCCCAAGTAGCTGAGATTACAGGTGCCTGTCACCACACCTGGCTAATTTTTGTATTTTATTAGAGATAGGGTTTCAGCATGTTGGTCAGGCCGGTCTTGAACTCCTGACCTCAGATGATCTGCCTGTGTTGGCCTCCCAAATTGCTGGGATTACAGGCTTCAGCCACTGTGCCCGGCCCTCTTTTTAACTTTTTGATGCGGGTGTTTAGTGCTATAAATTTCCCTCTTAACACTTCCTTAGCTGTGTCCCAGAGATTCTGGTATGTTGTATCTTTGTTCTTCATTAGTTTTAAAGAAATTCTTGATTTTTGCCTTAATTTCATTATTTACCCAAAAATCATTCAGGAGCAGGTTGTTTAATTTCCATGTTGTTGTATGGTTTTGAGTGATTTTCTTAGTATTCATTTCTATTTTTATCACTCTGTGGTTTGAGAGTATGGTTGGTATGATTTTTGTTTTTTTGAATTTGCTGTGGATTGTTATGTCCAATTGTGTGGTCGATTTTAGAGTATGTGCCATGTGGTGATAAGAGGAATGTATATTCTGTTGTTTTGGGGGTAGAGAGTTCTGTAGATGTCTGTTAGGTCCATTTGGTCACATGTTGAATTCAGGGCCTGAATATCTTTGTTAATTTTTGGCCTCAGTGATCTGTCTCATACTGCCAGTAGGGTGTTGAAGTCTCTTTGGCAGTATTTTTAAGAGAATGCATTCTTCTCAATGGGAATGACTGGTCTCTTTCTCTTGAATTTGCCTTTTTACTATTTGGTATGCTGTCTCTTACATCAGTGCCATGTCATTAGCCCAGTAGTGCCAGTTAAGCAGATAATCTTTCATTATAAATTAAGCATCTTGCAGTTTTTGGAAGTGCCATCAACCTTCTTGTATTCAAAATTAATAGTATTAGAGAGTTTCGTAAGTTCTGATCAATCTGTTTTTCTTGAACATTCAAATTGCTATTGAGCAAAATGTTGCTAATTCCTTACTTTCTTGGATGGATGCAAGTATTAAAAGTATATTTGAAATTCTCTTAACTAATGTGTAGCAGTGTGCTAAAGGTAAGTTGGCTTGTTCTGGTGGAAATATTGTTTTCATTTTGAAAGGAGTCTGTTGCTGTATTATCCTTTTAAAATATGTTTACCAAGCACAAATTTTAGGGGAAAAAGGACTCATTCCTTACAAAGCCAGCTGAGATTTAAACCGTGGATTGTCTTCAGTCTTCTTAGATTACCTTAACTGCTTATGGTTCCATAGGAGTTGATGTTTGGCTCCTTCCGTTGCTCAACTGGTAGGTTCATTCATTTGGCAACTATTTCTTGATTGCCTACTTTGTGCCAGGCTAAGTGCTGAGAATATTGCAGTGATCAAAATAAACTTCCTTGCCCCCATGAAACTTGCAGTGTGTAGTGATAGGGTGAAAGACAACAATCAAATATATTATGTTGGGTACTGATACATGCTATGATGGAAAAAAGAAAGCATAATAAAGGGATAGAGTGTGACTGGGAGAGAGAGAGCTGCCGTTTTAGACATCTGAAAAGGTCTCTCTGATGAGGTGACATTTGGGCAGAGACCTGGAGGTAAGGGAAGGAATAACGTCGACATCTTAAAGGAAAAGTGTACCAGGTAAAAGGAAGGTAAAAGAGTACCAGGAGAGCTCAGGAGGTAATGTGATGTGCAAAATCTTTATTTTTGATTTTGGTTTTGTGCTAGTGCTGAATGTAGCAACCTTTATTGCAAATATCTTTGGAGTACCTTTGAGTAGTCAGCCTTTTTCAGTCCAGAAGCACATTAGGCATTCTCTGGAACTTGCGAGGAGGACTATGAAGAATGTAGAAATGGACCAGGATTCAGATTCTTTACACAAAAAGCTTCCCTTTCTTTAGCAAAACTAGGATACTAAATGTCTTTTTTTTTTTTTTAATGAAAAGGAAACATTGTAACAGGTTTCATAAAAAAGCAGTATTATCAACTTTATCTGTTTGTTTTGGGGATATTCTGTCTCTTCTAATTATGTACCTAAGAATTACAATTATCTGTCATGTGATTTTAAAGTACCATAGTGAAACAAAAGTAGATTGATGCTTCTTTTGTTTGAATGAAATTCAAGACTAAATGACACACCAGTCAATCTGAGTTGTATTTTTTAAATTTACTCATTAGTGAAAATGAGTAGCTTCCAAAGAAAATGTGGTGTTATGTGCCACGGACTAGTCCTCTCCTTTGAAAATAAAAAGGAATGCAACACTTTTTTTTGTACTTCTTAATTCAGTGGAATATCTTTGCTGAGCTTAAATCTTTGTTTATAGAAAGTACGTTGGAAGTGTCTTTTAACTTCATGGAGAATGTTGCATCCATTATCATTTGCTTTGTCTCTCCTGCCAGCCAGAGTTGTAGTCCCCTCCTCTGGGTTTCCCCAGCTCCCTGTGTACCTCTCATTCTGCCTCTCCATCTAGAATTTGAACTCCCTGGTGGATAGGGGAGGAATCGTCTCTGTCCCTAGTACTTGTCATTTAGTAGGCACTCGGTAAATGTTCTGAAGTCAACTAGTGAACTAACTAATGCACCATTCAAGTAATTCCCAGCCTTTTGTAATTATCTTTAGTAGCCATTGATTGAAAATACATTATTTTGTTAATTTGTGTCATAGTTTAATGCATTTTATTAAGGGACATTTATACATGTGAAAAATACATATGAGTATGGGGAATTATTTATTCAGGCCACAGAAAATGTTTGTTTGACAATCTTTAGCACTGTGTAGATAAATACTGATGTAAATGCTTTCATCAGAATGAGGTTCATAGAATACTTTAAATTTTTTCAATAAAGGAAGATTTATAATATCAGAGCAGGCCTTTATAAATGTTATAGCTTCCGATCTATCCTCATTCATTTATTCATCTAGTGTTTATTGATTGTTTTTGTATGCCAAGTCCTGTTATAGGAGCTCAAGATTGTCCAAGTTCTCCAGTCAAAGACCCCCATGAACACACTTGTAGTTGATCAAATTAGGTTTATTACTCAGTTCAGGAAGGAAGAACACATGCCATGAGGAACTGTGGGACTTCTCAGGAAGAGGATGTTAGAAAAGACTTACACAATTTGGACTTGAAAATACTAACCAAAAATATGTAAAATATTAACCAAAACATTTGTGACACAGGCTGGCTGCTGCCTGTATTTAGTTTCTCTGAGGATTCCTCACTTATACTTAATGGTCTTTGCTGAAGTAACTCCAGAATAGCTAGTTTTAGCTACTAAGCAATCTTGAAAAGTTGTTCATGTCTATTAGAAATGCAGCTTATAGCATGTAAACATTCTGAATAAGATTCTGTTAAAGGGGAGGTGTATTAATGTGACACATCACAATATGTTAGTTTCTTTTTTATAGTTACTAGGCAGTGACCTTATTTACAGATTCCTTTGCCACTACCAAAAGCATGTAAAAAAATTTCTTATTTTAGCTAGTAAGTTTTTCACATACATAAGTATCATCTTGTAGATGATTGTTACATGAAATTTCTTTCTTTCCTCTGTTGTTTTTCATTTTAGCCACTGTATGATGCTGCTTACCTTACAATGTACAATATCTGCTTCACATCCTTGCCCATCCTGGCCTATAGTCTACTGGAACAGCACATCAACATTGACACTCTGACCTCAGATCCCCGATTGTATATGTAAGTTAAATATATAGTTAAAACCCCCTAAGACTTTCAGTGTTGTGATTTTCATTTTATCTGCAGATGGGAAGAACACAGAACTGTGCACTTGGTTTGTGGTATGATTATATGGTTCTGTTTGGAATTTTTAGCTATTGAAAGCAGACTGCTCAACAGGAAAATGACATATTTCCTAGGTGTGGGTTCTGTACTTGAATATATGTGAAACATTTAGTTCAGAGTCACTAATTCCTAAAACTTGAAACTATATTGTCATAGTGTTCTAGTGTCTCATGGGAAGACATGATATTTTAACTGCAAAGAAAAAAAGCATACACAAAGATCTTCTGTAGTTTAGAATATTGATTCCTACTTGTTGTAGATTGAACTGATGAAGTTATATTACCCTTTCTCATGTAAACTGCACCCATAGCATTAGCCGCCCCACACCCCACCTTTGTTAGCCCCATTCTAAAACTGTTGAAGAAAATAATGGACTCATAAGCCATTGTATTCATTTTGTGTCAGTTGAAAATGGATGCTTTTCTCTGTGGATGGGGGACTTGGCACTAGCCCCAGTTGTTTAACTTATGATTTAATTGGATTTTTAGAATTGTAGCCTACAGCTAAGGATAAAGATATTAATTTATAGCAGATTGTAAGCATTGCTAAATAGTAGGTAGCAAGTGCAATAGAGAGGTTTGGATGGTTTATTTGTATGAAATGAAGATACACAAATTTAAGGGATTTTTTTTAACCAGCATGACTCATAAAATTTACATTTAGCAATTGTTAGAATTACACAGTTGTGAAATTTATCATTTTAAAGGTCTTTATTAAGGAAAATTTCAGACATACATAAAAGTAGAGAGAATGCTATTTATATAATGAATGAATGTAAATAGTTGTTGAACCACTCAGCTTGTCCTAACCACTCAGCTTCAACAACTCTCAATTCCTTGACATTCCTATTCCACTGATAACCCCGTCTGCTCTATCACAGGCTTATTTTGAAGTAAATCTCAAAAACAGTTATTTCATTATGCATCTCTTAAAGACAAGGATTTTTAAAAATAATAATACCCTATCACTTAAGTCCTTAATATCAAATAGTCAATGGTCACATTTCTCCAGTTGACTCATTTCTTTTCATAGCATGCTTATTTGAATCAGGATCTAAAGAAGGTCCACACATTGCAATTGGTTTATATACTTTCTGAGTCTCTTTTAATGTTTAGGTTAACCTTGCAATTTATTTGTGGACAAAACCAGATTATTTATGTTGTAAAATTTCTCCCAGTCTAGAGTTTGCTGATTGCATCTTCATGGTGTTTACATGTTCTGCTGATCCTATATTTGTTGTAAATGCATAATTAGATGTAGAGGAGAATCATTAGAACTTTGGTAGAAATCTTACAAGCATCAGCTCCTACTACACTCTTTTTGAAAATAAGGAACCAGGGCCCCGAAATGACTTACCTAAGGACACAGGGTACAACCAGATGCAAAATGAAGATCAGAATTCAACCCTCTTGCCAGTGCTTTTTCCAGCAAGCCAGTGGTTTTAAAACATTGTTTTAACTGTAGTTGTTTCCAGACAACTTCTAAAGTGAAGCCCGATAGTGCAGTTGCTCTGGTTGAAATGGGGTTTGAGGAGTAGTAGGCAGAATTCCTCCCATTCCGTCCCACCAAGAGCTCAGACTAACACCTGGGCTGAAAGCCTCTGCTACTTACCAGGTGACCTTACCCAGGTTACTGCAATGTGCCTCAGTTTCACCTTCAGTAATACATGGGCAACAGTAGCACCTAATCACAATGGTTTTGTGAGGAGTAAATGAGCCACTATGTATTAAAGAACTTAAAAAAAATAGTGCCTGACAAGTTTTCAAGCAATGATAGCTATTAATCTTATTATTATTCTAACACCCTCCTCCAGCCTTCAGAGCTGTGCTGAACACTTGTATAAATTAAGAATGTGAAAAATCTGCAAAAAGCTGTTGAGTACAAAATATCATAAGGGTTTCCATAAGGTTTTAGTGACTGTGCTAGGTGTAGGTCATGATTTATTGAATTTTGCGTAGACTTGCCACATCTGATGCAAAAATAAAGGCCATGGCATACCTATTGCCGAGCCCAAAGTGCGGCTTTCCTTTTTGATCTCATACTTGCAAGTTGTGAATGCCTGCTCTGACAAGACACTGCTCTTGGCCTGTCACCAGACTGTAGATAGTTTCATTACTCTGACTGTTCTTTTGTGAACATGAAGCCCTGGTCTTCCTATATGGCTCTCTGTACAGTATGCCAATTAATATTAGCAGTGGCGTTGTGTAGTGTATTATAGATTTTACCTTTGGTGATTTAGTGACTTGGGTATTACCAAACACTTGGATGTGAGATGACATAATTGGATGCTTTTATATTTTTAAGAGAAATGTAAGAAATAAACTAGTTTTTCTATAGAGGGAACAGGTGTAATTTGTTTCTTCTACAGCTTTAAAAGGCAAAAGAAAGGGTTCTGGTATACCTGCTGCCTACCATAATACGGAGGTGCTCAGGCCTTTGCTGCTCATCAACCTCTCCCCAGATCTTGATTCTCTCTCATGCTGTCCTTCATGTTGATTGCCCCATTCTGAGTTTTTGACAGCTTCTTTATTCGAATGCAGCTAGAAAGCCTGACCTATAATTCAACATATCATGCTGCTCCTGCTCTTTTCCCCCACTGAATGTGATATAATTCCCATCGATGGTCTGTAAAGACAGGAACTACTTCCTGCTTTTGCCCTTTCTTCCCCAGCCCAAGTCAGTGACTGTCAAAAGCCACATTGGCTGGCAGTTGTTGGGCACTGCCTGCAAGGATCTTTACGGAGGTGCCTTACCTGTGGTTCCTAGTTGCCTTGGAAACATGACTTACTGGCTATAGGGAGAGCTTGTTTCTGGGAAGCAGCTACCTCATTCTGCCATTTTTCTAGGACAGAGAGCATACCCTGAGTTTCAGATCGCTGCATGTACCTGGAAACCCTAGTAGGTAGAAGTTGCATAATTGCCATGTGCACGAAGCCCCACAGTACCCAATACCAACTGAACAAGGATTAGTTGCATTTATATTACAAAGGTGTTTCTTACTTGATACAGCCCAGTGACATTCTTGGTAGTATTAGCGACAAGTATGTTATTTGAGTAATTAGATATCATTTATTAAATGTTAAGAGCAATTTGAAATAGAATCCAAAAGAAACACATGCACCAACCCATCTTTTTCTGCAGCTCTGCTCCATTAGAATTGGTAGCCTTATTTAGCGTTCTGACTTAGGCTGAGAAGGTTGTGCTATTTTTGACAGATTTAAACTTAATCTATCCACCTCCCATTTATCAAAGTATCATTATACAACTGCAAACATGTTATTTGACTTGATGGAAAAATATAAAGGGCACCGTAAGACCTAAAAAAAGGTGAAATTTCCAGGAGTAAATCTTGATTAAAATAAATATTGTAATTGTTCTTGGAAAGCTTGGTAGCTTGGTTGAGAGCATATGCTCTGAAGTCAAGTCAATCCAGGATTGTATATTAGCTCAGTCTGTTACCAAGTGAACTTTGGCACGGCTGCTACACTAGTGGTTCCCAGACTATACTGCACATTGAAATCAACTGGTGGGCTTTAAAAATATCCTGACCTCCAGGTTATACCTTATGCCAATTAAATCAGAATAAAGATGGCAGCCAGGCATTAGTAGTTTTTAATGATCCTCAGGGGATTCCAAAGTGCATCAAAGTTTGGGTACCATTGTGTTACACCTTTCTGAGGCTCCTTATTATTAGCAAATGTGAGTGGTAGTAATACCTATCTCATGTTTTTATGTGGATAAAAATAATGTCTGTAAAACTGTGAACCCAGTTCCTGGTATATAAGTACCATTAAATGGAAGCGAATTATTATTGATGTTATTGTTGTCAGTGACCAAAAATTTGGAAGAGTTTAGAGAGTTTACTCCAGTGGCTGAGTCAGGAGATGATTGCATGAAGGTCAGCCTTTGGCTCAGTCTGACCCTTTACCAAAAATCTGTCAGGCCATTAAGGGTAGCCCCCTTCATTATAACAGGGTCAAATTCCACGCCCACCTTTGACATTTCACTGTATGTTTAAATGAAAAGTTTCACTAATGGTTTTTTCCCCCCATTTCTCAATAGGAAAATTTCTGGCAATGCCATGCTACAGTTGGGCCCCTTCTTATATTGGACATTTCTGGCTGCCTTTGAAGGGACAGTGTTCTTCTTTGGGACTTACTTTCTTTTTCAGACTGCATCCCTAGAAGAAAATGGAAAGGTAAAAAGAACCTGTCATTACATCTTTTGGTATTATAAGCATGGCTTGTCTTTTTCCCATAGGTGCTGGATTTGTCATATACATACTCTAGCTGTAATCATTTTACAAACTTTTTCTGAAGATACAGTAGTTAGTTCTCACAGCTTCTTTAGAACAATAGAAGTGAAATAAGAAATCACTTTCTGTGCATGGCTAACTAGAGAGCTTATGTGCAAACTTTCTGGAACCTTAACTTGGCTGTAATTTTTACTAGATGAACAGAGTTCTTGGGACTTCAGACTCCTGCTCTTTGATGTGAGAAAGGTTTTTCCCATTTTAAAGTAAAGCCTGGCCGCATTCAGTTTTTACTCATAGTGGCCTTCCATGCTTGGAGCTGAAGCGGGTAGCTGCCATATCTTTGGAGTGTTGGCCCAATATGTGAAGAGAGGAATTCTCTTCTCTCCCTCCTCTTCCCAATGGAAGCACAGTATTCTGCAGAAAGGCTATTCTGGTCCTGCCAGTGTCTTCCCAGAACATGACTATCTCATTCAGCAGTTGCACTGGGGTAATTTTGCCCTGGCTGTACTCTAGGAGAAAATTACTGATGGCGGGGACAGCTGAGGCCTTTTTCTGCAGCCACACAATAGGAAAACAAAAACACTACCTTGCATACTGCTTTCACTAAGTTCTCCTTTGCTATTTCTGAGATTCTTCTTTTATGGTCATTCATTCTTTATAATCATAATGTGAAGGAAAGCTAAGGTTCAAAAAGAATTTACTGAGGATACTATGTCTGGAACCTGGTAACACCTGTTACAGAAGTAATAGGTTCAGTGAATTTGAATGGTACTTTAAAATTAGGCACTACAGTCAAAACCTCTCTAATTTGGACTAACAAAAATCAGTTTAGTATGAATCCATGAAAATTATTAATCATAAAGTACTTGTTGGGGAAACACAGATCTGCTTTAAAGTAGTCACATGTAGAACTTGCCAAAGAGAATGTCCTGCTAAATCCTGTGAGTACTTGGGAAAATCACATCAGTTTCCCAGGTCAGTTTTGCCCATCAGTAAGAAGAATGGATTTGATTTTATGATTTCCTGGCCTCTTCAGATTTATAACTGATTGTGCAGCTTTCACTTTTTATGTTAGTTTTATTTGGCAGACAGATTTTATGTAGCTGGCTACTGCTTAAAAGGAGTTTGCTCCAAAGTAGGCAGATACTCTCCTATAGTCGATGTGATTCATTTGCTCAGCAAACTTTCCAGGTGGTGCATGAGAGCATCAATTCAGCGTCTGTTTAATTCATTACCCATTTTGAGTTCATAAAGTCCAAATTAATAAGGTTTTACTGTATATGTCACCATCCCTCTAAATGTTTGCTGAAATTACAGTAAGTGTATGAATTACTTTTAGCAACAAAACATAACACTCATGTATGATTTGAGTGAATCCTTTTTTTTGCTTCTATTAACCTTAATTTTTGTTTTTATTTTTTTGAAAAAACCTTTTACATCTCATTTTCTGTTTTAATGTTACGCATTCAGATCTTGACAGCATTTGGTAAGCATATGTGCCATTCATTGCCATCATTTGGATTTATACATGGTATCTGCTTTTTTTTTTGATGTGCACATGCTGATAGCTCTTGTATTTACAGCCAAAAAAATCAGACTCATTTAAAAAATGTGAATCCATTTGTCTATAAATTACTGCTCATTTGAGAGGTTTAGTTCTATATTATAGGAAAATCCCATATCAAATTCTTTAGAGACATGAATCATCCAAATGACTTGTTTTGATGAACATTGCTGTTAGTAGAGTAGTTGCCTTCTTTGGCCTTTATCACAACAGTGAGTTCCCTCTTCAGTGCTGCATGGAGTAATAGAAATAAACCCTACCAGCCACAGGTGTGGTGTACCTTTTTGTGAAAATTGGATCACAGGAAAATCTGGCATTGTGGCCTGATCTTACTGACTAGCTGTTTCCCTAAACAATTCATACAAAAATATTTGGCACTTACACACAGGATTCAACTTGGCTTTTTTTTTAAATGAAAAAATACTAAGATAATACTTGTATATACATGGTACATGTAATTATTAAATGTTTTTCAGGTATACGGAAACTGGACTTTTGGAACCATTGTTTTTACAGTCTTAGTATTCACTGTAACCCTGAAGGTTAGATTTTTACTTATTCATGTATTTTTTAATACTGTTTTTATAATACTTTCTTGTCTTATCCTAATATACCATTTTTTTGTCTCCTTTATTTCTTGTTATGGGTTGTTATTCAAGTGTTTGCCTTAATACTTACTAAAATGTGTATGATACTAGGGATTTGGGTATTTGTATACTATTTTTTGATCAGTTTTTTCCCCAGTATATCGTAATCCTCTTTATATTGTTTTACTTAAAAAAATTCAAACACCATACTTATGTCGAAAATCTGTTTCTTCTTTATTGCTGTTTTTAAGGCGTTATGATAAGTGGCATATAAACAGGCTGTGGGTGAGAGTGAGAGAGAGAGCGAGAGAGAGAGAGAGAGTGTGTGTGTGTGTGTGATTATGTTAAGTACTTGAATCTTCTAAAAATTATACTTCTGTTTAAGAACCCCAGGCCTAAAATAGGTATATATGAGCAAGATAATATGTGAAAAAGAGCTTGGTAGTAGTGAAATCTTATAAAATGTTTTCATCACTGATGGCCAGGTTGGTGGCTCATGCCTATAATCCCAGCACTTTGGGAGACCAAGGTGGGCAGATCGCTTGAGCCCAGGAGTTCAAGACCAGCCTGGGCAACATAGCAAGACCCTGTCTCTATTTTTATATATATATATATATATATATATATATATATATATTTTTTTTTTTTTAATTTAAAAATAAATATAAAAAAATAAAAATATATAAAATGTATTCATCATTAAAATTTACCCATGTTAGTGATAAAGTGCCTAAGAATATAATGCAGGTAAACAAAAGGGAGGTAATTTTGGCAAAATCATTGGCATTGACATGCAGCCATGTGATAATGCTGTGAAGCCTCACTGAATGCTACCCTTGAGGCCCATGATTTGGGAATCTCTTATAGTTGAAAGCATAATCAAATTATTTTTGTCATTCCAATAATAAACACCTCACATGGGTTCCATGAGTAAATACCTTTAAATGAATTCTGGCATGCCCAGGGGTTAGAAGCAGAATTCAGAAGTATAATTGTCAAAGGATCTCTCTTACCTTTCCCTCTAAATTTTTGTTCCTGGTTTATTTCTTATACCAGATAGAGCTAACATATGTTTGCTTTATTCATCTATTTCAGTAACATTTTAGGACCTTAAAAGGACATTACAATTCATCTCAGTATAGCCACTTACTAGCTGTGTGTCCTTCGGCAAGTAACTTTACCTCTCTGTGCCTCACTTTCCTCTTCTATAAAATCGAGATAGAAGTAGCACCTACCCTTTTTGAGGACTCAATTAGTGAATAAAGCACTTAGGAGGGTGCTCATTTCAATATATGCTAGTTTTCGGTTTTTATTATGTCTCACAGTATCACAATTTGAAATGGACGCCTCCCCCCTCCTTTTTTCCCCTGGCCTTGCATATAGCCACAGGGCTTCCAAATGGCCTTCACAGTGTTTTTCAAGTGTATCTCAAAGACTTCCACTCCCTCCTCTTTGGATTAATATTAGTATTATCTTTGGATTCATATTAGTATTTTCCTTAGCAACCAGAAGAATAGCAATTCAAGACTGAGCTACATTAATAATGTTATCAACATCCTGTTTATAAATGAGAAACTATAACAGAGAGCTGATGACCATGGTGTCACAGCAAGTAACAAAACTGAGACACCATCTCCTCTATAAAAATTAACTGCTCTGGATATTAGCTCATGTGACCCAGAAGTTTTAAGCAAGCGAAATAGTCCATACTTTTGTTTTTAGATCACATTTGAAAACCCCAGATACCACAATCTGAAAACATGATTGGTCCTGGCAGAAACATGAAGAGATTAAAATCTAACTGAATATTTTATTAATTTAATGGACTAGATACAGGTTTTGCAATTGGAAAGATACACTACATAGTCAAACCCATGATTCATTGCTACATGATGTTAGATGTATAGAGCCTTTGCATTTAGTGACTCCCGTCTGTTGTGTTTGAGCTTTCACGACACCTTTGAAAGTTTTGTAGTTTGTCTACCCTTCCTAGCTACCCCTTCCCTCTCCTACTTCTTTTCAGCTTATCTGCCCCCACCAGCTAGGTCTCCTTTTGCCATCATCTTCCTGGCTGCCATTGCCTGAGGACTTGGGGCTTGGGCCTCCTAGATATTACCATTACTTCATTCCTTGCCCATTCCCCAGTACTGAGATATCTGCAGCCCTACACCTACTAGCTACTTAGCCTGATCACACCTCCAGCCTGTACGCCAGTTTAGAGGCCTTAGGGCAGAGCTCAGCTTTCTCACCCTTGTTCTTTGAAAAACCTGGGTTCTGTTTAGTTCCCCTCTTCTCTGGATCCCTGGCCCAAGCTAGATCCTTTCATAGGTATCATTGTGTACTAGTTATCAGATACTATAGCGTATTGCCTGGTGCAATTCGTAACCGTCGTGAAATCTTTTGTGTTGTATCTTTTCAGCTTGCCTTGGATACCCGATTCTGGACGTGGATAAATCACTTTGTGATTTGGGGTTCTTTAGCCTTCTATGTATTTTTCTCATTCTTCTGGGGAGGAATTATTTGGTAAGCAATTGTACATGTGTGAGCAATATGTAAATAGCAAAGTAGATACATGTGTATGTACACTATATATGTAAGCATTCATTATACTTTAAAAATTTTAATTATATAAGATGACACGTCTTTAATATTAATGGCCTGAAGGTTATTTGTTAGCTGGTAGTGCTACTAATTTCAGGTAAGATTTTAAATACACATATATAGACTGCACAAGTCACTCAGAAGACCTCCCTTTGGTAGCTTCTGTCTGTTTGAAGGTGTTGTAAACATCTCTCTAGTGAAACTATAGTTTTCAGCACAACCTCTCGTGATTTTCAGAGGAAATACTCATCCTGTGAAGTTTCTACCTGATATATTGACCAACAGATACATTATTGTCCATTTGGACCCTTATTTTCTCTTGATAGTATATAACCATGATTCATGTTACTACAGGTGTGCTCAGGGTATAGGATATATACAACTTAATAATTCAGAGGGTTGTATTTTGAAATTGTCATCTTACTGTTTTGGTGGAGGAGGGAAGATGTAGAAAGGCAGACTCTGCAGCTTGTCTTTAAAGTTCATTTAGTTCATCTTGGTTCAGTAGATAGATGTTTGTTCAGAATCAGTTTTGTGCTTGAGACTCTATGGGTTAGAGAGATGACTAGACTGTACTCAAGGAGAATAGAGTCCAGTGAGGGACACATAAGCTGTGATTGGGAGAGTTATATATTTGCATCTCCTTTCTTTACTCCCAAAAACATATATTTTATTTTTAAATGTCAGAGTTGTTTTTTTTAGTGAATGGCTTCCCCTGACAAGGATGCCAGCAGCAGAGAGCATGGCTAGAGCAAGCCATAGTGTAAGATTTCAGGAGTACATATTTTCATTGCTTTGAGCAAAATCTTACATACAAAATGATTCTATTTTATCACAGAGATGTGAGGCTTATGTTTATGTCCCTTGAGTCTTAATTAGAAGAAACTCTATTTTGAAAAGCTTTTTAAAAATAAAAACCTTAAGAAATAAAAATATGAGAAACCTAATCATTTAAGGAAGTACCAGCTTTAAAAAGTATAATTACAGCATATATTTGGTACCTCTATAGGTAATTGAGAGCAATGAAGCTGGAAGAAGTCTCTATTTTCTTTAATAATATAACAAATAATTCAAAGTTGATTAAGAACATACCATATACAATTGTATGTCTGCCCAGAGTACCATAATTCTATGAATCTATGTAATCAGCATCTGAACTAATTATGCAAAATTTCTACAAAAATAAAATGTTTCCAGCGAACTCATTTCCAACCCTTTCTACAGACTATTCCTTATTGATGAAAATAAATCCAGTAAATGATTATGGTATTGTCACACCTGTTTATTCATTAGTGCTACTAAAAATGAAATGTTAATCTATTTTTTATTTTATTGCCTGAAGTATTATCATTAAGTAGAGTTGAGCCACTGCATGAATATAAACTTATAAAGCAACCAGTAAAATGTGACTAGAAACAATGTGAAACTTCAGCTGAATGTGGTCACAACTGATGTCTCTAGACATGTTTTACCCTGAGGCATTGAGTCACACCCGTCTTTGGGGTTGGGTAGTGAGAATGATGACTTCCGAGCCCCAAACCACATCCAGAAATAATAGTGTTTATTTTTTACTGCCCTACTACAAAACTCCATAGATGACATGGAGGTTAAAAAAAAAAAACAAAAAACAACTGGATGCATTAGTCAGAAGGTATGATGCCAAGGAACACTCTGTGACTAGCTGCCATTTGTCATCTGGGCCCCTGTTATGGCTCAGTTAACTGCCTAGAACATTATTCAAGGTGTTCTTCAGAATTTGAGTGAGGTAGAGTTCTGCAGAAGTCTTTTCCATGTGGCAGACTTTTCCCAGAAAGCCTGTGTAGCCTAGGCCTCATAAATTTTTCTACCTTCCTGTTCTCACTTTTATTCCACAATCTAATTTTCATAAAAGTAGAGCCACAAACTCAGTTTTATCATGTTACATAAGGGTGCATAGACATTAATTTTTAAATGAGAAACCAAATTATCTTCAGGAAGCATGATGTGTCATCTAATAAACAGGAGCCATGGTTATCTACCTGGAGCTCTTTAATCCTAGGGCAGTCTGATGTGCATCCTGTCTTTAAGCAACCACTTCTTCCCCCTCACCTTCAAAGAACAATAGCTTCACCTACTGAGGCTCTCTGTGGTTCAGCTCAGACAGAAGGGAAGGGAAACAGGCTGTGCTTCTCAATGGCCACTTTACAATGAAGTGGATGACTCAGAATGAAATCTAACTCCAGAATGGGGGTTCCTGCTGGATTTCTGGATTCTAAGGCTTAATGTCCAATTAGCAATATTCTACTCTGTGTCAACCTATTTGGCACATACTGTTAATATATATTTGTGGATGACAATGGTAGATTCCTTCCATTTGAGAGAGATGATAAGCTTCTACTGTCCTTTTTATATTTACATAGTGTTTTTATTGGGAGAGAGTTATAAAAATGTCTTTTGAATTTCTGAATACAGAACACAAATCCATCCCCATCTTAATAAAACAGCTGAGGAAATAAAATGCTTGTTAGGATAAAAATGAACCATTTCTCTTGAATATCTTTTAAGCACCAGCATTTTCTAATGCACATAAATAGTCGCCAGTTGGCAGCTTTAGAATTGATTGCCTGATTGTCTTCAAGTCAAATGCATTTTATCTTTTTTCTCCTTTGATTATCATTCCTTTTTTTCCAAACATTTGGTAAATGAAATTTGTTTATTACTTTGGGATATTCTAGAGAAAATTATTTTTATTAATGTATGTAAGGAAGATTCTTTTTAAATACAAACGACATTTTAATTAAATGTCCATTTCATATGACAGGAATTGATTTGTTTTTCCATCATGTATTTTCTTTCCACTGCAGGCCTTTTCTCAAGCAACAGAGAATGTATTTTGTATTTGCCCAAATGCTGTCTTCTGTATCCACATGGTTGGCTATAATTCTTCTAATATTTATCAGCCTGTTCCCTGAGATTCTTCTGATAGTATTAAAGAATGTAAGAAGAAGAAGTGCCAGGGTAAGAACTAAGTTTATCTTACAACCTGATTTTTGGAAGGGGCCTCAATATCTGCCATGAGCTAAAAACCTGATTTAGAAAATTACATTAGTTACAGCATGTTAAACCCCTCCTTACAGGTTCATCACTTAATTTCCTCTTCTGCATAAAAAGTATAGTAAAAACTTCGTTATCCAATGCAGGTGGTAAGTAGATTCCTTAATAGTGTTCTATGTGACCTTCGGCAATCCATATGGAGTATCTCATATGCTCCATATGGAATTTTAAAAGGAAAAAATTATTTTATTTTGTATTTAGCCTAGAATTTTCACACCAGGAATTTCCACACCAACATTTTCGCTTTAAACTTAGAAATTTCCCTGTGGGCTGTTTGCAGATTTTTTTCAGTTGATAATACCAATTTGCCTCTTTCAAACCTTTCCCCTTCCTTTAATTATAGTGCTGCTTAATCTCTGCGTTGCTTCTAGCCCTGTCTGTCCAGCAGTATATTTGAACCAAAGAGAATTCCCTGGATGTGGTTTTGACATCCTTAGCCTCTGGAACACACTCGTAAAAATTCAAGATAGTTTTATGAGTGTGTTTTTATTTTTCCTATTAAATTGTAAATTTCCTGTGGGAATGAGAAGTTATTTTTTCTGCTGCCTCATTATGATATCTTTTAAACATTTTTTAAAAAGCCTTTAAAGCGAAATAGGGAGATGAGCATGGAAAATAAAACTTTTGGCAGATTTTGACCAACAGGCTAATTAAATATGTCATATTCCTGCCAACAGTAGCTGATTTTATTAAACAAAACTGTTTCTGTCATATTGACACCAACTAGATCTTGTAGCACCTCCAAGGCAGTATTTTCAGGTAATATTCTAAGCTATGACTACCTGACTTATTTGATAAATTTGTCAACCAGTTTAGCCACAAAACTGTTACATCATGATTTTGTTTTTGCCTGTTGAATTGATAGAATCCAGTAGTTGATATTACATAGACATGGGGATCTGAAATGATTAGAGTAGGAAAACCTTCAGTGATTAGAATTGTAAAAGAGGAGATTCATGTCGCAAGTCAGTGTCAGCCCCAATCAAAAACAAGAGAACTGTCATAGGGTACATTGATTCTTCATATACAAGGCCAGTCAGTGTGTAATTAGGTGGCCAGAATTGCCCTTAACTCCCTGCTTTCTACATGTCTTATGGGCTGAAACTGAACACAGTAATGTTAGCTTAGTTACAACTGCTTTACTCTAGTCTGGTGTTTTAGGATGGAAAAGTTGCATTCAAATACCTGATTATGTCTTAATATCGGTTGAACAGGGATAAAACAGTTTGATACAACAGACTCCACCCAGAATGTCTCAAGTGGCAATTTGCATGAAACCAAATAAAATAATGTTGCAATAAGAAATGATTTGGGGCTTTTTATAATAGAGAATTTTCCAGGGAAAGATTTCCAAGTTGCTCTTCCATCCTTATTTGGGAGTATACTTTGGAATGATCCTAAATGTGTCTCTTATTTGAGGTAATGGAGCTCATTTTAAATAATGACTCACACCCAGCTACATGGTCTAAAGATGATAGAAAAATCTCAGAAAACAAAACTTTCAAACATGTCATCTTATCTTCTTCCTTATTAGGCCCTCTCAAAAAAGTTAGACATTGGCTGGAGGTGACTGTTACATAGACCATTAAATTGTGGGATGCTACTAAGCAGTCACAGATAAAGACTTAGAACATTTTTTTTTTTCACACGAACAGATTCTGAACTTCTGTTGAAAGTACGGAGTTCTGGGACTGCGTCCTTTTTTACTTAGCAGCATAGACTGTTGCCAGGGGTTTAGCATGAAATTTGTTATGGGTTATGTCCAGCGTAGGAAGAATTCTAGTGTCTGTGCTATGGCTTGGCATGCTGATATGCTAGAACAACCAGGAAAATTTCCATAATCATTTTCATTCATGCAATCATTCATTCATTTATTCCTACCCTTGTTGAACCAATAAACATTTGTTGAACCACCTACTGATGAACATCTCTCTTTACATCCAATGTCTGAAAGGCTAGATGGTTTTTCAGACTCTGGGATTTCAGGAGTCGCAAATGAGGCAAAATGTTGTGGGCACTCAGCAGTGCTGCCTCTTTTTTTTTTTTCTTATGAGAAAATGCAAGAGCAAAGTAGTGCAATATGAATGCATAGAGGCCTACTGCAACATGGCAGCCATGGCTATTCTGATAAATCACATCTGTTTATATAAGGCCCTATTTGGCTATATCAAAGAGGTGGAGGCCAACTTCTAAGATAAGGGAGAAAGAGTATGTTATTTTCCCCCAAATATTTTAGTCTTTATGCTCAGTGACCAACAGTCTGACACTCTGTGTGATTTCCTACTTTGTTCTGTATTCCTTGCTAAGACATTGGCCTCATTTTAAAGAGAGGCAAAAGATACTGGGTCTGCCCCATATCCTGATAGATCCCCCGATGTGGTCAAATGTGTGTCTCTACCTAGAGTAGAAGAATCCCTGACTTCAACCAATAAGTATCGTGGACACTTTATGTACACAGCCAGAAATGTGGCAGGTCAGCTGCCAGTGCTGTTCTTATGTGGGTCTTGGCAGCTGCTTTGAGAAGGGGACTTAGCAGTGTGTAGTGAAAATGTCTCTATGGCATTTGAGAAAGAAGCTAAGCTATTTATATTTAACAATTATAAGAGCAACCTTATGCTGAATTCTGTTCAATTCAGCATACCTTGCCTGAGGGCCCACTATGAGTTAGCTACTGTACTAGGTGTTGGTAATTCAGGGATGAATCAGATGTGGCCCTAGCTCACAAGCAGCTCTCACTCTGGTTATAAGGAGCATTCATATGGAATACTTCTGTAAGCAGGTATTAAACAGAATAGCAGAATCAGTGATGTGGCTTGTTTTAACACAATTGAGCTATTTCAAGTCACTACCTCCTGAAACCTCCAGTAAAATCGCTAGTATGGCAGCCTCCACTGCAACTGAGTTCTGTCATAATGCTAGTATTAGAAAGAATTCCAGTATCTTCAAATGTAGGTTCTCTCAGTTGTTTAACTCAAGGGTTGTAGTTAAGCCATGTATCCATCAGCTGTATTTTTAGCAATGAGGTTAATTTTTTTCCCCAAAGTTCCGTTATTAAGGATCCTAGAGCTTTTCTTTAGCTTTATGAAGTGACAAAGCTGCATAGCAATGCTGTTGAGGGTATATGATGAAACTACCATTGAGCACTGAACAGTGAAACAGCAGGATAACACCTCAAGGAAAGGTCAAGTATAGGATTTTTGTATTTCAAAAAGTTGTGTCCCCCCTAAGCACAGTCATTGGCTGTCTGTAAATCAATGAAATATATCTGGAGTTTCTGGCCAAGTAGCAAATACCATTTCACATTTCCAATGGAGAAATTTCCACATATCCTGTGTGAAGTTTTCTCATGTAAGTCACCACAATCAAAAAGGAGGCTTAACTTCGCTGAAGCTTGACAAAGGAAGACTATAATTTAATGGGAATGCACCCAGCAACATGGCCGTGCTTAGCATGGGATGTCAGCACAAACAGGAAGAAATATTCCATTATGTAGAGAACTCTTTCAGAGTGGTAGACAGGGAAGGGAAGAATGTCAACTGTCTGAGCCAAAGTCCCAGAGAAAGCATTTTGGAAATTTTGGAGAATATAGTTAATCATTATAATAATGATGATTACTATTATGATTCTTACAGTGTCATATACAACCATGGGTTCACAGGGCAATAGCCCTGTTAGCTGGATTAGACAAAAATAAAGTTTAATCCTAATGTCGTGGCTGTTGAGATGGGCCTTTATCCATTGGCCTCTTTGACATACTGCTAATTGAGCTGGTGTCAAAGCTCTCTAGATGACTGCAAAGGAATGTGGAAATTTCATTCTGTTTTAGCTCATTATCTCCTGTTTACCCCACCCCACTGCCGGTTGCTAGCTATATCAATTTTTTTATTGCTTTAGTTACTCTTTCCATGCTTTCTCCTGCTTTCTGTACTTTCATTTCCTTTATAAAGTAGTTTTAACACCTAATCTATTAACTCCTAATATTTCTGCTTCATAGAAATACTTTTATCTCCGATGGTTGGATACAAGTGTTTGAGCACACCAAAACGTGCTTACAGTTGCAGTCTTGAATAGATAGGTTTGTGCATTAAACACGGGGGTGGGGAACTTGGTATCATGCTGATCTTGTCGCAGGGTTTTTGCCCATAAAATAGAAGATAGAAACAATTAAAATCTTTTTCTCAGAATCTAAATATTCTCTAGCTTTATCAATTGGTAATTTGCATTCTATCAATATGTCTATCAACTTTCTTCATTCCACCAACTTTCTTCATTTAAGGTAAAAACAAGAAAAAATGTAGTTGTCAAAACATGAATAAATTATTTACCTTTGAAAGTTTAATTGTTTATTAGAATCTTCTGGAAACAAATGTTACTTTAGCTGGTTTCTTTTTCTAAGCCCATTTTAGGTCACTAAGTAGACAATATGGGTAATCTTTATTAGCAGAGTTGTTCAAGTCATCCACATTGTTGACCACTCATCTTCTGTTTTGCTTGGGCAATGCCAAAACTGAGTCTGTAAATTACCTTATAATTTCAGGCACAGAATCAGAAGGAAAAAAATAACCTTAGGTTTGCCAGTTAAACTTTATCCATTTTCACTTTTCTGGGTGTTTTAAGGGGAAAAAAAATAATACCTTACCCAGGTAAAATTTAGCCTATCTTTCTAAAGAGGACTCTGTAGGAAAAACAGGGAAACCAATCAAATTAGGTTGTAAGAAAGGAAGTTAAGCATTGGTCAGAGGCAAATGGGACTGAAATGTGGTATCACCAAATGTTTTCCCATTGTTATTTTTGATTAAGTTTTTATCCTGCAACTGCTTAAGAGCAGTCAGTCCCTTCATAGTGTATCTGTACAGTTGCATAGGGGAGATAATTACTTCAAGATAGATTGGTGATTGGCAATGGACCCTGGACATAACTCTTTGACCAATGGATTTTGAACAAATGTAGGATAGTGAATTAATGATTAGAGATAAGTCTTATTTTAACGAGAAGCATATTTTAAAGCTATTTTATTTAAAATAGTCAATTTTCCCATTAACAAAATAATTTCAAATTGATATGTAGAGAAATAGTAGTTGGCACGTAATAATAGACTATTCCTATCTCTGACTCTGCTTTTACTTCAGAAAATAATGTCTTCAAAACTAACATATCATTTCGGCTTCGAATTCTCAAGTTTTCTTTTTAAATGTCTTACATTTGAGAGATTATTTACTTTTTTTTTTTTTTTGGTTTCTGCATTTCTCTTTTTTCTACTGCAATTTTCCACCTTTTGTGCAATTGTGAACAAGGTAACGAAACGCCTCCCTTCCTCAGGAACATCTGCTATCTTCATGCTTTCTCAAACTTCCAGCAATCACAGTTTCTCTTGGAGTGAATAAGGTGATTTCCTTTCTTAATGTACCAACTTGCTTGCATTCTCATTTGCCTGACACCATTTTCTAATTCTTTATGAAAAATTACTTCTCATGACTCATTTTATATCTTCTATTGATGCTTAGAGTATTTTGTCATTTTCTTTTAATCATGTGTTCACCTTCCAAATTGTCACACTGGAGAGGAAGTAATTTTTAAAAGCTTGGACTACGGGTCTGTAGTCTTCATTGATCCACGGTATGCAGTGGCCATGGCGTGTTAGAGCTAGTCTGTTCACCAGGACAGGAATGTTTTGCACAAATTTCTCTTTGTTTGATAATACGGCACCGGCACAACTCTCAGAGGTGTTCACCAAAAGGATGGTAAGGTTTACTAATCAAACCATATTGACTCATCTTACCATATTACTTACCAGTGCCATTCCAAAAACCCAAGTTTACTACATACTACTGTTGTCTGTTTACTTCTACCACAAAAACAATTCGAGTTGGAGACTTTCTTAGGCCTTTGAATGTATTCATTTGAATGTTATACATTTACTATATAGTGTAATCATTTGTACTTTTGGCCAGAGGAGTAGTCTATAGGAAATGATTTTTTTCTTTTACCTTTTTTTAAATATATAATCACCAGGTAGGTTAACCAATTTTCAAATGCTTTAAGTATCTTTGCCTCACTATTACAGAGAAATCTGAGCTGTAGAAGGGCATCTGACTCATTATCCGCCAGACCTTCAGTCAGACCTCTTCTTTTACGAACATTCTCAGACGAATCTAATGTATTGTAACAGGTACCTAGTGTTAAACAAATGGGCTGGCTTTAAAAAATCGGATTAACAGCATTATAAAGAAAAAATGAAAATATCACTCTCTAAATTTTCTCTGCTGTTGGTGTGGTGAACTTTACAATATTCTTTGCAAAAATATAAAGATGCATTACTTGGAATATGGGGAAATATGCATTTAAAATATTAAACATTAAAATATGATAAGCCCCCCAAATAAAATGTTAAACATTTTTCAGAGCCAAATGTTGATACAGCATATTTAATTTGTAAGGGGCAAGTTGTCATGGCAAGGCCACCATGTGAAAATGTTTGTTAATATTGATCAGGAAATATAACTTTGATTTATAAAGATCATTTGGAAAACTAAAAGTAAATATTCCAAAATTGCATCTGTATAATATCAAGCCAATTTAGCATTGCATGTTCTCTTGGGAATTATGTGAAAATAACTAAATGTGTTTGTACCTTCATGTGCTGTGTCTGTGTGTTTGCAGGTACTGTATACACTTATGTCCTTGTAAATGTCTGATCTCCAAATATATATCAATGAACCAGTCTAATCATAACTTTTTTAATGTCAAGTTTTATTCAAGCTAAATGTTTCAACTTTCAGAGGTAAAATATTTCATAGCCATTCAGGGGGATGCTTGCCTAATGATATAAAATGCTTTATAATTAATGTTTCCAAAAATGATTAAATTCACTTTATAATGTTTCATTTACCCCCAAAAATATTTGGGAGGAATTGATACGCCGTGGGAGGGCCCCTTGAACTCAGAATGACTCCTTTATGTATAGTCTGTATTTCCTTCAGTGGGGGCCTTTAACAACTCAGACCTCTGGAGGTCTTTTATCCATCCATAGGAATTTAGAGTAATTAATGAACAAGGCTTCCAAGCTTGTCAGCTTGGAAACAACTCTACACAGCTTAAAGCAGGGCCATCTTTCATGCACACATAAAAATTAATGATCATCATGAATACAATTGTGGGTTAGTTCACTTTGAAGCTAATAATTGCGAGTCCACCTTATAGGCCCATTTTTTTCAACAGCTGTCAACTCTGCCACCCTCTAGCAAAGAATACAAGTTAAATTAATGGATTGACTCCATTGGTTCTTCTGTCTTCCTGGAGTTCATCGCAGTCTACATCTGCACTGTTATTTTAGAAGCAGACTCATTTTGCCACAGTTAGCATCTTTTTACCCATTTTTGAACAACTTACCTGAGTATGTTTTCCCTTAGTAATGAATCTGCTTCACAAGTAACCTTCAAGGTCTTTGACCCCTTTGTCCCAGATTGCCTCGTTCTAAGCTGTGTGATGCATTTTAGCTATATTGTTTCTGGCTAATTTTGTATCCCCCTGGATTGCTCTCTTTAGCTTGGTCTGTGGTTTGGGGGACTGGGCTGGATAGAAGACACTGCTGTTGCTTTTGGCCTCTCCAGGGCCTTATCTCCTACAATGTCTAACATAGAACTGAGGAAGTATTTTTTAAAAACAATTGTCTTATTTTTAATGTAGTTATTTCTTCCAGGAATAGATTTTCATGTGGCATTATTTCTCCTCCAAAGACAATAATTAGCAGCTAGTTTAGGCATCTAGTTTGTTCCTTGGTTGGTAAGGAAACTACCTAACTCCTCAATGTGAGTTACATTCTCAGTATGAATGGCAACCTTATTTTGGTTAGAGTCACCATGACCCTGCAGAGCTACCTGAAAACCTACTAGTGGTTCTGGAGAATGTGGAACATAAATAGAAATGGAAGGTATTCTAATGAGCTTCTAGTCCAGCCATGGCAAAGGAGGTGTCCCAGAATGGGAAGAAAATAGCATACTACTTAAGACCTTCCACTACTCAGGTTCAAAAAGATTGAGTTTTAGAGTGGAGAATCAGGCTCCCTGTTTTGACATATGACTTCCATTTCTTAACATACTTGACTTACACTTAATGATCAGTTTGTCTGTCATGCACCATCCTGATCATAGCATTTGATGATGTTTAGAGGACAGAGAAGAATCTACAGATTTGATAGGGAAATATCCGTGGTTTCTCTTCCAAAAAGATGAAGCATAAGAAAAAACAGAAGAATCAATCGACTCATAGATACATGATCTACCAAAAGGAAAATTAACTTCCATATTGTAGGGGGGAAATATGCTTCTTTCAGTAAAAAGGAAGAATATTTTCACAATAATCTTCCAAAGCTGAATATATCTTCAGACTTCCTCTGTCAAAATTAACACATCAAGAAAAACAGCAATCTAATCATTCATCAAACATTTCCTGAGTATCTGCTGTGTGCCAGACACTATTACTAGCTGCTGGAGATAGAAGGTAAATAAAATGTTCCTGTTTTCAAGGACCTCCCAGCCTAGAGGAGAAGGGATCACAGCAAGCTAAACCTCTGCTATGGTAAATAATCCCAGAGGTAGAAAGTATTAGGAGAACCCTGGAACAATCCAAAAGCAAAAAGCAAGCCTGAATCTATTCAGCTGACAAATGAAGAAAGGATTAAAATCTGGTTATAGTGTCACTCTTTTTTTCCCCTGCATGTGAATAAAACTTGGCACTTTGTTAAGACAGTTGCTTTACTCTCATAACAAAATTTACTACTTATTTCTGAAAATGCTTAACAGATGGTTTCACATTATTAAAATAAGCCTTTTAAATCTGTATATTTTACATTTTTCAGAATCCGAATCTTGAACTGCCTATGTTATTGTCCTACAAGCATACTGACAGTGGTTACAGCTAAAAAAGAAAGCATGAAGAAACAACTACAAAAAGTTATCATCTCAGGATACTTGATACGCAACACACTAAACCACTCTCATGTCTAGAGTTCACAATAAATGTTCATTAAAATACCAAATGATTCTCTTAAGCATTTACCATTATTGTAAGTAGCCTTTATGGCCAAAGCTGTAAGTTAAGAATTATATGAAAGTTGAAAGCAAGAATACTTAGAATTCTGGCTTTAGTTAGAGTAATATAACTCAAATGGGTGCTCTTTTAACCCATGAACTTTGTGAATGGATTTAAATACAATAGTATGAAGTAGAAGTTATGCAATGAGAATGAATAGATTTTGCTAATACTACTTTTTTTGCCTGGCAGAAGAAATAGACTATTTGGATCACATTTCTCATTCCTCCTAAATGATCATCTTAATTTTTTTTCCCAAGTACATAAGGAATACTTGAAAATACAGAATAACTAAATAGTATCAATGCATCAGACAGAATAGTTAATCCCTTCTGTTTACCCATGTGCTACTAATGTCTTGGTAGAATATTCTTGCCAAAAAAATACCTTGAACGCTTATGTGGAAAGTGTTAACTTACGGGTATTTTTGTGGGAATAGAAAAAAATTGTTTATTTTTTATTCTTCTGAATTAAACCCCACTTATGGGTGTAAGCCTACTAGACTTGAAAATAAAGTATAAAACATTTCCAATCACTTAGTAGCCCCTCAAAGTAGTTAGAAAATAAACAGATTTTTCCAGTGTTGATTTTACTGGGATCTGCAGTAAGGTGGTTTAAACCATAGTTATATAAAAATAAAGGTCATTCTGAATATCAGCCTTTTATAATTTTATGTGAAGAGGAAGAAATATAGCTTATTTTAAACTTTTGACGGTTTTTATTTGAAAGAGATTGCATTTATGCATATATGCAGTGCTTTTTCTTAAACTTGGCCAATTTGGAAAGGGGGAAGGAGCCACCCCAAAACGGTGGTTCAGCTTGTAGAGCCATGACTCTGTGAAGATGAATGTTGTCTCTTAACTTGGACAGGGAAATGGTCTAACTCTAAACCATGTAACTGACCTTAGTAAAGTCCTTGACTAACTGAACTAGAAGGAAGGTTTAGCCTTCTAATTAGTTCACTTGAAACATAAATGTGAAATGTCTTCATTCAATGTTAAACACATACTTTTTTGGATATAAATGACCATATTTATTTGACTGCTAGTTTTTTTGTTTTTTTTTTGTCTTTCTGGCATGCCTGTACTATTATTAATGTTTATATTGTACCTTGATTTGGAAAAGTATTGGAGTTAATCTGTATTATATTTATATAGTCCATATGGCACATTTGATTCTTCCACATATATTTTGTGTTAATGTTTAGGTATGATTTTTTTCTAAATTCTAGAAAAGAACATAATTTCAGTTATCAGAAGCCATTCCATCATTATAGACCCTTTTTCATTATTTCATTTGCTCTCATATATCAGTATTATTTTTGAGCATTTTGTTACATGTCATTCACAACTTACCTAAGTGTGCTGTGTTCTGGTAGCCCGTATTTGAGGTAAGCTGCTGAAAACAAAAGTCTCTATATTCTTTGCCTATTCCAAAGAGCTAAAAAAGTCTAACCCAGGAAAGCTTTTGATATTTTGTGTTTGTTTTCTTGTTCTTATGGTTGTTGTTGCTGTATTATGATTGCTGTTTTACATAAAATCTATGGGAACTGTGAATACAGACAAGAGAGCCACAGTAGAGAGGCTTGTTTAATGCAGTACCATTGGAGAGTTAACAGAATAATCTAGTAGAAAAATAACTGGTTGCATGTAAAATTCCTTCCAGCCAGAAAGAAAGAAAGACAAGGAGTAAGGGGGATTTAGAGTTATGTCTCAGCTACACATTACATTGTGATACTGCAGCTCAAATTCAGAATGGCAATGATACATGATATCATGGCCTAGATCCTTGAGAGGGACCTGGCTTTCCTTTTTAAAAGATATTTTACTGAAGAGCTAAAAACTGGCCAGTGTGGGGTTAGCAGATCGAATAACTTGAAATAGACCATGCAGTATTCCTAGCACTCAATGTAATCACCCTATTTGTGACAGAGAAAGGGAAAAAAATATAATAAGATCATCTACCTATAATTTGAATAATTTTGAGCTATCAAAATGTCTTTGTAATTTTCACAACCGCTGTCCATTGTTTGAGGATGTTACCTACTAAACTGAAAACATTCATTCCATATCTACTTACACATACACCAGCAACAGTATAAATGTAAGCCTAACTTTGCAAAATTCGTAATAATTTAGTGATGGAATTTTTTAATAACATGCAGTATATAAATGTGCAGATTTTATGCGTGTTGACAAAATCATTTTTCAGCTTGCAAAATGGGACTGCAATATTACATTTTTCACTTAAGCAGTTTTTTACATCTACGTTGTTGCTTTCTAAAATGAATGTGAATGCCATCTTTTATGACTGCAACTTGCCTTTTCCATTACAGAAATTTTTGTTTGATGTAATCAATAAACTTTGGTATGATATGATTGATATATCAGCCTCTTTTTTTTGGGAAAGGTCTCAGTTTGACATTAAAATAATATGGAAGCAATTTGTTGATGGGAACTAAGTTTCTAATTTCTTCTTGACCTGCACAATTGACAGAAGTTTGACCATTTCTACATGAGTTCAACTGGTATTTTATGGCAATACCTAATTTGGGGAGGGTAAGATATTTGTAGGAGTTTTTAATAACACTGTACCTTGTTACTGCATAGATAAAAGTCCAGCCAAATCAGTAAATACATATTGAAAGTCTACTTTGTGCTTGGCAGTGTGCTTGATGCCAGCCATGCATTGAAGGTAGCATATGTTTGGTCTTTGTGGTCTGTGTCTTCAACCCATTGAACTCATTTGATTCTTAAGCAGTCAAACATGAAGGGATTTTACAGTAGCTTGAAACTTGGTCCAAAGGTGTGTGTGTGTGTGCACACCACTTCCCCCACCTCTTCTTACATTGCTCAGCCTGCACCCAAGACCTTGTGAAAGTCCCTTTTCTTGAAAAACCTCACTGTCCTTGACTGCCAAGAAACCAGAGTTGCTCTACGGAAACTGGTTTCATTGCATTTCTACATTTCAGTCTCTATGTTTTGGTAGTCTTTTAATCCTGTTGGTCTTTGATCTATATTTAGTGTGTATTTTCTTCTTTTTCATTAAGTGGAAAATATGCGAAAACCTGAATTAAAGTATCAGCTTTGCCACATTTCTCTCTGAATCCTTTTTCTTTCTCACCTGTAAGATGGTGTGTGGCAGGGCAAATAAGGTAAAGAATGAAAATTGCTTTGTAAAATGTCATTTGCTATTCATATGTAGGCATTGTTACTTTTATGTTAAGGGTTTGTTATTGCTTAATTTTTTAATGAACAGTTGTCATTTACCACATTTTCATAGATGTCTTACGTTATTTTGGCTTATTGGAATCAGTCAGTTCAAGCTTCCTTCCCTTCCCCCATCCAGCCTTATGGGGCGCTCCCTCTTCGCCTCACTGCTTAGTCTGCCCACAGTTGGCCAATACAGTGAGTATTGTGAGGGTCCGAGTGATCTGGCCCCTTCAACAAGAAGCACAGGCAGAGGTTAAGGGCTGAGGTTATCACTATGGTTATTCAGTGAATGTGTCCATGGGCAAAGTGCTGGATGCATACTAATGAAGTCTGAAGGCCTGTGTTCTGAGAATAGTTATCAGGGGAAAAAAGTGGGCTTAATTATTTTGCAACTTTTAAAAAATTAATTTGACACAATTTTACCAACAACTGATGGGCGAGGAAACATGGGCTCAGTTCCTATTGCGTAGACCTATTGTGCTAAAGAAATGTTGCAGCGTGGATCAAGCAAGTCCTCATCTCATGGGCTTTGGGAGTAAGTGCTGAGGCCTGTGGCTGAGAGAAACAGTGCACTCATGGTGGGCCAGAATTCCTGCTGGCAGTGAGTCTTTGGCCTTGGCTCTTTGGGCAGGATTGAGCAAAAAGGATGTACATAACTAAAATACCTGCTGCTACTTTGGTCTCTTCAGCAGTTGCCAAAACCCAATTCCTCACATTAGCTAACACTTACACAGCACTTAATATGTGCCAGGAACTGTTCTAACCACTTTACACGTATTCATTCCTTTAGTAATTCCAGTAACCCTAGGAGATAGGTACTGATGTTTCTTCATCTGACAGATGAGGATACTGAGTCCCAAAAATACTCAAGGTTACACTGTCTGGTGGAGCCAGAGTTTGAATCCAGGTATTCCGATTAGAGTCTGTGAACTTAACTAGGACACTGTGTTTCTATTTTTATATCACCCCTGATGGCATGAATAAACAAATCATCAAAATGTTAGTATTAAACTTGAGAAAACAGACAAACCAAAATTGAAGGATATTCTGCACAATAACTGGCTTCAAAATTACAAAGATCATGAAAGAGCAAGACTGAGTAACTCTCCCAGATAAACAAAACAACTAAAACTTTATTGTGAAAACTAACCGTGGCATATGATCTTGGACCAGAAATTGAACATTAGTGGGATAATTAGTGAAGTTTGACTACAGTATCTAGGCTATATAACATTGTATAGGCAATATATCTATGTTTTCTGATAATTTGAAATTATGCTGTGATTATGATATATTTTGGGGAATCCAAGTGGGGGGTGTATGAAAATTCTTTGCACTATTTTTACAACTTTGAAATGGTTTCACAATTTTAAGAAAGCTAAAACAATGAAGCTTAAAAATATTAATGGGAAAACATTAAATTAAGCTGATACAGAAGACTAATTATCTAACATCTGCATAGCACTTTATGGACTGCTTTTGTATGTACCTTATTTAATTTTCACAATAGTCCTATGTAGAGATCATTAAACTCCAGATATTTAACATATCAACTGAGGCTCAGATAAGTTAATTATCTTGCTAGTCTCCCAGGACTGAACTCAGGTATGACCCATGTGTTTCCTGCTATACTACACTTTGCAGTTTGTCTGGGACTCTTAAAGCATTCCCCGTTGGATTCTAGAATGATCAAAAGGCAAGTGTTACTGCAGTCATTTTTGTGTGGGTCCATCAGATGCAGTCAGATACAACCATAGATAAAACCATTGATAAAGTCATGTCATTGCTCTTAGGGTTGAGGTGAGTGGCCTGAGAATGGCCCAGGCCTAAGTTTTCGTTTTCCCCCTTTCGTCTAATCTGAAGCTGCTGAACTGGGCCTCAGCACCGGTACTTATTCAGGTATTTTCCAAGGCAAGTTTTAGCTTACTACCCCTGCTTCCCACCCTTGGAGTGAGAATACAAGAACACTTCTTTAATTTTAATAATGAAATTAATACAAGGAATAGATTACACAGATAGTATAGCTGAACAGCCCATTGGGGATTCTGTGAAACGGCCCAGAGATTACAAAGAGGCAGAGGCCAGAACCATCCTTAGGTTGTGGGGGCAATAGGAGGAAATCGACTTCTGGAGCCAATGGCCTGGTCATTTGGCAGAAGTCGGAATCACTGTGGGCCTATCAGGAGCAGCTGGGGCCACAGCAGAGCCATGGCCACTATTGGAGATGCAGCCTGAGGCAGAAATACCCTGGCTTCTGTCCCCAAGCCTCCAGTCTGCCTTCCATTAGCTAGACCCAGCTAACTTGAGGACCTGAGAAACAATACAAAACAGAGCAAAGAAGTACAAGGAATGTATCTGAGGGTAAATAGGCCAGGGACTAGCACATCAAGGATTTAAGGAGTCAGGTTCGGATTTATACTCTTAAGAGTGTGTATAAACATAAAGGTGAAACTTTAAGGGGCTAGATTTCATCCCCTTTATAAATGTCAATTATATATCCCATATGAAGAAAATTGCGGAAAAACAAGTCACTCCTGTAACATATTTAGTGCAATACTGATGATAATTTTTAATGGATGCTTGAATTAATGGAAATAGAGGGTCCTTGTATAATCAGCCTTCTTAATTAGTAATAAAGACACTTAGCATTAAAAAAGACCTAAATAAAGGAGTTAGCATATCATTTCATAGATAAATGAAATTCACATACATCATATTCAAAATTCAAGAATAATTCACCAGGCTCTGGAAAAAAAGCTGCAATATTAATTGCAAAGGAAATGACTTTCCTTCTTTTCATCCTTCTGCTTCCACTCATGAAATAGAAACTGTCTTCCTGCAGGAAGCATGTGGAAGAAGGTTTCTGCCCTCCCCTCCTCAATTAGCTGACTGGTGAGACTGGAGAAGGGGGTTACTCCACATGTGTGGTTTAGCCCCACTTGGGCCCTTCCTCTTTCAGAACTGCCAGCTTGCAGGCTGATCACCTTCCTTTCTCCATTCCCAAATCCTTCATGCAGTATGCTCAGTGCGGGCAAGGAATCCGATAGGCAGGGTGGAGGAGGTGGCTCTAGTTTTCTAGCCACTCAGTCTGTGATTAAATGGATAAATTCAATTCAGAGAGGAAGGAATGGGAAGTCATTTTGGCCTCAGACTAGGCCAAGTTTTAAAATGCATCTTTGCAAATAATAGATTGCTATTTTGTCTGCTTCAGGCGCTGCTGTATTCTTAGTGCCTAGAGCAATGCTGGGGGAGCATAATGTTTAAAAATATTTGTCGAATACACAAACGCATTATATCTCTGATGTCTGGCTTATTTCTTGACTGGCTTTGAACTGAGAGGGGAGAGGGATATGACAATTAATATATGGGGCATTTTCACCCTTATGTTCTCCATAAACATGGCCAGCCTCATGCTCATTACTTTAGAAGTATTAATATATGGCACCAGGAAAGCATAAGATTGCCTGCAGAGCTTCTTGGCTTTTCTGTTCCACGGGCAGATCATTAAGAATGTAGGTTTTCAGAGGAGAGGGAAAAATGGGTGTCATGGGCATAGAGTGTCTTGGAACTACATGATTACAGAAGCCTTTCCTCAAATTGGAAGAACAGAATGCCCCAGGCTGCAGGGAGGAGAAATGAGAAAGGATCTTTTAGTGCAAAGATCAGGTCAGACCACTGTTCTGCTGAGCAGCACCTTCAGGGAAACAAGAACAGAGAGGACAATAGAGGGGTGCTTCAAGGCAAATGGCATCCTAGCCAGCATTGGCAGAAACCATTCCTCAACATGGCAAGAACACAGAACAGCTTCTGGCCCTGGAACACATGATGCAGATAGGGATAATGGACCTCCTGAGTGGTAATGTGTGTGGATGATGATTGAAGATAAGACAGGTGTCCTCCATCTCCAACACCTTGACACTGCATTAGCTCCAAGAACCATAGAACAACCCTAGTGAAAGGGGGACCTCAGGCCAGATAATTTTCATTCATACATTCAGTCACCCATTCATTTATTTAGATACCTCTCCAGAATGGGAGCTAGGCAGGGTCCAAACTGAGTTTAATTTTTTAAACGTATTTATTGAGTGCCTTCTCCCACATTTACTACATTCCTTAACAGCTGCCTTTAATATTATTTTTAAAGCATTATCTCTTTCATTCTGCTCTGTCAATTTCTACATCGTTGCATTTGCTAGACAACTGCAATTATTCTTTGGGGCATTAAATTTTTTTCTTCAGGTCATCGTGGGTGGAAGTCTTTTTATAATATGTTGCACTCATCTCTGCCTTCATATGCAGAAGGCACAGAATACCACCTCACCTTCTCAATAACGCTGAGTCATCATTATGGATATCCACTAAAGGACTCGGCAATAAGTACAGTAGTGCCAGCCTTTCTGGGTCTTCACACTGCTTAGCTTTAGGAGGATATCGTATTTCTTTCTATAGTCTTCCTGTCAGCTCCCTTGCTCTCATTGTCAATATTTAATTTTTGTTACGCCTATTGGTCCATGTCTACCTTCTTCCTCTTGACTTCCCCCACAGATTTTTTTTTTTCTTTTTGAGCCAGAGTCTCGCTCTGTAGCCCAGGCTGGAGTGCAGTGGCGCCATCTCAGCTCACTGCAAGCTCCACCTCCCGGGTTCACACCATTCTCCTGCCTCAGCCTCCCGAGTAGCTGGGACTATAGGCGCCTGTCACCACGCCCGGCTGATTTATTTGTATTTTTTTTTTTTTAAAGCGGGGGGGGGGGGGGTTGTTGCTTTGAGGGAAGTTACGCTTATTTTTTTTTTGTCTTTTGTTTTTTTTTTTCCTTTTTCTGGAGAACGGGGTCTCGCTATATTGCCCAGGCAGGTCTCGAACTCCTGGGCTCAAGCTATCCTCCCGCCTCTTAGCCTCCCTGAGAGCTGGGATTACAGGCGTGAGCCACTGCACCCGGCCCACAGATTTTTTTTAAATTATAGCATGTAACTGACTAAAAATCCAGAGTAGTATATCAGAACCTAGTGTATACTTTTGGACTGTACTGCACTCTCAGGGTACTGCTCTCTTCTTCCCACCCCAGAGTCCCCGGAACCATGTAAAAACCTCTGCAGCTGGCTGCGTAGTCACTGGTTCAAGATATTCCTCTAGACCTCTCTGACCTGCTTCCTGTGTTGAGCCTCTCATGCATGGAATTCCAAAGGGCTAGACTCATTGACCTTGCTGTTTATCTTCCCCTTTTGTGGAGACTCCACGGGACACTGCTAATCTTTTTGCCTTTGCCTCCATGCTCCACAGCCTAACAACCCAGGCTGTCTCAGGCTCCCAGGATGCTGCAGACCAGCCCTCCAGCTTGCCTTTCTCTTCGGGAAGGAAGAACAGACACTGTATACGAAATGATGAGGGACAGGCTCTGGGTGAGGCAGCCCTAAGAATTTTTCTGAATGAAGTTTATGGGCTTTAACGCATAGGCTTTGGCACCAACCATTTTGTCTGCTCAGAAATGTTCTGATTCTTTGGGGTGTTTGAGATAGTTAATATTGCCTGGTAAATGATTTCTGAGGAGTACTTTGACAATGAATTGTATAATTTGCTAAATTCAGGTGTGGCAAAGGGTCACTATTGTGTAGGGGAGACAGTATGATATGGTGGAAAGAATACTAAAAGCAGGGGGATCTGAGTTCAATTTTTAGCTCACCCATGAACAAGTTATATGACTTTGGGCAAGTCACAATCTCTCTCAATCTCAGTGCTCTAATCTGTAAAATGGGTATGTATTAGGTTTCTCCAGAGAGACAGAACTGACAGAGAGAGAGAGAGAGAGAGAGAGGCATGGAGAGGAGATTCACAGGGAAATTGGCTCAGGTGATTATGGAGGCTGAGAAGTCCCATGACAGGCCATCTACAAGCCGGAGAATGAGGAAAGCCAAGTAGAATGGTGCAGTCCAAATCCAAAGGCCTCAGAACCAGGGAAGCCAATGATATAACTCTCAGTCTGAAGCCATAGGCCTAAAAACCTGGTGAGCCATTGGTGCTAGTCTTAGAGTCCAAAGACCAGAAAACCTGGAGTTCTGATGTCCAAGGGCAGCAGATGAAGGGTGTTCCAGCTCCAGAAGAAAGAGAGTGAATTCTCCTTTCCTCTGCCTTTTTGTTCTGCACCCTGAGCAGATTGGCTGATGCCCACGCACAATGGGTAAGGGTAGATCTTCCTTACTTAGGTACACTGGTTCTAATGCCAATCTCTCCTGTAAGCACCCTCACAGATATACCCAGAAATAATGCTTTGCTAGTTACCTGAGTATCCCTTAATCCAGTCAAGTTGACACCAAGAACAATTCATAATGGGGGAACATACCTAACCTGTAGTGTGGAGAGAGTTATATGAGATCATGCATGTTAACACACCTAGCACAGGCCAGGCATGGCAGCTCACACCTGTAATCCCAGCACTTTGGGAGGCCGAGGTAGGCAGATCACCTGAGGTCAGGAGTTTGAAACCAGCCTGGCCAACATGGCGAAATGCTGTCTCTACTAACTATACAAAAATTAGCCGGACGTGGTGGCGGGCGCCTGTAATCCCATCTACTCGGGAGGCTGAGGCAGGAGAATCGCTTGAACCCGGGAGGCAGAGATTGCAGTGAGCTGAGATTGCACCACTGCACTCCAGCCTGGGCGACAAGAGCGAAATTCCATCTCAAAAAACAAAACAAAACACCTAGCCCAGATTTTAGCTTTAGCATATACTAGGCACTCAGAAATTGTAAAACATCTTAACAGTTTTATTAAACCATAAAATAGGAAACAACCAAAAGGAAAAAAACAATGCCTTCCCAAAGCATCCAACCTAACCCCATAATTTTACATAGAAGAAAACTGAGGTCCAAAGAAGGGGAGATGATATGTCCAGAGTCACACAACCAATTAACTACAGAGGCAGGACCAGATGTCCTGTCTCTGGAATTAGGAAACAGCACTTTTCCCCATTTCAAATACTTCCAATGTTTTGAATTTCTGTAATCAACAGTCATTAGTTTTTTCTTCTGTTTTACTTTCCACTTGCTAAACCCAATTTTGCCTCCTGGAGCAACACAAAACAAGATTACTTCCTCTTTGACAAGATAGCTTTTCACATATTCCAAGGTTACCTTCATGTTCATTGATTTCTATTCCAAGATCCCCATCTCCAGTGCTACCAGCTCATCCTTTGTATGGCAAGCTCTCCAGAACCAACACAGTTCCAGACACCTATCTCTGGCTAGGCTCCCATTCATCAATGTCTCTCTTAAAAGGTGGCACTTAGAGCAGAGTGCAATATTGCAGCTACGTGGCAGAATGATTAGCTTCCTCAGTCTATTAACTCTGTTTCTCTTGTGGCAGCCAAAGACTGCATTTGCTTTATTTTTGTTGTTGTTGTTTTGAGACAGGGTTTCGCTCTGTCACCCAGGCTGGAGTGGTCCAGTGGTGCAGTCTTGGCTCACTGCAACCTCCACTTCTGGGGCCCAAGCAGTTCTCCTGCTTCAGCCCCCCAAGTAGCTGGGATTACAGGTGTGCACCACCACTCCCAGCTAATTTTTATATTTTTAGTAGAGACTGGGTTTTGCCATGTTTGCCAGGCTGGTCTGGAACTCCTGGCCTCAAGTGATCCTCCCGCCTTGGTCTCCCAAAGTGTTGGGATTACAGGTGTGAGCCACTAGGCCTGGCCCTGCATTTGCTTTCTTTATCAGTCACTTCATGCTGTTTGCCCAGATATTTTTTACATAAATCGTTGCCAAGCCATGGGTCCCTATATTACTGTCCCTGGGCAGATGTAACAAATTACTACAGACTTTGTGGCTTAAAATAACAGAAATGTATTCTCTTTCACAGTTCTGGAACCAAGAGCTCTAAAATGAAGGTGTCAGCAGGGCCACACACTCACTGAAGGTTCCATAAGAGTCCTTCTTTGCTTCTGCCAGTTTCTGGTGGTTCTAAGTCCTTGGCTTATGGCTGTATAATTCCTATCTCTGGCCTTCTCCTCTCCTCCCTTTGTCTCTCTTTTGTGTGTATCTTACAAGGATTCTTGCCATTTAATTTAGGACCCTCCAGGATAACCTCATCTTGAGATCCTAAATTTAATTACACCCGTAAAGAGCCTTTTGCCAAATAAGATCACATTCACAGGCCCCAGGGATTGGGGCATGGACGTATATTTTTGAGGACCACCAACCCACTACAGCTTCCCATCCTCTAATTGTATAATTGGTTTTTGGAGCATGAAGGCAGAACTTTTTAGTTACCCTTGTTGTTCTAATTTCCATTTCCCAGATCACACTAGCTGGTTTAAAAATTGCATCAGAATAATAGGAGTATGATGTTTTGCTGATTTTGTGCTTACCTGCTACTGTGGGACCCTTAGTCCCCCACCAAAGTCATCTCTTTTGCACGTTCTCGTAAGAGCTCATGGACACAGCTCTCTCCATATGGCATCTGAAGGTCTCTTCTGTTTCTTCTCTGCCTCCCACAGTGAGATATCTGTGGCCCCAAAGCTGCTGTGAAGGTGTTCCATGGCTGCCTGATTACACTAATACCACCTTTCACCATGGATACCACCATGCAATTGATGCTATCTTCTCAGATGTAGGTGTCATGGGGGGAATCCCTGTCTCCATCTCTTTTGTGATCCCTAGACAATTTCCCTTGTGTTCCCTCCATCTCACACAGATAACCTATAGTGCCATGTTTGTCTAACAGGAGGAGGTCCCATGGGGTCTGCTTCCCCGTGGGCCTGAGGCAAAGGACAACCTGAGTGATGGAGACATATGCCTCCTGAAATTGGGCCAGAGTCCCAGGTTATCTGCTTCCATTACTCTCTGTGCTTCCCTTTTCATGTCACTTGTTCAATATCTTCCTTCTCTGCTGGCCTGCAGGCTCCATTGAGGGCAGTGAATAAATCAGTCTTGTTCATCGGTAGATCCTTATTGCCTAGTGCAGTGCCAGCCACACAGTGGGACCCTAAGGAAATGTTTATTGAGTTAATAAGTTCTGAACAACTAGTGGCACTAAATCACCTGAGAAAAAGTTGTGAGAGTCACGATCTGTCACTCTGTACCTGTACCATTATCATCCCAAAGCAGTATGGCATGGGAGGTAAGCATGTGGACTCTGCCACTTACAAGTAGGGTGACCTTGAGCAAGTCACTTAACATATCTGTGTGTCAGGCTTGTCATCTGTAGATTGGAGATATTATCAGTACCTACATCATATGGTTGTTGTGTGGGTCAACTACATGTAAAATGCTTAGAGCAGTACGTGGCACAACATAGGCCCTATATAAATTTGATTAAATAATAACATCATCCTTTATTATCTTACATATTTCCTCCAATTATACTTGAGAGCTCCTTTAAGGACAGGGGCCTTGTCTGCTTTTGCTCCCCATATATCCCTCAGTGGCTAGTATAGTATCTTGAAAATAGTATGACCTCAATATTTGTTGAATGAATGAACAAATGAACCTACTATACTAAGAATATTTCTCCTTCTAATAATTAGCCTAATTACTGTCTGTGGGCCTTGACATATTCCGTAAGTGACTTCCTTCCTATGAGGCAACTCAGTCCCTTTCTTGGGATCTAGACCTGCTGCCAAGTCATCTTTCAGATCTTCTAGACATAACTCCCTTATGGATGGATTCTGGAGAAAGAACAATTTTAGGTCCAAGTGGAGACGTTGCTACGCTGGACTTTAACCTAAATATCCCAATCTGCTGAGATATTTAAAATCTTGGTTCTATAATCTCTGGTAATAATGCTACCTCCGAAGTCTGTAGCATCTTGCTAATTTTATATACATGCCTTTTCAGATTTGATTCAAGTCATCAATTCCAAATAAATAACTTCGTTTGCCTGCAATAAATTACACAACTCTATATTGAAAATTGTCTATGGGAAAGAACTAAAGGTATAATCATTACAATAACAAGCCAGCAATCATGAATGAGGAAATTCTAGAAGTAATAACTGCTTTTTGAACACATAATAGATGATAGCTAATGTAGAAGGTGGCAGACATTAGTGATTTACACTACTGAAAAATAGTGAATGTAATATTGAGTTCAATACTAAATTCATATAAAGAATCAACTTGAGAGTGTAATTTCCTCGTAAGATAGAAGTATCAGAGTCAAATATGTTTTCAGTACAGTTCAGCACGATGCATATTTGCAGGAGAAATTCTTAGACTTCTCCAATAATTAGGCTCATGTGAGCTATCATAGGACAGATGGCTCTGCTATTTAAAACAAATTATAACCTTTAAAGATGAACATGTACTACTGAAATCTAAGTATAACTTTGCTTTGCATTTTAATTGAATGGTACCATTATTTAATAGGTGAAGCTGATATGAAGACTTCGGAGTGTTTTTTTAAAATAAAGTAAGAATACATCATAAATGACAAAAATATTAGGCAAAGCTTATTTATGCAATTTGCCAATATTTCTGGAAGCTTGAAAAAAGCCTTTTCCTGATGTTTAAATTATCTGTTCTATTGGATAATTTTGGAACTTAAAAGGGATGACAAATTTTTATCTTGTTTTTTCCCATGCCTTAAAGTTACCATGTGTGTAAAATTTGGATAGCAATTTTAACTTTCATGTCAATCACTGATGTGTCATCAAAAGGTGTGTGTAACATAGTGTTCATTGATGGCACACTGAATATTTTCCCCCAAAGATTCTACTTTTGACGATGAAAAATCTTCTGACCATTTGATTGAAATCACTGCCTAGTCCAGTGTTTAGATGTCAGTGTTTTGGGCCAGGTGTGGTGGTTCACACCTGTAATCCCAGCACATTGGGAGGCCAAGGTGGGTGGATCACCAGAGGTCAGGAATTCGAGACCAGCCTGGCCAACGTGGTGAAACTCCCTCTCTACTAAAAATACAAAACTTAGCCGGGCATGGTGGTGCAGGCCTGTAATCCCAGCCACTCGGGAGACTGAAGCAGGAGAATCGCTTGAACCTGGAAGGCGGAGGTTGCAGTGAGCCAAGATCGCGCCACTGCACTCCAGCCTGGGTGACAGCGTGAGACTCCATCTCAAAAAAAAAAAAAAAAAATCAGCAGTTTATAAATGAGTAACTAGTTTTAAGAAGGGACAAGGCATGTTGAAGATGAAGCCCACAGTGGCAGGCCATCTACATCAATCTGCAAGGAAAAAAATTTATTTGCACTGTAATTGAAGAGGACCAACAATTCCCAGAAGAAACAATAGCCAACACCATAGATATCCCAATTGATTCAGCTTACAAAATTCTGACTGAAAAATTAAAGTTGGGCAAACTTTCCACTCGGGCGCCAAAACCATTGCACACAGATCAGCTGCAGCAGAGTGTTCAATGGCAATTCAAACAAATGGGATCAAGATCCTGACAGCTGTAACAGGAGATGAACATGGCTTTACCAGTACAATCTTGAAGACAAAGCACAATCAAAGCAATGGCTACCAAGTGGTGGAAGTGGTCCAGTCAAAGCAAAAGTGGACCAGTCAAGAGCAAAAGTCATGTCAACAGTTTTTTGGAGATACTCAAGGCATTTTGTTTGCTGACTTTCTGGAGGGCCAAAGAACGACAACATTTTTAGCACATCTTTAGGCACAGCTTTAGCAGAAAAAAATGCCCAGGAAAACTTCACCAGAGAGTCCTTCTCCACCATGACAATGCTCTTGCTCATTCCTCTCATCAAATGAGGGCAATTTTGTGAGAGTTTTAATGGGAAATCATTAGGTATCCACCTCACAGTCCTGATTTGGCTCCTTCTGACTCTTTTTTTGTTTGTTTGTTTCCTAATCTTAAAAATCTATAAAGGGCACCCGTTTTTCTTCTGTTAATAATATCAAAAAGACTAAATTGACATCTCTTTCCTAAATGGCTGGTATCATCATTTACCAAAGTATCTTCATCTTTATGGAGCTTATGTTAGAAATAAAGTTTATATTTTAATTTTTATCTTTAAATTTTATTTTCCACAAACTTTTTGAAGTCCTCTCATATTTGGAATTTTTAACAATAGAGGTATGAAAGAACAAATTCTGCAATTGTAATCTGTTAACCTTATTTCAACACTACTTTGATATTGAAAGCCTAGACATGTTTGTCTTCACACTTATTAAAAAGCTATTGTCAGTGGGAAATGAGTATGCTTTCATGCTTAGTAAAAAATACGTATTCAAAATCATAGACAGTATGATCTCAAAATGACTGAAAAAAAAAGCCATAATGTTAACTGTGGTTGCCACTGAGTGATGCAATTTAAGGCTAGGGTTCGCTTTTCTGTTTCTTTATGCTTTTTCATAGTTTGCAAGTCTTCCACAATGAGCGTGTTTTACAAAAAGTGACAAAATAAAAAATAAAATCTTTATTAATAAAAGTGTAGCAAGTTTGAACAGTTTAGTACTGTACTCCCATTTCGTATGTACCAGCTTTAATCTGAAGTCCTGTTGTAACTTTGTTAGCGAACCCTTTTTGGTTGATACTGAAATCTGCACTGTGGATCCATAACAGCTGTTCTTTTGTGTGAAACACGGTACAAGTGAAGTGCTGTGCCTAACACCAGGGCTCTGATGCCTCTGTTCACTTACAATTTCATTTTCAAACATGGGAAGCTTCCATGATAGAGTAACTGAGTATTGCTTGGCTGCAAATTAAAGACAGCGATGTGGGAACACAAGTTCCCTGTGCGTTTTCTGAGTGAGCACTTTCTCGGATGCCTTTCATTATCCCTCTCCTCTCAACTCTTCCACTCCCTAGCTTCTCTTGTACAGTGGTCAGTGGGGTGATTTTCTTGTACCTCCACTCTCTGTGCCCTGGGTTGGGAATATCACACCAGTATGGTGCCAATGAGTGTTCACAGAGAGTTGGAGAAAAGAGGTGGCAGAGATTAAAATGCATAAATCATAGAATTCCCAAAAGAATATTTTTAAGACAAGTTAACAAGTAACTCTGTCCTTTTGGTACAAGAAACAAACCAGAAAGCAAACAAAACCCATAAAAACTATTTGTTCAAATTGTGAAAACTATCTTGCATTATTATATTGTAAGAATAAGTTTAGAAAACTGTTGCACTTCAGGCAAAAGTCCATTTTAATTGACCTGAGGTTTTGCTAAATTCAATAAGAATTTTATTTTTTTCTGATTATACTGACGATACTTGCTCAAAATCAAGCAATACCTAATAATATAAACATAAAAGTCACTTAGTATCACAACCCCCCTGAGGTAACCATATTTTTTTGAATATGTATATGTATATATACACATATACACAACATATATACATATATAATTTTGTATCTATTGAACTATGTTATACACACTATAATTTTAAACCATAAAAAGTCGTATGATTGTTCTATATAAATTAATTCATATATATATGACTTTTAAATAGCTGTGTGGCATTTCATTTATTTCATGCACATGGTTTAACTATTTCCTAGTTTATTATATAAATTTCTCCTCCTCCTCTTGCCTGCTATTATGAATAACATGGCAATGTATTCTGTACAAAAATATTTCCATTCCTGCCCGAGTAGCTTCTTGGTGTAAAGTCAAAAATGTGGAATTCCTGGGGCAAAAGATATGTACATGACAAACTGTCTTTGAGAAAAGCTATATGAATCTGTGCCCGCAACAACAGTCAGCCAGTTTACCCTCCCCATTCTCAGCATTAAGTGCTCTCCATCTTTAATCATTCCTCATAGATCTGGGGTCAGCAACCCAGTCAGCATCTTTAGGGCTGTAGGGAAAAAAAGGTAATGAAGAATGTCTGACCAAGACTATATGTGGCCCACAAAGGGGGACATTTCTATTATCTTAGCTGTTTACAGAAAAAAAAATTTGCCAACTCCTGGATTAAAGGAAAAATAGTGTTTACTCTTGGTAATATTAGCTTTTCTTTGCTTATTTGTGAGTTCCAATAGATTTTCCATGTACATGTGGGTGTTTATATTTCCTCTTTTGTCAATTACACTTCCTTCACCCATTGTCCTATTAAGTTGCTCACCTTTTTTACTCATTATAATTCTGTATATTAGAATATGTGCATGTTGTCATGTATTTCACAAATATTTTTCTCTGTGTCAATTAATCATTAAGAATGTATCTTTTATATTGCACAGAAAGTTTTAGTGTTTATGCAATCAAAGCAAATATTCCGAGAATGATAGCAGGTGCTACTTTAGATATGGTAGTAAAAGAAGTTCTCTCTGACAAGGTGACATTTGAGCAGAGAACTGAATTAAGTGAGAGAGGGAGCCATTCATATATATGGATGAAGGGGAATCCAGGCCATGTGAACAGCAAATGCCCAGACCCCAAGATAGGAGCTTTCATGGCATATTGGAGGTACTGCCAGGAGGTCACTGTGACCAAAATGGAGGGAGATTGGTAGGAGTTGAAATTAGGTATGGAAGGATGAGAGCATGTAGAGCTGTGTAGACTATGATAAGGACATTAGATTTGATTCTGAATTCCAGTAGAAGTCTGGAATATTATGAACAGAGGAGTGACATAATCTCACTTAAGTTTTAAAAGGATCACTTCTATTTTTGGTATCTTTTAAAAATATGTGTTATATTTTCTTGTTGTAAAGTAAATGCATGTCCATTTTCAATTATATAGATAACATACAAAAAAGAACCAAGTAAGGATGATAGTATTTTAATAAGCTTTTCTGGATATATATATTTACCTTTATCTACATATATTAAGGTTGGGACATACCTTAAAGATCTTCTGGCCCAGAAATAAATCCAGGCATTTATGGTCAACTGTTCTTCAAAAAAGTTGCCAAAAACACACAATGGAGAAAAGACAGCCTCATCAATAAATGGTGTTGGGAAAACTGGATATACACATGCAAAACAATGAAATTAGACACATCTCACACCATGTGCAAAAATCAACTCAAAATGGATTAAAGACTTAAAGGTAAGACCTCAAACTGAATGTTCTCACCACAAAGATATGACAAATATATGAGGTCATGGATATGCTAATTACCCTGATTTCATCATTATACAGTGTATACATGTATTAAAACATCACACTGCACTCCATAAATTTTATATATATATATATATATATATATACATATGTATGTATTTGCTATGTGTCAATTCAAAATAAGTAACATAGAAGAAAAGTTTCTTGACATTAGTCTAGGCAGAGATTTTTTGGATATGACCCCAAAAGCACAGACAACAAAAGGAAATATAGACAAATGGGATAGCATTAAACTAAAAAGTTTTCTGTACATCAAAGGAAACAACTGAGTCAAAAGACCATCTATGGAATGGGAAAAATACTTACAGACCATACATCTGATAAGTGGTTAATACCCAAGATATATAAAGAACTCAACTCAATAGCAAAAAGTAGTAAATAACCCAATTAAAAATGGTCAAAGAACCTGAGTAGACATTTCTTAAAAAGAAGACATACAAATGGCCAACCAGTATATGACAAAATGTTCAACATCACTTATCATCACAAAAATGCAAATTAAAACCACATTTAGATAACATTTTGCACCTGTTAGGGTAGCAATTATCAAAAACATAAGATAACAAGTGCTTGTGAGGATGTGGAGAAAAGGGAGCCCTTGTTGGTGGGAATGTAAATTAGCACAGCCACTATGGAAAACAGTATGAATGTTCTGGCCCAGAAAAAATCCAGGCATTTATGGTCATATTATCAATTACCATATGATCCAGCAATGCCACTACTGGGTATATATCCAAAGAAAATGAAATCAGTCTGTCAAAGAGATATCTACACTCCCATGTTCATTGCAGCACTCTTCACAATAGCCAAGATATGGAAGCAACCTCAAGAAAATATTTTTTATATATACTGTATATATATATATATATATATATATATATGAATGATAGCATTCGTGTCTATATAGTGTATATATATACGAATAGCATTCGTATATATAGTATATGCTATATATGCTATGTATATAGTATATGCTATATATGCTATGTATATAGTATATGCTATATATACTATATACATAGTATATATAGCATATACTATATACATAGTATATGCTATATATACTATGTATATAGTATATGCTATATATGCTATGTATATAGTATATGCTATATATGCTATGTATATAGTATATGCTATATATGCTATGTATATAGTATATGCTATATATGCTATGTATATAGTATATGCTATATATACTATACTATATATACACAAATGCTATTCAGCCTTTAAAAAAGAATGAAATTCTGTCATTTGTGACAGTACGGATGAACCTAGTGGACATTATGCTAAGTGAAATAATCCAGACACAGAAAGAAAAATACTGTATGATCTCACTCCTATGGGGAATCTAAAAAAGTCAAACTCATAGAAGTAGAAAGTAGAATGGTGGTTTCCAGAGGATGGGGCAGGGTTTTGGGAGATGTTGGTCAAAGGATGCATCATTACACGTAGACAGGAGGACAAAGATCAAGAGATCTATTTTTTAATTTTTAAATTTTTTTTCATATTTTTATTTGTATATATTTTTTGAGATGGAGTCTTACTTTATTGCCCAGGCTGGAGTGCAGTGGTGTGATCTCAGCTCACTGCAACCTCTGCCTCTTGGCTTCAAGCGATTCTCCTGCCTCAGCCTCCTGAGTAGGTGGGATTACAGGTGTCCGCCATCACACCCAGCTAATTTTTGTATTTTTAGTAGATATGAGGTTTCACCATGTTGGCCAGGCTTGTCTCGAACTCGTGACCTCAAGTGATCCACCCACCTCGGCCCCCCAAAGTGCTGGGATTACAGGTGTGAGCCGCTGCGCCCTGCCAAGAAACCTATTGTACATCATGATAACTATAGTTAATAACAATATATTGTGTACTTGAAAACTGCTAAGAGAGTAGATTTTACATGTTCCCACCACAAAAAGGATACATATGTGAGGTAAAGAAAGTATTAATTAGCTTGATTTAGCCATTCCAGGATGTATACATACATCAGAAATCATATTGTACACCATACAATTTTTATTTGTCGTGTACAAAAAAAGATATGCCCAGCTTCTTCTGCATTTTGTGCAGAAGTATTTTGTTTTCAAACTGTCGGGCTAACTCTTGAGTGGGCGTTCTGTTTCTCCAGATTTGTCCTTGTAAATAAAAAAAAAAATTAGGTCTCCTTCCTCTACTGTGATACAGTGTATGATTTATAATTTTGTTTCTGGGTTCTACTTCAAGTCAAGGCTTCTCTACACTTTCAGTTGCTGACATCAGATTGGCTTTGAAACTTTTTTTCATGTTAAGAGCAAGAAGGCTTTTGTTCTTGGAGCAGGCAGAGAGTATTGTACATTCTTTTGGCCGAGGAAACAGAATGAGCTGCGACAGTCTTAAGGACAAACATTTGTGGTAAGTATTTCTTTACCTTAGAGTAATATAAGAAATGGATTGGGGCAATGAGTGGGTCAGTCTTGGAATATTTTTATAGATAGCATCCCCCATAGCCAGTCATTTTCATTCTTGTAGTAGTTTCCCCTTTTCCCCAGAATCCCCCATTTCTAGGACCAATGATTTGCAGGACACAGTGCAGTTCTTGTAAAGGTGTATCTGTCCATACAGACCGCAATAGCCTGCTTTGGGTTTCTCTGACAGTTCTTTGTCTACTGTTCAGTTTTTTCTAAAATAATTAGGATTCCCAAGTAAAGGCAGGTGGGAATTTCTCAACTCTGGATTAGAACTTCACCACTGTAAACCTGGAACTATTAGTATAACAAATCTGGTGTGCACCTGGGCTTCATGGGATGGCTGTACCTTGGTGTGGTTCCTATGCAATGTATGGGCCTCAGTCTCTGAGCCGTCTAGGGATTAGGACTTGAGAAATTGCCTTGTGAACTTGCATATGGTTGGCTTATAAATTTGGACAGCAGATTATTTATTTTCAGTGGGTAAAAGACCATTCCATTATTTGTGTCCAGTTCTTTTTAAGCACGCAAATTTTCCAGACCAAGAAGAACTACCTTGGTCCCCAGAAGGTAGCCGGGGGGATGTAGACTTGGAGAGCAAAGAAAAATGGGAGGTCTTGAGGGCAATCTTCCAAAAGAATATGGTGATGTTTCTCACATTTTTTAAAGCAGGGTCTCTAGTGAGGCAAAACCACATTTTATTCTTGCCTCTATAGTATTTATTTGTGGAGGTAGAAAGTTTCTGGGGAAGGAGTGGGACTGTTTATATGAAGAACCTAGAGGTCTTCTCAGAATGAAAGGATTGGAAACTCCAACCCTTTTTTTCTCTGATATGCAAGGTTCTTGAAAGTTGCTTGAGGGGCCCAAAAAGATCCTAAGGAAAACTCACCAAACTTGGTGAGAAAGAGGTAGAAAGGGATGGGAGCAGCTCCCTCCCAGAGCCCTCCATCCTTCTTTTTTCATCTGAGCTGGTTACTCTGCCGGCTAGCTGCACATCTCTTTCTGAAATTCCCTTTGTCTGTGCTCCTGTATCGGATCATTATTTCCTAGATTCATTGTCTTGCTCTTCATTGATGTACTTCATCATTTTTTTGGGGAATACATTCTCTACTAACTTCTTTATATGGGTTATAAACTTTTATTAATAATAATAATAATAATAATTATGTCTGAAAATATCTTAGACAACCTTTATTTTTGTTTGAGAGTCTGACGCAGTATAAAGTTCCAAGCTGAAAAACCTTTTCCCCCCTGATTTTGTGTTTATTTTTCCATTAGTTTGTAGAATCCAGTGTTGCTATTGAGAAGTTCAATGTCATTTTGTTTCATTTTTTTTCAACTTTAATTTTAGATAAGGGGGTACATGTGCAGATTTGTCATATGGGAATATTACATGATGCTGAGGCTTAAGGTACAGATCCTGTCATCCTGGTAGTGAGCATAGTACCCAATAGTTGTTTTTTTTTTTATCCTCCCCACCTCCCTGCACCCTCTAGTAGTCCACAATATCTGTTGTTCCCATATTAATGTCCATGTGTGCTCAATGCTTAGCTCCCTTCATAAATGAGAACATGTGGTATTTGGTTTTCTGTTCCTGCACTAACTTGCTTAGAATTATGGCCTCCAGCTCCGTGCATGTTGCTGCAAAGAATGATTTCTTTCTTTTTTATGGCTGCCTAGTATTCCATAATGTATATGTAGCACATTTTCTTTATCCCATTTACCACTGATGGGAACCTGGGTTGACTCCATGTCTTTGCTATTGTGAACAGTGCAGTGATGAACATACAAGTGCATGTGTCTTTTTGGTAGAATAATTTCTTTTGGGTACATACCCAGTAATGGGATTGCTGTGTCCAGTGGTAGAATTGTTTTAAGTTCTTTCAGAAATCTCCAGACTGCTTTCCACAGCGGCTGGACTAATTTACATTTCCACCAACAGTGTATAAGTGTTTGCTTTTCTCTGCTGCCTTGCCAGCCAGCATCTGTTGTTTTTTGACTTTTTAGTAATAGCCATTCTGACTGGTGTGAGATGGTATCTCATTGTGGTTTTGATTTGCATTTCTCTGATGATAGTGATGCTGAGTATTGTTTCATATATTTGTTGGCCATTTGTATGTCTTCTTTCGAAAAGTGCCTGTTCATGTCATTTGCCCACTTTTTAATGGTGTTATTTGGTTTTTACTTGTTAATTTTTTCAAGTTCCCTATAGATTCTGAGTATTAGACCTTTGTCAGATACATAGTTTGCAAATATCTTCTCCCATTCTGTAGGTTGTCTGTTTGCTCTGCTGATAGTTTCTTTTGCTGTACAGAAGCTCTTTAGTTTAATGAGGTCCCACTGGTCTATTTCTGGTTTTATTGCAATTGCTTTTAGGGACTTAGCCAAAAATTCTTTACCAAGGCCAATGTCGAAAAGAGTATTTCCTAGGTTTTCTTCCAGGATTTCTATAGTTTGAGATCTTACATTAAAATCTTTAATCCATTTTTAGTTAATTTTTGCATATGGAGAAAGGTATGGGCCCAGCTTCAATCTTCTGCATATGGCTAGCCAGTTATCTCAGCACCATTTACTGAATATGGAATTGTTTTCCCACTGCTTGTTTTGGTTGGCCTTGTCAAAGATCAGATGGTTGTAGCTGTGCAGCTTTATTTCTGAGTTCTCTATTCTGTTCCATTGGTCTATGTGTCTGTTTTTGTACCACTACCAAGCTGTCTTTATTTGTTTGTTTGTTTGTTTTTGAGACTGAGTCTCACTCTGTCGCCTAGGCTGGAGTGCAATGGTGTGATCTCAGCTCACTGCAACCTATGCCCCTGGATTCAAGCAATTCTCCTGCCTCAGCCTCCCCAGTAGCTGGAATTACAGGTGCCCGCCACCACGCCTGGCTGATTTGTGTATGTTTTAGTAGAGATGGGGTTTCACCATGTTGGCCAGGCTGGTTTCAAACTCCTGACCTCAAGTGATCTGGCCACCTCAGCCTCCCAAAGTGCTGGGATTACAGATGTGAGCCACTGTGCCCAGCCACCCAAGTTGTTTTGTTTACTGTGGCTTTATAGTGTAGTTTGAAGTTGGGTAGTGTGATGCCTCCGTCTTTGTTCTTTTTGCTTTGGATTGCTTTGGTTATTTGGGCTCTTTTTTGGTTTCATGTGAATTTTAGAATAGTTTTTTTTTTTTCTAATTGTGTGAAGAATGCCATTAGCAGTTTGATAGGAATAGCACTGAATCTGTAGATTGCTTTGGGCAGTATGGCCATTTTTATGATATTGATTCTTCCAATCCATGAACATGGAATGTTTTTCCATTTATTTGTGTCATTCCTGATTTCTTTCATCAGTGTTTTGTAGTTCTCTTTGTGGAGACTTTTCACCTCCTTGGTTAGGTGTATTTCTAGGTATTTCATTTTCTTTGTGGCTGTTGTGAGTGAGACTGTGTTCTTTATTTTTGTTTAATTTTTCATTTCCACAGGTTATTGGGGAACTGGTGGTGTTTTGTTACATGAGTAAGTTCTTTAGTGGTGATTTTTGAGATTTTGGGGACTGTGTTCTTGATTTCACTCTCAGCCTGGATGTTGTTGATGCATAGAAATGGTACTGATTTTTGTACATTAATTTTGTATCCTGCAACTTTACTTAAGCTGTCCAAATTTATAAGCCAATCATATGCAAGTTCACAAGGCAATTTCTAGGAGCCTTTTGGCAGCATCTTTAAAATTTTCTAAGTATAGATTCATATCATCAAGGAAAAGAGATTGTGTGACTTCTTTTCATACGTGGATGCTTTTTATTTCTTTCTCTTGCCTGACTGCTCTGGCTAGGACTTCCAGTACTATGTTGAATAGGAGTGGAGAGAGGGCATCCTTATCTTGTTCTGGTTCTCAAGGTGAATGGTTCCAAATTTTGCCCATTCGATATGATGTTTACTGTGGGTTTGTCATAAATGGCTGTTATTATTTTGACGTATGTTTTTTTTTGATACCTAGTCTGTTGAGGGGTTTTATCATGAAGGGATGTTGGAAGTTATTGAAAGCTTTCTCTGTGCCTATTGATCCTCTGTAACAGATTTGCTTCTTTCCAGCTATAAATATTTAAGTTCTCTTTCATGTCTGTGGTGTACTTCAAAATTCATAAGGATGTATACCAGTGTGGTTATTTTTGAATAATCTCATTTTGCATTTGATAGGCCCTTTTAATACAAATATTCTTGTTCTTCAGTTCCAGAAATTTTTTTTCTATTTCTTCTATTATTTCTTTGAAATATCCTTCCCCATTTTCCCTTGTGTGTGTTTTTTGTTTTTTGTTGGTTTGTTTGTTTGTTTGTTTTGACAGAGTCTCGCTCTGTCACTCAGGCTGGAGTGCAATGGCACAATCTTGGCTCACTGCAACCTCCACCTCCTAGGTTTAAGCAATTCTCCTGCCTCAGCCTCCCAGGTAGCTGGTATTACAGGCACCCGCCATCATGCCCAGCTAATTTTTGTATTTTTGTAGAGATGGGGTTTCACCATGTTGGCTAGGCTGGTCTTGAACTCCTGACCTCAGGTGACACCCCTCCTCGGCCTGCCAAATTGCTGGGATTACAGGCATGAGCCACCGTGCCCAGCCTATCCTTTCCTATTTTCTCTGTTCTTTTTTTCTCCTGGATTCCTGTGTGATATTGGACCTCCTGAATTTATTCTTCATGTCTCTTATCTTTTTTTCTCACTCAACACTGAGACAATTCCACTATACTTTGCTAGAAACTCAATTTCTCACTCTAAAATAACAATTTCACCCTTCCCTTGTATCCTCAAATTTCCTACACTCACTCCTCTCTCTTCTCCTGATCACTATCATCTAATGACTTCAATTCATGACTTAGAAGAGAAAATAGATACAGAAGGTGTATTAGGGCACATTACTGGGATTAACACATGCAGAAGAGCAGGGAAGAGAAGGAAGAAGGCTTCGTGACAGAAGCCTCATGCAACCTTACAAGAAGTTCTGAAGATTGGATAATTTGCCGCAGTGGTCCCCATTTGGGACCAGGGAACTGGCCCCTGATACCCCAAGTTGTTCAGTCATTTAATGTGGGATGCCTTTGGAAGGGGCTATGACCTTGGCTAGGTAGCTCTTTTCAGCTGAGGCAATCCCTGAATAAGGCTGACAGCCAAAGACTTATCTGGCAGCCTTCTCAACAGATGGGGTAATAAGTCCTTCATTCCTGAGGGAGGATCCGAAGGGCACATTACAGTGTCTACCACATCAGCTACCTGCACCTATCAGTGTTGTCCTGATATTGGCTCGAACCAGCTAGTGAGGGCCAGCTCTGCACTTCCCTTCCCAATTTTGTATTCAGTGACATTGTGTTGGTAACTTAGGACTTTTCTGTGGAAGTTTTAAAGTTTCACCAATCTTTTTCAGGTCTGAAAGCTCTCTTTCTTTTTCTCCAATTGTTCTTTGTTCACAGTATTCCGTTATTGTTTATGGATTATAATAATGATTTGAATCTTTCAGTGTGTAACCAATTAGCATTGTTTTTAAAGTTCACTGTTCCCTGAACTACGTCTGTTTCTTTCAGAGATTTTTTTTCCATTTATCATTCCTTCCATATATCATCTCTTCAACTCTTAAAGGACCAGGCACTGTGTTAGGTGATGGGGACACAATAGTGAACAAGACACGAATAGATCCTTCTTTAGTTCATAAGCATGATGATTGGGTTTTCATGTACATGTGTGAGATGTGCCTCCCTCAAAACTTGTTACAACATTGGCACATTACCTGTCTGACATGAAGGGAAAAAAAGACGTAAAGGGTTCCTGTTGTAGACATTTTTTTCTTGTCACAGAAAAAACTAGTAAATATACAAATAAATAATATTATTTAAGGAAGTTGTCATTGCTATGAACGAACAAAATTCAGTGGATGGAGCATATGGGAGTAGGGGGATGTCTGTTTTAAAGAATAGGCTGGGACCATGTCTCTGCTGTGATAGTACTTGAACAGAGACCTGAATACAATCTGGATAGCAGGCCAGGTAAACCATTGCAGTGGGAGGCAGCCCCAGGGGTGATAGACTCTGAGAAAAGAACAAGCACTCTGTGTTCCAGGAACACCAAGAAGGCCAGCGCGGTTGGAGCAAAGTGTACAAGGTTAAGTTTGACAAAGCAGGCAGGGCCCAGATCATTTTCACTGTTTGTCTTGGTCTTCTTTTGCATTTGGTGACTTCTGTCTGTTGGGGTTCTACCCGAGAAACAAGAACTAGTAAAATTTGTACATGTATATGTAGAATCTTATGTGTGTGCTTTACATTTGTGTATTTGTGTATTTTTAAATTGTGTATTATATACATTATATACATGCCTGTATAATCTATTGACAGAGTGAGACACACAGAGGCAGAGAAAGATAGAGACAGAGAAAGGGTGTTTTTGTAGTAGGTAGGTGGTTATTTCAAGAAATTGATTTTCAGGATCATGGGGTGCTGGCTAGGCAAGTTTGAAATATATAAAGCAGGCCAGCAGGCTGGAAATTCTCAGGCAGGAGTTGGCACTTCAGACTTGAGGCAGAATTTCTTCTCCTTCAGGGAAATTTTAGTTTTGCTGTTAAGACCTTCCAACTGACTGGGTGAGCTATGGTTTTCATGGATAATCTCCTTTGTTTAAAGTCAACTGACTGTAGAAGTTAATCATATCTACAAAAACCTTACAGCGACACCCAGATTAGTGTTTGATTGATTAATTATAGCCTAGCCAAGTTGACACGTAAAAGTAACCATCACAGTGACTTACCTCAAACATTTGGTGATCTTAGCCTGCCTGTTCATATTTAAGGGTGAGATCTAGAAAAACTGGTGGGGGTATTTATAGGAGAAGATTGCCAACTGGAAATCATTGCTTTAGGGTGACCAAGAGGAGGTATAGAATCTTATAATGGGAAACCCCTAAATACCAGATTGGGAAGTTTTTCCCTCCAGAGGGCCTTCAATTTCCCCTGAAAAGTCTCTACTCCCTTGGGAGGAGGGGATGTGCTATGTGTGGGTGCTGTCCTTCGATAATGAGTGGATCTGGGGAGGCAGGAGGGACTTTTCCCACATTAGAGTCTTTTAATGAATGTCACTGTTTTTAGGCATGAGCCTCACTCCTACCCTTCACAGCACCTGGTGTCTCCAAATCGCAAGGCTTCCCTTTGGTCCATATTCCTTTCTGTGAGCCTATCTCCCACCTCATCCTAAGCTGGGGTTCCCTGAACATTTACTCATGACTTTATCTACTTTTGACCTTCCAAAAATAGTGGAAATAGTGTGTTTCATCTGCCATTTCAAACTACACAGACTAATTATTGCATGAAACAGCCTTTAAACATTGAAGGGAAGGGAAGGAAGGAAGTGTCTTTCTTTGTATCCTGAAGAACCACAGTGGCCTGGGAGAGGTCTGAAATAGCAACAGCCACAGAGCCAGTGACTGAGATGTAGCCCAAATGCTATAGACCTCTGGGTTTCAGTGGACCCCCAAGGTCCCTGGATCCATGGCTTGGTCTGAATATGGGCAGTGGCGGTGAAACTCTCCTCCAACTACAAGGGTATTTCCAGTCATGCCAAAATATCAATATTCTATTAAAATGGAGATATCGTTATCTTCTTCTTCCCAATATTATAACGTGCTGTTCCTCCTGGGGGAGGCTCAGATGAGGCTGTTCTGTCCTTCTGGGTTGAGTGCCTCCAGACAGGATGATTGAGAATGAAGATTCTGGGTCGAACAAATTATCACAGGAGGGGTAGGCTCCTAAGAAAAGAAATCTGGCTTGGATGGAAAAGGAGGAAGGAAGCAGAAGGAACCTAAACCAGAGAAAAGGAAGTGGTCAGGTTAAAGGGAAAACGTTGGAAATTGGGCCTAAGAATCTCCCAGCACCTATTCTCTCCTCTCATCATCCTCCATCACAACTTCGTTCTCATGCCCCCATTTTAATGCCCACACCCTAGTCTAAATTTATTCCATCAGGGTCCTCTGAAAGAAGACCAAGGACACAAACAGACTCTGAAAGAACACATAAATGACTAGGAAACAGAAAAAGATGCTCGACCACACAAGTAACCCAGAACTAGCTATTTCAACAACAATAAGAGGCCTTGGAAAGTTTGTCCTGAGAATACTTTCAAAATGAGTGTATCTCTAGCTTGAAATTTTAATACAGGATATTCTCTGTGCACATCCAAAGATTAGATTTCAGATGAAAATGACAACGTTCTCAGGAGAAAAAATATCGTGTTAGTTTTAAAATATCAGGGTTTCAATATTTCTATATTTAAAAAACATGGTATCTATCAACTGATGAATGAATAAACAAAATATGGTCTAGCCATACAATGAAGTATTATTCAGCCTTAAAAAGGAATGAAATACTAATACATGCTACAGCATGGTTTAACCTGGAGAACATGCTAAGTGAAAGAATCCAAATATAAAAGTTACATATTACAGGATTCCATCTACATGAAATGTCCAGAATAGGTAGATCCATTGAGACAGAAAATAGATTAGTGGTTTCCTAGGGCTGGTGGTGATGTGGGGCCTTAAGAAGTGACAGCTAAAGGGTACAGGTTTCTTTTGGGGACGATGAGATGTTCTAAAATTAGATTGTGATGGTTGTACATCTCTGTGAATATATTAAAACCATTGAATTGTACACTTTAAATGGGAGAATTGTATGGCATGTGCATTCTATCTCAATAATGCTGTTACAATAAAAACTATGATACTCTGGAATACTGGAATCCTTAAAATTGATACAGTAATTGCTAAGAGGTGAATCTCTTCATTGATTGGGAGACTAGACTTTATAAGCTTTAAAAGCACTAAGATTCCCTTAAGACAGAGGAAGACTGAGAATTACAGAATTTTGTTCTGGCGTAATGTTAACAAGCTGCAGATCTGCAAAATTATAATTCATTGATACGGTTATTTTCATTTCAGAAATGCTAGGATTAGAGTCAGCCAACTTACAGTCTAGATCTAGTTATGCTTTGGACAAATGGCACAAACTTGGGCAACTCAGCTCCTCAAAACCTCAGTCTCCTCACCTGGAATGTGGCAATAAATAAACTGGGCCTTCCTTGTACATGTTTTGGGAGGATCAAATGAGATGACAGAAGAAAAAGTGCTTACAAACATTATGCAAATGAAGATGGTATACTTATTATTAATTTTGTAATTATTAGTAGTAACAGCAACTGTATATCAAATTAAGATGGTAAACTGCTCATCATGTAAAGACTTGATTCTTTAAATTTGTCCTTATATGAACTAAACAACATGTCTTACATACTAAGTCCTCTTTGTACATTTCTTATTGGTCATCGTTGCCTAAGAATATATATTTTTGAGAAATAACCAGGTCATATGTACAATTATGGACCTTAGCGTGAGTCTATTACCTATACTTTTATCTTCATGTGACCTATATAACCAGTCTGGTAAAACTAGTTTTGTTAGGTCAAGCTGTTTAACTTGGTCATCTAGCTGTTTAACTTGGTCATCTTTTCAGATGGCAGTCTTCAGTCCCAATTCATGTCAGTAAATATTTGATTGGGTGGCACAGAAATTCAGAAAGAAACAAGCTATTCCCATTTCACTGAGCCTAAACTCATCATGCCTAATGTGGAAAGAGGCAGTTCTAGCTAAAAATTAAAGAAAGAGTTGGGAAGTTATGATTCCAAACTCCTATTCCTGACTCTAATTTTGCCCCAAGCAGTTAACATTTACATTTCCAATATATCATCATCGTTTGAGCAAGTACTCAAAGCATTTCATTTACAGAAGTAGTTGTTTGCTCTATTACAAGTATAATTGCATTGGAAATATTCTTAAACTTTTTACACAGCCTTTGGCCATCAGAACAGAGCAAGGATTTTTATTTTTATTTTTATTTTGAGACAGGGTCTCACTTTGTCACCAAGGCTAGAGTGCAGTGGCACAATCGTGGCTCACTGCAGCCTCAATCCCTGACCTCCAACCAGGCTCAGGTGAGCCTCCCACTTCAGACCCCAGAGTAGCTGGGACTACAGGGATGCACCACTACACCCGGCTAATTTTTGTATTTTTTATAGAGACAGGGTCTCCCTTTGTTGCTCAGGCTGGTCTTGAACTTCTGGGCTCAAGTAATCCTCCTACCTTGACCTTCCAAAGTACTGGGATTACAGGCGTGAGCCACCGCGTCTGACCCAAAGCAAGTTTTAAAGGGGCTACTTCTTTTAAAGCACAACAGAAATCATATTTACCTCTGAAACAATATTTTCTTCTGAAAGGAAAGTTTTGGCCTTTAAAATGGCAACAAATTGAAGATCTATAAATGGCAACATATAAGAATAAAATTTCTGAGGAATTTCCTGAGAAGGGGTAAACATCAAGTCAATGTCAGGGCCTGGATTCAGGTCAATTCATTGACCAATCTCTTTGGGCTTACTTAGCTGAGGGTGTCAAAGTGACTCCCTTGCATTTAACATACTTTTCAGGATTTTTACATACATCTAAGAAGCCTCCATGATGCCAATCTGGAGTTAGATTATAATGTATTCATCATAACGTATTAGTTTGGATTTTTTTGGTTGCAAATGATAGAACCCCAACTGTAAGCTAGTTTAAGCACAAAAGAAAATTTATTGATCTATGTAACTGAAAAATCTAGTGGGTGGATATTTCTTCAGTCATGGCTGGATCCAGATGTTCAAATAATATCATTAGGAATCTGTCTCTTTACATGTATCAGCCCTGTTTTCATGATATTGGTTTCATTTTCAGGCAGCCTGTCTTTGCGGCCTTAGGTTTACCTCATCTTTGTAACTAACAATTCAGTGAAGATAATCTCTACCTTTCATTGGTTCCAGAAATTACTGGGATTGTGTATCATTGCTTCAAACTTATCACAGTGGCCATGGGGACAGAATACACTCATTTATTTGGCCTGGACTACCCTCCTGCCCTGAAGCAGGGGTTTGCTGGAAGTCTCATCTGTGTCACATGGATTTAGAATGGAATAGGGAGACTCTCCATGGGAATGTTGAAGTACATAGATGCCAACTAGGCAGGCAAAAACTACCAATGTCCCCTGCATACATGGCAAAGAACCTAATGTTTGAAACTTGATATAGTCCTTTATATAATCTTAAGTAATTTATATAAATTGTGAGGTTGCTATTATCCTTATTCTATAAATGAGGAGTTTTCATTTGGTAACCCCCTCACATGTCAATAGACTTCCTGAATTCTGTAGAACCTCTCAAAATCAAAGGTAGTAAGGATATTTTTACTTTTATTGCCTATCTCCATTTTCAGCATTTCAGAGGTTCTGGTTTCTCAAAACCTATGCCTAATTTACTATAATGAAATAATATTCCAGGCCACGGTGGGCAGATCACTTGAGGACAGGAGTTGGGGACTAGCCTGGCCAACATGGCGAAACCCCGTCTCTACTAAAAAAAAAATAGAAAAATTAGCCAGGCATGGTGGCATGCAACTGTAATCTCACCTACTTGGGAGGCTGAGGCATGAGAATCGCTTGAGCCCGGGTGGTGGAGGTTGCAGTGAGCTGAGATTGCGCCACTGCGCTCCAGCCTGGGTGACAGAGCAAGACTCTGTCTCAAACAAAAACAAAAGACTCTGTCTCAAACAAAAAGAAAAGAAGAGGAGACGAGATGAGAAGAGAGGAGAGGAGAGGAGAGGAGAGGAGAGGAGAGGAGAGAAGAGAAAGAAGGAAGGAAGGAAAGAAAGAAAAGAAAGAAAAAGAAAGGAAGGAAGGAAGGGAGGGAGGGAGGGAAGGGAGGGAGGGTATTCCCTCTTACTCAAATTCCCTGTGTCCTACTCAGGAGTGGTAAGATTTAGGCAGATGGTGTAACACCTTACCACATCACATTAGAGAGAGGAATTTGGTATAAGGCTGGTTTATCCTTAGACTTCATCCAAGGGCATTAATGAAATAATACCAAAGGGCCTTATTTCCAAAAGAGTTAGTTACATTGTAAGGCCCCAAAAACTGTATTATAGAGTAGTGTAGATGAATCTGAATGTGCTATGCAAATTAGAGACTGAGTTACAGCTATGCATCTTTTTCTTCAGACCTGAAAAACCCTGAGGTTAGTGTTCTTTCCAATAAGGGTTGGCAGTAAAATTAAGACTGATGTTCACTCATTGTTACTTTATTCACCCATTCAGGTAACCCACATTTTGAGGGCCCACTATATGCCAAGCCCTGGAAGACAGTGCTTAATAAGACATTTCTTCTGGCATCAAGGGCCTCAGAATATTTCTGAGTGATAGACCTGCAAACAATTGCAACACATGATAAGAATCAGCTTGAGAAAGGTAGGATGAACGGGCATGAAAGAAGGTGTTTGGTTCAGGGAGTCTAGCAAAACTTCAGAGAAGAGGTAATTATTTTCAATGACTGCATAATTAATGATTTTATGGATGACACAGAAGGAGCTCATGTGAGCTTAGGCTTTCTCTCCCTCTCTCATATTTGGCTGTCATCTATCCATCCACTCCATGTTTTTTCCAGCATTCTTTCAATGCTTATAGATGGCATGTAGTTGAAATTATACTACATATTCATCTTGCATGCAGATAAGTCAATCAACATAAGGTCATGATCATTTTCTCATGTTCTTAAAAATCCTTCAATAATTTCATTTTAAAAATTAGACTTTTAAAGATAATTCTAGATTCATAAGCAGCTGTAAGAAATAATACACAGAGGCTGGGCGCGATGGCTCACGCCTGTAATCTCAACACTTTGGGAGGCCGAGGCGGGCAGATCACCTTAGGTCAGGAGTTTGAGACCAGCTTGGCCAACATGGCAAAACCCCATCTCTACTAAAAATACAAAAATTAGCCAGTGTGGTGGCACGTGCCTGTAATCCCAGCTACTCAGGAGGCTGAGGCAGCAGAATTGCTTGAACCCAGGAGGCAGAGGTTGCAGTGAGCTGAAATCGTGCCACTGCACTCCAGCCTGGGTGAAGAGCAGACTCCAACTCAATAAAAAAAAAAAAAAAGAAAGAATACAGAGAGATCCTGTATACCCTTTACCAAGTTTCCCCCAATGGTAACATCTTGCAAAACTACAGTACAATATCACAAGCAGAATATTGGCATTGATAGAATTAAATACAGAACAGTTCCATCACTACAAGGAATGGCATTTTTGATAACTGATATGCTTAACAATCCATTTTATGCATTTATGGATAAAAAATCCATAAAATCCATTATGGATAATGGATTTATGGATATCCATTTATGGATGTATCATAATTTATTATCTGCTATTGTTTGTCATGTGGGTTGCTTCCAATTTGGGGCTATAATTAATAATGCTTTGCATACAAACTTTTGTCAAAAACCTCTGATTATTTCTGTAGGAGAGATCCTCAAGTTAAAGGGTATGTATATTTTAAGGTTCACAATTTGTTGAAAAGACTATTCTTTCTCCATTGAATTGTCTTGGCACCATGGTCAAAAATAATTTACCTTAGATGCAAGGGTTTTCTCTGGATTCACAGTTCTATTCTATTGATCTATAAGTCTATCCTTATATTAGTATCACACTGATTTGATTATTGCAGCTTTGTAGTAAGGTTTGAAATCAGGAAGTGTGAGTCCTCTTTGTTTTTTTTTTTTTTCAAGATTGTTTTGGCTATTCTCGATCCCTTGAAGGATATTATTTTTTTGGTTACCTTATTTCTTTGTAAATAACCTCCCATTTGTGATTTGACTTTTGTTTATGTTTTTAATTATACAGAAGTTTAAATTTTTTCTTCTTTGATTTTTGTATTTTTCACATACGTAGAAAACATTCTTTTATATTGTTAAGTTTCTAATAGCTTTCTAAACCTAAAGTTATTTTTCCATTTATTTCCTTCTTTTTTAAAAAATGGAATTACAAAAATAACAGTTGCTCACTGTAAAAAGTTTAACATAATTACTTATTGGGCAAAAAACATGAGATTTCTCCTATAACCAAGTGCTTTCCAATTTCACTTTACAGAGATCAACACTGGTAGCAGTTTGTATCCTTCCCAATCATTTTCTATCCCCATACACATGTATAGTGTTTAAAATAAGGGATCAAACAATAAATATTGTTTTGCATCTTACTTTTTTACACTTGACAACATAGCAGGGCATCTGTCCATATGCAGATCAATCTCATTTTTAAATTATGCTATGGAAACTCTTTCCCATTGTTAGATTTTAAAAATGTCTTCCTAGGTTGTTATTTAGTACTTTTATAGACTACCCCTCATTTGTGTCTTATTTATTTTTAACTTATTTTACAACAACTGCCACATTGGTAGAATTCTTAATGTCATACTACCCACAGTAGTGCGGAAATTTTAACTATTTGCTCCTCTACCCTGTGCACATATTCAAGAGAGAGGCTGGCAAACATTCTGCCTGGTTGACTTAACACATTCAAATAGCTTACACATTCAGATAAAAATATGTAAATCAACTCCGAGAAGTTGAAAAAGCAAGGCTAGGGGAAGAGGTGTGTGCTTGTAGGGGGGACATGTGTGTGTGTGTGTGTGTGTGTGTGTGTGTTCCTCCCCTACTCACTCTGCCTTTTGCACTTGCCTATCCCCACTTTCCTCAGGTATAAATTGGCGATTCCTCATAAGAGATCTACTTGGAATGATTGGCCTGTATAATATTAATCCACTCTCCTGCCAGAAAATTTTGAAAAGGATAAGTATTAAAGAAAAAAGTGGGATGTGGCATTTGCAATTCACATCAGGACTTCTAAGCATTAGAGCAAAATTGGGGCGAATCCCTATGGCATTAGCTCAGCTTCAGACACACATTTTTTTTAAATGCTAACACCCCTGGCCTCTCCTCAGCCAGCTACTGCTTCACAAGCAGGGCTCCCTCAGGTCCTGCATACCCTTTTCCTTCCAGGCACTGCGGAGCTCCATCTTCCCTCGGCCCAGTCCCTGAGTGCTTTGGGTTCAGGGCAAGGAAGGAGCTCTAGCTCCTTTCATTTTCCATTTGGCTTCTTAAACGGGTTGCCTCCTCTTGCCTTTCCGTTTTCTCGTGTCCTCTCTAAAGCGTGTCAAGTCTCCCATGCCCATGGCAGATGGCAGCTCAAGTGTCTATACAGGAGGCTTGGCGTTTGGGACCTGAAGGGCGTGGGACTTGGCATATCCAAAGACTGAGATCAGAGTATGTCTGTGTGTTTGTTTGCATCCTCGGAGGACATATTTCGGCTTCAGCACAGGACCTCTCAGACTATTCAGGGCTAGTATTCTCTTCGGGCAAAGACAGCAGCCCTGACAGGGCCACCTGCATGTGCTCACACAGTGTAACTCCCTTGCGCCGAGTCTTTGCCCAGGTGGATACTGGCCAGAATGCTAAGAAACCGCCAAGACTTGCATGAGTTGCCATGAGAGTGCGAGGCTGGGCTGTCTCCTCCCACCACAAGTGCTAGCCTAGGTTGGCCTTTCGTCCCTCGAAAATGGGAATCTCTGCAGAAATTCTCTCTTTTAGCTCCTTGCGTCCCTCCTCCACAGCCCCCGCCTCCTTTCATCCACCGGTGGCTAAGCGGGGGCGTGGGTGTGCGCACCCAGGGAGAGTTGCCCTCGCAGCGGCGGGGGCCAGAGCGCTCCGCCAGAGCCCCAAACTCTTAACAAGTTCCTGGACTCCGCGCGCGCGGAGCTCTCGGGCCTCTGCGCCTCTGTCCCTACTAGGGGGGCTCCGGAGGACTGGCGGCCGCGGCGCAGCTGGGCTGAGCGGGGCCAGGGGCTGTACCCCTCCGGCAGTGCCTGAGTGCCCAGCGGCGGCGCGCGGGTCAGAGCTGGGCAGCTGCTGGCTGGAGTAGCGGCCCTGCCCGGCTCTCCAGCGTGAGGATGGCAGCGGCAGGGGCCCGGCCCTACCTGGGTTCGCCAAGGCGGGCGGCCAGGCACATGCCCCAAGCTGCCGCTTCGGCGCCGTGGACCTCAGTGTCCTGCGGCAGGATCCCAGGCCTGCCCCAGAACCCAGATGGCTGCACTTTCATGCCGATAGCCCAGGCGATCCCTCTGCAGGTGGACATGGCCATGGCCCTGCAGCGCGTGAGGATTGCCGAGAAGTACGGGAAGAACTACCTCTGCCTCCTGCAAGCAGTCTTCGTGGCAGGTAAGTCCCCTCCTCTCATCTCCTCCCCGGCGGCCTCGGGCTGGCTTGCCCTTCTTCTCAGCCGCTGCCTCCCCAGCCCGGCCGGCTTTTCTTTATTTTCCAGTCCACACCCCTCCCCGCGCGCACTTTATTTTCCAGTCTATACAACCCCCCCACCTCGCCCGCCCGCCCGCCCGCCGCGCACACACACACTTTCCTGCTGCAGTGGCGCTCCCAGCCACGAACTCGCTGGGTCATCCGTTCTCCGTTCCTCTGGCCAGCTGCCGCGCTGCAGGCGTGCAGCTCTGGTCTCAGCTCGCAGGAGGTGAGATCAGGAGCTCTGGTCCCGCAGGAGGACCGTGGGAAAGTGCAGGAAGCAGTATGAAACTGTCTCTGCCATTGCTGGTTCAGGTCTCCTATCCCCTTCTCACCCACTTTGGTGCGTCCCCGGAGAAGTGGGAATAGAGTGTATCTTCCCACACTGCATCTCACACACCAGAACCCAGCCTCTTTGAGGAGTGCACTTCCCTTGTAATATTCCCTGAAGTTGAAAAAGCAATTTTTTTTTGTTTTTGTTTTTCCCATAACGCATGTGGAGGAAACCAAGTCAAAAAGGCACTCAGGTTCGGAAACCAGCAGCAGGGCCGTGGCAGGGCAGGTGGGGGAGGAGTTGTAGGGAAACAGCTGCTGCCACTGACTTGGGCTTTGCACCCAGAAAAGCGCATCTTTTCATCTTGGTCCATGAGCTTGTTGCTTCCCTACAAAGGCAAAAGCTCTTGTTTGTCTGGAAGGACAAACAAAAGCAAAGACAAGTAACTCACAAAGTCTTTACGGCCGCTGCCATGGTTTGATTAAGGGGAGTAAGTGGGGTAACATGGACTTGGTCACTTGCCAGTCGTGATACACTCACATTTAGCAAGCTGAAGTTGCCCAGCTTTGGGGTTGATGTAGCAGGGAGGATGCTGCAGGCTGTGGGGCTGCGTTCCTATGGGGCCATTCTGACTGGGGCACCGGGGCTGCCTCAGAACAGAGTGCAACTCTGAGACCTGAAGTTCAGCCAGAGCTTTTCAGAGAAGTCTGCAAGGTGCTGCAATTGATGTGCGCGCCTTCCTGTGCACCCAAGGTAGTTTTGACTTAGTAGGTTCTAAGCCTTGCAGTGGAAGTTTTGGTATTCAAAAAATAGACTTGGTGGCAATTTCCCACAAATCAGATAGCCACAACACATGTTCCAAATATACCTCCCTATTCAGTGCTATCCACAAATCTAAAGGAGGCCATGCAAACATCTTCAGTTAGACCAGAGGAATTAATTCAAGGCTGTGGTCTGTGCATCTTCATCACACAGAACTCTTTGGTCTTGCTTGTTTTGTTTTGAGCTGGTCTATATTATTTTCTAGATGTAATAAATCATTAAGGGCAATGTGGTGATGGGGCACAAACTAGTTCCGGTCTTAAGAGCAATTTAAATAGTTTTTGGAGACTACAAAAAAAAATCTTGCTGAAACATTCCGTGCAGTACAGTGGAAAGTACTTTGCGTTTTGTTCTCATTTACCTTCTGCATCATCTTGGGAGCTAAAAAAAAAAAAAAAAAAAAAACTCCTTTGGAGGAATGCATGCTTAATCACAAAGGTTAAATTAGTTATGCTATGAAATGTAAGTTGATATTTTTGCTGCTAGTGATTTCTCTTATTTCTAGAGTTGTGTGATGTGTCATCTGTTCACACTTTTGAAGGCTCCTACATGTTGACAGGCCCCCATTCCTGTGGCATTACAATGTGTCATAACACCTAAATGACACCAGTTGCTGTGCTGTGTTTTTACCTGGGCTTGCAATACTTTTGTACCTTTTCAGCATTTGCCCTGGAAGGGATTTGTAGCCATGTGATTAGAGTACACACTATAGTACAACAATTTTAAATGTAAAATGGATTTCCATATACTTCGAAGCTATTTATATATTAAAATATGTTTACAAAGTTTTTCATTGTGGTAAATAACTTTCTGAACAATCACGTCAAAAATGACCATTTGTGGATTGCTCAGGCCCAGAAATTATACTACAGAGTAATAAGCTAATGACATATGTGTGTGCAGAATCTTCCCTGGGGCAACCAGAAGAGAAAATGATTGGCTTCACTTAGGGAGTTAGGGGAAGACTTGATGGAGAGAGTGATGCATGAGTTGAATCTTGAGAGATGCACACAAATGTCCAGCTGGACAGCGGGTGGGGATTGAACGTGGTAGGGATAGGTGGGTGAATGGTATTCCAGGCAAGGAAATAAGATATGCAAAGACAAGCAGAGAGAGGAGAGCAGAGTAGGTTTGGGGAATTGTAAATTCCTTTTAAATGACTGGAGTGTAAAATATGGGGGGTAAAGGAGAGAGAGAGATTTGGAGAGGTAGGAGGGGCCTCGTAAGGCATGTTGAGTGGTTTTACTTTATTTCCAGAGCAATCGGAAGCCACTGGAGTGTTGTAAGCAGGGCAATAGAGAAAGCTGCTGCATATGATTGAACAGGTTGTGCACTGCAAAACCCCTGGGGCCTCCACTGACACAGACCACACCAGGAATGATGCCCTTACTATGGCTGTACAGTGCACAGTATACACAGTGGTCAACAGCAGCTATGAGTGATGGAACTTTTTGCTTTCACAAAGATCATCCAAGTTGTGTGGAGGATTCAGTGTGTGGCTTATGCCGTGGAGAGGAAGAAGACTGGAGATAAAATGACTAGTTAGAACACAGTTGAAGTAAGCTGGCTCTCAGTGGATAGAGGCATGGACTGTCACTTCTGGGGATGAGGAGAAGGGGAGAGGTCTGAGCGGAATTAAGAGGGTAAATTGATTTGACTTGGTGACTAGTCGTGGTGTTCGAGGGACAGGGAGGAGACTAGGTTAATTTCAGGTTTCTGGTTAGGGTGACTGAATGGAAAGAGATGCCATTAACACAGGGAATGGAAGAGGAAGAGGTAGTTTGATTTTCAATTCTGGGTATGTGGTTTCTGTGGAATATTCAGGTAGAGCTGACGAATGGGTCTGCAGCTGGGAAGAAGTAAATGTTATTTCTTATTCTCATCATCTATAGGGTTCATTAAACATCTCCTGGCACTGAAGTTCTTTCCTTAAATCTACTTCTCCATGGGCTATATTGATAACTCAGCAAGTCTAGTACAGAAGTAGGCACACATTATAAAATTACCTTTCAGACTTGTTCTTTATATTTTCCCTCACACATTTCTTTACCTGATGATGAAAAAAAATGAAAAAAAGAAACGTCTTGTATTCATCACAGGAGGAAAGAATGTAAGCTATTCTGATCTAATGTAACCTCAGATAACTTACATAATTAGTTGTGAAAACCTGTTCACTGCAAATTTTACTCATCAGAGTATAGCTCAGGGAGATATGTAAATCACAACAAAATTTATTCAGTGTGCATTCCAGTATGGTATGAAGATTTATTTCAATGATGATGGGTCATCTATTAGGCCACACGATACTGTGAGTGTTCCACGTAACTGATTTTTCTGGGTAACTGAGGTTCAACACTTTTAGTGCCTGACTTTTTCCCCTTAAAATATGTATCCATTTTGGATGAGAAGCTTTTCAAAAATACTATTTACCTTCCTGACCCCTGAACCTGGAAATAATTGCATCCTTTTTTGATGGGTTAAGATTGTCCTTATAATAGCATTAGTTCTTTCAATGTGCTGTATTCAGTGCTGCCTCTGGGCTCCTAAACTGTGGAGGGCTGTTTGTCCCTATACTAAATGGGGACAGATTGTTCTGCTTTTTAATTTTCAATGCCTGACTTTTACCCTCTAACTTTTCCGTAGATTTCCTCTCTGTTAGCTGATATTTTTTGCTGCTGTTAATTTAACTGTTTCTACTGGCCAGTTGTTATTGCCTAATCCTCCATGCCCCCTCCTCCATTGCCTTCTCTGAGTGTTACGAACTAGGGAACAAGATAATCAAGCTTGTTCGAACTGTGTGAAAAGTATAATAGACCATGAGTAGGCCTGTGGGGAATCTACCTCAACTAATGTATATGAGCTTTAGTACATGGACTCTGTGATATCTATTCCAATTGCAAAACATCTTTTTCTTTTCTTTCTTTCTAGTTCCTTTGTGTGTTTTGGAGGGTTGATGCAGTTAAATAAGTTATCAGTAAAAATCTATGTTCTCCTGCTAATCGAGGCATAATAACATGTGAAATTGTAATATTTTACTTCCTTGTAAAACAAACAAGTGTGTTCAGAATCTATCAGCAATTCCACGTGCATTTTATCCACTGCATTTCTCAGACATGCCTGTGCTTGGCACCAGAAGGCACTTCATTCTTAAAATTTGCCCCCAGGTTTGAAAGCAATTGTCCCTGTCTCTGCTCAGCATCTTCTTAAGCAAGCATCCTCTGAAGGCTCAATAAACAACTTGCACCTTACCTACTCTAGGGCAGGAGCAGAGGCCAATCCCATGAGGAGAGATGCCTTCTATCTGATGGCTGACAAGGCCAGTGCCTCTTTCTGTTGCTTCGACGTCTTGTTCCAGAGACAGTTAGCTCCTGGCCAGAGGCCAGTGTCACAGAAGTTACATTTATTTTTTCACCCAAACTTCCCCTCATTGTATGTTTATGGCAGATGTAAGAATCTGAGTGACTTCTTGTTACTTCCAGCACTGGGAAGATGCCATTGAGCAAAATCCTGAAGGAGGTAGGAAGTGAACTACCAGAGGTGACTGGGGGAGAGTGTTTCAGGAAGAGGGGGCAGTCAGTGGAAAGGCCTTGAGACAAGAGCATGCTGACAAGTTCAAGGAACAAGAAAGAGACGGGTATGGCTGAAGCAGAGTGAGTGTTTGCATATGTGTGTGTGTGTGTATGTGTGTGTGTGTTGTGTGTGTGCATGCGTGCCTGCATGAGATGAAGCCATAGATGTAATAAAGTCTGGATCACATAGGGCTTGGTAAGAATTTAGGCTTTTAACCTGAGTCAGATGATGAGCCATTGGAAGGTTTTGAGCAAAGGAGTCACTTCTGTGTTAACAGAATCCCTCTGGATGCTGTGTAGAGAATAGGATTAAGGTCAGACAAAGATGGAAGCAGTGAAACCAGTTAAGAGGCTATTAGCATTAATGATGGCAACTTGAACCAGAGAGGTAATTTGTGGAGGTGGTAAGAGTGATCAAATAGATTCTGGATATATTTTGAGGATAGAGTCAGAAGGATTTGCTAATGGTTTGGATATGGAGTATGAGAGAAAGAGGAGTTAAGGATAATGCTAACATTTTTGGCTTTAGCAAGTGGATGGCAGAAATTTTCATCAGTGGAGATGGAGATGCCTGCAGGAGGCGTAGGTTTACGGGGAAAAATTATGAATATCAGAAGTTTGGCTGTTTGAACCTGTTAACTTTTTTTTTTTCCGAGATAGAGTCTCACTCTATCACCCAAGCTGGCATGCAGTGGCACAATCTCAGCTCACTGCAACCTCCGCCTCCCACGCTCAAATGATTCTCTCACCTCAGCCTCCCAAGTAGCTGGGATTACAGGTGTGCACCACCACACCCAGCTAATTTTTGTATTTTTAATATAGAATCATGTCGTCTGCAAACAGGGATAATTTGACTTCCTCTCTTCCTATTGGGATGTCCTTTATTTTTTTTCTCTTGCCTGATTGCTCTGGCCAGGACTTCCAATACTATCTTGAATAAGAGTGGTGAAAGGACATCTTTTCTTGTGCCAGTTTTCAAAGGGAGTACTTCCAGCTTTTGTCCATTCAGTGTGATGTCGGCTGTGGGTTTGTCATAGATGGCTCTTATTATTTTGAGGTACGTTCCATCAATACCTAGCTTATCGAGAGTTTTTTTTTTTTTTTAACGTGAAGGGGTGTTGAATTTTGTCAAAAGCCTTTTCTGCATCTATTGAGATAATCATGTGGTTTTTGTTTTTAGTTCCCATTTATGTGGTGAATCGCATTTATTGATTTGCATGTCTTGAACCAAACTTGCGTCCCAGGGATAAAGCCTACTTCATCATGGTGGATTAGCTTTTTCATATACTGCTGGATTCTATTTGCTAGCATTTTGTTGAGTATTTTTGCATCTCTGTTTATCAATAATATTGCCCTGAAGTTTTAGAATTGTGTCTCTGTCAGGTTTTGGTTTAAGGATGATGCTAGCCTCATAAAATGAATTAGGGAGGAGTCCATTTTGGAGGAGTATTTAGGGTTTTCTAGGTGTATGATTGTAGCAGGACAAGCCACAGACAAAACCCCTCAGACACCGAGTTAAAGAAGGAAGCAGTTTATTCGGCTGGGAGCATGGGCAAGACTCCTGTCTCAAGAGCCGAGCTCCCCGAGTGAGCAATTCCTGTCCCTTTTAAGGGCTGACAACTCTAAGGGGGTCCACTTGAGAGGGTCGTGATCGATTGAGCAAGCAGGGGGTACATGACTGGGGGCTGCATGCACTGGTAATTAGAACGGAACAGAATAGGACAGGGATTTTCACAGTGCTTTTCTATACAATGTCTGTAATGTATAGATAACATAACCGGTTAGATCAGGGGTCTATCTTTAACTACCAGGCCCAGGGTGTGGCGCCGGGCTGTCTGCTTGTGGATTTCTTTTCCGCCTTTTAGTTTTTACTTCTTCTTTCTTTGGAGGCAGAAATTGGGCATAAGACAATATGAGGGGTGGTCTCCTCCCTTATGATCATGTCATCAGCAAACAGAGATAATTTGACTTCCTCTTTTCCAATTTGGATATCTTCTATTTCTTTGTCTTGTTTTATTGTTTTGGCTAGGATTTCTAGTACTATGTTGAATAGGAGTGATAAGAGTGGACATCCTTGTCTTATTCTAGTTCTTAAGGGTAATGTTGTCAACTTTTCCCCATTCAGTATGACCTTGGCTATCTGTTTGTCATATATGAGAGCCTATTTTTAAAAATAGCTTTTGTAGAGCTATAATTCACATACAATTAACCTACTTAAAGTATGCAATTCAATGGTTTTTAGTATAATCACAGAGTTGTGCAACCTTTACCACAATCTAGGTTTAAAATATTCCCATCACCCCAAAAAGAAACCCCATACTCGTTAGCAGTCACTCTCCATTTTCTCCCAACCACCTTTTTCCTCAGCCCCTGGCAGTCACTAGTCTACTTTCTATTTCTATAGATGTGCCTATTCTGGACATTTCATATACATAGAATCATACAATATGTGATCTCTTGTGACTGGCTTCTTTCACTGAGCGTAATGTTTTCAATGTCCATTCATGTTGTCGTTGTGTCATTCTTAAAATGGCTGCATCTTATTGCAGTGCATAGATGTGCCACATTTTAATTATCCAATAAAAATGATAGGCATTTGTGTGGTTTCCACCTTTTGGTTATTATGAATAATGTTGTTATGAACATTCTTATACAAGTTTTTATGTGGACATATGTTTTCATTTCCCTGTGGTATGTATCTAGGTGTGGAAATTGCTAGGTCCTAGAGTAACTGTATGTTTCATCCTTGAGGAAATCCCAGACCGTTTTTCAAAGCAGCTGCACCCTTTTACATTCCCACCATCAACATATGAGGGTTATAATTTCTCTACATTCTTCCTAGTACATGTTAATCTCTCTTTATTTCCCAGCCATCCTAGTGGGTGTGAAATAGTTTTTTATTGTAGTTTTGATTTACATTTCCTGAATGACTAGTGATGTTGAGCACCTTTTCAGGTGCTTATTGGCCATTTATATATCTTCTTTGGATAAATGTCTACATGGATTATTTGCCTGATTTAAGATTGGGCTTTTCCTCTTTTACTGTTGAGTTTTAAGAGTTCTCTATATACTCTGGAATGGAGATCTTTATCAGACATTTAATGTGCAAATATTTTCTCCCACTCTGTGGGTTGTCTTTTTACGTACTTCATGGTTTCCTTGAATCGCAAATATTTTTAACTTTGAGAAGGTCGAATGTATCTATTTTTTTCTTTTATTGCTTGTACTTTGGATGTCAAATATAAGAAAACATTGCCTAATCCAAGGTCATAATAAATTACAACTATGTGTTTGTCTAAGAGTTTTATAGTTTTACTTCTTATACTTAGATCTTTGATCCATTTTGAGTTGATTTTTGTGTATAGTGTGCGGCAAAGATTCAGCTTCATTCTTTTCCATGTGCACCTCCAGGTTTCCCAACATCATTTATTAAAAAGAATATCCTTTCCCCGTTGAAATGTCTTGGTGCCCTGGATGAAAATAAATTAACCTTCGGTACAAAGATCTATTTCTGGACTTTCAATTATTTCCCACTGATGTATCTATAAGTCTATCATAATACCTATCTTTATTACTGTAGCTTTGTACTAATTTTGAAATCAGAAAATATAAACTTTCCAAATTTGTTTTTCTTTTTCAAGATTGCTTTGGTTATTCCAGGTCCCTTGCGTATCCATATGAATTTTAAGACTAGCTTGAAAATTTCTGTGCAAAAAGCCATCTGGGATGTTGCTAGGGATGGCATTGAATCTGTAGATGAATTTAGGAAGTACCTTAACCTCATTTTTATAGTGGCACAAATTGAGGTTTCCCAAACTATGGACCATTCACATTTAACATATTTGGAATTATTTACTATAATGGATATTGGCATTCTGCCCTTCAGTGCTCACATTGGATAGTTATTCATCTTTAGTTTGTCATGAATTTACAAAGTTTATGGCTGGGCGCGGTGGCTCTCGCCTGTAATTCCAGCACTTTTGGAGGCCTAGGTGGGAGGATTGCTTGAGCCCAAGATTTTGAGACCAGCCTGGGCAACATAGTGAGACCTCATATCTACAAAATATATTTTAAAAAATTAGCTGAGCATGGTGGCACACTCCTGTAGTCCCAGCTACTCAGGAAGCTGAGGTGGGAGGATCACTTAAGCCCAGGATGTCAAGACTGCAGTGAGCTGTGATCTCGCCACTGCACTCCAGCGTGGGTGACAGAGTGAGACCCTAACTCAAAAAAAAAGGAGAAAGTTTGCAACATATTCATTCCTAGTATGAGAATTATTCTAGACACTGTGCTGAAGTCTTAAAAGGCAAGAAGGTATCAACCTGATCTCTCCCAAGGGAAAACAATAATACAAATGAAAACAACAACATCATCACTAACTCAGTCGCCTTTGTGTTTGTGATTCAGCATTTGGCAGGCACGTCTGTGTAGGACTGGGGTGGGATAACAGAAGAAATGAGAGGCATATGTTTGGATACCACACTGCCACGAATCGGCAAAGGCTTTTTCATGCTGGACAAGACAATTTGTCAATCAAGTGTGTAGTTATCCTCCCTGTGGCAGGAGATATTTTTTAGGAAAATAGACTGCAGTGGCTCGATAAATGGACTTGGACCAGATCTACAGTGGATTTGCTGATGCTTTAAGCAGGAAAAATATTTACTTATTTCTATTTTTACATATTGTAAATCACCACGTATGTAGTTCTTCTTTACAGACTGATTCAGTTCCTCTCAAAATTTACCTACATGTTTTGGATTTCTGAATAATAAATTCATTCAGCTGTGATTATTAGGGAGGTTCCCAAGACAATGTCAGCTCCTGCTGCTGTACAGGGAAAACCTGCCATCTCTACTGAATGGTTTTTAATCTGAAGGAAGGCTGAAGGAAAAGGTTTCCACAGACATGCTCTTAATTAAACACCTACAAGAGATATAGTCAAGGAGCAGCAACCTGGGACACTAAGCCTGTGGGGGGAGGTCTTCTCACTGTCACTTCCCACCAGCTGTTTCTCATTTTTTCTCATGCATTTTTCCTGCCCTCTCTCTTTCATCCTTCTCTTTTCTCGGTTCTTCCCCTTATTTCTCCCTTCTTACTCCTGTCATTTCCTAGTGCCTTTGAGTCTTCTTTTTCCTGTTTTTGTTTTCTGTTTTTGGTAGGGAAGTATCTTTTATTTCCTCTTCTTCTATTCTTATAATTAAATTATGTATATGTGATCTTTGTAAAATATCTAAACAAAACAAATGCCCATAAACTAATAAATGAAAGTCATCCATGTGCCTAGCCCAGTCCTGCTCCTTGGTGGTAAACACTGCTAATAGTTTGTGTGTGAGGACATAGGAGGTTTTCTATGAATATAGATATATCAATTCAATTCAAACATTTATTGATCACCTCCAGTGTGCTAGACACTATTGAGATATTATGGTGAACAAGTAAATAAATCTCTGCCTTCAGGGAACTTATTTCTAATGGTGAGAGCAACAATAAAAAATCCACATATATCTAGATATTTTACCAAACTGGGATCATACACCATATGTTGATCTAAGACTTGTATTGGAATGTGTGTATTTAAAAATTACTTCATTACGAAAATTTTGATACACATAAAATAATGCAAGAGGAAAAGTAAAGTATATAATATAAAATCATGATGCTAAGATATTTTAAAATTTCCCTTTCATAGAGCACAAAGAGGCTACTGTATCTTTTCAGCATAAAGCATTTGCCCAGTTTTGTCTTAATGGGCTTATAGTAGACCCTGTAGATGCTACTGGAATATGAATTTTGCATAACTTTGTGGCTGGAGGGTGTGGTAGAGGTTGAGCTGCCCTTTCATAAATGCCTTGACTAGGTCAGCATCAGCCGCTGCTATCAGCCAAGAGTATTCTTTACATTCAAGGATACTGAGAGTTCTCTGGTCATCACGTCTTCATTTGTACTCTTGTACCATTGTTAAGTGGAAGCAATAGCTGTTGCATATACACTGTGATGAGAAGAATAACCTTTGAGAGTTATTTTAAATAACATTTTCTCTATTTTAACTGAAATTGTGTGATTAGGTATATGTATTCTGAGACTCTTTGATGGCAATTAGAAGGAATATGCATATTTGGGGGCATCTTTGAGTTTGCAATTGCAGGCTAGATCATGGGATTAGCCATAGAGCAAAAAGCAGTGGCCCTGTTTTTATTTGTAATTTTGCACTTGTCAGTTTACAAAAGAGGGTCAGGTTTACTTTCTTCATTAACATATTCAAAGGACCATGAACAGATATTGTGTGTTCTTCTGCATGCATTACAAACTAAAATAAGTCATTTTAATTGGATTTACCATTGCAGATGTTGTACATTTCAAAATGATTTTATGAACCCAAGAAGAGGTGAATAGCTACAGAGTAGGAGATCTGGCATTTAGTCACGTCTACATGGATATTGTGAGTTCTGATATCAGTGGGTCATCTTGTCTCTTTTTATAGCTTGTGCTTTAAATAGCTGCTCTCAAAAGGTCTGATGCCATAATAAAAAATTAAATAGGGGTTAATGTAAATATTTACCTATTGCTAAGGTAGTATGTTTGGAAATATTTAGTGGTGGCTGTGGCTGTAGTGGTCAGGGACTAGTGTTTCTTTAAGCTCATGTTCAAACATGCCCCTACTCGTTTACACTGCAAGAACTGAATGGTGATTATTTGGGTGAATAAAGTAATGCCCTTTCAGTGCCTTTTCCCCACATTTCTGTTGTTGAGGAATACTCTGGCATATTCAAAATGTCGGATGAAGAGATTTCTTTTTAACTGTGCTTTGCAAATTATCCAAGGAATCTAATTCTCAAAGGCAGTTATATTCATGACTACAAAAAATTTTTTAAAAACCCACACAATTAGCCGGATGTGGTGGCACTTGCCTGTAGTCCTAGCTACTCAGAAGGCTTAGGCGGGAGGATCGCTTGAGCCTAGGAGTTTGAGGCTGCATGAAGCTATGATTGCACCACTGCACTCCAGCTTGGGTGACAGAGTGAGACCCTGTCTCTAAAAATAAATAAATAAAATAATAAAAAATAAGTAAAGATGGAGATTAAAGTTTTAAAACCCTCCATTTTAAACACTTAATATTTTCATGTCTGCACACTATATGAATGCACATATACGTGTAAATATTGATGTTTACAAAAATTACAGAAATGAATGGCTTCCCTTTATTTGCAGCACATACAAACATGTCTGGCCTATGAAAAGGCATGTTTGAAAAGATGAGGGAGCTCACTATCATATTGCTCTCATCCTTGGAAACAGGTCTTAATTATTAATATACTTAAGGTTATATTGTAACCTTAATATAATATTGAGTCAGGACCTGAAGAGGTGGAAGGTCTTTCAGGTCCTGACTCAATATTATGTGCTGAAAGCGTCCCAGGAGGTACTTGGCGTAGGTTAAGTATAAAACCTTTTTATTTTTTCATTTTTTTAATACATGATCTATTTTATCAGTTTAGTGCTGGATGTCCTTTCACTGTGTGCTCTTGGCATCCTGGGCTCAATACTACTGTAACACTTATCACTCTGGGCTTTCACTGCTTCCTGCCTCTAGATGTAGAGTCCCAGGAGATCCAGACCAGTGTCTAACTGGTTTCTGTATCTATCCCCAGTGCTGCACAGGGCCTGATATAAGATAGGAGCCTAACAAAGGTTTGTTGAAAGAACAAATTCATGAATGATTAGAGTGGCTGAAAAACACATGGAAAAAAAAGTTAAAGTTGTGTGGAATTGTAGATTCCTGTTTTGTATTCCTATTCTTTCCTTCCATCCTCTCATTCCTTCCTTACATTTCACATCTTCCTTAGAATTCCACTTTGTGCTACTGAGGGTAAAATAATCCTGTGGTTCCTTCCTTTAAAACACACTTAAAAGTCTGAGCATCTGAGAACAGTCAGATCTGTGCATGTTTTTTTCCAGATGTGGACACTATTCATTATTATGTGCTCTGTAAGCACGTGGTAAAATGACATTGAATGCATAGTAGGTGCTCAGGCAAACACTAAAAGTTTGGGTTGACATTGTACATGTCTTTAATGTGATCTCAGAGTTCATTTGATCTTTGTTGCCACATCTAACTGATTTTGTTTCTCCATTTTAGATTGTTTGTGTCAAGTCATTCGTATTTACCCTTCAGCTCTAGAGGGGTAAAATTCTACTTGGGATGTTTTCTTTCAGTTATGACTAAAATAATTTTAAGGTGGTCCTTCAAAATGGATGTTTTGTGAAAAATGAAAAGTAAACCTGTGATAAGAGCAAAATCCAAAACCAAAACACATCTGTAATGATGTTGTTGCACATATAAGTGCTTGCTATTGTTAGATTTTTTAAAAAATGTTGCTTAAGTGGTGAGTATAAAAGGTTATCCTGCTCTCCTTGAAATTTACATTTCACACACTACAAATGCAGTGGAGCATCTTTTCAAGTGTTCATTGGCCATTCTTATTTCCTCTTCTGTAAAATGCCTGCTTGTGTTTTATTTTTCATGTATTTATGGGTTGTCTTTTTCTTATTATTGACTTATAATCTTTTATATATCCTTGATATTAATTACTAATTCTTTGTCGTTACATGTGTTGAAATTATCTTCAGTCAGGTTTTGGACTGTCTCATCACTTTCTTTATCATGTATTTTGAGGAAAGAAATGAAAAATTTTAATGTAGCATAATTAATCAGTTTTTTTATTTTATGCTTTCTGCTTCTTCCATCTTGCTTTAAAAAGTCTATCCTACCCATAGGTTACACAGATATCATACTATATTTTCTCTGATCTGATTCCCAACAGTGTAAGATTTGAATCCTCACCAATGCATGACCATTAGCGTGAAGGTGGAAATTGTTAGATATCCCAGGGGTAACTGCTATTATTTGTTGGCTTCTCCCACAAGATATTCGCCTAAGTAATGATTTTGGCCTCTGAGGATTTGCTTGTCTTTCCAGCCAGCTCAGCGATGCATTAAAAAAGATTTTTTTTTGAGACAGGGTCTTGGTCTGTCACCCAAGCTGTAGTGCAGTGGTGGAATCACAGCTCACTGCAGCCTCGACCTCCTGGGCTCAAGCGATCCTTCCACCTCAGCCTACCCAGTAGCTGGGACTACAGGCGCCTGCCACCACACTTGGCTGATTTTTGTATTTTTAGTAGAGACGGAGTTTCACTGTGTCGGCCCAGCTGCCCTTGAACTCCTGACCTCAAGTGATCTGCACGCCTTGGCCTCCCAAAGTGCTGGGATTACAGGTGTGAGCCATCGTGCCTGGCTGAAAAGGATTTAATTTGATTTTTCCCACCATGTTTTTGTATTTTGTACTAGAAGGTTTTTCAGGATTTTTAGTTACCCATATGACCAAGAAGGGGAGCTCCTCCATGTTTTTCAAACTTAGACGTTCAATGTTTAGATTCAAATATGATATCTAATGTAGGAGTTTTTCTTGTACACAAGACGTGAGATATGGATCGGGAAACATAACCCATTACCCCATCCACAGATGGCTTAAAGGGGGAAAAGATGGGAGTGGTGTTCTGGCTCTGGGGTCCTTTGTGATTGTTTGGAGAAGGTGATGCAGAATTAAAATCTTTGCAGAACTATAGTGGTAATAAACTCAGCATGTTACCTGTGGCGTATTCGTATGGTCTGCAGCAACCTCAATTCTTGCCTCCTCAGAAGAAAGAATTCAACTGAAGGTCATAAGGCAGAAGAAGAGACCGAGGCAAGTTTTAGAGCAGGAGTGAAAGTTTATTAGAAAGCTTTAGAGCAGGAATGAAAGGAAGTAAAGTACACTTGGAAGAGGGTCGGGTGGGCGACTTGAGAGATCAAGTGTATGGTTTGACCTTTGGTCTTGGGGTTTTATATGTTGGGATGCTTCTGGGATCTTGTGTTTCTTCTCCCCTGATTCTTCCCTTGAGGTGGGCTGTTCACACATGCAGTGGCCTGCTAGCACTTGGGAGGGGAGCATGCACAGTGTGTTTACTGAAATTGTATGCATCCTTACTTGAGGCATTCTTCCCTTACCAGTCAAATGTCCTAGAAGGTCATAATACCAGTTAAACTCCACCACTTTTCCTCTTAGTGTGCATGCATGAGCCCACTTACCCAACTCCTGAGATCTTATCAGGAGCTGCTGATCACCAGTTTCAGATGTTTCTGTTTATTGGGAGATGGCCTTTCCTTGGCACTGGCTGTGACCAATTATTATCTTAGAGAGACAGTTTCATAACTGCCTGATCATCACCTGTTGGTTGCCTGACATTCCTGGTGGGAAGGTGTCCCTCTCCTGCCCTGCTCATGTCTGACTAGCTACCCTCTGTAACAAGCATTGTCTGTGACTGCATGAATGCTAACTTTTACATGAAACCTTTGAAATTGTAATGTCATTTTTTCTTTATAACAATGGCCGACATTTATCGAGCACTTACTATACACTAAGGTAAGTGCTTTGCATGTATGAAAAACTTATTCATTACAATAACCCTGTGAAATAGGTGCTGCCATTTTTTCCACTTTACCAATAAAAGAAACAGACACAGATTTTAAGTAGCTTGCCCAAGGTCACATAACTACCAAGTGGTACAGCTGGAATTTGAATCCAGTCAATCTGTTTCTGGAGTGAGAACTCATAAGGAGTATGCTATATGACCTCTATAGGAAATGCTTATTTGTTCAGAAAAATAAGAATTTTTTTCCATTCCAAGATGGCCAAATAGGAACGGCTCCAGTCTGCAGCTCCCAGTGTGATCAACACAAAATATGGGTGATTTCTGCATTTCCAACTGAGGTACCTGGTTCATCTCACTGGGACTTGTTGGACAGTGGGTGCAGCGCATGGAGGGTGAACTGAAGCAGGGTGGGGCATCACCTCACCCGGGAAGCACAAGGGGTCAGGGGATTTCCCTTTCCTAGCCAAGGGAAGCCGTGATAGACGGCACCTGGAAAAATGGGACACTCCCGCCCAAATACTGTGCTTTTCCAATGGTCTTAGCAAATGGCGCACCAGGAGATTATATCTCACACCTGGCTCAGCAGATCCCAAGCCCACAGAGCCTTGCCTACTGCTAACACAGCAGTGTCAGATCAACCTGTGAAGCAGCAGCCTAGCAGGGGGAGGGGGTCCGCCATTGCTGAGGCTTGAGTAGGTAAACAAAGCAGCCAGGAAAGCTCAAACTGGGCAGAGCCCACTGCACTCAGCAAGGCCTGCTGCCTCTGTAGTCTCCACCTCTGGGGGCAGGGCATAGCTGAATAAAAGGCAGCAGAAACTGCTGCAGACTTAAACGTCCCTGTCTGACAGCTCTGAAGAGAGCAGTGGTTCTCCCAGCATGGTGTTTGAGCTCGGAGAACAGACGGACTGCCTCCTCAAGTGGGTCCCTGACCTCCGTGTAGCCTAACTGGGAGACACCTCCCAGTAAGGGCCTACTGATACCTCATACAGGCAGGTGCCCCTCTGGGACAAAGCTTCCGGAGGAAGGATCAGGCATCAATATTTGCTGTTCTGCAATATATGCTGTTCTGCAGCCTCCGCTGGTGATACCCAGGCAAACAGAGTCTGGAGTGGACCTCCAGCAAACTCCAACAGACCTGCAGCTGAGGGACCTGAGTCTTAGAAGGAAAACTAACAAACAGAAAGGAATAGCGTCAACATCAACAAAAAGGACATCCACAGCAAAACGCCATCTGTAGGTCACCAACATTAAAGACTAAAGGTAGATAAAACCACAAAGATGGGGAGAAACCAGAGCAGAAATGCTGAAAATTCTAAAAACCAGAGAGCCTTTTCTCCTCCAAAGGATTGCATCTCCTCGCCAGCAATGGAACAAAGCTGGACAGAGAATGACTTTGATGAGCTGACAGAAGTAGGCTTCAGAAGGTCGGTAATAACAAACTTCTCCAAGCTAAAGGAGGATGTTTGAACCCATAGCAAGGAAGCTAAAACCTTGAAAAAAGATTAGACGAATGGCGAACTAGAATAAACAGTGACCTGACGAGCTGAAAACCATGGCATAAGAACTACGTGACACATGCACAAGCTTTAATAGCTGATTCGATCATGTGGAAGAAAGGGTATTAATGATTGAAGATGAAGTTAATGAAACCAAGCGAGAAGAGAAGTTTAGAGAAAAAAGAGTGAAAACAAACAAAGCCTCCAAGAAATATGGGACTATGTGAAAAGACCAAATCTACGTTTGACTGGTGTACCTGAAAGTGACAGGGAGAAAGAACCAAGTTGGAAAACACTCTTCGGGATATTATCCAGGAGAACTTCCCCAACCTAGCAAGGCAGGCCAACATTCAAATTCAGGAAATACAGAGAACACCACAAAGATAATCCTCAAGAAGAGCAACCCCAAGACACATAGTTGTCAGATTCACCAAGGTTGACATGAAGGAAAAAATGTTAAGAGCAGCCAGAGAGAAAGGTTGGGTTACCCACAAAGGGAAGCCCATCAGAGTAATAGCAGATCTCTCGGCAGAAACTCTACCAGCCAGAGGAGACTGGGGGCCAATATTCAACATACTTAAAGAAAATAATTTTCAAGCCAGAATTTCATATCCAGCCAAACTAAGCTTCATAAGTGAAGGAGAAATAAAATCCTTTACAGATAAGCAAATGCTGAGAGATTTTGTCACCACCAGGCCTGCCTTACAAGAGCTCTTGAAGGAAGCACTAAACATGGAAAGGAACAACCAGTATCAACCACTGCAAAAAACATGCCAAATTGTAAAGACCATCGATGCTAGGAAGAAACTGCATCAATTAATGGGCAAAGTAACCAGCTAACATCATAATGACAGGATCAAATTCACACATAACTATATTAATCTTAAATGTAAATGGGCTAAATGCTCCAATTAAAAGACACAGACAGGCAAATTGGATAAAGAGTCAAGACCCATTGGTGTGCTGTATTCAGGAGACCCATCTCATGTGCAGAGACACACATAGGCTCAAAATAAAGGGATGGAGGAATATTTACCAAGCAAATAGAAAGCAAAAGAAAAAAAAGCAGGGGTTGCAATCCTAGTCTCTGATAAAACAGACTTTAAACCAACAAAGATCAAAAGAGACAAAGAAGGCCATTACATAATGGTAAAGGGATCAATTCAACAAGAAGAGCTAACTATCCTAAAGATATATGCACCCGATACAGGAACACCCAGATTCATAAAGCAAGTCCTTAGAGACCTACAAAGACACTTAGATTCCCACACAATAATAATGGGAGACTTTAACACCCCACTGTCAATATTAGACAGATCAACGAGACAGAAGGTTAACAAGGATATCCAGGACTTGAACTTAGCTCTACAGCAAGCAGACCTAATAGACATCTACAGAACTCTCCACCCCAAATCAACAGAATATACATTCTTCACAGCACCACATCACATTTATTCCAAAATTGACCACATAGTTGGAAGTAAAGCACTCCTCAGCAAACGTAAAAGAACAGAAATCACAACAAACTGTCTCTCAGACCACAGTGCAATCAAATTAGAACTCAGGATTAAGAAACTCACTCAAAACCGCACAACTACATGGAAACTGAACAACTTGCTCCTGGATGACCACTGGGTAAATAATGAAATGAAGGCAGAAATAAAGATGTTCTTTGAAACCAATGAGAACAAAGACACAATGTACCAGAATCTCTGGGACACATTCAAAGCAGTGTGTAGAGGGAAATTTATAGCACTAAATGCCCACAAGAGAAAGCAGGAAAGATCTAAAATCGACAGCCTAACATCACAATTAAAAGAACTAGAGAAGCAAGAGCAAACACATTCAAAAGCTAGCAGAAGACAATAAATAACTAAGATCAGAGCAGAACTGAAGGAGATAGAGATGCAAAAAACCCTTCAAAAAAATCAATGAATCCAGGAGTTGGTTTTTTGAAAGATTGACAAAATTGATAGACTGCTAGCAAGACTAATAAAGAAGAAAAGAGAGAAGAATCAAATAGACGCAATAAAAAATGATAAGGGGGATATCACCACCGATCCCACAGAAATACAAACTACCATTAGAGAATACTACAAGCACCTCTACGCAAATAAACTAGAAAATCTAGAAGAAATGGATAAATTCCTCGACACATACACCCTCCCAAGACTAAACCAGGAAGAACTTGAATCTCTGAATAGACCAATAACAGGCTCTGAAATTGAGGCAATAATTAGTAGCCTACGAACAAAAAAGAGTCCAGGACCAGATGGATTCACAGCCGAATTCTACCAGAGATACAAGGAGGAGCTGGTACTATTCCTTCTGAAACTATTCCAATCAATAGAAAAAGAGGGAATCCTCCCTAACTCATTTTATGAGGCCAGCATCATCCTGATACCAAAGCCTGGCAGAGACACAACAAAAAAAGAGAATTTTAGGCTAATATCCCTGATGAATATCGATGTGAAAATCCTCAATAAAATACTGGCAAACCGAATCCAGCAGCACATCAAAAAGCTTGTCCACCATGATCAAGTTGGCTTCATCCCTGGGATGCCAGACTGGTTCAACATATGCAAATCAATAAACATAATCCATCACATAAACAGGACCAACGGCAAAAACCATATGATTATCTCAATAGATGCAGAAAAGGCCTTTGAGAAAATTCAACAGTGCTTCATGCTAAAAACTCTCAATAAACTAGGTATTGATGGAATGTATCTCAAAATAATAAGAGCTATTTTTGATAAACCCACAGCCAATGTCATACTGAATGGGCAAAAACTGGAAGCATTTCCTTTGAAAACTGGCACAACACAGGGGTGCCCCCTCTCACCACTCCTATTCAAGATAGTGTTGGAAGTTCTGGCCAGGGCAATCAGGCAAGAGAAAGAAATAAAGCGTATTCAGTTAGGAAAAGAAGAAGCCAAATTGTCCCTGTTTGCAGATGACATGATTGTATATTTAGAAAACCCAATTGTCTCAGCCCAAAATCTCCTTCAGCTGAGAAGCAACTTCAGCAAAGTCTTAGGATACAAAATCAATATGCAAAAATCACAAGCATTCCTATACACTAAGAACAAACAAACAGAGAGCCAAATCATGAGTGAACTCCCATTCACAATTGCTACAAAGAGAATAAAATACCTAGGAATCCAACTTACAAGGGATGTGAAGTCCCTCTTCAAGGAGAACTACAAACCACTGCTCAGCAAAATAAAAGAGGACACAAACAAATGGAAGAACATTCCAAGCTCATGGATAGGAAGAATCAGTATCGCGAAAATGGCCATACTGCCCAAGGTAATTTATACATTCAATGCCATCCCCATCAAGCTACCAATGACTTTCTTCACAGAATTGGAAAAAACTACTTTAAAGTTCATATGGAACCAAAAAAGAGCCTCCATTGCCTAGACAATCCTAAGCCAAAAGAACAAAGCTGGAGGCGTCATGCTACCTGTCTTCAAACTATATTACAAGGCTACAGTAACCAAAACAGCATAGTACTGGTACCAAAACAGATATATAGACCAATGGAACAGAACAGAGGCCTCAGAAATAACACCAGACATCTACAACCATCTGATCTTTGACAAACCTGACAAAAACAAGAAATGGGGAAAGGATTCCCTATTTAATAAATGGTGCTGGGAAAACTAGCTAGCCATATGTAGAAAGCTGAAACTGGATCCCTTCCTTACACCTTATACAAAAATTAATTCAAGATGGATTAAAGACTTAAATGTTAGACCTAAAACCATAAAAACCCTAGAAGAAAACCTAGGCAATACCATTCAGGACATAGGCATGGGCAAGGGCTTCATGACTAAAACACCAAAAGCAATGGCAACAAAAGCCAAACTTGACAAATGAGATCTAATTAAACTAAAGAGCTTCTGCACAGCAGAAGAAACTACCATCAGAGTGAACAGGCAGCCTACAGAATGGGAGAAAATTTTTGCAATCTACCTAACTGACAAAGGGCTAATATCCAGAATCTACAAATAACTTAAACAAATTTACAAGGAAAAAACAAAGAACCCCATTAAAAAGTGGGCAAAGGATATGAACAGGCACTTCTCAAAAGAAGACATTTATGCAGCCAACAGACACATGAAAAAATGCTCATCATCCCTGGCCATCAGAGAAATGCAAATCAAAACCACAATGAGATACCATCTCACACCCATTAGAATGGCGATCATTAAAAAGTCAGGAAACAACAGATGCTGGAGAGGATGTGGAGCAATAGGAACACTTTTACACTGTTGGTGGGAGTGTAAACTACTTCAACCATTGTGGAAGACAGTGTCACAATTCCTCAAGCATCTAGAACTAGAAATACCATTTGACCCAGCAATCCCATTATTGGGTATATACCCAAAGGATTATAAATCATGCTACTATAAAGACACATGCACACGTATGTTTATTGCAGCACTATTCACAATAGCAATAACTTGAAACTAAGCCAAATGTCCATCAATGGTAGACTGGATTAAGAAAATTTGGCACATGTACACCATGGAATACTATGCAGCCATAAAAAGGGATGAGTTCATGTCCTGTGCAGGGACATGGATGAAGCTGGAAATCATCATTCTGAGTAAACTATCACAAGGACAGAAAACCAAACACCGCCTGTTCTGACCCATAGGTGGGAATTGAACAATGAGAACACTTGGACACAGGGCAGGGAACATCACACCCCGGGGCCTGTGGTGGGGTGGGTGGAGGGGGGAGGGATAGCATTAGGAGAAATACCTAATGTAAATGACGAGTTAATGGGTGCAGCAAACCAACATGGCACATGTATACCTATGTAACAAACCTGCAGATTGTGCACATGTGCCCTAGAACTTAAAGTATAATAAAAAAAGAATTAAATGTGTTTAAGATAATAATCCCCAAATATAACATATTGGTGCTGTGATGTCATTGCAGTCTTTTTTCCCTAGCATACATTTCCAAAAGTGTAGCCTACTTCTTATGTTTTTGGTATTTTTTTCTTTCATATCTCTTTTTTAAATAATTAAATCCTTTTGAAAAGATAAGTGGAAAAAAGTACATTCATCGTTCAAATGAACTTTTTTCTTATAAATACCAAATTTTTCCTTGAGCTTTTTGGTAATGGCTTAGTTGGGATATAATACACGTATAATACAATTTACCCATTTAAATTAAATGTTTTTAGCATATTCGCAGAGGTGTACATAACCATCACTGCAATCAATTTTAGAACATTTTGTTACTCCCTAAAGAAACCCTGTATATTTTAGCTATCATTTCCGAAGCTCCCTGATTCCCCTAGCCCTAGGCAATCTCTAATCTATTTTCTATCTTTCTCTCTATGCTTATTCTAGACATTTCATAGAAATGAAATAACACAATATTTGGTCTTTTGTGTCTGGCTTCTTTCACTTAGCGTGTTTTTTTCAGGATTCATCCATGTTGTAGGATGTATTAGTCCTTCGTTTCTTTTTATTGCCAAATAATTTTCCACTGTATGGATATGCTGCTTTTGTTTACCCATTCTACAGTTAATGGATATTTGAGTTATTTCCACCTTTGGGGTTTTATGAATAATGTGGCTATTAACATTTGTGTATAAGTTTTTGTGTAGTAATATGTTTTCATTTCTCTTTGCTGTATATCTAGAGGTAGAATTGCTGGGACATGTGGTAAATCTATGTGTAACCTTCTGAGGAATTGCAAAACTCTATTCCGTAGGGGATGAACCATTTTACATTTTATAATAACATTTTACATTTACATGTATGAGGGTTCCAATTTGTCCACGTACTAATCAACACTTGTTCTTGTCCATCTTTTTTGTTACAGACATCCTCTTGGGTGTGATGTGGTATCATTGTGGTTTCCATATACATTTTCCTAATGACTAAATGATGTTGAGCATCCTTGCATGTGCTCATGGACCACTTGTATATCTTCTTTGGAGATATGTCTATTCAAATATTTTGCCCATTTTAACTCAATTCTTTGTCTTTTTGTTATTGATTTATAAGTGTTCTTTATATTCTAGATACATGTCCCTTATCAGATATACGATTTGCAAATATATCCTCTTATTCTGTACGTCATCTTTTCACTTTCTTAGTATCTTTTGAAGCACAAAGTTTTAATTTTGATGAAGCCCAATTTATATAATTTTAAACATTTGTACTTTTGATGTAATGTATAAATAAGAAGGTTTTGCCAAATGCAAGGTCACAAAGATTTACTTCTATAATTTAATATTTTGATTGTTTTAGCTGCTACATTTTGGTGTTTGATCCACTTTTAGTTAATTTTTATATATATACATATATATATGACATATGTAGATATCCTGTTATTTCATCACTGTTTCTTGAGAATACTTTTGTTTTCCCCAGTGAATTTATTTGTTCTTGTCAAAAGTCATTTGAGAGACGTATCATGATGGCTGAATAGAAACGTTTCATACTTGCCCCCTCCACTTAGAAAAACCAAAATAGCGTATAGACAATCACACATTTTGGATACATTATCCAAGAAAGAACACTGAACTTCAACAGAAGAGTGACAGGAAACACCAAAATCAAGGAAAGAGAAGGAAGAGAGGCAGCCTGCTTGGCCGGGATTGGCAGGCAGCTGGGAGTGACTTCCCAACACAGGGAAAGGTTAAGTGAGAGACTTTTAGTGACTCACATCCCCACACTGGAAGCATGCAATCCTGGCCATGGAAGAGGCCCTCTATCTTCTCAAAGCCTGAAACAAACATAAGGAGTTACCAGGAGACCGTGAGATGGAACTGCTCCAGGGAAGGAACTAGCACTAGGACCCACACCTGTTCTGAGTCTTGAGTGGCTACATCAAGACACTATTTGCAGTCTTAGCCTTTAACAGACTGCACAGTATCCTGGAACCCAGCGGTGTTGGGACTGAGGTGTTATTGCTGCTGGAAACTGGGGAATCAGCCTGCTGATAACTGCCAACATTGCTGTCAGTGTACACTACCCTGGGGCACAAAGATAGGCATGCTCAGAGACTGGGAGTGAGCTGGGAATGAACTTACGCAGCTGGAGCTGAGAAGCAAGTGCATGGGTTGCAGCTGCCGGTGCTAGAAAGGGAGGACCACTGGGACTAAGCTGGGACATGAGTGAAGCATGAGTTGTGGCTGCAACTGAGTCATGGGGCTCCTACAGCTGGGGCTGAGGCACAAGCTAAAAATGGGCTACCACTATGTTGCTCAGGTTAGTCCCAGTCATCAGGGTTCAAGTGATCCTCCTGCCTTGGCCTCCCAAAGCACTAGCATTACAGGCATGAGCCAGCATGCCCAAGCAGTATGCTACCACTGCTAGAGCTGGGGAGTGTGCCCCACTGGGATCGGAGTGTGAGAGTTACATGTGCTCACCACCCACCAGCTTGGACTGTGGCCACCAACAGCCCCACCCTCTCCAGTGACAGGGCCTTAGCATGGCTGCTACCACCCTTTCCCCAAACACTGCCCAAAACCTGAAGATCACCCAGATCCTACCTACCACAAGCAGTGCCTGCTCTCACCATTGGAGACCTGAGCATGAGCCTGCCCACACCCCCTGAGACAGAGCACATAGCCTGGAATCATGAGGGATGAACAACCCAATTCACCACTTTGGGCACCTGAACATTCCTCCTAGGGGCTGGATGTACGACCTAAACTCCTGGCTACTACCACCTCAGCTGACACCTACCTGCAAATGCTACCTGCAGGCCTGGAGACTGGCTTGGCCAGCACATTGCAGCCACCACCTACATCAGTGCATACCGCTTGGGCATGCTGGCTCATGCCTGTAATGCTAGTGCTTTGGGAGGCCAAGGCAGGAGGATCACTTGAACCCTGATGACTGGGACTAACCTGAGCAACATAGTGAGACCCTATCTCTTAAAAAATAAAATAAAATAAGCCAAGCATGGTGGCACATGCCTGTAGTTCTATCTGGGTAACAGAGCAAGAACCTGTCAAAAAAAAAAAAAAAAGAATTCAAAATATTGATTTTAAAGAAGCTCAGTGAGATACAGGAGAATTCTGAAAAATAATACAAAGAAGTCAGAAAAACAATCAGGGTATGAATGAGAAGTTTACCAAAGAGATGGATATTTTAAAAGAGAACCGAATAGAAATTCTAGAACTCAAGAATTACTTGAAAGAAATACAAAATACGTTTGAAAGCATCAATAATACACTAGATCAGGCAGAAGAAAGAATCATGGAACATGAAGACAGGTCTTTTGAAATAACCCAGATAGAGAAAATAAAGAGATTAGGATAAAAAAAGAGCAAGCAATTTTTTGGGACATTTGGGACAAAATAAAGCTACTGAACATATGAATTATCAGTATCCCTGAGGGCAAAGAGAAAATGAAGAGATTAGAAAATCTATTTAAAGAAATAATAGATGAAAACTTTCCAACCCTAGCAAGAGATTTTAGGTGTTCAGATGCAGGAGTCTCAATGATCCCCAGGAAGATATAATGCAAAAGGTCTTCTTAAGGGCACATTATATTCTGACTTTCTTAAGTCAAAGATAAGGAGTGAATTCTAACCACAGCAAAAGAAAAGTGTCTAGTCACCTGTAAAAGAAACTGCATCAGACTAACAGCAGATTTCTCAGCAGAAACTTCAGAGGCCAATAGAGAATGGGATGATACATGTAAAGTGCTGAAAGAAAAAAAATACCAGCCAAGAATACTATATCCAATAAACTATCCTTTATAAATGAAGGAGAAATAAAGTATTTTTTAAACAAGCAAATGCTGAGGAAATTCACTTTAGGGCCACCAGACTGGCCCTAAAAGAAATGCTCAAGGGAGTCCTAAACCTGGACACACATTTACTGGACATACATTTACTACCATAATTGAACTCATAAGCATAGAGAGTAGAAGGATGGTTACCAGAGGCTGGGAAGGGCATGGGGTGTTGGGGGAGAGGTGGGGATGGTTAATGTGTACAAAAAAAAAAAAGAATGAATGAATAAGACCTACTATTTGATAGCACAATAGAGTGACTATAGTCAATAATAACTTAATTGTATATTTTTAAATAACTTAAAGAATGTAATTGGATTATTTGTAATAATAAGGATAAATGCTTGAGGGGATACATACTCCTTTCTCCATAATGTGCTTATTTCACATTGTATGCCTGTATCAAAATATCTCATGTGCCTTGTGTGTGTGTGTATGTGTGTGTGTATATATATGTATATATATAATATACATATATATATGGTTTGTGTGTGTGTGTATATATATATATATATATATATATATATACACACACACCTACCATGTACCCATAAAAATCAAAAGGAAAGGATTATAATATCCTTATAAAAAACACATGAAAACACATAACTCACTGATAAAGCAAACACACAAAGGAGAAAGGGACACAGATACTAATCTGAGGAGCAGAGCAGGATGGCAGAATAGAAGGCCCCACCAATCATACCCCCTGCAGGAACACCAAATTCAACAACTATCTACATAATAAAAGCACCTCATAAGAACCAAAAATCAGGTGAGCATTCATAATACCAGGTTGAAACTTCATATCACTGAAAGAGGCACTGAAGAGGGTAGGAAAGACAGTTTGAATTGCCAATGCCATCCCTCCCCCACTACCCTGCAGTAGCCACATCTCTGCAGCATGGAGAAATCTGTACACTTGGGAGAGGGAGATCACAGAAACTGTGGGACTTTGCATTGAACTCAGTGCTGCCCTAGTCACAGTGGAAAGCAAAACTGGGCTGAACTCAGCTGATGCCCACTCACAAAGTGAGCATTCAGGCCAGCTTCAGCCAGAGGGGAATAACCCATATCAGCAGTAGGAACTTGAGTTCCAGCAAGCTCGCTGCCATGGGGTGAAGTGCTCTGGGACCCTCAATAACCTTGAAAGGCAGTCTAGGCCACAAGGACTGCAAATCCTAGTGTGGAGTTGGGTTCAGAGCCAGTGGACTTGGGGAACATGTGACTTTACTGAGACACCAGCCAGGGAAGCTAAGGGAGTGCTTGTGCCACCTCTCTCACAACCCAGGCAACACAGCTTGCAGCTCCAAAAGAGACCTCTTCCTTCCACTTGAGGAAAGGAGAGGGAAGAGTAAAGATGACTTTTGTCTTATATCTTGGGTAACAACTCAGCCACAGAAGGATAAACCACCAAGCAGAGTCATGAGGCCCCCATTCCAGGCTCTAGCTCCCATACGGCATTTCTAGACACACCTTGGACCACAAGGGAACCTACTGCCTTGAAGGGGAAAAGCCTATCCAGGTAGGATCCATCACTTGCTGACTAAAGAGACCTTGGGCCCTGAATAACCAGCTGTGATACCCAGGTAGTATGCCATGGGCCTTGGGTGAAACTCTGAGATGTGATGGCTTCAAGTGAGACCCAACACATTTTTCAGCTGTGATGGCTATGGGGAGAGACTACTGCTTGAGAAAAGCAGAGGGAAAAGTAAAGGGGACTTTACTGTCTTCCACTTTAGGTACTAGCTCAGCCACAGTGGGATAGAGCACCAAGAGGGCTCATGCGGTCCCTGATTCCAGGCCTTGCCTCTGGGAGGGCATTTCTGGACATGCCCTGGGCCAGAGGGAAACCTGTTGCCCTGGAGGGTGATTCCCAGGCATGGCAACATTCACCACAAGCTGATTAAAGATCCCTTGGGCCTTAAGTGAATGGAAGGACAGAAGCCTGTATGGCTTCACCTTACCAGTAAAGAAACACATAGACTCAATGTAAAGGAATGGACAAAATATATTCCATGTAAATGGAAACCAAAGGTGACCAGGAATAGCTGTACATATATCAGATAAAGCAGATTTTACATCAAAAATGGTTTTTTTTTTTTGTTTTTTGTTTTAAAAAGGCTGGGCGCGGTGGCTCAATGCCTGTAATCCTAGCACCTTGGGAGGCCGAGGCAGGCAGATTACTTGAGGTCAGGAGTTCGAGACCACCCTGGCCAATATGGCAAAACCCTGTCTACTAAAAATGCAAAAATTAGCTGAGCATGGGGGCTTGTGCCTGTAGTCCCAGCTACTTGGGAGGCTAAGGCCGGAGAATTGCTTGAACCTGGGAGGCAGAGGTTGCAGTGAGCCGAAATCGCACCACTGCACTCCAGCCTGGGTGACAGAGAGAGACTCTGCCTCAAAAAACAAAAACAAAAAACAAAACACAAACAAAAAAAAGCCACCCCAAAAAACAAACAGTAAAAAAACAAAACAAAACAAAAACTGGAGAAAGAGAAAGGAGGTCATTATATATAATTAATTGGTCAATCCAGCAAGTGGATATAACAATTCTAAATATATATTTACCCAACACTAAAGCACCCAGGACCATAAAGCCAATATTACTAGATCTAAAGAGAGATATAGACTGCAATACAATAATAGTGGGGCATTCAACACCCCACTCTCAGCATTAGACAGATCACCTAGCCAGAAAATCAACAAAGAAACATTCGATTTAAACTGTAAATTAGTGGGAGCTAAATGATAAGAACTTATGAACGCAAAGAAGGAAACAACAGACATTGGGGTCAGCTTGAGTGGGAGGATGGGAAGAGGAAGAGGAGCCAAAAAAAAAAAAAAAACAAAGCAAACTATTGGCTATTGGGCTTAAAACCTGGGTGATTAAATAATATGTACAACAAACCCCTGCAACACGTGTTTATCTATGTAACAAACCTTCACATGTACCTCCAAACCTAGAATAAAAGTTAAAAAATAATGAAAAAGTCTGTACATTAGACTGAATGGACCTAACAGACACTTACAGAAGATTCTATTCCTTAACTGCAGGATATATATTCTTTTCATCTACACATGGAACATTCTTCAGGATAGACCACATTTTATGCCACAAAACAAGTATTTAACAAGTATTTAAAGGGAATTCTTATATACTGCGGGTAGAAATGTAAACTAGTACAGTCACTGTGGAAAATACCATGGAGATTTCTCAAAAAATTAAAAATACAATTACCATTTCATCCAGCAATCCTGCTACTGGGTATCTACCCAAATGAAAAGAAATCAGTATATGAATAAGGGATACTTGCACTCACATGTTTATTGCAGCATTATTCACGATAGAAAAATATGGAATCAACCTAAGTGTCCATCAACGGATGAATGGATAAAGAAAATGTGGCATATATACACAATGGAATAATATTTGGTCATAAAAAATGAAATCATGTCATTTGCAGCAACATGGATGAAACTGTAGGTCATTATTTTAAGTGAAATAAACCAGGTTTAAAGGTAAATATTGCATGTTGTTACTTAAATGTGAGAGCTAAAAAATTCATCACATGGCAGTAGACCATGAAAAGACAGATAACAGAGACTGAAAGGGTGAATTTGGAGAAGGGGGAGGGTGAAGAGAAGTGGGTAAAAGGGTACATACAATTAGAAGGAATAAATTCAGTGTTTCATAGTAGAGTAGGGTGACTATAGTTAACAGAAATGTATTGTACCTGGGTACCCAAGCACTTGGGTACTTGGGACACCTTAAATACCATTTTGATCCCTACACATTATATACATGTAACAAAATTTTACATGTACCCCATTAATTTGTACAAAAAAATCAACTGACCCTCAATATATGGGCTACTTTTTTGGACTCTCCATTCCATTCCATTGATCTTTATGTCTATCCTTATGTCAGTACCACACTGTCTTTTTTATTGTAGCTTTGTACTAAGCTTTGAAATCGGGAACTGTGAGTTCTCTAACTTTGTCCTTTTGTTTCGAGACTGTTTTGGTTAATTTGGCTCCCTTGTATTTCCATATGAGTTTTAGGTTCCACCTGTTAATTTCTGTAAGAAAAAAGCGAGCTAAAATCTTTATAGGGGTTCTTTTCAATCTGTATATCAATTTAGGGAGTATTGCTACTTCAATAGTATTATATTCCAAGATATGAACATGGATTGGCTTTCAATTTCTCAGATATTTAATTTCTTTCAATAATATTTTATAGTTTTAAGAGTATGTTTTCCATTTATGCTTTGTACAATAGAAATAAAATTGATTCTTCTATCTTGACCTTGTATCCTGCACCCTTGCTGAATTTGTTAGTTGTAACAGCTTTTGTGTGTCTGTCTGTCTGTCTGTGTGTAAATTCCTTAGTGTTTTTTATGTACAAGATCACATCATTTATAAATAGAGATAGTTTTACTTTTTCCTTTGGGGAAGTGACTATGAGCAGTGGGTTCCCCAAGACTATCCCAGGTAAGATGGTTTATGAGGTGGACTCACATGACTCGAACATAGTTGAACTCATGGCTAATATTATTACAACAAATATATTTATATACATATGTGTCATATATATGTCGGTTATAAAAAGACTGGAATTTATTTTTTGAATTTTCTTTTTCTTTTTTTATAGTTGTATGTGCTTGGCTCTAAGGTACTTAATATAGGGTTTTGGACAGAAAAATGAAAAACAATCAAATGTGATGATGGCATTCAGATCTAAGATACCTCCAGATTTCAGAAATGTTAACATTTGAATAGAATAGTACTTAGCATCTTAGAATAGTATTCAGGACAAGTTTTGTTTGGAGTTTTATAACTGATAAGAGAGAGCCTTCCTCCTACTTTTCCTTTCTCCTTCTCCTTCCCACACATTTTGTTGTATACGTGCTTGTACAAAACCTGAGTCATAGGGAATCTTCAGTGAATTGCCTGAGGTTATATCAAAAGTTGGTAGCTAATTCACTGTAGAAGCCACCAGTTCTTATATCCCTGCCATTCTGTTGTAGGCGTTGACTGCCTGGACAACATCTTTGTGTTAAGTCAGTGATGCTGAATCAGAGGCTTTCAAGAAGCCTGTTTTCCTCCTCTGTCAGCATGCAAGATCCTACACTTTCTGCTTCTGGTCTTGCTTTCTAGCTTTAACTAGATCATCCTATCTCTATACTCAAACCATATCAGTCCCTATAAAGTCCCTGATTCTTTCACCTACTCCTATATTGATGCCTTGTTTCTTTCACTTGGGATGACATTCTCTGTTCCCCTGTCCATGTATTTGAATCCTAATCAATTTTGAAGGCTCAGCTTACATGTCTCATTATCTATTAAACCTTCCCTTTTCTCTCATCCTCAATTTAGATGTAATCATTTCTCCTCTCTCCATGCTTTATATTGCATATTTCTATTCTAGCATGTACTATACCCTGCCTTATATTATGGCCAGTAGTTTGTATATATTTCCATCTTCTCTTAATTTTTATGCTTTGTGAGGTGAGGAACTCTGTTTATATTCCCATGGGCCACAGCACCTAGCAGAGAGGAGCAAATGAGAATCCAGTGGATATTTGCTGAATTGAATTACACAATGGATTGGAAGGCGGCTCCAGTAGGTGTTAGCAGGAAAAGGATTTAATATGAATCTTGGTTTTATTCTGTTAGCACAGAATTATGAATGCCTTTTATATTGTACCTTTACTGCAGAACAAAGCACTGCATAGATTGTTTTACTGTAGTCCAATGGGAATTCATTTTGTGATGGTTTCAGAATTACCCTTTTATTTGTTTCACCTTTTAAAGCATAACATTTGTCAAGACAACATTTCAGTTTATTGCATGTGCTAAGTCATTACTATTTACAGATGGTATAGAGTATCGATGTTCAGATTGAAAGGAAAAAAATACACACATAGAATCCCATCTGCCTTGCACAGGATTTAGGACTCAAACAAAACCTAATTTTATCTGTCCTGCACATCAGAAGTAGGGAACTTTCAAAGAAATCATTGCTAAAAGTAAGCATCATTGTTGAGAATTTCAGGCTGTAAAAATAATGGAGTTTCTTTCAAAAGATTGTTTATAAACATTCTTGATATAGTTTGGGATGAAACCCATCCTGGAAGAAAATGGGAGGTTATGGAGTCATATCTAGTTAGTAATTTGCATTAGAGCTATTTGGGTATAACCTTCTGAGTACAGATTTTAGATGACCTATCTGAAGGTTAGGGAACTAGATAGATGACATGGTAAAAGCTTTGCTGAATCTCCTACTAGATTCTACTTTGCATCTGAACAGTGCCTGGCACCTGGCATTTGTTCAGTATGAGTCTTTCAAATGAATAAGAGAAGTTTGAATGAATGGTATGTATGAATGGTATGAATGAATGAAGTATGAAAGGTAGCCTCCCTGAGGCTGTTAACTTATCTGCAAGATAAGTGTTTTAATATCAACCCTGGAGGATTGTTGTTAGGACCAGAGAAACTGCATATAAAGTGCCTTGTGTAGTGCCTGGTTGATACTAGTTGCTCAGCAAATGGTAGCGATTGTTCATTTACTACACTTTCTCAGTCTGTTTTCATATTGGTGGTGGCAATGAGTTTATTGCCATGGAAGAGACTATCTTTCTGGCTGACATTTCCCTTTCTATTTTTATTTGTTTGTGCTCTGTTTTTACCTCTTATTTATTTTTAGGAAACCATGTGAGAGTAGAGGCATTTCCTCTTTTAAGTAGTTTATTTGCTATGGCTCCGTAGTGCTTGGATGACATGGCACGTGTGTGCAGCCTGGTTCAGAACTCATATTTTTCTATTGTATATGAATAGAAACCCCAGAGAGGTTGGATAAATGGACATGAGAGAGCGTCGCTGTGAAATAAAGTTCAAGTGTTGGAATTATTGCTGTTACACTCTGGGATCTGAAGTAAAAAAATGTTTTCTATAAAATGGGAAAGCTTATAGATACCAATTTACTTAATTTTTAAGCTATCATTAGCCCCATAGAATAACTAATAAACTTAGTATAGTTTAAATTCCTGGAATGGTGATATGTACTCAAATCATGAAGGCAAAGACTCTCAGAGAAATAGTTTTTTTTTTAATTTTTAAATTTTTTATTTTTTTTTTTAGACGAAGTCTTGCTCTGTCACCAGGCTGGAGTGCAGTGGCACGATCTCACCTCACTGCAACCTCCGCCTCCCAGGTTTAAGCAATTCTCCTGCCGGGCCTCCCGAGTAGCTGGGACTACAGGCACGTGCCACCACGCCCAGCTAATTTTTGTATTTTTAGCAGCGACAGGGTTTCACCATGTTGGCCAGGATAGTCTCCATCTCTTGACCTCGTGATCCGCCTGCCTCGGCCTCCCAAAGTGCTGGGATTACAGGCGTGAGCCACCGCACCCAGCCAGAAGTAGTTCTTAAAAGATCATTTGACCGGGCCTGGTGGTTCACATCTGTAATCCCAACACTTTGGGAGGTCAAGGTGGGAGGATCACTTGATCCCAGAGTTCGAGACCAGCCTGGACAACACAGGGAGACACCCCCACCCCGTCTCTACAAAAAATAGAAAAATTAGCTGGGCATAGTGGTGTGCGCCTGTAGTCCCAGTTACTTGGGAGGCTGAGGTTGGAGCATGGGTTGAGCCCAGGAGATGGGAGGTTGCAATGAGCCAAGATTACACCACTGCACTCCAGCCTGGGCAACAGAGTGAGACCTTGTCTCAAAAAAAAAAAAAAAAAAAAAAAAACACATCTTTTTTTAGCAGAGGCTTCACTCTGACAGGGTAGGCTTAAAGAATTTTGACCCTCTATTTGTAACTACTCATAATGTATCTTAAATTTCAAGTTTCTTGAACTGTTACCAAAGAAAGTTTCCTTGTTAATAACTGCTTGTCAGGAAATTTTTATTTTATATTTGTGAACTTAATTTCTGTGTTGTCACATAATGAGACAATAGGATGTTACATAGATTTTCTATAATCTTTCTGGAGCATTTAACAACGTATCTCCATACACTGATTTCCATGCTGAAAATAATTTCACAAGGAAATCATTCATTATGGGGAAAAAAAAAACCCACATTGCTTAATCCAATTTAATTTACTGAAGGAACAATATTCACTTAAGTCCCCAATCTCTTCCTTCTTATAGAGGACTCTTGGACATTGAAGATGAACTTTTACATATTCTTAAGGTAAAAAATATAAACAAATCCCAAAACAAATGAATATGACTCAGAATTCTATTAATTTCAAATTTGGAACATAAAAACTAAGTTCCTCCTGCCTCCCTTACTGACCCCTCCCAAATTCATGAGTATATAGATTTTTTTTGCTTTCTTTTCCTAGAATCACTTACTGTTGCTGAGAATATACCATTAAATCTTATTCTAAAAGATAATCTATTCCAGTCAACTATATGCTTGATTTTCCTCTCTTTTCTTTACCACAGAGCAGCTTGGCCTTTGTTTGAATGCTATTAATGATAGGAAAGGGATTGTCTATCTTCCATGAAAGTCATTTCATCTACAGACAGTTCTGACTTTAGAACAAAGTGCTTCTTCATATGGAGTCTTTCTAGCTCTCTCTCTTGCTTTCTGTTTGTCTTCTGTCTCTCTCTGAGGGTAAAAACCAACCAATGAACAACCAACCGACCAATAAACTGACTGAGCAAACCTGATCAATAGGTTTGAGAAATACTGCATACATAGCCCATACCCAAGGAGTCACAATGTGTACATGTGTATTTACTAGGAAATATTGCAGTGTGTTTAACCCCTAATATTTCACAAACTTACTTGATTGTGAACTTTTACTTTTTTTCAGAACATCTGTCCAAACACAGCTTAGAGCAGAATCTGGCATATAGTAGACACTCAATAAATATTTGTTTAAAAAGTGAATGAATGCAAAATAAATCTTTAAAAACTTTAAAGCACATGCTGTATTGAGATGATCCATGTTCTGCATTTTTACAAGTGACACAGCCAGACTAGAGCTACTGATTGGATGCGTATACCTTCCTTCTCTATGTGAGCCTTTCTAAATCAATTATTTATTTCCACACATTTTAGAACTTTAAAAATTCATATTTGGATTTCTAAGTTTGTATCCTCATTGGCACAACTACCTTTTAAATAATAAAATAAATATTAGTGATGTGTTTGCTTGACTCTTTTGCTTTTTGATCATATGTAGGAATGAATTAATTGGAAATGCTTATTTTGACTTTTGATTTCAATTTGTATCTGATTGTGTTTGATTGTACAAGCACATGGATTTTCAGCAGAAGTCTTAAAATGAAGATTTGCTCCAGTAGGGTGTTTTTAAGGGTGTTTATCAGATTACCTGTTGAGTTACAGCCCTTTATTTGGCTTCTAAGTCAGCTCCTTTTTGGGCTTAGCAACGAGTCCAATGTAAGGAGAATGAATCCTTTTTATCTGTGAGTAGTTGAGTTTTCTACATGAGACAGCTTGACAACCTTCCTATCAAACGTAAATCTAGTCAACAAGGAACATGCTGTAATGTGGACTTGATCCAGGTTTGGTGATCTAGGCTTTTTATTTCTCATGCTCTAAGTGAATGCATTTAAAAGGTCAGCAATAGGAACAGTATAAATTATTTGTTCTCACTTTTATATTTCAGGAAAAAATCCGTGTGGAAATTCGAGAGGGTCAGCTACAAAGCTGGGTGTAACTCAGTGTCACAACTTTATCTAAAGTCAGTATTTTCTGTTTCTCTTTGTTCTCAGCAACAATCTTACCTCGTCCCTTGCAGCTGCTCAATTGATAACTGTGTGTCTTCTGTTGTCTTTCCTGTGTTATCTTCTTCCCCTTCAGTCTGTTTCCAACCCAGAACTTGATCATTTATTAAAGTAGTAATATTTTCTCTTGTAACCGTGATTTCATCCTTTCTCTTTAGTGTGGAAATGTTATTTTATTGGCACAGTTGTGGGCTACATTTTATGATAGAAAACATCAGTCTGTTTTTACATCTATGGATTTTACATGTTGTTGGATCTCATAGAATGTAGGGTACCTTAAAAAGCATTTACTGGCCGGGTGCGGTGGCTCACGCCTGTAATCCCAGCACTTTGGGAGGCCGAGGCGGGCGGATCACGAGGTCAGGAGATCGAGACCATCCTGGCTAACACGGTGAAACCCCGTCTCTACTAAAAAACACAAAAAATTAGCCAGGTATGGTGGCAGGCACCTGTAGTCCCAGCTACTCGGGAGGCTGAGGCAGGAGAATGGTGTCAACCCGGGAGGCAGAGCTTGCAGTGAGCCGAGATCGCGCCACTGCACTTCAGCCTGGGTGACAGAGCGAGACTCCGTCTCAAAACAAAAACAAAAACAAAACAAACAAACAAAAAAAAACAGCATTTACTGTATTGCCCTCATTTCTAAAGTGGGAGTAATGACCACAGCTAATATTGTACTGAATGTGGAAAAATTGAAGGCCTTTTGTCCAAGAACTGGAGCAAGACAAGGATGCCCACTTTTGCCACTTTTATTCAGCACAACACTGGAAGTCCTGGCCAGAGAAACTAGGCAAGAGAAAGAAATAAGGGGCATCCATACTGGAAAGAAAGAAGCCTTATTAGTTTTGTTTGTAGATGACATGATCTTGTACCCGGAAAAACCTAAAGACTCCATCAAAAAACTGTTAGAACTCTATGAGAACACTTGGACACAGGAAGGGGAACATCACACACAGGGGTCTGCTGTGCGGTGGAGGGAAGGGGGAGTGGGGAGGGATAACATTAGGAGAAATACCTAATGTAAATAACGAGTTAATGGGTGCAGCACACCAACATGGCACATGTATACATATGTAACAAACCTGCACGTTGTGCGCTTGTACCCTAGAACTTAAAGTATAATAATAATAATAAAAAACTCTTAGAACTGATAAACAAATTCAGTAAAGGTGCAGAATACGAAATCAACGTACAAAAGTCAGTAGCATTTATATACACCAACAGCAAACAATCTGTAAAAGAAATCAAGAAAGCAATCTGATCACATTTACAATAGCTACAAAAATATAAAATACCTAGGAATCAATCTAACCAAAAAGTGAAAGACTATAAAATTTGATGAAAGAAATAGAAGAGGACACACAAAATTGGAAAGATATTTCATGATCATGGATTGGAAGAATTAATATTGTTAAAATGACAATTCTACCCACAGAAATTTACAGATTCGATGCAATCTCTATCAAATTCCAGGGCATGCTTCAGATAAATAGTAAAAAATTCTAATAACGTATACAGAACCACAAAAGACCTGAAATGGCCAAAGCAGTCCTAACCAAAAAGAACAAAGCTGCAGGCATTGTACTAGGTAACTTCAAAACTTGCTACAAAGCTGTATTGACCATAACAGCATGATACTGGCATAAAACAGACACATAGACCAATGGAACAGAATAGAGAACCCAGATGTAAATCCATACATTTACAGCCAAGTCATATTCGACAAAAGTGATAAGAATCTACAATGGGGAAAGGAAATATTTTCAATAAATGATGCTGGAAAAACTGGATAACTGTATGTGGAAGAATGAAACTAGATCCCTATCTCTCACCATACACAAAAATCAAATCAAAATGGATTAAAGAACTTAAATTGAAGACCTGAAACTATGAAACTACTAGATGAAAATGTTGGGGAAACTTTCCAGAACATTGGTCTGGGCAGAGTTTTTTGTGCAAAACCTCAAAAGCATAGGCAACCACAGCAAAAATAGACAAATGGGATCACATCAAGCTAAAAAGCTTCTGCATAGCAAAGGAAACAATCAACAAAGTGAGGAGACAATTCACAGAATGAAAGAAAATATTCGCAAACTATCCATTTGACAAGGGATTAGTAACCAGAAAATATAAGGAGCTCAAACAACTCAATAGCAAAGGACCCAAATAATTCAATTTATAAAATGGGCAAAAGATCTGAATAGACATTTCTCAAAAGAAGACATAACAATGACCAACAGGTATATGAAAAAATGTTCAACATCACTAATCATCAGAAAAATGGAAATCAAAACTACAATGACATATCTCACCCCAGTTAAAATGGCTTGTATCAAAAAGACAGGCAATAACAGATGCTGGTGAGGGTGTGGGGAAAGGGGAATTCTTGCACACTGTTGGTGGGAAAGTAAACTAGTACAGCCACTATGAAGAACAGTATGGAGGTTTTGCAAAAAACGAAAAATAGAACTACCATAGAATCCAACAATTCCACTCTGGGTACATATTCAAAAGAAAGAAAGTCAATATATTGAAGAGATATTTACACTCCCATGTTTATTGCAGCACTATTTACAATAGCCAAAATATGGACTCAATCTAAGTGCCATTCAACAGATGAATGGATAAAGAAAATATGGTATATATACACCATGGAATGTTATTCATACATAAAACAGAATGAAATCCTCTTATTTGCAGCCAAATGAATGGAAATGGTGGCAATTATGTTAAATGAAGTAAGCCAAACACAGAAACACAAATACTGCTTGTTCTCACTAATATGTGAGAGCTAAAAAAATGGATCTCATGAAGATAGAGAGTAGATTGGTGGTTACCAGAGGCTGGGAAGGGTAGAGGGGAGGGGATGAAGGGGAAAAAAGAATGTAAATATATTTATTACCACTGAACTGTACACTTAAAATGGTAAATTTTGTATGCATATTTTACCTTGATAAGAAATATAAAATAAAATGGAGGTAATGAGGTGAGGAGTGGGGAGTGACTTGTTGAAAATTACAGAGCAGCTAAGTGGTCAAGCCCACACTAGGCCCTGGTGCTCCCACTCCCAGCCCACAGACTTTTATTTTGGGTCCTGAGGCCTCTCTCATTACATGAGTGCTTAAATTGTAGAGTAAGTGGACATAGTTTCCATAGCTATGCAAGAGTCTGAGTGGTATCAGAGAATCAAGTTGTTCATATTAATACTTCCAGATCTGCCACCTGACATAAAATGCATCAATTCGTCTTTGTACTTGTTCCTACTGATCAAAGCAAGGGAGAAATTTGGGTCTCCTATTATGTAGGAATATTTTTATGTCTGATGCTTTCTCATTTAAAAAGTAGAACACATTTTAACTATTGCCACTTTTGCAGGCTCCTCAGGGGAGAAAGTGTTCTTGTATCTTTTGCATTACCCTCATTCTCACCCTTCTTCCATGGCTCCATGCCTGAAAATGTCAATATGTGACACATGTTTGTAGCTGTTATAAACACATTCTTTTATCTGATTAAACATCTAGCATGGAAAGAATAACTGCGAGTGTAAATGTGCATGCCTTGATCTGAAATATATCGAGTCTAAATATATAAAATTACAAGACATTTTTAAGAAATGACTTTATGTATTGACAAATTAGATATTTGTAATGGCATGTATCTTATGAAAATAAACATCAATTAAAATTGCTTTATGTTTCTAATCATGTGTCGGGGGGGTGTCTATAACAGATAACCTATTCCACTGTCTATTGTGGAACCATTGAGAACTTTTTTTTTTAATTCCCTTGAGGATTGTCCTTTATAAACCACATCCATGTGGTGTGATTTGAGGAGCACTGAGAAGGGTAATGCATCATCAGCCTGACACCACCAGAGACCAGGACTTTGAAGGCACTTTGTGTCAGAGAGCAGGTGAAAAACATGGCTTCAGTAAGAGATGTGAAACCACAGGCATTAAAACCGACAAGCCAAAATAGCCTAGTTTGATGACCCGTTTTCTTTTAAAAAGTTTTCCTTGTTCATGGACCAGAGGCAGGTAGTGTACTTTGATTTTTGGCCCCTATAGAGTTCACTAGAATTGAACATTGTAAGTTAACACTTAAGATCTGGGACAATCAAAGCACATTGAACAATGCATGGACATTGTTCCATCTGTAATGATAAAAAATGAGTTAATATGCTACTTTTTATTGAACACTTACCATTATGCCAGGTATTTCACATTTAGTTTGCATGGTACCTTGTGAGGTAGATATCATTATGCCCAGTTTATAGCTGAGGAAACTAAGGTTTAGAGAGGCTAACTAACTTGCCCGCGTTTGCATGGCCAGTAAATGCAACAAGCTGGATTTGAATCCACGTCTATCTAGACTAAGAAGCCTATATGGTTAACCACTTGTAAAATGGGATAACAGTACCTACCTTAGAGATTTTTTAAGGATTCAATAAGATTAAAAAATCCAAAAAGCACTTTGTAATTGCTAATAAAGCTTTGTAGAGTGAAAGGCATTATCAGAAGTAGAAGACAATCTGCTACAGTGTCTCCCCATGACCATCTACCCTTCAAATAAATCCGAATGTCCTGGAGTTTGTGCCTTTGTCCTTGGCTTTCTGGTGAGTGAGAGTAGTTTATGTTTTGGGCATAGATTCTGAGAAGTAGGTCACTGGTTCTACTTATTCAGTGATATTTTCGAGTGTGATTTCTTTGCCATGTAGTTGAGAGGAGGAAAGAGATCGACAGTGTCTGTGGACACAGACCTGTGGGGCTCCCAGAATAATTTTAGACACAGTGAGAAATCATGTGTCTAAAATCATGTAAGGCTGTACCTTAACATGTATGTCATTTCTTCTATTTTCGTTTGTCATAGAAACCGATCTGCTCCTCCGTATAAAGGACATCAGTCATTTCTTAATGCAAGACATCGCCTTCTTGTCTGGTAAGCAAACTTTCTTATATATAGTCCAGATAGATATATGACTTGATTAGCAGTTAGTTTGGTACCTATTATATAAATAGCTCGCTCTCTATATATAGAGCTATTATATATATTCATTTGAGAAGCACTATTTCAATAAACATTTGTACATTGTGCACCTAGTTGCTAAACAAATGGACATTTAGAGAATAATTGGAGGTTTTAAGCATTTTAGATATATGAGTAAAACCGACCTTACCACTCTTATACATTTGACTTTCAGACGAGTCTTCAGAAATCTATGATAGTTGAAAGTAGAATATGTCTCCTAGGTGGTTGCAGGCTGGGTGGGAGGGGAGCAGCTGAGGTAGCTTCTTTGATTACTCAAATGTGTATTACAAATGGTGGCAAGTTGCACTAAATAATCAGCATGCACTAAGTATTTTTTTTTAGGATTTCATTTACACATTATAAAGAAAGTTGATTTTTCTCAAAGATGTATATACACTTGTATATAATTTTTAGTAATTATGGTAAAATAAATTTAACATACAACTTATCATTTTAACCATTTTGAAGAGTACAGTTCAGCGGCATTAAGTACGTTTACATTTTTGTGCCACCATTGCCACCACCATCTCCGGAGTTTCAGGTCTTGCAAAATTGAAACTCTATATCCATTAAACAATTACTCCCCGTTTCATTCCTTCCTCTCTCTAGCCCCTGTCAACCGCAATTTTACTTTCTTTCTCTATGAATTTGACTATCTTAGGTACCTGATGTAAATGAATCATAAGGTATGTGTCTTTTTGTGACTGGCTTATTTCACTTAGCATAAGGTCTTCAAGTTTCATCGATGTTGTAGCATGTGTCAGAACTTCCTTTTTAAGGCTGAATAATAATCCATTTTATGTATATTCCACACTTTGTTTATCTGTTCATCCATTGATAGATACTTTGGTTGCTTCTACCGTTTGGCTATTGTGAATAATGCCGCTAAATAGCATTACCCATTTTTAGAGACGTAACTATGGTAAACCATCCTGCCCCTTTAGCTTCTGGTCAGACTTTGGGGAAAGTTTTGCTTAAAAACAAGCAAATTACTTTCAGGTATTAGAGTAATTTGAATTATATCATTAAATATTACATTTAGCATATTAAACAGATAAAGAAAACTTACTGGTATATATTAATACATTGTTTTTATAAAGACGAATGCTTCTTAGGAGTACAAGAAACTATCTTATTCCTTCTAAATAGTTTAATTAATTCTCTGAAAAATGGCACTCACATGCTCAGTTTACTAAACAAGCTTTTACTTTATAAGTGATCCTAATTAGACACTTCAATCTGGCCTCTGCTTTTATTATCATTATTATTATTTTTAAAGACAACTTCTTGCTCTTTTGTCCAGGCTCCAGTACAGTGGTACGATCATAGCTCAATGTAACCTTAAACTCCTTGGTTCAAGTGATCCTTCCACCTCAGCCTCCTGAGTCACTGGAACTATAGGAGTGTGCCACCACGCCTAGCTAATTTTTATATTTTTGTAGCAAAAGGGTTTTGCTATGTTGCCTAGGCTGGTCTTGAACTCCTGGCCTCAAGCGATCCTCCTATCCTGGCTTCTCAAAGTGCTGTGATTACAGGCATGAGCCGTCGCACCCAGCCTGGCCTCTGCTTTTAAATGATTATAATTATACCTATGATAAAGCTTAATTAAAAATGATTCTAATTAGTGGTAACTGTGAATTAATGATGACTTAATTAATATGGCTTTATGTTTTATTTTATAAGTGGCAGAAATGTGTGAGTGTCAGTAAATTTAGCAGTATGTTACGTTCACTTTTAAGTTTTGGAGATTTTACTTAAGATTATCTGTGTTTTCCAAACCGTGTTCTAAATAGAACCATCCTCAGGGCTTGCTGCACCCATCCAGACCCCTCTCTACACCTTTCCTTCCTTAACTGCTTTTTGTATTTGTTTTAAAAATGCTTCTACCTATAGCTTCCTTTGAAGAAAGGGTTCCCAATGGTAAAAAATAATTAAAACTTCCTGATTTGGAATGTAAATATCTCTTTTGATCTCTTCTCATAAAGTTTACTCGTAGGACAGTACTTGTAGGTGTTCAGTGGTAATAATCATTTATAGATTAGTCAATGATAATTTACTCTTATAGGAGCCTTGCCACCTTTCCTTTGATAAGTGTAGTTTGCCTAAGTGCTAGATGGTTCTGTCCTTAACTAGAGTGCTCACCAGCTTGCTTGGCAAGTATGTAGTTATATTTAAGATATTTATTACATTATATATTACATATCATTTATATTACTAGTTCTATACCATACTGTATCTATAGAGGCCCTTTGCTTAAAGATTCACTAAATCTCTTGGTTCAGAATTGTACAGTTTCTCCTTTGAGTTTTTTAAAAACTCTTCAGTGGATGCCATTATTCTCAGTGATTATTTTCACTCTACTCTAATTCTGGAATATCATACAGTGAAGATTAATAACCCTTTGATTTAATACTTTGGACTAGTTTGATTAAAAAATAATTTGGGAATGAATACTGTCTCTCAAGTTTCCCTTGGTAAATATTGAGGCAAATAATTAATTTGATCTTTTTCCATGTGCACTAGAGAAGAAAGTGTATTCTGCTTTTGTTGGATGGAGTGTTCTAGAAATGTCAATTAGGTCATGTTGGTTGAGACTGTTGTTCAGGTATACAATATCCTTGCAAATTCTTTGTCTACTTGTTCTATCAATTATTGAGAGATGGGTGGTGAAATATCTGACTAAAATTGTGAATTTGTCTATTTCCTCTTGCCACTCTATCAGTTTTTGCTTTGTGTATTTTGAAGCTCTGTTATTAGGTGCATAAGCATTTAAGATTATGTCCCATTGATGAATCGACCACTTTATCATGATCAAATGATCATTTTAATATCTGGTAATATTTTCGACTCTGAAATCTACTTTGTCAAATATTAGACAGCTTTGTTTTGATTAGCACTGTCATGGTATATCTTTTTCTATCCTTTGCTTTTAATAATTTGTACTTTTATATTTAAAATGTGTGTTTCTTGTGGGCAGCATATAATTCAGTCTTTCTTTTTATCCAGTTTGATGATCTTTGACTTTTAATTGCAGTGCCTAGATCATTGACATTTTATGTGATTATTCATATGGATGGATTTAAATCTACCATCTTACTATCATATAATAAGCAAAATACAAATAGTGAGATGGTAGCTTTTCCCATTTGTCCCATGTGTTCTTTGTTTTCCTCCATTTCTGTCTTCTTTTGCGTTGAGTATTGTTGTGATTCCATTTTATATCCTTTTCTTTTTCTTTCTTTTTGGGGGGGGCGTGGAGAGACGGGGTCTTGCTCTGTTGTCCAGGCTGGAGTGTAGTGGCATGATCTTGGCTCACCGCAACCTTTGCCTCCCAGGTTCAAGCGATTCTCCTGCCTCAACCTCCGGAGTAGCTGGGATTACAGGCGTGCACCACCACACCCGGCTAATTTTTGTATTTTTGGTAGAGACAGGGTTTCAACATGTTGGCCAGGCTGGTCTTGTACTCCTGACCTCAAGTGATCCTCTGGCTTCGGCCTCCCAAAGTGCTGGGGTTACAGGCATGAACCACTGTGCCCGGCCTGTATCCTTTTCTATTGTCATATTTTTATTGCAGATTGAATTAAAAATATTTTTACATCTTTATTCACTTAAATTCAGCCAAATAAAAATTACAACTGAACTAAAAAAATTTCTATTGCTGAGCTAATTTCAAAGGCCACCTTGCAACTTTCCTCCTAAAATAATTCTTCAGATTCTATTTGGCACTTAGTATTTATTGAGCATTCGCTCTCTGTGTAGGTGCTAGGCTGGCTGCAGATGTGAACCTTAAACACATGTAAGGCTCATCTCTGCACTTAAGTGGCTTTCGTTTTCAATATTTCTCATCCTTCAGGCTGCATAGAGGGCTATTGGGCTGGGTGGAGAAACGGGTAGAAACCAAAATGAAAGCCCAGAGCTGGTGCAATCATTCCCTCACCAAGAACCCCTATGACAGTTACCATTATTCCTGGTTCCTATGGAAATGGGCTTAGGGCAGCCTCACCTATGAGCACTGGGATCCATGCTTTCCAGGAGTCAAGGTCACCCACTTGGTCAAGATACTGCTGGATGCAACTGCTCCAGGTTAATGGCTGCATGGGTCTGCGGGGAGCTTCCACAACCCTACACCTCTGCCTGGACCCCTACCCAGGCTGAACATTGAATTTTGACCCACAGATAATTTGTGATCTTTCTTTGCATTAATAAAATTCCTATGTCATTCCTGCCATCATTCCTTTTGTTGTTTCTTCCATAAACACATTAGACCATCACCTATTTCCTATAGGGTGCTCTGTATCTTTTCCTGCTCACCATGACACTAAGAGATCGATTATATCAAATTTTCCACTTGCTGTCAAGCCATCATTCACTCATTTTAAATTTAGGCTCATTGGTATAGAAACAGTTATTTCCCAACCCCTTGGTTGTCCAGATTGGGGAATCAGCTATTTTCCACTGTATTTATTATATGCATTTCATGACATTTTCTTCTGACTATATTCATTCATTTTACTCTCTTTCTTTTTCTTTTTTTATTGAGAAACTACTCTGCCACCTTTTAAACTTAAAGTGTCAGGAACTTGGAGCCATTTTGGTTTTATGTGGAGATCATCATCTTTGCAAAAAAGTTGTGTTGCTGCAAAACAGTATTCAAATCTAAAATCCTCTTCTTGCTTCGTTGTTATATACATTTTTAATTCAGTTGATTATTTTTCTATTGTTGTAGGTGGCCGGGGAAAGGACAATGCTTGGATCATTACGTTTCCAGAAAACTGTAATTTTAGATGTATACCAGAGGAAGTAATAGCAAAAGTACTTACTTACCTGACATCTATTGCAAGGTATAGTATTTCATTACATTTTTTTCAATTCGCTTTATATCAGATATCCATCTGAATGTCATAACATGAAAATGGCTTAATATAGCTATTATTATCATGGTGAATAACCAACTGACTTAACTTCAGAGTAGATAAGAAGTACAACTTAGAAGGAGAAGCTGGCAGCTACCTAAATTGTTACAAAAATTATCCTGAGAATCTATGAAAATAAAATTGGGGATCTAGGAGTATTTGTTCCCATCAAAAAGAACATAGGTTGAGAACGATGGTCATACATATATGCTTTAATTTGCTTAAAAGGAAATATTACCAGCCAAGAGTGAGTACAGCCATTTTTCATTTCTTCTGAATATAACACAAGAAGACTGAATCTTAAGTAGATTCAATAGTGGTACTGGGAGATACTAGGAGGAATGTCTTGAAATTAAAAATTATTTGGAACTAGAATGCTTTAAAATGGAAAGTTTAAAAAGGTTTCTTAGAGATTTTATGTGTGTTAAAGACAAAATTTTCAAAGGAAGAATTTTCTAGTTACTAACCCTGAAGAACAAGAGGACACAAATCTAGGATGATAAAATTCAAAGTCTCATGAACAAAAATCAAATCTCAGAAAATGAAACTTACAATGTACCTATTGAAGCTTGAAAGTGATATTTTTAGGGCAAATAGAAGTTATATTTTCCATTAAACTGCATTTCCTCAGGAGCAGACTAGAGTTAGAAAAATAGATTTAGCAGTGTGATTTTGAATGAGTGAATGGATCATTGACTCATGATGGATTGCATGGAAAGTTAAATCTGATATCATGAAGGACACTTATCTTTTGAGTTTTCCCACACCCAAGATTACAGTATTCTAAATCAATTTTAGTGACCTATCTTCATTACACTATCACTTTCCTATTTAAAAGATTGACATTAATGCTGCAAAAGAAATTTTAAATAGTGAGTAAGGGAATATGTATTCAGATTAGTTTTCTAAGATAGGACTTTGTGATAGCTTTCCAATTCCAAATCTGTCTTCAGTCAAGACATCAAATGTAGATGAAATAATCAGAAATAGAATGAAGGCATATATAACAAATTTGCATTATTATTAAGAAAAAGTTCTTATTTCTTCTTATCGTTCAGGCAAAATGGATCAGACTCCCGGTTTACCATTATTCTGGATCGAAGATTGGATACATGGTCTTCTCTCAAAATCTCTCTCCAAAAAATCTCGGTAAGTATCTATGCATTATACAGTAACTTTTTATTTTTGTTTTATATTATACTTTCTGTTTTGGGAGGTATAGATTACTTTGGTACTGACGGAGACAATAAAAATTGATGGAATGTGAGGAGGGAAAGTAGAAGGAGAGGTTGTAGCAGAGACTGAGATAAATAACTCTACCCAAAATAAAACCTAGTAAGAATGAGTGAGTAGTTTGTGGCTCCAGTTATGAGTGAGAAGAGATTCATGGTTCTATGTGCCTTTCAGGACAAGGCAAGTTTTTATGGAAGCTTTTTAAAATTATTTATTTATTTATTTATTTTGGTGGAAATAGCTGTGTTGCATACTCGTATGTGAAAAAGTATAAAGAAGAAAGTTTAAAACAATAGTAATCCAACCACCCCAAAATAAGCAGTTTTTAACATTTCAGTGTACAACTTTCTAGATTTGTTTTACCCTAGGATAGGGTAGGGAGATGAGTCACATATAAAATGATATATAACTTCCCTACTGGTATCTAGTCCCCAGGTTCCCAAGACCCAGAGAGAGAAACATTTTCTCTAATTAAAATAACGAGAGGTACAATTCTGCCCATGACCAAGATAATCTTTTACACTTTTAGGCTCACAAGGGTATCACAAAATTGTTTGACACTTCACTTTCATAGACGAGGAGGGAGATGAGGGACCCCCAGACTCCTTCTGAGCTGGCAAGATATGGGCTCTCTGTGGAAGTGCCATGTGGCCAACTTCCTCTATCAGACTAGAATAGCTGGGAATCAATATATTTTTTTTCTTTGAGATTCCAACATTGCCAGCCATCTGAAATTCTTACTTTGTCTCCTGACTGATTGAGGAGGTCACGCCCACCACAAGAACTTGATTTAGTTGCAAAGGCAAAACAAAAATCTAGGTTGTTGGACTTCCAAGCCAATGTTCTAGCACTTGCAAGGTAAAATGGGTAAGATCATTATTCTTTTAATACTCAGAATGAATTATTCCTCACTTTGGACAAATAAGCAAAAAGTGGTTTCCTGTTTATTTAACAGAGGTGTTTAATCATTAGCAGTGGAGAGAAGAGTTAACATTAGATATACTCAAATTACTAAAATAAAATAGAAGAAAATTTGACTTTCTATAGCATATTAGTGCTTTTTCAAAAGCATTCACATTTATTAAGTATTGTTGATTCTCTTCATTTCCTGATTAAGTACTGCAAGTAGGTATCACTATAATTGTCTTATAGATGATGAAATCACATTGATATTTATACTTTGGAATGGCTATGTGATGAATCCAAGCTCAAATAGCCAAGTAACCAAAAAAGCCAGAGCAAGAATTGAAATGTCAAGAATTCCAGTTGGTGATGGTTTCTATCATTTTCCAATTGGCTTACAAATAGACAAATACATTCAATGTTATTTAGATAAAGGTAAAATTTCTTTTGAGAGATTAGATCTGTCCTCCATATACAATTGAGCCTTATCAGTGGGGCTAAATAAAGTAAAAGCTATTTCCCTTGCTCCGGTCTTTTAGGATTGGTCCTTGGGCTTGCTGAGTAGACCTTGGTTTATGCTAATAATTGCTTCTCTTATACTAAATAAAGCACTTGTTACATTAGAACATTTTTTATCACCCAGGTTTTTTTCTTTTGGCCAACACTGCACCCGCCTGATTAAATTAATTTTCATTTTGTGACTGGTTTGGCACCTGACGTTAGTTTTTTTGGTAGAGTTTTATTTTTATTATTCAAAATAGGTGGCTTGTAACAGAGGTTCTATTTTTCATAAAAGAGAAATATAAGATTAGGTCATGATCCTGTCATTTTGAAGTCAACAGAGGGTAATTACTTGTCTACCGGGGAGTGATACTCCTCTTTCTGTATTCCCAGGGCTGCTTTCTCAGTGGAGAATTTTGACCTATGCTCAGTAAAGAACTTGGATCCCAGGGTCCCTTTATTTTCATAACTGCCAAATTGATCGTGCTGGGCAAGGGAGGGGTACAGATTCTGACCACATGTAACTGGCTATAGGTTGTTTTAGGTGTTTCTTTTTTAACATGTTAAATGTTTTTGCTTGTGGTATAGTTTCTATACTCATACTCAAGAGCACATTAATTACATCTCAACCATTAGTAACTGTTGGTTACTGTTTGAAATAAAGGTAAATATTGAATGCAAGCTAATTTCAAGTGCAAAAGTTGGCATTCAGAAAGGATTTCTAGTGAAATCTACCATTGTGTAGCTAGGTATAATTGCCTGTGGTGTATTATTTCAAACAAGTGTCTGTGAAATAATCATACAATTCAATTTGAATACCTTTATTTGTAGATTTCAAAACAAATAAAAGCATTTAGGTTGTATTTCATAATTAATGAGAGGAGACTTTATTTTAGTTATACATTTTGGGGAAAGGTTAATTTGGGAGAGAATTGTATCCGTCTTAGAAAGTTTGCATGTTCTATTCTTTCTAGATTATTACCAGGACAAAATTTTGCAAACTATAGCCTTTCACAAGGCTTAAACCCAGAATACAATAACAGAGAAAACAAAACAGAATTGAAATTTAAGTCACATACCAGGGTAGGACGAGAGTAAAAAGCATGAGTTAATACTACCTTCACAAAGATTCTTAGCATTCCACCTTAAAAATCAAACTGCGCAGAGGAGAAAGCCAGTCCCATCAAGCCTGCTCCTAGGAAGAGAGCTGGTTTTTTTTTCCTCCTCCTTCCACTCTTAGGACATGCCTGATCTTCTTGAGCAGTCCAGCACAAGCTAATCCACAAGGTTCAATCAGGCTAAGTAATTGGAGGAATGTGTTAACTCTGAATTACAAGGAGCAGAAGGGAAGGATCTGTCAGCTGACTAATCAGGGATAGTGGTTTTTTTTTTTTTTTCCTCCCCAGCATTGCTGCCACTGTGCTAATGGAAGCAGCCACGGCAGCTTTGTTTGATAGAGATTTTTGGCTGCCGTTTTTAAATACTACCCAAGAAGCAGCTCGTATTTCATCAACGTTGCGTTGACAATTGGAAAAGAAAAGTGTAATTGCGTACAGGCGAAATGGCAGAAGCAAATCCCCGGAGAGGCAAGATGAGGTTCAGAAGGAATGCGGTAAGGGCTCTGTCTGCACTCCTGGAAAGCCTGTTCCCAAGTTCAAGTGCTGGGATGCTGCAGCATGGTGCTATAGCACAAACTGCTGAGTAGGGTTTTTAAGGACAGATGGAGAGAATGGAGACTTATATTTGCATGGATTGCATTGATGTGATTACTGTGATATTGACATAGGGTAATTTTCAGGCAATTGAGGGGGTAGAATATAATTTCAAAATCTAAATGTCATCAGGTTTATGAATGAGCACCTTAGTCATGTTATTCGTTTAAGACTGTATGAACAATTTTGAATCATTGGACAGCATAGCTTTAAATAATGACTTAAAACAATATCTAACAAAAGGATTCATCCTTTCTTTCACCATGATCAAGTAGAGTATATTGCCATGGATAGGTCTGGAGGGGATTCCATCATCACTTAAAAATGCAGCCTTTCCTGGGTGTTACCGTATAAGTGAATAAATTTAAAATCTGTAATGATTTGAAATCCTTATGGTTTCAATTCTTCTCCAAACTGAAACTTCGTAGGTACAAAATTGTCACCTGCTGACAACTTTTTTCTTTTAGGGAAAAAGACAGTAACTCACTTTTCAATATAGACTAGAATTTGGAAGTCTCTCCTCTCAGGTACATTTCATGCAGTCTTTTGCCTAAATTTTCCCTTCATTCATTTATTCATATAGTAAATTCCCAGCAAATTTCTAATGTGATCTTTAGATGTATTTTGGAGAAATGTTGAAATAACACTAGCTAATTTAATAAAAAACTAATCATCAAAAAGGCTTTAAATGCCACTCTTTTTCTTTCAAAGATTAATATAATGTTATTGATGTTATGGTTTAAAATATAAACTTGCTCACTAAAAATATCGAGATAACACACACACACAGATAAGAAGGTAAAAATTGACCATAGGAAAAAAATGACAGTTTGAATTAAAATTATGATAAGGAAAGTAAGACTTTTATTATTGTTGAATGACAGTGAACATCAATAGGTGTGTAAATGATTTATTTTCTAATAAAGCTCTTAGCACAGACTGCTATTTTAAAAACTATAGTTGGCTTTATTTTGACAAAATTATATCTTTGGCTCTATACATGTTTTTATATTATGAGAATATAGATTCAGACTTTTAACAGACGATTTATGGTGCACAAGAAATGTTTGTGTATGTACTTTGCAGTATTGTAGGCAACTGATATTAGCACTTTTGTTATCAAAGGTTAACTTAAGCTTTCAGAAAGTTCCTAATTATATATATACATATATTTATATATATATTTATATATATATATATTCTCAGTGCTGAACTTAGTTTTATGTCTATACACATGCATTAATATACACACAATAAATACAGCACAGGGGTACTCACTGAATAGACATATCTAGCACTGTGATATATACAACATAAGTTACAAAGGTAAATATGGAATGGCTACTGGGCTGAAGGAACTCTCAATCTAATAGAAAGGGTAAGACATGTTCGTAAATGACTATTTTGAAAAGAAATTCTGGCTGGTGGAGAAGGCCTTATACAGGAGATGGCATATGTTTGGGTGTTAAGTAAGAGTATATGTTGCTGTTACCTTTCCTTGATTCTTTCCTGTGTTTTTTTTTCTCATAAATGAATTAAGTGATATGTAGGAACAGATATGAGTGGGATTAATTGGATTAATTCTGAAGCCTAGAACTATAGTAGAAGACACATATGCTTTCCTTATATGGATAGGACTTGACCAGAGTAAAGAATTTGAACCTTAGCTAGTAAAAAAATGGTTTCACCTTGAAGGGTCTCTGGAATTGGGCTGATTCTGGAGGCTGTGGACAGGTAACATCTAAAAGGATGGTCCAATGCCACTTGAAGTCCAAAAAAATGTTTGAACTAGTTACTTGGTAGAAATTTCAATGACTGTAGCTGAGTGAGAGAGAGGGGAGGAGAATAGATATATATGTGACGAAAAGGGCAAACCACAAGGAAGGAGTATTGCTTTGGGCTATCCTCCTGACGTCACTTGACAAGTTGCTTGACAACTCATACTGTCTGTACTTTTTAAGGTGGGGATATGGGGGGAAGAGTGTGGAAGTGGCTCATACTGTTGCAAACTATTCTCTATAGCTTGAGGTCATGAGATTTTTTTCCCAACATATTCTGCAGAGATGGTTCAGACCTTATGAAAGTCAAGTGCCTGTCAGCATCTCAACATTTGTCTGACAGTAAATTATGATACTTTCCTTTTGGTGGACTGTATATGCTAAATTGTTTCCAGCAACTTGTTTCAAATGTTATTTGTCCCATTTTGGAAACATCAAGGTCAAATCATCCCTGAATGGCAAACAGTAAATCCGAGTGTGCATTCAGTCTATGAGGTGTTAAGTGTCTAGAAAGAGTTTGCCCTTAGGATCCAGATAGGCCGTACTACCGCTGCTTACCAACTGTGCTTCAGTTTGCTCCTCTGTAAAAAGGGAATAATATCCAGTTTACTGCAATGTTTTGAAGGCTAAATAAGATAATATATATATAAGAAGTCTGACACATACATAATGGCTTTTAGTCAAGGGTCTCTCTTATTGTTACTGCCTTTCTTTACCCTAAAGATTAAATAGGAAAAGCTATAGGAAAATAAATTATTTTTATAGTAAGTAACCAAACTTTTATGTTTTATAAGTTACTTTAAACATTCTAGAAATAATAACTAGAATAACTGAAAAGTGTGCATAGGGTGATGAATTGCCTCCCTTAGAGAGCACACACAAGAGTATTAAACAAGGTTAATTTCTAGACTTCGGTAGTGAAATGATGTATTTGGTTTACGCCTGCTCTTGTTGTTATTGTTGTTGTTACTGCTGTAAGATCATAGAACTAGGCAATCTGGAAGTACGTGTGAGTAAAAGGGAGTAAATCTGTTCTCTGGGAGGGAAAGATGAGAGGGAGCTTATTTTGTGCTCGTTACCTTGAAGAGCCTGTAAGAGCTGCTGCTGAGGGCTGGGGTGGGACCACGTACAGTGATTGGACACATGGCTCCGAGTCCTATGTGATAGGCAGCTGGTTCGCTTTTACTGAGATGTCTTTAAGCAGTCACATGCTGGAACTCCAGAAAAATGTCTGCGAGAACCTAAAACCAATGCTGTTTCCTCTCTCGTGCAAACTATTTTTTTAAAAAAGCAAAAACACATTGAAATAAAACAAGACTAACCTTTGCCCAAATCCCTTTGCTTTTTTGACAAGTTCTCAAAAATGAATTATACTTTCAAAATCTCAGTTTTTATTTTGGGGAAAAAGAAATTGTGCTTTTTCATGTTTATATAACCATACAGATTAGAGGTTCTTAAAGCAGCATACCCAAGAATTTAGAAATATAATATTCCCAAACCAAAATGGGAAAGTTCACTGGTCTTGAACTATATTTGCTTTGATATGTGCATCTGATACCCTATGCTGTTTGATTGTTCATTTAAATACTAGCTTTAAAATGGATTATCTTGAGAATTTTAGTTGTTACAAATATTGGTATATAGAGAAAAAGTACTCTCTATATATACTTATATGTATATCAACATAGATACATACAAACTAATCTTAAATGTATATGGCTTGTCAGGTTAAAATTGCTCAAGAGTGTTCTGTCCCCTCTAGATTCTCATAGCCGGCAATCACAGATAAGGACGTGTCCATATTATTGATATTGATTGATGTTCAGATCTATGAAGCTTTTTGGTTCAGAGGTTGCAAATTGTCAGTGCACAGATGCGTTTTGTTTAGAGTATGCAGCATTTTAACAAACTTTCAATTTGTTTTCCATCTTTAAACATCTGGGCTTTGCATGACAATCTGGATTTCTGTCTTCTCTTGAGAAACCAAAGAGTTGGCAATGCTGGGCCCACCTTGCCACATGACAACATGTAGCTGGAACTGATTTATGAGTGAACTGACTTATGAGTGCCCTCTGCTTTGAATGTTCTCCAGTTCACCATGGTCCCCACCACTTCCTGTTGCTCCTCGTCATATAGGAGGAGTATGAATTGCTATTTTCCACCTAATTTAGGCTGTTCTTTAATTAAGCCTACTTCACATTTACATTATCTCCCTAACACATGGTAGGCATTCAAGTTTGTCACCTCTGCTTTAGGTCTCAGGTTTAGATTCTCAACCAACCTGATTCTTGTGTCATCCCTGCTATAACTTCTGCAAATTCCTCTTGTTGACTGAGTCTAGTTCAACAGGCAGGTGAAGCGGGGTTTTAATTCTGCTACTTATGTGCTAGAAGGTCTTGAAAAATTGCCTGACCTCACAAAACCTCAATGTGTTAGTTCCCTATTGCTGCTGTAATAGATTACTACAAACTTAGTGGCTTAAAACAGTGAAAATGTATCATTACGGTTCTGGAGGTCAGAAGTCCAAGATTACCCAACTGGGCTAAAAATCAAGGGTCAGCAGAGCTGTGTTCCTTCTGGAGTCTCTAGAGAAGAATCTGTTTCTTTGACTTTTCTAGCTTGCAGAGATCGTCCACATTCCTTGGTTTATACCCCTGCATCACTTTGACCTCTGCCATCACATCTTCTTCTCTGACTCTCCTGCCTCCCTCTTATCCTAATGATTACATCGGTCCCACCATGATAATCCCGGATAATCTCCCCATATCAAGATCCTTAATCACATTTATAAAGTCTCTTTTACCATATAAGATAACATATTACCAGGTTCCAGGGATTAGGATGTAGACATCTTTGAGGATAATGGCACTCAGTTTCTCCAGTTGTGAAATGAGGACAAAAATAGAACCTACTGCATGTAAATACTTAGCACAATGTCATAATAGTGCTCTTTATGGGCATAATTCTAGTAGTATGCATTCAATAAATGACATTTCCACCCCTGTCCAACTCTCCAATCTCCTTTCCCTACCTTAAAGCTTTGAGAGGTCCTGAATATATAAATATACATAAATATACGTATTTTTTTTGCTAAAGAGAAGCTATGAAAAGTAGTCATAAATGTCATACTTTAAAAGTGTGACAGTTTGGTAGGCACCTGTTATGGTCTGGGTTAAGTGAATGGGAGTGGGATTAAAAATTCAGGTATGTCTTATTCACGTGTGGGCACGAGGGATGAAAACAACACACCTGGTCTAAACTATATGATTTAGTTTTCTAGAAAAATAACTGACAAATCAGATGAATTGTTTGAGTGCCACCTGATTGCTCTGATTGCTTAGTAGTTGTGTAGCTATTGCCTACAAGTTATTTAGTCTCCCAAATGGCTACTAAAATTGGGAGTAACTATTGGGTTAACAGAATCCATGTGCTCTAGGAAGATATGCAAAAAAGATTATAAAATTGTACTATAAACTATAACAAAAAATATTGTAAATGTTATTATGTAGTCAATAAATGAAGTTTTCATCCTTTGATGGTGCATTTTCTTTAAAAGCCCAAGTTTTTCTGGGCTTTTTGTGACAAGTGAATTACTAAACATTTTGAAGGAATTAAGGAATGAGAAGGTATGCTAAGATAATCAGAAGGTTTTACTTAAGAATGAACTGATTAGCATATAGAATTATCTTTAGAAGCAACTTATATAGCCGTCAATGTTTGGGATAATCCACTTTATTAAATAGAGCAATAACAGGTTTAATAAACATCCAACATAAAATCCCTAGCTTATGAGCAGCTGAATACCCCTACCCCTGCTTAAAATCACTTCCCCACTCATCTTGCAGACGGTGATTTTCCTTCTCTCTCCTTTCTTTCTACTTTGTTCCCTGCTATGTGATCAGCTGTCTCTGGACCTGGCTGCTGGTACAGCCTTGCTCTCCTAGGAATGGCAGAGTAGAGAGCAGGGCCTTACCTCAGGCAGAGAGTTGCTACATAGCTCTCTCTATTCCCATAGTATCCTCCCATCCCCTCCTCCCTCACACATAATTTTGGAGATGGGTGAGTACCCCTGGCTTGAAGTCAGCCCCAGGTTCTTGTATCCAGATAATTCTAGATACAAGAGAATATGAGATTAAGGGAAGTCAGAGAGAGAAAGATGAAACCAGATCAACTTAGAATCCATGAAAGAATAAAAGTAATTTTGCTTTAAATGTTGGCAAAAGTAGGGTGCTTTCAATTTCATTTAAAAGTGAAAAAATAAACAGGTTCAAGGCAGGTGAGTATAATAATATAATGGGAATTTACCCAGGTGAAGAAAAAGGAAAGGCTTAACTCCTAAAATTAAGGGAGTAAAAATAGAATCTGTGCTTTCCACTTAAAAATAGGCCAAAAGTTCCCACAAGTCCCTGTCAGATTCTTCCCTTAAGCTAGCCTTTATCCATATCCCTAAAGTTTTCTACCCAAACCTGCTTGTTCTGACGTCCGAGAATCCAAGGCAAAATTTTAAAACTATCTTATTAATATTTTTTACAGTTTAAAAAGTGCCTTTTCATGTCCTTGGCCCACTTTTTAATGGGGTTGTTTGTTTTTCTCTTGTAAATTTGTTTAAGTTCCTTAAATACTGCATGTTCTCACTTATAAGTGGGAGCTAAATAAGAAGTTATGAACACAAAGAAGGAAACAACAGACACGGGTCTACTTGAGGGTGGAGGGTGGGAGGAGGGAGAGGAGCAGAAAAGATCACTATTGGGTACTGAGCTTAATACCTAGGTGAAGGAATAATATGTACAACAACCCCCACTGTGACACGTGTTTGTCTCTGTAACCTTTGCATATACCCCCAAACCTAAAATAAAAATTTTAGAAGTGCCTTTATATTCATTATTTCTTTTAATTCCTGTAATAACTGGAAAACATATATATATATTTTTTTTCGGCAGAGTCTCACCCTGTTGCCCAGGCTGGAGTGCAGTGGCATAATCTCAGATCACCACAGCCTCCACCTCCTGGGTTCAAGTGATTCTCATGCTTCAGCCTCCCCAGGAGCGGGGACCACAGGCGTGTGCCAACACACCCGGCTAATTTTTTGTATTTTTAGTAGAAACGGGTTTTCACCATGTTGGCCAGGCTGGTCTCGAACTCCTGGCCTCAAATAATCCTCCCACCTCAGCTTCCCAAAGTGCTGGGATTACAGGTGTGAGCCACCGTGTCCAGCTGGAAAATACATATTATACTTAACATAAAATAAAATATACATTACGTACATAATAGAAGGTAGGATATACATTACCGTTGGAACTCTCTGTTTCTCTGTCTCTCTCTGTTTCTGTATACATGTTAACTTTATTCTTTTCAATGTTTCCCCAGCAGCAGGGCTCTTGGCAATCTGCTGCTTTTGAATGGCATCCTCAAAGTTTCCTTCACTCAGTATTCGTTTGAAAATTCTAGGGCAGGACTTCTTTGGCCCTGCTTACATCAAATGTTCATACTTATGTTTTTTCTTTTTCTTTTTTAAAAAGATGAGGTCTCGCTCTGTCGCCATCATGGCTCACTGCAGGCTCAACTTCCTGGGCTCAAGTGATCCTCCCGCCTCAGCCTCCTGAGTAACTGGAACCATAGGCGCATGCCACCATGACTGGATAATTTTTAAATTTTTTGTAGAGATGGGGTCTCACTATGTTGTCCAAGCTGTTCTGGAACTCCTGGCCTCAAGTGATCCTCCATCCTCGGTCTCCTAGCCTGTTGGGATTACAGGCATGAATCACCATGTCTGGCCCTAATCATACTTCTAATCACTATTAATCATTGTGTGTTGGAAGGGCAGGGCCGTGTAGGAAAATAAGAGTTCTCATTTGGAACCAATGTGTAGAATAATAGAAGGGGGAGTCGTTTCTCAGATGAAGGGAGAGAGTAACAGTCATGGCCTCCTGGGGGAATTATGAGTTGGACAGCCATCCCAATTTATGTATATTGATAATCATTGTTTAATTTATTGATTTAATTTTATGCTCTTTTAATTTACTTATTTGTGCTTATCACACTCATTTCTCTTTCATTTACTCTAGTTCTCATTGCCACTTAACATTTTATGTTTTATCACCATCTCAAATTGAATTAGGAAAATCCCCAGTTTTGAGCATCATTTCCCAAAGAGTCTATGTTTTATACCCTGGTGGAAGTTACTTTTTTCTTTTATTTTAAAATAGACTTTATTTTTTTAGAGCAGTTTTAAGTTCACAACAAAATTTAACAGGAAGTACAGAGAGTTCCCATAAACTCCTTGCCCCACAGTATCTTATTCTTAGTTTATAGTTTTGTTTAATTACTAGTATTGTAATATGCCTGAAATATAATTGCAGTTGGAACATTTTTCATATATTTTGCTCTATTATGCTCTAATCTGCCATCTTGAGGCTGATGGCTCCTGATTCTCCACTTTTAGCCTAGACTTCTTTCCCTTCTTAATTGTACAAACAGCTATCCGAAGGACATCATCTGGATGTCCTGCTGACCCTTCCAACCTAACGTGTATATGAATGGAGATCAGAATCTTGTTTCCCTTCTTAAAACCTGTTTCTCTTGTGTTTCCCATCTCAGTGAAGGTTGTACTATTCAACCAGTTACTCAAGCCCCAAATCTGGAGTTTGATCCTCCTAGTACCTCCTTTCTCGGCAAGTACATCAAGTAGTTATGTCTTGCTGATTGTGCCTCCTAAATTCTACTCTTATTCCTGGTATCATTACTTTAGTTCAGAAACTCATCATTCCTGGCTTGGATTACTGTACCAGCCTCCTAGCTCATCTGTCTGCTTCTACTCTTGTTCAAATCCAGTTCTTCCCAAAGCCAAAGTGATCTTTCTAAAATGCAAATTTGACCATGTTGTTCTGATGCTCAAAACCTTTTAGAGACTCCCCTTACCTCCAGGAAAAAAAAACCCATGATCCTTTCTGATGTGGTTCTGGCCCGTTTTCCCAACACCATCTCCCATTGTCCCCCAGTGTCATTTCATCTAGCTCTCTTGACTAGGGCCTTTTCAGGAGGTGGAGTAGTTTAGTGATTAAGAGCACAGACTTAGGGGCAAATGAAGGCTTTGCCAGCTGGGGGAAGGTATCCTTAAACTCTCTGAGTCTCACTTTCTTTATTTGTAAAAGTGAGTAACCTAACTCCTTCATAGAATTATTATGAAAAGAATTTATGATAATATTGGCAAAATGCTTTGCACAGAGTAAGCATTTAGTACGTGGTGATTTGTTATTAAAATTGGGATATGTTACTCCGTTCTCCACTTATTTTGCAATGTGTCCTCCTTCTTTGTCTTTTGAATTCTTTAGTGTAGCAGTTATTTTTGACTGCATACTATGTGCCAGCAAGTTCTAGACGCTGGGGAAACATTGGTGAACTAGAACAACATTCTGATCCAGTTAACTCCTCGTTATGCTTCAAGATCTTTTTGACCTTCCTATGTCTCGGAGAGTTTGTGCTATCATTTCCCCTTGTATATTATTCTAATTCCTTTGATTACTTATCAATTTAGTTAAAGAATTGCTGATTAGTAATGGACTCTGCAGTTGAACTGTTGGGTAGAGATTGTGTTTTCTTAATTTGTGAACATTCAATGCCTAACAGAGCTTGATATTCATTTAAATACATGAAGTAGACACATAGAAGATGTTCAGTAAATATTGATTGGATTAAAATAAAAATATAATCCCATAATAAAGTTTTCTTTCATTGTTTAGTGTAAATACACAGACAAAAACCCTTTGACTTTTAGGGTTATCCTAGGAAACTGCCACCTAATTCTATTTGTTTTTATAGGAAATAAGTGCAATTTGAGTTCAAATAACTCTAAAATAAGATTTAGAGTCTATTTCTTCATAAGGTTGGATCTACTTCTTTAGTGTGAGAAAATTTCGTACCAGAAGTGTTGCAAGGATCTGACCTGGAGCCTTACATTATTTTTCTATTTGCATGTTTTTAGATTTTATCAATATCCATTTGTAAAGTGTTGGCCTTTTACTGGCTTTTATGAATTTAAAATTTGTTTCCTTCAGTTACATATTTTCTGATATGTGCTCAGTTGAGTGTGTGTTGACAATTTTTTTTCCAATTTCTTTTGTTCTTTCTTTCTACAGGCTTCCTTCCCTGGGAACTTGCACTTGGTTTTGGTTTTACGTCCTACCAGCTTTCTTCAACGAACGTTCACAGACATTGGATTTTGGTTTAGTCAGGAGGATTTTATGCTTAAATTACCAGTAAGAGTATATTATTTAAATGTTTTGTTCCTCTAATTCTCATGAAGACCTGTACCATGCTGTTTATATTTTACATGTGCCCATGTGTCATTTAAAAGAAAAAAATTAAAATGTCTTTTAAAAGTATACATTTGAAATGCCCAAAAGTCTTTCACTTCTACCATTTGAAAAAGAAATCGATTCATCAATTTATAACAAAGCAATTACTTTTGCAAAAAATATATGTCATATATGTTATATATATGTGTATATATGTATGTGTGCATGTGTGTATATGTATGTGCGTGTATGTGTATATAAGCAGGAAATTTTATTTTTAGTAAAATTGAGTGTATGTTTTATGTATTTGAACTCCCGTGAACTTACATCCTGAGCTAGTCCAGAGTACCATGACTTTTTAAAAATATTTTTGTTTGTTTTTAAGGTTAGGAATAGGGTGCTCATAAATTTTGATACTTTTGAAAAGGTCAGCCCCTCCTGATAAATTATAACTTACTACATAAAGTCCTTTTCTTTGTTGTGAGCATAGCATTCTTTTAGAAGCTGGACCATTAACAATGCAAACTTTTAGATGGAGGAAAATTAGGCGTTTTGGTTTCTGTGGAGATTGATTTAGCTTTACAGAAAATGTTTTGTAAATAGAAACTGTTATTATCTGAAGAAGGTAGCGCATACATGTATGGGGGCATGTACAGGAGAGAACTGTTAAAACCATTTATCAGAGGTAACTTTCTGCTAAATGTATGCCAAAGTTCATTTTACAGTTTAATGGAGGGATGGCATGAAGGGCAGTTAACAGTATCTTTTTTGCTTATTTATATAGGTTGTTATGCTGAGCTCAGTTAGTGATTTGCTGACATACATTGATGACAAGCAATTAACCCCTGAGTTAGGCGGCACCTTGCAGTACTGCCACAGTGAATGGATCATCTTCAGAAATGTATGTTGTCTTTGCCCTTACTGTAGAGCCTATAGTTCTTCATGTTAGCCTTTAAATCTAGTTCTAGAATTCTTTCCTATTTGAAAAAAACAAAACAAAACAAAACAAAAAAACCCCAGCTTTCTGGGCCCTCATTTTTCACATACATATAAATTCAACATCTTGGTTTTCTTCCATAGGCAATATCTAGAAATGATGAGCAGTCACTGAGGATGGCAATTGAAGGAGAATCCTAGGGAATAAGGAGATCATACTCTGCCCATCCCCTCCTGTGGCTATATAGTAACTTGAAGAAATGAAGGGTTTGGATTCAAATCCTGGCCCTGCTGATTTTTAGTTATATGACCTTGGTCAATATACATAACCTCTCTGAGTCTTAGTTTTCCTAACTGCAAAATGGGACTAATAATACCTTACCTCACAGGGATCTTAAAAAGACTAAATGAGATAGCAAAAGTAAAATGTTTTACACAGTGCCTAGCATATGGCAAACCGTCAATAAGTGCAAATAGTATTATTAATCTCATTATTCTAGTGATGCTTCTGAGGCATTTAAATTTGTAGCAAAGACTGTACTTCTGTTTTAGAAATTTACAAATAGGCAAGGGCCCTGCACCTCCCAAGTATGTCTGTGGTATATGAGTATCTTGACTTCTAATCCCAGAGATAGGGGAACCCTTCTGAAGAAATTAATGATGTCCCATTAAATTAGGATTCCATTTTCCTCATACTTGTTCTTCACTCAACATTTCATTCATTAATTCATTTAACAATGCATTCATTCAACAATTCATTCATTCACATGAAGATGTATTGCCAAAATTAGCAATGCCTAGCCTTTAATAACCTGTAATGCTATAAATAAACAAGCAAATATTTTGATATGCATGGTTAACAGATGGTCATATGGTCTCTACATTTTGCCCTTCTTTCTCAGAGTAATTGATTTTAGAAACAAAAGAAACAACAAAACCGTACTTACCATTTTATGGCAACAAAGGCTTTGGGGCCACCATTCCAAATATTCTATAGTACCTGAAATGAGTTGTTGTGACTAGTTTTTCCCCCGTTTCCTTCAATTATCACCTTGTTTGGAATGCTAATGCTTATTCACAAATGATAATAAACAAATATAAAGTGACTTTACTGTTCTCATCTCTCTTCAGAAGTAAGGTTATTATAAGGCAATTTTGCCAATTGGAGAGTTTATAGAATAAGGAAAATACTGTAATTTTCAAGAAAATAAAACAAACTACTCAATACATGGCATCTTTAAGAAATAGTTTTCATTAGTGTCCAAGAAATAAGTCAAGAAATTTGGATAAAAGATATTCAGGAAGACTCTTAATCTTCCTTCAGTTTCTTAGAGTTTTAGATGAAGAGTTACAGTTGATTGCCAAGAGCAATGCCATATTTCTCTAGCAGAGGAGAGTTCATAGTATATGTGTTTGCCGTTATACCCCCAATAAAAACAAATACACTTACTGATCCAGTTTTTGATATGCTCACAGAGTGACCATATAATTAAAGTAATCACCGGCTCTTTGCAGGCTATAGAAAATTTTGCCCTCACAGTGAAAGAAATGGCTCAGATGTTACAGTCCTTTGGAACTGAACTGGCTGAGACAGAACTACCAGATGATATTCCCTCAATAGAAGAAATTCTGGCAATTCGTGCTGAAAGGTATCATCTGTTGAAGGTATGTCTGATAGAGTTGACAAACAAAAGATTTCCATGGTCTTTATCTAGAGAGGTGTTTATTATCTCCATTTTACACTGACTGTTGCATAAGGGGAGATAAAAGACATTTATGTAATATATTTAAAAACTAAAAAAAATTATACTTTATAAGAGAAGACTGTCCTGGATATGTTAGACCTAAGTGTCCCCTCCGTAAATGGTGCATTAATTTGAGAAGTTATTTAAAAACATCTTATAAATGCTGCAGAAAAAGAAATATAGTCTTTTGTTTTACTATGTGCGGTCATGTACTGCATAAGGTTGTTGTGATCAATGATGAACCACATATATGACAGTAGTCCCATATGATTGTACCATATTTTTACTGTACCTTTTCTATGTTTAGACATGTTTAGATACACAAACGTATACCGTTGTGTTACAACTGCCTACAGTATGCCTACAACTGCCTACAGTATACAGTACAGTAACATGCTGTACAGGTTTGTAGCTTAGGAGCAATAGGCTATACCCTGTAGCCTAGGTGTCCAGTAGGCTATCCATCTAGGTTTTTGTAAATGCACTCTGTGATGTTCACAAAATGATGAAATTGCCTAACAATGCATTTCTCGGAACATATCCCCAACATTAAGTGATGCATGGCTGTATTTTTTATTTTTGAGGAGGAGTCAGGAGGCCGAGTTTCTAGTCCCATCTCTGCTGTGAGCTAGCATTGTGACCAAGGCTAACATTGCTCAATTGATTGTAAGTTCTCTTCTCTGCAGAATACTAGGTCTTGATGTTTCCTACAGTAGACCAGGGGTTGCAAATTGTTTGTGCTCTCCTATCCAGGTCTTTGTGGAGTGTTGTTTTGTGAAGGATTCTGAAGTGCAATTCAGATAATCAGCAAGTATTTTTTGGATCCACTTTCTTCAGAAAGTTTAAGAATAATCTGAACAAGCACTGGGCATTCATATAACTTGTCTCTCTCATCTGATAATAGACATACTGTGTGCATTAGAAGATTAAAGCTGTATATAGAGATATGTGTTTAAATTAAAAAGATAAACTGAGTTTTTTTCCAACTTTTATTTTAGGTCCAGAGGGTACATGTGCAGGTTTGTTACATGGATAAATTGTGGGATGCTGAGGTTTGGTGTACGAATGATCCTGTCACCCAGGTAGTGAGCATAGTACCAGATAGGTAGTTTTTCAACACTCTGCCTCCTCCCACCCTCCTTCCTCTAGTAGTCCCCACTGTCTATTGTTCCCATCTTTATGTCCATGTGTACCTAATGTTTAGCTCCCACTTGTGAGAACATGCAGTATTTGGTTTCCTGTTCTTGCATTAATTTGCTTAGGATAATGGCCTACAGCTGCATCCATGTTGCTGCAGAGGACATGATCTCGTTCTTTTTTATGACTGTATAGTATTCCATGGTGTATGTGTACCACATTTTCTTTATACAGTCCACCATTGATGGGCACCTAGGTTGATTCCATGTTTCTGCTGTTGTGAATAGTGCTGCAATGACGTATGAGTGCATGTGTCTTTTGGTAGAACAATTTATTTTCCTTTGGGTATAAACCCAGTAATGGCAATGCTGGGTTGAATGGTGTTCTGTTTTAAGCTCTTTGAGAAATCTCCAGACTGCTTTCCACAGTGACTGAACTAATTTACATCCCCAACAAGTATGTGTCAGTGTTCCCTTTTCTCTGTAGCCTCTCCAGCATCTGTTATTTTTTGTCTTTTTAATAATAGTCATTATGACTGGTGTGAGATGGTATCTCATTGTGGTTTGATTTGCAAGAAACTGACCTTTTGAATCACAATCTAAAAACAAAGCTCTGTCCAAGGAAAGAAAGCTCTGTTTTTCACAAACTGCATGTTGTCAGGCAATTTGCTTACCTTTTCTGAGTTGCAGTTTCTGTATCTTTACAGTGAGGTTGGTGATGATGATGATGCATCATACCTGGTAGGATTGCTGTGAAGATGAAATGAGGCAAAGAAACTGATCTATGTATAACAATGTTCCGTACATAGTTGGTACTTCGTAAATATTGGCTTTTAATGTTGATATTATTACCCATATTGGTGATGGTGTCATGGAATCTGTCCTCAGAATAAATGTACACCAAAACTTTTGCTTACAATTTCAAGGGACTCTTGGACCACCTGAAAGAAATCTTAAATCACTCTTAGATGTCTGAGAAAGGTCTATATTGTTACACCACCCACTGAGGTTAAGCCCTTCTGAATAGAGGCATATACTTCTTGATGAGTTAATTAAACCTAAATGTGAAGTAAAATAAGACTTAAGGCAGGGAGTGATTGGTAACAATTAAGGATTAGTAGCAAAGGCATTTAACTGTATCTGAATATGCATTAAGTATTATTTGCAATTGTATGCTTTCTACTGTGGTGGTTTTTATTGTGCTACTACTGCTTTATTTGAGCTCATTAAAAGTGTTAGCAGAACAGTGCCAGGTGCAGTGGTACATATTTGTTGTCCCTGCTACGCGGGAGCCTGAGGCAGGAGAATTGCTTGAGCCCAGGAGTTTGTGTCCAGCCTGGGCAACATAGCAAGATCCCATCTCTAAAAAAGTAAATAAAAATAAAATATTAGCAGAATAGGATGGACTGGATTGGAACTTTCTACCAGTTAGAGAAGGAGGCTACAAATAGAGCACATGGTACTTCTGCCCATGATGATCTTATAAAAACATTAATTGCAACGTCCATCTCTAAGGCAAGGGCTTCTTGGATCTTCACAGCTTTTAGATTTTGTGGCACTGAGATTTTGAAATTTTGTGAATTTTCAGAGAGCTATGAAAGCAAAGGCCATTCTAGAATTAACTGTTTCGATTCTTCATGCCATAGTTGTATGCTCCCTTCCCATCACATCATTCAGGTTGGATTACTAATTAGGTGATACTCCTTTTGTGTCTTTGGACAGAATGATATTACAGCTGTAACCAAAGAAGGAAAAATTCTGCTAACAAATCTGGAAGTGCCTGACACTGAAGGAGCTGTCAGTTCAAGACTAGAATGTCATCGGCAAATAAGTGGTGACTGGCAAACTATTAATAAGTGAGTACTCTCTTTTTGGTTTAGAGTTACTTATTTTATATTTTTGAAAGGAAATTATACATTTTTGCTGCAATATGTTAAGTGTTAAAGTATTCCTGGACCTCTGGAAATCTGAGAACTTATTTCTAGGTTGTCCTACAGAGATGATTTTGCTTGTAGAAGAGAGTCTGTGGACATTGGTTGTCTCTATAGGTAGAACCAAGTGTCATGGGCTATGACTTTGCCTATAATTCTTAATGTCCAGACCACACTTATCTACATACTTACAAAACAGATAGTTGCTTTTAGGAATTTATTGGAGTTTTCTTTCTTAAGGTTGCTGACTCAAGTACATGATATGGAAACAGCTTTTGATGGATTTTGGGAAAAACATCAATTAAAAATGGAGCAGTATCTGCAACTATGGAAGTTTGAGCAGGATTTTCAACAGGTCAGTTAAAACATTTCTTTGTATACCTTTTTTCATTACACCAGAGGTTTTTACTCCTTAATCATGAGAAATCCTGCCTTGCAAGATGCCCATTTATACCTACAAAGAAAAAAAAGGAGGCAAATGTAAATGAACCTTGGCTTAGACTGAAGAAAATCTCTACTAAAATTCTGAGACTTCTACTTTTTCAGCTTACTCGTTTCCTTTGAGAAAGTATCAAACTGCCAATATATATGACAGGGACAAAGTTACTCTCTACTTTGGGGTTTGTTATTCAAATTTATCTTAGATCTAAAGGGTATTCAAGGTTATGAGGTAGCTTTCCAAGGGAATAATACCAACTTCCTTCTTGGTTTTTAAATCCCATGTACCTATGCTGACCATATTTAATAAGACCTAACAAGCTTTTATTTCTGATCCAGGAGTTTATTCCTGTGAAAAGCCTGAGAGATGAAATTAAATAAGTTTAATAAATAATTAAAAATACATTCCAATTGGACCTTCCTGGAAAATCCATCATATATGGTCAAGATGCATAGATTTAGTTTCTTTTCCTTTTGCGGTCATGTTCAACCTTATCACAGTCTCTCTCACAGTATATACTTCACCAGAGGATCCAAGGAAAACTCACTTGTTCCTCTTGCATGTGCCCAGCTTGTTTTCTGCCCATGAATGGCTTACTTGCTTTGTATTTCACTTGCTCATCAGAGTTAGGTTTCGGAGGAGCACTGTACTCTGGACGCGGGGCTCAGTTACCACTAGCGTTTTCTCTCCTTTGATTCAAACATCTTTTGAAATGTTCTGCATGAAACCTTCCCTAAAGAAAGAATAGGTCAGGTTGCTCTTGGTCCTTCTAGGTATTTGTGTTTCTCCCTCGTCTCCAACTGAATACACAGAAAATAGCACTTTTCCTGAACATACCCATTATGCTTATACTTACATATTAATTTGCATGCATACCAAATTCTTGTCCTGTGGTTATGTTCTGTTTCCCCAAGTCATTAATTCCTGTCTTTAATCAATATTGTTGTTTGTCTTAGATTATAATCTCACTGACATGGTGTGTCTCATAGTGACATGTCGACAAGTTCTGTATGTCTAGAAACATGACTTTTTAAAAAAACACGTAGAAACATAAACTTACAGAAAAATGGCAAATATAAGAAAAATAAAAATACCCATATACCTTCTTCCCAGATTAACTTAATGACAATATTTTACTCCATTTGCTCTATTATTTTTATTCCCTCCCTCATATATATACAGATAATATTTTTTTCTGATCTGACAAATAATATATTTTCTGACCCATTTGAGTGTAAGTTGCACACATGATGGCCCTTTCCCCCTAAATGCTTCCATTTTTTCTAGTAATAGGGATATTCTGTTATATAACCATAGTACAGTTATCAGATTCAGTACATTTAACAATGCAATACTTTTATATTATCTACCATTGGTATTTCAATTTTGTCAGTTGACTCAGTCAAGTCTTTTATAGCATTTATTTTTCCTTCAGAATCGGATCCTATATAGGGTCCAGTCTTGCATTAAGTTGTCTTGTGTCTTTAGTGCCCTTGAATCTAGAACATTTCCACAGCCTTTCTTTGTCTTTTATGACTCTGACATTTTGAAGAATATAGTCCTTTTTTTTTTTTTTTGAGACAGTTCTGTCTCCCAGGCTGGAGTACAGTGACACAATCATAGCTACTGTAGCCTCAAACTCCTGGGCTTAAGCCATCCTCCCCCCTCAGCCTCCCAAGTAGCTGGGACTACAGGTATGCACCACCATGCCTGGCTAACTTTTTAATTTTTGTGGGGATGGGGTCTCACTGTGTTGCCCAGGCTGGTCTGCAACTCCTAGGCTCAAACAATCCTCCCGCCTCAGCCTCCCAAAGTGCTGGGATTCCAGGCATGAGCTATAAGGACTCATGCCCAGCCATAGTCCCTTTTGAAATGCATTTTTCTTCATTTGGAGTTTGTTGGACATCTTCTCATGATTCTATTTAGTATATATGACCAGCTAGAATACCACATTAGTGAAGTGTCCTTCTTAAGGAATCATATCTGCAGGTGAATGAAGCCTACCTCCCTCTTATTGTTGATGTGGATTCTGATTACCTATTCAGGGTGTTGTTGAATTTCTCCACTGTAAAGCTACTTTTACTCCCCTTCTAACTAGTAGGAAATGTGTGGGGAGAAAATTTAAGGTTATGCAAATATCCTCCTTCTCATAAAAATTTCCCCGTAAATTTAGCATCAACTGATGATGTTTGCCTGGACAAATCTTTGCTGTGATGGTTGCAAAATAATGATTATTTTCAACTCCCATGTCCAGTCCACATTTATCAGTCCACACTAGGCATTCTACTGAAGCAAGAGCCTTCCCTTCTCTCCATTTATTTCTTTATTTGATTCAAAGATTTTTACTTATTGGTTTTTAAAACTTTCAACTTTTATTTTAGATTCAGGGCATACACATGCACGTTTGTTACATGGGTATACTGTTACATGGGTATACTGTTACATTTGAGGTGTGAATGATGCCGTTACTCAGGTAGTGAGCATAATATCCAATAGTTAGTTTTTAAGCCCTTGCCTTCCTCCTCTTCCCCCTTTTGGTAGTCTCCAGCATTTATTGTTCTGTCTTTATGTCTATGTGTAACCAATGCTTAACTTCCACTTATAAGTGACAACATACTGTGTTTGGTTTTCAGTCTCTGTGTTAGTTTGCTTAGGATAATGGCCTCCAGCTGCATCATGTTGCTGCAAAAGACATGATTTTGTTTTTTTTATGGCTGCATAGTATTCCATGATGTATTTGTACCACATTTTCTTTATCCAGTCCATCATTGATGGGCACCTGGGTTGATTCCAAGTCTTTGCTATTGCGAATAGTGCTGCAGTGAACATACAATTGCATTGCCTTTTTGATAGAATGATTTATTTTCCATTGGGTATATACTCAGTAATGGGATTGCTGGGTCAAATGGTAGTTCTGTCTTAAGTTCTTAAATATTCAGGATGCCTTCCACAGTGGCTGAACTAATTTACTTTCCCACCAGCAGTGTATCAGCGTTCCCTTCTCTCCATAGCCTCACCAGCATCTGTTCCTTTTTGTCTCTTTAATAATAGCCATTCTGACTGATGTGATATGTTATCTCATTTGATTTGCATTTCTCTGATGATTAGTGATATTGAGCATTTTCTCCTCTTTGTTGGAAATCTGTATGTCTTCTTTTGAGAAGTATCTGTTCATGTCCTCTGCTCACTTTTTAGTGGAGTTATTAGTTTTTTTTTATTTTATTATTATTATACTTTAAGTTTTAGGGTACATGAGTACAATGTGCAGGTTCGTTACATATGTATACATGTGCCATGTTGGTGTGCTACACCTATTAACTTGTCATTTAGCATTAGGTATATCTCCTAATGCTATCCCTCCCCTCGCCCCCCACCCCACAACAGGCCCCAGAGTGTGATGTTCCCCTTTCTGTGTCCATGTGTTCTCATTGTTCAATTCCCACCTATGAGTGAGAACATGCGGTGTTTGGTTTTTTTGTCCTTGCGATAGTTTGCTGAGAATGATGGTTTCTAGCTTCATCCATGTCCCTACAAAGGACATGAACTCATCATATTTTATGGCTGCATAGTATTCCATGGTGTATATGTGCCACATTTTCTTAATCCACTCTATCGTTGTTGGACATTTGGCTTGGTTCCAAGTCTTTGCTATTGTGAATAGTGCCACAATAAACATACGTGTGCATATGTCTTTATAGCAGCAGGATTTATAATCCTTTGGGTATATACCCAGTAATGGGATGGCTGGGTCAAATGGTATTTCTAGTTCTAGATCCCTGAGGAATCGCCACACTGACTTCCACAATGGTTGAACTAGTTTACAGTCCCACCAATAATGTAAAAGTGTTCCTATTTCTCCACATCCTCTCCAGCACCTGTTGTTTCCTGACTTTTTAATGATCGCCATTCTAACTTGTGTGAGATGGTATCTCATTGTGGTTTTGATTTGCATTTCTCTGATGGCCAGTGATGATGAGCATTTTTTCATGCGTTTTTTGGCTGCATAAATGTCTTCTTTTGAGAAGTGTCTGTTCATATCCTTCGCCCACTTTTTGATGGGGTTGTTTGTTTTTTTCTTGTAAATTTGTTTGAGTTCATTGTGGATTCTGGATATTAGCCCTTTGTCAGATGAGTAGGTTGCGAAAATTTTCTCCCATTCTGTAGGTTGCCTGTTCACTCTGATGATAGTTTCTTTTGCTGTGCAGAAGCTCTTTAGTTTAATTAGATCCCATTTGTCAATTTTGGCTTTTGTTGCCATTGCTTTCGGTGTTTTAGACATGAAGTCCTTGCCCATGCCTATGTCCTGAATGGTATTGCCTAGGTTTTCTTCTAGGGTTTTTATGGTTTTAGGTCTAACATGTAAGTCTTTAATCCATCTTGAATTAGTTTTTGTATAAGATGTAAGGAAGGGATCCAGTTTCAGCTTTCTACATATGGCTAGCCAGTTTTCCCAGCACCATTTATTAAATAGGGAATCCTTTCCCCATTTCTTGTTTTTGTCAGGTTTGTCAAAGATCAGATGGTTGTAGATATGCGGCATTATTTCTGAGTGCTCTGTTCTGTTCCATTGATCTATATCTGTGTTTTGAGAGTTATTAGTTTTTTGCTTGTTGAATTGTTTAAGTTCCTTACAGATTCTGGATATTAGATTTTTGTCAGATGCATAGTTTGTGAATATTTTCTCCCATTCTGTAGGTTGTCTGTTTACTCTGTTGATAGCTTCTTTGGTTATGCAGAAGCTCTTTAGTTTAATTAGGTCCCACGTATCAATTTTTGTATTTGTTGAAATTGCTTTTGAAATTTTAGTCATAAATTCTTTCCCAAGGCCAATGTCCAGATTAGTGTTTCCTAGCTTTTCTCCCAAGATTCTTGTATATTGAGGTCTTGCATTTAGATCTTTAATCCATCCTTAGTTAATTGTTATATATGGTGAAAGGTAGGGGTCCAGTTTCACTCTTCTTTATATGATTAGTCAGCTATCTCAGCACCATTTGTTGAATAGGGAGTCCTTTCCCCTTTGATTATTTTCGTTGATTTGGTAAAAGATCTGATGGTTGTAGATGCGTGGCTTTATTTCTGGGTTCTCTATTCTGTTCCATTGGTCTAAGTGTCTGTTTTTGTACCAGGACTATGTTGTTTTGGTATAGTTTGATGTCGGGTAATATGTTATTTCTGCCCTTGTTCTTTTTGCTTATGATTGCTTTGGCTATTTGAGCTCTTTTGTGGTTCCATATGAATTTTAGAATAGTTTTTCTAATTCTGTGAAAAAGGCTGTTGGTAGTTTGATAGGAATAACATTGAATTGGCAGATTATTTTGGACAGTATGGCCATTTGAATGATAGTGATTCTTCAAATCTATGAGCATGGAATGTTTTCTCCATTTGTTTGTGTCATGTATGATCTATTTCAGCAGTGTTTTGTAGGTCTCCTTATAGAGATTTTTCTCCTCCTTGGGCTACATGTATTACTGGGTATTTTATTCTTTTTGTGGTCATTGTAAATGAAATTGCATTCTTGATTTGGCTTTCAGCTTGAACATTATTGGTGTATAGAAATGCTACTGATTTTTGTACATTGATTTTGTATCGTAAAACTTTCCTGAAGTTGTTTATCAATTCTAGGAGCCTTTTGGTAGTCTTTAGTGTTTTCTAGGTATAGAATCATGTTGTCAGCAAAGAAAGATGATTTGACTTCTTTTCTGATTCCTAGTTTTTTGATTGTTTATAATTTATTAGTGTTCTTGACTATTGTGGTGTTTCAAACTGCTGCTGTGTCCTTGTGACATACTCCAACATTTAAATAAATCACTTTCTTACTTTCTGGCATAAAAATATATTCCAAGTTCATCTTGTACCTATTCTGCCTCAACCCTGGAATCAGTTATTTCCTTGAGGAGCCCTGGTTTCTTTTTCTGGGAAATGGTATTAAAGACCAAGGTCTGGGTGGGAGATGTGCTTATTACTTCTGGAGGGCTTTTGCTTTTAGGATAATTCACCAGAGAGCTGGGGAATGATGAAAAAAACACTTAGATGAAAATTCTCAGGTAAGATTTTGTTTTAGATATTTGCTATATATATATACACACACACACACACACACACACACACACAAATGTATATATACCTATACATACCTCACACGTATACATTTATGCAAATACATGTCCTCATATACGAACCTACACATGTACATGGTGATCTTTTATACATCAAGAGTACACATTGATATCTATGAGGTTAAATTTTAACAGATTATAGCTATTTCTGTGAATAAAATAACCAAATTTTTTATATGTGTAATTTCTCCATGTCAATATTTTTGTTTAAAAGCATTTTGTATAAAACTTGATCATAAGGGGATAAATTTTATGTTTTTAAAACCTCTTTGTTTCGTATTTTTAGCTTGTGACTGAAGTTGAATTTCTATTAAACCAACAAGCAGAACTGGCTGATGTAACAGGGACTATAGCTCAAGTAAAACAAAAAATAAAAAAATTGGAAAACTTAGATGAAAATTCTCAGGTAAGATTGTATTTTAGATGTCTGCTATATTATACAGTATAATAGTCATGTTTTGGCGGGAGTAGGTAGTATAAACCCTTATTATTAATTTCTTTATTTTTATTTTTCCATAAGTTACTGGGGTATAGGTGGTATTTGGTTATATGAGTAAGTTCTTTAGTGGTGATTTGTGAGATTTTGGTGCACCCATCACCCGAACAGTATACACTGCACCCTATTTGTAGCCTTTTATCGCTTGCCTTCCTCCCATCATAACAACATTCTGTATATCAGGCACAATTATATTGGTCTATATTCTGTTTTGTTCAATGCAGGCCAGAGGTGACACTACAGATATATCATGTAGTTAGTTGTAAAAGGAGGTCACTGAGACAATGGCGTGAACTGTTTCAAGCCCACCAATAAGAACAAGGGCATAAATTATTTTGGAGAAGCTAGAAAAATGTGTATGAAGAATGATATATGGTGCTTGGAAATGATGGGAACATACAAGAACATAATTCCTTAAATGCCCACTTTAGGATATATGCAGTTTAACCAAATGGAGACTCACATAGATATTTCTACTTATTCTTACTATCTGTGACCTTGAGTAAATTGGTTTCTAATCCTCAGTGTCTTCATCTATAAACTGGGGATAAAATGACCTACTTTGCAGAGCAATTGTGAATATTCATTTAGGTGTATATAAAGCACCTGGCACAACACTGGACTATATAGTAACCACTCAAAAGAGGCAGTTTTCATTATCCCTGCTAGTCTTAAATTTTGGACTAGTGGCTTTAATACTTAAAAAACTCTTAGCTTTTATGTGAGAGCAAGGCCATGCTTTTTATGTGAGAGCAAGGCCACGCTTTTTAAGATGAATTCTCAGCATACAAACAGATTTATGGGTGAACCATGAGTATGTGAAAACAAATATTGAAGAAGCAACAGTTATGATAACTAGTTCTGGAATTATGCTTGTAGATCTGTGTGATCATGGGACACTTTACATAGCCCTATGGTATAGTAGAAAGAGGAGGCAAACTGGTTTGGAAACTAAGGGAGACTTAATTTTTTTCCATTTAATAATTTTTCGTTTCTAATTGTGGTAAAAACACATAACATGAAATTTACCGTCTTAATCATTTTTAAATGTTCAGTTCAGTAGTGATAAGTAAATTCGCGTTGTTGTGCAACAGCTCCAGAACTTTTTCACCTTATAAAATTGAAACTGTATACCCATTAGACAACAGCTCTCCATTTTAAACCTGGTTTTCCCACTAGATAGAGAGGCCAGTCATTTCCTCATTCTGTGTTTGAGTTTTATTTATTTTATTTTGACAAGCATTTCTTGAACCCCTACTATGTTCGAGTCTCTACACTGGGGGGAGTGAGTAGTTGATGGAGTGGAGGCAAGGCCACTAAAGGTCATTTTTTGACATAGAAACCCTGTGACTTCAGGTATGTGAAGTAGTCCAGGTACATGACAACTCTGATGAGATTTCTAAGGCTGAGATGATATGAAATACACTTGGCTGGTGTGTATACCTCATTTAATATAGGTGGTTCTATTCTAAATCCACACATATTAGGAGAAAAAATCTCACCCACATTCTGTGTGTGATGTGCAATTTTCAGTTTCTATAACCAGAAATGCATGAGCTTCTAATGACATCACTGCTGCAGCTAATTATTATAACTGTAAGTTTTTGTTTTTGTTTTTTTGTTTGTTTGTTTGTGTTTTTTTTTTTGCAGCCTGAAGAAGTAGACATCAAATTGTATTTTTGGCAATGTATCCTTCTTGCTCAAACATTTTGCTTCTTAATTATTTTCTTCTTTTTTTCTCTATAGGAACAGAGATCATGTATTCATTATTTTTTGTCTTTGTTATAATCAGGAGCTATTATCAAAGGCCCAGTTTGTGATATTACATGGACACAAGCTTGCAGCAAATCACCATTATGCACTTGATTTAATCTGCCAGAGGTGCAATGAGCTACGTTACCTTTCTGATATTTTGGTTAATGAGATAAAAGCAAAACGGATACAACTCAGCAGGACCTTCAAAATGCATAAACTCCTACAGCAGGTAGTGTAATGGGAAATGATCCATTTCTGAAAAGGAACACACATTTTTTTCCAGGTCCTGCTAGCCTGAAGCACCTTGCCCTCCTGTCGCATGGAATACTTTTCATCTTCTCAGAGGTTATATGGTCAGGGACTGGTATAGCTTTGGAATTAAATTTGTAAGAAGTCTGAAGGACTGAGTTTGATTATGATTTTTTCATCCATCTACCAATGAACTATTCATGAAAGATCCAATATAGTTCAAATTTTACCCTTTGTTCTAAATATTGAGATTGTGGAGTAATGGCTTCCTTTGTATTTTCGATACATCTCTGAAGCCTTCACTGGTGATGGTTTGTACTTGGAACATTTTTAAAAACCTGGGGGGGCATTTTGCTAAAGCCTGAAACTCCTTTCACATTTCATAGTACAGAAATAAAATATTAAACAGTGACTGGAAAATATTCCTCCATGGCTTGTGGGTTTGACCCTTTTCACGATTAGGCAATGAATTGACAGGTCACCGTATGGACCTGGTGTTGGCAGTGGAATATAAAATAGGGGTATCACTTACAGACATTATATCTGAACATAAACATTTTAATCTTTACATCTCATTCTTTGGGAAGGAAACTTTATTCTTGTCTTTAGCCATCATTAAGCATTTGTATTACACTTTATATTTTTCTAAGAATTTCATATTTCAGTTACTGATTTTGGGAAAGTAACATGCAACTAAGTGTTAGTGCTGAGAAAATGGTCGGACTCCTGCTGCAGAATAAATTAGTTGTTGTGAAATAAATGCAGTGTTTCCCAACCTCGGCTGTGTATCAGCAGTATCTGTGGAGCTCTGTAAAAGTATAAATGCCCAACTTATGGCCCAGAGCTACTGAATCAGAATTTCTGGGGGCAGAACCCAGATATCTTTTTTTTTTTTAACAGCTCTGAAAGCATTTCTGACTCACGGAAGCCAGAGGCTGAGAACCACTCACTTATTGGACAAATATGTTTTCTCTTTATTAATTCATATTTTTTTTTTTTCTTCTTGATTTTCTTACCAGGCTCGTCAATGCTGTGATGAAGGGGAATGTCTTCTAGCTAATCAGGAAATAGATAAGTTTCAGTCTAAAGAAGATGCTCAGAAAGCTCTCCAAGACATTGAAAATTTTCTTGAAATGGCTCTACCCTTTATAAATTATGAACCTGAAACACTGCAGTATGAATTTGATGTAATATTATCTCCTGAGCTTAAGGTAGAGGCTTTTTTATTTTCAAATAAATATTTAAAGAAAATTATAATTGCAGTACTGTGGGTAGGAGGAGTTTTACTACCTCACAGCTAACTTTATGTCAAATTGCACTTACATTGTCCTCTTAGGGGTGATAGTAGTGCCACTGTCAAGCATCAAATAATTCAAAGGCATATGTTTGCTATATAATGAAGAATAATTTCCTTTTTGAGCTCCAAATCCATTATTTTAAAACTCTTTTATGTGCTAGGTGTTCTCACACATATTTTGTTGTGCATCACTGGAGAAAGGCCCAAAGCTCTTCTATAACAGAATGTTGGGTCCATGTCAAGAGCACTTTACCCCAGACATCTTTCCTTTGTGCTGCAGTGACCATCAGCAGATGCTCTGTGGATGATGTTGCTTTCCTACTCAGTTTGAGAATGAAAGCATAAAGATAGGATTTGGGTCTTCTTGGAGAAGGAGGAGCAGGCAGAAGTTGGTGTTAACAGGGTGGACAGCTATAGGTTAGTTCAGTACTGCCCCCTTGGAAATGACATGAAGAATTTTCCACATTGTAGATAAGAGCATTTGTGATGCTATTTGCTGCTAAAATGTGTAGTTGACTCTAAGATTGGAGCAGTATCTAGATCCATGCTTAGCGGAATATCCTAGGGGATGCCCCAGGAAATCAGAAATGCAGTCATGGCAATAGCCAAGTGATTCTCTGGAAGCAACCAAGCTTAACTCTAGCTGCCTCAAAGCATCTAGGAGAGGTACAAAGGTGTATTATCCATTGGTGGCTCTGAGGAGCCTGCTGCAACATAGAAGACTATAACAAGAATGTCCTACAGGGTAAAATGTAACAAAATATTATACCGATGTTATTCATTTGATTGTTTTTATAACTTGGTGGCTTTCTTATGCTAAACAGGAAAGAGCAATATGCCTTCTTTCCCAGCCATTATCTGATTCAGCCAATGAACCAATGAAGGGCAAATCACTCTATGCAGTGACCAATTTCATGACTGCTTCTTGGTAATTTTTTCCCTCAGGTTGTTTTGGTTGAGATTTTGGTTTTATATCCATGTGAACATAATACATTAATCTGTCTTGTTATTTTTCTAAATGTCTTGTAGTTATATTTTAAACTCTAAATTATTTTTTTGACCATCTGAGTCTGAGAAATGTAATGGGGTTTGTAATGACCTCATTTCATAAAATATTTCCTATAATTCTTATACAACTCGCAGGTTCAAATGAAGACTATACAACTCAAGCTTGAAAACATTCGAAGTATATTTGAGAACCAGCAGGCTGGTTTCAGGAACCTGGCAGATAAGCATGTGAGGCCAATCCAATTTGTGGTACCCACACCTGAAAATTTGGTCACATCTGGGACACCATTTTTTTCATCTAAACAAGGTAAAATGTCTTACTTTCTCTGTCTCTTTTTTTCTTGCTATTGTTTATATTGTTACTCTTGATGTAAATACTGAGTTTATTCTTCAATGCGGATAGATGAAAATTTCACTTTAGCATCTTTGGTCATATTTATATTGTGCAAGGCAAGAGTCAGATTGAGGTTATTGTACAGTACTAAAACATAGTAGTGATATAGTACAGTACAAGGAATTGTGAACGTCTCAGTACTGAGTACTCCAGCCTTGAAAATGAGTATGAAAATTTTACCAGCATCAAACTTGCATTTTTTTCCAGCAGGTGAAGGAAAGTATATGAAGCTAGTATACACATGTGTGCATGCACACACACACACACACACACACACACACACACATATTTACTGCTACTCTAGATAAGCAATGATTTGGTTCCTTTTTATTTGTATAAATGTGGGAGTACAAGTACATAGAGTTTTGTTACATGAATATATTGCATAGTGGTGAAATATGACTTGGTTCTTATAAGCTTCTAGTAAGTGAATGGCTTAGATAATAAAATGGATTGCCTTTTCTAAATAAATGCTGTTAAATAGAATAATTTTGTTGGTAATTTACTATTACAGAGTTCATTTTCTAGTTTTAATCTCCTAGTTTTATCCATGTAAGATCTATTTTCTTTCTAAGTTCTATGGAAATAATAATTGTCCTTATAATGTGTTGAACTACTCTGGATATGGATGGCTCAGGGGTTCCCTTGAGCTGCCTTTGGGGCTTCTTAGAGGAGAGTAATTTGGTCTTTAGGGCCCTAAGTAAGTGGAATGGGTGAAGATGGGAGTAAATTTGGTCTGTCTGATCTAAATAGAGTCAGAAGCTTCATTAGTGTAGGAGAACTGCTTTGGAATTCAGAGAAGGCTTGAGCCAAGGATAATGAGCATAAAAATAATAGCTTATATCTAGCATGGATCAGATTTTCAAAAGGTGATGAAAGCAGGTAACTAGGCTAAGATTATGAAAGTTACATGTTTAATACTTATGAAATATATAAATATATTTACAAATAAAACTATAAGCAATGTCTTAAATACAATATCAAAGATATAGCAAAGATACAGGGAATATTAAAACTACTGGAAAAAGAGTAAAGATAACAAAATAAAAAACAGTAAGGGGATAAAACCCGATAGCTATGAGAATAAAACTGAAATAGGTTGATATTCTTGAGCAGAAGACAGACCTCGGTTAGATTTCTGGCTCCATGTACTGGCTGTGTGTCCTTGAACAGTTCACTTAGCCTCTTTAGCCTCAGTTTCCTTACCTGGACAATAAGGACGATAATACCTATTGACTCCAACAGGTTATTGTAAAGATAGGGTGAAAAAAATTGAAGACTATAAAAAAATACTTGATAAACTGGACTAGTCCTTTCCTCTGGTTAAAGCTGCTTGCTTAATTGTCCTCTAAAATCTCAACTCTTTCTAGAGGTTCTTAAAGTGGTACACCTTGGGTTGAGGAACGGAGTTTTGAGGAGACTGTTACAGATCCATGCAAGTCATTAGTCACTCATTAGCACATTTTGTTTTGTATTGTTTCATTTTTTTCTGATATTCTTATTTAATGGCGTTACAATTTCCTTCTGCAGTGGGAGTTGGATACTCTTTCTTTCAAGCATGTAAACTTTTTTCAAAAGGTACCCATCTTTATTATATTACTTTTGCCAATACATTTTTCTGAGTTTGTGTACATGTGAAAAACCAGTTTGGCATCTAAAAACAGCAGCAGTTCATTGTTGCATTCTACCTGCAAGTAACTTTTTCCTGTTTTTCATAATAACCATCCATTATTCTCTTTGTATTATGCTTATGTTGGAAAATGACTATATAAAATGTAGATTATGGTTCTAAATTCAATGTCTTTCATAAAGTGACCCCGCAAAAAGAATAAAGAAAAACAATTGGCGATGCTAAAATGAATCAGGCCTTCTTTTGTTTAAGATACTTCATGATCCAACTTTTTGTTAGGAGTAGCTTGGATTTGCTTCAGTTTGAGACTGCCTAATGTATGTATGAGGATGAAGGCAGCTTAATAAATAAGTGACATGGATGGATAAATGTTTTTATCTATTATACATCATGCTTTGTAAATTAAATCAAAACATTATGTATGCTACAAACCTTGTTCATTTACCTAATTGCTCTGTTAGTAATAGGGATTATAACAATCCATTCCAAACAATTTCTTAAGACTTTTAATCGCTAAGCCAAATATATAAAATTTGGTCAACTCAAAACATAAGTATTAATTTCTCATAAAAATGAGTCAAACTGTTTTTTTGTTCTTTGGTTTTATTTTAGTTTTTTTTTTTCTTTTTGCATTAAATATAATTCTGCACCTAGCACAGGGCCTGGCACTTAGCAAGATGTAATAAATATTTGTAGAATTAACATTGAATATAGAGTGTAGTTATTGAGAATGGGAGATATTGACAGCGAGGAATAAAATGTAAAATGTGACTTGAGCTCCTAAATCTGGATCTTTAGCCTAGATCTTTCTTCTAAGCTTTGGATCTCTGTTTATAATTTGCCTTTTTGAATTTCCCATAGGCAACTCAGACTCAACATACCTCAGATTAACTCATCTCTCCTGCAATCTTTCTACTCTTCATCTTGGTGAATGGCACTATGATTTCCCCAGTTGCCCAAGCCTGGGACCTTGGTTCCTCCTCACTTATGCCCTACCTCTAATTGATCAAAAATTCTATATCCTGTGGATTTGTGCCTACTAAGTATCTCTCTCGAATCCATTCACTTTTTTTTTTCATCCCCACTGCTATCCTTACTGCCACTTTCCTAATCCGAGCTAACATCATCCTGGCCTTGGCAACTGTGACAGTCTTTCTGTCTCTTCCACTTACCCTGCCCACTTCTTCTTCCCTTTCCTAGGTGTCTTACTTTGTGGACATTACACACACTGTTCTCTCTCTGGAACACTATTTCCTTTCCTCTCCCTTTCCCACATGTTAGCTTCTACTCCTCTATCAGATTTCCTATTTCTAGGCCACTTCCTTCAGGTAAGCTTTTCCTCCCCAGATCTCCTCCTTCCCTGCACCCCTGTTTGCTTAGGTGTTCATGCTGTGTGATAACAAGTACCCCCAAATTTCTTCTTGGCTTTAGTAGAATTGTCTGTTTTCTGTCTCTCTTGCTAAACTAAGCTCTGTAAGGGCAGAAACTGTGTGCAGTTCATCTTTGTATCCCTAAACACAGAGCTTAGCATATGGTGTAGGTGCTCAATCATTTTGTATGTATTTATATTGTTAAAAATGAATACATCTACCTTGCTTTGAAGAATAAGATGTGTTTCTCATAAGTTGTGCACATATTTATTTTGTATCTCTTAACGTATTTGCAAAGAATTAATTGGCAAAACTAACAATTGCCTCTTAAGTTACCTTTAAAAATAAGTTTGGATCTCTGTAGAACAGGTTTCTTTGAAGTGGAGCATATTAGTATTCATTGAGAAATTAATTTTGTATAATTCCCACTGTTTAATATATATTTACATATATGATGATATAAACTTGAAGTTTAGGTAGAAAATATATTTTAATAAGTGAAAGTGAAGTATGGAGTCTAGAGAACATAGCAGCCCTTCGTTTTCCTGAGTGTGCCTGTCACTGGCTCCTGCTGAGGAGGGAAGGACAAAAGGTTTGTTCCTTTCCTGGAGAGAGGAGTCTCATGCAGCCTGTGTGAGTAACAGCCTTTTCAGCAGCCCTGAGAATTAGGATCTAAACAATCTAGTCTTTGGTTGGACCATGCCTTCGGCTTTGTAGGAACGTCTGGATTCCTTGCTTAATAATACAGTGGCTCACCCTTTTTAAACTAAACATTTAAAAAATAAAGATGAAAGTTTTGAATTTTGATGACATGTTTAACATTTTATCATGCTTTGGAAATGTTTATATGGTGGTTAGAAACATTCTGAGAGTAGATTATATGAATTTGAATACCACCTCTGCTTCTTGGACAAGATATTAACCTTAATTCCTTATCTAGAAGATAGGGATAGAAGTTGTTACCTACCTCTTAGGATGATTTTGGGTATTAAAAAAGAAGATATATGCATAGCTCTTAGAACAGTGCTCAATATGTAGAAAGTGCCAAACAAGTGTAGATGCTCTAATTAGTAGATTAAACTTAGATTGTTTTCAAAATTCTTTTTGATTGAGTTAATCAATGAGCTACAATTTGATTAAATGTTTTTGTGTCAGAATGAATACTAAATCTGCAAATAATTATGAGCACTAACACCTACCTCAATGCTTGGCAAGTAAGTGAATGTTTGATGAATGAGAGAATGGGTGAATACATAGCAAAATCATGCTCAGTAAGAAGCTGAAATCATGTGAGTAAGTCCAACCAAACATTATCTTCTATAGTGTGATTTTAAAATACTAATATAAACATATTGGAATATTAACTCAAGTTATTTAATAAATATATATGTATTTCTATTAAAAGTGCTGACTTTAATTCTGGTTTGAAATTCTTCTTTCACATTTCTCTACCAGGGAAGAAGACTTGGAGACAAAATCAGAGCAACTTAAAAGTAAATATCATTAATTAATTCAAAATTGACTTTATTGCTTTAGTTGCAGAGTTGGTATGAGCCTTAAATCACATGTTTCATTCACTAGACAAATATTGTGTCTTTGAAAGACTATTTAAAAGAAAAAAAGCTGCTGCTGCATTGTGTTTCACTGCATTACTGGCATATCCCCAGATATGCCAGTTTCTCAGTATGAGCTGTTTCTCAAGTCCTGGCTCAAGGTTAGAATCATTTCTGTAGAACATCTTGTATATGTTCCAGCTTCTTTTTACCACCACCCACCATCACTTCAATAATCGTAAGTAAGCGTTGCACCTTTGTGCAGAATAAACTTTCTTTCATGAGCAATTCCAGTCCTACAAGTATGAAGCACACAGGACAGGTTCTAATGGACCATGCAGAGGCTAACTCTTAGCTCAAAAAAGATATCCATTCTTTTTTGTTGTTGTTTTTAAGTTTTTTTAGAGACAGGGTCTCACTATGTTGCCAAGGCTGGAGTGCAGTGGCCATTCACAGGGGTGACCATAGCTCACTGCTGCCTCTAATTCCTGGGCTCATGCCACCCTTCCACTTCAGCCTCCTGAGTAGCTGGGACTACAGGTGTGCATCACTGTGCCCAATCTACTTACTTATTGTTAGATACAAGATTCTGTTCTTCTCAGTTATCCATGATAATCTGATATCTGTAAAGAAGTAGACTCATCATAGCTACAACATCCCACATTTTCTTTTCTCTCTCTCTTTTTTTTTTTGAGACAGGGTCTCGCTCTGTTGCCTAGGCTGGACTACAGTGGTGCGATCATAGCTCACTGCAGCCTCAAACTCTTGGGCTCAAGAAATCCTACCACCCCAGGCTCCTGAGTATCTTAGACTACAGGCATGGGCCATTATGCCAGGCTAATATTTTTAACACTTTTTTTGATAGACAGGGTCTTGCTATGTTGCCAAGGCTGATCTTAAACTCCTGGCCTCAGGTGATCCTCCCGCCTTGGTCTCCCAAAGTGTTGGGATTACAGGCATGAGCCACTGCTCCCAGTCCCCAAGACCCCACATTTTCTTCTTGTGTTTTTTGTGGTAAATAAAGATGAGAACATATTTTTAAGGGGCAGTATAGCATAGTGGTACAAATTGTAAAACTAGGCTGCCTGGCTTATAATCCCAGTTCCATCACTTACTGGCTATATAAACTTGGGTAAGTTCTCTGGAACTCAGTTTCCATATATAAAATGGGCATAAAAATAGAACACTCTCATCATGGAGTTAAAGATAAAATAATCTAATATTTGTGAAGCACCTTGAACATGTGTGGCATATGATAATGCTCTAAGTTTTAATATAATTAATAGCAGCCTAGTGAATGGTCTATACTGATACACGAAGCCTGGTTATTATTCTGTACGGCCACAACTTCTGGTTTCAAGAAAGAAACAGGGTGAATGCCAAATTCTGTAGTATTACATGTTGTAAAATCTGTCTGAGCCTCAGTTTTCCCATATTTAAAATGAGGAAAAGAATGCCATTGCTTGCTAAATGCTGTTTGGATTAAATATAATATGTGTTAAGCACCTAGGACTGTGGTTGCCTAATATATAGAAAGTCATAATACATGCTTGTTTCTTTCATTTGTAATAAGTAGGTCACATTTTGGGGAAATATTTAGCTGATAGATACTGTACTTCATTTTGGGTTCTAGTTGTCCCAAAGAAATGTTACATTTACTTGGAGGTCAGGCTTTTGGCAAGCTCAGCTGTCCAATACAGCTGAGATTGGATACCAGGAATACACTTCAAATGCTTCTTAAAAGAAATAATCATCACAAATCTTTTGCAGTTGACTCGGTAGGCCAGTCCAAGTCCTTTAGAGTCTGTAAAATAAGGCAATTTATTAGAATTAGGGAGGCAACTTATAGCGACTAACATGTGGCAGGGAGTAGAGACAGAGATGTACAGGTTACAGTTATTTCAAGAAAGAATAGAGTTCTGCAGGTATCCCTGCAGCACATCATTAGATTTTATCATATTCAAGCTTATGATGATGCCATCGAATCATTAGGAAAAGGATCTTCTAGCTTGCCCCAGATCTTAGAAAAAAAAAAAGGAAAAGGATCAGTTATGTCGTGTGTCTTTGATTAAAGAATTCAAGGATGCATATAATATTTTCTAGAAAGGTTTCCATCAAAAATCACTATGGTTAAAAAGATGTTTGGTTCTTCAATGAATACCCTTTAGTTATCTAGAAAATTAACTTTTTATGAATCAACCTTATTTTCCAAGAATGCCAAATAAATAAAGAGTTAATACATAAAATAAGTTCTAATTAGTATCTTAAATCTGTTTTCTTAGGCAACTTAAATCACTTTTTACTAGTACGTATCAAAGTTATTTTGAAAAAAATCATAGTTTTATTTTTCAATTTATCTTCAGAGTTAGGACCTAGAATAAACTTAATTTGAGCTGGATCGCCTTGAAGAAAAATTATACCTACAGAGGTGCTAATTTAACTTTTATTTTCTGTATTTCAGATTGAAGTGGTGCCTGATTGTCAGGAGAAGAGAAGTTCTGGTCCATCCTCCAGTTTGGACAATGGCAATAGCTTGGATGTTTTAAAGAAGTATCCTTTATTTATTAATATAAACTCACATACACATCTAACTGTGGGAGTCTGGTTCAGTGTTCAAGGCCAATGTGATTAGAAATTTGAGTTCACAGAATGGGGTTTTACTGGGTGTCAGAAGTCCAGGATTTAGGCCTGGCCAACCTATAGCCTATTTATGTGATTTGAAGAAAATTAACTAAACTTTTTCAGAATGTTGGTATCTTCTTTTTTTTACCCCAGACTGAAATAAAATGGAGGTTTTCGTTTATCATTCTTAAAAAAAGTTTTATTATTATTTTTCATTGACACATAATCATTGTACATATTTATGGAATACAGTGTGAAATTTTGATACATGTGTACAATGTATAATGATCAAATCATGGTAGTTAGCTTATCTATTAATTCTTCAGCTTTATTGATATATAATTGACAAAATTATGTATATTTAAAGTGTACAATGTGATGCTTTGATATGTGTATATATTGTGAAATGATTACCATATCAAGTTAGTTAACACATCTATCACCTCACGTAGTTACCATTTTTTTTTTGTGGTGAGAACAGTTAAGATCTATTCTCTCAGCAAATTTCGATATACGAAATGAATAGAGTGGTACATCAAAAATTACAAAGGATTATACAGATTGATACAATGTTATTTTATAGATGTTAATAATTGTTTTGTTCATTGTTATAATGGTATATTAATATTCTAGACATAAGAATATTCATCTTTTTAATTTGATGTTACAGTTGTAATTAGCAAGCATTTTGCAGCAAGTTGTATGTATACATATGTATGTATGAGATACATATATATATATATACAGACACATATTTATACTGTAAGACTCTCAAATGTTAAATGCTTTAATATGCAAAAAGAAAAAGAAAAAAAGCCAAAAGTATAAGTTAAATCAAATGGGTTACTTATACTGGGGACAAGGGAAATGAGTTTTAAATATGATGTCAATTGGAAATCACATTGAAAGGAAAATATACTTTATTTTCCAGAGACAGTAAACAAAATTATTACAGAAACAGGTGGGGCGTGGTTATTCACGCCTGCAATCCCAGCATGTTGGGAGGCCCAGGCGGGCGGATCACTTGAGGTCAGGAGTTCGAGACCAGCCTGACAAACATGGTGAAACCCCGTCTCTACCAAAAAATACAAAAATTAGCCAGGTGTGGTGGTGAGCGCCTATAATCCCAGCCACTAGGGAGGCTGAGGAAGGAGAATCTCTTGAACCCGGGAGGTGGAGGTTGCAGTAAGCCGAGATTACCCCACTGCACTCAAGCCTGGGTGACAGAGTGAGATTCCGTCTCAAAAATATATTTATATACATTACGGAAATATAAGTATGACCTACACTTGAGGAGACCAGGGTAAAAAAATCTGCGGCCTCCTTTAGAAAATTTCAGAACATTACTTTGAAAAGGGAAAAATAGTGCCTAAAATGCTAATACTTATTTTTTAGGGAAAAAAAGGGTATTAAAGTTCATAAACTATGCTACCCCCAAACAATAAAAACCTCAGACATTTAGGAATAGTTATTGTGAGTTTTTAGTACATTTATTCCTAATCTCAGTGAGTTAGAAATAAAGTTCTTTAAAGCTAATAGTAACCCTTGAGCATATATATGTGTATATATATGAAAGAAAGCGGGATATATATATATATATATGTTATATATATAATGAATATAAATACAATGTATAAAAACCACCCATAAGACTATATATATATATAGTTTTTATTCTAGAAACCATAAAAGTAGTTTCATATTTTGATGCTAAAACGAAAACCATTGATAATTCCTATGCATTAGCTATTTTTACCTTCTCATGATGATAATACTTGAAACATTGCAATATAGATCTCAGTAATAAAATAACTGATAAATATGGTCTTTTCATTTTAGCCACGTACTAAATGAACTGATACAGACTGAGAGAGTTTATGTTCGAGAACTGTATACTGTTTTGTTGGTAAGCGACTCAAATTGTATTTGCCCTATCTTTTCCCGAATGATCCCTTGCTACATTCATTAGAAAGTGTTTAGGGGCAATCTTCTACTTCCGTCTCCTTCCTTGGTTGTCATATGGCAGCAGTGGGCATTTCTTTTATTGTTTGATGCAGCATGTCGGTTAAACGTGCACATTCAGGCTCTCCCTCAGTAATGGGAATGATTGATTCAGAATTTATTACAGAAGAGAAAATGTTCTCTTAGGGATACAGCCGATTGTTACAATTATTCCCAGGGTGCTATTTAGAGATCGTGATGTAAAAAACTGAGAATGGGATAAAATATTCTTTTGACAAAAATGTCATGATATTAATTTGGTCTGAAAAAACCTAAGCACGTATTGCCAATTTAAGGAGAAGCTGATGACCTGTAGTCTATGTTTTTATCTTGGTTTCTATCTTGTTTCCTACACTACAAGCTACTCTGAAGGCCAAAGAGCTATTACTTTATTCTGCCTATTTGATTGGAAAACTTGACTTCCTTTCCTTGCCCTGCCTTCTAAAAAAAAAAAAAAAAAAGTCATGGATAACTTTGGGAAGTAGGAGATTTGAATTGAATTAAAATTGAAATAAAATTCAAAAAACTTCACCATCAAATCCCTTAATATTCTGCTGTACCTACACCATTAGTAGCCCAACCAAATGTGCATGTAATTATTTTAAAATGCATGAATGTATTTATTTTGGGTAGGGTTATAGAGCGGAGATGGATAATCCAGAGATGTTTGATCTTATGCCACCTCTCCTGAGAAATAAAAAGGACATTCTCTTTGGAAACATGGCAGAAATATATGAATTCCATAACGAGTATGTAATTGCTGAATTGAATATTTATTTTTTATAAAACTATTTAAAGTGCTCTCTTTACCAGTTTATTATATTTCACATAAAATCATGCAATTTTTTTTCTCTGAAATTTTCACAGCATTTTCTTGAGCAGCCTGGAAAATTGTGCTCATGCTCCAGAAAGAGTGGGACCTTGTTTCCTGGAAAGGGTTAGTTAAATTATTTTTTAAATATATATAAATATGCACCACCAAAATAGCAACTCACTTATAAGAACAGATTTGGAGACAAGATAGGTACTTTATGTCTTTATGTTTTTGGAGAGGACACATTACTCCAGCAAGTATTTAATACCAAACCAAGTTTTGCTGCAGAAATGGATGCACTGGGATATCCAGAGCATAAAAATACCCCTTCCATTCTGTGGTATCAAATGCTTCAGTGGCTCAGCTCTTGAACACTGACTCCTGGGTAATCCTAGTAATCCAGGGACCATCCTGACTATGAAGATGTAAGAGTTGGGATCATGATAACAAAACCATCTGGGGCTTGGTTAATTTTTTTTTTTTTGCCTAAAAAACACCTTATTATTTATATTATTTGTCTTATTAAAATACATGTAAAGTTTTAGAATTGGATCTAGTCTGACTTTCAGCCATCAAGGCATCTATCACAGGAACTTCACAGAAACAGAGAGCTGTCAGTTCTTTTCATTCAACAAAAGCATTTAGGGAGGCCCATTCCTCTGTGTCCCAAGTATGGTTAATACAATTGACTTCCCAGGTTAGTGATCATACTCTCCTCCATTAGTTTTCTTTTAGAATATTTTTTGTGTATGCTTCTCTGCTTATGCAGTTTCTCTTCTTCCTGAAAGATCAGTTTTGTCTTGATTTAAGAGTTAATTCAATAGAGGTGATTGTTGAAAGCTTCAAAATAGATGTCTTATCCCAGAAAGTGTTTATGAAATGAGAAGAGAATAAGGATAAGAAAGAACTGTGTGTCAACCTTGCTCAACGTGTTCTAACTTTATTTATTTTATTTTTTTATTTTTATTTTTGAGACAGTCTCACTCTGTCACCCAGGCTGGAGTTCAGTGGTGTGATCTCGGCTCACTGCAACCTCCACGTCCCGGGTTCACACCATTCTCCTGCCTCAGCCTCCCGAGTAGCTGGGACTACAGGTGCCCACCACCACGCCCAGCTAATTTTTTGTATTTTTAGTAGAGACGGGGTTTCACCGTGTTAGCGAGGATGGTCTCGATCTCCTGACCTCGTGATCTGCCCACCTCAGCCTCCCAAAGTGTTGGGATTACAGGCGTGAGCCACCGTGTCCGGCTAAGATGTTCTAACTTTAAGCATATTTAAATTATGACCAAATTCTTTCCCAACCTCATCAAGCAATAGCAGTTTATCCTTCCTTTAGACTCCATAGTATGTAATGTCTATCCTACTCATGGGAGATTTTATATTTACTGTGCTTGTGCACCTTTACATATATACGTGAATTTTCTCCCAAACTTAATGGACAGCCCTTAGAACGAGAGTCCATATCCTATATATTGTTGTATCTCTCATTGGGTTAGCAGCGTTCTTAGCAACCAGTTGTGGTTTAATAAATGTTTATTGATGAATTGTTTATTTATTCAACAACCATTTACTGGTCACCTACTATGCACCAAGCATTGTGCCAGATAATGTGGATACCAAGCCCAAATCTATTTAGATATAAAAACAGGGAAATTATTAATTGTGTAGAAGATGAGTTGCATTAGATTTGAAATATACAAATGGTCCTGGGAAAATCCAGAAGAGGGGCGTCTTGCATAGAATGGGGGTATAAACAATGGTTGTATAGAAGAGATAACTCATGAGATAAATGTTAAATAATGAGTAGGAGGTAGCCCATTCATGAGGGTCAGAGAAAGAGGATTCCAGGGAAAGAGAATTGCATAAGTGCCTAAATGGATTATGCTACAGTGATAAAGTCCCAGTGATGAACCTAGGACTGTAGGCTCTAACTTGGAAGTCAGCTACAAGTTCATTCACTAGGGAATCAAGAGACTAATAACAGAATATATTTCTTGGCAGCCTATTAGTTCATCGTTATGCAAAAAGTAGGTTTTTATAGTTCAGACAGAGAAGCCTCCATCTAAGCCTCAAGCTTGGCAAGTGGAAGCTCTGATATTACTTAGATAATTATGTGTCCTCCCACCAGATGCAATGGGCATGCTGTTCTTGGAATATAAAAAAGGCTTTTGACCAGCTGCTAGTACAGTAGGCCCTTTAGGCCACATTTCCTAGGATGCTTGGTTACACTCTTGTTTAGCCTTTCTTGATGGCAAAAGTCATATTCACAAATTAGTAATACATTTGAATTTGTTTTTTATCACAGAAGGATGATTTTCAGATGTATGCAAAATATTGTCAGAATAAGCCCAGATCAGAAACAATTTGGAGGAAGTATTCAGAATGCGCATTTTTCCAGGTACAGTAATTATTCAAGTATTGGATATATTCTTTCTGGAAGATATTGCGGTATTTCTTAATTATAAATTCATTTTCTACTTTAAGTACGTTACATGTGCATATACGTATATGAGTTAAAGAGCAAATCCACCCTCCCCCCCAACACACACAAACACATTTGTAACTTCCCAGAGGCAAACACTTTCAGCACTTTTAGCTACATCCTTTGGTATTTACCTCCATAGCTCCAAATGACATGCTTATCTTTATCCTTTATACTATGGAAGATGAAGATTTAGCTCTCTTTCACGCCCCTCCACCCACCCAACTACCACATATACAAATATACTTCTTTTCTTTCAAAATCTCCACTATAGTCATATCGTAATTTTGGTTAGATTGATATACAGTATTAAATTAAGACTACGTAATTTCTTTGCTCAGATGAATCATGTGGTATAATAGGGTTGCTTTTCCTACCCTTCTGTTTGTCTTGCAGTGGTTTTTTTACTCAGTTTTCTAGATACTTATCGTTATTCTACCCCAACCTCTCCCAGATGTGGGAGTTACAAAAATCTCTTCTTATTACATTTAAACACATTCTATTTTCTCTGAATTTCATATTCTTAAAGAAATATCTCCTGGGGTTTTCTGTCTTGCTTGTCTAGACTCACTAGGCTTGTTGCGCAGCTGTCATCTGGGGATCTTGGTGAACATAATTTTTGGAATTCTCCTCACCTGTCTATTGCATAGGCTCTCCTCATTCCTAGGTGCCATGTCTTTATTTTTCTTGTTTACCTCCCTTGTTTGGTGGAACACATCCTCCAGTAGTTTTCCCAAGAAAGTGTACACAGTACATAAAAGTTTTTGAGAGTGTATGTGTCTGCAAATATCTTTATTCTACCCTAAGACTTCATTGCTAGTTTGGCTGTGTATAGAATTCTAGGTAAGAAATAATTATACTCAGAATTTTGAAGGTATTGCTTGATTGTCTTCTAGCTTCCAGTGTTGCTATTCAGAAATCTGATGCCATTTTAATTGTTGTTCCTTTGTAGGTGACTTAGTTTCTGTCCTCTGAAAGCTTATGAAAACTTATTTTCAGTGTTCAAATGTTGGCACTATTTTTATCCATTATGCTAGTATTAGGGTGATAACTTTGAATTTGGAACCTCCTGTACAAATTTACTTGGAGGTTTTCTTTGATTTCCTCCACCCAATTGTCTCCATTTTCTCTTTTTGGAATTTCTGTTGTACGGATATTGGATATCCTGGACTGGTCCTCTAATTATCTTATCTTTTCTATTTTCCATTCTTTGTCTTATTACTCTACTTTCTAGTTCTTCCATTGAGGTTTCCATTTCTGCCATTGTGTTTTTAATTTTGAAGAGCCCTCATCCTTTTACTGTTTTTTCAATGTTTCTTTTAATAGAATTCTATTTTCATTTTATGAATTCAGTATCTTCATTCATCTATACAAAGATGATAATAGATTTTTCTTTTAAAAATGGCTTTCTTCTCCCTGCACATCTTCTGTTGTCTTCACTTTGCTTTTTTTCTTCTATTTCTCTTTGTTTGGTTCCTATTACCCATGTTTGATGCTCTCCTCAAATGTCTGGTGATACTTGTCTGTCCACTTACATTAGGAGTAAACACTAAAAAGCTCATTGGAAGTTTCCAGGGCATATGTGGGTTTATTGACCATGATCCTCATTGTTGAGTTATTTGTCTCAAGCTATTTGCTTGAAGGGATTCCCAAATACCTGTATCTTTAGAGCATTTCTATTAGGCTGGTCAGATTCCTTGAACTGCTACCTTGTGTATAATGATCTGGATGCTAGTGTTGTGGTAGCAGAGTTGGGAGAAAAGGCTGAGGGTCACTTGTTTGAGATATAACATGGAGAGTACTTGAATATTTTTCAATATGGTACTCTGCCCTAAGTTGAACCTTGTATCCTTTGGTCCATAGGGCCTGTGTTTTACTCTTTCTAGATAAACATCCATTTTTCTGCCAAAGGAAGGGAAGAGAAGGCACCCAGCTGTGCAAAGTGGTGTGGTTATCTGAGAGCCTTATTGCTTTTGTTTAGATTTTCATGCCATTTATTTTCTTCTTGTAACAGCTTTATTGAGCTATAACTAAAATGCCATCAGTTCGCCCTTTTAAAGTATACAATTCAGTGGTTTTACTAGATTCACAAGGTTGTACAACCATGTTTTTATCACTAAAAAGAAACCAGTCTTACCCTCCCTTTTTTCCCCAATCTAAGCAGCCCTAGGCAATCACTAATCTGCATCCTGTCTTCAATAGATTTGCCTATTCTGGACATTTCATATAAATGGAATCATACAATATGTGGTCTTTTGTGTTTGACTTCTTTCTTTCATTTAGCATAATAGTTTAGTGGTTCGTCCATGTTGTAGCATGTATTAGTTTTTTATTCCTATTTATGGTTGAATAATATTCCATTATATGGATGTATAGCATTTTATTTATCCATTCATTGATTGATGCACATTTGGCTTGTTTCTACCTTTTGATTATTATGAACAATGCTGCTGAGAATGCTTTTGCATAAGTTTTTCTGTAGACATATATTTTCATTCCTCTTGGCTATACACCTGGGAGTGAAAGTGCTGGATCATATAGTAACTCTACATTTAACTTTTTGAGAAACTGCTGGACTCTTTTCCAAAGTTACTGCACCGTTTTGCATTTCCAACAGCAGTGTATGAGGGTATTAATTGCTCCATATCCTCACCAACACTTGTTATTATCTAATTACTTCTTAAAAAGACTTTCAACAAGCATCCTTTCTTGAACCGCACCTTTACCTCCCACTTTCAGAGGTACTTGGTGTCTATAATCCCTGAGACTTTGTGGAGGGCAGGGAAGAGATGTTTATAACATAAATTGAGTTGTTCCTTGGCTTTTTCCTCCACCAACTTGAAATCCACTTTTCTCCAGTGTGCTTGGTTGTTGACCACTTCTAAGTTTGGTTTCCAGTTTCCAAATTTTGCGGAAGTTTTCCCCTTGCTTATCTTCTTCATAACTTTGTGATTTTGCCTAGTAAAATAACTTTTCCATCATTTTAGTTGGTTGTCATGAGTGAGGAGATCTAAACGCATGTATCAAGTTGGTGCAAAAGTTACTGTGGTTTTTGCCACTGAAAGTAATGGCAAAAACCACAATCACTTTTGCACCAACCTAATAGCAGTCCCCCATCTTTAAGTCTCATTTGAATTAGATTGTATGTTGGATTTTACCCATATTCAGAGGAGAGCCATGGTTCTTATTCAGGCGTATTTTTCCCCAATCCCTTTGTGTTCTATACTTTCTCTATGCACATTTCATCCTAAATATCTGCATCTTGCCCTAACTATGGGCCCCTACAATGTTCCCGGAACCCAACATCATGACCCTTATATTTATAGTGGCAATGGGCCAATTACTGAAGTATAGCACCAGTTGATGATGGCTTTTTCTTGTTATATTAAAAATTTTGTTCTCATATCCAGTCTGATTTATATTCAGCACAACCAATTTCTTTTCTGAGCCTTGGCTTGTAGAGCTTGGTCTTTCGTGAATTTTCTTGAATATATTAAAGAACGTTTTAATCATGTTAATCTATAGTCATTCCCTGCTTTCACACCTTTTAAGCATTCCACATCAATATGAATTTATATTTGAAAACTTTTAAATCTTTGAAATGTTGAAATTGTTTACCTCTCCAATCCTTGAAATAGTGTTTATGGTAGTTTTTCAGATATATTGTGTCTTATAATTTCTGTACTATAACAGTGATTTTTCCAATAAATATTCTTTGAGATGTAAGAAACATTGGGGCATTAGGTTTAATCAATGAACACTTGGCATTTTCACAGGTACATGTCTTAATTTAATTTTATTGATATTTATCTTTTAATGACAGGAATGTCAAAGAAAGTTAAAACACAGACTTAGACTGGATTCCTATTTACTCAAACCAGTGCAACGAATCACTAAATATCAGTTATTGTTGAAGGTAATTATATGAAGCATTTGTTTGTTTCTTTACTTTTTGAGTCAGATATGACAGAGCCATTAAAAAGGAAATAGTTTACTAGGAAGCACTAGAAATAGGTAGGCTCAATGACTGGGAAGGCTGGATTTGGCAGAATTTTGCAGTGTGCTCCATCAATTCACTGTGGCTACAAATGCCATAGGCATAGATATCAGGCTGAGAATATCTGGGATCTTAGCTATTTAATTTTTCATACAAGTTGTGTTGATTTCCGCACAATGTTTTACTGAAGAACTTTAAATATTAGTAAGAAGAACTAAACAAAGCAAATATTTCTTATAGTTTTGAGGCTGCATTTCATAGGGGCCTTCCTAATGAAAAATGCGAATGGCACTCCCCTAGTATAATGCGAAAGGATTGCTAGAATCTTGTGTTAAGTATAAATACAATATGGCTTGTTTTAAAGTGAATTTTCATAATATTCTATGCTATATGCATTATGAGTGCATCATGGCTAAAACAAATTACTGTATGTAGAGGACAAAAGAACCCTACATGTAATGGCTTTAAAAATTGATCTCTGATGTGTCTTAATAGCTATTATACTTCAACTCCAGAAGCATTAAATGTCCTTTGTTTTATACTATTCAGTCACTATTCTACTTCCTCTATTTTGACAGCCATTAAAAATATTACTGCAGCAAAGGGCATGTAAAAGGAATTACTCCAAAATGTGACATTATATTTGGATTCCAGCTTGAAAGCATGTTAGCCAAAAACTTATTCATTTCAACCAGATATTAATATCTGCCTAATATTAATTCCTGATTTCTAATTACAGGAGCTATTAAAATATAGCAAAGACTGTGAAGGATCTGCTCTGTTGAAGAAGGCACTCGATGCAATGCTGGATTTACTGAAGTCAGTTAATGATTCTATGCATCAGATTGCAATAAATGGCTATATTGTAAGCACATTTTAATAATTGTTGGAATTTTAGAGGGTCGGCATCTCAACATCCCTTTTCCCCTCCTGGAACCAATTGAGAAATAACGTATAAGAATCAGATAACTGGAGATCAAAATGTTGATGTTACTACTGATAATGCTAAGTGGAGAATTGGCTTCAGATCAGCAGCCAAATGGATTTATGAGATCCCCCTTGTCCCCAACAGTCTTCCCCCAATCCCAGACCTGGGAGATCCTGCTTAAGGAATGTTTGAGTCAGCTAAGAAAACGTATTGCTCCATAATTGCTGCTTGCCCCTGTAGATAGGAATAGATAGGAAAGAAAAGAATCAAATCTTTAGCACTTGTGTAGCCTTTTAACAGGTTAGCTCCACCCAGTGGGAAAACTTGAACTGGTATATATCATGCACCAATCAGGATTGAAGAAGAGATGGGGAGACTTACCCTAGCTGAAATACCTCCAGATGATATGAAGCCAGAGAAAAGGAAGTTTCTTTTGTCCCCCACCCCCACAGTAATTTTGTACTTATGTGGTGCATGCCATGTTTTAACATACAAAGTTAAGTTTTTAAAAAAACATAAATTATTCTTCAGGGTTTGAGTAGCTTAAGCTGAACCCTAACATGTTGGTGTCAGAGAGCTGAATGTAGCTTTGCTTTCTACTAATGGGTTTTGATTTTCCATTCTAGGGAAACTTAAATGAACTGGGCAAGATGATAATGCAAGGTGGATTCAGCGTTTGGATAGGGCACAAGAAAGGTGCTACAAAAATGAAGGATTTGGCTAGATTCAAACCAATGCAGCGACACCTTTTCTTGTATGAAAAAGCCATTGTTTTTTGCAAAAGGCGTGTTGAAAGTGGAGAAGGCTCTGACAGATACCCGTCATACAGTTTTAAACACTGTTGGAAAGTAAGACAATTTGTATCGGGTAATGTAGTATTGTTTCGTGTGTGTGTGTCTCCCAGTTTGTACATTTTTTTTGTTTCAAATGAGTAGGTTTTATACTTTCGCTGCACATCTTTGTTTTTTTTAAAAAATCTTAAGTCTTATGTAGAAGTCAGATGAATCATAACTTCTCTGCTTGAAGTGAAGGTGAGGTAATTCAGAGCTTTGATTCCTCCCTTTCTTCTCACTACGATCCTAGGTATTCCCCAAGGGGGCTCCCTAGCGTCCTGAAGAGCACAGTTTGAAATGATAAGGAGTGTCCCAGCCTCCTCATAAGCACTCTCTTTCGAGTGACACTGGGTGGAGTTCTTGGTCTTGTTAGAAAGGAGCCTTATGCTACAGGAGAGACAGGGAGGAAAGAGTTTCCTCCTTTTCCTCAATGCAATTTAAAAATGGGTAACTTTTGTGTTTAGCATGTCCCCACCTTCCTTTCTGTGTTCCTCCTCCACTCCCTAGCTCCACCCTACCTGGGTGTTCAAAGCCACCTATAGCTGAATCCTTTCCTTATCTGTCCTGTTCCGTCTTTCAAAATTACTTTATTCTCTCCTATAAACAAAATCCCCATTTTGTCCTAATATTAGTTTGTTATTAAAAAGAGAACAGTATTGTTTGGGGAAGTTATTGACAACCCAATGATACTTACAGCTGGTTTCTCCAATAGAGAAGAAGAACTTCCAATTCACATGAGACCCATAATTGACAAATTTGAATTTTTTTACATCTAATGCATTTCATCTTTTGAATTTTAAATTTTTTTTTATTTTTTATTTTTTTATTTTATTATTATTATACTTTAAGTTTTAGGGTACATGTGCACAATGTGCAGGTTAGTTACATATGTATACATGTGCCACGCTGGTGTGCTGCACCCATTAACTCATCATTTAGCATTAGGTATATCTCCTAAAGCTATCCCTCCCCCCTCCCCCCACCCCACAACAGTCCCCGGAGTGTGATGTTCCCCTTCCTGTGTCCATGTGTTCTCATTGTTCAATTCCCACCTATGAGTGAGAAGATGTGGTGTTTGGTTTTTTGTTCTTGCGATAGTTTACTGAGAATGATGATTTCCAATTTCATCCATGTCCCTACAAAGGACATGAACTCATCATATTTTATGGCTGCATAGTATTCCATGGTGTATATGTGCCACATTTTCTTAATCCAGTCTATCATTGTTGGACATTTGGGTTGATTCCAAGTCTTTGCTATTGTGAATAGTGCTGCAATAAATACATGTGTGCATGTGTCTTTATAGCAGCATGATTTATAGTCCTTTGGGTATATACCCAGTAATGGGATGGCTGGGTCAAATGGTATTTCTAGTTCTAGATCCCTGAGGAATCGCCACACTGACTTCCACAATGGTTGAACTAGTTTACAGTCCCACTAACAGTGTAAAAGTGTTCCTATTTCTCCACATCCTCTCCAGCACCTGTTGTTTCCTGACTTTTTAATGATTGCCATTCTAACTGGTGTGAGATGATATCTCATTGTGGTTTTGATTTGCATTTCTCTGATGGCCAGTGATGGTGAGCATTTTGTCATGTGTTTTTTGGCTGCATAAATGTCTTCTTTTGAGAAGTGTCTGTTCATGTCCTTCGCCCACTTTTTGATGGGGTTATTTGTTTTTTTCTTGTAAATTTGTTTGAATTCATTGTAGATTCTGGATATTAGCCCTTTGTCAGGTGAGTAGGTTGCGAAAATTTTCTCCCATTCTGTAGGTTGCCTGTTCACTCTGATGGTAGTTTCTTTTGCTGTGCAGAAGCTCTTTAGTTTAATTAGATCCCATTTGTCAATTTTGGCTTTTGTTGCCATTGCTTTTGGTGTTTTAGACATGAAGTCCTTGCCCATGCCTATGTCCTGAATGGTAATGCCTAGGTTTTCTTCTAGGATTTTTATAGTTTTAGGTCTAACATTTAAGTCTTCAATCCATCTTGAATTAATTTTTGTATAAGGTGTAAGGAAGGGATCCAGTTTCAGCTTTCTACATATGGCTAGCCAGTTTTCCCAGCACCATTTATTAAATAGGGAATCCTTTCCCCATTGCTTGTTTTTGTCAGGTTTGTCAAAGATCAGATAGTTGTAGATATGCGGCATTATTTCTGAGTGCTCTGTTCTGTTCCATTGATCTATATCTCTGTTTTGGCACCAGTACCATGCTGTTTTGGTTAGTGTAGCCTTGTAGTATAGTTTGAAGTCAGGTAGCGTGATGCCTCCAGCTTTGTTCTTTTGGCTTAGGATTGACTTGGCGGTGCGGGCTCTTTTTTGGTTCCATATGAACTTTAAAGTAGTTTTTTCCAATTCTGTGAAGAAAGTCATTGGTAGCTTGATGGGGATGGCATTGAATCTATAAATTACCTTGGGCAGTATGGCCATTTTCACGATATTGATTCTTCCTACCCATGAGCATGGAATGTTCTTCCATTTCTTTATATCCTCTTTTATTTCATTGAGCAGTGGTTTGTAGTTCTCCTTGAAGAGGTCCTTCATGTCCCTTGTAAGTTGGATTCCTAGGTATTTTATTCTCTTTGTAGCAATTGTGAATGGGAGTTCATTCATGATTTGGCTCTCTGTTTGTCTGTTATTGGTGTATAAGAATGCTTGTGATTTTTGTACATTGATTTTGTATCCTGAGACTTTGCTGAAGTTGCTTATCAGCTTAAGGAGATTTTGGGCTGAGACAATGGGGTTTTCTAGATATAATATTTCTATTGAGATAATCATGTGGTTTTTGTGTTTGGTTCTGTTTATATGCTGGATTACATTTATCGATTTGCGTATATTGAACCAGCCTTGCATCCCAGGGATGAAGCCCGCTTGATCATGGTGGATAAGCTTTTTGATGTGCTGCTGGATTCGGTTTGCCAGTATTTTATTGAAGATTTTTGCATCAATGTTCATCAAGGATATTGGTCTAAAATTCTCTTTTTTGGTTGTGTCTCTGCCCGGCTTTGGTATCAGGATGATGCTGGCCTCATAAAATGAGTTAGGGAGGATTCCTTCTTTTTCTATTGATTGGAATAGTTTCAGAAGGAATGGTACCAGTTCCTCCTTGTACCTCTGGTAGAATTCGGCTGTGAATCCATCTGGTCCTGGGCTCTTTTTGGTTGGTAAGCTATTGATTATTGCCCCAATTTCAGAGCCTGTTATTGGTCTATTCAGAGATTCAGGAGCTGGTTTTTTGAAAGGATCAACAAAATTGATAAACTGCTAGCAAGACTAATAAAGAAGAAAAGAGAGAAGAATCAAATAGACGCAATAAAAAATGATAAAGGGGATATCACTACCAATCCCACAGAAATACAAACTACCATCAGAGAATACTATAAACACCTCTATGCAAATAAACTAGAAAATCTAGAAGAAATGGATAAATTCCTTGAATTTTAAATTCTAAAACCAATATAACATTTGTCACAAAAAATTTCAAAAATAGAGAAAACGATTGTCCTTAATTCCCCAACCACTATCATGTTAGTTACTTTTCATGAGCATGTTCTTTCATAGTTCTCATCACCAGTATATTTGACAATTGATGAAATTTTCAGTAGCAGTTATAAAGAGGACAGGCAATATGTTTTGAGACAGGCATGAGGTATTTGTATTAGGAGACTACCTGTAAGCAGGCCTTGCTTTTGATTCTTCCCATAGGATCAGCAGCCCCTAGTTGTTCCCAACAAGGTTCCTGCCCAGGGTCGGGTCAAAAAGAAGTAGTTCTTCCTATTGTGTATTTTCCCTGCTTCACTCTGAACCCACAGCAGCTTCTTTAAAACTCTTGGTTTCGTCACAAAGGGCCAGTTGCTCCTTTGATTTTAGCAGTCCACCTCTAAGCCCCCAAATCTCAAAGGGCCTTCTAAGTAATTAATAAACATAGATTGAGAACCATAAATTTGTAATCCATGTCAGAGAGGGTTCAAATCTCTTGCTGTCTGTATACCTATTCCTTGGGAAGGTACTTTACCTTCATAGGCATATTTGACCCAAATGCATTTGATGTACATTTTATCATGAGGTGACCTAATTTCTACCTAATATAGTATTTCTATTTCATATTAATTTTCTATTTTACCTTTAATTTGTTACAATGATGGACATGCCAACAAAATGTTTCTTGAGTACATTAAAGTAAGGGGGATATTAGGTGATTAAGTCATGAAAACTGAAACTGCAATAGGTACCATGGAAACAGAGAAGGTGGGATAGATTCAAGAAACATTTCAATAGAAGGTAGACAGATGGGCTTGATGACTTACTAGCTACAAAAATTAAATAATACCTGACATTGAAGGAAGAAAATCTTTCTGATTCTTCTTTGGTTCCCCAGTAATGCCAAGTATCCTTAATAAACAATATTAGCCAGTGATGCCTACAAGGCTTTAGACCAGGATTACTTGGAAAATGGTGATACCACTAAAAATTAGGATATTTCTTAGGGTTCACTACGCTCACTTCTGCTTGCCTGCTTATCATGAGATTCCAGCATTAAGCAATTGCTAGCATTCCTAGTCAATGTGTTATTTAAGAATCTGGGTTATTAGTTTCACAGTCTTACCCTTGGTAGAGAGGATCATTGCAGATATTCCACTGCTGAACCTTCTCTCTCACTTTTTTTTTTAACTTTTATTTTAGATTCAGGGGGTACATCTGCAGGTTTGTTACCTGGCTGTATTGCATGATGTTTAGGTTTGGGGCACAAATATCCCATCACCCAGGTACTGAGCATTGTCCCCAAGAGTTAGTTTTCCAACCCTTGTCCCTCTCCCTCCGTCCCTCCTCTGGTAGTCCCCAGTGTCTGTTGTTGCCTTTGTCTATGTCTCTCACTTTAAATGAACTCTTGTTTTGACTGCACCATACAAAGCTGGGATCCCATGGCCTGACCATGTACTTTCTAATTATTTATATGTTATATTTTAAGTTGGCTGCTTATATGCAAGGAAAGGCCCTATCTAAAGTCAAAGTTGACCAGATGGGGAGATTCGAGTCCTTCAGATTCCTTAGTTCATGTGTTTATTATCATCGATTTTTAAAAATTTTACAAATTGCACATAGTCCTTACTATGTGCAACACATAATGGTTAGATTTCCAGGGCAACTTAGAAAAGTTCACTTAATTGATAATGATGTACTATATGTTTGCAATAAAAAAATAACAAAACAATTGCAACTTAAATAGGGGAAAGAGTAGAAAGCAAACTCACACTTTAGAAAGCTCATTATAGGATCTAAGCATTTACTCCATGCTATTTAGTCCTTATATCAACCCTATGAAATAGGTGTTCTTTCTATTTTATAGTTGAGGAAACTGAAGTTTAGAAAAGTTAAGCAACTTGCACCAAGACACATAGCTAGTGAATGGTAGAGATGTATTCCAATCCAGACCTCTCTAACTTCAAAGCCTGTGGGCCTTCCAGCTTATCATGTTATTAAGACAAAACCATGTAATGAAACAAAATTAATTTTTAAAAATATTGAATATGAGATTACTATTCATCTTAAATTGTGATATTTGAGCAGAAGTAGGTTAGTTGGAATGATGGAGTGAGAATATAAAGATAGTTTGGGACATTGTGAAAATAACTTCTTACTACGTTCAGGGTGGATGTTACAGGTTCTTTCATTAATATGTTATGTTAAATTACATTTCTAAGCATAAGTGCTTTTCTTCTCCTTGGTATGGCGATCTCCCTAGCACTATCTTTAATGCTTATTAGCTCTAATAAGGGCCATTTGGGGGGCTCATAACTAGAACAGAGAGTGAGATACTCCTTTAGATAATTAGGTTAAGAATTGAAAGAAAAGAGGAAGGCAGAAAGGAACTAAAAGAATGTTTGTGCAAAGGAGTGAGATTGCCCAAAATGCAATTAGCCAAGCTGTTAGCAGAAAATGATGAAAGAAAATGGAAGAGTTTATGACTTGCACAATCACGCTGAGGAAAAGAAAAAATTGTGGTAAGGAATAAGGAAGAGATATTGTGTACAGAAGTTTCACTGGGTACAAAAAGACAACAATGTCCCATTACATATTATTATTATTATTTTTTTTTTAGAAAGGCCAAGGGATTGGTGGAAAATAGAGAGATCCTTGTGTACCTGGCTGGTTCTCTCCTGTCCCATGAATTAGATGTTTATAACTTGTAGGACTTCTATCAAAATAAATTATAATTTGTAGGATTAAGTGGTCTGTCAAATGATTATTCTAAATAACTATTTAAATTAATTTTCAGTGGCTTTTCTTTATTGATGTTTAATGACTTCTGTGTTTGACTCAATAATTTGTTTTAATAGTGTACTATTAATTTATAACATAATTAGATCTTAGATGGGCTACTTGGATGTTCAGATTTATAACATTTGTGTCAACCACTGAAATGAAGCGTGCAATCTGAACTATAAAGTGCATAGTTCAATGAAAACATTTAAATACTCTCGTCTATGATTGTAATTACTATTTCATATTCATTTAATATAACATGTATTTTTCTGCCCAAGAGAAATTCTGTTTCACTTAGAATATGATAGGGTAGATTTAATGTAATTTCATATTCAAAATAAAATGCTCATGAAAATTTTGACTTATTTATTATAGATGGATGAAGTTGGAATCACTGAATATGTAAAAGGTGATAACCGCAAGTTTGAAATCTGGTATGGTGAAAAGGAAGAAGTTTATATTGTCCAGGTTGGTCATTTGAAAATTCTTCTAGAAACCCAAACCTGCATTGAAATACAAAAGCCCGAATTTATAAACAAAAATAATTTTGGTCGCATTTCAAAATTTCCACCCCTTTCATGTAGGTCAGTTAAATATTATTTGAATATTCTTTGTGATGTATTTAAATGTTTTCTAGTAGTTACATTGAGATATGCCTGTGGTGTTCTCTAGGGCTTCAAGTTTTCACAACTACATAAGAGACTTATCAACTAGAGCTGACAGCTTGGCAGGTACTTCTCTGTCCCCATCAAATTTCCAAGTTATGGAATTATAATAGTTCTGAGTTCCTCTTATGCTAAGCATTCTAGGGGTACCTGATTATGAGACATGGGGATGTGACAGTTCAGACTTGCTTTCTGCTTCTAAAGAACATGGTTAAAGCCCTGGCCAGTTGTATAGGGTCCAACATGTTTCAGGGAAGGGAAGAGGAATCAGAACATTTCAAGAGGATGTTGTCATTGCAATAAATATTTGTATCTGGAGTTGTCAATGTGCTGTTATCTGTTAAAAATGCTCAGTGTTTTTTGTTTGTTGTAATTCTTTACTAGGTGACTGCAATCTATAAAAATATGTTTTCTTGGCTTGCTTAAGATATAATATTTGGTATCATTTAACAAACATCTTGTAAGTGATGGGAGGATATTTAAGGAGGATTTCATGTTACCATCAGTCACCAAGGTTATTCTGCAATAGATGGCCTTTTCAGAAATAGTAGAGCTTGTTTTATTTTACTAAAATTAAACATCAAAATGTTATATTTTAAAAAGAATCCTCCTGTAAAGACAAAATAAGTGAAATTATATTTCACAGTTTCATCCAAGCATTATTTTACCATTATTTAAGGGCAATTTCAAAATGGATTTTTTTTTTTTGAGACAGCGTCTCACCCTGTTGCTCAGGCTGGAGTGCAGTGGTGTGATCTCGGCTCACTTCAACCTCTGCCTCCCAGGCTCAAGCGATTCTCCCACCTCACCCTCTCAAGTAGCTGGGACTACAGGCACATGCCACCACACCTGGCTAATTATTATTATTATTATTAGTAGTAGTAGTAGTAGTAGAGATGGGGTTTCCCTATGTTCCCCAGGCTGGTCTCAAACTCCTGGGCTCAAGAGATCTGCCCACCTTGGCCTCCCAAAGTCCTGGGATTACAGCAAAAATGGTTCTGACTGTATTATTTCATCTAATCTGATAGCAAATTATTTGCTTCATAAAAATTTTAACAATCAAACGGTTAAGATTTGAGTATGGTGTTATAGGGAGTAGATCATATTTTATGTACACAATTACATTTGTTTTATTATAGTACATCCTTTTTAAAAGGAAATGTGTACCACCTCCCTCCCGCTTTTTTTTTAATCTTTAGGCTTCTAATGTAGATGTGAAGATGACGTGGCTAAAAGAAATAAGAAATATTTTGTTGAAGCAGCAGGAACTTTTGACAGGTAAATTCAAGCCTGCATTCTTCAGAACAAGAAGTATAGTAACAGCTTATTGACTCAGATTTTTAAATTATTTTTCCAGAGAATGGGGCTGATATTTACTTTATACTATTACAATGAGAAGATTTGTTAATTTAATTAGTAGGAGATTGAGATTCAGAGGATTGTTTAAACTATTTTGAAGAATGAACTTTACACTAGAAAATGAACCCTTGTGCTTAAGAAGCAGTTGAGAAGCAACACAGTGAACTGATTGTGGTAATCCCCAGTCCTTTCCATGAGGTGACTCTGCTTAATATCTCGAGTAATCATTGCTCTATAATGATGGAATGGGAGCCAGTTCTACTTCTAAACTTGAACTTCTTGAATAAAATATTATATGGTCCAGACCTTTCCAAATTCAAACTTGAGACTGGCCTTCCCTCTGATTATTTCAAGTCTGTGAAGCTTAAGTCTAATGGCAAGGATGCGTGTGTGTGTGTGTGTGTGTGTGTGAGAGAGAGAAAGTCATTGGCCTTCAAGGAAGTAAGAAGTGTGACTTCTGAATGATAATATGCTTTGTTTTATTTCTCAGTTAAAAAAAGAAAGCAACAGGATCAATTAACAGAACGGGATAAGTTTCAGATTTCTCTTCAGCAGAATGATGAGTAAGTGATTATTCTTTAAGAAATACCACTCCTGCAATCTTTTGTTTTCTGTATGTAACATGAAGCAATGTAATTAAAGTATCTCTGACAAGAACCATCCACCAATTTAGCAATAACTCATCAAATTCCATAAACATCATTTTCTGAGGTCCAGCCTTATACTGGAGGCTGATAGTTCTTAATAGTTATCCCTTGGGTTGATTTCTAAACATGATTGAAAATGCTTTATTTTTAATATATCATTGGAAGAATTACATGTAGGCTGACAGGAAAGGAGGCTGTGCTCATAAGCTTTTTTTTTCAAAGTATTTTTGGTCACCTTTGATCTGACTGGAAAAAGAGGGTTGTAAGAATATGGGAATAGAGCAAATGAAGGACTGGCTCACAGTTTTACAGTCCCTTGATGGGGACCTCTTGCTGGTGATTTGGCCTCTCTCTACATAGAGAGAAGGTATGGATCCTGGGAGGGAACTGAGCCTGGACACAACCAGGAGTCATTAAGGAAGCCTCTAGAAATTCCAAAAGGTGGAGTTCTCGCTGAACATTTGCATATATACAGAAAGAATTCTCTCATTGATTCTGAAGGCCTGGCACAGAGATTCACCACACAGCATCTGCTTGCTGTGGTGATCATTGAATGACTTATTAGAAATACTGTTTTTTCCTTCGCTGCATGTCATCTTTCTGAGGTAGCTAAAATCAGATGAAACATATGGTGGTTCACGTGGAGATTTAGGAGAACCATTTAAAAGTTGCAGATAAAGTCTTTATCTTTCAGAGTTCAAAAAGCTCCATCTTTTATCGTACATTATAGGAGTAACATCTTTAGGTTTTATGCAGTAATTGACTTAATAGTAGCTGGTACATACTCAACAATATGAATCAGTTGAAGGTTTCATCTTCATTTATATACAACAACTTACCTAATTCATTAATGTTATAAGTCCACAGAGCAACGGGGATTGTATACAATACCCTTACTTTGGGTCTAGAAGGGAGTAGTTTTTCTCCTTACATAATAGAGAACCTGCTGGCTTGGATCTGAGATTTAAGCTTTTGTATATTATAACCTATTGCCACACAGATTTAAATAGGGAGTATTGGCTGTTTGGATGGATTCTCAGCATGTTCTTAACACTTGGTATCAATGGAAGAAATACCACTTTAAATTTCTTTTTACTTGTAAACTGTACAAAAGCTCACTTAGTTTTATACATCACTATTTCAGAAAGCAACAGGGAGCTTTTATAAGTACTGAGGAAACTGAATTGGAACACACCAGCACTGTGGTGGAGGTCTGTGAGGCAATTGCGTCAGTTCAGGCAGAAGCAAATACAGGTATGTGTCATGGTCATCTTAAGACGAGACTCATGGGTGTGCAAATTTTTACCTCGTATTATTAATTTGGAAATCTACCCACTTGGTATTTTTGTATAAACAAAATACAGTTAACCCATTTTTATAAGGCTCTCATGTCTTGCATATGCAGGACACTCTGATGGGCACTAGAGAGTATTGGTTGTCAAAGTGTGGTCCCTGGACCACTAGAATCAACATCACCTGGAAACTTTTACAGAAGACAAATTCTCTTGCTCTATTCAGACCTTCTGGATCAGAAACTCTGGGAACAAGGCCCAGCCACTTGAGTTTTAACAGGCTCTCTCTGTGATTTTGATGCATGGTCAAGTTTGGGAACCCCTGCTATAAAGGATATAGTGATGAATAAAACATATATACTGGCTTCAAGGAATGCGCATTTCACTTACCGTTGGTTTAATGAATAGAGAAGAGTCATTAACAGCCGAAATATTTATTCTTCCTCTGTGAATGGTTTTATTTGAAGTGATTTTAAATACTTTATTTAATTCAACAAATATTGACATAGCATGATCTGCATTCCAGGAGTTATGCAAAGTGCTAGGCATATAGTCTAACTAGGATACACTCAGCTGCCATCCTCATGAAGCTAGGAGAATAGAAAGATAGTTAAACAAGCAATTAAAAGTAAATTTGGCGAGTGTTACAGCAGGGAAGTACGAAGTGCTGTAGAAGCATACATGAGGATCACCTAAACAACTCTAGGATCAACAGCATAGACTTCTTTGGAGAAATGCCTAACAGAGTGCCTGATACTCAACACTTTAATATGATGATCCTTAATATGGAAGAGTTCTCTACTGGTTGAGGAGAAAAAGGTAATGATAGCCTTGTAGAGTTTCCATTTATCCAATTAAAGGTCACTTCCCTCAGGTCATCTATGCTGTGGCCCCCAAAGAAGTAAGGAGAGAGCATAGTACTAATGCCTTCATTTGACAGGTGAGGAAACCAAGTTAGAAAAAGATGACAATGACTTTTCCCAGGTTGCATGAATAGTTTAATGTGGCCAGGATGAGATCTGTTAATTTGCTGCTTACATTAGATTGGTTAATCCATTTTTTTAAATTCAACTTTTTAAAGGATTACAGCTAGTTTTACTTCTCACCTTGTGGTAAATTAGCACCATGAAGTAACTGCCACATTCCACACTTTTCTTATAGTTTGGACTGAGGCATCACAATCTGCAGAAATCTCTGAAGAACCTGCGGAATGGTCAAGCAACTATTTCTACCCTACTTATGATGAAAATGAAGAAGAAAATAGGCCCCTCATGGTTAGTAATAATATAGTAAATTAAAATTATTGAGGCAGTTTTACTGATGAAATATAGGTGGAGCACATAGGGGCAATCTTTTGTCAGCATCCTTGAGGCCATTAGGAGTAAGCCATTGCTAAAATAGTTGAAATAAATCTTATTATGAACATCAGGAAGCACTTCTGTCTTTAAGTAGAACCTGTTTGACCTATACATAGAGCTTCTGCTGATGTTGATGAAATAGATAGTCAATCTTTCCAAATCTCTAAAATCCCAGTTTTATCTTTAGTAGAGCTTCACCACTGTGTTTTCCATCCAGGCATGTGAAATAAAATCAGAGAACAAAGGGGCTTCAAATACACTTTAAAAACCAGTTTGGATTCCAGATTAGAAAATAAAGGAAATAAGCATTATACATTAAAAACGATTTAATAACATCTGGGGGATATATTTTAGTGTGTTCTCAAAAATACACTAATGATATAAAATCTCAGCATATTAGAGCAAGGGAGCACCCTGTAAAATTAAAGGAGGTTGCTTTAAGGTTAAAGTGTTTATAGAAGGAATAGTTTGCAAGTTGGTAGGATACCAGTGGGCTATTAAAGAGGAGGTAGGACTGTTTGGGAGTAAATCCCTACTTTTCTAAAGTCACCAGCTTGGAAGGTAGGAGTGATGCTTGGAGGTAGAGTGCTCCTTGGTGCCCTTCAGAGGAATCAATTACATTTGGCAGTTCTACTGTTAGTATAAGAGGGTAAACCTCGTCTCTACTAAAAATACAAAATTAGGCGGTTGTGGTGGCGCATGCCTGTAATCCCAGCTATTCAGGAGGCTGAGGCAGGAGAATCGCTTGAACCCAGGAGGTGCAGGTTGCAGTGAGCTGAGATAGTGCCCTTGCACTCCAGCCTGGGCAACAAGAGCGAAACTCTGTCTCAAAAAAAAAAAAAAAAAAAAAAAAGGATAATGGCATGGATAATCACAAAGCTGTACAGCATTGACTCTGAAATGCAGTCTTTAAAAAAGTAGATATTGTTTCTCCTAATACTATGATGACCATAATACATATTTGTGTGATAGTTTACCGTTTCCCAAATGATTTCTCAATTAATATTCACAGTATTAGTATGAAAAAGAGCGGGCTTTATTACCTTCAATTTACAGAGGAGGAAACTGAGACTTAGATCTGGTAAGATATTTGTCCAGAGTTAATTGTCTATACCTGCAGTTCCCAAACTTTTTAATGAAAGAAGCCTTTACATCCTTGAAAATTGAAAACCCCAAAGAACTCTTGTTTATGTAGGTTATATCTTTTAAAAAATACTTTCAACTTTTATTTTAGATTCAGGAGGTACATGTGTAAGGTTTTGTTACATGGGAATACTGCGTGATGCTGAGATTTGGAGTATGAATGGTCCTGTCACCCAGGTAGTGAGCATAGTACCCAACATGTAGTTTTTCAGCCCTTCTGCCAACCCTCTTTCCTCCCTCTAGTAGTCCCCAGTGTTCATTGTGCCCATCTTTGTGTCCACGTGTACCCAATGCTTAGCCCCCACTTATAAGTGAGAACACGTGGTATTTGGTTTTCTGTTCCTGCGTTAATTTGCTTAGGATAACGGTTTCCAGCTGCATCCACCTTGCTGCAAAGGACATGATTGCATTTCTTTTTATGGCTGCAGAGTATTCCATGGTATATAGGTTACATCTATTGATATTTACCATGTGATAAAACTAAGAAATACAAAATTTTGAATGTAATAATTGTTTAAAAATATTAATAAACCCATTGTAAGTTTATATCAATAAGATTTTTGTTTAAAAAGTTACATTTTTCAAAATAAAAATCAGTGAGAAGACTGATTTAAATACTTAAATACTTACAAAAGAAATACTTTTGTAAATCACTTTAACTTCTGGCTCAGTAAAAGGTGAATTCTCATATCCACTTTTGCATTCAATTTGTTGTGCTACCATACACCTAGTATCCTCTAGAAAACTCCACTGTGTACTTGTGAGAGGATGAGAGTGAAAAAGGCAAATAGTGTCTTAATGTAGGTTGACCTTGCAGACCCCTTGAAAGGGTCTCAGGAACCCACAACAGTCTGTCTCCCACACTTTGGGAATCTCAGGCTTAGACTAATAATAAAAAGAAGTTTAATTTCTTTAATTAATGTTAGCTGGGGATGGAATGGATAGTAGTAGTTGTTAAATGCGAGCAAAAAGTCAGAGGAAGCCAGTTTGTGTTTAACCGTTTGCTGTAGATGATCTATGAAGGCATTGTAAAGAACTCAGTTTTAAGTAGGCATTTTTTTTTCTAGCTATGGTATCAGAAGATAAAGTAAATATGCAAAATTGAAGAATGCTTTAATCACAGAGGATGGGAATATAGAAAAACCTATTAGTTTCTCTCTCTTTGTCCAATAATTCTCTGAGATGTGCTACTAAGGAAAACATATAAAAGAGCAACACAATGTATTCCATACACCCTTCTTCCCTGCCAAAACAAGAAGCTGGAATGACCTGCTCTTTTGGCTTCACTTGGTCAAGTTGTAAACTGAGCAATAATGGGTGCTGCTTCCCTTGTAGAGACCTGTGTCGGAGATGGCTCTCCTATATTGATGAAGCTACTATGTCAAATGGCAAGTAGCTCTTTCCTGCCTGCTTCTCAGCTCATTTGGAAAAATACTGCGCAAAAGACATTGAGCTCAAATGATGCAGATGTTGTTTTCAGGTTAATGGACACGCAAAGAAACCACAGCACATACTTCTTTTCTTTCATTTAATAAAGCTTTTAATTATGGTACGCTGTCTTTTTAAAATCATGTATTTAATGTGTCAGATATTGTGCTTGAAAGATTCTCATCTCAGAATACTTTTGGACTTGAAAATTATTTCTTCTCTACTTTGTAACCAAATGCAATCGGTGTGCCTTGGATTATTTAGTTTATTAATGAATTAAGTCAAAATTACGGCTGCAAAATGGCTAAGGTCAAGTAAAGCACAACATTATGATTTAATATGCTTTTGTTGAAACCACAGCTTTTGTGCCCATTGTTTTAACTTGTGTGAAACAATACAAAGCCCAGAAATTCTTTTCGGGGCATGAGTAAATTTTGTTCAGGGCTACTGTCTGTATGTGCCCAGATAAAATTTTCATGAGAGTAGTTTACAAAAGCCGTATTTAAAAGTTAATATTTTCACACTTTTTTTCTGGATTTCTGCTTATAATTAATGTAACTTAAATTAGTTGTGCTCTGCTATTTTCTGTATATTTCATGTTGTAATTCTTTTTTTCAAATAAAAATTAATTCTTCAGGTTAGATAAACTTGTTCTGCCTTTTTCGTTCCCCATCACATACTGCTTCATGTCTGTCTGTTCCTGCAAAGCTGCTGCAGCTACCACATTTACCAGTGAAGAAAAGAGTTAATTCTTCATGTTGCAGAGCAGGCAGTTATGCAAGTGGTTTTGCAATCAAGTTTGTAATATAATTTTTTAAAACAACTTTACAGTCTCCAAGCAAATATAGATCCCTAGCAGACTGCAGGAAGAGAGGCTCAGAAGACCTCCTGATTAGAAATGGAGATGTCATTCAGCTTCTCCATGGGAATGCTGAGGGTCAATGGTAGGTGTGTTTGCAAAGCCTGTGATGATCTCCAGCTGGGGCACATAGATAGCTAATCAAATGTTCTGCTTTATCTGTATCTTTGTTATACAGTCTCCAAAAGCAGAAATATCACAGCGATGGCTTTCATTTTCATTGCTTCAGCACTGCCTATAAAGCTCACTGAAAGGAACATTAACCTTTGGTGAGTGAAAAATGCTTTGAACGAATGACATGCTATGAGTCTGCATGTTCTTTTGTAGTTTACCTTTGGCTCAGATGTTTTAGCTGATACGTCTGGGCTTTGTAATGGCTACAGATCACATTCCATCTGGTCATTTAAATCATTCATTAGCCACATATTTAATGAACGCCTACTGTGTGCCAGAGACCACACTTTACTACTTTACAACATAGCTACACTTCTGTTTATCAGGTCAAATATTGACTTTCTCATTCTACCCTTATGCCTTTGACTTTATATAGTACTGGTTGTAAAGATGGTTCTGCCAAATATACTGTTTAGGTAGGAGAGAACCCAAAGCAGGAAGAAAATATTGTTCGGATTGAATGAAACTTCCATAATTCTTTTGGATATTCTAAATGTAAGATTTCTGTCTTCATTGGGTCAATAACTTGAACTGAAATGCTACATTGACTGTGTACTCTAACCCTTTAGGTGGAAGAGTGTACACAGAGAATTAAAAGTTAATGATGGATCATTAAAGTAATAATTTTTTCTAATAACCAAAGTCCTTTGTAGATTACTTAAAGGACTCATGCACAGTGTCATGAAGGTCTTTGAACACATGCAGTAGCCTTGTGAAAGTTTGAGCTGCAACGTAATGTATTTGTTTTAATTCACTTAGTATTACCATTGTTGGCTACTAATTCATTTATTATTTAGGTTGGTGAAAAATCTAAACAGAAGAAAAGAAGGCCTGATTCTAGGAAACAGTTTACATATTTTAATTGGTGACCATAGGTTTCGGAATGCCAAAGTTACAGGTACAATATGAATAAACTGTACACAATTTGAAGACTAAAAATGTTAAAGCTTCACCAAAGAGGACATTGGCATAGAGTAATGACCTCTCTGCAGTTAGAAATAAAGCAGCAAACACATTATGTTAGCTAGAATTTATTTTTTTTCTTTAATAGTTTTAAATTTATGAATGAAAATTTTAAAGGCACATTAGACTTTTCCCTATAAAGTTGATAGTCTTGAAAGAGATTGAAGATACTATGGTGTTTTGTAAGATACCCTTCAGAATTAAATACTGAGGATATGCTTTTAAGGTACCTGCCTTACTGCCCAAGAATACTTTACTAGTATGTAGTTCTACACTGTCCTAGGAGCATGTTATTTCTTTATGGTAGGTCTCTGCTACACACACACAGACACACATACACAAACACACTTGTGTCTATACCCAAGACTTATGTGTGAAGGTAGTATGAAGCATTGGGAGCTAATCTGATGTTCATTTCTATTAACTTAACCCATAGTATGTAACATTTCTGTATATAAACCCGTTTTCTTGTAGTTTTTTCCTCTAAGTGACACTTAGTTGTCTGTTAAAAGGTAGCACAGAAAAGGAAAATCAATGAATTGTTAAATAAGATGATTCTTGCATGCACACACTTCCTCTGAAATCCTAGTTTTGGTCTTTTGTTTGTTCGAATTCCAGGTAATGGTAGACTGTTTAAACACACCAGGTGTAACTTATTTGGTTCCAAATTTTATTTGTAACATAAAATGAAATCTAGGGATAATGAGGCTTAATAGAAATGCTGGGTCACATGGGAACTGCTCAAATGGAGTCACTTCTCATTTGTTTGTTTGATAACTCTAATATGGGTCATCTTTCAAAGGCTTTTTGCACTAATTGTTAAATTATTTAGATAATTATTGAATTACTTAATTAGTAATCCGAAATCTAGTATACTGACAACCTGAACCATTTGACATTTATTAAAAATCTACACCCAACAACTGCAGAATGCATCATTATTTTCAAGTATACATGGAACATTCACCAAGATAGGCTGCCTTCTGTGTCATAAAACAAGTCTTCATAAATTTCAAAAGATTGGAATCATATAGTCTCAGGATGTAATCTTAGAAATCAGTAAATCCAAAGTATTTTGATATTAAAGAATACACATCTATACAATACATGAGACAAAGAAAGTACAAGGGAAATTAGAACTATTTCAAATTGGATGAAAATGAAAACTCAAAATATCAAAAAATTTCTGGATGCAGCTAAAGAGGGAGGCAAATGTATGGCTTTAAATACCTGTATTAGACACTTGAAAATCAATGTAATTCATCATATTAACATAATGAGGAAGAAAATTATATAATCATTTCAATAGATACAAGAAAGCCATCGATAGAACTTCATACTCATTTATGACAAAAACTATCAGCAAACAAGGAATAAAGGGAGTTTCTTCAATATGATAAAACACATTATGAAAACCCACAGTTAGCATCATACTTAATGGTGAACTATTGGAAGTTTTCTCCCTAAGATTGGAAACAAGCCAAGGATAGTCACTGACCATTTTTATTTAACATTATACTGTAAGTCCTAGTCAGTTCCATAACACAAGGAAAACATTAAAGAACTAAAAGATTAAAAAAGAAGATGCACCGTCATGATTAGCAGATCATGTATATGTACAAAACCATAAGGAATTTACATACAAGTCCCTACTAGAACTAATAAGTGAATTTTACAAGGCCACAATGTGCAGTCTTTACAAAAATAAATTATAATTCTATATCCTAGCAACAAAGAATTTAAAAATAAAATTTCAAAAGAACATTTATATTAGCAACATAAGATATAGAATAAATAGAAATAAATCTAATAACAGATCACAAGGCTTCCATACTGAAAACTACAGATCATTGCTGAGATATAATTAAGATGACCTAATAAATGGAGAGCTATACCATGTGCATGATTTGGGAATCTCAATTTTGTTAAGAAACCCATTATCCCCAAATTGTCCTATAGATTCAATGAAATCAAAATCAAAATCTCAGCAACTCCTTTTGAAAATTTATAAGACAAATTTATTCTGAAAAATATGTAAAAAGGCAAAGGATCTAGTACAGAAGAATCGTAAAAATTGGGAGGACTTAAGCACCTGATTTCAATACCCCTTATAAACTACAGTAATCAATACAATATGGCATTAGTGTAAGTATAGAAAAATAATGATTTCATAAATAGTCCCACATATACATAATCATTTTTAATCAAGGGGTCAAGTCATTTGAATGGGGAAAGGAAGGTTGTTTTAACAAATGATGCTTGGCAACTGGGTATCCATATGGAAAAATAAGTGAACCTCCATCTCTATATCTTACTTCATACACAAAAATTATTTTGAGTTGGATCACAGATCTAAACCTAAAAGCTAAAATAATAAATCTCCTAAAACCAAACAGGACGATGTTGTCATGACTTTGAATAGTTAACAATTTCTTATACAAGACAAAAAGCTATGAGGACGCAAAGGCATAAGAATGATACAATGGACTTTGGGGACTTGGGGGGAAGTGTGGGAGGGGGCGAGGGATAAAATACTACAAATAGGGTGCAGTGTATACTGCTCGGGTGATAGATGCACCAAAATCTCACAAATCACCACTAAAGGATTTACTCACGTAACCAAATACCACCTGTACCCCAATAACCTATGAAAAAAGACAAAAAGCGGTAGCCATAAAAGAAGAGTATCAGACAAATACAAAGAAACATTACACATGCTGAATTGAGCAGTTTACAACTTAAAAAAATATATACATGTTAGAAAAGGATAAAATCTAAGACAGTAACATTTTGAACACTTTCAAAAGCCAAATAGTTCTAATTAATCAAAATTAACTGATCGCATCGAAGAGTTGTTAAGTTTGAAAATAAATATAGCCAGCTTTCTGCCAACTATTTCATGCTTATTTAAATGGTCAATGAAGAGAGAGAGAGAGGCAGAGACACAGAAAGAGAACAGAAATAAGAAACATGGGTCACTTAAAATATGTGCTCAAATAACTGTTTGAATCAAGACATATAAATCAGTGTTTTAAATAAATTGTTTTTTATGAAGCAATTTAAAAAACCCAATAAAGCCATAAAATAATACTGTAATGTATATACTAGAAAAAAATTTCCTTCTTGTGCTCAGATCTCCAAGATTCAAAAGTGAAAACACAAAGTGTACTCATCTAACTTCCATATAAACATTTGTACTCAACATTAAGAAGACACAGAGTATATTTTCCATCACTTATCATCATCATTTTAAGTAGAGCCAGATCTCCTCACATTTAATTCAGGACAAAGTTAATTACATTAATTTTTAGCTAATTGTAATGCAGGACATATAAAATTATATATTTGATTAGTTTCAATTTGAAATTATTCTATTACTGTTAACTAATCCCAGTAGATTTATGGCTTATTAGCACCCTTTGAAAAGTGTATGGAAAAACAACAATTTCAGTCTACTTTGGGTCTGTGCTTATTTTTCAGGCAGTGAAGGGCTTACCTATACATTTATCAATGTAATACATTTTATTTGGGGGGAAACTCACATTATTCCTTTCTAGCCACTTTATTTCTACTGTGAGTGCACTTTTTCAATATTCTTCTTTTTTTGCAGTGCTATTGGGAGAGTTGAAATGTAATGTATTGCTATATCATCAGCATTTTAAGCATTTATTATTGTGTGGCATGATACTAGATAAGAGGACAAGGTCCCATTGATCTGTGTTCTCTGGAAGCCCCTGACTTAAGATTATTATTAAAATATATTACTTTCAAATGACATGCATTTTTGACTTAGGTTGAAATGACAAATTAATACTTCACGGTAGATTTTGGTTGAATGCTACAATATCAAGTGAGTCTTGATTGAGATCTATCCTCTCATTACATTGCACAGAGCGAAATAGTATATTGTGGCTTATAAAAATACATTGTGATGTGTGTCCATCAGTGGATTAGGACATTATAACTGACTATGCAACTGTCAACAGCATTAGGTTTAAAAAATAAGTTAGAGGGTTTCATTTACAATCTGGCAAATAGAATGTAAAGATCTCTCTGATATTATGCATTTAACATGTTTCCTATTATCTTCATGCATATGACATAATTAGTACAATATTTATAAAAATTGATTGTAGAAGAAGAGAATCTTATTTATTTTGTTTTGCTTTCAGTGAAGCTATCTCTTCTATAAAATAAATTCCTTTAATAATTATGAAACTGAAGACCTTTCATATTAAAATTAATAACCAGAAGACATCACCTTGAGTTTATGATGGACCTTTTGAATCCTCACACTAAGCCTGAGAAGTTATAGCACAGATAACATTTTGGCTTTAAAAGTCATTTGAGTGTTAACATCATTCTTAATTATTTTGGAGATGCAGTTCTGAGTAACACAAGGAAACCGAGTTCCCCTTGAATTCAAGGAGATTGAATAGACTTTCTAAAAATAATATTTTCTTTGAGGGTGCGAACTATATTATATTTCCTAAAAGGGTTACAGATAAACAGCACCATAGTCAGGTTATCCTACACTGCCCATGACATCTACAGAAATTTCCTCAGCATGGAGTTGAACTTCGTTATTCGCAGCTTCTCAGTCTTGCAAGAAGCATCTTTGCATCTTCCATTACCCCAACACAAAAGTGCGGTGCTATTTTGTTGCCAATTAAAGTTTTTTACAGCCTCTGTTTGGATTTCACCTGAAAATCTGAAATCAATTCTTTTGAACTTTTACAGATAAAAAGTTTTACTTGTATTTTTTGGGTAACTTTTCAGTAACAAAACTTCAAAGAGGGAAGAGAGAGAATCAGAGATTTAAACTCCTGTGTTAATTGATAGTCTATTATTTAATTATGTGCTATCTATGTGATTATAATGCCCCAAAGAGATATGTTCTGAAGGATCTCTTTTGCATGCTGACTGACCTTTAGGGTTGTTAGAGCCATCTTATAGTTTTAAGATGATCCAAAGCTAAAAATCCTGTCGTTTTGATATGTTAAACTTTAAATTTTATGCATTGAAGTTTAGGTACATGTCACAGCTTTAAGTTAAATATTCATATCGGCACCACAGATGTTTCTTAATAAAGCTCTGCTTTTCAATGTCTTTACTTTTCAATTTTCTAGAAAAATTTATTCTAGAAAAGATTTTCTGAAGTTGTATTTCTTCTTAGTTTTTTAAAAATAATACATATATAGATTTCTCTTTTTTAAATATATAAACACTGTGATCACTTCTTTTGAAGCAAATGGCCAGTTGTTGCATGCAATGTTGAATTTATGTTTGGAGTATTTTATATTATGGACTTCTGAAAACAATGGTTTGAAACTTCTGCTTTTTGAATCATGAATTGTGAGTTGGACTTTCAAGTTGCATATTAGGTGCATGTTTTTCTGTGATTGGTTAATACAAAACAATAAACACAATAGCTATATAACATGTAATTTGTCTTTCAATTAGGTTTATATATTGTATGAAGATCACAGATTATGCCAGTGGTATCATCTGATGGAACAATCTGTATGGCAAACCAATTGTATTTTATCTAAAGGTACTTGCAAATTATAAATCTTCTAATGTCCAGTTGCTGGAATTCCTGATGGTAGATTTATAAGTTACTCATTAAAGTGTCCATATGCTTGATATTTCACTTAATTCTTCTGCAACAACAGAATGAAATCAAAATACATTTATTTTGTTTGCTAATACTGTGATTTAGAAGACAGAATTAGGGAAATGAAATTCTTGAATAATGATGTCACTCTGCACAAAGTGTTTTAATTTCATGGTAGTAAACTAGAGATTTTAATCATTTAAAACAATGCTGAGTTCTGTTATAGTCATTTAATATTTTAATAACTGTACATGAATGCTATATTTGTATATGTTTACAAATGTAACTGTACTGTCTTAATTTTATTAGACTATAAATGTGTATTACTCTAAAATATAGCAGCAATTTCACTTTAAGGTCTTCAGAAATTTAATTACATTGTAAATGTACTTACGATGTAAATGCACTTGTGTATATTCCACATTAAAAATATTCAACCTTAAATTCATTCATATACTTTCTTCAGTTTGGTATAACGTCAATTATACATTGAAAATAACTTTCCTCTCATTTATCAGTGATACTCTCCTAAAGGCACCATAAGTATTTTTAGATTAATGTTTACCTTCAGCCTTACTTCATGATTCTCTCTTTGAGAGAGAGAGGAGAGAAAGAGGGAGATCTGACCAGAGCCAGAGTACAATGTTTTGCTCAAGAAGTTGCTTTACTCAAATCTGTAAGATAGCAATGAAAGCAGTTTCAAAGGTTAGATAGCCATGTTTATGAGTGCATGCTTCCATACCCTAAAAAAGTCTGCTTCCATATACTGAAGCTCAAGGAATCCTGGAAAGCACCTAGATACCTGCAGTTGTTTTCTGATCTATAACTTGCTTCTGCAAAGGACTCTTTAGTTGGAATTGCCAGACCTAATGATCTCTTTCACAGCCCATTTGGAAGCTAGTACATGTGCCTTAATATAGAGTGAGGAGAGAAGCCTATAACCTTGGTTTGACTGAATCTTTCATTAAAAGAAAACAACACTGAGATTGTTTTAGATGTCTTAATAAGCATCCCATCACAGGATAACTACCTCTTTTACCTTTAAATTTGTTTTGAGGTCTTTTGAGAAAACACTTGTGTTAGGCCGTTCTTGCATTGCTATAAAGAAATATGTGAGACTGGGTAATTTATAAGAAATGAGGTTTAGTTGGCTCACGGTTCTGCAGGCTGTAGAGGAAGCATAGTGGCATATGCTTCTGCGGAGGTCTCTGGAAGCTTGCAATCATGGCAGAGGGCCAAGTGGGAGCTTGCACATCACACAGCAAAAGCAGGAGCAGGAGAGTGATGGGGGATGGGCCTCACACTTTTAAATGACCAGATCTTGTGAGAACTCACCCACTATCATGAGGACACTACCAAAAGGATGGTGCTGAACCATTCACAAGAAATTCGTCCCGATGATCCAATCACCTCCCACCAGGCCCCACCTCCAACATTGGGAATTACATTTCAACATGAGATTTGGGCAGGAACAACATCCAAATTATATCAGCACCATCAGTGAATTAGTTAATCAAATTAAATTCGTCTCCAAAGAACTCCCTGAAAAATAAAATGTGTATTCAAGTTTTATTCCTGTGTTGTTTGAGGGGTAAAATGCTATTGGTGATATTTCCAAAATTACACATGAGTCTCACAATATAAAATACATAGTTGTTCCATTGTGGAAGACAGTGTGGTGATTCCTCAAGGATCTAGAATCAGAAATACATTTGACCCAGCAATCCCGTTACTGGGTATATACCTAAAGGAATTTAATCATTCTACCATAAAGACACATGCACACATATGTTTATTGCAGCACTATTCACAATAGCAAAGACTTGGAACCAACCCAAATGCCCGTCAATGATAGACTGGATAAAGAAAATGTGGCACATATACACCATGTATTACTATGCAGCCATAAAAAAGGATGAGTTTATGTCCTTTGCAGGTACATGAATGAAGCTGGAAACCATCATTCTCATGAAACTAACACAGGAACAGAAAACCAAACACCACATGTTCTCACTCATAAGTGGGAGTTGAACAATGAGAACACATGAACACAAGGAGGGGAACATCACACACCAGGGCCTCTCGGGGGGTGGGGAGCTAGGGGCGGGATAGCATCAGGAGAAATACCTAATGTAGGTGACGGGTTGATGGGTGCAGCAAACCACCATGGCACGTGTATACCTATGTAACAAACCTGCAAGTTCTGCCCATGTATCCCAGAACTTAAAGTATAATAATAAAAAAAATCTAAAAAAATACGTGGTTGTTATAAAAGCCACCCTGACATCTAAGCGTTTACATTCTCTTAAGAGAAAAATTTCATAATACATTGTGGAAAGTGTAGGAGAGCAGAAGAAATACTTGACTTGAAGAGAAATCAGGTCAGTGATTTTGTTTTGGGTCTAGTCAGAAATCAACCTGGTTTCACTCAACAGACTTTCACTGAGGAAAATGCTTATTATTTAGTAAGTATTAGAACACAGGAGCCTTCTTCCTGCAGGGCAGCAGACTCTACGGTGTTTAATGAGTCAAGTCTCAGGCAATAAAATATCAAAACAAGTCATTTTTATTACATTTCAGTACACTTCCTCACATTGATTTCGACTGGTCAGTTTGCAAGGGGTTTTATGGGAAAACATGGGAAGAAACCGGTGTTATGGACAAAAACTAAACTCTTTATACTGTTCAAAAGGCAATTAGTAAAAGTGACAACCAGATTTTTAAAAAATTACTTTTTACTTCAAAATGCATTTTTAAAAATTTCATGACGTAGTTAAGTATTAAATTGTCCTTTGCATTTGGTGAGGGCTTAGTTGCCCCTATATATTGATCACCTCATTTTTTTGCGTGTATGAATAAGCACATTAAATTCTGAGGAGGTGTTTTAAGCATGTGTCCATCAAATAGGACTCATAATGTGTACTGAGAACAGCCAATGAAGTTGAACTTTGTGAAGATTAAGTTCCTTAAGCTAAATGAAACTTTCCTTAAACCCACCCAAAACAAAATGTAAACCATTTCAAAGATAAATTTCATCTAAAAATTTGTCAGACTCACTAACTTAATTATTTCCAAAATAAGCGACAAACACAACCTTTCTGGAGAACAAATGAAAAATTATGGCCGGGTTTGGTGGCTTACACCTGTAATCCCAGCACTTTGAGAGGTCAAGGCAGGAGGATTGCTTAAGCTCGGGAGTTTGAGACCAGCCCTGGCAACATAGTGAGACCCCAGCTCTTAAAAAAAAAAAAAAAAAAAATTAGCCAGGCATGGTAGCACATGCCTGTAGTCTCAGCTACTCGGGAGGCTGAAGCAGAGGATTGCTTGAACCCAGGAGACTGAGGCTGCTGTGAACTATGATCATGCCACTGCACTCCAGCCTGGGTGACAGAGTGAGACACTATCTCAAAAAAAAAGTAAATTTAAAAAATTATAATGAAGCAGAAGTGGAGAAGAGAGAGTCAGAAAAATTTAAAGCATGAGAAGGACTTGGGCTGAGTTGTCTTAGTTGATAGGTTATAGCACAGTTTGATAGTGAATGCACTCTTTTACATGGGAAGTTATAAGAAACCAAATGATAACATGTTAAGTAATTAAGTGAGCCATAACTTTACAACCATAATAAAAATGACTTAAAAGAGAAATATCATAATGGACATTTTGTAATCTCATATTAGAGGCTAAAATAATTTCTTTACTGACCCCAAGAAGCACTTAGGGCTGTAGTCATACATTTACAAATAGTTTCAAATTACCTGGATTCAATGCAAAAGTAGGCATTCTATGTATGAATATTATTAGCTCAAAAATCTGCCCATATTTCTAAAAATACCAACCGTTGGGAAGGACATGAAGCAAGAACTTGTACATGCTACTACTGGGAGCATACATTGATAACACTTTGGTGAGCTATCTGCTAATACCAAGTACAGTTGAAGTGAATGCTCTATGGCTTAGCATTTTTACTCCTAAGGATGTACCCCACACGAAGGCTCACACATGTGCCAGAATGTTTATAGCAGCAATGTTTAGAAGAGTAAAAAATTTAGAGACAACATGAATTACCACAAACAGAAGGTTACATAACTAGTTTATTGAATATCATGCCATAAAATTGATATAGAAACTAAAATAAATGACCTAGAGCTACCCATATCATCATAAATGAATCCCACAGGAAAAAAAATGCAGGATAGAAACAATATGATAGCATTTGTATAACGTTTTAAAATATGTAAAACGAAATATATATTTTAGTGGATAGTTTAGGGTTAAAGTATATGAACATGCTGGATAATGATGAACACCAAACTAAGAAAGATAGCTACCTCTGAAGAGAGAGAGAGAGAGAGAAATAAAAGATGAGAAATGGATGGATGCTGGTACTTGGGAGTTCAAGATATTATTCTGAATACATTTTTAAATGTCAAAATCATTTTACACTGTATAACATTCTGCTCACTTTAGTTCAGTACTGGAAAAGTGGAATAAAATGTCGTGCCCCCTGACTGAAATGTAGTGAAACCGCATCACACTTACCTTCCATACATCCCTGTGGAAATTTTTTTTTTTTTTTTTTTTTTTTTTAGTTTTAGTGTTCTTACATGCTTACCAAAAATAGCAGTCAAGAACTCTTTTCCACAGTTTTTATAAGCATATTACAAATTACTATGAACTGACATACTGGCACAGCAGAAAAATACCATAAAATAAACCTTGGTGGATTACAATGTGTGAATGTGTTGTAGGAGAAATATTTGCACTTAAGAAATGTTACATTTTATTTTACAACACAAAGTATCTGTTACCATCTGTGAACATCTTTAAAGGCCTGGTTTTCTCAATATTTCTATTTCATGAACATTTTGCTCCCTTAAACAACCTTTATATTTTAATTTACAATGTGAATTTAGTGCTCAGTCATAGCAATAATTGAGTAGCTGTACTGCAAAAATGACGAGTTGTTAGTCAAACAATTATATTGTGTCCAGTTGTATGTTGGCAAATGGTAAGCAACTGATTCTCTTTAAAAGACACACCAAAACCCTATTTGTACCATTTGTTGATTTCTATGGTGTAAAGATTCCTACCATGGCAGATTTCAAGCTACCAACATGAGGACACAGAACTGGAAGTTAGGAAGTGATGTGCAAAATTGGTGTTAAAAAAGTGGCTGGTGCAGTGGCTCATACCTGTAATCCCAGCACTTTGGGAGGCCGAGGCAGGCAGATCACCTGAGGTCAGGAGTTTGAGACCAGCCTGGCCAACATGGTAAAACCCTGTGTCTGCTAAAAATACAAAAATTAGCTGGAAGTGATGGCAGGTGCCTGTAATCCCAGCTACTCAGGAGGCTGAGGCAGGAGAATCGCTTGAACCTGGGCGGTGGAGGTTGCAGTGAGCCGAGATCGGGCCACTGGACTCAAGTCCGGGCAACAGAGTGAGACTCCATTTCAAAAAAAAAAAAAAGGGTAGGGGAAGCCACTGGATACCCGACTTGGACCGCTCAAGCCCTTTAAGTTCCTACATAAGCAAACTGAAGCCCAGTGTAAACAGTAAAAGGAGACTGGAGACTTTATCAATCAGAAATCAGCAACTCACCTCTAACTAGGGTATTTCCACTCTAACCAGTTAAATATATTTTGTCTTCCTTCTCTGTCAGCCCATAAAAACTCACTGCTCAGGCTGCTGCAGCAGAGCTCTCTGAACCTCCCCTGATTCTGACTGCTACACCATTCATGAATCATTCTTTGCTCAGATAAACTCTGTTGAATCTTTTTCTTTGTTTTCCTTTTTTATTTTTAATTTTTGTGGGTAAATAGTAGGTGTATATATTTATGGAATATATGAGATATTTTGGTACAAGCATGCAATGTGTAATAATCACATCATGGAAGATGGGGTCTCCATCACCTTAAGCATTTATGCATTGCATTACAAACAATCCAATGATACTCTTTTAGTTATTACAAATGTACAATTAAATTATTATTGACTATAGTCACCCTGTTGTGCTATCAAACACTAGGTCTTATTCTTTCTATTTTTTTGTATTCATCAGCCATCCTCACTTACCCTCCAACCCCCCACTACGCTTTCCAGCCTCTGGTAACTATCCTTCTAGGCTCTATGTCCATGAGTTAAGTTATTTTGATCTTTAGATCTCACACATAAGTTAGAACATGTGATGTTTATCTTTCTGTGCCTCATTTATTTCACTTAATATAATGACCTCCAGTTGAATTTATTTTGTCTAAAGTTTTTCTTTTAACATTGGTTTTTGAGAGTTAGTTTGTATATGCCAGTTCCAGCATACCATTCATTGCACCTTAGGAAATAGATACAACGCTAGGTACATAGAAAGTGTACAGTAAAATTCTTTATTAGAGTGTACTAAGACTTCTGAATTATAACAATCCCACTATTAGGTAATGTGCACCTGTCCTTTTAGCATATCTGTTACTTAAATCTAGATTTTCTAAACTAAGGAAGTGGAGATTCTAATCTTAAGCATGTTCATCTAGGACTAGAAACAGAGTGTATGGAAGAGAACATAGACAACTAAAATATGGGAGGCATATTGAGAGAAACGAAATCCCTGTGGCCAAGAACAACAGTTTTGTTCAGATATTAAACTTTATCACAAGGTTATTTGATTGGGTAATAGCTATAGGGAGAAAGAGATTGAAATGAAAGCTAAGAGCTGAATCTATAAAAATAAGGTACAAAAACAAAATAGCTACCTAAATGAGGACAGAAAGCACAGACAAGAGGGGTAGATACAGCTTATGGAGAAGACAAACACAAAACAGGAGATAAAAAGGCCAGGGTTATAACCATAGTTTCCTAGGCTAATCTTTTTTACATTTCCTAGAAATTAATGAAAACACCTCCTTATAGCCTAGGAAGAAAGTGAATGCAGGAGGCCTTTTTTTTTTTTTTTTGTATTTTTGTCTCCCTTCCTTTCCCTTCCTCCCTTCCTCCCTCCCTTACCTCCCTCCCTCCCTTCCTCCCTCCCTCCCTTCCTCTTTTTCTTTTTCTGAGACAAGGTCTCACTTTGCCACCCAGGCTAGAGTGCAGTGGTGCAACCATGGCTCTCTGCTGCCTCAACCTCCCAGATTCAAGCGATCCTCCCACCTCAGCCTCCTGAGTAGCTGGGACTACAGGCATGAGCCACCATGCCTGGCTAATTTTTGTATTTTTTGTAGAGACAGGGTTTTGCCACGTTGCCCAGGCTGCTCTTGAACTTCTGAGCTCAAGCCAGTCACCTGCCTCAACCTCCCTGTCTCCCTTTCTATGACATATTCCCTTATGTGTTCAAGATAAATATCTTATTCCTACCTTAGATGACAGGGAGTTTTGCACAGAGTTGTGGTTAGTAATGGCTTTTTTCCTTCCTTTTCATTCATACATTGCTACATTCTTAATTTGGCTTCTTACATTTAGAGCTGGGTTTGAATCTTATGAAAATGCATACTTACTTTTGTAATATAGTCCAAGAGGAAAATAGGCTTTTATATATAGATATTTATGAAAGCACGTAATGTGTAAATCATGGGAACTCTTTATCTTTATGAGGTCAGCACTTAAGCCTCTGTGATTATTGATCTAGAGAAGCTAGATGCTGTAGCATTTCTAAAGGTTTAAGAGTGATGGTATCAGGGAGATTTACTATGGTGGTAAATTTTTATGAATTAGTATCTCATACTTAACATTACAATGCAGCAACTGTTTGAATGAAAGCCTTTGGAATCATTAGTATCTTTCCTTCCTTCCTTCCTTTCTTCCTTCCTTCCTTCCTTCCTTCCTTCCTTCCTTCCTTCCTCCCTCCTCTCTCTCTCTCTCTTCCTTTCTTTCTTCCTTTCTTGCTCTGTCACCCAGATGTGAGTGCAATGGCATGATCTTGGCTCACTGCAACCTCTGCCTCCTGGGTTCAAGCAATTCTCGTGCCTCAGCCTCCCGAGTAGCTGGGATTATAAGCGTGCGCCACCACACCCGGCTAATTTTTGTATTTTTAGTAAAGATGGGTTTCACCATGTTGGCCAGACTAATCTTGAACTCCTGACCTCAAGTGATCTGCCTGCCTCGGCCTCCCAAAGTGTTGGGATTACAGGCGTGAGCCATTGTGTCTGGCCTGGAATATCCCTGTTTCTATTTCCAGCTTTCTCTTAACCAAGAGAATAGAAGGATAGCTCTCCTATTAGAGTGGAATGACCTGGCCAGGAGTTTGAAATAGTTCTGTGAAGGCATGGAGAAAATGTCTCTGCCTTCTTCCAGACAGAAGTCTTTGCCTCTTTGTCTACATATGCAAGAAAAGATCTGCCTGCTCTTCTTCACTTTTGATACCTATATTAGAAGTTGAGATTGACTCAGAAATCTCAAGGCAGTCCATAGCCCCAAAGACTGGATGAAAAAGATTTGCCTCGAAACTACCGTAGGAAAAAATGACTAGAGTGATTTGTGGGCCTGGATTGATTGAAAAGAGCAGGGGTCCCACAGTCCTTTGCCTGCTGTGATTCTTTCAATAGTTTCCACAGTTTACACAACATGCTGATTTTTATGGCTTTAACCCTGAGATTTTTTAGATGGCATAAGCCTCAGATTCAAAAAGAGCTCTGATTCCTGATTGCTTTACTCAGAGAGGCCTTTCAGCATCTGTAGTCTGTTTCCCAATCATCCGCAGGTGCAATGCATTGTTAGAATCTCAGCTTCGGTGGGCCTTTGAAGCCTGCCTTCAACCCTCAAACAGCTTCTGGAGTAACCTGCTGTCTCCGTGTGCCGCACGTCTTCCCCAGCACAGTTGCAGTGAATAAAGTTGAATTGTTGCTGGAATGACTGTGTGCCAGATGACACTGTTGAATGTGCTATAGTAGTCAAATGTCACATCTGGAAGGCCCAGTGCCCACAGCTGGGCTAAACGCCAGACACCAGCACCACACGTTTATCCTACATGTATTTACTGAGAACCTGCTATGAGCCAGGGGTTGAAGCTCCAGTTTGTTATCTGACTGCCACTCTGCTTTCCAAGCTACCTTATTGGTCTCCTTGATTTCGTCACCTTTTGGTCAATTAGAGAATTGTTAGTAAGAATTCCAGGCAGTTTTCAGTCCCAGGGTTGTTGAGAGGATTGCCACCAATGCAGAATGCCCCAGCTGCCCTAAAAATATAGACAGTAGAGTTAATGTACTCCAGTTGAAAGCATTATTCTTTCAAAGTGCAGGGTGGGAGACTTGAGCTCTAGTCCTGGCTGTCATTGTGTTATCTTGGGCCTGGCCTTATGTTGCCCTCAATCTCTTCATCTGCTAAATGAGTGGAGTGGATTGGATGGTGTTTAAGGGCCCTTGCAGCTCTGACATTCTTGGATTAGACTGTAAGCATTCGGAACTTGTTTAGCAATTATAATTAGGCAATTTTGTAAACTGGTCTGTTTTGGTTCAGGTAAGTAAGGAAGAACACCTTTTCTTTTTTCCTTGGCAGAGAAAATTGGACAGTACTTCGTTCCTGTCAGTATAAAACAAATAATATTCAAAAGAACTAAAAACAATCACACTTAAACAGCAAGTTAAAATGACTGCATTATATTAGCACACTTTCCTTCACTTGGCAAGAGTTCTATTTTAATCTGTCACTTCCAATATGACGGCAGCATGTTTTAGTCTATTTAGGCAAAGTATCTACAGTAATTTTGAAAGCACTAATGATTCTTATATGGCAACTGCAAATGCCCTAGGTAGAATCAAGCCAGGGCTGGCTCTGAAGACATTGGCTCTTAGTGAGCTTAAAGGCCCCACATGTTTAGTGGTGGCAATATGCCACAGGTGGCTCATGATGAATTCAATCATTTTTGAGCCCATGGCAAAAAGAACTGTGGCTCAGAGATTTATGGGTCCAAGAGCTCCTTTCTCTGCCACAGAGAAGACCAATAACAGGAGTCCTGAGGCCAGTTTCCCATTGGTGCCTTTGTAAGGGGTGGTCTCTATGGAAACAAGGCCAGAGTGTCTTACTTTTACCAATTTTGAAGTGCTGAGGCTACAGACCTTTGGTCATTCAAATTTGAAGTAACGTGTTTAATGCATGAATTAGCCTCCTCCTTAAATCTGAGGCAGACAATTATAGTCTCTTCTCTCTTCCCTTCCTTTAGTCAACAAAAGCAGAACTAATTTCCTTTCATTTTTTCATAAAACCTAAACCCCAGGCATTATTCTTATTTAAGCGTGGCCTTCTTTCACGATACTCGATGCAAGACTAATTGCTACTCTGGGATAAACATGGATTCTGATTCAGCTAACAATTATTGAGCAACTACTGTCTAGCAGTGTAGTAGGCACTCACAAAGCAATTTATACACATTATACATTATTTATATATATATAAAATCTGAATTACAATTTAATGAATACTGTTGGTATTTGGCAGACAGCAATTACTCCTTGACTATTTGTTGGATGAAGGAATAAAAATAAAAACATGAAATCACAGACTAACAAAATTGCAAGGGATTTGGGAGAGCATCCTGTCAAATACTCTCATTATAGAAGTGGAGAAATCAAATTCCCAAATGGAGAGTGACTTATTGAAGGCCATACTCACAGTTAGTTAGACCCAATTCTGTCTCAGGTGGATTCAGACCACTGTCCTCTCTGGGACACAGCTCACACTGCCTTATATGAAAACTGGATAACAGAGCATCAAATCTCTGCTGTGTTATATTGCATTTGAAAACATTTTTCAGAGTGTTTTGTTGAATGTAGTGTTTGGGATGCCTCTCCATGAATGATTTAACAAGAAACGCCTCAAGAAATGTATTTATTTATTTATTTTCTTTGAGACAGAGTCTCACTCTGTCACCCAGGATGGGGAGTGCACTGGTGCGATCTTGTCTCACTGCAACCTCCCGCACCCCCTGCTCCCCAGGCTCAAGTGATTCTCCTGCCTCAGCCTCCCCAGTAGCTGGGATTATAGGTGCACATTACCAAGCCCAGCTAATTGTTCTATTTTTAGTAGAGACAGGGTTTCACCATGTTGGCCAGGCTGGCCTGAAACTCCTAACCTCAGGTGATCCGCCCACCTTGGCCTCCAGAAGTGCTGGGATTATAGGCGTGAGCCACTGGGCCCAGCCAAGAAATTTAAAAATATGTTTATTTATACTTATATGCGAAGACAAAAATATATTGACTAAAAGAACTAAAGGAACTAGCAAGAGTGAGGCCTGGCTGGGGGTGAGGTTGGGGCAGGAGAAGGCAGCAGCTTGGCGGGGTCAGAGTGATTTTGTCAGTAGTCCCATGCATCATCAAATACAGGGTGACTGATTCACATCAATGGAATCCACAAAAAGCCAAGGTATGAACCAGAACACCAGTTTATTAATTCACAAAGGGAAACATACGTCAGTTGGTCAGCAACTCTCTAGAAGATTCAAGATAGAAGGATTAACTATAATCAAAATGTTCCATGGTGAACACGAAACCAGAAAAGGACAACTTAGTTGGCTGATTGGAATGACTTATGCCTTTGAGCCTGCTGCACCCTTCTCCACTTCGGGGTATGCTAGTTAAAGGAGACATGATACTTATGTCCTCTGGTCTAGGCAACTTCAACTTCTTGCTTGGCTCTGAACACTGCTGAAGACACACTGTTGAATTCTTCCTCAAAGTCTCTACTAGCTGTAGATTGCAAACGAACGGTTCTCTTCTTTCTGTTAGCATTATTATTATTATTTTTAGAAAGAGTACAATATGTCTGGGTCAATGTCAGCTTTTTTAGTTACAATGATATGCCAATCTTGCCTTCGTGAAATCATGCCTAGTCAGACCTCCATAACCATACAAGCTCTTAGAATGGCTTATTGCTTCCATTATATGTGTGTATGCGTGTGTGTCTACACACACGCATACACACACACTATATATTTATATTGTATATTATATATTTTATATATATATTATATATATAAAATAACTTAACTCTCTGAAAGAAACTTTTCCCCCAAACTTTTCAGGCACCTTACTTCATCCCTATGTTCTGAAAAGCAAGTCTCCACTACGGAAGCAAGTCTGGGTTTGATAGACATGTATAACTGTGTACAGAAGTATAACAGAATGATGCTCCCCATCTCTCCTTTAACGACCATGGAGGGTAAAAGGGAGAGAGGGAGTAAGAAAGAGAAAAACTGATTTGGGGATTGGGATTTGGAAAAGGTAAAAGATTGAGGAATAGGGTAGAGGAAAAGGAGTAGTGTTTTTGATGAGTTTTAGCCTCTCAGCTACTCCTGTGTTCTTTCTTCATGAGTGTGGTACTGGCCTTGTGATAGAGTAGACCAAAGATCCTGTACTGTATACAGAACTAATAAACATTGATGTTTTGGTTGGAGAAGCAAAGAAGATCGGGAAGATGGAATGCTGCTAAGGAGGGAAAATTGAGTGAGTTAGTTGCCATAGTGGAGAACCATAGTATCTGATGGACAGAGTGGAGAATTTAACTTCACAATTTTGTCAAGGGCTGGGCCCTTAGAAATGACTGTAATTTCCTAACACATTATATTCCTCTAGTGGTTCCATTTTCTAATCAATTTGCTCAGGTAAAATATGAAATTCTCCCCTGTAAAGAGAAAAAGCAATGATCATAGAATGTATATATTCAAATCTAACAAAAGATGGGAAAGTGATTAGTTAGTGAGAGGCCCTGTTAATTTTCAATTCCAATGAATTAACCTTGGAAATCCATCTTTCATTAAGTGAGCTTTGTTTTTTCCTTAATCCAGTTGACATACCGGGATACCTTGGTATATATTCCATATTTGCCTTTCATTGCACACTCTTCACCCCAGCTAATAATTCCAGTTAAGAAACTGGTCCCTTCCACTTCAGTAACATGGGGTCCCCCACTATCTCCTTGACATGAATCTCTACCTCCTTCATGGAAGCCAGCACAGAACATGTTGTTATAGATGGTGAACTTTGTAGATCGAAGACATGTGGCTCGGTCAACAAGTGGAACTCTAAGGTACTGAAGAACTAAAGCTGATCTCCCTTTGTGGAAGACTCTTCCCCAGCCACTTACATAGCCAGATCCAAATTTGAGGAAGATGTTCGTGTATTCCTTGTCAGCAATGCAAATAGGTGTAACGTAGCTGTTTAGCACTAAGGGTTCGTCCAGTTCCAGAAGGGCAATGTCATGGTTGTACTTATTAATAGCTGCATTGTAGTTGTGGTGAGGAATAATTCGAATCACATTTCGCTTTTGCTCTGTATGTTCTGTCTCCTCAATATTATGTTCACCTATTAAAAATAAATTTCATTTTAAGTCACAAACAGTATTTCACATACACAGATTTTCTAAGTGACTACTTGGGACCACTGACCTAATTGGCAATGTTAAAGATCTCATTCTTATATTGTGATAATTTTGGTTAAATGTAATGAGAGCCAATGCATATTTTTCAGACCAAAAAGCCATTCAGGACTATCATAGAGATGGTTCTGTTCACTCATGCTGTTATAAGCCTTTCATTGGTGATAATGAATCCACTAGTCATGAATTATCCTAGATTTTCCAAATTTCAAGTATCCTCACCCCTTTTTTGAGCACAAACTCATTTGGCCATTAATTCAAATGTTTGTTTTCTGAGGACCTGCTACAGGTTGTGCCAAGCACCAGAGATAAAAGGATCGGTGACATGACACTGATTTTTGGGAAGGCCTTCTGGTATGGAAATGGCTACATCAAGAACTAATTGTACCTCACTGAAATGAGTGATAATAGGGGTATATCAAAAGAACTATGGATGCTTGGAGGACGGTGCGACGTGGGTTCTGAAATTATGACCCTTCTGCCTTTAGCCCAATTTATTCAACAACAATTTTATTAGACCTTAGTAAAATATGGTGTACCAATCATATTAAAGAGCTAGTGGTGCTGCAGATTATTATTCTTTCTGTGTATTTACCTGCGACAACTGTAATTTTAACACCAGTTTCAACACAGTGGGCAGCAGTTACAATCCATTTTTCATTAACGATAGAGCCTCCACAGAATGCATCAACTTTACCATTCAAAACAACCTGTGAAAACAAAATTAAGACTCTTACTGCATAATACATTTGATCTAGAAAAAAATAAATATGTGTGCTGGTTACAGGAATAGGCAAAATATTGGCTTCTAGGTGCTGGCAGAAATGGAATGTTTCTGGAAATGTGAGCTTTGCAGATGAATTAGTGTTTTTGGTGCATAAACAAAAAAGCCATTTATGTAACTGCATTGAAAGCAACACACAATGAGAGACAGGGAAGCTTAAGCTTAGGCAAATCTGAGGAATGGCTTCTTTTGGTGATTTGAGGTCCTTGGATTTTTTCCCCATGAGTCAGTTTCTCTGATGGCAAAATTTGCTTCATGGGGATACAGCAGATACATTAGGAAACACACTGGCTTGACTCCTTGAGATTAATAGTTATTAGGGTGTTCCCTGTACCTACATGATGAAATTTTTTTTGCTACATGTTACTCAAAAGAGAAAAACTACTGATTTTTCTAGGAGGTCTTTTCAAACCCTTTTCAAACTGGAATATTATGAAGCAAGACCTAAGGCCTCCATAAGGGCTGTGCTTATAGCCATCCAGGCAGTGAGGAATAGCAGGGCTCATTCATTCTTTCCACTCTCTCTTAACCATATTCTACTCCCCTCTGGCTGGATAGTAAGCTGCCTTTGTCCTAAAATATCAACTTAGCTGTGCTTGAATTTTGGGCAAAGTGGACAAAGCAGTGACGCATTGAGCCTGGGTATTATTAGATAAGAGGCAAGTCCATTATCTCAACTGGATATTCGTTGCATAATTACAGTCGACAATGAATATTTTCTCCATCTCAATGTCTAGATCGACTTGGAGGATTTCAGTTCCAGTTGTAAGCAAGTGCCTTGATCCACCTTTATAGGAAGAAAGCTGGGAAGTGTGAACACTAGAGGGCACACTCAACATTTGGTAAATCCTTTTCAGGACCTGACTAGTTCTGAACGACTGCCCTTGTATTAAAGTGCACACAGTCTTAGGCATGAACCCATTCATAAACAAGGGAAACGAGGTAGTCCATCACTTTAAGTGGATATCAGATGGTCCTTGGGGCATGTTCTTTTTGTCCTGAATTTAATTTACTGAACACCTACTATGTCCTAGACACTGAAGCACTAGCCTCCTACCTGGAGACCTACAAAGCTGACTCATTAAAGGGCTCTGACTTCCTTTTTCATACTCTGGCTCTCCCTCTCTTTTTTTTTTTTGACGGAGTCTTGCCCTGTCACCAGGCTGGAGAGCAGTGGTGAGATCTTGGCTCACTGCAACCTCCGCCTCCCAGGTTCAAGCAATTCTCCTGGGACTACAGGCGCATGCCACCATGCCCAGTTAATTTTTGTATTTTTAGTAGAGATGGGGTTTCACCATGTTGGCCAGGATGGTCTCGATCTCTCAACCTCGTGATCCGCCCGCCTTGGCCTCCCAAAGTGCTGGGATTACAGGCGTGAGCCACTGCACCCGGCCATTTCCCTCTTTTTCTAGCTGTTGCTTTTAATTCTGAAATGTTGTAAAAATACAGAAAAAACTACATAATATAATAAACACCAGTGTGCATACAACCCAGTCTTAACAATTTTCCTAAATTTTTGAACATTTATTGAGTGTTTACTTTGGGCTAATCATTGTGGTGTTTTAAAGACATTTAATACAACATAATATCCTTATGACATGATATTAATATATTTATTTATAGATGCATGAGCTAAAGTTTAGAGGTAAACATTAACTCCCCTGAGATCAGTTGGTAAAGCTAGGAAGCAAACTCAAGTCTGCCCGGCTCCAGAATTTGTGCTCCTAAGCACCCAAATTCGGTCCAGGCATGGTCTGTGGACCAATTGCAGTAGAATCATCTGGGGATCCTTATAAAATGCAGATCTGGGGGCTAATCGAAGCTTAATTTATCAGAATATTTGGTGGGTGGGACTGGGTAAAAGGAAGCTCTCCAGAATATTCTTTACATAATTAAGTTTGAGACCTGTTATATATCTACTGAATCAGAATTTCCAAGACTTGATAATCTTTATGTTTTAAAAGTCCTCACTCCGGGCAGGAATGGCTACATACTTTGTGGGGCTCAGTGAGAAATAAAAATGTGGGGCCCCTTGTTCAAAAGCTAGGAAGAAAAGTGCCATGGAAGATACTAAAATACAAAACTTTTGCTTTCCTCTGTAGTCTCTTTTGCAACCCATCTTGTTACATTTTTAAAATTTGCCATTTAATATTTTGCTCCTTCTAGCATGGGGATATTTGCTGGGGCAGTGCAGACCCTCAAAGGTGCCCAGGAAGTGCACCCTACAATTTAACACCCACATGTCCTTAGGATCCCCTGCCTGCCAGCCACAGGACACTGGGCCCCAGCAGGGGATGATGTGTCAATCTTCCCTTGTCACTGGCCTACTGTGGCAATCAAGGTGGAGAGGTGATTCCCAAGGGACTGCAACTTTCATGCCAGGATGTGTTCCATGCCTGAAATAGAGGTGGACAAGGGGTGTGCCCCCACCATTCACCCTCCAAATGTGCTGTGGCGCATTCTTGGTCCAGAGATGCCACATGGCCAAGCCCCCTTCCAAGATAGCATAGGGCACGTGCACCTGACCAACCTTAACTCTCCCTGCTCCTATGCCCATGTCCCCGCTGGGGGAGGGGAGTGGCAATGGTAGCTAGGTAGGGATGAGGAGGGAGAGCATGTCTGGGCACCATGGGGTGGCAGTGCTCATTGGGCAGGTGTTTGGAGGGAGAGCCAGGGCTGGCTAAGGCACCAGGTGGTAGGGGAGTGGGAGGTCGAGAAACCACCCCGGAAGGTGGTGAGAAGTGAAATGGGGCTGCAGGGATTCAAGTCCCTAGGTAGCACATGCTCTGGCTGTCTCATCAGACTTCAGTTACAAAACAAAAATGCAAAGCAGTAAACCTCAGATGCACGACCTGTCTCAGTGCAAAGCCCTGCGTAAGTACGCCGGTCATAAGACCATGTGTCTGGCTGTAACTCCAATTGATTGTCAGCATCAATAAAACTTGGCCAACACTGTTATATACTGGTATTGATAGTTACAACTGAACATATTTGTTTAAGCAATTGGAATTAAGAATTCACATGCAATGATATCACGGTCCTTCTCCTCTGGTTAGTGTATTGGGGGGAAATTGGACATCTCTCAGCTCAGTAGGCTAGTTAGGCCAGGATGGATGACATCCACAGCCCCTGGGCAGAGAGATTATGATGTAGCTAGTCTGACTCCTGACAAAGACTTGCTTCCTGGAGCTTCTACTACTTTCTGGTGGATGGCTAAGAAATATGGTTGTGTTCTTTTAAGTCTGAAGAGCATTATTTTTGCCAACCCCTGACCAAACATCCTTGCCAAGGAAAAGGCCTAAAATATATTTGCATTTAAAGATATTACAAACTACTTGGTTTTGGAATGTTTGGCCGTTCAGGATCATAGCTATCAAAATATTAGCTATTTGGGGTATGAGATGTCTGCTCGGTCAAGGACAAGTTCTTAAAGACATCATGTTGGGGAATAATGGGGAAAATGGGAAGGCATATGCTCTGAGTAAGACATCTGAGTTATAATCTGTCAAACATTTTTGTTAGTCATAGTCTAATGGGAGCCTGTTTTCCCTCTTTCAGACTCACACATACACAAAAACCAACAACACACATGCTTCTACAAAATATACATTCACATCTGAATTTATGCTCTTCATTGACAATGCCAGCCCAGAACAACAGCTCTTACCCTTTGGTTTTCTTCCTAACCTTTAACTCCAACGTAACCGTTACCTGCGATTTCAGTAAAACCATTATTCTCCCTACTTACCCACCCAAGTTGTACAATAAAGAGTGTTTGCTCTCACTCATATACAAAGCAAATTCATTTGTTTGTGATGTACAGCTTGCTATGCCCACAGATGTGGTTTGCCTAGTCCTTTGCTCTAGGTCATTTGACTGGGAACAGATGGGATGCTCACTTTGGTTTTTAATGGTTAACTAGTCATTGAAATGCATTTCATCAAATAATCTTAGAGGATAATTGTTTAAATGTCTGTCCAGACTAGCTTTGTAGAGCCAGGTGCGATTACACATGTCACGTTCTTATTTCTCTTAATTGAATTTTTATCATCTGAGATAGGAATAATAGAGGGCTTTTTCAAGTGAAGATATTACTATAGTCTTAAGACCTTAGTGTAACATCCTGGCCCCTAAGGAAAAACAAGTTCTGGTTCATACATATAATAACTTTGCATGTTATCTGCCACTGAGATGTGTCCTAATCGAACAGAAAGGATTGAATCTCTGTAGCTAGCTGTACAGGGCAAGAGCTGTACAGGGTACCTTTAAAGATAGCTTCAGGCCAAAGCTGAGGAAAGTGGATGGAGACTGGGGAAAATGCTAAGACATTTTAAAGATTTTCTTTAGGTCAAAAATAGAATAAGAAATAGACCATTTCCCTGGACATTTTCTGTAGGTTAATACGGTTAACTATCGGTAAATGCATATGCTACAACTTAATATAAGCATAAGGAAAGCTTAATCACTTGGCTTCCATTGTATTCTTTTTTTTTAATCTAATAGAATGATCTTCAAATTGTTAAATGTAGAATAAATACGCCACACACCGAACTGAGGCCTATGGTAAAACAGAAAATGGAAAAACCAGGTACTTCACATAAAGGGCCAAATAGTTCTTCGGAAATGTGGGAGGAATTTTTGGGGCCAGTTTGCGCATGCTTAGAATTGTCAGCTGGCAGGGTCATGGGCATGGGATCCAAACCAAATTAAAGCTTTAGAAAGCCAAAATGCGGTGTTGCTTCTTTAAATCTGTCGGTTTTGAGCTGTTGATGAAAGCTATCTAGTAATACAGGCGTTGCAGTTTCCCTTTTTTCACTAATATTCAAAGGTTTTCATTTCTTCCCTACGTGGCGGTATGCAATTCAAGACTTGTTTTAGTTTACTACACCTCTAGACATATACTAACTCTAAGAAAAACTCATTTCTGTTCCTGTGTAGTGCATTTAACCCTCTAGCTTCCTCTTTCTACTCCTGAAGTATTTCTTCAGAGACCCTGCTTCCTTTCCCGAGTTCTCAAGGAGCTCTGAGCCCATCGCTGGGCATCTGGAGGGAAACTGAAGTACCTCCTTCCATTGGCCTCACGCCGTTCCTGTCCGGAACCTTCTAACCTTGCGCGACTTTAGAAGCTGGCCCGGCCCGCCAGTGCCTTTGGCTTTAGGAGGTAGCAAACAGGATGGGGCCGGCAGCGCCGTTCCGGAACCATAGGGGGCTCCTGGGAAGCTACCATCGCGAACAAGGCGCGGCTGCGTTGGCCCTTGGCTCCAGCCTGGCAAGCTGAGGTGAAAGCCCTGGAATAAGGTAAGAAATGAGCGTGACCGCAGACGGGATACGTGCTAGGTGAACATGGCTCTGTAGGGTCTCAAAGCTGGACAGGATCCCAGCAGTCCCTTAGCCTGCTCTGATCTCTGGCCAGGTGAACAAATGCCCTCTCCCTGAATGGGGCTATCTAGCCGCTGCTGTCCCCAGTGACAGAACAGCTCTTTAAGTCAACAATTCCGACAAACATTTGTTCAATCAACATTTGCTCCCAATGCTGCCCAACCTGCGTAACCAACCCAGTGGTTGTTGGTTGGAAAGGGCTTTCTTAATGGAGGTCAGAATCGTCTTGCCTGCTTGCAACTTTCACCCTTAAGTCCACAAAGAAGTTGTCTTCCCCTTTCCCTTGTGGCTCTTGCAAACAGCTCACCTACACCTTTTCTTTAACAGACTAACCATTTCTAGTTTGTTCAATCTGTTCATTACTCCAGATGAAAGTGAACTCTCTATGTTCTTCTTTGTGAGATTTCTTCACCAAGTGATCACTTTATTTCCCACCCTGGCTAATTTGAAAGATAAAAGAAACAACTCTGAAGAGAAAGGTTCTTATGAAGCATCAGCATTTTGAAACACTCTTTTCTAGGTGACACTGCTAAACAGTATTTCATATTTCAAAGCTAGATATATAATGTTTTCACCACTGAAGCCCCAGCTGTTGCTTGCTTTCTCTTGATGCCTTAGTCACAGCAGGTTTGCTGCAGTCTGATCTGCAATCAAATCTAGTATTTCCTCCCTGCAGATTAACCATGACATGGTGGAGCTGGCCCATCCACAAATGAGGAGAGATTCTGGTTTCTTTCATTTCCTGTTTCATTTTGTCTAAAAATGACTTTTATACACTCAATTTATCTCATATTTTTGAAAACCAGTAACCATTCATAAGGAACTGGATGGAGGTGGTGTGGAGGAAACAATGCAGAAGTATGACAGGGTCTTTCACAACTATTCTGGAAAGTAGCTCAGCTTCTTGCCTTTGGAAAAGAATAAAAGTGCTTTGAATCTGTACACATCAGTAATCTTAGTTCATGTGGATGAAATAGGGAGTGAACATATGTGCATGTGTATGTGTGCACATGCATGTATGAGTGATCTTGAACATTCCAAATGATCTTAGCTAGGCTTGACAGCAAAAAGACAACAGGTACAATAACTATAAGTGTGCAGTGAGGTCATGAAATGATTTGAAATAATGTGTATCATTTATATCTTCTCCCTCCCGGAACAACCACAACCACCATCTCATAGTCTTTTCTGCTTGAAAAGAAAATAAGGTGTCTGCTTGAGTTACTAAACTTTCTTTCAGGAAACATCTGCATTGTTAATGCATTGGCAAACATCTGGTTTAAAGGGGGTGGGTGAGAAACGGAAATGATGTGACTAAATTGAGCCTTTATACCCTGTTCCCCTTTTTAGTTCTGATTTAAATGTATTTGCCATTTCATTTCTGGAATGACAAGGAGACAATGCTAAACTCACAAAGCAGACATCCTTTTTTTTTTTTTTTTTTAATCTTGGACTTTTTTTTTTTTTTTTTTTTTGAGACGGAGTCTCGCTCTGTCGCCCAGGCTGGAGTGCAGTGGCGGGATCTCGGCTCACTGCCAGCTCCGCCTCCCCGGTTCACGCCATTCTCCTGCCTCAGCCTCCCGTGTAGCTGGGACTATAGGCGCCTGCCACCACGCCGGGCTAATTTTTTGTATTTTTGGAAGAGACGGGGTTTCACTATGTTAGCCAGGATGGTTTTGATCTCCTGAATCTTGGACTTTTAAAAACGGAAGTTATCTTCTTAGCTAATATATTCTCCTGGGTTCTTGGATCCCCTACTCTGAGCACTGTTCTATGTCCCACAAACCCAAGGAAGATAATTGTCATAAAGTAGGATCTTTTGTTGTAACCATGTTATCCATGGAAGTTGGACACATAATGAATGAAAATACATGAGAACACAAAATGACAAAATTAGAGAGAATAGATACATGGATATTAAATACATTGAAGGCATAATAACAGTGCTTGCACTTAAGAGGGATTGTTCCAGGAAAGGTTCATAAAGAAGGTCAATATTACAGAGTTGTGAAGAAGAGTAAAGATATGGATGAGTGAAGGAAGGGGTTATGGTAGGTAAGGGAAGCAGTCCTCATAGGGTGCAATTAAGTAGAAACAGAGGAGGTAAAAAGGAACATACAGTGTCCCATTTATGAGTTATAAGATCAGGTCCAGCAAATATTGTCTTTTTAAAAAGCAAAGGTAAAAGAAAGGGAAAACCTTGATTGTGATGTTCTGCCACTCTTTGATACCATTCTCCACAATGCTTGTGCAATTATACCTACCACCCCATCCCCAGGTATATGTGTAATACCTTACATCCATTATGTTGAAAAATGGCAGGCATTCTCAAGAATCCTGGATAGATACACAGCTAGTCCCAGAAAATTCCAATGCTGTTAAAACTGAGGACATTTACCTGATTCTGGCTTAAATTGTCACCAGTTTGATAATTGCAAACTTTAAATTTATCAGTCTCTAATGGCAGAGATTCTAACCTCAGTAGAGAAATCCATGAAATTACTACTAAATCATGACTGTGGCAACTAGGGAGTTTTAAGTTACACTAAACTATTATAAGTGCTATCCAATAGAAATTTCTGCAGTAATAGAGTGTTCTATCTCCGCTTGCACTCTCCAATACAGTAGTTACTAGCCACATGTGGTTGTTATGTGCTTAAAATTTGGCAGGTGCAATTGAGGAATTGAATTTTTAATTTCTCTTAATTGTAGTTAATTTAAATTTAAATAGCCATATGTGGCTAGTGGTTACCTATTGGACAGCACAACTTTATATAAGGACCATCCTGGCTTCCTGCCTGGGGAGGGGGGCCAAAGAGGTGGGTTATTTCTTCTCACAGACGGAATCTCTTAGGCTTCAGCTGTAGGCTAAGTTACAACCCAGATTTTGCTACAAATGTAGCTCTTGGTTGTTAAATGAAAAATGTGCATAGGTAATTCTACATATGTAGGTTGTTTGCAGACTACGCTTGGAGAAATGTCTGCAGAGCACCCGGGAAGGACTAGGTACAAGTGCATTATTTGGTGTTTTGAACCCCGGCTTCTGTAACAAGTTCATTTCCTTTGGGCCAGTGTTTTTCTTTTTCTGTTTTTTGAGATAGGGTCTTACTCTGTCACTCAGGCTGAAGTGCAGTGGTGTGATCACAATTCACTGCAGCCTCGACTTTCCAGGCTCAGGTGATTCTCCCACCTCAGCCTCCTGAATAGCTGGGAGCACAGGTGGGAGCCATCACACCTAGCTAATTTTTGTATTTTTTTTAATTAGAGGTGGGGTTTCGCCGTGTTGCCCAGGCTGGTCTCAAACTCCTGGGTTTAAGCAATCCTCCCGTCTCAGTCTCCCAAAGTGCTGGGATTATTGGCATGAGCCACTGCACCTGGCCTAGTTTTCAAACTATAATGTGCATCAAAATCACCTGCAGTGCTTGTTTGCGCACAGACTGCTGGGCCCCACCCCCTAGATATTCTGATTTGGTAGGTCTAGTGTAGAGCAGGAGAATTTGCATTTCTACGTTCCCAGGTGATTCTGATGCTACCACGAGAACTATAGTGGTAGATCAAGACTCTCTCTCATGCCCTGTTTCTTGGAACCTAGTTCTTGCCTTAATCCTTCCTCCTTGAGTCCCTTTCTTTACCCCCTTTTAAATAATCCAATTTTTCTTAGCCTAAAGACTTTCCAACTCTCACCAGTTTTTGCAAGGGCTGAAGCTGAAGTAGTGCCCTGAACCTGAGTACCTGCGACCTTTCTTCCAGACCTTCATGTTGTTGACCAGTTGCCTGTCTGGAATCCTGCTATGCTGTTTCCTTAATGCCAAATTCTTCTTGACCTGTATGGTAGCTGGTTTTGAGCCTCTCTTTCACCAACTGCTCATCTCTGGAGGCCTTCTCACATTGGTTAGTGCTGAAACTTGCCTAAATACTTCTCACATCCCAATAGGTCTGTCTAGTAAAATAGCCTCAGTCTCCCACCTGGCCTGTGTCTTGCCAGCTGAGCTCCAGTTTTGACACACCATCAGTATAAAGTACCTGCCAAGGGAATTGACCTGGTTTGGCATCTTCTCCACCAACAACCCGAGTGAAGTCATTAAATGATTGGGTGCTTTGAGTGATGTTATCCAAAATGGTTTCAGCTTCAGTAGAATTTACATAGTCCACATCAGGAAAAACAGTCTCAGCACGGGTGAGCTTAGAAGTTTGTGAAACAGAAACTCTTCCACATGGAAATGGCACTAGAAAAATAGAAGAAAAATTAGTAACCTGATATTTCTCATTGGCAAATGGAACATGTATTACAAAAATTGAGATTGAGGCCCATCCTTGTCACTTCTGAGAAGCAGGCCCATCAGTATTTAAAAAAATCTAATCAGTGAATAGAGTCTCAAGCTAAAAGGTTGATTGCGTTATTTTCATGGACAGTTTTCAAATCCTTCATGAAAAGAACATTTGGCTCCGGAATTCATCATCTTTACGGAAATAGAATAGGTGTTCCAGAATCAAATTTGGTAAGACTTTTACAGAGTCTAATGACTTTGTGTTTAGTTTCTTTACTAAAAAGTCTTACTCCCAATTGCCATCCCTGAATGGAAGTCTTATGATTGATGCTTTGTAACTTTAACTTTCCAATTTGGTAAATGGGACTTCTGCTGCTTATGATTAAGAAGGTTTCTTTTGCAGACTAAAAGGCCTTCTAGATTCCAAGGTGCATTTTATATATTTTCTGGGGAGAGATCATTGTGATTCAATTATTTGGGCTTCAAATATTAGCCAAAGAGATTGCTAATATAATTATCACAGCCATATTCACCAGGACCTGCCCACCATTTTTCCTTGGGTTGGTTTATTTTCTAAAGAAAAATAATGTATTGATACACTGGGGACTACCAGAATGGGAATTTGTAGTCAAACAAAGTCACTTCACATTTCATTTTCATTTATCACTTTCCTTCAAGCCACATTCCTTGTAACAGACATTTCTATAGCAACCAGCTGCGACAAAGTATCATGAAGACAGCAAGTGGTTGAGAAAACAGGAAATTAGTTCAAAATACTTATGTATAAGTGTACACAATCAACAATGGCTACAGAAAAGGGACCTTTATCATTGAAAAGGCAGAAAAGCTTATTTTAAGTTTGGCCTACTTATTCTGCTAAAGCTAAGGCTATATTCAAATATAACACTTAATAGTTGGAGGTGGTTCTCAATTCTGTTTCTCTTTTATAGCATAGAAGAACTTGTAAGGGTTTAGCTAGTATGCCATCTGTCTATACTGGAAGTTAGGTTTTTAAGGTTAAAATACACAGACACACACCCACACACATATTCATGCTCCTCTCAAGGTAGACTAGCTTTGAGACAGTGTATGTGAAGAACCAGGCAGAAGAACAAGTGGGCAGGCCCTGAAGCCTTAGAGATTCTTCATTTTATTTGCAGGATATATATTCCTAGCTTCTGGTTTGTTGGGAACAGGCCTCCAAATCTGGCCATAAACTGGCCCCAAAACTGGCCATAAACAAAATCTCTGCAGCACTGTGATATGCTCGTGATGGCCTTGATATCCACACTGGAAGGTTGTGGGTTTACCAGAATGAGGGCAAGGAACACCTGGCCCACCCAGGGCGGAAAACTGCTTAAAGGTGTTCTTAAACCACAGACAATTGCATAAGTGATTTGTGCCTTAAGGACATGTTCCTGCTGCAGATAACTAGCCAGACTCATCCCTTTATTTCCCATAAGGAATACTTTCAGTAAATCTTATGACTGGCTTGCTGTCAATAAATATGTGGGTAAATCTCTGTTCGGGGCTCTCAGCTCTGAAGGCTGTGAGACCCCTGATTTCCCACTCCATACTCTATATTTCTGTGTGTGTGTCTTTAATTCCTCTAGTGCCGCAGGATTAGGGTCTCCCTGACCAAGCTGATCTCGGCACTGGTTCTTTCTTTAATTTCTTCTGCCTGGTATAGTGCTGAGACAGGTACTGAAACAGTTACAGAGAAATGGTGCACAATTTAATGTACCAATTAATAAGATATCAGGCTTTAGAAATGCAAAAGAAATTATATCTAGTTTGCTTCAAAAAAGCCCCTCATTTATCAAATATAATTGACCCTGCAGAGCCTAAATTTTTCAAAAAATAAAAGTGTCTACTGCTTTCATCTTTAGATAACAGCCATACGAACATGGAGTGGAGATGTTCTGAATACACTAATCAGCTGTTAAAATGGTGGCATGGTTGGCATGACTGGGAAACATTGTTTTGTTCACAGCCATATAGATTGTGCTGATCAGCCTAGCAGAACATAAAACAGTTCATTGCCGGAATCATTCTGACACCAAGTGTGTAAACTCAGCTTAAGACCCAACAATAAAAAATAACTTTCTCAGAGTAAACTAGCCAGCCCAGATAGAATCATGCTTCAAACTTACCGTCCTTATACTAGAAGCCTATCACTCAATTATTTGTGTATATTTTATGATATAGTATTACTACATTGATTTGACTTGATGAATTACAAATACATATGCAGAAATCACACAAATTAATTGCTTTGTGATATAAATGTTAGAGAAAAAAATTGGACAAATTGGACACAGAAAGAATTCAGGTTGTAGATGATTACATAGTTTATATTTAAAATATGATGCAATCTAGAAAATTAATTGGTCTAATTCAAGCTACTGATATTTTCTATGATTTCAAAAGGAAGCAGATTCAAGTAGGAATTAAAATTATGTAGGTTTGTTAAAATGCTGAAGTTTCAGATACAGATTTTCTTTAAAAAATCTTATTCAGATTATGACCTGCTGGTTCACAGGACTTCTGGTTTTCTGCAAGTCGATATCCCTCAGTACAGGAGCAAACCACCTTGTTATCAGCACTATTTTTACAAAACTGCTCGCATCTGCCATTCTTAATGTTACATGTTACATCTAAAAGAAGCAAAATAGACAGTAACAGCATCATTTAACATGCATTTCTAAAAAGTACATGGAACTACTGACTCATGTATGGGTCAAATATACATTGGGGGCATTCATGTTGCCCCCAATATACGTTGGGGAGAGAAATTTTGGAGCCTTGAAATAAGAGTGGAAAGAAAGGTAAAATAAACTTCTCAATAATGCATAAAAATGATGGTAGCACTATAATTGATTGGTTTAAAACTAAATGTTTGGATATTCTACTTTCACTAAATTATGAACTACAGGTTTAAAAACCCTATTTATTAATGTATAACATATATTCAAAAAATACACACAATTTTAGTGTAAGTTTTCACAAAGTAAATGAGCCTGTTTAAACACTAAACTGACCAATACATAGCACATTATCAATACCCCAGAAGATGCCCCCTCCCAATCATTCCACCCTTTTTCCTTTTTATAGGTTACCATTACCTGGACTTCTAACACAGTAAACAGTTCTTGCCAGTTCTTGAATTATAAACAGAAGTTCGCAATATGTACTCGTCTGTGTCTTTCATTTAACATTTTGTCTGTGAGATTAAACCATGTTGTTTTGTACAGCAGTAGTTCATTTACATTGCTGTGTAGTATTCCACTGTATTACTATTACAGCTTTTATTTATTCATTCTACTGTTAATGGATATTTGGTTTGTTTCCAGTTTTTGGCTCTTATGTATAATAGTGTAATGAACATTCTTGTATATATCTTTTGGTGACATAAACATGCCTTTTTACTGGCTTATAATTATGAGTGTAATTACTGGATCACATGTTCAGATCTAGTAGATACTGCCAAGCAATTTTCTAAAATGATTGTACGAACTTAAATTCCCACCATCACTGTATGGGGTTCAGTTATTAGGTATCTGTATTGCAGATATCTTGTCTCACTCTGTGACTTGTCTTTTCAGTCGAAGTAGTGTCTTTTGCTGAACAGGAGTCCTTAGTTTTAATATAGTCCAGTTTATCAATCTTTTCCTTTATGGTGATCACTTTTTGTATTTTAAGAAATTTTTGCTTTCTGCAAGTTATGAATATAAATTGTTATTGTTTCATACTTCATGCCATATGAATATCTAATTGACCTATCACTTTTTATTGAAAACACCAATAATTTCCTTCTCTACTGCACTGGCACCTCTATCATAAATCAAGCCTTTATATATGTACAGGTGTGCTTCTGAGCACTCTAGTGTGTTTCACTGATCTATTTGTCTATCCTTGTGTCAGTACCACACTGTCTTAATAAATGTAACTCGATAATAAGTCTTGACATCTGGTAGTGTAAGTAGTACAAGTTTATTCTTCCTCAAAACTGTCTTGGCTATCCTTGGCTCTTTGCATTTCCATATGCATTTTATAATTAGCTTATGAATCCTGCCCGACCTCCCACCACCAAAAAAAGCCTGCTGGGCACTTTGGTATTGCATTGAATCCATTAGTAAACATTTGATATATTTACTATATTGTATCCTTTAATTGATAAACATTGCCTATTCATTCATTTATTTAGGTTTTCCTTAATTTTTCTCAATAACGTCTCATAATTTTTTATGTAGAGTTCTTGCACATCTTTCTCACATTTATTACTAAGCGTCTAATTTTTAATGCTATTATAAAAATCATTTTTGAATCGTTGCTGGTATATAGACATACAATTGATATTTGTATGTTGACTCTGTATCCAGTAATCTTTCTATACTTATTTATTTTAATTGTTTAGATGCTTTGGGTTTTCTATATGTACAATCATTTTTTCTGAAAGTTACAGTTTTACTTATTTTTTTCAGTGAACACAAAAAGCAACCGCAATTTCATAATCTCATGTAGATACTGCCTTTCTGCATTGAAGTGTAATTTCTATTGCTTAGTTATTCTAGAAATTGCTTGGCTTCCAGAGCTAGACTGTTTAACAGGTTACCTATAAAAGTAGAATCTGGAAGTCTTTAGAAATTACAGTGTTAGAATAGCAGACATGGAATCAACCTAAATGCCCATCAATGACAGACCGGATAAAGAAAATGTGGTTCATATATACCATGGAATATTATGCAGCCATAGAAAAGAAGGAGATTATGTCTTTTGTGGGAATATGAATGGAGCTGGAGGCTATCATCCTTAGGAAACTAGCGTAGGAACAAAAATCAAATACTGCAGGTTCTCACTTGTAAGCGGGAGCTAAGTGTTAAGAACTTATAAACACAAAGAAGGAAACAACAGATACTGGAGTCTACTTGAGGGAGGAGGGTGGGATGAGGCAGAGGAGCAGAAAAGATCACTATTTGGTACTGAGCTGAATATCTGCGTCATGTAATAATATGTACAACAAACCCCTGTGACACATGTTTATCTATGTAACAAACCTTCACATGTACCCCTAAACCTAAAATAAAACATTTAAAAAAAAGAAATTATAGTGCTAGGAAGTCCATTAGGGCCAAAAAGCAACTTGAAGCTGGCTGAGGTGGTTACATATCAAACATAAGAGAATGAAATAGGGTCCTGTAAGGTAACTGAAGACCAAAGACCAATATGTCATTAGTGCTAAGCATTCCAGTGGCCCACATTTTCTTTACTCTCCTATGCAATTCCCCTTATTAATAAAAAAAATCTCTTGTCTTTTGAAATGATTTTCCTCTTGGATTCTATTTTGTCTGATATTAAGATTGCTTTGCTAGTTTCTTTTTGTTAGTTTTTACCTGATAGTTCTTTTCACATCCCTTCATTTTGGCCTCCCAGTGTAATTTTATTTTAGGTATCACTTTCGTTAACAGTATACAATTAAATTTTTAACTCCAAGCTGAAAGTTGTCATTATTAATAGATTAGTTTAATCCCAATTCACAATAATTGTGTTTCCTGATATTTTTGGCTTATTCCTGCCATCTTGTTTTGTATTTTCTAATTACTGTGCTTTCCCTTTGTTTCTCCTATGCAATACCAATAACAGGAAGTACCATGTTTCAGGACTTGTTAGCTTAGACCTGCTGAATTAAGAAAAACAGGCTCTGCTCTTGAGCCTATTTCTGTTTCTAGAGCAGCACAGGAACATAAACAATGTAAGACACCTTTCCCCTTGTGTACGTGTTTGACAACAGTAAAACTTTCAATAGAAATCCTCAGTGGTCAGTGCAATCATAACATGGAAAGTTTGAAAATGAGTGACTGTATTAGATACCTCCTATGCACCACCTTCATTCTTCTCAGCTTCACCTGTGTCTTTTTCCAGCATGGTGGTGATTAGCTCTGGGTGGATGTCAACCAGCCTCCTATGGGTGTATCCTTGAATTGCCTTGGCTCATAGCTGCACTATGTGTCTTTTGCCTTGAAGCTTCCCTGTTCATGCTGAGGCATGGATGCCATATGACCCTCTGGGTACCCAAGCATATCCAACTAGGAAATGTGAGGGAGTTAATTCCCCATAAGTCGAACTTCTAACCAATGAGAGACAGATACTGACAGACAAATTCTTTCACCGCTTCTTCCCACTCAGGTGGACTAACCTGAGGCCAATTTGACTTATTGGAGACAGTCCCAGGAAGTTAAGCAATCAGTTGCTGTTAGAAACGAGTAGTTTGATAACTCATCCTCTTATTGGCTTTCTTTTCCTTTCTGCCTCACTCTTCAGTTCCTTTCTCTTGCCCCCTGGGATTGCACATGTTAATAAATAAGCTTGTGACTTTTTTTCTGGGGGAACACAGGCTAACAGAGTGACTGTATGGTTTTGGAGAATATGAATTTTTGAGTGATGAATCTAAACTTTTAAACTCTATTTTACATATGCTAGCATAGCCAAATGTAATAATTGGCTCTTAGTCCTTACGGATACTTCAGGAGATAAAGGGAGGCAAATCAACTGTTGCCAGGGGGACAAAGGAACCAGCTTGAGCTTTAACCTTTGCTACCAATAATCCACTAAGGGCATGATCCAAAAAGATGGCACTTGGTCCTATTAATTAATTAATTAATTAATTAAAAGGCCTTTCTCCTCACTAACAGTGGTAATATCCCTGGATCTTTTTCTGTTACTAGCTATCATTTTGTTGCTACGAAGCAATGCTAAAGTGTTCAGCCAAATCAAACATTACCTGTAGAAAGTGTTCCGTCAATATGAGATTGTGATAAGTTACGAAAGGTGCAGCTTGGTTTGTCCAGGGCATGCACAATGGGAATGAATAAACTCTGTGTTTTCTCAATTGTGATTCTGTGTCATTGGCTAAGAAGTAACCAGACCTCTGTATCATTCTCCACATTTGTCATTGCCCTTTAGGGCTCAGTATGTTGCTGCTGCTGTTGATCTTTGGCTTGTTTTGCGCAGGAGGTGGGAAATATTGCTTCCTAATCAGCAATCTTTTGCCCTCAGCTAAAAGGCTGAAGATTCCAGAAATAAAATAATGGCACAAGGAATTCCAGGGGAGAGTTCCATAGAGCAGGGCTAAGGAACAGTTAGAATGGGACTCATTTATCAATTACTGAGCATTTATGTGTCAGGTACTGTGGTGGATATGGGCTCTCTCTGGTCCCGAAGGGGGTCTCAGTGCCTAGAATATCTGTTGAAGAACATCTCAAAGCATCTGTTCTCCCTCCCTCCATGTTAACACAAACACTTTCTAATTCCCTTCATGCCTACTACAAATGTTAGTATGTTCTGCTTTAGTTTATTCTGCCTTTATATTTCCTGATATATCCACTTGTGTGACAACCAAAGCTTGGACAAAAGATGTTTTATTTAACAAGTTTACCACAAAATATGCTGTGCTTCAGCTAAACTCAACATATTTCCTTTTTTTACTCCTCAGAAATACGTAGTAAATAAGACAGTAGTGTCTGTGACATGCTGGGAAAATTGAAGAAGGTGTTTATAGGCTTGTGATTTTTGTTTTCTTTCCATTCTACTTTACTGCGGGAAAATGCCTCTGTTACTCTTTAGAAGAGACAGGAATGACCAAATTCTTACAGACCTTCATTTATCTGAGAGATATTTGGGTTTGATGTACAGCTAGGGACATCATACAGAGGTCTTTATTCTAACCAAAGGGACCCAATAGCCAATTAATATTCTTTAACTAGAATGCATGCCCTGAACGTTTACACCTCTCTCTCGCAGTGAAGGGCCTGATGAACAAGGGAAAAAGATAACAAAAAACTCTTATTGATGAAAATCTCCTTTCTTTTTTTCAAGACCTTATAAGACAAAAGACTTGGGGCCGAGATGCCCCATAAACTGTGCTATCTAGTAGCTGTTGCAATTAGTCTTTAATTTGAAGCAACAAACTTAAATGGTAATTTGTTTATGCTTTTGCTGTAGCTTTCCTCTGTTGTCTGAGATAAAGAGCAATTTGTGGGAATTCTCATTTTGTTTGTGAGCTAACTGGGCTGAAAATATTTTTCTAAACCTTGATCAGATTGGTGGGTCAGATCAATATACTGTAGAGGCCAGGAGTGGTGGTGGCTGCAGTACAACTGCACAGCCTTGACCAAACCAAAATGTGGGAACATGAGAGTATCCAAGTTGTGTCAGTTGTAGACTTAGCATTTTTGCTGGGTGGAACACAGCCACACACGTAGCAAACTCTGTTGTAGAAGTTTTGTGCTTATATTTACATTCCTCAGGGCTATTCCCTTCCTCCTTTTAAAGCATCTTTATTTTTAAACTAGGTAAAGATATTTATGTTTTCAATTATAGTTTACAACAATGTGCCCTTCAGTTGTAACTGAGACTAATTGAGTTACTCATTCCCTCAGCTCCACCGGCTATATTATTTAAGCTGATAATGAGTAACTACTCCAAGGATTTCTAGAGGTTTCCATAATAGCAAGATCAAATTTATCCAGGTAAATCTGAATTTCAAATTATAACCTTTCAGATGAAAGTAGCACTTCAGAGATATTGAATCAATTAACACACTCTCAAGAAAGGTAACCCAGGCATTAGTTTGTCCCCCACAATGGAAACCTAAGGGAATGGGAGTCCAAGCCAGGTGTGCAAGTTCATTCACTCTTTTCTTTCTTTTCAAATGTCTTTGCCCTGTCACCTTTTCCTTTTTTTACCTTCTAAGAAATTTTCGAGACTAAAGGAAGATGGTCAATGAATTTTTTAGTACTGAAAGGATTTCTGAACAACATTACAGGTGACTTTTTTCCTTTCTCAATAGGACGAGTGTAGCTGCTACATTTCATTTCATTTCATGCCTTTTTCATCTGTCAGGTGGATTGCTGTAATGCCTTAATAGAGTCCTGCTAATTTTCTACTCTTTATCCTTAGTCATGTAGCCTGTGGTGTTAAATTCTTCCTTAGGATTGCATCTCTATTCTTCCAGAGTGTCAGAGTAGAAAGTGAATTCCTCATTAGCACTGTGTGCGTTTCTCAATCACAGTACCAGTAATATTGCATCTGGAGGTAATAAACAAGTAGGTAAGGGACACTGGGGTTTACTGCTCCAATTACTGAAACGTCGGAAAAAGAAATAATCTAGGCTTTGAGAAGAAAAGGTACACAAGGATTCTAAGGTTGCTATGTAACATTTTTGATGTAATCAATATAGTCAAATTCAGGGATGAGCTTTGAATGTTGTCAACAAGTTTAGCATATGAAGTGGTTTGTACATGTGGAGAATTCCCATTATATGGGATAATTGGCCAGTCATACTCCAGTTCTGTACTTAATTGACTTTCACTACCTATGTTGATAGCAATTTAGTCATGATTTCAATTTTCTGGGTTCAGTTTTCTCTGAGTTTTGAATATAGTAGTTAGAAGCATGGGTTTTGGTCACACTGAAGTTTAAGTCCTGTCTAAACCATTTATGCCTCTGTAATTTTTGGCCGTTGGAGTTGCGGTTTTCTCATCTGCATAGAATGCGCATAATGATAGTACTAACCACATACGGTTGTATTAAAGATTAATAAGTGAGTGGAACATCATTATTACTTAATATTAGTTACCAAATATTGTTATTGATTTTAATGTAGCTTCTTGAACTCATATCCTGAAAACTATCACTACAAATGAAATGTTTATAAGCATCAAAGGTATGTTTTTAAGAAAAATTATGATACACCAATATTGCATTTTCCAGTTTCAACTTGTTTCAGAGGGAAACTTTGAACCATGAGTATTCAAAAAATAGTTACTTACCTAATTCACAGTTCTTTCCTTCAAATCCAAAGGGACACCAACATTCATAGGAATTAATGTCATCCTTGCAACTGCCGCCATTTAAACATGGATTGGACTCACACTGATCTCCATCTTTGAGATAGGTTAAGAAATTGAATTGGCACGTAAACTGCTTAGAATGCCCGGTCCTCCCCTGTAGATACTCATTGGGATGGGAGTCTGATTTTAGGGTCAGAGCAAAACTACTGACCTGGAAGCCAGCTGCCTATAGGCATATGATGCTCCTGTCTTCCTGAGTTTCTAAAAGCCACCCAAACAAAGATCCTTAGGCTGACACTGTCCTAGAAAAGTGCCCTGAGGAAGGCATGTACATAGTTTATGCAATCCAAGGGAAGAGGGAGAAGGACGTTTTTGTATAGAAAGGTACTATATCAGCACAGGGTGAGAAGGATTTTCAATCCTTCCTTATAGAATGATGGCAGAGTTAATTCCAAGTCAAATTTAATTGCTTCAACAAATATTATCTCTATGTCACACAAGGCTCTATTGCAGGTCTTGTAGAGCAAACTGAGCTAGATAATATATGGCGTTTCCACTTTAGGAACTGACGGCCTAGGCAGGGAGCAAATGAATCTGCTTTCTTGTATTGTCACTTAACTTTGATGTATCATATGCAGTAATGGTTCAAGACAATAGAAAACATGTCAGAAGCATCTGTTACTACTTAAAGATAGTCTATGTTTTACAAATTCGGTTTCAAATGGTCTAGGTAATGTGAGAGACAGCATTCGATATATCATACAGAATTTAAAAAGATTCTACAGTGTGCTTTATTTATGTATGCATTGGTTATGTTTCCATTCTGCCTTTCTTGAAGTTTCTGCATTTACCGTGTACTTGAAAGCCTTTGAAGACACTGATGGTAAGAAAACAGGAGGAAGGAATAGGTGAAAGGAGAAAAGTCAGAATGAGAAGGGAATCTTTAAGTCTGGTTTCTTAGTGCTCTGCCTTAATCCACACTTCTAAAGGAGCTTTGGGAGAGAAGGATGAATAGAACCAGAAGGGAGATGGTAGGCACTTTGAACTAGAAAAATACCCCTGAAGAAAAAAATAGGAGCTTGATCTGTAAGACTCAATATATGAGAAACAAAGGAGTAAGAGATAAAGATAACAATAAGAATCAAAGAATGAGGGAAAAGGGGGAAACTGAGAAATTTCTAATTATCAGTCGTATTTTAAAGCAAATCTCCTTGACATCTGGTGTGTAGATTCCTGCCTATTCTCCCTCTTCTCTGTCAGAAGCGTGTATCCAGGTTCCGTTGACTAAGAGACTAATATCCCTTTATCATAAGTAGTCCCTCCCTGGAAAATTTGCTTATTTAAAAATTAGACCTTGTCCCCTCTGCTCCTAGATCTGATATGCTTTTGCACAGATACTCTAATTTGTTCCAATTCTATGAAAACAAAATCGGTTATCTCTGGTTTGTTACTATTGATGTTCAGAACTGGTCTAAAAATGAGCTACATTTGCCCTTTATATTATAGACCAACAAATGTGAATTATTCAGGATGTTTTACTGAAAGGGTCTGGGCTTTCAGCCAGCTACACAGGAACTCATTTGCTGAGACATGTCGTTAAAATGAGTGTCATTTTATCCCACATTTGGTTCTCCTTTGGTTTCTAGGCTGTGTGTACTTTGGGTTCAGGCAAAGCCATAGACAGTTGGGGTCAAATACAACAAGAGACAAGATCTTACCAAGTGAGAGATTCCTGTTTAAGACTACCAGGTTCCTGTTTAATGAATAACTGCATTTAGATTTGAAGGCCCTGAGGTGTAATAGTGAAAGCAAGGGGTTGAGCAGCAGAGAATTTGGCTTCTCTTCTGGGCTTCATGACTCCCCAACTGGGAGACCTTTGGCAGTTCTTTTAACTTCCCTAAGCTTCAGTTTACTCTCCTGTAAAATGGAGTTAATAATGCTTTGGTCACAAGGATGGTGTGAGGGTTAAATGTGATAGGCCTTTTGTAAACTGGAAAGTCTTGACAGATGCTAGTAATGTGGTTGGACAATCATTCTTCAACCAGGCTCTTTATGTGATGAGTTGATGGTACAGAATAGCACAGCAGTGAGAAGCTTGGGTTTCTACTATGTGCAAGAAGAAACATAGGCTAATTTTGTAGTGGTTAGGAACCTTGACTGCAAGTGAAAAGAGGCAGGGAGTTTGTTTCTTTTTTGTTCTTGTTTTGTTTTATTTTTTGGTTGACGAAGCAGTAGTAACAGAATAATACCCTCCATGTTTTCCAGATAGCTATACCTGTGGTATAGCAAACAGTGTACCTATGTGACCCAAAAGGCAAGGGCCCAACTTTAAAATATGATCCTGGGGGTGGGGAGTGAGCAATGAAGGGATTGTAGGAGTTTAATAGTCAGGAATTTTTTGGTGGGGAAAATCGGCATGGATTTACTTTTAGAAATAAATCATGTGATTCAAAGTTCTAAATTCTGCGGGAATGGAGATTGCAAAGACCTATTTGGACTAACTTTAGGGGGCACCTCAGTAGAAGCTGGTATGGTAGTATTCGTTTCTAAGATCAAGGAAAGGTAGATAAAACAATATAACAGAGTCAACTCTTTTTCTCTCATGATTTAAAAACAAAAGTGGAGGAGTTATGAGTTATGAGAGTAAAAGAGTGTCCAGTAGTGTCTCCAGAACATAAACTGTAGAAAATAGAATTGGATTTCCAATTGATGGAAGTTGGTGAATTTGTTGTCTGGATTAATTTCTTTTTATTTATGCAGATAGTCTTAGGTAAGTCAATCTTTGAAACTTACCCTCCCTCAAAATCCTACTGCTGAATTTTAAGTTATTGTAGCTTTAAAGTTAGTTGTCATTAAAGTTTTGAGTTTTCCTTCTTTTGGTCAATTCATTTGATAAATATTTACTGAGTACCTCTTTTCCAGATACTGTTCTAGGTGCTAGGAATATATCAATAAACAAAACAATTGAATATCCCTGCCAACATGAAACTTGCATTTTAGTGGAGTAGGAGAAAATAAATGATAAATAGTATGAGTAAGAAATTATATGATACATTAGATGGTGAAAAGCTCTGTTAAAAAGTAGAGTGGAGTTCTGTACAGGTGTCTAGAGTGGTAAGGCTACTGGGGCAGGTTGAAGTATTAATAGATGGTGAAGGTAGGCCTCATTAAGATGGTAACATTTGGGCAAAGACCCGAAGGAGGTGAGGGAGTCAGCCCACAGGAAGTTGGGAACAGCCAAATAAGAGAAACAGCCAGATAAAGCCTCCAAAGTGGGAGCATTCCTAGAGTGTGCAAGAAGTGACAGGAAGGCCAGGGTGGCTGGAGCCCAGTGTGCGAGGAGAGAAGTAGCAGAGGAGGCAAGAAGGGTAATGGGGAGGGTGGGGAAGGACAATCATGGAAGGGCTTGTGGGCCATGATAATGAGGAGGACTTTGAAGCTATAAACATTTAAGTCAATCAGCAGTCTCTGATTTTACTGAGGAATGCAAACTTTCATTAGGTTCTAAGACACAATCATTTCAGTTTCTTCCTTCCACCCTCCTGGGGTGGAACAATGTTCTTTGTGAAGCCCTAGGGAGGATTAAACTTATTTACCAGCGATAGTTCCCACACTGGCATAACCCTGTAGTATATCACCATTCAATATGGGTTAGAGGGTTGGACTGATCTTTCTGAGTCCTTTTGACAAAGTTTAATATATTATCTATTTATGCAGAGAAAAAACCCACATAATTCTCATATGTTTCATATATTAGCTAGAGGATAAAATGAATTGCTTACCAACATACTGCTTCCAAAATTCAGTCTATAAAGAATAAAAGAAGACAAATTAACGGTAATATCTAAAGTGTTTTGGTATTGATTTCCTATCTTTTATAACATTTAACATACATAAATATATATGGATGCTTTAAAATTTTAAAGAGAAGTGTCTTTTTAAAGATTTTCTATTCTATGCTCTGCATCTGAAGGGTATTATGTGGAAATACTCACTGTTCTTTCAGTGTTTTCAAAAACTTCTCGTGCTTCTTCAAAACTACACTTTTCTTCCATACATTCTCTCTCAAGGTTCCCTTGAACAAACTCTTCCAATTTACCTGAATTATACCTCTTTGGCCGATTCAGAATTTTGTTGGCGTTTTCATGATCAAGAAAAACTGAAATGTAAAAGAATAATTCTTTAGTTTTAGCAAAAAAGAAAACATCATGAAAATTTTACATCTCTTAAGAAAGTCTTTGTTTTTAATCCAAATAATCTGAAAGCCAATTTCTCTTTAGGGCATGGAGCCAAAATCTGTGATGTTCCCACAGTACTGTATACACATGGAGATTTAGGAATTAAAATTCAATTTTACTTTTAGTCAAGAGAATTCCAGTAATAAAAGGTCAGATTTCTAATCATATTTGAATTTACTTTGGATGAAAAAGAAAGTTCTCAAATGAGCGGTTAACTTCACACTTTGTCATCACTTGAAAATAGCTCATTGAGGATCTTTGCAAAGTGATCCATCACCCTGGCTGGGCTGTTTTCAGAATATGGTTGCCCAAATGACTTTGAACAAATGTCTCCTGAAGAACAGAAGCCTAATTATGGTCCAGCTGCAAATGTGACCCCAGTGTCTGTCACTAGATGTTAAAGAAAAATCACTGCATTAATTTAAAAAAGCAATTTCAGATCAACAGCACCTTTGGTTGGCAAGTGTTATAGGAATTGCAGTGATTTAAGCATCTCTCTAGAATTCAGGATATGTTTTTTTTAAGCTACATCTACCTAGTCTGAAGAGACACTCCTGAACTCTGGAGGATAGATGTCTCTATCTGAATCATATTTCTCCTTCCCTCCCTCCTTCCTCTCCTCTCCTCTCTCTCTCTCTCTATGTGTGTGTGTGTACATATATATATACATATATGTGTGTACATATATATACATATATGTGTGTACATATATATGTGTGTGTATATATGTATACATATATGTACACATATATATGTATACATATATACACACACATATATATCATATATATCATATCATATATATATATATATGAGATAATCATTTGCTGCACAATGACATTTTGGTCAATGATGGACCACATTATACGACAGTGGTCCCATAAGGTTATAATACTGTATTTTCACTGTACCTTTTCTATGTTTAGATACACAAATACCACTGTTACCATTGCCTACAGTGTTCAGTACAGTCACATGCTGTACAGGTTTGCAGCCCAGGAGCCTAGGAGCAATAGGCCACATCAATACAACCTAGGTATGTAGTAAGCTATACCATTTAGGTTTAGGTAAGTACACTCTATTATGTTCGCACAATGATGAAATTGCTTAATGACACATTTCTCAGAATATATCCCCATTGTTAAGGAATGCATGGCTGTATACACACACATGTGTTTGTGTGTTTTCATGTATATACATATATGTGTGTGTATGTATAAAATTAATAACAGGGACTCAAGAAGTTGCCTGGAGTTGTTCCTTTCTTCAAGGGTCTAGCAATATATCTGATACCATCTCAAGAGGACCAAGGGCTTATAAGATGAACTTTCTGGGGTATTTGGGACTACTTCCTGATTAACTCCAAAAAGGAAGAGAAAGGAAAGTAAAAAGGAAAGGAAAGAAACGGAGATGAACTAAACTTTCTTCCCTTATTTTCATTGCAGCTGTTCACTTTATGGAGTGTTCTAGTCCCTTGACATCCCTGCTTTTCCCTTGCTCTGCAAGTTCCTTTTGGGCTCACTTTTTTTCTTTGAATTTAGCCTAGACTTTTTCTCTTCAACTCTTTTTTTTTTGACAGAGTCTTGCTCTGTCGCCCAGGCTGGAGTGCAGTGGTGCGATCTCAGCTCACTGCAACCTCCATCTCCCAGGTTCAAGCTATTCTCCTGCCTCAGCCTCCCAAGTAGCTGGGATTACAGGCACCCGCCACCATGCCCAGCTAATTTTTGTATTTTTAGTAAAGCCGGGGTTTCACCATTTCACCTTGTTGGCCAGGCTGGTGTCGAACTCCTGACCTCAAGTGATCTGCCTGCCTGGGCCTCTGAAAGTGCTGGGATTATAGGTGTGAGCCACCATGCCAGGCCTCTCTTCAACTCTTCATTGGCCATATTTCTCAATTTCCTTCACTCGTTTGCAATGCTGTGCCCACCCTGCAATCCTAGCCCCTAAATTGGAGCAGCCATCTGCCTTCATCCTTCTCTTCCCAGACAGCCGAGGACTGTGAAGGAAAAAAATCACCAAAATGCAGATGGATGCCACCACATATTGATGCCTCACAGCCTCCACCCACCTCTCTGCTCAGCAACTCATTTACTTGGCCCTGGACACTCCTAAATAGCATCCATGCCTGCATCCATTTACAGTCGTTCCTCAGTATCCATGGAAAATTGGTGGCAAGACCCCCTGCAAATATCAAGATCTGTGGATGCTCAAGTCTCCGATATAAAAATGGCTTACTATTTGCATATAACCTAAACACATCCTCCTTTGTACTTTAAATCATCTCTAGGTTTCTCTTAATAGCTAATACAATGTAAATGCTATGTAAATAGTTGTTATGCTGTATTGTTTAGGGAATAATGAAAGATAAAAGAGTCTGTACATGTTCAGTAGAGATGCAACCATCCATTTTTTTCTTGAATATTTTTGATCTGCAGTTAATTGAATCTGTGGCTGTGGAACTCACAAGGAGAGCTGACTGTACAGTGTGGTTGAGTGAAAAAACAGACTTTAGAATCAGATCAGACAGAAATAGGTTTGAATCAAGTATCTGCCTCCTCTAGACCTGTGACCTTGGACAAGTCACACAAGCTCTGAACCTTAACTTTGTCAAATGTAAATTAGGTTTAACAGTAGTATAATAAGAATATCTATCTCACAGGTGTTGGCAGGATCAGTGAGACAATATGCTGGTTATCTCTTTTTCTCCCTACTCCTTTCATGTTGGCCCTACTTTCTTCTGTTTTAAATTTCTCAATTCTCTTTAGCTCTTTAATAACTTCTGTGTAGCTCTTTTCCTTCCTTAATCACATTTATATAATGAAATGACTATTGTCACAATCAGGAATGACCTAAAGAATAATTTTGAGTTTATGTATTTACTGGCTGCTCTAAATAATTTCTAATTGTTGATCTCTCCCTTTTTAGGAAACTCTTTTTATAATAATCACTCTATTCTGGTTCCCCGCTTTGCTCTAACTCCTGTTATCCATCCAGCACTTGAATTGATTAACTCCTGTTCCTCTCCATGGCCCTTAAATGTCCAGGGTTCTCCCAGGCTCCAGCCTCAGCTTTTTCCTTTTTCACCTTATATATACTTGCTAGGGCTGGGACAAGAGTGAACCAAACAAGGCATGTAGGGCACAATATTTAAGAGGTCCTCACTTCTCGGGGCATACAAGTATATTTATGCCCTACAGGCCTTGCTTACCACAGTCTAGTCCGGCCCTGACCCTGTCAACAAAATTTACTGAGCATACAACCACTACTGCCAGGCACTGTACTAGGTATCACAATATCCATGCTCACTCTCCAGATGCCCACACACGTGGCTGTAACTACTGTTTACAGAACAATGAGTTCCAAATACTCACCTATAGTCAGATACGTCTCCTGAATTTCAGATTATCTTTCCAACTCCCTAACTGTATATCATAATGTAGCCAGTAATAGCTAATGTATATGTAATGCTTCTGCTGTGTTGGACACTGTGCTCAGTAACTTTGCATCCATTATCTCACTTCATCCTCACAAAAGTCCCACGAGATAGGCACTGTCATCTTATTTTTATGAATGAGGAAGATAGATTCATAGAGGCTAAGGGCTTTGCCCAAGGTAACATACTAAAACATTCAGGATTCAGACTCTGGCAGTCAGACTAAAGAGCCAGTTCTCTTAGACATTATTCTGTGGTCCATAATCACATCAAACACAAAGTCCCCAAGACTCTAGCCATTTCCCCTTCCATACCCAGATGGTTAAGTCATACCACTTCTACTTCCTTAATATCATTTGAACTCCCCTCTTTTTTTGTACTGCTACTGTTCAGGTTCTAGCCTTTATGTCTCCCGCAGATAATTGCAATAGTCTCAGGACTGCTCTCTCCTAGTCTTGGTACGGCCCCCTCCCCCACTATCATTTCATTAGCGTGTTGCCAGACTGGGCATCCTAAATCAGCCATCAGTGGTACTCCTTATGTTTATACTTCGATACCTCCATATTGCATTTTATTGTCCAATCTCCTTAGGTTAATGACTTCATTATCTGATGACCAGCTCTGCCTAGTTTACCTGTCTCACTTGTCATAGTCCATATGGAACCATACAAAACTCCTGAAATACCTCACGTTCTTGCAAATCTGAGTCTTTGCACGAGTGATCCTCTTTGCATAAAATGCCCTTATATCAGACATTTAAAGAGAGAGAACGCCTACTCATCTTTTAAGACCCAGATGAAAATATTCTCTCTCTATCAATTGTTTCCCCATTTAATGTGTTCCTTTCTCTATGATCCCTTAGTACCTAGTGCACATTTTATCACATTATATTGAAACCTCTCACCTGGCCTCATGCTGCTTTAGATCAAAGAGGGAGTCTGGTTTATCCCCATACCCCTAGTACCCTGACACAGTACCTGGCACCATAGTTGTAACTCAGTAATGTCTGAATGAAGGACATCTTTGATGCATACACTTTACAAAACTAAACTGGTTTTACAGAACTGTTTTAATTTCAAAATTCCAAACTGTTGCAATAATACCTAAAGGCAGCAGCCATGAAAATGCAACATCTCAGCAAATCACTCACCGAAACTCCTTTTAGAAGCCAATGAGAGTTTAATAGCAGAAGAGAGTGCTGCATTAATACTGTCTATCCTTAGAAAAATTCCCCTGGCCCCTTCCTCAAGGGCTTATTATCTCTGGCTACAATGGCTGCAGAATCACATTGCCTTTCTCCTTAGTATTATCTGGGGATCGTATACTTAACTTCCCTTCAGGTTTATCGCTAGTCATTATTTCCCAGGCTCCAAAAGCCTGGTTCATCCTTATTCTTATCTATCCTTTCCCCAGCATCTGAAGTCTTCAAGGGGGCAGAAGCCCTCTTACAACCTTCATCATCTCACCACTTATATAGAAGAAAGGGTTTGGATGCTTTGTCCTCCCAGATGTCACACTAATGAGATATATCTAATGGCCTTGCTTTATGTCCTGCTTTGTGAGTTTTCCAACAAATTTTCTTTATCCCTTGACTTTACTCACTTTGCTAGTTTAACCTCTGTATTTTTTTTTATCGTTATTTCAGCATTTCAGTCTGATTTCACAGCTGACATCATGTCTGGAGTGGGAACCACAGGGCCAGTCAGCTTTCTGGGGGTGCTTAGGGTTGGCACCCCTGATCCTGGTACTGTCAGCTACTAGATTTGATTCTAGAAAGTTGACAAGTAAGTGTGATAAATGCTTCCTGTGAGAACATGCTGTTTGTCCAAATGGGATAATTTCTTCCCTGTATGCCTTCCTCTGGGAAATACATAAAGTCACTGTAGTTGTGAAAAAACAAAGTGATATATGTTGCATTAGCTAACTTCCTACTCTTTATGTCAATTCTTAAGCTTGCTTTTCTCCCCTAGGGAACTCAACTGAGTATTGTGTTTCCCCAAATATCAACTCCAAGATGTTTGACATAGAGACAAAATGATTTTTTCCTAATCCATGAAAAGCTTTGGTGATAACTAACAGCTTGCTAATGAAAGGTTAATCTTTATGTTTTAACTAAAACTTTAAATTGAAGATATATAATTTAAAAAATTAGAGACACACCTCATTACATACTTCTGAAACCTTGAAATGTCATATATCTTAAAATCAGACTTTTTGTGTAAATAAGGCCATTGTTTGTGCTTTTGTTTCCCATTTTGATTTCAAAGTGGTAAGTCCAAACAAAAATAATGTGGTTATTTTTTTTCACTATATTCTGCTATTTCTTTGTTTTCCCACTTTTAATTTTTTTAAACCAAGGAGATGAATGTTTTCTAACAGGAATTACATGACCAAATCATGAACTGAACAGTGTTTATTAAACATAAATGCATCATAAGCATTGTCGATCTATTTAGTTTTAAAAATGAAGAAGAAGAAAACCTAGCTAACAAAGAACCAGTACTTACCAACCTGCGTGCTGGCTGTTAGACTCTTCAATATTGCTGTCAAATCATGTAATCAAAATTTAGTGAAGAAGACAGCATCAGATATTTCTATATCTAAAAGGCAAGCATACTCAATGTATTTTAAAAAAGGAAACAAACCTGTACATTCAGCACTGAGTAGATATCCTAAAAGGCAGATGGTGATGAGGCCTGGTGATTCTGCCATGATCATGTTCACGCGCTGCATAACCTTTGCTAGCAGATTGTGAAAGTGGTAAGGTCGATTAGTTGTACCAAAGTACAAGCTGAGCTGTATTTACTTCTGGGAAATAATGTCCATCTCCCTCAATGGGTCTTTGGACTATTTCCAATGGCCTCTTGGGACAAGTGAAGAGAATGGGCAGTGGTCATTATTAAATTTCACCTCTGATTTCGTGGGCTTCTGCCACTGTGGCTGATTTGAGTCTGAAACAGGAAGTGACACATCTTCAGAATGGAGATAGGCATAGTGGCTACATTTACTGTGGCAGCACAGTTCATCAGTGGGACCCACCGTATCTTTGTCAGAGAGCAATGATGTTTACCAAAATGGCTGTACCACTTTACATTTCCATCAGCAATGTATGAGTGGTCCAGTTAGTCTGATTTTTTTTTTTTACTGTCAGATTCTTAAGGTTGTTTATATATTCTAGATATGAGTCCTTTCATAGATACGTGGATTAAATATATTGTCTCCAGCCTGTAGCTTGTCTTTTGTCCTCTTAATTAGGTCTTTCACAGAGTAGAATTTTTTAGTTTTGATGTAGTCCAGTTTATTTGTTTTTGTTTTATGGATCACATTTAGAACTCTTCCACTAACACTAGATCCTGATGATTTTTTTCCTATTTTTTTCTAAATGTTTTACAGTTTGAAGTTTTAGATTTATGCCCATGCTCCATTTTGAGTTAATATTTGTGTAAAGTATGATGTTTAAGTCAAACTTCATTTTTTTTTCCATAGGTATGTCCAATTTATCCAGCACAATTTGTTAAAACAAAAAACAACAATACCACCCTATCCTTCCTCGATTGAATGGCTTCTGAAATTTTTTCGTAAGTCAGTTAACCATATTGTTTTGGGTCTACTTCCAGTTTCTCTATCTATTCTTTGTGCCATTGATGTATTTATCCCTCTGCCAATATAACACTGTCATAATTACTGTAGCTATGTAGTAAGACTTTATATTAGGTAGAGTGATTCCTCCAACTTTATTCTTCTTTTGGTAAGATATTTTTAACTGTTCTAAGGGCTTGTATAAATTTTAGAATGATCTTTTTTTTATTATTATACTTTAAGTTTTAGGGTACATGTGCACAACGAGCAGGTTTGTTACATATGTATACATGTGCCATGTTGGTGTGCTGTACCCATTAACTCGTCATTTAGCATTAGGTATATCCCCTAATGCTATCCCTCCCCTCACCCCCCACCCCACAACAGGCCCCGGTGTGTGATGTTCCCCTTCCTGTGTCCAAGTGTTCTCATTGTTCAGTTCCCACCTATGAGTGAGAACATGCGGTGTTTGGTTTTTTGTCCTTGCGATAGTTTGCTGAGAATGATGGTTTCTAGCTTCATCCATGTCCCTACAAAGGACATGAACTCATTTTCTTTTTATGGCTGCCTAGTATTCCATGGTGTATATGTGCCACATTTTCTTAATCCAGTCTATCATTGTTGGACATTTGGGTTGGTTCCAAGTCATTGCTATTGTGAAAAGTGCCGCAATAAACATACGTGTGCATGTGTCTTTATAGCAGCATGATTTATAATACTTTGGGTATATACCCAATAATGGGATGGCTGGGTCAGATGGTATTTCTAGGTCTAGATCCCTGAGGAATCGCCACACTGACTTCCACAATGGTTGAACTAGTTTACAGTCCCACCAACAGTGTCAAAGTGTTCCTATTTCTCCACATCCTCTCCAGCACCTGTTGCTTCCTGAGTTTTTGATGATCGCCATTCTAACTTGTGTGAGATGGTATCTCATTGTGGTTTTGATTTGCATTTCTCTGATGGCCGGTGATGCTGAGCATTTTTTCATGTGTCTGTTGGCTGCATAAATGTCTTCTTTTGAGAAGTGTCTGTTCATATCCTTCACCCACTTGTTGATGGGGTTGTTTGTTTTTTTCTGTAAATTTGTTTGAGTTCATTTTAGATTCTAGGTATTAGCCCTTGGACAGATGAGTAGATTGCAAAATTTTTCTCCCATTCTTTAGGTTGCCTGTTCACTCTGATGGTAGTTTCTTTTGCTGTGCAGAAGCTCTTTAGTTTCATTTGATCCCATTTGTCAATTTTGGCTTTTGTTGCCATTGCTTTTGGTGTTTTAGACATGAAGTCCTTGCCCATGCCTATGTCCTGAATGGTATTGCCTAGGTTTTCTTCTAGGGTTTTTATGGTTTTAGGTCTAACATTGAAGTCTTTAATCCATCTTGAATTAATTTTTGTATAAGGTATAAGGAAGGGATCCAGTTTCAGCTTTCTACATATGGCTAGCCAGTTTTCCCAGCACCATTTATTAAATAGGGAATCCTTTCCCCATTTCTTGTTTTTGTCAGGTTTTTCAAAGATCAGATAGTTGTAGATATGTGGCATTATTTCTGAGGGCTCTGTTCTGTTCCATTGGTCTGTATCTCTGTTTTGGTACCAGTACCATGCTGTTTTGGTTACTGTAGCCTTGTAGTATAGTTTGAAGTCAGGTAGCATGATGCCTCCAGCTTTGTTCTTTTGGCTTAGGATTGACTTGGCGATGCGGGCTCTTTTTTGGTTCCATATGAACTTTAAAGTAGTTTTTTCCAATTCTGTGAAGAAAGTCATTGGTAGCTTGATGGGGATGGCATTGAATCTATAAATTACCTTGGGCAGTATGGCCATTTTCATGATATTGATTCTTCCTACCCATGAGCATGTAATGTTCTTCCATTTGTTTGTATCCTCTTTTATTTCATTGAGCAGTGGTTTGTAGTTCTCCTTGAAGAGGTCCTTCACATCCCTTGTAAGTAGGATTCCTAGGTATTTTATTCTCTTTGAAGCAATTGTGAATGGGAGTTCACTCATGATTTGGCTGTCTGTTTGTCTGCTATTGGTGTATAAGAATGCCTGTGATTTTTGCACATTGATTTTGTATCCTGAGACTTTGCTGAAGTTGCCTATCAGCTTAAGGAGATTTTGGAATGAGACAATGGGGTTTTCTAGATATACAATCATGTCATCTGCAAACAGGGACAATTTGACTTCCTCTTTTCCTAATTGAATACCCTTTATTTCCTTTTCCTTCCCGATTGCCCTGACCAGAACTTCCAACACTATGTTGAATAGGAGTGGTGAGAGAGGGCATCCCTGTCTTGTGCCAGTTTTCAAAGGGAATGCTTCCAGTTCTTGCCCATTCAGTATGATATTGGCTGTGGGTTTGTCATAGATAGCTCTTATGATTTTGAGATACATCCCATCAATACCTAATTTATTGAGAGTTTTTAGCATGAAGGTTGTTGAATTTTGTCAAAGGCCTTTTCTGCATCTATTGAGGTAATCATGTGGTTTTTGTCTTTGGTTCTGTATATATGCTGGATTACATTTATTGATTTGCATATGTTGAACCAGCCTTGCATCCCAGGGATGAAGCCCACTTGATTATGGTGGACAAGCTTTTTGATGTGCTGCTGGATTTGGTTTGCCAGTATTTTATTGAGGATTTTTGCATTGATGTTCATCAGGGATATTGGTCTAAAATTCTCTTTTTTTGTTGTGTCTCTGCCAGGCTTTGGTATCAGGATGATGCTGGCCTCATAAAATGAGTTAGGGAGGATTCCCTCTTTTTCTATTGATTGGAATAGTTTCAGAAGGAATGGTACCAGCTCCTCCTTGTACCTCTGGTAGAATTTGGCTGTGAATCCATCTGGTCCTGGACTTTTTTTGGTCAGTAAGCTATTAATTATTGCCTCAATTTCAGCTCCTGTTATTGGTCTATTCAGAGATTCAACTTCTTCCTGGTTTAGTCTTGGGAGGGTGTATGTGTCGAGGAATTTATCCATTTCTTCTAGGTTTTCTAGTTTATTTGTATAGAGGTGTTTATAGTATTCTCTGATGGTAGTTTGTATTTCTGCGGGATCGGTGGTGATATCCCCTTTATCATTTTTTATTGCATCTATTTGATTCTTCTCTCTTTTCTTCTTTATTAGTCTTGCTAGTGGTCTATCGGTTTTGTTGATCTTTTCAAAAAACCAGCTCCTGGGTTCATTGATTTTTTGAAAGGTTTTTTGTGTCTCTATTTCCTTCAGTTCTGCTCTGATCTTAGTTATTTCTTGCCTTCTGCTAGCTTTTGAATGTGTTTGCTCTTGCTTCTCTAGTTCTTTTAATTGTGATGTTAGGGTATCCATTTTAGATCCGTCCTGCTTTCTCTTGTGGGCATTTAGTGCTATAAATTTCCCTCTACACACTGCTTTGAATGTGTCCCAGAGATTCTGGTATGTTGCGTCTTTGTTCTTGTTGGTTTCAAAGAACATCTTTATTTCTGCCTTCATTTCGTTATGTACCCAGTAGTCATTCAGGAGCAGGTTGTTCAGTTTCCATGTAGTCGAGTGGTTTTGAGTGAGTTTCTTAATCCTGAGTTCTAGTTTGATTGCACTGTGGTCTGAGAGATAGTTTGTTATAATTTCTGTTCTTTTACATTTGCTGAGGAGTGCTTTACTTTCAACTATGTGATCAATTTTGGAATAGGTGTGGTGTAGTGCTGAGAAGAATGTATATTCTGTTGATTTGGGGTGGAGAGTTCTGTAGATGTCTATTAGGTCCGCTTGGTGCAGAACTGAGTTCAATTCCTGGATATCCTTGTTAACTTTCTGTCTCGTTGATCTGTCTAATGTTGACAGTATGGTGTTAAAGTCTCCCATTATTATTGTGTGGGAGTCTAAGTCTCTTTGTAGGTCTCTAAGGACTTGCTTTATGAATCTGGGTGCTCCTGTATTGGGTGCATATATATTTAGGATAGTTAGCTCTTCTTGTTGAATTGATCCCTTTACCATTATGTAATGGCCTTCTTTGTCTCTTTTGATCTTTGTTGGTTTAAAGTCTGTTTTATCAGAGACTAGGATTGCAAACCCTGCCTTTTTGTTTTCCATTTGCTTGGTAGATCTTCCTCCATCCCTTTATTTTGAGCCTATGTGTGTCTCTGCATGTGAGATGAGTTTCCTGAATACAGCACACTGATGGGTCTTGACTCTTTATCCAATTTGCCAGTCTGTGTCTTTTAATTGGAGCATTTAGCCCATTTACATTTAAGGTTAATATTGTTATGTGTGAATTTGATCCTGTCATTATGATGTTAGCTGGTTATTTTGCTCATTAGTTGATGCAGTTTCTTCCCAGCCTCGATGGTCTTTACAATTTGGCATGTTTTTGCAGTGGCTGGTACCAGTTGTTCCTTTCCATGTTTAGTGCTTCCTTCAGGAGCTCTTTTAGGACAGGCCTGGTTTTGACAAAATCTCTCAGCATTTGCTTGTCTATAAAGTATTTTATTTCTCCTTCACTTATGAAGCTTAGTTTGGCTGGATATGAAATTCTGGGTTGAAAATTCTTTTCTTTAAGAATGTTGAATATTGGCCTCCACTCTCTTCTGGCTTGTAGAGTTTCTGCCGAGAGATCAGCTGTTATTCTGATGTGCTTCCCTTTGTGGGTAACCCAACCTTTCTCTCTGTCTGCCCTTAACATTTTTTCCCTTCATTTCAACTTTGGTGAATCTGACAATTATGTGTCTTGGAGTTGCTCTTTTCGAGGAGTATCTTTGTGGTGTTCTCTGTATTTCCTGAATTTGAATGTTGGCCTGCCTTGCTAGATTGGGGAAGTTCTCCTGGATAATATCCTGCAGAGTGTTTTCTATCTTGGTTCCATTCTCCCCGTCACTTTCAGGTACACCAATCAGACGTAGATTTGGTCTTTTCACGTAGTCCCATATTTCTTGGAGGCTTTGTTCCTTTCTTTTTATTCTTTTTTCTCTAAACTTCTCTTCTCACTTCATTTCATTCATTTGATCTTCCATCACTGATACCCTTTCTTCCAGTTGATCGAATCGGTTATTGAGGCTTATGCATTCATCACATAGTTCTCGTGCCATGGTTTTCAGCTCCATCAGGTCTTTTAAGGACTTCTCTGCATTGGTTATTCTAGGTAGCCATTCATCTAATTTTTTTTCAATGTTTTTAACTTCTTTGCCATGGGTTCGAACTTCCTCCTTTAGCTCGGAGTAGTTTGATCATCTGAAGCCTTGTTCTCTCAACTCGTCAAAGTCATTCTCCGTCCAGCTTTGTTTCATTGCTGGTGAGGAGCTGCATTCCTTTGGAGGAGGAGAGGTGCTCTGATTTTTAGAGTTTCCAGTTTTTCTGCTCTGTTTTTTCCCCATCTTTGTGGTTTTATCTACCTTTGGTCTTTGATGATGGTGACGTACAGATGGGGTTTTGGTGTGGATGTCCTTTCTGTTTGTTAGTTTTCCTTCTAACAGTCAGGACACTCAGCTGCAGGTTTGTTGGAGTTTGCTGGAGGTCCACTCCAGACTCTGTTTGCCTGGGTGTCAGCAGCAGAGGCTGCAGAACAGCGGATATTTGTGAACAGCAAATGTTGCTGCCTGATCATTCCTCTGGAAGTTTTGTCTCAGAGGAGTACCCGGTCGTGTGAGGTGTCAGTCTGCCCCTACTGGGGGGTGCCTCCCAGTTAGGCTACTCGGGGGTCAGTGACCCACTTGAGGAGGCAGTCTGTCCATTCTCAGATCTCAAGCTGCATGCTGGGAGAACCACTACTCTCTTCAAAGCTGTCAGACAGGGACATTTAAGTCTTCAGAGGTTTCTGCTGACTTTTGTTTGGCTACGCCCTGCCCCCAGAGGTGGAGTCTACAGAGGCAGGCAGGCCTCCTTGATCTGGGTTCCACCCAGATTGAGCTTCCTGGCTGCTTTGTTTACCTCCTCAAGCCTCAGCAATGGTGGAAGCCCCTCCCCCAGCCTCACTGCCACCTTGCAGTTTGATCTCAGACTGCTGTGCTAGCAATGAGCGAGGCTCCGTGGGTGTAGGGCCCTCTGAGCCAGGCGTGGGATATAATTTCCTGGTGTGCCATTTGCTAAGACCATTGGAAAAGCGCAGTATTAGGGTGGGAGTGACCCGATTTTCCAGGTGCCGTCTGTCACCCCTTTCTTTCACTAGGAAAGGGAATTCCCTTATCCCTTGCGCTTCCTGGGTGAGGTGATGTCTCGCCCTGCTTCGACTCATGCTCGGTGTGCTGCACCCACTCTTCTGCACCCACTGTCCAACACTCCCCATTGAGATGATCCCGGTACCTCAGTTGGAAATGCAGACATCACCCATCTTCTGCGTCACTCACGCTGGGAGCTGTAGACTGGAGCTGTTCCTATTCAGCCATCTTGGCTCCACCCCCTCCAGGGTGTACTTTAAATCCATTGTTTCTTTGTTGACTTTCTGTCTTGATGACCTGTCTAGTGCTCTCAGTGGAGTATTGAAGTACCTCACTATTATTGTGTTGCTATTTATCTCATTTCTTAGGTCTAGTAGTAATTGTTTTATAAATTTGGGAGCTCCAGTGTTAGGTGCATATATATTTAGAATTGTGATATATATATATATATATATATATATATATATATATATATATATATATTTTTTTTTTTTTTTTTTGAGATGGAGTCTCACACTGTCACCCAGGCTGGAGTGCAGTGACACGATCTTAGCTCACTGCAAGCTCCGCCTCCCAGGTTCACGCCATTCTCCTGCCTCAGCCTCCCAATTAGCTGGGACTACAGGCACCCACCACCAAGCCCAGCTAATTTTTTGTATTTTTAGTAGAGATGGGGTTTCACCATGTTAGCCAGGATGGTCTCCATCTCCTGACCTCATGATCTGCCTGCCTCAGCCTCCCAAAATGTTGGGATTACAGGCGTGAGCCACCGTGCCTGGCCTAGAATTGCGATATTTTCATGTTGGACAAGGCGTTTTATCATTATATAATGCCTCTCTTTTTCTTTTTTTATTGCTGTTCCTTTAAAGTTTGTTTTGTCTAATATAAGAATAGCTACTCCTGCTCGTTTCTGGTGTCCATTTGCCTGGAATGTCTTTTTTCACCCCTTTACCTTAAGTTTATGTGAGTCCTTATGTGTTAGGCGAGTCTCTTGAAGGCAGGATATATATGGTTGGTGAATTCTCATCCATTCTGAAATTCTGTATCTTTTAAGTGGAGCATTTAGGCCATTTATATTCAAGGCTTGTATTGAGATATGAGATACTATTCTATTCATTGTGCTATTTGTTGCCTGTGTACCTTGTTTTTTTTCTGTATTTTTGCTTTGTAGGTCCTGTAAGATTTATGCTTTAAAGAGGTTCTGGTTTTCTTTATGTTTCCAGGATTTGTTTCAAGATTGAGAGCTCCTTTTAGCAGGTCTTGTAGTGCTGACTTTGTAGTGGCAAATTCTCTTAGCATTTGTTTGTCTGAAATAGACTAAATCTTTCCTTCATTAATGAAGCTTAGTTTTGCTGGATACAAAACTCTTCACTGATTATTGTTTTGTTTAAGGAGGCTGAAGATAGGGCCATAATCCCTTCTAGCTTGTAGGGTTTCTGCTGAGAAATCTGTTGTTAACCTGATAGATTTTCCTTTATAAGTTACCTGGTGCTTTTGCCTCACAGGTCTTAAGATTCTTTCCTTCATCTTGACGTTAGATAACCTGATGACAGTGTGCCTAAGCAATGACCTTTCAGCAATGAATTTCCCAGGTGTTTTTTGAGCTTCTTGTATTTGGATGTCTAGGTCTCTAGCAAGGCCAGGGAAGTTTCTCTTTGATTATTCTCCCAAATATGTTTTCCAAACTTTAGACTTCTCTTATTTTCTTTAGGAATACCAATTATTCTTAGGTTTGGTTGTTTAACATAATCCCAAACTTCTTGGAGGCTTTGTTCAGTTTTTTTGGTCTTTTTTCTTTGTCTTTGTTGGATTAAGTTAATTTGAAAACCTTGTCTTTGAACTCTGAAGTTCTTTCTTCTGCTTGTTCAATTCTATTGCTGAGATTTTGTAGTACATTTTGCATTTGTCTAAGTGTGTTCTTTATTTCCTGAAGTTGTGATTGTTTTTTATTTATGCTATCTATTTCACTGACGATTTCTCCCCTCATACCTTGTATCATTTATTAATTTCCTTAAATTGTTTGTGCCTTTTTCTCATTTCTCTGGTGCCTTCTTTATTAGCTTAATAATCAACATTCTGAATTCTTTTTCAGGTAAATCAGGGATTTCTTCTTGGTTTGGATCCATTGGATCTGTTGGTGAGCTAGTGTGATTACTTGGGGTTGTTAAAGAACTTCATTTTGTCATATTTCCAGAATTGTTTTTCTGGTTTCTTCTCATTTGGGTAGGCTATGTCAGAGGGAAGATCTGGGGCTCAAGGCTGCTGTTCAGATTCTTTTGTCCCATGGACTGTTCCCTTGATGTAGTACTCTCCCCCTTTTGCCTGGGATGTGGCTTCCTGATAGCTGAACTGTAGCGATTGTTATTTCTCTTCTGGATCTAGCTACCCAGCAGGGCTACCAGACTTTGGTCTGGGTCTGGGGATTGTCTGCACAGAGTCCTTTGATGTGAATTGTCTTCAGGTCTCTCAGCCATGGATACCAGCACCTGCTCTCGTGGAGGAGGCAGGAGAGTGAAATGGTCTCTATGAGGGTCCTTAGTTTTGGTTGTTTAATGCTGTCTCCCAAGGTCCTGCAGGAGCAATCCACTTCTTCACAGCAAAAGGAAACTATCAACAGAGTAAACAGACAATCTACAGAATGGGAGAAAATATTCACAGACTATGCATCCAAGTAAGGTTTATCCAGAATCTATAAGAAACTTAAACAACTCAACAAGCAAAAACCAAATAACCCTATTAAAAAGTGGGCAAAAGGCATGGACAGACACTTCTCAAAAGAAGACATATTAGCAGCTGACAAACGTATGAAAAAATGCTCAACATCATTAATCATCAAAGAAATGCAAATCAAACCCACAATGAGATACCATCTCACACCAGTCAGAGTGACCATTATTAAAAAGTCAAAAACCAACACATACTGGCGAGGCTACAGAGAAAAGGAGACACTTATATACTGTTGGTGGGAATGTGAGTTGGTTCAGCCACTGTGGAAAGCAGTGTGGAGATTTCTCAAGGAACTCAGAACTACCATTTGACCCAGCAATCCTGATACTGGATATATATCCAAAAGAAATAAATCTTTCTACCAAAAAGACACATGCACTTGCATGTTCATTGCAGCATTATTTACAGTAGCAAAGATATGAAATCAACCTAAGTGTCTATCAACAGTGGATCGAATAAAGAAAATGTAGTACATATACACCATGGAATACTACGCAGCCATAAAAAGAATGAAATCATGTTCTTTGCAACAACATGGATATAGCTGAAGGCCATTATTCTAAGTGAACAAACGCAGAAAAAGAAAACCAAACACCACATGTTCTCACTTATAAGTGGGAGCTAAACATTGGGTACTCATGGACAAAGATGGCAATAATGGGTAATGAGAACTACTAGAGGGTGAGTAAGGGGGTAAGGGTTGAAAAACCACCTGTTGGGTACTATGCTCACTACCTGGGTGGTGGGATCATTTGCATTCCAAACCTCAGTATCACATAATATACCTGTGTAACAAATCTGCATATGTACCCCCTGAATCTGAAATAAAAGTTGAAATTGTAAAAAAATTGAAAATGATTCCAAAATACCATCAAATATCCAATCAATGTTCATTTGGTTGTGATTTCCTGATTGTCCTATAACTCTCCATTTTCATAGTGTGTTTTGCCAATGTCCTTCACAAGTAATTAATGAGGTATTTAAAAATACAATGAGCATTAAAAAAATTTTAGGTTCGGGGGTACATGTGCAGGTTTGTTACATTGGTATATTATGTAATGCTGGGGTTTGGGCTTCTATTGAGCTCATCACCCAATTAGTGAACATAGTACTCAATAGTTTTTCAACCCTTTTCTCCCTCCCTCCCTTCTGTCATTCTAATGTGAGCATTAACTGCTCTAAATTTCTTTCTCAGTATTGCTTTAGCTTCATTTCACAAAATTGACATGTTCTATTCTCATTTTTATTCAGTTCAATGTTTTCTTTAATTTCCTTTGAGGCTTCCTTTTAAACCCATGGCTTATTTAAAAGTTAGTTTAAGTTTCATGTGTTTAGATATTTTCATTTCATCCTTCCAATATTGATTTCTAGTTTGATTCCATTATTGTCAGAGAACACACTATAATTTCAGTTCTTTTCTTATGTTGAAGTTTCTTTTATGGCCCAGGATATGGTCTGTATTTGTGAATCTTATGTGGCTCTTGAAAAAAAAGTGTATTCTGCTGTTGGGGGGCGGGTGGGGGAGCATTGTATATATACCGATTCTATCCTGTAGGTTGATTGTGTTATTCATATCTTCTGTATTGCTAATATTATATCTAGTATTTCTATCAGTTGCTGACAGGGCAGTGTTGAAGTTCCCACCTATAATTTTGGATTTGCCTATTTATTCTTTCAGCGCTATCAGATTTAGCTTCATGTATTTTGAAACGCTGTTATTTAGTGTGTACCCATTTAGGGTCATTATAATTCCCTGGTAGATTGATCCTTTTATGTTTGTTATGTCCCTCTTTGTTTTTAGTAATTTTCTTTGCTCTTATGTTGACTTTATTTGATATTAATATAGCTACTTCTGTGTTTTGCTTGTTTTACTATCAATGATTGCATGATATATATTTTTCTCTTTCTATCCTTTTGCTTTCATCCCACTTATGTTCATTTAAAATTATTTATTTATTTATTTATTTTGGAGGTAGAGACTTGCTTTGTTGCCCAGGCTAGTCTCAAACTCCTGGGCTCAAGTGACCACTCTGCCTCAGCCTCCTGAGTAGCTGGAACTGTAGACATGTGCCACCCATATGGCTGAGTCATATTTTTTTAATGTCTCTGTCAATTTCTGTCTTTTGATTGGTACATTTAGACCATTTATATTTATACCTCTGCTCGTTCCATCTTCCTATCCAATGCTCCAAGATTTTTTCTTTTATTATTTCCCTCTTTTTGAAGAATTTTTAAAGCCACTCATTAAAGATAAGTCTGTTGGCAACAAATTATTTTCATTATTCTTTGTCTGAAAATGTTTCATTTCCCTTTCACTCCTAAAGATTGGTTTCACCGAACATATAATTTGTGGTCGATAGTTCCTTCTTTCTTCTTCAGTACTTGAAAAATGTGCCACTTCCCTCAGACCTCCATGATTTCAGATCAGAAATTGATACTCATTCAAATTCAAATAGGTAATGTGTCATTTTCCACTGAGTGCTTTCAAGATTTTTTTTTTGACTTTTCAGAAGCATACTTATTATGTGTTTTGGTATGCATTTATTTGTGTTTATACTACTTGGGGTTTATTAAACTTTTTGAATCTTTAAGTTTGTGTCTTTTGCCAAAACTGAAAAATTTCAGCATAATTTCTTTGCCACTAGTTTCTTTTTCTTCTCCCTCTGGGACACTGATGATATAAATGTTGCATCTATTTTATTGTCTTACGGGTTCTTTAGTCTCTTTCACTTTTATTAGTCTTTATTATCTTTTTCTCTGTTCTTAAGTGTTGGGACCAGCCTCAACACCACCCATAGGGTACCCAAAGTCCAGTGGCGATGAAGGAATGAGAAGAGACAGGTTAAGAGTGGGGGCCAGGGGGCCAATTGTAAAATGGAGTCTGCAAAAGGCTCAGAGCTCTGGTCTCCACATTATTTATTCAGTACAATTACTTAGATTTAAGAAGCAGATGTTCAGGGCAAAACAGTGAAAGGGAGGCAGTGTGTCATATGCGTAATTTATAGCAGTGGTGGTTTAAGTGAATCTTCTTTGTGTTCAAACAGTATATCTTTAACTTATCAGAGAGTAGCTGGTGGGAGCGGGCTTAACTAGGAGCCTGCATATTTGTCCACATTCCAATGCTTTAAAGGAGTGTCTTTCTCCTTGAACACAGTGTTTACAGATAAGAGAGTGGGTCTCACTCTGACCATGGAAACATGATGGCAATTAGGAGGCTTTCCTCCTCAGAGGCCTCTTGTGGCTTTCCACAACTTATTGTCCCATATTTTTATGGCCAGTTTATACAGGCACCCCATAAGCCTTTCCCCCAACACTTAAGCAGATTTGTACAGAACTCTCTTTAAGTTCGTTGATTGTATCCTTGCTTAGCTACACTATAATATTGAGCCCATCCAGAGATTTTTTCCAAATTTGGCTATTGTTTTTACAGTTTTATAATTTCCATTTTCTTCCTTTAAAAAAACAACTTCTACATTTTGCTGAGGTTTCCAGCTTTTTAATTTTTGAGATAATTTGTAATTGATTATTGAAACATTTTTATGATGGCTGCTTTAATATCCTTGCAGATCATTTGGACATCTGATATTTCAAAGTTGACTCTCCTTGACTATCTCTGTTTATTACAATTGTGATTTTCCTGCGTCTTGATATGAAAGGTGGTTGTTATGTGTATTCTGGACATTTTGTAAAGTGTGTTAGCAGACTCTGGATCCTATTTAGCGGGCAGTAACCCTTTTTAGGGTTAACACACAGGTCCTGGCCTAATTTTCTGGGCCATAATTCCAATTTAATTATCAGATCCTTTTGGTGTTAGTTTGATAATTAAAGTTCCAAGTTAGTTGATGTTATGATATAGAGAATATCTATGTGGGCCGACACAATCAGGTGTGTTCTTTAGATGCAGAGAGCTTTCTACAGCTGATAGCAGAAAGAGAAGTCAGAGACACGCAAAGTACCTGAAGGATTTGGTAAAGCATTTGTGACTTTGAAGATGGAGGGGGCCACGTGAAAGGACTGAAGATTGGTCTCTGGGAGCTCAGAGCTACCCCTGGCTAACAGCTAGCAGGAAATTTAATTCGGCCAACAATCTTAATGAGCCTAAAAGTGGATTATTTTCTAGGGCCTCCAGGCAGGAGCCCAGTAGGCTTACATCTTGACTTCAACCTTGTGAGATCTTAAGCTGAGCTCTCACTTGAGCCAGCTTATACTTCTAACTTACAGAACACAGCAATAGAAAACTATTACTCCATCATTAGTGTTTAAGTTGTGCTAAGCATAGCTTTCTTTCTGAAATGTTTTTGAATTGTCCATGCCTCTGAGAGGGCCAACACATACCACTTTTAGAACATTAATCAAGTTTATAAAAGCTTTATAGTTTTAGCATTTATGTTTTAGACTATCATATATCTTGGATAATTTTTGTATATGAAATGAGGTAATAGTTGAGGTTTTTAATTTTATATGGATTTGGAATTTTCCCAGAATTATTAATTGATAAGTCTGTCTTTTGATCCTAGTATTACCTTGCCACTTTTCTCAAAAATCAATTGGCTCTGTACATGTGGATTTCTTTCTGAACTCTCCACTCTGTTTAGCTGGCATATATTTTAATTTATAAGAATGGGATGGTATTATATATCTCATTGTTTTTCTTAAGTTTTAAAATCAGTGCCATAATTTTAAGATATATTTTTATTGCCTTAGACATATCCAGTCTAGTGCTCCTAACTGCTGCCTGGTGTGCAGATACCACATTTTTTTCCTAACTACTTTGCCAGTAAATGACATCCAGGTTGCCTAAAACACCTTGTTTCCACAAATAATGCCTTCTTATCAGTACCCTTATGGAGTGGTGTGATAACTTACTTGGGATTTATGTACAGGAACATAATACCATGATGTTGGGGTATTCATATCTCTGATTTGTCTAGACACCACCAATTTGTCTCCAGATTGGCTGCACCAATCTACACTCCCACCAGTAGTGCATATAGATTTCTGTACTGTAATTCTTGTCAATTATTTGCATTATCCTCCTTTATAAGTTTTGCTAGTTTAACATAAGTAAAGTGCAATCTGTTTTAAATGATATCCCCTTATTGCATTTTAGAATACATCTTGATAGGCTTTTCAGAATTTTGGGTTTCTCTTTTTGTAAATTGTCAGCTCACAGGCTTTGCCTAATTTTCTACCAGGGCTGTTAATTTGAAGGCTTTTCTTGAGTTTTCCAGATGTTAATTCATTGTCAGTTTTAGACATTACAAATAATGTTTCCTAATCTGTCACATGTCAATTAACTTTGTCTGTGTTTTTCTTATACTTTGTTGAATAGAAACTCTCAATTGGAATTTATTAAATTCATTAGTTTTTGCTTTTATAGTCTGTGTCTTTAAAGTTTTATTTAAGAAGTACTTCACTGCTTCTAGGTCATAAAGATATTCTCTTAAAATTTTATACTAACTTTATAGCTTTATCTTTCACATCTAAATGTATAATTTAATGTAAAATTTGTCTATAATTTGATAACAGGGTTGATGAGAGTGTAGGAAAATGAGCACTCTCATATACTGTTGGTTGGAGTATACAGTTCTGGAGATCATTGAGGCCATACCAAAAGCTTCAAAAATATACTCCTTTTGACATAAACATCAAGGCAATAATTATAAAAGTACAGAAAATATCTTGGAGGATATTTATTGCAGTCATTATAATAGCAAAATATTTCAAAACAACCCAAATATCCAACAATAAGAATTATTCAAATAAATTATGGTAACAAACAATAGAATATAAATCCATTAACATGCTATGGTTTGCCAGAATAGCCAAAACAATACTTAAGAAGAATGAAGTTGGAGGACTTATGTTTTCCGACATCAAAACTTACAGCAATGCTAGTATAATCAAGAGAGTATAGTATTGGTATAAGGCTAGACATGTAGATTATATTAGTTTCCTGTTGCTGTGGTAACAAAGCACCACAAATTTGGTGGCTTAAAATAACACATTTATTATTTTCTTCTTCTGGAGGTCAGAAGTTCAAAATCAATTTCAGTGGACTAAAGTCAAGGTGTTGCCAGGGCTAGTTTCTTCTGAAAGAACAGAGTAGACATTCCATTTCCTCACATTTTTTGGTTTCTAGCGACTGCCAGTATTTCCAACTCATGGCCCCTTCCTTGCATTACTCCAAACTCTTACTTCCATCGTTAAATCTCCTACTGAGTATGATCTTATTGCCTCTCTGTTATAGGAATTCTTATAATTTCATTGGGCCTATTGGATAATTATGGAATATCTCCCCATCTTAAGATTCTTACCCACATTTGCAAAGTCTCTTTTGCCATATAAGGTAACATATTCATAATTTCTGGGAACTTGGAAGTAGACATAATTGAGGGGCCAATATTCAGCCTATCATATGGATCAGTGTAACAAAATGGAGTCTATAAATAAACTCTCACATTTATGGTCATTGATTTTGACAAGGGTATCAAGATAATTCAAAGGGGGAAAATAATAGCCTTCAGTACTGGGACAATCAGATTTCTACATGCAAAAGAATGAAGTTGAATCCCTAACTCATACTATATGCAAAATGGATTACTAGGATGACTATAATCAACAAGATGAAAAATATTAGGCAAGGATGTGGAGAAAGTGGAACCCTTCTACACTGCTCTTGGCAAAGTAAAACGGTATAGTTACTGTGGAAAACATTTTGATGATTCATTAAAATGTTAAACACAGAGTTACCTTGTGACCCAGGAATTACACTCTTAGGTATATACTCAGAAGAAATGAAAACATATCTACACAGGGCTGGACGCGGTGGCTCACACCTGTAATCCCAGCACTTTGGGAGGCCGAGGCAGGCGGATCACGAGGTCAGGAGATTGAGACCATGGTGAAACCCCGTCTCTACTAAAAATACAAAAAATTAGCCGGGTGCTGTGGCAGACGCCTGTAGTCCCAGCTACTTGGGAGGCTGAGGCAGGAGAATGGCGTGAACCCGGGAGGCAGAGCTTGCAGTGAGCCAAGATTGCGCCACTGCACTCCAGCCTGGGTGACAGAGCAAGACTCCGTCTCAAAAAAAAAAAAACAAAAAAAAACAAAAAACAGGTCTACACAAAAACCTGTACATGAATGTTCATAACAGCATTATTGCTAATAGCCAAAAAGTGTAAACAATTCAAGTGTCTGTCAACAAATGCATAGATAAGCAGAATTTGGTATATCCATACAATGGAATATTATTCAGCCATAAACAGGAATGAAGGATTTATACGTGCTACAACATGAATGAACCTTGACAACATTATGCTAACTCACAGAAGCCAGTCACAAGAGGCTCATAGTGTATGATCCCATTCATGTGAAGTGTCAGAAGAGGCAAATCTATAGAGACAAAATAGTGGACTAGTGGTTATTGAGGGCTTTGTGGGAAGGTTGGGGGAAATGAGGGGTTACTGCTAATGGATATAGAGTTTCTTTTGGTGGTGATCAAAATATTTAAAATATTGTAGTAATGTTTCCACAGTTTTGTGAATGTGCTAAAAATCATTAAATTGTACACTTTAAATTGGTGAATAGCATGGCATGCGAATTATGGTTTCAATCAATGTATACAAATAAATGAACTAGACCTGAAAAATAATATGGTTTACAATGATTCTAAACTGGAACATCTGCTTTATTTTCAAGGAAGCTTAAAATATGCAATTTAAATTGGATTTAAATTGCAGTAATAGGAAAGAATATTTGATACGAAAAGATGCTCACAATTGCTAAGTGAGGGAAAAAATCAGCATGTTAATATAATTATATTCACCGTGTGTGTGTGTGTGTGTGTATGGGTTAATTTTAATACATACATGTACACTTATAGTAAGTTAACCCAAAATTTTCAGTGTTTTTTTTCCTCTGAGGCTGGGTTACAGGTTTTTAGCATTTCTTTTTTTCCTGTTTATAATTTTTTTTTTGTAGTGAGTATTTAACTTTTAAAAATTAAGAATAAAACAGCTAGAGCTAATGTACTCAGATATAGTAGTGGCACTGAGGAAGTAGAAAAGTTCACTGAACCTCTGTTTCCCCCTCAACGTATCTCCTTTGGTTCAGGGCAGGGGAGAGAAAAGACAAACCTTGCATCAATTGATATGAAAGAACCAGCCTGCTCCTTTTCAATGGAAGAATGGGGGATAATGCGCACAACGTTTCTGTTTATTTTGAGGTAAAATCTCAGAACAGCAGGCATATCCACGATCAAATATAAGCACCCAAAACACCTATACACCTAAAGCTGAATGTAAATGCATTTAAAAATGCCTATCATATGTCTAATTGGATTCCCTGCATCTTCGTTAGTTTGTGTGAATAAAATTGATAGGTTATTTGGTGTTTGTTGTAAGTTGTTTCACATATATATGTTTGGTGTCCCTGAGCAGCTTGTAAGCTTTTTGAGGTCATGTGATCTAGGCTTTAATTCCAGTTCTTGCTCTCTTGAAGCCCAGTAATGGTGCTTTGCACACAGCCAAGGACACAGCCAAAGTAGATGAAATGGTTGTATTGGCAGAAACCAGAAGAGATTTTAATAATCAACTAGCCCTGCTATCTGTTTGTATCTGGAGAGATTTTCTGTGTTCTATTCTCAAACCAAAGATTTATTTTTTGGTAAGTGGGCCATACCATTTAATTGGCTTATAGTTAACCAATGGACTATTTTTTTTGGAGAAAAGAAGGTACTTTTATTAAGAATTTTACATAAACCATAAGATACATTTTACATTACTTTGTGAGACTTCTTCCTGTCTTAATTCTTTTTGAGAGAATTCATTTCATTTTCATTTGGTTTATTTTCTTTTTGTTACAAAGATGATCTATAGAAAATATAGAAGTATAAGAAAATTAAAGATACTAACTGATAATCATTTAATGATTTAGTATCTGATTGTTTAGTCTTATATTTACTGTAGACAAATATGTCTACAGTTGTAAATTTATTTTATTTTATTTTTTATTATACTTTAAGTTTTAGGGTACATGTGCACAACGTGCAGGTTTGTTACATATGTACACATGTGCCATGTTGGTGTGCTGCACCCATTAACTCGTCATTTACATTAGGTATATCTCCTGATGCTATCCCTCCCCTCTCCCCCCACCCCACAACAGGCCCCAGTGTGTGATGTTCCCCTTCCTGTGTCCAAGTGTTCTCATTGCTCAATTCCCACCTATGAGTGAGAACATGCGGTGTTTGGTTTTTTGTCCTTGCGATAGTGTGCTGAGAATGATGGTTTCCAGCTTCATCCATGTCCCTACAAAGGACATGGACTCATCATTTTTTATGGCTGCATAGTATTCCATGGTGTATATGTGCCACATTTTCTTAATTCAGCCTATCATTGGTGGACATTTGGCTTGGTTCCAAGTCTTCGCTATTGTGAATAGTGCCGCAATAAACATACGTGTGCATGTGTCTTTATAGCAGCATGATTTATAATCCTTTGGGTATATACCCAGTAATGGGATGGCTGGATCAAATGGTATTTCTAGTTCTAGATCCCTCAGGAATTGCCACACTGTCTTCCACAATGGTTGAACCAGTTTACAGTCCCACCAACAGTGTAAAAGTGTTCCTATTTCTCCACATCCTCTCCAGCACCTGTTGTTTCCTGACTTTTTAATGATCGCCATTCTAACTTGTGTGAGATGGTATCTCATTGTGGTTTTGATTTGCATTTCTCTGATGGCCAGTGATGATGAGCATTTTTTCATGTGTTTTTTGGCTGCATAAATGTCTTCTTTTGAGAAGAGTCTGTTCATATCCTTCGCCAACTTGTTGATGGGGTTGTTTGTTTTTTTCTTGTAAATTTCTTTGAGTTCTTTGTAGATTCTAGATATTAGCCCTTTGTCAGATGGGTAGATTGCAAAAATTTTCTCTCATTCTTTAGGTTGCCTGTTCACTCTGATGGTAGTTTCTTTTGCTGTGCAGAAACTCTTTAGTTTAATTAGATCCCATTTGTCAATTTTGGCTTTTGTTGCCATTGCTTTTGGTGTTTTTGACATGAAGTCCTTGCCCATGCCTATGTCCTGAATGCTATTGCCTAGGTTTTCTTCTAGGGTTTTTATGGTTTTAGGTCTAACATTTAAGTTTTTAATCCATCTTGAATTAATTTTTGTATAAGGTGTAAGGAAGGGATCCAGTTTCAGCTTTCTACATATGGCTAGCCAGTTTTCCCAGCACCATTTATTAAATAGGGAATCCTTTCCCCATTTCTTGTTTTTGTCAGGTTTGTCAAAGATCAGATAGTTGTAGATGTGTGGCATTATTTCTGAGGGCTCTGTTCTGTTCCATTGGTCTATATCTCTATTTTGGCACACATTTTAGAACAAATCTATCTTGTATTGGGTACTTCTTTCTTTTCTTTTTCTTTTTTTTTTTTTTTTTTTGAGATGGAGTCTTACTCTGTCTCCTAGGCTGGAGTGCAGTGGTACAATCTCGGCTCACTGCAACATCTGCCTCCCAGGTTAAAGCGATTCTCCCACCTCAGCCTCCTGAGTAGCTGGGATTACAGGTGCATGCCACCAAGTCCAGCTAATTTTTGTAGTTTTAGTAGAGACGGGGTTTTGCTATGTTGGCCAGGCTGGTCTCAAACTCTTGACCTGAAGTGATCCACCTGCTTCGGCCTCCCAAAATGCTGGGATTACAGGCATGAGCCACAGTGCCTGGCCATATTGGGTACTTATTTCTGTACAACAAATTATTACAAACATAGTGGCTTAAAACAACACATATTTATTACTTCACAGTTTTTGTGATCAGTAATATAGGCGTGGCTTAACTGGGTCCTCTGCTTGGGGTCTTATAAGGCTACACTCATGGTACCAGTCAGGGTGTATAATAATTTGAATACTCAAATGAAGAAGAATCTCCTTCCCAGCTCAATTAGGTGGTTGTCAGAATTCATTCTCTTGGGGTTAAGAGTACAGTGGGCCCTAGGTTTGTGCTGACTGTTGGCTGGAGGCTGTCTTCAGTTCCAAGAGGCTGCCCACAGTTTTTAGAAATCATCCATAGTTTCTTACCATGTGGACTTCCCCAATATGGTCACTTAACTTTATCGAACCAGCAAGGCGTCTGTAAAAACAGACTGCTAACAAAATGAAGTGGTATACAATGTAACCTGATCACCAGAGTAAGATCACTTTTGCCATATGTGTCAGTCAGAAGCAAGTCACAGGTCCTACCCACATTCAGAGGGAAGGCGTTATATAAGAGTGTGGATACCAGAAAGAGGGCATCATGGAGGCGACCTTAGGATTTATTTTATAAATTACACTTGTGATTTATTTAAAAATGTGTACCAGGAAATTATGTTGTTTTATGTTAGACATTTTATGATTATTTTGTATTTTTTAAATGACTGACATGAGTATTTGATTCACTACAGCTAGACTCACTGCTAAATGACATGATTCTGTTCTTCACTGGTAGTCTAAAGGAGCTCCATTTTAGTGACTTGTCAAGCAACATTTTCAAGGACCTCCTGATGCTAAAATCCAAAACTCAGTTGTGGGCACCATATTTAGGGAGGATCACCCAAATGTTGTTATCCATCCATTCCTACAAAAATTCTAAAACCTCTCTCTAAATTAAGCCAGACCTTTGGAGAGCTGCTTATCTAAATCCCGTAACTCTGGCTCACTGTAGAAGCTGGACTGTGCTTTGCCTCGAAGCCAATGGCCTATAGGAGGGATCATAGAGGAAATAGCCCTATGAACTATGTTGTTGTAGATAATGTAATGTGATGTCTTGTCTTGGTACCCACGAATACCCATGCTTCTCTTGTTTGGCTTATTTCCTATAGGCGTTGTAAATCATGTAACTGCTTTTCCTTCTTCACACTGGCCAGATTTGTAGCTCACCAATTAGCCAATGTTTTGGACTTCCAGTAGACATTTTAAGTACTAACCTTTCTCCTGTCCCTGTTTGAACCTTTCTACCATTATTTTCACCTTCCCCTGATTTCCTGACATATTGTTTTTTCTTTTACAATTTTAAAAAATTTGTATAAATTTATGGGGTACAAGAATAATTTTGTTACATAGATATATTGCATAGTAGTGTAGTCAGGGCTTTTATCGTATCCATCACCCAAATAATGCACATTGTACCCATTAGGTAATTTCTCATCATCACTTCCCTTCCCGCTCCCAACCCATTAGATGGAGTCTCCATTGTCTCTCATTCCACACTGTATGTTCATGTGTACACATTATTTACAGTAAGCTACCTTACATTTTTTTTTGGTAACAAGGAGGAGTATAAATAACTTGTTTGATTGCTACAAAAGTCTCAAAGTGTACACTGTAATTGTGCCCATAGCCTCCAACACATGTTTCCTAAGTGGAAAGGTGGATGTTGTGCCATTCAGCTGAATCTGATGAAAATACTGGTGTGCTCGGTAGCAACTCAGAAAGATGTTTCCTTTGTTGCAGTCACTTGCCTTGGCTAATGGGAGTGCCAATCCGAATAGCTAGGTACTGATAAAGAAGACTTATGGAGGGAACATTAATTTAGGGCAATAGTGGAGATTGATCTTAAAAGAAACTACCACTGGGATAATGCAAGAAGTGGGATGAAAAACAGAGAGAGGTGAAAAGGAAAAAGCTCCCTTGTCCCTCTCGCAGGGTGGTTGACAGGGGGAGTGGCTTGCTTCTTTAGTGCCCTGCTACTCAAGCCTTTAGGGGAAGCATGCAGACCGGCAGGTTGTGAGACTGTGACCTCACGGCAGTGTCTAGGGGTGAATGTTCACAGCTCCTGAAGCCCCAGTGGGCGTGTGTTACAGTATGCTCTTTCAGTTTTGCCGTTTATAGGTAGCTTGTGTTTATCAGCTCAATTAGACCCTCTGCCTTATCGCAATGACAGAGGACTTTCTGTATACCGGGTTCTTGCCTTGGTGTACTGGAAAAATCGGATCACACGTGGGCTTGGAGAATGAGTGCAAGGTTTTATTGAATGGTGGAAGCTCTCCTCCTACCGCCCCAGCTGGTTGGTGGCCTGCTGTTGTCTGCTGGTGTGTTCTTCTGCCGGTGTGTTCCTCTCAATGTCCATCTGCTTGTGTCTCTGCCCACTAGGGTCTCAGGATTTTTATAGGCACAGGATGGGGGCGTGGCAGGCCAGGGTGGTCTTGGGAAATGCAACATTTGGGCACAAAAACAGAAATGCCTGTCCTCACCTAGGCCCATGGGCACAGGCCCAGAGGTGGAGCCCTAGCAAGGACCCCACCTTTCTTTTCCCAGCATTTCCCTGCCACCCTCCCGTACCAGAGGGACCCTAGAAGAAAGGTTTGTTCCATGAAAATCCCATTTGCCTTCAAGTTCAGGCTTTTGTCAGGGATGACTGTTGGGTTGCTGATCCCTCTTACTCACACCTGTCAATGCAGGGCTGTATACAAGGCTGTGGTAGAACAGGTTTAGGAAGCTGCTGGCAGTGACAGTGTGTGGGCCGAAGTCTTCTATGGAGCCAGGTCAATTTAAGAAGAGTTTAATCTGTGTTACCAGCATGGGCTAGGTGGGGAGATGATAGAACCATTTGAGCAGGAGGAAGCCAAAGTAATATGTCTGGATGGACTAGATTATCTGTCCAGCTAAGGGAGTGATTTAGAGATGAAATGGTTGATGGTCAGTGGATGAAAGAAATCAGAGTGAGGAAAAAGGTACAGAGTGAGTGAGGGTGGGAAGTTATGAACACTGAGCACGTTGCGTGTTGTAGTAGGGGCAGCTTGTGAAAGTTCTGCACAGAGTGGAGCCCTGTCTCTTGCTGGTAAGAGGGCAGTTAGAGTGTTTCTGGGAATTGACAATTGATGTGTGTTGCCATTAAGATGGAGTTTGCTGCTAGATTGATTTCTGACTCTGCTTGCCTGACATCTATATTGTTTATATTTGGTCAAAATGGAGCCTCTAAAATGGCTTATTCAAATATCACAATATGCTTTCTTTCAGTAAACATGACCCCAGTGAAGAACTATCGAAGCAGCTGTCAAGTAAATAAAACTGAGAAATAACACTACATTCAAATAAAAATAGCACTGTTTTTAGGAGTAATATTGGAAAAAGCTAAGATAAAAATATCCTTTCAGCTTTCTTCCAAGATGGCTTGATTTTTCAGTTTATTTCTTTACTATATTTCTTCCTATGAATTTTGGTGAAATGTTTAGATTTAAAGCATGATAAGGTAACATATAAACTCATTCATTTGCCCTTTTTGTACTAACTTACAGGGAGAGAAGGAAGTAGTCTAACATTGAACACCTCTTACGTGCCAGGAATTTTATTTATACTATCCCCTTAAATTCTCACAACAGCCTATGAAATAAGAAGTATATTTTTGCTACAGATGGGGAAATTGATACTCTGTTTACTGAAATAGGTTCTATGGCTTGTCCAAAGTCACCCAGCTACTGAGTAGGGGAGCCACACTTCAAACCCAGATCTTTCTGATTGCAAAACCCTTGTGGTTAGCTACTATGTTGGCACTTACCACATAGAGTGGTTGTCAGGATTAAGTGAAATTAAGTAAAACAGTGCATGTAAGGTACTTAGCAGAGCAGTATATAGAAAGAGATCAACAAAGGGTAACTGCTGTCACTGTCACCACCACCACCACCAATATCCTGCCTTTCAAGTAGCAGAGGTTGACTGGAATAGAGGATGTGTGATTAACTGACAGCAGAGTCTGGGAATAATCAAAATATTTCTGATCAGCAGAGCTTCTTTGGTCATCTGCCAGAGCCTATTCTCAAGTTATTTGCGTCCTTACTGTCTTCATCCTTACAACATTGTAAATTTGGTATTTTTGCTTTTCCCACATTATAGATGAACTGATTAAGCCTCAAAGACATGAGGTAACTTGCTCAAAGTAACAACTAGGAAATGGCAGAACTGTGATCCAGGTTTGTCTGAGTCCGAAACCTATGCTTTTAAAACTCCAGCCTGCTTCCTTTCTGTAATTGTATGACCAGATTACTGAGGTTCTTTTGTGCCTCCCGCATATGTTGCACCATAGATATAATATCCCCCATACACTAAACCATCATTTATGTGAATCCATCCATAGTTCCCACTACAGAGAGTTTTGATTTGTGACTGAAAATTTCCAAGGACTATAATAACTTTTTTTTCTAACTGCTTTGTTCATTTTTAAATAAAGTGACACAATCAACTGGCAGGAATTTGAGAGTATTAAATGCTCTGATTAAATCTCTGTCAACCACCAGTCTGATCTCTGTGGCTGCAATATGGGATAAAAGGACGGTTCAGAATTTAATGTGGACACAGCTCTCAAAAGCACTCTCAGGGTTAAAAAGGCTACTTCAGAATATGGTCTTGGGAAATTTCCACATTGAAGTTTCATGATCAAGGTAACTCAGAGTCTTGAATAGCGAGGCCTGTGGAGAGGAAGCAATTATAATTGGAGAAGCAGTTACAATCAACTCATAAAGAGTTTTTCAATAAAAAGAGTTGGTAACTGTAGTTACTTTAATTCACCAAAGCCTGTGGAATGAGAATGGTGGTTAAATGCACAAAGAATACTGAAATAAATAAAGTAACCTGTATTTTGGAGGTTGAGAAGAAAATGGTATTGGAACAACTGAGCTATTACGAAGAAATGGTGTTAGACTTATCCTCCCAGATTTGGCTCAGCCATCCACAAAATAAATAAACCGTCATGCTGCAATATACCTGGGAAATAATTATGGCTGTCAAATGGCCTCCTGGTTAGCAAGACAAGCCAGTATACTCAGAAGATGAAAGCCCAAAGAACCAGCCTGTGCAGGGCTGGGCAAGAGAAGCTCATGCCAAGAATGATGTCTAGGGGATTTGCTGGCAGAATTTAATCTCATCCCTTCTACTTTTCTCTGGGACTTGGCTAGCCTGGGGACAGAAAGACTTCAGCGTTCTCTCTGTTGATATTCTCTAAAACATTCTGCATTTCTCCAAGAGAAGCAGGCACAAGAAGTGATGGAGGGGTGTCTTAGAAATGATTGAGATGATTTTTAGAGATGAGTTTATGTTATAGGAGCAAAATAGTAGGTCGTAGAATTGTTCCATTCCTATACATCAAACTCTGCAGGGAGACCATATTATTTTCCTCTGTGCAATAAACTACTGAACATTCTCTCTGTTCAGGGAAAGCTCTGACTGTCAGTCTCTGCCTTCTCCAGGATCCAACCTGTGTACTTACCCCAACCAGCTCTGAGGCAGAGAGGATATTAGGACGTCTCATCCCTACCATCAGGGAAGGCTTGGATCTCCTTTTATTCCCAGGGCCTGTATTCATTATGGCTGAGGTGAACTGCCCCAATTAGGCCATATGATTAGAATTTTGCCTTATTTTCTTCCACCTGCCCATCAATTTTCCTCTAAACCCTCTTCTACCAGTCTACAGCCTCCTTTACCCACACTTTCCTTAAAGCCTGGAGCCAGCTCTCCTAATCTCAGCTGCTCATAGTTTTCAATTCTGAAATGCTAATGAAAGCATATATATATATACACACATATATACATATATACGTATATATACATATACATACACATATATGTATATATGTGTACATATATACATATACATACACATATATGTATATATGTGTACATATATACGTATATATGTACACATATATACACATATACGTATATATGTACACATATATACATATATATGTGTACATACATATATATGTGTATATATGTATACATATATACGTATATACGTACACATATATACACATATATACATGTATATATATATGATATTTTATATTTTATGACTAGAATGTTAGGAGCTGTTTCTCACATGTAAAGTCATGTATCAGGGCATCAAGAGGACATCTGCTGACCAATAGTCTGCCCAGCAGCTGGTTGATATTTATGAGACAAATAGTGGAGTTTCAGTTCTTGGATTAAGGTATGGTTCGGCGACTTAGTGCATAGAAACTCAAAGATTATGGGTTTGATTACACTCAAAGTTTGAAGAGGCAGCCTGTAGTCACGAACAGAGCATGGGCTTTAGAATTAGATAATCTGGGTTCAAATCTTAGCTCAGCCACTTAGCTGTGACATGACCTTGGGCAAATTGATCAGTCTCTTTGAATCTTTGTTTTATCCTATTAACACTACCCTCACACTATTTTTAGTGGTTGTACTAGCAAATTATATATATATATATATATATATATATATATAGTTGCATTTGCTAGTTGCTAGTTGGATATATATATGGATATATATATATGGATATATATGGATATATATATATGATATATATATGGATATATATATGATATATATATGGATATATATATATGATATATATATGGATATATATATGATATATATATGGATATATATATGATATATATATGGATATATATATATCGATATATATATGGATATATATATATCGATATATATATGGATATATATGGATATATATATGGATATATATGGATATACATATACGGATATATATATACGGATATACATACACGGATATATATATACGGATATACATACACGGATATATATATACGGATATACATACACGGATATATATATACGGATATACATACACGGATATATATATACGGATATACATACACGGATATATATATACGGATATACATACACGGATATATATATACGGATATACATACACGGATATATATATGGATATATATACACGGCTATATATATGGATATATATACACGGCTATATATATGGATATATATACACGGCTATATGTATGGATATATATGGATATATATGGATATATATGGTTGTATATGGATATATATGGATATATATGTATATATATGGATATATATGGATGTATATATGGATATATATGGATATATATGTATATATTTATGGATATATATGGATATATATGGATATATATGATATATATATGGATATATATATGGATATATATGATATATATATGGATATATATATGGATATATATGGATATATACATATATATGGATATATATATATGGATATATACATATATATGGATATATATATATATATATATATCTCCCTAAACTTTACCGGTTTGTTTAGAATGAATATTGTATCATTTCATGGAAAATGTAAGAACTTTTAAATCCTATAGGTCCCTTTAACCCCCACTGTCATCTTTTATGTTATAATTATCATATGTATTACATCTACCTACATTGAAAACCTCACAAAAAAATGCTATGCTTTTTCTTCAAACAATGTTTGTTTTAAAGAATTTAAGAACTAAATCATTTTAAATTATTTTCATTAAAAATTCAAAGCCTCTCTCTATTATTATTTCCCTTTAGTCTGAAGAATACCATAATGTGTTTTCTTAGTTTTTCTTTTTCTGAAAATGCATTTCACTGTCATTCCTGAAGGATATTTTTATTAGATATAGAATTCTGGATGAACTTTTTTTCTTTCATCACTTTAGGTATGCGATTCCACTATCTTATATTTTTATATTTTCTAATGAGAAAGCCATAGTCATCTTGCTTCATTGTCATCAGATAAATGTAAATTAAAATCACAAAGCAGGCCCTCTAGCTCCTGTTATAGATCAATAGATCAACTCCCCAATAGATCAACTCTCCCACTGGTAACTCTTCACTCTGGGCAAAATACAAAGATAACTACCTGAGGATACTGAGGAGAAAGTACAGATGGGCAAACTGTGAAGGAGAACTGAAACTTGAAATAATGGACGTGGGCATTTTGTGGTATTTTTGTTTTTTGTGGCTTTGATCCAAGAGCAGGCATCAGTTGTTCAGTGAGGCAGGACAGTAAAGGCAGCTAAAACTCAAGTAGAAATGGTGCTGCCTTCCTGGCTAGGAGAATTAGGGAACGAAACCCAGGTAAGCATGTCTGGAGAGTGAAGGATAATTCCCAGAGGGTAGAGTGCTGTAGAAGGAGATCTCCTAATCCTGTGTGTAAACATCGTGAAAGTCTCAGGCTGACCCCTGAACCACATTGTTACAAAACAGACTCAAAGGAGAATAGCAAAGACTTAAAGACTTGAACTTATACTTAAACTAACATGACCCATTGGTGATAGTTGTTTTGTGTGTACTGTATAACTTTCATTCAGTTGAGTTGTTTTTCCTAGTTATCTTTCTGTTGTTAATTCCTGTTTTAATTCTATTTTGGTTAAAAAAACACTCTGAATGATTTCAATATTTTAAAATTTGTTGAGGTTTTCTTCATATAATTGATTTTGATAAATACTCTCTGTGACATGAAAAATGTGGATTGTGGCTTGTTTGTATGCAGTGCTCTATAAATGAATATTACATCAAGTTTGTTAATTATGTTCTTCAGAAATTTTATATGTATACTGATTTTTTTCTGCCTGTTCTATCAGCTATGAAGATAAGTGTGTTAATATTCCTTTATGATTGGAGAGTTGTCAATTTCTGCTTTTAGTTTTGTTGGTTTTTTGCTTTATATACTTTGAGGCCATATTATTCTGTGTATATAGTTTTAGGATAATAATATCTTCTTGTTGAAGATAATGACTTCCTTATCATTTTGAGGATACTGAAAAGTTTTTACCACTTATTATAAAATGTTGTTCTATTATCTATAATAATGCTTATTGCCTTAAAATTTACTTTGCCTGATATCAGTATAGTTATGACAGGCTTCTTTTGGTTAATGTTTGAATTACTTAATTTTTTTATCCTTTTACTTTGGACTTTTCTGTGCCCTTATATATTTTTTAAAAAATTAACTCTTGTAAGAATAATAAAGTTAACTATATTTTATTTTATTTTTATTTTTTGTTGTTTGAGATAAGAGTCTTGCTCTGTCACCAAGGCTGGAGTTCAGTGGCTCGATCTCAGCCAACTGCAACCTCCGCCTTCTGGGTTCAAGTGATTCTCATGCCTTGGCCTCCCGAGTAGCTGGGATTACAGGCGTGCACCACCACATCTGGCTAATTTTTGTATTTTTAGTAGAGACAGGTTTCACCATGTTGGCCAGGTGGTCTCAAACTCCCAACCTCAGGTGATTTGCCCACCTCAGTCTCCCAAAGTGCTAGGATTAGAGGTGTGAGCCACCATGCTCAGCCAAGATATAATTTCCATACTTTTAAGTGGACAGTTCAATAGTTTTTGGCCTATTCTCAAAGTTGTAACCACTATCTAATTTTAGAACATTTTCATTATCACCCAAAGATATCCATTATTCTCATCCAATTTCCCCCTCATCCCAAGACCCCAGAAAATATTAATTTACTTTCTGTCACTAGAGATTTGCCTATTCTGGATATTTCACATAAATAGAATTATACAAATGTGGTCTTTTGTGTTTAGCTTCTTTAATTAGCATAATGTTTGTAAGGTTCATCCATCTTGTAGTATATATCAGTCCTTCATTTTTTTATGTTGAAAACCATCCCATGTATGGCTGTAACATATGTGGCTTATCCATTCATTAACTGATGGACATTTGGGTTGTTTCCACTTTTTGGTCATTATGAATAATACTGCCATGAACACTTATGTAAAGGTTTCATGTCAACATATGTTTTCAATGTCTTTGAGTATATATCTAGGAGTAGGATTGCTGGGGTTATATGATAAATTTATATTTAATACCTTGAGGAACTGCCAAGCTATTTGGCTCTTATTTCTATTCCATTGAGGTGTATGTCTATCCTTATGTCACTCACAATGTCTTAATTACCATAGCTTTGTAATAAATTTTGAAATTTGAAAGAATGAGTCTTCTTTTTTTGAGATTGTTTTGGTTTTTCTGAGTCTCTTGCATTTCTGTATAAATTTTATGATTAGTTTGTCAATTTCTGCACAAAATCCAGGTGGGAATTTGAAAGGTATTGCATTGAATTTGTAGATCAATATGGGGAGTATCGCCATCTCAACAATAGTAATTTTTCAAACCCATAAATATAAGATGTCTTTCCATTTATTTAGGTCTTCTTTAATAATTTCTTTCAACAATATTTTGTAGTTTTCAATATATAAATATTGCATTCCTTTAAAAAGTTTCTAAGTGCTTTATTCTTTTTCATGCTATTGTAAATGGAATTTTCTTAATTTCATTTTCATAATGTGCATTGGTAATGTATAGAAATACTATGGATTGTTGTATATTGATCTTATACTCTAGAACTTTGCTGAACTCTCTTATTAGTTCTAATAGATTTTTGAGGAGATTTCTTGTGATTTCCTCTATATGTATAAGATTGTGTCATCTCTGAAGAGAGACAGTTTTATTTCTTCCTCTACAACTTGATGAATTTTATTTCATTTTCTTGTGTAATTGCCCTGCTAGAATCTCCAGGACAATGTTGAGTAAAAGTGATGAGAGTGGACATCCTTATCTACCTTCTGATGTTAGGGAGAAAACATTATTTTTTTTTTCACTAATGAGTAAGATGTTGGCTGTAGGTTTTTCATAGATTGCTATTTTTCAGGTTGAGAAAACTTCCTAGTATTCCTACTGTGTTGAGTGTTTTCATCATGAATGAGTGTTGGATTGTGTCAAATGCTTTTCTGCATCTATTGAGATGATCATGTGATTTTTGTCCTTTATTGTATTTATATGGTATATTACATTGATTGATTTTCATATGCCAAATCAGCTAGAATTCCTAAGATAGATTCCCTATGGCTATGGTACATAGTTCTTTTTATGTGTTGCTGAATTTGTTTTAGTGGTATTTCATTGAGAATTTTGGCATCTAAATTCATAAAATATGTTGGTCTGTCATCTTATTTTTTGTGATACCTGTGTCTTGTTTTGGTATCATTGTACATAGTTGTGTTTTGGTTTTGGTTGTTTTTTGTCTGGTTTTGTAATCTTAGTCTTTTATTTGGAGTAATTAGTTCTTTTAAATACATTGTAATTACTGATATAGCTGAGTTTATATGTACCACGTTGTCTTTCATTTCCTTCTTGGCTCATCTGTTTTATATTTCTTCTGTCATCTTACTGTCTTTTGGATAAATTACAAAATACATTGTTCTGTTCTGTGTTTTCTTCTAATAATTTGTTAGTTATACATATTTGTGCTATACATTTAGGGGCTACTCTAGAGATTATAGCATGCATTTGTGAATTATTTCACTGTACTGAAAATTATTATTTAGCCATATCTCCATAACCAATATAAAACCTTAGAACCTCAAAACTCCTTTTACCTTTATCTTGCTTTTTTGTTATTGTTGTCATTGAATATGAATTCTATATGATAGTATTTTTATTACTTTGTGAAGTTAATATTTATTGATATTAACCCACATATTAGTTCATTCCTCTATTCTTCATTCCTTCCTGCATTTCCATTTTCCTGTCTGGTATCTTTTTTTTTCTGTCTCAAGGATTCCTTTTATATTTTTTTGTGGTGCAGGGCTTGGAATGGTTGTCTACTCTATGGAAATTTAATTCATCTAGTCCTAATTGTTATCAAAGCTCTCTCAGGCATCTAAATACCATTTTTATAATTTATTCATATTTAAGTAATTATTACAGCAGAAGTGTCTATTTACTGTGACTTATTACATTCTACTTGGAAGCAGAAGTAGTATGATAATGTTTAAATAGCTGTCTCTCACACTCAATTTTAAGCTACGCGAATGTAGGAACGTTTTCTGCTTTGCTTATTTTGGGTTGTCTAACATTTAATAAGTTATTTATGAATAAATGAATGAATGAATAAGTGACACAGTATCTATAAGTCCTTTTCATTTGGTAGGTACTCAATAAAATAAATATTACCTAACCTTTTAAATATCTTATCTCTGTTAATTACATGTCACATTAGGGTGGAGACTAAAATTTGCACCTATTACCAATCATTTTTGCCTGCCTCTGAATACAGGGATCAAGAGAAAGTATCAGGGAAGGCTGCAGAGTTGGGAGGCTGAGGCACAACTGACTGAACTATTTACATAGGTTTACTGAAGCTCTGTCTTGTAACTAACAGCACAAAGCTTAGGCTCCTCATTTTATGGTTTTGTGGTTTAAGTTGGCATCAGTGGATGACTTGTGAAGTAACCACACTCATTTCAGCTGTAGAAATGTGTTAAGTTGTTCTTAATCCATTTATGAATTAAAACTGGAGAGTATGATAATAATCACTCAGTAGCCTCCACATGTAAGAATCTTCAAATTAGCAAAGGAGACTGGGAAAAAATGATGTACAATTGTACAGCATAATGTGACTATGTGGATAAAAGGGAAGAGAGAGGACACTGTTCCACCCAAGTTAGATGATAAAGTTTTTGACATATTAGAAACTAGTGTTATATAGGTAGCTGGTTTTCAATATGTATCTCAGGGTCTTGTAAAAGTAGTTGCTGTAACCCTGCATTCTAGAATCAAGAGACATTTTGGGTAGAATACAGCCAATTACAAGTCAGCCAGCCACCCTGGTTATCGATTGCTATGACATAAATTGAGGGTAAAAGATTTATGTTTGGCCATTTTTCAAAAAGGATCTTCTAAGAGAAATTATTATCCTCAATGCTGTGACATTTTTAAAAGAGAAACATCATATATTGTCTCCAAAGATAACACATCATAGCAGATGAAACATAAAAGGAATTTTTTATTGATTCAACACAATAATGTTCTTTTGCTTTTTAAAACATTTTATTTTCTATGGGGGCCAAATGTTTTGACATTTTAACAATTCTGTTTGTTCACCCAGCTTGGGAAATAAGTAGAAGCAAGTTCCCCCTACTTCCCCGTAGTTTGGCTTATACATGGACAGCATTTTATCATTGACAGAGCCCATTCCCATTGTTTTCGTATTTGAGTTTCACAGCAATCCATTGAGAGAGGCAGGGAAGAGAGCTACTATCAGTCTTACAGGTACAGAAACCAAGACTCTGAATTCTAGCCAGTGCTTTTGTTATTATCCAGCTTTGCCATCTTAGAAGCTGAGTTGATGTTTGGGCTAGCATTTATTCAGTCATCTCAAACCCCCACATTTCAATTTTAGTATATTAGAAAGAAAATGAATAAATAAAATTTTCAACTCTTGCTGGTTCAAAAGACCCATTTTCTCAAATATTTAATTAGACTTGTGTGTAGTAACCTACCTTGAACTCTGCTTTCATCTGAGAAATCCTATCATGGTAAAATATGTCTTGGAAAAAAATATCAAAAGGTAAAAATTAAAAATGCAAGTTAAGTTGAAGTTCCCAACTTAAAAAAGATTATTGCGAAGATAGCTTTTTCACTCAAGTGAAGGAAATGAGTGATGAGAAAGTCCAGGCTTTAAAGTAGAAAGGACAAATGTGATCATTAATTCATTAGTAAACCACATTTCCCTGTTACAGGACCTATCTTTTTCCTGAAGAAACTTGTCTGTTTTTCTATTGATGATGAAATATCAGATAAAAAATAATTATACTTAGTAATTTTGTTTACATCTATAATTGATTATAGCCATTTTATGCAACAAAATAAAAAGCTTTTAGTTAGAGGCTGGATGAATCTGCCTTTTTTGGATGGCTAGTTGAGTTGTCAATAATAGTTTGTCATAAACTTTGCAAGTTACTGTTTAAAGCATTCAGGCCTACAAAATTGACCTTGGCTGCCTTGGTGGTGCCCCAGGGGCTGGAGTTACCTCTGCTCAGCCCCTCCACCTTCATTTCTGCTTCTATTGCTTAATTGCTAACTGGTTTAAGTTCTTTCTCTCACTCTGTGTCACATATATATATATAATGTATATAATTGAATATATATCTCAAATAATTGAATAATTGGCTGGAATGAATATTTAATTGAATACATAACTACTTTGATAGATTTTCCTTAGTTTTATTCTGAATTGACTAGTTGCCTTGGGATTTTAATTCATTTATTGTAATGATGTTTATTGAGCACTCACCATGTGCTAGGTATATTGTAGGGGCTAGGGATAGAGCAGAGAACAATACAGGCATAAATCCCTGACCTCATAGACTGTACATTCAAGTATCAGGGGAGACAGAATTAAACAAGAAATGCAACACATAGTGTGTTGGTGATAAGTGCTATTGAGTAAAATAAAGGATGGTAGTAGGACAAGTAATACACATGTGGTATATAGGAGAGTGTAGCATTTTGAATTGGGTGGCAATGGAAGGACTCACTGGGAAGGTGCCATTTGAGCGAAGACCTGAAGGAGTTGAATGAATGATGCATGCAGCTATCTGGGGAGAGATCATTCGGGAGAGGCAGAATAGCAATTGCAAAGACCCTGATATGGGCCTACATGTAGCCAGGTTGGTGAAATGCCGGGTGCCTGGAGCTGAGTGAGAGAGGCAGAGTGTGGTAGGAGACAACCTCAGAGAGCACATGGAAATCCAGATCATGGAGGTCCTTGTAGGCCAGTACAAGGAGTAGAGTTTATATTCTGGGAGAGATGGGGAGCCGGTAGAAGGATTTGTACAGAGACGTCATATGATCTGAGATGTGTTAAGGGGATCACTCGGGCTGCTGTTTTGAAAACAGACTGAAGGGGGCAAGGGCCGAGGCTGACCAGTGAGGAGGCTGTTTGCAGCAATCTAGGGGAGAGATGATGGTGGTTAAACCAGGGTGGCAACAATAGAGGGAGTGAAAAATGACCGGGTTCTAGATATATTCTGAAAGTATTGTCAAGAGAATTTTCTTACAGATGGGGTGTGGAGTGGGAGAGAAAGACAGGAGTTAGGATCATCTTAAGGATTTGACCTGAACAGCAAAAAGGATGAGATTATCATTAACTTAGATGAGGAAGATTGAGGAGGAGCAGGTTTTGGGGGTAAAGTCAGGGTTTTGGTTTTGGATATGTTAAATTTGAGGCACCTATTGATATCCAAAAGGAGATATTGAGGAGGCAGTTTGATGCATATATCTGGGCCTCAAAAGATCACATCCCCCTTTCCACACACGCACAAACATTTAGAAGTTGTGTCTATGTAGATGGAAATTAAAGCAATGACACAGATGAGATCACCAAGGGAGTGAGCATAGAGAAGGGAAAATGTCCAAAAACAAGGCCCTGGTGCCCTCTAACACTTAAAGTTCAAGGAGATAAGGAAGAGCTAGCAGAGGTCACTTAAAAGAGAGACCAGTGAGGTAATTGAAGAACCCTTAAGTGTGTGCCTGGCGGTGAGAGTAAATGAGAACAACTTTTGTTTCTTAAGAGTCTGTTCACTCTATGAGGCTTTGCCCCATCCCTGGGTTGGCGGGATCTCAGAGTAGACTGTATGTCAGGAGATTCCTCACTTATTTTTAAAATTTGGTGAGAGATAATCCCCTCACAATTTTGTTGACTACAACATGGAAAAGAGATATTGGGCAGTGACAGTGTGTCAAAGCAAATATTGTAATGGAAACACTTTTTGTTCTAGCCAAGACAATGTGTTATAATTAAGACATTGGTACATTCCATCATCATGACAGGCCAATTGAGTTCTTTGCTGATTTTGAGGGGGGAGGAGCAGGGTGTGGTAGGATAAAGATGGAAAGGTTAGCGTGAAGCAAGAAAGAATAAACATTGGAACATTTAACGTCGTTTATTCTGACATTCAACAAGTCACACAAAAGAGGACACTTGGGTTTTTCCCCACCATTAAATGTCATGTCAGCAGTGACAATTTGGAGGCTGATTCCGTATCTCTGCTAGTGTGAAGAGCCAACCTTGATGTACAAATCTCTTCTGAAGCAGAAGTTTAAGGCCATGTGTATTGTGAATTGAAGATTTAGCCCAATTTTTGGTTCTCTGCTCTTTGACTTTTACCCTCTATGAAGTGACCTGCCAGTATCTGTCATTTGTAAGAATCAATTTAGAAAATAGGTGAGATAGTGCAAATTCTGAGTGTAGCTTCAAGTCCCAGATGAGTTTCCTAAAGCACAATGGCACTGCAACATCCTTGCTGATACCTAGGAACAGCACTAATTAATTTTCAGTGCCTTTCCCCATCTGATAATTTTGGCCACAAAGGTTCATTTCTAAAAGATGGCCTGGAGCAGATTTAAGCATAGAGTCCTTTAATTGACATGAGTGAGCAACAGTTGGACTTTCTGAATTGAGTTCTTCTGTGGTTAACCAGAGCGCATAGAGACAACATTAATTGCCTCATAGCTCCCAAATGGAGATGAAGGGAGGGAAGAAAGAAAGCAAAGCCATGAATGGTCTGATTGAATTAGTAGTCCATGGGATTTGTTTCTGGGCTTTGTTTCTTCATGTAAACTCTGCTTTGAAAACAAAATATTTGAGTTATGAACAGGTAGTATAACAGTTGGACTACATAATAATATTTATAATTTGATATAAAATTTCAAAAACCATTTTCTATGAATAATGCCTTAAACAGAAAGGGCTTAATGGTTGAACCTGTCAGGGTTTTTGAAGTTTTCATTTTATTTTTGGGATGTGGTTTATGAAATCTAGGCCTTTATTGCTTTATATACTAAAATATTCTCTTGGTTATGTTATACACATTCACACACACACACACACACACAGACAAGATACACAAAGGGTGCTGGTTTATGAGAGCTTTTCATTTCAAAAGAGAACTGTCAAATTTGTGAAAGAATAAAGTGTGTGGAGTGAATGCTCACTTATAAGATATCACATTTTATATAGAATGAAGCATGCTTTTAGGTAAGCTATATATAAGCTATTTCCATAAATGTATACTACGTGTATGAGTCCAAGAGAAATTGTGATGGGAGAGAGAAATACTGATGATGCTATCATGCTTGTATTTTGTGTTGTGCTATATTCTTGAGCCTACTGTTGTTCATGGTTAGAAGTCAAGCTGGGCACTCAGTGGGTTTTAGGGTCATATTCTGTATCCTTGCACTAATTTGATAAAAGCTCCTGAGGAAAGCATTTCAACTTTCTCTAATGGGCTCTTTTAATTTGCCAAAATGAATATGATGTGATAGCAGGAGGTATGCTATATGAACTCCCCAGATCAGCAGCACCAGGGCCAACTCCAAAAAGCCCTGCCAGAATCACTGGAGCTCTGGTGGCTAATAGGGTCATCATATCCAAAATGTCCATTTCCAAAAGTGTCTATTTCACATCTGTCTGTAGGACTTGCCTCTTGCCAAGAAGCTCCAGATTTTGACAACTGGGTTGAAATATTGAAACTCTAGGCAATATGGCATGCTTTTTATTCAAACTGTTCATTCTATGATAAGGTTTTTAGGTCCACACTTAAATGTTGCTTACCCTAGCAGGAAATGAGGATGAGGGATTTTGTAGTTGTTTTCTGAGTGTCCCATTATTGGAGTGTGAACAGCTGCAAATGGAGGGCTCCTCTCTGTCACATGTCTTGGCTCAGGCATATGCTTTGTTGACACCCTTGTTCAGTGCTTTCTCTCTGTCTGTGCCTGCAGGCCTTTGCCTCAGGCATGCTTAACCTCAGCTGCACAGAGCAATGAGCTACGGTCTGGTTTAAGTAGTGACAAGACCTGATTGTTCTGTGTGACATTGTCTCCTTCTCTTTATATGTGTGTGTTCATTTGTTCAATTGCTTGTCTTCTGTGTTGTGCTATATTCTTGAGCCCACTGACATTTTTCTCGAAATAACTATGAGAAAGATCCTGTAATACTTTGTATCAAGTGGTAAACAGTACCTGAGAATTTTAAAGCTGCAAATGAAGCTGTAATAAAGTTATAAAGCTAACGCTGCAAGTTACTGAAGAAATATGAGGCAGGCCTCACGAGAATCTGGAATGAGACTTGGGCTGAGGTGATGAAGATAGCTCCAGAAATTCCCACAAATAGAAGTTGGTTAAAGCTTCTTTTCCCTTCTCTTTTGTTTCCAAAGAAGTGGCATCCTACCTTCTTTCTGATAATTCACTGCTCTCATTCCCCTCAGGACTGTGCTCTGTCAATTATCCTCTCCCTGTAGATCTTGAAGTTCTCCTTTTTTCCTGGTGCCTTTCACCTGTAAAACATTCTCCAGCCTCTTCTAGCACCCTACTCCCAGCCAATTTCCATGACCTTATCATATCTCAACCTTTATCCCTTTTTGGTCTTCCTTCTATGTATACTACTGAGCTGAAAGTGCTCATTCAGTGGGTATTTTGAGATGAATTGTGTCCTCTCAAAATAGAAGTGTTGAAGTCCTAGCCTCTGGTACTACAGAATGTGACCTCATTTAGAAATAGGGTCTTTACAGAGATAATCAAGTTAAAATGATATCATTGAGGTAGGCCCTAATACAATATGACTGGTTTCTTTATAAAAAGGGGAAATTTGGACATAGAGACAGATGTGTACAGAATAGATGATATGAAGACACAGGGAGAATATAATCTACAAGCCAAAGAATGCCTGAGGCTATTGGAAACTAGGAGAAAGGGCTGGAACAGAGCCTTCCTCACAGCCCTTAGGAGGAACCAACCCTGCTGACACTTTGATCACTCGTTACTAGCCTTCAAAACCGTGACACAATAAATTTCTGCTGTTTAAGCCACCCAGTTTTTGGTACTTTGTTATGCAGGCCTAGCAAACTAATACAGTGGACACAAATATGATTTCCTAATGATTGAATCCAAGGGCTCCTTCTTACCCACTGCGTTAGTCCATTTTCCCATTACCATAAAGAAATACCTGTTACTGGGTAATTTATAAAGAAAAGAGGTTTAATTGACTCATGGGACTTGCCTTGTCTCAGATGGAACTTTGGACTTTGGACATTTGAGTTAATGCTGGAATTAGTTAAGATTTTGGGGGATTATCGGGAAGGCCTGATTGTATTTTAAAATGTGAGAAGGACATGAGATTTGGGAGGGACTGAGGCAGAATGATATAGTTTGCCTGTGTGTCCCCACCCAAATCTCATGTTGAAATGTAATCCCTAATGTTGAAGGTGGGGCCTGGTGGGAGGTGACTGGATCATGGGGTGGATGTCTTATGAATGGTTTAACACCATCGCCTTAGTGCTGTCCTTGTGACAGTAAGTTCTCACAAGATCTGGTTGTTTAAAAGTGTATAGCACCTCCCTCCCTCCCTCTTACTTCTGCTCTGGCCATGTGACATTCTTCTTCCTCCTTCACCTTCCACCGTGATTGTAGTCTTCCTGAGGACTCCCCAGAAGCTAAGCAGATGTCAGCACCATGCTTCCTGTATGGCGTGAAGAACCATGAGCCAATTAAACCTCTCTCTCTCTCTCTCTCTCTCTCTCTCTCTCTCTCTCTCTATATATATATATATATATATATATATATATATATATAATACTTTAAGTTCTAGGGTACATGTGCACAATGTGTAGTTTTGTTACATATGTATACATGTGCCATGTTGGTGTGTTGTACCCCTTAACTCATCATTTACATTAGGTATATCTCTTAATGCTATCCCTCCCCCCTCCCCACACCCCACAACAGGCCCCAGTGTGTGATGTTCCCCTTCCTGTGTCCATGTGTTCTCATTGTTCAATTCCCACCTATGAGTGAGAACATGGATTTTTGTCCTTGCAGTAGTTTGCTGAGAATGATGGTTTCCAGCTTCATCCATGTCCCTACAAAGGACATGAACTCATCATTTTTTATGACTGCATAGTATTCCATGGTGTATATGTGCCACATTTTCTTAATCCAGTCTATCATTGTTGGACATTTGGCTTGGTTCCAAGTCTTTGCTATTGTGAGTAGTGCTGCAATAAACATATATGTGCACGTGTCTTTATAGCAGCAATGATTTATATTCCTTTGGGTATATACCCAGTAATGGGATGGCTGGGTCAAATGGTATTTCTAGTTCTAGATTCCTGAGGAATTGCCACACTGTCTTCCACAATGGTTGAACTAGTTTACAATCCCACCAACAGTGTCAAAGTGTTCCTATTTCTCCACATCCTCTCCAGCACCTGTTGTTTCCTGAGTTTTTAATGATTGCCATTCTAACTGGTGTGAGATGATATCTCATTGTGGTTTTGATCTGCATTTCTCTGATGGCCAGTGATGGTGAGCATTTTTTCATGTGTCTTTTGGCTGCATAAATGTCTTCTTTTGCGAAGTGTCTGTTCATATCCTTCGCCCACTTTTTGATGGGGTTGTTTGTTTTTTTCTTGTAAATTTGTTTGAGTTCTTTGTAGATTCTGGATATTAGCCCTTTGTCAGATGAGTAGATTGCAAAAATTTTCTCCCATTCTGTAGATTGCCTGTTCACTCTGATGGTAGTTTCTTTTGCTGTGCAGAAGCTCTTTAGTTGAATTAGATCCCATTTGTCAATTTTGGCTTTTGTTGCCATTGCTTTTGGTGTTTTTGACATGAAGTCCTTGCCCATGCCTATGTCCTGAATGCTATTGCCTAGGTTTTCTTCTAGGGTTTTTATGGTTTTAGGTCTAACATTTAAGTCTTCAATCCATCTTGAATTAATTTTTGTATAAGGTGTAAGGAAGGGATCCAGTTTCAGCTTTCTACATATGGCTAGCCGGTTTTCCCAGCACCAATTGTTAAATAGGGAATCCTTTCCCCATTTCTTGTTTCTGTCAGATTTGTCAAAGATCAGATAGTTGTAGATGTGCAATAGAACAAAGCTGGAGGCATCACGCTACCTGACTTCAGACTATACTACAAGGCTACAGTAACCAAAACAGCATGGTACTGGTACCAAAACAGAGATATAGACCAATGGAACAGAACAGAGCCCTCAGAAATAAGAAATAAACCTCCTTTCTTTATAAATTACCCAGTGTCAAATATTTCTTTATAGCAAGGTGAGAATGGACTAGCACACTCACTCTGGTCAATCACTCTGTACACTTTAATTCTATAAATCTCTTTGAAAATTTGAGAGTCAGCATAGTGAGGTAGAATAAACCAGAGCTTTGGAATTAGGACAAACTATGTTCAAATTCTTGGGTAATTTTACTCATCTTTTCTAAGCCCATGAAATAGAATTTGTATCTACCTTATATGGTGATTGTGAGCATTACATGAGATAATGTATGTAAAATATGTGGCATATAGTAAGCACAAAATAAAAAAAATTAAGCACTGTAGTCAGCTTGGGAAGAACCTAGACATTGAGTGGTCAGCTGAGATGCTAAGTCAAATAGTAGTGCCTTGGAAGTAAAAATATGATGATGGTTTAGGGTAAGTGTTTGCTCCTCGTCCATGCTCTTACCTTTCTTAGTATACTTAGCAGTGTTATTTATTTACTTAGTTTTATTTGTGTGTTTCCTCTCCTATTTGATTTCAAGATCATTGATAGTGGACATAGAGAATAACCGATGAATGACGAAATGGGTAAATGGGACAAATCTAGAAGCTCATTCTTGGCCAGTCTGAGGGGTAAGGGATCATGCTGTGTATCAAGGCTACTCAGGAGGCTGAGGCAGGAGAACCGCTTGAACCCAGGAGGCGGATGTTGCAGTGAGTCAAGTTCACACCACTGTACTCCAGCCTGGGTGACAAAGTGAGACTCCATCTCAAAAAAAAAAAGAAGAAGAAGAAGAATCTGCTATTAACAAATTTATTGCTTGGACTAAAATGTGTTCTTTCAAAGTTCTCAACAATCCTCCTCTGCCAGGATTGGATCAATTTTTTTTTTTTTTTGGTAAATCACTACTGGGGTGGATTTACTGGAGTCAGTCAAGCTGAGTGAGCAATGAATATGCACTTCCAATATGTTTCTTGAAACTCTATATACTAGTGTTGTGTGTTGCTATCACCACTTCTGTGATTTCATCAGATTTGTCCACTTGTGCTACTCAGGCACAGAAATAACTATAATATTGACTTTTTTTTTTTTAGTAGTTGCTAACTTTATGAATGCACAATCCCAAATCAGAAAGAGTATTCACTTTATGGGCCAAAATTATGTGGCAGTAAACCTGGAAATCACAAATATAAGTACATTGGAACGGTCTACTTCTCTTGTAGTTTCAAAACGTAAGCTGGACGTTCACAAGAATGGGCTTCCTCAGTGATATAGTTTGGATGTGTGTCCCCACCCAAATCTAATATTGAAATGTAAATCTCAATGTTGGAGATGGGGTCTGGTGGGAGGTGATCGGATCATGGGCTTGAATTTCTCACGAATGGCTTAGCACCATCCCGTTGGTGCTGTCCTTGTGATAACCAGTGAGTTCTTGTGAGATCTGGTCATTTAAATGTGTGTGGCCCCTTCCTGCTCTCTCTCTTGTTCCTACTTTTGCCATGTGAGGTTCAAGTTCCTACTTCACCTTCTGCCATGATTGTAAACTTCCAGAGGCCTCCCTAGAGGCATACGCTAGTGTTATGCTTCCTGTACAGCCTGCAGAACTGTGAACTGATTAAACCTCTTTTCTTTACAAATTACCCATTTTTGGGTATTTCCTTATGGCAATGCAATGTTGGCCTTATACGCTCAGCGAATATTAATTTTCTTTGATGAACATTCTGGAGGCTGTTTGTGTTCCTCATTATATGATCCTTCCAGATGGGTTTGTACTGACTTTTTATAATTCAAACATAAGCTTCCCTTTCACCCCAATCTGAGGAATATCTTTTCTAGTTATTTAGGGGTCTAAATAGCTTTTTCTAAAATGCTGTATTTACTCAGTTTACCCATGACCCTTATCCTCCTGTCCATTTATTCTAGTCTAGATACAAATATTTCTCAGTGCAGGTATAGAAATAATAAAAAATAAAAGTAGATTTTTTTCTAGTGCTAGTCTTTTCTGGCTTTATCATGGGACTTAAAATGAAAAGCTATATTAATACTTCACTGAGTAAGATGGTTTGCTTGGCCAGACAAGATGGTAGGCATTAATAAAATATTAATAACATTTTAAAAAGAGGAAATAGGTGTGTCACTCCCACCCTTTTAAGAAAATAAAAAGCATAACACAGAGAGTGGCAAGAGAGGAAGCTGAATAAATGTATTTTTTTTTCTGAGAAAGAGAAGTTATAAAGTGATTCTCTGTTCCAGGCCAAATCTTTTTCCTAACTTGGGCCTGATTCAGTATAGTCCAATGCACACTTTACTATAAAACTCAGAGAATTTAGGGTATCCACAGTCAATGTCCCATTGTATCATGCAACCCAAGTTTTCTTTTAAATACCCTGGCATGCATGTCCTCATCTCAGTGTTACTGATAACACTGAAAAACTGGGGACAGCCTAAATGTCAAACAGTTCAAAACCAATTCATTAAACTATGATACAGACATGTGATGGCATATTAGGCAGCTGATAAAAATTTTGTTGTGGAAAGAGATTTAAAGGCATGGGATGATGTTCACAATATGTCTATAATTGGGAAAGAAGCAGATTTCACAATAGTAAGTACCATAGGAGCCTAACAAATCAGTACATATAGTCATAGAAGTCTGGAATATGATTTCTGAAATTTTTACCAGTGGCTGACTCTGGGTTGTGAAATTAAAGATGAGTTTTAAGTTTCTTTGTGATTTTCTATATTCACTATATTTTTATGATGAACGTATATTAACATTACAATCAGGAAGACAAAAAGGGAGGATATCTCTCCCCCACATAAACACTATGTAATGGGTTGAATGGTGGCCCCCAAAATATATGTTTACATCCTAACCCCCAGAACCTATGAATGTGACCTTATTTGGAAAAAGAGTGTTTGCAGCTATACCTAAGTTAAGGATCTCATGAGTCATTCTGGATTATCCATGTGGTCCTAAATCCAATGATAAGTTTCTTTATAAGAGACAGAAGAGGAGAAGGCACAGACACACACGAGAAAGCCCTGTGAAGATGGAGGCAGAGATTGGAGTGATATGGACACAGGCTAAGGAGTATTGACAGCCACCAGAAGCCAGAAGAGACAAAGAATGATTCACTTCTAGTGCTTCCAGAAGGAGTGTAGCTTTGTTGATATCTTGCTTTTTGGCCACCAGAACTGCAAGAAAATAAATTGCTGTTTAAAATTTGTGGCAATTTGTTTCAGTGGTCACAGAAAACTAATATGTGCTGCAATGGCCCATGCTGCCAATTGGTTATTTATTCTATGTGAGCATCTGACTGGGCTTTTGCCTCTCCCTCTTCTTAGTCCCAAGTCACTATGTTTGCCATCTTCAAAGTACCATGCTGAGCTCTGTTGCCAGTTCAATGTCCATTTCAAATTGTGTGCTTCCTCTTTCCTTCTTCCTGCCCATCTTCTCTTTGTTCTCATTTGTGAGATGTTCCTTTTGATCACTACAGGTTGCACCTATCATTTGGTCTTCCAGTTTTCTCTGGCAATTGAACATTTGTTACTTGTGACATTCACAAAAGGACCTTAATGGCTGCCTAGGGCCTCTGTATTTTCAAAGGAGACCTAGTGACCTTCACCACCCTTTAAAATATCTGCTGTGACTTAAAGAAGTTCCCAAATGACATTGGCACCCAGGATACCTGGGATATATTACTATCCAGTTAAGGGAGAAAGGGAACTTTTTTAAAGCAACATGGGGAAAATTCATTCCCAGGTCACTGAAGATATTTCCCAAACATCACAGGTAGAGAATTTGCAGATATTTTGTTGTTTCTATTTGCTTAGTGGAAGAGGCTTGTTGGTAACCTGACACTGCCTACCATGCCAGCCTCATTTCCTTCCTTTTGTTGATGGACCAGTGATCTTTAGGTGCTGTGTGTCATTGCCACTCCTCATCCTGAGGCCATTGCTCCCATTCTGCTCTACCAGGAATGAGACCCTCTTAGCCTGACTTGTTCTCCTCCCTCTCCCCTTATCCTTCAGTCTTGGCTCAAGTATTACCTTCAAGAACCATTTGCTGACTCCCACTTCCCAGCCTGGGCCAGGCACTAGGCCCAACCTTTTGTGTTTCTCTAGTAGCATGGCTTCACCTCTACCCTCCATGTATTCACAATACTGGGAAGTGATCTCTTTGTTAAGGTTGGACATTTTTAAGTTCCGTGTTTCTTACAATAGGGGTTCCATAAGACAAAAGGAAGATGAAATGAAGCAACCTCTCGTGCTAATGGAATATTTTCTATGGTGGAATAATCTCTGCAAGGAAAATGCTATAAGTAAGTCACTACCATGGAAATCTTTTATCTTCTGTCCACTGGATCTATATACTCAATTCCCTAAGCAAAACTCATTTTCTTTTGCAAGAAATAAAAAGACAGAAGTGGGCAAGCAAAAGTGGAACAGAGGCCTCTTGAATGTGAGAAAATGCTTCTTTTAAGTGATTATAATAAGAAAAGGAAACGATGTGTTTGGGTCTTTCCTACTTTATTGTGAACTACTTGAGAGAAGGAAAATTTGGATTCCTTCCATTTGGCATAGAGTTGGTGCTCCCCAGATGTTTACAGAATGAGTAAATATTTTCCTTACAGCCCTATACTTTTTGTTCCAGAACTGTGAAGAGAGAAGCAGAGCAATCATGCTGATATCAGATCTGCCATTTATGTGGATTAGTGTCCTGAAGCCCTTTAGTCAAGACCTTCCTATCGCCCATCTCAGAAGCATAAAAGTGTGACAGGATTTTCAGTAGGTAAGAATGGGAAAAAACAGATAGTGCTTTTTCTTTTTAGTCTAGAAAAAGTACCAACAAGGAGCAGTATGCTGGGAGGTGATAAGGATGCCACACACAATGGGGAAAATCAATGCACAGTCCCTTTCTGGCACCAGAGATTTTGCTAAGAGGCCAATCAACTTTGATTCTGACATCCCTCCACAACAGAACCTAGAATTTCAAGAATAACTGATGGAAGGTAGTGCACCAAGGCATTTGCAAGCTATACCACTCATGCTAAAACACGACAACAGATGGTTTTTAGTTACTGCCATCAGACTTGAGCACAAAATTTGAAAGCAGCCCCATAGTTGTATGGTTTCTCCCGGAATGGGATAGAACTCTGCTCTTCCTAGTCATGAGGTCCTGAGGCCAAGCCAAATGCTGTCTTGGAACTGAGTCTGAGAAAATTCTGAGTCTGGAGGAAGAATGTAATTTATACCTAGGAAGGAAAGCAGGAAGGTCAAGAGCCAGGAGATTGATCAAACAGGTCATCATGCTTGAAGGGCAGTGTTTGCTGGAAGCCAGATAAGCATAAGGGAGCAAGCAGAGAGGAAAGCAAGATGCAAAGGGTTGAACTTGATGCCAAAAGTAATTTCACGAATACAGCCTTCCTCTGCATGACCTGGCATGTTTCCCTGGGCAAAGGGCATGCTCTTAAAGCTCCAGATGGCTGTCTTTCCTCATTTTGTGGCCCAGTTAGGTTAGCCCAAAGCTGACAAACATCAACCACGAAGAATTGTATATTTTGGGGTGGGAGTGGGATTAGTAGAGTCCTGCCAAATGCAGAACCTATGTTAACAAGCAAATTTGAAGATGTATAATATATCCTCTGTGAACCATAGAACACCACATACTTCCACAAATATGTACTGAGCTGTATTTCCTGAGTGCAAGGCACTCAAATTACATTAAGGATGGTAGAGAGGTGATTATTAAATTCTATGCTCTCGGTAAATATAGAGTGTTTTATCTCAGCTAATTAAGGCATGGAGAGGGATTGGAAAACATAGGTCGTGGTCAAGGTACAGTACCAGGTAAAGTAGTGGAGTGATAAGAAAAATGGCTGGAAAGAAATATTGGGGTAAACTCCAATGTCAGCTAGAGCAGCTCTTACTTTGAACATGAATTGCATAGCACTCTGTGGAATATCTTGAAAGTGCGAAAGGTAGTTAGGCCACTGCACTGGTCTAGGTAGAGATGATGTGAGCCTGACTTACTCTGGTGGCAGTGGAAAGAGAACAGAGGCGACAGGACTGAGTGACATATTGGAGAGCTAAATTGGTTCTGACTTGGTGTCAGGGTTTTTCATGAAGATAGAACAGATAGGATGTAGATATAGATGATATAGATCAGATATAGATGTAGATGAGCGGGGGATTTTTTAAGGGAATTGGCTCACATGATTATGGAGACTGAGAAGTCCCCTAACAGGCATGGTTCAGTTCAAGTCTGAAAGCTTCAGGTCCTGCAGTCCAAATGCCAGAGAGTCTGGAGTTCTAATGTCCAAGTGCACGAGAAGAATGTCCCAGCTCCTGGAAAGACAGAGAAAAAAATACCATTCCTCCACCTTTTTTTGTTCTATTGGGGTTCCTATCTGGATAGTGCTTGCCCACATTGAAGGTGGATCTTCCCCACTCAGTCCACTGACTCATGAGTCAGTCTCCTTTGGAAACACCCTCACAGACACACTTTACCAGTTATCTGGGTATTCCTTAATCCAGATGACACCTAAAATTAACCATCATACTAGGTAACTCACTGAATGTTGGAAATAAGGTAGAGAGGAAACAAACGTGACAGCAAATTTGTAAGCCTGGGTGACTAGATACATAGGATCACTCACAGAACTAGAGAAATCAGTTAAAGTCATTGATTTGAAAGATAAGAAGATTTGCTTGGTTTTGAACATGTTGGGTTTACAATGGTGGTTAAACATTTGAATGGAGATACTGCCAAAAGGCAGTTGGAAATGTAAAATAAAACTAGGGTAGATCCTACTGCAATAGGTTCCCATAAGTGCCTACACTCTCCCTACCTCAAATGCTGGCAAGAGGTGATCATTATGTTAAGGGAAATAAGCCAGGCACAGGAAGACTAACATTGCATGTTCTCACTTATTTGTGGGATCTAAAAATCAAAACAACTGAACTCATGGAGATAAGAGAGTAGAAGGATGGTTACCAGGGGCTGGGAATGCTATTGGGGGTCTGGGGAGGAGGTGAGGATGGTTAATGGGCACAAAAATATAAATAATGAATAAGACCTACTATTTGATAGCACAATAGGGTGACTATAGTCAATAATAACTTAATTGTACATTTTAAAATTACTTAAAGTGTATAATTGGATTGTTTGTAACACAGAGAATAAATGCTTGAGGGGATGGATATCCCATTTTCCATGATATGCTTATTTCACATTGCATGCCTGTATCAAAGCATCTCATGTGCCCCATAAATATATACAGCTACTATGTACCCACAACATTTTTTTAAAATTTTAAAATTAAAAACTAAAATGGCTTAAAAATCAACCATTAAAAAAGCACAAGAGCACAATCAGAACTGAAATTTGTCAAAATGAATAAAAATGTTGTTAAAAAGTATAGGGTCACTTTTACTAAGGATGAAACAAGAAAGAAGAAAAAGAAAAACACATTGGTCACAGAACTGAAAGCCAATAATAGTAGCATCATATCATGAAAACTAAAGGAAAAGAGAATTTCACGAAAGGGAGTGGCAGGTAACTTTGCCACTTGCTACAGGGAATTTGAATACAACAGGGACTGAATGATTTTGCAATTAGGAGGTCCTGGAAGTCTTACATGACTTCTGAGGGTTAGTAGCAAGGGTAAGGAATGGAGAAACCAGGTTACAGAATGTTTATGTGTAAACGGGAGGTGAGAAAGTAAAACTCTGGGTGTCCATGTCTGAGGATTGGTGCAGTTTGGCTGCTTCAGAGTCACTTGCGGAGCCTGTAAAAATACAGATTGCCAAGCCTCAGAACTGTATTCAGATTCATCAAGTCTGGGGTGGGGCCTAAAAATCTGGCTTTTAAAAAAGCACTCCAGACAGAAAACCAAGCACTGCATGTTCTCACTCATAAATGGGAGTTGAACAATGAGAACACATGGACACAGGGAGGGGAACATCACACACCATGGCCTGTCACGGGGTTGGGGGAAAGGGGAGGGAGAGCATTAGGACAAATATCTAATGCGTGCAGGGCTTAAAACCTAGATGATGTGTTGATAGGTGCAGCAAACCACCATGACACATGTATACCTATGCAGCAAACCTACACATTCTGCACATGTATCCCAGAACGTAAAGTATAGAAAAAAAAAAAAAGAAAGAAAAAGAAAAAGAAAGCACTCCAGGTGTCACTTATGCACAGGTACATTTGACAACCACTGTTTAGACTATTATTTCAAGATATCTGCTAGTAAAGTGGGAGAGAAAGAGGACTGTATTAATCAGGACTGTCTAAGCAATATAACATTAACAAATAACCTTCAAATCTCAATGCTTTAACACACAAAAATACTTGATTTCTCACTCATACTGTATAATCATCATAATCCAGAGGAGAGGTCTCTGTTTGACCCAGGCTAACAGAGACTTGAATCATCTGTTGCTGTGCCTTCTGGAACACGAAGTCTCCTCAGTTGCCGCTTCAGTGAAAAAGAGTGCATGGACATTTCACACCTGCTCTTCCAAGCTTCTGCCCTAAGTGACATGTTACCTCACTCATAGTTCATTGGTGAAAACGAGTCACATAAGCCTATGTAACTGCAGGAGAGTGGACAGTGCTTACTTTTTATGCCTGGGAGGAGAGGACAACTGGATATTGGTGAGAACGAGTCATGTTTGCTTGGAAGGCAGCAGAGATGCAGAAAAGTGAGGCTTTGGCGAGAACCAAGCATGTGTGTAAGCCAAGAGAAAGGTATCAGAGTAAGAGGAATTGGGGAAAAACAAACAGAAAGGAGGAGGGTGGAAACAATGAGAATTAATATAAGAGGGATGGGCACATAAAGCACCAAGTCAAGTGGACTTAACATTGGAAAGGAGGGATGCATTTTTTTTTTCTTTTAAGTCAAATGTGAACAAAAGAGGGAGAATGAAGCCACGAGATTTTGTAGGGCAGAAAAATTCTCATCACTATTAGCAATATTATTCTAAGACTTGACCTGTCCTTCCTTTCTCCTTTCCAGATTTCTATTTACAATTCTTTTATACAAGAGTTCAGACAGTTCTAGCATTTCCAAAATTAACCCAAACCGATTAGTCAACAGGACTGAATCAGCAGGGCTTTCAGGAGTCAATTGCAACTCTTCCTCCTTAAAGGAAAAGTTCAGAGTGGAATAAAAGTAGGTAACTGTGAGTTTTCTCTGGACTAGCAGTTTGTTTTCCTTTTCGGGCAAATCTTCCCAAAGTGTCAGCTCTCCTGGTCATTTGCATAGCATTGCAAAAGTGAACTACCCTACTGGGTTAGGGAAATGGTAGCTACTGTTCTTGCTGTACTTGGAGTTTAGAGCCATGAGAAACAGGATTTTAGATCTGCAAGGGTCCCTGAGGTAGGACCGTATTGAACTGACTAAAGTGAATTAAAAATGAATTTTTAAAAAAGCCTACATTAGAGGCTGATCACCCAGTGGCTGAAATTATTATTCTTTTCTTTCTTATGCCTATTCTACTTCCTTCATGTTGCATTTGAGATGTCTATCCTCTTATGTTGCCCTCTAAAAACATAGAAAACAACTATAAACACTGCCATATACTTAAAACTATTATTATGTTTTTCTACAGTCTTAATTTTAAACTCAAAATATATTTTATTTTTTCACAAATGTATCTGTTGGCTAGTATATGCCAATCACTGGGGCTATAAAATTAATAAATTCTATATAATAATTTATTAATTTATAAAATTAATAAATTCTATATAATAATTTATTAATTTATAAAATTAATAAATATTAATATTATATAAAATTAATAAATTTATATAATAATTATATAATATCAATTATAAAATTGATATATCAGTCCTTGTTTTCTTTTTTCTTTTTTTTTTTTTTGAGATGGAGTCTCGCTCTGTTGCCCAGGCTGGAGTGCAGTGGCGTGATCTCGGCTCACTGTAAGCTCTGCCTCCCGGGTTCATGCCATTCTCCTGCCTGCCTCAGCCTCCCAAGTAGCTGGGACTACAGGGGCCCACCACCACGCCCAGCTAATTTTTTGTATTTTTAGTAGAGACAGGGTTTCACAATGTTCGCTAGGATGGTCTCGATCTCCTGACCTCGTGATCCACCCGCCTCGGCCTCCCAAAGTGCTGGGATTACAGGCGTGAGCCACCGCGCCCGGCCTAGTCCTTGTTTTCAAATAACTCATAATCTGCTTCTACAGAAAGCGAGAATGGAGAAAGGGAGAGAGGAGAGGGACAGAGAGACTTGTACCTTATATTCTGATTGTTTTTTTCCACGTGGCTTCTAACAGATACAGGTGCTAGGAGAATTGGAGCACAAAGAAAAATGAATAAATTCTGCCTAGAACCATCAGCTTTACAGAGCAGGTAACAGTTGACCTGGGTCTTGAGTATAAGTAGGAGTTCCTCTTTCTCCATGATCTCTAAATCTTCATGAACTGCCTACTTCCCTCTTTAGTTATATAACCACATTTATATTCCAAATTGTTCCATCTTCAGGTTTTACCCTTTCCCTGATTATTGACTCTAATTCTCACCCAATATACAATGGGCAGCCTACAACCTCTCTAATATCTCAGGATTTTTGGCAAGGTCTGAGGACTCTTACTCAGTCACTCTGGATGCTATTGCCTGTGGCCACTGAATCCTTGACCTTTCCTCTGAGGCATATATCCTGAAATAAGCTTGCTTCTCTTTTCCTGCATTTCTCTATGCAAATCTTGTACTCTGGGGCCAGGAGACCTTCATTCACTGTCTTCCATACCCTTAACCTAGGGCCATGTACAGAAGACTTTGCTAAAGGTTTGAAGACATGGAAGAGAGGCAGGATTTAGAGGAGAATCGAGGCTGAAATCTAACCCGTGAACCACACTCATTAAGCCTGTGCCTTAGGTAGGTACTGGGAAGAAGAATCACCTTTTTCTAATTAATGTAATCATGCTTTATGGATTAGTGGTAGCCCTAAGGGAGGTTATACCCTAGTATAGCTAAACAATCTCAGATTGAAGTTCCTAAAATGTTTGTCATTTCTGCCACTGGTAGACTTGCCAGATTTAGCAAATAAATATACAGGACACCCAGTAAAATCTGAACTTCTGATAAATGAATTTTTTAGTATGTCTCAAGCAATATTTGGAAAAGTTATACTAAAAATTATTCTTTGTTCACCTGAAGTGAAAATACAAGATGCCCAGTAAAATTTGATCCAGCAACACTAGTACCAGATTTCCCTTAAACTTGTGATTTAGCTGTCCATTGTGCTGCAGGGCCTCTTGTTCCGGCCTTCCACCTCTTCTCTTTCCCTTTCCAGCACATTTCCTTCCAACCACCCAAATTATTTTCATTTCTTGTTTAGAGCAGTTTAGCTGTTAAGTTGGTCTCAGCCCAGACCATGCAGGTTCTGCCCAGGGGACTCATCTTCATAACTAAGTATGGTCTTTGTCCTAAATAGAAACAGTTCTCTCCCAGAGAGGAGAGGAATTTTGCTATCAGCTCAAAGTAGCAAGTGTTCCTGTTCCTCAATATAATTATGTAGCTGGAAATTGAGCAGGGTTCATGTGGGACAGTTGACCTATTATAATTATAATTATAATCATTGACCTGTCTTTGTTATGATGAACAAACAAATTCATGTGATAACCTTTGTTTGGGAAGATAATGCTACTTACATATTTTCAATCTGGCAATTGAATCACTGAGCTCAGAGTGTTAGGCTGAGAGGCTATTTGAAAGATTCTCTAGTCCATACTATTTTCTCAATTTGCAGATGGAGAAATTGAAGCAAAGAGAGGGACTGTGACTTGTTCAAGGTCACACAGCAAATTTATGTTAGAACTTGGAATTCCTCTAGATTTGCTATCCCTGTCCTTGTTTCTCAGGGGATGCAAATAATTTGACAAAATTTGCATTTTTTAAAGCATGATTCTCTTTTTCCTTGGTTGTGGTTTTGTCTGATAGTTATTTTGTACTGTGTGCATTAGTCAGGGTTCTCCAGAGAGATAGAACCAATAGGATATATAATAGAAATACAGACATACGAGAGGATATTTATTAGGGGAATTGGCTCATATGAATATAGAGGCTGTAAAGTTCCACAACAGGCCATCTGCAAGCTGGAGATCCCGGAATGCTGGTAGCATAGTTCAGCCCAAGTCTATAGGCTTCAGAACCAGGGAAGCCGATGGTGTAACTCTCAGCCCAAGGCCTGAGAACCCATAGCAGGAACTGAGGGTGCTGGTATAAATCCTGGAGTCCAAAGGCCAAAGAGCCTGAAGTTCTGCTGTCCAAGGGGAAGAGAAGAAGAGTGTCCTAGCTTCAGGAGAAAGAGGGGGAAATAGTCTTCTCCCTGCCTTTTTTGTTCTACCTGGGTCCCCAGCTGATTGGATGGTGCCTGTCACATTGAGGGCAGATCTTCCCCACTCAGTCCACGAACTCACATGCCAATCTCCTCTGGAAACACCCTCACAGACAGATTCAGAAGTGATGTTTTACAGTTCTCTAGATGTTCTTTAATGCAGTCAAGCTGACACCTAAAATTAACCATCATACTGTGCTTCCCAGTTTGTTACTTTCTGTTCGTTTTTTAGCGTTGATGACATATGCCTGTGGCTATTGGAATTACAATGAAGTAGTAGGATGGAATAGCCTGCTTCTGGCCAACCTTTTCCACCTTCTACTTGCAGCTTTTCACTGGCTGTGGGGCAGGAAAATTAGATTTATACACCTGAATAAGCTGAATAAGCCTCCCTGGGAGAATCCTAAGTGGTGTTAACCTAAAAGGAAGAAGCTGAAGCAAAATTAATATAATTAGAGTTTATTTGGGCCAGGCTTGAGGATTGCAACCAGGAGCATAGATGCAAATTGCCCTGAATATACAGTCCAATTGGCAGCATTCGCAAGTGGATTTTTAAAGGCAAAAAGGGGGAACAAGGAGTGGATTGATACAAAGTTGTTTGTCAGGAATTCTCGCTGGTTTATAGAAGTAACATTGATTAGTGATTGGTATATGTTGGTAGGCTATAGGGTGTGGGTTATAGTGTCCAGTGTGGCATTATTAGATTAATTTATAGCTACTTGTGGCAAAAACACGTAGTTTTGAGATGAATTCATAGCTCACGTGGGGGATAGGATGGGATTGTGGTCTCATTTTAATGTCTCTCTGGGCCTCATAACTTAAAAAGCCTTGCATTCTTCAGATGAAAGTTCTTTTCTCTATGATATGCCTTTTTTCCCCAGGCCCTCATGCCCATATTTGCTGGACCTCAGGGGTAGTAGCAGTGGTAGGAGATGGCCTCCCTCTGCCCATTCCCCCTAGTCCTGCCAAGAAGTTGGGTTTAGCCCTGATGATATTCATGTAAAAACAACAACAAAAGCCTTTATTTCATCAGTTTCATTGCAACAAAGAGTAAACTCTCTCTGAGCTGAAGTGTATATGTCTTCACACTGTAAAAATATGCGAAGTGTGATTTCATGGCAAAAAGGATTTCTTGTCAGTGTGCAGTGGTGCAGACATTGCTAAGCTTCTCCCTCGGCTCTTCTCCTTGGAGCCATTGCATAAGGGCCAATCCTGCTGAGAGTGTTTTCTTTTTGCCACTTGTGTTTTTCCTAAGTTTGTTGACTCAGTAGACGTTAAACACAATTTCCTGACCTTTCTAAATTAGACCATGCTGCTAAAGGGAGCCAATCAGTCACATTACAAAAAGACTTAACCTCTGTGGTGAAGAGAGAAATGTTCAGAGCTTCCTTGTTTTTCACCTCCCTCTGCTGGTAAAAAGTAATCCACGTATATTCTGCTCAAAAGCAGAACAATTTAAGGAGAGGGAATTTGAGTCTCATGGAAACAAAATCCTTCACTTATGCATAGTTGATGATTTTGTCTTTTAAATACAGAAAGAAAAATAAATATTTCTTTCATTAGCCATTACTGCCTGATCATTACCTGGCTGCAGTGAAGAAGGAACCCAAGTTATCTTCCACAGTGTATTTATATATAACTTATTTCCTAAATGTGAAATATAGTAATCCATAGGCTGACGCTGCCTTGTGTTCATTCTTTGGTATTGTTGACATATGCCTGTGGTGGTAGGAATTACAATGAAGTAGGAAAATGGGATACAGTAGCCTGCTTCTGGCCAACCTTATCCACCTTCTGCTTGCTGCTTTTCATTGGCTGTGAGTCATGAAAATTAGATGTATATGTCTATTAGAATTGTGCCCCAAATAAGAGTTAAGAGTCCCAGGGTGATTTTCAGACACAGAGAAAGCATGAACACTCGGTAAGTATGCATTGAATAAAAACAGTAAAGATCTAATATATTGACTAAAGAAGCAATACATTTCTTTAATGCCTGTATTTTTTAAAATGTATTTTGGCTGCTCAGAGGGATTCTCTGCGTCTTTTTGTGTTTTAGATGACTTCCTCATGGTCGAAGTTGATAGCTATGTAGCCTCCAGATAAGTTATGTATTAATGTGCTATTTATAATTATTGGGATTTGAATTAAGGGAGAAAACAATGAGGGATTAAAGGCTATTATAGCAGAAAACAACATTTTCCATTTTGGAAATATGTGATACTTTCCACAAGTTTAACTCAGCAGTGTATATCTGTAATTTATGAAAGCTCTTTTGCTGAAAAGTGATGTGAGGGAATACTTGAAATTGTAACATACTTTTAAATGTTAAATATCTAGCTCTTTTGTCCATTGGAGCTCTAAGAGTGTAGATAATCTGTCTTTCCTGTTTGCCACCATTATCACACATTGCACCCATTTTTTTGAATGTCTGTGCTAATGCTGAGGAATGTACAGAGATGATTAAAACACAGTTCCTGCCCTCAAGTTATTGGCAGCCTAGTAGGGAAAAGAAGCCATGGAGATAAACAACGTTAATGGGAAGGATAGGTGAAGGCCTCTATTCTGGGGCCTGCCTATAATGGCATGAACCTGAACTTCATGTATGTGAGTTTACTCATCTGTAAAATAAGGGCTATAGATGACATGAAATTGGAAACTATGATTCTCTGACTTATACCATAAAATATATGATGCAATGAGATCAGCATCCTTATTGTGTCATTCACTGCTGTTCCTTTAGCACCTGCCATAGAAGCTGGCACACAGTAGGTGCTCAGTTGTTTATTGAATGACTGAGTGGACAAAGAACATGGTAAAGAAATCAAAGTAAGGAGAGTTCATTTTTTATTGGATGATCAGTGAAGAGTTTATGGAGCAGATACTGTTTGAAATGAACCTTACAAAGTGTTTTTCTTAGGTGAAAATTTGGAGTAGGGTACAAATGGAGGCACTTGGCATCCAAGAGAAGCTGTGTATAGTTGAAAGAATATGGGGCTTTGAGCCAGAAGATTTGAGTTCAAATCCAACCAAGCTTTGCCACTCACTAGTGTGTGTTTTTTTGGTAAGTCACTCCAGTGACTTACCATCACGTATAAAATAGGGATGATAATACTGATCATTTGACAGGTTTGTTATAAGGATTAGATGAAATGGTACAGGGTATGTGGATGACACCTGATGCCAGGCTCAAAAATGTGAATGTGAAGGAGTAACAAAAATCAAAGAAGCAGCTGGCTGTGGTGGCTCACACCTGTAATCCCAGCACTTTGGGAGGCCAAGATGGGTGGATCACCTGAGGTCAGGAGTTCAAGACCAGCCTGGCCAACATGGTGAAACCCCATCTCTACCAAAAATACAAAAATTAGCCAGGCGTGGTGGCATGCAACTGTAATCTCAGCTACTCAGGAGGCTGAGGCAGGAGAATTGCTTGAACCCAGGAGGCGGAGGTTGCAGTGAGCTGAGATCACACCACTGCACTCCAGCCTGGGTGACAGAGCGAGATCCTGTCTCAAAAAAAAATAATGAAAAAGAAAAAAAATCAAAAAAGTGTGGAGGTACACAATGAAGAGTATGTGTACGGATTGATATTCTGTGTTGGTATAGGGTATAGTTGCAAAAAATGTTAGATTTGGACATAAAGTTGTCTTGAGGAGCTATAGCTTCTAGAGAAAATGTTGTATTTGCCTTGGACACTTTGTATTTGATATGTTGTAGAAGTTGGTCTGTCAGCAATCAGTGGAAGAAGAGTTTTTAGCGATAATGCTTTTAAGGCTCATTTGCCTAAAGACTACCATGACTGAATTGATTTAATGAAAAGGAAAAATTATTCAAAACATAGGCTGCTCAGTCATTTTTTGGTGGGGAAAATAGAAGCTGGAGAGTAAGGAGAAGAACTCCTAAGAGCAGTGAGAAAACTTAGCTCATTTTTATCTCCTCTGTGTCTTTGTGTGTGTCATTCCATCTGAAAGCCCACCTTTCAATTTTCACACCCTCCATAGATGTGTCTCTATTGCTCATGAACCCTTTTGTATTTTCAGTCCTTACTCTCCTTAGTGGTGATCTGCTTCTTTTGTAATTAAAAAAGAAAACAAGGCAAAGATGATGAAGTATTGAGAATGATTAAAAAAAACAGTTTATCTGAAATTCAAATTTAGCTGGGCAACCCTACCCAGGAAGTACCTATGAGCTTTAGGGATGGAGTCACATAGACAGAACTGGGTTTGAATACAGCTCCACTAGGTAAGTCAATTAATTTTGTGTGTATGTACCATGGTTCTCTTAACTGTAAAATTGGAATAATAACAGTACCTATTATGGAGGCTTATTGTAAGGATTAAATGAGATAATTCACGTAAAGCACTTGAATAATGCCTGGTGGCATATAGTATCTACTCAGAGGATATTTGTTAACTATTATTGTTTATGAGTATATCAAGAACCATAATAACTGGATCAAAAAAGGTGAACTGAAGGGATCAGAAAGGACTAGATGGGTTATTTTCTGATCAGGACAGTTCTTCATAAATGCCCATGTCCAAATCAGCAATTGATCAATGGCGATTCACAACCTCACAACTTAAGCTGCCAACATGCCACAATGAAAAAAGGCAGATATAGGCCTTCAAGAACAGCAAACAAGGTCAGCAAGCAAGGCTAGTGTACTGTTGACATTTATTTTTATCCTTTCATCTGTACTTCATTCAAAAAATGACTTGAGGTGACTTGCAATGAAACAGATAGTCCAAGATAAAAAATAAGTGAAAGCCTTGGGGCCAGAGATGAAGAAGGGGAAATGTGCACATGACTGTCCCTGGTTCTATCCTGTGAACCGGGGTATGGATTCTTTACCAGGCCCTCCCTGGCAGTGATGGCTGATTGCAGCTGGGTGAGCACATGTTCTTCCTGTTCTGACTTACCCTGAAACTTTTAATTTCTGGCAATATCTCTACTCTTGTAATATCGACTTGGAGACCTGGATATTTCAGTTTATTAGGTGCCCATAATGTCAGCTCTCTGGATCTCTCTCCAGGAAGCTGGAAGCCTTGGCTAATGACTCTGCAAGTGGGAAATGCAAGGTTATCCTTCATTTTTACTATGAAGAAGGGCCTGATTATCTGTTGAATTGGAGACTTATTACTTCTTATTTTATCCACCTTACACCACCAGAGTTAATAGGGAGACAGGACTGGCAACCAGTAAGTTACTCTGGGCTTCAGATGGAAAGGGGTTTACTTCTCCCCATTAGAACATTAGTTTTAGATAAGACGTTCAATCTAATTTGTTAATAACATTATAATTCATGTAGTCAATAACATTAAACTTGAATGTAATCATTATCATGATTTATCACTAATGATAGCTCGGGGCTGTACTAAAATTAATTATGATGATTTTCTAGTGAATGTACATGTGGCGAGTATAACTTAGCATCACTACTGAGAGGATTGCAACACATCAGCTATCATGTCATTAATAATTTGAATTATATTGCAACTGTTAGAGACAGTTCCAAGTTAATGCCAGGGATTTATTTAGTTGACTCTTGGGTTGCAGCCTAACACTTCTTTCTCTGGTTATCAGGCATCTCAATTTTTAATTGTGGTTTATCTCACCTAACTTATAACAGAGAATGTGAGGTTCATTTTACTATTTCATATGCTAGACTTTTAAATGGAATAAGGTAGAATGGAAAGGCTATTCTTTTACACTTGTAGCTATCATTATGACATGCACAATGTAGGAACTGACATGATTAAATGTTTTGCTTTGGAGAGTTTTATTTGTATTATTATCAGAAGTTGCATGGTTCAAATCCTGGTGAGTTCCAGAAGGTTCTGCCACTATGTTTTTTTCTACTCATTCTTCATTTTCTTTACTCAGAATTGCCTAACCTGAATCTTATAGAAATTTTCCTTACCAGCAAATCAATTCAGTCATTTTCAGCTAAAGTTTTTTGCTTTTTTGCATATCTACACAGAACCTTTAAGAGCAAATTCTAAAAGTGGCTAATTTCTTTTACTCCCATTCATTAATTTTAAGAAAACTTTTTATTTTGACAAAATTATAGATTCACATACAGTTGTAAGAAATAATAGAGATTGTACCCACTTTCCCCAGTGTTGACATCTTGAAAGAACTGTAGTACAATATCATGATTAGGAAATTGACACTGATACTGTTAACATACAGAACAGTTATGTCCTTATAAGGATCTCTCATGTTGTTGTTTTATAACCATGTCCACCTCCCTCTCTCGTTCATTTTATTTATATTCACAGGTATGTGTTACCTTAATTCCTTGCAGTTGTTCTACCTTCAGTAAATCCTGGATCAAATGAGTTTTCGGTAGAAAACAACCATATTCTATGGGTTTCTAATTATGTGTGTAGTTATTTGCATAGTGCAAACCTCAGGTCTGATAGGTAGCCGAGATCATTTGAAAAGTTTCTCCAGCTAGCCTTAGGTCATTCCTTGGAGTTGGGGAGCAGAGGAGAGGGGACTCTATAAGGGACTTACTAGAGCCTTTGCAGTGAGCAGGTATTGAAGGAAAAGCTGTGGAAATAGTGGGAAAAGTTAACAGGAAAAGCAGAGTTATAGACCATGTTCTAGAGGCATGGCTATCCAATAATGGAAAATGGAAGACTTAATGGAGTCGGGTAAACTTTTCCTTGAGTAAAGCCTGCGTGGAAACCTTCAAGGTTCCAGTCTGTATGTGTGTGGGTGGGCGAGAGAGGGTCATGTGGCAGAAGTGAGTGATGCTTTTAAATCAAGTAGATAATTTCTTTTGGTTCTTTGGAGAAGGTGCTAAAGCGATAAATGTAGTTACTGATGGCCGGGCGTGGTGGCTCATGCCTGTAATCCCAGCACTTTGGGAGGCCGAGGCAGGTAGATCACCTGAGGTCAGGAGTTCGAGACCAGCCTGACTAACATGGTGAAACCCTGTCTCTACTGAAAATACAAAAATTAGCCAGGCGTAGTTGTGGGCGCCTGTAATCCCAGCTACTCAGGAGGCTAAGGCAGGAAAATCACTAGAATCCAGGAGGCGGAGGTTGCAGTGAGCTGAGATTGCGCCATTGTACTCCAACCTGGGCAACTGAGTGAGACTCTGTCTCAAAATAAATAAATAAATAAATAAATAAATAAATAAATAAATAAATAAATAAATAAAATAATTAAAAAATTAAAAAGTAGGTACTGAAAACAGGGTCCAACTTCCCATAAGAGGGGCCTGATCAGTGCTGGGGTTGGGTATGGCTGGTTTGCAGGGCTGATATTTAGCCCTAGGCAGAAAGTGAGGCAGATGCCCACACAAACAGACTTTAATAATTCATAAAGTGTTCCATGACAATCATGACTGAGCATTCCAGAGCTTAGTTCTACTCAATGTACGTTTGTTGACTATTTACTGTGTACCAGGTTTTGACCCAGATGTTGAGGAAAAAATGCCCCCAGGCTGTAAAGAACTGAGAGAGCACTGGATATAGTAAACATCAAGCAGACCCAGGACCATATGAGGGCAGCAAGATACACTCTAGATCCCACCTTTTGGCATGACTGGGGCTCCCATAAGACTGTGTCCTAATCAGGATTTATTTTAGTGTCTAGTATATTCCCTGCCCAGGTCATTATTAGGGCTTAAAACTGAGAGACAGACAATCAGACAGACAGATAGACAGATAGATAGGCGGAAATGAGGCTCAGTAATTCAGCAGAAGGCAAGGGCTAACACTTTATTTCAGTTCAACATTCTTTTATCCTCAGAGAGTAATATAAGGAGCATTTAACACTCGAGATATCAGTAAACAGAATGGTGCAGCTTTGTGTCATGGTGAACGATAGCAGATGTCTAAAAAGTCTATAGCTAACTGAAAAATCCTGAGTGCTCTTGCTTAGGATCAAAAAAGCTTTCATTAACATCTTTAATCTATGTAACAAAATCTCAAATTATTTTTCATGTCTTTATTGTTGCTTGTACCAGTAACCAAAATTTCAGGAGAACACAATGAATTACAGTGTGACCTAAAATCAACAGTGAAGAGTCATCAACCAAAAAAAAAAGAGATTATTTAGGGGAACGGAAATGATTCAGATACCAAAGTAAAAAAGCCACTTGTTGACAGAAATATACATTTGTAACTATTGTTTAATTGGTCATGTAGGCCATGGAAAAAATCAAAAGCCCAAGTCATATAACAACCCTTTTTGATTTTAGACTTCCTTCCACCACCTTTATTTTTTGGTGGACTTAACCTTTGATTAGCCTTTGATTTCCTGTTACTATTACCCTTGGTGCTTTGTCTTCTCTTTGCCCTGTGTTTGCATGATTTGTGTTCTTCATCTTGAAGAAGTGCTCCACACTTATCTTTTTCCCATGCTCTATCTCTTCCAAATCAGGTGCTCAGATGGCAGAGGCCTTTTTAATGAGTCCCTGTCAAGCTATGCAGACTACTTTCACAAACAACCCTCCAATGTCAATGACTTGACACAATAAACATTTATTTCTCAGTTGCACAAAATCCAGTGTTGATGTTCTTGGTCAGGCATTTGTCTTGGGTGGCTATCTTCTAAATGCTGACTCAAGGATGCTGCTTCCTTCCATCTTACAATGCCATCATCTTCAATAATGAGTCTTCATGGTCATTTCAGATGGGAAAGTGCAAGAACAGAATACTTGACACTTGGTTTTGAAGTGGTACGTACTTCACTTCTGCTTTCATTCTACTGGCCAGAACTAGTCACATGGCCCCACATAGATGCAAAAAGAACTGTGAAATGTAGCCACTGGCTAGGCTGTCATTTCTCAATGACATCACTATGCTTTGGTGTACTTCTAGCTGTTTCTGGCTCACCATCCTTTGAAAACATTGTTCCATAAGAGTGTCTCAGCTGTTTTCTGAGTCCTAGGTGATTCTGATCCCATGTCTATTCTACCTGAACTGTGTTTGATCACAAAATCCTCCTCAATTCAAAGCCACCAGTAAGAAATATAATCCTTTCTTAATTTTAATAATGTATCTGGAGAAGAGTGAGTCACCTCTGTATGTCAATAGCTGCAAGAAATTACTGTTTATGCTTTCTGGAGCCAGAAATCCCCCCATTAAAACCAGACCATTACTACAGAAAGTCAAATATTGCATGATCTCACTTATATGTGAAATCTAAAAATGTCAAGTTCATAGAAACATGAGTGGAATGGCTGTTACCGGGGCACGGGTGGGGGAAATGGGGAGATGTTGGTCAAAGGGTACAAAGTTGCAGTTATGTACAGCATGGTGTCTATAGTTAATAATAATTCGGCTGAGCATGGTGGCTCACGCCTGTAATCTCAGCACTTTGGGAGGCCGAGGCAGGCAGATCACTTGAGGTCAGGAGTTCGAGACCAGCCTAGCCAACGTGGCGATACCCCGTTTCTACTAAAAATACAAAGATCAGGTGGGCAGTGCATGCCTGTAATCCCAGCTACTAGGGAGGCTGAGGCAGGAGAATTGCTTGAACCCAGGGGGCAGAGGTTGCAGTGAGCCGAGATCGTGTCACTGCATCCAGCCTGAGTGACAGAGCAAGACTCTGTCTCAAAAAAAAAAAAAAGAAAAAATCTATTACATACTTGAAATTTGCTAAGAGAGTAGATTTTAAGTATTCTCAACACACACACACACACACACAACAGTAACTATGTGAGGTGATGGATGTGTTAATTAGCTTGATTGTGGTAATCATTTCACAATGTATATGTATATCAAAACATTACATAGTATATCTTAAATACATGCAATTTTGATTTGTCAATTATACTTCAATAAAGCTGGAAGCAAAACAAAAAAATGGCCCATTACTTAGAGCATAGAAAAAACAAATGAAATCATTGACAATTTTAGCTCAAATTTCCAGGTTTGTTACATATCATGGATTTGAAGGGAATTATTTAAAAACCATGATGTACTTTTCATAGAGCTGGATTTTGATGGGACCAATGGAGTTCCCCCCCTTGTGTTCTCTAGTGCTGGTTTTGGACCCATACAGATGTGAGAGTGACTCTTACCATTCTGGCAATAAGCCTCTGCATTAAACACCTTGCTCTGGGGAAGCTTTCAGCATAACACGTCGGCAACAAAGGCTAAATATATATGTATATGGATGGATCCTTCAAAAGGCTAAAAATATTGCATTTGATTGTCCTGCCTCTCTGGATTCCATTAACTTGCAGAGACCAAGGAATAACCTGGGGTTCTTAATCTTCTGCATTTAATTCAGATCCTGTTATTTATACAACCATTTATTTACTGACCAAGGCCTGCTGTTCTCCAAAGATAGGGGAATGGTTAAATAAATTATGCTACATCTATATGTTAGAATATTAAGAAAGCTTTAAATTGTGTTTCTCAGAATTTTAATGGCCATTAGAAAATGCTCATAATATGACATTTCATTTGACAATATTTATATGATCTCAATTTGCATGTGTCTATATGTGTATATGTGCTGATATAGGCATAGTAAAATGATTGGAAAAAAAGAGATCAAAATTTTAACTGTTGTTATCTCCGGGCAATGGGATTGTGGGTGACTTTTATATTCTTTATATTTCTCTGTGTTTTCCAAAGTTTAAATATGAGCATGAATTACTTATGAGAAGAATATCAGTCACTACACTGTCAATCAAGTTCAGCATCTAAACATTCTCATGAAAATTACTAAAGGTTGGAAGAAAGGGGGAAGTTTGGCTGTCTTAAATGGTTGAAACCTCTATCTTTAAATAAGAAACATGTAGAGTGACCTAACATTGAAAACACTGGTTATATCACTTTTTTGGTCATTCTTAAATTTTACTGCTGAAATTTATTAGTCCTTGTAGTAAACATTTCTAAAAGTTTATTGTAGAATTATAAGTTTATAAGAACGTGTAAGAATTAAGTCATGAAATTGTAGCCTCCAGGTAGATGGCAGTAGTCCTTGGTTTACTTTTGCATGGGAGAAGGCTGGTATTGCATAAGAGAAATAGCACAGGCTTTGGAGTGTCCTTGGTTCCAGTCTTGGCTCTGTGGTGTACTAGCTATGTGACTTGGAGCCAGTTACTTAAAGTTTCTGAAACTTTGTGTCTGTATCTACAGGTTGTAGGTATTTCCTGCCTGGCAAGTTTCTTTGACAATTAGAAATAATAAATGTCCAAAGTTTCTAATACTTCTCTGTCAACTCCCCAGACACTCAACTCTCCAACCTCAGATGTTCCAGAGAATGATATCTCTTTCATTGCTAGCTCACTGCCAAATCCTCAATTGACAATAGCTTGATTGCTGCTGCTGCTTCTCCTGCTGGTACTATAATTATTACCATTACCACTGCTATGATCATGAGCTTCCCCTTTACCAGTGGCAATGGTACCACTGTACTATCTAGCTATACTGACGTTGGTGGGTCAGTTTTATTGCTTTAGCCTAATTTTCAGTTCCAGTCAGGGCTATATTCAGCTGCTTTGCATGGACAGGACAGACCTTTTCTACCGCCCTCTGCCCAGCTAGCAATTAAGGGGGGTTAAATTATGGTAAAGAAGGGATCTTCAGCAACTACCTCCAGCCCTCAGGCCTGCATCTTCTCTGATTGTTCAGTACGTATGGGTATTGATTGTTAAATACTTTGAATTTTATACCTGGTTCTAGTCAAATAAAGACCAAGAGAGGTCATATATCTCCTATACTGCTGAAGAAAAAAATATCATGATAGCCAACTGAGTACTAACATTGAAGCCTTGAAAAGTGAGAGAATATTTGCAGTAAATGTTAAGTTGATGATAAAATGCTTCTTATTCCTCTTTACACTTTGCAAATCCATTCCTGGGACAGCTGTGTGTTCAGGACAGTGTTGATGAGTGCACCTGCTGTGATCCTTGGAAAGCATCTTTGTGGAGGAGGACATCATGAACACTAACAGGGGGAATTTCTCGTTTTCATTTTCATTTCTAAGAGATGCAAAATGTATCTCACCAAAACAAAGAAACAAAAAGCTAAAAACAAACACATAACACTTTCCACAACCTTCTTTACTAATTCCCTGGGTGGAATTTTAGGAATAAAACCACAGACTGAAGGAATTCTACACAAATAAACTCTACACAAAGCCTCTGTGTATGTGCATGCACATGGTCTGCTACCATTACGACATTGCAAAGCAAGATCAGTGAAATGATCTAACATTCTGAAGCACTCAGTTCTTGGAATATCATCCAAGTTCCTATGCATTTCAATTTGAAAGCTTAGTTGCTTAGTTATAATTGTAACAAAAAGGAGAGACATAAATCTTCCTTGAATTGATCTATGTGTGACATAATGTGGAATATTCTCCAAAAATAATTTTTGCCTAACCCAAGCCCTTAAAATTAAAATATCTGGACTATAAATTTATCTTCTAGTCTCAACCCTAGAGGGACAGTAAAGGACCAGATTTCCTTGCCTCTGCAGGAATAAATGTAGTAGAACTCTATGACACCCAACTCTACTATAACATATGTTCAGTTATATTGCAGGCCAAACCATGCACCCCAAATAGAACAACTTTATATACGATAAGCCATTGAAACTGGCACCAGTTCTGTCCTGCAAGGCTAGCATTATGCAGGGATTTTAAATGTCCATTTTGGAAGGATGTGTTTTTTGTAGGTGATGGATTTGTATTTTGCCTTGCCTAGAAAGTTAGTGATGCTGTATTAGTTTGTTTTCACACTGCTGATAAAGACATACCTGAAACTGGAAACAAAAAGAGGTCTAATTGGTCTTACAGTTCCACATGGCTGGGGAGGCCTCAGAATCATGGAGGGAGGTGAAAAGCACTTCTTACATGGTGGTGGCAAGAGGAAAATGAGGAGGAAGAAAAAGCAGAAATCCCTGATAAACCCATCAGATCTCATGAGACTTATTCACTACCATGAGAATAGCACAGGAAAGACCAGCCCCCATGATTCAATTACCCCCCCCATAGGTCCCTCCCACAATACATGGAAATTCTGGAAGATACAATTCAAGTTGAGATTTGGGTGGGGACATAGCCAAACCATATCAGATACCAAAGACTGCTGGTCCATGCCTTAAGAAGTTCTTCACCAAAATCAAGGCATTTAGGCAGTGGTTAGACTGAGCTGGTCAAGGTGAAACCAGATATTGAGCTGGGAGAAGAGATATCATTTTTTGGAACATCTGAAGTTGGGGAGTTGAGTGTGTGGGGAGTTAACAAAGCAGTATTCGACACTGTAGATATAGAGTTAGTGTAGTATTGGTCTCTAGAGTCTATTGTGCTTGCAGCCTGGAAAGGTCTATGACTGTAGTTATTTGTTTGGACAGCTACCTGAATTCTTTTATTTTTAAAGGGGGACGATTTTACATCTCCTCCTCAGTTTACCTAGCCTGCCAATCTGCAACTAAGGAGATCAGATTGTCTCAAATTTAGCTTCCATATGCTATTAAGTTCTTTTTTTTATTTTTTGAGATAGGGTCTCACTCTGTCAGTCAGGCTGGAGTGCAATGGTGCTATCATACTTCCCTGCAGCCTCAAACTCCTGAGTAGCTGGGACTACAGGCATGTGCCACAGCACCCGGTGTATTAGTGTGTTTTCACACTGCTGATAAAGACATACTTGAGACTGGGACGAAAAATAGGTTTAATGGACTTATGGTTCCACCTGACTGGGGAGGCCTCACACTCATGGTGGAAGGTGAAAAGCACTTCTCACATGGCTGTGGCAAGTGAGAATGAGAAAGAAGCAAAAGGGGAAACCCTTGATAAAACTATCAGATCTTGTGAGAGTTATTCACTACCATGAGAACAGTATGGGGAAACTGCCCCTGTGATTCAATTATCTCCCACCAGGTCCCTCCCACAACACATGGGAATTATGAGAGTACAATTCAAGATGAGATTTGGGTGGGGACACAGAGTCAAACCGTATCATTCTGCCCCTGGCCCCTGCCAAATCTCATGTCTTTATATTTCAAAACAAATCATGTCTTCCCAACAGTCCCCCAAAGTCTTAACTCATTTCAGCATTAACTCAAAAGTCCACAGTCCAAAGTCTCATCTGAGACAAGGCAAGTCCCCTCCACCTATGAGCCTGTAAAATCAAAAGCAAGCTAGTTACTTCCTAGATACAATGGGGGTACAGTAATTGGGTAAATACAGCCATTCCAAATGGGAGAAATTGGCCAAAACAAAAGGGATACAGGCCCCATGCAAGTTCAAAATCCAGCAGGGCAGTCAAATCTTAAAGTTCCAAAATGATCTCCTTTGATGCCACATCTCACATCCAGGTCATGCTGATGCAAAAGATGGGCTCCTATGGCCTTGGGCAGCTCTGCCTCTGTGGCTTTGCAGGGTATACCCTCCTTTCTGGTCACTTTCATGGGCTGGCATTGAGTGTCTGCCACTTTTCCAGGCATACAATCCAAGCTGTTGGTGGATCTACCATTCTGGGGTCTGGAGGACAGCAGTGGCCCTCTTCTCACAGCTCCACTAGGCAGTGCCCCAGTTGGGACTCTGTGTGGGGGCTCCAACCCCACATTTCCCTTCTGCACTGCCCTAGCAGAGGTTCTCCATGAGGGCCCTACCCCTGCAGCAAACTTTTGCTTGGGTATTCAGGCGTTTCCATACATCCTCTGAAATCTAGATGGAGGTTCCCAAGCCTCAATTCTTGACTTCCTTGCACCCACAGACTCAACACCACATGGAAGCTGCCAAGGCTTGGGGCTTGCACCATCTGATGGCATGGCCTGAGCTGTACCTTGACTCCTTTTAGTCACAGCTGGAGCAGCTGGGAAACAGGATGCCAAGTCCCTAAACTGCACATGGCAGAGGGACACTGGGCCTGGCCTATGAAACCATTTTTTCCTCCTAGGCCTCTGGGCCTGTGATGGGAGGGGGCTGCCACAAAGGTCTCTGACATGCCCTGGAGACATTTTCCCTATTGTCTTGGTGATTAACATTGGGCTCCTTGTTACTTATGCAAATTTCTGCAGCCAGCTTGACTTTCTCCTCGGAAAATGGGCATTTCTTTTACTGCATTGTCAGTCTGAAAAATTTCCAATCTTTTATGCTCTGTTTCCCTTTTAAAACTGAATGCCTTTAACAGAGCCCAAGTCACCTCCTGAATGCTTTGCTGCTTAGAAATTTCTTCTGCCAGATACCCTGTATCATCTCTCTCAAGTTCAAAGTTCCACAAATCTCTGGAGCAGGGGCAAAATGCCGCCAGTCTCTTTGCTAAAACATAACAAGAGTCACCTTTGCTCCAGTTCCCAACAAGTTCCTCATCTCCATCTGAGACCACCTCAGCCTGGATTTTATTGTCCATATCATTACCAACATTTTGGTCAAAGCCATGCAACAAGTCTCTAGAAGATTCCAAACTTTCCTACATTTTCCTGTCTTCTTCTGATCCCTCCAAACTGTTCTCTGCTACCCAGTTCCAAAGTCAGTTCCACATTTTCAGGTATTTTTTCAGCAACACGCCACTCTACTGGTACTAATTTACTGTATTAGTTCATTTTCATGCTGCTGATAAAGACATACCCAAGACTGGGAAGAAAAAGAGGTTTAATTGGACTTATACTTCCACATGGCTGGGGAGGCCTCAGGATCATGGCAGGAGGTGAAAGCCACTTCTTACATGATGGTGGCAAGAGAAACTAAGGAAGATGCAAGAGCAGAAACCCTTGATAAAATCATCAGATCTTGTGAGACTTATTCACTACCATGAGAACAGTATGGGGGAACCACCCCCATGATGCAAATTATCTCCCACCGGGTCCCTCCCACAACATGTGGGAATTATGGGGGTACAATTCAAGATGACATTTGGGTGGGAACACATACCCAAGCCATATCACTCACAATTGTGGTTGAAGGCAAAAGGCACTTCTTACATGTCCATGACAAGAGAGAATGAGACAGAAGCAAAAGTGGAAACCTGTTTTAAAACCATCAGATCTCGTGAGTCTTATTCACTACCACGAGAACAGTAGGAGGGAAACTGCCCCCATGATTCAATTATTTCCCACTGGGTCCCTCCCACAACATGTGGGAATTATGAGAGTACAATTTAAGATATTTGGATAGGGACACAGAGCCAAACCGTAATACCTGGCTAATTTTTTGATTTTTTAAAGTAGAGACGAGGTCTCACTATGTTGCCCAGGCTGGTCTTGAACTCCTGGGCTCAAGTGATCCTCCTGTTTCAGGTTTCTAAAGTGCAGTGATTATAGGCATGAGCCACCAGGCCTGGCCAATATGCTGCTAAATTCTCAATCTAGAAGAGTGTATTTTGCTTTCTGAATGTTCCTTTCCTTAATAGTGTTTCATTCTTGTAGACTTTTTCTATTTTTATTCCTTTACTCTCACTTTATGGTGTTTGGGAAGGAAACATATAACCCTGTGTGGTTCAGTTTGCCACAACTAGAATTCTCCCAACACACACCATTTTCAGCTTCTCCTAGGACCTGATCAGATTTCTTCCCCATCTGCTCAACAACTCCTCCATTAAACGTAATTCGCTGTGCTAATTTAAGCCTGCCAGATTATGTTCTCTGATGCTCCAGTTGCTACATTTAAAGGAGAGAACCTGCTTCACCCAGAGAATCTACTCAGACACAGGTTTTATTTTTCTCCTTCTGGACAAGTGTTGGCCTAGTGGGTTTTGGAATCAGACAGAATTGAGTTTAGATCGTGGCACTGTTATTTATGTACTGCATGGGATAGGGAAAATCAGTTAATGTCTCTGGGGGTTTTCTATCTGTCAAATGGATATGATATCTATATATCAGAGTTTTGCAAAGACTATGTAACTTGAAAGTTTAGCAACACTTAATGGGTTGTCAGAGCTATTATAGATTCAATAAAAGAAAACTCTTATTGTATAAGGCAGGGAATGAGCCTGAACAATTAATTATTTGCACAATTGATTTCCTCAAGGGGAAAGAAAAGCATTCAAACCAACTATTTGGTACTGAATATAAAAAAAGAAGTGTCCTATTTATCGGAAAGGCTGAATTGGCCAGTATAATCAGTTTAATCAGGAAAGACATTTGCATGGAAAATTTTCCTAAATTAAAACAAATAAATAATATATTGGGTTCATCAACACACCAGCCTATTTAGATCAATGGCTTACTAATGTGAAAACATTTTCTAGTTGAAACACTATTTAAATGTTCACAAATATATTTCAAATTCAATAAATGATTAGGGAGGACTTGTCTGATCCTTTTCTAGGCCCTAAAATGAGACGGTGGAGGGGGTGGATCGTAAATAAAAAAGACATGGTTCCTATTCTGAAGAAGATTGCAAGAGGGAAGATGAGATGTATATTTAAATAGCTACAATGAGCATAACACATAGTGAATAAATTCTAAGAGCTTATAGGAGTCAGAGGTTTTTTCTTGCTGTAGTTGTGGAAGAGAGGTAAGGGTGGCTTTCTGGAGAGCGTGGGCTTTCATCTGGGTTTTTAAAAGGCGTGAGCCCCTTTAGCTGTTCATTTAGCTTGTCCAAGTTCTGACTTCTGAATGATGTAGTAAGCCACCAGCGCTGTCAGCACAAAGCCACAGGTGGCAAACTGGTAGCAGGAGTTCTAACAAGAAGCAATGCTGTTTGTAGATGTAGCTGCAAATATTAAGGCCAATGATGTACAGTCCCATTGCCTCCTTTTGTCAGGGTCTAGAGGGTTAGGTCAGCCAATTTCTGACAGGCACAAAGCAGCTGTTCAGTCTAATATATCTTTGCGTCAACAATTAAATTAAGGTGATGCTTTGATATATTGCTAGTCATTTTTACGGCCCCAAATCTCTGATGCTCTTGGTTTCCTAGATTATTGTATTCCTGCTAGCCATGGTAGTCCTGTGAATACAGCATTTTGAGATTCGAAGGAATATTTCTAGCCCTTATTCAGGAGTATTCTGAAACTCTGCTTAGAATAATTTGCTGTACAGTAGACATCAGGCTTCCATTAACCATCTTCCTGATGAAGGAGTACTAATGACTCACTTGCTTATTTTTAATGATTTCCTACAGATCGAAGTGTTACATTATTTTTCATTATCAACAAATGGTAGAATATTGGCATTAAAGAAAAGTCTGAAAGTAAAATTATTTGCTAATTCTATCACTATAGTATAGGGTGTTAAAGTAATGCTTGCTGCTACAACAGATAGACCATGATATCTCAGTGGCTTATTGCAGTGGATAGTTACGTCTTGCTTATTAAAGCCAAATCAGCAATGGTATGTGTGAGGTTCTGGGACTCAGAGACTCAAACTAACAGAGATTCTGCCATCTTCAAAACAGGGTTTCCTGGTGTTGACATCCAATTAGCAGACAAAGAAAGAAACCACAAAGAAGATGTTTATGGACCAGGAAGGAAAGTTGCTCACATAAATTTAACACAGTTCTATTGGCCAGAACACAATCACATGGCTCCACAAGTATGTAAGAAGAACTTGGAAATGTACTATGTGGCAAGGCAGCCACTTTCACTAGCATCATCTCACTTTGGTGAGGCTACACACAGCTACTGTTTTCTATTTGGCATCTTTGCAATCATAATATATCATCTTATGTCCTGCTTGTTCACTTAATATTGTATCAAAACCTTTCCTATCTGCATAGTTTGCATAATAGTTTTTAGTCATCACATGATATTTTATTGTATTGATAAATATTTATTAGGCCATTTTTTGGACATTTAGATTATTTTCTGGTTTTGAGGATGATACATTTTTTCTATGAACATCTTTCTGTGTCAAGATTTTCCCCTGTTAAATTATTTTCTTTGAATAAATTCTCATGAGTTGAATTAGTGAGTCAAAGGAGGAGACCCTTAGATATTGCTGTGCTGCTTTCAAAATGATGTTTCAATTCACAAGACTACCAGTGGAGTGTGAAGATTCTAATTATACCTACCAAGTAATGAGAATTAATACATTGCTTTTCTAATCTGCAGAGATGCTTAGAAGATGCACTCTTTTTCCCCAGTTGTCACTTGAAAAATTGTCTTTAAATATTTGCAGGAGTATTTCTTGGTCAAAAAAGCGTAGTCAAAAATTTCTCTCCTGAATGGTTGAATTAACCATGGTATATACACACAATAGGGTGTTATGAACCTGTCAAAAATAAGGGAGATCTCTAATGAATGCATTTGGAATAATTTCCAGGATATACTGTTGAGTGAATAAACAAAGTATAAGAGACTATCTGTAATATGCTACTCTTCATGTAAGAAAGAAAGGGATATAAGAAAATAACCATGTATCTGCTCATTTGTACAAAAGATATAGGAAGGAAAGCAGAAACTGAAGAGACTGGTTGCCTACGAGGTCTAAGTGATAAATGTATGGGAAAAAGGGAAGAATGGGAATGAGGTAATAGGGATAAGGAGGCAGTGACACTTCTCAGAGTTTATCTTTGTATATAGTGCTGACTCTTAGAACCATGGTAATGTTTCACACAACCAGCCAAAAATGAATCAATAATTAAAATCAAGCAAGATGAGGTGAAGGAGAACCTAATTGGGAAATAAGCAGTAACAAATGAACCTAATTGTATTTCAAATGAACAACATAGTCACCCTGAAGGGTACTGGGGAAGAAAATGGACCTAAATAACTATGGTAGGTACCCTGTAAGATGGTCCTTAATGATCCTTACCTCCTGGCTTTCATGCCCTTGTGCAATCCCTTCTCCTTAAATTTGAGATGGATTTGATTATTTCTTTTAGTGAAAAGAATGTGGCAGGAATGGTGGCATGTTACTTCTGAAATTAGATTATGAAAAGACTGTGCCTTCTGTCTTGGGTATCCTTTCCTGCTGGTATGCCCACTTACACAGAATCTGGCTTCTATGTTGTGAGCTGCCTTTTGGAGAGGTGTATGGGACAAGGCAGTGATGTTTCCAGGTAAAAGACATGACGAACTGATGCCTGCCCAGAGCCATATGAATGAGCTTAGGATGGTCTTCTCCCAATTGAGCCTTGAGATAAATGCTGCCTTGGCTGACACCTTGATTGGAGCCTTGTGAGAGACCAGGAGCTAAAGGCATGCAGCATAGCCATGCCCAGATTCCTGACCCACAGAAATTGTGAAAAAACTTTTTGTTGTGTTCAATTGCTAAGTTCTAGGGGAATTTTGTTATTTAGCAATAAATAACTAATATAGTAACATTGGAAAACAGTATTCTAACTGGATATTTTAAGGTTAATGACAAAAAATACACTAACACTATACTTATTTGTAACACCATTATTCACAGGGGTATTGTTTAGCAATTCTGTGACAAATTTATGTGATCAAGATTGAACAAATAAATGAATCTATTGTAGATAAAAGCTAGTTTTCTTATTGGTGGAGAAATAATTTACAAGTAAGAGAAGAAGGAAGGCTGAAATGAACTTTGAGGTGTTGGATTAGACTCAGATGTACTAGTATGAACTCATAGTGTTTAGTATAGAGATATATAGACATGGAAATAGACGTTGATGTTTGTCTACCATGTAGGTTAACATACATACCTGTATTTCCCAGCTTGATCCTTTGAAAAGACTAGAACTAATGACAGCTCACTAACAGTGAATATAATTAGTATTCAGACTTTGTTCTCTAAACACAATTCTCCAATAAAAGGAACTCAAAGGGCTTCTTAGAGAAGTGACTGATTCCAGAGTTGGGGCACGGAAAATATAAAATGAACCTGGAACATCTTGTGGTGCCAGAAAATAAGAAAATACTTACACAAATAGATAGGAGCATGTCAAAAGGAGACAGGATCCAAGCTGCCAGAGCTCCCAGTGGCCAAATCTGGGGCAAGTTGAGCAACAAAATAAATAACAATATTAATGGATTTTAACCCATAGGATAAAATAAATATTTATTTGTCCATACTGATATCAATTAAATGAATAAATAAATAGAATATAAGAAGGTAGTTTTCCTTACTGAAGGATTCCAATTCACGTAGAAGGAAGGAGTAAAATACAAAATCACCATTAGGAAAATACCACGGTAATAATTATTTACAGGTAAGATCCACCAATGGATAACAAAGCCAGTAGGTGATCATTTGAGGAGAAGCAAGACATTGGCATAGTGTCAAAAATATTTACCAGTTACAAAGGGAAAAAATGTTGACTTTATAGTGGAGAAACAAAATACCACCTTAATCATGTAATCAGGATTAATACCAATGGTAATCAGACATATGGGCATGATGTACCTCCTGATATGATACACTGAGAAGGGTACAACGTGCCTTCTTATTATTCATGCTCAAACTACATAACCTCAATCTGGTCATGAGGAAACATCAGAAAAATCCAAATTGAAGCTCATTCTGCAAAATAACTGCTCAGTAGTCTTTAAAGGTCTTCAGGTCATGAAAGACAAATAGAGACTGAGGAATTGTTGCATATCAGAGAGGACTAAAGAGAAGTAACAACTGAATGCAAGGTGAGACTCCGGAACAGGAAAAGGACATTAGTGGGGAGACTGGGGAAATTTGAATAAGATATGTAGTTAATAGTATTTTACCAATCCTAATTTCCTGGTTTTGATTATTGTGCTATGGTTATGTAAGATTAACATTAATATTAAGGGAAACAGTGATGGGTATATGTGAACTCTCTACTATTTTTGCAATTTGTCTGCTGGGAAACTTCCCTTCTGCAGATCTTTGGTCTTATCTCTAAGGGCAAGATCCAACCGGTTTGCAAAGGGAGGGACTTAGTTCCCAGTCTAGTGAACATTTCCATAGGCACATGCCTTTATTAGTTATATCTACAGTGGGCTAGTAATCTACAGATTTATAAGTCTGTAAAAAATGATCCTGAGTCACTTGACCTACAGCCTCAGAATTGTGCTGTTTTATATATACTTCAAAAATAGGCATTATCTCTCTCAGCCTCTACTTTGGACTATGGATGATGACACGTGGTATGATCATGTATGTTGAATGGTAGAAGGCCAGGACAGTTACCATCCAGCAGCCTGCAACAGAGTATCACAGAGCTATTATCATGTCACCAGGATCCTTTTGTTTTCTACCTCTGAACAGCTCCTTAACCACTGCTGCAAACAATAGAAACCTTGGTTGCCCCTTTAACTCACAGGATAATTTATGTCTTCTGTCAGTGTTCTCTTGGCAAGGGTTTGTTTTACTACAAGCAGAAGGAGAAAGAATTACATGTTGGAACAGTATAGGCAGCACATGTTTAATAACAAATCAATTTGAAATTGACCAAAGTGATGACCTTGTAAAGAGTTCTGACATGGGAAACTTATAAAGTCTCATGTTAGAGTCAAAAATAAATAGTTTGCCAACTGTCTTTCTCCTTTTCCTCTCGACCATCAGTGACCCTCTAATTCGTTTTAATAGGCAGGAATTTTTAAAAATGACACAAGCAAGCAATATAAAACAGTACAAAGAATATATTTTTAAAAATATCAAATCACAATGTTTAGAGGTGAGTGATGATAGCATACATTGTGGACATAATTATAGATAGTGATCTATATACAGATAGAAGGATGAATGGATGTGTAGGTGTGCAGAGATAGAAACAAATTTAAAAGAAAAGGATCACCTAGATGATGGGTTGATAGGTGCAGCAAACCACCATGGCACATGTATACCTATGTAACAAACCTGCACGTTCTGCACATGTATCCCAGAACTTAAAGTAAAATAAAAAATTTAAAAAAGAAAAAGATGATACAGAAGCATGTTATTTTAATAATAAAACCTATTAAATTTTTTTTCCTGTATTTGCCATAAGAGATATTGGTTCCTAAAATATCCCTTTAAGGCAAGCAGACACAGTATAAAGATGCACTAGGAGACTGAAGTAATGCTTTCTTGTAGGGCTCCATATCTCAATTTTATTTTATTTATTTATTTTAGTGAATTACTTTTTTCCATATCTCAATTTTAAACAACATGACTGAGCTCACGACCTTATAAAATCAGCTACTTAGTTATCTTGCCACTTGTTCCGTTTCCCTCCCCTCTAGCTTTCATTTTTTATTTTTTTGGCTTGTTTTGGTTTTATTTCATCAGGGCTTATACTATTTACAAGCTGTTCTGCAATCACAGTTCTTTCAGTTGTTGAAGTTCTATATTTAATTGGATTCAATACTTACTGTCCCATTATTTTATTTTATCTTGTTCTGAGTTCCTTATTGGACTTCCCTCTTGGTTGGCTGGATTTCATTATCAAGTAGTAATTTTTTTTTTTTTTTTGAGACACAGTCTTGCTCTGTCGCCCAGGCTGGAGTGCAGTGGCATGATCTTGGCTCACTGCAACCTCTGCCTCCCGGGTTCAAGCGATTCTCCTGCCTCAGCCTCCCAAATAGCTGGGACTACAGGCGCATACCACCAAGCCCAGCTAATTTTTGTATTTTTAGTAGAGACGGGGTTTCACCATGTTGGCCAGGATGGTCTCAATCTCCTGACCTTGTGAACCACCCTCCTCGGCCTCCCAAAGTGCTGGGATTACAAGCGTGAGCCACCGTGCCTGGCCTCAAGTAGTATTTTTTAAAGAGGAGCTCATTAGGGCTATATTTCCTGAAATTTTAATTTATTCATATCTGAGAATATCTACCTGTTGCTTTTACACTTGAACAACTTGTCTGGGTAAAGTATTTTGGAGTCACATTTACTTTCCCTTATGACTTTGCTCTATCTTCTAGCATGGAAAGCTTCTACAGAAGAGTCTGAGGCTAGGGAGAATTTCCCCCATTGCACATAACTTGCTTTTTCTGCCTGACTACTTAAATAATTGTTATTCATACTCCAGTTTTAATAACCAGAATATGTTTTGATGATGTTTGCATTGTGTGAGTGTTCCTTAATATATGGTGTGCCCTTTTGATTAGACGATCCAATTCTTCCTTCATGGAAATGTTCCTTATTTCAGGGACCCAATCATAGGATCACCTTTATCTGTCTTCCTTATCTTTCACCTAGTTGTTTAATACCTTTTTTCTGTACATTTGCATTCATTTAAAAAAATTTCCTTTATTAGATTGACTCTATTTTCCTCCTGTTTCCAATTTATATATTACAGCCTGTATTAAGAACATATCACTTCATTTTCTTAGCTCCATCATCTCTCTTTTCATTCTCTGGTTTTATTATATTCTATTTTAACTTGTGTTTTATTTCCTTTTTGTTGTTGTAGCATGAAACCCTTCCAGAAAAAAAAAGTTGTTTCTGTTTGTTTAGTTATATTTTTCTCCAGAATGATTAAGTTTTCCCTTTATTCCACTCTTCTTCCTTCCCCTCCCTCCCTACTTTTCTGTAATTGTATGTTTGCATAGTTACTTTATAATTTTACATTTTGCCCTTGCTTATTATTGGCAGCTTTGGCTGAACCTTCTATTTGCTCTTTATTAATGCATGACAATGAACTTTGACATTATTACCACTTTTTCTAGGTTCATCTTTTTAACCCCAGTTGCATGCAGTATGAGCTCTGGGTATTGTTTCTGTAGTCTCAGTGCTGAAGTTCTATTAGGTGAATTGGTATTATTGGTGGAGATTCAGTTGGTGCTACATGGGTATTTGCAGAAAAATCTATGTTGAAGATTTTCTCTCCTAAAGTCCTGTTAAACATATCAGGACCCCTCTACCAAGCCAGGGTTGCATTTCACTTGTGTGAGTATTAACTCATCTCCTCAACTCAACACATTCCTTTGGAAAAGGTGGTGAATTCTGATGGATCATCATATTGCTGAGGTCCCATGGGGACCTATGTACTGGCACATTCTCTACAAGCTAAAGGGCATTAATACAATTCCCATGATTTACTGGACCCCTCTTCTTTTTTTTTTTTTTTAGTTCTTCTCAGCACTGGAGATGGAATTAAGAGTCTAGCCATGGTATGCTCTACCATGGTTCGCTGTCCTTCGCCTGTCTCATATCCTCTTCTTCTTCCTTTCCCAGTTTAAATTGCATGGCCAATCATTATATGGATCCTTTGTAAAACATACCCTCTAATCAATTGCCTCCATCTCTTATATGGCAAAACTACAATCCTGGCTAAATCCAACTTCTCTGTGTATTCAACTGTGCAACTGAAAATAACTGGAGACAACCCACAGCCTTGTTGACTGGTTTCCTGAACTGCAAGTGGGCCCTTAGTACCATCTAGCAAATCCCACCACTTTTTTCTAGTCTAGTTTGTACACTCACTCTCCCAGATGACTATTTCACACATTCTTCTCTCTCCTCAAGCACCCAACACCTCCTCTCTCAACTTCTCTGTCAGTTAGTGTTCATATTTTTTACTTCATTGAGAAAACTGAAATGGTTAGAAGAAAACTTCTGCAGACTCCTACTAAAACATCTACCCACATGCATTTGTGTGAACCCATATTCTTTGCTGTCTATCCTATCGCAAAAGATGAACTCTTATTGCTTCTGCCTATCCAAGGCCAACCCTTCCAACTCTACATTAGATCCTCCTCTTGCCTACTCAAAGACATCACTTCAGCAATTTTCCTTTCTCCCTCAGGTGTTTTTGCCTTTCTCCTGGATAAATTTTTCTTCAGCATAAACACATGCTATTAGTCCTCTCAGCTTAAAGTAATTTTTTGTTGACCCCACTTATAATCCCATTTCCTGTCTTCCCTTTACATAAGAATTCATGGAGTTGTCTACACTAACTGTCTCCAATTCATCTTTTCCCATTCTTTTTTGAACCCACTCCAAACAGGCATTCACCCTCACCATTCTACTAAACTGTTCTTCTGAAGGTCATTATCTTGTTTGTTTCAAATACCTTATATGTGCTTCTAACTGCCAAATGTATAGCTCTTGCCTAAATTTCTCCACTAAACTCAATATTTGTATATCCAACTTCTTACTTGACATATCTACCTGGATATCTCATAATCGTCTCAAAACTAACATGATGAAAACAGAACTCCTGAGCTTCACCCATCCCTCAGACCTGCTCCACTAACAGTCTTCCATATATTATTTAATACCAACTCCATCCTTCCTTTTTATTAGCTCAGGCCCAAAACCTTGGAGCGCTTCTTGATTCTTCTCTGCTACTTATCTTCTTATACCTCACATGCAATCCACCAGAAAATTAGTTTGACTCTACCATAATATCTACCCGTCTTTCCTCCTTCCCTCCTTCCCTCTCCTCCTTTTTCTTTCCTTCTAGAATCTGACTTTTTATCACCCATCACTACCATCCTAGTCTAAGCCACCATCATCTTTTATTTATATTTTATTGCACTAGATTCCCCACTGTTCTCCCATCTTCCGCCCCTGTCCCCTGGAGTTATGTGGCAGCATAACTCCAATCTCTGCCTCTGTCTTCACATGACTGTCTTTCCTCTATGTATGTCTGTGTCTCTTTTCTTACAAGAACGTTATCTTAACTTCATTAAATCTGAAAAGACCCTATTTTCAAATAAGGTCACATTCAAAAGTACTGGGGGTTAGGACTTAAACATATCTTTTTGCGGGGTAGGACACAATTCAACCCATAAGAATAAGGTATTAGGAACAAAAAGGAGTTGATTTGTGTAAAAGCTATCATTAGGAAAGATTTTGGATAGATGACTTACTGGATTTGGGAGTGGAACGAAGGAGCATAGGAAAGGAAGTAATCATGGAATCTTCCAAGACTAACACATATATGCTTGCAACTCTTTGCTGAGAAAAATAGATCATAATTCTCTAACCTGATTCCTATTTAACATGATCATGGCATTTTCCTTGAGTTTTCAGAGAGAAATATTTCTTGTGTATGTGAAAGAGTTTGGAGTCTTTAAAAGTGTTTACAACTATAATGAAGTGCCACAACCACATAGAGACCTACGATCTTTTTAGCTTACTAAGAAAACACTTCTGAGATAGAGGTTAGAACACAGCAAAGAGAAAACAAATTACCCAGAAAATAAGAACGTGTCATCAGTTCTTCCATTTTAAAAGTCCCAGGGCTCGTTGCCTAATAAACTCTTTAATAGTAAATGCTTTTTCTTCAGGATAAATGAGGTTGCCCCTATCTGAACACTTTTTACAGGCTAGTCAAATAAGATAAAAAATTGAAAGGTTAAAAAAAAAGTGATGATTGCACCAATACGAGTGTTTACAGAAGAAATTTTTTATATAAGTTGTTACATCCCCACTGACATCTTTGATTCCAAAGTACTACCAATAGCTATTTGACACGAAGTCACTTTCTCTTAGACATGATGAATATGAGCAGTGTCCTTAAAAATTCATTTTTATAACCCCAAGGCATTGATACTCTGACAAATCTGCCCTCTTCATTCTTTATCACTTATTTCTCTCACTTATGATATATACATGAAGGATATTCTAAAATGTGGAGATCCATTAGATTAATGCAGCTTGGGGTCTAAAACTAAATATCCACTGAATTTCATTGCAATGTTAAAAGGTAACCAACAGAAAGGACAGTCGTATTTGAATGTCAGATCTGGCATCAGAAGATTACAGAGGATTATAATAGAATGACCCTGTAAGCACATAAATGTTCAATGAGGAAAAGTCAATTGAGAAAAAAAGGTTAAGAATGAGTTTAATTAGTTGTATGCAATGTTTTTAACTGTAAACACCCAAGTGTGTCTTCCCAGGTTTTAAATCAGCATTCAGCTATGAGTATTTATTAAATTAAATGTAATGCAAGTACACATGTGCCAGACCAAAGGCAATGGTTTTACCCAGCAGGATGAGGGAAACTGCAATCTGAACATTGTTTCTCCAAACTACACCAATGTTTTTGATGAGTGAGTCATGTTCTAAATAGCTGATTATGTTCAGAAAGAATGTTCAGACAGAAAACTCACTGAATGTGCTCTCTAAACACATTTGTTACTCTGCAAACTGGAAAGGAAGATGATACTCATATTTCAAAGATGCCCAAGAATGCACATGTGAATGAGCAAAGACGTTGGTTTCCATGCAGAGCAGACTGAGTGCCCGTTCTCCCAATGAAGAAAGAAGCTGTGATCTGAATCTTTTTTTTAAAGCAGTATGGCAATGTTTTTATCAAAGTAGAATTCAAGTCATGAAGCATTCAACAGGAAGATTATTTTATATTGATAACAGATACAGGCTATGAGGGGAAAGCTTTGCAAAGCAACAACAGCGAAACAGAAAGCAAAAACTATTGGAAGATTAGCTATGGAAGAAAAAGAAGGCTGTAGAGAATTTTAACAATGTAATTATTATGTTTCAATCAACAAAGAACAAAGAGGATAAATCTTAAAAAGTGGTCTTGCTATCGTTACAGAAGGTGATCATTCTTTACACTACAAGGGAAAACTCAAACTCTACAAAGGAGAAATTTCACAGACAACAATCTCTAGTATATCCATACCTGGGGAACAGAACAAAAGACTAGGTCTAGACTAGAAGACAGAGAGAAACCATGTCAGACCAGAGCATATTGATGGCTCATGGTGAGTGACCCATGGCCTAAAGGTGCTTGTTTAGGGCCCAGGAGCCACTCACACAGGCAGAGCAGCTTACTCCCTATGAACCACCACCAGCACCCCTCCCTGCCCGGTGATGTCACCCGGTGGGCTGGGCTGGAACAAGTCCAGATGCCTTTGCCCCGCCTTAGAAGGGCCACAAGGAGCTTCCTCCTCTATCCCCAAGTTCTCCACTTACACACAGCACCTGACACGAAGTTTGGCAACTTTCCCCCAGGCCATGACTTCACAATGGCTACCCCCGGCCTCTGTGGCCTCCGAGAGAGGACTCCAAGACAGATCCCAGCCCTACAGGGAAAGGGAAGCAACACTGCCGTTGACCTTGAAGGGATCACCGTAGGGGGCTATAGAAGGGATTGTGACATTTATTGTTCTGAAAATGCCATCAAAGATAGTCGTAAAGTCTAGTCTTATACACACTTGGCAAGACATAGCCAAAAGAGGTAAATTCGAAATTAGAAAAAATGTCAGCAGTTATTACCTGGAGTTTGACTGAAAATGCCATCAGACAGTTGCAAATTCTAGTCTTGTACACCCTTGGCAAGACATAGCCAAAAGAGGTAAATTTGAAATTAGAAAAAATGTCAGCAGTTATTACCCGGAGTTTGAAATTCTGACCTGTTACACAGTAGGATACCTCAACCTCCGTTTCAGTTTATTTAGGTACTTATTAGGTAGCTTGCAAAATTACTAGAAAAAAAATTCCTAGAGGACATCTTGAAAATGATGAAGTAGCAGGAAAATTACAAAGATATAACTTATTTACAAAGTCCATTGAAAAATACCATTGGAAAGCTTCAAGTTGAAGGTAATTCGTTGAAAATGCACTTAAAACAAAAATGGAATTATAATTTTTCTGAACTTTGGATACTCTTCAAATTTCCGGAGGTACCGCTCATGATGCTCTTTTGCTCTACCAGATAAAAAACAAAATGTGAAGAAAGCAAAAGTCGCGCCTTGGACAGACCAGCTGGCCAGGGCATAGCCACGCCACTCCATGATTTCTCCAAAATAGTTGCCTGCAGTTATGTATTCAAATAAGCCTCCCCTTGGTATTTTGTATCCAGTATCTCCTGCTTTTCTGAGATTCCTTAGGATATGATCTGAATGGATGTTTATCAACATGCCCGTTAACCACAAGCCAAAATTTATTAGAAAACGGGGATCTTTTACTCAGTCATCAGCATACACTGCACAATGGCTCAAGTATCTGCTTTGCAAATAGCCATTACAGGTACAGAACATAATCGCCATTGTGCACGCCAACAGTGGCACAGGCTTTCCTCCTCGCATCAGAAATGGGTAAATTAAGCACCGATGCCAGTAGTGGACGAGGAACATGGCCAGGAGGATGCAGCTGGGCGCGCTGCGGAGGCGCGGGGTGGACTCACTGGTGTACTGGTAGAGCGGCAGGGCCAGTGAGGGCAGCTTCTGCACCACCCGGGTGGCCCGCGCCGGCACTCGGAGCCTGCGGCTGGGTGGCGCGTGGCGGCTGTACACTGAGTTCGTCTGACGATTCCGAGCGAAGACCGCGCAGCCCACGGCGCACTGAAGGTAGGCGAACGCAGCCAGCAGGCGCTCCTCCACCACCGCCGTCGCCGTCGCCGTCGCCATCGCCAGGGCTGGGCCGCGTGCTCCATGCCCCAGAGGCCGAGGCAGGCAACATATAGGGCGGGGGCGGGAGGGGAGTGATCTGAATCTTTTTTTTTTTTTTTTTTGGCAGTATGTAGAGATATTCTTTATTCTTTTTTTTTCTTTTTTTAATTATTATTATACTTTAAGTTTTAGGGTACATGTGCACAATGTGCAGGTTAGTTATATATGTATACATGTGCCATGCTGGTGTGCTGCACCCATTAACTCGTCATTTAGCATTAGGTATATCTCCTAATGCTAACCCTCCCCCCTCCCCCCACCCCACAACAGTCCCCAGAGTGTGATGTTCCCCTTCCTGTGTCCATGTGTTCTCATTGTTCAGTTCCCATCTATGAGTGAGAACATGCGGTGTTTGGTTTTTTTGTCCTTGTGATAGTTTGCTGAGAATGATGATTTCCAATTTCATCCATGTCCCTACAAAGGACATGAACTCATCATTTTTTATGACTGCATAGTATTCCATGGTGTATATGTGCCACATTTTCTTAATCCAGTCTATCATTGTTGGACATTTGGGTTGTTTCCAAGTCTTTGCTATTGTGAATAGTGCCACAATAAACATACGTGTGCATGTGTCTTTATAGCAGCATGATTTATAGTCCTTTGGGTATATACCCAGTAATGGGATGGCTGGGTCAAATGGTATTTCCAGTTCTAGATCCCTGAGGAATCACCACACTGACTTCCACAATGGTTGAACTAGTTTACAATCCCACCAACAGTGTAAAAGTGTTCCTATTTCTCCACATCCTCTCCAGCACCTGTTGTTTCCTGACTTTTTAATGATTGCCATTCTAACTGGTGTGAGCTGGTATCTCATTGTGGTTTTGATTTGCATTTCTCTGATGGCCGGTGATGATGAGCATTTTTTCATGTGTCTGTTGGATGCATAAATGTCTTCTTTTGAGAAGTGTCTGTTCATATCCTTCGCCCACTTTTTGATGGGGTTGTTTGTTTTCTTCTTGTAAATTTGTTTGAGTTCATTGTAGATTCTGGATATTAGCCCTTTGTCAGATGAGTAGGTTGCAAAAATTTTCTCCCATTTTGTAGGTTGCCTGTTCACTCTGATGGTAGTTTCTTTTGCTGTGCAGAAGCTCTTTAGTTTAATTAGATCCCATTTGTCAATTTTGGCTTTTGTTGCCATTGCTTTTGGTGTTTTTGACATGAAGTCCTTGCCCATGCCTATGTCCTGAATGGTAATGCCTAGGTTTTCTTCTAGGGTTTTTATGGTTTTAGGTCTAACGTTTAAGTCTTTAATCCATCTTGAATTAATTTTTGTATAAGGTGTAAGGAAGGGATCCAGTTTCAGCTTTCTACATATGGCTAGCCAGTTTTCCCAGCACCATTTATTAAATAGGGAATCCTTTCCCCATTTCTTGTTTTTGTCAGGTTTGTCAAAGATCAGATAGTTGTAGATATGTGGCATTATTTCTGAGGGCTCTGTTCTGTTCCATTGGTCTATATCTCTGTTTTGGTACCAGTACCATGCTGTTTTGGTTACTGTAGCCTTGTAGTATAGTTTGACGTCAGGTAGCGTGATGCCTCCAGCTTTGTTCTTTTGGCTTAGGATTGGCTAGCGTCTTACCTCCTCTGCCTGCTGAACACATGAAAGAAGAGTCAAGAGAAAGAATGAAGACAAAATGCAATGTACAATGAAGAGATTGTTTGACTCCATTAGGTGCTCTTATACCTCCTACATTCAGAAAATCTGTTGTTTAATTTATGCACTTTGTAAATTCAATTCAACACTTTTGAGTGCCCAGTAGTTCTAGGCACACTTAACATATGTAGGGATATTCCAAGTATACAGCAATGGCAAGCCATGGGTGGGAGTGTTGCTGCACGTTTGAGAAAGAGTGAGGAGGCTAAAGAGGCTGGCATGGAATGATTGAGGGGAAGAAAAGTAAAATATGAGGTAAGAGAGGCAACAAAAAGCCAGATCATAGATAACCTTGTGGGCCATTATAAGAACTTTTACTTTTACCCTGATTAAAGTGTGGTACCATTGTAGAGTTTTGGGTAAGGGAGTGTCCTATTAAAGCAAATACTCTGAGAATAGACTGGGAGAATCTGATGATTAAATGTCTTGGGGACGATCTTCTCATGGAGTATCTTACTGGGGTTCTCTGCATTTCCTGAATTTGAATGTTAGCCTCTCTAGCTACGTTGGGGAAGTTCTCATGAATGACATCCTGAAACATGTTTTCCAACTTGGTTCTATTTTCCTTATCTCTTTCCAGTACACCAGTCAGTCATATATTCAGTTCGTTCACACAATCTCATATTTCTTAGAGCTTTTGTTCATTCCTTTTCATTCTTTTTTCTGTATTCTTGTCTGTCTTATTTCAGAAAGTCAGTCTTTACGCTCTCAAATTCCTTCCTCTGCTTTATCTATTCTGCTATTAATACATGTGATTGCATTCTGAAGTTCTTGCAGTGTGCTTTTCAGCTCTATCAGGTTGACTGCATTCCTTTCTATACTGGCTATTTTGTCTGTCAGCTCTTGCAATGTTTTATCATGATTTTTAGCTTCCTTGCATTGCATTACAATGTAATCCTTTTGCTGAATGAAGTTCGTTCCTATCCATATCCTGAATTCTACTTCTGTCATGTCAGCCATCTCAGCCTCAACCTAGTTCTGAACTCTTGCTGAAAAGTTGATGCACTCATTTGGAGGAAAGAGGACACTCTGGCTTTTTGAGTTTTCAGTGTTCTTTTTCTGATTCTTTCTCATCTTTGTGGGCTTCTACCTTCAATCTTTGAAGTTGCTGACCTTTAGTTTTTTTTTTTTTTTTCTTTTAGCAGTCTGGCCACTTTTCTGTAGGGCTGCTGTGGTTTGCTTGGGGTCCACTTCAATCCCTAGTTGCCTTGGATCTTCTAGTATCCTAAAGTATCCCCAGTAAAGGCTGTGAAACAGCAAAGACAGCAATCTGTTCCTTCTTCTGGGAACAGAACAATCTGTTCCTTCTTCTGGCCCAGGAGGTATGGATCTGTTGCTGGCCCAAACGCACCTGTAGGAGGTGGCTGGAGACCCGATTGGGATGTCTTACCAAGTCATGAGAAACAGGATCAGGGACCTGCTTAAAGAAGAAGTCTGACCACACTTTCATAGAGCATCTGTGCCACTTCCATCCCCAGTCAGCTTGGGCTCTCCAAAGCCTGGAGGCTGGAATGGATAAGTTGCCCAAACAGCAAAGTCGACAGCCTGCCCTTCCCTCTGGGAGCTCTGTCCCAGGGAGTTTTCAAATCTCTTTTAGCCAGAGAACACCAGTGAGGGTGGCTGGAGGCTTCAGTTGCGGGGTCCCGCCTAGTGATGAGGAGTGGGATTGGGGACCCACTTAATGAAGTTGTCTGGCCACATTTGGATAGAGCAGCTGTGCTCTGCTGCGGGATCCCTTCTGCACCCAGTTGGTTTGGACTCTCCAAAGCCTGCAGGCTGGAATTGCTAAGTCGCCCAAACAGCAAAGATGGCAGCCCACCCCTCCCCCGGGAGCTCTGTCCCAGGTAGGCACAACACTGCTGCTAGTGGCTGGTTGGAATTCCAAGCCAGTGGGTCTTATTTTGTGAGGTGCCATAGAAGTAGGGCCCGCAGACCATCACTGCTTGGCCCCCTGGATTCAGCCTCTTTGCTAGGGGTATGTACAGGGATTGATTCTCCCACTTTGCCCAGAGCTGTTCCCAAGTCTCTGCTCGTGCCCAAGTGACTGCTCTGCTGAGACTCCAGGTATTTCTGTGTGTCAGACTGAAGGCTCTGGTGAAGTGGGTTCACAAGGGGATCTCCTGACCTGAGAGTTGCAAAGATCTGTGGGAGAAGCATCATTTCCTGGGGTAGCACATTCACTCACCACTTCCTTGGCAGAGGTTCTTCTGGTTCCATATCACTTCTGGGTGGGCCATTGTCTTGCCTTGTTTTCTCCATCCTCCGTGCGTCGAGTTGTTGCCTTGATTAGTCCCAATGCAAGTGCCTGGATGTTTCATTTCAACGTGCTGTATTTACTTGCTCCTTTCATTCCTCTCCATGAGAGTCATGCACTAGCTGCTTCCAATCAGCCATTCTCTATTTGCTTATATATTTAATTTTAACAGTGAGTTTTATGCTTTCATATGCTTTTTGTGTTACTGTTTAACCTCTTTTATTTTAACCTGAAGAACTCTCTTTAGTATTTCTTCTAAGGCAGGCCTAGTGGTGACAAACCACTCCAGCTAAGTTTTTTTTTTAGTCTGGAGAAATCTTAATTTGTCCTTAATTTCTGAAAGATAGTTTTGCCAAGTACAATATTCTTGGTTGACAATTGCTTTCTTTAAGCACTTTGAATATATTACCCCCTTCCCTTCTGGCCTGTAATATTTCTGCTGAAAAATTCACTCATAATATGATGCAGGATCACTTGTACATAAGGAGTTGCTTTTCTCTTGCTGCTTTCAAAATTTTTTCTTTGTCTTTGAATTTTTACAATTTGATTATAATGTGTTTTGCTATAAGGGTTCAACATATGGAAATTCAAGGGATCCAGAATAGCCAGAACAATCTTGGAAAAAAATAAACAAGGAACAGTTACACAGTTGGAGGATATATCACTTCACACCCCCTAAGACGGTCATAATAAAAAATACAGATTATAACAATATTGGTGAGGATGTAGAGAAATTCAAACTCTCATATTTTGGTAAGTTAACTTTGGAAACATTATGCTAAATGAAAGATGCTAGTCACAAAAGACCACATATTTTGTGATACCACTTATATGAAATATCCAGAATAGGAAAATCTATAGAGATTAAAAGTAGATTATTAGCAGGGATGCAGGGAAAGGGCCATGACTGATGTGCTTGGGGTAACAGCTAAGAGGTGCAGGATTTTTTTTTGGAGTGATGAAAATGTTCTGAAATTGAATGTGGTGATGATTGCACAACTCTGTGAATATATTAAAACCCATTGAATGGTATACTTTAAATGCATGAATTGTATGTAAATTATATCTCAATAAAGCTATTTTTTATTTATTTATTTATTTATTTTTATTACACTTTAAGTTTTAGGGTACATGTGCACAACGTGCAGGTTTGTTACATATGTATACATGTGCCATGTTGGTGTGCTGCACCCATTAACTCGTCATTTAACACTAGGTATATCTCCTAATGCTATCCCTTCCCCCTCCCGCCACCCCACAACAGGCCCTGGTGTGTGATGTTCCCCTTCCTGTGTCCAAGTGTTCTCATTGTTCAATTCCCACCTATGAGTGAGAACATGCAGTGTTTGGCTTCTTGTCCTTGCAATAGTTTGCTGAGAATGATGGTTTCCAGCTTCATCCATGTCCCTACAAAGGACATGAACTCATCATTTCTTATGGCTGCATAGTATTCCATGGTGTATATGTGCCACATTTTCTTAATCCAGTCTATAATTGTTGGACATTTGACTTGATTCCAAGTCTTTACTATTGTGAATAGTGCCGCAATAAACATATGTGTGCATGTGTCTTTATAGCAGCATGTTTTTTAATGCTTTGGGTATATATCCAGTAATGGGATTGCTAGGTCAAATGGTATTTCTAGTTCTAGATCCCTGAGGAATCGCCACACTGACTTCCACAATGGTTGAACTAGTTGACAGTCCCACCAACAGTGTAAAAGTGTTCCTATTTCTCCATATCCTCTCCAGCACCTGTCATTTCCTGACTTTTTAATGATCACCATTCTAACTGGTGTGCGATGGTATCTCATTGTGGTTTTGATTTGCATTTCTCTGATGACCAGTGATGATGAGCATTTTTTAATGTGTCTTTTGGCTGCATAAGTGTCTTCTTTTAAGAAGTGTCTGTTCATATCCTTGGCCCACTTTTTGATGGGGTTGTTTGTTTTTTTCTTATAAATTTGTTGGAGTTCATTGTAGATTCTGGATATTAGCCCTTTGTCAGATGAGTAGGTTGCAAAAATTTTCTCCCATTCTGTAGGTTGCCTGTTCACTCTGATGATAGTTTCTTTTGCTGTGCAGAAGCTCTTTAGTTTAATTAGATCCCATTTGTCAATTTTGGCTTTTGTTGCCATTGCTTTTGGTGTTTCAGACATGAAGTCCTTGCCCATGCCTATGTCCTGAATGGTATTGCCTAGGTTTTCTTCTAGGGTTTTTCTGGTTTTAGGTCTAACATTTAAGTACTTAATCCATCTTGAATTAATTTTTGTATAAGGTGTAAGGAAGGGATCCAGTTTCAGCTTTCTACATATGGCTAGCCAATTTTCCCAGCACCACTTATTAAATAGGGAATCCTTTCCCCATTTCTTGTTTTTGTCAAGTTTATCAAAGATCAGATAGTTGTAGATGTGTGGCATTACTTCTGAGGGCTCTGTTCTGTTCCATTGATCTATATCTCTGTTTTGGTACCAGTACCATGCTGTATTGGTTACTGTAGCCTTGTAGTATAGTTTGAAGTCAGGTAGCGTGATGCCTCCAGCTTTGTTTTTTTGGCTTAGGATTGACTTGGCAATGCAGGCTCTTTTTTGGTTCCATATGAACTTTAAAGTAGTTTTTCCCAATTCTGTGAAGAAAGTCATTGGTAGCTTGATGGGGATGGCATTGAATGTATAAATTACCTTGGGCAGTATTGCCATTTTCACGATATTGATTCTTCCTACCCATGAGCATGGAATGTTCTTCCATTTCTTTGTATCCTCTTTTATTTCATTGAGCAGTGGTTTGTAGTTCTCACTGAAGAGGTCGTTCACATCCCTTGTAAGTTGGATTCCTAGGTGTTTTATTCTCTTTGAACCAATTGTGAATGGGAATTCATTCATGATTTGGCTGTCTGTTTGTCTGCTATTGGTGTATAAGAATGCTTGTGATTTTTGCACATTGATTTTGTATCCTGAGACTTTGCTGAAGTTGCCTATCAGCTTAAGGAGATTTTGGGCTGAGACAATGGGGTTTTCTAGATATACAATCATGTCATCTGCAAACAGGGACAATTTGACTTCCTCTTTTCCTAATTGAATACCCTTTATTTCCTTCTCCTGCCTGATTGCCCTGGCCAGAACTTCCAACACTATGTTGAATAGGAGTGGTGAGAGAGGCCATCCCTGTCTTGTGCCAGTTTTCAAAGGGAATGCTTCCAGTTTTTGCCCATTCAGTATGATATTGGCTGTGGGTATGTCATAGATAGCTCTTATGATTTTGAGATACATCCCATCAATACCTAATTTATTGAGAGTTTTTGGCATGAAGGTTGCTGAATTTTGTCAAAGGCCTTTTCTGCATCTATTGAGATAATCATGTGGTTTTTGTCATTGGTTCTGTTTATATGCTGGATTACGTTTATTGATTTGTGTATGTTGAACCAGCCTTGCATCCCAGGGATGAAGCCCACTTGATCATGGTGGATGAGCTTTTTGATGTGCTGCTGGATTCGGTTTGCCAGTATTTTATTGAGGATTTTTGCATCAATGTTCATCAGGGATATTGGTCTAAAATTCTCTTTTTTTGTTGTGTCTCTGCCAGGCTTTGGTATCAGAATGATGCTGGCCTCATAAAATGAGTTAGGGAGGATTCCCTCTTTTTCTATTGATTGGAATAGTTTCAGAAGGAATGGTACCAGTTCCTCCTTGTACCTCTGGTAGAATTCGGCTGTGAATCCATCTGGTCCTGGACTTTTTTTGGTTGGTAAGCTATTAATTATTGCCTCAATTTCAGAGCCTGTTATTGGTCTATTCAGAGATTCAACTTCTTCCTGGTTCAGTCTTGGGAGGGTGTATGTGTCCAGGAATTTATCCATTTCTTCCAGATTTTCTAGTTTATTTGTGTAGAGTTGTTTATAGTATTCTCTGATTGTAGTTTGTATTTCTGTGGGATCAGTGGTGATATCCCCTTTATCATTTTTTATTACATCTTTTTGATTCTTCTCTCTTTTCTTCTTTATTAGTCTTGCTACTGGTCTATCAATTTTGTTGATCTTTTCAAAAAACCAGCTCCTGGATTCATTGCTTTTTTGAAGGGTTTTTTGTGTCTCTATCTCCTTCAGTTCTGCTGTGATCTTAGTTATTTCTTGCCTTCTGCTAGCTTTTGAATGTGTTTGCTCTTGCTTCTCTAGTTCTTTTAATTGTGATGTTAGGGTATCCATTTTAGATCCATCCTGCTTTCTCTTGTGGGCATTTAGTGCTATAAATTCCCTTTATACACTGCTTTGAATGTGTCCCAGAGATTCTGGTATGTTGTGTCTTTGTTCTTGTTGGTTTCAAAGAACATCTTTATTTCTGCCTTCATTTCGTTATGTACCCAGTAGTCATTCAGGAGCAGGTTGTTCAGTTTCCATGTAGTTGAGTGGTTTTGTGTGAGTTTCTTAATCCTGAGTTCTAGTTTGATTGCACTGTGGTCTGAGAGACAGTTTGTTATAATTTCTTTTCTTTTACATTTGTTGAGGAGAGCTTTACTTCCAACTATGTGGTCAGTTTTGGAATAGGTGTGGTGTGGTGTGGTGCTGAAAAGAATATATATTCTGTTGATTTGGGGTGGAGACTTCTGTAGATGTCTATTAGGTCCGCGTGGTGCAGAGGTGAGTTCAATTCCTGGATATACTTGTTAACTTTCTGTCTCATTGATCTGTCTAATGTTGACAGTGGGGTGTGAAAGTCTCCCATTATTAATGTGTGGGAGTCTAAGTCTCTTTGTAGGTCACTCATGACTTGCTTTATGAATCTGGGTGCTCCTGTATTGGGTGCATATATATTTAGGATAGTTAGCTCTTCTTGTTGAATTGATCCCTTTACCATTATGTAATGGTCTTCTTTGTCTGTTTTGATATTTGTTGGTTTAAAGCCTGTTTTATCAGAGACTAGGATTGCAACCCCTGCCTTTTTTTGTTTTCCATTTGCTTGGTAGATCTTCCTCCATCCCTTTATTTTGAGCCTATGTGTGTCTCTACACATGAGATGGGTTTCCTGAATACAGCACACTGATGGGTCTTGACTCTTTATCCAATTTGCCAGTCTGTGTCTTTTAATTGGAAAATTTAGCCCATTTACATTTAAGGTTAATATTGTTATGTGTGAATTTGATCCTGTCATTATGATATTGGCTGGTTATTTTGCTCATTAGTTGATGCAGTTTCTTCCTAGCCTCAATGGTCTTTACAATTTGGCATGTTTTTGCAGTGGCTGGTACCAGATGTTCCTTTCCATGTTTAGTGCTTCCTTCAGGAACTCTTTTAGGGCAGGCCTGGTGGTGACAAAATCTCTCAGCATTTGCTTGTCTGTAAAGGATTTTATTTATCCTTCACTTATGAAGCTTAGTTTGGCTGGATATGAAATTCTGGGTTGAAAATTCTTTTCTTTAAGAATGTTGAATATTGGCCTCCACTCTCTTCTGGCTTGTAGAGTTTCTGCCAAGAGATCAGCTGTTAGTCTGTTGGCCTTCCCTCTGTGGGTAACCCGATCTTTCTCTCTGTCTGCACTTAACATTTTTTCCTTCATTTCAACTTTGGTGAATCTGACAATTATGTGTCTTGGAGTTGCTCTTCTCGAGGACTATCTTTGTGGCATTGTCTGTATTTCCTGAATTTGAATGTTGGCCTGCCTTGCTAGATTGGGGACGTTCTCCTGCATAATATCCTGCAGGGTGTTTTGCAACTTGGTTCCATTCTCCCCATCACTTTCAGGTACACCAATCAGATGTAGATTTGGTCTTTTCACATAGTCCTATATTTCTTGGAGGCTTTGTTCGTTTCTTTTTATTCTTTTTTTTCTAAACTTCTCTTCTCACTTCATTCCATTCATTTGATCTTCCATCACTGATACCCTTTCTTCCAGTTGATTGAATCGGGTACTGAGGCTTGTGCATTCGTCACGTAGTTCTTGTGCCGTGGTTTTCAGCTCCATCAGGTTTTTTAAAGACTTCTCTGCATTGGTTATTCTAGTTAGCCATTCGTCTAATTTTTTTTCAAGGTTTTTAACTTCTTTGCCGTGGGTTCGAACTTCCTCCTTTAGCTCAGAGTAGTTTGATCATCTGAAGCCTTCTTCTCTCAACTCGTCAAAGTGATTCTCCATCCAGCTTTGTTCCATTGCTGCATTCCTTTGGAGGAGGAGAGGCGCTCTGATTTTTAGAGTTTCCAGTTTTTCTGCTCTGTTTTTTCCCCATCTTTGTGGTTTTATCTACCTTTGGTCTTTGATGATGGTGACGTACAGATGGGGTTTTGGTGTGGATATCCTATCTGTTTGTTAGTTTTCCTTCTAACAGTCAGGACCCTCAGCTACAGGTCTGTTGGAGTTTGCTGGAGGTCCACTGCAGACCCTGTTTGCCTGGGTATCAGCAGCAGAGGCTGCAGAAGAGCGGATATTGGTGAACAGCAAATGTTGCTGCCTGATCATTCCTCTGGAAGTTTTGTCTCAGAGGAGTAACCGGCCATGTGAGGTGTCAGTCTGCCCCTACTGGGGGACCTCCCAGTTAGGCTATTCGGGGGTCAGGGACCAACTTGAGGAGGCAGTCTGACTGTTCTCAGATCTCCAGCTGCGTGCTGGGAGAACCACTACTCTCTTCAAAGCTATCAGACAGGTACATTTAAGTCTGCAGAGGTTTCTGCTGCCTTTTGTTTGGCTATGCCCTGCCCCTGGAGGTGGAGTCTACAGAGGCAGGCAGGCCTCCTTGAGCTGAGGTGGGCTCTACCCAGTTCGAGCTTCCTGGCCACTTTGTTTACCTACTCAAGCCTCGGCAATGGTGAGTGCCCCTCCCCCAGCCTCACTGCTGCCTTGCAGTTTGATCTCAGACTGCTGTGCTAGCAATGAGCAAGGCTCCATGGGCATAGGACCCTCCGAGCCATGCGCGGGATATAATCTCCTGGTGTGCCATTTGCTAAGACCATTGGAAAAGTGCAATATTAGGGTGGGAGTGACCTTATTTTCCAGGTGCCGTCTGTCACCCCTTTCTTTGACTAGGAAAGGGAATTCCCTGACCCCTTGTGCTTCCCAGGTGAGGCGATGACTTGCCCTGCTTCGGCTCATGCTTGGTGCGCTGCACCCACTGTCCTGCACCCACTGTCCGACACTGCCCAGTGAGATGAACCCGGTACCTCAGTTGGAAATGCAGAAATCACCCATCTTCTGTGTCGCTCACACTGGGAGCTGTAGACTGGAGCTGTTCCTATTCAGCCATCTTGGCTCCACCCTCTAGTCTCAGCACCACACCACACCTATTCCAAAATTGACCACATAGTTGGAAGTAAAGCACTTTTCAGCAAATGTAAAAGAACAGAAATTATAACAAACTGTCTCTCAGACCACAGTGCAATCAAACTAGAACTCAGGATTAAGAAAGTCACTCGAAACCACTCAAGTACATGGAAACTGAACAACCTGCTCCTGAATGACTACTGGGTACATAATGAAATGAAGGCAGAAATAAAGATGTTCTTTGAAACCAATGAGAGCAAAGACACAACATACCAGAATCTCTGGGACGCATTCAAAGCAGTGTGTAGAGGGAAATTTATAGCACTAAATGCCCACAAGAGAAAGCAGGACAGATCTAAAATGGATACCCTAACATCACAATTAAAAGAACTAGAGAAGCAAGAGCAAACACATTCAAAAGCTAGCAGAAGGCAAGAAATAACTAAGATCACAGCAGAACTGAAGGAAATAGAGACACAAAAAACCCTTCAAAAAAGCAATGAACCCAGGAGCTGGTTTTTTGAAAAGATCAACAAAATTGATAGACCCCTAGCAAGACTAATAAAGAAGAAAAGAGAGAAGAATCAAATAGACACAATAAAAAATGATAAAGGGATATCACCACTGATCCCACAGAAATAGAAACTACCATCAGAGAATACTATAAACACCTCCACGCAAATAAAGTAGAAAATCTGGAAGAAATGGATAAATTCCTGGACACATACACCCTCCCAAGGCTAAACCAGGAAGATGAATCTCTGAATAGACCAATAACAGGCTCTGAAATTGAGGCAATAATTAATAGCTTACCAACCAAAGAAAGTCCAGGACCAGATGGATTCACAGCCGAATTCTACCAGAGGTACAAGGAGGAGCTGGTACCATTCCTTCTGAAACTATTCCAATCAGTAGAAAAAGAGGGAATCCTCCCTAACTCATTTTATGAGGCCAGCATCATCCTGATACCAAAGCCTGGCAGAGACACAACAAAAAAAGAGAATTTTAGACCAATATCCCTGATGAACATTGATGCAAAAATCCTCAATAAAATACTGGCAAACCAAATCCAGCAGCACATCAAAAAGCTTATCCACGATGATCAAGTGGGCTTCATCCCTGGGATGCAAGGCTGGTTCAACATACACAAATCAATAAACGTAATCCAGCATATAAACAGAACCAATGACAAAAACCACATGATTATCTCAATAGATGCAGAAAAGGCCTTTGACAAAATTCAACAACCTTCATGCTAAAAACTCTCAATAAATTAGGTATTGATGGGATGTATCTCAAAATCATAAGAGCTATCTACGACATACCCACAGCCAATATCATACTGAATGGGCAAAAACTGGAAGCATTCCCTTTGAAAACTGGCACAAGACAGGGATGGCCTCTCTCACCACTCCTATTCAACATAGTGTTGGAAGTTCTGGCCAGGGCAATCAGGCAGGAGAAGGAAATAAAGGGTATTCAATTAGGAAAAGAGGAAGTCAAATTGTCCCTGTTTGCAGATGACATGATTGTATATCTAGAAAACCCCATCGTCTCAGCCCAAAATCTCCTTAATCTGATAGGCAACTTCAGCAGTGTCTCAGGATACAAAATCAATGTGCAGAAATCACAAGCATTCTTATACACCAATAGCAGACAAACAGAGAGCCAAATCATGAGTGAACTCCCATTCACAATTGCTTCAAAGAGAATAAAATACCCAGGAATCCAACTTACAAGTTCAATATATGTCCAGCTACATTTAGCAAAGCAACAAGGAATGAGTTCATTTACTTAAATGATAGTGGGATAATTTGAGATTACTATGGAGAAAAATTAACTTAAACCTATACCTCATGTGACATATCCCAATCAAGAACACAAAAATTAAAGTGTGAAATATTCACAAAAATGTGATTACATTGCTAAAAAAAACAGGAGAAAATAGAGCACTTATTCAGTCTAGAGAGGGAGATAATATTTGATTAAAGTAGGAAAATAAATTACAAAGGAAAAGATAGGCAGTGTGATTGCACAAAAATTAGTACTACTAAAATGCAACAAAACCACGATAAAAGTTAAGTGACAAAAGAGAAAACTATATTTAATATATATAATGGCAGATGCATTTCTAAAATATACTAAGAGTTTTTATAATTTACATTAAGTTCCCTGTGGACAGTGGTCAAAAGATGGGAAGAATGATTACATAAGATGAAACACCATTAATATATTAACATAGGAAACTGCATTCTTGGCAACTAGCAAAGAAGTGCAAATTAGAACAGCAATGACATGTCACTTTATACCTCCAAAATTAGCAACAATAAAGGAACATTATTAAAACCAGCGATGAGGCTATTGGGGAAATTAACACATTTATAGATTTTTAGTGGCATTGTAAATGATTTTGGTCAATTTGATGATCAATTTGGTACTTTTTAGCAAGAGCCATAAAATGTTCATACCTTTTTAATAAATAATCTCACTCTTGGATATGTTTTAAAGGTATAATTCAGAAGAAAGAAAGCATTATGTATTATGTATTATTATGGAAAACTGGACATATCCCAAACAGCCATTAACAGAGAATGGTTATAAAATTATGGCATTTTAAACTTAATGAAAATGTTTGCAACCGATGAAAATGATAAATATGAAAAGCATTGGGATACATGGAAGGATATATACAAAAATTAAATTAAATAATTAAAAATAAAATAAAATATAGGAGCCTAGCTTAAGGAGGTCTAAAGGGGCTTGGAGCTGTGTATTCTCTATGACCTATAAGATTGACCCACTAGGACTCCCTTTCCAGGATGGAGCCCCGTATTGAGGAGGAACTCCTGGCAGTTGAGTACAATTAGAACATGTTAGAAACAGTGGAGAGGAGGGAAAAGGAAGGTCTAAATCAAAGACAGGGAGGGAAAAAGATAAAAGAAATCTCAGAAAACAAGTGGCCATATTGTTTAACATTACACAAAAATAACGACAGGGTGTCTTTTGAAGTTAGAAAATCCATCTGAATCATGCCTCTTTCTAAAAGATGAGTCAAAGCCAATTCACATTAAAATGAGCAACAAAAACGTGTTAAGGTAAAATCTCATAAGAAGTAACTACAAGAAAAGAGAATAAGGAGCAAAGTAATATCCCTAAATACCATGAAAATGTATCAGAAAGGCGTGCTTAAAAAACAGATCAAATTTATATTATTTTGAAACAAATTAAACATACTAAGAAGGTGATACAAGATACGGAAAAACAATACAGACAGCCCCCAACTTATAATGGTTTGACTTACAGTTTTTCAACTTTATGATGGGTTTATTCGGACATAACCCTATTGTAAGTCAAGGAGTATCTGAACAAATAATAATTAGAAAAACTCAAAAATTGGGTAGCCAAACTCAAGAATTAAAAAAAAAAAAATAGAAATGAAGACTAAACTAGAAGAAATACAAAAGAGAATAAGTACAATAAATAATGTCTTACCAGAAACACAAAATTAAAAGGTAAAACTTTAAAAAAATAAACATAAGTGAAAATATGAAATAACTTGAAAGAAAATTATAAGAATGGAAGGTAAGAAAAATGATCCAACATACAGATAATAGAAATCCGTGAAAGGAAACTGAAGCAAGTGAACAGAACAGATACTCACAAAAAATACATGTACACACACATACTTATTATATATATATATATATATATATAAAATTAAACTACACATTGAAAAAGCACACTCATTGCATACCTGAGAATACTGACTGAGAATGACAAACAAGGAATATGTTCTACTAAAGTTACTGGGTGTTAAAGAAATTGATAAAAACTTCAAGCATCCTAAATAAAGCAAGGCTTATAAGGAAAAATAAAATCAGACTGTCATTAGACTTTTCAACAGCAATGATTTATGCCACAAGATAATTGAATAATATTTTTAAGGTATGTAAGGAAAATAACATGTGAACCAGGAATTTTATGTCCACGAAAACAGGTCTTCCTGTATACGATGAACAAATTGTCGGCAATGTATTGGAGCTAAAATACTTGTTTGCGTAAGTGCTTTCTGAGGAAAATAATGGAAAGTGAATGTTAAACAAGTAAAATTTATTAGACATCTCTAGATAGATATTAACATAAGTATTGGTGACATGCATTAAATATATAATTACTCCTAGAATTAAGTCTAAATGAGAGTTAGGAGAGAGTATAGTATGGCTATATGATGAGGCATTTTAGATATAGTACAATAGAAAAAAAATTGGAGAAGAAAGGGGTTAGCACATGCAAAATGCTTAAATTATTTTCAATAACCATATTGGCAGAGACCATAATAGTATTGTTATACAGATATTATTGTGTGTGTACATGGAAAAAAGCAAATGAGTAAATACAGAATGTCCTAAGTCATGTATTCTCAATGGGACTAATATTACTCTCAAGAGGTCAAAGAATGATTCTTGGGGAGTGAAAAAAGTCATCAAGTTGTTATATATAAACAAGGAAGTGCATAAAGTGCAGATATATACAAAGTGCAGATATACATATAGTATGGTAACAAATATACAGTATGTCTATGGTATTAAAATTTAATGGTGGAGGGCTATTAGGAAAAACATATATCAAAGGCTATTTGGGGGGTCATTAATGAATAAAATATTGAGAAACAGTGTTTCAAGTCTATCATCTCTGTGTCAGTGAGAAAATTGATTCTTAATGTGGAAGAAAGGAAATACAAATGGAATATAAAAGAGATTAAAAACCATGTCATCCTGAATTTAAATTAGAGATATCAGTATGAAAACATGAGATATTTTGTCTTTAAATATATATTCCCTTGCTTGGTACACTAAAAAGGTTTAGAAACAATGATGAATCTATTAGCAGTGAGCATCCCTGGTGCCCAAAAGAATCCAGAGCTCTTGGGAAAAAAATAGTTGATTGCAGGTCTGAGGCAGGAAATGAACAAGATAAAACCCAAACATCCTAATATCCTTGATAGGAAACTATTAAGTAATGCCAGTGTCATGCCAAAAAGACTTGGGAGCCCACTTAAATAAATTCTCTCTGGCCAAAGTTACAGATTGTGCTACAATAATTACAAGAATTTCAATGAGTTGAAAACCATCAAATAGGATTATTTAATAAGTTCATAATTGTTTTAAAAAATAATAATTGATGGTCTTTTAAGGATGATAGGAAATGGGCAAAAAAAAAAGGAATCCAGCATTTATTATCTTTCCTATATAGGATGAGAGAAAGCTTTTTTTTTTAATAAAATCATTTCCATCATCAGATATCAGCAAAAATGGTAAAGACCTCTGAAAAGTCTCTCTTCCTTCTTGATAGAAGAAAATTAGCAAAAGAAATGTCAGAATTGATGCTTTTAGAACTCTGGAAATTAACAAGCAACTAGAAAAAAGGAAGCTTTGTTCAAGAAAATGGCTTAATCTCAGTAAGAACAGTGAGCTTTGTGGCATTTTCCCATTCTTATGTCTATCCCCCGTCTTCATTTTCGTGGTAGCCTTGAAAGCAAACAGCCTCCAATCACAGTGGAAACTAGCATCTTGACAGCCACTAGATGGGGCAGAACAGAGTTGGTGCTCCATCAAAGTTCCTTTCCTAGAGAATTGTGGTTATTTGAAGTGTCTGGTGGTTTCCTGGAAGACTTCACTTGCAAGAGTGTCTTTATTAGACCTGGAATAGAGATCACCTAGTGCAAAATGCCCCTTCCCTGGAGAAGTGTGTTGAAAATATTGGAAGACAATTGTTTAAGTTTGAATCTTCCTGAAGTAGTGGATGACAAATGGGGTAAACAATTGGCTAACCAAAAAGCTTAAAAGGAAAAGCGGGGGAATGAGATGTCAGTAGGAACTTTGAAAAGCTACAACATATTCCTGAGAATCTAGAAGGATGCACACATTTGTAAAACTGTGCACATGCTCAGTAAGAAAGCCTCGCACTGTCCATGCTAGCTAACATTGCACAAGGAGGAAGGGGAGGCTAAGGCATAGTTGAAAACCGCCTGACTGGGAATTGAAAGCATGTCCCAGCACACACACACAGAGCCTCTAGGAAAAGACCGGAAGGCTTATTATTTCCAGGCATTTAAGGAAATCTCTGTCTAATCATTAACTGATCACCAAACTAACGCAGCAGACTTTCGTGACCACTTGACCACACACAGCAAAGAATGCAGATTTTACAAAATTAGTTCAGAAAAGTGATTAAACAAAGAGCAATAACAACAATAAACAGAGTGATGATGGCACAACTTTGTAAATATACTAAAAATCATGGAATTGTATATTTTAAAATGGTTACTTTTATGGTATATAAATTATATCTCAATAAAAATATCATTCCAACCAATAAATGAAAATAAAATTATAGAATGTGTTCATTTTGCAACTGAACATCAATGTCTGCAGACAACAAAAAAAGTGAAAACCTGAGACTGAACAAGACCAGGATCCACCAGTAAATACAGAGGAGCATATTGAAGTGCACCATGAGTATGTAATCAGCAACATGCAGACTGTGGGAGCCTCTATGGGTAAAATAGCCTGGGTTCTGTAGCATATAAATGTTAGGGAAAAGAAATGGACAGAGGAAGAACCTATAGATTAACATAAGTTTACAGGACATATCAGGTTTTTTTAAATGGTTAAGATTATATTATAGTGTCTAGCAATTCACCTTTGGGTGATGGAACCATAAAGAGTGCAGTGAAATGATTAGTATAAAGTTCAGGATACTATTTACATCTTGAGGGAGAGAAGAGGCTGTATTCATGACTGGGCATTTGGAGAAACTTGTGGGGTGACCGGTCATTTTTTAAGCTGGTAGTGTTTATAAGGGTATTATTCATATAATAATTTACTAAGCTCTACCTTTTTTTGTGTGGCCGTGTCTTTGTCTTAAAAATAAGAGGGTAAAAATGACCTACATAAAGCCAAAGGTTGGAAGAGGTCAGAACAATAATATGAGTTAGCATATTTCAGCAAGTAAAATTAATGATAAAAAAGGTTAATGTTTAGAAATTGACTTTCTATCCCATCCTAAAACTCAAATGGAGGAATTGCAAAAGAAAATCATCTTATACTGTATCTAGAATAGCTGTGTCCTAACTTAACTTTAAATGGGACCTGTTTAAATGGGCCACTCTACACAAGGAACATCCATCTTATACCCATGAATTGTCTAAGAAGAATACTTAATTTAGTCAGTTCCTACAGTCATTTTTCAAGAACTACAAACACTGGGACCTTTATTTGAGGATGTCATGTTGATTCAGGATCCTTGATGCAGAATTTCAATCTTGTCAATACGCAAGGGAGTTCCTGACACCAGTTATTCCAGAGTTCCCCTTCCTTCCTCAAGCCTCCACCCACCGCCAGCCTTAGCAGATTACCTCTCCTACTTTGCTGAGATTGAGTCCTTTATATATCCTCTTATCTCTACCTCAACTCATCTCTATACATGTTATCTCATTCTTCTCTCCAGTCTCAGAGGAAGAGCAGGACTCTTCCACCTCTGCATCAGTTTCCAAATGTCTGTTAAATAGTTCAGTTTTGATGTATTGCTATTCACATCTTATTTTCATCAAAGACACCCCCAAAGTACCCAGCTGGGGAGACTGGAAGATTCTTTGTGCTATTGATGCCAAGGACAAATATAAAGGAGATTGCAGTGAGATTGGATTTGGTAAATGAAGAACTCCATTTAGGATATGGTCCATTTGGAAAAAAGGCAAACCAGCACAATGAAGATCCATGGCCTGTGGCATATCTGCTATTAACCTGTCACTGTTATTATGTTTTATTTAAAAAATATTTATTGTTCACATAGTATGTGCAAGTGCACTAGGTTCTATGGGGAAGAGTGAACACAGATTAATGACACATAGTCCCCAAGGAGCTAACAATCCTCAGGGAACTAACTTATTTTAATATAAGTAATATACAAGGGAGCAGATCAAGGCAACGATGAGGTGACTGTTGGGGTGAGTGGGAACAAACAGAATGCTGAGTGTGAGATAAACATAGGAATAGTCAGTAGGAAGTTTTCCAGTTGGGATGTTCTGGACAGCATTGCCATGTTCTGTACTCAATAATTCTTCAGGACAGCTGGAAAAAACGTGGCTCTTCTGTACATCACTTAACCCCTCCCTCTCCAGTATTTTAGAACTTTTTCTCCACAGTCATTGTGGGAGGTGGGTACAAAGACATATAAACCATAGCATCTGACTTCAAAGAGCTTACTTTCTAGTTTAAGAGATGAGGCATATCTGTAGAACTACAGACAAATCACAATTTAAGGGGTGCTACAGAAGTAAATATTACTGGAATGCACAGGCTTGGCCCATAGCAAGGGCTCAATAAATATCTGAGGGATGCATGACTACTGAGTTAACACAGACCCATTAGTCCTGATGATCCTATCTTGGAGATGTTTGTTCTTCTTCTTCCCACAGCCATTGCCCAAGTTCCTGCTGACATTTCTCGTGTGGACTCTGTGGAGTCAAGCAGGCCTAAAGTTCTGGTCTTTGCTCAGTCACTTAGAGCTTCTGACTTGATGGAATAATTTGGTTTTTCTCCTTCCTCCTGAAACATACTAAGCATTTTTCAACTAATAAAAATGTGACCTCGAAGGCACTGTGAATTTGGTAAAATCCATGTTTGGCACTGATGTCCCTGACAGAATGAATGCTAGTTTTATTTTAGTGTTCCCATAATGCAGTTTATAAAGACACTGTATTTTTTGAAATTTCTCAGCAAAGAAGAATGTAAATGTCTCCTAGTCCTTTGTACTTCGCTGAGTGGATGGAACAAATAAAGGGACAACTGGAAGTCACTCAGTCACCAATACAAAGGCCTATGGACTCTTGATAGTAAGAAAATACTGATATTTTTGGTCCTGGTGCAAATGGTCCTCAAATGTGAGTTCAGAGCTCAGCCAAGTAGTATCTTAGTAATTCAGGAAGCACCCATGCCAGAAAGCATCCAGAGAGACAGATCTGCCCTGTTCCCATAGGTCTCCCTAATACCTATCACTGTGCCAGGCACACAGTAAGTAACCAATCAGTATGGGTGGCATGGATGAAATAGGGGCAGGGGAGCTCCTCAGCATTTGCTACTGAACTGAGAGTCAATACTTGGTTTCGAGTCCTGGTCTGCCCCTTTACCATCTCTGAGACCTTGGAAAAATCTTTTCTGCCTCCAGGACCTCAGTTAACCCATCTGAACAATAATTTTCAATGTTCTTTGTGTTCTCAAGTTCTGCATCTTGCAGGAATAAGTGTGACTCTTCACAATGAATCTGCAGAAAGTCTCCCCAATTCAATGAACTCTCTATTTGACCCAAGAAAAAGGCAGAAAAATAGATTCCTTCAGGCTACAGTATAAGGTACAAACCTGATGTTGTGTTCATGCCTTAAAACAGCCTTGTCTGTGACTGGGATGTGGGATGCTCGTGGTGTATTATTTGAAGAATAACTATCTCCTTATTAGGATAAAGACATGCCCTTCTGAAAACCCTTATTACCACACAAAATCTCCAACAACCAGCCAGGCAGTCATTTATTCGTGAGGCCATAGCACCCAGATATTCCACCGATGAAATGTTCTGTCCTTGGCATAAAACTTGTTCAGAATGATAATTAGAATAGAGACTCCAAAATATTAGAACTATTCAATGTCAGCCTCAGGGGGCTACTAACTCATGTTGGAAATGATCTTGCTGCTTTTAATCAAGAACTAAGCTACACAGAGTTCCTTTTTTGGTTGCAACTTCAGTACAGAAAGAACAATGCAAACGTTGGCACTTTGATATGACCTTCAGCTTCTAAAAGAATCATGGGAACTTTTCTCCCCAAGGCCCAGAGCAGGCATCACAAAACAATTTATTAGGGTGTGCTTGTATATCATGAAGTCTTATCTAATTGGTGTTCAAACCTGTTGCTGTCTCTTCTTTTCCCTTATCTCTAAGGGCTCCCAGCAGAGAGGAGGGAACATCAATTAATCACTCCTCTCCTCTTCCTACACACACACTTGCATGCATAGACTCATGTGAAGACACACACCTCTCTCACCCTATCCCACTCAATCCCTACACACACTTGGGGCCTTGGAATACAATTGTTTTAGATCTGTAACAGATCAGAAACATCAGCTGGGTTAACTCTCTCATTTTATATAGAGAGAAACCGAAGCTCAAAAGAGAAGAATTAGGATTAAAAACAGTTCTGGTACCGTCAGCACCATGTCTCTGTATTTCCCCATCAGAAGCTCAAGGTTTCAAAGAAGAGCAAAAGCTCTTCAACTTAATATATACGTCCTTCACTGTCTTTGTATATAAAACATTGTGCTAAGTCCCAAAGTTGTTCACAAGGGAATGAAATATAATCCTGATCCAGTGGGGATAAATGGAGATGTATATAAATATATTTAGTACAAGCAGATTACTAAGTGTTCTCATAGAGGCACCAAGTGATTTGGAGATTTAAGTCAGAAGAGATTTGTTTGAATTGAATTATAAGAGGTTGTTTGGTTTAGGGTACCTCTTTCAGATTTCATGGAGAGGTTTCCCCATGATGCTTTGAGAGACTAAAGATGATATTAGTGTTAGCATTGACATTGTTCTTTCCGCACGTGATTAGAGAAACCTCAAAAATACTTCTAATTAAAACAAATACTATGTTTTTGCCTCTGAAAACTTCAAAAAATAAAAAGAATAAAAATATATAGTTTTGATGAGCATGTGAAGAAATGGGAATGTGCATACATTACTGTGGGCAATTATGTTGTTGTATCTGCTCTGGAGAACAATGTCAAAATAATATGTTGAGAGTATTAAAATTGTGTATATCTTCTATCCCAACCTATTTGACGTCTAGAAATATTTCTTAAAGGAATATGTGTTTGTTGTATATATAATTATATATGTATTTAATTGATTGTATGTGTATATAAAAGATGAACATGAGAAATGTTTCTTACATTGCTAAGTGAATAAGAGCAAGAAACAAGACAATACATTCTTCTAAAATCTCATGTCTCATTTGTTTTATATACCCATGTATATCTTACATAACCCGAATGTAGGCCAAACTTGCTTTTTCTAGATGTCCGCTTTGAGGTCAGTAACATATATCACATGTAAAAACACACACCCACAAATCCAAATCTAAATATAAATAAATGACATAGGTTTTCTCAAAGATTTTATAAGAAAATGTCATAGGGATGAAGTTATTTCATATGTCAGACAGCCTTCCCTTTAAACGTTTCTCTTTCCCACCAATGTCCTTCTGAAGCTGCTGTTCTCCCTTCTCTTTGTCTCAAACACGTTCAGTGACTCCCTTTCTACTGGCAGAATCATCTCCTCTTTTTCCGCCTCTAACATCATCACCACCACCATCACCACCATCACCACCATACAGCCTTCTGTGCTTCTCTAGTCTAGCATATCCAATAGAATTTTCTGCAGTGATCAAAAGGTACTATGAACTGCTCTGCCCAGTGTGGCAGCCACTAGCCACATGTGGCTATTGAGCACTTGAAGTGTGGCTGGTCTAACTGAGAAAATATATTTTTAATTGTATTTAATTTTAACTGATTTAAATTAACCACACAAGGCAATTAAGCACTTGAAATGTGGCTGGTGTAACTGAAGAAATGTATTTTTAACATTTTATTTAATAATAGAGATCCTAAGTTACCCCTATGTGGTTCGTGGCCATTGTATTGGACAACACAGCTCTAGTCTGTTCTTAGGCAGAACAAGCTAAGTCTCCTCTTCATCTTCAACTTTGCTTTGTTGTGTACAGGAAATGGAAGAAATGACTCAATGACTTTTTCTCGGCATCCACCTTGCTTAGAAATTACTGAAAAGCATGGGAAGATTATGAATAACTAATAATTTTCTTTATTTTCATAGGTATGCAGAGAAAAATCCCAGAAAGACATAAACAAAAATAATCATTATGGTTAATTTATGGTAGTGGCATTATGGATTACTTTTATTTTACTTTGTTTTACTGTGTTTTCGCAGCACTGTGATCTGGAGTGGGCATTTATTACTTTTGTATTTAGAAGAAAGACACAATACATATTATTAAAATGCTTCCATGTATGTTTTTTTTTTTTTTTTTAAAAAAAGCAAAAGAGGGAAGGCATCTTTTCTAAGGGTTCTGTAACCAACTTCCAGAACAGTCTCTCGCTTCTGCAAATGAGGAAAAGCCCAATGGCGGGCCCCCCTGGAATGTGGCCCAGGAATGACATGTGTATATATTCTCCCAGCTGCTTCCTCATATCAAATAGCTAACAAACCAGAGCTCAAAAGCCAAGCCGATTCCCACTGTCATCATTGATGAAGCCTGTACACAGATGGAGAAGTAAATAAAAGGGAGAGGTGGTGAGTTTTCTATATTTGACCCAGTTACTATTTTTGCTAAATAAGGAGAGAAAAGCTTGGGATTTCAGACATGAAGAAATAGATCCTGATTTTGTGAGCAAAATCTTGCTGCTCTTCTTAGCCCTTTCCGGATGTGCATTTCCTTCTTGGAATCAGGGCAGAATTTGGCAGAATCCATGTAGACTCAGAGTTGCAACCTTACAACTGAGCTTAGAAAAAAGGAGCTATTTGAGATAGGCACAAAGGAACCACACAGAGGGTCTGAAAAATCCCAACAGATCTGGGGAGCCACAAGTTAGGCATGGGGCCAAAAACTCTGGAGTTGTCATTACCCAGCCTTCAAATTTGGACTTCAAGACAACTTAAAAAAAGTCCTCTCCTGGAAATGGCAAACACAAGTAGGCTCAATGAAATCTTTTATGCAATCTTATTCTGGCTCAGCTATGCCCAGATTAGCTCAATAGTCATATCTTCTGCAGTATCTTGCTTCTCCTCTCAGTACCTCCTCACTAGAATACAGTGCCAGAAGATCCTTTGTGGTCCTCATTTACCCGCTTCCTGGTACATGATAACTGGAAGGGTTTGTGCTTTGATGCCTTCCCAGGATTCTCATGTTTAATTCACAGAGGACTCTGGAAGGCTGAAAAGCTTTATGGAACTCAGAAGAATGAAGTTAGAATGGAAGATTCTCAGGCATGGTAAAAAGGAATTTACTTAGGGGCAGAGGGCAAATGGGATCCTTCAAGGGCCTTCTTGCCACCACACAGCAGTTATTTTCCATTCCATTTGCCTGCTGAGTGAGCTTCCAGGGACTAATGCCTACTTCAGCAAGGCAGAAGGGAGGTAAGCTGCTGTATTCTTGGCCTAGTTGTGTAGCAACAGAAGGTAAATTACGTTTTGACTTTCAATGTTGTGTTTATTTGCATTGGCTATCTTTAGTTGGTTCAAGTCTAGGAATATTTAAAAATCACTTCTTGAAATACCTTTAGTTCCCCACAGTTGGAAAACTAAGATGCTTTCAAGTTGCAGATCGTTGCACTGAGGATTATAAGACATTGCTTTTGTTAAACAACCAGAGACTAAGTGAGCAGGAAATATATCCTCTGGAGTCCTGAGGTGTTCAGTGCCTCCACTCAGCTTGATCGTGTTGGTCTTAAACACTGCCTATGAAGCAGTTTCTAAAAAGTTTCCTTCTGACAGATTTCAAGTGATTCTAAAGAGGTAAATGCATATGCTGCTTGTTTATTGTACACAACATGGCTACCAGTGAGTATCTGACACTATTTTTCCAAAGGACAGTTTTACCCCTAATACAGAAGCACCTTGAAAATATTATTTGTAGCAAACCTGCACTGGGGTAATCAGCTCTCTGTTAGCTAGGGCCCAGTGCTGAGGAGGCCAAGGTCATAGACTGAATTTCAAATGGGCCATTTAACTTTAAACAGAAGATGAAAGCTCTTTTTTTGTGCCTCCATATTGCAACTCTCCCTCTGCCTTCTATGTTGCGAATGCAATGTTCTTATAACGGGGACAGTGTCATGGTGTCCAGCCTTTCTGGGGGCCTGTAAGAACTTTATTCAGTAGCAAAACAGGGACATGACTATTAAGAACTCTAGGCCATAGTAGAAGAGCCACATTAGGAAGACATTGGAACTAACTACCAGAAAAGAACGCCAGAGCAGTTCAGGTGATTGGAGGGGCACACCCAGGTCCTCAAGTAGGAGATGGCTTATGTGGCAGGTTGAGTATGGTATCCAGTGAGCAATGGGTCAAGGAGTGGCAAGAACGGTGAGCTTAGATGAGGGAACCAACTCTGTTTAAGGAAGGTCTGGGAAACCTTGGTATGCCTTTCAAGATTTCTTACTGTCCTTCAGGACTCTGTTGGTGTCACCTCCTTTCTGAGACTTCCAGAACAATACTCTGCCTGCATCCAGGCAGAGTTAGGGATGCCTCAACTCAACTTCCATAGGACTCTACTATTGCCTCTATTGTATCACTCACCACATTATATTTTAACCTTTCATTTTTGTTTTAATCTCTCCCACTAGACTGTAAGCTTCTTTATCTTTGTATCCCCATAACCTAGCAACTATGAGCTTACTGCATGTTTGCTGACTGAATGAATAAATAATTGAATGAATAGAAGAATGAAGAAACAGGGAAGAAAATTCCACATGAGAGATATTTGTGTAGGTTATTAAAAATGAGTTAAATTTTCATGGAAAGAACATGCTGTGCTCTGGAGAGAGAGTATTTGGTGCACTGGCTGCCTGTAGGAGATGAGGAGATGAGGCTAGGAAGGGAAATTGGGATTAGAGGGTAAAGGGTTTTATAGCGCCTCCTAAGGAGTTGAAATCTCTTCTATAGATCAGTGGTTCTCAAACTTTAGAGTGCTTACTAATTGCTTGGAGAGCTTGATAAAACACACATGTGTGAGTCCCATTTCTGAAGTTTGTGTTCTGAGGTGGGGATTGCAAATTTACATTTTTATTGAAACATAATAAATTTGCATATTTTCAAGGTACATGTGATACTTTAATACATTTGTGTAATGTGTCATAATCAAATCATGATAGTTGGGATATCTATCACCTTAAACATTTAGCTTTTCTTTATGCTGGGAATATTCAAATTGTTCCCTACTAGTTATTTTGAAATGTACAGTAGATGATTGTTTACTATGTCACTCTACTGATTTATCAAACACTAGGTCTCATTTCTTCTACCTAACTGTATTATTGTACCCATTAATCAACCTCTCTTCATCCACGCCCCACCCCCCACCCCCACACACACAGAAGTCCTGGTTTCTGGTAACCACGAAACTACTCTCTGTTTTCATGAGATCCACTTTTTTAGCTTCCGCATATAAGTAAGAAAATGCAAAGTTTGTCTTTCTGTGCCTGGCTTATTAGTAGAGGATGGCAGCACCTGTACTACTTTTTATATGAATCCTGTTTTCCCAAGGTTATCCAGATGCCTATAGCATTGATTTATCCTCAGGGTGATTTCCATGTTTGAGAGCCTTGTTATTGCTTTAAACCAGTGGTTCTCAATATGGCTGTACATTAAACGAATTGGAGGAGACTTTTTTATAAAATCCCAGTGTCCACACCCTCTCCTAGTCCAATTAATTCAGAACTGCTGAGATGAGGTCTGGCCTAGGTAATTTGCAGATGTTCACCAGGTGATTTTAAAGTGTAGTCAGAGTTGAAATCTTCTGCTGTAGAATAATCTGAATTTCCAAAAGCTGGGCTTAAGTACTTCTGACAAGCAGAAATCTCCAGATTTCTGGAATTGGATCCCTGAGGATCAGGGTCACTGCTGTTGGAAATAGATCCCTGAGGGTCAGGGTGGCAGAAATTCCTGGTGGCTTCCTGGAACCTGATAAGTCACTGGAATGTGATAAATATTTTGATTTTCAGTAAGTTGTGTATGGCCATTGGTAATTTGAAAAGTTTCAGGATCATTGATCTTTCACTAAGAAATAACCGTCATAGTAATGTTTGCCTATGTCTACCCCCATCTCCATTTCATCTGCAGCAGTTATGTATAGGAGCCCAGAGTTAGAATCAGACAGAGCTGACTCTGTTTTAACTCCTGGCTTTATCGCATGTCCTAACCATGCACCATTCTCTAAGCCTCAGTTTTATCATCTATAAAACAGGGATGCTTGTACCTACTTTACAGGATTGTTGAAGATTGGGGTTAAATAATCAATAAATGTAAAGTACAGCACAGTGCCTGAAACATAGTAGGTAATCAGATGAATGTCTGGAGGGTTGCATGTAAAATACTCTGAGTGGTCACTTCTGAGCAGTGGATTTGGGATGGTGGAGGAAATGGAAGACTTTGATGTTTTACTTTATACCCTTCTATATTGTTTTAAATTTATAGATGGCATAGGCTACCGTTGTAACTTTTGTGTGCCAAAAAAAGACAAAAGAAATCAACTGCCATGTCATGTTCCCAGAGAGTCTCCACGTTGGCCACAAGTTCAGAGGTCATCCAGCCTGTTCCCCCTACAATTGCCGGAAACTCTGCTACCATTGCCCTGCCAAGGTGCATTCAGTTTCCTCTGCACATTCTCCAGGATAGGATTTGATGTCAAGGAAGTTTTATTTTATTTTTTATGCAATCTGAAATGCCAGGAAATTCTCTTTCTATATTGAGCCCAAATCTGTCTGCCTGTGATACCCTTCCATTGGGCCTATCTAGTTTTGCTTTGTAGAGCCTCCTAGAGTAAGCTTAATAGATTCTACTACACCTGATACCTTATGACATGCCTTGATATGTTTAAAAAGAGCTTTCCTGACATTTTGAAATTAGATCTATTCAGAAAATCACCCAAAGCTTCAGCTGTGCCTCAGAGGATATAGCTTCCTCACTCTGTCACAGGCTGGTTCTGTGGAAGTAGACATTGAAATGGACTTTTGGGTGCAAGGTGTCTATTATGGATCAATGCTTATAAAAGGAATGGGGGGCAAAGCAGCACAATGGAGAGGAAGAAGTTGAACTACACGTGAGGCTCAACAGAGTTGCAACTAATTTGGCAAGGAGCTCTGGAGAGAGTCTTGCCTGTTAGAGTTGCCCAGCAACAAGCTGGAATGACCAGCTATTATGCCCAACCTCTCTCTCAGTCCCCAGATATGGGAAGAGTGTCACATCGCATGAGGCAGCCCTCTGCAGCTGAGTCTGTCTGCTGACTGTACTTCATAAATCTAGGCATGTCCTTCCTTGGAGAGGTATCTGGGTTAGCACACTCCCCTGTCTATCGGCCTGTCCGCTGTGCCATGTGGATTCACTTCAGACAAATACAAGACACGGGTCTCCTAGGAACCAGTGGAGTCAGTGGGCCTCTCTTCCTGAGGGGAACCTTAAAAAAGGCAGGTGAAGGAAGTTAACTGGACAAATGATAGCTTCTGCTATGACAGTTGGTTTCAGGACCACAATTGATGCCATTTCCCTCCTCCACTATCCAGTCTAGAGTCTCCCCACTCTCAGTCACCATCTCTGTGACCCTCATCCCTGAGGGGTTTGACACCTTCTCAAGCAGAGGTTGCCCTATCTGTTCATTTATAGTCACAAATGGGCAAGGGACCACCAAGAGATGTCACAGTAGATTACTTGGGTTCTATGCTGCTGTTTGACAGTAGCCCTATTTCTTCCTGATAACCAGGGTCAAGTGCCTCTGTCAAGGCAATTACACTTCCTACCTGTTTCTGGAAGTAAGAAGTCCAAAGTGCCCAGGTGGAAGCTGTAGCTTATAATTCAACTCTTGTTCTGTCCCCTGGAGAAGGTGTTCCCATCTGGGGAATCAAAGCCTCTAACCCAGCAGAGCCCAGACTTTCAGGGATGGAAACGCGAAGTCCTCCACTGGGTCTTGTGAGTGATAAGTGGTATCTTAGATTGCTAGGGCTTCTGTAACAAAGTACAATAGACTGGGTGAGTCAAAGAACATGAATTTATTTTTTTAACAGTTCTGGAGGCTGAAAGTCTTAGATCAAGGCTAGAAGCCTTAGTCAGCAGGTTGGTTCCTTCTGAGGGCAGTGAGGGAAGGATCTGCTCCAGGCTGCTCTCCTTGGTAGATGGCCATCTTCTCTCTGTGTCTTTACATCATTATTCCTCTGTGTGTATCTGTATCCAAATTTCCTCTTCTTACAAAGCTACCAGTCATATTAAATTATGGCCAATTGCTTTTGTAAAGATTGTATCTCCAAATATGGTCACATCCAATGTACTGTGGATTAGGAATTCCACATATGAATTGTGGAGGGACACTATTTATTCCATAATAAGTGGGGTCACATTTGCTTCTACTTCTTGGTTCCCAGACTTGTGTATTCTTTCTGTTGGGGTCACAGCACCAAATAGAAGCCTCTGATTCCGTTCAATCTATGGCATCCTGAAGGAAGTTTCCCACTCCTCACTAAATGTTGCCCTGAGCTGGTGCTTTAGCTGTGCCTTCTGCAGGTTATTCCAATGCTGTTAGGTCAGCAGGTTGTGGATGTTATACAACCAGTGGATCCTATGGTCATTGTCCCACTCCCACACATATTGTGCTGTAAAGTGGGTCTCCTGGTCTAATAGGATGTTGTGTGAAACCTCATGTTGATGAATCAAATACTCCAAAGCCCTTAGAGGGTAGTGCTAACTGTGGTCCTGTGGACAGGAAAGGTGAACTCATACTATTCTTGTAAGAATAAACCACTGATTTTCCCAGGTAATGAGGGCTTACTACAGTTAACTTGCCACCAATTGGCCAATAGAACTCTTTAAGAAATAGTGCCATAGTAGGGGCTCAGTGTTTGTCTCTGTTGCTGATAAATTGAATATTAGGAGGCAGCAAGAGTTAGATCAACCTTCTTAAGTGGGAGTCTATGCTGTTGGGCCCATGTGTAACGGTATTAGTCTGTTCTCATGCTGCTAAAAAAGACACACCCAAAACTGGGTAATTTATAAAGGAAAGAGGTTTAATGGAGTCACTGTTCCACATGGCTGGGGAGGCCTCACAATCATGGCAGAGGGCAAAGGAGAAGCAAGAGGACATCTTACATGATGGCAGGCAAGAGAATATGTGCAGGGGAACTCCCTTTTATAAACCATCAGATCTCATGAGACTTATTCACTATCACAAGAACAGCATGGGAAAGACCCACCCCATGATTCAATTACCTCCCACCAGGTCCCTCCCACGACACATAGGAATTATGGGAGCTACAATTCAAGATGAGATTTAGGTAGGGACACAGCCAAACCATATCAGCAACCTTCATCTCTGTCACCATGTCTACTCCATTCATGTGCTCATTGTGCCAGTTTGGGGAATGTCTGATACTGAAGGCTGACTAAGGTCAACTGGCTCAGTCATTTTGTCAACTTGGTTCTTCGGTGCCTCTTCCATGGTAGATGCTTTCTGGTGGTCTGGTGGATATTAATGTGTGATACAAATATCTTCACACTTTGTCCTCACTCCCATGTACCCATTCATATGCTTCTGTCTCCTTGTCCCCTATATGCCAGTCTTTCTCTTTCCAGGCCTCTAACTAAGTAGACGGCCTGACCATCTACTATTTCTTCTTCCATAGAAAGTGGACAGCCAGGTACATGGTCCAAAACTCTGTCCAAAACCAAAGTGTTTTTCCTTGCCAATGTCTTTCAAGGCCATCATTGAGCGAGGCTGTATCACAGGTGTTGCCCATTTTTGGCTAGCACCCACATACACTCACATATGGATGTGCTCAGGTTTTTTCCTCCTCTCTCAGGTGGTGATACAATCATAAATGGCAGCTAAGAGGTCTGGGGCAACAGTGGCAGATGCCATTGGGATCAGTGCTACCTGCTCATGCATCACACTGGTACACCAGCCCTACTCATGCTTAATCAAAAGCATACCTCTTCCTTCTTCGGATGAATCGTTGGTAGGCCCACCTAATCTTGTAACTTGGTATATCTGACAGAACCCAGCCCATAGGAGAAATTCTAGGCTCTTAGTCTCTTGGCATTTAATATTCAGACATCCTTTCTCTACCAGGGCCCAGTAGCACACCATGAGGTTTTTGTTTGTTTGTTTTAAAGTTTAAAGATCTACACTACCGTGGCCAATGGGCTTGCTCCAGAATCTCAGTGGCTTGTTTTGTAATTTTCCCACTGGGGCTTGCTAGAACCTGTCCATGGCATTGTTTCTCACCACTGATACCTCCAACACCATAGATCTGCTGAATCTTATGACCCAAGAGGCAGTACTGCTTTCACTAATAGTTGCAAAATGCTTTCCTTACTCTAAGCCTCCCTCTCAAAGGTGGTAGATTTTCATATCACCTAACATATGAACTGGAGATATATTCCTAGGTGTGGAATATGGTGCCCTAAAACCTGAAGAGATCTGTTATATGTTTTATTTTCTTCGTGGCTGCAGGTGCAAGATAGAACAATTTGTCTTTTACTTTGGAGGGGATGTCCAAACATGCTCCTTACCACTGGACCTCTAAACAGTTTTACAGATGTAGCAGGCCTTGACTCTTCATTGAGTTTATCTCTCACCCTCTGGAGCATATGTGTTTTACCAAGGCCTCCAACACACTTGGTATCTCTTCCTCGTCCATCCTAATTAATGTAATATTACTGACATAATAAATCAGCACAGTATTCTATGGGATGCCCAAATGGTCTAGACTTTTTTTGTGCTATGTTATGACAAATAGCAAGAGAGTTAACTAGCCCTGCCCTGCATCAAAACTACACACACACACACACACACACACACACACACACACACACACACACATATTTGACATTTCCATGTGAATTCAAGATTATTGTGATCCTCTTTTCTGATTGGGAAAGAATGTATTTGTCAAATCAACAGCTACAACCTGTGTACTGAAGCCATGTAAATCTGTTCTAAAAAAGATCCACATCAGGTTGGGAGGAGCAAGATGGCAGAATATAAGGTTTCACTGATCATACCCCCACAACCTAGGACACCAATTTAACAGCCATCTACACACACAAAAAGCACCTTTATAAGAACCAAACATCAGGTGAACACTCATAGTACCTGGTTTTAATCTCATATTACTGAAAGAGGCATTAAGAGGTAGGAAAAATAGTCTTGAATTACCAATGCCACCAATCTCCCATCCTTTGGCAGTGGCAGCATCGTGTGGAGAGTTTTGTTGTGGTGAGGAGGGGGCGATCGCAGCATTTGTGAGGCATTGAAATCAGTGCTGCCTTATTATAACAGAAAACAAAACCAGACCAAACTCAGCTGATGACTACCCATGAAGGGAGCATTTAAACCAGCCCTAGCCGAAGGGGACTCACCAATCCCAGCCATCCAAACTTGAGTTCCTGCAACCCTTGTCACTGCAGGCTAAAGTGTTCTGGGGTCCCAAATAAAGTTGAAAGGCAGTCTAGGCCACAAGGACTGCGACTCCTAGGTGAGTTCTAGTGTTTTGGACTGAGGGGCATGCAACATACTAAGACACCAGCCAGTGCAGCAAAGGAAGTGCTGTCATTACTTTTCCCCTAACCCCAGGCTACACAGCTTGCAGCTCCAAAAGAGACTCCTTCCATCCGCTTGAAGGTAAGAGAGGGAAGAGTGGGTAAGATTTTGTCTTGCATCTTGGATACTAGCTCAGCCACAGCAAACTAGGGCACTGGTTAGAGTTGTGAGGCCCCCTTTCCAGGCCCTAGCTCCAGGACAACATTTCTAGACACACTCTGGTCCAGAAGGGAACCTGTTACCTTGAAGGGAAGGACTCAGTCCTGGCAGGATTCATCATCTGCTAACTGAAGAGCCCTTGGATCCAGAATAAGAAGCAGTAATACCCAGGTATTATGTTGAGGGCCTTGGGTGAGCCTCTGAGACTTGCTGGCTTCAGGTGAGACTCAGCACATTCCCAGCTATGGTGGCTATGGAGCAAGACTCCTTCTGCTTGAGAAAAGCAGAGGGAAAAGCAAAGCGGACTTTGTCTTGCACCTTAGGTACCAGCTTGGCCACAGGGCTATAAGAGCACCAAGCAGGCTTTTGGGGCTCCCAGTTCTAGGACTTGGTTCTTGGACAGAATTTCTGGGGCTGCCCTGTGCCAGAGGGGAGACTTCAGCTTTGAAGGTTGGGTCCCAGGCCAGGCAACTTTCACCAGAATCTGACTTAGGAGATCTTGGGCCTTAAGGGAACATTGGGGTTAGTCTGGCAGTACTCCCTATAGGCTTGTGGTACTGGTGGCCATGGGGTGGGGCTTCTCTTCCCTTGGAAAAGTAAGAGAAGAATGGGAAGGACTGTGTGTTGTGGTTTCAGTGTCAGCTCAGCAGCAGTACAATAGAACACCAGGTAGACTTGTAAGGTTTTTGACTCTAGTCCCTGGTTTCTGGACAGCAACCCTGGACAAGTTCAGGGCCTGGAGGAAATCATCACTCTGAAGGGAAGGACACAGGCCTGGCTGGCTTTGCCACCTGTTGATTGTAGAGCCTCAGGGCTTTGAGTGAACATAAGCCATAGCCAGGGATTCATTACAGTAGGCCTTGGGCAAGACCCAGTGCTGTGCTGGTTTCAGGTCTGGCCCAGTGCTGTCCTAGTGGTGGTGGCCACAGGGGTTCTTGTGTCACACCACCTCCAGCTCCAGGTAGCTCAGAACAGAAAGAGAGAGAGAGAGAGAGAGACTCTGTTCCTTTGGAAGAAAGTACTGGAAGAGAACAAGAGTCTCTGCCTAGTAATCCAGGTAATTATTCTGGAACTTGTCCAAGACCATCAAGGCAGTACCTCAAGAAGCCTCTAAGAACCACAGCATTACTGGGCTGGGGTGCCCCCTAAAGCAGATACAGCTTAATCGCAACACCCAAGTCCTTTTGAATATCTGGAAAGTCTTCCCAAGAAGGACAACTACAAATAAGACTGAGAACACTACAATGAATACCTAACTCATCAATGCTCATACACCAAAGAACATCTACAAGGATCAACACAATCCAGTAAAATTTGACCTCACAAAATAAACTAAATAAGAAGCCAGGGAGAAATTCTGGAGAAACAGAAATATGACCCTTCAGACTGAGAATTCAAAACAGTTGTGTTTAGCAAACTCAAAAAAATTCAAGAGAACACAGAGAAGGAATTAAAAATTCTATCAGATAAATTTAACAAAGAGATTCAAGCAGAAATTCTGAAGCTGAAAAATGTAATTGCTATAATGAAGAATGCATCAGAGTCTTTTAATAGCAGAATTGATTAAGCAGAAGAATTAGCTTGAAGTTAGGCTATTTGAAAATACACAAGCGACAAAAGAAAAAATAATAAAAAACAATGACACACTCCTACAGGATTTAGAAAACAGCCTCAAAAGGGTACATCTAAGAGTTATTGGCCTTAAAGAGGAGGTGGAGAAAGAGATAGGAGTAGAAAGTAGAACTTTGGGAGTAGTACTCTCAAAGGTTAAGGATAAAGAAGGAATCCTAAAAGCAGTAAGAGAAAAGAAACAAATAACATACAATGGAGCTCCACTACATCTGGAAGCAGACTTTTCAGTGGAAACCTTATAGGCCAGGAGAGAGTAGCATGATATAAAGTGCTGAAGGAAAAAGAACTTTTACCCTAGAATAGTGTATCTGGTGAAAATGTCCTCAAACATGAAGAAGAAATAAAAACTTTCCCAGACAAACAAAAGCTGGGGGATTTCATTAATACCAGACCTGTCCTACAAGAAATGCTAAAGGGAATACTTCAATCAGAAAGAGAAAGATGTTAATGAGCAATAAGAAGTCACCTGAAGGTATGAAACTCACTGCTAATAGTAAATACACAGAAAAACACAGATTACTATACCACTGTAACTGTGTTGTGTAAACTACTATTAAGTAGAAAGACTAAATTATGAGCCAGCCAAAAATAATAAACACAATAACGTTTGCAGACATAGACAGTATAATAACATATAAATAGAAACAACAAAAAGTGAAAAAGTAGGGGGTCAAAGTTAAGTGACAGAGTCTTTGTGAGCTTTCTTTTTGCTTGTTTATGCAAACAGGGTTAAGTTATCAGCTTAAAATAATAGATTACAAGATAGTATTTGCAAGCATCATAGTAATCTCAAACCAAAAATCATACAATGAATACACAAAAAATAAAAATCAAGAAACAAAACCACATCCCCAGAGAAAATCACGTTCACTAAAAAGGAGACAGGAAGGAAAGAAAGAAAAGAAGACCACAAAACCAGAAAACAAATAACAAAATGACAGAAGTAAGTCCTTACTTATCATTAATAACATTGAATGTAGATTGTTGAAACTCTCCAATTGAAAGACAAAGACTTGCTGAATGGATGAAAAAACAAGACTCATTGATTTGTTACTCACAAGAAACACTTCACCTATAAAGACACCAATAGATAGAAAATAAAGGGATGGAAAAAGATATTCCATGAGGACGGAAAACTAAAAAGAGCAGGAGTAGCTACATTTATATTAGACAAAATAGATTTCAAGACAAAAACTGTAAGAAGAGACAAAGAAGGTCACTATAAAATGATAAAGGGGTCAATTCAGCAAGAGGATGTAGAATTGTAAGTATATATGCACACAACACTAGAGCACCCAGATATGTGAAGGAACTATTATTAGAGCTAAAGAGAGAGATAGGACACCCAATACAATAAGAGCTGGAGATTTCAGTATCCCACTTTAAGCACTGAACAGTTCTTCCAGACACAAAATCAACAAAGAAACATTGGACTTAGTCTGCACTATAGACTAAATGGACCTAATAAATATTTAAAGAACATTTCATCCAACAGCTGCCGAATACACATTCTCCTCCTCAACACATGGATTATTCTCAAGGACAGACCATAGGTTGTCACAAAATAGGTCTTAAAACATTCAAAAAATTGAACTAATATCAAGCATCTTCTCTTACCACAGTGGAATAAAACTGGAAACCAATAACAAGAGGGATTTTGGAAACTATACAAATGCATGGAAATTAAACAATATGCTCCGGAGTGACCAGTGGGTCAATGAAGAAATTAAGCAGGAAAATGAAAAATGTCTAGATACAAATGATAATGGAAACACAGTGTATCAAAACCTATGGGATACAGCAAATGCAGTACTCAGAGGGAAGTTTAAAGCTATAAGTCCCTACATCAAAAAAGAGGAAAAACTTCAAATGAATGATCTAATAATGCATCTTAAAGAACTAGAAAAACGAGAGCAAGCCAAACTTAAAATTAGTAGAAGAAAATATATAATAAAGATGAGAGCAGAAATAAATAAATCTGAAACAAAAAACAATACAAAAGAGAAATGAAACAAAAAATTGTTGTTTTAAATTGTGAAACAAAATCAACAAACCTTCAGCCAAACTGAGAAAAGGAGAGAAGATCCAAATTGATGAAATTAGAGATGAAAAAGGAGACATTACAACAGATATGACAAAAATTCAAAGGATCATTAGTTGCTACTATGAACAACTACATGCCAACAAATTGGAAAATCTAGAAGAAATGGACAAATTCCTAGAGACATACAACCTGCCAAGATTAAACTGGGAAGAAATCTAAAATCTGAACCTATCAATAAAAAATAATGAAATTGAAGCCATAATAAAAAGTCTCCCAGCAAAGAAAAGTCCTGGAAAAGATGGCTTCACTGCTGAATTTTACCAAACATTTAAAGAAGAACCAATCATATTCTAAGTATTCTGAAAAAATGGAGTAGGAGGGAATACTTCCAAACTCATTCTACGAGGACAGTATTATCCTGATACCAAAACCAAAGAAAGACACCTCAAAACCCAAAAACTACATGGCAGTATCTTGATGAATATTGATGCAAAAATCCTCAACAAAATACTAGCAAACTGAGTTCAGCAATACATTAAAAAGATCATTCATCATGACCAAGTGGGATTTATCCTAAGTATGCAAGAATGGTTCAACATATGCAAATCAATCAATGTGACACTTTATATTAACAGAATGAAGAACAAAAAACATGATTATTTTGATTGATGCTGAAAAAACATTTGATAAAATTCAACATCCATTTATGATAAAAACCCTTAAAAACTGAGGGTAGAAGGAACATACCTCAACATAATACAAGCCATATACAACAGACTCACAGCTAGTAACATACTGAAGGGGAAAAAAACTGAAAGCCTTTTCTCTAAGACCTGGCACATGACAAGGATGCCCACCTTTGCTACTGGTATTCAACATAGTACTGGAAATCCTAGCTAGAGCAATCAGGCAAGAGAAACAAATGAATGGCATCAAAATTGGAAAGAAAGAAGCCAAATTATCTTTGTTTGTAGATGATATGGCTATTTGGAAAAACCTAAAGACTCCACAGGAAAACTATTAGAACTTATAAACAAATTCACTAAAGTAGCAGGATATAAAATCAACATACAAAAGTCAGCAGCATTTCTATATGCCAATAGTGAATAATCTGAAAAAGAAATCAAGAAAGTAATCATATTTACAATAGCCACACGTAAAATTACATACCTAGGAATTAACTTAACCAAAGAAATGAAAGACCTCTATGATGAAAATTATGAAACACTGATAAAAAAAGTAAAGAGGACACCAAAAATGGAAATATATTCTGTTCATAGATTGGAAGAATAAATATTGTTCAAATGTTCACACTACCCAAAGCAACCTACAGATTTTATGCAATTCCTGTCAAAATACCAAAGACATTCTTCACAGAAATAGAAAAACAATGTTAAAATTCATATGGAACCACCAAAGACCCAGAATAGCCAAAACTATCCTAAGCAAAAAGAACAAAGCTAGAGGAAACACCTTACCTGACTTCAAATTATAATACAGAGCTATAGTAACTAAATAGCATGGTACTGGCATAAACATCGACACAGAGACCAATGGAACAGAATAGAGAACCCAGAAACAAATCCATATACCTTTAGTGAACTCATTTTTGGCAAAGATGCCAAGAACATACATTGGGGAAAAGAGAATCTCTTCAATAAATGGTGCTGGGAAAACTGGATATCCATATGCAGAAGAATCAAACTAGACCCCTATCTCTTGCCATATGCAAAAATCAAGTATAATGGGTTAAAGACTTAAATCTAAGGCCTCACACTATGAAACTACTACAAGAAAATATCAGGGAAACTCTAGGACATTGGTCTAGACAAAAACTTCTTGGATATTACCCCACAAGCACAGGCAACCAAACCAAAACGGACAAATAGGAGTACAACAAATTAAAAAGCTTCTGCACAGCAAAGAAAACAATCAACAAAGTGAAGATGTAAATTAGTACAACTACTATGGAGAACAGTTTGGAGGTTTTTCGAAAAACTAAAAATCGAGCTACCATATTATCCAGCAATCCCAGTGCTGGGCATATACCCAAAAGAATAGAAATCAGTATATGGAAGAGATATCTGCACTCTCATATTTGTTGCAGCACTGTTTACAATAGCTAAGATTTGGAAGCAACCTAAGTGTCCATAACAGATGAATGGATAAAGAAAATGTGGTATATGTACACAATGGAGTACTATTCAGCCATAAAAAAAAATGAGATTCTGTCATTTGCAAAAACATGGATAGAATTGGAGGTCATTATGCTAAGTGAAATAAGCCTGGCACAGAAGGACAAATATTGCATGTTCTCACTTATTTGTGAGATCTAAAGATCAAAACAATAGAACTCGTGAAGGTAGAGAGCAGAAGGATGGTTACCAGTGGCTGGTAAGGGTAGTGGGTGGGTTGGGGGAGGTGGAGATGATTAATGGGTACAAAAAGTAGTTTGGAAGAATGAATAAGACCTACTATTTGACAGCACAACAGGGTGACTATAGTCAATTACAATTTAATTGTATATTTAAAAATAACTAAAAGAGTATAATTGAATTGTTTATAACACAGGATAAATACCTGAGGGGACGGATACTCCATTTTACATGATGTGATTATTACACTTTGCATACCTGTATTAAAACATCTCATGAACTCATAAATATATACACCTGCTATGTACCCACTAAACTTTAAATAAAAATTAACAAATGAATAAACAAAATTATTAAAGCAAAATCAAAAATCAACAAAACAAAAGATCCACATCTGGGAAAGTGGTTATGATTCAGAACTACTACTTGGTTAAACTTGGTGTAGTCTATAGTTACCCTTCAGGGACCATTGGGTTTCTGCAGGGCCAGACTGGTAAACTCAATGGAGATTTGATGGGGACCACCACACTTGCATTTGTTAGATTTTTAAGGGTGGCACGAATTTCTGTCGTCTTCCTTCCTGTTCCAGGATGCAAGATTGTTTTTTAATTACTATCTTGATTAAGAGGCAGTTTCAGATGCTCCCATGTGCCCTTCCTCACTGTGATGGTTCTTGCTCCATAGTCCAAGGATCCAACATGGCCATTGCTTGAACTGCTAAATATGTCAGTCTTATACATTTGGACAAGGTGGGAATGATCATCAAGTGTGTCCACAAATCTAGTGGATCTACTGTAAGCTAGACTCTGGCCAGGAATCTATATTATTACCTAGCCCTTTTATTTTTTCACTGTAGCAGGGAGATGATAATGACCCTTCTGATCTCTGGATAATAATGTTGATTCAGTCCCATGGTCCAGGAGTCCTTGAAATGTTCAGGCATTCTTTCACCCCAGCATACCTATATCTGAGTAAATGACTGTAATACTCTTTGAGAAAGGACTGAGGGAACTATTATTGTGTATACTTGCCATGATTTTGCAGAGACCTTCCTCTTGTGGATCCAGCCACTTTAACCCATTAATCCAGGTCATAAAATTGGCTTAGGTTTAGAAATTGTGCCAGGAATCATATTTTTATTGGAGTTGCTTCTTTTATTGTCCCAGTCATCCAGTCTTAATTTCTTGTTCCATGCTCATCTATTTTGCCTGTAAGATCTTATATTCTGTTAGCCATCTCCATAACATTCTTATAGATCAGACTCTATTGACCGCCACTCTAACGTTGTCAGGCATTGTGGCAATTGTGTCCTTGTGGCTTTGGGCATTTAAGCTTCACTACTTGACCTCTATAGTTTTGGCATCTTCTCATACACATTACTATCAGCAAGCTAAATTATTTACTGACTGTCCTGCTGTAAGCCCTAGTCTGCAGAGCAGATACATAACTGAACTTCTTAAGTGAAGCTGGTGCCTCTCTTATCAGAGCGTTCTTTATGGCCTTGGTGTATTGTGTGTATCCAGATCCATCCTGGGGAACATAATCATCTGATGAGTCTCTCTCAGCTGTACAAAGTAGATCACTCTACCATGCCTATTTCTCTGAGCCTTTACATCTTTTTTTCCACCATGTGCTCTGGCATTTCAACTTCATTCAGTATGGGCCATCACTTTTTCCCTGCTTTTAGGAGTTGTTCCATTAGAAGTTCACACTATATCTTGGAGTCCTCACCAGGATGTTAAATCCTGTACCTCTGGAGAACACTCACAAGTCCATAGACTCTGTATCCAATTTTATGATATACATCCCTTTTATCAAACACCCTCAGAATCCAGTCTCATGTGTTCCTCTCTGAGCATGTGCTGGGACATGCTGACTGGTTCTTAGAACTTCTTTGGGGTATAATTCCTTTCCTCCCTCATCAAGCCCAACACCTTTCCAGCTGGGTTATGATTCACTTTATCCCTAATCATAGGCTTAGTTGCCAGGAGAAGTGTTGTGAGGCAGATATTGAGGTGGGTACCTGTTGCCTTTTGGGTAGAGAATTCTGTATTGTCTTCCTGCAATGGTATGGAGAACTAACTCTTACTAGATGAGCTACATCTGTAGACTCCCGAGGTTTAGTAGTGTCTACTACTTCCTCCATAAAAGTCTGATACATTTTTCCCATCAGTACCTTCCTTCCTGTGGGACCACTCTCCCAATTTTGGTGAAAGTTTTAACAGTTGGACCAACACTTTGGGCCAGGAGCTGTCTGTGTTCCACCTGTCACTGGTGAGGGGCTTCTCACTGCCAGCCTGGCAGTAAGTGATCCATCTCCGAAGGCCAATCTTATTACCTGCTAATGCTGATCATTCTTGGCACTATTTTCCACATGCTGCATGTTCTGGAAGCAGACACTGAGATGGAGTTTAGAGTACACGATATTGTTTATGGACCAACACCTTTGAAAGGAAGCATGATTGAGTTGATGGAGGAGTCGACATGTAATGTAGTCCTGAAAAACCTTGGCCAACCTAATGAGGAACTCTGGAACAAATGTTGCCCTTCACAGTTGCTCCCAGACAGGCTGAAATGGCCAGGCCTTTTAACTTACCACCCCTCACCAACTTTGCTCAGTCATCAGATGATGACAGCCTTGAGAAAGTCATTATATTGCATCACATTGCTCTTTGTAGGCATTACCTGAGACCAACTGGCTCTGCAATTGAGGTGGACCACGAAGGAGGTGACAGCTGGAGCCTGTGTGCCGATCACACTCCCTGCAGGGGTGCAGCAAGTCCATGTATATCACATACCCCACCATTCTGGTCACCTGTGTCAGTACCGGTTACCGTTTGTGAACGATCTCACTAATGGAAAGGTTCAGAGAAGAACACAGTATTGCCCCAAGGGACTCTGTCATTAGCACACAGTGCCCTGCAACCAGCACCTCCTTTGAGCAGGATCTGATACATGGTCCACACCCTCAACATGGCATTTGTTTGCTTTTTCAATCATATTATCCAAATATGCAAAGCTACTGTGGAGAAGGGAAGGAAAAGCAGCAGTTACTGAAGTGGTATACAGTGGGAAGGATATGGTATTGGAGTCAGGATGAGATCGGTGGGAATCTCTGTCCTGCCATTACTTGCTCTGTGACCAGCACACATTTGATTGTCCATAAACACTGGTGAAAACTGTTTTGAAGTGATTTAAAGTTACTTAAGATCGTTAAGCCTCTTTCCTTCTCTGTAGAATGGGGATAATAAATACCTACCACACAGGATTATTCTGATAATTAAATCAAATAATGTAACTATGAAAAATTGTCCACTGGTACATCTCCAGCACCAATAAGAGTATCTGGCCCTTATGTAGCACTCAAATATTTGAATGAATGAATGCATAGATGAATCAATACATTTGGTGTGTAATAAATACTAACTTTTATGATTATTACACACTAAACGTATTACATGTATATCTCCTGTAATCTTTGAACAATCCTATAATTGTTGTGTCTTTACCATTTTACAGGTGAGAAAACAGGCTCAGAAAAGGTAAAGTTATATTGCTAATAATTATTAAATGAGCCAGAATCAGAGCCCAGATTTCTGTGCCTTAAGAACCTGTGCTCTTTTTCCCATGCAACTTACTGCTTTCTATCATCTCTACCATCATATTGACATCAGCCAGGTGGTGGATTTTCTGATAGAAGGTCAACCTTTTCAGAGGAAGGTGTTCTCATTTTCAATGGCTGAGGGTGCTGACAATTTGAGAATTCTTTAGGTTCTGTTAAGAATACATGCTTTACTTTCAAGTACCAACCCACTTTTCCATATTTTCAAAGAGCAGTTCCCCAACATACAGACTTTTGACAATGGGGCAAGCATCCATAGAAAGTTAAGAAAGAAGATTCATTCATTAGTCAAGGTTTTATCTCAGCTGTGAGCCAATGCTAAAATGAACATTATACAACATATATTACACACTTTAAAAGCATTTTTTTTTTTTTTTTGCTGCTGCAAGTTTTTCTTCCTGTCTTCCTTATTCTTCTACTGATGTTTGCTAGTGGCTTGGTAAATTAAGTGTGCTATTGGGCTTGGGCATGACCCCTCTGAAGGGAATTGCCCCAATCCCATCAGTATGTGCCATTCACCAAGCTCAAGTCCACTAAATAATTTTTGTTAAGATAATGATTTCAAGATATTCAAAGAGCCAGTGTGGAGCTCTTTGTTTTCTTTGTCCTGTGTCCTTAGAACCCTGAATCCAGCAAAATGTTTCTCTTTCTGACCAGGTGAAAATAGGCCATAATTAGCCTTGCCCAGGGCTCTTGAATACACAGCTAGCCCTGCATCTTCATCTTTAATCTTGGGACCAGGATCTCATGTGCTTGTTTAAGCGTATAAAGCATGTTATACAATACTCAATTTAGTGTTGGCTCACAGCTGGGATTAAACCTTCTTTGATGAATGAACCTTTCAAATCTAAAGGCAATTGCTAAATATCAAAATCTTTGAACTGGCAGCAGTACAATACCACACATGCTAGGAAGTGTAAGAAGCTTAAAAACAAGAATTTTGTTGTTGTTGTTAATTTTAGCTGTCCTACACTGTAAGAAGACTTACCAGCTCTATGGCTCCATGCTTAAAAAATAATGAGAATGGGTATGATCTTACTCTTAGTAATTGAGGTTTGGGCAGGATTGAGAGTATTCACCATATTCTTCATGTTCTTCATTTTCTCACATGAGGGGTAGCTTTTTCCAGTAAGCCACTGCCAGATCATTACTTCACTATTTACAAACTCTATCCATTATCATCATTATCACCATCATCCTCAGCATCATCAAATATCATTGTAGAACATGATCATACCTCTATCTTAATATCCCCTCCTCAAGCCTGTTTGTTTCAGGACTTTCTTTCTAAACCACTTCAGAATTGTTTAGTCTGATGGTTAATTGCCATGATTCACTCAAAGTTCAGTGATATTATGTTCTTTTGGGATGGCATATGTCTCTTTTCTTCAATTCTTACTCTCACAAAGAAAACCAAATTGTCCCCATCTTGAAAACATATACAGAATGTGATTACATGTATGTATGTTGTATATACTCATACAATTTTTGTACATATAACCTCTAACCTGGACCACAGCCAATAGCCTCCTAACTGGTCGTCTCTCTGGTCAGTCTACATGGTCACTCTTGTGCCTACAATCCATTTTTTTTCTACAATAGCAGCCTGAATGATCCTTTATAAATGTAAATCAGGTCATGTCACCCTCCTTCTTAGAAGTTTCCAACCGCTTTTTTTTTTTTTTTTTTTTTTTGAGACAGAGTCTTGCTCTGTTGCCCAGAGTGCAAGGGCACAATCTTGGCTCACTGCAACCTTTGCCTTGCAGGTTCAAGTGATTCTCCTGCCTCAGGAGTGCACTGCTTGTCACCTTGAACCCATACACATCCCCTGAGATCATACATAATCTTCAAATAAGGACAATAAGAAGGCCATAATTATGCCTAACATAATACAACTATCCTTCATATAACCGGAAATCCACCAATCCCCAACCCAAATACTATACATAAAGTTAACAATACTTAAATACTGATGTGAAGTCAATAAATCTTATGTCACATGATAAAGGAGAAAGAAAATAAAATGAAGATATCTTCTTAGTACAAGTGTATGCATGCACAAACATGGTTTTAGCAAAAGATGGAGGAAATACTCATGACAATTACAGTCCTCGTTTCTGCAGCTGGTCACATGGTCATAGCTGGTATTGATGAGTACCTTCTTCTACTACTCATTCTGTATTCCCTTTACCTTCAGCAAGCACCTCAGCAGGTTGTGGTTTTTCTCCTAGTGGAGTGACCCAAACCTTCATTCCTGAAGGGTCTGGGTCATTTGTAGTCCTGCCTGTATTGGGCTGTTACAGTTTCCCATTGACCTTAATCACAGAGGAAGAGATGCCCTAATGGATCTCCTGTATTCCATGCATACTCTTCCTTACCTCTGTTGTGGAGTAGTAGACTGAATTCATCTTGATAGTCCAGGTCAGTCACCCCAGCCAACACTGAAACTCCCTTCTTAGCTTGTTGACTTAAAGGTAGGGGGAGCCCAAAGTGTCCACGTGGCAATCTTAACTTCCAGTTTAATGGAATTGTTGTTGGGTCTCCTGGTGGCAGTGTTCCTCCCTCTAGAAGTAAGACTTCTAGGTTAGCAGAACGGAATGTCGTGGGAACAGGAAGCAAAAATTTTGCTAGTGTATCACTACGGGTGATGGTGAGTGGTGCCACTTCCACTTCCACCCCTTGATTCCTGGGCCTGTGAATTCTGGCTATGGGAGAAACAGTACCATATATTGGATGCTGATTCAGAGCATACATGGTTTCTGGAGAACTTTGCCCTAGCCCTGCAAAGTATTGTCACCTAGTTGACATTGTAATTATGACTTCAAAAGGCCATTCCACCATTCTGTCAGTCCAGCTGCTTTAGAATGATGGTGAACATGGTAAGACCAGTGAATTCCATGAGCATGGGCTCACTTTCACACATCTTTGGCCGTAAAGTGAGTGCCTTAGTCAGAGACATGCTGTGTGGAATACCATGATGGTGGATAAGGCATTCTGTGAGTCCACGGATGGTAATCTTGGCAGAAGCATTGTGTGCAGGATAGGCAAACCCATATATGGAGTAAGTGTTTATTCCAGTGAGGATAAATGTCTGCCCTTTCCATGATGAAAGAGCTCTGATATAGTCAACCTGCTACCAGGTAGCTGGCTGATCACCCTGAGGAATGGTGCCGTATCGAGGGCTCAGTGTTGGTCTCTGCTGCTGGCAAATTGGGCACTCAACAATGCCCGTAGCCAGGTCAGCCTTGGTGAATGAAAGTTCATGTTCCTGAGCCCATGCGTAACCTCCATCCCTGCCACCATGGCCACTTGGTTCATGGGCCTATTGGGCGATGACAGGGGTGGCTGAGGAAAGAGGCTGAGTGGTGTCCACAGAACGGGTCATCCTGTCCACTTGATTATTAAAATCCTCCTCTGCTGACATCACTCGTTGGTGAGCACTCACATGGGATACAAATATCTTCACAGTTTTTGACCACTCAGAGCAGTCCATCCATATACCTCTTCCCCAGATTTCGTTGTCACCAGTTTTCCAATCATGCTTCTTCCAAGTTCCTGACCATCCAGCCAAACCATTGGCTATGCCCATTAATCAGTATATAATCGCACACCTGGCCATTTCTCCTTCCATGCAAAGTGCACAACCAGGTGCACTGCTTGAAGTTCTGTCCACTGGGAAGATTTCCCTTCACCGCTATCCTTCAGGGATATCCCAGAAAGGGATTGTAGTGCTGCAGCTGTCCACTTTCGGGTGGTGCCTGCATATCATGCAGAACCATCTGTGAACCAGGCCCTAGTCTTCTCTTCCTCTGTCAACTGATCATAAGGAACTCTCCATGAGGCCATTGGTGTAGGCTGGGAGAGAGAAGGCGGGGTGGCAGGAGTGGAGACCATGGGCATTTGAGCCACTTCCTTGTTTAGTTAAACAAGTGCCTTCAGGAACTGCTCGAGCCTGATCACATATATACCACTTCAATTTGATGATGGAATGCTGTTGTGCATGACCCACTTTATGTCTAGATGGGTCAGAAAGCACCCAGTTCATGATAGGCAGTTCAGGTTGCATGGTGACTTGATGACCCATAGTCAAACCTTCAGTTTCCATCAAAGCCCAGTAACAGGCCAAGAGCCGTCTCTCAAAAGGAGAGTAGTTATCTGCAGAAAATGGAAGGGCCTTGCTCCAAAGTCCTAGAGGCCTCCATTGTGATTCACCTATGGGGGCCTGCCAAAGGCTCCAAACAGCAACCCTATCTGCCACTGACATCTCAAGCACCGTTGGATCTGCCGAGTCATATGGCCCAAATGGCAGAGCAGCTTGCACAGCAGCCTGGACCTGTTGCAGAGCCTTCTCCTGTTCCAGACCCCACTCAAAACTGGCAGCCTTTCGGGTCACTTGATACATGGGCTGGAGTAACACACCCAAATGAGGAATGTGTTCCCTCCAAAATCCAAATAGGCCCACTAGGTGTTGGGCCTCTTTCTTGGTTGTAGGAGGGGCCAAATGCAGCAACTTATCCTTCACCTTAGAGGAATATCTCGACAGGCCCCACACCACTGGACTCCTAGAAATTTTACTGAGGTAGAAGGTCTCTGAATTTTAGTCAGATTTATTTCCCATCCTCTGGCATGCAAATGTCTCACTGATAAGTCCAGTGTGTTTGGTATTTCTTGCTCACTGGATCCAGTCAGCATAATGTCATCAATGTAATGGACCAGTGTGATATCTTGCAGAAGCAAAAAGTGATCAAGGTCTCTCTTAATAAGATTATGACACAGAGCCGGAGAGTTAATATACCCCTGAGGTAGGACAGTAAAAGTATATTGCTGGCCTTTCCAGCTGAAGGCAAATTGCTTCTGGTAGGCCTTATGGACAGAAATGAAAAAAAAAGGCATTTGCTAAGTCAATGGCTGCATACCAGGTACCAGGATATGTGTTAATTTGCTTAAGCAATGAAACCACATCTGGTACAACAGCTGCAATTGGAGTCATCACTTGGGTAAGCTTACAATAATCCACTGTCATTCTCCAACATCCATCTGTCTTCTGCACAGACCAAATGGGAGAGTTGAACGGGGATGTGGTGGGAATCACCACCCCTGCGTCTTTCAAGTCCTTGGTGATGGCACTAATCTCCACAGTCCCTCCAGGGATGCGATGCTGTTTTTGATTTACTATTTTTCTAGGTAGAGGCAGCTGTAATGGCTTCCATTTGGCTTTTCTCACCATAATTAGCCCTCACCCTACCAGTCAAGGAGCCAATATGGGGGTTCTACCAGCTGCTAAGTATGTCTATGCCAATTATGCATTCTGGCACTGGGGAAATGACCACAGAATGAGTCTGGGGACACACTGGACCCACTATAAGTCAGACCTGAGCTAAAACTTCATTAATTACCTGATCTCCATAGCCCCTACTTTAACTGGAGGACCACATGATGTTTTGGGTCCCCTGGAATCAACGTCAGCAAAGAGCCAGTGACCAGTAGTCCCCAAAATGTCTGATCATATCCCTTTCCCCAATGCACAGTTACCTTGGTAAAAGGCCAGTAGTCTCCTTGGGGAAGGATGGGAGAAAGATTCACTGCATAAATTGTCAGTAGTGTAGTGAGGTCCTTCCTCAAGGGGACCCAGCCTCCCCTTCATTCAAGGGGTTCTGGGTCTGTAAAGTGGGTCAAGTCTGGAAATTGATTGAGGGGCCGTGATTCTCTGTTTTTATAATTAAAATTAGTCATGTATCCATTCAACCTAGAAGTTTTCTGCTTGTATAAATTAAGTAGAAATGCAGTAGGCTTCCTATCAATTTCACTTCTAGGAACACTGTGATTAATTAGCCAATGCCAGACCTCTACATGAGTCAAACTATTCTGATTGCTGCTTTGTCTCTGCTGTCCATTACGGTTGCTATGGCCACCTTGCCTTTGACAGTTGAGTGCCGTCACTTGGCCCCTGCCACCTCAGGATCCAATTATTCCCATTGTATTTAAATTTTGTAGTTGAGTGACTGTGGTTCCCACTGTTAGATCTGACATACAGAGAAGAGCAATTACAGGGCTCTTCAAAGATGCAGGTGCTGCCCTCACAAATCTGTTTCACAAGGTATTGGTCAAGGGTGTAACTTCTGGATCCCTCAGCTGGATGAGTAGATCTAAAGTGACTGATCCACTCCACAATCCCAATCTCTATAAGCCTTTGGATCCCTTCCTCTACGTTAAACCAAGGGAGATCAGGCATTTCCAGCTCACTCACAATGGGCCATCTTTTTTTTTATTATTATTATACTTTAAGTTCTAGGGTACATGTGCAAAATGTGCAGGTTTGTTACATATGTATACATGTGCCATGTTGGTGTGCTACACCCATTAACTCGTCATTTACATTAGGTATATCTCCTAATGCTATCCCTCTCCCCTCCCCTGACCCCACAACAGGCCCCAGTGTGTGATGTTCCCCTTCCTGTGTCCAAGTGTTCTCTCTGTTCAATTCCCACCTATGAGTGAGAACATGCAGTGTTTGGTTTTTTGTCCTTGTGATAGTTTGCTGAGAATGATGGTTTCCAGCTTCATCCATGTCCCCACAAAGGACATGAACTCATCATTTTTTATGGCTGCATAGTATTCCATGGTGTATATGTACCAACAATGGGCCATCTTTTAATCCACATTTCAGCTAACCAAGCAAATGAACTATTAGAACCTTTTTTAACTCCCCGAGCTGCAACATTAAATGCAAAGTCCCTACTTAGTGGGCCCAAATTAATAAATTCAGCCTGATCCAACTCTGTGTTTCTTCCATCATTATCCCTCATGCTTAATATCCAGTCTCATACCTGTTCTCTAGATTTCTGTTTATATAAATTAGAAAACTGAAGCAGTTCTTTTCTAGTGTAGTGCGCCTCCTCATGGGTCACACTCTCAACCTCTCCTCTAGGGGCCCACCTGGACTTTAGTCTAGTTATAGGTCTAGAAGTAAACAGGGGTGTTGAGGGTGGCTCCTGAGGAGAATCAACATTATTTTGCCTGGCAACTGCCTCAGGGTACACTATCACTGTTGCCTCAGGCAGCGCAGGGTTTATCTCCTCAGACAAAGGTGGAAAAGCTGATGGCAGCATGGGTCGGGGAGGGGGTGTTACTACTACTGGGGATGGGGAAGCTGCTTCTTCCGGCAAAAAAAAGTTTCATCAGAGTTTACAAACTCAGCATCCCCAGCTTCATCAGAGTCCTCCCAGACATCCCCATTCCAAGTTGCATGGTCCCATTCTTTTCCAATCAATGCCCTCACTTTAACAGTAGGCACCTGGCAAGGCTGTGCATGCACCTTTCGTTGCAGGTCAGCCACTCGCATGATAAGAGCTTGTGTCTGCTTTTCCACAACTTCAGTGCTTTCTCTACAGGAGATAAGACTCTCACTCAGGGCAATCTTAGCAGATGTGAGGCTCAGTATCTGCTTCTAAAGCCGGGAGATAAAATCCCTGAGTTCATCATTTTCTTTCATCATGTTGTCCACTGAACACATGTGGTCAAAGGTATTATGAAAAGAGTCAGTAAACTCCTTGCCTCTCATGAGCGATGAATCAGGAGTGTCAAATGCATTTATTTTGCATAACTCTCTAAACAGTTCACACCAAGGACTATCAGTATTTTCCATACTATGAGAAGTAGAGTCCTTTGCATTTTGGGGTATAATCATATTAAGCAACCAACTCCAGAAACCCTAAAACCATCCTTAATATTCTGTTCGTCTAGAACCACTCCTGGTACCAAAATCTGTATTAGTCAGAGTTCTTAGAGAGACAGAACTAATGGAATATATATATGTGTGTATATATATATATAAAGTATTAACTCACATGATCACAGGGTCCCACAATAGGCTGTCTGCAAGTTGAGAAACAAGGAGAACCAGTCTGAGCTCCAACACTGAAGAATTTGGAGTCTGATGTTCAAGGGCAGGAAGCAACCAGCATGGGAGAAAGATGTAGGCTGGGAAGCTAGGCCAATCTCCCTTTTCACATTTTTCTACTTGCTTATATTCTAGCTGTGCTGGCAGCTGATTAGATTTTGCCCACCCAGATTAAGGGTAGGTCTGCCTTTCCCAGCCCGTTAACTCAAATGTTAATCTCCTTTGGCAACACTCTCACAGACACACCCAGGATCAATACTTTGTATCCTTCAATCCAATCAAGTTGGCACTCAGTATTAACCATCACAGCTCCTTAATAGCAGGGGCTATGTGTTTTTGGCTCTCTGTATCCACAGGTTCTAGCACAGTGCCAGGCACAGGATAGGAGCTCAGTACATGAGCAAAGGAGGCACAGCTGCACTGGAGCATTTGTATGCAGAGCACTTCCCTCAGCTGGCTGGGGAACAATCAGGAAATGAGATGGATGATTTAGGCCTTGAGTTGCTTATGATCTAGTTAGGGAGATGAAAAGCAGAAAGCAATCATGCACACACACACAACAACAACAACAAAACAACAACAACAACAAAGACAAGAACAAAAAGAACAGTTGACAGTTGTCAAGTATGAAAATTAACAGAAATCAGCAAGGAGGGCTTAATAAAGGTTGCAGTTATTGTTATCTTCATTTAGTAGATGTCAAAACAAGACTCATAAAGGTGATGAAAGCCATAGATTTATGCCCATAATTCATTCAGACATGCCAGGAAATTTCAGTCAATTTGATTTGCTGGGGCCCATCTCCCAATTCCTGTGATTGACTAGGGCCCAAAGACTTGGGAAGCATTATTACTGGAAAAATCATAGTAATGAAACTTGCTGAAGATTAATGACTATATCTTACAGCTGCATCTGGTTCCATGACATCTGTGCCCATCGACTCAGAAAGCAGTGCCACATTCTCTTGAGTAATTGTAGCCAAAGTTATGGAGGCTGGCAGCTATGGCCCCTGTAGCAGGCACTGGAGGTGGGAAAATAGAGTAGGGAGGTGTGGGGGAGGAATATGCTTTTAACAAGGACCATAGACAAGGGGATTAGAGAGGCCTCTTTACAAATGGATGGCAGAACATTGTAGGCTATTGGTTATGAGCTAGGGCATTGGAACCACACTGTTTTCTTCAAATTCTGGCTCTGCTTAGGAACCACGATGAACTTGTTAATTCTGGCTGTGGCATGTTAATCAACCCTTTTATGACTTTGCTGTTTCATCCATAAAGTGGAACTAATAACAGTGCCTACCTCATCAGATTTTTATGAGTGTTAAATGAAATAATATATGCAAAATGCTTGGCATATAGCCAGTGCTTAACAAACATTTGCTATTACTATATCCTACCAGTATTTTCCACACTGTGGTTGCAACCCATTAATAGATGATGATAAATATGTAGTCATGACCTGGATATTTTATTAATGAGACAGCAATGAATAAAAAAATGTGAATGCATTGAATGTTGGAGATGGAAATATTGTTTTTGAAACTTGTTCCATGTGTTTGTGTGTGCATGTATATATAATATATACATATGTATACACATAAATGCTCACATACATATACACATACACAGATGAGTACACATGAAAACATGCATACTTACACATGAAAATATGTAGATCCATTTATACAAGCAAACACAAACCTATAAATATACACACATTCACAGCATATACACATATATATACTTGCACACATATTCACAGGTATGCAAACACACATACACAAGGAAACATGCATACAAACTTACAAATACATTTAAATACATGTATACCTATGCACACACACATATACACATGCACATATGCATATGTAAACATGCAATGCACTAACATAAAATACACACATATACAAATACATATACAAATACACACATATTAACATATACATACATACATACGTATACACATATACATACGTACATGCCAAAATATACATACGTATATATGTATATACAAACACACACACAACAAACATGCATACACAGATGCATAGGCATACATTGGCATACACACATGCACATACGTATGCCAACATACAGACACAAATGCATGTTCACACATGCTGATGCACGTGCTCGTATAAACACATATACATATACACATATATACACATACACAGATACAGGCACATGCCTATACATATACCTACACAATATACATACATACTCATATACATATGTACAAACACATAAACATACATACCTACACACATTCATACACATATGCAAACACACACACACACACACACACACACACACACACACACACACATTCACATCATTGTTCTGTTTTGCATGAGAACCAGGCTCTACATTTCAGATGTGCCCATGCCTCTGATCTATGTTCAAACTAGATCAGTCCTCAAACCCACAGCATACCTAATGGTGAAACACATCTTATCACACCAGGAGAATTTTAAAATCATTATTGGAAGATTTCATTTCTGCTTTTAAACAATTTATATTCATATTATCTATCAAAGTGAAGATCTGAAAAGAGCTTTGCTTTGAATTCATTTCCAGCCTTACTTTTGAATCTTTATAAGAAGAAACACAAAGCATCAGAAACTGTTGCTCTTCATCCAGGAAAGGATAATTTTTGGAGTTACTGAGCTTGGCCATTTGCCACTCAGTAAAGAGTGGGTGACATCAACAGTTCATGCTTAAATTCTCAGCTTCCAAGAGATGCTGGAATTGGCTCACATCATCAAAGCCTGGCTCCATGGGACTGACAAGTGCTGCCGGGAATTGTTTCATCTGACCTATTTTGGAATGGCTGATCCCTAACTAGAATTCAAGGAGAAAGGGAAGGGGAATTTGTATGAATTAAACCTATCACAAAAACATACATGTAGAGAAGTCCCAAAGTTTTCCTTTTTACTGACCTGCTGCAGAGGAGCATATTGACCTGGGAAACCACGTGTTGAAGATGATGGAACCATCGGTAGAAGGAGCCTGGGTCCCTAATTCTCCATTTAGAAGACAGCTGTCTGCCTAACAGGAGCATCCATGTGGGCTTCTAATGAGTGAGAAGTAAACTATTGTGTTTGAGCCAGTTGTATATATTGGATCTTTTTGTCCTGGAAGTTATCCTACCCTAACTAACACAAGTGTCTTATGTGAGATGCATCTTTCTGGATTTATAATTTGGATTTCAAAGTAATGTGAAGCTATTTAAAACCCTCTCTACTGATTTTGGCCATTAGTACTTGTGCTCTGTAAGTAGGCTGCAGATTTTTAATAAAGGAGAAAAACAGCTAAATTAATATTGACTTTGAGATAATTTAGACAGTGCCAAACATATAAAGATTATTTTGTTTAATAAACAATTATATAGCACTTATTCTGCTAGGCACTGTCATAACTTCTTTATATATATTAATTCATTTGATTTTCTCAACAACCCTGTGAGGTAGGCTCTACTATTACTTTCACTTTACATTAGGAGGAAACTGAGGCACAGTGATGTTAAATAATTTGCCCAGTGTCACACAGCTGATAAATGGCAGAGTTGGGAAGAAAACTCAGGCAATTTGTCTCCAGAAACCATGCTCTTATCCACCATACTATGTTGCCTCCCATTAGCGGATTAACTAGGGTTTCTGCCCTACTCTTGGTGAAGAGCAGATCTGATTCCTTCCATCAACCTTAAAATAGACAGTGGTTTTTCAAGAAATATTCAGGACCACAGTTTTGCTTCAGCAGAAGACAGCCTCCAATCCCTGAACTCTTTCTGAGTTACAAAGTAGAGGACTGCCACCTACTGCCTCCATGATACCAGTCTGAGTGTTCCGTGGAGGTTGCATGTGTGTGTGCACATGGAAGGAGGCAGTCAGCCCCACAGAGCTGCTTTGCTTGTCATAACTAATAGGATCACAGCACACAGTGGTATGATTGCAAATAGAAAGACTGTTCGATTGAAACAAATCTGTTTCTTACTTCATGCCAAGACCTACAGTGGGTAAATTTGCATTCAAATTGGCCCTGGTGCATGGATCACAGTTTCTTCTGTAACAAACACCTGGCCATAGCCAGATTTCATTAGTCCATGGTCCTAGTCTATAAATGTTCAGTAGGGCACAAGTGGCCCCAGGGCTATGAGTTGTAGGAGTCTCCCATGTCTGTGGGTGAGAGGAGGGGAGAGAGGTAAATATCCCACTCCAACAATCATCTCTTGTCTTCACTGAAACTGATCGAGGTCAGGTCATTAACTCTCATACACCTGCTTCCTTACTCCCTGCCTAGAAGAGCCTATGGGAATTCTGTAACTCTTTTCTCTTTCACTTTGAATTCCTAAGGGTTGAACTCGTCACTACTCCCAATAATTCTCCCCCTCATCTTTGTCTCTATCACTTCTTTAAAAATCTCAAGAACACAATGTTTCTACATGTTTATGTCTCTAGATATAAAACCACAGGAACCTAGAATACCAAAGCTGAAAGGGCCCCTAGAGATGATCTAACCCCTTCATCATATAAATGAGGAAACTGAGGCTTGGGAAAGGGTAATTTATTGTAAGGTTGTTACCTGGAAGTGGAAGTGAGTAAAACCGCTACTGAGCTTTGACTTGTGTCCCATGATCTGTTAAGTGTTCTTAGCTGCTAAGAAAAGTTTGAAACCCAGTGCTAAAAAGCAGAAAAAATAATAGGTACTTTGAGTTCCCTATTCCAGGTCAGCCATTGTAACATGATATATGCTTACATGCTCAACTTTTGAGGCAACTAAGGATTCATTGCCACAGTTATATTATTTTATTTAATTCTCAATGCAGTCTTCCAAGGTAGGTTTCACTATCTTATTTTAAAGACGAGTAAACTGAGGCACAGGTATATTAAATAACTTGTCCAGGGTCACATGGCAAGTAGTTGCAGACTCAGGATTCACACCTAGCTTTGTCTAGCTTCATAGTTCATATGTTAAACACTAAGCTATGTGGAGACTGCTTGGCCACAATATAAGACTCTCAGAAGATCCCAGAAGATGCCTAGATTTGCTTCTTCACCAGTCTGATTGTTGTTTGTCCATTTTTGTGGGGAGACTCAGTAGGTGGCATCTAAGAACTATCCTTTGACTGGCAACCAGGCCTTACCATGGACCCCATGAAGTAGCAGGAGGAGTTTGGCTCTCATCTCCACGGCACTCTGGGTTTCACAGCCTATTGCCCCCTAGTAATTTATCATTTCCCCAGGTGAAAATTGAGCCATTTTCCCCCCAGTCAACTGATTCTACTCTTGCTAATTATGTTGTGGACCAAATCACCCTTTTGTTCAAATGAATGAAAGTGAAACCAACATTCATCTGGCTATGTCATACCCCTGGAGAAAAGTGAGCAGGCATGTTTATCAGTAGTATAGTAAAATAATCTTTAACTTGATTAAATAATCTCTGAACTGGTTCCAAGAAGACTTTCAGCTGTACAAGTATATGATTCTGCAGGTGAAGATTGGGAACTCTACACATTTTTGCCAATTGCTACAAAATTTTCAAGCCCAACCTCAAGAATTTTATAGTCATGAAGTCTTTTCTTGATTCACTGCAAGGAAGAAGTAAATGGCAAAGAAAATTTAGTATTCATTGCCCTACATTCAGAAAAACACAACTGGTTTTAAATATTATGAATCTTATTTTTGGAAGCCCTCAAACTCTTGCTCACTCTGAGTTTAGAAGACTGATCTAAATAAATAAATAAATAGCAATGGTTTCTGTTTAAATTAGGTCTTTCTCAGTTTCCATGGCATTCAATCTGTTAGCATCAATATTCTCACTGGGAACTGTGCTCACCCTTCAGGATGACAACGTTTGGTTTAAGGTTTACAGGACATATCATAGCTCGGTGGATTTATTGTACTGAAGGAAAAAGAGATTTGTGGAAACCTATAGGGTATGCGTCTTCCGGGTGTCAATGTTTAGTTCTAGTCTTCACATGACTCTGTGGATAAATGGGATTTGAGAGAATTACAGATGATATATTTACAGTAACTGCTTGGTCTCAAGCTACATGGTTCTATATCAGTCACTGCAGGAAACACTCCTAAGCTAACTCTAAAAAAAAAAAAATGATACCCAAGGGAAACCATTCCAAAGCAGACAATGTGGAAACGGCCAGGGTTTGGTCAACGTGAAAATCTTCATTTGGCATTTCAAGATGCTTAACTGCAAGAGTTAGGAGAATCTTTCTATGTATTAGTGGGTCCACACTAAATTTATTTCCACAAGCAAACAGACGGACAGACAAGAAAAGAAACAGTTCCTTTGTAAGCTTTCCTTAGAATGGGAAAAAATATTATTTGACTGATGTGTGCAGTTTCAAAACACTAACAGAAAGGCAGGTGTAGATTTATTAAAATATATATGACTGTGTGAAGTAAGAGAACTTATAATAAATTTAGCAGGTAGAAAGGTCTTTGTTCTTCTCTAGATATATCCCTTAAAATATTCCATTTACAGATGCAAGTCCCACATTTTAGTAATGACTCTTGACTCTCAAAGTTTATTTTACTTATTTATTTTTAACTATTTTACTCATAATATTATCTGAAGTTTTTATATAATTATTTTTAGGAGCTCAATAAATATTTATTGCAGAAATATGGGACCCAAAAACATAAGATCATATGTTTTCAGACTAAACAACTGAGTCTACAGCAATAACAGTAATAATTGTTGCCTACACATGATTCTAGAAAAGCCAGGAGCCAAGTTTGTTGAACTAGAAATCTTCAGATTCTCTTATTAATTTCCATAGAATTATTTTTTGTATGTCAGAGTTTTTATTACTTTGATTTCCTGTGTTGTAGATACATTTTGTTGTGTATATTTGAGGTTTACAACATGATGTTATGAGATACGTATAGATTGTAAAATGGTTACTATCTCAAAGTTTATTCATAGTGTTTTTTTCCTCAGGTAAGGTCTTCTCTTAAATCTTATATCTTTAGTTTCTTTTTTAAGTTTTCTGCTTTTTAGATAGGTCCTGATCCTCAGCTTTGTTATCTTTAAAAGGAAAAAACTGCATTGGAACACAGATTCTTAATCTGGGCTCGATGGACAGGTTTTATGGAGGGGACTGTAAAGCCCAGGAACTATGCAAAATTGCATGTATATGTGTATGTAAATACTTACATGTAGTGTGCTAAGGATAGAGCCTATGGCTTTCATCAGATTCTCAGATGTTCATATAACCCCAGAAAATGAAGAATTTCTGAGCTAGGTACTTTTTAAGTTCCTGTGTAGCTCTAAATTTCAAAGAGATTGGCTAAGCAGTTTTATTACAGCTCTTCCTTAGCAGAGCGCAGAGTGATAGGAAACTCAACAGGTAGTTCAGTGAAGGCTGTATTATATTTGCCATTGGTAAGTATAATTGAAAATCTAACTATGTAAGGAGTTTATCTAATATATGATTTTAAATTAGAGATAGCAAAAGTAATAAGGACCAACAACCAGCAAATCCCAATAATTTTAAGTCAAGTTAGTAATAATAAAATATTTCTTTAAGCTCACTTCATTTTCTGTGTTGTTTATTATCACACTGTCAACTTCTCATTCTTTTTGCATATCCACAGATATCCCATGAGCTTTCAGAGTAAGCTATCCAAATAGAGAATAAACATGTGAGGGAGACAAGATGAGAATGAGGCCGACTATGATTGCAACTAGGTCACGTCTATTAATATGTGATATTTATGTCTCTGCATGGTTGAAACTGCAAATCCTTATGCATAACATTTCCTCTTGCTTTGACAGAAAATTCCTCACTCAAATACTTCAAAACCATCATTTTAATTTTTATCACCCTGAAAATTTCATTTTTAAATGGAGCATAATGTTGTCATGCTGAAATAGATGTCTTTGGATTACATCACTTTGCATGGTGTAAAACTCCGGAGTTAATTTCACTGCTGTGTATCAGAAGTGTGCCTGTGAAGTTGGGGGATTAGAGGACAGAGCTAATGAGGACAAGGTCCTGGGTTCAGTCTCTGTGAGGGTGTTAACTCAGTTATGTTCCCTGGCCACAGGCCGTGCCCCAACCCTAGCCAGAAGACTCTTGGGGCTAAAGGAATCCAGGGGAGAGAGGAGATGACTCAGTGTAACCCATCCCCCATGACTAGAGAGAAAACTCAAAGAACACACATCTCAGAATCTTCCAACGGCAGTAGTGGAAAGAACTCCAGAGGTTTTCTCATTTTGTTCCCCATATAATGTACAATAATTCTGTTAAAAGGTTATCCTGTCTCTTCTGGACTATCTCCAGGTACAGAGAATTCATTGTCTCTCAGTGTCACCCACTTAATCTTGAAACAACTCTGATAACTTTTTCTTATGTGAATTACAAGTGTCCATCATTCTGTAAATCGGACCTAGGCCTGCCTTGTGGAATCAACAGAATGGCTGTAAGCCAACTCTTTATAGGCTGGAAAACAGCAACAGAGTTGAAATAGGGGCTTCCAGCTTTACCTGCACATTGCCATCCTTACTGGTTTTGTCAGCAGAAAGAGCTCTTACTTAGAGATCCTGGTAACAATAATTTAAGCAGAATCTTCAATTCTTTTACATAAAGGACTTGGAGTATAGCATTTGGGAAAGGAGTCTAAATTCCCTTCTAGCTCTTGAGACATGTTTCACACATAGCACACAGCTGGAGGATACAACCAGGGCTACTAGGAGGGTATCCATCAATCTTCAGCCTGCAAATAACATTGCAATGGGCTTCTGCCATGGGGCTGGATGTTTGGAGATATTAATGAGGGAGTCTAGACCAACCTGTCATTTCTTATTCTGAGGGCCTAGGGGTAAAACTTTAACAGGATTATATTTTAATCCCTCCCAAAGACATGTACTCATTCATTCATCCAGTCAAAAAAGAGTAGTTATTGAGGTCCTTCTATGCTCTAGCTGTTAGGAATACAATGACAAGTAAAATAAAAAGGGTCAACTGTGGGATATACACATTAGACAAATCATCACACAAGGTAATATATAATTTCAAATGACGATTTGTGATACAAAGGGAAAATACAGATTATTTTCAGAGCATGTAATAGGTCTGATCTTAAGGAAGACTTGCCTGACATTTGAGTTAACATATAAAGGATGAATAAGAGTTAACTAAGTAAAAAAAGTGAAGATGGGAAATGCATTCCAGATAAAGAGAACAGCAAATGCAAAATACCTTGCCTCCCCATGCAAGGCAGGTATATGAAGAAGCACAGAATATTAACAACAACATCAACAAAAAAACCTGAGAGAGCCACTGTGGGTGAAATTCAGAGCTAAGGAGTTCTGCAATACAAAATGAAGCTGGAGACATCATTAGGCCAATACATGAGGAATATGGCAGTCTGTGGGAAGACCTGTACAATTTTATCTTCTGCACTTCCCCTCACAAAGTCTTTGTTCTTTTCAGCAAATGCCATGACCTGCTTTGCTACCCACATTCAGTTCTTTACTTGTATTTTTATTTTCCTCAGGAATGCTTCCCCCTTCTCATCATCCATCTCCTACACAAAGTCTTACTCATCTTCTCATTCCCTGAATTTTGGCATCTAGGGAGTGTGGATGAAGAGAAACTAGCTCCTAACGTACATTAAGTACCTGTTATGCACCAAGCACAGTGCTAAATTCTTTATATTTATAATATTTAGCCCCCATCATAACACCATGAGGTAATACCATTTCTTCCATCTTACAGAGGATGAAATTTGAACTCAGAAATCTTAATGAGTTCAACCAAGGTGACATAGATAAACTAATAAGCCGAGAAAGAAACTCAGTTTTCCATGACTCCAGAGATTCTGCTCTTTCTCATAAAGCTAGGTGCTTCTATCTGCCTTTCAAGTTGTTCATTAACTTCCCAGGAGAAATGTTGTGGCCATACTTATGTTGATATTAAGGTTAGCAATTGAAACATATCAATTGCTGGTATCAATTGGATAACATGGGAGTTCTAAGTTCTTAGACATAGGAGTCCCATTCACAGTCATAATACTGTTGTATTTCAAAGGAACTAGGTGCAGTCATTCCAGGAAAAGAGGTTTGTACACAGAACATTCTACTTTGCTATATTCCTTTAAAGTGAGAATTTTATGCAAGCATTTGGTAGCATCTACTATGAACTTCTATGTAACCTCTATAAATTTAAAGTACCCCAAGACTCAGTCTTGGCACATGGTCACATTTGAAGAAACATTATTCTAAATATCAAGAAAAATATGAAAAACAATTATAATTAGCATTATAGATATTGTCTCAGAAAGCACTAAAGGGGATTTCGATATCACAGTAAGCCAAACTTTCATAAAGTTCTTTCTAAAACTTCCTTTTCCAAGTCATTCTCTCTCAGAAGCCTACCCACAGTGCAGATGTCCCCACACCTCTCTCATTTTTCACTCAATTTCTCTCAAATTTTCTCCAAGTCTAGCTTGTGCTGCTGGCTCTTGTTTGTCTTGTTATTTCCTCCTGTCTTTAGGATCTATTTATCTCTTTCTTACCAGTACCTTTCTGCTCTGTCCAGTGTAAATCCTCCAAGTGGTCTCAAGAAGCAGGCAGGCAGAAAAATGGTCTTTGTAAATCAGGAATAGCAGGACATGCCCAGAATATCTAAATTTCAAGTTTATTTTTCCTTTCAGACTTACTTTTGGAATATGGTCATTTTCAAGTATATTTTTTCCTTTCACACTTATTTTTGGCATGTGATCATTTCAAAATTCTTTTGACTAAAAGTAATAACAGTGTTTGATACTTCACTTTCCATTGGCTGATCTTGGCAGAGACTATTGGTGCTTATGGGTATCCCTAAACTACTCTGCACTTCCTGGCATCCCTTTGCAGTTGGATTGGCCCTGAGACTAGTTCTCATCTATAGAATGTGAGTGAAAGTGACATGAATCACTTTTGCACCTAGGTGGTTAAATATGCAGTTTGCCTTTTCTAAACTCTTTTAGTTCATTTGGGCTGCTATAACAAAGTACCATAGACTGGGGTGGCTTATAAAGAACAGAAATTTATTTTTGCGCAGTTCTGGAAGCAGGAAGTCTGAGATCAAGGTGTCAGTAGATTCACTCTCTGATGAGGGTGCCTTTCTTGGTTCATAGGTGACACCTTCTTGCTGTGGCATGATGGAAGGATCTAGCTAGCTCTCTGGGGTCTCTTCTATAATTCTTCCAAAGGCCTTGCCTCCTAATACAATCACCTCGGGGCCTAAGATTTCAACAAGGAAATTTTAGGGGGACACAAACATTCAGAATATCACACTCTTTTCCCTGCCCTCTATCTGAATAATACCAGGGTGACCTTGTAGCCACTAGATAGAAGCAGCCTGAGTTCTTGAGTCACTTCTTAGAAAAGAGTTAATCCACATTTTACTATAATGTGAATGAGAAATAAACCACTGTTGCATGGTTTGTTTCAGTAGCTAGTGCTAATTAAGCTAATATATTATTTTACACAGTATTTTAATTAAAATTCATTAATAAGTTCATAACTGTAGTGAATTCACTTATTAAATCTTTTCATCTAGACTTGGTGCTTTTTATGCCCTGTTTAAGATATTTTTGCCTAACCCAATGTCATGAAGGTGTTTTCTGATATTTTTGCCTAGAAGTGTTATTGTTTTACCTTTCACATTTAGATCTACTACAATCTATCTCAAGTTCCTTTTTTTTTTCCTTTTGAGACACAGTCCAGCCCATGCTGGAGTGCAGTGGTGCGATCTCGACTCACTGCAACCTCCGCCTCCTGGGTTTAAGCAATTCTCCTGCCTCAGGCTCCTGAGCAGCTGGGATTACAGGCACCTGTCATCATGCCTGGCCAATTTTTGTACTTTTAGTAGAGACAAGGTTTCACCATGTTGACCAGGCTGGTCTTGAACTACTGACCTAAAGTGATCTACCCACCTCTGCCTCCCAAAGTGCTGGGATTACAGGCATGAGCCACTGCGCCCGGCCATCAGGTTACTTTTTGCATACCGTTTGAGTGCCATGGTTAATTTTCCACATGAATATGCAATTGATCCAGTGCCATATATTGAAAAGACCATGCTTCTCTCACTGGATTGCAGCAGCCCCTTCACTGGATAGCAAATGTAGTAGACCGTTTCTAAAAGACTGTGACTTCCATTTACTCTTGCTTTCTCTCACTCTTTATTAAAGAATTTTATATCCCCCCTCATTGTAATCTGGTAAATGCTTGTGAAATAATGGTGAGGCTGTCGAGAAGGGATGGTTATAAGCCTGCAAATGGCATACATACTGCTCAGAATAAGATGGTAGTGGAAAGGCAGTCCTCTGCCAACTGGTTTATTAGGGGGAGTCTCCACTAGTTACCTGAAACAGAAGACCTCACAGACGAGCCTCCAAGTGCAAGAGAAATTCAAATTGCATCCCGTGGTTGTCAACAATGCCTCTTAAGTCAAAAGGGAAAGCCCCTACCACACCTAGGTTGCATAACAGGAAGCCAAATTTACTCAGATATATATATATATATATATATATATATATTTTATTTTTTTTTAGAGAGTCTTGCTCTGTCACCCAGACTGGAGTGCAATGGCGCCATCTTGGCTCACTGCAACATCTGCTTCCTGGGTTCAAGCAATTCTCCCACCTTAGCCTCCCAAGTAGCTGGGATTACAGGTGCTCACCACCACGCCTGGCTAATTTTTTGTATTTTTAGTAGAGACATGGTTTCGCCATGTTGGCCAGGCTGGTCTTGAACTCCTGACCTCAGGTGATCCACCCACCTCAGCCTCCTGAATTACAGGTGTGAGCCACCATGCCTAGCCTCCTCAGATTTTTAAAATCTGGATGTAACCTTCTATCAATAATATTACTACATATCAAATAGACCATTGTTTTTGGTTTGTATGATTCTAATTAAGAAAAATTTGAGGTTTAAAATTTCATTTTCTGGCAAAGTTCATTTTCTACCAAATAAATGTAAATTTTATAAATATCTCTTTGCCCCATCACTTCCAGCTACCCCCACCCCCATCTACACATACAACAGATATTTTTAGTAGAGATGGGGTTTCACTATGTTGGCCAGGCTGATCTCGAATTCCTGACTCCACCCACCTTGGCCTCCCAAAGTGCTGGGATTACAGGCGTGAGCCACCACACCCAGCCGATACTGAGTTATTATAGTAATAAGATGTTCAAGGACATGAATTATAGTACATTTTACAATGAGAAAATACTCAGCCAGTACAAAGAATGGTAAAGGTGTAGAAATACATCTACTTTTGTTTATTTATACATGCAAAAATGCCCAATAGTCACCTGTTACATGCTGGGCACAGTATGAGGTACCAATGAATACAAAGTCCCTGCCTTCACGGAGCATGTATAAGTGGGGGTTGGCACAGATAATAAACTAGCGCTATGAACAAAATTAAATGGAATAATGGGACCAGAGAGTATGTTTTAGGTTGGGTGTTCAGGGAAGGCCTCTCTGAGGTGGTGAGATCTAAGTGATGAGAAGAAGACAGTTCTGCATTTGAGGCAGAGGGAACAGCAAGTACAAGAGAACAGAGAAGGAAAGAGCATCTATGTTGCAGAAAGAGAAAGAAGGGGCCTGGGGCCCAGGCATAGTGGATTTACTGGGTAGGGGGTGCAGTTTGAGGTCATGTCAGTGATGGCAGAGGCTGCTGCCATCATTCTGGCTGCAGCAGGGAGGCGCCGCTGCGGCTGCACACTCCAAAGAGCCTGTGGGAGCCTCGCCCCTTCTGAGTTGGGACTGGCGCTCCCCGGTTGCTGGTTACCTGGTTACCGCTGCAGCCGCCTAAACCACAGCTGCAGACCCAGGCCTCCTGCTCTGCGGAGCAGGCAGGAGCCCCACCCTCCTGGGTGGGGCTATAGTCACCCAAAATGCAGCTGTGGATCCGAGCCTCCCTGTGCTCTTGGGGGAGGGCCGCGAGCAGGCAGGATCTGCCTTCCCGGCTGTGGCTGTGGGCGTAGGAGCCAGGTGTCTCTACAGCCTGTACCCTAGGATGGCCCAGGAAGGACCCCAGTTCCTGCAGGCTCAGGGGTGTCTTCTCCCACTGCCTGGCTTCTTTCCACTCCTGGTGCCTGCTCCGATCTCAGAGTGGGGGGTGGGGCCAAGCCTGGGGCCATGAATAGCAGCGGGAGGCAGATTGATTCCTGAGTGGAAGGGGGTGGGCCCGCCGTAAGGCCCTACCTTTGGGCCAGGGAGGGCCTGAAGACTGGGGGCTGGGCTGCCAGTCCTGCAGACCAGAGTAGTGAGTGACTCATGGTCCCTCTTCTGGGCAGCCTATGGCTGCCCATGGACTAATCAGCAGGCACTTCCTCCCCTCTGAGGTCCATGAAAGCCCTGAACTCAGCCAGAGCAGGGCAGAGGATGGCCAGAGGACAAAATGGGCAGAGAGATGCTGGGAGGGGATGACCAGCTGTAGAGAGGAGTACCTACCTTCTCTGCTGATAGCTGGAAATGATGGGATGACCAGCTGCGGGGATGACCAGCTACAGAGAGGAGTACCCTCTCTGCTGAGAGCTGCAGAGATGACCTGCCAGCAGAGACGAGCTACCCTCTGTGCTGAGAGCTTCAGAGACCTGCAGAGATGCCCGAATGACTTGTCTGCAGAGAGGAGCCACCCTCTCCAGGGCCTCCTCTCTGCTGAGAGCCAAATCTCTGGACAGGACGACCTGCCTGCAGTGAGGAGCTACCTATTCCTCTGAGTGGTTCTAACACTAAATAAAACTCTTCTTCTTCACCCTTCACTTGTCTGCATACCTCCTTCCTGGACACAGGACGAGAACTCAGGCAAAGGTGCCACAGCCACAGAGGTTTCTGGCCAGAAAAATCGACACCCAGACATCTTGTAACATTGGGACCTGTAGGCCACTCTAAGAAGTCTGGGATTTTATTTTTAGTGCTACAGAAAATAACTGGTGTGCTCCTCTGGGTTGAAATACAGCAGGACAAGAGGAGCAGCAAGGAGAACAGTTACAGACTACTATGGATTATGCCAAAAGAGAAGATCAGCAAATATTCTCCCCCAAAATAACCATCAAGCTGGTCAAAATTGACAAAAGAATCTCTGGACTCTGAAATTAATTAAGGGCATATAACAATGTGAGCATTGTTTATTTTTTAAAAAAACAAAATTACCAAACCTCATGTAAGAATAGCAAGAATCTGATGTGTTTTAGCCTGAAGCTCCTCCTGTTCACCCTACAATGATCAGTGCAGCAGTTCTACTACAATAGGAAAGCTGCAAAACCAATTTTGCTACTAGAGGTGGCTGAATTGATCTGGAGTGCAGCAGAAAAAAAACCCACAACCCTGAGAATTGTGCGAAACAGAGTGATCTTGGTGACAAACAAATGGGAGTAAGACAACATCACAGCTTACCTGATGTGATCCTGGTTAGAAAGCAACAGACTGGCAGACTAGCCTTAAGCTAAAGAAAACTCAAGGAATGTGATAGCCATGATGGACCTGGATAGGCTCCCACATGTCTCTGGAAGTGTAGAAAGGTGTACATGCTCAAGGCTCCAAGAATTCTAAGGAGAGACCAGAGAAAAGTCCTAGCTATCCATAAGTTCCTGGCCATTAAGATGGCTATTATAAAAAAAAGAAATAAAAGAAAAACATATGGACACAGGGAGGGGAACATCACACAGCAGGGCCTGTCGGGGGGGTGGGGGGCAAGGGGAGGGAGAGCATTAGGACAAATACCTAATGCCTGTGGGGCTTAAAACCTAGATGACAGGTTGATAGGTGCAGCAAACCACCATGGCACATGTATACCTATGTAACAAACCTGCACGTTCTGCACATGTATCCTATAACCTAAAGTAAAATTGAAAAAGAAAAAGAAGAGATAACAAATGTTGGTGAGCATGTGTAGAAAAGGGTACCTTAATATACTGTTGGTGTAAAGGCAGATTGGTGCACCCATTATGGAAACGAGTATGGAGGTTTCTAAAGAAATTACAAATAGAACCAGCATGTGACCTAGCAATTCCTCTTCTGAATATATACCTAAAGGAGATGAAATCACCATCTGGTAAAATGGTATTTTTACCATGTTCGTTGCAACATTATTTATACTAGCCAAGATATAGAAACAATCTGAGTGTCTGTTGCTGGACAAACAGAGGACAACAACATGATACACACACAGAGAGACAGACAGACACACACACACAATGAAATATTAGCCTAAAAAAGGAGATCTTTCCATTTGCCACAACATGGATGGACCTAGAGGATATTATGTTAAAAGAAACAAGCCAGGCACAGAAAGACAAAGATTGCATGATTTAACTAGTATGTGGAATATTTTTTAAAAGGAAAAATCAAAAAGGGTCAAATATACAGAGATAAAAAATAAAACAGTGGTTACCGGGGGTAGGGGTGAGGGAAAGAAATACAAAGATGTAGGTCAAAAGATACAAAGTAGCAGATACGTACAATGAACAAGTCTAGAGATCTAATGTACAACATGACCACTATAGTTAATAAAATTCTATTGTATTAGCAATTTTTGTTAAATAAGTATATCTTAGCTGCTCTTGTCACAAAAAAAGTAATTAGGTGAGATGACCAATATGTTAATTTGCTTCACTATAGTAACCATTTTACTATTTATGTGAATTCCATTACATCATGTTGTAAATATCAAATATACACAATGAAACTTATTTTTCAAAATAAAAAATAAACATTAACAATTTAAAAAAATCTAAAAGGAAATATGCACTAAAATGAAAGACCAACTTTCATTTGCCATAGCTGCAAAAATTTTTAAATGTAGTATTCATTCTGAGGGTGAGTGAGGTGCAGTGCAATGGACACTCATACAATGCTGAGGGAAGTATAAGGTAAAACGTGTTATAAAGTTGTTTAGAATGGTGTCATTATTATCCAAAGCTTCAATATAATCATTATTCAGCAAACAGTTATTGAACTTGTACAACCTACTATGCTAGTTCCTGCCATCTGTCATTAAACAAGTTTCATTTCTAAAGAAAAATAAAGTTGGTTGATACGAGTAGACTATTATAAGGCACATATTTATATTGTAATACACAAAGCAACCACTATGAAAACCATATGAAGAGAGAGATTCAAAAACACTATATAAATGAATCAAGGTGAAATATCAAACATTGTCTAAGCAAGCCACAGTAAGACAAGAAAAGAGAAACAGAGGAATAAGAATCACCAGAGGCAAAAAAGTAAAACAAATACCAAATTCAAGTGATAAAATGTCAATAATTGTATTAAATTGGTGTAAATCAATAATCATAAGACAAAGACTAGTAAATAAAAAAAACAGGACCCAACTGTATGCTCCTTACCAAAACATCAATGCTTTTTCTAGATTTTTTTTTTTTGTGTAGCAACTTAGGTTATTCTTTTTAGAACTGTCCTCATTTCTAATGTAAGCATTTGGTGCTTTAAATTTCCTTCTCAACACTATTTTTTGATGACATATGTAAATTTAATGACATAAATAAGTTGCAAGTAAAAGGATGGGAAAAGATATATGCAAACATTAATTTAGTAAAGCAGGTGTGGCTATACAAATATCTGATAAAATAGACTTCTCATTAGAGAAAAAAAATCACTGCAAAGAGAGTCATTATATAGTTATAGAAGGACCAATCACTCAGGGAAAATGTTGCAATCCAGAGTGTGTGCACACCAAAAATCAGAATCTCAAAATATATGAAACAAAAACTGATGGAACTGAAAGTAGAAATAAAGAAATCCACAACTATAGTTGGAGACTTCAAAACCTCCCCTCTCAGCAACTGATAGAACTACTACACAGAAAATCAACAAAATTATGGAAGAGCTGAGCAACCAACCAATGGGAACTAATTGACATATATAGAAAAGTTCACCCCCAAACAGCAGAATGGATATCTTTAAGTGCCCAGAGAATTTCTCACAGATACAGCATTTTGTGGTCCATAAAACAAGCCTCAAGAAATTTAAAAGAATTAAAATTATAAAGTGTGTGCTCTGACAATGATGGAATGAAACTGGTAATCAGTAACAAAAATACAACACCATATATCTAAACATATGAAAATTAAACAACATCCTTCTAAGATAATCCCTTAGTCAGAATAAGTCTCAGTGGAAATAAAAGATACATAGAATTGAATAAAAGTAAAAATAGAACATCTCAAAATATGTGGAATATACTAGAGTGAGAAGGATATTTGCAATATAAAATTTTAAAATTAGAAATAAAGACAGGTTTCAAATCAACAACCTAAGTTTCTACCTCAAGAAACTAAAAAATGAAGAACAAAATAATCCCAAATCAAGCAGAAGAAAGGAAATAATAAGATCCAAAATTAATGAAATTGACAATAGGGAAACAGAGAAAATGAGTGAAACAAAAGGCTAACTCTTTGAACAAATCAATAATACTGATAAACCTCAAAATAATTGCTAAATCTGTGGCAAAACTGGCAAAAATATAAAGAAAAGATACAAATCACCAAGATCAGTACTAAACTAGGAGATATCACTATACATCCTACAGCCATTAAGAAGATAATAAGAAAATACTGGGAACAACTTTACACAAATAAATTTGAAAACTTAGAAGAAATGGACCAATTCCCTGAAAACCAAAAGTTTATAGACACAAAAGGTGACATATGTAATCTGAATGGGCCTGTAACTACTAAGGAAATTGAGTTAATAACGTAAAAGCTCCTGAAAAGAAATTTTCTGTTTTTTTCTGGAGAATTCTACCAAACATTTAAAGAAAAATATAGAAGAGGAGGGAACAATTGCCAGCACATTTTATGAGGCCAATATTACTATTACCCTGATACCAAAACCAAACAAAGACAGTACAGGAAGGAAAGAAGGCAGGAAGGCAGGAAGGAAGGAAGGAAGGAAAAGAAAATGATAGATCAATATCTCACCTGAGTTTAGATGCCAGAATTCTCAACAAAATATTAGAAAATTGAATCCAGCAATGTATAAAAATGTTTTACACTATAGCCAAATGGGATTAATTACAGGTTGCAAGGTTTGATCAACATTTGAGAAACAATTAATGTAATCTACCATATGAAGAAGCTAAAGGAAGATAAACATGATCATATCAACTGATACAGGAAAAGTTATTTGATGGAATCTAACACCCAATCATGAAAAAACTCTCAGCAAGTTAGGAATGGAAGAGAATTGCCTCAACTTAATACAGTGCATCAACAAAAACCTTGTAGCTAACATCATATTTTTTTCACACAAACACCATGGAAATATAAATTCTTACTAATGTCTTTCAACAAAGGGCATATGCACGGAGCAGACACCAGTAGATGAGCTCAGAAATCTAGCAGGATGATAACAGCCTAATATCTTTATTATTATTATTATTATTATTATTATACTCTAAGTTCTGGGATACATGTGCAGAACATGCAGGTTTGTTACATAGGTATACACATGCCACGGTGGTTTGCTGCACCCATCAACCCGTCATCTACGTTAGGTATTTATCCTAATGTTATTTCCCCCTGCAGCCCCCAAACCCCTGACAGGCCTTGGTGTGTGATGTTCCCCTCCCTGTGTCCATGTGTTCTCGTTGTTCAACTCCCACTTATGAGTGAGAACATGTGGTGTTGGTTTTCTGTTCTTGCGTTAGTTTGCTGAGAATGATGGTTTCCTGCTTCATTCATGTCCCTGCAAAGGACATGAACTCATCCTTTTTTATGGCTGCATAGTATTCCATGGTGTATATGTGCCATATTTTCTTTATCCAGTCTATCATTGATGTACATTTGGGTTGGTTCCAAGTCTTTGCTGTTGTGAACAGTGCCACAATAAACATACGTGTGCATGTGTCTTTATAGCAGAATGATTTATAATCCTTTGGGTATATCCCCAGTAGTGGGATTGCTGGGTCAAATGGTATTTCTGGTTCTAGATCCTTGAGGAATCGCCACACTGTCTCTTCCACAATGGTTGAACTAATTTACACTCCCACCAACAGTGTAAAAGCGTTCCTATTTCTCCACATCCTCTCCAGCATCTGTCGTTTCCTGATTTTTTAATGATTGCCATTCTAACTGGCGTGAGATGGTATCTCACTGTGGTTTTGATTTGCATTTTTCTAATGACCAGTGATGATGAGCTTTTTTTCATATGTTTGTTGGCCACATAAATGTCTTCTTTTGAAAAGTGTCTGTTCATATCCTTCGCCAGATCAACAAGACAGAAAATTAACAAGGATATTCAGGACGTGAACTCGGCTCTGGACCAAGTGGACCTAATAGACATCGACAGAACTCTCCACCCCAAATCAACAGAACATATGTTCTTCTCAGCACCATATCGCACTTATTCTAAAATTGACCACATAATTGGAAGTCAAAGACTCCTCAGCAAATGCAGAAGAATGGAAATCATAACAAACCGTCTCTCAGACCACAGTACAATCAAATTAGAACTCAGGACTAAGAAACTCACTCAAAACTGCACAACTACATGGAAACTGAATAACCTGTTCTGGAATGACTACTGAGTAAATAACAGAATTAAGGCAAAAATAAATAAGTTCTTTGAAACCAATGAGAACAAAAACACAACGTACAAGAATCTTTGGGACACAGCTAAAGCGGTGTTTAGAGGGAAATTTAAAGCACTAAATGCCCACAAGAGAAAGCAAGAAAGATCTAAAATCGACACCTTAACATCACAACTAAAAGAACTAGAGAAGCAAGAGCAAACAAATTCAAAAGCTAGCAGAAGACAAGAAATAACTAAGATCAGAGCAGAACTGAAGGAGATAGAGACATGAAAACCCTTCAAAAAATCAATGAATCCAGGAGCTTTTTTTTTTTTTTGAAAAGATTAACAAAATAGGTAGAACGCTAGCCAGACTAATAAAGAAGAGAGAAGAATCAAATAGACAAAATAAAAAATGATAAAGGGGATATTACCACTGATTCCACAGAAATACGAACTACCATCAGAGAATAGTATAAATACCTCTATGCAAATAAACTAGAAAATCTAGAAGAAATGGATAAATTCCTGGACACATACACCCTCCCAAGACTAAACCAGGGAGAAATTGAATCCCTGAATAGACCAATAACAAGTTCTGAAGTTGAGGCAGTAATTAATAGTCTACCAACCAAAAACAGCCCAGGACCAGACGGATTCACAGCCGAATTCTACCGGAGGTACAAAGAGGAGCTGGTACCATTCCTTCTAAAATTATTACAAACAATAGAAAAAGAGGAACTCCTCCCTAACTCATTTTATGAGGCCAGCATCATCCTGATACCAAAACCTGGCAGAGACACAACAAAAAACGAAAATGTCAGGCCAATATCCCTGATGAACATCGATGCAAAAATCCTCAATAAAATACTGGCAAACCGAATCCAGCAGCACATTAAAACACTTATCCACCACAATCAAGTTGGCTTCATCCCTGGGATGCAAGGCTGGTTCAACATATGCAAATCAATAAACATAATCCATCACATAAACAGAATCAATGACCATAACCACATGATTATCTCAATAGATGCAGAAAAGACCTTCAATAGAATTCAACACCCCTTCATGCTAAAAAGACTCAATAAACTAGGTATTGATGGAACGTATCTCAAAATAATAAGAGCTATTTATGAGAGACCCACAGTCAATATCATACTGAATGGGCAAAAACTGGAAGCATTCCCTTTGAAAACCAGCACAAGATAAGGATGCCCTCTCTCACCACTCCTATTCAACATAGTGTTGGAGTTCTGGCCAGGGCAATCAGGCAAGAGAAAGAAATAAAGGTATTCAAATAGGAAGAGAAGAAGTCAAGTTATCTCTGTTTGCAGATGACATGATTGTATATTTAGAAAACTTCATCATCTCACCCCAAAAACTCTTTAAGCTGATAAGCAACTTCAGTGAAGTCTCAGGATACAAAATCAATGTGCGAAAATAAGCATTCCTATACACCAGTAATAGACAAACAGACAGCCAAATCATGAGTGAACTCCCATTCACAATTGCTACAAAGAGAATAAAATACCTAGGAATCCAGCTTATAAGGGATGTGAAGGACCTCTTCAAGGAGAACTACAAACCACTGCTCAACGAAATAAAAGAGGACACAAACAAATGGAAAAACATTCCATGCTCATGGATAGGAAGAATCAATATCGTGAAAACGGCCATACTGCCCAAAGTAATTTATAGATTTAATGCTATTCCCATCAAGCTACCATTGACTTTCTTCAGAGAATTAGAAAAAATACTTCAAATTATATATGGAACCAAAAAATAGCTCGTATATCCAAGACAGTCCTAAGCAAAAAGAACAAAGTGGGAGGCAGCGCGCTTTCTGACTTCAAGCTATACTACAAGGCTAGAGTAACCAAAACAGCATGGTACTGGTACCAAAATAGATATATAGACCAATGGAACAGAACAGAGGTCTCAGAAATAACACCACACATCTACAACCATCTGATCTTTGACAAACCTGACAAAGACAAGCAATGGGGAAAAGATTCCCTATTTAATAAATGATGTTGGGAAAACTGGCTAACCATATGCAGAAAACTGAAACTGGACCCCTTCCTTACACCTTATACAAAAATTAACTCAAGATGGATTAAAGACTTAAACATTTTTTATGGCTGCATAGTATTCCATGGTGTATATGTGCCACATTTTCTTAATCCAGTCTATCATTGCTGGACATTTAGCTTGGTTCCAAGTCTTTGCTATTGTGAATAGTGCTGCAATAAACATACGTGTGCATGTGTCTTTATAGCAGCATGATTTATAATCCTTTGGGTATATACCCAGTAATGGAATTTCTGGGTCCAATGGTATTTCTAGTTCAAGATCCCTGAAGAATCGCCACACTGACTTTCACAATAGTTGAACTAGTTTACAGTCCCACCAACAGTGTAAAAATGTTTGTATAAAAAATGATGAATTCATGTCCTTTGTAGGGACATGGATGAAGCTGGAAACCATCATTCTCAGCAAACTATCGCAAGGACAAAAAAACCAAACACCGCATGTTCTCACTCATAGGTGGGAATTGAACAATGAGAACACATGGACACAGGAAGGGGAACATCACACACCAGGGCCTGTTGTGGGGTGGGGGGAGGGGGGAGGGATAGCATTAGGAGATATACCTAATGTTAAATGACGAGTTGATGGGTGCAGCACACCAACATGGCACATGTATACATATGTAACTAACCTGCACATTGTGCACATGTACCCTAAAACTTAAAGTATTAAAAAAAAAAAAGACTTAAACATAAGACCTAACACCATAAAAGCTCTAAAAGAAAACAAAGGCAATACCATTCAGGACATAGGCATGGGCAAAGACTTCATGTCTAAAACACCAAAAGCAATGTCAACAAAAGCCAAAATTGACAAATGGGATCTAATTAAACTAAGGAGCTTCTGCACAGCAAAAAAAACTATCATCAGAGTGAACAGGCAACCTACAAAATGGGAGAACATTTTTGCAATCTATCCATCTGACAAAGGGCTGATATCCAGAATGTACAAGGAACTTAAATTTAAAAGAAAAAAGCTAACATTATTCTAAATGATGACAGAATGATTTCCTTCTAATATCAGCAAGGATATCTGCCCTCAGTACACTTATTAAACATAGTACTATAAGTTTAATACCTGTGTTAAAGCAAAAAAATAATTTTATATGTATTAGGAAGAAATAAATCTCTATTTGCAAATGATATTGTTGCACATATAGAAAATCCAAGGAGTCTACAAAAATCTCCTGGAATTAATAAGTGAATTCAGTAAGGTTGCAGATATAAGAGCAAGACACAAAAATCAATCGCATTTCTATATATTAACAATGAACCTGTGGAAATAGCAATTAAAACAGTGCAATATATAATCACTCCAAATGTAACAAAATCAGGAATACATGTGCCAAAACATGTATTTTATCTGTATGCTGAAAATTACAAAGTGCTGATGAAAGAAATCCAAAATGACCCAAATAAATGGAGACATAGACCACATTCATTGATTGAAAGACCCAACATAATAAAGATGTCAATTCTCTCCAAATTAATCTGTATGTTTAATATAAATCTCAGCAAATGGGTTTTCTTTGCATTTTTGATTTATATAGGAAGGCATAGGCCCTAGGATAAATAAAATAATCTTGACCAAACAAAGTGGGAGGAATCACTCTACCTAACAAGTCTTACTATATAGCTACAATAATCAAGACAATGTGGTATCAGTAGAGGGATAGACAGATTGGTCAATCAAATAATATAAAGAATCTATTCCAGTCTGGACGACAGAGCGAGACTCCGTCTCAAAAAAAGAAAAAGAATCTAGAAGTAGACCTTCACAAATATGACAAATATGCTCAACTATTTTTGACAAATGTACAAAAGCAATTCAATAGAGGAGAGATGGCCTTCTCAGCAAATAGTGCTGGAGCAATTGCATATCCATAGGCCAAAAAATTAAGAATTCTTCTGAACCTCATACTTCATACAAAAATTAACTCAAAATGGATCAGAGGCTTAACTGTAAAACATGAAACCATGAAGCTTTTAGAAAAAAACTTGAGGCAATCTTTGGAATCTAGGACTAGGCAAAGAGTTCTTAGATTTGGCACCAAAAGTATCATCCATAAAAGGAAAAATAGAAAAATGAACCTAAACACAATTAAAAGCTTTTGTTCTTTGAAATTCCATGTGAAAAGGATGAAAGATAAACAACAGACTTGGAGAAAATATTTGCAAACAATACATCTGATATATGTTTTTGAGTATAAAAAATATAAAGGTCGCTCAAGACTCAGCAGTAAAAACAAAAGCAATTCAATTATAAAATGATCAAGAGACATAATAAGTGACGTTTCACCAAAGTGGGTATAGAGATGGGAAATATGTACATGAGATGTTCAACATCATTAGTCATCACGGAGGTGCAAATTGAAACCACAAGAAAATATTACTACACATCTATTGGAATGGCTAAAATACAATACAGTGACCACACCAAATGTTGGTGAGGATTCAGAAAAAATTGGATCATTCATAAATTGCTGTAGGAATGTAAAATGGTACAGCCACTCTGGAAACAGTTTCACAGTCTTACAAAACTAAACATGCAGTTACCAAATGACACAAGTAGCATCCTATTGGGTGTTTATCCCAAAGAAATGGAAATTTATATTCACACAAAATCCTGTACACAAATGTTCATAGCAGTTTTATTCTTAGTAGCCCCAAACTGGAAAGAGTCCAGATGTCCTTCAACAAATGAATGGTTAAAAACAAAAACAAAAACAAAAAACCTGTGATACATTCATTTCATGGAATGCTACTACTCAGAAATAAAAAGAAACAAACTATTGATAGACCAAGAACTTGGAGAAATCCCCAGGAAATTTTGCTGATTGGAAAAAGCCAATACCAAAAGGTTAAACAATATATGATTCAATTTATATAACATTTTTGAAGTGACAGAATTTTAGAAATGGAGGACAGATTAGTGGTTGCCAGGGGTCAGGGTTGGGGGAGAGAACACCCAGAGGTTGATATATGTGGTTATAAAAGGGCAACAGGAAAGATATTTGTGTTGTTGGAACTGTTCAGTGTTTTGAGTTCGTGGTGGATACATAAACCTGCATGAGAGAAAAAAAAAAGTATAGAACTAAGTGCACACTAATGAGTACCAGTAAAAGTGGGGAAACCTGAATAATGTTGGTGGATGGTATCATTAGTATCCTGATTCTGATATTATACTATAGTTTTCCATAATGTTACCACTCAGGTAAAGTGGGAAAAGTGAGCAAGTGAACTTCTGTATTATTTCTGAACTGCACGTGAATCTTTAGTTATCTCAATGAAAGTTTCAATTAAACATGTTACTACAGAAGTCTAGAGAACAGATGAGGAAATTTGACTTTGGTAAAACAAGATGCAGGATAATTTGTACAGTATGTTCTCATTTATTATTTGAATGGATGCATATCTACATAGTTGTATATTGGCATGGGAAATTGCTGGAAGGAAACATAAGAAATTATTGAAGTAGTGACCTTTGGAAAGTCGCAAGTGGGAGAAGACTCACTTTAAAAAATATGCCCTTTTGTGGCACTTGATTTTCTTAAACCACGTGCATGTACTACTTGTGTTAATTTATATTTTAAAACACATAGAATATCTTAGGTAAAATATAAACTTTAGTGCGTTACAATATGAATTTTTATCTTCAATGCTATCATAATTACTACATGAAGTAAAGGATTCTATAAGAAATATCTTACAGGGTGCAAACGAGTTTACTGGTGTCTTTGTGAAACTGCCTTTGCAAAAATTATAACAATGAGAAAATTATGACAGTGAAAGAGACCTGATCTAACCAACCCCCATCTTACCTTTAACCTCCAACCTGCACTTAGTGATGCCCGGGCTTGAGCCAAGCTAACTTTGGGAGAAATTTACTTTATAGTTTAAATCATATTAGCCATTCTCTAAAACTAAACCACCTTTGTAAAACTAATTGAAAGACCACCAGGTTAGGAGACTGAGAGGAGCCTGAATTCTGTTAATATGCAGACATAAATGATAAACAGCCATTATCCTGGAAGTCAGAAGATTTGTGACTTCCTCAATTACTCCTGTAGATAACATCACTATTCTGGAGCCTAAGATTGGCCTTTTGTGATGTTTTTTCAGGCTTTTGCATTTCTAATGATAGGATGGCTTCACCTGGACCTGCCAACCAGTCCTGTAGCCCCCACCCAGAAGTGAACTGAGAGAAGGAGGACCACTTTCCACACTGCTGTGATTGCATCCCCAATCAATCAGCAGCATCTATTCCCTAGCCACTCCTCTCCCTGCCAAACTATCTTTGAAAAACCCTAGCCTCTAAATTTTCAAGAAGGCTGATTTGAGTAGTAATATAACTGTGGTATTCTGTTTAGCCAACTCTATGTGTGTAAAGCTCTTTATTGCAGTTTTCCTGTCTTGATAAATCAGGTCTACCAGGGCAATGGGCAAGAAGGACCCATTGGGTGGTTAAAATTGGAGGAAGAAATTTTCATCAAAAAATAATTCCCATCACTCTGACACTACAAACCCCCAGACTCCAGGCAACAGCCAATGGTAGTTTTTCAAAAATATGGTTCCTAGGGCCCTGTATTTTGATGCCAAACTTTATGGAGGAAGCAAATTCTTTGTGCTTGTGTTTTGTCATTTATACTGTCTCATTGATTACATTGCAAATAGGTGCATGAAAACAGGCATATATAATTTTACAGTTAGAATCCTTCTAATGCTTGGTTATAAATATCAATAATATTGACAGCAGTAGGTGGCGAATATTTTCTATAGCCTACCAGCAGAAAAGAGAGGAACTGATGTCAGATAATATAAATCAGCTGGGCCTAATTCAGAGAGTATCAGAATTTCTGAAAAGACTTGATACATTTTGACTAAACGAGAAACAGCTAGGGAACAGGTCTTCAGTACAATTAATTAATACATAAATTCTCTGAGACCTTTTGAGCTAAATGTAAGCCTTAGCCACATACAGAGGAAAGACTGCACAAACAAAAGAGTCTGTAAACAGCAAAGGAGTAGGTCACACTTAGATTACCCAGGGCCAATGTGATTTTGAAAATGTTCATTTTTTTTTTTTACACTGATGAGAGATGTCTGATAAATCAATACCCCCACAGCAACATTTTTACCATAAAACCTATCTGTGGAGTTTGAGGTTTCAGTGAGCCATGATCACACCACCCCATTCCAACCTGGGCAACAAGAATGAGATCTTGACTCCATTTTAAAAAATTATCTGTTTATCCCTTCATTTTTATTCTTACATCCTGTTTCACATCCTAGGAGGGAGTTGACAAGCAGCTGTCTTGCTCTAACAGCTTTTGAAACAACTGTACAGCAAGAAAATGACCCAATTTTTAAAAATGGGCAGAAGACCTGAATAGAAATTATTCAAAAGAAGACATACAACTGGCCAACAGGTATATTAAAAAATGTTCATCATCACTGATCATCAGGAAAACGCAAATTAAAACCACAATGAGCTATCACCTCACACCTGTTAAAAATGGCTATTATCAAAAAGATAAAAGATATGTGTTGTTGAGGATGTGGAGAAAAGAGAACCCTGGTACACTCTTGGGAATAATGTAAATTATGGAAATTACAGCCATTATGGAAAACAGTATGAAGTTTCCTCAAAAGTTAAAAAATAGAACTATTATATCATCCAGCAATACCACTTCTGGGTATATATCCATAGGAAATGAAATCAGCATGTGAAATGGACATCTGCACTCCCATGTTCATTGCAGCACTATTTACAATAGCCAAGACATGGAATCACCCTAAGCATCCATCAACAGATAAACGAATAAAGAAAATGTGTTATATATGCACAATGGAATACTATTCAGCCTTAAAAAAGCAGGCATTTGTGACAAGAAGACATTATGTTAAATGAAATAAATAAAGGAATAAAGAGAAAAATACTGCATGACCTCACTTATATGTGGAATCTTATAAAGGTTAAATTCACAGAAGCAGAGAATAGAATAATTGTTGGCAGGGGTTGGGAGACAAGGATAGGGAGACAGACGTTAGTCAAAGGGTACTAAGTTTCAGTTAGATAGGAGGAATTAGTTCTGGAGATCTGTGGTATAGCTTGGTGAATATAGTCATTAATAATGTATGCTTGAAAATTGCTAAGACAGATCTTAAATGTTCTCAACCCAAAGAAAATTACAAGAATGTGAGGTAATGGATATGTTAATTAGCTTGATTTAAGCATTTCACAAAGAATGTGTATCTCAAAATATGCTGTTGTACACCATAAATATTTAATTGTTCTATTTGTCAAGTATACCTTAATAAAGCTGGGAAAACAAGCAAACACACACCCTGGACCTGTGACTCCCTCTTCCACAGACATCAAGGGCTGAACAGCATTCGTTTGCAGTACCCCTCCACCACCTTGGTTTTGTTAAGTGGTCACAGTTATGTTTCATCTTGAATGGCTACCATACTCCACCTAGTAACACTTCAGACTTATTCCAGAGACCTTTGCAAATGTAGATAAAAACTTCTGATCTTGGTTTAATTCAACCTCACAACATGTGGTTCTAGAAGAGCATTTCTTATGAGTTGGTTTTTAACTGAAGCTAGTCTCTAGGTAGGCCCCAAGAGTTAAGGTAAGATGCCAACCCCCTACATCCACTCTGATGTCTGACTTGCAGAAGAACTCCTAATAGAGCTGGGTGACTGACTGGTGAGTGACTTGAGAAAACGGCTATGTTTTGACTGAGCAAGTCCTGATAACCATGTGTTTGATGTTTTTTTTCACAATATATTCCTCTCCTCTCCAGGGTATTGCCAATCTATCAGGATAGCTTCACTTAGAAGACTTGCAGGCATCTCAGATTCACCATATTCCAAAATGAATTTAGGATTTTCCTTCCAAAACTTAAGATTCCCCCTCATTCCCTGTAATTTCAACTCCAAATTCTTGCTCTCCCCATTCCTATACAATGAAAAAGCCTTGTGGATAATCCCTCCAAAATGTCCTTTAATACCCTTCTTTCTATTCCGATTGCCAGTGCCTTAAGTCATGTCCTTATCATCACTGACACAAATTGGTGCAAAAGATTCTTTTGTTCCCACTCTCACTCTTTCTGGAAATAATGATAATAATAGTTACCATAGAGTTCTTCCTGTATGCTGAGTATTTTCTAAGAGCTTTATATTCATTACCTTGCTTAATTTTTATAACCATTCCATAAGTGCCATTATTGTTGACATATTACAGATGAGGAAACTGAGGCAGAGAGAAGTGAAGAAACTTGTCCAGGTTTACACACATACAGTGAGTGCCCAAATTCATCTGTATTGCAATGATTCTCATGCTTTATGGAACATAAGAGTTCTGGAGGAGAAGGTATGTTAAAATACAGATTCCTGGACTCTACCCTTTGACACTCACTGATGCAATAGGTCAGGAGTTTGACTGGTGATCTGCATTATCCAAACACCACTGATTCTGATGGAGGTGTACCAAGGAATACACTATGAGAAACACTGGTCTACAACTTTCAGAGTAAAATTACTAAAACCACAAATCTCATATTTTTATTACCTGCTTAAAAACCTGCTGATGTCCCTATTGCTTTTAGGATAAAGTCCAAATTCTTTGGTATGGCATACAAAACCCTCCACAAAGCAGCTTCTAACAATCTCTACAACCTTATTTTCAACCTCTCCTCCCCATACCAGATTTCTTATAATTCCTCAGCTATTCATTAATGTATTCATTTACCTAACCACCATTGACAGAGTTTTTACTCATACTTGGCACTATACTAGATGTGGAGATACAGCCAAAAAGATAGGGCACCTGCCCTTGAGAAACTTAGTCCAGGAGAGAGTAATTTTAAAGAGACATATACAAAATACAATAAAAACAGAGGATAAGGAACACTTAAGTCTACCTGGGAGTCAACAAAGGTGTCATTGTGGAAGTAGCATTTAAGCTGACACTTAAAGGATGAAGAGAAGTTTACCAGGTAGACAAATAGAAGAAAGAGTAGTCTAAGTAGAGAGATACAGCATGTATAGAAGTATAGAAATTCATATTCCAGAATCTATACATAGTTCTGTAATTCTAGAATGAAATTGTAAAAGAGTGAGAGAGTAGTTATCAGAGTTGAAGCTAGAGACCTATCCACTAAGGGATACAGAAATCTAAGAGGCCCCCAAATTCCCAGTGTTAACTACACTGATTTTGCTGTGAATATAATAGGATATCACTTCAGTGTTTAGGTTACTAATCAATTGACTTAGAGTTCATAAAAAGGGAGATGATACTGTATGAGCTCTTAAATGGGTATTAAAAAGTCAGAGATGTACTCCTCCTGGCTAGCAAGATAGCAAATAGCCATGTTGTGAACTGCCTTTGGGAAGCATGTGGCAAGGAACTAGCTGTGGTCTCTAGATGCTGAGGATGGTCTCCAGCAAACAGCAATAAAATGGGACCCTCAACCTTACAAATGCAAGAAGATGAATACTTCCAACAACTTGAATGAGTGTGGAAGAGGACCCCGAGCCTTCTGTGAGAATTGTAGCCCTGGGCCACACCTTAATTTCAGCCTGTTGAGACCCAGAGAAGAGGACTCAGTTAACCTGTACCTGGACTGTCCCACGAAAACGCTGAGATTATAAATTTGTGTTGTTTTAAAGTGTTATGTCTGTGGCAATTTGTTATATGACAATAGAAAACTAGCACATATACCACGCAAAATAATTTAGATTTTGCCCATAGGTGATTGGGAAATAGTGAAGGATACTGAGCAGGATAATGACATTATATACATGTTAGAAATCTGAGCAGTATAGAGAATGAATGGTAGAAACTGAAGGGAAAAGTCCAGGTATTGCTCCTTTTTTTGCTCTACTTTGGGAAGCATGTTCCACAGTGGTTGTGCCCCCTCTGTTGTTCCTGATAGCCCCTGCCTATATGAGCTCAGCTTCTACCAGGAATCCCCACGATAGTTTTAGCTACCACTGGGCAGCTACAATTTCAGGGATCTGATAACACTAACTACATTTGTTGTCTCCAGTCCCTGGTAGGCAGGTAGTAGCTAATCTCTGGGTTACCTTATGGCTGCTGTTGGGCTTCCCAGCAATTTAATCACATATTAAGCCAATTACCTTCTTAAATTCCCTATGTTTGCAATTTCTGGAGTGGTATCTGTTTCTTGACTAGAGTCTCACCGATACAGTTGGCAAATTGACAACTTGGGTGATTGATTATACGCAAGGGGGAGTATGAAGGATCTCAGATGACTTCTGAATTTGAGAAACCAATTGGATGATGATGTTGTTCACCCCAAGAGGGAAACATAGAAAGGGGAAGAAATGTGATGGAAGGGGGCCTGAATTGTTTTTGGCATGTTTAATTTGATGTGTCTGTGGGACATCCAAAATAGAGATGTCCAGTAGGAATTTGGATAGATGAGGCTGTAAGCTCCATGAAACCAGAAATTGATATTGTCTTATTCTAAGCTAGTTGTTACTTTTATGTTCTCATCTCATACTGCTACTGCCCTTTTCACTGCATTACAGTCACATTGTCCTCCTTAATGGTCTTCAAACACAACAGGCATAGTCTCATTTCATGACTCTTGCCCTTGTTTATTCCTCTGCCTATAGCACTCATTCCCTAGATATCTGCCTGAGTCACTCCCTCAACTCCTTCAGGCCTATGCTCATATGTACATCCTCTCTATGAGCCTACTATCCTCTGACCACTTTATTTTAGATTGGACCCTCCAAAGAACAACTTTATCTCCCCAATTACTGCTTAAGTTTTCTCTATAGAACTTATCACTATCTGGCGCATTGCATATTTGATTGTTTACTGTACATTTTCCCCACTAGAATGTGAGCTCTACAGGGAAGAATTGTTTTGTTCACTGCTGGATCCTCAGCGCCTAAAATAATGTTGTATGAATTAGTTTGAATGAATGAATGAGATGTGTATCCCCAAAGGTGGTATGGGTGGTATGGGCCAATTTCTAAATTGATTTAGAAATCGTCAATTTAAAGACATAAGAGTGGATAAGATTACCTGAAAAATATTGGTAGATTGAGAAGAAGGGAGTGCTGAAGATAGAAACCTGGGAAACATTAATATTTAGGATCCTTTAAAAGATGAGAAACTAGAAAAAGAGCTGAGAAAGAGCCAGAGAGGGAGAGAAAGGAAACACACAAATAGAGAGTGGTATATCAGAAACCAAGTCTAGAAAGGAGAAGTTGGTCAACAGTGACAAACGATGCAACCAGGTCAAGTATGAGTGACTGAAAATTATCTCTTGAACTTAGAAACTAGAAGGACATTGATGGCTTTGGTGAGAACAGTTACCTCTAAGTGGCGAGTCAGAAGGCAGATTGCCGTGAATTCAGTAGTGGAAGATAAAGGATTCTGTATGTGGATAATTCTTTCAGGAAGATTAGTTGTGAAGGAAAAAAATGCAATGGTATTTGGGGGTTATGGAATGAGTTTTTAAAATTAGGAATGATTTAAGCATTTCGATATTTATGAGTAGGAAGGGTCAACATGGAAAGTGAGGCAGAAGATATAAAAGGGGAAAAGGGAGGAATCATCAATGGGGAAGGCAACAGGGTGTAAGAGAAATATTTGCACAGAGAAGCATGAAGTCCAGAGTTATTCCTGATGATCTTTATTTTGTCACTGACCTAGGAACACAACCAAGTATTGAAGTATGCTCAGATGGGATTTGAGTTTCTGAGGTAAATTCCATTTTGTTTTATATTGTGGTCATTTGGTGTCAATCGAGTAGGAAAATTTTAAAAAGAAATTATCTTAGATTTTCTATGTCTTGACTTTTTGTTATGATTTCTGTGAGAGTTCCTTGATTTACTATTCCTATCCAATTCCACTTTGGATTTTTCTTTTTTCTTTTCTTTTCTTTTTTTTTTTTTTTTTGAGACAGAGTTTCACTCTTGTTGCCCAGGCTGGAGTACAGTGGCACAATTTCGGCTCACTGCAACCTCCGCCTCCCTAGTTCAAGCAATTCTCCTGCCTCAGCCTCCCAAGTAGCTGGAATTACAGGCATGCACCACCATGCCTGGCTAATATTTTGTATTTTCAGTAGAGATGGGGTTTCTCCATGTTGGTCAGGCTGATCTCGAACTCCCGACCTCAGGTGATCCGCGCGCCTTGGCCTCCCATATTTTGCCTTTGTTTGGGAGAAGAGAGGTAAAAATAGGTCACATGGGCAATGAAGTCCTCTGATGGACCGTTTCCCTTGTCCTTATGTTTGGCAACATAAATATTCTTCTAGAAAATGAAATATTTTTCTCTGAACACCAACTCTGTATCCAGAAATGTTTATATTATGTATTTACCTAAAGATACAGCTTCCACAGCAGCAAAAATAAAAACATGATGAAGGCCTCAATTCTTTTTATTCTTACTTACGATTTCAAAGTTGCTAATTTCTCTTTTTATTAGGCTATCACTCATTCCTCCCCGAATAAGCAGAAGCAAACAGTAGATGGAGCCTGGATTTTGCTTGGATTCAGCTTCCTCATTGTTCCAGTACGGCTTTTTACCACATCTTGGTGTCTCAGTTATGAATACCTGTCTCAGTTTGGCCTGGAAATCCACCACAAGCACTTGCTGCTGCTGAGAATGCCTCAGGTACAATTGACACTCTTGGTTGCTCAGTGCAGCTGTTCTGTATTTGACTTGAACTTCCACCTCGGGCATGTGCTGTTCTGTAGTCCATCTCAGGTGTAAGTGATCCCTTGCTTGCTCCATTGCCTCACTGACTGGTCCTTAGGCCAAAACATCAGGCATCTCTGACAGCCACTCCACTCTTCATCCAACTTTTTAAGTTCTTCTTGGCAATAGGTTTGGTCTGCTACAAGTCAATCAAAAATGGTCTGAAGCAGTTATCCTACAGTATGGTTTTGTGAGATACCCTTTATTAAATTAATATGCTTTTTTCTACTCTTGAAATGAGAAGAGGATTTTTATAATCATAAATGAATACTAAATGTTACCAATTAAAATTCTTCTTGAGATAATCTTTTCCTTTTAATCTGATAATATGAAGAATTATAATGATAGAATTTCCAGTGTGTTACCATGTTAGTATGTCTAGAATGAAACTTACTTGGTCATATGTTATTTTTTTGACACAGTGGTGGATTGATTTCCTAACACTTTATTTAGAACTTTTGCATCTGTTTTCATTTGTGAAATTTGCTTCACTTTTCCTTTCCTGTGATATATTTTTCTGGTAAAATAAATGGTTAGTTTTATAACCTTTTTATACTTTCAAACAGTTCAAGTTAGACACTACTTATGCCTTGGAGATTATTAGAACTCACACATAAAGCCATTTGGGCCTTGTGCCTATACCTATTAAGGATATAAATTTTGACTAAATTTCAATTTATTTTGTTGCTTATTGTCTATTGGGGTGTTCTATTTTTGACAATTTATATAGCTTTAATTATCCACTTAATATAGGTTTTAATGTTTTGATTGAAATTGTACATATCATTATGCTTTACACTTATACTTAAAACATCTCTTCTGTATCTGTGGTTATATTCTCTTTTTCATTTAAATGCTGTGATTTCTCTATTTTTTTCTTAGTCAAAATTGCCAAATGTCTGTTCATTTTCCTTTAGTCTTTTAAAAAACCTTGTTTTTTTTTTTTAATTTACCTTTAGCAGCAAGTCCTGCTCCTTCTACCAATAAAATATATTCTGTATATAATCACTTTGTATCATCCTCAACACTAAAGCCTTAGTCAAAAATATCATAATATCTGGTCTAGGTTATTGCTATCGTCTCTGAATTGGTCTTGCTGTTTTTCTCACCCACACCCAATTCATTTTCTATATTGCATTTGATTGATCATATTAAAATAAAAATTATAATTTTAGTAGTTTCCCATTGCAATGGGAAAAAAATTCGAGCACCTTCCTTTGGTGTATTAGGACTGCATGCACTCATCCTCACTTACTTTTCTGATGCCATCTCTGGCTATTCTTCCCCCTGGTTCCTGGCTCTCCAGCTACACTGGCTCTTGTTCACTTTTTTAAAAAGGCCTTTCTTGTTGCTACTTTAAAGCCTTTTCAATTGCTATGTCCTCTCACAGAATGTCATTCTTTTCATTCTTTATTTGGCTGGCTCCCTGTCATCAGTCAGGACTCAGCAATGTGACTGAGTGACTATTTTTAATTATTTGTATTTAATTAATTTAAATTAATAACATTTTAATTACTATAGCTTATTATTTTATGTTAATTAAATGTAATTGCATTATATAATTTAATATTGTATTATATTAATTTAATAGTATAATATATGATAGCAATTAAACATATTTAAATTTATTTATTTATTTTTATTTAACTAATTAAATATAAATAAAATGTAAAATTCAGTTCCACAGTTGCATTTCAAGTGCTCAGTAGGCTCAAGTGTAAATGGTGGTTACCAAATTAGACAGTGCAGATTATAGTGCAGATTTTCCATCACTACAGAAAGCTCTATTGAACAGTTCTGCTCTAGAGCATTGAAAGTACTTATTAAGGCTTCATTAAAATATATTGAATGACTTTTGAATTCCATAGGAATTGTTTTGTTACATTTCAAGGTTTCCTTGTTATATCTTTAATTCCTTTCTTAAACTTTATTTGGCTTTATTTATGTTGATTCTTTTCATTGTTTCCTGAATTATAAATGAAATTTATTTGTTGTTGGCCTTTATTTTTTCTAGTTAATGCACTCTGTGGTGTAAATTCTATACTGAATAAATGTTGGCTGCATTCCACAGAGGTAGATATGTAATTTTTAATTCTTTGTTAGCTTTAAAACTATCTATAATTTCCATTATAAATTTGTCTTTAACTCAGAAATAATCTAGGAGAAGCACTTCCAGAATGGTGCAGTAAAAACCTCCAAAATTCTACTTCTTTATAAAATATATAAAAACTCTAGCTAAAATTGCCCAAATTAAATTTTCAGAATTATAGAAATTAACCAAAAAAGACTTGCAGTAATTTGAGGAGTGTTTATTTTTAAAACATGTTTAAATCATGGTAAGAACCATAAGCTTTGTGATATTTTAACTAGCCTATTCCCGTCCCCCTTCCAGCTCTTCATAACAATTATCTTCCTTATCTGTGAGGGATATGTTCTAAGGCCCCCAGTGGATGCCTGAAACCTCAGATAGTAGTAAACCCTATATACACTGTTTTTTCCTATGCATACATACCTATGATAGAGTATAATTTATGAATTATGCACACCAAGAGATTAACAACAATAACTAATAATTAAATATAACACTTATAACAGTATACTGTAATAGCAGTTACATAAATGTGGTCTCTCTCAAAATATCTTATTGTACTGTACTCACCTTTCTTCTTGTGATGATATGAGATGATACAATGCCTATGTGATGAGAATCATGTGAGGTGAATGATGTAGGCATTGTGACGTATCACTAGGCTAATACAGACCTTCTGACAATACATCAGAAGGAGGATCTTCTACCTTGGGTGATCCTAGATCATCAAGCCATGATAATGTCCATGGTTGGATGCCAGGAATAGATGATGTGGATGGTTAGGGATTGATATGGTTTGGCTGTGTCCCCAGTCAAATTTCATCTTGAATTGTAGCTCTCATAATTTCTATGTATTGTGGGAAGGACCTAGTGGAGTTAATTGAATCATGGGGGTGGTTTCCCCCATACTGTTCCCATGGGTAGTGAATAAGTCTCACGAGATCTGATGGTTTTATAAGGGGAAATTCTTTTGCTTGGTTCTCATTTTCTCCCTTGTCTGCCGCCATGTAAAACATGCCCCTCACTTTCCACCATGATGATGAGGCTACCTCAGCCACGTGGAACTGTGAGTCCATTAAACCTCTTTTTCTTTGTAAATTACCAAGTTTTGGGTATGTCTTTAACAGCAGCATGAAAACGGACTAACACAGGGATGCTCGATAGTCAAAGGTTTTTTGGGGTGTGTGCGGAAACAGTTTGGAAGAACATTGTAATGGGAGGTTGTCTCTTTCTATTTAACTCATCAAAGTGTTGTTGCGGAGGTTAAAATGTTTCTGTTGTCATGTGGGTGATTTAAATGTTTTGTTCTACCAGAGGATTGCATTCATAATTTTATTTGTTAACGTCTATGCAATTTGAAACACTTTAACAAATTTCGGTAATCCAGTTCTGCTTCAGTTTCTTCATCTTCCTCTTCCTCTGTAGATGACTCAACAAGTTTTTCTAGTTCCTCTGTGTTAACACTTCTCACTGGCCTTCAATATGTTCTTCCGTTTCTTCATCAAGCATGTCAACAAATACTTCTCCACCAACTTGTCTTGCTGCATGAATGAATTTTCTAACTTCTCCATTGATCCTTGGGAAGACTAAAATCATTCATGACTTCACAAATTTTTCCAGCAGGCATTATAGTTTCTGGTTTTAATTCATCAATTGCAGCTTTGATGAATGTTATTGCACCAGCAATAGTGAATGATTTCCAGCACTGTTTTATGTCCAGATTAAGGTCGGCATCAAATTCTTGTTGAATGTTATTAAATACCAGACATGCATATGTGGCCTTGACAAATCAAGTGATGCCTTGGTCAAGGGGCTGAAGCAATGAGGTTGTATTTTCAGGTAAAAATACAACGTGGACATTTTTATTGTCATAGCAAACAGATTCAAGATGGCCATGTGCATTGTCTATTATTAATACAACTTTAAATTCCAACCATTCTTCCAAATATTTTCTTACTTCTAGGAAGAAGCGTTAGTAGAGCTATTCCATAAACAACATGACTCTCACCTATATTTTCTGATTATGTTGCCAGAACATAGGCAGATAATTTTCATTTTTGTTTTTGAAAGTGCATGGGTTCATTGCTCTGCACACTCCTCCTGGCTTTAGCATATGCCCTGCATCATTGCCACTAGTACCAGAGTTCATCTGTCCTTGTTTATACCCTGGTGCCTTCTTTGCATGTTCATGAATTTTTAAGCTCTATTGGAGATTTCCCAGAAAAGTCTAGTTTTATCACAATTGAAGTCTTGCTTTTCATGGTATCCTTTCTCCTTAATCAACTTCTTCAACTCTTCTGGAAATGTGGCAGTAGCTTCTTCATTAGCAGATGTAGATTCTGCAGTAATTTTTACATTTTTATTCCAAACCTATTCCTGAATCTGTGTAATCATCCCCTATTTGCAGCAAATGACTTCATGTCACTCATTTCAGGTGATCCCTTGCTGAAGTTTTCATATAGGCTTAATGCTTTCTGGTGCAATATGTTGCCATCAATTGGAACATGTTTCTATTCATGTCTTCCACCCACAAATTTAATGCCTTTTTCATCTTAGCTAAGTACTTATCTACTTTGGTTATAATATCTGCAGCTTGAGGTACAATAGCAAAACTAGCATAAATTTATTTTTTTCTTCACAATTTTATGGATAGAAGATTCATTCTTACTGTACATCTTAGCAACTTCAGCATATATATTTTTTCTTTCCTTATAAAGTCAAAAATTTTTTACCATTTAACTTAAAGGAAGCACTTTATGGCTTCTCTTTGACATGTCTGAATTGCTAGTATCACTCCTCTTGCACTTTGGGGTCATTACGAAGTAAAATAAGGACTACTTGAACATAAGCACTATGATATTATGGCAGTTGAACCAAGAACCGACATAGTTACTAAGTGACTAATGGGCAGGTAGCAGATGGCTCAAGGCATTTATTGAAAACTCTATCCAATTATTAGCTGACAACTAAGCTAACCAATCAGAGACTTCAGTGGCCACCCATGACAGAGTACAGAATTTGCAGACTTAGTCCAGGAAAGTAACTAAACAAACAGTAGAACCAGCAGCAATAACAAAAATAAGCAAACCCCAAGAAGAAGGAAATAATTTTAATTCCAGAGTTTCAAATGTCTAATTTAAGAAACTACCTCTAATAGTTTTTTGAATCTCTGTTTGTTTGTAGTTTTTGTTTTGTTCTGTTTTACAGTCAGCATCTTCTGGTTGATGCCTAAGTTTATCGCATTATCAATAGATTTTTGCCTCAATGACATGTACTTTTATAATTTCCTGAGATGTGTGTATGCAAGCACGTGTGTGTGTGTGTGTGTGTGTGTGTGTGTGTGTGTATGAAATAGAGCATAGTTAATTTTTAAGACTGTTTCATAGGTAGATTATCTTTGAGTAAAAGTTTCTCTAAATCAGTATTAGATCATTTCTGTTACATGTTCTTCAAATACTCTGTATCCTTTCTTTTTCCTTTTTTTTTTTTTTGTTTTGACCTGTCTTGTTCATTTTGTTTTAGGTTTCTTTCTTTAAAAAATTGCATTCAATTTTTAAAAATTTAGTCTGAGAATCTTTTTATAAATTAGAGAACATAACCCTTTAAAAATGTATTGTGATTAATGATATGCTTGGAATCATTCCAACCACTTTATTTTCTATTTACTATATATTAAATTGTGTAGTTATTTCTCCTGTCATATTTCATGCTATTTTTTGAGTCATCTTTTTTTCTTGTTACCTCTTTTCTGCTCTATTGCTTTGAAGGTTATGCATGTAATTTCTAATGGAATATTGTGACCTTCAAAATTTTGATTTCTGCATTATAGTGGATTTTTAAAATGGTCATTAATTTTTTGACATGCCTCCCTTCAAGAAGTAGAGTTTAATTGCCTGTCCCTTGAGTACAGGTTGGACTTACTGACTTTCTTCTAAAGAATAAAAAAAGTGGAAATGATGATATGTAACTTTGGAGACTGGGTCATGAAAGGTGCTACAAGGTGCAAGGTGGACAAATAGAAGACTCTACTGATCCCCCACCCAGCAGGAAGACCAAATGTAGTAACTATCCACACGAAAAAATCACCTTAATAGAAACTAAAAATAAGGTGAGCAATCATAGTACCTGGCTTTATCTTCATATCTTTGAAAGAGGCATTGGAGCAGGTAGGAAAGATAGTCTTATATCACTGATGCCACCCATCCTGCATCCCTTGGCAGCAGCTGTGTGGCACTGATAAACAATCTGTGCACTTGCCGGAGAAAAGCACAGTGATTGTGGGATTTGCATTGAACTCAGTGCTGCCCTGCCATAGTGGAAAGCAAAGCCGGGCTGAACTCAGCTCCCTCACAAGACTCCTGCTCTTGAAGGAAACATTGAGAACAGCTCTAGCCAGAGGGGAATCACCCATCCCAGCAGTTGGAAGTTGAGTTTTGGCAAGCCTCACCACTGCAGGCTAAAGCACTCTAGGGTCCTAAATAAACTTGAAAGGCAGTCTAGGCCACAAACACTGCAACTCCTAGGTGAGACCTGGTGCAGTGTTGGATTCAGAGTCAGTGGAACTGAGGCACACACAACCTAGTGAGACATCAATTGGGACAGCTAAGGGAGTGATGGCATCACCCCTCCCCTAACCCCACGCTGCCCAGCTGTGACTCCAAAAAAGACCTTTTCCTTCTGCTTTAGGTAAGGAGAGGGAAGAGTGGGAAGGATCTGTCTTGCATCTTGGATACCAGCTCAGCCACAGAAGGCTAGGGTACCAGTCAGAGTCACGAGGCCCCCATTCCAGGCCCTAGCTCCTGGATGACATTTCTACACAAACCCTGGGACAAAAGAGAACCCACTGCCTTGAAGGGAAGGACCAAATCCTGACAGGATACATCACCTGCTGACTAAAGAGCCCTTGGGCCCTGAATAATCAGCAATGGTAGCCAGGCAGTACTTGCTATGGGCCTTGGGGGAGATTCCGAGATATGTTGACATCAAACAAGACCCAGCACATTCCCAGATGTGGTGGCTACAATGAGATACTTCTTCTGCTTGAGAAAAGTCAAGGGAAAAGTAAAGGGGACTTTGTTTTGCACCTTAGGTACCTGCTCAGCTACAGTGGGGTAGAGCACCAAGCAGGCTTTTGGGGTCCCTGATTCCAGGCCTTGGCACATGGATGGCATTTCTGGCTCCCTGGGGAAGAGAGGAGCCCACTTCCATGAAGGGTGAGTCCCAAACCTGGCAGCATTCAACACAGGCTGACTTAAGAGGCTTTGGGTCTTAAGTAAACATCAGCAGGAGCCTGACACTACTCCCCATGGCCCTATGGTGGTGGTGGCCATGGGGAGAAGCCTCTCTGCCTGTGGAAATTAGAAGGAAGGGTGGGAAGGACTGTGCCTCTTGATTTCACTGCCAGCTTAGCCATAATTAAATGAAGCACCAGGTGGATCTCCAAGGTTTTTGACTCCAGTCCCTGGCTTCTGAATGTCATTTCTGGACCTGCCTGGGGCTTGGGGGAACTCACCACCCTGAATGGAAGGAAAAAAGCCTGGCTGACTTTGCCACCTGCTTATTGTAGAGTACTAGAATCTTGAACAAACATAGGAGGTAATAAGGTAGTGGTTACAGTGGGCCTTGGGTGAGACCCAGTGCTGTGTTGGTTTCAGGTATGGTCCAGTGCAGTTTTAGTGGTGGTGGCCACAGGGGTGCTGATGTCACCCTACCCCCAGCTCCAGGCATCTCAGCAGAGAGGAAGAGACTCCATTTATTTAGGAAAAATAAGGGAAGAGGACAAGAGTTTCTGCCTGCTAATACAGAGAATCCTTCCAAAACTTACCCGAGATCACTGAGGTGATACCTCCACAACTCTGTAAGGATCACAAGGTTACTGGGCTTGAAGTGCCCCTTAATGGAGATATGGCTTAGATGGCAATGCTCAAGTCTCTTCAAATACCTGGAAAGCCTTCCCAAGAAGGATGGATATAAACCCCAGACTATTAAGACTACAATGAATACATAACTCTGCAATGTCCAGACACCAACGAACATCCACAAGTATCAAGAATATCCAAGTAAACATTACTTCACTAATGAAATAAATAAGCCACCAATGACCAATCCCAGAGAGACAGAGATATGTAACCTTTCAGACAGGGACTTCAAAATAGTTATTTTGAAGAAACTCAAAGAAATTCAAAATAACACAGAGAACGAATTCAGAATCCTATCAGACAAATTTAACAAAGAGATGGAAATAATTAAAAGGAATCAAGTAGAAATTCTGGAGTTGAAAAATGCAACTGACACACTGAAGAATGCATCAGAGTGTCTTAGTAGCAGAATTGACCAAGCAGAAGAAAGAATTAGTAAGCTTAAGATAGGCTATTTGAAAATACACAGTCAGAGGAGACAAAGGACAAAAAATTTTAAAAATGAAGCATACCTTCAAGATGTAAAAAATAGCCTCCAAGGGGCAAATCTAAGAGTTATTGGCCTTAAAGTGTAGGTATAAAGAGAGATGGGATGGAAAGTTTATTAAAAGGGATAATAAAAGAGAGCTTCCCAAACCTAGAGAAAATTATCAGCATTCAAGTACAAGAAGGTTATAGAACACCAAACAGATTTAACCCAAAGAATACCTCAAGGCATTTAATAATCAAAATCTCAAGGGTCAAATATAAAGAAAGTATCTTAAAAGCAGCAAGAGAAAAAAAGCAAGTAACATAAAATGGAGCTCCAATACATCTGGCAGCAGACTTTTCTTTTTTCAAAAGAGACAAAGAAGGTCCTTTACAGGCTAGGAGAAAGTGGTATGACATATTTAAAGTGCTGTAAAAAAACAAACCTTTTACCCTAGAATAGTATATCTGGCAAAAATATCCTTCAAACATGAAGGAGAAATAAGACTCCCAGGCAAACAAAAGCTGAGGGACTTTATCAACACCAGACCTGTCGTACAAAAAACGCTAAAAGGGATATTTTGACCAGAAATAAAAGGACATTAATGAGCAATAAGAAATCATCTGAAGGTACTAAACTTACTGGTAATAGTAAGTACACATAAAAACAGAATATGATAAGGTCATAATTGTAGTGTGTAAACTACTCTCATCTTAATAAGAAAGATTAAAAGACGAAACAATCAAATATAATAACTGAAACATTTCTAGATGTAAACAGTACAAGATAGAAATAACAAAAAGTTGAAAGATAGAGGAAAGAATTTGAAGTACAGAGTTTTTATTGGTTTTCTTTTTGCTTGTTTGCTTGTTTGTTTATGCAATCAGTGTTAAGTTGCAATTAGTTTAAAATAATGGGTTACAAGATAGTATTTGCAAGCCTCATGGTAACTTCAAATCAAAAAACCTACAACAGATATACAAAAAATAAAAATAAAAATAAAAACAAAGAAACTAAATTACAATACCAGAGAAAATTACCTTCTCTAAAAGGAAGACAGGAAGGAAGACAAGACAGAAAGCAAGACCACAAAAACAACCAGAAAACAAATAACAAAATGGCAGAAGAAATTCCCTGCTTCCTGCTTATCAATAATAACATTGAATGTAAATGGATAAAACTCTCAAATCAAAAGACAGAGTGGCTGAATGGATAAAAAAAAGAACCAATGGTTTGTCACTCACAAGAAACACACTTCACCTATAGAAGCACACATAGACTGAAAATAAAGGGGTGGAAAAAGGTATCCCATGCCAACGGAAAGCAAAAAAAAAGCAGGAGTAGCTATACTTATTTTAGACAAAAGAGATTTCAAGACAGAAACTATAAGAAGAGGCAAAGAAGGTCACAACATAATAATAAAGGAGTCAGTTCAGTAAGAGGATATGGAAATTATAAACATATGTGTTTCCAACACTGGAGCACACAGATATACAAAGCAAATATTATCAGAGTTAAAAAGAGATAGACCCAAATACAATAATAGATGGAGATTTCAACACTCCACTTTCGGCACTGGACAGATAATCTAGATGGAAAATCCACACAGAAAGATCAGACTTAATCTGTATTATACACCAAATGTACCTAATAGATATTTGTAGACACCTCATCCAAGGGCTGCAGAATGGATATTTTTTCCTCAGCACATGGATTATTCTCAAGGATAGACCATATGTTAGGACACAAAATGAGTCTTAAAAACATTTTGAAAAATTGAACTAATATCAAGCATCTTCTCTGACCACTGTGGAATAAAAGTAGAAATCAATAAGAATAATTTTGGAAACTATAAAAATACATGGAAATTAAACCATATGGTCCTGAATGATCAGTGAGTAAATGATGAGATTAAGAATGAAATTGAAAAATGTCTTGAAACAAATGATAATGGAAACACAATGTACCAAAACCCATGGGATACAGCGAAAGCAGTACTAAGAGGGAAGTTTATAGCTATAAGTGCATATGTGAAAAAAGAATAAAAAATTTAAATTAACAATGTAATGAAGCATCTTAAAGAACTAGAAAAACAAGGGTATACCTAACCCAAAATTAGTAGAAGAAAAGAAATAAGAAAAATCAGAGCAGAAATACATGAAATAGAAATAAAGAAAACAATGCAATCAATTAATTAAACAAATAGTCTGTATTTTGAAAAGATAAATAAAATGGAAAACCCTTAAGCCAGAATAAGAAAAAGAGAGAGAAGAGTCAAATAGATAAAATCAGACATGAAAAAGGAGGCATTATGATAGATACCACAGAAATTCAAATGATCGTTAGTGGCTACTATGAGCAACTATACGCCAGTACATTGGAAAATATAGAAGAAGTGGATAAATTCGTAGACAAACACAACTTAACAATATTGAACTGTGAAGAAATCCAAATTCTGAACAGACCAATAATATGTAAGAAGATCAAAGCCATAATAAAAAGTTGCCCAGCAAAGAAAAGCCTGGTACCCAGTTGCTTCACTGATGAATTCTACCAAACATTTAAAGAAGAACTAACACCAATCCTACCCAAGATATTCCAAAAAATAGAGGAGGAGAGAATACTTCTAAACCCATTTTACAAGACCAATATTATCCCAATACCAAAACCAGATACAGACAAATCAAAAAAGGAAAGCTCCAAATCCATATCCTTCATAAATATTGATGCAAAAATCCTAAACAAAACACTAGCTAACTGAATTCAACAACACCTTGCAAAGATCATTCATCTTGACCAAATGGGATTTATCCCAGGTATGCAATAATGGTTTAACATACACAAATCAACCAATATGATACACAATAGCAGCAGAATGAAGGGCAAACACTGTATGATCATTTCGATTGAGGCTGATAAAGCATTTGATAAAATTCAACATCTTTTCGTGATAAAAAGCCCTAAAAAACTGAGTATACAAGGAACATACGTCAATATAATAAAAACTATATATGACAGACCCATAGCTAGTGTCATACAGAATGCAGAAAAGCCAAAATCCTTTCCTCTAAGATCAGGAGCATAACAAAGATGCTCACTTTCACCACTGTTATTCAACATAGTACTGGGAGTCCTAGCTAGAGCAATTAGACAAGAGAAAGAAATTAGGGGCATCCAAACTGGAAAGTTAGAAGTCATATTATGCTAGCTTTCAGATGATATGTTCTTATATTAGGAAAAACCTAAAGACTCCACCAAAAAGCTTAGAACTGATCAACAGATTCAGTAAAGTTGTAGAATACAAAATCAACATTAAAAAATCAGTAGCATTTCTATATTCCAACAGCAAAAATTTGGAAAGGAAATCAGGAAAGTAATCCCATTTATGATTCCTAAAAATAAAATTGAATACCTAGAAATTAACTTAACCAAAGAAGTGAAAGATCTCTACAATGAAAACTATAAAAATTGATGCAAGAAATTGAATTAGAAACAAAAAAGAAAGATATTCCATATATATAGATTGGAAGAATCAATATTAAAATGTCCATACTACCCAAAGCACTTTACAGATTCAATGCAATCCCTGTCAAAATAGCAATAACTTTCTTCACAGAAATAGAGAAACAATCCTAAAATTTATGTAGAACCACAAAAGTCACAGAATACCCAAAGCTATACTGAGCACAAAAAGCAAAAGTGGAGGAATTGCATTACTGGACTTCAAATTATAATACAAAGCTATAGTAACCAAAACAGCATGGTACTGGCATAAATGCAGACACACAGATCAGTGGAACAGAATAGAGAACCTAGAAACAAATCCATACATCTAAAGTGAACTCATTTTCAACAAAGTCACCAAGAACAACATTGGGGAAAGGACAGTCTCTTCAATAAATGGTGTAGGGAAAACTGGATATCCATATGCAGAAGAATGAAACTAGACCCCTATCTCTTGCTGTATACAAAAATCAAATCAAAATGGATTAAAGACTTAAATGTAAGACTCACACTATGAAACTACTACAAGGAAACTTTGGGGAAAATCTCCAGGATATTGCTCTGGGCAAAGATTTTTTGAGCAATACAAGCACAGACAACAAAAGTAAATGTGGACAAATGGGATCACATTAAGTTAAAAGCTTCTGCACAGTAAAGGCAACAATCAACCAAGTGGAGAGACAACCTACAGAATGGAAGAAAATATTTGCAAAGGAATCATCTGACAAAGGATTAATAACAATAATATATAAGGAGATCAAACAACTCTATAGGAAAAAACCTAATAATTCAATTTAAAAATGATCAAAAGACCTGAATAGACATTTCTGAAAAGAAGACATACAAATTGTAAGCAGGTATATGAAAAGGTGCTAACCATCAATGATCATCAGAGAAAAGCAAGTCAAAACTACAATGAGATATCATCTCACCTCCATTAAAATGACTTATATTCAAAAGACAGGCAATAACAAATGCTGGCAAGGATGTGGAGAAAAGGAAACTCATATGCTGTTGGTGGGAATGTAAATTAGTACAACCACCATGAAGAACACAGTGGAGGCCCCTCAGAAAACATAAAATAGAGCTACCATATGATCCAGCAATCCCACTGCTAAGTATGTATGCAAAAGAAAGGAAATGAGTATATGGAAGATATATCTGCACTCCCATGTTTGTTGCAGCACTGTTACACAATTCCAAGATTTGGAAGCTACCTAAGTGTCCATCAACAGATAAATGGATAAAGAAAATGGGGTACATATACATAATGGAGTATTATTCAGCCATAAAAAAGAATGAGATCCTGTCATTTGCAACCACATGAATGGACGTGGTGGTCATTATGTTAAGTGAAATATGCCAGGCACAGAAAGACAACCTTCACATGTTCTCACTTACTTTTGGGAGCTAAAAATTACTACAATTGAACTTATTGAACTAGACAGTAAAATGATAATTACCAGAAGCTGGGAAGAGTGGTGGGTTTGGAGGTGTGAAGATAGTTCATGGGTTCTAAAAAGGAGTTAGAAAGAATAAATAAGACCTCATATTTGATAGCACAACAGCTTGACTGTAGTGAATAATAATTTAATTGTATATTTAAAAATAAATAAAACAGTATAATTGGATAGATAGTTTTTAACACAAAGGATAAATACTTGAGATGATTGTTATCCCATTTATTATTAAACATTGCACGCCTGTATTTTAAAGAAAAGGCATTACAGCTTCATCATTGCCATTTCTCTCCATTTTCTCACTTTGGAGATCTATCTGCCATGTTGTGAGGACATTCAAGCATCCTATGAAGTGATCCATGTGGTGAGAAACAAAGAACTCCTGCATAGAGCTAGCAAGAAATTGAGGCCTTCTGGCAACAGTCACGTGCATGATCTATCTTAAAGAAGGATCTTCAAGATCGCTCAAGCTTTAAGGTGACTTTAGCCTTGACCATGTATTGAACCTGAGCTAGAGTCACCTTGAGTTACTTCTGTATTTTTAGCCAACAGCAATTTTGGAACAATAGAAAATAAGTGTTTCTGAAGCCACTAACTTTTGGAGTAATTTGTTATACATCAATAGATAACAAATACCAGTACTTCAGCTTACACTTTTCTAATAGCATCTAGAGTTAATAATTATACAGAGTTTCTTTCTTAGTATGCTTTACTTTTTTCAACTGTACTTTTTACTTTTTGATACAAATTCACAAATTATTATAAAATAATTTTCAAGATGTATATAAGATATTAATCATCTTTTTCTGTGAAGGGTCAGATAAAGTTTTTAAGTCTTACATTTTTGTTGTAACTATTCAACTCTTGTAGTATGAAAGCAGCTATAAACAGCATGTTAATGAATGGATGTATATTTAAGGACCCTGAAGTTTGAATTTCATGTAACTTTCATATGTCATGAAATATTGATCTTTTTATTTTTTCCAACCATTTGAAGACATTAAAACAATTCCTAGCTCACAAGGAATACAAAAGTGTTGGTGAGCCAGATTTGGCCCAAGGTCCACAGTTTGCTAACAACTGATCTATGTACGGAGAATTCAGAAAAGATGATGGCATGAGAGCAACATGCCTAAATCCTTATCCATATCGAATTTTCCTCAACTCTCTTTTTGAATGAGATGTTAGCAGGCAAGCTGTCAAACCTGGATGGTACGTTTGAGTCTACACACTCTACAAGTATCTCTGGATAGTAAAGAAGATACGGAACCTTGAGGCACTTTGTGCTGACTGGAAACCCAGGAATCAGTAGCAGAGAGGTCTTGGGCAAGAATCAGGGAAGAGCTTCCTCTTCTTGTTTGCTTGTGATTCTGCAATGCTGCATAATCTTGTTCTCTATCAGTGTTTGATGTGAAAACAAACCGGTGGTTTGAGTTGTACAGTCCTTGAGGTGATAAATTTCTCTTGTATTTTGTGAATTCTGGGATCAGTGAAGCTTTGGATCTTCTTCAGAGGAATAATGGCTTTCAAGGTTGTGCACACACAGTGGAAAACTGCCACTGTTCAAGAAACCCAAACAGCCTTAACTGAAGACTGAGGATAAACCAAACATGAAATGGTTAAGACAAATAATAATGCACTTAATGAGATTCAGCTACAATGAGAGGTAAATTTTGTTGAACAACTTTTTCAGCGTTCCCTATTTATGTAGAATTAAAATTGTCAGGAAAGGGTTTTAGTAAAAAAAAAAAAAAGTACAAATTATTAAATAAATAATGCAATGGGAACATTGAAATATACTGAGTGGAATTAAAATAATATGATTTGGTACTAATTTGATAGATGAACTGAAAAGGAAGATGGTCACTGTTAAATGTCATATTCGTGACCTGAAAACTCTAATGGAAGAAATAATTCAGAACCAGAGCAAAATACAAAGAAATAGTTGGGGGAAGTGACACTTGAAGAACAGATCCAGGAGGCTGAATGGGAGAATATTAAGAGTTCCAGAAAGATGGGGAAAATTGTGTAAGAGAGGACATATTTAAACAGGTAATAAGGAAAGAAGACCCTGATTTTGGCTGGGCAGGGTGGCTCATGCCTGTAATCCCAGCACTTTGGGAGGTTGAGGTGGGTGGATCACCTGAGGTCAGGAGTTCAAGACCAGCCTGGCCAACATGGTGAAACCCTGTCTCTACTAAAAATACAATTAGCTGGGCTGGGGGTGGGTGCCTGTAATCCCAGTTACTAGAGAGGCTGCGGCAGGAGAATTGCTTGAACCCAGGAGGCAGAAGTTGCAGTCAACCGAGATCGCACCTTTGCACTCCAGCCTGGGCGACAAGAGCAAAACTCAGTCTCAGACAAAACAAAACAAGACAAAAAAACCCTGACTTGAAAAAAAATTTGAATCTCAAGATCCAAAAGAGTCATCAAATTCATGAGCAAGTTATTTGTAATGGAAGGAGAATCATACCAGTATTAGACTTTTCAACTGTAATTCAGGAATCCAGAAGACATAGGAGACTGAATCAATAGTTACAACCTAATGAAGGAAAAATACTCTTACAACAAAATTTTTACTCATTAAGATATTCATATTTCAGAGTGAGGAAAAGACAGGCATATTAATCAAATATAGTAAATATATCACTATGCATATACTATAAATGAAGAATTTATTTGAGAAGGTAGATTTCATAAGGAGGATTACAGACAAAAGATAATAAATTGGAGGATTCAGCATAATAAAAGATAAAGCAGACAGAAAACCATAGGGAACAGTAACTTTTATATTATATTTAGTCAAATCTTAATAAATGATCATAGGGTGATTAGTACATTTCTACTCTAAATGTAAAATAGCAATTGTTGAAATGTGAGACATACTATAAGGGAAAGTCTATTAATATTTTGGAATTAAAATTTAGAAAGGGGAGTGATGACATAAAATTGTTCTAAATATATAGAGAAGATAAGAAAAAGGTACAGCAAAGAAGCAGAAAAGCAGTAGATATTTTTTTCACTTAATCACAGGCTAATAGAAGTATAATTGGGATGATTAGAAATGAAATAGTGCCCATAAGCAGAACTGAAAACACAGTCCAAACCAACAAGACAATATAAAGGAACAAAGAATAACTTGACCAGCAAAAGTCAAGAAAACAAATAAGAGAACCAGAGAGAATGTATCTTATATTGTTGACACAAAACAAGATGAAAGAAAAAAAAGCTAAGCATATCAGTTTTAATAAAAACAAGATGAATTCCCTCATTGAAAGGGAGAGAAGTCCAGCTATATGTTATTGAAAAGAACATATCTAAAATGATGCGATAAAATAAGGATAAAAATTAATTAATGGTAAAGAAATAACAGGTAGACAGGAAGAAAAAAGGAGTAGAAATAGAACAATGTCTGTTAGGCTAAATGAAATTTAACTTCAAGAATATTAAACATGTTTTTAAAGGACATCATTCAATGAAAAAAGTTAAAATTAAAAAAGAAGTTTAGTAATCATAACTTATTAGGTATTCTCAAAATAGTAGCTAAAGGTACAAAAATATTCCTCAAATTTTAATGCAAACTTGATAAAATAAAATTATTGGAAGGGAGTTTATTATACCACTTTCAAATTTTTGTCAAATAGAAAAACAAAACCTAAACAAATCATTGCATATACACATAATCCAATCAACTTACTTGATTTAATGGATATCCTCAGAATCTTATATCCTATAAACACGGAGTATACATTCACTTATATCTATGGAATATTTACAAAAATTGATGAGAAGACAAACAAGAAGTCAGACAAATGGATTTAACAAATCATATTTTCTGATTATCATGAAATTAAATCTTGAATGAACCAATAAAAAGATGGCCAAAAGTATCTTAGTAATTTGTAAATTAAGAATCATGTTCTTAAATACACCCCTAGCACAAAAGTGACCTGAAAATTTTAAATTATCATGTATCTACAAAGTAATGAAAAGAATAATTCCCTCACATTAAAATTTATGGGACAGTGTTAGGTTCTTCTAAGGTGAAAATGTATAATATTATATATACTCACATTGAAGTTTCAGATGGAAAATCTCTGCAGAAAAATGGAAACCATAAAAAATAAAACTAAATGGAAAGATTAGAACTAAAAATAAATATCTGAAATTTTAAAAATCACTGACTGGACTTAAGAGCAGATTAGAAGTGACAGTGTAATGGATAGGTAAACTTGAAGATTAGATAAATAAAACAAACCCATTACGAAGGAAACAATGAACTGTGAACTATAGCAAAACATCAAAGGTTATAAAAGTTTTTGGAGTCTTAGGAGAGAAGAGATAGCATAGGGTATAAAGGGTATTTGAATAAATAGTGGCTATGAACATTGTTGATACAAATGAAATAAACAGAACACTACAGACAACAATTGCAGAATACACAGAATTAAATCCTGTGAATATAGAATGTTAAACAAAATAGATCTTATACCGGGTGAAAAATAAGTATCAAACATTACAAAACATTGGAACCATACATAATATGTTGAAATCAGTAACATGGATAGCTAGAAAAGCCCCAGATATTTTTAAACTGCAAAAAATACAAGTAAAGTTTTGAGTAACCCATGGGTCAAGGAAGAAATCACAAGTGAAATTAGAAAATATTTCAAACAGAAGGATAATTAAATTACAACTTATCATTATATATGGAATGCAGCTAAAGCAGTGCAAAGAAGAGATTTAAAATCAATGATCTCATTATTCTCCATAAGAATTCTGAGGAAGAGAAGCAAATGAAACATAAGTAAACACAAAGAAGGAAATAATTATTTAAAATTGTACAGAAATCAATAGAATGAAAGTAATAAAAAGAAAGACAAGCAACAGAGGAAGCTAAGAAAACCAAAAGTTTTTCATTTAACAAGATTTAAAATTTGATAAACACCTAGAGTGTTCAAGAACTACAAAACAATACAAATTACCTATATTAGAAATAATGTGAGATATCACTCCACATGCTACACATATTAAAAAGATAATAAGGGAATATAATTTAAAATCGTAGGCCCGTAAATTCAACATTACTGCTGTGGACAGAGTCCTTCAAAAAACAGATGATCAAGATAACCCAAAGTGAAGTAGAAATTCTCAAAAGCCCTGTATCTATTAAAGTAATCAAATATTTTCCCACAAAGAAAATTCCAGGTCCATATTTTTATTGGTGAATTGAATAAACTATTTAAGGAGGAAACATCACTAATCAGATACAAACCATTTTTAGAAATGGAAGGGGCAGGCCACTTCATTAATTTTTCCATGAAGCAACAAAAACTTGATTCCAAAATATTTCAAAATATTACAGAAAAGAACTACAAACCAATATACTTCATGTACATTGATGTAAAATTATTTAACGGAACATTTAGCTAAAGTCAGTGATCTATAAAAAGGATACTACAACATGGCCTAATGGTGTTTATTCCAGGGACGCAAGGTTGGTTTAACATTTGCAGCTCAATCTGTAATTCATCATATTAAAGGAAGAGAGGAAAATGTATGATCATTTCAATAAATGTAAAACAAAATTCAACACCTGTTTATGACTTTTTAAAAAATCCTCAACAGACTACCAAAAGAAGGAAACTTCCTTCAACTGATAAGCTACATCTCATGATATTTAATGATAAACTACAAACTTTCCCCTAAGTTGGGAATTAGGCAAGGATGTTCATTCCAACGATTTATATTGAACATTGTTCTGGAAATATTAACAAGTGCAATAAGGCAAGAAAATAAATCCAAGATGTGGGGAAAAGCAAGAGAGATCAGATTGTTACTGTGTCTGTGTAGAAAGAAGTAGACATAAGAGACTCCATTTTGTTCTGTACTAAGAAAAATTCTTCTGCCTTGAGATGCTGTTAATCTGTAACCCTACCCCCAACCCTGCGCTCCCTGAGACATGTGCTGTGTCAACTCAGGGTTAAACGGATTAAGGGCTGTGCAGGATGTGCTTTGTTAAACAAATGCTTGAAGGCAGCATGCTCGTTAAGAGTCATCACCACTCCCTAATCTCAAGTACCCAGGGACACAAAACACTGCGGAAGGCCGCAGGGACCTCTGCCTAGGAAAGCCAGGTATTGTCCAAGGTTTCTCCCCATGTGATAGTCTGAAATTTGGCCTCGTGGGAAGGGAAAGACCTGACTGTCCCCCAGCCCGACACCCGTAAAGGGTCTGTGCTGAGGAAGATTAGTAAAAGAGGAAGGAACGCCTCTTGGCAGTTGAGTTAAGAGGAAGGCATCTGTCTCCTGCTCGTCCCTGGGCAATGGAATGTCTCCGTGTAAAGCCCGATTGTATATTTCATCTACTGAGATAGGGGAAAACCGCCTTAGGGCTGGAGGTGGGACATGCTGGCAGCAATACTGCTCTTTAAGGCATTGAGATGTTTATGTATATGCACATCAAAAGCACAGCACTTTTTTCTTTACCTTGTTTAAGATGCAGAGACATTTGTTCACGTGTTTACCTGCTGACCTTCTCTCCACTATTATCCTATTGTCCTGCCACATCCCCCTCTCCGGGAAACGCCCGATAATGATCAACAAATACTAAGGGAACTCAGAGGCCGGTGCCGGCGCGGGTCTTCCATGTGCTGAACGCCGGTCCCCTGGGCCCATTTTTCTTTCTCTATACTTTGTCTCTGTGTCTCTTTCTTTTCCAAGTCTCTCCTTCCACCTGACGAGAAACGCCCACAGGTGTGGAGGGGCAACCCATCCCTTCACCAAGGCATAAATATTGGAAAGGAATATGTAAAAGCATATCTATTCATACACAACATGATTGTTTATGTCAAAGATTCTAAAACATCTACAAAACAAATATTCAAAGTAATAGGTAAATCTACCAAAGTGGCATAATTTAATATACAAAAAGCAATTGTACACCTTTATAATGGCACAAAACTATTGGAAAAATTTAAGCAAAGAATTCTGTTTATCATAGCATCAAAACATAATATGATTCAGGAAAAATATCCACAACACATGATTCTTATATTGAAAGCACAAAAATTGCTGGATAAAGACTACATATTATTAAGATGCCCATTCTCCTCAAAGTAATTACTAGGCTCATGCAATAAAATAAAAGTCTTGGCAGGTTTTTTTTGTAAAAATTGAAAAGCTGTTTCTAAAATTTATGGGGAACTTCAAAGGACCTCTAACAGCCAAACATTAAAAACAAAGAACAAAGTTAGTGGCCTATTTATATGACTCCAAGTCTAACTGTAAGGTTTCAGTAATTCAGACAGTGTGGTAGAAGCAAAAGGATAGAAAAACAGATCAATGGAGAATAGACGTTCTAGAAATAAACTCAGACTTCTAAAGTCAGTTGATTTTTAACAAATGTGCCAAAGTAGCTCAGTTGGGAAAATAAAGTCTTTTCAGTAAATGGTGCTGGAGTGACTGGATAACCATATAGAAGAAATAAATAAATCTTTACCCATACCTCACAACATACATAAAATGTAATTAAAGATGGATCATGAAATAAATATAATGCTCAAGCTGCAAAGTTTCTAGAAGAAAATATAAGTGAAAATATTTGCAATCTGGGGGAGGACAACGTTTTGTAGACAGAACACAGAAAGAGATAAATATTAAAGAAAAAATATTGACAAATTAGACCTAACAAAAATATAGAACTTCTGTTTATCAAAAAGATGCCATTAAGAAAATGAATATGCAAGCCAAGTACTGGGAGAAAATAGTCACAAAAAACATATTAAGCATAGTGAAAAGGAAGAACACTATGTTTCCCCCGACTCCATTTTTTTGTTTGTTTGTTTTGAGATGGAGTCTTGCTCTGTCACCCAGGCTGGAGTGCAGTGGCGTGATCTCGGCTCACTGCACCTTCTGCCTCCTGGGTTCAAGCAATTCTTCTGCCTCAGCCTCTTGAGTAGCTTGGACCACAGGTGTGCGCCACCATGCCTGGCTAATTTTTGTATTTTGTATTTTTAGTAGAGATGGGGTTTCACCATATTGGCCAGGCTGGTGTCGAACTCCCGACCACGTAATCCGCCCTCATCCTCCCAAAGTGCTGGGATTACAGGCATGAGCCACTGTGCCTGGCCAACTCCATTATTCTTTATTATAGCTCCCTACTTTTTCTGTTTTGCCATTTATTATAATAATCATCCATTTGCTTATTTGTTTAGTGTCTCTCCCATGGAAATGCAATTCTCACGAGGGCAGGGTTTGCTACCAGTTTCTAGCTCATTGTACCCAGTAGGTGCTCAATAAATATTTATTGAAAGAATAAATACTATTCATGCATTGATCTAGGAGAGGCAGGAACTGTATTCATTGGATGAGGTTGGCATTATCCAATTAGGCAACTAAAATGAAGGCTCTAACTGTACCTTTCACAGCTCAGGCTGGATTTACTTTGGTATTTTCTATTGTTGGTAGCTTGAGATGTCTTTTCTCCATTTTTGTGCCTCACAAAGTGGAATTCAATGTTTTTTAGTAACAAAGAAATGGAATCACTTTTTTAGTCTTGTATTGTTCCTTGAGTTATGCTTAGCTGGTCACTCAATTGAAATTGTGCCAAATTTCACAGCAAATTGTTTGGTTTGGAGTATGGCAAAGCCCAGCACTTTATAATGGATTCAAAGTTGTTTTTTTCACATTGATGAGAACATGAAAGTGTTTCAAGCTCCAGATAGAAACACTTAAATGAACTGCACATAATTTTGGTGCAGGAAGCGTTGAAAAGAGAAAGTCTTTTTCTGACAAACATGCTGAGAGAATTTGCCACTACCAAGCCAGCACTGCAAGAACTGCAAAAAGGAGTTCTAAATCTTGAAACAAAACTTTGAAGTACACCAAAATAGAACCTCCTGAAAGCATAAATCTCACAGGGCCTATAAAACAATAACACAATGGAAAAAACACAAGGTATTCAGGCAACAATTAGAACAATGAGCAGAATTGCACCTCACATCTCAATACTATCATTGAATGTAAATTGCCTAAATTGCTCCACTTAAAAGATACAGAATGGCAGAATGGATAAAAATTCACCAACCAAGTATCCGCCGTCTTCAAAAGACTTACCTAATGCATAAGGACTCACATAAACTTAAGGTAAAGGGGTAGAAAAAGATATTCCATACAAATGGACACTAAAAGCAAGCAGGAGTAGCTATTCTTGGACAAAACAGACTTTAAGGCAACCCAAATACTTATCCAGGTGATATTAGGGCAAGCTTGTATTCCCGCTCTACTACTACAGCTAATGTTCTCTTGAAACCACCACCTCCTGGCTGGAGTCCAAGCAACTTAATCCACTAAAGCAACCTATAAAAGAACAAGCCTGCTCCAAGAAAAGAGAAAACAACAGCTAATTCCACCACCTGTAACATCCTAGCTAACCAGAGGTCCTGAGTCTGTCAACATCACAGCTTCACTGCTAGCACAACCAGCAATCGAGAAAAACAGCACACTAAACAAAACTACAACCAAGGGCCTTCACACAGTCCACTTCACTCCCCTGCTACTTCCACTAGAGCAGGTGCTGGTATCCACAGCTGAGAGACCTAAGGACAGATCACATCACAGGACTCTTTGCAGATGCTCTCCAGTACCAGCCCTGAAAAAGAGGAACATTACATAATGATAAAAGGACTAGTCCAACAGGAAAATACTACAATCCTAAATATATATGCACCTAACTCTGGAGCCTCCAATTTATAAAACAATTACTACTAGACCTGAGAAATGAGATAGATGGCAACACAATAACAGTGGGGGATTTCAATACTCCACCGACAGCTCTAGACAGGTCATCAAGACAGAAAGTCAAGAAAGAAACAATGGACTTAAATACACCCTAGAACAAATTGACTTAACAGAAATTTACACAGCTTTCTACTCAACAAATGAAGAATATACATTCTATTCATCAGCACATGGAACATTCTCCTAGATAGACCATATGATAGGCTACAAAACAAGTCTCAATAAATGTAAGAATATCTACATTTTATATTAAGTACTCTCTCAGACCACAGTGGAATAAAATTGGAAATCAATTCCAAAAGGAACCCTCAAAACCATGCAAATACATGGAAATTAAATAATCTGCTCTTGAGTGAACATTGGGTCAATAATGAAATCAAGATGGAAAATTTAAAAAAATCTTTGAACTGACCGATAATAGTGACACATCCTATCAAAACCTCTGGAATATAGCAAAAGCAGTGCTAAGAGGAAAGTTAATAGCATTAAATGCCCACATCAAAAAGACTGAAAGAGCACAAATAGACAATCTAAGGTCACACCTCAAGGAACCAGAAAAATAAGAACAAACCAAACCCAAAGCCGGCAGAAGAAAAGAAATAACAAAGATCAAAGGAGAACTAAATGAAATTAAAATAAACAAACAACAACAACAAAAATGAAACAAAAAGCTGGTTCTTTGAAAAGATAAACCAAATTGATAGACCATTAGCAAGATTAACAAATAAAAGAAGAGAGAAGGTCCAAATAAGCTCAAATTAGAAATGAAATGGTAGATATTACAACCAACACCATAGACATACAAAGGGACATTCAAGGCTACTATGAATACCCTTATGTGCACAAATTAGAAAACCTAGAGAAGATGGATAAATTCCTGGAAATACACAACCCTCCTAGATTAAACCAGAAAGAAATAGAAACTCTGAACAGACCAATAACAAGCAGCGAGATTGAAATGGTAATTTTTAAGTTGCCAACAAAAAAAGATCTAGGACCAGATGGATTCACAGCTGAATTCTAGCAGGCATTCAAAGAAGAATTGGTACTAATCCTATTGAAACTATTCCAAAAGATAGAGAAAGAGGGAATCCTTCCAAAATCATTCTATGAAGCCAATATCACCCTAATACCCAAACCAGGAAAGGACATAACAAAAAAAGAAAACTACAGACCAATATCCCTGATGAACATAGATGCAAAAATCCTCAACAAAATACTAGCTAACCAAATCCAACAGCATATGAAAAAGATAATCAACGATGATCAAATGGGTTTTATACCAGGGATGCAAAGATGGCTTAACATACACAAGTCAATAAATGTGATACACCACATAAACAGAATTAAAAACAAATATCATATGATCATCTCAATAGATGCAGAAAAAGCATTTGACAAAATTCGGCATCTCTTTATGATTAAAACCCTCAGCAAAATCAACATAGAAGGGACATACCTTAAGGTGATAAATGTCATGTGTGACAAACCCACAGTCAACATTATACTGAACTGGGAAAGGTTGAAAGCATTCCCCTTGAGAACTGAAACAACACAAGAATGCCCACTTTCACCTCTTATATTCAACATCATACTGGAATTTTGAGCCAGAGCAATCAGACAAGAGAAATAAATAAAGGACATCCAAATTGGTAAAGAAGAAGTTAAACTGTTATTGTTCACTGATGATAAGATGATATACCTAGAAAACCATAAAGACTCATCCATAAAGCTCCTATATCTGATAAATGAATTCAGTAAAGTTTCAGGATACAAAATCTATGTACACAATTAAGCAGCACTGCTATACACCAACAGCAACCAAGCTGAGAATCAAATGAAGAACTCAAACCGTTTTACAATAGCTGAAAAAAAAATTAAGAATATACTTAACCAAGGACACGAAAGACCTCTACAAGGAAAACTACAGAACACTGCTGAAAGAAATCATAGATGACACAAACAAATGGGAACACATCCCATGCTTATAAATAGGTAGAATCAATATTGTGAAAGTTAACATACTACCAAAAGCAATTTATAAATTCAATGCAATTCTCATCAAAATACCACCATCATTCTTCACAGTACTAGAAAAAACAATCCTAAAATTAATATGGAATCAAACAAGAGCTGGCATAGCCAAAGAAGGCTTATCAAAAGGAACAAATCTAGAGGCATCATATTACTCGACTTCTAACTATAAGGCTATAGTCACAAAAACAGCATGGTACTGCTATGAAAATAGGCACAGAGACCAATGGAACACAATAGAGAATGTAGAAATGAAGCCAAATACTAACAGCCAACTGATCTTTGACAAAGCAAACAAAAATATAAAGTGGGGAAGGACACCTTATTCAACAAATGGTGCTAGGATAATTGGCAAGCTACATGTAGAAGAATAAAAGTGGATCCTCTTCTCTCACCTTATACAAAAGTCAACTCAAGATGGATCAAAGACTTAAATCTAAGACCTGAAACCATAAGAATTTTAGAAGATAACACTGGAAAAACCTTTCTAGATATTGGCTTAGGCAAAGACTTCATGACCAAGAAACCAAAAGCAAATACAACAAAAACAGATAAATAGATGGAACTTAATTAAACTGAAAACTTTCTGCAGAGCAAAATAAATAATTAGCAGAGTAAACAGACAACCCACAGAGTGGGAGAAAATCTCTGCAACCTACATTTCATTTAAAGGACTAATATCCAGAATCTACAAGGAACTCAAATAAATCAGCAAGAAAAAAAAAATCTCATAAAAAAGTGGGCAAAGGACATTAATAGACAGCTTTCAAAAGAAGATATCCAAATGTCCAACAAACATATGAAAAAATGCCCAACATCACTAATTATCAGGGAAATGCAAATCAAAACTACAATGTGATACCACTTTATTCCTGCAAGAATGACCATAATTAAAAAATAATAGATGTTGCCATGGATGTGGTGAAAAGAGAACACTTTTACAATGCTGGAGAGAATATAAACTAGTACAAACACTATGGAAAACAGTGTGGAGATTCCTTAAAGAACTAAAAGTAGAACTACCGTTTGATTTAGCAATCCTACTACTGGGTATCTACCCAGAGGAAAAGAAGTCATTATACGAAAAAGATACTTGCACATGCATGTTTATAGCAGCACAATTTGCAGTTGCAAAAATATGGAACCAGCCCAAATGCCCATCAGTCAACGAGTGGGTAAAGAAAATATGGGGCTGAGGCAGGCGAACCACCTGAGGTCAGGAGTTCAAGACCATCCTGGCCAACATGGCAAAACCTTGTCTCTACTAAAAATACAAAAATTAGCTGGATTTGGTGGTGCACACCTGTACTCCCAGCTACTTGGGGGGCTGAGGTGGGAGGATCGCTTGAACCCGGGAGGCAGAGGTTGCAGTGAATGGAGATCATGCCACTGCACTCCAGTCGGGGCAACAGTAAGATTCCGTCTCGAAAAAAAAGTATATATATATACCATGGAATACTACTAAGCCATAAAAAGGAACAAAATAATGGCATTCACAGCAATGTGGATGGAGTTGGAGACCATTATTCTAAGTGAAGTAACTCAAAAATGCAAATCCAAACATTGTATGTTTTCATTTATAAGTGGGAGCTAAGCTATGAGGACACAAAGGCATAATAATGATACAATGGACTTTGGGGACTTGGGGGGAAGTGTGGAAGGGGGGTGAAGGATAAAAGACTACACATTGAGTACAGTGTACACTGCTCGGGTCATGGGTGCACGATAATCTCATAAATCGCCACTAAATAACTTACTCATGTAACCAAAAACTACCTGTTCTCCAAAAACCTATTGAAATTTTTAAAAATAAGAAAAAATTTAAAAACTAACTATTGGATACTATGCTCCCTACCTGGGTCATGAGAGCAATTGTACTCTAAAACTCAGCATCATGCAATATACTCGTATATTAAACCTGCACATGTACTTCCTGAATCTAAAATAAAAGTTGAAATTATTAAGAAAAGGAAATAAAATGAAATGGTAAGCCACAGACTAGGAAAAAAATATTCTTAGTACATGCAGCTGACAAATGACTCATAAGAAGAATATATAAATTACTTCTACAAATCAATGACAAAGACAACCCCGAAAAATATAGTGAAAAAAAGTATACAGACATTTCAGAAAGTAAAACAGACAAGTGGCCAATAAAATTTTTCAATATCGTTAGTCCTAAAGTAAATGCAAAGTAAATTCATTGAGGTACCATTTTACACTCACTATAATTTCTATAATTGAAAACACTGACAGCATCAATGTTGGTGAGAATATGGAGCAAACTAAAATCTCATATCTTCTTGGTTGCAGTGTAAAATGGAAATCACTTTGGGAAGTAGATTTACAGTTTTTATAGAACTACCCCTATGATCTAGTCAGTAATTCTACTCCTAGCTATTGATCCAAGAGAGATGAAAACATGCGTCTAAAAACTCTTGCATAAGAATGTCATAGCTGCTTTACATATAAAGCAAAATTTGGAAATAACCAAAATGTTTATCAACAGAAGTATGGATAAACAAAATGTGATATATTCATGCAATGCAATTCTACTAAAAAAACAGAATAAAGTACTAATACTTGCAAAACAATGGCTGAATCTCAAAAATATTACAAGTGAAAGAAAGTAGACAAAGTATATTCTGTATGATTCATCTTATATTAACATCAAGAACAGACAAAACAGTAACCGTCAAGGGAAGTGGGGCACAGAGGGGAACTTTCTGGGGTGATGAAAATATTCTTCATTGTGAATTCAGGTGGTGATTACATGGGTATATACATTAATCAAAACTTGTACACTTAAGTTCTGGGCATTTAACTGTATTCAATAATTTTTTTAAAAAATAATAAATTTTATTTTTTGAGCAAAAAGGAAAAAAGAGAGGCTGAATGGAGTTTCAATATATAGACCAGGATTCTGACTCTGGAAATGGTTTCTGAAGCTCAGCACTCACAGAATCCTGTTTTTATAGCACTGATAAAGTCCCAAGGGCACAGGTCTGTGAGTCTAGAACTCAGGGGTGTTAGGAGCAGGAAGCTTTGCCACAAAGGGAGGGAATACTCCATAGCAAAAAGGGCCCCGGCTTGGAATCCAGACAGGCATGCGTTAGATAAAGCCCAGATCTGCCACCTCCTAGCCATGTGACCTTGAGAGAGCCATCTAACCTCTCTGATTCTCAGTTTTATCGTCTCTAAAATGATGAAAATCATTATACATATTTCAAGGGACTATTGTGAGATTAAGGGCATGTAGAGCTGATAGTAAGGATTCAAATAACGATGGTCAATTTTTATTATTGGTGCAACAGTTTAAACAGTTCCTCTCTGAGATCCTTCCTAGCTCTAAAATTCTGCAATTTTAGAATTTAGATTTGGCTCTCCAGGTCTATATATAAGTACCACCTTCTGGGTCTACTTCTACCAGAGTGTTTGTTATGCTCTGCTATAATCACTAGTTCCCTTGCCTATATTCTTCATATCCAGTGAGCTTCATGAGGACAGGGATGAGTCTTAGTCACCCTTTTATCTAGTGCCTAGCAAGTAGCAAGCATTTGACAAATGTTGGAATATTAATTAATATATCAATCAGTATCTTACCATGAGTCCCTTAATGCTTTCTGACATTCCCATTCTCAGCGCCTAGTTGGTGACACTTGATCCTCCCTCTCAAACAACCCTGGAAGGCTTAGTTAGGAATGTAGACTTCAGACAAAAAAAAATATAATATTACTTCAATTTACTTAGTCAATAAATACTCATTAAGCACTCTTGGGAAAGTCAGTCTCATGAGCAAGAACAGTCTTTTGACAACAAAAGGCTTTCATACAACAATGGATCTTGGGCCTAGAGGAATTCCTTGCCAAAAGATAAAGAGCCTGGACAGGCAGGAATATCTTTCCCTGCTTCAGACTCAGTGTATATTCCTTTGTTCTGCTTAAGTGTGTGCATCATACAGCATCTGGCCAAACACACTGCTATATCTGTTCCTGGTGGTGAAGAAACAGGGTCCTTTCTCTTGCAGCTTGAGAATGGTGGGTGCAGACCCTCTCCCTGTATTGGTAATGGAATGGGACCTTATGCCTATGCGTTACCAATGCCCACAATTGAAGCTAGTGTTGCTCTGTCTCTTCTCCATGTGAACAAGGAGTCATTTTGCCTAGTGCCTGTGTGAGTCATGTCTTTCTTGATGATGCCTCCCCAAACCATGGAGTAAGTTCACATGCTGGAGCATGTTAACAGCTGCTTCTGGTGTCAGGCATTGTTTTGTTATTTGCTATCCTCCATGCAGTGGGACACCTCACATGGAGGTGGTGACAGGTTTCATTTGCCCAACAGTTCTACAAGCACCTAAAGTTATCCAGGCGTCATGTAAATGAAGTACTGGAGAAGTGTAAAAGTAATTAAAACCTGGTTTATTCACTTCAAGAGGCTCACAATTTATTAGAGAATACAAGTGCAAAAAATATTGACATACAAATCTATGAGATAGTGCCTGCAAACTATTATCCCCTTTCTATAGGAGAAGAAATGTTAAATTACTTTTTCTGGGTCACACAGTTAGGAAGTGATAAAGTCAGGATTTGGAGCCAGGCGCGGTGGCTCACGCCTGTAATCCCAGCACTTTGGGAGGCCGAGGCGGGCGGATCACGAGGTCAGGAGATCGAGACCATCCTGGCTAACACGGTGAAACCCCGTCTCTACTAAAAAATAAAAAATAATAATAATTAGCCGGGCGCGGTGGCGGGCGCCTATAGTTCCAGCTACTCGGAAGGCTGAGGCGGGAGAATGGCATGAACCCAGGAGGCGGAGCTTGCCGTGAGCCGAGATCGCGCCACTGCACTCCAGTCTGGGCAACAGAGGGAGACTCCGTCTCAAAAAAAAAAAAAAAAAAAAATGGATTTGGACAGAGGTCAGTGTGACTCCAGAGCTCACATTCTTAAATCCTTCATTATTTTGCTACCAGAAATTTTCATAATCTGGAATCAGAATCCCACTGTTGCCCATGCAAATTTCACTTTCAATTGATCATGGTAATAGTGGTAAGGCTTGCCATGTATTGATTATCTATGATGTGCCAGGCAATTTACAGAATTTATTTTAAATCCTCATGACAGCCCTACTAAATAGGTGCTTCCCATTTTATTGGATAAGGAATTGGAATTTGTAGAGATGAAGCCTCTTCTCCTAATTGTGAACTTCATATTCTTTGAGGGGGGAAGAATGGTGAATATAAGATTGCCTATGAGGGGCAAAAGAGACGTATGTTACTGGATTTCATTAAACATATCCTGAGCAGGTAAGAAGGGTCAAAACTGTTCTTTTTTCTTTTTAAATTATTTTTATTTTTAATTTGTGTGGGTACATGGCAGATGAATATATTTATGGGATACATGAATGTTCTGATACAGGAATGCAATGTGAAATAAGTACCTCACGGAGAATGGGGTATCCATCCCCTCACGCATTTATCCTTTGAGTTACAAACAAATCAATTACACTGTAAGTTGTTTTAAAATGTACAATTATTATTGACAATAGTCACTGTATTGTTCTATCAAATAGTAGATGTTATTCATTCTTTATATTTTGTGTGTATCCATTAACTATCCTCACCTCCCCCACAACCCCCTTCCCAGACACTGGTAACCATCCTTCCACTCTCTATGTCCATGAGTTCAATTGTTTTGATTTTTTTTTATTTCACAAATAAGTGAGAACATTCAATGTTTGTCTTTCTGTGCCTGACTTATTTCATTTAACATGATGATCTCCAGTTCCATTCATGTTGTTGCAAATGACTGGATCTCATTCTTTTTATGGCTGAATAGTACTCCATTATGTATAAGTACCACATTTTCTTTATCCATTCATTTGTTGATGGACACTTAGGTTGCTTCCAAATCTTTGCTATTGTAAACAGTGCTACAACAAACATGGGAGTGCAGCTATCTCTTCCATATACTGATTTCTGTTGTTTTGGGTATATACCCAACAGTGGGATTGCTGAATCTGATGACCAATGATGGTGAATACATTTTAACATGCCTGCTTGCCATTTGTATGTCTTCTTTTGAGAAATGTCTATTCAAATATTTGCCCATTTTTTAATCGGGTTAACAGATTTTTTCCTATAGATTTGTTTGAGCTCCTTATATATTCTTGTTATTAATCCCTTGTCAGATGGGTAGTTGGCAAACATTTTATCCTATTCTGGGGTTTGTCTCTTCATTTTGTTAATTATTTTCTTTGCTGTAAAGAAGATTTTTTAGTTTGATGTAATTCCTTTTGTCCATTTTTGCTTTGGTTGCCTGTGCCTATGGGTTATCGCTCAAGAAACTTTTGCCCAGATCAATATCCTGGAGATTTTCCCTAATGTTTTCTTGCAGTAGTTTCATAGAGTGAGGTCTTAGATTTAAGTCATAAATCCACTTTGAGTTGATTTTTGGATATGGTGAGAGATAAGGTTCTAGTTTAATTCCTTTGCATATGGATAACCAGCTTTCCCAGCACCATTTATTGAAGAGACTCTCTTTTCCTCCAATGTATGTTCTTGGCATCTTTGTCAAAAATCAGTTCACTGTAGATGTTTGGATTTGTTTCTGGGTTCTCTATTCTGTTCCATTGTTCTATGTGTCTGTATTTACACCAGCACCATGCTGCTTTGTTTACTATAGCTCTGTAGTATGATTTGAAGTCAGGTAATGTGCAGCTTTGGTTACCATAGCTCTGTAGTATGGTTTGAAGTCAGGTAATGTGATTCATCTAGTCTTTTCCTTTTTGCTCAGGATAGCTTTGGCTATTCTTGATCTTTCATGTTTCCATATAAATTTAGGATTGTTTTTTGTGTTTTTACGAAGAATGTCATTGATATTTTGATAGGGATTACATTGAATCTGTAGATTGCTTTGTGTAGTTTGAACATTTTTAACAACATTGATTCTTCCAGAATATGAACATGGAATATCTTTCCATGTTTTGGTGTTCTTTTCAATTTCTTTCATCAATGTTTTATAGTTTTCATTATAAAGATCTCTAACTTCTTTTTTAAGTTAATTGTTAGGTATTTACTTTTATGTGTGACTATTGTAAATGGGATTAAATTTTTTATTTCTTTTTCACCTTGTTCACTGTTGGCATATAAAAATGCTACTGATTTTTATATGTGGCTTTTGTATCTTGCAATTTTACTCAATTTTTTTTTTTTTACCAGTTCTAATAGTTTTCTTATGGACTCGTTAGGTTTTTCCAAATATAAGATTATATTATTTGCAAACAAGCATAATTTAACTTCTAACTTTACACTTTGGATGACTTTTATTTCTTTCTCTATAAAACAGAGCAAGAAAAGTCCTTGCTCTAGCTAGGACTTTTAGTACTATGTTGAATAACGGTGGTGACAGTGGGCATCCATGTTGAGTTCCAGATCTTAGAGGAAAGCCTTTCAGTTTTTCTGCATTCTGTATGAGACTAGCTGTGGGTCTGTCATATATGGCTTTTATTACATTGGGGTATGTTCCTTCTATATCCAGTTTTTTTAGGGCTTTTATCATAAAGGTTGTTGAATTTTATCAAATGATTTTATAACCTCAATTGAAATGATTATATGGTTTTATCCTTTATTCTGTGGATATGGTGTATCAAATTGATTGATTCGTGCACATTGAATGATCCTTGCATCCCAGGGATAAACCCCATTTCATCATGATGAATAATCTTTCTAATATATTGTTAAATTTGTTTTGCTAGTATTTTTTGAAGACTTTTGCCTCAATATTCACAGAGATATTGGCCTGTAGTTTTCTTTTTTCTTTTTTTTGGTGTGTCTTTGTGTTTTCGGTATGTTTTAGGTATCAGGGTAATACTGGCCTTGTAGAATCTTTTGGAAGTATTCCTTCCTCCAGAATAGTTTCAGTATGATTGGTATTATTTCTTTAAATATTTTGTAGAATTCAGCAGTGACATCACTGGGTCTGAGGCTTTGCTTTACTGACAGACTTTTAATTATGGCTTCAATCTTGTTACTTCTTGTTGCTCTGTTCAGGTTTTTTATTCTTCCTGGTTCAATCTTGGTAGGTTGTATATATCTAAAAGTGTGTCCATTTTTTTTCTAGATTTTCTAATTTATTGTCATATAGTTGCTCATAGTAGCCATTAATTATCCTTGGAATTTCTGCAGTATCAGTTGTAATATTCCCTTTTCCATTTCTGATTTTATTTATATCTTCTCTCTTTTTTCTTAGGTAGTCTGGCTAAAGGTTTGTCTATTTTATTTAACTTTTCAAAAAACCAACTTTTTGTTTCATTAATCTTTTGTGTTGTTTTGTTCATTTCAATTCTGTTGGTTTCTCCTCTGATCTTTATTGTTTTTTTCTTCTACTTATTTTGGGTTTTTCTAATTCTTTAAGATGCATGATTAGATTGCTCATGTGAAATTTTTTCTCTTTTTTGATGTAGGCACTTACAGCTATAAACTTCCCTCTGATTACTGCTTTTGCTGTATCACAGAGGTTTTGGTATGTTGTGTTTCCATTATTATTTGTTTCAAGAAAGTTTTTGTTTTCCTGCCTAATTTCTTCATTGACCCACTGGTCATTCAGGTTTATATTGTTTAATTTCCATGTATTTGTATAGTTTCCAAAATTCCTCTTATTGATTTCTAGTTTTATTCCATTGTGGTCCAAGAAGATGCTTGATTATTTTAATTTTTTGAATGTTTTAAGACTTTTCTGTGACTCAACATATGGTCTATCCTTGAGAATGATCCATGTGCTGAGGAAAGAATGTGTAGTCTGCAGCTTTTGGATGAAATGTTCTGTAAATATCTGTTAGAGCCATATAGTTTATAGTGCAGATTAAGTCTGATGTTTCCTTGTTGATTTTCTGACTGGAAGATTTGTCCAATGCTGGAAGTGGGGTGTTGAAGTCTCTAGCTCTTATTATTGTATTGGGGTCTATCTCTGTCTTTAGTGCTAATATTTCCTTGTTATATCTGGGTGCTCCAGTGTTGGGTGCATATATATTTAAAATTGTTTTATCCTCTTGCTGAATTGACCCCTTTATCATTATATAGTGACCTTCTTTGTTTCTTCTTATAGTTTGTGTCTTGAAATCTATTTTGTCTGATATAAGTATAGAGACTCCTGCTCTTTTTTGATCCCTGTTGGCATGGTATATCTTTTTCCATTCCTTTATTTTCAGTCTATGTGTGTCTTTATAGGTGAAATATGTTTTTTGTAGGCAACAGATCATTGGATCTTGTTTTGTTATTCATTCAGCCAGTCCATGTCTTTTGATTGGAGAGTTTAGTCAATTTACATTCATTGTTATTATTGATAAATAAGGACTTACTTCTGTCATTTTTTAATTTGTTTACTAGTGATTTTATGGTCTTCTCTTCCTTCATTCTTTCCTTCCTGTCTTTCTATAGTGAATGTAATTTTTTTCTGGAGATATAATTTGGTTTCTTGCTTTTCATTTTTTTGTGTATCCATTGTATGTTTTTTGGTTTGAGGTTACCATGAGGCTTGCAAATACTATCGTGTAACCTATTATTTTAAACTGATGACAAGTTAACATTATTTGCATAAATAAACAAGGAAAAAAAACTAATAGAAATTCTACACCTTAACTTTGTTTCCCCATGTCTTAAGCTTTTGTTGTTTCTATTTCTATCTTGTTGTACTATGTCTTGAAAAGTTGTTCTAGTTATTATTTTTGATTTGTTTATTGTTTAGTCTTTTTACTTAGTATAAGAATAGTTTACATGCCCAGTTACATTGTTATAATATTCTGTGTTTTTCTGTGTATTTACTATTACCTGTGAGTTTTGAACCTTCAAGTGATTTCTTATTGCTCATTAATGTCCTTTTCTTTCTGACTGAAGTATTTCATTAATCATTCCTTGTAGGACAGGTCTGGTGTTGATGAAATCCCTCAGCTATCCTCTGTCTAGGAAAGACTATTTCTCCTTTATGTTTGAAGGACATTTTCACCAGATATACTATTCTGGGGTAAAACGTTTTTTTTCCTCCCTTCGGCACTTTAATTATGTCATGCCACTCTCTCCTGACCTATAAAGTTTCCACTGAAAAGTCTGCTGCCAGATATACTGGAGCTCCATTGTATGTTATGTGTTTACTTTCTGTTGCTGCTTTTGGGATCCCTTCTTTAATCTTGACCTTTGAGAGTTTGCTTATTAAATCTTTTGATGTAATCTTCTTTTGATTAAATCTGCTTGGTGCTCTATAACTTTCTTGTACCTGGATATTGATATCTTTCTCTAAGTTTGGGAACATCTCTCTTATTATCCTGTTGAATAAACTTTCTCTCCCTATCTCATTCTCTACTTCCTCTTTAAAGCCAGTAACCCTGGATTTTCCCTTTTGAGGCTATTTTCTAGATCTTGTAGGCTTGCTTCATTGTTTTTTATTCTTTTTTTTCTCCATTGACTGTATTTTCAAATAGCCTGTCTTGAAGGTTGCTAATTCTTTCTTCTGCTTGATCACTTCTGCTATTGAAGGACTCTCATGCATTTTGAGTATGCCAGTTGCATTTTTCATCTCCAGAATTTCTCCTTGATTCTTTTTAGGTATTTCAATTTCTTTGTTAAATTTATCTGATAGAATTTTGAATTCCTTCTCTGTGTCTCTTAAATTTCTTTGAGTTTTCTCAACAAACACAGCTATTTTGAATTATCTGTCTGAAAGGTCGCATATCTCTGTTTCTTCAGGATTGGTCCCTGGTGGCTTATTTAGTTTATCTGGTGCGGACATGTTTTCCTGGATGGTGTTGAAGCTAGTAGATTTTCTTTGGTGTCTAGGCACTGAAGAGTTAGGTATTTATTGTAGTCTTCACTGTCTGGGTTTATTTGCAGCTGTCCTTCTTGGGAAGGCTTTCCAAATATTTAAAAGAACCTGGGTATTGTGCTCTAAGCTATATCTGCTTTTGGGGGCACCCCAAGCCCTATAATGCCATGGTTTTTGCAGACTTGTAGAGGTACCACCTTTGCGGTCTTGGACAAGATCCAGAATTCTCTGGATTAGCCGGCAGAGACTTTTTCTCTTCCCTTAGTTTCTCCTACGCATAGTTTTTCTTTGTGTTCAAAGCCACCTGGGGCTGGGGTGGAGTGACATAAGTACCTGTGGTCACCACCACTATGACTGCACTGAGTCAGGTCTGAAGCCAGTAGAGTTCTGGGTCTCACCCAAGACCTGCTATAACCACTCCCTGTCCACTGCCTGTGTTTCCTCATGACCCTGGAGCTCTACAATCAGCAGATGTTAAAGCCAACCAGGCCTGTGTCCTTTCCTTCAGAGCAGAGAAGTTCCCCAGGCCTCAGCTGGGTTCGGAAGTGCTGTCCAAGAGTCAGGGGCTACAGTCAAAAGCCTTAGAAGTATACCTGGTGTTCTATTGTATTTCAGCTGAGCTGGCACTCAAACCACAAGATAACAGTCTGGTAGTCCTTCCCATTCTTCTCTCCCCTTTCCAAAGGCAGAGGAGTTCTCACCCCATAGGCACCCCCACCTCAGGCCATGAGGAGTACTGCCAGACCACTCCTGATGTTCCCTTAAGGCCCAAGGTCTCTTAAGTAAGCTTGTTGTGAATGCTGCCTGGCTTGGGACTCATTCTTCAGGGCTGTGGGCTCCCCTATGTCCCAGGGCAGGTCCAGAAATGCCATCCAAGAATCAAGTCCTGGAATTACGGACTCCAAGAGCCCTCTTGGTGCCCTATTCCCCTGTGGTTGTGCTAGTACCTAAGGTGCAAGACAGTCCACTTTACTTTTCTCTCTGCTTTTCTCAAGCAGAAGGAGTTTTGCCTAATAGCTGTCACAGCTGGTAATGTGCTGAGTCTCATCTGAAGCCAGCAAGTCTTAGAGGCTCACCAAGGTCCTCGATGTAGTACTTGAGTATCACTGCTGCTTATTCAGGGCTCAAGGGCTCTTCAGTTAGCAGGTGAAGAATGCTGCCAGGACTGGATCCTTTCCTTCAAGGCAGTGGGTTCCCTTCTTGACCAGGATATGTCTAGAAATGTTGTCTGGGAGCTAGAGCCTGGAATGGGGACCTCACAATTCTGACTGGTGCCCTATCTGATGTGGTTAGACTGGTATCCTAGATGCCAGACAAAGTCCTCCTTACTCTTCACTCTCTTCTCCTCAAGCAGAAGGAAGGGGTGTCTTTTGGAGACACAAACTGTGCTGCCTGAGGTTAGGGAAGGGGTGATGCAAGCACTCCCTTGGCTGATCCCAGCTGATGTCACAGTATTTCACATGCCCCCCAAGTCCACTGTCTCTAGGCCTAGTCCAGCCCTAGGTCTTGCCTAAAATTTGCTGTCCTCATGGCCTAGACTGCCTTTCAAGTTTACTTGGAGGCACAGAATGCTGTAGCCCTTGGTGGCAAGGTTAACAAGCACTCAAATTTGGACCACTGGGATGGGTGATTCCCCTCTGGCTAGGGCTGGTTTAAATGCTCCCTCTGTGGGCGGACATTAGCTGAGTTTGGTCTGGTTTTCCTTTGTGTTCTAACAGAACAGCACCGAGTTCAATCCATCACGATTGCTACGCTCTCTCTCCCTCAGTGCCCAGAGATGCTGTTGGCACCATGCAGCTGCTGCAGCAGGTGGGGGAGGGGTAATGTCATCAATTCTGGACTCTTTTTTTTCTATCTCTTCAGTGCCTGTTTCAGTGATATGAAGTTAAAACCAGGTACTATGAGTACTCACGTGATTTTTTGTTCTTATGAATGTGTTTTTTCTGTGTAGATAGTTGTTAACTTGGTGTCCTTGCTGGGGGAACAATCGGTGGAGCCTTCTATATCACCATCCTGCTCTTCATCCTCATTCTTCCTGTTCTTTTTAATCAGTAGCCCTCTGTGAAATAACATGGAGATTGAACTGTTATCTTTTTGCTTTCTCAGAGTCACCAGCCATGTCACCTTGAGCAAATCTGTTATTCTCTATAAGTTTGATTCTTCATCTATACACATTTGCCATTAAGATTAAAAGAGAAAGTATACAGAAGGTCTAGTCCAGAATCTATTTGTTCATTACTTCTCCCTTCCCTATAATTGTAGATCTTGCCTTTCTATGGACAGTTGGCAACTTTCAGTTTGTGCTTTACAGGAGTCATAGTTAAAATTTAGCTCTACTATTTTCTCATTAGGAGTATGTATTTTTTTCATCAGAATTTGAATAAATTGGAAAACTAGGCTGGAACAATTTTGTACTTTATTTTTTTCCCCTTAACATCCAAGCTTTCTGTCCTCTTGGTGTTTACGTGGAAATGCTAACCTTTCAAAGAATGTACATCACAGAAGTTTCCAAAATTTGACCTTTTTCTTACTTTATATACATTTTGTATTTCTCCAGACTATCCTGCTTTTGTTTTTATTTTTTATTTTTGATATAAATGTATGAAATACACGTGCAATTTTGTTACATGCATAAGTTTCGTAGTGGTCAAGTCAGGGCTTTTAGGGTGTCCATCACCCAAATAATGTACACTGTATCCATTAACTAATTTCTCTACTTTTCTTTTTAGATTTTATTTTTTTAATTGACAAATAACAATTGTATGTATTCACGGGGTACCTAGAGATGTTTCAATGCATTTAATGTATAGTGATAAAATCAGGGTAATTAGCATATTCATCATCTCAAACATTGATCATTTCTTTGTGTTGGGAACATTCAATATCCTTTTTCTAGCTATTTGAAACTATATAATAACTTGTTGCTAACTATAGTCATCCTATGAGGTGCAGAACACTAGAATTTAATAATATGTGCACATGAATTAAAAAGGAAAAGCTATCAAAGGTTATACACTGAAGAATAAATTGCCCTTTCTCACTACCCCAGCCCCCAATTCATCCTTCTTAGAAGTAACTACTGCAATTATTTTGTGTGTCTTTCAAGAGCTGTTCTGTTTGTATAGAGCATATTTGTATATTTTTATCCTTCTGCCTTTTCTCCCACACATGATCTCATATTCTACACACTGTTTTTAACTTTGGTTTTATTATTTAACAATGTCTCTTGGTGATCTTTCCATTTCAGCATGAATAGCTTTCACTCATTATTTTTAATAGCTGCATGATATTCAAATATATGGATATCTCACAATTTATGTAAATAGTCCCAAAGTTGTTTGCCGTCTTTTGCTATTACAAGTAATTTTGAAGGCATTATCTTCATATACACATTATTGCTCATGTACATGTAAAGTCATAGGATAAATGGCTGTTAGTAGAATCACTGATCACATGTTTGTACATTTACAATGTTGATAAACATTGCCAAATTTTCCTTCATAGAGAGTGTCATGGTTTAACTACCACCAAGAATGAATGAGAGAGTCTTTTCACATCCGGAACTAACACAGTATAGTTTTTTATAATCCTTTGCAGTCATAGTTAAATAATGATCATTTCTTTTACTTTAATTTTGTATCTCTGTTTCTATGGATAAATTGATCATCTTTTAATATATTTAGAAGTAATTTGCATTTTTTACATAGATGTTCCTTGCCCATTTATCTTATGTGTTACTAAATTTATTTTACTTGTTTGTAAAACCTCTCTATATATCGAGTATTTCTATTATTTGCCATATATGTTTGGAAGTAGTTTGTCTGCCACTTATCTTTTGGCTTCGTTAATGGTATTTTGATACATGGAAAATTTTAAATTTTAATTGAGTCAGTTGTCTCTGTCTCTTGTTTAATGACTCTGCGAGTATGCATCATGCTTACAAAACACTCCTAAGAATATTTTAAAAATCAGTTTTTTCTGTTTTCTTTTGTTACCTTAGTGGTATTGTGTCCGGAGTTGGTGGGTTCTTGGTCTCACTGACTTCAAGAATGAAGCCACAGACCCTCGCGGTCAGTGTTACAGTTCTTAAAGGTGGCATATCTGGAGTTTGTTCCTTCTGATGTTCGGATGTGTTCAGAGTTTCTTCCTTCTGGTGGGTTCGTGGTCTCGCTGGCTCAGGAGTGAAGCTGCGGACCTTCCTAGTGAGTGTTACAGCTCTTAAGGTGGCGCGTCTGGAGTTTCTTCCTCCAGGTGGGTGGCTTCAGGAGTGAAGCTGCAGACCTTCGCGGTGAGTGTTACAGCTCATAAAGGCAGTGTGGACCCAAAGAGTGAGCAGCAGCAAGATTTATTGCAAAGAGCGAAAGAACAAAGCTTCCACAGTGTGGAAGGGGACCCGAGCGCGTTGCCGCTGCTGGCTCAAGCAGCCTGCTTTTATTCTCTTATCTGGCCCCACTCACATCCTGCTGATTGGTCCATTTTACAGACAGCAGAGTGGTCTGTTTTGACAGGGTGCTGATTGGTGTGTTTACAATCCCTGAGCTAGACACAAAGGTTCTCCACTTCCCCACTAGATTAGCTAGATACAGAGTGTGGACACAAAGGTTCTCCAAGTCCCCACCAGAGTAGCTAGATACAGTGTTGATTGGTGCATTCACAAACCCTGAGCTAGACACAGGGTGCTGATTGGTGTGTTTACAAACCTTGAGCTAGATACAGAGTGCCAATTGGTGTATTTACAATCCCTTAGCTAGACATAAAGGTTCTCCAAGTCCCCACCAGACTCAGGAGCCCAGCTAGCTTCACCCAGTGGATCCCCCACCGGGGCCGCAGGTGGAGCTGCCTGCCAGTCCCGCACGGTGCACCCGCACTCCTCAGCCCTTGGGTGGTCGATGGGACTGGGCGCCGTCGAGCAGGGGGCGGAGCGCTCATCCGGGAGGCTTGGGCCGCACAGGAGCCCACGGCGGAGGGGGAGGCTCAGGCATGGTGGGCTGCAGGTCCCGAGCCCTGCCCCACGGGGAGGCAGCTAAGGCCCAGAGAGAAATGGAGCGCAGAGCCAGTGGGCCAGCACTGCTGGGGGACCCAGCACATCCTCCGCAGCCGCTGGCCCAGGTGCTAAGCCCCTCATTGCCCGGGGCTGGCAGGGCCGGCGGGCCTCTCCAAGTACGGGGCCGCCAAGCCCATGTCCACCCAGAACTCCAGCTGGCCCGCAAGCGCCGCGCATAGCCCTGGTTCCCGCTCGCACCTCTCCCTCCACACCTCCCAGCAAGCCGGCTCTGGGCTCGGCCAGCCCAGGAAGGGGCTCCCACAGTGCAGTGGCGGGCTGAAGGGCTCCTCAAGTGCCGCCAAAGTGGGAGCCCAGGCAGAGGAGGCGCCGAGAGTGAGCGAGGGCTGTGAGGACTGCCAGCACGCTGTCACCTCTCAGTATCATTTTTAAAACAAACATTTATAATTTTTACCCATCTGGTATTTATTTTGGTATAAGAAGTGAAGCAAGTATTTAACTTTATTTTTTTTCAAGTGGTTAGGCAGTTGGCCCAATACTACTTGTTGAATAATTTATTTCTCCTTGTTGATTTGAAATGCTTCCCTCATAATAAACTAAATTACATATATTTTATATATATGTGTGTGTGTGTGTGTGCGTGTGTGTGTGTGCCTATTCCTAGGCTCTCTGTTCTGTTTCCTTGATTTGTCTATTTATATACTGATATCAAACTTTAATTACATAAGATTTATGGTATTTTAATAGGTGTTATTGCTAGCATACTCTCAATACACTTCTTTTTCAGAATTTCCCTTAGGTTTCTGACAAGTTATATTTCAATTTGAACTTTATAGTGTGGCTGATTGAAAATGAAGCCCTACTGTATTTTATTTGGATTGTCGAAATTTATAAATATTCTTGCCAGAATTGTTTTAGTAAGAATCATTTCTGTTGCTATTTTTTAGATGGGTTGTTTTCTTTGATTATATTTCCTAACTGGTTGTTTGTCATAAATGGAAAGGTTAATGTTATTTTTATTAAATAATTTCCTACATAGCTGTAAAATTATGATGGGGAAGTATATGTATTGAATGTACATGATGTGCGCACTGGTTCCAGTTTTGAAATATATACATATATAAACAATCCTGAAAATATATTGGCAGGACATGAACCAAAATGTCAGCCTTAATTATCTCTGAATGGTAGATGATAATTATGAATGATCTTTGTTGTCTTCTTTGTTTTGTCCAGTGCTTCTCATATTTCTTGCACTGAGCATGTATTGTTTTATATCAATAATAAGAAGAAAATTTTAAAAGGAAAAGATAGTCAAAGCATAGTTAAGAGACATAACTTTGGAATATAATTGTGGTGCTCAAATATGGAGGAAGGGAACAATATGATCAGTTGCATAATCAGGGTAGACTAACTGCTATAAAAAAACTACCCTCAAAGACCCAGTGGCTGAATGGAATAAAAGTTAGTTTTTCTCTGATAGTCTAATGAACTTCCACAGGGACTAGGGTGGGGGAGCTGCTGCATTTGTAGGTTTTGGGGGACAGCTTGGAAGTGATGTGTCACTTCCACCCACATTCTATTTGCCATCACTCAGTCACATGGCCATATCTAGCTGCAAGAGTGGCTACAAAATGTAATCTAGCTGTGTACCCAAGAAGAAAAGACCATGGATACCGGTGATTACTCACAGCCATTAGTAAGTCTAGTGAGCACTTACAGTTGCATTGTGTTTTTGCATCATTTTGTAGGGCAGTTATTTGGGTTTGGGAGTTTTCTTCCCAGGGGGCTTTCTTGAAGTTGTTGAGGATACTCAGCTTGTTCCTGAATAAAACAAGCAGAAATGTGCACTACTGTGCCCTACCAATTTTCACACAAATTTCTTAGTATCTTTTTTGTTTGTCTAGCCTTTTTTTGTGTGCATCGAGCTATCTCCAATCTTAGAGTGAATCCTCAGTCTCTGATTCTTCGCCTTACATCTGGTCTGGCATGTTATCTTCGGTCATTTACTTCACTATGACCTTAGTCTATGTTGGATACTGCTTTCTCTATCTACAATGCTTTGGTGAACTGTCTACATTTCCACCCATGTGTAAACTCAATCCATCTTCTTCTTTCTGACCTGACACTGGGTTTTGAAATTGGCGTCTCAAAAGGACTCTGGATTATCTTACCCACAGTTGATTACTTCCTGGAGAAGAAGGAAATTATTGTCCTTGCCCAGGTTTTTGGAGAGTGATTGATGAGCTACTTACAGTCCAGGTTGTGCTGTCACATGTCCGGTGTCTTTTGGTACTCTGAGTTTGTATAAGGAAGCTGTTAGACATGCATAGTGCAGCCTGGCATGGCTTATCTGAAAAGGATTACTGAGGAGAGATGTGGAGTCTATCTGGCACAATGCAGAGACAATTCACACCATCACCATCTCATAAAATATCTGAATGGAGGATATGGTGAAAACATGCCATGTGTTCATAAAGTACACATTCTCAATGAATATCCCAGGGAACTTGGATCTGGTTTTCCGTGCTCTATGCTCAAACTGAAAGAAACTGGTTTTTCTTCCCATAGGAGAATCAGAGTGTAACTTCATTTTCATCCAAGGCAACTCTTAAGTGATGTGTTTTAAATGAGGCCTTAATTTAAGCACGTTCTTTGCTTTGCTCATGTTTTCTTACCCAATAAACTTCCAGGCAAACAAAACGCCTAGTGCCTATGGCCAACTTTAGGTATTGAAGTCCAGAGCTATTTTTAAAATAACTTTTTCTTTCTGATTATGATAATAATGGCATACTTTTGAGTCTATACTACCAGCTAGTGCTGGGCTCAGTGTTTTGCATGCATGGACCGCAACTTTCGGTGGTAAATATTATGATTTCCATTTAACATAGAAAGAAACTGAGGTACAAAGAAATTCAGCATCCTGTTCAAAGTTACATAACTAGGAAATGGCAGTACTAGAATCAGGGCCTGGGTCTTCTGACTCTGGAGCCTGTGCACTACTGCCTCCAAATCCTGTTTCCATGCATGACCATTAGAACAAACTTGAGGAAGATAAAGTATAATGAAAAAACCAAAAAGAATAAAAATGATCTATAATTTCTTAACCTAGAGATATCTATTGCATTTGATATCTTCTCCAAATTGTCATCCCTGAGGGATACATAGATATATATTTTTTAAATGGACAGGTTTTATTCATGGTTTTTTACTCTGGTTTTTAACATTTAACGTCTTATTATAAGCATATTTTCAAGTCATTCAGTTTTGTTAAAAACATTTTCGTGGTGGCATGTCATTCAATTGTACCATAATTTATTTAACCAGTCCTTTATTACCGGACATTTTTCTGGTTTCATTTCTTGCTATTACAAAAAACAATTCCAAATAATTCTACTATGAATTCATTTGACTATATTTTGATCAACTATTTCCTCATCATAAATTCCTAGTAGAATTACTGTTTGAAACATATATACATGTTTAAGGCCCTTCACAAATATTGTCAAATTTAATGGATTCTTGAGAATATCTATTTTAATTAGCCATAATTGACTTTAATATACTTTATAATTGGTTGAACCAAATACTAGAGGCATTTTTCTTTTTTCTTTTTCTTTTTTATTTTAGAGACGGGGTCTCTCTATGTTGCCCAGGCTGGTCTCAAACTCCTGGGCTCAAGCAATCCTTCTGCCTCAGCCTCCCAAAGTGCTGGGTTTACAGGCAAGAGCCACTGCACCCAACCGAGGCATCTTTCTTATATGGTCATTGAATACAAAATAGATTTGAAATTTTTTTAAGTATTTTAAGAGCTGTGTCTTGGGAATAAGGGGAGTAATAAAGGGGTAGGCTTCAACCCTACTAAATCAGAAGGGGTGTGGGCATCTCAGGAAACCTGAGGTGGGGCTAGATGCCATCTACAACAATACATGGCTACCATGAGGGATGACCTGCAGGACAGACATCAAGGGGTGTCTGCCTACTACAAGGTTTTTACATGGATGCAATATTTGCAGCTATATTCCATTTGTGGGATTGGCATGCTTGAGTAGGGAAGAGAAGTAAAAGTAACTGAGCACTTAGAGTATCTTCTGGCTTGGAGACTGAATTTTAAATACTGTCTATTTGAAACTGTCATGATATCCTCCATGCAATGCCCTTGCAACAACCCAATAAGGCACACAGATTAAGTACTTTTATCCACATTGTACAGAAAATCACAACAGTGACAATGGAAATTTATTCTTTGTTTTGTTTTGTTTTAGAAGACAGATGCTGGCTCTGTTGCCCATGGTAGAATGCAGTGGCAGGATCATAGCTCCCTGTAACCTTGAACTTGTGAGCTCAAGTGATCCTCTTAGCCTCAGCCTCCTGAGTAGCTAGAACTACAGGAGCATGTCACCACACCCGGCTAATTTTTAAATTTTTTGTAGAGACCATGTCTTTCTGTGTTGCCTAGGCTGGACTCAAACTTCTGGCCTCAAGCGTTCTTCCCACCTTGCCCTCCCAAAGTGCTGAGATTACAGGCGTGAGCTGCTGCACCTGGCCAATGGAAACTTATTAAGCACATGCTACAGGACAAGCATTGTGCTAAGTGCTTAGTGTGTATTCTCCTTTATCCTCCAAAGAACACTATGAGATAGATACTACATTTCATAGATAAAGACAGTAAGATATGAATGAGACACAACAATTTTAAATAGTCTATTTAAAGTCACAAGTTTAGTAAATGGCAGAACTAGGATTCAAACCCAGTTAGTGTGTCTCCAGAGCCATCCCAGAGAGGTTAAGTACCTTGTTTCAAGTCTTCAGGAGGCAAAGCAGTTAAACTAAGAATCCACTGTAGGAATGTGCATACAGTTGGCAATTTCGGCCCTAATTTTGGAGTGCCTAGCACTGTCAAAAGGCTTTCAGTAATAGATCAAGTTTGCTCACAAGCAGAGTGGCAAATAATTGGTTTAATTCTCTGACATCTGTGTATATCCCTGTGTATGTTTGTAACTGTGGGGACAAAAAGTTATCACAAACACCGTTTTACCAATGAGTAGGTAGAAGAAGTGAGAGGTAAAATAACTTATCCAAGGTCAAGTAGCTGGTAACGAAAGTAGAACTCATAATACCCGTCTCCCAGAGTTGCATGTTGAAAAGTGCCTGTCAAGAAAAATCAGCATTCAGTAAATAATAGCAAATAGTCAGAATGATGATGACAATTATCCTGTTGCTATGATAGGGTAGTGAGTTCTTCTGCCTTGTTAATTTTTGTATCATCAAATGGGGACTATTGGAGGAGTAATTTATTGTCTTACTGGACAAAATACTACCTGAGAGATTTGCAAATAATGATTCTACTTTGTACAAAGAATGCCTTTCAGGAAGTAGCTGATATGCTGAGAAGCTGACCTAAACCTGAGATCCTTAGATTTGTACCAAAACTACAGAGGCTTCTAAGTAGAGAGGCATTATTTTCAATGTTTCAACCTTACACATACTCTTGATAAGCAGGGGCACTTCTACTTTTACACACTATACTTGGATACAAGCCTGCTTCAACATGATAGGAAGCAACAAGCTACCAAATCTCTGCTATTTTAAGTATTTAATAGCAAAACCCTGTGGCAGTCTGGGAAACTTATCTCCACACAATGTGCTGACACAGTGGAATGAAATTAAATAGAACCTCATACCTAGTGAATTTCACTACCAGCATGTTTTATTCATCCTTGCTCAACCATATGAATGGGCAATTTTGCTTCCAGATGAAGGGGCAGTCTAGCAACAGAACTATAATTTTCCAAGAAGCATTAGTGGGCCCCTGTTTTGAAATAAGAGGTCATTTTGGCTGGGAGAAATTAATAGTTTCCTGGCGTGTTTTTCTCTTTACAACTAAAACACATGGTATGTGGATTATAGCTTGATTCTTCTTAGGAACAGTGAATGCAAATAGACTCTCTAGTCCTCTGATATCAAAGCCATATATGCTAATGAGGCTAAAACCACACATGGCTTTGGTTTGGAGTTCTGACTATGATAGTACTGGGGATCAGACAGCTGCTGTGTGCGTTAGTTTTCACCTTGGGAAGCGGGAAAACAGAGAAAGCCATGCTTCTCAAAGAAGCATAATGGCAAAAGTAGTTTTATGTCATTACCTCCCCCCAAATTACTAAGTGCTCCATATTGACATGCTCAGGGCCAACCATTACCCTGAGAAAGACAAGAGAGTATGGCAGACACTGCAAACCCACTCCCACTACCAATACACACACACACACACACACGCACATGCACACGTATACTGATTTTTACTGAGCATCAATTAAGTGACAGGATCAAGCATCTGCAATGTGCTGGAATATTGTTGTAGATGCTTTGCTGGCAGTAGTGTCAAACCTCAAAACAGTCATGTGGGAAATAAAGTATTATTATCATCCTACCTATTTAACAGAAGAGGAAATTGAGGTTCAGAGAAACTAATTTTCTCAAGGACAGACAGTAGGAGGCAATGCTGAGACTGAATCTAAGTAGTTTAATTCCAGAGCCAGTGCTCTTAGCCATTAAACCCAGTTATGGATCAACCTAAAAAGTTAGGTGCATTGTTGTGGATATATCAGATCACTACGGAAATTTTACAGTATATTCCTGAAAATATTGTGTCCAGTTCTGTGTGGAGTGCTTCATTTAAAAAAATAATCTCACAGAAGCCTTAAGAGGTAAGTACTGTTATCACCTGTCATCAAGATTGAGAAACTGGTGTGCGGAATAACTTCCCCCAAGGTCATCTAACTTGTATGGTGCAGAGCTGAAACTCAAATACCAATTTTTCTGATTCTAAAACACTAGCCTTCAAGGAAGCTACAAAGATGAACAAAACGGCATCCTTGCTCATTATGAATTTGTGTTCTAATCTGTGGGGAAGGGGCCCTAGATATGAATCACTAAAATACAAAGCCTAGTGCAATAAGTGCCATGTGAGCAATGAAAAAGAAGCAGGTGGAAAGGAGAGAAAGAGGAGGACTAGAGTAAGGACAGAGGAGGAAGAAGAGGAAGGAGAAGAAGTAGTCCTGTGGAAGAAGGAGATACCATTTCTGACTGGGATGTCCATGAATGGCTCCATGGAAGAGGAAGTGATTAAGTGCATCATTGAGGGATACCTAAAACTTGAATACACAGAACCTTCTTTCACTTAGAGGCTGCTATGTGCCAGGCATTGCACTAGGTACTTTAAATTAGTTATGACTGGGTCTTACCAGAGCAATATCATTATTCCCAGTTTGTAGATTAGGAAACAGAAACTAAGCAAGATAATATAGCCAGATGTGGGTGAGTAGCATGACCAAACATGCGGAGGTAGACAAGCATAAGGCCTGGCCCAGGGACCATGAATAGATGTGTGGCTGGAACAGAGAATTTACAGTAGTATTGAAAAGGTCCACTGGGCCCAGATTGCAAGTATTCTGAGATTCTAGCCTATTGACATTGGGGAGTTAGTCAAATTTCATGAGAAGGCAGAATTGAGATAATGAGAGCTGTATTTTAGGAAGATTCTCAGGCATTAGAAAACAAGGACGAATTAAATGGCAGAAATTGGGTGAGTTAAGATGCTATTTCTATAGCCCAAGAATGGGGGAATAGGCACAGGCCCCAGAGACTTGAGTCTGAAGCCAGTGCCAGGCCCTGTCATTGATTAGCTGTGTGACGTTAGTCAAGATATGCTCTCATTCTTTGCCCTCAATTGTTTCAGCTTTAGAATAAAGATGATAATAGAATGTACAGATTGAACATTCCAAATCTGAAATCCAAAATGTTCCTAAATCTGAAACGTTTCGAGTGCCAACATGATACTCAAAGGAAATGCTCATGGGAGCATTTCAGATTTCAGATTTTTTTATTTGAAATGCTCAACCCTCAGTGGGTAAGTATAATGCATGTATTACAAAATCAGGAACAAAAATCTGAAACTTGAAATGCTTCTGGTCTCAGGCATTTCTGATAAAGTTTACTCAACCTGCTTGCTTCACAGGGATGCTGTGAGGATTAAACAAGACAAAATATGTAAAATGCTCTACCCAGTGCCTGACCCATGGTAATCGTACAGTAAATGGGAGCCTGTCTTAGCCAGCTCAAGTTTCTCTGCCAAATTACCTTAGACTGTGTAATGTATAAACAACATAAATTTTTCGCTCATAATTCTGGAAGCAGGTAATTCTGAGATTAAGGCAGCGGAAGATTCCGCATCTGGTGAAGGCTTGCTGTCTGCTTCAAATATGGTACCTTCTTGCTGTGTCATCGCATGATGGAAAAGACAAAAAAGGATGAACTTGTTCCAAGTCCTTTTATAAGGGCACTAAACTCATTCACAAGGGTGGAGCCCTCATGACTTTATCACTTCCTGAAGGCCCCACGTCTTAATAATATTGCATTGAGGATAAAGTTTCAACATGAATTTTGGGAGGACACAAACACTCAAACCATAGCAGAACCCCTTTTGTAAAAAGGAAAAGTAGTGAGACTAGCTTAGAGGTTATCATAATCCTGGCATCAGATGATAAGGGCCTACCAAGATAGTGGCAAAAGAGAATGGGAAGAGAGAAAGTAACCATGTTAAGTGGAAGACAGTGACTGTTCCTTGCATGGCTAGATTTTTGAACAAAAGGAATCTTACTTTAGCCAGAATAATTTGCCATCAAATGCAGAACAGATTTCAAAATAAAATGTATCTATCATGTGCATTGTAGTATTTGTAGGGCTCTTGTTAGACTGCAAGACATTGACTCCAGTTGTACAATATCTATATTTATCATTTTTAGGCATTCAGTGTGTTGATTTCATATCTCTCAAAGTCTTGCCATTCTATAACTACTGAAGTGAAATGCTTTGAGATAAAAGCAAGGGATGTGAGAATATATGATAATAAGTCCTAAAATAAGATTGAGCTTCATATTTATAGTTTTCTAATCTATGATTCTACAATACTTGCATTTGCATTATTTCCACTACATTTTCTGAAGCGACATTAATGTTATAGATATTAAGTCTGATATTTAATTAAAGGGAGATTATCTGTCCATGTAATTGCTGTCCAGAGTAATTAGTCACATGTCTTAGGTAGCTAAAGCTGCACATTTCCACCACAAAACTATGTTAGCTATGTGATACATAAATCAGGCCTTGGAAAAAATGAGAGCTTAGGAATTTAAAACATTGAACATGCCTTTAATTTCAATATTGAGCCCACAACAAAAAAAAATTTGAAGGTCTAAAATGCCAACCTCCAGTTTTTTCTTAAAATGAGCTTATTAGATGACTAATATACTGCACATGCCACATAATTAATTTTATAGTAAAGTTGGCTAGAACCTGGATAAATGGACAATTAGCCTCTCCTCTGAAAGAGATCTGTTATCATAATTGCTAATGAAAACAAAATTTGCATGCATACGTAAGACAAAAATAACCTCTTTCTCTTTCTTAGGTGTTTATCACAGAAGCTCCAAGCTCTATTTGTAATACCTAGCAGAACTATTTCACTTCACTCTTTTCTTCTTTTTCACTTTACAATGCTAATCAAGCTTTCTTATGGAGCTCTTCTACCTTGTTTGTGCTTGGTTTTCCAGCTTCTCTTATTTGAAATATAAAGCCTTATTTAACACTGTAATATATTATTAGCTGGATTTTAAATACCTAAATAAAATAAAGAGAAAGCATATACATTTCTTTAGGAGGCTTTAAAATTATAATTAATATGATAGATCAATCATTTATAATGTGTCTCTATACTCATAGGTTAATTATCTCTGAATAAAAAATAAGATAAATAACACATATTTTGAGAAGGCATATACTTTCTCTCCTCTGCTACAGACAACAATGTTAATGGGTGAAATATAGAAAAGATAAACAAAAAGACATAGCTTATCTTAGATAGCATACAAGCATCTCCATGGATTAAATATAGAAGAGAAAATTCAAATTTAAGCAAGGCTGAGTGTTACTGGACTCCCAGTCTAATAACAGACAATGAAGGTTATGGAATTAGGTCCTCTATGGGTAAGATGGCTAAAGTATTTGACATTGAACAGGACTGACTGAATGCTTATAATAAAAAACTGGGAATGGGAGACAGAATACTTCATCTTGTCTCATGCAAGGAAGCGGCAAAATGTTAGCTAAGATCATCCCCCATCAAGATATGGCATAAGGAGGTAGGAGAACACAGTCCCATACTTAAAAATAAGCCAAGTTGTCCATTTGTTCAGTGAAAGGATCTTTCACATCCTCAATATTACCCCTGGGCAGAAACTCCAAATTGACCCTGTGAGACCTGGTTCTGGAACAAGGACCTGCAGGTCTAGGTGGAGACAACTATAAAACTGCTAGATTGGAATGGCTGAAAATAGAAGCGAACACAGAAAAAAAGGGGCCCTAGGCACATCACTCTTAAGAAGACACTTGAATGACACTGAGAGTGAGGGCCTCCATAAATTTTGCACCCCAGCTGCCCAATTCTCCTTACTGGGCCCTGCTAAGAATCTACAAGTTCAAACAAATATAAATAAATACTAAATAAATGAAGAATGAGTGAAATCTTTTACTTGTTCACAAGAAAATTAACTAATAAATTTAGTAGGAATAATACAGAAAATCACCACTTGCAAATATTATCAATTGATGCTAAAATTAGTTGGTTAAAGTTGAATCAGAAATATCATATTTACATATTTTCAAAATATTCCCTCTATAAGACACATATTAATAACAAAGAGGAAAGTAGTACTTTACAGTGGAGAAACTTGGAAGACACCACCATAACCAAGTGATCAAAATTAACATCACCAGTTAAGACCAATATACATCATGTATCTTCTGATATAATACAAGTAGAACACAACATAATTTCTGTGATATATCTGCCAAAATTATATAACCTACCTAAATATGACCATGAGGAAACATCAAACAAACTCAGATTGATGGACATTCTACAAAATAAGTGGCTTGTACTCTTCAAAATTGTCAAGATCATGAAAGATAAAGCAATGCCAAGGGAGTGTTCCCAGTTATAGTAGACTAAAGAAACATGAAAACTAAATGCAATGCATGATTCTGGATAGGAGCCTTTTGCTACAAAACGTATTAGTGGGACAATTGATGAAGTATAAATGAGAGCTGTAGATTATAATACTGTTTCAGGGACAGTTTTCTGATATTTGATCATTGTACTTTAATTATATAAACGATTGACCTTGTTTTTAGAAAATACACACTACATTATAAGGCATAAAGGAGGTTTATGTTAGGAACTTTCTTTCAATAAAGCAATTTAGGACATACATATAGACATACACAGCTGTGTGTGTTTATGTGTGTATATGTGTGTGTGGAAGATAGAAAATGAGAAAGTTAAATCAAAAAGGATAAAATGCCAACATTTGTAGAATTAGTTTGTGATAAATGGGAATTGTTTTACTACTTTTGCATCTTTTCTATCAAATTATTTAAAAGTAAAACAAAAACTTATATCATAAAATACTATGTAAAAATACTATATTACAAAATCTAGTGTTATCTAGCTAAAGTAATCGTTCAAGGTAATTGTACAATCTTAATCACAATTAATTATAAAATTAAGGAAGACTGAATAAAAATGAGTTGTGTTCAACTCAAGAAACCAGAAAAAAGAACAATAAAGTAATCTAGAAAGAAGAAAATTGTAAAAATAAGAGCAGAAATTAATGAGTTTGGAAGAAAACAAATAAACTATAGAGAGGATCAACAAAATCAAAAGTTGGTTCTTCGGAAAAAAATAGAATGAATACAATGAGAAAATATCAACAATGGTCAAGAAAAGACAAAAAAATTTAGCAACAAAAAAGGGAATGCAGTGATTGTATAGGTAAATTAAAGATTTCAAGATCATAAAATAGAACTACAATAAACTTTATGCCAATAATCTTGAAAACTTATAAGTCAATATTTTCTTAGAACATGTGTCAAAAGTGACTGAAGAAACCACAAACCTCCACAAACCAATAAACATCAGTAACATTGAACTGTATTCAAAAGTTTTCTACCTTCAAAGACACTAGCCTCAGGCAGTTTTATAGAAAAGTTTTACCAAATCTTGAAGGATCGGATAATTCTTGCCTTTTACAAACTGTTTCAGAAAATATAAAAATAGGAAAGAAATAGCTGAGAGACATGGGGAGAACTAAGCATATGATCCTGCTCTACCTGATATCAAAACTACCTGTAAAGCTAAAGTAATAATGATGCTATGTTTGGTGTAGGGAGAGGCAAAAATGCCAATGAACTAGTATAGAGTGCTGAGAAATTTAGCCATATATGCATGAATGAAACTTGGATGTTGTATTAGTCCATTCTCACACTGCTATAAACGTACACCTGATACTGGGTACTTTATAAAGGAAAGAGGTTTAATTGACCCACGGTTCCACATGGCTGGGGAGGCATCAGGAAACTTAGAATCATGGCAGAAGGCAAAGGGGAAGCAAGGCACCTACTTCACATGGTGTCAGGAGAGAGAAGTGCAAGGACAGAAAATGCCAGACACTTATAAAATCATCAGATCCCATGAGAACTCACTCATTATCACAAGAACAACATGAGGGAAATTGCCCCCATGATCTAATCACCTCCCTCCCCCTACATGTGGAAATTATAGGTCACCCTCCTCAACACATGAGGATTACAATTTGAGATGAGACTTGGGTGGGGACATAGAGTCAAACCATATCATTCTGTCCCTGGCTCCTCCCAAATCTCATGTCCTTTATACATTTCAAAACCAATCATGCCTTCCCAACAGTCCCTCAAAGTCTTAACTCATTACAGCATTAACTCAAAAGTCCAAGTCCAAAGTCTCATCCAAGACAAGGCAAGTTTTCAAAACCAATCATGCCTTCCCAACAATCCCCCAAAGTCTTAAGTCATTCCAGCATTATCTCAAAAGTCCAAAAGTCCAAAGTCTCATCTGAGACAGGCAAGTCCCTTCCACCAGTGAGCCTGTAAAATCAAAAGCAAATTAGTTCCTTCCAAGATACAATGGGGGTACAGGCTCTGGATAAATCCTCCCATTCCAAATGGGAGAAATTGGCCAAAATGAAGGGACTACAGTCCCCATGCAAATTCAAAACTAGCAGGGCAGTCATTAAATCTTAAATGGAGGACAGTGACCCTCTCCTCACAGGTCCACTAGGCAGTCCCCAAGTGGGGATTCTGTGTGGGGGCTCCAACCTCATATTTTCTTTCTGTACTGCTCTAGCAGAGATTCTCCATGAGGGCTCCACCCCTGCAGCAAACTTCTGCCTGGACATCCAGGCATTTCCATATATCCTCTGAAATCTAGGTGGAGGTTCCCAAACCTCAATTCTTCTATGCACCAGCAGGCCCAACACCACATGGAAGCCACCAATCCATGAGGCTTACACCCTCTGAAGCAATGGCCTGAGTTGTACTTTGGCCCCTTTTAGCCATGGCTGGGAAACAGAGTGCCAACTCCCAAGGCTGCACAGAGCAGCATCTGGGCCCTAGGCCCAGCCCAGGAAATGATTTTTCCCTCCTAGGCCTCCAGGTCTGTGATGGGAGGGGCTACTGTGAAGGTCTCTGACATGCCCTGGAGACATTTTTCCCATTGTCTTCCTGATTAACCTTTGGCTTCTCATTACTTACTCAAATTTCTGCAGCTGGCTTGAATTTCTCCCCAGAAACATTGGCTTTTCTTTTTTATCGCATCATCAGCCTGCAAATTTTTCAAACTTGTGTGCTCTGCTTCTGTTTTAAATATAAGTTCCAATTTCAGATCATGTCTCTCAAGTTCAAAGTTCCACAGATCTCTAGGGCAGGGACAAAATGCCACCAGTCTCTTTGCTATGCACAGCAAGAGTGACATTTGCTCCAGTTCCCAAATATTCCTATCTCCATCTGAGACCACCTCAGCCTGGACTTCATTGTCCATATCACTATCAGCATGTTGGTCAAAACCATTCAACAAGTCTTTAGGAAGTTCCAAACTTTCCCACATCTTCCTCTCTTCTTCTGAGCCCTCCAAACTGTTCCAACCTCTGCTTGTTACCCAGTTCCAAAGTCACTTCCACATTTTCAAGTATCTTTATTTCAATACCCCACTCCTGGTACCAATGTAATGTATTAGTCCATTTTGACACTGCTATAAAGATACTACCCAAGACTGGGTAATTTATAAAGGAAAGAGGTTTAATTGACTCACAGTTCCAGACAGCTGGGGAGGCCTCAGGAAACTTCCAGCCATGGTGGCAGCTGAAGGAGAAGTAAGTACCTTCTTCACATGGTGGCAAGAAAGAGACAGGCAAGCAGGGGAAATGCCAGATGCTTATAAAACCATTGGATCTCTTGAGAACTCACTATCACAAGAACAGCATGGAGAAAACTGCCTCTATGATCCAATCACCTCCCTCCCTCCACATGTAGGGATTACAATTTGAGATGAGATTTGAGTGGGGACACAGAGCAAAACCATGTCAGATGTATGTCAAGGATAGCATTTCAGATGAGTCAGGAAGAGAAAGTATATTCAATATGTGATTCTAATAGAATAGTTATACATGCAGAGAAAAGTAAAATTAAGCCCCTAACATACATAATACAAAAACAAACACAAGAGAAAATCTTTATGACCATAGCTGCTATGGTTTGAATGTGTCCCCTTCAAAATTCAAGTGTTGCCTATGTGATAGTGTTATAGGTGGAGGCTTTAACAGGTGACTTGGCCTTGAGGGCTCCTCTTCCTTTAGTTGGATCAGGTGTCCTTATAAAAGGGCTTGATGAAGGGAGTTCATATCTTTTGTCCTTTTACCTTCCTCCATGTTAGAACATAGTGTTCCTCCCCTCTGGATGATGCAGTATCAAGGCACCATTTTGGAAGCAGAGAGTAGGCTTCCCCAGACAATCAACTTGCCAGTACCTTGATCTTGGACTTTCCAGACTCTAGAACTGTGAGAAATAAATTTCTGTTCTTTGTAAATTACCCAGTCTCAGATATTCTATCATAGCAGCACAAAATGGACTCAGACATAGGACAGGGAAATTTTTCTTAAACAAAGCAAGACAAAACAAAATAAAACAAAAAAGCATCAATCATAAAAGGATCCCTTGATATATTTGATTCTGCATTTAAAAAAATCAGTACAGAGATACTATGCAATATCTTGAAAACATAATATTGAGTGAAAAGAACAATTTGCCTCTTGATACAGTATGACCATGTTTGTTAAATGCTGAAAAACACACAAACAAATAGTGTATATTGTTTATGGATTTATATGTATGGTGTAAATTTATTTAAAATATGCATGGGAACTTTCATACTGATTTCCTAACAGGAAGAAGAGAAAATTGTAGAATGGAATTGGGAGGGTACAATGGGGTTCACAACTCTAACTGAAATGCCATTTCTTAAAAAAAATGAAGTCTGAAACAAATATGTCCTAAAGTTAAGATTTGATAACACCGAATGTGAGTAAGTGGGTATTTATTATATTATTATCTATTCACATCTATATGCTTGAAATATTAATACTCCATATTCAAGCAATGTGCTCTAGTGGACAAGCACCAATCTAGATCATGGATAAGTCCAGGCTTTACTACTTTGTGACCTGTCAGGTTACTTAAGTTCTTAGTACCTCAGTTTCTTCATCTGTAAGTTTGGGATAATTGCAGTACTTAAAGTGGTAAAGTGGTATTGTGAGAATAATATGAAATAGCATATGTAAAGTGTTTTGCACAGTGCCTGACACATAATAAGCACTCAACACGTTCTGGCCTTTGTGATCATTTCCTGCCAGATTTGGACTCTTTGTTAATCTTTTATTTCTTTTGGTAACATTTCATTTTGAAATAATTTCATACTTACAGAGATAGTTACAAAGAACTCCCAGTTACTCCTCATGCAGCTTTTATCACAATGCCTTTATTATTGTCATTCTACTATTTGGAATTTAAGAATACTTCTTGATGGATGGGCAAACAAAGCCATCATATAGCCTATGCTACCATAAAAATGGACTGTTTGAAGGCAGCATATCACTGTGGTTAAGAACATAGGCATTGTTTTTCAACAGTTCTTGATGGGATCTCAGCTTCTCCGCTGACTGAATTGTGACTTTGGGTAAGTCACCTAAATTTCTGAGTCTATGAAATAAAAAGTCAGCATAGTGCAGCAACATTGGTTAGGGATTCAATCCTGTGAGCCAATAAACAGCCACAACGTTTCTGGGCTGGGACTATTTGAGTGCCATTTCTGAAATGCTTAAAGAGGCCTGACTTTAAAATAGCTGCTCAGCCTGCCCTAATGGGCGGAGTGACCTGGAGCATGGCATTTTTCCACTGTAAACCACAATCCCACAAATGAGGTCTGGCTTCAGATACCTGAAGCCAGACTTCAAATTTCCTGGATTCTTCTTTTGAAATATGTGTGTGGGCACACCCACGCATGTTTATTTGATTTGTTTGTTTGATTTCTTCCAGCTCATCAAACCCAGCTTCTTTTGTCACTTTATTCTCTTTCTTGCTTTCTGAGGCTTTTAAACAGAGGGTGGTTTTTTTTCCCCTTTGGGAGAGGGAAAAACCCATTGCTATCCCCCTGGATGTGGTTCTGACTGGAGCAGTAATGAGCAGACCTGATGGAAGTGATCACTGTCCCCACCTAGGGTGACTTAAGGAGAGAAAGGATAAAGTTTTGGTACTGCAGAACATTGGACTCTAAAGGTGGGTCTGTGGAACTTTACCAGTCTTGAACAACGTTTTTCATATGTGTATCTAAATGAGAAAAAATAAATACAAGGTAGTGAGAGTTTTTCATCAAGTTAAAAAGATTCAACATAATGAACTGCCCTCTATTTTGAGATTATGCCCTTCCAACGTTTCTGGTGATAAAATGTCTTTTCTTTCATAAAATGATGGTGGTAGCTTTTTAAAATACATTCAGTTGGGAGTCAAACTTTGTGAATCCTATATATCTGTGTATATATAAATATGTGTGCATGTACATATATACACACATGTATGTAGAAATCCTATGTATATATATGAGCATATATATAAATCCTAAATATAAATATCCTACAGAATAGGATTTACACATACTTATCTATAAAGTCTATATATATATATGTGTGTGTGTGTGTGTATGTGTATATATATATATAAGATTTATATATTTGTTTATGTATAATGGTTGTTAAAATGCTTGTGGGAAATTATATTGGTCCATGAAATCTAAAAAAATCTGACAGCCTTTGATTCAGACTGCCAAAGATATAAAAGGATTCTTCACCATTAAGCTCCTCATCCCAATTTTGCAGATAAGTGAACTGAGGGACTTAAACTCACAAAGCATGTTGGGAGCAGAACCAAGACTAGAACTCCAATCACCTGATACTCAGGCTAACTGAACCCTCCTCTCACCTGCCCTGCCACCCCAAATGGAAAAAGGCACTGAAGAAAACCTTCCTTAACCTCACTATGTAACAAGTTTTTGCCATGCACTGTTTATTTTCTGTTTTGTTCTAAATTCAAGAACTAAAAGAACAGCCAAAATCCCAATGGGAAATGATGACGACTAAGTTCCAGGCCTCATGATCATTAACCCTGTTGGAATGGAGGCGGGCAATGAAATGGTCACTTAAATATTTCGCTGACTTGCTCCCTCTTAAGTCAGAAGAGTGCCTACTCATAGCGTTAATTTCTGATTAGCTGTTAATACAGCCAGGTTAGAAAATAGCATGGAGAAGAATAAGCATTCACATATCCTTTTCTGATTGTTACTAACTAGCAATGGTTTGCAGAGTTGGGTCAGTGCTCTTACAGAAGGCAAAACTGGAGGTTTTGAGCTGCACCTAAAACAACAGACAATCAGCTTCTGGCCTGGAGAAACTGGTGGGGGCAGAATCATCTCAAAATGGCAGCCTTTGGGTAGCTTGCACCTAGAATTCTTTTTTTTTTTTTTTTTTTTTTTTTTTTTTTGAGACGGAGTCTCGCTGTCGCCCAGGCTGGAGTGCAGTGGCGCAATCTCGGCTCACTGCAGGCTCCGCCCCCTGGGGTTCACGCCATTCTCCTGCCTCAGCCTCCCGAGTAGCTGGGACTACAGGCGCCCGCCACCTCGCCCGGCTAATTTTTTGTATTTTTAGTAGAGACGGGGTTTCACCGTGTTAGCCAGGATGGTCTCGATCTCCTGACCTCGTGATCCGCCCGCCTCGGCCTCCCAAAGTGCTGGGATTACAGGCGTGAGCCACCGCGCCCGGCCTTGCACCTAGAATTCTACCTGCAGTGTCAGGATTAGACGGGCCCTAGGAAGAGTTATGGAGAGGCACTGCTCTGGGAAAACTCTCTACCTGTAGGTTAAAGGAGGCCTGGTTTTGATTAGAAAGACCTTTAAATATCATATGTGTTGTATATATATTACTGAATTCCTATTTTTGCTGTAACAAATAACCACAATCTTTGTGGTTTAAAACAACAGAAATTTATTATGTTATAATTATGAATGTCAGACATCCAAATTGGGTCTTACTGGGCTAAAATCAAGGTGTTCACAGGGCTGTGTTCCTTCTGGAGGCTCTAGGGTAGAATCCATTCCTTGGTTATTCTGGCTTCTAGAGGCCTCCCACATTTCTTGTTGCATCACTCAAACCTCTGCTTCCATTGTCATATTGCCTTCTCTCTTTCTGACTCTGACCTTCCTTTCTCCTTATGAGAACCTTTGTGATTACTTTGGTCTCACCCATACAATCCAGAATATTCTGCCCATTTCAAGATTCTTAATTTAAACACAACTGGCAAGTCCCTTTTGCCTTATAAGGTAACATCCACAGGTTCCAGGAATTAGGATATTATATGTCTATTGGGAGAGGGCAATATTCAGCTTTCCACAACCAGTAAAACTTGTTTTTAAGTGAAAAAATGTAAAGAATCAAATATATAAATTGCAGAAAAGCAGGGTTGCTATATTAAATGTCTCATCCATCTAGCCTCTATGACTTCTTTCCCATGACAGTGACTGATCCTTGTAGCTCCAAAATCCATTGAATACAACTGATTTATATGTGAAGGGAGGACACCATTTGGAAACACCTCAGCCACCACATTCCCACTGTTATATTCTTCAGTGAAATGTGACACCTCTTAATGCTAGTTAACTGTGAGACAAGAGACCCTGCTCAGGTAGCCTTGCATTTCCAGAAGCTGAGGTGCTCAACGTTTGTTGAATAAATGAGTGAATAGTCAATTAGTGGTGAATGAAAAATGCTTAGCCAGTGTCTATATTCTGTTTCCCCACTCACAATTATTCATGATTCAGACATATATATTAGCATTATTAGAAAAAGATCAAAATGGATACCTGCCACGTGCCTTCTCTCACAATATGCAGTGTCAAACCATTTTTACACATATAAACATATGCATTTCACTGCTTTTCATGAGCCTTAATAGAATGTATTCTTTCAAATCCCTATCACGGACATTTTATTTGCATAGCAGGAAATTAGATAATGGTATTATAATATCTTTCTTTGCCTCTTTGCCAGAACCTCGTTCCTGAGGGCAAGATTAGAAATGGAACAAAGAATGTTAAAGAACATCTAGGGCAGGCAGTTTTACAGATGAGGAAACTAAGTTCTGAACTGTAAAACTTGAAATTTGCTGAGAAAGTAGATCCTAAGTGTTCTCACCACACACACACACACACACACACACACAAATGGTGACTAGGCAAGTAGGGGTTGACAATTACCATACTTTTGGGCACCATCCTTGGCATTTGGTCAAAGCATGTCGACTGAGACTACTTATTTAAAAAAAAAAAGAGTGGAATATGCAGAAAGAGAGCTGGCTAATGCAACAAGGCCAGAGCCTGGGAGAGTGAAAATCTGGAGAGCACAGTGCCATGGGGGGCAAGGGAGGAGTGCGCCAGGAGAGGGAGGGGCCCGGGCTGAGGGTGCGTTGAACTAGTGCCCTTACCACAGAGGAGGATGGGCCTAGGGACAGGTGCATTACTTATTGGAAGTAATGCCAATCTATCCAGTAAAATTATAATTGGTCCTAAGTCATGGTTCTGGACTTGCACACCTAGGAACACTGAAACAATCTTAGAACTTTAAGCACAATGCACCACATATAACATTTTTGGAAACTCTCTGGTTTTATTTGGAAATTTATATCTGATATTTGGTCAAGGCTTAAAGTTTCCAGGACTTTGAAGTATTGCTGAGTCCTAAATAGTGAACCTTCAAAAGCTTTGACTCTACCATAGGGCATTGAATTGATGATCTATAAACAAGAAGAGAACAATATTTGAAAAGGAAAAAAGTGCTAAGTTTCCACATTAGGTCTTATAAGCAGGAGTCTGTCTCTATTTCAGCAACAGTCTTGTCTCTTATGAACACAACTCCAAGCAAAGCCATTTTAAGAAAAGGCATGAGCAGAAAGGCAGGGCAGATCATCTACCCTGGCTCTGCCACTGATGTCATATGGCTGGGAGACCTCCCCAACAGTCTACTCCATAGAGATAACATGTTACACAAGTGATGGGGAGAGAAATGCTATTCACACCAGAAATGTCTCCTGCGAGACTTAGACATATAAGTTGCATGAAGACAAGACCTCTGTTTATGATGCTCACCATTTATCCCTGCAACTTAGACTACATGCCTGGCACATAGTTGGTACTTGTGGGGGTCTCCCAAAAACCTCACTAAGTAGCACTTCATCTTATCATCCAGATTCTGAAGTTGATAAATACACAAAACAGTAAATATGAACTTAAAAATATCACTTCATTACTGATGGAGGCCAGGCTTGATGATCTAAATTAATGAGAAAGTCAAAGTGTCTACTCAATGGATTGCAAAAGTTAGGAGGACTTCACCTAAATAAAGGCAGTGCAGGAGCAGGATAGATTGCCCACTGAAGGAGCAGAGTAGAACACCCACTCTCATGAATACGATTGCTCCCAAGAGAAAAGAGGATGAACTGACTTGAGAATGTCCAGGTAATCTACCCCAATTTACCAATCAAATAAGTGTTCCTCATTGTGCTCAATATATACTCAATAAAGGCATACATGAATGAATGAACTAAAGAAGGTCAGAAATACCACCTGTGGTAATCTATAGCCTAAGGAGCTGGGATAGCCAGAATGGGGCCCTTGTGTAAAGAGTACTTTGGAGCTCACAACACTTTTCTATGGCACTAGGCTGTAGATCCCCTCACACTCAGATAAGGGAAGAGAAAGGCTGCCTTTGACTTCTGGAGAGGGAGTCGCGGGAAAACAAAGGCATTCACCCCTCAGATAAGGTGAATTCAACTGGGGGACAGGATAGAGGGTGGCTGGTACAGCTTGAATAAGAGAGATCAGCTAACATTTTATCCAATATCAAGCTGGGTAAAGAAAAACAGATTCATTAAGCCAAAGCAAGTTTCATGCTCTGTTTTGCTTTGCTTTGCTTTGTAGAACACCTGTTAGTGTCACTCTTTTTCTAGCCATGTGTTTCTCATCAAACTCATCCAAGACAACAACAAGAAGAGCCAAGGAGCCTGATGCTATAAGAAGGAGAACTTCAGAAGTTCTTACCTCAGTGTTCTTACCTCCTTTTTCCTTCTTACCTCTGTGTTACCTTGTTCTTGCAACCTCCATGACTGGGAGTCACAGGCTTGAAAGGGAAAAACATTTGATCCTTCTTTTCCCTAAAGAACCTAGTTCAGTAACTGACAGTGATTTGAATGGGCTGTTATCATGGGTACCGCACTTTTGAGGTAATAAGACTGGCAGGTTTTTTCACTGGCACTATTTTTCCACACAGGTAAGTTATATGTAAAGCAGTCATACTATTACTATGTACACTGGTTATTTGAGACAAAGTACTGTAATATTGACATTTCATCTGACTCTTTCTGCTTATAGGCTTTGATGAGATCATTCTTGTTAACTTACTATAAATATTACCTGAGAATCAAATCCTTCCTGGGTCTAAGATTTGCTTTAAATGCCTAATGACCTGTCTAGTTTTCATTATGTATCAACCTTAGGGGTTCCCTTGACCTTGCTTAAGTTTTAGAATGAATTAAAGGGGCAGCTTTAGTTTCAATATTTATATGTAGTCATTCATTAATTTAACATTTCTTGGGAGCCTGCCATGTGCCAGGTTCTGTGCCCTTTACACCATTTACATAAACAACATCTAACACTTACAACAACCCTGAAAGGATGATGGTATTCTCCCAATTTCCCAGATTAGGAATCATATCATTAGTGAGATACATTCACTTGCCCAAGTTCCACAGAGAATAAATGGTGGAGTTAGGATTCACACCCAAGTCTGCTGAGCTGCCAAGCTCCACAGGCTCTTTCTAATAATATGCTCAACTGCTTCCAGCTGCCTTTCCAGCTCATCTCCAGACAGGAGAAGCATTCCACATTTATGTGATGCTCACTTTGTTTCTTCCTGTTTCCCCCTGAGTTGAAATGGAAGGAGAAGCTGTCCCATCACAGTAGGATATGTCCCTGAATGGTAAAGGTTTTTCACTGATATCTTTTTCTGGGGACTACAGAATGTCCTCTTTTTATGCCATTTCCTTCTTTCTCTGGAACTACAAAGTTTAAAGCGATGTAACATCATTAAAATATGCTCTAGAGCTTCCTTAAATAATTGTTTAAATGAACACCTGTCCTTGTTTTGCAAAGCTTCCAGTCTCAAATTGGGGCTTATGCTAGAAAAGAACCTTCATGGATGTTTTAAGCCAATCATTAACAAAATTTTTCTAAATGGAGACTTAAAGCAGTTTCATCCAAGTTCAACATCAGAGCAGAGAATAAAGAGCCCTGTCTCTGCAGATAGGAATTAAGGTCAAGCCTCATGGATCTAGGGGGCACCTGACTACCAAACTTCCCGATTTTTGGTGGTCAGAAAGCTGGAAAGTGGGAAGATAATAGTGGTATAATTCCTCAAGCTTGGGATAGATAACACAGGATCAGGGCAGATTTTAACTCTGAGTTGAAATGTCTCCAAAGTTTGTTTTCTTGGGGCATTCTTCCACATAGGTGCACTCAGAAAACAGATAAGGAGAGTGGGGCATTTGGGAAATACAAGTTTAGAGTTACTCAGTGGATTTCAGGGTCCTGAAGGAGTCAGCCAGCACATTCCCCAGTGTGGCCTTCGATTCCAGCTGCCCCAAGATAAATCATCTAACAGAGGGTGGATCTCATATTACCCATTTGAGAGTTCCTGTAACTCTGGTACCAACTGATGTTTTCATTTTTGTAAACAAAAATCTCATACCAATGCTCTCTCATTAGTTAAAGAGGCCTTGTGGTGAATCTTTTTGTAAAGTGAAGAGGCCTTTTGTAATGTAAATAGTCTTTCCCTAATTTATCTTTATTGTTTCTAAGTTCTGTGGGTAGGATTTTCTTAAAGAGGGTGTATTAGTAATGCCATAAATCACAAGCATATTGCTTATTTATAAGCTACTCATTTTAGAGCACAGCTCACCTAGAAATTCATATCCCATTGTTTCTCTTCATTGTTAATGAGTCTTGGGAATTACTGACTTGACTTTAGAGCCACTGAACCTTATACCATCAAGCTCTGGAAAATTTGCAGAAGATCTTTAAAACTAATAATGATAAAAATCAAGTGGACCTTGAAATAAAAGGGAAGCCACGTGTCAAATATCAAGATAATGACACTTGTTTTGTTCTTTCTAAAATAAAGAGTTGGCCCTGTGCTTTCCAAATAGTGTGAGAAGAGTTTCCTCTTTTTCATTTCTTAAACTGGAGTTAGGGCACTGAAATCTTTTAATAAAGAAATTGGTCAAAATCAGAAAGTCTGCCGTTTAAAAATACCTTTAAACCTTTGACTGTTGTTGGGGCCTCTTTGATTATTACTTGGCTAATTTTCTTATGCTTCCATGGTCTCTTCCAGATAACCGAGACATAAACAAGGGGCTGGAGAAGCCTGTGGAGATTTACGGTGCAGTCTTCTGAAAAAGAATGTTCTCAATTTTCAAGTGGGATTGGAAATACAGTAAGTCTGGCCTACAGCATTGGCCACTCTAACTGATTAGAGGTATGTTTCATTGAATGCCAGTAATAGCAGAGTAAGAGGGATTTTATAAAGAAAGGGGTATGTCTCTTCATGAGTAGACATTATAAGTGAGCTAGTGATTCCCGTGAAGTTGGCATTTTTCATAAATGAGAGGGCATTTTTAAAGATAACTAGAAGTAGCAAGGACATAAACCAGCAAACCTCAGGAGAACCAGGGAGACCAGGCAGTGAAAAGGAAGACTTGCAGAAGCGGATCCTTATTGGAGTTAAGAGACTGGGTCCCAGCAAAGAGAATGGAGACCAAGTAGATTGTTGTAAGGGCACAGTGTTACATAGTGATTGTTTTTAAAGTTATCTATGAATTGAGCTAAAGGGTTGTTGGTAGGAAGTGCTCAGCTGACTGAGAAGGTATATTCCCCAAGTTTCTGAGTGGGGCCTGAAGCCCAGAACAATGGGCAAAAGTCCCAGAAGAAGCTGGCAGACTTCACACCACATGTGCACAATATAGGATATGCACACATCACATTTGGTCTTATCTTCCTTACCCACAATTGTATGGTATTTTTGAGATGCTAACCTGGGTAGATAGCATTCAATTACATTCCCAACAGATTCAAACACAACTACAGAGTAAAAGGGAACCATTTTGTCCAAATGTTAAGTAGTCAGTAATGGCATCTTTGAAACCAAGCCTGATGATAAGCCTCAAAGGAGATGTTAATGGATGAACTTGTACAATATGAGGAAAATCCACCCTCAATATGTTCTACTTTCTTATATAAGAAAAAATAATAACTAATTTTGAAACAGAAATTGAATTGTGATCCTGCATTTTATTTATTCGATTATGAATTTCTGTGATTTTAGATAACTGCCCATTTCTCAGTGACTTCTGCATCATCAAATTTCCTCCCTAAGATGGACCTGGAAATTTTTGTCTGCTGCTTTAGTAATCCAGCCTTGTGCTTAATTTTCACATATCCATACAGGGATGAGGAAGATTACTGAGAAGTATTTGAAAGGGAATGTACCTGACATACTAAAGAATAAAATGGGATGCTGGGAGTCTAAGAGAATTTTGCTTTGAATAATTTGTTCATTTACTTATTTATACAAGTATGTAATCATAATAGTATCAAAAACACAATTTATAGTATAGGACTAAAAACCACTATGAGTCCTTCAAAAGTAATTGTAGGAATAAATTGTAGCTAATGCATGACTATTAGGGCTTAAAAGGAAAACAACATGAAGCTAGAATTAAGAACAAATTAGTGATAAGTGGTAGTTATAAAAATGATGCCTGGAACACCACTCAGTTGGGAGTAACCCAGAGATCTGAAGGACTGAATGAACTGTATTGAAGGGGGTCTTGCTCAGCCACTGGAGTTTTCCCCAACATGTGGGTGGGCCTGGGCAAAGGGCAAAGGGACATGTGGAAAACTTGAGGTTGGATTCCACAGCCTAAGGCCAGTTGCCAGAAGAATGCCTTTCAGCAAAAGGGGAGAATGGGAGGGGCTGGCCTGGTTCTTCAGCGTGCCCTATTATCTTTATGTTGCTAAATCTAATGGATATTTTTCAGTCTTCATTTTACTTGACATCTGTCCCAGGAACTACCCTTGACCAGGCCTTCCTTGAAGCATTCTCTATCCTAGCTCTATTTCTGGTGGCTTCTGCTCAGTCTTCTCAGTTTATCCCCCTTTACCTGACTTAACTATTGGAGATGATCAGAGTTCTGCCTTTGGTCCTCTTTTGTGCTCACTTTCCATTCTCCCTAGGTGAATTCATTCACTCCCTGGTTTCAGTTATCACCTTGGTGCTGAAATGACAGCAACAAGATTTTTATTTCTAGTCTGCACCTTTCTTCTGAGCTCTAGATCTATATATGGACCTGTTCACTTCCATGTCTTAAAGACACCTCAGTTCAACATATCTCAAAATGAACACATCTTCCTCTCACCCTGCTCCACTGCTTTTCCTCCCATGTTTCCCATCTCAGTGAATGTCACCACCATCCACCCAGTGTGCAAGCCTGAAAGCAAGGAGTCATTCTCAACACCTGCCTCTCCTTCACACTCCACATCCAATTCATCATCAAGTGTTTTCAATTATAACTCTAATATCTTCTCAAATCAACCCACTTCTGTCATTCCCTCTAAACACCCCCCTTTGTCTAAGCTACCATCATCTCTCACTGGATAATAGCATCTGAACTCGTCTCTGCAATTTTCCCTCTGATTTGCCTTCCCGCAATCCATTCTTTGCATAGTAGCTAGTTCTTTAAAAAACATAAGTCCAATCTTGACACTCTCTGGCTTAAAATCCATCAACAGCTCCCCATTGCCACTAAAAGAAAGTCTGAACTCCTTATTACGAACACAAGGCCTCGTGTGATCTGAGCCCATTAACCTCATCACCTCATTTTGTACCGTTCCTTCTTTTGCTAATTTAGCCTCAGACGCACTAATCATATCTCAATTTCTTAAATATGCCACATGCTTTTCTTCCTTAAGGCCTTCCCTCATGTTTCCTCTGCCTCTAATAGTTTCTCCAACCCACAATCCTGCCTCCTACTGCCTTTGCCTGGATAACTCTGCATTCTTTAGAGCTCAAGTCAAACGTTACTTCCATAGAGAAGGCCCCCTGAAACTCCAGGCTGGGTCAGGATCTGCTGTCTTAGCAACCTGTTCCTTTTTTTCTGTCACCTAGTTGTCAAGCAAGAAATTACGACATGAAGTATATATAATTACAATTACGCAGTCGCCTTTACTAGACTAAGTATCATATTGCCAGGGACAGTGTCTGCTTTTGATTCACATCATATTTCTAACACCTAGCATAGCACTTAGTACAAAATATGGGTTCCAATCCATATTGGTTAAATAAATAAATGAATAGCTCTAATCACCTTGTGTTTATTTCTTGTTTAATCAATTATCATTCCAGATCACTGAGGGCAGAAACAGTGTCTATTTTTCTTACCACTGTAGTTTCAGTGCCAACCTCAGTGCCCAGTGAAGGAGTTTGTGAGTTGGGTTCAGGAATAGGCACCAGCCTTGCCTCAGGGACAATGAGAAAGGTAGGTAGAAGCCTGCAACTGAATGCCAAGCCTGCAAGAGGTACATTCCATATTCTCAGCAAGAGAAGCCATAGCTGGCAAGGCAGGCCTATCCAGAGGGGACTTCTGAAGCTCATCTCTGTCACAGATGGGCTCCCAGAACAAAAACACTGAGGCAGGCCCTCCATTTGCCAGAGGCTCACAGAATAAGCACCTCCCCATTGTGGACATTAGTAGTGAAGACCTAACTGCCACAGGTAACAGGACTGAGCACAGCAGGCATCTAGGCAAGCTTTGACTGATAGCTTTTAGGAACAGCAGAGGTAAGGAACACCAGAGAAGGTGACTATGATAGCTATAATAGGAAGTAAAGTTTCACAGAATTTGAGAAAAGTAAGAGGAAGCTCCTATATATTGAATGCTTACCAGACGCCAAGCACTGTGCTAAGGGTTTTACAGACATTGTCTAATGTAATCCTTGAAAAACTTTGTGAAGTATGTGCTTCATTATACATGAGGAATAATGTATATTGAGGGATAATGTATACATGAAGAATAATGCATAATGTAATGTACGTTATACATGAGGGAACTGAAGCATAAAGGGATTAGGTTATTTTTATCAAGGTCATACACCTAGTAAGGTGGCAGAGTCATCTTGAACTCCGGTGTGGAGATTTGCTCTCTGGACATTAAAGAAAATGGAATAGACTTACAACTATGTGAATTACAACCACGGGGCCTTGGTACCCCCATGTGGAAACTGAGGAGGCTGGACAAGATTGCCATCAAGGACCTTTCTTAATCTTTCCACCTGGCAGCAACAAGTTGTTTCCCTGGGAGAAGTGGCTGGGGCCCCTTTCAAAGCCCAGTTGTCCTCTTCCTGGTCTCATTGTTCTCTGCTGTCAGCCTGGACCTAGGATACCTGCCTTAGTGCCTTCCATGAAAGCTTTGTTCCACTTCCTCTGTGAGTAGAAGAGCTGACTGTTATCTGCTGCCACAGCTTCCTCACCCTCAGGGCTCTTCTATGTCTCTAGCACAAGCTGATTTAAATCCCTATCTTCCCTTTACGGGGCGCCATTCCAGCCCTCCACTCTGGTCTCCCAGTCAGGGTTGCCAGGGAGGGAACTGAGGCCCAGGGTACTGGTTCTCAGGCAGTTGGAGGCCTAGCTTCATGATTCACCGTCTCATAATGGTAATTGCTACCCCATACAGGGCGTGTCTTCTGTGCCTGGCTCTGTGCTAAATGTTTTACTTGTGTTACCTGATTTGATTCTTGCCACAACCCTGTAAAAGCAGATATAGTCATGCCCATTTTACATACAAGCAAACAAAAGCCTAGAAAAATGAAGCCCAAGAGCTCACATCTAGAAAGTGGACATAACTGAATTCCAAAGCCAATCATTTTCCTCCTACACTGTTTCCCTGTCACTTAATCTTTATGTGGGTTTTGGCAAGTGACCTATCCTCTCTGAGTCTCATGTAAGAAATGAGGATGACAAAACGGTCCACCCCATAGGGTTGCCATAAGACTCACAAAACGTAATGTGGATACCTAACACATAGTAAATGTTCCATGCATTGCATTAATAATAGTTGTTGTAATTGCTATTGTTAGAGTTATTATAACATCACTACTTTAAGCTATCCCACTAAGCTCTTCCAGCCATCCCTCTTCCATGCACAACCAGGGATCTATGGTATAAGAGCAAAACCTCTTTGTGGCAGGGGAATATGGTGATGTTTTGTCTCTCAACAGTCAGCTGCCCCCTTTCCATTCCCTCTTCCCCTGGACCAGTTTCTGAGTCATGGCTCTGCCCAGGTGACAATAATAGTGAGGTAATCTACATAATAGGCAACTGAGCTATTCGTGCCTAATAAAAAAGTGAACTTCCTGAGGCTAGCCAGTCAGTGCCTTTAAATAAAACTGAAATCAGATGAAAAAAGAGATCTTTACAATTGCTTAAATCACTGCCTCCTGCACCTGTGGAAGGGAATATGTGGCAGTCATATGTTGAAATCTAATATGCAGGCTCCTAGTCTCTTAGAACTGATTACTTTAATGAATTTTAAAGGTAGAGCTTTAATTAAAACAGGTCTCTGTGGACAGAAAGCATGCTATTTTGTGAGCTCTGTAAATATTGCCTTTTAAACTAATAAGTTCAGTTACCAGAAATACTACTGCATATAAACAGTTGGTATTTTTTTCTTTCTTCCTGTGCTGTGGAAACATAACTAGATATTGAAGAGAGGCAGGCTGCATTTCAAAGCCTGGCATTTGGCTTTCAGAATAATAGTGACTTAAATGTGCAGGACATCTTTCTCTGCTGGAGCACAAGGAACTTTCAAGGCATGATCTCATCCTGTCTTCAACTATCTTCCTATGAGGCTGGACTCAGGAAAACAGCATTGACTATGGCAGCATTGACAGGCCTTTGTGACTGGCCTCAAGCCTTCCATTGCACCCCTACCCCACCCTCTACATGACTGAGAAGACTGAGGTCAGCCAGAGGGACTCCACAATTTCCTTTCCGTTTCTCCTCACCCAGCCATTACCACTTTCATCTCTTCAAAAGAGGAGTAATAAATAATATCAGTGTTGTGTATGATAATAGCTGATGTGCATGTGCCAGTCACTGGATTAAGCATTGACATATATTATTTCATTTAATCTTCTAAACAAACCTGTGAGGTAAGTGCTAATATTATCCCCAAGAGTTCCTCCACTTCACTCAGAATAACAGCCAAAGCCCTTGCAATAGCCTGCAAGTCCCTGTTAGCTCTCAAACTCATTGCCTCCTCTCTTTGCCTTTACCTGGTGGAGTATATGAGAGATGAGGACAGGCTAGAACAGCAGGCCCCACATTTAGAAATTAGCCTGCCAATATTTTTTAAAAGAGACCCTTTATTGGGCACCTACTCTATGCCAAGTTTCAAGCCAATCACTTTTACACAAATTATTGACCTTTCTCAGCCACTCTGTGAGAAAAGTATTGTTATTATACCCATCTTAGTGATGAGAGAACCAAGGCTTGGAGAGGCTGAGTTACTTTCTTAAGGCCGTATATCTGGTGTAAGACAAGCCAAAAGCTTAAAACCAAACTGTCTACCTGCTCTCTTTTCATTAAACCCACTGCCTCCCAAAGCCTAGAAATATGTCTGCAGACACATGAGGAATGCTACAACCTCTCCCACATCTCACAGTGGTCTCATTTCTTAACTTCCCCTAAGCAGCAGCATAATTTTATAGGCTGAGAGGAGGAGTACATGACTTGTATCACCTGTCATTCACCTCTAATTATGTGACTCAGCTATTGAGTACTTTACTGTCAGAGAGCAGCTCCTGTCAGTAGAAAGTTCTGTCTTCATTCAAATAACCTCTAATTTGTGGCCTGAATATTTCCTTTTCGGTTATTTAGAGGAGGTATTAGTCATGCTGTGGTCAGTTTCAGGATCCCCACATGTTCTCCCTAAGTTTTTACTCATCTTCAGATTTATTTCAATGACTTGGTGATTTGCAATCCTGACTGAAGACCAATGAATGGAGGCCCTTGACTCTGGAGGATGTGGCAGAGACCCTTAGCACTCACCAACATTCATGTTCTAATCATATTAGGCACACTTGACTATAGTTCCCAGGCTGCAATAAGGTACGGCCACATGATTATGCCACATAAAATGTGAGAGGAAATGATGTGCACTGTGTCTAGACTTAGCTCATAATGAGTCTTTGATCCTCACTCCCTTTTCCTATGTATTAGATTAGTGCATAGAACTCTGAGGACTTAGAGGAGCCTGGGTCCTGGATGACAATGTGGGAACTGCTCAACCAGGAATATTTGCATTGGATGGTGACATGAGTTAGAAATAGCCTTTTTGTGTTAAGTCATTGAAATTTGAGATACAGAAGCTAGCTTTATTTTCTCTAACTAATATAGAGGAAAATATAATTTTGGGGTGTCCATAACTTAGATTGAAAGGAAGGAGGTGAAACAAGTCAAGAAAAGCAGAAACACTGATGAGGAGGAACTGATATATGCTGGAATGAACAACCCTCTTTCTCCACCTCCTTGTATTCTTTATCTTATTACTGTCTTCTCCTTTCTGAAAAGAAATCAACAGAACTTTGACCGAGTGAGAGCATTACTTTCCATGTAGAGTTGATTAAAGCAGCAGACGCCAATGAGTTAATGACTTCCATGTACGTGCAAACACATTGATCAACCTCAGTATCTCTCCAATTGGTGGAATATGGGGGAGATATTTTTGAGGAGGGTTCTAATGTGTGGCAGTCACTACTGACCTGAGGGAGGTCTTCTGTCCCCACCACCAGTCCTGGTGCATCTATCTAAAGGTAAATCTGTCCTCCTAACCCTTCTGCAGTGACTCTGACCCATGAGGGTCAATACAAGCAGAATCACTATTGGGGAATGGTGATTTGCGTATTCAATACCAGATACCTCAGTGGAGAGAGGGCCCTGGGCAGGAATGCAAAGAATCTATATTTTTAACAGGTAACACAGAGGCTTATTGTAGCTCTCATCAACCTGTGGAGGCATTACTCTTAAATCTGGAAGAGATTTTGTATGGATTGTACAGATGGAGGCTTCGGAGAGTGAAGTAGACTAGACTTGTTCAGCATCCTATGGCTGGTCAGTGCCAGAGCGAGAACTAGATTAAGGCTGACTGCTCCAGACTCTTTCAATGTAAATTTGGGTTTCATCATTTCATAAAGATGAGAAGTAATTTTAACGTGATAAATCTTTTAGAGTGTACTGAGCTTGGAGGCAAATCTTCCCCCAAACTCAGGGGAAGTTGTGGAAATATAGCTGAGCGAGTAATATCTTTGAGTATATATTTATTTGATGATATCATAGTGTTGTAAATGAAGTGTTTCTTTCTGAAATATTAATTTGGAGATTTGCCTGACATCATGCAGTTTTTGCCTCTGCTGTGTTATGTGAAAAACGTGTTTCTTAATGAATGACTAATAGCTGCATGTCTGTTTATCATTATTTAGTCATTAAACATTTACAGAGCATTTATTGGGGGCACCATGCTAGGTGTTGCTTGCGGGAGTGTGCCAATGTATGGGCAAAAGACAGTGCCCTCTTCTGGGGTACTGGCCCTTAAGCTTTCAAGACCCACCCCATATTCTTGCACAGGAGCCTTCAAGAAAGCCAGAGGAGCTTTCATCACAGAGTGACATTCTACCTTCCCCTGGTCAGCACTGCTCAGTTTGTCCAGGCTCTCATATTTTTCTCTTCGTGGATTCATTCCCATAGTCTTTATTGCTACTTAGCCTCTTCTGCGTTTAAAGGTCTGTTGTCCTGCTTTTCTTAAGCACTACATTTTTTAATTATGCAAAAATTATATATTCTTTGTAGGAGGTATACAAAATATAGACAAGCAAAAGAAGAAAAAATGCGTTAATTCCACTGACCAGAGTAAAACACTGCTGACATTTGGTGGACATCCTTCCGGTCTTCCAGAGCTACCAGTCTACATATAGAGATGCATATATTTCTGATTTATCAACATGGGATTATAATTCACGCACTATTTCCTTTTTCTATTTTTTTTTTCTTTGACAGAGTCTTGCTCTGTTGCCCAGGCTGAGGTACAGTGGTATGATCTTGGCTCATTGCAACCTCCGCCCCCCAGGTTCAAGCAATTATCTTGCCTTAGCCTCCCAAGTTTCTGGAGCTACAGGCATATTATACCATGCCCGGCTAATTTTTGTATTTTTAATATATATATGGTTTCGCCTTGTTGACCAGGCTGGTCTCGGATTCCTGGTCTCAAGTGATCCTCCTGCTTTGGCTTCCTAACGTGCTGTGGGATTATAGGCATGAGCCACAACACCCAGCCCACACACTATTTTATAACCTGCCTTTTGATCAACTGTGAAAATTTTTCCATCACCATAAATACATGTTTTACTTTTATTTTTGATGACTTGAATCACATTTCACTGTAAAGGGGTATTATCATTTATTTACTTAAATAATCACATCGTACTGAATATTATTTCTAGTTTTTTCACTGAAATATGCAGTATTTCTGTATTCCATATCTCCTAACCCAATGACTGGTAAACATTTGGGTTACTGCTAAGAGTTAACAAAGGCTGCTGCCAGCTCACCCGCCCCACCCCTACTCATCAGCAGTGATCTGGCTGGGGCCTGAAAGGTGGAGAACCTGGTCTGCAAAAAGGCTCTGGCTTATCTTGGCATATTTACTCATTTCTAAATGGGAATCACATTACTTGAAATACAAACATAATTTAATGACTTTTAAAAATATGTAGCTGTCTCCATTCTAACTGCCCATTAAGGTGGGGTGAATGCCTTTAGAATGGTTTGAAAAATGATATGCAGATAAATGTGAAGTTGAGAGGGAAGGAATAAAAAGAGAGGCAGCCTGCCATATATACCACAGTTTCAAATCCATTCTGCCACTAACTCTCTGAGCAACCTTGAGAAGACCTTTTGCCAAGCTGGGCCTCAGTGTTTCAGTGTACACAAAAAGGTGGATGGACATTGATCTTTAGGATTCCTGCCAGTTGTAATGATCTAAGACTACAAAACCAACAGGTTGAGGTTTACAATTCATCTCCACCTCTTTTTCCAAGCTATGAGGTTTTTAGAGAAGGAAGTGTCTTGTATAGTCTAACAATACTTCAGCCTGGGTCCAAGACCTGAAGGGAAAAAATATAATATAATCTGATCACCCTAATCAAAAAGGTTGAATTAGCTTGCCGTAATTTCATGCTTTAAAGCCTTCTGACTAGGACTAACTTAATGTACCTTATAGAATCTAAGATGCCACATATGTAAGATACTCTCTTATGTTACATACCAATAAGAATTTTTTTAACACTGAAAATTCAACTGTGATACAATTCTGTCTTACGATTCAATTATGACATGCATTCCAATTCAGTGTTGCTAAAATTTCTTACTCAGTAAGAAAAATAATCTTGAGATTATCTACCCTTTACACCTCCAGACTCCTTTATGTTGTACAGGGGAAGAGGGACCAAGGAAGTAATGTGAGTTTCCCAAGGCCACAGAGACAATATGGATCTAGAACCAAAATGCAATAGAAAAAGAAAAGTATTTGCACAATGGCAGGGTAAAAATCTCCAAAAACACACCCCTCTGTGAAGGCAAGGAAATCACTGGCAAAAGTTGTCAAAATCAACTTTTTCAGAACTCTGGAAATTAACTAAAGGCTTGCAAAAATCCATGGAGCATTTTATTCAAGTAAAACAGCTGAATCTTGATAAGAACAGAGAGCTTTGTGGCGCTTTCACTTTCCCTATTCACATCTTTCTTTCCTCAACAGCAGCCTTGAAAATCAGCTGCCCAGCAGCCAGTGGAAAGGGAAGAATGGATTGGAGCTCCCCCAAAGCCCATCCCTAGAGAAGTGTCACTATTGGACCTAGTTAGTTGGCAGCATGCAGAAAAGTGCCATTCTCAGGGCTTTTCTTTCTTTGACCTGACTCACATCTTGTCCACGGCAAATAACCCTATCCACAAGGTGTTTGGTAAAAACGATCAGCAACAATTGCTTAATAGTGCAGCTGCCTGATACAGAAATATCAATTTGAGAAAAAAGAAGCCAGCCAAAACCTTTAGAGGCAAAACTGGGAAATGGGATGCCCGTGGGGTGTTTTGAAAAACTCCAACAAAGTCCTGGGTATCTAGAAGGCCATGCATGTACATAGAAATGTGAACATGCCAAGGAAAGTCCTCAGAGAGCACTAATATATCACCTAGGGCTAATATGGAAGCCCTGCACAAGCAGGAAGTAAAAGCTAAGGCAGAGTTGCCAACTGCTGGAACGTTTAAACAGGTACCCTAAAACACACACACACACACACACACACACACACACACACACACACACACACGTTCAAGAGCAGTGGTAGCCAATCTTTTGGCTTCCCTGCACCACACTGGAAGAAGAAGAATTGTCTTGGACCACATGTAAAATACACTAACACTAACAACAGCTGATGAGCTAAGAAAAAAAAAAACACACAAAAATATCTCATAATGTTTTAAGAAAGCTTATGAATTTGTGTTGGGCTACATTCAAAACTGTCCTGGGCTGCATGCAGCACACAGGCCATGGGTTGGACAAGCTTGCTCTAAGCAAAGGGTGGAAGAGTTGTTGATTTGGTTCACAACATTTAAGAAAAATCTTTGTTGACTTATTAGCTTACCACTACAGTGATGAAACAGAGACTTCAATTGCTGCCCATGAAAGATAATAGAAACTTTATAGAACTTGTCTAGGAAAGCCACTAAACAGATGAACATGAACAAAAGCAAAACACCAATAAACAGTAATAGCAATAAATTCTGGAGAGAAGGAATCTGATTTTCATAGTTACCATATTATATTATTATAAAGGTTCAGTTTAGAATCAAAAATTAAGATGTCTGAAGAAACAAAAATATATGGCCCACATACAGGGAGGGGGAAAGCAGTCAATAGACATTTACCCTGAGGGAGCCCAGATGACAGATTTATTCTCCAGAAACTAAAACTTAGCCATTATAAACATGCTTCAAAAAACTAAACTATAGACCAATATCCCTTATGAATATACATGCTAAAATCTTCAACAAAATACTAGCAAACCAAATCTAGCAGCATATCAAAAAGATTATACGTCATGAACAATTGAGATTTGTCTAATGAATGCAAGGGTTTCATTATAAAAATAAATTAATCAATGGTTATTAGTCAGCTAAGGCTACCGTAAGAGAATACTACAGACTGGTTGGCTTAAACAGAAGAAATTTAAGGCTGAAAGTTCATGAACAAGATATTGAGAGGGTTGGTTTTTGTTTCTTGTAAGGCCCCTCTCCTTGACTTGCAGATGGCCACCTTCTTGCTGTGTCCTCACATGACTTTTCTTCTGTGAACAGGCATTCCGAGAGTATTTGCGTTTTCTAATAAGACACCAGTAGCATTGAATTAGGGTCCCACCCTTATGACCTCATTTAACTATAATTACCTCCTTAAAGGCCCTATATTCAAATGCACTCACATTGGAGGTTAAGGCTTCACTATGTGGATTTGGGGCACACAATTCAGTCCGTTACACAATGTAATAACCACGTTAATAGAATAAATTTTAAAACCCACATGATTAGCTCAGTTGATGCAGAAAAACATTTGATACAATTCAATGCCCTTTCATAATAAAAACGAAACTAGGAGGGATAGAAGAGAACTTCTTCAACGTGATAAAGAACATTTATGAGAAACCCACAATGAACATCACACTCAATGGTAGAAGACTAAAAGCTCTTCACCTAAGATCAAGAACAATACAAGGATGCTTTCTATTGTCACTTTTATTCAATATTGTACTAGAGATTCTAGTTAGAGCAATTAGACAAGAAAAAGAAAAAAAGAATCCAAACTGGAAGGGAAGAAGTAAAATGATCTCTATTCTCAGATAATGATATGGTTTGGCTGTGTCCCCACCCAAATCTCATCTTGAATTGTAATCCCCATAATCCTCATGTGTCTAGGGAGAGACCTGGTGGGAGGTAATTGAATCTGGGGGTGGTTCCCCCAAGCTGTTCTCGTGATAGTAAGTTCTCATGAGATCTGACGGTTTTATATGGGGCTCTTCCCCCTTTGATCCTCACTCTTCTCTCTCCTGCTGCCTTGTGAAGAAGGTGCTGACTTCCCCTTCCACCATGATTGTCAGTTTCCTGAGGCCTCCCCAGCCATGCAGAACTGTGAGTCAATTAAACCTCTTTCCTTTATGAATTACCCAGTCTTGGGCACTTCTTTATAGCAGAGTGAAAATGGACTAATACAGATAACATGGTCTTACATATCCTACAGTATCCACAAAAATTTAGTGCTAATAAATTAAGAAAAGTTCCAGGATACAAGATCATCATTAAAAGATCAGTTGCATTTCTGTGCACTAAAAATGAACAATCCATAAAGAAACTCAAGAAAATAATTTCACTCATAATAGCATCAAAAAAAGAAACACTTAACAATAGATTTAACCAAGGTGGTGCAAGACTTGTACACTAAAAACTGCAAACATTGTTAAAAGAAATTAAAGAAGAATTAAACAAATGAAAAGACATTGGCATTCATGAACTGAAAGAATATCGTCAAGACAGCAAAACTCTCCAAATTGATCTAAAGGTTAAATGCAATCTCTATCAAAATCCCAATAATTGAGTGTAGTGGCACACACCTGTAGTCCTAGCTACTCAGATGGTTGAGACAGGAGGATTACTTGAGGCCGGGAGTTTGAGGTTACAGTGAGCTACGATTACGCCACAGCACTCCAGCCTGGACTCTGTCTCAAAGAGATAAATCCCAGTAATATTTTTGTGCATAAATAGAAATTTTGATCCTAAAATTAATATGGAATTTAAAGAGACCTCAAATAGGCAAAACAATCTTAATAAAGAACAAAGATGGAGGGGTCACACTTACCATTTTAAAAGTTTACTAAAAAGCTACAGTAATAAAAAAAAGTGTGGTAAAATCATAAAAAGTGTTCATAAATAAACCCACATATCTATAGTCAATTGAATTTTGATAGAAATGCCAAGACTATTCCATGGGTAAAGTACAGTCTTTTGTTAATACATAATAATCATACATATTTATGAGGTATGTCTGATGTTTTGATACATATATACAAGGTGTAATGATCAAATAAGGGTATTTAGGGCATCCATTACTTCAAACATTGATCGTTTCTTTGTGCTGGGAACATTTCGAAACTTCTCCTCCAGCTATTTTGAAGTATACAATAAATTGTTGTTAACTATAGTTACCCTACTCTGCTGTTAAACACTAGAACTTATTCCTTTTATCTAACTGTATGTTTATACTCATTAACCAACCTCTCTTTAGCGCCCCCTTCCCAGCCTCTGGTAATCATCATTCTACTCTCCACTTGAGTGAAATAAACTTTTTAGCTCCCACATACAAGTGAGAACCTGAGAAAACTGTATATCCACAAGCAAAACAATGAAGTTGAACCTTTACCTTACAGCACGTACAGTACATGGATTCCGTGGGCTCAGGGGTATACTATACCATTTTAGGTAAAGAACTGGAGGCCGGGCGCGGTGGCTCACGCCTGTAATCCCAGCACTTTGGGAGGCCGAGGCAGGCCGATCACGAGGTCAGGAGAAGGAGACCATCCTGGCTAACACGGTGAAACTCCGTCTCTACTAAAAATACAAAAAAATTAGCTGGGCGTGGTGGCGGGCGCCTGTAGTCCCAGCTACTCGGGAGGCTGAGGCAGGAGAATGGTGCGTGAACCCGGGAGGCGGAGTTTGCAGTGAGCCGAGATTGCACCACTGCACTCCAGCCTGGGCGACAGAGCGAGACTCCATCTCAAAAAAAATAAAATAAAATAAAAAGAAGAACTTGAGCATCTGTGGATTTAGATATCTACAAGTGGTCCTGGAACAAATCCCCTGTGGATACTGAGGGACAACTGACAAAAATTAGCTCAAAGTGGATTAATGACCTAAACATAAGAGTTAAAATGATAAAACTCTTAGGAAAAATAAAATAAAATTTATAAATCTAAAGAAAATGATATAATTTAAATAATATATATAAATTGTCAATGAGCACATAAAAAGATGTTAAATATCACTATCATTTGGGAAATACATAACAAAACCACAATGAGATACCACTTTATACCCATTATGATGATTATTATCAAAATAACAGAAAATAAGAAGTGTTGACAGGGATGTGGGCAGATTGGAGTCCTTATACACTGCTGGTGGGAATGTAAAATGGTGCAGCTCTTATGGAAAACAGTATGGTGACTTCCCAAAAAAATTAAAAATAGGGCCGGGCACAGTGGCTCATGCCTTTAATCCCAGCACTTTGGGAGGCCGAGGTGGGCGGATCACAAGGTCAAGAGATCGAACTTCCTGGCCGACATGGTGAAACCCCGTCTCTACTAAAAATACAAAAATTAGCTGGGCGTGGTGGCGGGCACCTGTAGTCCCAGCTACTCAGGAGGCTGAGCTAGGAGAATCGCTTGAACCCGGGAGGCAGAGGTTGCAGTGAGCCGAGATCGCGCCACTGCACTCCAGCCTGGCAACAGAGTGAGACTGCATCTCAAAAAAAAAACTACCATATGATCCAGCAATTCCACTCAAGTATCTATTGACAAATAAATGAATAAACCAAATGTGGTATATACACACAATGGATATTATTCAGCCTTAAAAAGGAAGGAAATTCTGACATATGCTACGACATGGATAAACCTTGAATACATTGTTCTAAGTGAAATAAGCCAGTCCCCAAAAAACAAATACTGTATGATGTCACATATATGAAGACCTAGTGTAGTCAAATTCATAGAGACAGAAAGTAGAATGGTGGTCGCCAGAGACTATGTAGAGAGCAGAGTGGGGAGTTATTATTTAATGGGTACAGAGTTTCAGTTTTGGATGATGAAAAAGTTCTAGAAATTGGTGGTGGTAATGTCACAAACCACATTCTGAATTGGACACTTAAACTAGCTAAAATAGCACATTTTATGTTATGTATATTTGCCACAATAAAAAAAGAGAATGTTCTTAAGAACTGCACATTGAAGCATTTAAGGGTTGAGTGGCACAATGTGTCCAGCTTACAATGGTTCAGAAAAAGAAATCATATACATGTACACAAATACGTATACATACATACACACACATATAATCCTTTTTCTGAATCGCTGTATGCATACGTATATGTGTGTGTGTGTGTGTATATATATATATATAAAATGCAAAGAGAGAATGAGAATGAATAATAAAACCATAAAACGAGGGTAAATGTAAACAGTCGGTGAATTCAGGAATAAGTATACAGAAGTTCTTTGTTTCTTCCAACTCTAAGTTAGAAATCACATCAAATTTAAATGAAACAAATTAGATAAAATAAATCAGAATTTATATAAGTGCTTAGCACAATGTTCAACCAAGCAGAGCTCCCTTACCCCCACTTCTGTCACTCTGCTTTATCAGGACCTGAAGAGAATAAGAAGAGGCATTTTTCTCCAAATTATTCAGTCTTTCTACTTATGCCAGCCACTGGTGTCCTGGCTGCCTCCGCTTTTGTTATTCTGAGGATTTCTGGATCTCAAGGGCCGGTGGTCCAACAGGCCTGCTGACAGTGTGTTTAACAAGCAAATCATCAAGGACACACTCAGCTCTGTTAGGGCCATTACTCACTTTGGAAGACAGCTTTCTGGACTGGAATCAGGAGTGCTAGGGACAGAGCAACTACTCTTCCTTATTCCCCCTCTGAAATGCTCTCCTGAGCCACAGCAGTTATAGTCTCTCTCTCCAAGGTCTGCTGAAATTATCATAATGAAGACACCAAGGTAGACTATGATACATAATTTACACTGAATATCTGAGGGAAATGGTAGGATACAGATGAAACATAAAATCATAGTCCTTGCCTTCAAGGAGTCTACAATCTAGCTGGGGAGACCACACTAACGCCAAGGGCCTTGCTTGCTTAATGCTGGAGGGGAACCAGATATAAATCTTGCAGTCTCTATACTGGAAGGGCTGGACAGACCAAAGAGGACACCAAGAACTTCCGGAAGAGACCAAGGTCACAATGGTAGGTTTCATGGAAATACTAGAAGACATTCTGTCTGCTACAGGCCAGTGAGGCAATTAGTGGTAAGAACAAGAGTGCAGGTGGAGGTGTAGCTCAGCAACTCTCAAACTGTGATAGGCATAGGAAACACCTGAGCATCTGTTAATAGGCATAGGAAACACCTGAGCATCTTGTTAAAGTGCAGATTCTGATGCAGTAGGTCTGAAGTGGGGCTTGAGATTCTGCAATTCTAACAGGCTCCCAGGTAACACTGATGTTGCTGATCTCTGCAGAACTTACTTTGAGAAGCAAAACCAAAAAAGATTGTCTGACTTGTTGTCAATTAAACCATTCATTCAGCAGTTTTTTTTTTAAAGAAACAACTATAATAGAAGGCCATGTAGGCATGGTTTGTTGGGTTTGAGGTCTTGCATAAAGTTGTGTGTGTGTGTGTGTGTGTGTGTCTGTAAAATAACTAAACTGAATGTTTAGTATGTGTGCCAGGCACAATGCTAAAGCCTCATATGGATTATTCCTTTTTAATTCTTGTAACAATCCCACGAGGGACACTATTACAGCTGAGGGATGGAGGACAAGAAGGTAAAGTTGTCCACGTTTATACATCTAAAAAGTGGCAGAGACAGGAATTGTGCCCAGAGAGTTGGACAACAGAGCTCTTTAACCAGTGCACTATACCAAGCCTGCATATGACCATTCACCCAGAACTCATAAATTCCCCAATGGCAAAATTTATCTGTGTGACCTTCTCTAGCTCCAATACCTAAAATGATGAAAAAATGTCTTTATAAAATGACAAAATAAACTTTTTTAGTTTTGTTTTTATTTTATGTTTATTTTTTGTGGATACATAGTAGGTATATATATTTATGGGGTACATGAGATGTTTTCTTATAGGCATGCAATGCATAATAATCACATCGTGGAGAATGGGGTATCCATCCCCTTAAGCATGTATCTTTTGTGTTACAAACAATCAAATTATACTCTTTTAGTTATTTTTAAATGTACAATTATTATTGACTATAGTCACATGCTGTGGTATCAAATAGTAGCTCTTATTTATTCTTTCTATTTTTCTGTATCCATTAACCATTCCCACCTCCCTCTCACTACCCTTCCAAGCCTCTTCATGAGGTCAATTGTTTTGATTTTTAGAGTCCACAAATAAGTGAGAACTTGCAGTCTTTGTCTTTCTGTTCCTGGCTCATTTCGCTTAACATAATGATCTTCAGTTCCATCCATGTTGTTGCAAATGACAGAATCTCATCCTTTTAATGGGTTAACAATACTCGATTACGTATGTGTACCACATTTTCTTTATCCATTCATCTGTTGATGGACACAGGTTGCTTCCAAATCTTGGCTACTGTGAACAGTGCTGCAACAAACAAGGCAGTACAGATATCTCTTCGTTATACTGATTTCCTTTCTTTTGGGTATATACCCAGCAGTGGAATGGCTGGATCGAATAGTTCAATCATATAGTTCAATGTTTAGGTTTTTTTTGAGGAACCTCAAAACTGTTCCCAAAAGTAGTTGTACTAATTTACATTCCTATCAACAGTTACGAGGGTTCCCTTTACTCCGCATCATCATCACCAGCATTTGTTATTGCCTGACATTTGGGTAAAAGCCATTTTCACTGGGGTGAGATGATATCTCATTGTAGTTTTAATTTGTATTTCTCTAATGATCAATGATGTTGGGCACCTTTTCACATGTCTGTTTGCCATTAGTGTATCTTCTTTTAAGAAATTCTATTCAGATCTTTCACCCATTTTAATTTATTTATTAGATTTTTTCTATAGATTTGTTTGAGCTCCTTATATATTCTGGTTATTAATCCCTTGTCAGATGGGTAGTTTGCACATATTGTTTCCTATTCTGTGGATTGTCTCTTCACTTTGTTGATAATTTTCTTTGCTGTGCAGAAGCCTTTTTAACTTGATGTGATCTCACTTGTCCATTTTTGCTTTGGTTGCCTGTGCTTATTGGGTATTACTCAAGAAATCTTTGCCCAGACCAATGTACGAGAGAATCTCACCAATATTTTCTTGTAGTAGTTTCATAGTTTGAGGTCTTAGATGTAAGTCTTTAATCCATTTTGATTTGATTTTCGTATATGGCAAGAAATAGGGGTCTAGTTTCATTCTTCTGCATATCGATGCCCAGCTTTCCCAGCATCATTTATTGACGAGACTGTCTTTTCCCTAGTGTATGTTCTTGGCACCTATGTCAAAAATGAGTTGACTGTAGGTGTAAGAAACATGTTTTGAGTGAATGCTTACTCTGTGCTAGACTTGACCAGGACCTATTACATAAAATAATCTCATTTAATTTAATCCTTGCAACAAACTTCTCACATAGATGCTGTAACCCCCATTTTACAAGTGATGAAACTAAGCTTTGCAGAAATTAAGCAATGTGTTCGAGCTTACTCAGCTAGTGTATGTCAGGATAATCAGAATTTGAACCCAAGTCATTCAGACTCCTAGGTCTGTACATTTTCCCACTGAATAGGCTGATTTTGCAGTGATATTCATACAGTCTTGAGGTTGTAGCTACTCAATGAACGCTTCTTTACTTGACTATATTTTAGTAGTCTAACCTGTGTGATCAAATTTAGCATTTACTGTTTATGCTACCACCTTCAGGCTAGATAGTTTCAGTGACATACTACACTCTGTCTCAACCCTTTCACATCCTAATCCAGATATCCTGGTTACCAAACTTTGACTATAGTCTTGTTCTCAAAGGTCCTTCCCAAAGAGTATTTTCAGAGTGTGTGAGTGTAGGTATGAGTGGATGGATATGGAGTGGTGGAGGCTAGCAAACATAAATGAACATCAGCCATATCTGGGGCTTCCAAACTTAAAAAGCCTCCACATTCTCTATACACAATTCAGTGGATTTTTGCTTTGGTTGCCTGTGATTATTTTAAATAATACATTTTGAAATTTACAGTGAAATCTGAGAAATCAAAGCAACAGAATGTCACAAAGAAAAAAACAGATGTGCTACACAATGAGTGGGGCTTGTACTAAGACTTGAGCAAAATGTTCTCATTTGTACCTCTTAACCATTATCAAGTTGGAATGAATTATAGGCATACCCCCATTTTATTGCACTTCACTTTATTGCACTTTGCAGATGTTGCATTTTTTTGTTTTGTTTTACAAATTGAAGGTTTGTGGAAACTTTTCTTTGAGCACGTCTCTGATGCTATTTTTTTTTCAATGGCATGTGTTCACGTCATGTCTGTACTACATTTTGGTTATGTCAAAATAATTCAATTTTTTTCATTATTATTATATCTGTTACGATGATCTGTGATCAGTGATTTTTGATGTTACTATTGTAATTGTTTTGGCGTACCATGAACTGTGCCGATATAAAATGACAAAACTTGTGTGTGTTCTGACTTCACCAACCAACAGTCCGTTCTTTTGTCTCTCTCCTTCTCCTTAGGCTTCTCTATTCCCTGAGACACAGCAATATTGAATTTAGGCCAATTGATAATGCTAAAATGGCCTCTAGGTGTTCAAGTGAAAGGAAGAGTTGCATGATTCTCATTTTAGAAAGCCAGAAATGATTAAGCTTAGTGAGGAAGGTATGTTGAAAGCCAACACTGGCAGAAAGCTAGGCCTCTTGTACCAAAGAGTCAGCAAAGTTTTAAATGCAAAGAAAAAGTTCTTGAAGGAAATTTAAAGTGCTACCCCAGTGAACACACAAATGATAAGAAAGTGAAATAGCCTTATTGATGATATGGAGAAAGTTTTAATGGTCTGGATAGAAGATTAAACCAACTACAACATTCCCTTAAGCCAAAGCCTAATTGAGAGCAAGTCCCAAATTATCTTCAATTCTATAAAGGACGAGACAGCTGAGAAAGTTTCAGAAGAAAAGCTTGAAGTTAGCATAGGTTGGTTTATGAGGTTTAAGGAAAGAAGTTGTCTACATAACACATTGCAAGACAAAGCTGAAAGTGCTGAGGTAGAAGCTGCATCAATTTATCCAGAAGATCTAGATCAGATCATTAGCAAAGATGGCTACACTAAACGATAGATTTTCAGTGTAGATGAAACAGCCTCTTAGAAGATATCACCTAGGACTTTCATAAATAGAGAGGAGAAGTCAATACCTGATTTCAAAGTTTCAAAGGACAAGCTGACTCTCTTAGGTGCTAATACAGCTAGTGACTTTAAGTTGAAGCCAATGCTAACTTACCATTCCTAAAATTCTAGGGCTCTTAAGAATTATGCTAAATGTACTCTGCCTGTGTTCTATAAATGGAACAACAGAGCAGGAATGACAGCACAGGTGTTAATAGCATAATTTAGTGAATATTTTAAACCCACTGTTGAGACACACTACTCAGAAAAAAAAAGATTCCTTTCAAAATACTACTGCTCATGGGCAATGCAGCTGGTCACCCAGAAACTCTGATGGAGATGTACAAGGAGATGAATGTTGTTTTCATGCTTTTTAACACAACAATTCCGTAGCCTATGGATCAAAAAGTAATTTTTACTTTCAAGTCTTACTATTTAAGAAAATCATTTTATGAGGCTATAGCTGACATAGAGATTCTTTGGATGAATCTGGGCAAAGTAAACTGAAAACCTTCTGGAAAGAATTCACCATTCCAGATGGCTATTCCATAGCCATTAAGAACATTTGTGATTCATGGGAAGAGCTCAAAATATCAGCATTAACAGGAGTTTGAAAGAAGTGGATTTCAACCCTCATGAATGACTTTGAGAGTTCAAGACTACAATGAAGGAAATAACTGAATATGTTGTGGAAATGGCAAGAGAACTAGAAGTGGAGCCTTAAGATGTAACTGAGTTGCTGCAATCTTATAACACTTTAACAGATGAGGCCTTATTTCTTATGGATGAGAGAAGAAAGTGTTTACTTTAGATGGAATCTACTACTGGTGAAGAGCTGTGAAGATTGTTGAAATGACAACAAAGGATTTAGAATATTATATCAACTTAATTGATAAAACTGCAGCAGGGTTTGAGAGGATTGCCTCCAATTTTGAAAGATTTACTGTAGGTAAAATGATATCAAACAGCAGCACATGCTACAGAGAAATCTTTCATGAAGAGTCCATCAATGTGGCAAATGCCATTTTTGTCTTATTTTTAAAAATTGCCATAGCCACCCAAACCTTCAGCAACCACCCAACTCAGATCAGTCAGCAGCCATCAACATGGAGGAAAGACCCTCCACCAGCAAAATGATTAAGACTTGTTGAAGGCTCAGATGATTGTTAGCATTTTTGAGGAATAAAGTATTTTTAAATTAGGGTGGGTACATTGTTTTTAAATACATAATACTATTGCACACTTAATAGACTACAGTATAGTGTAAACATAGCTTTTATGTGAACTGGGAAACCAAAAATTCATGTGACTTGTGAATTTTTTGGTGGTCTAAAACCAAACTCACAGTATCTCCAAGGTATTCTTATATTATGTTAAATGAGATATTTTAAATACACAGAAAAGTATAGAACGTACTAGAATTGACACACCCGTATGCCCACATCCCAAATTAATAAAAGTTGACATTTTGCTCAGGTTTTTTTTTAATTTTTTTAATTAAAAAATTATGTTGCAGAAACTTTAAGTTTTAAGATGGTGAAGTAAAACAGTGATTTTTGAATTTGGGTGAATTTACTCATGGGACTACATAGGCACTTTGTGTTTATTTCTATATCCCCTCCTTATGCATTCTCTCCTGAAATTGATTTGCCTGAGAAAAGATTTCAGGAAGACTTAATAAAGTTGCCCACAGATCACTAAAAATAATTTTAATTAATTAATTTTTAATTGACAAAATTGATATATATTTATTGAAGCTCGGGGTGGTGGCTCATACCTGTAATACCAGCACTTTAGATGGCTGAGATGGGTGGATGGCTTGAGCCCAGGAGTTCAAGACCAGCCTGGGCAATATAGTGAGACCTCGTCTCTACAAAAAATACAAAAATTAGCCGGGCATAGTGGTGCGCACCTGTAGTCCCAGCTACTCAGGAGGCAGAGGTGGGAGGATCGCTTGAACCGAAGAGGTTGAGGCTGCAGTGAGCCATGATGGGGCCACTGCACTCCAGCCTGGGCAACAGAGTGAGACACTGTCTCAAAAATGAACAAAAAAAGATATATATTTATTGTGTACAACATGATGTTTTGAAAATGTATACTTTGAGATAATTAACGTGCGCATTACCCTACATACTTATTATGTTTTGTGGTGAGACACTTAAAATGTTTAAATTGTATATTTTTAAATACACAATATGTTGTCATCAACTATAGCCACTATGATATACAATACATCTTCTGGACTTACTCCTTCTGTCTAACTGAAATTTTATGTCCTTTGACCAACATCTCCTAAGTCCCCCACTGCCAACCCTCTAGCCTCTGGTAACCACCATTTTACTCTATTTCTATGAGTTTGACTTTTTACACTCCACATTTAAGTAAGGTCATGTGGTATTTATTTTTCTGTCTTTGGCTTATTTCACTTAATATGTGGTCCTTCAGGTTCATCTATATTGTCAAAAACGACACTCTTTCTTTCTTAAGGCTGAATACTGTTCCATTGTGGATATGTACCACATTTTCCTTATCCATTCATCCATTGATGGACACAGGTTGATTCTATTTCTTGCCTATTGTGAATAATGCTGCAAAGAATGTGGGAGGGCAGGTGTCTCAACCTATTGATTTTAAATCCTTTGGGTATATACGCAGTAGTGGGATTACTGGAGCATATAGTAGTACTATTTTTAATCTTTAAAGAAACCTCTATACTATATATTATGCTATTTTCCATAATGACTGCATTAATTTATACTATCATCAAGAGTGTACAAAAAATAATTTGTGATAAAATATCTTAAGTGATTTTGGCATGTAACTCAGAAAGAGTTCAAGGAATAGAGTGACATTGTTATACCAAACTCTTTCTAGTACTTGTTTATATAAACCAAATTTCTTAGTCCTGGCAAATACAAAAATGTTAAAAGAAGAATAGAATTGATACTAAACTCTATCTCTAGCAAAAAGTAATATTCACCCTGAGATACATGAATTAATTAAAAACCCATTTTCAACCAATGCATTAAGAGATGCGTTTGCAATAAAATTTAATTTTGGGTTTAGGAATTTTTCATCAAAAGATTTAATACATGTATATTGTTTTTAAAAATTGCTTAATATGGATCATTGTAACGACAGCCCAGTCCGGAAAAAAAAACACATAGAGCCTTATGTTAATAAAAAAGAAATTAATTTTAATTTATGTACACATTTTAATGTGGATAAATTATAGATATTCAAGCATAAAAATCCGGGGATGGAATGGAATGGATGAATGAGGTCGAGGAAAAACAGGAACTATGTATATTTAAAGTAGACAATGGTGAGCAATAAAGAATGGTTTAGCAGTTTTATTTTCTTTACACTGTGTGGAAAATAATACTCCTTGTACCTATTTGCACATATCACAAAAAATGTCAACTTTAAAATGTGCAAAGGAGCACATTGTTGTTAAAAGTTTGGGGAGAATTAGAATAAAAATACACGAAGGCCAACTGAAATAAAGAGTTTACTGCCTCCTTCTCTCAAAAGTAAACTCAAATCAGTCCTTTGTGGCATCCTACGTATGTATTTGAAAAGAATGTGAATTCTCTATTATTTGAGTTCAAAGTTCCATGTGAGTCTACCAGAGAGTACCTGTCAAGTGTTATTCAAATCTTCCATAGGTTTGCTAATCTTTGTTTGCTTGAGCCATCAGTTTCTTAGTAAGGTATATTAAAAGTCTTCCACTCTAATTGTGGATTTATAAAATTTTGTCATTTGGTTAATGTTTTGCTTTATATATATTGATGCTATGTTGTCAAGTACATAGAGGTACATCACTGTGATTATTCTTGGTGGATTTTTCTTTTTGTTGTTACTAAATGTCTTCTTATTTCTAGTAATCCTTTGCATTTTATAATCTATTTCATCTGATACTAATATAATTAAATCAACTTTTTTTAGTATTTTTGTAGTATATATTTTTCAATCTTTTTACTTTGTGTATTATTATGTTTTAGATGTATCTCTTGTAAGTATCAGATGGCTCGCTACTTTTAATGCAGTATGAGAATCTTTCTTTTAATAGTTGTATTTAACCTGTTCACATTTATCATTTAAGTATCTTGAGGTATTTCTCCTCTTCAGTTTGTCTTTTCTTTTTACTCTGCTATTTATTTAATTCATTTTTTCTCTTTACCTGCTTATTGGAACAATCAAGGATTCTTTATTCCTTTCCCCCCTCTCTTGGTTTGTTATACATTTTATTTCTATTATTTTAGTCATTATCCTTAAATTTTTACTCTTTATACTTAACACAAACCAAAGTTAATCAATATTTCAATCCTTCTAAACAACACAATGACTTTAAGCTGCTTTAATTCTGAGTTCACACTTTCCATTTTCCATGTTACTATTGTTTAGATGTTTAATTTCACCTTATAATGATCACTTTTATTAGGACATTTTTATAGTTGACATTTACTGAAGAGGCAATAGAGCAAAATGATTATGAGCACAATCTATGTAGTCAGACTGTGCCATTTACTAGCTGTGAGACCATGAGCAAGTTACTTAACCTCTCTGTTTTCTCATTTATAAAATAGGATTAAATAGGAAACTGTCTCACAGGATTGTTGTAAAATGTTTATGACAGTGTCTGCCTCATATTGCTTTATAAGTATTATGTACTAGTAGTGGAAATAATGTTTAGATTTATCAAAGTGTTTAGCACTTTATTTACAGTGCTTTTTGCATTTAACACTTTTCTTCTAGCTTCTATTTTATTCTCATGGTGACATATCATTTAGTAATTCTGTTAGTTTGTCAGTAACAAATTCAGGATTTATATGTCTATTAAAGTTTTTATATTATGTTCACTTTAGGATGATAGTTTAGCTGCGTATAGCTTATTAGATTGTTAATTTTTTTCTTAGTACTATGAATACATTATCTCACTGTTTTCTGAGATCTCATTGGTAATGCAATATCTACAGCCAACATGCATTTCTTTCCTTTGCAGTTAATCGTTATTTTCTTTCTGGCTGCTATTTGTTCTGAAATTTCACCACAGTGTGTCTAGGTGTGGTTTGCTGTAACTTATCCTCCTAAAGATTCAAGATGCTACTTGAATCTGGGGACGCTAGATTTTTTTAATTCTGAAAAATTTCTGGCAGTTATTACCTTAAAGATTGCATTTATATTGTAATCTTCTAAAACTCCTGATTGCCTTGTGTTGTCTCTTCTGAATCTATGTTTCATGTCTCTTAACCTCTTTCATATTTTCCATCTCTCTATCTCTTTTTGCTGCGTTTTCAGTGATGCCCTCAGATTTATCTTCCAGTTCATTTAACTCTCTTCAGCTATCTCTAATATATTGTTTAACTAATACGTTGAGTTTTAATTTCCATAATTACGTTTTTCAATGTACATTCTTATTTATATATTTTCAAAACCTACCTATTCTTACTATATTGTTTATTCCTTCCTTTATCTTTTATTCTTTTAGTTGACTTCAAAAGATGCTAAACTAAGTACATTTTAAATTCTGAATTATTTATTGTTCTGGGGGTCCAAATTCTCACCATATGTTTTTTTCTTGAAATTTTTGAATGTCAACCAGTCTTCAAAGGAGTTATTTTCAGTAGGCATCCTAGATCATTTGGTTGTAGAGAGCCAATCCTGTATGTCAATTTGGCTTTTTTTGAGATCTCTACAGAATTAGCTTTCTTCAGACTTATTTTTATGATTATTATATGGCCTCAGGTTTCTATAACATGCAAGTATTGTGAATTGAAACTCACATCGTGGATGATTCAGATTTGGGGGCCTGTATGTGCAGTCAATTCTCTGTATTATTATTATAATAATCCACAGTGCCAAGAAGATGATGAAATACTTTGCTGCTTCCCTTGGCTAGTAGGCAGAGTTTTCCTATTGCCCGTTTTATATAAGGGACACTTTTTGTGGCATGTGGCTTTATGCAGTGGGCTCAATTCTAGTTTTCTACATAGGCCTGAGTCCTTATTTGCTATTCCTTAGTAGATGTTAAAATCCAAACTCCCAGATGCAACTCTATTCCTTAGATCTCCATAAGCTGCTCTATTTCAACAGCCATTTGCCATTCTGACTTTGAGATTCTTCTTGTTTTTTGGGACATGGGGACTTATTCTTTTTATTTTTAACCTTGATTATGCATTTAAAAATGATTTTGTAATGTTTTATCTAGTATTTATTTGTGTTTGGAGCAAGAAGTTTGTGTTTGTTTTTACTGATATCTTAGTACACTACCTTGACAAGAAATCCCTCTGGTTTTACATTTGTCAGAACCAAAAACTTGGTAAGGGAGTGTTGTCATACAACTGATCCTAGATCAAGGATGTAACGATAAAAGTACTTTTGTTAATGTGCATTGTGCTTTACAGTACTTAGTATTACTTATTTGAAGCTATACTCTTGATGTATAAGTTGCTTCAAATAACTTTCTTCAAACACAAATATAAACTAATTATCTGCATTTTTATTTAGTGTGGAAACTTTTATACAGCTTTCTCCCAGGACAATTTAAATACAATGTAAATGGTGCAAGGTTTAGAATACAGTAAAGAGGCATTATGCTTAGCCACTTTCTCTCATATTGTTTTCCGGGGATGTTTCACAAAATTTAGTATTCTTGCTAAGATGTCTGTCATGACCTTTTTGACTTCTGAATCTTGATCCTCAAAGGTGTGTTTTTGTTGTTGTTTTTCAGAGTCTCATTCTGTCACCCAGGCTGGAGTGCAGTGGCACGATCTCGGCTCACTGCAACCTCCACCTCATGGGTTCAAGTGATTCTCCTGCCTCAGCCTCCCGAGTAGCTGGGATTATAGGCGTGTGCCACCACACCCAGCTAATTTTTTATATTTTTGGTAGAGATGGGGTTTCACCATGTTGGCCAGGCTGGTCTCGAACTCCTGACTTCAAGTGGTATGCCTGCCTTGGCCTCCCAAAGTGCTGGGATTACAGGTGTGAGTCACCGCAACTGTCCAATCCTCAAAGTTTTTTAAAAGATCATTCAATCATATAGCCTACATAAAACAAAAACTCACGTTGGTTTGGTACCACTTTACTACTGAAGTGAAATCTCAGGATTCAAATGATCTTTTTTTCTCATCAAAATAAATTTAAAAAAATTTTGTCTGTCAAATTTAGAGGGTATATCTCATCAAGGGTATTCAAGGCTGTTCAGAGGAGATCTTTGCTTGGAGCTCCTTTGTTATCTCCATAGAAATATTTTCTCATGACGGGCGTGGTGGCTCACACCTGTAATCCCAGCACTTTGGGAGGCCAAGGCAGGCAGATCACCTGTGGTCAGGAGTTGAAGACCAGCCTGGCCAACATGGTGAAACCTCATCTCTACCAAAAATAAAAAATTAGCCAGGCGTGGTGGCACATGCTTGTAGTCCCAGCTACTCGGGAGGCTGAGGCAGGAGAATCACTTGAACCTGGGACGCAGAGGTTGCAGTAAGCCGAGATCTGCACTCCAGCTTGAGTGACAGAGTGAGACTCTGTCTCAATAAATAAATAAATAAACAAACAAACAAACAAACAAATAGTTTAACATTATAAAAATAAAGATTTTCACATGAATGTGGATTTTGATGCTTGCCTTTTTCCATTTACGTGTCACCTTCCCATTTTTTCACAGAGGACTGCCAAGAATCAAGTTCATCTCATCTCTGGGTTGGACAAAACACATTCCTAGTTTACTGCACTTTTCAGTAAGGTTAGCCAGAATATTGGACCATATATGCTCTATACTCATAACTGTTAGAAAAACACAGGCTGGGAGTGGTGGCTCATGCCTGTAATCCCAGCACTTTGGGAGGCCAAGGTGGGTGGATCACCTGAGGTCAGGAGTTTGAAACCAACCTCGGCAACATGGTGAAACCCCATCTCTACCAAAAATACACACACACACACACAAATTAGCCAAGTGTGGTGGCACATGCCTGTGGTCCCAGCTACTTGCTATTCAGGAGGCTGAGGTGGGAAGATGGCTTGAGGCTGGGAGGTGGAGGTTGCAGTGAGCAGAGATTGATTGCATCACTGCACTCCAGTCTGGGTGACAGAGTGAGACTGTCTCAAAACAAAACAAAACAAAGAAAAAAAAAAGAAAAAGAAAAACAGACAAGATAGTTCACAAATCATGCAAATACCCTTCCTGTAAACGACAGAGCCAATTACTGGTATCTCCCTTTCAGTCTTGCATATATGCTGACATGTTGTGTGATGCCGGGAAAGAATCCCCTCCTGCTCTTTGTTCAACTTTTAACTTAAACTATGTAAATCTGTCCAAAAATTATTGTCTTTTTGAGTAGCAAGGACCTTACAGAGCAGCCAGAGATCACAACACATTTTAACAATGAGAATCTTCACTGAAATGAAGCAAAAATAATTGAATTACCATCCTAAGCAGAAATATGCAAAAAACATAAAATAGAAAATTAGGGAACATTGTGCCTAGGACAAGATACTTGTTATCATCTATTCTAGTAGCAATAATAACAGCTAAGAGTTTTTGATCACTTCTGTTCCAGGCATTGTGCTAAGAGCTTAATATGCAGTAGCTCATTTAATCTTCATAGTTATCATATGACATAGGCTTTTTCTTAAAGTGCTCCTCACCTTATAGATGGAGGAACTGAAGCTCTGAATATTTCAATGACCTGCTCCAACTTTCATGGCTAATAACTGGTAAAGCCAGAATTAAAATCCTGGAAGTCTGATTCTGGGCCTGAGTTCTTAACTGCTATGCTATGCTGCTTATGAAATAGACATGCTAATACTTATCCCATAGGATCATGTGTGGCGGGGGGGGTAACACTGAACCAGATAACATTATGCAATAGCATTCTTTTTATTTTATTTTATTTTTTTATTTGAGACGGAGTCTTGCTCTGTCGCCCAAGCTGGAGTACAGTGGCTCAATCTCGGCTCACTGCAACCTCTGCCTCCTGGGTTCAAGCGATTCTCCTGCCTCAGCCTCCTGAGTAGCTGGGATTACAGGCACGTGCCACCATGCCTGGCTAATTTTTTTGTATTTTTAGTAGAGATGGGATTTCACCATGTTGGACAGGCTGGCCTCAAACTCCTCACCTGATGATCTGCCCACCTCAGCCTCCCGAAGTGCTGGGATTACAGGCGTGAGCCACCGCGCCCGGCCTATGCAGTAGCATTTAGCACTGATATGTGGAATCCAGTACTCAGTTAAGTAAATGTCAGAGCATTTTGTCAGTCATGTAGCTGTCATTAGATTAATTAGGGCCTCTTAATCTAATGTTTATTAAACTATATCCTGAAAACTCCACACCCCAAACCACCAGTTCATTAAATAATAATTGATAATATTTATTGAGTCCTTAATATATTTCAAGCAATGATTCAACTTATCTTCATATCATTCCTCTGAAAAATGTACTGGCATTATCTCTATTTTATAGGAGGAGAAATGGAGGCTGAGAGAGATTAAGTAACGTTTCCAAGGACCCCTGGCCCATAAGTCAGGATTAGGAAATCAAGCAGTATGATGCTAGTGCCTGTTGTCCTAAACACTATGCTATGCTGCAGATATGCTATGATTAACTCAGTTATCAGTACTTGATTTTTTACTCAATTTCAGCATCACAAGCTAGAATCCTGGGTCAGCAACTTACTAGTGTGTAATGATTTCTACAGTCCTTTAAAGGGGATGGGAGGATAGGTGACTTTTAGAAAAAGGATCAGGCAAAAGACTTTGTTGATGATTCAGGATCTGATTTCTGCTCAGGAACATTTTAACATAATAATAATTTCAAGATGTAAATTAGTTATTTTCTCCAAAGCAGACTGTACAAGTAAAACAGAAATTACATTCCTTAGCACTATCAGAATAAATATATATACATGATATGAATACTTAGTGATATTTTAAAATGCAGATGAAAATGTGAGCATTTATACTATTGTTTGATTAAAACTACTGTTGAAATTAGTGATGTGTCACATTATCACACCAAATGTAATGAGGGAAAAAAAAGAAATTAAAAAAGGCAAAATTCCATATGAATGTCAAAATATAAAGGGATCTTAAAGTGTTTCAGAGAAACAGGAAATGTAATTGAGATTCTAGAATATTGAAAATATGAAGGTCAAATGAAATTGTCCAAATCTCAACTTAGTTTAGTGATAAGCTTGGGGCCAAATTTATCTAGAGAGCTACTTAGATGAAGATAGGAAGGATGAAGAGAAATTTAGAAAGATGGTACATATATCTCACTCTCACATTTCTTCTAAACCATACAAGAGAGCTGATGGAGGCAAAATGTAATGTATATAAATACTGTTTATTTTTATGACAAGCTACATATATCCATGTATAAAAATGAGGAAAAACAAGTAAGCAAATAGATAAAAAAGTTTTATATATTTATTTATTTTTTAATATATATATTTTTAATATACTTTAAGTTCTACGGTACATGTGCACAACGTGCAGGTTTGTTACATATGTATACATGTGCCATGTTGGTGTGCTGCACCCAGTAACTCGTCATTTACATTAGGTATATCTCCTAATGCTATCCCTCCCCCTCCACCCCACTCCACAACAGGCCCCGGTGTGTGATGTTGCCCTTCCTGTGTCCAAGTGTTCTCATTGTTCAATTCCCGCCTATGAGTGAGAACATGCGGTGTTTGGTTTTTTGTCCTTGCGATAGTTTGCTGAGAATGATGGTTTCCAGCTTCATCTATGTCCCTACAAAGGGCATGAACTCATCCTTTTTTATGGCTGAATAGTATTCCATGGTATATATGTGCCACATTTTCTTAATCCAGTCTATCATTGTTGGACATTTGGGTTGGTTCCAAGTCTTTACTATTGTGAATAGTGCCGCAATAAACATACGTGTGCAAGTGTCTTTATAGCAGCATGATTTATAATCCTTTGGGTATATACCCAGTAATGGGATGGCTGGGTCAAATGGTATTTCTAGTTCTAGATCCCTGAGGAATCGCCACACTGTATTCCACAATGGTTGAACTAGTTTACAGTCCCACCAACAGTGTAAAACTGTTCCTATTTCTCCACATCCTCTCCAGCACCTGTTGTTTCCTGACTTTTTAATGATTGCCATTCTAACTGGTGTGAGATGGTATCTCATTGTGGTTTTGATTTGCATTTCTCTGATGGCCAGTGATGATGAGCATTTTTTCATGTGTTTTTTGGCTGCATAAATGTCTTCTTTTGAGAAGAGTCTGTTCATATCTTTGCTGACTTGTTGATGGGGTTGTTTGTTTTTTTCTTGTAAATTTGTTTGAGTTCATTGTAGATTCTGGATATTAGCCCTTTGTCAGATGAGTAGATTGCAAAAATTTTCTTCCATTCTGTAGGTTGCCTGTTCACTCTGATGGTAGTTTCTTTTGCTGTGCAGAAGCTCTTTAGTTTAATTAGATCCCATTTGTCAATTTTGGCTTTTGTTGCCATTGCTTTTGGTGTTTTAGACATGAAGTCTTTGCCCATGCCTATGTCCTGAATGGTATTGCCTAGGTTTTCTTCTAGGGTTTTTATGGTTTTAGGTCTAACATTTAAGTCTTTAATCCATCTTGAATTGATTTTTGTATAAGGTGTAAGGAAGGGATCCAGTTTCAGCTTTCTACATATGGCTAGCCAGTTTTCCCAGCACCATTTATTAAATAGGGAATCCTTTCCCCATTTCTTGTTTTTGTCAGGTTTGTCAAAGATCAGATGTTTGTAGATGTGTGGAATTATTTCTGAGGGCTCTGTTCTGTTCCATTAGTCTATATCTCTGTTTTGGTACCAGTACCATGCTGTTTTGGTTACTGTAGCTTTGTAGTATAGTTTGAAGTCAGGTAGTGTGATGCCTCCACCTTTGTTCTTTTGGTTTAGGATTGTCTTGCCAATGCAGGCTCTTTTTTGGTTCTATATGAACTTTAAAGTAGTTTTTTTCCAATTCTGTGAAGAAAGTCATTGGTAGCTTGATGGGGATGGCATTGAATCTATAAATTACCTTGGGCAGTATGGCCATTTTCACGATATTGATTCTTCCTACCCATGAGCATGGAATGTTCTTCCATTTGTTTGTATCCTCTTTTATTTCATTGAGCAGTGGTTTGTAGTTCTCCTTGAAGAGGTCCTTCACGTCCCTTGTAAGTTGGATTCCTAGGTATTTTATTCTCTTTGAAGCAATTGTGAATGGGAGTTCACTCATGATTTGGCTCTGTTTGTCTGTTATTGGTGTATAAGAATGCTTGTGATTTTTGCACATTGATTTTGTATCCTGAGACTTTGCTGAAGTTGCCTATCAGATTAAGGAGATTTTGGGCTCAGATGATGGGGTTTTCTAAATATCCAATCATATCATCTGCAAACAGGGACAATTTGACTTCCTCTTTTCCTAATTGAATACCCTTTATTTCTTTCTCCTGCCTGATTGCCCTGGCCAGAACTTCCAACACTATGTTGAATAGGAGTGGTGAGAGAGGGCATCCCTGCCTTTTGTCTGTTTTCAAAGGGAATGCTTCCAGTTTTTGCCCATTCAGTATGATATTGGCTGTGGGTTTGTCATAAATAGCTCTTATTATTTTGAGATACATCCATCAATACTTAATTTATTGAGAATTTTTAGCATGAAGGGCTGTTGAATTTTGTCAAAAAGCCTTTTCTGCATCTATTGAGATAATCACGTGGTTTTGTCACTGGTTCTGTTTATATGTTATGTTTATTGATTTGCGTATGTTGAACAAGCCTTGCATCCCAGGGATGAAGCCCACTTGATCATGGTGGATAAGCTTTTTGATGTGCTGCTGGATTTGGTTTGCCAGTATCTTATTGAGGATTTTTGCATTGATGTTCATCAGGGATATTGGTCTAAAATTCTCTTTTTTTGTTGTATCTCTGCCCGGCTTTGGTATCAGGATGATGCTGGCCTCATAAAATGAGTTAGGGAGGATTCCCTCTTTTTCTATTGATTGGAATAGTTTCAGAAGGAATGGTACCGGCTCCTCCTTGTACCTATGGTAGAATTCGGCTGTGAATCCATCTGGTCCTGGACTTTTTTTGGTTGGTAGGCTATTAATTATTGCTTCAATTTCAGAGCCTGTTATTGATCTATTCAGGGATTCAACTTCTTCCTGGTTTAGTCTTGGGAGGGTTTATGTGTCCAGAAATTTTTTCATTTCTTCTAGATTTTCTAGTTTATTTGCATAGTGGTGTTTATAGCATTCTCTGATGGTAGTTTGTATTTCTGTGGGATCGGTGGTGATATCCCCTTTATCACTTTTTATTGTGTCTATTTGATTCTTCTCTCTTTTCTTCTTTATTAGTCTTGCTAGCGGTCTATCAATTTTGTTGATCTTTTCAAAAACCAGCTCCTGGATTCATTGACTTTTTGAAGGGTTTTTTGTGTCTCTATCTCCTTCAGTTCTACTCTGATCTTAGTTATTTCTTGCCTCCTGCTAGCTTTTGAATGTGTTTGCCCTTGCTTCTCTAGTTCTTTTAATTGTGATGTTAGGGTGTCAATTTTAGATCTTTCCTGCTTTCTCTTGTGGGCATTTAGTGCTATAAATTTCCCTCTGCACACTGCTTTAAATGTGTCCCAGAGAGTCTGGTATGTTGTGTTTTTGTTCTCATTGGTTTCGAAGAACGTCTTTATTTCTGCCTTCATTTTGTTTTGTATCCAGTAGTCATTCAGGAGCAGGTTGTTCAGTTTCATGTAGTTGAGTGGTTTTGAGTGAGTTTCTTAATCCTGAGTTCTAGTTTGATTGCACTGTGGTCTGAGAGACAAGTTTGTTATAATTTCTGTTCTTTTACATTTGCTGAGGAGTGCTTTACTTCTAACTATGTGGTCAGTTTTGGAATAAGTGTGATGTGGTGCTGAGAAGAATGTACATTCTGTTGATTTGGGGTAGAGAGTTCTGTAGCTGTCTATTAGGTCTGCTTGGTGCAGAGCTGAGTTCAATTCCTGGATATACTTGTTAACTTTCTGTCTCGTTGATCTGTCTAATGTTGATAGTGTGGTGTTAAAGTCTCCCATTATTATTGTGTGGGAGTCTAAGTATCTTTGTAGATCTCTAAGGACTTGCTTTATGAATCTGGGTGCTCCTGTATTGGGTGCATATATAATTAAGATAGTTAGCTCTTCTTGTTGAATTGATCCCTTTACCATTATGTAATGGCCTTCTTTGTCTCTTTTGAGCTTTGTTGGTTTAAAGTCTGTTTTATCAGAGACTAGGATTGCAACCCCTGCCTTTTTTTGTTTTCCATTGGCTTGGTAGATCTTCCTCCATCCCTTTACTTTGAGCCTATGTGTGTCTCTGCATGTAAGATGGGTCTCCAGAATACAGCACACTGATGGGTCTTGATTCTTTATCCAATTTGCCAGTCTGTGTCTTTTAATTGGAGCATTTAGCCCATTTACATTTAAGGTTAATATTGTTAAGTGTGAATTTGATCCTGTCGTTATGATGTTAGCTGGTTATTTTGCTCTTTAGTTGATGCAGTTTCTTCCTAGCCTCGAAGGTCTTTACAATTTGGCATGTTTTTGCAGTGGCTGATATTGGTTGTTCCTTTCCATGTTTAGTGCTTCCTTCAGGAGCTCTTATAGGGCAGGCCTGGTTGTGACAAAATCTGTCAGCATTTGCTTGTCTGTAAAGGATTTTATTTATCCTTCACTTATGAAGCTTAGTTTGGCTGGATATGAAATTCTGGGTTGAAAATTCTTTTCTTTAAGAACAGTGAATATTGGCCTCCACTCTCTTCTGACTTGTAGAGTTTCTGCTGAGAGATCTGCTGTTAGTCTGATGAGCTTCCCTTTGTGGGTAACCTGACCTTTCTCTCTGTCTGCCCTTAACATTTTTTCCTTCATTTCAACTTTGGTGAATCTGACAATTATGTGTCTTGGAGTTGCTCTTCTCGAGGAGGATATTTGTGGCGTTCTTTGTATTTCCTGAATTTGAATGTTGGCCTGCCTTCCTAGGTTGGGGAAGTTCTCCTGGATCATATCCTGAAGAGTGTTTTCCAACTTGGTTCCTTTCTCCCGTCACTTTCAGGTACACCAATCAGACGTAGATTTGGTCTTTTCACATAGTCGCATATTTCCTGGAGGCTTTGTTCATTTCTTTTTATTCTTTTTTCTCTAAACTTCTCTTCTCACTTCATTTCATTCATTTGATCTTCAATCATTGATAGCCTTTCTTCCAGTTGATCAAATCAGCTACTGAAGCTTGTGCATTCATCATGTAGATCTTGTGCCATGGTTTTCAGCTCCATCAGGTCATTTAAGGACTTCTCTACACTGGTTATTCTAGTTAGCCATTCGTCTAATCTTTTTTCAAGGTTTTAACTTCTTTGCATTGGGTTTGAGCTTCCTCCTTTAGCTTGGAGAAGTTTGATCACCTGAAGCCTTCTTCTCTCAGCTCGTCAAAGTCATTCTCCATCCAGCTTTGTTCCATTGATGGGGAGGAGCTGCATTCCTTTGGAGGGGGAGAGGTGCTCTGATTTTTAGAATTTTCAGCTTTTCTGCCCTGTTTTGTCCCCGCATTTGTGGTTTTATCTACTTTTGGTCTTTGATGATGGTGACATACAGATGGGGTTTTGGTGTGGATGTCCTTTCTGTTTGTTGGTTTTTCTTCTAACAGGACCCTCAGCTACAGGTCTGTTGGAGTTTGCTGGAGGTCCACTCCAGACTCTGTTTGCCTGGGTATCAGCAGTGGAGGCTGCAGAACAGTCAATATTGCTGAACAGCAAATGTTGCTGCCTGATTGTTCCTCTGGAAGTTTCGTCTCAGAGGGGTACCCAGCTGTGTGAGGTTTCAGTCTGCCCCTACTGGAGGGTGCCTCCCAGTTAGGCTACTTGGGGATCAGGGGCCCACTTGAGGAGGCAGTCTGTCCATTCTCAGATCTCAAGCTGTGTGCTGGGAGAACCACTACTCTCTTCAAAGCTGTCAGACAGGGACATTTAAGTCTGCAGAGGTTTCTGTTGCCTTCTGTTCGGCTATGCCCTGACCCCAGAGGTGGAGTCTACAGAGGCGGGCAGGCCTCCTTGAGCTGCGGTGGGCTTCACCCAGTTCGAGCTTCCTGGCAGCTTTGTTTACCTACTCAAGCCTCAGCAATGGCAGGCGCCCCTCCCCCAACCTTGCTGCCACCTTGCAGTTCGATCTCAGACTGCTGTGCTAGCAATGAGCGAGGCTTCGTGGGTATGGGACCCTCTGAACCAGGCACGGGATATAATCTCCTGGTCTGCCATTTGCTAAGACCATTGGAAAAGTGCAGTATTAGGGTGGGAGTGACCTGATTTTCCAGGTGCCATCTGTCACCCCTTCCCTTGGCTAGGAAAGGGAATTCCCTGACCCCTTGCCCTTCCAGGGTGAGGCAATGCCTCACCCTGCTTCGGCTCACACTCAGTGGGCTTCACCCACTATCCTGCCCCTACTGTCCGATGAACCCCAGTGAGATGAACCCAGTACCTCAGTTGGAAATGCAGAAATCACCCATCTTCTGTGTCGCTCATGCTGGGAGTTGTAGACTAGAGCTGTTCCTATTTGGCCGTCTTGGAACACTCAAAAACACATTTTTCACCACCCTCATAGGCTGTTCCATTACATAGGGCTCAGCAGGAACTCTGTCTATCCTTTCTGATAATCTACTACACCACACATCTTCATAAACTCTCCTATTTCTTGGAAATAAAGGAAAGATTTGCTCCTTCTTTCTTTCTTTTTTTTTTTTTTTTTCAATTAGCAACAAGGCTTACCAATGAAAGTGCCTGAGGAGGAGATTGTTTTTGGAAAAAACAAAAAAACAAAAAAAAAAAACAAAAGGTAGCCAGCCTGCCTCAGCAGAGTAGAAAGCTGCCTATGGTGATGATTTTAGGGAAACTAGGAAGTACACTAAGACCTCAAAGTTTCTCATCAGTATTCTATGGTCTTCAAATTTTGAACCAGCTTTACATTCCTGGGTTAAATGGGTTAAACCCAAATTAAACTATTTATTAATTTTCTTACTTTTATTATCTCATTCTTTTTGGTATTTTGTGTTTAGTTGCCTCTACTCTTTCTAGATTTTGGGGGTGTGTGCTTAGATTATTGATTTGTGACTTTTTCTTTCTTTTAATTTATGCATTTGAGTGCTATAAATTTCTCTCGCAGCACTGCTTTAGCTGCCTTTAACAAATTTTGATATGTTATGCTTTTAATTGTATTAAACTGAAAATATTTTAATTTTCCTTGTGATGTCTCTATTGTATCATGATTTATTTAGAAGTATATTTCTTGATTTTCAAATGTTTGTGTATATTCTGGATATGTTTTTATAATGTATTTCTAGCTTTATTCTTTTGTGACCAGAGAACATACTTTGAATGATTTCAATTCTTAAACATTTGCAGAAGACTTTCATTTCTTAGACGATGAAGCAGATATGCTTTATCCTGTTTCCCCTGCTAAGTACAACTAAAACCCTGGAACTTATATACAAAACAAACATAAAAAGATTTTGGAAAAGATAGGACATGGTACTGAGTTCCCAGGGTTTTCTCTTTGTCTCATATATCTCAGACTTAGAGCTAGAGAAATCACCAACTCAGAAACACTAATGGGTACAGACAAAATAAAAGTGTTCCAGTCAAAGCATTCCCTCTCTAACCAAAGGACCAGTAAAGGGGAAGCATAGCAGGACAGAAATTTTTAAACAGTAACTGTTGTACTCCAGCCAAATACAACAGAAAAAGCAATTGTCCTACAACCATTCATATAAGCAAATAAAGTGTGGGTAGGCTAGACATCCACCTTTGTAGCTTGTAACAAATAGACCCAAACTGTCACCAGGATTGTGTCAGAGAAGACCAAGTAGGGAGTTACTTTCATCCTCACCAGTTGGTAGTGAGACCCTCTGCTTCTGGTGTCAGTGTAGATCAAGTGGGAAGCCTGGACTTCTATTCCCAAATGGCTTTAATGGAGTGTTCCTCCAGTTCTCTACTGGGGTGGTGTTAGAGAGGGCCTAGTGAAAAGTCAGGACTTTTGGCACCTCTCAGTTGTAATGAAGCCATTCTTCTACCTCAAGGTGTCCGTAGTGGTCATGTAGAGAGCAAAAACAAAGCACTCCTACCCCTCCCAGCCAGAGAGGTATCAACTGAAGCCTAATGGGGATCCAGAACCCTCCCACCTCTCACAGTAAGGGGTGCCTTCTCTTAAGTGTCAACAGAGGCCAAGTGGGAGATCTGGATGTCTAACCCCTTTTGTCAGTAATAAGGCTCTATCACCCTTCCCCTCCCAGACTGATGTCAGATACAGCTGGCTAAAGCAGAGCTTTTAAATAATGAGATTTGGAATTTCATAAAATAATACAGAATTCCCCAGGTTTCCCTCAAAAATTATATGGCATACAAAAAAAAAAAAAAGAAAATCTCAAACTGAATGAGAAAAGGCAATCTGGAGACACCAACAACAAGATAACATAGCTGTTAGAATTATTTACAACTATGTAAAGTTATCCATCATAAAAAATACTTCAAGAAGCAATTACAAACATGCTTCCAAAAAGTGAAAAGTAGAAAGCCTCAGAAAAGAAATAGAAATTCTCAAAAAAAAGAGAATGTAAAGAAGAAAAAATTATAAATTTTAGAACAGAAAAACACAATAACTGAAATAACCATCTCAGTGTATGGGTTAAACAGCAAAATGGAGGGGACAGAGGAGAGAATCAGTGAGCTGAAAGATCGAGTAATAAAAATTACCCAGTGTGAACAAAAGAGAAAATAGATTGAAAAAGGAATAGAGCCTCAAAGACCTGTAGGACTAAGACAAAATATGTAACATTAGTAGGAGTCCTAGAGGAGAGAAGAAAGAAGGTAGAGCTGAAAAAGTACTTTAAGAATAATAGCTGAAAACTTCCCAAATTTGTCAGACATTAACCTACAGATTTAAGAAGCTAAACAAACCTGAAAAGAATAAACTCAAATAAATCCATGCTAAGACATATCATAATTAAACTTTTGCAAAATAAAGGTAAAGAAAAAATCTTCAAAGTAGTGAGAGAAAAAATAACACCTTTCCTATAGAGAAAAAACAACAACAACAACAATTGGAATGGAGACGATTTCTCATTAAAAAAAAAAAAAGAAAGAAAAGAAACATGAAGTCTAGAAAACACTGGCACAATGTTCCCAAGTGCTGAAACTAAAAAACTGTCAACACATAATCCTATACCCACTGAAAATATCCTTCAGGAATGAAGGGGCAATCAAAACTTTTCAAATGAAGGAAAACTAAAAGAATTTGTCACCAGCAGACCTATCTTAAAAGAAAGACTAAAGACAGTTCTTTAAAAAAATAAAATGATTAAAAAGGAAGCTTGCAGCATCAGGAAGAAAGAAAGAACACAGTAAATAAGAATATGGGTAAATAAAATGGATTGTTCTTTTCCTGCTGAGTTTTCTAAATTATGCTTCACAGTTGAAGCAAAAATTATAATAGTCTCATATGATTCTAATTGTACATAGATGAACTATACAAGGAAAGTATATTGTAAGTGACAAAGTGAAAGGATGTAAATAGAGGTAAGGTTTTACACTTCACTCCAAGTGGTTAGATGATGACACCTGTAAACTGCAATATGTTATGCATGTGTAATGATATATATAGTGAAAGTATCTTAAACTACTTTAAGTTAACTGCAAATAGAAAAACTCAAACACACTAGATAAATCAAAATGGAGTTCTGAAAATTGTTCAAGTAGCCCACAAGAATACAGGAACAAGAAAATGGAGAAGAAAAATATAGAAGATAAACAGAAAACAAAAAATAAATTGACGGGTCTTAACAAAGTAATAGTTACATTAAATGTAAATAGTCTGAATATACTGATTAAGAACAGAGATTGCCATTATGGATTAAAATCACAATCCAAGCATGTACTGTGTGTAAGAAACTCACTTCAAATGTAACAATAGCAGCACGTTGTAAATGAAAGGAGGGATAAAAAGACATCAGGAGTGCCTTTATTGATATCAGACAAAGTAGACTTCAGAGCCAAAAAATATATATTCATGAAGGAAAGAAAGAAACATTATATAATGACCAGTGGGTTGATCCACTAAGAAGTCATGGTAGTCCTAAATGCACATGCATGAAACAACAGAATGGTAAAATATGCAAAGCAAAAAAATAAAAAAATAAAAAGGAGAAATAGACAAATCCACTACTACAGTTGGGGAATTCAACAACACTCTCTCAACATTTGATGGAAAAACTAGACAGAAAATCAGCAAGGCCATATAAAATAAACAATATAATCAATGAATCAACAGGATTTAATCAAAATTTGTAGAACACTCCACCCAATAATGGCAGAATAAACATTCTTTTCAAGTACACACAGAATATCTACCAAGAGAGGCTGTATCTTCGGCCACATAATAAACCTCAACCAATTTTTAAAAATTGAAATCATATAGAGTGTGTTCTGCACCCACAATGAAATCAAATTAGACACTAATAACAGAAAAATAACAGAAAAATTCCAAACGCTTGAAAACTAAACAACATTATTCTAACGAATCTACAGATAAAATAGAAGACTCAAGGAAATAAAAAATACATTGAATGGAATTAAAATAAAAATAAAACATATCAAATTTCATGAGACACAGCTAAATTAGTGCTGAGAGGGAACTTTGTAGCACTAAACACATACAACAGAAAAGCATAAAAGTCTTAAATTAATAATCTAAGCTCTAACTTCAAAAACCTAGAAAAAGAAGAGCAAGATAAACCCAATGCAAGCAGAAGGAAGAAAATCTTAAAGATAAGCAGCAAAAATCAATGAAATTGAAACTATAACATCAATAGAGAAGAACATTGTTTCAAAGTAAAGAGTTGACTCTTTGAAAAGATTAATAATATTGGGGAAAAAAACTTGTAACAAGTCTGTAAAATAAAAACAAGAAAGCCAGAAGACACAAATTACCAATATCAGGAATGAAACAGGAGATATTGCTACAGATCCTGCAGACAGCAAAAGGATAATAAAGGAAACTATGAAAAGCTGTACACACATAAATTTGACAACTGAGATAAAAGAAACCAATTCCTCAAAAAGCAAAAACTACTACAACTCCCTTGATATGAAATGAATAATTCAAATAGCCCTATAACTCCTAAGAAAACTGAATTCCTAATTTCAAAACTCCATAAAAATAAATCTCTAGGCTCAGAGAGTTTTGCTGCCGAATTCCACCTAATGTTTAAAGAATAGTTAACCATCAAACATATTTTAAAGGATTCAAGAAGAGAAGATTGTTCTGTTATGTTTACCCGGATACTTGTTACATCTGTTGTACTTTCTTCATTCCTGATTTACCAAGTTTCTATTAGGTATCATTTCTCTTCTCCTCAAAGAACTTTTTTTAGCAGTTCTTTTATGACAGGTCTGCTGACAACAGATTCTCTTCATTTTTCTTCATCTGAAAATGTGTTTATTTCACCTTTATTTCTGAAGAATATTTATGCTGAATATAGAATTTCAGGTTGACAGTTATTTTCTTTCAGTCCTTTGAAATGCTGATCTCCATGGTTATTTACAAGAAATCTAGTCATTCGCTAAAGGTGATGTGCTATTTCTTTCTGCCTGCTTATAAGGTTTTTTCTTTGTTTTTAGTTTTTGGCAATTTGATTATGATGGGCATGGATTTCTTTAGGCTTATCTTTTGAGGTCTGGGGTTCATTGAGCTTCTTGAAGTTATAGGTTTATGTTTTACCCCAACTTTGGGGAATGTTCATCCATAATTTGTTCAAATAATTTTTTGTTTTGAGATGGAGTCTCACTCTGTCACCCAAGCTGGAGTGCAATGGCATGTTCCTGGCTCACTGCAACCTCTGCCTCCTGGGTTCAAGTGATTCTCCTGCCTCAGCCTCCCAAGTAGCTGGGATTACAGGCACATGCCACCACGCCTGGCTAATTTTTGTATTTTTAGTAGAGACGGGGTTTCACCATGTTGGCCAGGCTGGTCTCGAACTCCTGATCTCATGATCCGCCCGCCTCGGGCTCCCAAAGTGCTGGGATTATAGGTGTGAGCTACCGTGCCTGGCCTACTCAAATAATTTTTAAGCACCCTTCTTCCTCTCGAGCTTCAATGACTTAACAGTTAGACCTTTTGGTTGTCTCCGTGTGTCTGAGGATCTGTTTTTTAATTTAATTTTTTCCCTTTGTTTTTCATAGTGGATCATTTCTATTGGTCGATTGGTCTGTCTTCAAGTTCTCCTGCCTCTTTCTCTGTCATCTCCATTCTGCTACTGAGCCCTTTTATTATGTTTTTTAATTGTATTTCTCAATTCAAAAAATTACATTATGTTCTTGTATCGTTTTTTGCTAAGGTTTATACTTTTCATTCATTCATCCTTAGTTTTTGAGACATTTTTATAACAGCTTCTTTAAACAAACAATTTTTAATAGCTGCTTTGTCTGATCATTCCAATGTCTGTCATTTGGTCATTGATGTTTGTGGATTATTTTTTCCTATGCAAGTTTACCTTTTCTTGGTTCTTTATGTACCGAGAAGTTATGGATTTCATCTTGAACATTTAAAATATCATATCGCAAGAGTCTGGGTTTTGTTTAAATCTAATGGAAAATCTTGATATTTTGGCTCTCACAAGCAGTCACCTCTGTCAGGTTCAGGTCCCAAGTTTTAACCATCCTTCTGTGGGTTGTGATATCAATGTTAGTTCCACTTTCAAAGTTTTTGAAGTATGATTGTTATTGGTCCCATGTGTGTCCCACCAAGTGTTCCATCTGGGACTTGAATGCAGACTACCTTCTCCTCAGCTTTCAAAGTTACGTTATGCTTTTCAGGGTCTAATTCACACATGCGCATGATTTCATAAACAATGTTATGGGTTTTCTATCCTGATATACTCTCTTGCTTTCTAGAGTCTTACAGGTACTTTTGGTTCCCTGTTCCTCCCTTTTTTGGTCCTCTGGCTCAGTAGCTAAGGCTGTCTTTACCCCCACACTACTGTGCATTTCCCATGACTATGCCCACATTTGGCACCAGCTTTTGGGAGGACAGAGGAAGAAATGCAATGCAGGTTCAGTCTGCCTTTTCTGGACCACAGGTCCTCTCATTTGAAAGGACAGTCCCACTCTCTTGGAGTTTTTGGCCCCTACCAACCCCTGTTTCTGCTTCTGTTGCTGCTGCTGCCACTGATACAGTATTGCTTGGGGACTAGAGTGTGAGAAAATTGAGACATTTTAAAAATGTTAATTTTCCTCATTTTGAGCATTTGAAAGTTACTTCCCTGCTTCTTAAGTGATAACTAGAGGGTTTTTCCTAAAACTTCCTCTGTTCATGCCAACTCCCACTTGCAGGTTTTGGGCTGCATTAAGTCTAGGCTGGAGGATATCAGAGGAGGTACAAAATGGTAAACTCATTGCTGGATTGGTAATACTTTAAATTATGGTCTACTGCTCCAGTCTTCCTGCTACTATCTACTTTTCAGAGTCCTTGAATAGAAACTCACACACTTAACCAAGGTTTTTTAACTACATTCAGTAGGAGAGAGTATAGAGTGTGTTTTCTCCAAATTACTGAGAACTTGAACTTATGAATTATCTTTTAAAGTGATTAGAAATGTGAAAATAGTATATTTTATGTTTACCTTAATCTTTACCATTTCTGACACTCTTAATTTATTTACATATGTCCAAATTTCCATCTATCATCATACTCCTTTTGCCTTTAATATGTTAGTATTTAGTTTTAAATTCCTGTTTAAAAATTCCAACAAATAGGTTATCACTGAATCTGGTTCTTTTGATTACGTTATCTCTGACAATGTTTCTTAAATTTACTTTTTTGGTGTTTATTGTAATTTTTGATTGAATGCTGGACATCATTTATAGAAGAACATTAGATATAGAAGTAAATAGTATTTATCCTGGCAATGAGTACGTATCTTATTCAGTCAGGCCATTAGTGTTAGGGGTTGAATCAATGTAGTCAGAAATTGAATGGAATTTGGGTTTTGTTGTTGCTGTTTTTACCTTAAGTGTGGCATGAACTTTAAATTCCTCCAGATATTGGTTGCTGTTACCTTGTGCTTAGGATGGGACTGGGGTGTGAGTGGGTTTTTCTCAGTATTTCCATTACCCCCCTGATACGGTTTAGGTGTTTTGTCAGCTCTAAATCTCATGTTGAACTGTGTTCCCCAATGTTGGAGGTGGGGCCTAATAGAAGGCATTAGGGTCATGGAGGTAAACCCCTTATGAATGTCTTGTTGCCATCCTCATGGTAATGAGTGAGTTCTCATCCTATGAGTTCATGCAGGAGCTAATTGTTGAAATATCTCTTCCTTCCTCTCTCATCATGTGACACAGCTGTTCCCTCTTGGTCTTCTTCTAGGAATGGAAGCTTTCTGAGGCCCTCACCAGAAGCAGATGCTGGTGCTATGCTTCTTGTAGAGCCTGCAGAATTGCGAGCCAAATATACCTCTTTTCTATGTAAATTATCCAACATCAGGTATTTCTTTATAGCAATGCAAACAGACTAACACATCCCCTCAGTTTTATTTGTCCATTCACAACTGCACTACAGCAGTGAACTCTCTATACATGCTTACTAAACTACTGTTGCTTCTTACTCCATGCTGGGCTTATGGTGGAGGATGGAATGATTTTCTTTTGTCTTACTGCAGCTTCTTCCTTAGATAAGTCCTGTGCACTTGGGCCTCAAACGTAGGGCTTTCTCAGCGTTCTTACCTCTTTTGTGTGGCAGTCAAACTCTAATTTGTTTTGTGGTTGATCTGGTGTGGGAGTTTCCTTCCCCTCTCCTAGGTAATATAATATCCTTTCAGGATCCTGAGCCCAAGGTGGATTTTCTTTGTATCCTTACAGGATCCTGAGTACAAGGCGGATTCCTGCCTCTCTCTTAGGAGCAGCTTTCTGCTTTTACCTCTCCTCTCTTTTTTCTTTTTGTTTCTTTTTTTTTTTTTTTTTTTTTTGAGACACAATCTCTCTCTGTCACCCAGGCTAGAGTGCAGTGGCACAATCTCGGTTCACTGCAACCTTTGCCTCCTGGGTTCAAGCAATTATTTTGTCTCACCCTCCCGAGAAGTGGGGATTACAGGCACACACCACCATGCTCAGCTAATTATTGTATTTTTAGTAGAGACAGGGTTTAACCATATTGGTCAGGCTGGTCTTGAACTCCTGACATCAAGCAATCCACCCACCTCAGCCTCCCAAAGTGCTGAGATTGCAGACGTGAACCACCATGCCCTGTCTACTTCTCCTCTTGAAGAAATAGATTTCTGCTAGTGGCCTGGGAGCTAAATAATTTGCTGCCATTTCACCAGTAACTTAAAGCATTTGATTCAGAGAAATGAAAGGTGAGGGAAGCAAGTGGGACTTGTGTCTTTCTCCAGCAGTAGCCAATCACCTCCTGCATATCTGTGGCATTGAGAGGAGTTCTCCTCAGTCTCCTGACTTTTCCTCAACCTTTTTATTGAACATCCTGTAGAGGTCTGTGGAAGTGAGTGTGAGCTCTCCTTATGTCTGTGGTTTTTATATGTTCCAAACTGATATGCCAATCCCCACTTGTCTTTTAAGAATTAATTAAAAAATTAGCTTATTTCTTCTTAACCACTTGTGCGGCTCCCTCATTTTCCCTTCTGCTCTGCCAAAGATGAAAGATATTATGTGTCTCATCTCTTTTTACAGTGGTTGGTTACCATGGAACTCATTTTGCTTGTTTTCCCTAGTCTGTAGTTTGGATATTTGTCCCCTCCAAATCTCATGTTGAAATTTTATCCCCAGTGTTGGAGATGGGGTCTAATGGGTGGTGTTTGGGGAGTGAAGATGGATCACTCAGGAATAAAATAAATTAATCCCCTCCTTCGGGGAAAGGGTGAGTAAGTTCTTGGTGTATTAGTTGAAGGAAACTGGTTGAAAAAAAAAAAAAGCAAACAAACTAGTTCTTTCCCCGACCTCTTGGTTCCTCTCTCACCATGCAATCTCTGCACACACTGACTTCCCTTTACCTTCTGCTATGAGAGGAAGCAGCCTGAGGCCCTCACCAGACACAAAATCTTGGACCTTTCAGCTAGCGTAATTATGAGCCAAATAAATCTTTTCTCTTCATAAATTACCCAACCTCAGGTATTTCTTTGTACCAACACTAAATGGACTAAGATCCTATGCCTTCAGATTTTTGATGGGTTAAATAAATGTTACATTTTTATAAATTATCCAGCTTTTTCTCATTGTTAGGGTGGAGGAGATAGTCAATTGCATCTCTCTATATCCTAAGTAGAAGCACAGTCTGCTCATACAGCTTTAATTATTTCTTACTATAAATTCCTAGAAGTGCAATTGAAACAAAGGATATGCATAAACATGTTTTTAAGACTACTTTGTACATATGGCCAAATTGCTGTAAGGAAAATTTTGCACATCTACTTCCTTCAGCTACTGCTATAGTAGTCCAGCATTATAATTTCTATATCAAATAAAACGATCCCTTTACTAAGGTGTATTTGATTAAAAATGTTTTTTCTGTTGAACTAAAATGAACTACATCTTTTATTAAAAAAACCAGATACATTGTTCTAAACTAATAGGAAGGAACACATGCTAAGATGTTATCATTAAAACATTTGATAATTAGTTTTTTTGTGGGTTTCAATAATGAAGACACCTGAGAGATTGTGTAAAGATCACTTTACAGTAACTCTTGCCTTACGGAGAAAAGTGTTTCTTTGCAATGCCAACATAACTGAGCTGAGCTAATGCCAAAATATATTACTTGGAAGATGGGAGAGCATAACAGAAATAAGTGTAATCAATAGTTGGGGAAATAAAGCTCAATTGGTCTCTGGATGTTACAAGCGGTTTGGCCAGATCTCCAAATCTACTAACCCTAAAGCCATTTTCTCCTACTACTATAGGTTCCTGAAAGTGGAAGTCATATCTTAAAACAAATTAGTAGCCGGAACTCTGACCACAGGTCCCTGTGTGATCACTTCTCTGGTGAGCTTTTCTGCATGGCCAAGACATTTTTTACCCAGACCAGAGACAAGCTAAGCAGCCTGCTTTTTGTCTTCTTTTCCCTTGGAGCTACTCTGGTTCTTTTTTTCCTTCTGAGGACAGAGGTATCCCTTGATCAGGAGACACTCTGGGGCCAGTAAAGATATCTACTTCTACCCCACAACACCTTGCCAACATCAAGGGCATTATGGAATGATTAGCAAGACATTGCCTTACACCCACTCCTGTCTCCTATGATTTGGGCATGGTGTCTAAAAGTAGGCCAGTTGGCTTGGGGAAGTTGCACGGTCAAAAAGAATGATGCAAAACAATCAGCAGGGTCCAGGGGAATAATGACTAGAGGAGGACTCAGGCAAATTCAGCAATGGATATAGCAACATAGCAAAGAACAGACTGGCTAAATTACATGGACAGTGGATGTCAGTGTAGGACTGAAACTGATCAAGGACAAGAAGCAGATCACACATATGTGGACCCTATGTTAACCCCCCAGAATGAAGGAAAGAAGAAAGGGGAGAGGGAGTGTCCTGGATTCTCTGTATCAGGGATGTCCAACATTTTGGCTTCCCTGGGCCACATTGGAATTGTCTTGGGCCACACATAAAATACACTAACACGAATGATAGCTGATGAGCTTTACAAAAATCATTAAAAAATCATAATGTTTTAAGAAAGTTTGTGTTGGGCTTTATTCAAAGCCATCCTGGGCCGCATGTGGCCCACAGGCCGTGGTTTGGACAAGCTTGGTCGAAGTATTTACTTAAAAGAGACTGGAAAAACACAGAAACGACAGTTTACCTTGTATTGGTAAGGTTACATTTTCTGTCTTCAATAGAAATAGGAGGCATAAGAGCTAAGTTAAGCTTTAGAGAAATGAAGCTTAATTTTTGCATACATGTATTTGTTTCTAAAATTCATAGCCACACCACATGACTTAGAGCTTTTTTCTCCCGCAACACATGCTGCAATTCATCCAAGTACTGACTAAAAGTTCTTCTGCTGTTTCTGAGAAAGCTGCAGACCATGATAGGAACTTGGGTTTTTAAAGCATCAGGGTTCTAAATATGACAGCTTGGTTTGAATTTAGTTTTATTATCTCCTCTTTTGCAACCCCAGAAGATAGTCCCCCCAAAAAAGAGAGACCCCTGTTCTTCTATTTCCCTTCGTTGACAATGTTGTGTGAGAAAACACAAGCCTGGAATTCCTGAATTATGCAAGAATGACCAGGGCATACCAATTATCTTTAGAGAACGTGTGGGCTTGACACATTCATGCGTGACTCCAGATGAGCAGGTTTTTGGGTGGGTGATTTTCCCTTGTCTGTCCAACCGTCTTTATCCACAAAGATTCCAGCTTGTTTGTAATAAACCAGATCCCTGAATAAGGCAGCCTCAGGCCCACTTTATAGGCCCATTATACCAAGCAGGGTAGGGAGCAAAGAAGAAAAGCTACAAAACTAACCAGAAGGGAACACAAGAAGGGAAAGGAAATGTGTGTGTGTGTGTGATATCTTCTCTGTCTCTCTGAAAACACAATTCCCTGCTCACTTGTGTGGCCTCTTCCGAAATCAGAGCCTCTCTTCCTTTTCCTATGCCTCTAATCTGTTTCTTCTCTCTTCCTTTCCTGTCCTTTGCCTATTTTTTTTTTTTTTTTGGAGATGGAGAGAAGTGAGGAAACTGGAAGTTATACTGTGTGTCTCCAGCAGTGTCCACAGTTGAAATAATAATGGCTAATATTCAGGAGACAGTTATGATGTTCCAGAACTGCATCAGAAACTTTCCAGAGAATATGGTATGTTTGGCGAGGGGCAGGACGTTATGTAACATGGGAGCATAAGATGTGAGGAGGGCAGAAGAAAGACGCTGGGTGCCAGTGTGACCAAACATCCCTGTTTTCCTGACACCGTCCAGGATTTTGCATTGAGATTTCTGCATTCTGAGCAGACACTCAGACCTGGGCTAACCAGCATGTGTGTCACCCTACTGTGCTCCCACTTGCTCTTTTTAATTAGAGAACTTACTCTCTCTTTCCTCACCCTTCATGGTGTTCTTGTAATTCAGCTTAGTGGGAAGAATTAGGGTGTTCTTTGCCAAAGTATTGTATCTAAATCTCTATCACTGTGGTCTTAGCCTTTTTCTGCTGCTATACACAATAAATGACCATTGGAGGCATGACATGCACTAAGAACTACTGCACAGATGGGATGGTCTCTGAATTTACACACAATTCCTAGTGATTCGCTATAATTGGATCCCTTTCTCTCATACTGCACAAGTACACAAGTGCAAGACAGACTTTTTTAAACAGAGAAAAAATGAATCTCCCCTAGTTTACTTTTAGAGATAGTAATTAGTTTTACAGTAGTCCCCTGTTTATCCATCGTTTCCCTTTTGGATGTTTAATTATCAGCAGTCAACCAATGTATTAAAGTATTAAATAGAAAATTCCAGAAATAAACAATTCCTAAGTTGCACACTGTTCTGAGTAGCATGATAAAAATCTCTCCTTGTTCTACCTCATCTGACCCAGGACACAAATCATCCTTCTCTCCATCATATTCAGGACTGTAGACACTCCCTTCCTGTTAGTCATTTAGTAGGCGTCTGGGTGATCAGACTGACTGTCATGGTATCACACTGCTTGTGTTCAAATAACCTTATTTTACTTCATTATGGCCCCAGAGTGCAAGAGAAGTGATGCTGGCCATTCGAATATGACAAAAAGAAGCTGTAAAGTGCTTCTATTAAGTAAAGAGGTGAAAGTTCTTGACTTAAATAAAGAAAAATAATTGCATGCTGAGGTTGCTAAGACCTACAGTAAGAAAAAATCTTCTATCTGTTAAATTGTGAAGAAGGAAAAAAATTGTGCTAGTTTTGCTGTCACATCTCAAACTGCAAAAGTTACAACCACAGTATGTGATAAGTACTTAGCTAAAATGGAAAAGGTATTAAATTTGTGGGTGGAAGACATGAAGAAACGTGTTCTAGTTGATGGCAATTGAGTTAAGTACTGTCTGCAGTTTCAGGCATCTGCTAGGCATCCTGGAACATATTCCCTGTGGATAAGGGAGGTTAACTGTAAATATTTGTGACCCCTCAAATTGGCCTTGGTACACTCGTGTGCCCTGTCACAATTGATAACCATTTATTTAGCTCCCTTCTTTTCAAGGTGTGTGTAGTCCATGATGGAGCATGAGCATTGCCTGGGAGCTGACGAGAAATACAGACTGTTGAGCCTCAACTTACAACTGCTGAATCCAAATCTACCTTTTAACAAGGACCTTAACTGATTTGTACTTATATTACATTTCCAGAAACACTCTAGAGCAATGGTTTCCAAAGTGTTACACTGGACCAGCAGCATTGGCATCACCTGGGAACTTGACAGTAGTGTAAAACGTCAGGCCTCACTCCAAATCTACTGAATCAGAAACTCTGGGAGTGGTGCCCAGCCATCTGTGTTTTAACTAGCCCTCAAGGTGATTCTCATGTGAGCTAAAGTTTGAGAGCCACTGTCTAGAGCATGGACAGAAAAGCATGATACTCCCATTCCATGATACGTAGCCTATGGCAAGTATGGCTAATCAATCATGACACCCTTTCTGATTGAACCTGGACATGGCTTCAGAGCGTTTCTCAAAATGGCACTCTAGTCAGTCTCTACCAGTTTAATGGAGATCTCTTTGTCATCCCAGCATAAGTGGCTACACAAATGCCTCAACAGGAACCTGTGAACATATATTAACAAAAGAGAGAGGTACTCTTTTGGGCACGGGCTACAAAAGCCTCTGTGTAACCTCCATGAAAACACTGATAGCTGTTAGGATGAGATTTATATCCTTTCATTGTTAGTCTCATAAAGCAATGCCGTGGTAAATTCACATTATCAAGGACAGTGGTCAAAATGCACTGCTGCTATGCTTGTTCAATATACCAAGTCTCTCTTCCAGCCCTCAGCCATCCCTCTCATCCTTTTGTCCCTCTCATGTGTATGATGATGCAGGAGAGCTGTGGGCTTGCTAGTATAGAAGTTCTCATAGTGCCCTGCACCTCCAACTTCTAATACTCAGTGATCTCCTAATTTTTTTATTAGTGTCTGTCTTGCCCATTCCATGAGAGCAGAAATCACATTCATCTTGCTCATTGTTTTTATTAGTTTCCTAGAGCTACCATAACAAATTATTACAAGTCAGGTGGTTGAGAATACAGAAATGTATTCTCTTGCAATTCTAGAGGCCAGAAATCTGAAATCAGTATCACTGGGACAAAATGAAGGTGCCAGCAGGGCTGCACTTCCTCCAGAGGCTCTAGGGGAGAAATCTGTTCTTTGCCTCTTTCAGCTTCTGATGGCTGCCAGAATTCTTTGGTTTATGTTGCACCATGCCAGTCTCTACTGCCATTGTAACATCTCCACTGACTGTGACCCTCCTGACTCCCTCTTATGAGGATCTGTGTGATTACATTGGGCTCACCCAGATAATTTGACCCAGTATAGGCCCCTCCCCTCAAGATCTTTAATTTAATCACACATCTTGCCATATAAGGTAATATTTTCATGTTTCAGGGATTAGGACGTGGACATATATTTGGGGCCACCATTCAGCTCACTATACTGCGGAATCACTGTGATTGCCTGGCTCTTAGTAGGCCCCCAATAAAACCGTGTGATATGAGTGGATAAAAGAATAAAGAAATGAAGATGCAAGAGTAGATGGTATCATCTAGGAAGAGTGCTGAGAGAGAAGATGGCTTTCTTTTTGGTTGGGGGAGTGGTATGGGGTCGGGGGTGGCTACATCTATATATATATATGTGTGTGTGTATATATATAAAATATATGTGTGTATATATATAAAATATATATGTGTATATATATATAATATATATATTTTTTCAACTTTTAAGTTCAGGGGTACATGTGCAGGATGTGCAGGTTTTTTACATAGGTAAATGTGTGCCATCGTAATTTGCTGCACAGATCATCCCATCACCTATGTATTAATTGCAGCCTCCATTAGCTATTCTTCCTGATACTCTCTCTCCCACCACCTGCCCTGGCAGCCCCAGTGTGTGTTATTTCCTCCCATGTATGCATGTGTTCTCATCATTCAGCTCCCACTTATAAGTGAGAACATGTAGTGTTTGGTTTTCTGTTCCTGGGTTAATTTGCTGAGGATAATGGCTTCCAACACCATCCATGTCCTTGCAAAGAATGTGATATTGTTCCTTTTTATGGCTGCATAATATTCCATAGTGTATTTGTATCGCATTTTCTTTATCCAGTCTATCATCCGTGGGCATTTGGGTTGATTTCATGTCTTTGCTATTGTGAATAGTGCTGCAGTGAACATATGCATGTATGTATTTTTATATAGAATGATTTATATTCCTTTGGGTATATACCCAGTAATGAGATTGCTGGGTCAAATGGTATTTCTACCTCTGTGTCTTTGACAAATCCCCACACTGTCTTCCACAATGGTTGAACTAATTTATACTCCCACCAACAGTGTAAAAGTGTTCCTTTTTCTCTGCAACCTCACCAGCATCTGTTGTTTTTTGACTTTTTAATAAAAGCCATTCTGACCGGTGTGAGATGGTATCTCATTGTGGTTTTGATTTGTATTTCTCTGATGATCAGTGATATTGAACTTTTTTTTATATGTGTGTTGGCTGCATGTATGTTTTATTTTGAGAAGTGTCTGTTCATGTCCTTTGCCCACTTTTTAATGTTTTTTTTTATTGTAAATTTGTTTAAGTTCCTTGTAGACTCTGGATATTAGACTTTTGTCAGATGGATAGATTGCAAAAATTTCCCCCCTTTCTGTAGCTTGTCTGTTCACTCTGATGATAGTTTCTTTTGCTGTGCAGAAATTCTTTAGTTTGATTAGATTCCATTTGTCAATTTTTGCTTTTCTTGCAATTGCTTTCGGCATTTTCATCATGAAATCTTTACCCGTGCCTATATCCTGAATGGTATTGCATAGATTTTCTTCTTGAGTTTTTATAGTTTTGGGTTTTACTTTAAGTCTTTAATCCATCTCGAGTTAATTTTTGTATATGTTGTAAGGAAGGAGTCTAGTTTAAATTTTCTGCTTTTGGCCAGCCAGCACTCCTAGCACCATTTATTGAACAGGAAGTCCTTTCTTCACTGCTTGTTTTTGTCAAGTGTGTCAAAGATCAGATGGTTGTAGGTGTGCAGTCTTATTTCTGAGTTCTTTATTCTGTTCCATTGGTCTATGTCTCTGCTCTTGTACAAGTACCATGCTGTTTTGGTTACTATACCTTGTATTAGTGGTATAGTTCGAAGTCAGGTAGCATGATGCCTCCAGCATTATTCTTTTTGCTTAGACTTGTCTTGGCTATTTGGACTATTTTTTGGTTCTGTATGAATTTTTAAATAGTTTATTCTAATTCTGCAAAGAATGTCAATGGTAGTTTAATGGGGAAAACATTGAATCTATAAATTACTTTGGGCAGTATGGCCATTTTCATGACATTGATTCTTCCTAACCATGAGCATGAAATGTTTCTCTACTTGTTTGTTTCCTCTCTGATTTCTTTGAGCAGTGGTTTGTAGTTCTCCTTGAAGAGGTCCTTCACTTCCCGTGTTAGCTGTATGCCTAGATATTTTATTCTGTTGGTAGCAGTTGTGAATTCATGATTTGACTCTCTGCTTGCCTGTTTGTGTACAGAAATGCTAGCAATTTTTGTACATTGATTTTACATCCAGAGACTTTGTTGAAGTTGCTTATCAGCTTAGGAAGCTTTGGGGCTGAGACGATAGGGTTTTCTAGATATAGAATCATGTCATCCGCAAATACACACAATTTGACTTCGTCTCTTCCTATTTGAACACCCTTTATTTCTTCTCTTGCCTGATTGCCCTGGCCAGAACTTCCAATACTATATTGAATAGGAGTGGTGAGACAGGGTATGTTTGTCTTGTGCTGGTTTTCAATGGGAATGCTTTCAGCTTTTGTCCATTCAGTATGGTGGTGACTGTGCGTTTGTCATATATGGCTTTTATTATTTTGAGCTATGTTCCTTCATTGCCTAGATTATTGAGAGTTTTTAACATGAATGGATGTTGAATTTTAGCGAAACCTTTTCCGCATCTATTGAGATAATCATGTCGTTTTTGTCTTTAGTTCTGTTTATGTGATGAATCACGTTTATCGATTTACATTTGTTGAAACAACCGTGCATCCTGAGGATGAAGACTACTTGATCATGGTGGATAAGCTTTTTGATGTGCTGCTGGATTTGGTTTGCCAGTATTTTATTGAGGAATTTTGCATCATGTTCATCAAGAATATTGGCCTGAAGTTTTGTTGTTGTTGTATTTCTGCCAGGTTTTGGTATCAGAATGATGCTGGCCTCACAGAATTAGTTAGGGAGGAGTCCCTTCTTTTCAGTTTTTTGGAATCATTTCAATAGAAATAGTACCAGCTCTTCTTTGTACCACTGGTAGAATTCAGCTGTGAATCCATTTGGTCTTGTGCTTTTTTTGGTTGGTAGGTTATTTATTACTGCCTCAATTTCACAACTCGTTATTGGTCTATTCAGAGATTCAATTTCTTCCTGATTCAGTCTTGGGAGGGTGTATGTGCCCAAGAATTTATCCACTTCTTCTGGATTTTCTAGTTTATGTGCATAGAGGTGTTTACAGTATTCTCAGGTGGTTGTTTGTATTTCTGTGGAGTCAGTGGTGATATCCCCCTTATCATTTCTGATTGTGTTTATTTAATTCTTCTCTCTTTTCTTCTTTACTAGCCAAGATAATGGTCTATATATTTTATTAATTTTCTCACAAAAACACCTCCTGGATTCACTGATTTTTTTGAAGTGTTTTTTTGTGTCTCTATGTCTTTCATTCAGCTTTGATCTTGGTTATTTCTTGTCCTCTGCTAACTTTGGGATTTGTTTGCTCTTGGTTCTCTAGTTCTTTTAATTGAGATGCTACTTCTTTACTTGCCAGCTAATGGTCTATACATTTTATTAATTTTCTCAAAAAAACAGCTCCTGGATTCACTGATTTTTTAAATGTTTTTTTGTGTCTCTATCTCTTTCAGTTCAGCTTTGATCTTGGTTATTTCTTGTCTTTTCTGCTAGCTTTGGGGTTTGCCTGCTCTTGGTTCTCTAGTTATTTTAGTTGAGATGTTATGTTGTTAACTTGAGATCATTTTAGCTTTATTAATGTGGGCATTTAGTGCTATAAATTTCCCTCTTAACACTACCTTAGTTGCATCCCAAACATTCTGGTATGTTGTCTCTTTGTTCTCATCAGTTTCAAGAACTTATTGATTTCTGCCTTAATTTCACTGTTTACCCAAAAGTCATTCAGGAGCAGGTTGTTCAATTTCCACGTGATTGTGTGGTTTTGAGTGAATTTCTTAATCTTGAGTTCTAATTTGATTGTGCTGTGATCTGAGAGACTTTGTTATAATTTCAGTTATTTTGCATTTGCTGACGAATGTTTCACTTCTGGTTATGTGATCAATTTTAGAGTAAGTGCTGTGTAGTGATGAGAAGAATGTATATTCTGTTAAATAAGTGGGGAGTTTGGCAGATATCTATCAGGTCCACCTAATGTAGAGCTGAGTTTAGGTCCTAAATATTTTGTTAATTTTCTGTCTTGATGATTTGTCTAATATTGTCAATGGGGTGTTCAAGTCTCCCACTGTTATTGTATGGGAGTCTAAGTCTCTTTGTAGGTCTCTAAGGACTTGCTTTATGAACCTGGGTGTTCCTGTATTGGGTGCATATATATTTAGGATAGTTAGCTCTTCTTGTTGAGTTGAACCCCTTACCATTATGTAGTGCCCTTCTTTGTCTTTTTTGATCTTTGTTGGTTTAAGGTCTGTTTTGCCAGAAACTAGGTTTGCAACTCCTGCTTTTTTCTGTTTTCCATTTGCTTGGTAAATTTTCCTCCATCCCTTTATTTTGAGCCTATGTGTGTATTTGCATGGGAGATGGGTCTCTTTAATACAGCACACCGATGGGTCTTGTCTTTTTATTCAGCTTGCCATTCTGTTTTAATTGGGGCATTTAGCCTATTTACATTTAAAGTTAGTATTGATATGTGTGGATTTGATCCTGTCATCATGATGTTAGCTGGTTATTTTGCAGACTTGTTTGTGTGGTTGCTTTAGAGCGTTACTGGTCTGTGTATTTCAGTGTGTTTTTCTAGAAGCTGGTAACGTATTTTCCTTTCCATATTTAGTGCTTCCTTCAAGAGCTCTTGCAAGGCAGGTCTGGTGGTGATGAATTCCCTAAGCATTTGCCTGTCTGAAAAGGATGTTATTTCTCTTTCGCTTATGAAGCTTAGTTTGGCCAGATATGGAATTCTGAATTGAAAATTCTTTTCTTTAACAATGTTGAATATTGGCTCCCAATCTCTTCTGGCTTGTAGGGTTTCTGCTGAGAGGTCTGCTGTTAGTCTGATGGGCTTCCTTTTGTGGATGGACTGGCCTTTCTCTCTGGCTGCCCTTAACATTTTTTCTTTCATTTCAACCTTGGAGAATCTGATGATTGTGGGTCTTGGAGTTGATCTTCTCATTAAGTATCTTACTGGGGTTCTCTGCATTTTCTAAATTTGAATGTTGGGAAAGTTCTCCTGGATGATATCCTAAAGTGTGTTTTCCAACCTGGTTCTATTCTCCCTGTGTCTTTGAAGTACCCCAGTCAGTCCTAGGTTTGGCCTCTTTATGTAATCCCATATTTCTCAGAGGTTTTGTTCATTCCTTTTCATTCTTTTTTCTCTATTTTTGTCTACCTGTCTTATTTCAAAAAGGTAGTCTTAAAGCTCTGAGATTCTTTCCTCCAGTTGATATACTCTGCTATTGATACCTGTGATTGCATTGTGAAGTTCTTGTGTTGTGTTTTTCAGCTCCATCAGGTAGGTTATGTTCCTCTCTAAACTGGCTATTCTGGTTATCACCTTCTGTATTGTTTTATCATGATTCTTAGCTTCTTTGCATTGGGTTACAACATGCTCTTTTAGCTCAGTGAAGTTCATTATTACCCACTTTCTGAAGCCTACATCTGTCAAATCAGCTATCTCAGCCTCAGCCCACTTCTGTGCCCTGGCTGGAGAAGTGTTGTGGTCATTTGTAGGAGAAGAGGCATTCTGGCTTTTTGACTTTTCAGTGTTCTTGTGTTGATTCTTTCTTATCTTTTGGGGCTTATCTACCTTTTATCTTTGAGGTTGCTGACCTTTGAATGAGGTTTTTGTGAGGTCTTTTGTTGCTGTTGTTGTTTTCTGTTTGTTTTTCTTTTAAAAGTCAGGCCACTCTACTGTAGGGCTGCTGCAGTTTGCTAGGGGTCCACCCCAGACCCCAGTCACTTCGATTTCTCCTGTACCCAGAGGTATCACAAGTGAAGGCTGTGAAACAGCAAACATAGCAGCCAGCTCCTTCCTCTGGAAGCTCTGTGCCGGGGGTTGCTGACCTGTTCCTGACCTGCATGCACCTGTAGGAGGTAGCTGAAGCTCCCCATTGGCAGGTCTCACCAAGTCAGGAGGAATGGGATCAGGCACCTGCCCCAAAATGCAGCCTGGCTGCTTTTTGGTAGAGCAGGTGTGCTGCACTGGCCGGGGCGAGGGAGTTGGGGGGGCGGGGTGTGGGGACTTCCTTGTCCTGATTTCTTGTATTCTCCAAAGCCAGCAGACTGGAGCAGCTGAGTTGACAGAACCACATAAATGGCTGCCACCCCTCCCCCAGGGAGCTCTGTCCCAGGTAGAGATCAAAGCTCTGTCTCTAAAGCTTTGCTAGAGTGGCTAAAGCCCCCACAGGAAGGTCATGCCCAGTGAGGAGGAATGGATCAGGGTCTTGCTTAAAGAAGCAGTCTGGCCACAATCTGGCAAGGCAGCTGTGCTGCACTGTGGGGGACCCTTCCTTGTCTGGATCTTCTGTATTCTCCACAGCTGGCAGGCTGGAGCAGCTGAGTCTACTGAATCACAGAGATGGTGGCTGTCCCTTCCCCCAGGAACTTGGACCATCTCAAGTAGACTCCAACTCACTGCCATTGGGGGCTGGGATTCCAAACCAGTAAATGTTAACTTGTGATGTGCTGTGGAAATGGGGCCCACAAAAAGATGCTTCCTGGCTCCCTGGATTCAGCTCCCTTCCTAGGGATATGTACAGAAGGATTTCCCACTGTGCTGGGAAACTCAGGGCCAGAATATGTAAGACTTCTGGGCCTCTGTGTGTGGCCAAGTGGCTGCTGTGCTGAAACTCCACAGAGCTTTGGTATTAGACCCAAGGCCCTGGTAGCATGGACTTACAAGGGGGATCTCCTGATCTGCAGGTTGCAAAGATCCGTGGGAGAAGTGTGGTTTCCCAGGCAAGGTCACACAATCACTCACTGCTTCCCTGGGCTGGGATTGCTTCCCTTGGCTCTGTGCTGCTCCCCGGTGGGCCATCACCAACTCCCTGCTTTTCTTCATTCTCCAAGGGTCGAGCTGTTCCTCCAGTCAGCCCCAATGCAAGAACCTGGATATCTCAGTTGAAAGTGCTGAATTCACTTGCCCCTTTTCATTCCTCTCTGTGAGTGTTACAGACCACAGCTGCCTCTAATCAGCCATCTTGAATCACTCTGAGGAGACGGCTTTCAAAGGTAGCCTTGTGTAGTGCTTAAGGGCACAGTCTCTGGGGCCAGACTGCATGGGTTTGTATGCCAACTATGCCACTTACTAGCTGTGTAACTTTGGGCAAGTTACTTAACTTCTCTGTGCCTCTGTTTCTTCATCTGTAAAATGGGAACAGCAATACCTACTTTGTAGAATTCTTTTAAGAATCATATGAGCTAATGTACATTAAGGTCTTCAGTGTTTTGCATATTATCTAATAATATTAACTATACTCAGCACAAAGCACAGGGCCAAGCATACAAACAATATTGAAAAATGTGTGTTGAATGAAAACAGGAAGGAAGGCACAGACTCTGTCCTCCAGGCACGCTTGTCTTGGTAAAAATTTTAAGAAAAACTTCAGGATGGCTATAATATTCAACAGAATGAGAAAAGTGCCCTAAACAAGGGGGAAGGAAGGATCCATCAGGATCTGAGAGGGGATCATTAGTGGCCCTGTGGATAATTAGTGGCCCTGTGAAGGATGTATGAAATCATGGCCTCTGAGATGGGCCTTAAACAACCAGTTGGATTTTCAAAGTGGACACCAAGGCAGTTTGGGTGGAAAATGTACTTGAGCAAAGGAGTGGAAGCAGGAATATAGCTGGAATCTGGACAATGATGATCAAGGGAAAGGAAGAGACACATATAAAGGTTGATTATGCTCAGATTTTGAATGCCAGGATAACAAGTTAATTGAGTAGGCAATAGGAAGCCCTCAAAGATTTTTTTAGTTGAGTAAATTACACAACCAGAGAGAATGTTTTAGGAGTACTGATTGGGAAACAACAGATTGGAGACGGTGGGAGGCAGGGAAACTAGTGAGGATATTACTGTCATACACTAGGAAAGAGGTGAAGGGGCCCTGCCCTAGGTAGGTGACAGAAGGGACAGAAAGGAAATGAAGGCTACAAGATGTATTGTAGGGGTGAAATTAACAATATTTAGTAGCAAGGGGTAGGGGAAAACACAGATTCCAGGCTTTCCTACTGAATAGCTGTGGGACTTAGTGAAATTCATTTAACTTTTCTGTGTCTCAGCTTCCTCATCTATAAAATGGAGCTAACTGACTCAGAAAAAAATCTTATGAGGCAACCAACGTTTTGGACTACATAGAATTACTATGACTCTTATTGGCATGTGGATGTATAAGAGCTGTTTGGTTGCAAGTCACAGAAACACAATTCAATTGAGCTTAAACTCCCCAAAAAGGCAGACTATATTTGTTCCCATGATCAAGCCAGGGAAAAGACAAGAGTAGCGCTGGCCTTGGGGACAGCTGGAAATCAGAAAGAAACACAGTGCTTTTAAGCATTCTTTCTTCCTCTCATCTGTCTTCTGTTTATGCGTCAGCTGTATTCTTTCCTGCTGGAGGCTGGCGTTCTCCATGTGCTGAGAAACTTTACTACAGGGCTGCCTCAAGTTCACATCCTTCCACGCCATTGATCCAAGAACAAAAAGGGTTTTCATCTCTAGCTCCAATGAGAAAAATTCCACAAAAGAATGTGAATTGGCCAGGTTTATATCTTATGAGAACTTTATATTTGGACCTACCTCCACAACAGTAGCAGGGATGGGATGAGGTGCTAGGAATGGTGGCTTCCTAGGGTCACATAGTCATGGTGGAATAGGAACAGTTTCTCAAAAGAGAGGTGGGGACCACAGACATAGCACCTGTGGAGACTTCTGGGACCAGGGCCACCACCGCCATGCAAGTCACAGAGTCAATAGAGGGGAAGAAGGAGTCAAGGCCACCTGATGGTTCAGGACTGGTTGTATCATTCAAAAAGAAACCCAAGGAAAGCTAGTGTAATGGGGAACATGCTCTGTGTGCTTGGATCCCTGCTGCCCCATACTTCTAGGGTGCAAATGCAGACCGTATTTCTGATGGCATTAACTCTATCCTCCCCCATCCCCAACCATGCCCCAGCATTTTTAACAGCTGGCTTACCTTGAGAAGCCGTTGGTACCACATGGTTCTGTTGCGCCTTCATGTTCTACTTTCTCAGTTCCTTGTGCAGTCCTCTGTGCAGGGTGTGTGTGGTTCTGTCCTGACCCTCTTTTCAGCTGTTGCCAAGAGGCACACGCTTAATACTTAGACACTTCAAACATGACTACAATGTGACTGAACTGTGTGCTTTATGCCAACTTATCCTCCCTTCCTCAGGTTATGTAATTTTTTTCTCAAAAGTATCAGAGTCAGATCAGAGCTGTGCAAGCCAGTAGCATCCCCTGGGCACTGCTGTCCCTGGCCTTGAACTTTTCTGGTTGGGCAACTACAGTAATACTTTGATGTTGATGACAATAATGACAACGATGATGGTGATGATGATGATGATGATGATGATGATGATGAAGAGGAGTACTATAACGATACGGAGAATTACTTAGTTTTCCACAGGACCCTTCTTTTCAAAGTGAGACCCAGTCACCACATTATCTCACTAGATCCACATGATGACTCTGGAAGGCAATAAAGGCCAGTGGAAATAACATAGCTGGCCAACTGCAAAGACTTGGGTTTGTGTTTCACTTCTATCATGCATGGGCAAGTCATTTCACCCCTCCAAGTCTCATTTTCCCTTCTATCAAATGGAATAATTATAGTGTCTGTTTCACAGGTTTCCAGGGAAGACTCATTGTGAAAAAACAAGGTGACAGGTAGTAAGTGTTCAGTAAACCTTTGTTTTTAACCTCGATGATGAAGGACATCCAGGTTCATGATTGCTCTTTTTGATATATTATCTTGGGCAAATTACTAAATCTCACTGTGCCTCAAATTCCTTATTTCTGTGGTAAGGAGCTATTAATAATGTACTCAATGTGTAGGGTTCTTGTGAATGCCAGATGTGTTTTGATTTGTAAAACACATAGAAGGGTACTTTGCCCAGGGTCAATGCCCAATCAATTAAGTTTCAGAATTAGGCAGAGATGAGTTTGAATGTCAACTTCACTATGCACTAGCTTTGTGACCTGGGACAAATTACTGAATCACTCTCAGCCTCACCTGCAAAATAGGAATTATCATGACATTTGCCTTCTACAAAGGTTGTGAGGACTCAATAAGACAATGCATATACAGTTCCTAGCACTGTGTCTGACACCAACTTGTAACTGATCTTATTTTTTTTTCTTCTTTTATTCAAAGGTAGTGACATCACAATAAAAAAAAAAAAGCCTAAACCCAACGATTGAAAAGGCTTGATTTGGTCAAAGAAATAAGACCTGTAGTGGCTTGAATGATGGACTTCTAAAAGGTATGTCCAAGTCCTAATTCCTAGATCTTATGATTGTGACATTATTTGGAAAAAGGGTCTTTGTGGATGTAATTAGGTTAAGGATTTTGACATGAAATTATTGTGGACTATCTGGATGTGCTCTAAATCCCAAGACAAGTGTCCTTTTTAGATGGAGGAAAGGGTGACTTGATACTGAGAGAGACATAAAGAAGAAGAGGGTGTGAAGATGACAGCAGAGATTGGAGTGATGTATCTATGAACATCAAGCATCACAGGCAACCATCAGAAGCTAGGAGGGAGGCAGCAGCCAATGGATTCTCCCTCAGAGCCTTCAGAAGGAACCACCCCACCAACACTTGGATTTCCAAGTGTGGGTACTTCTGGCCTCCAGATCTGTGAAAGAATAAATTTCTATTGTTTTAAGTCAATCAGTTTGTGGTACAGTGACCCTAGAAAACTAATACAGACCCTAGAAGGTAAGCTAAGAGATTAGTTGGGGCGGTGGAGATATTTTACCAAAGGTCTGACACAGCACCTCCAGCCCATGCCATTTTTCTGTTCGAATTGGGGATTGGAATGTGGCTGAGAAACTTCTAAGGGCCCTACAAGAAAAGGGGTTGAAGTCATTTTAGGTAGAAAAAAAGATTTCCACAAGGGAAAGAACTGCCTCCCACCCTGAGCAGGAATCATATCTCTCGATACCCTAAGGGGTTCCAAATAATCTAAGAGGTTGGCCATAAGAAGCCACTTGGGAAAATGAGGCTAGATAGAATAACCTGCGTGATAGAAGAGGCAGAAAAAAATGGACTCCATATGAAACAAGAAAAGATCAATTTACCCTCTTGGCTATGTTGCCATCTCACTACTTTTGAAAGTTAAATTCCACTTAGGAAAAAAAAAAACTACAACTTATTAATTGTCAAGTCTCTGCAGGCATCTGACACTCAATTTTGGATGTGATGGTGACAACTACTCTGAGAGGACAACAAGTATTATTGTTACTTTCATTTTACCAATTAGGTTACTGAGACCTAAAGTCTCACAGCTGTTGAGTGATGGAGCTGAATTTTAAAGTCACCTCTGAAAAGGTGAAATACATCTACAGATACATAAATGCATTTATCTGAGTGATAACAATTTTCCTCAGATATTCCAAGAATATTATGACTTATTGGCTGAAGAATTCTCACCGGAATCTTCTGTTCTTATTATCCTGGTCTCCTCTGAGGTGTCACCTTCCTGGGCAAGTCTTCCTTGACACTTCCCTCTAAAACAATCAAGCAAACAGGTTGGACAAGGTGCCTCCTCTCTGTACTCTATGCCACTGTTTCCAAGTGATTTCCATGCCTTATGGTCTGTTCATACTTATTCTTCCTCTACCAAACAAACTGTGAACAACTCAAGCACAGGTACTATATTCTCTCCATCTGCATATCACTGGCATCAACCACAGGGCCTGGTTTATGGGAAGAACTCAGCAGTGTCAGATGGATGGATGGTTGGGTGGATGGATGGGTTGGTGGGTGGATGGTTGGATGGATGGATGATGGCTGATGAATGATAGCTGAATAGATGATGGGTGATAGATGAGAGATGGTGGCAGAGTTTTTCCAAGGTCAATAGATCCAGGCTTCTTTCATGGTTTGAAGCTCATGATACATTAAGAAAACAAGTGATGCCAAAATAGAGTCACAACACTTGTATTATGTTTAAAATATTAACATAGTAACAATTTTAACATGCACTTAAAATATCACTGTAGTTCATAACATCATTTGGATTAAATGTATTATTATCTATAAAGGGCTCAGAATAGGGTCTCATACCTAGCAAGTACCATGTGGCTGTTCTTGCTGTTGTTGTCATTATTGTCAGGTAATGACTAGTCAAATATTTAATTTTGAGGTCCTCTGTGAATATGCGGGTAAGACCTAGATTCCTCCTTCTTTCGCCTTCCTCACTACATTTAATCAGCCCTGGTTGGCTAAATAGAAGGATGACTCTTTTCTTTGAGGAGTAGTCCCCATTTAATCCCTTTGCCTCATTCCTGAAAGCCCTTATTGTAGATGTATGTTGGAAGAAGTTGGTTTAGCTGATAAAGTATATATTACATTTGGTGAAAACAACAAATCAGCTTAGTAACAGCTGCGTAATAGTAGAAAGAACACTGGTCTTTCAGTCCCAATATCTATCCCTGACTCTGTTCCTAAGACACTATGAAACTTTGAGCCAACTCTTTCTCCCCTCTGGGCCTCAGTCTTCTTATCTGTAAGACAGGGAAGAGAATCAGACCAGATTACCCCTGTGGCTCACTTGAGTTTTGGAAATGCTATGAATCTCTGAATCTACTGGTAAGGCAGAGTGATCAGAACAAGAAGACCAGTAACAGTCCTAGATTCCTAGGCAAGTAGGATGGAGAAGGTCATCAGGCAATTACAAGTGACCTCAAGCAGTGAGGAGGTGCACAAAGATAGCATGGTTTACCTCTGTTTACAGGCTTTCCGGCTAAGGGTGTTCTAATGAGTGAACAGATGCTTTTAGAAAAAGGCCTTGGCTTTTCTTGTCACCTTGGGGTGTGTATGCTTGTGGGAAGGGGGGTAGAGCAGAAAAGGAACTACCACTTTTGAGTGTCTACCATGAACTAGGTAGGATGCTAAGTATTTACAAACACAATATTATTATCTGCATTTTACAGACAAGAAATCTGAAGCTGAATGAGATGGAATGACCCCAACAGGCTGATAGACAACTTTTCAGTTTCTCATTTCTACTCTCTGACTTCCCTAGTAATACGAGAAGCCAGACTCTGCCTGGTGGTACTCTGTGGAACATTTTATCCTTTGTAATAGCAAATATTTATGAAGGAGTTTGGAACAGCAGAACAAAACACACAAAAACAAACAAACTATGCACACTTGCTTAGTTCATGACACATGCATTTTGCTGCTCCCCAGCACATGACCAGCTTCAGGCCCTGCTTTTTTATTATTATTTTTTGAGACGAGGTTTTACCCTGTCAACCAGGCTGGAGTGCAGTGGCATGATCACAGCTCACTGTGGCCTCGAATTCCTGGGCTCAAGCAATCCTCCCATCTCAGCCTCCCAAGTAGCTGGGACTACAGGCATGCACCATCATGCCTGGCTAATTTTTAAGAAAAAATTTTGTGGACACAGGGTCTTACTAAGTTTTTCAAATTCCTGCCCACAAGTGATGCTTCTGTTTTGGGTATCCCAGCAGAGGAGCATTTTTCTCTTAGTTCTGTGAAGAATTTTGTCACTGTCCCAAACACAAAGCAATAATCCCTGAAGGACATGCGGATCGTCTCAAGGAGGTCTCCACCAATATTCCTCTCCCATCCACATCCAAGGCTGTTTCCTCATCTCCTGCCTTGACTCATTCCCCTCAAAATTTTCCATGTGTGTTATTTTCCCCAGTCTTGTCCTCTGGTGAGTGCTGGTGAGCGCACTTTGGTTATTTCTGCCTACCCAGCATTAACCTCCCCATCTTCTGATGACATTAACTTTTCATTGAGGAGTCATTTGGCCTCTCTTCTCACTCCAACTAGTTTGGGTGGGATTCATGCCCATCCATCCCTCAGGCATAGGCATGTGGGCCTGGCCTGGCCTATTGATAAATTCCAGCCACTTCTCCACATTGATGGTTTAGGATTAAACATGGAACTCAATCCAGCTCAATGGAACTCAATTCTAGAGTTTTGGTTGGAATTATTGGAAAATAGATCTCTTTTTAGTAGATTTATATCTCTGAGGTTATCAGAAAGGGGCCAGTCTGACAGGGAAAGCCTGCTGAAATTGGGCTTCTGTTATTCGCAATCAACAGAGAGAAGTCCCTCTCTGCTATTCTCCCTCACCTTTCCAACCACAAATACATTGGCCCTTTGATAAGTTGCCCTGATGACATGCAGACCTCAGCCTGAGAAACCTAAGCAGCTCCAAAGCTGGTTTCCTCCTAAGGCCCATGCCGTACACCTCTGTCTCTGCCTTTATGGATTCTCCCACCAAGAGAGCTGTTTTCGTCTTTTACCTTACCCCCTAACCTGTACTCCCCACCTCCAGCATTGCCAATTTTATTGCTGATCCAAGCTTCTAGTAACAAACGTCTGCTGCTTCCCTTGCAGATTTCATATTCCCAGATGGCAATTTCTGTGTCTATTGAAGGCATTTGATTAAATTTATTTAAATGAAGGATCATATGGCTTGTAGAAGGCTAGGCCCCATCATTTACTATACCTGGCACTTTGAAATGCTTAGATATATAACAAATGATAACAAATAAAAGTAGTTCCTCTAAGACGACTTGTTTTGTATGGCATGTTTTGTATTTCTGGAAAGGGCATCCAGACAGCTTTAGATTGGAACTTTAGGTGATGTCTAGAGAGATTTAGAAGGTGCTGCTGTTTCTTTTGTTTACTTAAAATAAGTGATATCACTTTATATCTTCCACTAAGTGCTCGCTGTGTCCCTTCTCTGTGCCAAGCCATGTGCTAAATGCTAGGGGTACTGAGAGGTAGAAAAAGAGAGAGAGATGAACAAAGAAGGTACATACAGTCCCCAAAGCACACACATTGAGTATTTGTTAAATGACTTGGACAGGTTACTTAACTTCTCTGGCCTCAGTCTCCACATCTGTCAGCTGTTTCATTTCCTGTCTTTGTCATAGTAGTGTCGTGGAGAACAAATGGGCTCATGACTGGGAAAATACGTCAAGTTTCTCCAGGTGGGAGGTGGGAATGGGAGTAGCCTGGTAGTCGGTCTTAGAATTTCCAGACTGATCCAGAGTCTCCTTGTTTTTGACTCTACCTGTTTCATGCTGCCCAAGGGCTGAACCTATCCATACAAGGTCCCAGATAAGGAACTCCTGGAGAACAGAGATCACAGGGAGCACAGACCCAGCATGATCACCTTAGATATACTCACAGGGGCAGGAATGAGGAGTGGGGCACCATGACACCCCAGGTTGCTCAGTGATTTAGCCTACAGATTGCTCTAAATGAGAGGATGTTAGACAAACTTAGCCTTCAGCCTGGTGAAGCCACTACATCCTTACTGTACTGCTCAGCAAAATTGGACATGGAATTCCAAAATTTATCTCATGACCTTCACTCACTCCTAAATGTGTTTGCTGCAATCCCTACTGCTACCATTTTTTGGCTGCTCCAGCCAAAACCTAGGAGTCATCCCTGACTCCTCCCACTCCACCCCTGCTTCCAAATAGGCACCTAATTCTGTTTATTATAGTTCCTAAATTTTTATCAAAAGTGTCCACTTCCCTCCATCTTCATTCCATCCCCCTATTCCAGGCCACTGTAGTCTCTCACCTGGCTCTGTAACTCTCAGTCATTTGGTCCCCTGCTTCTTTTCCTATCTCCACCATTCAAGTTCCCACAATGTTGTCAGTAGGATATTTTAAAAATGCAAATCTGAGCATATCAACACTTTGCTTAGAACAATTTAATGGCTTCCCACTGCCTTCAGAACAAAGTGTCTACTCCTTACCATGGCGCATAAGGCCCTGTATAATCTATTCCTTCTCTGCCTTTCTAACTTCATCTCATGCCATGCTTGCCCTAGTTCTCTGTGCTCCAACTACATTAACCTTCTCTCGAGGTTTTCCCCAATTCAGAGTCTTCCTTTTACTTGAGAGGATTTCCTTTCAATCCCCACCACTTCACCACAAATTTCCTTTAGTTTCTGTTTTCAATGGATATATTACTTCCTCTTAGAAGCCTTCTCTCTATGAATGCTCAGACTGATGAATGCTCAGACTGGGAAGATCTCTCTCTCTCTCTCTCTCTCTCTCTCTCTCTCTCTCACACACACACACACACACACACACACACACACCCTCAGTATCCCATATATCTCCTTCTTAGCATTTCTCAAAGTGGAGTGAGATGAACGTGCAATTAGTTGTGTATATACTGCCCCCATCTTTCCCACCTTGAGCTTTCTGAGGGTATTGACCATGGTGTTGCCCACTCCTGGGTCTGGAAGAACTAGTCAGGGCCTAGCATGAGCTTGGCCCTAAGCAGGAGCACTCTGACTCATCTAAGTGCTATTAGTTTACTAAACCAAGTGACTTCAACCCCTCTGTTTGCCATAGCCGTGAACCTGAGAAAAAGTTTCAATAAGTCCATTGGGAGCTACCTTTTCTGCCTCAAATCTTATGCTGTATATCTATCCTACTTCAGGCCACCATCGTCTATCTCAGCTACACTCCTACAACTGCCTTCTAACTGGTTTCCTGCGTACCTTTGGATAGCTTTTTCTCCTCAGATTCTCTTCCACCCACCTTAGACCTTGATCTGAAAAACTCCTCACTGTTCCCACTGGAGTCCCCTCTTTTTATGTCACTGCTATGCTTATGCCTATGCTATTTTTTCCACTGGAATGCCCTTTTCTGATATCTTAGCCTGTCTAAATTTTATTCAATCTTTAAGATATATTTTAACTGACACCCTCTGTATTTAGTCTTCTCTAATTCTCTCCTTCTCTTAGCTGAAAGAGTTCTTTCTCCTGCTCTGAACTTCACTGGCACTTTATCAGCACTTCTTCATGGTTCTAGTTACTTTCTTCCTTCCTATATTATAGTTGTGAATGAACATGTCATCTCTATGATGACTACTTATCAGGACACTGGGAGCAAAAGGCTATCTTTATAGCTGCCATGGTACCTTGCACAGTGCCTGCCACATCAAAGGGGCACAATACGCATCTGTGGAATGAATTTCTTCATCAATCCTCCTTCAGCCTCCTCCTCCTCCTCCACTTAGCTGCCTACTCATATATGCTGTATTAGTTTTCTAGGTCTGCAATAACAAAGTACCACAGACTGAGTGGTTTTAACAGCAGAAATGTTTTGTGTCACAGACCTGGAGGCTAAAAGTTCAAGATCATGGTGTCAGCAAGGTTGGTTTCTTCAGGGGGGCTATGAGGGAAGGATATGTCCCAGGCCTCTCTCCTTGGCTTGTAGATGGCTGTCTTCTCCTTATCTCTCTTCACATTGTCTTCCCTATATATAATTCTGTTTCTGTGTCCAAATTTCCCCTTTTTAAAAAGAGAGCCGTCGTATTGGATTAAAGCCTACCATCCTAATGACAATCAAAAATTGTTCTTCAGGACCCAACCCTAATTAAATCCAACTCCAGTCAAGTGTTTACTGTGTGGGGGATACTGGACTAAGTGCAGCCGAAAGGAATAAATATGGATTTCTCTGTATTTGAGGATCTAATGATGAAATTACTATATGATAGTACCAGCATGATTGCTGGCATGTAGGGGGCATATTATACATGTTTGAAAAATAGGGTCGTGCTGTGGAAGTCAAAGGCCCCAGTTTTAGACTGTTAATTTTATCACTGTTTGCTGTGTAGCTTTGGGAAAGCACTTCCAGCCTCTCAGCCTGTTTCCCTATCTGAGGACCTTAGGACCCTTCCAGTTCAAACATCACCTGGTGAGTCTTTGATGGGGAGAGAAATGACATCAAGACCCACATCAGTCAGAGTTACTCCTGTCCTGCCTTGCAGTGCTCCAGCTAACTTGTTTCTGAACTTGTGGCTCTATGCTGGGGCCTCACATTACTTGATGTTGACCTCTCTAACTCAGGAGAGGGTGGGCTCATCAAAAATGGCTGTCAGTAAGGGTCTCCGGGGAATGTAGACTCTGGGAATTCCTTGAAGGCAGCTACCATACCGTGACTTCTATTTTAAAAATATGCATCTATTGTGGAAATTTTCAAGCACACACAAAACTAAAGAGAAATGTACAATTAACTACCCTATACCCATTATTCAGCTGCAACAATCATCAACTCAAGGGCATTCTTGGTTATTCTATATCCCTACCCATTCCCTTTAAGTTCAACCATCATGTCATTTCATCTATAAATGCTATGGTATATAACCCTAAATGGTAAGGTAATTTCAACACAGTAACTATATCACATCTAAAAAATTAAGAACAATTCCTTAACGACTAAATATCCACTCCCTCTTGTTTCATAAATGTGTTCTTGAATTTGGTATGTTTGATTCAGGATCCAAACAAGGTCCACACATTACATTTGGTTCATGTATATTTCAAATCTCTTTCAATCATTAAGTTTGCCCTCCTTTTGTTTCCTTGAAATTTATTTGTTGAAGAAACAGGAGAGCATAACATATTCATCTCTGCATCCCTGGTGCCTAGTGCAGTGGCTAGGAAATAATCAGAACTTAATGTTAGGTGAATGGATGATCAAGTTAGTGAGTCAGTGAGTTAAGGACCACCGCCTCATCATCCTGGCACAGTGTTTGAACGGGCTGTGTGCTTTCAGACATAGACAGCTCTCAGCTGTCTCTGCATGTTGTCCATACTTGGAAGAGTCTCTCTCCATTGATCCCTCAGTCTCCTGGTCTGCGAAGTGGAGCTGCTAATACCTGGCTTCTGCTGCAGTTCCTGGGGAGGTTGTGACAAAGGCTTGAATTTAAAAAATAAAACCGAAAACAGCTTTGAGCAATTGGTGCTATAAATACTAGAGGAGGAATTCTATTATTAAATGTCCTTTTGTTCATCGAAGCTTTCAGCAGAGTGGTGAGGTTGCTAAGTAGAGCCCCTTTCCACACTGCTTCCATGAATGTGGTGACTGGAACAGATACAGCCAGGAGCATGCCCTGGGGTGGGGAACCCTGGGGCAGGGAGTACTGGGCTCCCTTTAGACAAGTCTGCCCAGCTCTGGCCGGAGAAGCCCTGCAATATCCTATTCCATCCCGGCAAAAATAGAATAGCCAGGAGAATGCGAGGACTGAGACAACTGTTCCTGTTTTGAAAAGCATCGGAAGGATGTGGCTACAGGTGGGGGTTAATGTCTGCCCCTAAGAGCCAAGCCCAGCCAGGAAGCTGCAGGGCCTGCATGGTGGGGAGCTGAGATTTGGGCTGGATTCCTGACAGCACCTGTGACCCCAGCGTCTGGCCATGTCACTGGTAACAATGGAGAACTTCTTGCCTGGAAATTCCGCATGTGTTTACGAGTCAATTAGTTTTCATTCCAAACAAAGAAGATCAGAGAAGCTCTGATGAGAGGCCAGGATCTACTACAGAGAAGCTAATCACCAGTTAGGTCAGGTTTCAGCTTTCCCTGGTTTGGAGAAAATACCGTTCTGAAGCCAGTAGCCATGTGGTGTAGCTCTGATCCACACAAGCAGCCAGGAAACACTTCCCTTTGGGGCATCGTTCATCTAACCTGCACTCCCACAGGGGCTCTGCAGGAGGCTGTATTCAATATTTTCCTCTTACTTAACCTTTCTCCCTCTCCCCACAAACACACTTTCCACATGAAACCAGTTCATGGAAACCAGTACCTCTGGTCTATAACATATTGGGCATGCACGCAGAGTATGTGCCATGAAATTACAAAAATGACAACAGAACATAGGAGTTTGCAAAATGAGCAAATCACTAGGAATTTTTAAAGTAAATTTGAAAGTAATGAGGACCTAGTAGTCCCCATATGTGAAGTGGGAAGTTTGAAAGTTTCAGCCTTTTCTGAGCTTTCTGTGTACCCAAAAAGAGAAGCTTATTTTGGAAGTGGAATAACTATGATTTTTTTCCTCATCAACTCAAAAAGTGGTTGAACTGATTTAGCTCAAACTATAAAAAGACAAAAACCAAATGCGCCCTGGGACAAGATTTCTGTGTGGAATAGAATGGAAGTAACTAGAGGGGTAAGGCCATGAAAATAGAATACCTTAAAATCATATTCCTTCCTCTGATCTTTCAGATGTCCATTAGAGAATCTTGAGGCTCAGTTTGGGGTGTGAGGTTCTGAGTAAAATAGGTAAGTAATTCAAAATTAAACCATCTTTTTAAATAAGAGGTTACTAGAAGTTTCTAGGGATCTGAAATTATTTTACTAAACATTTTCATTTGATTTTATACAAAGCTACCAGCACAGCCAAGGTTTTCAAATCTGTTTAACAAACGGAATTAACTCTGTATTGGCCAATTAAGGAGAGAAGTGGTCTAGAATTTTTAAGAACACAAACTTTGGAGACAGACAGACCTACCTTTATACCCCAGCACTTCCTCTTGATAGGTCTTGAACTTGATATTGAGCCTCTGCTGTTGCTTCTGTGAAACTGAGATAAATTTATCACAGAAGGTTGTGATAACAACTAAAGAAAATGATGAAAATGAAACCCTTAGAATAATGCTTGACATATAATGAACACCCCTAAAATAGTGATTATAGTAACAGTAGTAGTATTCATAAAATTGGGAGTGCTAAATGATTTATCTTCATGCGCTTCTCTACCAAATCATCGAAATCAGTGTTTTCCAAAAAAGTAGAATTTTATGGTGACCAAGAGTAAAAAAATACATTTTATGCAGCGATTGAGTACACATGTACATAGAAGAAACAAAAGTTTTACAGAACATACTATGTGGAATACACTCCATTGCACATACTAACAGTGAGTATTTTCTGTGAAACTTTTAAAAATTATTTTATACATTTTATTTCTTTTCATTTTTTAATGCTGATTATGCCCCACTAGATAGATTTCATTACTGTCTAATGGGTCATAGCCCACAGCTGGTACAATACTTACCTAGATGAAGCCAGGGAAAGAAATTAGCACCCTCAGGAGCCCAGAGAACTGCCTCTTATGAATTAACACTTCTTGCCAAAGTTCAAAGCCAAAATAAATCTTCCTGGAATTTTTTTCCCCATTAAAACTCCCTCTTAGAACAATAAATGACAGCTGGAAAGTGACTAGGCACCAGTGCTCCTCATACTTTCACCTCTGGCCTGGCTCATGGATGATGACATTCTTTTCTAGACCCTTCTGGCAAGTCTGTCCAAGACCTGGGTTTGGCCTGTAGAATCTGACGTGTGTGTGTGTGTGTGTGTGTGTGTGTGTGTGTTTACAAATTGAGGGGAAAAAACAGAAAGATTTGCCAATTTCTCGATATTTCCCTCTCATGTCATCTACCTATCAAGTTTCTGCCAGATTGGAGGGGAATGCCCACTCCCCTGGGTAGTGACATTTTCCTTTCCAAAGGATCCTACCGCTCTGGAGATGTCTGAGACAGTGAGAAAGGGCCAAAGCACCAACAGCCGTGAGCTCTTTGCTCCACCTCCCTGGTTTGGTCCCTTCGCCTTGACAGAGCCTTGGTCCAGTAAGATGATCTGACCACAGCTGGTCTCCTACACTTAGAACAAGTTGGAAGCAAGAGAACTTGGGGAAGGAATTCAGTTTCACTAAAAATAGCTGCAATATAGACCCTGTGACTTACCACTCCTCAGAACAGTCTGATATGAACTGCATAGGGTCCACTGGCCCCTGCAATCACTCTGGACTATTTGCTTTTCCAGCCTGGAGCCCTTGAAGCCAGGAGGGGATTAGGGTGTTGGGGGTGCTTTGGCTCAGATGCAGACTATTGCAAACCGCAGAAACTCACAGTGACGACATGACCAAGAAGCTTCCTACCCCTGGCCTGGGAGCAAGTGACCGTGGGCGCTAATAACAACAGGGCCCTTTAAGATTTTGGTCCATGGTGGGATCTTGCTTGTTTCTCACCACCAGGCCCATTGCGTCTCCACTTCTAAGGTAGGTGAAACCAAACTCATTGGGAAAATGCTACGGGAATTGGTATCCTCTTAGGTAACCCAGGCCCAGGTTTCCTTGGCCTAGGGTGGGGAGACAAATGTCTGGGCAGGACATGGCCTACAAATAAAAATACAACTCCATGCTCCCAACACACTGATCAAGGCACAGTAATGTTTGGGAATTAATTCCTTTCCTTGTACCCTCTCACCCAAAAGCTAAGGAATTAGCTAAAAAGAAAGCACCTCAATGTTAAATTTAACCCTTTATCAACTACTCTACCTGGAGCTGCTCTATTCTAGGTGCCTTGTCCTTCCTGACTCATTACTGTGTGAATGTGAATTTGGATCAGAGCACTGGTTATCTGTGTTTTCCTTGTCTGCTGTGCAGTAGTGGAGAGTAATATAGAGCTGCACAGGGCAGGAATTCCTATAGTTCAGACAGACCTTGTGAAAGAGAGACTCCGACCCAGGTACACAAAAGACTTGCTTGGATTCCATTTCCTTCCTGAAATATTGCTGTCAGAACTCATCTCTGATTTCTGGCCTGTTTATAGCAGTGGGCATTAGGGAAGGAGTTGGAATTGAAGGGGAGCTAGAAACTTCTGGGGGTGAGGTTAGACACCCTCTGAGAGGAAAAGAAGCAAGCTTGGCTGTTGGAAGGTTAAACACTAGCAATTTCTTGCTCAAAGTTGACTTTTGAGCATTTGCTAACAAATTACTATGCCAACATTCCAACTAGCCAAACTGAGGTGTTTTCATGAAAATGAAGAGACACTTTAGTAACAGATATACTTTACTTAAAGGAAAATGACAATCTTAAAATATCACATGGCTTTAGGAAACAAACCTTCAGCCTCAGAATCATCTGTGTCTGTGCATTTTTTAGAAAGATGAATTAGACTGATCCTTGAACTTCGTTTCCCCTGCCCACTTTTTTCCTTTTGCCCATCTTCAAGGTAGATGGTGTGCAAATAACACAAACTTAAAATCTTAAAGCTAGAAGAAATCTTGGAAGTCATATAGTCTAATCCTTATTGGAGCTTGAGTTGAGATGAGTGACCATCTGGTTTCTACCTATATTGGTGCCTCAATTTCCCCTGCAACCTCAAAAGGGCTACCTGGTAGATATGTCCATCCTGAAGCCATGCTCTATCAGCATCACATCCTACTAGCACTATCTCTTTTCCAATATTACCTTACGGTCATTCATTTTGCTATAAATCTAGAGGAAACTTAAATATTTTGAATTATTTTTCCCATGTTCTATTTGTACAACCATATATCATCACTAATACCGGCATTAAATTGTTTTGTCACATGTTATGGAAAGTTGTCAGGGGTTTTACATTTAAATTGGGTGTTTATTTAATAGAAACACTCCAAAGAAAGTGACTTCTTTTTCTTCTGCTGAACAAAGAGATTTGCAGGAGGTTGCCTCTGAATAGTCTACTTGCTTAGTACTTTGCATAGTGACTCCACTAATAAAATTTCTACATACAAACAACTTTTTAGGAATGCATTTGTCAGTAAAGGAGTGGTTCCCAAACTCCATTTTATGAACCAATGCCAGGCTGGCTATCCAGGAATCACCTAACAAGGTTGTTTAAAGATGTCATTTCTGATCCACATCCCTGGAAATTCTGATTCAGAAAGTCTGGGGTGGAGCCCCAGAAGCTAGACTTAGCAGGAATCATTCTGAGGCATGGCTAAGTTTGGGAAGCACTGTGAAAGTCTAGGCTGTCATATTTTTGTTTTGTCTCATATCTCTTAATTTTTTTTCCCTTTGGGATAAAGTTCAAATTCTTTAACTCAGCATCCCCCAAGCCCTCCATGATCTAGCCCTAACCTATCTTTCAAATCTTATTCCTCATTGTTCCTCTTCACCACTTCCAACACTCATGGTCGAATTGAACTGGCCACTGTCTTCTATTTTGCTTTTATGCCTGGAAACTTTACTCATGCTATTGCCCTTGACTACGTGTCCTTCCCCACTTCTCTGCACACCCAAATCTACCCCATTTCTCATGGTCTATACTATAGGGTGCATAAGATTGATGTGGAAGGCTTCTTTAAAATGCCAACTCCTGGGTTTCACTTCTGGGGTTTCTGATTCAGTAGATCTGGAGCTCTTAAGAACCTCAGAGAATCTGATGCTGACCACGCATTCAGAAACACTGCATTTAGCTCAAATGCCATCTCTTTACAAAACCATTTCTGGAAATGTTTGCCCTTCCCTACTACAACTCTTATAGTATTTTGTTTGTAGCTCTATGATTTAACACTTCGCTCTTTACCTTGTATTTGATTTATTCATGTATGTCATCATTTTCCTCACTCAACACATATTTATTGGATATCAAAGGCATATCTTTCCTTCAAGAACTTAAACTCTTTGAGATAGGAGATCTCTGCTTATTTGTCGCTGTAAACTTAGGCATGAATCTGGTCTGTGTCAATGGGGGTGGTAAAGTTTAAATCTCTTTGCTGTAGATGGGAGGGAGGATAGAACCTGTCCCAAGATGAGACTTTATTTTCCCAAGGAGATGTGTACATGAGGCAGGTCTTTTCCCTGTCTGCATGTCCCAGATCTGAGATTTATGCACAAGAGTAGGATCTCAGAAGCCTTCTGCAGTTGGGCAGTCTCAGAGCACAGTGATGACTGGATTCCAGGGAGTCTCTTGGCTTAGATAGGATGGGAAGCACCTGGCACTTCTAAATACAGTAGTTCTGCCCTATGCGGATCCCTCCCACCATAAGGGAGGGATCAGCACAGTATCAAGGGGTACAGAGGAGGGGCAAGAGATATTTGGTGATGAGGATCTGGATGGACTTACCTTGGGACAGGCTTCCCTTCTTTGTCTCACCTGAAGCAGGAATTGCAAGTTCTTTGAAATTGTTTTTGAAATGCTGAGGCTCCTGAATTATTTTTAATATACTTTACATATAATATATATGTAATAATCCATACTACCAGCTGAGTATTATATTTCCATATTGCCAGTCTCATATAATTATATAAAACATGTGTATATATATATATATATATATATATACACATATGCCCATGCCTGTCTTTTACTATAGATTATTTTACAGAAATTATGTCATGTTACTCACACATTTTTGTATCTTACTCTTCTTGTCTTTTACTAGTTATGTGGCCTTAGATTCTCTGAGCTTCAGTTTCCTCATCGAGAAAATGAGGATTATAATAGAACCTATATCATAGAGTTGTTGTGAGCAGTCAACTAGTTAAAATATGTAAAGCACTTAAAAGAGTACCATATATGAATGTTTGCTATTATCATCGTTACTATTACTCCCATTCAATAAAACCTACAAGTCAACAGCAATCTCACTATTTCATTCTTTTTAATGGCTGCACAGCATTTTGTGATATAGATGGAGAATAATTTATTCAACCATTCCACTTTTAGTGGACATTCACTTTATTTCCAATTCATATTTTACCACTAAAAAGCAACATAGCAATAAACACATTTATATATATATATACCCTTACATGCTGTTGGTTTTTTCAGTCTGAAACAGGTTCCCAGGAATGAAATAGCTGGGTTGAAGGGTATATGCATATTGTTTTTAATTTCATCAAATGTTGACTTATTGCTTTTTAAAAAGCATATAACATATTTACAAGTCTACTAGTAATTTATGAGAGTACAAATTTCCCCCTTGCAACCCCACCAACAGTTTATCTTACTGCTCTTTTTAAATTTTGTAAGTCTTATGGATAAAAATAAGTCATCTCATTGTTACATTAACTTAAGTTTCTCTGTTTACTTATGAGTCTGAGTATCTTTTGAAAAAAATCATTGGCCATTTGAATTTGCTTCTCTATGAAGTGGTTCTTCCCACTGTTTGCCTGTTTTTTGAATAGGTTGTTTTTCTTTGTCAATTGTTAAGAGGTCCTATAAACCCCTCATCTGTTCTCTGGGTGCGACTATGTTTCCAATTCCTTGTTTACCTGTTGATTTAATTATTATGTCTTCTGCCAAAATTTTGAAGAATTGTATATAGTCAAATATCTTAAGGTCTCTCCATTTCTAGATTGTGCATGTTGTTCCCTAGATTTTCTTGCAGGACTTTTACTGTTTTTACATTAAAATATGTATTTATCTGGAAACTATATTGCTTTTAGGTATAAAATAGAGGTCCAACTTTATTTTAAGTTAATAGCCAGCTGCATCCACACTGTTCATTAACAATCCATCTCTTCCCCACTGAAATGAAACATCACCTTTGTCATGTATTAAATGCTTATATATGCTTTCCAATTTTGCATTATCTATTTTGTTTCTTTGATCTAATTGTCTATTACTCCCATGCCACTGCCATGTTTTGATTTAATTACATTGACTTTAGAGTATATTCTGGTATCTGGTTAAGATATTTCTCTCTCATTATTATTATTTTTCATTACTTTTCTAGGGTATTTATTCTTTTATATAAGTATTAAGATTATATTGTATAAATGCCCTCTTTTTTTCCCCTAAAAAACCACACTGGCAATTTTCAACTGGAATTTAAAAAATAATATTGACTTTGGGAGAATTGAGGTCTTATGATATAAAGTTTTATTATTCATTCGTTCATTCCTTATTTTCAGATTTCGTTTTACATCCTTCAATAAGGTAGAGCAATTTTCTTCATACTGGTCTGATGCTTTTCTTGTTAAATTCAGTCCAGTGTATTACACAGGTTATTTTCATTATTGTGAATATAACGTTTCTCATTTCTATTTCTTGGTGTTTGTTGTCTGAATAGAGATACACTATTTGTTTTATAGTAACCTTGTATTCCTTTATGGTACCACATTCTTTGAATAAGTCTCATAGATTTTACTAGAGTGTTTCGTTTTCTAGCTATACAAATATACCATTAGCAGACAAAGAAATAGATAGCATTTCTGATGTTTGTATTCATTTATTTTTTGGTCTTTTTATTAACTAGACCATCCAAGGCAATGTTGAATAATAAACAAAGATAAGAGGCATTCTTGTCTTGTTCTGAATTTTATTTGAACAGGTCAGTGCTTTGCCATTTGGGATTATATTTCACATCCATTTTTGGTAAACTGTACTATTTTAAAAGGTTTTATTTTAATCTTATTTAACTTAGAAATTTATTAGGAAGGTAGCTGAATTTTATTAATTGACTTTTAAGCCTTTCTTGATATCATCACTCATATGGTTTTCCTCTTTAAGTTATTGATGTAATTAATTATGTTGATAGATTTACTGATACTGAACCTCCTTTGCATTTCCAAATTCAATTCTATATGTCAGTTAGTAATATCTATGAAACAAACCAGCCAAAATCTCAGTGGCTTTAAAAACAACAATCATTTGTTACTGCTTGTGTGTCTTCAGGTTAACTGGGGTCTGGCTGATCCAGTTTGGGTTGAGCTGAGTGGCTCTGATTGTCACTGTAGGTCTGTTGGTCTGTTGGAGCTGCTTTACTTCAGGCTGTAGTGGCAAGTGCAGCTCTGCCCTAAGTAACTCTTATCCTCCTGACAAGGCAAGTAGGCTAGCCAGGCTAGTCTCGAGGTGACTGCAGAGACACAGGAGGGAAGGAGAAAATGCACAAGGTTTCTTAAGGCCTAGCCTGGGAAGTGGCATTTGGCTGATTTCAAAGTTAAGGGACAGGGAAATGTACACCATGTAAAAATACCTGGACACAGGGAGGAGTGAAGAACTGGAACCAATACTGTAATCCACCACACTCTAGTTGGTTATAATTATACTTTATTGAAAGATTGTGGCCGGGTGCGGTGGCTCACGCCTGTGGTCCCAGCGCTTTGGGAGGCTGAGGCGGGCGGATCACGAGGTCAGGAGATCGAGACCATCCTGGCTAACACGGTGAAACCCCGTCTCTACTAAAAATAAAAAAAAAGAAATAGTCGGGCGTAGTGGCGGGCGCCTGTGGTCCCAGCCGCTCAGGAGGCTGAGGCAGGAGAATGGCGTGAACCTGGGAGGTGGAGCTTGCAGTGAGCCGAGATCGCGCCACTGAACTCCAGCCTGGGCGACAGAGCGAGACTCCGTCTCCAAAAAAAAAAAAAAGAAAGACTGCTGAATTGTATTTGCTAATGTTTTATTCAAAATGTCAACATTTACACCCAAGAATTAGTGTCTATAGATTTCTTTTTTGTGGTCTTCCTTCTAGGTTTGGATATTAAATTTAGGTTGGCTTTATAAAAAAGAATTAAGGGGCTTTATTTTTTATGGCCTATAAGAATTTAAATGACAGTAAAATTACTTGTTTTAAAAGAAAAAAGTTGAATCGGAGCAAATGATTCTCTGCTATGATGACTGTTTCAGTGGTAGATGTTTATTCACGATTTAATTCTTTTATTTGATAATTGACCTATTCAATTTTTATTCTTGTGGGGTTAATTTGGCTTTCTAAAAAATCATCCTTTTTCTCTAGGTTTTCAAATGTGTTGTTACAGAGTTTAATGTACTTTCTTATATAATTATTTAAAATTGTCTCATCTGTGGTTATGTCTGTTTTTTCATTTCAAGTCTTGTAAATATTTATTATTTTTTTCTTAATTAGACTTGCAAGATGATTATCTGTTTTATTTCTCAAAGAACAATTTTTGGCTATTTCATTAATTCCAGCTTTTATGTTATCAAAGCCTTTCCTAGTTCTTTTTAGTTTTATTTGTGGTTCTTTTCCAAATATTTTAAGATGAATTTTAAGCTCATTTACCTTCTCACCTTTGTTTATTAATACTGAAAACATTTAAGAATAGAATTTTTTCTCACTCATAAGTGGGAGTTGAACAATGAGAACACATGGACACAGAGAGGGGAACATCACACACCGGGGCCTGTCGGTGGTGTGGGGAAAGGGGAGGGAGAGCATTAGGACAAATACCTAATGCATGTGGGGCTTAAAACCTAGATGACGGGTTGATAGGTGCAGCAAACCACCATGGCACATGTATACCTATGTGACAAACCTGTACGTTCACCACATGTATCCCATAACTTAAAGTAAAAAAAAAAAAAAAAAAAAAAAAGGAATTTTTTTCTGAGTACAACATTCTTTGCGCCACATAGGTTTTGGAATAAAATGTTCTTTTTAATTGCTGTTTACATAGTTTATAATTTCACTTTTGAATCAATGGTGTTCTAGGAGTGTATTTTGTAATTTCCTCTTTTTCTTTTCTATTTTATTTTAGATTCAGTGAGTATATGTGCAGGTTTGTTACATGGGTAAATTGCATTCACTGAGGCTTGTTGTAAGAATGATTCTGCTACCAAGGTAGTGAGCATACTATCTGACAGGTAGCTTCCCAACTCATGTTCCCATCTTTGTGTCCACATGTATTTAATGTTTAGCGCCCACTTATAAGTCAGAACTTATGGTATTTGGTTTTATGTTTCTGCATTAGTTCACTTAGGATAATGGCCTCCAGCTGCATCCATGTTGCTGCAAAGAACATGACTTCATTATTTTTTATGGCGGTATTATATTCCATAGTGTATAGGTACCCCATTTTCTGTATCCAGTCTGCTGTTGATAGGCATTTAGGTTGATTCCATGTCTTTGCTATTGTGAATAAAGCTGCAGTGAACATACAAGAGCATGTGTCTTTTTGGTAGACTGATTCATTTTCCTTTGGGTATATACTCCAAACAGTTATTTTTTGCATATTTTAAATTATTCATTTAAATTTTATAATTGTTATGCTCAGAAAAGCTATTTTCCATTATCTTTGACCAAAAAAAAAAATCACAGATTTTCCTATATTTCTTCTCTTTTCTCCTTCTAGGAGACTTATTATTTTTCAGGATCTATCCTCAAAGGTTCTTATGTTTCTCTTCATCATTTCATTGTCTTTATATTTTTGACTTTGTGCTTTGTGATACTTCTTCCACTTTATCTTCCAGGCCACTGTTTTGGGTCTCAGCAATAATCCTCTTCGTCTTAAGTGCATCTACTGAACTGTTTATTTGGGAAATCACATTTTTGTTTGCAGTTCTAGAAAGTCTATTTTTATGCTGTGCATGTATCTCCTTATATGCTCCTATTTTGTTATCGTTATTGGTAGTGATGGTTTTCAAGTTGTCACTTGTCTCTCCTCACATCAGTTTAATTTTTTTTAGGTATACATTGCTCAATTTACCTCTCTCTGGTTGGTGATTGCTGAACCCACAGAAATGGTTATAAAGCATTTTGTTGTCAGCACATTGAGGTCAGCTCATATTAGAAGGGGAGCTCCCCAAGGGGTTGTAAGCCATTGAGTAGTGGGATACTAGAAACTAGTACCTGGAGAAAGCTGCTGTCTTCCCAGGTCTACACTGACCCTGTCTGTTCCTTTAGTTCATTCCTTCTTGGCCTCTTGAAGGTCTAGGAGACCAGGAACACAAGTATAATGTTGTTTTCCCAATCTCCTAGTCTGTTTGTGCTGGGCCTTTCTAGTGCTGGATCCAGGCTTTGCTCAAGGGGCAAAGCCTGATAACACTTATTTTTATTAAGTCTTCTGCAACGTCTAGGACCCTACTCATATCCAGTTCTTCTCCTTAGGCTTCAATAGCCATTAGGTTGAGGAGAAGCAGGAAGCCTGGAGCTGACAATGGGAAACAACACATGCTTAGTTGGTATCTTCCCAGAGCCCTCTGTGGTTTCTAAAGAAGAAGAAAAAAGGCCTTTTAATGGATTTTAGTTACATTACTTCCTAGGGCGTCACTTTATAATAACACAGAACTAGTGGTGAAATTCAGGGTGGGTACCTGCATCAGTTTGGGTACAGTCATGAAAATAGAGCCACTAAAATGTTAACAATGATAAGGAATTTAATATATTTTAGAAACTGGATTCATAAAAAGTGGGAGCTAGAGAGTGAAAGTCTGGAAGATTCATGCTGGAGGATCACACAAATGTCTCTAATGACTTTAACTTGAAACACTGGAGGAGGTGAGGAAACAAAAGCTCACAGGAATTCTGAGAAGTCACCAGGTCTAGTTGCATAAGGCTAATCGGAAGTGGACGTCATAGAGAGATCTGTGAAGCCACACTATCTGACTGTCACAGCCTCCTGAGAACAATGACTTCTGCTTCACTCCCACATTCCAAGCCTTGAGTGAGTTTCTCTCAGTGGCAAAGTCTAACTTGGAACCATATAAGGAAAGAGCTTCTGAAAACCTACTTCCCAGCCTTAACCAGAAGTGGTCCCTGAGTTGACATCGGACAATCCAGCACAGTACCCCAGAAGAAAGAACAAAGACTAGCAGTGTAGGATTATGAGTGTGGCTAAGGAAGCCTCTGAGAGGACTCCTCTGTCCTTAGTCACAGTGCCATAGCTTTCTTGATTGGTGTGCTTTGATGTGGTTCTCAGAAATGTCCTCTTCACTACCAAAAAAGACAGAGCATCACTCAGTATCCATGGATTCTTTCAGAATCCTCTGGCCCATGCCAACCGCAGCCTTCTTGACAACGTCAGCATCTGATATGCAAAAAGTATTGGATTTTGCAACAGAAAGACCTGGGTTCAAATACTGCTAGTGCTATTCCATAGATATGGGAACCTGAGCTGGTAATTACCCTTTCCAAGCTCTTTTCATTACTTGTAAATCAAGGCTGACACTGTGTAATACTGAGAAAAGGTACAAGGACGAAATGACAGTTTATATAAAGCACGATATATTAATTACCTCATTTATTTTGGGTCATTAGTCTTGCTGCCTTGACAATGCTTCTGGTGTATGCCTAAAACAAAGGAAAATGATGCTGTTGTTTCTTTTCTTTTATAGTAAGTGGGGACCCTCCAGGGAGATTCTCTTGTGCTGTCCAAGCAACAGTAAGGCTCCTATTATTGATCTGAGTTGCCTCCCCAAAGCAGACAACAGTGATTCCTTACCTTGCAGGCTGGGTGATGTAGGGAGGGAAAAGGCCTTATAGAATAGAGTGGAATAAATACAGAAAAAAATGTAATAAGAAACAATCATGCAAGATCCTCATAGTGGGAGAGGGGATGAGAACATGGAAAGGGAAATAGCAGCAGAGACTGCACTGGGAGAAGTAGAATGGGGAAGAATAAAGAATCCCACACGTGGGATACTGAGAAGAGTACATGAGTAGGGAGGTCCCTTAGAGAAGACCACAGTTAGCTACAGTATGGCAGGTACAGTTATGACAACAGTGTAATGGGTAAAGTCACTTCAGCCATGTGCCAGACACATCCATTCTACACCATGTAAAATCATACCAAGTAGGTTACAGTTTCAAGTGAAGGAAAGTATAGGTCTAAGTGTCTCATCATGAGAAACCCAGCTTGTTATTTCTTGACCATCTGTGAGTCACTTCTCTTTCTCTAAAATGTAACAGTTGTATACAGTACCAGCTGTGTATAAGGGCTCTTCACATGTCCCAACCCCTAGCACTCCAAAGAAGGCTCCAAGAAGCTACCCAAGAAGACAAAGGATCAGAAGCAAAACGACTGGCAATGCAGTGAAGATCATTTAAACTATCAGAGGAAGAGGAAGATTCCCAGAATCTTTCTTTACCAAAATCGTGGGCAATAAGACAGGGTTGGAGAGAAACAGAGAGAGAAGGTGTCACAGATGGGAATGTCTGAAAGCAGATGGAGTTTGTGGTGGAAGATGTTTTCATTAGGGATCAACAACTGTGAAAGGAAGTGGGAGGAGGCTGAGTTGGGCAGAGGGAGAAGTTGAACTGTGAAGCAGGACTAACGAAGCCTTAGCCTACCCGGCAGGGAGCTCTGGAGTGAGTATTGTCTGTCAGAGTGCCTGTGTTGATCTAAAATGGCCAGGCTTTGCTCATTCATGGAATGTGGGCTGACCTAGGAAGGGAATGACCTCAAGTGAAGCAGTTCCGCAGCAGAGACAAACCGTGAGGGAGCTGACAGCTGGAGGCTGCCTAGCGACTGCACTCCCCATAGCTGGGCAGCAAGCCTTTCTTGGGAGGAGAATCTGGACAGCACTCCTTTATGTCTATCACACTGTGGGGGTGGGGGGTAGCGGGATGTGGGGAGGGGCAAGGGTCAGGCATTGACAGAAAACAAAGAAAGAAAACAAAGGCACTGACAGAAAACAAAGGAGAGCCCAGTAAGCCCTGAGATCTCTTCTCTTTCTCTAATGTTTGACTTTATCTTCAGAGAAATTTTAGAGGTATTTTTTATTTCATAATATTAACAAAATATTCAGTGTCATATTGTGGAAAGAGCAGGGACTTTGGAAGCAGAAGGACCTACCTGCATCTCAATCCTGCCTGGGTGCACCTCTTACTAGCTGTATAATCTTGGATATGTTGCTTCACCTCTCTGAGCTTGTTTCCTCATCTGGAAAATGGAGATAATAATAACCATTAACTCAGAGGGTTGCTTTCAGTATAAAGTGCCATATTCTGGATAAATATGTAGTACATACTAGTATATTAAGCAAATAACATTATAATGATGAGGATATTTATTGTGCCTCTTACGTGCCAGGCACTATGTTATACCACAGGTTGGGCATGGGACAAGTTAATCTTAGAGGAGTTTCACACAGTCCTTTTCTTCTACGAATTTACAATCTTGTTGAGAGAATTCAAGATATAGGCAAATATGAAGGGCTAACAACTTACTACTATATCCAATAATTTTTTTGTGAAATAAAATTTTCTCTCCCGAACTGTTTTATTTTACCATTGTCAGTATGACTGCTAGAATGAAGGCAAGAACAAGACCTGAAAATCTTCTGGAAACTGACCCAGGCCAAAGTCTTTTGTGTGTTACTTCCTGGGAGAGACAATGGCAAGGTCCTCAGTTTCAGATGTAGTGAATGTTGGGAGCATGCTATGAGGAAAAGGCTAACTTTGATTACCCATTCCTCTTTGACACAGGTGATTCTGAATGCTGTGGAATGATAGGGATTCTGGGTGAAGATCCAGGGCTGCCCGGTGATATTGGTTGGGAATGAGATGGAATCTTTGGAAAAGCTGTAGCTCATTGTTTCCTTCTTCACTGGAGAAGAAAGTGACAAACATTTAAAGATGTTCATTCCTGACAGGCATCCCAACATCGCATTATAATGGCCCAAATGTCAATTTTACAGGAGGCAGAAAATCACACATCTGCTTCGTGTAGATTGGAAGGGTCTTAGTGTTAAGCTGTTTTGGGATGCATCATTGACATCGCTCTGTCTTGTAACTTTCTCTCACTTTAAAACCCATTCTGGTTTGTAACAGACAAACATAGGGAACAGAGAAGACTTGATCTGAAAATCTTTCTGGACTACTCATTTCAGTTATCCATTGCTGCGTAACAAAGCACTCCCAAACTGAGTGGCCTAAAACAACCACCAATTTGCTCACAAGTCTGTGGGTTGGAAATGGGGACAGGGTGGAGCAGGAATGGCTTTTTGGTTTCCCATGAAATCTGGAGGCTCACAGCTTGAATGGCTAGGAGCTGACTGAGATGGCTTAATTGGTGCGATATGTCTGGAGCCTCGGTTCTTGCCATCAGCTGAGTTGTTCAGTTCCCTTTCACATGGACTCTTCATATGGCCAGCTCGGGCTTCCTTACAACTTGAGTCTCAGGGTGTCTGACTTCTTACATGGTGTCTGGCTTCCCCTTGAGGGAACTGCATCTGCCAAGTTTCTTAAAGGTGAGGACTGAAGCTGGCATAGGATCACTTTAGCCACATTACAAGTCACAAGGACAGCCTGGATTCAAGGGTGAGGGAAATAGACATTAGCTCTGCAAGGTGGAGAGGCATATAAATATATATAGGATTAGGAGAACTTGTTGGTCACGACTCCAGTAACTATTGCTGCATAGCATATTACCCTAAAATTTAGTAGCTAAAAACAAATTAGAAATTAAAGACATTTAATTTTGTTCACAATTTTATGGGTTAGGAATGTGAGGAGGACTCCACTGAGTAGTTCTCCACTGAGGGATCTCTCATAAAGCTGCAGTCACATGTCAGCTGGGGCTGCAGTTATCTCGTGGTATGATTGGACTTGACATCCAAGACAGATCTCTCCCTTTGCCGGCCAGCAATGCTGGCTGTCGTCTGGGAGCTCAGCTAGCATGGTTGACTGGTGAGCCTAAATGTGAACTCTCTAGTATGGCAGCCTCAGTGTGGACAAACTTCATACATGGTAGCTGGCTTTTCCCGGAGCAAACATTCCAAAGAGTGCCAGGCAGAAGCTACGTGGCCTCTTCTCACTTAGCCTAAAAGTAACAGAGTAACACTTCTACCATACTGTATGGGCTGAAGCAGTTACAAACCCAGTCAGTATCAAGAAGGGAGGACATAGTGGCCACCTTTCAATGGCCACATTTTAAAACTGCTACAGTGGCCAAGAGTTGGGGAGCGGCAGATTATGTTTTCCAGGTCTTTTGTTGTAGAAATCCACCAACTCATTGGAGATTCCAATAGAAATGAACCTTAAATCATGATATAGATAAACACTGCAGGGTTTGAATCAGAAATGAATGCCTTTCAGAGCTCTGGCATTTGGATCTGAACGTTCAAATTGTTGAGACTTAAGCGTAAAAATTAAAGTGGCTTCCAACTCCCAGATCTTGGCCCAGTGGGCTTTTCTTTATCTCAAGCACTCTGGCTGGAAGTGTAGCTTTTGCCAGGCTGCCTCCTTTTGAACCAGCTTTCTGCTGTGAAATGTTTTCACAAATGAAAAACATGTTTCATCCAGTGAGAAGCAGTCTTGTCACTAAAACATCTAATTTGGTGGTGCCTGATGACAATGTCTCTACACCCAGGTAGTCCAAAACTGCCAGAAAAAAAAGCCCTAAGTGTATGTGTCCTCTGCCCTCCTGCTCACTCCAACTTTACCCGTTAGCACAGACAAGGGAACCATGTGGTCTCTTGCCCAGAAACATTGCTCAGAGCTGCTGTAGGATGAGCAAACCTGGAATCCAGAGTCTGGTGTCTTGAGGCATTTGTAGACTAGCAGGAAACTGACACTGAGATAATAGGGCCAAGAGGGTGAGCCTCCTTAGGACCTTTTCCACTTCACTACCAAGTAGTGAAGCCTCTGTCCTTTATTCCAGAAAGCAGCCCAGCCCTATTTAGAGGCGTGGCCATGCAACATTTTGTTTTAGAATATTGCTTTAATTCCAGGACTAATTCACTCTACTACACAGAATAACTCTGCACCCCATACTCTACCGGGTCAATGGAATTTCTCTCATAAGAGCAGCAGAGACAGGATGGGACACATTTTACCAAAGTGACAAGGCACAGAGAGGTGAAGTGACCAGTTAAGTGCAAATTGCTACACTGAAAACTGAACGTACTTCCACTACAGTGGGATGAGGGAGATGGATCTGTGTGGGAAAGGCTGGGTGGGAAAGGGGAAGTACTATAAGCTCAGCCAGGTCTTCCTTGAGATGCTTGAAGACTGAGTCCCTTTGGTGGCAGGAAAAGACCTACGGACCATCCTCACACAGATGTCAGATCTTCCAGCTGACCATCCTGCATTACCAAGTAGCTTGGGGGCTGGACACTGGACCATGCCTTTTTCTGAGTCAATTGCAACAACACTTTTTTCATACTAAATTTGTCATGGGGCTTTGAAGAGAGAAAGTCCCCCATTCCTTTCACAGAACAAGCTGCCAGTGACCTCTTTAGCAGAATCTTCAGAAGCTTGGTTTAGATAAGAATGTTTGTCCCTGCACTTGACTATTCATAATCCTTGGTCTCTGACATGAGTGTCCTTATGATGTCATTGATTTGTCTCTGTATGGACACAAACCACCATACTGTTCTTGCATGAAGTGTGTATTTCCTTTATCTTCTGATATTTCCTTTCCAAGGTGGTTTACAGTGAAGCAAAACACTGTATTTTACCTGTTTGTGTTCATGGACAGACAGACTCCACTAATTTTCCAAAGCAGACATCTCAACTCACCTTGATCATATTAACTAACCTAGGTTTAGTCATATATTGAAGATTAGTCTCCTTTAAGGAACAGAATGATATCTAGCTTCCAGTTGGAAGTTACCCTTGCTAGAGGTGTCATTGTTGATAGGGCTTAGAGAGGGGTCTTATCTGTGGAGAGAACTTTCCTGGAAATCTTAACGTGGCAGGAAAGCTGAGACACCCAGTGTCCACATCAATGCCATGCTTGATATCTTCCAAGACAGAAACTGACCCTTTTCCCAAAATAAGGTATTGTTGCTTACTGGAGGGATGTGGACAAATTAAATGGTATGTACACAACGGAGGAGTATGTGTGTGTATGCTTTTGATTGAATGTGCTGAGCTAGGGAAGTTTTAAAAGACCTAGGAGTTTAGAATTGGCAGACAGGACCAGTGAAAATGTGCCTCCCACCTCTCTTTAAGAGGCTGCTAGGAGTTTTGAGAGACCACGTGGTATAACAGATGATCACTGGTTTTAGAGACAGACCCACCTGGCATCCTAGCCTGCTGCCCATCTTTGTGATCCATGCTGCACCATGTACCAGCTGTGTGACCTCCTGGCAAGTTACTTTACCTCTCTGAGCTTCATTTTCCTCATTTGTGAAACGAAAATAACAAAACCAACACGTCCTTGGGGTTGTTGTGAAGATGGAATAAGATAATGATGTAAAAGCATTTAGCATGCTGCTTGGCACAGGTTAGGTGCTAAATTGATGTTTACTGTTTTGGGGTATAAATTGTTATTATTTAAAAAATGTTGACTTTTATTTTAGATTCAGGAAGTGCATGTGCAGGTTCATCACATGGGTATACTGCATAATGCTGAGATTTGGGGTAGGACTCCCCTTCCCCTCGACCTTTCCTCTAAACCCATCTAAACCTCCAACCCTTTTGAATTCGATCATTTGAAGAGAAATGTTTTCCTTCCCAGACAACTGATATGAACTAATGGTCTAACATTGGCTTGGATAATCACATCGTGTCATCAAGCCTCAGATTATTAGATATTATTTACAAGAAAAATGGGCCTGGAGTTCCTCTCAGACTGAGGATGGAGGCTGCAAATTGAGTTTAGAGGGTTGCCGACCTTTAGACCTGGACTGGGAGCAGGGGCAGCCCACACTCCTGGTCTTGAAAGCCACAGCAGGCTCTTGTAATTGAGTTACCGCCTGGGATGCAGTAAGACTAATCCATCTATATGATTTCTTCGCCTGGTTTAATGCCATTAACAAAACCGAATTAAGAAGGGGGTGGAGCTGAGTAGGACGAGGGAAAACGAATTTTCTGCATGGGAGTCGCTACCGCGCCTTCATGGCCAGGATGAAGCCTAAGGTCTGATTAATGGACTGTTCTGAGGACCAAGTCCTGCTAGTCACCACCCCAGTCCCTCAACAGAGCGCGAGGCTACCAGGGACTCGCATGCACAAAAAAAAGGCCATCGCAGAAAAGGTTTTCCAGGACGCCCCAGGGGCTATTTCCTGACTACTATCTCACCCTCCTTCCCTAGTTCGTTCATTTTCTTCCCTTCCCTTCCCTTCCCTTCCCTTCCCTCCCTCCCTTCCTTCCTTTTCTCTCCCTTTTTCTTTTCCTTCTTTCTCTTTCTTTTTCTTTATTTCTCTTTCTTTCTTTCTTTCTTTCTTTCTTTTTCTTTCTTTCTTTCTCTCTTCTTTCCCTCCCTCCCTCCTTCTCTCTTTTCTTTCTTTCTTTCTTTCTTTCTTTCTTTCTTTCTTTCTTTCTTTCTTTCTCTCTCTCTCTTCCTTTCTTTCTTTCTTTCTCTCTTTCTCTCTCTCTCTTTCTCTCTCTCTCTCTCTCTCTCTTTCCTTCCTCATCTGCCCTCTGTAGAACAATTCTTGAGCAGTTTTCCTTCTAGTTCTAATCTTCAGGGACCTTCTCTGGGTTTTGTCACAAGTATTCCTCAGGCAACGTTTCAATCCTACTTATTCCTCTTCAGCACTCGCCCCCAGTCCCACCTCACCCGTTTGCCTGGGATTGGCCATCCTGGGCGGTGGGCACTCTTTGCTTCCAGTTTACCAACAAGAGCGACCAGCCCTAGGAGGAGGGGCCTGCGTGTGGGGGTGGGGGTGGGAGGTGGCAGCCGCCGCGGTCAGTTTCACTCTCTGACCTACTGACACCCAGATCCCAGAGAGCCCTTCTCTCCCCACTGAGAGCCGGACTGTCTCAACTTGAGCAGCTAGCCAGAAGCGAAAAGTCGTCGACTCCCGGACTGAGATTCCACTGCTCGGTGCGAGCAGTTGCCAACAGGGGAGTCCCCAAAGTGTAGGTGGCGACCAGCACGGGCCTGGGAAAGCAGGCGCTAGGAGTAGAGGAGTTACAGGGGCCGGGGTGGGGGGAGCGCCGGCCTTCCATCTCCTTGGCCAACGGTGGGAGCCCGCTACAGTGGCACCCGCGGGCCCTCCCTGCCCCGGAGGGGCCAGGGTACGCCCAGCAGACACGCTCGCCCGCACTACGCGGGGCTCGCCGGGGTTTTGCCAACCGGCGGCTGACGTCGGCGCGCCCCTGCCGAGCTCTCCTTTTACTACAGCGGGCAGGCGGCTTTGTGAGGCCCCGCCTTCGCCAGCCCCCACCCTCCGCGTGCCCACACCTTGCCGTTTATATAGAATGCGCCGCGGTGTTGATTCGTGGCTCTCTAGGACCGGAGAGTTCTTTGGAAGGAGAGCGCGAGCGAGGGAGCGGGCGAGCTCCGAGGGGGTGTGGGTGTAGGGAGAGAGAGAAAGAGAGCAGGTAAGGGCCATCGTCTCCCACTCCTCCGCCGGCGAGCAACTCCGGCCCCCTTTTTGGCAAAATAATAGGAACCTGGAAATGGATTAAATAGAAAGAAAGAAAAGAGGCGACCCTCTCCTCCCCATTCCCCGCGGGCGAGAAGCTGCGCGACTCTGCGGTGTAACAGGCTCACACGTTGCTCATCACATGTTCAAACATTTCCCTTTCAGGGAGGCTTGTTATTTTTAAGTGAATATTTTTATCTTTGTTTTGATTTTTTAAAAAGCCTTCCTCGGGGTTTTATTTTGATCGAGTTGGCGGCCCGCAGCGGATTGGGAGAGGCGGGGGAAAGCAGCCTGCCAGTGCGCGGGCAGCCCACCCAGGCAACTCCCAGCGAGCGGCCCGCGCGGAGCCCAGGGAGGCCGGCAGTGAAGCCGGGGAGTCCCGGCCGCTCCTCTCGGCCGCCCCGGGGGTTGCGAGCGTGGCTCTCCGCAGGCGGGCAGAAGCTGAGGGCGCGGGGCGCGGAGGAAGCGCCGCGCCGCTTTGTCTCTTCACTTCTTGAGCGCGGCGAGCGGCTCCTCCCGCGGCCGGCCGCTCGGGATCGCGGCGGCGGCGGCGGCGACGGCGGCTCCTCCTTCACCCCTTTCCTTTCCTCCCCACTCTCTCGTAGGCAGCGGCGGCGGCGGCAGCGGTGGGGAAAAGCGGATTCCGCCCCGAACCACACCGAGGGGAGCTCGTGGTCGAGACTTGCCGCCCTAAGCACTCTCCCAAGTCCGACCCGCTCGGCGAGGACTTCCGTCTTCTGAGCGAACCTTGTCAAGCAAGCTGGGATCTATGAGTGGAAAGGTGACCAAGCCCAAAGAGGAGAAAGATGCTTCTAAGGGTAAGCCCGCCCGCCGAGTCCGCCTGCTTTCCTTTCCTTCGTTTCCCTCGCCCCCTCGCGTGCGCGCCGCCCTCCGGCGGCTCCTTGCCTCCTTCCCGGAGCCTAAGCTGCCCATGACCTCTGCGACCCCGGGAGAAAAGGGGGGGCAGAGGTCGCTAGGGGGTGGATCTAGGTTTGCACCACTTTCCCTCCTTCCTCGCGGAATTGTCGACCCTCGAGTGCCTCCAGCCTCCTCCACTTCCCCTCTGGACGCACGGTGGTGGCGCTGCGGGCAGACGAAGCTGCTGCAGCCTGGAGCGCCGGGAACCGCGCTGTCTGCTGACAGCCGGCCGCCTGTCTGTATGAGTGCATGTGTGTGCGTGTGCGCGAGTGTGCATATGTGTGCTGCGCGCGTGCAACATGGTGACATACTCAGGAATCTGCCCTGCTGTCAGAACCCAAGCTTGAACCCACCTTCAGCCCCCTCTCCCCGCCCCCAATGCAAACAAAGAGCCTGGTCGAGACGCAGAACCCCTCCCCCCTCCTTTCCCACCACCTCCTTCCCCCCCCCCGCCACCCGACACCTCCTAATCCTAAACTCCTTATCCACCCCAACCCTCCGGGAAGGCAGGAGTTTGCACCCTTCGACACGCCGCGTGCAAAGGTGAGCAACCCTGGTGCCCTGGCGCCGCCCGCGCTGCGCTTTGGCAGCGCAGCCTCGCCAAGCCCCAGGAGAACAAAGGCTGATGTCCCCTTGTCACTAGTGCCCAGCGTGAGTGGGCCTCCGCGGGAGGGGGCAGTCCTCTTCCTCTGTTTGCTGGGGTTCAGCCACCGCGCCCGGGGCACCCGACCACTGGTCCCCCTGGAGTGCGCGCCTCTGCCCAGGGCCTCCCATCGGCGGGTTGGGGAGGCGCAGCAAAGCGGTGCTCAGGCTGGGGAGAACTAAGGCAAAGGCAGGGGACGCCCCCCCACCCTTTGCCGGTTCTAGCCGTTGCCTTTCTCAGGACCGGGATTAGCTCCAGAATGTAAACTGGAGACAGCAGCCTTGGAGACCGGGGTGCGGAGAGGCACAGAGAGGGAATATGGAAGAGCAGTGGGGAACAGCAGGTGCCTTAGGTGCAAGTGTCCGAATGGCCACGGAGCAGACGCTGGAGTGGGCTGGACTAGCCCTGAGGGCCCCAAGCACACTGGACCGCAGCGACCCACGCCGAGTCCCCACTGCAGAAGTGAGGTTGCAGCGCAGGGAGTCCCAGCTTTTGTTCATGGGGGCCCCAGTTCCTTCCTGAGCCCTCAGGCCCCCTTCACTCCCACTCCTTTCTCTATTCCTTGTTCTCCTCTCCTCCTTCTCGCCTCTCCCCATCTCTCAGAGCTTTCTTTCCCGGGAGATTCTAGGGCAGCACCAGCCCTCCCCCGCGGAAAGTTGTCAAAGTCTTCAGCTCAAGGCCTTTATCCTTGTTTCTAAGTGGAGCCATTTCTCCCCCAAATAGGCGAAAGGGTGACTGAAGGTTCCGGAAGTTTGTGGAGGGGTTAGATCCGTTGTCATACGGGTCATTGTTGCCCCCGGTCTGGCTCAAGGCTAGCATTCAATCCCAAGTGAAAGAGTAACTTTGGAAAGTAGAACGACAGCTGTAGGTTTCCAGAGCTCCCCTAATTGTTGAGTCTCAAACAGGCATTTATATGATAAAGGAAAATGACTTCAGGGTCATTAAATCGTTTTGTTTTCCACTGAGGGCCCAGAGAAGTAAATGTAATTAAAGAATGTAGCACCAGATTGATCTAGGCACGTCATTCCCCTGTTGAATCTGGGAGTATTTCTCGTTTGTTTCTGGAACTTTGGTTCCTGATTTCCATCAGGTGGTTACTTCAGGTTTATTTCAGGCTACCGTTGGGAGACCCTGAAACCAAATTCATTCACAGAAAATGAGTTTCTGTTCTGTTTATAATTTGCAGTTGTCCAGAATGGATTAACGCATCTGGAAACAGGACAGGTTTCTGTAATTCAATAATACAAATTTGTACTAGGCATGTGTCATAACATTTTCTTGTGTTGACTCACCACATTTGAAACCACATACCTCTGTAGGAATTGAGTAATTAGCACTTGAAATTATGGCTGTAATTAGAATAAATTAATTTTACAAGGCAACTTTTAAGAAGGGAGTTTACTTCCCCGAGAAGATGGGAAGCTTTTGGCTGCTAAGAGCAAGATTGCCATTTCAGCCTTTCTGTTCGTTGTTGAATTTAGAGCATTTTCAAAATATTAAGTGTGTAGTAGCCATTAGTATTTTCTTCTTTCAAGTATATGAAAAGTCTTATGTGACCAAATTTTAAAGACTACTTTTTATATTAGAGATGAAAGGTACAAGGTCTACTTATCTTTTAATCAATAGAGTTTATATATGTTGACCATATTTCTGAAGAGTTTTCCTTACTTACAAATTTCCTATATATAGGTCATCTTTAATTTTTTTAAGCTGAAAAACTAATTGGCATATTCTTTGTAACATAGCAAGATATAGGATCAAGCATTTCATAGATACCTTGAATATACACACATTTAATTTTGAACAATGGTGTGACAGATGATTGGATGAAATCAAATAATTTAGTAACAGTTTGAATGAATTTCATAATCTGTTTTCAGAGTCTACTGCTCATTTAAATTCAGCCTCCCACCCCCATCAGTTAGGGCTCATACCCACAGTGTATCATAACTACATCAATTATTATAGAGTACAGTGTTTCCAGAGCTTTTAAAGCACAGGTAGTAGGTTTCCAGTAAATTATTTTGTGCTGCTGAATGAAATATGGCCTTAAGAGTACATAAATTGCTGATTGTCTTTTTAAATGACATTTTCTTCAACTCACTGAGGTTAAGACCAGTGATGGACACTGATCTTTTTCATAACCTTTTCAAAAATGTAGCCAGACAAGATAGGCTGTTCTGTTTGGAAAGGGGGCGGGGACCTTGATTCTGTTTGAAACTATTAAAAAGGCCTCTTGTGCAGCCAGTCGCCTTTTGTGTATTTATTTATGCTTTGTATAAACTTTAAAATTGGCAGATGTGTATATAGTTTGAGTCACGCGGCTCTTGGACCGGAGGATCTGTTTCCATTTCAGGGAAGAAGAAAGCATAATATTTGTTTGTTCAAGCAGATATTCTCTTAGCTTTGACTCACTCTTCTCTACCTTGTCACATAAGATCTTTTCAGCAGTCTTCTGTTGGAAAAGCACTCAGTTAAGGCTGTTTCTGGTTTGTTGCAACAGTTTTCCTGTGGCATCGGAAATCTTGTAGGCTGCTATAGATAAAACCAAATCTTTTTTGGATTAAGTAAAAATGCTAGCTAATTCTCGCTTTCAAAACTGTCTTTAGGTTTGTGGCTACATGTTTGGAGTTGGGTGTGTTCTTTTCAACAACCCTTTCCTTTGTGCTTAGCTTAACAGCCACCATATCCAGGCAAGTTTCAAGGCTCTGTGGGCTGTGGGTTCTCTTGGTGAGACAGCACTGTTGTCAGGCTGGGCTCATGCTGGCTGCTGGACAATGGAGGACAATTCCATGCATAGCCCAAGAAGCCAGCCACTTGTACAGCTGCTGTTGTAATGGGTAGTAGTGGCCCCATGCATTTACACCACAGTTCGTTTTTTGTTCACTTCCTGGCCCTTTCCAATAGTCTTTCTATCCTATCCTACTGAAGAAGGACAGGTCACTGTGGTCATGCAGCCAGCATATCTAGGCTTGAGTCCTGAATGCCTTCCAAAAGATCATCTTGATCATTGTGGTTTACTATAATAGGTTTCATCAAGTGTCTTTCTCAGACTTGGGCCAGGCAAAAGCAGATGTTTAGAGGTATTTTACCGACAAGAAATTATGAGGTTGGTGACCTCTTATTAAGAAGTAACAGTGATCATCTGTCTATTACTCATGTAGGGACTTGTTTTTTTCACTCTGACATCATGGTCCCATGGTTTTACATACAGTGTCATAAGCCACACGGTCTTTTCTGTGCTGAAGGAGGTGATCATAGCCTTGCTAAGGAGGTGTGACCAGGGAGATCTCTAATCAGAAATATTGGTCTGTTCTTGGGGATAGGTGGAGAAAATGAGTGCACATTATACCCAAATCCTCTTCATAATTATTTGTAGCAGCGTGTAGCTTCTTTATTGACAAAGGCTAAAGCTAGAAGGGGGAGCAAGTTGAGGCATGGGTTAGGGGTACTGTATCTTTTCTCTAGCTTAGTACTGCTTCCTCTAAGCCTCTTTTCAGCACAGTTCAAATAATTTAAAGGGCTTAGTATGTGTCCTAGGTCTGGAGATGTGGGTGAGGTTGGAGTGGGAATGGATGTTGAATTGGGGCCTGGGTAAGAAGCAGAGGGTGAGCTGTGGGGCGAAGGAAGGAGTTGAGGTCTATGCCCACAGCAGGGAGATTTTATGGGTGGCTTTGAGGACAGGGTCAGGACTGGGGAGAGAATTGGAATCAGGGAGAGAATTTGAATCAGAATTGGATAAGCCAGAGGGCTGATTTGTAAGGCGGTAAGTAAGGATATGAAACAGCGTTCCAGGTCTCTTTGCAGCTGTGCTGTTTTATGTCCAAATCAACTTCTTATTCTGGGAATTACAATCAACATAGAACAACCAGAATGTGTTGCAGTTCTTCAAATATATCCAATAAAAAGGCTTTCTAGTGTCTGCTTCAGTATGACTTATATTTTTGGAGTTGAGAAATTTGAAAAGAATGGACAATAATTGTCAAGATTAAGCAATTGAAGGAGGGGGGAAAAACCATGTGCATTAGAGTAGATGAAGGGGATCCTACATGTCTATTACCTTGCTCAGCTAAACATTATCTTTGAAATGTGAAGACTAGGCACATAATATAGTTTTAGCAATTAGTACAGAACACAAATGTCTGCATAACTCATTTTCTGCAGTCACTGATTTATGTTTCCCTATCAAGAAGACACATCATCACCATGATATATCAGCACAGGCTGAAGAGTGGATTTCAGGCTCATTGTCCTGTGTAATGTGGGTCATCTTAGTTAGTTTTCATCAACTTGAAATGTAGGTTATCTATTTGTAATATACCAGCTCTACAAACTTAGTTGAATCTTATTTCTGACATTTTTTAACATGGCATTTTATCACTTTTTTGAATGTCATATATTGATGAAACATTTCCTAAGAGTGTGGGTTTCCCGGTAAATGCATTAATTTCCTAAAGAAGTGAAATAATATTTAGTAGTCATTATGACCACCACTCCAGGCCTTAGATCCGATTTCTCCTTGAATTGGATGGCCATTTTTTTCCTTTAAAGCAGTGTTTTCCAGAGTATTAATTCTGAAAATGGTGGGGGAGGGGTTATTAGAAAAGAAATAAATTCTTGATTCTTAGGGCACAATGGATATATGAAGGACTATTAAGGGATCTGAGTTGTAATAAATATTAAGTCTAAATTACAATGACTGTTTATTGTGATTACTGTAAAGCAGTTCTCATGGCTGATCTTGCCTCTGCCCTTTGAAATTACTTTTAGCATTGATTTTCAAATAGAAATAGTACTAGTGTCACGGGCTAATGACCTTCCCCACAGGCAAAGGCTTCTGCTGGTGTAGGGTTGTGGTTGACATTCTAGGGAGTACAGTAGGGCTGTCCAGAGCTAAGTTGCTTGCTTGGCCTGCCTGCAGAGACATCAGATTTGGTCTGGACAATCACTCTTTGGCCTAAAGGAATCCCTAGTTGTATATGTCTGTCCTTTATTTTGTGGTTCCTGTAAGTAGGGCTGGGAAGAAAGAAAAGAATCTTCTGGTGAAAGGCAGGCCAGTCAAAGGCCAAATTAGAAAAGAAAAACAGTAAAACTCAATTTCCTTTTTTTGTAATTGAAATTTACCTGTAGTAACATGTACAGATCTTAAGTGTGCATCTCAATGATTTTTGAGAAATATTTACATCCGTAAAATCAACACCAAAGTCAAGATACAGAACATTCTTGTCACCCCAGAAAGTTCTTTCATGCCCTTTTCTAGTCATTCCCCTCACCTAAAGACAACTCTTATTTTATTCTTTTTTTTTTTTTTTTTTTTTTTTTGAGGTAGGGTCTCAATCTGTCACCCAGACTGGAGTGCAGTGGCACAATCTCCGCTCACTGCAACCTCCGCCTCCCAGGTTCAAGTGATTCTCCTGCCCCAGCCTTCCTAGTAGCTGGGATTACAGGCACACGCCACCACCGCCCGGCCAATTTTTTGTATTTTTAGTAGAGATGGGGTTTCACCATGTTGGCCAAGCTGGTCTTGAACTCCTGACCTCAAACGATCCACCCGCCTCGGCCTCCCAAAGTGCTGGGATTACAGGCGTGAGCCACTGCACCTGGCCTCCTATTTTTATTTCTATCATCATCTATTAGTTTTTCCTGTATGCACTCTTTGGTTTCTGACACACCTAGCCACCTCCCCATCCAACACTCTTCATCCCCTGTTGATAACCCTTCTTGTCTTGTCCTCTGGTTTCTTGGAAGACTCCCACCGTGCCCCACACTGGGGCATTCAATAGAATCTTAGACATGGTTAGTCTTCTAGGAGTAGTTGTTGAATGACCTGGGAAAGATAGGGAAATCCTTTAAGCAGAGGTATGTTTCATTCATCCTTTAATAGCAAATAACAATAATGAACATTGCTGTCTTTATAATAGTAGCCTCTAAATTATTGAGCAGTTACTATTTACTAGGCAAACATTATTTTTACATATATCTAATTTAATCCTGACAGCCAAATGAAGTACAGTAGCTCTTAGTACATACAGACTTTAGAGATGAGAAAATTGAAGTTCATGGAGATCATGTAGCTTATATGAAGTCACACCACTAGTGGTTTGCAAATTACTAACACGGTGCTTGGCCTTGTAGTAATCAATAAATGATGAATGCATATGCCATGCACCTATGAAAACTCATCGGTCCTATGCCCTGCTCACTTCCTGTTTTGTTGTCATATCAGAAGGCACTGTGATAGAGAAAGACTTTTTCAGAGCCTCCTGGTGGCTTAATCTGACAAATACCTAGGGATATTTACATTCTATCTAAAGATTGCCTGGGGTAGAGCTTTCACTCAAAGAATTCAATAGTTAATGGTTGACTTTCCAACACCTAGATACGTGGCAGAAATAATTTTGACTGGTGTCCTAAAAATAGTATTTTCTGAGCACTGACTATAGGCCAGGGAGTTGACATGAAATATCTCATGAAATCTTCATAACAATGTATGGACATTCAATGTATGGAGAATGAATATCCACACTAGTCTTCAATGTGACAGATGAAGAAACAGACCGAGGCCATCCTTAGGTCACTCAGCTAACAAGATGGTGAAGTGAGGATTTGACCAGATTTCATTGACTCCAAATCTACCTCCTAACCACTAACCACTATATCATACTCCCTTCCTAGGCAGCACAGCTGAGTCTTTCTAATGCAGGTTTGCACAAAGACGAAATTACTTCCATTCACCAAATTGGACATAATTAGGAGGAGTGTGCCTATACTAAATACATGGTTGCTCCAGGGCTGTGGTCTTTGTTCAGTTAAACAAAATCTGAACATTTTTTGAGTGACTTTTCTCTATCAGGTGCTGTGCCGGGGTACCCTTTCCTTCTTCTCTGGCCTGGGACATTCTGACTTTAAACTTTCCGATGTGCATCTCACTTCACTTGGCCATCCTCTTGAACCACTGCTACAGGACATTGGCCAGGTGACTGTGTCTTTCATTGGCCAGGTGACTTTGGCTTTCATATTGGTTTAAAAACAATGGTACTTTCTTTTGCAACTGCATCTGAGACCTTGTTTCACCTGTGTCTTCAAGATTATACATCCTCTTAATTCACTGTTGAGTAAAAACTCCACTTGTTTATTTTAGTTTTCATTACATGGTATATGCTTTCAGTCTGTCTCCCATCAGAATCATATGTCTCATTTCCCTTCTCTTTGTCTCTCAACCCTACCCCGTTCTTCCTCCGACTCTCCTTCTTTCCCTCCCTCCTTTTCTTGTTAACAAATGTCAGTGGTTTTTATTAACCGAATGGGGCTCCTCAGGGTGTGCTGAGCTCATTGAAAGATTTTCATTTCTGGATTTTTTCCTTTGATAGCTATATTAATCGTGATGAAAGAAATCCACCCCCCACAACAAAGCGTAGCTCCACAGAAGAGGTTTTTCACTACTTACGTAACTCATTTTAAATGGAAAAATAAAAAAGTGCAAGCTTTATTTTGTATACTATTTATGCTGCCTTCAGTTAGATAATATTTCCAAAAATATATCTTGTTAACAGAGACACAACGCCTTGAACAAGCATATTAATTACAGTTCTCGAAGTTGGGAATCATGTAGTATTTATCTGTATTGTAGAACTGTTGCTCAATGGTAATAATTAACAGTGATGGGTCTATTGCATGGCTATAGGTAAATTTAATAACAAACATGAAACCCAGTTCTCAAAACTTGCTCCAAATAATGTAGGTAGCATTTGTTACTGTTCTGGAGTTGAGGGTTAGTAAATAGCTAGGGTTCTTAAAATATTTATCTAGCTCTTAAAAGTAGAAGTAAACAACCTAAAGAAGACAGGCTGAGTGCACTTCTTGAATATGCCCATAGATATTTTCAGAAACTTCTTTCAATGGTGACTTTGAAAGTATTGAGAATTGACCTGCTTATTTTGCCTTTGATTCTCTGTGTGTATGCTTGCCTCTCCCCTTGGGGGGTTTATTGAACATTAAGGCTTCCAAGAGCTCTTGAATTTGTGAGTGATTTTCGGAGCTCTGGGAACAATGTGAGCCATTCTCTTGGAAACAGGACAAGGTGCTCCTAGATGCTCTCATTCCGGGGAACATTTGTTTTTCGGCTAGCTGGGAACCGACGATCGCGCTGAAAGGTCTGGTCAACCAGCCTCCCTCAGTTCCTGTGTATCTGGCAGGCAGGTTTATTACAAACCTTAGTGTGCTCATTAGCCTCGTGATGTGGCAGCTGCCTAAAAAAGAAACACGGAAAAGTTGTGTCACCGAAGGTGAAACTTGGCAAAGAGCTGCCCGGCGCCGGCTCCGGGCATGACAAAGCGCCTTCCTGGCGGCGGCAGCGGCGGTGGGCAGTGGGGGTTTCTGTTTGCTTGTCCTCGATACCCACGGCCCAGTCGACTCACGGGGAGGCGTCGCAAAGGGAACCGCGGGCCCGGGCCAGGGCTCCGTGGCTGGCGGTGCGGGTGGTCGCAGTCCGGGGGAAGATACTGCGCGCTCCGGTGCAGCCCGCGGCCTCGCAGTCTAGACCGCGGGCACGTTGCAGCCTGTGGGGAAGCAGCGTTAAGATGGTGGCGGTCAGAGCAGCGCTGGTGGTGGCCGGGCGGGGCTCAGGGAGGCGCGCCCTCCTCCCTTAGCGACACCTATCAAGGCTTTCTTGCTTTCCGTACACCTGACCCACCCACTAGACACCTCAAAGGCAGGCATAGAAGGCCAAGAGCCTTGAAGTCAGGGCTTGACCAACACAAGAGCTTTGCTTTCTCTGTCTTCTTGTTAATGCTAATTTGACTTTAGCTGCTCAAAAACCGAAGATGCATCTTGAGCAGGACGCTCACAGGCAGATTTGAATTTATGTGTGTGTTTTTATATTGCTTATGTTTTATTACATTGATTTTTTTCAGATTACAAAATAATGCATGTTTACCGGAGACAATTTGGAACATCATAAAAGCGTAGAGAAGAAAATATCACCCAAGGTTCCACTACCAAGTTAACTTTTTGAGGCTTTGCTTCTAGTCCTTTTTCTCTGCATATTATAATACATAGACATGGCTAATTATCTTTAAGTGTGTATGTGGGATCAGGCACATACACGATAACTTCCTTTTTTTCCCTCAACGTCTTAGAATGTTATTTTATGTCGTTAAATAATTTGCACCATCATTTTCAGTGTGTATACTAGGTGTGGACTTAGGGGTAACCAAGGAGAGATGGTGATTTGTGCCTGGGGTGTGAACATTTTTCCTGCACCTCCTTGAGATCCTTCTCACTGGACACCACAAGCATGATTAGTATTTTGTAAAAGTACATATATGAATATGTGCCCATATGGGGCTATGTATATGTGTGTATAAATCTGTAAATACCAAATTAAACACACATAGACAACTATGCACATATGTAAATAGATACACAACAAATATGCTAAGAATAAATCTTGAAAGAATATACACCAAAAGGAATCTCTGGGTGGTTGGCTTATAGAAATTTATAGTGTTTAGTCATATTTTCTATTTTTATCTATAGTGGAAATACATAATTATATTAATGATATAATAATAAAAATAATACTAATGAAATATTACTTATTGATTGTCTTCAAACTGAGTTTTCTGCTCCCTCATTCCTTGATCTACCGTGACCTACTTATTATTTTTATATTATATGATGCTTCAAGTCCAAGCTAAATCTCCATCCTCCATGAAGCCTTTCTTCCGCCCTCCCAGCAGGCACTGACTGCTTACTTCTGTACAGGGCTTCTATGTCACCCATCTGGCAATCTCCATGGGCTACTTTGGGTGTATCTCATGGTTAACTTCTCATCTGCTTATGTCTTATCTCTCTGAATAGACTGGAATGTCTTCAAGGATCCTTTTCACAAAGCAAGTGCTCACTAAATGTGTTACGTAATGACAATGCTTATCATCCATCGTAGGTTTCTGTAAATGCTCCTTTACCTTTGAAACTCTATACCAAAAGCCCTTAGACTGACAGCAATAATCCTGCTGGATTTAATTTTGCTAATTTAATTTAGGATACAATTGCTACTTCATAATGGGCTATCTACGTAGAATTTGGTCAATGATGATACTGATAATATTACTGAAATAGTAGTGATTTTCATATTGATTTTTCAAGTTAGAGGACTCTTGATAGAGGGTTTCTTGGTGGTAGAAATAAATCTACAGATTCACACATGCATTGGACAGTCATACCCCAACTTAAGTGATTTCAGTTATTTTAATGCATGTGTAAATTAATTCATCTGTTAATTTACTCGATAAATATGTATTGAACCTTCTATGTGCCATCTGCTTTCTTAGACACTGAGAATACAGCAGTGAGCGGAACAGATAACTATCCCTGCCTTCATGGATAATACAAGCATATTTTGCAAGTTTTCTTAGGGAAACAGACTTTCAGTGCATGAAGCACTCTGTTTCATGTTCGTGGTATGTCAAGCAGTGAGTGATCTGGTGCCCATCATAGCCATCAGGCTCTGGCCAAGCCAAATTACTAATGAGTCAAGCTGGATGGAGTCATACATGGGTTGCTTATCTGTGGTTCAGGAACCACCGAAGCTGTGGTTCCTGGACCAGCTTGGGCATCAGCATCACGTCTAACCACATATACCCCCGACCATGAGAATTTGATTCAGTATATCTGGGCATGAGCCTTAGAAAGCCACATTTTTTATTAAGCTCCTCAAGTGGTTCTAATGCACAGCTGGTTTAGGGACCTACTGCCTCTGGGCAGTGTTTCTCAAGCTTGCCTAAAGAATCACCTGTAGGGTTTGTTTGTTTTTTCTAAACAAAACAAAACAAAAACCCTCCCGCTGACCTACTGAATTAGAATTTTAGGAAAAGAGATGGTAATCTGACTTGTAAGCAGGTGTCCTGGTGATTCTTATCATCAGGCTAGTTGGGGAAACATTGTCCTAGAGACAATCACAGGACTCCCCTAGAAATTATGTATAAATGTCAATTTTTCTGGTGAGCAGGCTCCATTGCTTTGAACAGATTCTCAAAGGAGTCATCCACTCCAAAAATATTACATGAGGTGGAGCCCTGATGTCTAGGACCAGCATTGTTGTCAACTGTATGTTTTGAGTTCTCAGTGTCCTCATGGGTTGAATTAAGCAACCTTAAAGACCTTCTCGGCCCTATTCATCTTCCACATATAAATGTTCTGCTTGGAAGCCTTCTTTCTCTCTTTTTGCTGCTTTTTTCTATCTTATTGCCAGTCCTGCCTCAATTGTTTCCCTTGATGGTCTCCCTTTAGGAGAAAGTAGGGAAGCAGGAGAATTTCAAAGCCTCGGCTCTCGCAGAGAGGGCGGGGCTGGGAGGGAGCTTCGGGCATGCCATTCAGAGATGGCAATCCTAGCACAGCTGTTAGAATAGCAGAGGTCAGTGTCCAAATATTTTGACCCTTATGATAGCTTGAACCTCAGTGGATCTTAAACTGGTGGGATAAGGGGGTGGGAGTGGGACTTCCAAGACATTTCTCTGCCAGTCTAGAGCAGGGTGACACAGGGTGGACAAGGTAATTCCGCTTTTCCTTGGACATAATTTTTCTGCCTGTATCTGGCAGCAGGTGGTGATGGGAGGTGGAAGCAGGAGTGTGAGTGTTGGGCTGGGCCTAGGTGCACCCCCACCCCTTCTCATCCTTGAGGCACCAAGCAGTGTCTCTGTAATTGGTTCATGACCAATCAAGTGCATTGACCTATTACTGCTAGTTACTTTGAGTTATAAATGGTTTTTATTTCCTCTGTGGAATTGGGGGTTCAGGCTGTATAGGATGACCTGATTTGTATCACAAGAGCCTTTGGGACTTTGACAGATTTCACCGTTTAAAACACACCGAGCTTCCTCCCTCCACCCCACTGGACATAAAAGCAACCTTTGAATTTCTGGCACAAAGAGCATGTCTTTAAAGGGCAGCATGCAGAAAAAGGGAGGAAAAAGAAGTAAGGCAGTTCATCTTCTTTTCTGAGGCCATTGTCTCCAAACAAGTGACAAAACTGAATACCTTGAAAAATCTTGTATTGATTTTTAGTGCAGAGGCATCTCCCCAGGATCTGAAAATCCTGGCAGAAGATAATAAACTTATTTCCCTGCCTTTGAGCCAGAGTTGAGTTGCTTGTTTTACATGGCTGGAAGAAATGAGAGTAGTTGCTCTGCTGAGAGTGAGATTTGGTTCAGAGTGCATCTCTCTTGACCATATTGTATATAGGGGAGACTCAATTTATAAAAACTATATATACAAATCTAACTCAAATGCCGAATGTGGAGGTAGTTACAATATTGAAAGAGTTATTGTTTTATGAAAAGTTTTTCTTTTAATAGCATCATCTTTAGTGTACTCGCACGTTTCTTTGGGCATGAAGGACTACTTGATTAAAAAGAAAGAAATCAAAACCAAGCCTAGAGGCCTCTTGTTGAGGCATTTGTTTCCTGCTATTCTAATTAGAAACTGTTGCTCAGAGTGGCTGTCTTGCTTCTCGGATTATTATCTTTTTTATTTTAATTATTTTAAATATGTTTACTGTGGCAAAATATACAACATAAAACTGACCATTTTATAGTCAATTCTATGGTATCCAGTTCTATGGTATTAAGTATATTCACATTGTTCTGCAGCCTTAATCACCATGCTCCACAGATCCTTAATTACAGGCTATAATGGCTGGAAGGGACCTTCATCATCATTTGGTCTAACCTTCCCACTACAGAGTAGAAGAATTAGGCCCACAGAGAGGCAATGACTTGCCCAAGGTCATAGAACAAGTTAGTGGCAGGGGCCTAGCCCAGTACATTTCCACATTGACACAGTAACAGATTCAGGCAGGTGGCCTCTGTTACTCTACTGATAGCAGAATCAAGGATTGACATAAATGTTTAGGGTATTTTTCTGTTTTTTTTTTCTTTTATCAAGCAAGCAACCAATTATTATGGTTTAGAGCCAGAAGGTCCTTCAGACACTGTCTAGTTCAATTTCCTTATTTAAAATAATTGGCCGTATTTGTGATTTCTAAATCCAAGTTGAACTACAGAAAGATGCTAACATTCTTATTTCTAAAATACAGGACAATTCTTCCCCAGCCTTCCTTTCACTGACTCCATGGCATTCTTTGGTTGAAACCAGGTCCTTTGTGGGTGGCTGTTATTAATAAGCTTTTCTTGGGATGTTTACAGTGACTGCTGTGACCTAAATAAGTTTGCTTGTATTGTTTTCCCCACAAAGGCAAGAACAGCTTTTAAAACTATGTTCATCCCTCTCATCACAATGTATTTATTCATGACTAAAAGAACTGAAGTATTGCATTTTCTCACATTTGGGGCCTTTGTGTACCCCAATCATGTTTTCTTGGAGTAGAGCTTCAGGACAATACACCATGTAACATTATAACATGATCCCTCTTGAAAATTTTATTTTTACTTTTAATTGTGGTAAAATACACATAACATAAAATTTACCATCTTAACCATTTTTATGTGTACAGATCAGTAGTGTTAAGTATTTAACTGAAGTATATAATCTGAAGACTGCTTGTGCAACCAGTCTTCAGAACGTTATCTCACAAAAGTGAAACCGTGTACACATTAAACAATTCCCCATTTCCCCATTACCCCAGTCCCTTGCAACCTCCATTCTACTTTGTCTCTATGGGTTTGACTACTTTAGCTACCTTGTATAAGTGGAACTATAGTTATTTGTCATTTTGTGACTGACTGATTTCATTTAGCATTGCTATAAAGAGACCCCTGAGATTGGGTAATTTATAAGGAAAAGATGAGCCTTGAGGCTCATCCATGTTGTAGTGTGTGTGGGAATTTCTTTCCTTTTTCAGGCTGAATAATATTACATTGTATATATAGACCACATTTGGCTTATCCATTCGTCCAAGGAGGGAAACTTGGGTTGCTTTCATCTTCTGACTCTTGTGAATAATGCTGCTATGAACTTGGGTGTAGATCTTTTTTCAATTGATGGGATAAATTGTTTTAAAATACTCAATTTATTTTCTCAGTCTTTAGTCTAAGATTATTAAAATAACATGGTGAATAAAATAAAGGAAGAATGCAAATTTTTAGGGTACTGGAGAATTGAGGCATCAATCCAAATGACTTGCAAGTTTGAGAACCATGAGTAGAGTAAATAGGACTTTTTTAGGTCCTCTTGGGTCTATTATGTTACTTTTTTATAGTGATTTTGTGTGTGTGTGTGTGTGTGTGTGTGGAAACAATGAACTTCCTCTGTGATAGCCTCTATGATCCTTCATCCTTGCATTTTTGCCCTTTACCATTTATTTCCATTCCTGTTTATATGTGTCCCCCACTATACTGTAAACTTGTTGAGTGCAGGGACCAAGTTATTAATTTCTGAATAGTACTTAGGACAAAGCCTGGCTCATAAGGCAAATGCAATAAATGTTTGAAGAGAAATTTGACTCACTCTGTCATTTGGAAAAATTTAACTTCACAGTTAGCCTTGGAATAATTCAACATTTTTATTTGTTTTTATCTGCTTCTTTTATATTTGAAACATAGCTCATGTTTAGGAGCACAAATTAGTTTTAAATATGAAGCAATCAAGTTTTTTTTGTTTTCAACTCTTTTTGGGCAGTGGGAGAAACATTTGTTGAATACTTGGCATCAAATAGAGGAAATATCCAGGCCTTGACTTTAGTTTTGATTTGAGTAAGTCCCTCTGAATTTCCACTGTGAATTCTGTCTCCTCCCTGCCACCTCTGAAGTGCTGTGTGTGGCTTTGAGTTGTGCAGCTAGTGCTGTGAGTGCTGTTTCTGTATCAGGGCACAGATTTCCCACTCCATGTATTGGCTCCTAAGCTTTGTTTTCATGCCCCCTAACTTCTCCTGAACTGTCTCCAACCTCTTTATAATGTTCCAGAAATAGAAATCTCCCAAAGGGATTGTCATTTGTAATAAACGCCCTCAATCCTTAATATATTATTTCCCATTGGTGGGCAGAAAGCCTGCAGATATATTTATTTTCAGGTGATAGACAATACTTTAGAGACACATGCTTAAGAATCTGGACTCCATTCATTCAAAGAGCATCAAGCATTATGGCAGGCCCAGGCACTGGTGAAACACCAATGAGGAAGAGTCTCTATTCTTGCTCTTACAGAGCTGATAGTGGGAGAAATAAAAAGGAAGCAGTGCCTTGACTGGGAAACACAGAGAACTAAGGAAGCTCATAGGAGAGGGAGCTGACATAGTTGGGTGGTGGTAGCAAGTGCGATCGTTAACTTGACACCTGAAGGATGAGTAAGAATTTGTCAGTTGATGAAGAGGAATAAGAGTGTCCTGGAAAGTGGGGACAGCACATGTAGAAGCTAGGTGATGAGCAAGAACATGGCTTACTTAGAGAACGGAAGGAAGTACATTATTCCTAGAGTAGTGAGTCACCTTAGTTACGTGGATAGTCCTGGCATATCCTGAATTATGCCACTCTCATTTCAGTGGACAGTCCCATTGATTCCAATTTTTAAGCAGAAATATTGAAAATGCAGTTTTTCTGTGCATTAACAAGGAGGTTCCCTGGTAGGAAGAAATGCATGAAAAACAAGTAGGCTCAATGGTAACTTAATGCACTTGATGAAATGCTGATTGTGAACAAAACTTCAGGATACTATCATTATAAATGAATGAAACCCATTAGATTTTAAGTAGAAGACTTATTTTTTTTCTGCTAAGATTAGAGGCCTCAGGGTTTTGTTAATTGTGGACTCCATGATCAGAAATCCATATATGTGTCTGCAGCCATGATTTTTTTATTAGTAACAAGAAAGAGGGATAACTTCTTAACTATTCAGAATATGCATTATTTAGCAGTAAGACACAACTATTCCAGAAAGTGGCTTAATCAACTTTATTCATATGAAAGTACATAGTTTTATGGCTATTATTAGTAGGCCATGAATTTTTATTAAGTCAAAAAGAACATTGATATTTAACAGATAATGCCATTCTTGGCAGTGTAGGGTGTAATCAGGCAGAACACAACTCATTTCTGACTTCCAACTATATCACTCATGTTGACTTTCTGCTTTGTCTCCAGCAGTTGCATGAAAGTAAATGTACTGCCACAGATACTTCCCAGATGTTGCCACACAGAAATTTCAGGATAGTTCCATTCATACCATTTATTCATTCAAGGAACACGTATTGGGTGTTGGCTCTCTGTCAAGCTTGATTGTAGGTGTTGGAAAAATGTGACCAAGCTACAGAGTGTCCCTGCCCTTGCAGGGCTCACAGTGTAGTGGGGAAGACAGACAAGCAAATAGTCAATGGAGACAAATACAGTGTGACCAGTGCTGTAATAGCAGATGCCCTGGAAACTGTGCAAGCTCAGAGGAGGGCAGCTAACACAGCCTTGAAGGACCAGGGAATGCTCCCTGAGGAGAGAGATCGGCTGGGATCAGAAAAGTGAATTAGGACCTGGCCTGGCAAAGAGGAGGACAAAGAGAATTTCAAGCAGAGAGAACAGCTCATTTGAAGACAAAGAAGTGAGAAGAATGGCAGGAAGGAAGGGAGAGAGAGAGGGAAGGGTATTGCAAATGTAAATGTAAAAGGGCATAACTGTATGACATGCATTATGGCTAGAGAGGCATGAGGTGTACCTGAATAGGTAGGCAGGGGCTGGCACACAAAGGCATTGAGGTGTACTTTTGTGTATGAGGATGAAGAGTTTGGATTTCATTTCAAATGCATTGGAAAGCCTTTGGAGAGTTTCCTGATGGGAAGCCCTGTGATCTGATGTACATTTTTAAAAACTCTGTCTGGCTAGGAAGGCAGTGAGAAAGCTGATGCGGTGGGTCCAGGCTGAGACTTGGTAGAGTAAGAATGAAGATGGACAATGTCTAAAGATTTGAGAGCACTATCCAGGAATTGGGGTAGATTGGGTTTTGTGCAAATAATAACATGAGTGGTACAATGATATCTCATTTACTTAAGCGGGAGACAGGAGTCATGAATGATGACTCTTATGTTTCTGGGATCCAGTCCCATCTCTAGCACTTACAACTGTGTGATTGAGCAGTATCACTTATTCTTTGCATCTTCTTTTTTTCATCTCTTACATTTTCCCACTGTGATTGCAGCCTGATTTTCAGTGGTGATTCATAATGATCCTAATATCCTTTGCTTCTAAGGTACATAGCAGACCATTTATAAATATTGCCCAAATAAATGAACTGGCATTATGCAGCTACATTCTTATGCAGGTATACTTCCTGGTTAGGTGCAGATTAGCCTATTTAGTCTTTCTTATCTGTAGCTTATTACTGGGAATAATCTAAAGTGGAAATCAAACCATAGATTGTGTGTGATATAATGGTCCCCTGTACTGGACTGGGCCTTAAGAACTCACATTTTTCCCCCTTACTTTGCTGTTATCTTGCCTTTATTTAGTGCAACAGAAAATCACTTATGTGCTTTATATCAGTATTCCCATTTGTAAAATGTCTATGATAATGCCAGATCCTGACTTTAGTTTTGGGGTGATATTATTAACAAGATAATAGCTTTTAAGCATAATCATTTAGTGTTTATAATAGACCTTTCCTCTAAGAACTTCCTGATGTTTGTCATTGGAGGTGGTGTAAGGCAGAGAACAGAAGCCCCTGAAGAGCTTTTTCAGAGAATCTAGGTCCTAACTCTACCCCACACCAGCTTCAGTGGGGGCCCATTGGTGGACATGCACGGTGGACTCCGGCTGTTATGGACCTTCCCTGCTCTGCATAGTCTTGTAGCAATATGGTCTTCTCATGTTTCAGAACATCAAATGTAAAAGCCAAAACTACAACTGGCAAGAACTCACTTAGCAGTAAAGGGGAAATGTATAGGAATTGGAACTGCTATTGACAAAAGTTAGATTATATGATCAACATTTCAAAGGCACAGAGATTTGCAATAATTGCATGGGGTATAGGTGTTTTCTGAACAATAGAAACAAAAGCCAGTATTATATAGTGGGTTAAAAGAGACACTTATTATGCTCAAGTATACAAAGTAACATGAACTTCTAGCTAGTAGAATTTTATGGATTTCATGATTTGCCATAATGAAGAAATAAAAATATTTTAAAATTTTCCTATTGTTTTTGAAAGCAGTTATTGTGAGTGTGGTTGGCAAGTATTACTATGTACTCAGCACCCCCTTTTCCCATGGATAGCTAAACGAATTCTGCATTGTTGGGTCTGATTTCATGAGTTTTGTTCCAGTGCAAAACAAACTTAATACAAGTACTTTCCAGGTCTGGTTTCATCTGTATGTGAACTAGAACTAAATCGTTTACATGTGAGGCTAAAATGAGAGTCCTCCCAATAAAGTGTCCTGGAATGTGCATTTGAGTGTTTTCTCTAAAGAAGAAGACAGCCATGTTAAGTCAGAAATGAATCAGCAAAAGAAGGAATGAAAAAGATTGTTCATTCTGAAATAACACTCATGGCTTGTATGGGAAAATTTTATTTCAACTTTGAAAATAAAGATTTTTCATTTAACATTAATTCAACAAATATTTATTGAATACCTACTATGTGCCAGGCAGTGTTCTAGGTATAAGTGATATAGCAATGAATAAAACAAAGATCTTTGCCCTCCTGGGCTTACATTCGTGTGTGTGTGTGTATGTGTGTATGTGTGTGTGTGTAGGGACATACAATAAGCAATATATATATAGGTAAAAAAGATATGTTATCTGCTGACAAGTGCTATGGAGGAAAATAAATCTGGGAATGTGTATGTATGGTAGTGGTGGTGGTAAATGGCTGTAGTTTTGAGTATGATGATGAGGTATGGACTTACTGAGAAGATGATATTTGAGTAAAATTCTGAGAGAAAGCCATGCAGGTGTCTTGGGGAAGAGGGTTACCAACTTTTGCATGTTGCCTGGGTAAAATAAAAGTGCACAAGTATAAAAATGTATTACCCACAAGTCAGGCAGTTAGAGGTGTTTTTTATTGAACAAGGGTAAAGCCCTTTCTGCATTCCTGTGTAAATTCTGCAAGGCAGAATTTCAAATGTAGTCTCTGGTTATTTGAATCTTAAAAGTTCATGAACAGCTTTTTAAATTGTACTCTCTGAAATTTCTGTATATGCATACAGATAGCATTTACATGTACTAAGTTGGTATGAACCCATGGATATACCTGCTTTGGTGTTGAAGCTACTTGATGATTTGCAAATTCAAGCATACCATATTTTCATTTATGCAAAAGAAAGTATTAACTGTTCTGATGTCTGGGAAGAATGAGCACCTCTCAGGAACATAGGTTCTGCTTGAGCTACTTTAGACCATTTGACTCCTGAAAGTAGGAGAAATTATCAGTTAGATAGATCAGCCTCTCCAGAGGACCTGCAAAGTGCAAGCAAGAACAGTGTGGAGCCACTTGCATTGAGTAGTATGTGAGTCAAAGTCATGGAGAGGAGTGGTTGTTGTTCAGTATTTGCTGTGGATTACTGTTAGGACTAGTAGATCCATATTCTCCCTATTTCCTGGTGTTGGTCATTTTGCATTGCTATAAAGGAATTCCTGAGACTGGAAGATTTATACAGAAAAGAGGTTTATTTAGCTCATGGTTCTGTGGGCTGTGCAACAAGTGTAGTACCAGCATTTGCTGCTGGCAAGGCCTCGGGAAGTTTACAATTATGGTGGAAGGCAAAGGGAAAGCTGCCTTATCACATGATGAGAGGGAGTAAAAGAGAGAGGGAGGAGGTGCCAGGCCCTTCTCACGTGAACTCACATCTCACGTGAACTCACAGAGAGAGAACTCACTCATTACCATGGGGATGGCACCAAGGCATTCATGGGGCATCTGCCCACATGACCCAAACACCTCCCACTAGGCCCTCCTCTAACACTGGAGGTCGCGTTTCAACGTGAGATTTGTAGGGGACACACATCCAAATCATTTCACTCTCTGAACAGTGCTCTGTGTAACTCTTGCCACTTCTAGGTGGATAAGGTGGTGAAGACCCACTAGGTCTGGAAGGGCAGAGTTGATTCTGTATTGAGGAGGTCACAGACCTAATGTGAAAAATTATTGCTCCAGCCTCCCTTGTACAAAATTTGGACATGTGATACTTTTGACATGTTTTTGGCGTGTCCTGCCAGCCAATGGTGTGCAAGTAGACAGAGCAGGGGAGTGAATCCATGCCAGGACAATTAGCTGTTGTAGTAAGGGGCTGCAGATTTGCCCTTCCCCTTTGTCTTCAGTGAAGTGCCCATCTGTTATATAAATATTTGAATGTGGTGGTGAGGAGGGAGGGAACTGTGTGTATTTGTGGAAAGAAGACAGGAACTGGGTGCCCTTGAGTGAGCCTCTTAATCTCAATGGGTCACAGTTTTGTGAAACGCTACAGTGAGAATAGTAACATTAAGCACCCACTAAGCTTGTTGGAGTATAAAAAAGACATGATATGTGAAAGCATTTGGTTAGCATTATACATGTAAATGTACTTTTTTAATGAATGGACTTGCTTTTCCCTAGAAGGCCTTTACTGGTAGAATATTGTTCAGCTATCAAAAAACACGGCCTTTTATCAGGAATTTTTCCTAAATTAGCATTATTCACAATTGAAACTACATACTTGGTTTCTAAGTTTTCATGGCCCAGATTATTTTATTTTGCTACCTTCCCCACCCCATCCCGAGGGAATATGTGAACAATTTACTATTGACAGATAAAAGATAATGTGTTGTGAAAGTGACAGGCCCGAATCAGCAGGAGAGCCTGCAGTTCTCCTGCCTTGCTGTCATTCAGTGATGAAAATATTACAGAACGTTTAATACTATATGAACTAGAACAATACGCAATTTCAGAAGAAGCCACCTTATGACACTTCAATTTATTTAACATAAAAGACTGATGGTCCTATTGAAGTTCAAAGCTTGGAAAATTTTCAGGAAGGACAATTTATACTATTTAGGAAATGCTCTCCCTGAGCTTTACTGTTTCATATTTAATCCAGGGTACTACCTAAGATTGCTTATAAAGTCCCTTTTGCTGTGTGGACCTTCAACATCTCATAGTAAAGAGAGAATATGGTGTAGTGGTTAAGCATGCAGAGCTTGTGCCTTTGTTTTCCCATCTGTAAAATGGGGATAAGAGTAGTACCTACCTCACTGGGTTGTTGTGTGTATTAAATCAGTTAATATATACAACACATATAATAGTGACAGACACAGAGTAAGCTCTATATAAGTGTTTGCTATTATTATTATTACTTAAGTTCTTATTATGAAGATTATCTGCCTAGAGTGTCTCTGTCTAAAACAATAGTCTGCATAAAGTCTGGGTTGTGTTGGAGAGGGAGAAGAGGGTGGTGAAGGAATTTTTTTCAGTAAAGAACCAGCAATATCTGCTGCAAAGGTTCTTCCCCACCTCATCCAACTGGAAAAGCCCCGCCAGTCCCTTCAAGACCCTGTTCAAGCATCAACCCTCTCCACCTTCTCCACCCTTCTCCCAGTGGATAATTCCCACTGTTATCTCAGCACTTTATTTCTGAATTATATCAGTCAGTTTCTGAATTATAGCTGTTATCATACTGCATTATATTATCTGTTTATGGGTCTCTCCCTCACTAGGCTGTGGGCTCCTTGAAGGCAGGGACTAGTGTAATTCAAGCATAGTGTCATGGTATGCAGTAAGCCATTGATGCTCATGGAGTGGCAGACTATAGCTGGGCAGATTTCTCTTTCAGAGTTGCCCTTCCTTGTGTTCATTTCCTTCCCTGCAGGTCTAGACTAGAGTCAGTCTCAACCGCCCTCAATTTGCCACTTGGCCAAAGGCCTGGACTCTCTGCAGTGGGGAGCTAAACATCTGAATGAAGTAGTCATCAAAACCAAGGTGAGCTTTGGAGATTGCTATGGCAGAAGTGAAGAGAAGAGGCAACTAGAGTGACAGTACATCTTTGCTAGTTGGGGTCAGTGTTGGGCATAGCTGTTCCCTATAACTCAGTACTCCAGCTAGACTGAGATCAAGAGCATGGCTGAGATCAAGAACATGCCCTGTGTTACCCCTTTTGTGAGGTCTTCTGAGATGCCCCCAGGCACACCTAACTGCTAGTACTCCTGTGCTTCACTGCAATTTGAACATCTCTATTAAAGGACTAGTGATTTTATTGCACATCTGCTTCTCACCAGACTGTGAGTCACATGAGGGCAGGAACTGTGAGGTTTCGGTTCTGTAGAGCTGCTTTAGGTAAATGGTTGATGAATGAGCAAATGAATCGGTTTGTCTTTCTGATACTACTTCAGTGATCTGTCCAAATGCCGTTAAGAGGCATATTTTGTTACTTGTTTATCAGTCATCTTTTCTGCTTGTTTCAACCTTCAGTAAACTGTGGAACTGTTCTCTTTCATGTAGTACCTGGCACGTAGGAATAGTGCAGCAGATAACTATTGAACTGAATGGCACCTGAGAGCAACACAGATGTAGGGTTCTTTTATTTTCTGGATGTATTTGGAGGCAGGGATATAGGTCAGCAACCCATAGTGCAGTTGTCCTTTGGGGAGGGGGTCAGTGTGCCAACCTGTACAGTTTAGATCGGGGACTGTGACCACACACAGTCACCAGTTAAATCAGGCAGCCCTATTGCGCACATCATCATCTCCATCTTCAGTTGTGTGTACAGCCAATTGTAATTACTGAGGCATATAAGGTAGCCAAATCATGTTTGTGAGCCTCCACTTGAAAAGTAAAAGAAATATATGTTATATGTTAGAATGAGGGTTTTTTTTCATACAGAGAGAAACAGAACTAAGAAAAAAATAATTTGTAATATTTCAGAAAACTCAATTTTTGAGGACTCTGGATGATAGAATTCTTACAGTAGCTACCCAGCTCAGAGCAATTTGTGCATGGAATACCTTTAGGGTATGTAAGTTCCAGAAGATCATCATTTAGCTTAGTGCCCAGTATGATGCCAGTCATTGTAGAAAATTTGACAGATTGATGATGCATGGCCTTTGCCCCCAAAGAATTTGCATTCTAATTGATGATCTCAGATGTTATATCTGCAGTGGTGGTGAGCAGCTTGGAAGAGTATAAAATATAAAGCTAAGCTGTCTATTTTGTGCGTGTGGGAGGCATTCAGAGGAGACATGCCAAGGGTGGGGTATGTCAAGGAAGGCTTTATGATAAAAGCAGTAGGTGAGTGGAAATTAAAGTCAAAGTGGGAGGGTAGGGGGACCTGGGAATGAAAGTAAAAGTGAACCTGAGGTGTTAGTAATGGTGTATCCTCACTGGATTATTCATTAATTCATCAGTTGAAATTTATGTAACTGACTACCTTGGGCCAGACACTATGATGGATACTAGGGACACAGAGATACACAGGACATGGTCCCTGCTTTTGGCATACTATGGGGACACCCAAGGAGTGCCTTCCTTTATTGACCATACAGTTAAATGACTGACGAGTCATTCATGCCTTCAACAAACATTTATTAAGTGTCTGTTTTGGGTCTTACTCAGCATTGGATGCTGGGGATACAGAAATGAGTCAGACCAGTCCAAGATACTCTCATACTCCAGGTAGATGCATGTGTTAAAACATACAATCAGCTATTTGCTATTTGCAAAGTGCTTCTCTCATATGAGGCAGGTTTAATCCTCATAGCAATCTTGTGAGGTTGTTTCTGTTATATTCCCCATCTCACATAATTTGTGAGATTATGAACTAAGAGATTATGAAAGTGAGATTATGAGTTTAGTTGATAAACTAAGGCATAGAGCTGTTAAGCAATTTCTCTACGCTCATACTGCTAAGAAGTAGCTGAGCTGAGAAGTGAATCCAATTCCTCTGCATGTTTTTTTTTTTTAATGTCCTGGAATCACAAGAGTATTTGACTCATACTGTAGGAGCAGAAATAAAATGAAATAAAATGAAAACTGATTTTTTGCGAAAAGAGAGGCATCTTCTAAGAAAATGAAAGAATGATTCTTCGAATGGGAAAATTGCCATCAACTCAGGGGAAGTTATGAAAAGTTTGAAGACATGTAATGGGAGAGTGAACAAAGTACTAAAATAAGAAGGGACCACATTGGGGTGTGTTGCTTTACTAGTCCACTGTGAGATATTAAGTTGGTGCAAAATTAATTGCGGTTTTGCCATTAAAAGTAATAGGCAGTATCATGGAATATTGGCCATAGAGTTAAATGTTCTATAAGGTGAAACTATTGTTAAAAAGTCACTTGTGTTATGGAATCACCTTCATGTGTTAGTTATTGATCTTGCCGGCTTGCAATTTATAAATGTATTTTTAAAAGCAAGAGTCCATTATGTAGATTTTCTTTCTCTTTCCTTCTTTCCTTTCACTGAGTCAATAATTTTAAGATAAGAAAAGAAATATATAAAAGATCTATTATAGAACACTGATGTCCAGTTTAATCCCTTATTCTTTTCTGCAATCAAAAGATAAAGTAGGAAGATAACTGGAATCAGTTTGTGACAGAGAGGAAAAAAGAAATTGACTGTGATTACAAACCTCACACCAAAATTATTATTATAGACCTGACTCCCAAATTATGCAGATTGAGACCACATGAAACATATGGTGTATTGTTTTTCTACGCATAACTTGTTTGATGTTTGTTTAAAGACCTTAGATGAAGAACTGGCTCTTGAGATATCTTGTCTCTCATAATCACAATCTGAATCTGCCTTACCCTCACTTGAGGTTTACATGGAGAGTTTCAAACTGAAATAATGCAAAAATTCCTTATGTGACATGGTGATGTGGAGTGTGGGCTTTGGCTCTAAGTTTGTGATGGGATTGGTGTAGTGTTCGCATGGAAATAATCATATACTTGGCAGCATTTTCTCTGAGGCTATTAGACCTGAATGGACAGAAATACTGATGTTTGCAAATTCCCTCTGGCAGTATGGTGCAAGTGATATCATTCATATCCTTTCTTTCCATTTTCTATCTTCCTACACTCAGTGACCTCAGAGATCATCTGGCCATTCTTTCTACAGTTGATGAACTCAGTCCTGGAGAGTGTAAAGGACCTGCTCAAGGTTTTTTGGCATAGCCAAGTATAGCTTCTAGAAGTAATTTCCATTGATCTTATTGCTTGCTCTTCAGAACTATCTAATGAGGTGGCTGGCAAGATGGCCGAATAGGAACAGCTCCAGTCTGCAGCTCCCAGCGAGATCAACGCAGAAGGCAGGTGATTTCTGCATTTCCAACTGAGGTACCCAGCTCATCTCATTGGGCCTGGTTAGAGTGTGTGTGCAGCCCATGCAGGGCGAGCTGAAGCAGGGTGGGACGTCACCTCACCTGGGAAGCACAAGGAGCTGGGGAAGTCCCTCCCCATGAGGGACTGTGCTGTGAGGAACAGTGCATTCCGGACCAGATACTATGCTTTTCCCATGGTCTTTGCAACCCGCAGACCAGGAGATTCCCTTGGGTGCCTAAACAACCAGGGCCCTGGGTTTGAAGCACAAAAATGGCTGGCCGTTTGGGCCAACACATAGCTAGCTGCAGGAGTTCTTTTTCATACCCCAGTGGCAACTGGAATGCAAGAGAGAGAGAAATGTTCACTCCCCTGGAAAAGGGCTGAAGCCAGGGAGCTAGGTGGTCTAGCTGCCCGGATCCCACCCCCATGGAGCCCCGCAAGCTAAGATCCACTGGCTTGAAATTCTTGCTGCCAGCACCAGGCCTGCCTTACAAGAGCTCCTGAAGGAAGCACTAAACATGGAAAGGAATAACCGGTACCAGCCACTGCAAAAACATACCAAATTGTAAAGACCATCAACACTGTGCTGAAACTGCATCAACAAACAGACAGAATAACCAGTTAGTATCATAAGGACAGGATCAAATTCACACATAACAATATTAACCTTAAATGTAAATGGGCTAAATGCCCCAATTAAAAGACACAGACTGGCAAATTGGATAAAGAGTCAAGACCCATCAGTGTGCTGTATTCAGGGGACCCATCTCATGTGCAAAGACACACAGAGGCTCAAAGTGAAGGGATGGAGGAATATTTATCAAGCAAAGAGAAAGCAAAAAAAAAAAAAAAAAAAGCAGGGGTTGCAATCCTAGTCTCTGATAAATCAGAGTTTAAACGAACAAAGATCAAAAAAGACAAAGAAGGGCATTACATAATGGTAAAGGGATCAACACAACAAGAAGAGCTAACTATCCTAAATATATATGCACCCAATACAGGAACACCCAGATTCATAAAGAAAATTCTTAGAGATCCACAAAGAGACTTAGACTCCCACACAATAATACTGGGAGACTTTAACACCTCACTGTCAATATTAGACAGCTCAATCAGACAGAAAATTCACAAGGATATTCAGGACTCAAACTCAGCTCTGGACGAAGCAGACCTAATAGACATCTACAGAACTCTCCACCCCAAATGAACAGAAGATATATTCTTCAAAGCAACACATCGCACTTATTCTAAAATCGATCACATAATTGGAAGTAAAACACTCCTCAGCAAATGCAAAAGAATGGAAATCACAACAAACAGTCTCTCAGACCACAGTGCAAAGAACTCAGGATTAAGAAACTCACTCAAAACTGCACAACTACATGGAAACTGAACAACCTGCTCCTGAATGACTAGTGGGTAAATAACAAAATGAAGGCAGAAATAAATAAGTTCTTTGAAACCAACGAGAACAAAGACACAATGCAGCAGAATCTCTGGGACATAGCTAAAGCAGTGTTTAGAGGGAAATTTATAGCAATAAATGCCCACAGGAGAAACTGGGAAAGATCTAAAATAGACACCCTAACATTACAATTAAAAGAACTAGAGAAGCAAGAGCAAACAAATTCAAAAGCCAGGAGAAGACAGAAGACAAGAAGTGAATAGGATCAGAGCAGAACTGAAGGAGATAGAGACAAAAAAAAAAAAAAAACCCTTCAAAAAATCAGTGAATCCAGGAGCTGATTTTTTGAAAAGATTAACAAGATAGATAGACCACTAGCCAGATTAAAGAAGAAGAAAAGAGAGAAGAATCAAATAGACACAATAAAAAATGATAAACGGGATATCACCACTGATCCCACAGAAACATAAACTACCATAAGAGAATACTATAAACACCTCTATACAAATAAACTAGAAAATCTAGAAGAAAGGGATAAATTCCTGTACACATAAACATTCCCAAGACTAAACCTAGAAGCAGCTGATTCCCTGAATAGACCAATGACAAGTTCTGAAATCGAGGCAGTAATTAATAGCCTACCAACCAAAAGAAGCCCAGGACCAGACAGATTCACAGCCTAATTCTACCATTGGTACAAAGAGGAGCTGGTACCATTCCTTCTGAAACTATTCCAAACAATAGAAAAAGAGGGACTCCTCCCTAACTAATTTTATGAGGTCAGCATCATCCTGCTACCAAAACCTGGCAGAGACACAACAACAACAAAAAAATTTCAGGCCAATATCCATGATGAACATAGATGCAAAAATCCTCAATAAAATACTAGTAAACTGGATCTAGCAGCACATCAAAAAACTTATCCACTACAATCAAGTGGGCTTCATCCCTGGGATGCAAGGCTGGTTTAACATACACAAATCAATAAACATAATCTATCACATAAACAGAACCAGTGACAAAAACCACATGATTATCTCAATAGATTCAGAAAAGGGCTTCAGTAATATTCAACACTCTTTCATGCTAAAAACTCTCTATAAACTAGGTTTGATGGAACCTATCTCAAAATAATAAGAGCTATTTATGACAAACCCACAGCCAATATCATACTGAATGGGCAAAAGCTGGAAGCATTCCCTTTGAAAACTGGCACAAGACAATATGCTCTCTCTCAGAACTCTTATTCAACATTGTATTGGAAGTTCTGGCCAGGGCAATCAGGCAAGAAAAAGAAATAAAGCATATTTAAATAGAAAGAGAGGAAGTCAAATTGTCTCTGTATGCAGATGACATGACTGTATATTTAGATTAGACAACCCCATCCTTTCAGCCCCAAATCTCCTTAAGCTGATAAGCAAATTTAGCAAAGTCTCAGGATACAAAATCAATGTACAAAAATCACAAGCATTCCTATACACCAATAATAGACAAACAGAGAGCCAAGTCATGAGTGAACTCCCATTCACAATTGCTACAAAGAGAATAAAATACCTAGGAATCCAACTTACAAGGGATGTGAAGGACCTCTTCAAGGAGAACTACAAACCACTGCTCAAGGAAATAAGAGAGGACACAAACAAATGGAAAAACATTCCATGCTCCTGGATAGGAAGAAACAATATCATGAATATGGCCATACTGCCCATAGTAATTTATAGATTCAATGCTATCCCTATCAAGCTACCACTGACTTTCTTCACAGAATTAGAAAAAACTACTTTAAATTTCATATGGAATCAAAAAAGAGCCTGTATAGCCAAGTCAATCCTAAGCCAAAAGAACAAAGCTGGAGGCATCACACTACCTGACTTCAAACTATACTACAAGGCTACAGTAAGCAAAACAGCATGGTGCTGGTACCAAAACAGAGTTATAGACCAATGGAACAGAACAGAGGCCTCAGAAATAAAGCCACACATCTACAACCTTCTGATCTTTGACAAACCTGACAAAAACAAGCAATGGGGAAAGGATTCCCTATTTAATAAATGGTGTTGGGTAAACTGGCTAGCCATATGCAGAAAACTGAAACTGGACCCCTTCCTTACATCTTATACAAAAATTAACTCAAGATGGATTAAACGTTAAGACCTAAAACCATGAACACCCTAGAAGAAAACCTAGGCAATACCATTCAGGACATAGGCATGGGCAAAGATGTCATGACTAAAATACCAAAAGCAATGGCAACAAAAGCGAAAATTGACAAATGGGATCTAATTCAACTAAAGAGCTTCTGAACAGCAAAAGAAACTATCATCAGGTTGAACAGGCAACCTACAGAATGGGAGAAAATTTTTGCATTCTATCCATCTGACAAAGAGCTAACATCCAGAATCTACAAGGAACTTAAATAAATTTACAAGATGAAAACAAACAACTCCATCAAAAAGTGGGCAAAGGATATGAACAGACACTTCTCAAGAGAAGACATTTATGTGGCCAACAAACATATGAAAGAAAGTTCATCATCACTGGTCATTGGAGAAATGCAAATCAAAACCACAATGAGATACCATCTCATGCCAGTTAGAATGGCAATCATTAAAAAGTCAGGAAACAACAGATGCTGCAGAGGATGTGGAGAAATAGGAATGCTTTTACACTGTTGGTGGGACTGTAAACTAGTTCAACCATTGTGGAAGACAGTGTGGTGATTCCTCAAGGATCTAGAACCAGAAATACCATTTGACCCACCAATCCCATTGCTGGGTATATACCCAATGGCTTATAAATCGTTCTGCTATAAAGACACATGCACACGGATGTTTATTTCAGCACTATTCACAATAACAAGACTTGGAACCAACCCAAATGCCCATCAATGATAGACTGGATAAAGAAAATGTGGCACATATACACCATGGAATTCTATGCAGCCATAAAAAAGGATGAGTTTATGGCCTTTGCAGGGATATGAATGAAGCTGGAAACCATCATTCTTAGCAAACTTACACAGGAACAGAAAACCAGACACTGCATGTTCTCACTCATAAGTGGGAGTTGAACAATGAGAACACATGGACACAGCAAGGGTAACATCACACACTGGGGCCTGTCAGGGGATGGGGGACTAGGGGACGGATAGCATTAGGAGAAATACCTAATGTAGATGACGGGTTGATGGGTGCAGCTAACCACCATGGCACGTATATACCCGTGTAACAAACCTGCACGTTCTGCCCATGTATCCCAGAACTTAAAGTATAATTTTAAAAACATTTACATATATATATATATTATATTTATATTCATATATTTTAAAAAAAGAGCTATCTGATGAGACAGGTGAGGCAGGTTGTTTTGTATCAATTTCTAGAAGAGACAGTTTAGAGCCAGGGAGGTTAAAATGCTGGTTAATGGCCCAAGACGTAGCCAGCAGCTCAGCTGGGACTAAAGTCCAGATCTTCTGATTTCTTGTAGCACACCATATTGCCTCTGAATTCTTTTCTTTCAAAACAGATATTTCTGTCCTTTTGGGTTTGTCAAGGAATCACTTCCTATGTTATTCTTTTGACACTGGTATTCGTTGGCACTTGCAAATTGCCTTAGATTGGTAATTAACTTTTAAAATTTGTAGATATTTTGTTTCTCTAACTATATTATAATCTCTCTGAGGATTGAGGGCCAGCCAGGTTTTATACTGCCTTTGAATCTTCCTTAGTACCTAGCTTGTAATATATGCTTGACAAATATTTGTTTAGTGTCTGATAGTGGAAGTCAGCTGGAGGTTGGTGTATGTCTAATATAAATCTGGAAATTAAAGTCTCTTTTGGTTCTTGGCTCAGGATATAAAAAGCATCATGGGTAATAAAATTTACAAGTTTTCTAGCCTAATCAGGTATTATGTAAAATTTGTATCCTGATTTGAGAAAATCTGTATCTGCCAGTGTGTTCTGACTGTTGGAACATGAATATAAAGATTAATTTGAGATTGCAGAGTTCTGCCATAGGGTTTGGTGAAATACTACCTAAACTGTCCTCAGAGCTTTCTGATATCTATCAATAGTGGAAAGTTGATCTTGTTTCTCCTTTAAAGATTTTTGTCTTTAGAGCTTTGTGCAAAGGTTGACCAGAACCTCGGAATCCTAGGATGGATCGAATACCTGGTGTGTGCTAAGAGCTAGGAAAGTGGAAGCTGGATTATGCACGGGTAGAAAATGAAGAGAGGGCAAGAGGAAGGAAGAAATGGAAAGTGTAAGCCAATGTGAGTAGGAGTTTGGACGCAAGCCCCATATTTGAATCAGGAAACAAGGCTGTTGGCAGGGCTGATTGTCATCTCCCCAGATGACCTGCTGGCCAGAAAGAGTTAACTGGCCTTACAACCTGCTGCAGGAATAGCTCAAGAGCTATCAAATTCATCACATGTAACTTTTCACTCAGATTGGTTTTGGGTCCTGATATTTACGAGTTAAAACATCTTAACATCATTTCAAATATTTGTGAAAGTATATGGGAATTTTATGGAGCAGCGGGGAATTTAATGCAAATAAAGTAGAAATATAGAGTCATATTTGAGTTTTTATGTTGAAATCATATCTTGATGAAGTTAGTTTTAAACAACTATATTTACTGAGGACCCACTGGGGACAAAACACATTCAAGGTATTTTTTTCAGTTTTTAAAATTTTTGCAGGAAAGAAAGAACCAGTCACATCGAAGCAACTTGAATGTTTATAAAGGAAAATCATAGAAGAATGGACATCCTTTACTCTTGAAAAGTTTATGAATAAGCTGCATGTCAAAGCAATATCATAATCACAAAGTAGAGAAGATAATCCATTGTTTTCTTGTATAAAGTCATTAGCATTCTAACTTATTCATTCATTTGTAAATCACACATTGAAAAGAAAACAATTAGCACACTCTTTCACATATCTGTGATAAGTCCTCAGGCCTACTCAGGAAGCTGTTGAAAATGGGCATGCTGATTTGTTATTAATGCTTATATATTTTAGAAAAAGCATCCAATTTAGAAATTAAATTGATTTTTTTTTCTTTTTACAAAATGAAAGTCATTACTACAGGAGGTAGGGAGACAAGCAGGCAGACAAACAAGACAGCAGGGCAGAGCCCTGACTGGGGCATAGGATCTGTTCACATCCCATTTCTGTTGAAGGAAGATTATAGCCTAAGAGCATACAGTAGAGGGTTGGATTAGAACCTCCCATCAGAAGCCATCAAGAGGTATTCTCTTTCCCCTGTTCTCTTGCACTTGTTTCTTTCACAAGTTTTTTCAGCATTTTTGGGTACTCTGTTGTACAACCTAAAATAAATTAGGCATCTAATAATAGTTTTCTTAAGGAGGCAAAAGGAAAAAAAAGTAGAATTTGTATTTCTCATGTTTCTAATACGGATTCTTCTTTTAAAAGTAGCCCCAAGAATGCATCCTTATTCTTTCAGCATAAGAATATGCTGTCAGCTCTGGGGACACTAAGATGAATAGGGCACAACCTTACTTGCTAGGTTCTCATAATCCAGTTGGCTGCTCAGGATAAGTCAAGCATAAAGACATTATCAAGGCCCTGTGGGAATTCAGAAGGGAGGAAATTTATTCCTGCTAAGGGACTCAGGGAAGGCTTCCTGGAAGAGGACAATCAGAGCTGGACTTTGGCAGATAGGTAGGATCTGCACATGAAGAGATGGGAGGAGATGGAGGCAGCTGTCACATAGTTGAGAAATCATGTGATGTGTTGGCTAACAGAACGCACTTTTTTCTTGGAGTCTGAGGCTTGGGAAGGGAAATGACGGGAGGTCAGGTTAGCAATATAAGTTGAAGCTAGATTGGTAGGGACAGCCTTGAATGTCAGGCCAATGTCTTTGGGACTTTATAGGTAGTGCTAAGACATATCCAGAGAATTAGCTAGGCAGTGTCACGAACAGATATTTATAGCATATTGTGGCAAGAAACATGAGTGCAGGATGGTTGGAGGCCTTGAGGAGGGAGCCGCTAAGCTGCCAAGGTGTGAAAGCTGGAGCATCGTCAAGGAAGCTTGCATGAAAGTGATGACATTTTGCTGAACCTTGAAGGATGGATATGAATTCCCCAGGGAATAGGTTGGGAAAGGACATTTCAGGCAGAAAGAATAGCACCTGCAAAGTCCCAGTGGTCTATGAGGGAATGTTATGCTGAAGAATGGCAATTACTGTGATGTAGAGAATGCAGGTATCTGGGAATTGGGTAGCAAGAGACCAAGCTAGGAAGAGGGCAAAGACCAGATCCCAGCAGAACTAGTAGGCCTGGCTGGGTGGTTTCAACTTCAAGGGCTGTATGCAGGAAACAATTGTGATGTGTGCTTTTAGAAATATCATGCTAGCAGTGGTGAGGAGGATGCATTAGCATAAATGAGAAAGGCTTAGCTTGCTGAGTGGTAGGGTGGCAATGGAACTAAAATACGTAAAGAAACAGTGTTTGGGGCTTAGAGAGAGTCTGGGCAAGACAGAGGGTGGACTGAAAGGATTTAGGGGGAATGGTTTTTATACTTTAATTAATGCTGTGGTTTTCACAATAGGTCTCTTTGTTTCAAAGGAAATCTTACGCAAACTCCATGAAAGATAAGGGCCAAGCTGCATGGAGTTCAGGTGGGAATTGGGCTTGGATCCAAGCCTGCTTGTTCCCTTGAAATCCTGCAATTTCGTGATGGCTCCTGAGGTACCTCTTTGAACCCTTTGTAGTTCAGCAAATGCAGTTTGAAAGCCACTGCCCTGAAAAGATTCATGTGCTCCACCAAAAACCCAGGCCTTTGCCCTCCATGCTGCTGGGAGAGGGAAACTGGCCTCTTGCTGTCATGGTTGGGCACCGAAAAAGGCAGGCTTATCTAGGGACAATGAACTTGATCTCTTTTAGAGGCTCTCACTGATCCTGGTGGCTCACTGATGAGGCATCTGGAGTATTCTTTGATACCTAGGGACATTGTAGTTCCCAAGGCATTTTGAACAATCGTTTGTAGTCCAATCAGGCCGAATTCATGAAAGGAATTTCTGGGTTCTAGGTAGAAAGCAGGGCCAGACGCAGTGGCTTATGCCTGTAATCCTAGCTCTTTGGGAGGCTGAGGCAGGAGGATCCCTTGAGACCAGGAGTTCAAGCTGTGATTGCACCTCTGTACCCCAGCTTGGGCAACAGAGCAAGATCCTGTCTCTTTAAAAAATACAAGCAAGCAAGCAGGGGATAAAAGAGGTGCCTAGGCCAGAGATAAGCAAGGGGAGCTGGAGACAGGGCCATTGTACAGGGATGTCTGGCCCTCGGGGTCAGTGAGGCTGATATTCAGACAGTGCTTTTGGCAGCTGATGAGGAGCTGCACTCTTCCAGAGGGATTACCTTTTTCTAATTCATAGAAAGGCACCTTATGCTCTAGCATTGGATATTTGGGAAGATAGCATGAAGAGGTGGTGAAGAGCAAGAGATAAATGGGGAGTTGGGGTTGGAATCAAATGTCTGCTCAACCCTTATGAGGTGTGTGACCTTGCACAACTTCCCTAATCTCTTGGATCATCAGCTTCATTCTCCATGAAACATGAATGATACTAGTACCTCCTGTTGTGGGCTTTTATGAAGATTAAAGAAGATAATTTGTGTAAAGTGCTTAACACAGTGCCTGGTACATAGTAAGTGTTGGATAAATTTTGGCTGTTAATATTCTTTATTTGTAATCAGAACACTGTCTACTCCATTACAGCAGTAACTTCAGACTTCATATCTTGATACATTTCTCTTTACTAAGAAAGAATGCCTCTCAGTTCAACAACATGGGCATGAGCATCTTATATTTTCAGTTATGTCCTATAAAAGAAATACAAGGAATGACTACTAGCATGGATTTTAAAAATTACTAGATGTATTTCAGATACAAAATTGGATGCTATGGTGAATAATCCAGGGGGTACTCATGGACCCACCACTTAGCTTAGTAAAACATTACTGATGCAGTTAAAGCTCCTTGTGTATCCCTCACTGATATTCCCTTCCTTCTTGCCTGGAGGGGACCAAGTTTCTGAATTTGGCGTGAATAACTTTCATGAATGTTTTAATATTGCTATTACATTTGTAGCTATCTGTAAAGAATGTATAATTTGTGTTTTAATTATTTTAGCTTTATGTAGAAGACCTTTTACTGTATTTTTTCTTCAACAGCCCTCTTTTTCCCCCTCAACATTTACCTAACATAAACATATACTTGTTGCTATACATAAGGTAGGGAAGTAATAAAAATTGTTATTTATTATGGAGAAGAGTGTCAGCTTTTTGTTGTAAAATAAAAAAATGATATATTTAAAAATACTAAATGTATTTCAAATTGACTTTCTGAAAGATCTAGGTAGAAAGAGAGTTAGGTTTTGGAATTTTATCTGATATACCTACAGGCCACTCATAATTATAGGGTACCCAAACCTGCACCTTATTAAACCTTGATCGAATGGTTGTATTGATGAAACATCCACAATTCTGTTTACATAACACTTGCTTGGATTTGGAGACTTGGCATCTTGACTATTAAGTATGAAACTGTCTTGAAAAATCACTGGGTTCATGAAAGGTTTTAAATGAAATAGCATGCATCTATAAACCATTCTCTCATATTTATCCATTTGAGTGTGAAGTAGTATCCTAGTTTTCATTTTGAACTCCAGAGTCTTATATTTGTGAAATATGATGTCTTCTCTTTAACTACAATTGTATGATTTTTGAAAGAATAGATATTGGCATTTATATTCTGGTAAAGTTGCATTGTTATAGTTTGCAAATTATTAATCCACAGCACTTATACTTTACTGTTTGAAAGGAGTCCTATGCTTTTTTCTTTTAAAGCAGAATGTGGCATATACATTAACACATTGTCCCACATTTTTGCTAAGTGGAATGTGTCTGACTTTGTGGGCTGATGAATGATGCCATATTTATTTCTGAATCAATCTTATGGCTTATCAGTGCAGTTATCACTTATGTGATCTGAGACTTTTAGCTGGGACTCCAGAGACATTGATGATCTTTATCATTCTGTATCACTCATAAAGGATCAGGGTCAGTTGAGGTTTTGACACCTGGCCATGTATTTAATGTTTTGGCTTTGTTGGATGTAACTCATCTGGCACAATGTTATTACCACATCACTGAGTGAGATGTCCTCATTTTCAGATGTTGCCAACATTAATATCTCAGATTTCAGGAATAAAAAGTTACCTAGGGTGAGTTGAGATGAGTGACATTGACATGTGTGTGTACCTACATACATGTATTTGCTGACTTGACTTTTGCTTATCTTTATCTCTGTAATTAGAATATATCTTCTCTTGATTAAATTAAACCTGTCATTTTCCCATAATCATTTATCAAATGTTCCTATACGCCAGCTACTATGCCAAGTACAGGGTATATACAAGTTACTCTTGAAGAGCTCACAGTCCAATAAGGGAGACAGTATACTTTGTCAGGTGCTTCCGTTGACTTATGCACAATGTATTAGAGGAACAGAAAAGGAAGGAGATATTCATTTATATAAAATAATTGCTCAAGGGAGGCTTCTCAGAGCAGGTGATATTTGATGTGAGTCTTACTGGGTGAATAGGAGTTTGCCAAATTGAAATGCAGAGGGTATATCATTTGCAAAGGCACAGAAGCATAAAAGAGGACGATGAGTTTGGGAAGCATATGTGAGGGTAAGAGGGAGGCTGGAAATTGAGATTGGGCCAGATCATGAAGGGTCTCATGTATCATGATAAGGAGCTTGGGTGTTATCTTTTAAGGGGAATTGAAGGAGTGTTTCATATGGAAAAGTGAAATTTTCATATGGAAAAGGTTTTAGGGAGGCTGTCTTAGTCTATTTTGTGTGATTATAACAAAATATCAGAGACTGAGTGATTTATAAAGGAAAGAAGTTTATTTAGCTAATGGTTCTAGAGGCTAGGAAGTCCAGTGGCATGGTGTCTGGCATCTGTAAGGCCCTCATGACCTAAATACCTCCAATTAGGCCTCACTTCCCAACACTGTTGCATTGAGAATTAAATGTCAACATGAGTTTTGGGTGGGGGTATTCAAACCACAGAATTCTGCCCCTGGATACCCCCAAATCATGTCCTTTTTACATACAAAAGACATTCATTCCATCCAAATAGCCTTAAAGCCTTAATTTATTTCAGCACTATATTAGTCCATTCTCACACTGCTAATAAAGACATACTGGGTAATTTATAAAGGAAAGAGATTTAATTGACTCACAGCTCAGTATGGCTGGGGAAGACTCAGGAATCTTACAATCATGGCAGAAAGGGTAGCAAATACGTCCTTCTTCACATGGCAGCTAGAGAGAGAAAAACGAGAACCAAGCAAAGGGGGAAACCCCTTATAAAACAATCAGATCCTGTGAAAACTTACTATCACGAGAATAGCATAGGGGTAACTGCCCCCATGATTCAATTACCTCCCAGTGGGTCCCTCACATGACACGTGGGGATTATGGGAACTACAAGATGAGATTTGGGTGGGGACACAGCCAAACCATATCATTCTGTGACCTTCCCCTACCAAATCTCATGTCCTCACATTTTAAAACACAATCATGCCCTTCCAACAGTCCTCCAGAGTCTTAGCTCATTCCAGCATTAACCCAAAAGTCCAACTCCAAAGTTTTATCTGAGACAAGGCAAGTCCCTTCTTCCTATGAGACTGTAAAATCAAAAGCAAGTTAGTTACTTCCTAGATACAATGGAGGTACAGGCATTGGGTAAATACACCCATTCCAAATGGGAGAAAATGGCCAAAACAAAGGGGCCCAGGCTGTTTGATACTTCTTTTGAAATCTAAGTGGAGACTATCATACCCTCATACCCCCACAGTTCTTGCATTCTTTGGGCCTGCAGGATTAGTACCATGTGGATGTAGCCAAGCTTAATGGCTTGTAACTTCCAGAGTGGGAGATTGAGGCACACCTTGGGCCGCTTGAAATCCAGCTGGGGCAAACTAGGGGACAAAGCTCCAGAACGTGGGGAGCAGTATCCTGAGGTTGCACAGGGCAGTGAACTTTTGGAGGCCACCCAGGCCTGTTCCCCCAAACCATTCTGCCCTTGAGAGCTCTGGGCCCCTGATGGAAGGGGCAGAGTAAAAAATATCCAAAGTGCTTTCGGGATTTTTCTCCCATTGTTCTGATGGCTAGCACCTGGCTCCCTTCTAGCCCTACCAATCTCTTTAACAAATGGTCACTTGGCCACACTCTTGCAAGCTTTTTCAGTTTTTATGTGGCAGGCTGCAGATTTTCCAAATCTTTCTGTTCCGCTACTCTCTTTTAATTATGAATTTCATCTTTAAGTCATTTCTTTCCTTTTGCATCTCACTTTATGTGGTTAAAAGTAGCCAATCATCATCCTGAATGCTATGCTTCTTAGATATTTCTTCTGCCAGATATCCTAGTTCATCATTTTCTGCATTCCATAAAATCCTAGGACATGGACACAATTCTGCCAAGTTCGTTGCAACTGTGTAACAAGGATGCCATTTACTACAGTTTCCAATAAGTTGTTTCTCATTTCCATCTGAGAGTTTGTCAGAATGGACTTTAACGTCCATATTTCTACCAGCATTGTGATCACAACCACTTAAGTAATCCCTAAGAAGTTCCAGACTTTCTCTAGTCTTCTTTTCTTCTGAGCCCTCCCCAGAGTCTCCCTTAGTGCCCTATTCACAGCAATCTAGGGTTTTTAAACTTGCTCCTATAAATTCTTTTTTTTTTCAGTTTGGCAACCATTCTTATTTTATTTAAAGTACAGATAAGAGAAAATAATATTAAGTAGTTCATTTACTATTGTGATGATTAACTTTATTTATCAATGTGGCTAAGCTATAAGTAAACAGTTCTTCAAACATCAGTCCAAATGTTGCTGTGAATGTATTTTTTAATAGAATTCTCCATTCATTTATTTATTTATTTATTTATTTATTTATTTATTTGAGACAAGGTCTCACTCTATCACCCAGGTTGGAGTGCAGTGGTGCATTTTGGCTCAGTGCAGCCTCAGCCTCCTGGGCTTAAGCAATCCTTCCACCTCGGCTTCCTGAGTAGCTAGGACTACAGGCACATCTCATGACGCCCGGCAAAATTTGTTATTTTGTAGTGACAAGGCCTTGCTATGTTGCCCAAGCTGCTCTCGAACTCCTGGGCTTAAGTGATCCACCCGCCTGGGCTCTAAAAGTGCAGAGATTACAGGCGTGAGCCACTGCACCTGGCTAGTGGTACTTTTAGATGTGATTTGACATTTAAATCAGTAGACCTTAAGAAAAAAAGATTAATCTCCATAATGTACATGGCCCTCATCCAATCAGTTGGAAACCTTATTAGCAAAAACTGAGGTTCCCCGACATAGAAGGAATTATCCACAGAACTACCACATGAAAACCCATTGGGAGATATACCTAATGCTAGATGACGAATTAGTGGGTGCAGCGCACCAGCATGTCACATGTATACATATGTAACTGACCTGCACATTGTGCACATGTACCCTAAAACTTAAAGTATAATAATAATAATAAAAAAAAAAAAAAAGAAAACTCAGCCTGAATTTCCAGCCTGCAAGCCTGCCCTGCAAATTTCAGAGCTGTCAGCCCCCACCTTAACGTTGTCATAAATACTTCGGTTTTGGTTGTTCACAAAATATGATTCCTTATTTGGAATATTTGGGGGGAATATTCTAGAGGAAAAAAGCATACCAAATAAGCATGCTGTGCTCAGTTATTCCAACTTAAATTCATGATGCTGCTTGAACATACTGTTTTTGGATCTCTAATGCACAGCATCCTTAGACTGGATTTTCCTAAGAAAACTTCAGGAAAATTTTAGAGTTGTTGAATTCATTTGATAGAAACAGACATTAACCCAAATAATAATAGAAATAATAATGGTGGTGGTGATAGTAGTGGTGGCAGTAATAATAGTAGTAGTAGTAGTTATTATAATATTGATTTGCATACCTGAAAGGAGTAAAAGTAGACCTGGCTTCAAAGCTGAATGACCTCCAACAATGTGACCAGGACTCCCTCACTATCCTTGAGTTTGATTTCTCCAGTGTACAACTTCTTCTTCTTCTTCTTTTAAATTATTATGCTTAAAGTTCTGGGATACATGGGCAGAACATGCAGGTTTGTTACACAGGTATACACGTGCCATGGTGGTTTGCTGCACCCATCAACCTGTCATCTACATTAGGTATTTCTCCTAATGCTATCCCTCCCCTAGGCCCCCACCCCCTGACAGGCCCCAGTGTGTGATGTTCCCCTTCCTGTGTCCATGTGTTCTCAGTGTTCAACTCCCACTTATGAGTGAGAGAATGCAGTGTTTGGTTTTCTGTTCCTGTGTTAGTTTGCTGAGAATGATGGTTTCCAGCTTCATTCATATCCCTGCAAAGGACATAAACTCATCCTTTTTTATGGCTGCATAGTATACCATGGTGTATATGTGCCACATTTTCTTTATCCAGTCTATCATTGATGGGCATTTGGGTTGGTTCCAAGACTTTGCTATTGTGAATAGTGCTGCAATAAACATACGTGTGCATGTGTCTTTATAGTAGCATGATTTATGATCCTTTGGGTATATACCCAGTAATGGGATTGGTGGGTCAAATGGTATTTCTGGTTCTAGACCCTTGAGGAATCACCACACTGTCTTCCACAATGGTTGAATTAATTTACACTCCCACCAACAGTGTAAAAGCATTCCTATTTCTCCACATCCTCTGTAGCATCTGTTGTTTCCTGACTTTTTAATGATCGCCATTCTAACTGGCATGAGATGGTATCTCATTGTGGTTTTGATTTGCATTTCTCCAATGACCAGTGATGATGAACTTTTTTTCATATGTTTGTTGGTCACATAAATGTCTTCTTTTGAGAAGTGTCTGTTCATATCTTTTGCCCACTTTTTGATGGAGTTGTTTGTTTTTATCTTGTAAATTTATTTAAGTTCCTTGTAGATTCTGGATGTTAGCTCTTTGTCAGATGGATAGAATGCAAAAATTTTCTCCAATTCTGTAGGGTACCTGTTCACTCTGATGATAGTTTCTTTTGCTGTTCAGAAGCTCTTTAGTTGAATTAGATCCCATTTGTCAATTTTGGCTTTTGTTGCCATTGCTTTTGGTATTTCAGTCGTGACATCTTTGCCCGTGCCTATGTCCTGAACGGTATTGCCTAGGTTTTCTTCTAGGGTGTTCATGGTTTTAGGTCTTAACGTTTAATCCATCTTGAGTTAATTTTTGTATAAGATGTAAGGAAGGGGTCCAGTTTCAGTTTTCTGCATATGGCTAGCCAGTTTTCCCAACACCATTTATTGAATAGAGAATCCTTTCCCCATTGCTTGTTTTTGTCAGGTTTGTCAAAGATCAGAAGGTTGTAGATGTGTGGCTTTATTTCTGAGGCTGTGTTCTGTTCCATTGGTCTTTATATCTGTTTTTGTACCAGCACCATGCTGTTTTGCTTACTGTAGCCTTGTAGTGTAGTTTGAAGTCAGGTAGCGTGATGCCTCCAGCTTTGTTCTTTTTGCTTAGGATTGTCTTGCCTATACAGGCTCTTTTTGTGGTTCTATATGAAATTTAAAGTAGTTTTTTCTAATTGTGTGAAGAAAGTCAATGGTAGCTTGATGGGAATAGCATTGAATCTATAAATTACTATGGGCAGTATGGCCATTTTCATGGTATTGATTCTTCCTATCCATGAGCATGGAATGTTTTTCCATTCGTGTCCTCTCTTATTTCCTTGAGCAGTGGTTTGTAGTTCTCCTTGAAGAGGTCCTTCACATCCCTTTAAGTTGTATTCCTAGCTATTTTATTCTCTTTGTAGCAATTGTGAATGGGAGTTCACTCATGACTTGGCTCTCTGTTTGTCTATTATTGGTGTATAGGAATGCTTGTGATTTTTGCGCTCATTGATTTTGTATCCTGAGACTTTGCTGAAGTTGCTTATCAGCTTAAGGAGATTTTGGCCTGAGGCAATGGGATTGTCTAAATTTACAATCATGTCATGTGCATACAGAGACAATTTGACTTCCTCTCTTCCTATTTAAATACACTTTATTTCTTTCTCTTGCCTGAGTGCCGTGGCCAGACTTCCCATACTTTATTGAATAGGAGGGCTAAGAGAGAGTATATTGTCTTGTGGCCAGACTTCCCATACTTTATTGAATAGGAGTGCTAAGAGAGAGTATATTGTCTTGTGCCAGTTTTCAAAGGGAATGCTTCCAGCTTTTGCCCATTCATTATGATATTGACTGTGGGTTTGTCATAAGTAGCTCTTATTATTTTGAGATATGTTCCATCAATACCTAGTTTATTGAGGGTTTTTAGCATGAAGGAGTGTTGAATATTATTGAAGCCCTTTTCTGCATCTATTGAGATAATGTGGTTTTTGTCATTGGTTCTGTTTATGTGATAGATTATGTTTATTGATTTGTGTATGTTAAACCAGCCTTGCATCCCAGGGATGAAGCCCACTTGATCGTGGTGGATAAGCTTTTTAATGTGCTGCTAGATTCATTTTGCCAGTATTTTATTGAGGATTTTTGCATCTATGTTCATCATGGATATTGGCCTGAAATTTTTTTGTTGTTGTTGTGTCTCTGCCAGGTTTTGGTAGCAGGATGATGCTGGCCTCATAAAATGAGTTAGGGAGGAGTCCCTCTTTTTCCGTTGTTTGGAATAGTTTCAGAAGGAATGGTACCAGCTCCTCTTTGTACCAATGGTAGAATTCAGCTGTGAATCCATCTGGTCCTGGGTTTTTTTGGTTGGTAGGCTATTAATTACTGCCTCGATTTCAGAACTTGTCATTGGTCTATTCAGGGAATTGACTTCTTCCTGGTTTAGTCTTGGGAGGGTGCATGTGTCCAGGAATTTAACCATTTCTTCTAGATTTTCTAGTTTATTTGCATAGAGGTGTTTATAGTATTCTCTGATGGTAGTTTGTGTTTCTGTGGGATCAGTGGTGATATCCCGTTTATCATTTTTTATTGTGTCTATTTGATTCTTCTCTCTTTTCTTCTTTATTCGTCAGTCTGACTAGCAGTCTATCTATTTTGTTAATCTTTTCCAAAAATCAGCTCCTGGATTCCTTGATTTTTTTAACGGTCTTTTCATGTCTCTATCTCCTTCAGTTCTGCTCTGATCTTAGTTATTTCTTGCCCTCTGCTAGCTTTTGAATTCATTTGCTCTTGCTTCTCTAGTTCTTTCAATTGTGATTTCAGGGTGTCAATTTTAGATCTTTCCCACTTTCTCCTGTGGGCATTCAGTGCTATAAATTTCCCTCTAAACACTGCTTTAGCTGTGTCCTACAGATTGTGTTACGTTGTGTCTTTGTTCTCATTGGTTTCAAAGAAGTTATTTATTTCTGCCTTCATTTCGTTATTTACCCACTAGTCATTCAGGAGCAGGTTGTTCAGTTTCCATGTGGTTGTGCGGTTTTGAGTGAGTTTCTTAATCCTGAGTTTTAATTTGATTGCACTGTGGTCTGAGAGACTGTTTGTTATGATTTCCATTCTTTTGCATTTGCTGAGGAGTGTTTTACTTCCAATTATGTGGTCGATTTTAGAATAAGTGTGATGTGGTGCTAAGAAGAATGTATCTTCTGTTGATTTGGGGTGGAGAGTTCTGTAGATGTCTCTTAGGTCTGCTTGGTCCAGAGCTGAGTTCAAGTCGTGAATATCCTTGTTAATTTTCTGTGTCATTGATCTGTCTGATATTGACAGTGAGGTGTTAAAGTCTCCCAGTATTATTGTGTGGGAGTCTAATTCTCTTTGTAGGTCTCTAAGGGCTTGCTTTATGAATCTGGGTGCTCCTTAATTGGGTGCATATATATTTAGGATAGTTAGCTCTTCTTGTTGTGTTGATCCCTTTACGATTATGTAATGCCCTTCTTTGTCTTTTTTGATCTTTGTTGGTTTAAACTCTGTTTTATCAGAGACTAGGATTATAACCCACACTGTTTTTTTTTTTTTTTTTGCTTTCTCTTTGCTTGGTAAATATTCCTCCATCCCTTCACTTTGAGCCTCTGTGCGTCTTTGCACGTGAGATGAGTCTCCTGAATACAGCACACTGATGGGTCTTGACTCTTTATCCAATTTGCCAGTCTGTGTCTTGTAATTTGGGCATTTAGCCTATTTACATTTAAGGTTAATACTGTTATGTGTGAATTTGATCCTGTCATTATGATGCTAACTGGTTATTTTGCCCATTTGTTGATGCTGTTTCTTCATAGTGTTGATGGTCTTTACAATTTGGTATGTTTTTGCAGTGGCTGGTACCAGTTTTTCCTTTCCATATTTAGTGCTTCCTTCAGGAACTCTTGTAAGGCAGACCTGCTGGTGACAAAATCTCTCAGCATTTGGCTGTCTGTAAAGTATTTTATTTCTCCTTCACTTATGAAGCTTAGTTTGGCTGCATATGAAATTCTGGGTCGAAAATTCTTTTCTTTAAGAATGTTGAATATTGGCCCCCACTCTCTTCTGGCTTGTAGGGTTTCTGCAGAGAGATCTGCTGTTAGCCTGATGGGCTTCCCTTTGTGGGTAACCCAACCTTTCTCTCTGGCTGCCCTTAACATTTTTTCCTTCGTTTCAACCTTAGTGAATCTGATGATTATGTGTCTTGGGGTTGCTCTTCTCGAGGAGTATCTTTATGGTGTTCTCTGTATTTCCTGAATTTGAATGTTGGCCTGTCTTGCTAGGTTAGGGAAGTTCTCCTGGATAATATCCTGAAGAGTATTTTTCCAACTTGCTTCCATTCTCCCCATCACTTTCAGGTACACCAGTCAAATGTAGGTTTGGTCTTTTCACATAGTCCCATATTTCTTGGAGGCTTTGTTTGTTCCTTTTCATTCTTGTTTCAATAATCTTCTCTTCATGCTTTATTTCATTAAGTTGATCTTCAATCTCTGATATCCTTTCTTTTGCTTGACTGATTTGGCTACTGATACCTCTGTCTGCTTCACAAAGTTCTTACGCTGTGTTTTTCACCTCCATCAGGTCATTTATGTTATTCTTTAAACTGGTTATTCTAGTTAGCAATTACTTTCTTTCAGAGATGCCCTGCCCAGAGAGGAGGAATCTAGAGAGGCAGTCTGGCTACAGAGCCATTCTGTACCTGGCTCCGCCCAGTTTGAACTTCTTGGCAGCTTTCTTTACACTGTGAGGGGAAACCTGCCTACTCAAGCCTCAGTAATGTATGATGCCCCTCCCCCCACCAAGCTGGAGTGTCCCAGGTCTACTTCAGTCTGCTTTCCTGGCAGCAAGAATTTCAAGCCATTGAATTTTAGCTTGCTGGGCTCAATGGGGGTGGGCTCTGCTGAGCTAGACCACTTGGCTCCCTGGCTGCACCCCCCTTTCCAGGGGAGTGAACGGTTTTCTCTCTCTGGTGTTCCAGGCACCACTGGGATATCAAAAAAAAAAAATGCTGCAGCTAGCTAGGTGTCTGCCCAAATGGCCGCACCGTTTTGTGCTTGAAACCCAGGGCCCTGGTGGTGTTGGCACCTGAGAGAATCTGCTAGTCTGTGGGCTGTGAATACCATGGGAAGGGCATAGTATCTGGGCTGGAATGCACCATTCCGCATGGCACATTCCTTCAGGGCTTCCATTGGCTAGGGGAGGGAGTTTCCCGCCCCCTTGCACTTCCTGGGTGAGGCAACGCCCCACCCTGCTTCAGCTTGCCCTCCATGGGCTGCACCCACTGTCTAACCAGTCCCATTGAGATGAGCTGGGTACCTCAGTTGGAAATGCATAAATCACATGCCTTCTGCATTGATCTCACTGGGAGCTGCAGACCACAGCTGTTCCTATTCGGCCACCCCGACAGCCACATCCTGTAACTTCTTCCAGCCCCTACCCATCATCCAGTTCTAAGGCTGCTTCCACATTTTCAGATATTTGTTGTGGCAACAACACCACTTTCTGGTACTAATTTTCTTTCTTTGTTTTCTATTGCTAAAACAGAATACCACAGACTGGGTAATTTATAAAACAAAGATGTTAATTTAACTCATGGTTCTGGAGGCTGGGAAGTTAAAAACCATTACACCTGCATGGGGTGAAGGCCTTCTTGCTGCATCACAACATGGTGAAGGGCATCACATGTTAAGAAGGGAAGAACAAGAGAGCTAGAGAGAGCTTGCTTTTATAACAAAGCCACTCCTGAGATAACAAACTCACTCCTGATAGTGACATTAATCCCTTTATGAGGGTAGAAGTATTAAGTTTCCAACACATGAACTTTTGGAGGATACATTTAAACCATAGCAGAGGTCTCTCAGATAGCAGTTTGGAGTAAATTTAAACAAGATAGAAGTGGAAGGTGGGGCTCATTATAATCTGATCTAGTACAAAGTGCCTGGGTCTAAATCAGAAATACCTGGGTTTGAGTCCTTGCTTTGCCACTTATTAGTCGTGTGACCTTTGGCAAATGATATAGCTTCCGAGTTTAGTTTGCTTATCAGTGAAATAAGGATGACAATTCCTACATTACAGGGCTATGGTAAGGAAATAATAATAATAATGATAATAATCAGACTTACAGCATATTTCACGTGGCTGGCATATGGTAGATGCTCAGCAAATGTCACTTTCCTTTCCATTCTCTTCTTATATTGGCAGTTTGCCCTTCTAATGGTTCCTGGAATAGTGTGTTGTGCTCCTAGATTTTCTCAGCGGCCTCTTGTTTGGTTCTTGTTTTCCTCAGATGACTTTCTGATGTTTACTTAGTTTCCTTAGCGTTTTACTTCTCATTTCAATTTGACATAAAGCAATGACGTAAGGACCAGGTACATTTTTCTCACCTTCATTTATTGTGGCCCATAAAGCTTAAACATGTTGGCTTGTGGACTGCAGTGTACTTTTTCTCACCTTAGATGTTAAGTATGTGCCCCATGGTAGAGTTACTGAATAAAAATTTCTGGGAGTGGGCTCTGATTTTGTTAAGAATGGTAGAATATGTTAGAATAAATACTATCATAAGCTCCCTTGATTATTCTTGTGCATACTGAAGTTGGAGAACGACTTAAGCCTGTGGGCTTTAAGGTTGAGCGCCTCGGTTTCTAACTGGCTGTTGGCCAGAGACCACACTCAGTTTCTTGCCACATGGGCCTTACCAATAAGACTCCTTGCTTATTCAAAGCCAGTAAGGGAGTCACTTAGCAATATAAGGGTTACATTTTGATGCATTGTAATCATGTACACATAATCAAATTCGTCTTATCACCTTGGCAATGTCCTGTTGGTTAGAAGCAAGTCAGGATCAAAGGGAGGAGTTTATACAGGGGCGTGAATACCAGGAAGCAGAGATCATGGGGGCCACCTTAAAGCCTGTCCCCATAGAATGTGAGGGGAGAGGGGAGGTAGTAAGTTCAGTTGTCTGCATGTGACATTTAAAAAACTTGTGGGCAAAAGTGGGTTTATAATGAATCTAAAGAAGTTTTGGGTGATTTATTTTCTCTCACAGGAGAAGACTCTGCTGACCAGGGCTCAACCCTGACAAAACAATTTTATGTTCATCATTTTGTATTCCATTCCTAAAAAGAGTCTCTGAAATTGTATAAACTTGAAGCCTCACCAAACATTGACTTTCCCTGCCTGTGGGAAAGCTTCCTGGGTCTGGAGAATATTCTGCTGCCCAGGGCTCACCCTGAAAAACAGCCCCGAGCTGTGGCTTGCATATCCCTGGCCTAGCAGCTTTTACCAGGAGGTGGCCATTAGCAATGGAAATCCCTAAACCATGATCCCAAGCACTTTCTGAAGAGTGGGGAGGACAAGTTCCAGAAGACTGCTTTTGTATCAGGTCTATTGTTCTTTGGGAGCTCATGTTAAGCAGAGGAGAAAAATTGACTTCTCAGACAAGCATTTCCCTACTCTTCTGCACCCACCGTCAGTTCACTAGGCATCTGCATCTCCAGGGCAAACATGCCTCTGAAGACTGCTGGAGCTAGTCTCCTGTGTTGTGGCCAGTAAGAACTTTTGCACATTTCTGCCTTTCTTCCTGTCCCCAGAAACTTACAGTCCCTACCCTAGAATGGTGAGTCAAAGTAGTCCACGGTTAGCTGCAGTGTCCTGAAGATAACTCATGGAGACAAACTAAAAAGTCAAAGAAGTTGTATCCCTCCACCTGTCATCTGAGTGTTGGGGGATTTCTTTGCTTAAGTGGGTGACTTGGGAGACTTTCTTTCTAGTAGATACTTGTTGGCCAGCACTGACCTGGAAGGGCCTATAGAGAGACAGAGCTGGATTAGGCTCTAAAGCGTCTTCAGTGCTGGGTCTCATGTTATTGCATGTAAATTAGAGATCCCCAATATCAAAATGTAGCTATTACATGACAATTCCTTTTCATTAAGAAGCAATTGCTTTTCATTAAGAAGAGGCTTCAAGACACAGGAGCCATGCACCCTGAGGGTATGGGGGTGTCATTAATGCTTAAGGTACTAAATATGCACACCTAGTTTTAGCTATAGACTAAATGATTAATATGGCCTGTATATGTGCTCCTGTTTTTCACAAGTATATGCATACTCTTGTGATGGCAGGATAAGTAATAAGCTCTGGAACCAGACTGCATGGTTTGAGATTCTCCATCTAGAACATACAAGCTTTGTATGTATGTATAATGATGCTAGACAAATTGCTTAACTTCTCTGAGCCTCAACATCCTTGTCTGGGAAATGAATATAATAATAGCATGTACCTCAAAACGTTGTTGTCTACCTTATATTAAATATTTTTTTAAAAATCCTTAGAACAGTCCCTGGTACAAAGTAAGTGCTGTATATATTAACCTTTATTACTACTAATATACAAATTAAAAGAACTACCCAAGACATGGTAGCTGCTTGCAGTTTGTTGTTTTCTCAATCAAAATATATTGAAAGCACAACTGCTGCTGTGTTCCTTAAATGAGCGCAGAGCCAGGGACAGGGCCTAGGGCTCCTGACTACACTTGCCGCATCATTTTTACTATTGCAGATTGCGTGTTTTGTCTCTTTGCTTAATGAAAAGCAATCACACCTTTTGTTGTTATTAAGGGCTTATTGTCATTTAATGGCTACATTTTGCTATTGGAGACTTTTCTAATTTACAAGCGGTAATTGTTCTGGACACGTGACTCTCATTTAGTATCTGCTGAAGAGCCCTTGTTCATAATTATTGCTTCCGTGGTTATGTTATGTATTTATCCAGCCCTTTCTTTAGACAATTGATATGTTGTCCTGGATACCTCCCTGTTGCTGATTTGGAGTTGGTCAATCCATCGCTTCATCAGTGCTCTTAAAATAATGAGTTATGGCATGCTTTGTGATCAGCACATAATGTTCTGAGTGGAAAAAACTCATGGCGACTCTCAGGAGTGCTATTTTTTGTCCCCTTGCCCACTCCTGCACACATGCTTGCTTCTGTTTAGCCAGAACCTCATCTTGCTAATAGTGGTCATAGGAAATTTTCTCACCAATGGGACCTATGTGTGCATATACAAGGGGGTAGTCATGGGGTGTTAGATTTCAGGTAAAATCAGAAGACTTTTTTGTGTTTGGTCTTTTCTCAAGATGGTATCTGTGTTTATTTCCTAGAATTGTTGTAACAGATGACTACAAATTTGATTCCTTGAAACAACAGAAAATCATTGTCTCATAGTTCTGGAGGCTAGAAGTCTGAAATCCAAGTATTAGTAGGACTCTAGGGGAGAGTGCTTCCTTGCCTCTTCTAGCTTCTGCTGGTTGCTAACAATCTTTGACATTCCAGTCTCTGCCTCTGTCTTCTCAAGGCCTTTTCCCATGTGTGTGCATGTATTTCCCCTTTCTCTATGTCCAAATTTTCCTCTACTTATAACGATAACAGTCATTGGATTAGGGCCCAATTAACCTAGTCCACTATGACATCATCTTACCTTGATTATATCTGTAGAGACTTTATTTCCAAATAAAGTCACATTCACAGGTACTTGGGAGTTAGGATTTAAACGTATCTTTTTGGGGGACATAATTTAACTCACAACAGTGGCTTTTCCTTGTCTCTCTTATTTTTCCTAGTTTTTAAATTTTAAAGAAGGGAAAACTCCCTTCCACCCAGTGGCACAGGAATGAGTTGATTTATATGGATTAAAAGTCATAGATGTTAGAAGAGGAGGAAAGTCCTAGAAGAAATTGTAGCCCATTTCTTTCACCAACTGAGGTCTAGGGGAGAGGGGGCTATTTGGCTAAGGTCAGAAATCTGATAAGGGATAGAGCCAGTCGTCAGACTTCATTTCCTGATTCTGAGATTAGGATAGGACTTTTTTTTTTTTTTCATTATCTCTTCATAAAGGTACTGGCAATAGTGGTTGAAAAACCATGTGGCAACAGACATTGAGGCAAATTTCTATAAAACCAGAAATAGCTGGGAAAGCGGAAGCCAGGTTGGACCTGCCAATAGTTGGAATTCTTGGCTGTCTGTAGAGGGTGAATTGACAGCCAAAAGCCCTACCAAGGTCCAAATCTCTCTTCCACCCATTTCAGTTCAATCTGATCAATACTTTTTATTGAGCTAATAACCAGAAGTAGGCCCTGAGGATTCACTGATCACAAGGGTAGAGATTATCCCTGCCTTTACGGAGCTCACAGTACAGTGAGCACCTAAACAGTGCTAGACTCCAATTGCCTACTTATTTTTCTGAGTGCAGTAAGAGAAGGACATAGTAGGGGCATCCATTTTGACCTTGGGGGAAGGGAGGTAGGAGTGGGGGAAGGTCAAAGAGCTGAGATCCCAAAACATGAGTAAGAGTTACCCAGTAAAGGAGCAGTACAAAAGGCTGCAGGTGAAGGAGTATTCCTGACAAAGGGAAGGCTTTGTGTGAGGGCTTGGCGGTGAGAGAGAGAGAAACACATGGTGGAAAAACAGCACGAAATTCAGTTTGCCTGAAGCACAGGGTCTGGGGGGCATCAAGAAGAGCTTTGTAAACTTTGAAGAGATTTGATTTTTTTCCCCTGGGCAGTGGGAAGTCATTTCAGGTTTCTGGGCATGGAGTAGGCATTCAGACTGGGGATCCCAAGTCCCATATGATATTTAACGGAGCTTTATTCTAAACAAATAAGGCTTCAGGGATCTCCATTCTGGGTAGATCCACCTTTCCAACCTTTCCCCCCACATATTTGTTGATTCACAATTAGCCACAGTGCTTGATCGGGCTCTAGAACCAGAGTCCCTTTTATAATGTTTTCAGGTTTTAGTCTGTGGTTGAAGGCCACTGTTCAGTATGTATATTTGTGCACCTGTGTGCTGGGCCCACATCGGAGGCCCAGTACATACTGGCCTCGTCGTTTTTTTTTTTGTTTTTTTTTTTAACTTAATCACATCGGTAATCGCCCCGGGGCCTCCTCCGTTTTTTTTTTATGACAGTTCGCTCTGAATTTAATGTTTGTCTGGATCTGCTTTTACCTTTCCTGCACATGATTTGAGCTATGGTTTGCTCTTCTCTTGTCGATCTGATCCCATGTGTTTTCCATCTTCAGGGAATTCCTCAAATTCTAGTACACAGAGGCACCCTCCTGTTACCCAGTCTCTGTTAATGGTGTTACAGTTAGCTCTCATTCAGGCAATGGAGATTAGCTTATCTTAATGTTTCTCAAGGCTTTTTATTTTTCATTATTGCTCCCCTAAGGAGCCTTTCTGGACATTTTTCCTAATTGTAGGACATTTTAATACCATGACATTTTAATACCAGAGATATACTATTTATGTGTTGTACCTATATCTGTCCTTTATATAGAACAAGGATAAGTATAAGGCCTACTTACTCTTTTTATAACATGAAGGATTAAGAATGACTAACGTTTGCAGTTAACAATTAAGTTAAAAATTAAAAAGCTATTAACAATTAACTTTGTGTGTATTTGCTGAGTACATTTTAATTTAATTTATTTACTTAAAAATTCCAGTGTATCAACTACATATAAAAATTAACAATTTATATAAATTTGTAATATTTAATAGCAAGGTGCTTCAATGTTTAAAAAATTCATCCAAATCTGCTCTTTTTCCGGCGAAAGTAAAGTAATTGAAAAAATTAAATTAGCTTCTTAAAAAATTTTACTGAACTTAACATTTAACTACTGCTTGATATGGGAAAATAACTTCTAATTTAACTAGCTGCTAGACAGTCATTCAGATCTTGCTAACAGTTTTTCTTTATATTTGACATAATTAATAATGGGCTGAATAATGTTATTAGAATTAAATGATAACATATAAACTGAAGATCAAATATAAACCACATTGACAAGGCAGCCAGTGGCAGCCACCTCTGCCATTTAACTTTTAGAATGGGCGATCAATGGAGAGAAAGTTTCCAATCACAGTCATCTATTCACCGTAGTTTTCTAGTACTGATCTGGCACACATTTTGTATGTCTACTATGAAGTCAAGGTCAGTGTTACTAGTATGATACCCAAGAAAACACAACAGGAGAAATTAAATAACAAGCTGTAAGATTTTGTTGGGTAAGGTTGAGCTCTCGAGAGCCAAAAACCATTGTAATATGTAAGTTTTTTTTTTTTCTTCCCTCCCAAAGAACCAACTTCAACCCTTTGGAGACTGTATTGACCCTTTGAGAATGCGTGGCTTATCTGATTGTGTCCTCTTAGGAGTCTTAACTTCCTAACATACGGGGCCCAGGAGAGCTAAGTATTAAAAGGATATGGACAGAGTATGAGAAAAGATTCAGTCATGAGACATTGCTGTGGGTGTAGCACCCTTTGTGGGCCGCTGAAACAAGTGGCCTAGGCTACTAGCATGAGGTTACTACAGTAATGGAGTCAAAGCAGAATTAGGGGCTGCTCCTTGGAGTTCTTGTATCTCTTAGGTTCACTGCATCTCAGTGCTTATCATACAATGAGTAGTTGGTATTTTATAAGTTGTCTGGTCTATCAGCTCTGTGCAGGCATTGGCTGTTTCTATCTTGTTCCTATTGCCAGTTATCTAGCACAGTGCCTGGCACATAGAAAGGGCTCAGTAAATATTTGTTGATAGGATAGAGAGAAGGCACTGCAGGTGGACTCAGCCTACTTCACAGGCTAGATGAGGGCTAGATACAATAACAGGAAAAAGAAGATTCACTATTTGAAAAGAATCCCAAGCCACCACCTCCAAACAAAGCCTTCTCTTTAACACCACCTCATCTCTTTGAGCACCAGGGAGGGAGTCATTGTGGATAGGTGGGTTTGACCATTTGCCATTTAGATAGCAAAGCAGTTTTAATTTGAAAAGTTTTAGTAGTGTCTTTTTAAAATGTGTTAGTCACTACTTTGGTTTTTTAAAGCAAATACTGCTGAATATATTTTATCTTTTGTTGGCAACCTAGAATCTTCCTAATAAGTATCAGTTCTTGAGGTACGGGGATCACTTTATCCTGCAACAAATGGTCTGAGACCAAGAACTTTTTGAGTTCTTGGGCTGGAGTTTCTGAGTTTTTCTGTCTTCTTCCCTGGCAGGCTAGCAGCTATCACTTTGAGTTGTTGTTAGAGGCCTACTGGTAGCACTTGCTCACTGTCCTCCCTCTCATTTGGTAGTTCTAGGATATTCAGATGGAGAGAATTAGCCAACCCTGTAAAAACTTTGTGTAAAGTAGGAGAATGGAAGTTCCTAGTGAGGAGTTGAGGAGTTCTCCTGTAAATAACAATTTCTGAAACTTTGTGTGTAGGTGTGGGTGTGGGTGTGTGCAATTGTGCACCTCTACAGAATCTGTTTTGCCCTTCTTCCCATTATCACCTGAGTTCTGGATGGGTGACATGCACTGATAGGTTTTGTGCTGGATAAGCAAGTGATTAGTATCATATTTTCTCAGAAGAGTTTATGGAGAGTATGTACATGAAGTTTATTTTTGTCTTAATGGACTGTCCAAGATTCCTTTAATGGGGGCTCACCTTTAAATAAGAGACCACAGATTTCCAATTAATAGAAAAAGTAACCTATGGGGATCTAGGTTGTTTTGTACATTGTGGACTGGTACCTGCTCAAATAATCTTATTCAGTAGCACTATCCAACAGTGTTATCAAGAAGTGCTAATTAACTTTTGGTTGGGGAAATGTAATTACTTGAATGGGAATTTTGACCCAGATACTTACCTGTTATTCTCAGGACATTCTAAACTTAAACACAGTTTTCTTTCACCAAACACACTTTAGTAAGAGATAATATCAGTAGCTCTTATAAGTGTGAACAGTACCAATTTTCAGCATATGTGAAGATTAGGTTCCTATGTACATTTAACAAAGTATTTCCAATGTAACATGGCATGTGGCCTCCCTTTGATGTCAATTCCATATTTCTGATTTTAAATCCTTAATCTAATGTATTGCAATAGTACATATTATGTGCACAGGTCTAGAAATGGAAAACCTTTGAAATGGTGCAAATTAATGATGTGTTAAGTATCACAATTTGAATAAAGCAGTGTGAATATCTTGAAAGAATAAAGGGAGAGTAAAGAATAGAAGAAAAACAGGGAGGGAAAAGGAATTCTCAAGGGAAATAATAGGGTTGTGTAAATACTTCACCAAATCGCCAAGACTGACAGCAGAAAAGGTCAAGGTCATTTTAAAATTGCAGGAGACTCAGTTCAAGTTGCCTTTGAGAAGTAATGATGTTTTGAGCAACTCAAAACTGAATTTAAGATTTGGTATTGGGGGCAAAAGGGGATCACAGAAGGACTCCAGGCCTGCTACCTCATTGTCTGACAAATTCCTATGTTCTGGGTCTGGGGTCAGGACCCTGCCCATCCTGCCCCCATTATTGTCACCATATTTCCCAGGCATCCAAGCCTCTGTGAGCTGGTAGGGTTTGTTATGCACTTACAGCAAAACTGACATTAGGAGCACACTCAGTACAGCTAACAGATCAAGTGCAGGTTCCTAAATGTGGGCTTGTTGAACATCCCTGGCCTTTCAGTGTTAAAGATGGACATAGAATATTTACTTGTATCTGTTTTTTCATGAAGGCTTTTGATACTTTGCCATGATATTTCATGTTTTTCCTTTTTTTTTTTTTTTTTTTTAAACCAATGGCTGCTACCTGGCATTAGAAAGCCAAATCACATTATAGCATTTTGGATCAGAGCTAGTTGTGAAGGCATTTTTAGAGTAGTTTTTTTCAGTCATTCTTTCCCTTTTATTCATTTTAAAAAGCTGGCCTTTATGATTTATTATGTAGGCTGCACACAACAAACATTCCCTCACTGGGATATTCTATACTCATCACTGAGAAATTTTAGCAATAAATTATATTCCCTAAGTGTAAGGAAGCAATTCCTGGGTAGTGTATGAAGTTCTACTCTGAATAGGCAGGTGTGTGTTCTGTATGGCACTGCCCATGTGGGTGTGGAGTGAGGAAACAGGAAAAAATGAAGGCAGAGCAGTCACGGGAGGAGGGCAATGGCTGAGAAGGAAAACAGTTATCATCCACTTCTGTCTCTCATTTTCCTTCCAGTTGCTCCTACTTGGTTGGTAAGTGTCTAAGTACAAAGCCCTCCATAAGCCCAGGTTATCCTCCTGGGAAAGGGGCCTCTGCTACTCTTCTACCTTTGTAGAAAGAAAGGAGGATGTTCACATGAGCCTGTCACTTACTGTGTACCTTCACACATGCTCTGTATACTGTGCTGAGTGGTGATACATCCACCAAAATTCATGTCTACCCAGAATTTCAGAATGTTGCCTTATTTGGAATAGGGTTTTTGTTTGTTTGTTTGTTTTTGTTTTTGTTTTTGCAGATGCATTACCTTCAATGGCAAAAAAAAAAAACCCAGAGTTACTTTTGCAAGAACCTAGTAATCAAATTAATACAAGGTCATACTTAATTAGGATCAACCCTAAATCCAATCAGTGGTGTCTTTATAAGGAGAAAGAGATTTGGAGACGCACGGAGACATACCAGGCCATATGAAGACGAGGGCAGAGATTGAAATGATGCAGCTACTAGCCAAGGAAGCATGTCTCTGTTGACAACTTGATTTCAGACTTCTAGCCTCCAGATCTGTGAGGGAATGCATTCCTGTTGTTTTCAGACATCCAGTTTGCGATTTTGTTATGGCAGCCCTAGGAAAATAATACACTCTGTTGATAAGGACTTATGGCAACCCTGACAGGTGGATACTCTTAGATGCCTTTTATGTCTGAAGGTCTTACTGAGGAAGCTGAGTCTTACTGAGGAAGTCCTGCTTCCCTTGCAGCACAGGTATGTGGTAAGAACCTGTGATGGGCTTGGTGCTTTAAGGATTATAGGTGGCTTAAGTGTAGGCCTTGCTATCAGCAAGCTCCCTGCAGATGTGTGTGGTGGGGAGATGGAACACGGAGGAAATCGACTTTTCCAATAGGCCCTGTAGCACTAGGCTGCTTGCCCTAGGCTGTCTTCATCTGCTCATAGACTTTTGGATCCCTTTTTTTTTTTTTAACTTGTTTTTAAATTTTTTATTTCCATAGATTTTTGGGAAACAGGTGGTATTTAGTTACACAAGTAAGTTCTTTATTTTTATTATATTTTATTATTATTATACTTTAAGTTCTAGGGTACATGTGCACAATGTGCAGGTTTGTTACATATGTATACATGTGCCATGTTGATGTGCTATACCCATTAACTTGTCATTTACATTAGGTATATCTCCTAATGCTATCCCTCCTCCCTCCCCCACCCCACGACAGGCCCCGGTGTGTGATGTTCCCCACCGTGTGTCCAAGTGTTCTTATTGTTCAATTCCCACCTATGAGTGAGAACATGCGGTGTTTAGTTTTCTGTCCTTGAGATAGTTTGCTCAGAATGATGGTTTCCAGCTTCATCCATGTCCCTACAAAGGACATGAACTCATCCTTTTTTATGGCTGCATAGTATTCCATGGGGTATATGTGCCACATTTTCTTAATCCAGTCTATCATTGGTGGACATTTGGGTTGGTTCCAAGTCTTTGCTATTGTGAGTAGTGCCGCTATAAACATACATGTGTATGTGTATTTATAGCAGCATGATTTATAGTCCTTTGGGTATATGCCCAGTAATGGGATTGCAGGGTCAAGTGGTATTTCTAGTTCTAGATCCTTGAGGAATTGCCACACTGTCTTCCACAATGGTTAACTAGTTTACAGTCCCACCAACAGTGTAAAAGTGTTCCTATTTCTCCACATCCTCTCCAGCACCTGCTGTTTCCTGACTTTTTAATGATCGCCATGCTAACTGGTGTGAGATGGTATCTCATTGTGGTTTTGATTTGCATTTCTCTGATGGCCGGTGATGATGAGCATTTTTTCATGTGTCTTTTGGCTGCATAAATGTCTTCTTTTGAGAAGTGTCTGTTCATATCCTTTGTCCACTTTTTGATGGGGTTGTTTGATTTTTTCTTGTAAATTTGTTTAAGTTCTTTGTAGATTCTGGATATTAGCCCTTTGTCAGATGGGTAGATTGCAAAAATTTTCTCCCATTCTGTAGGTTGCCTGTTCACTCTGATGGTAGTTTCTTTTGCTGTGCAGAAGCTCTTTAGTTTAATTAGATCTCATTTGTCAATTTTGGCTTTTGTTGCCATTGCTTTTGGTGTTTTAGTCATGAAGTCCTTGCCCATGCCTATGTCCTGAATGGTATTGCCTAGGTTTTCTTCTAGGGTTTTTATGGTTTTAGGTCTAACATTTAAGTCTTTAATCCATCTTGAATTAATTTTTGTATAAGGTGTAAGGAAAGGTTGGATCCCTTTTTTAGTGTCTTTTCTTGATTCAAAGAAGATTAACAGGAGACAAGTCAATCTGAGGAAATTCAGATAGAAATGTGCCCCCGCTGCTCTCACCTGATTCCTTCCTGACCCACTAAAGTTGAAGAAACAATAGCTTAATTTTCCTGGAAGAGGGTGTTGGGATCTAGGAAAGCTTTTTAGGGATGATGACATTTGAGGTAGATTTTGAGGAATTTATCCAGTTGGAGAGGAGGGAAGGTGGAGAGTGGAGGCATTGGTGGGGAAAGGATTTTAGGTAGAGGAAGGGATGAGAGGAAAGGTGCAGAAAGGGACCGGTGCTGGTGGGTCTGGGGCACCACTGTTAGTAACACACAGTTGGAGTGTAAGTTTTATGGCTTGAAGGGGAGTAGAGGCAGAGGGGGAAGAAAGGGAGGTTGACGTCATGATGAACAGCATTTTTGAAGCTTTTTTCTCCTATTTTTAAATAGCTTTATTGAACTAATTGACATATGACAAATAGCATATACTTAAAATATACAATTTTATAAGTTTTGACATATGTATATACCATGAAACCATCACCACAATCAAGGTAATGAAAACATCCATCACTCTCAAAAGTATACTTGTTCGTTTTTGCTATCCCTCTCTCCCAGCCTCTCTGATTTGATGCCCATTTGATTTGATGCTGATTTGATTCCTCCTCACTAGAGTCCCTTTGAGGGGGTCTGCAAAATCCTGCCTCTTCTAATTACATATCTGTGTAATACTGGAGTTTCTTCATGTACCTCAGCTAAAACAAACTACCATAACAAATCAGATGCAGAAACAAACATAAGAATCCAGCTGTCCTCCATTAACCCAGACATTAAAGAGATTTGCAAAAATACAAAACCGTGTTGTTTTGACCTACATTTTTGGTTGTTTTGAAAAATATGGTTATGTTTCATAAAACTTTAGTTATTTTTCTTAAAAATATGTTACTTATGTTACCATGTAATTATATTATTTATATGAACATGTTGTTGGTTTATTATTGTGAATTTCAAGGGAATTGATACCTGAATATTTAAAAATTTTTTGTTTTTATTTATAATTCAATATATATTGACAGATGTAGCTCACAAAATATAAGGTCTTTGGAGTACTGTTTTTTTCCCCCAAGAAATCACCCTTTTTTTCTCTGCCACATCTCAATTATTTTTAAGATTCTGAGATCGAAAAGCTTGATGATCGTTGCTCTAGAGGCTTTGGTAACATGCTAACATTTGTGGAATTTCTTTCCTTAACTAATGGGGACCTGTTGAAGATCTTTTCAGCAGAGGAATGAGGGGATCTGACTTGCTTTTAGAAGGAGGACTTTGGCAGTATAAGGATGGGGGAAGACTGGGCAGGGAGACCAGGAAGGAGACCATTGCAGGAGTCCAGGCAAGGCAGAATGAGTGCCTGACTGCAGTGCATGTCAGGGGGGTCTTCTGGAGAAAGTGATATGGCTTGAGGAATAATCAGGACAGGAGGTACAATCTCAGGGCTTTGTTTCTCATAGGATGTGAATGTGAACTGGCTTCCCCAAAAGGGGAGTGTCTCAGGCAGTGGTTAAGAGAGAAGCAACTTCTTGTCTCCAGGGTTTCTGGCTTGGGTTGTGGTAGAACACCATCAGAGTAGAGGAAAAGGGTTGGCAAGGGCTGGGCTGAACTTAAGGTCAGAGTTCTTTTCACACAGGCCAGGAGGGGGTTCAGGCTTCCCTGCTCAATGGGCACTCAATGCATAGAGTGAGACTGTGGTGAGGGTTACAGCTCAGTGAGTACGCCATCCCAGGCCTGAGGCTAGCAGTGCCAGTGAGAACAGGAAGGGAGAGAAGGAGGGGAGTGCTGCACCCTGCCAGGGCTACCTTTCCTTGGCTTTGGTGTGTGTGGGCTTCAGCTTGCATGTTGGTGGTCTGCAGAGCTGGCCACTGGGAAGGGAAGTGAACTAACAGAAATTTGGGGGTGGCAGGTGCATATTAGGGTAGCAAGAAGAGAAAGGCAGTCATTTGGGCCTGGAACCATACTAGAAGGCAGTTAGGAGACTGGAGAGTTTGATTTATGTGATCAGCTAGTATGTAGGTCCACTGTGCATGGAAGTCCCTTGGGACTAGATTTTGATGCATCCCCAATCTGTGCTCAAAGGCTCCAGCAATGCCCTAGTGGAGTCTGGTTGGAGCCCACCTTGGAGGGAAGCAGTCTTCATCACCTAAAACAGCAGCGCCTTATTTAGGTTAGTTTGTCTTCAAGTCCAGAGAACATTTTGGGGGACAAGCAGGTCCAAAATGGGATGAATGGGGGACATCTTCCCTAATTGAACAGTGAGAGCGCATCCACAGCGTGGGGAAGACAGACAACACAGAGTGTACTGAAGTACTTCCTTTTGAACTTTGTTAAACCTCCGCTAATTTGAATACTAGTAATCCAAATAATGTCCATTCGGATAAAACCAGGGCTATAATATTTACTTTTGTAATTATGTTATATATTTGTTAACATTTAACATTTAGTCAGGCCTGTGTTGCGGTTGCTGTGTGGAAGCTTATCAGTTTTTGCAAAGTGTGGAACACCTGTAAATGATGATAGGCACCTTGTTGATGACTGTGAAGCACTGGGGCTCTTCCAGACTACTAGGACTATTACCATAGGCATGAGTAATATGGAATCAGTAACCCAGATTACCACATAAATATCCAAACACAAATGAGCTTAGAGACTTCTGGCTCCCCTTTCAACATCTTTATAGCCTGATTTTCAGAGGCAGGATATTTCCCACTGGTTTTTATTCTCATGAGTACCTTGCATTGCTTATCCTGGTTATCAAACTTAGGGCATATATAGTGTTCACAGTGCTAAGCCCTATCTTTGACAGTGTGCTGTTATAACATTTTATTTTGTATGGCCTTAGATGATTCTCCAAATGCTGAGTCTTTTCATTAAAAAGTCTATCAGGACCTCTACTTGCAAATATTTCTTTTTGTGATATGTGGATGATGACATATCAACCATCCAAGATGGTGCTGGATTTGAACCTTTTTCTAATAGCAGTGGGAAGTCATTAAAGGATTTTAAGCCTAGGGTAACATGATTCAATTTTCAGTTACATGCGATATGTGGATGATGACAACCACCACCACCACAATGAAAGTAAGAAAAAACTGATCAGTGCTTTTTCTGTTCTTTTCTTATGTTATTGCATTTAATTCTCACAACAACTTTTGAGACAGGCATTAATTTTACTCTTCTACAGATGAGGAGGAAACCAAGGCTCCAAGAAATAACACCACTTGCCAAAGTCATATGGCTTGAAAGTGACCAAGCCAGGAATTGAATTCAGGCAGGCTGGTGGCCTTTCTTAACCATTACATTGTACCCAGAAATTGAAAACCACTTTTTCCCCCAAACTGTTAAGAATTAGAGAGATTTGGTACTCTGCCAGTACTACTTACTGGCAGATTTTGAAAAGCCGTGTACTTAATTAAAGTTTTCCTGAAGAGAGTACTTTGCTATTCTCTGAAAGTTTACACCTTCCCTATTTTTATTGTCTGTGATGATGCCATTTATGTTTTTATGTGGTGGTATTTTTATCTTTTTCTTTCTGTTAGCTGTCATTTTTACCTATAGAACCTGTGGCCAATTATCTGTGCCATTTTCTCACTTGACAACTAAAATATTGACAATAAACATCAGTCATTGCTTGCAGCTTAGAAAAAAATGCAGTGAGACACATTTATCATAACTGAGTTTTGGAAACTAGCTGTCTTTATATTCAGGTGACAGACACACTTGTAAACAACTGATGTTTACAGCACCAACTTAGATCTCACAGGAGGAATGGGGTTTTTTTCACTTGCCTATGTATTCTTCAGGCAGAATGTGTACCTTAAGTGTTTGAGCCCGGCAATGTCTTCAGTCTGCCTGAGCTCCAAGGTTCTCTTTTTCGGCTTCTTAGGCTAATCAGTGTGTGGGTCCTAGGGCACACAAAACCCATGACATTACTACTTTCATAGATGTTAATGTGATCTGAGCTGTATTATAAGGCACTTGCCCTTAGCAGTTAGTTAAGAAATATTCACTGAGTACCTATTATGTGCCTACTGGAAACCAGAGTATTGAATAGAATATATATGGTCTCCATGTTAATGGTTTATTCAGAGAAACAGAACATTGAAGAACTAAATATACATAAGTTAATAAGAGAAGTAGGAAGAAACTGCAAAGGAGATGTACAAACCTGACGGACTTTTCCAGGAAATTGACTTTTCAGCTGGGATGGAAGAATGTGGAGGGGTCATTATATGATGAGAAGGGAGGAGAGCTTTGCGGTTAGAGGGACCAGCATGTGTGAAGGCTTATCAGTAGAATAAACAATACCATGATAGAGAAACAGAGAAATTCAGCAGGGCTGGAGCAGACAGAGTGAGTGGAGGGTGGATAAGACGGTGCTGGATTTGAACCTTTTTCTAACAGCAGTGGGAAGTCATTAAAGGATTTTAAACCTAGGGTGACATGATTCAATTTTCAGTTACATTTTGAAAAGGTCAATGCAGTTACTATTCATTTCACAGGTAATTATTGAACATTTACTACATTCCAGGCATTGTCCTCGGCTCTGAGGGATAAGCCAAATAATAAAATAGACAGTGAATTCCTTGCTTTTGTGGATTTTATATTCTAGTGGAGTGGAGTTTGGAGATAGTAAAGAAACCAACAAGTAGAACATATCACATGGTGAGGAGTGCTATGAAAGCAGCAAAGGTCCAAGAGTGTGCCCTTGGGGAAAGGGTGCCAATTGTGTGTGTGTGTGTGTGTGTGTGTGTGTGTACACTCTTATCTATCTATCTATCTATCTATCTATCTATCTATCTATCTATCTATCATCTATCTAGTGGTGAGGAAAGACCTCGAGGAAAAGCTGGCATTTCAGCAAAGGCCTGGTGGAAGTGAGAGATTGACCATGAAGGAAAAGAGCTTTACAGGCAGAGAGAAGAGCAGACACAAGGCCCTTAGGAGAAAGGAGAATTGGCGTATTCAAGGCCCAGCAACAAGGCCAATGTGACAGAAATGGAGTGAGCAAGGAAATGCGGTGGAAGATGACATCTCTGAGATAGTAGGGACCCAGATCATGGAGAGCATTGTTAGCCAGTGTAAGGATTTTAGTTTTCATGTTGAGTGAGATGGGAAGACATTGGGGGAATGATAAAATGCACATGAAGTGTTAAAAGGATTGATCTGATTGCTGCCCCATCTCCCCTCCCCCATACTGCCTGGATGCTCCGTTGAAATAGACCCTAAGGGACAAAGTGGAAGCAAGGAAATGATGACTTGGACCAGGGGCTTCTTGTAAAGGTGGTAAGATGGAATGACTTACTACAGAACACATTTGAAGGAGGGTGAGAATAGAAGCAGGGAGCAGCCTGTTGCAGTAGATACATTAGGAGACTGGAAGAAAGCTGATGGTGTTCTGGAAATGAATATGGGCCTGGAGATGGAGAGGTGTGGGAATATCAGATAGTTAGTTAGAACACAGAGCTGACCCACAGGACTTTGCCGATGGGTAGCATGTCAGGAATGAGGGTGAGGGAGGAGTCAAGGATGACTTCTGGGTGTCTGGCTGGAGCACTGGGGTGATGTCATTTATTGGGACCACTAGGCACATACTAGTTTGGTGGTGAGGTGAGTGAATGACTCCACTTTGAACTGGGTTTGATTTGGAAATTCCTATGAAATGTGAAAGGGGAGAAACAGAGTAGATCATTGGATATATGAGTCTGGATTTCAGATGTTTGACCCAGGCTGGAGATGTAGATTTAAAGGTTAATGAGGAGGAAGATATGAATGGGAAATGAAGTCCTGGATTATGGATGATCTTGTTGAAGAGTAGAGTGAGAGGAGAAAAAGATATGAACTAAGTTGAGTAACACCTCTTTTAAAGGTTGAGAGGAGTAGAATCAGTAAGAGACATAGAAACAGAATATTTAAAGACATAGAAGGAAAATCAAGAGGGCATGCTTCAGACAAGCCATGTATAGGGTGTTTCAAATAGTAATTGTCAATAGCAATCACCATACTCTCTTGCCTCTGTGCCTTTGTACGCATTTTTCTCAGTACCTAGACTTCCCTTCTACCCTTCTCTGTGTTTTTCTCTTACGGTATGCTTTATTTTTCCTTTCATGCCTAGCAACTAGTATATTGCTTAGCATGTAGTTCTAAGTAGGTATTTGTTGAGTAAATGAATGGATGAATCTATAATGGACCCATAAAGATGACAGGTCTTACTACATTTAGGTTACCTTTTTCTTTAAGGTATATTTGAATCATTTTAAGATAAGTAGAACAAATAAATTTTCCCCGCTTTCAATCCATCACCATTGTGCAATCCTGAAAGCTTGAACATTCTTGGTACCTTTAACTGGATGCCTTCCTTTGTGTAGTCTCCTTTTTAAGCCTGTAAGGAATTTAACACTTTGTTTAATAGACTTCTTTAAAAATATGCTCATGTTTTGTTGGACTTTGAGTGATCTGTTAATTCCCAGGTAAGCATTTCTGTGTGCACATGAAGATGCATAACTCATACCTATTTTTGTGGACTCTTGGGCATTTCATACAGTTCTCTGCAGATAGTAAGGCACTCAATACGTCTTTGCCTAACTAGCTTAGCAGTGTAGTGATGGGTTTATATTAATTAATAACAGGTCGGGCATGGTGGCTCGTGCCTCTATTCCCAGCACTTTGGGAGACTGAGGCAGGCAGATCGTTTGAGGTCAGGAGTTCGAGACCAGCCTGACCAACATGGTGAAACCACGTCTTTAGTAAAAATACAAAAAAATTAGCCAGTCATGGTGGTGCCCACCTGCAATCTCAGTTACTTTGGGAGGCTGAGGCAGGAGAATAGCTTGGATCCGGGAGAAGGAGGTTGCAGTGAGCCGACATTGCACCACTGCACTCCAGCCTAGGCAACAGAGTGAGACTCTTATCTCAAAAAAAAAAAAAAAAAAAAGATAAATAACAAGTGTGAGCTGGTATAGACAAACTGGTTTAGAATCAAAAGACCTGGGTCAGAGTCCACGCTGTGTCTCGTACAGATTGTGTGATATTGGCAAGTCATTGGACATCCTTGAACCTCAGTTTCCTCAAATCAGAAGTGAGAATCATTTTAAAAAGGTTGCCAGGAGGATCAGATATGAAAGTGCTTTGTAAACTGGAAATCCTTCCTCTGTGGTAGGGAAGCTTGCCATTGAAAACCCATCCAAGCATTCTGAGGCCTGGGGTACATGATCTGTACCCAGTCTATGCTGTTGTTTCCCCTGTACTGTGTGTCTGTAAGATATGGGTGTATTATTAAGTGAGCTCTGGTGGCTGCCTTAAGCCCTCTGTGTACTTGGGTCTCTGTGGATGGAGTTGTTCATGTGAAAATAACTGATGGGCTGTAGGTCACAGACCTGCTCTTTGAGCCTAGTGTGGACCTGCAATGAGCAGACTTTTTGTCCTTGGTGCAGAAATAGCCTCTGACTTGGGAGAGAGGGGCAGAGTGGCCAAATCCTGCTGTCTTACTTCTTCAATTGGTTTCTATAATAGCTTCTCTAAGGTAGGGAGTGCTATGGTTAAGAACTTGGGCTTTGTAGTAAAGCAGAAGTGGGTTTGAATCCCACTGCTAGCACATATTTGGTGTTTGGGCTTGAGAAAGTTACTTGGTTCCTCTAACCTTCCGTTTTACCATCTGTAATTTGGGGATAATAAGAATATCTACCTCACAGGGCTATTTTGAGGAATAAATGAGTGAAGCATGTAATATGCTTAGCATAGTTCCTGGTGTACCCAGTAAGTGCTTCATAAATGGTGTGTACTATTGTTATTATTGTTTATGATGATTCCAGTGGGTCCTTTCAACTTTGCATTGACAAAGGATAGTCCCTAGTCAATCATAGGATATGGGAACAACGGAAATTCCACTTTTTAACCATTACTCTGGACTCTGTCTGCAAAGATGATGATTGGATCTTGTTCATTTCTGCATTCTCAGGGCTGAGGCTAGTGCATTGGCCAGTGAGCAGGCACTGAATACAGGGCAGAGAACTTGAACTGGCCGTGTGACCATTGCTTCACGGTGATCTAAAATGCTTTCCCTAAACATACACACAACACCTAACTCATTAGATGAGTTGTTGAAGTGGGTTTAGCCTGCTGTTGCAGTCTCAAAACTCCATCAGTGGGTGCCAGAGTTGACACAATCAAAATATTTCTTGAGGAAAGAATAATTAGCAAAAGTGAGTGTTCCTCAATTAGGGCCTGAGGGTTCTGGTGCTTTGATTATTTCCAACTACTCATCACTAGGCTGGATCCCAAGTGGAATACTTGGGTGGGCTTCTGTGTGCTTAGCCCTAATGAGTGTGGCAGTACATCTGGTACATGCCTGAGTTCTAAGTGGTGAAGAAGTCTGTAACTTAGCAATTGCACAGTTAAGTAGCTGCCTCTGGAGAGTGGATGGAATCAAGAAAAGGGCCCAGAAATCTCTGCATAAGGTACTGCAAGAATGCCTCTTGAGAACTTTTGGAAATTTGGTTGGTATGTGTTCTACAAGTTCAGTTGCTTGTTTGTGTGTTTGCCTAACCATGCAGTTTCTGCTGCCTTGTTTTACTTATATGCTGCTTATATAATCCCCCTGAATAGGCAATTGTGGTAAAGTGTAAAAGGCGTGAGATCTAGATTAGGCAGCTAAAATATCAAATCATAGCCCTGTTTAATTGACTGTGATTCTGGGCATGTTGTTTAGCCTCTCTGAGCTTGTTTCTGTCTGTTAACAATTAGAATAATAATGCTTATGTTCCAGTGTGATTGTGAAAAGTCATGGGATAACATAGGTGAATGACCTATCTAAATGTCTGGCAGTCTCAGGCTTAATACTAGGTGTAATGGATTGTGCAGAAAAGAGTTAGCAGAGTAGGCCTGACTGCTATCTGTTGACATGGTTGGGCCTTGGCTGGCATCTGGGAATTCGTCTTTCAGGAGGGTTTCCACCATTCTTTAATTGATAAAGTGTCTCTTGGTGCCTAAGCCATTTGTACAAACACTGTCATTTTTACCAAACACCTGCTTTCCTCTGGGGTTTTTGACATTTTGGTATGTGCTTGGCAGAAAGTGTCTACATGACCAACTCTCTCCAAAAACCCTTGGCACTGAGTCTAATGAGCTTCCCTAGTAGATGACATTTCCCATGTGTTGTCACAACTTGTTGCTGTGAGAATTTAGCATGTTTTACGTGACTTTACTGGGAGAGGACTCTTGGAGGCTCTCACCTGGTTCTTCCTGGACTTTACCTCATGTGCTTTTTCCCTAGGCTGGTTTTGCTTTGTATCCTTTTGTTGTAATAAATTATAGTTGTGAGTGCAACAATTTGTTAAATCCACTGAGTCTTCCTAGCAGATTATTGAACCTGGGCTTGATCTTGAGAACCTAACACATTGATACAGATTTAAATGTAGAACACATGTGTTGCCCTTCAGAACACTCACACTTTACTGCAAAGGCATACAGAGTCATATAATGGACTTTAGAGACTCAGAACGGGGAGGGTGGGGGGGCAGGGATAAATAACTATACATTAGTTACAGTGTACACTACTCAGGTGACAGGTGCACTAATATCTCAGAATTCACCACTATAGAATTCATCCACGTAACCAAAAGCCACGTGTACACCAAAAGCTATTTAAATAAAAAAATATATTGAAAAAACAACACTCATACTTCAGATAGAAAGCCCAACATGTAAGCATATAATTACAATACAATGAGTGATGTTAGTGCAGAGGGCAAGGGTAGCCCTGAAGAGTAGCCCTGGGGATCTGGGAGAGGTTTTTGGAAGAGTTAACACTTGTTAAATCTTGAAAGGTAATTAGAAGTTAACTATCTGAAGTGGGAAGAAAAGAGATTATATACCTTTAAAGTATAACATGCTCTTCTAAATAATTTTAGATTTAACTCACCGCTTTCTTTTTTTTAGCATTATTTAATTTTATTTTGAAATTTTGACATGATGAAGGACGTGATAGGACTGATGAAGACGTACAGAGACAGAACCCCCATAGGGTGGCAGTTGAGTGGATCACTGTGCAGATATGAAAGTGGAAGTAAAAACAATTCTTTGAGCCCCCAAATATTAGGAATTGGCAGTGATGCTTTTAGCACCTCCATATACTATCAGTCATTTTAAACATCTAAGACTCCCATTGCAGAAACATGGCACATAGAGTCAGGAAACTAAGGTTGTATAGATATTTGCAATCTGTAACTGTCCTAGTGTCAAGCACAAGAAATTCAGTAGGTGCCTCACATAACCAAGCACTGATCATTGATACCAAGACCAGATATGTGATCTAAATTAGCAAAGACACACTCCATGCTGCTTTGAAAAGAATTACCATAGATATTATGCTTTTACATGATCATCTCTTTCAGCAACACCAAATTGCTCTATCACCCTTCAATTCAGATCTCCGCAGTAAAATGTTTTTAAAGCAATTTGCAGCATTTCACTTTCTGTGGACCACACCCTGCCTGGACAGTCACTTTTACAATCATCACTTTCTTATGGAGCTAAACAGGTGAGGATCAGCCCCAGGATACTAGAATCTTGAACAAATGGATATATAGCCACTCTAAAATTGCAGGTAGGCTCTTTCACTCCCACTAATACCTACAAGACATTGCAAATAGAAAGGACAGCAGGACTGGCCAAATCTATCTTTGGCTTTCTAAAGTCAGTCTCACTGTGCACTGCTCTCTACCAGAGTAAGACTCAAGGATAAATGATTTTAGTGAATTAAAGAGTTTTTAAAAATAAAGTAATGAATTAACAATTTAAAAAGAATGAATGAGCAGTTTTTTTTTTCTGCCATTCATCTGAGCTCCTGTGAAATAGTTCCAATCAAGGTTCTGCCCAGTTAAAAGGAGGAAGAGACCTCAGAAGTTGTCTTGACAGGCCGGTTGCAGTGGCTTACACGTGTAATCCCAGTACTTTGGGAGGCTGAGGTGGGAGGATCACCTGAGATCAGGAGTTTGAGACCAGCCGGGACAACATGGCAAAGCCCCATCTCTACAACAATACAAAAATTAGCCAGGCATGAGGATGGGTGCCTGTAATCCCAGCTACTGGGGAGGCTGAGGCAGGAGAACTGTTTGAACCCGGGAGGCAGAGGTTGCAACTCACTGCTTTCTTTACAAGGGTTTAATGACTCTATGTTTAATCATTCATCAAACACGGGTTGAGAACTATGCCTTAAACTACTCTACGTTGTGTATCGGGCTCCAATAATGAACAGGAATGGTCCCTGCTTTCAAGGAGAGTCTGGCAGTTTATGGGTTGACATGGTTGGATTTTGAGGAAACCATGATGCAAGGTGATGCAAGGGACGGGGTGTAAGGTAAAGCATTCTGTGAGAGATGCTATCTAGGCTTAAGGGGAGGTAACTTTCTACCAGCACAGGAGAAAGGCGTTCCATGAAGAGGAAACAGCATGTGCAAAGTCCCACTGGCAAGAGAGACCTGATTTCTTCTGAGAATAATAAATAGTTATGTGGATCTGCAGAATGGCAGATGAAGGGGATTTAAACAGGTGCTATATTTTGACAGGTAGTAAAATCAAGCTTGAGGAAACAGATGAAAGGATTAAATGAGCTGTATTGAGGAATGGGAAAGAAATTGGATTAGGACACATAGTATTAGTACACAATAATGTTGTTGAGCATGGTTGAAGACCCAAGTGAGGTTGGACAATATAACTAGTAGTGCCAGGCCATATGATTCCATGACATATGTTCTGCCATGTTGATCTGGAGTTAGGGGGTTGCCAGGTGGGAAAAATGGAAAGAAGAGGCAAAGTTGTTAAGAATATTCGTAAAATAATTATTGAAGTCAGGGACCATGGTATCCAAGATGGAAGACAAGTGTGGCCTGATCGATAGACTTAATGGAGACTTCATAGCCTCCTGACTCTTCTAGTTTCTAAGTTCCAGAAGAGTGAGAATAAAAGGCCGAGGAAACTAGTGCTCAGAAAGTAGGCTGCTTCAATTTAAGATTTCAGAGTTGAACTGTTCCAGGTGAGAACAAACTCTAGTGGTCAAAGTGGGTATGTAAAGGTAAATATCTTTGGAGATGAAGAGAGCAAGGAACTCAGAGGCCGGAAGTTGGATATGTTGTCCACATGTGTGTTGAAGTCACCTGGGGTGAAGGTGGGGCTTGTGGCCAAGAGGAAACTTGGGAGTCAGGTACCACAGCCCCCAGTGAATATGAGAAGGTGCCTGTGAGGCCTAAGGTGACAGTGATGAGGAGAGAGAGAGAGCACTATAATTGCATAGTTGTGAACCTCAAAGGAGAAAAGATACATTTCTTACAATATGAAGCCATTCTTCTTCCTTTGCTATGTTAAGTGGAGTTTGACTTGGGACAGTCTATGCTTTGGCCTTTGGATGTATACCCTTTGAAATCTGTACAACAACCACCAGGACATTCCTCTCACTCCTTTCCCCTCATCTTGGGCGTTTCTCACCAGTCTTCTGGTGAGAATTTTTTTTTTTTTTTTTTTCACGTGGTCCCAGCTTGAGTTTACTGAGCCTCCTCCAGGCTCAGATATGTGCTTGCCTGGAGAAACTGCTTCCAAAGGCCAAGCAGCCCTGCCTTTGGAGAGCTGCTTTTGTTACTTACAATAGTGTTTCCCAGAGTGCATTCCATGAAAATATTAGTCTTTCAACATGCTGAACAATGAAAGAATCCATGGTCAAATCCTGAGAACATATGTCCCTCTTTTAGAGATTCATAAGGTACATTAGTATATAAAGAACCTAAGAGATTTTGCAGTAAGAAATCCTTTGTGTAACCTAGCATTACCCAAATGTATTTTACCACTGAAGCCTTTTTTCCCACTTACTCTCCATCAATACCCAGTGGATATACATTGGAAAGTGCTGGTCAATTATAAGAAAAGAAGTATGTGGATTTTATTTCCCTTGACCTATGGCCATAGAAGAGGTACATATTGCAACACTGGTGTATTTTCACTCTACTAAAATGAGATCTTACTATGTTCCTGAGTTTAAATAGCAAGAATTACTACATTTGGTTAGAATTAACACATTAAAATAGTTTGTTTAGTCTGTCATTCTTATGTTTAAGTGGCAATATTAGGAAATTAACTAAGAGCATTTCATTTTCCTTTGGAAGAATTCCCATAGTCAAGATTAGAATCTTAAAATGAAAATATACATTTTTCAAAGTCCTCTTGCTCTTATTTTAATTAAAAATGACAGCATAGATTTCAAACTAATCACATTATTTGCTCTTAAGGTAGTGATAAGATTTCTTCACAGATGTGTGCATATCATTCATAAAAATGACATACTTGGACTTAGATACATACTTTGTAAATGTTAAAAGACAAAAGTACTAAGAAAGCATTTTGTGAAACTACAATAAAATGAGAAAAAATTAAGGGAAATTACCAACATGCTCTCTTACATAACACCTTGATTTTGATAGAAGTGCAGATCCTAATAACCTAGACATTTTAAAAAGCAAAACAAGCATAAATATGAACATAACAAAATAGTGTTGTATGTTGCCAAAGTGGTGCTTGGAGGAAGATACATTACTCTAGATGTTTATGTCTTAAAGAAAGGAAGGCCAAATATAATGAATTAAGCTTGCACCTAGATGCTTTCTAATAGGAAGAATGTCAGAAGCCAGAAATGGTGGGCAGAGGAAGTAGTAAACGTAAAACCAGAAATAAACTAGAGAAAAAGCTATTAAATACTACATCTTGTCTTTGAAAAAAATGAACAACTGTTTAGCTAACTAAAAAAAGAGAAAACACAAATTCATTACATTAGTACTGAGACAGGAGATCAGATGATGAATGTGAAAGATTTAGAAATTTGCAGAGAAACAATAACCTTCTGTATGTGCTAATAAATCAGATGAACCAGAGCAGAAATGAATGACCTCCTGCAAAATTATATAAAACTCGTGCAAGCTTAAACAGAAAACATGAATAGACTGGTAGCAAAGGAAGGAATAAGAAAAATAATTAAAGTCCTATCATAAAATCCACACAAACCATGGGTTTTTGGCTCCAATAGATTAATAGAAAGAATTCAGACTTCTAGAGCAACGTTGATCTTTTTTATTTTTATTTTTTGAGACAGGGTCATGCTCTGTCACCCAGGCTGGAGTGCACTGGCATGATTATGGCTCACCGCAGTCTTGATCTCCTGGGCTCAAACAGTCCTCCTACTTCAGCCTCCTGAGTAGCTGGGAATACAGGCATATGCCACCATGCTCAGCTAATTTTTAAAATTTTCTGTAGAGACAGGGTCTCCCTATATTGCCCCAGTTGGTCTTGAACTCCTGGTCTCAAGAGATCCTCCAATCTCGGCCTCCCGAAGTGTGTGAGCCACTGCACCTAGCTCTGTTCATCATTTTTGACTGCCTACTGTAAATTTAATCCTTTGCACACACACACACACACACACACACACACACACACACACACCCCTCTATATTCTAATCCATACAACAATTATATATGGGTACCATTAGTAAAACCAGTTTACAGCTGATCTAATAGGCTCAGAAAGGTTAAATGGCTTGCCTGAATCCCTCAGCAAATAAGTGATAGAGTGGGGATTTGAACCCAGATTTATCTGGCTACAAAGTTTATTATCTTTTCCTATGCTATACTTTCTACCAGAATAAAAAAATTCTCTCATAAACTGTTTTTAAATGTTGAATTGACACTAGTTTACCCAATTCCTAATTTACATTTTGAGGAAACATGATTTCAATCCTCAAATTGGGAAAAAGTACAAAAAAAAAGAAAATTATAGGCCAACCTTATTTATGGATATTCATTCTTCATTAAGAATTATAAATAGAAAAATCATTCCACTTACAAATTTATCTTTAAGTGGCATTTAATCTAGGAGCACAGGATACGATGATAAAACAAAAATTATGATAATCATATTAATACGAAAACGTAATTAAAATAATATTTTTAAATAGATGTTGAAAAAGCATCCAATAAATGAAACAACTATTCTTGGATAATTTATTTGGCAACCCAAAAACGAGTATGATTTTCATATATTTTGGTATAAAATCTAACACTATTTCATGGGGAAAAGAGAAAGTCCCTATGAAAATAGAAAAAATTACAGATGACAAAAATAGGACTAAGGCTCTACCATTTTTTAACAGTATAGTAGAAATTTGAGCCATAGGCATTAATAAGGAAAAAGTAATGCCATCAGCAAAGAAAGCCAAACCTTTCTTAATAGGTCTAGCACCTACCGTATGCCAGGCATTGTGATAGGTACTGGGGATACACTCCAGAAAGACTGTGCATGTCTAGGACACAGAAGACTATCAAATATTAGTTGGTATAAATGAGCTCAGCAATGTCATGTAATTCAAAGCAAATTAACACATGTTTTTAGTTGCAAACAATTGAAGAATATAGTGAGTAAGATAATTCATTTGCAATGGAGACAGAATACATTAAATACTTTGGCATTAATTTAATTTGGGACATGAGATTTATTTAAATAAAATTATACAATCATAATGGGAAGAATAAAAGACATTAAATAAATGAATGGAGAGATGCCTTGTTCCAGATGAAAAGACAAAATATAAGAAAGATGCAATATTCCCTGAGTTAATATATAGTGTCACTACATGCCAATTAAAGTCCCAGTGGGTTATTTTATAAGATGTGACAAATTGCTAGCAAAATTTGTATAGAAGAATAAGGAGGCAGAAATACTAAATAGTTTAAAAATTGTTCATTTGAAGTTATACTTCTGTCACATATTTGTTCAATCTTTTGTTAGTTCCTTGTTCCCTATTCATTCAGTTCTTACTACTGTCCCCGCTTCATAAAAGGTACTCCATAAATATTGGTTGAAAGCAGAAAGGAATCCTTATTGAAGGACTTTGAAAATGGGCTTGAGACGGACAAGTGGCTTTCTCCGAAATGTCAGAGAATCGATAAGGTGGAACATCAGGGACTTGCCCTCATTTTAAACAAATAAGGCAGGAGTGGTCACAGTGAGAAAGGAAGAGACTGTTCCTGGGTCTAGTAGTGTGTCTGCTGACATTTTCAAGCAAATAAAGGATCTGCCTCCTAGCCCTCTGCCTGGACTTTTTCTCAGCATGTGTTTGTGTTACAGATAGGGCCATCATGACACTTGGGAGCTCGAACTCATCATTATCTTCATAAAGAAATGTGAGAATTTTGAACTTGGGCCCCAGTCTGGTATCTCCTAGCTTTCTTTTGCTGCTTTGGGTCTTTTCAGACGCAAGAGATCTGTCATCTTTTGGGGCCTGTCTCTAATATGCAATCTTTCTCAAGTGCCCCTTACAAAAAATGCCTCTTCCTCCTCTGCACTTATGCATGCAGTAGTTTATTTGTTCTACAAAGGGCCTAAAGAAGGCCATGCTAACAAGGGTGGGATTTAGGCTGTCTTCTCCCTGTTCTCCACTGCATCAGTTTCTGAGCTGGGCTGGTTATCAGAATCACTTGAGGAGCCTTAAAATACACATATTCTTGACCCTGGTGATTCAGATTTAGTAGAACTGAAAGTGTAATATGTGATGAATATATCATATGATATTATAAATTACATTATATTAAATATTTCATTATATTATTACATATTATATTAATTACATAAATTACACACACACACATGTGTGTGTGTGTGTGTGTGTGTGTGTATGTGTGTATGTATGTGTATGTGTGTGTGTATATTTCCCTGATTATTTTGCTGAAGAACCAGGTTTGGGAAGAATGCCTCCATAGCATCAGCCAGAGTAGCTGCACAGAGGAGCTCCCCCCTCCCCCACCACCACATTTATTGAATGAAGGGATTAAATTAGGAACAATGTTCAGACTGATTATAGTGTTGCTATGCCAACCGTTGTTGCAGGTGCTGAAATAGACTGCAGAAGGTCTAGTAAACACTTAAAATGAAATGGTCCCTGACCAGCATTGTCATTATTATAACTAATATTTATAGATAATTATTTACTAGTTTCCATTAGAATGTTAATACCAGAGAGCACCACTCTATCTCCTATTGACTGATTAGCACAGTGCCTCACACATAGTAGGCACTCAACCATTTATTTAATGAACGAATGCAACGTTTTCATTAATTTTCACAATGACATTATAAGGTGGGCAATTTTCATATTATCATTTCATAAATGAGGAAGTCGAAGCAGACTGACTTGTTCAAGGTCATACAGCTAGTGAGCAGTTGACCTGCAGTTTTACTCCATGTCTTTGTCATGCTAAAGCAGAGGCTATATAGGAGAAAGAGCCTTTGGACTCCATTGACTAGGCAGAGGCCAGACCAGGAAGGGCATGGATGTAGACAGCAGGCACCCCAGACAGGATGGCACAAGCACTGGGGAGAACAATTAGCCTCAAGGTCTTGGAAAAAATTCAGAGTATGAGATCCAGAGAACCAAGTGGGCCTAGGGGATTGTGGTAGTATATAATGATTGGTGTCGTAGTTACTGCCGAGAGTATGCATTCTAGGCCTTTAGAGATTAGGAAAGAATAAGATAGGTATCCAGGCCTTTAGGAACTGGGAAACAGACAGCTTTGGACACAGAAACAAAACAAGAAACAAGTTACTGGGTTTGGAAGATGAGGCAGGGATCTCACTCTAAGGAAGAAGGATAATCCCGGTAATGAGAACTAGAGTCCAGGACCAGGGCAGCACCTGCATCCCTGGTCCTGAGCGTGATCCTGGTACTGATGCTGTTTCTTAAGCTCTTGAGTTTCTTAAGCTTCTGGGCAAATTGTTTTCCCCATTTGAGCATAGTCCAGGATTCAGGCTTAGGTAGAATAATGCCTATGAGTCCTGGCTAAGGAACATCAGAAGTGGAAAGAGAGGCAGACTCATGCAGTGAACCAAGAACCTCCCTTAAACTCAAAGGAGGGTGAGGTTCTAAAGCGACATCAGCCTGTTTTCCTAGTGATGGGATGTGGTTTTGACTCCTGGTATGCCAGGGGTTGGTGGGATAATGATTATAAGTATACTCTTAACCCTTGTATTGGCTTACTTGCCCCTGAAAGGTGGTCATATGTCAAAGTTACCAACATCTGCTCAAGCACAATTTCCTAAGTATGTGCTGAAAAATAAGTTAAGGGGTATTTGGCATGTCATTCTCCTTAGCCCTTGTGACTGCCAAGAGTGCTGGCCCTGAGTTGCCTGTGGTGGCCAGCAGCCTCAGCTGTTTCCCCCAGCATGCCATGTACGATTGGCATGCTGTACTAAGTGCCATACATGAAAAAAGTTGGGAAACATTACTGGAGCCCCATTCCTTGTTGGCCTCTTCATTACTACACTACAATGTCCTCTTCCATTTGTACAACACCAGAGTGGTGGTTGTCAACCCCTTTCCTGCCTCAGACCTTTGAGACACACTAATCCGCCACAGGTAAAGATACCTCACCCAGCTCTCATTCTCAAGAGGTGAAGACCTTGTTCTAGATCTTCCCAGGGCTGGATATAGTTGGAGAAAGTACTCCAGGTGGCTCTGAAAAACCTTCTTGTGGAAGGGGGTCATGCTCCTATCTATTGAGAATCACACATCTTAGATGGAAGAACATTTTCACTCCTATGATCGCCTCCCTTCCTCTGACCAGGTGGTGATATCATCTCCAAATTGTGAATAAGGAAGGTGAGGCCTAAGTTGCTCAAGGTTCTCACAGTAAGAAAGTGGAGGAACCTGTAGTAACACCTGGGTATGGTGCTTTTTTTCTGCGGCACTGCACCCTCCATTCCTAGTACTAAGATTAATACCTAAGAAGAAAATGATCAAGTGAAAAGCCAAGGTCCATAGCCATGCTAGTAGATGGTGAGTGAAGTAGTACCTAAGACACATTGGTTGTGGTGTCGCGAGTTGGGGATTGGCCAAAGTTGGGTGTGGTGAGCTGAAATGAAGGAGGTAAGCCCTTTGGACAGGCAAGAGGACCCAGTGGACTGGGATGTGGCTCAGACAACAGACCCCTGGTGAAGCCATTCTCAGAGCTGACATTTGAGTGGAGAAAGATTTGGAAATAGCTTTTGGGCTTGAGGCTTGCAGGGATGAAACTGCCCAGCAGGAGCAGGTTGTACTCTCCTGCTGACTTTCTTCAGCCACACCTGTCTACTGGAGCACAGCTCCCTCTAGAGGTCATTATTCTTGCCGACGGGACATGACTGTGACCTCATCTAAGTGCCAAGGGGATTATTGAATGCTGACTTTGTGTGACATTAAAAATACAGGCCAGCCAAGCCTGTTCATTGAAGCAGGATTTATTTGGTACCATTTTCCAGGCCATGCCCTGTGTTCTGGGTACTCAGAATCCACAGATGAATGAGCCATCCCACAGAGAAGTCACTGTCTTGGGTTTCAGACAGATATTTCCAGCCCAGTGTGATTCGTACTTTGATAGGGGCAGGAACTGAGTGCAAAGTGGAGGTGGAGAGGAAGGGTTAGATTCCCGATTTCTTTGGAGCACTGACAGGGCAAAAGGTCTGGGAAGGTTTCCTAAAGGAGGGGACTCTTGAGCTGAATTTTTAAAAATGAGTAAGGCTTAGCCAAGTAGAAACAAAAGGGGAGGACGTTCTATGGGAAGGGTCAGTGAACATTTTCTGTAAAGGGCCAAATAGTAAATATGTTAGGCTTTGTGGGCCATACAGTCTCTGTTACAATGACTCAACTCGGCCTTGTAGTGCAAAAACCACAACAGACAATATATAAATACATGACCTTTACTGTTGTAGCCATGGCTGACTGCTGTCATGTAAAGTATAGGTACATTTATCATCCCTATTTGACTGTGAAGAAATGGAGTCTCACAGCGGTGAAGTGACTTGCTGAAGGCCAACCAGTTGATTGTGTGTTAAGCACCTCATCTGAACAGATGAAACCCAGGCACTGGTAGCAGGGGTTGAGGGTGTACATGGGATATGGCATGTAGGTGAGCTGCAGTAGATGGGCATGGACTGAGCTGTGAGAATCTAGAATGGTCCTAGCACTCTGGATCTATTTTCACCCTCTATCCTTGTCCGTTCCACCTACCAGACTATCCCTTTCTAAGGCCTTGGCTCTGCTGTAGCTGTGTGCTTGTCAGCCATGAATCTTCATTCTTACTGTCCCCCTAACACAGGGCCAGGCACTGAGCAGATGCCCAGACCACGTCTGCTTAACTGATTTACCTAGCATTCAGTTAAGGGCTATGGGTCCTTTAAATAACTCTTTTTAATATAACTGGTATCAGATTCTTTTGATATTTCCATTTGTTTTAATTGCTGCAACTTAATGTTCATAAAAACTAAGACATACAACTTTATGGAACTGCATCACAACCATAGGAACTGCATCACAACAATGGGAACTCTTCCAGATTATACTGGAGCTTCCCCAAAGAGAAAAAAAATAGTTTTCATTCTTAACTAATTATTTTTAAGTGAATGGCAGGTGGAACACTACAACATCCATAATTTTGCAAGCTGAGAAAGAGCTGAACGTCTTTTTATTGCCAAAAAAATTGCTGGTGTTAGTGACAACAGTTTTTTTCTGGATCTGATTGAAGACATTTATGAAAAATCAGTCCTAAATATGAATATTCCCATAAGGAAACTGCTTCTAAGGAGACTTAAAAATACTCCTGAAGTCAGATGTGTATCAATTTCTATTTTTGTGACTTCCCCCCTTAACTTCCATAATTGATTTTAATTGATTGGGTCCTTGTTCCATGTCGTGAACATTTGGGACTCATAATTTTGAAAAAAAATTAAAAGATTTTCTTTTGGTTTCATGGACAGAAGCAAAAAACATATATTATGTGATTTTGGTAATTGGACTCCTGTTTTGGAGGCTGAGAATGTTTGCTGTCTATGCAGCTGGGATGGGAGTTAGCAGTCGCACCCTCTTCCTAGGGGAACCATGTGAGAGAGCTCCCATTTGGAAGCCTAGGCTGGTTGTACTCATCCTCAGGCCACCCTCAGCCTGCTTTCTTCCCCAAATCCTGGTTTACTTCTGTGGAACATTTGTCTTTCTTACTTGATTATGTTAATAATAGCAACTGCTCATTGAGTACCAACTCTGGACTGCACTCCATAGAGATGCTTTTGATTGAGCCTCACAAAAACCTTACGGGGAACTTATTGTTATTTCCACTTTTCCAGATGAGGAAACTGAGGTGAGGTAACCTGTCTAGGTTGACTCAGAGTGGAAGCTAGAGAGCTTTGATCAGACCCCAGAATTGTCTAATTCCAGGATCTGCTGTTTTCATTTCAGTGGTCAGCCCACATGTGGAGAGAAGTTCCTATGCTCACTTGTAGGCCCTGTGTTGCAAGGCGGGTATGATCTGGACATCAAAAGTAGTGTATGAGGATGGAGAGGGTCTGGGAGTCAAGACCTGTGAGGGCACTGAAGGGACTGGATGATGTTTATCCTGAAGAAGAAAAGACTTAGAGGGAAGTGAGAGCTAAATTCCCATATCTGATGGGCCTTAGTTGTGAAAAGATTTCTACGTTCATTCATACAATGTCTTACTTGCCTCCTATTATCCCGTTGTTGAGGGAGAGATTCATGTCATGGGGTTATGTGGATGGCTGAACACATGACGTCTGTCACTGAACAGACAAGACTGACAGCAGTTTATTAGCCACATATACTCACATCCCAGGGACGAGGGCACTACATTTCATGCAAGGACACATGGGGGTTCACTGGTGAACAAAGAGAAACTCCTGAAGAAATTGAAGCAGCAGGGTCTGTGGGAGGCAGGCTTTGTAGTGTCAAGAGAGTGGGGTTCCCCGTTCCCTGGGAAGATGTGATTGGTCGGTTTGAATAACTCCACACTCTGGCAGGGAACTGAAACTCCCTACTCGTATATAGGCAACAATTGTGCCTCGTCCCCTTGTTAAGGAGGATTGTTTGGCTAGGGGACCTTATCTACAAGAGTAGAGTGGGAAAGAGAACTTGTGGTTATGGCATTCAAGGCCCTCCTAATTTTACCACCTGCGAAGGCAGCACATAATACTGGGCCTTAATTTAGGACTTAGATCACATATATTCAACACATTGTTATTCAACACATTGTTATTCAACACCTGCTGTGTGCTTAGTACCATTCTTAGTGGGGAGGATACAGTGGTGAACAAGACAAAGTGCCTGCCTTCATGGAGCTGACATTCTAATACAGAAGACACACAATAAACAAGTATATAATACCAAGTTGTGATAAGTGCTTTAAAAGAAAAAAAGAAGGGAATAGTGCCTAGAGTGCTGTTTTAGTTATGGAAGTCCTCTCCAAGGAGGTGACATTTAAACTGAGACCTAGATATGGTGAGTGAGCCATTGAACAACTGGACAAGAGCATGCCTGGGAGAGAGAAGAGTAAGTACAAAGCATCTGTGCTCAAGATCTGCTTGTTGTACCTGAGGACCAGCAAGGAGGCCATCATGGCGGGAGTGAGGGGGAAGGTGGCAGGAGACAAGGTTTAAGAGATAGGCAGAGGCCAGATCTTGTAGGGTCTTGTAAGCCATGGTAAGAACGCGAGCATTTTTAAAAAAATACAATAAGAAGCTTTTAGAAGGTTTTGAGCCAGGAAGTGACATGATTTGACTTATGTTTTTAAAGGATCAGTCGATGTTCTTTTGAGAATAAACTTGTGGGAGGCAGAGGTGGGAACAGGAACACTGTCCTACTCCAGGGGAAAGCTGGTGGTGGCTTGGACTTGGGTGGAGGTGGTGAGAAGTTATTACTTTAGGGCAGTGGTTCTCAACGGGGGTGATTTTGCTCCCGCCACCCTGGAACATTTGGCAATATCTGGAGGCATTTTTTATTGTCATAATGTGGGTGCAGGGTTGCTACAGGTGTCTAGTGGGTGTAGGTCAGCGATGTTGCTAAACATTCTACAGTGCACAGGACGGCCTCTCACAACAAAGAATTATGTGGCTCAAAATATCAATAGTGCCTAAGTTAGACAAACCTACCCTAGAGATACACACATATTTTGATGATAGAGTTTGCAAGATTTGCTGATGGATTGGATGCAGGTGTGGGAGTAAGGAGGAGTCAAGAATGGTCCCAAAAAGTTTGGTCTGAGGGACTGAGTAAATGCCAGTCCTTTTACTAAGATGAAGAAGTCTTAGGGGAAAGGTTTGGATGGGAGTAATCAAGAATTCAATGTTGAATTTTGAGAAGCCTGTTATATATCTAAAGATTCCTTAGAGGAGAATAAGAAGGAGTAGCCAAGGAGGAAGAATGTGAATCAAAAGAGTGCTGGTTACAGAAGCCATGTATAGAAAAGATTTCACGTGTCAAATGCCACAGAAAGGTTGAATAAGATGAGTGAGAATTGCCTATTGGATTTGGCAATGTGGAGATCATTGGTAATCATGGTAAGTATGGTGCCAGTGGAGTGGTAGAGATGAAAACCTGCTTGGAGCAGGTTCTTGAATGAGAATCCACCTCCTTATGATTTCTGTCTAACAGCTTTACTTCTATGTGTTCTGGAATAGCACAGAGAAACTTGCACTTACAAATATGATATTTACTCCTCAAAATAACTTCACACCATGATTACCATCCCCAATTATAGAGAAGGGAATTGAGGTCTTGTATTAATCCTGTCTTTTATTTTCTGTATTCTGATGCTTTGGCATCTTGGGGCCTTACTGACCCTGAAGGGACCACCCCTCCTGGTGTTAGCCACTTGTTAGAGATGGAAAACAATTCAGTTTGAGTGTCTTTTCTTATGCAAACCAAGCAATACAAAGCCTATACCCCAGCTGCCTTCATTATCAGAATCTCATGGTCTGTGTCACTATCTTCTTGCCTAATCACTGCAGGGCTAGGTACCAGATAACTAGGGACAGACTTTTTACCCCAGAGTCCACAAAATTATTCAAACTAGCCGATCCTAAGCTTGCTTACCTTGCCTTACCCGTGTCTTCCTGCAGAAACCACAATAAATGCTCTTGCTCACATTTTCTCTCACATCCTCTGTCTCCTGACTGGCCTTGGTGCTTCCCCACATGGCCCTATGTGGTGTGGTGTGCCTCCTGCTTCTAGGGACCTTTGAGTAGTATACTAAACCCCTTTCTTCTGACAGTCATTTCCATGTCTGTATACCCGATTAAATACCTGATTAAAACAAGTCCTCAGTTTGGGGTGGTGACTCATATCTATAATCCTAGCACTTTGGTAGGCCAAGACGGGAGGATCACTTGCACCCAGGAGTTTGAGACCAGCCTAAGCAAAATAGCCCCATCTCTATAAAAAAGAAAAAAAATAGCCAGGCATGGTGGCACATGCCTGTTGTCCCAGCTACTCAGGAAGCTGGCAGGAAGAGAGTTTGAGCACAGGAGTTGGAGGCTGCAGTGAGCCATGATCTTGCCACTGTGCTCCAGCCTGGATGACAGAGTTAGACCCTAAATCAAATATTTGGTACCATTAAACATGACTAGAAGGATGACTACTTTGCTCACGATCGTATAGGTAGTGATGGAGCAACTTCTGAAATCCAAATCTCCAAAATTAAGATGCATGCTCTTTCTTTTACCCTGTAAAATTTGCTTATTTTACAAATGGTGTGGAGATACAGGTCTCAAGAAAACACTATAAACATTTAAATCCTGTCTGATCTTTTCATAAAGAATGAGAATTGCTAACATTTTGTGACAAGCTCTATTGAGGAATAGAAAGAAATGTAATAAATTATAATGATGTCAGAATCATAACATTGGAAGCCCTTAGGGGAAATGTAAACAACAATAAATGATTATAGGCTTCTCCCCATACCACTTTCTACTATATTAAGTGGTCCTATTGCATGCAGAGAGTCATCCTTACTTGTCAGCAGAGTGCCACCTGAAATTATTCGCGAGTGAGGTCATAATTGTACGTTTATGGTTTAAGAATGAGTAACATGCTTGTTATTTTCTCTGCCTCCTCTGCCTTCATTATTCATCTGTATTTCAATAGTGAATCTGGTTGTCACTTTAGGCCTGACTTCAGTCTGCGGCTAAGGAGGCAGGGACTTAAGTCCTCTGGCTGGCCCACAGCCCACAGTGCCTGAAGGCGTAGGAAGCCCAGGCTCTGAAGCTATCCATGGGACATGTCCCAAACTAATTGAGGTCAGTTCCCATATAGACCTGGGGGGAAACCTGTTGGGGGCCTTTAGCAGTGTGGCTTGAAAATACTTTTCCTTGGGCTCAAACCTACTGTTTCTGGTGGGTGGTTTAATAATGGACCCAGCTTGGGAGGCCCCAGACAGCTTATCACTGGTTAGGGGTCATAGTGTAGAGGTTAAGACCACTGACCGTGGAGCCAGACTGAGTGGATTCCAATCCTAGCTCCTCTTCCTTTTGGCTTTGGGACCTCGGGCAAGTTATTTAACATCTCTGAGCCTCAGTTTCCTCAGCTATAAAAATAGAAATTATGGTACCTACCCCATGGGGTTGATGCATGGATTAAGTGAGTTAGTATACAAGAGGTAATACAATACAGTGATTAGGAAGACAAGGGACAGCATGGGAGCAACATTGCTTAAGTTCATAAACTGGCTCAACCACTAACTAGTTGTTATTAGTCTGTTTCACACTGCTATAAAGATACTACTTGAGACTGGGTAATTTACAAAGGAAAGAAGTTTAATTGACTCAGAGTTCCCCATGGCTGGGGAGGCCTCGAGAAACTTACAGTCTTGGCAGAAGGCTATGGGGAAGCAAGGCATGTCTTACATGGCAGCAGGAGAGACAGCGAGTGAGCTCAGGGGAAATGGCAGACACTTATCAAACAACCAGATCTCCTGAGAACTCCCTCAATATCATGAGAACGGCATGGGGGAAACTGCCCCCATGATCCGATCATCTCCCACCAGGTCTCTTCCTCTGGGAATTACAATTTGAGATGAGATTTGGGTGGGGACACAGAGCCAAACCATATCACTAGTTGTGGGACCTTTGTCAAGTGCCTTCACCTCTTTGTGCTCCACTTGCCTCATCTGTAAAATGGGGATGATGATGATAATAGGGATGTTGCTAGGATTAAATAAGTTAACCTATGTTAAGCAATTAAAAGAGTGCCTGCTTTATGGAAGGACTATTTAAAGTCTGCTGTCATTACTATTAATTTATATCATTAACAAAGGTAACATGGACCACAAGAGTTACAGACCCTGTGTATTTCAGAGTTCAGAGAAACAAGGGAGCTCAGAGAGCTGGGAACTCAAGAGAGGCATCACAGAGCAGGCAGGCCCTAGGAACCTTGCATAGCATGATGGAAAGCCCTTAGCCATGAGCCTACAAGAACTAAGTTTGAATACCGGCTCAGCCACTTGTTAGCTGAGTGACCTTGGACAACTTATGTCACTTCGCTGTGCCTCTTTCTCTGACTACAAAATGGAGAGGATGATAGCACGTCCTTGGGAGGATTATGTAAAGTAATACAGACAAAGGGCCTAGAATAGTGCCTGGCACATGGTTAGTACTCAGTAAATGAAGATGTTATTCACGAATTACTACTAAGCCTCATAGTTGTAATGAATACAAGGAGTAACTCTCATTATTATTGGCGGACTGCAAGCTCCCAGTGCGAAAGGTAAATAAGGATTTGGGTAAATAAGGACTTGGGAGGAGAGGTTTAATTCATTAATTAATTAAAGACAGAGTCTTGCTCTGTTGTCCAGACGGGAGTGCAGTGGCACAATCATAGCTCACTACAACCTTGAACCTCTGAGCTCCTCCCACCTCTGCCTCCAGAGTAGCTGGGACTACAGGTGCATGCCAGCATGCTCAGCTAATTTTTTATTTTTATTTTTTGTAGAGATGGGGTTTTGTGTTGGTGGTCTCTATGTTTTGTAAAGATGGGGTCTCTGTGTTGCCCAGGGTAGTCTTGAACTTCTGGCTTCAAGGGATCCTCCTGACTTGGCCTCCCACAGCACCGGGATTACAGGCATGAGCCAGCACACCTAGCTATTTTTTTATTTTTATTTTTGTAGAGGTGGGGTCTCCATATGTTGCCCAGGCTGGTTTTGAACTTGTAGCCTTAAGTGATTCTTCTCGCCTAGCCTCCCAAAGCTGAGAGGGAGAGGTTTAGATACTGGCAAAGGCAGGAAGGTGAAAAGCTCTCAGGGAGTTCTGGTGGTGATGAACAGACCAGTTTGTATCCTTTAACAGGTTTCTGAGGAGGGAGATTTGGTTTAAGGTAGGGAGTGAAGGGCATTGGATTCCAAGGTAGGGAATTTATTTTTTAATTTCTCTAGTGATAGCCTATAAACCATTGAGTAGAAGGCATAAAGGGTTACAGTAAGGTTCTGTTGTTTTGCTTAAATGTCAAAAGCTATAAAACTACGATGGATCTGGGGCCTCCTTTTCTGTCTGTTTCCTCTTTTGTGGAGTCTCCTCATTTCCTAATTCAGAGAGTTCCTAACTTATGATGGTTTGACTTACAATTTTTCAACTTTATAATGGTGTGAAAGCAATACGCATTTAGTAAGCTCCTTAACTTATGATGAGGTTACGTCTGCATAAACCCATAGTAAGTTGAAAATATTATAACTTGAAAAAGCACTTTTGACTTACAATATTTTCGACTTATGTTGACTTTATTGGGCTGTAACCCCATTGTAAGTAGAGGAGAATCTGTATGTACATTTCTATAAAGGGGCAATCTGCTACTTGCTTTTGGCCATGGAGAATGCCTGCTACCTTTTCTATGAAGTGTTCTCTCATCATTTAAACTGCCATATGTACTCCTCTTCTCCTGTGTTCCCCTATAGGACTGTGCGAACTGCAGAGATTCTTATCACAGCATACCTGGTGGAAAATTCATTCATTACCCACTCCATCCCCTACCAGCCTTGGAGTCCCTAGTGGACCTGGACTGTGCCTTGTTCTTGAGATCTCCTTATCCCCTACGCCTAGCCCCAGCTTAGTGCCTTGTACCAAGGAGATAATATGAAGAGGATAGAATATGTGAGGAAGCATGAAAGAGGATCCTTCATTGAGCAAACAAGTGGGTAGTGATTGAGGAAGGACAGGGGACTCACTGTATGAGTCCTGAGCAACAGGGAGGTATTACCCCAGGCATCTGTGAGATGTAATGTGTATGTGGGGAGTGGGGTGGTGAGGTGGATGATCTCCTCTCTTGTTTAGATAGCTGTGCTTCTCATTTAAAACTAATGATAGTAACAGGAATTAACAGGAGAGTGTGATATGTATTTCTGGATAGTAGTGGGTTTCTTGGAAAATGGAAGGAACACCTGCATCAGTTCCTCTGAGAATACCTGGGGACTGGAGCAGTGATTTTCACACTTTTAATGTAGCAGGACCCTTTAAGTGAAATTTTAAGCTAAGCCCAATAGATGCCTACATGCATGGATGGATAGATAGATAAAAAGATAGGTCCAATATATAGATGACAGATAGATAAGAATGACCTTGGATAAGACACACATCCCTGGACCTTGATCTCCTCTGTACCATAAAGTATAGAGCTTAATTGAGATTTCTGAACTGCTGATATTTTGGATTTGTTAATTTTTTTGCTGTGTAGGACCGTCATGTGCATTGTAAGATGGTTAGCAGTAATCCTGGCCTCTACCAACTCTACACCAGCAGCACCTCCCTTTCCAGTTGTGACAAATAAAAATGCCTCCAGATATTGCCCATATGTTTTCTGTTGGGAGGTACAAAATTACCCCCAGTTGAGAACCACTGGGTTAAGTGGTCTCTGGTGCCTTCCTTTTTTTTACTTGAGTGATTACTCCTAAAAGGCCTTTAGCACAGTGTCTGGCACATCTTAAGTTCTCAGTTAATGGTAGTTGATAATACTGTTATATGCTTCCCTTCAGTAGTATTGATAGCTTGGCTATTCCTCATGTCATACTGTGACTGATATTTTTAATGTTCAACTTGGTAGCACAGCGCATCTTAGAAAGCCAAGTGGGCTGCTTTACTTTCTTGTTAGCAGTCCCCAGGGAAGTATAGTCATCAGTAATCAGGTGGTTGCTATGGCGGAGATGGGAACATGGTCACCCTGTACCATTCTCCCTCCTGCTGTATGTTCTTCAATTTGGCCTTTCCTTCCCTCACTAATATTCCCCCTGGTGTTCTTTTCTCTTTTTCTGGTGAACATGACACAGTGCTAAATGGATTTTTTTCCCCCCGCTCTCCTTTTTCTTTTCTTCACCAACTTGAAGGAGCAGGATTCAACCTTCAGCACAACTTCCAGAGTGTTTCCATGGAAAGACAATTAAAATGAGCTTTTAGGTTTGCAATGAGAAGGGATATTTGCTTTTTTCATATTAATATTCATATTTTCTCAAGATTCAAAAAATGCCAAAACAATATTCATGGGAAGAATTCAACTACTAGAAAAGACAAAGCTATAATAGAATTATTATAGTCTGTAATATGTTAATTACCCAAAACAAGTTGGTCTTTGGGATAAATTAGAAATATTTGCTCCTGCATTTCTTTTTGACTTAGAAGGAAAAATACCAATGGAAATAAAGTATGCCAGAAATGAGCAAAATAAATTAAGAATACTAAACCTGATGTCATAAAATGAACATCCCACTATGTTGGAATTTATACATTTTTAATGAAAATTAGCAATGATCACTCATTGTATATTTCTTGGTAAGATTTAAAAGTAGCCCACAATAAGGGTCGGGTTGCTTTTAGTTTTCTATTGAAATCAAGACATAGGTTTTGTATGACATGCTTGAACTGAACATTTGGGAACACTTCCCTTTAGTCTCCTGCATAGAGTCTGGCGCCTAGTAGGTGCTCAATAAAATTTGTTGAACTGTATTCACAGAAGTGATCCTGGAGATCTATGTATTTACTCATTGAGCTAAAGAGCCCTTCATGATTCCAAAAACGGGAGTGGCCTGGTGTACCCATTATATATCAGGTATTATCCAAGACATTTGAATCACTCATGTGAAAATATTTATTAAGCTTCTATTATGTGCCAGGCACATGCTACAAGATGGTGAACCAAACATACAGTCTCTGTAGTCATGGAGTTCACGTTTCTAGTTGAGAAGACAAACAACGGAACAATAGAACACTGAAAGAAAATGAACAATTATTGAAAGCTGTTGAGAAATGTATGAAGAAAATAAATATTTGACCTGAGAATTTGTATCAGAAAGTCATTCAACTCTAGATAACAGAAATCTTTCGAAGTAGTAGCTTAAATATGTTTCCTTCAAGTGAAAGATGTCTGGAGGTGAGCATTCCAGGGTAGATATGGTAGTTCCAGGATATCAGGACACAGGCTCCTTCTGGCTTTCTGTTTTCCAGAGTTGGAATGGGGCTCTCATCCTTAAAGTCACTTTTTGGTCCAAGATGCCTGCTGGCCTTCCAGTCAGGAAGGAGGAGGATGGCGATGTGGACGCAAAATGGCTTGCTTACCATATAATTCAGTCCTTTTGAAGAGCAATCCTTGGAAGCCTCACCTAGTGATTGTCTTTTACATATCAGTTAGAAAAGAGGATAGGACATGCTATCTGTTAGCCAGATATGTAGTCACACTGAATAAAATGGGAGCTTTGTTAGTAAGAAAGAAGGCAGATATGGATGTTGGATAATCAACTAGCAGATTTGAAACAGACTGGAAGGATATAAAGAGTAGGACTGCATGGTAACATTTACTGAGATGGGGAAGGCTGGGAGGAATGGGTTTAGAGGAACGGCAAGAGTTCCATTTAGGACACATTAATTTTAAGATGGCTGTGAGACTTCCAGTTGAGTTTTCAGGTTGACATACCACTACCTTACTTCTCCTGTCAACCCCAGGTTTTCATAAAAGAAGGACTTATGATTGAAAGGGAGAGCTCAGAGACTTAACATGAAAATGTATCTGTATAATACATACACTTTTATCTTAAATTGTATTTTAGGTATTTCTAAAAATCTCAAAGTTTTCTATAGTTTCTTCTTTCTTCCAGAACTGTCTAATAAGCATTTAGTATAAGTAAAGCACTGTTATAGGTTTTGGGGATATATATTTAGAACAAAATAAAGATCTCTTTCCTGATGTAGAGCATTCTAGTGAGGCAGACAGACAAGAAATAATTAACATAAAAATAAATAGATTAGTTAAGTCATCATTTATATAATATTGAGAAAACATCATGAGCACTAACTATCATTATGGATTTTTATTGTGCTCAGTTTCTTCACTGATGTCCTTATTGAACTCTCATATCAGTCCTATGAGGCAGACTTTTTTTTCCTCGTTGAACAGATGAGGAAACAGGCTCAGAGAAGTTGGATAAGTCCAATGCCTTGCCCATGTGTTATCTCCTCCAGGAAAGCTTCCTGTTTAAGTGTTTCTTCCACTCACAAGCCAGTGAGATCTTCATGGGCAGCTACTGATTGTACTGAGTTTGATAGTCCTATCCCCTGACCTGGAACCTGGCATATAGTCAATGCTCAGTAAATGTCCAATTGTTGAACACAACTGGCCTACCTAGTTTACACACCTAGCGTTTATTTGTCAGAGCCAGGATTTGAGTCTATCCGTGTGTTTGAACAGTTGCCTCCTGATTCATGTATTTTGTACATCTAGATTTTAGGTAATTGTATTTTCAGAAGCAGAACCAGTTCTCTTTTTTGCATAATGGAGCTTGCTTACTTTAAGGCAAAATAACTCAGATCCTCCAAGGCAAATCATTCTAAACAAAGGGCATTTTTTCATGAGCTTGAATTTTCCCATTCCCTTTAGCAAGCCAGCTTCCGGTTAACCAGGCCCTGAGGCCTTAGAAGGAGACCTGAGCTCTCTGTTTTACTCAGAGTAGCTCATGATGAAGTCACTTGATGACTTGCCATCGAAGGCTGTAAAGACATTAATTATTGAAATTAAGTGGGTGTTAAGAGAATCCGAAGTCACTTTTGCTTTGCCTAGAGACACCGGAGAATCTGAGAATATTGGAGCCAGAATCTGAGAATATTGGAGCCAGAAGGGCGCTTAGTCATCCTTGTTTCAGTCTTCCTCATTTTCCGGAAGAGGAAGTAGAGATTCAGAGTGGCAACAGGCACTTGGCCAAGTCAAGCATTTAGTGGCCTCACCATCTGCCTCCCACTCCAGTGCTCTTTCTATTCTATCATGCTACCACTTATTCAACAATTAAAAGGTATTCTCATCATGTATAAGGAATTGTGAACGGACTTTTACTAAAGGGTAAAGAGGTGATTTGTTAAAATGTAACCACGTATTTTAAGTGATAAGCCAAGTATAATCCACCCCCAACCTGGTTTGAAATAACAACATTTGTGATTGAATATTGAATGATTATTTTTTAGTAGTGTTTTTCTATCTTTGTGTTACCTGCTACCATTGCAGAATACACAAAGAGGGAGTATACTTTTCTTTTTAATTCCTGAAGAAACATTAATAATTCTAGCAAGGTGGGAATGTGCTGTAGCCAAGAGGTCATAGGCTTTGGTGTCAGGTGGCCTGTTTTTAAGTCATGGCTTCACAGTCTACTAGCCTTGTGAGCCTTTGGTAAGAACCTTCTTGGAGCTGTTGGAGAACCTGGCAGGTGTAGGTACATACACTTGAAGAATATGAGAAGGGGTGGTGGAGAGACAGATGATGGGTTGATCTGGAGCTCTTGAATGCGACTGAATCCCACGAGGTCTCTGTGGCTGAATCTAGACAGGGATTTTGATAATTTGGAGCACTGTTGATAGACACAGCCTCCAGTTGGCATTGGTTGTGAACATTTACCCTTTTGTTTTCATGACTTAGTGTCTTGGCACTACTCAAAAAGCCACTTTAATTTTATTTTCTGGAATAGAACCTGGTCTAAATGAAAACACACACACACACACACACACACACACACACACACACACACACACACTACATAATCAAGTAATTAATTCACTAAATAAATATTGTGCTTACTATGTATGAGGCACTGTTCCAGGTCCTGGAGATGCATTCTAATGGAATGATGTGAAACACAGGTAAAGAAAAGGAAGAGGAAAATAAGCAGAATGTATGAAGAGGAGGATAGCAATGAAGATGCTTGCCATTTATCTGGTGCTCCCTATGGGCCAGACATTAGCCGGTACTGTGTATACATTGTGTCACTGGATTCTTACAACTGGCCTATAAGGCAGGTATTATTATCATCTCCCTCTTACAGTGCAGAAACTGAGAGCTGGTAAAGCGAAGCAGCTTGCCAAGGGTTATGTAGCTAGTAAGTTGTAGAGCTTGGATTTGAGCCCAGTTGTGACTGGATCCAGGGCCTAAGGTCTTGGCAACATTTTATGGGGATTAAAAAGGACTGCTAATGGGTGCAAGCTTTTGTTTCTGGGAGACAATAATATCTTAAGGTTAGACTGTGGTGATGGTTTCCCAGCTGTGATTTTTTATTTAATATGAAAAATCATTGAATTGCATATTTTAAATGAGTCAATTGTATAGTATATGAATGGTATCTCAATGTTGTTATTACAAAAAAAGCAGGGTAACTTGATGGTTAATGATTATGGAGAGCCTACTATATGTTGGGCACTGTGCTAAGAGTTTTACAAATACTATTTTATTTCATCTCACAGCAGCCCTGTGAAGTAAGTGTATCATAACCCCCATTTTACGGATGAGGAAATAAGGACTCAGAAAGATTGAGAGACTTGCCCAGGATCATGTACATAGTAAGTGTGGGAGCCAGGACTCAATCCCATGTTTGTTTGACTTTAAAGATTATGCTTTTTCTGTCTTTGTAAAATAGGAAAGTGATTGATTTTCTTTTTGGTATCAAATAAATATGGCCCTGGTTTTTATTGGTCTTAGAATTTATGACCATTTCTACTACTAAATGGTCATGGAATAAAACTTTGCAATGTTTCTGCCACATCACTACCCACATGTTTTATTTTTCCACATAGAAACAGCCCAGGCTGGGGGAGGAGGTTGTTCATCCAGCAATTTAATGATTAAGTTTTAATCTATTAGGCAAAAACTAAGGAATAAAAAATGCTTCATGTATAAGGAATTTAGAATAGGGAAAATATATTAGGTATTCGTTGTGCTCATTTTCCGGCAGTACAGAAGCATTTTATTTTAAATGTACTGTTCATTTTGGGTGTTATGTTTTGTTTCTCTTATGTAAACTTTCCCCGTTTATGAGAAGCAGCAGCGTGTGTTTTTTCTAGAAATAGATAGCATTCATAAACTGAAACAGTTTCATTGGGGACATTTTCTGTGGCACTGCAACAGAACTGTCTTGGCAGAAATACTGGAATCCTATAAAATAGAGTTAATATTGATATGCTTTAATCAAAAATTTCTGTTTAGAAGCAATAAAGTTATTCAGTATTAGGCAGCCTCGGTTCTATCTTTATCCTTACTGCTAAAACATCTTCATCTTTAGAGTATGTTGCTATAACTATATATCTCCAGATTTTCTTTCCCCAGTTCTAAAAGAGAACTCTTAGGAGTTGTGATGCTACTGAGGATCTCCCAGCTTTGCCTCATCGGGGTGGTATGCAATTATATCCCGTCCTCTTCCATGTCTGATAACATGATCACGAAGTTCATTTTGGTGCATCAGTTCCTATTGAACACCTTTGCCAGACGTGCTGTGATTGGCCAGAGGCCGCTTCTCCTCATGGTCGCCTGAAAGTATGCTGCATATACCTGATCTGGCTGTTCCCACCAGCTGGGATGCATTTACTCTCCCTCCACTCTATCTCTGCCTTTTGAGATCTTAGCCATCTGTAGCAGTCAACATTCATCTGTAGGTACCATAAGCTAAAATAGGTATTTTAGTGCTGTTAATTAGGTACTTACAAAATCTATGGGGTGGGTGGAAGTGGGGGCTTTAGGCTGTGTCTCCAGGAATGAAACCTAGACCACCACCACAAAACTGGCCCTCCAAAGGGAGCTGCAGCTGCTTTTACGTGCAGAGAGGTGGGGAGTTGGGAAGCCACCACTGGAACGCTAGATTTCAGGACGCATAGCTGATGCCGCAGTCCAAGGGGAAGAAGCCACCACCACTGCTACTGCAATTGTCTCTCAACACCTCAAAAATAAGTCACTGGATGCTCAAATATTGCTGTGAATACTCCATGTCTCCACAACTTTGCTTACCAGGAGTAAAAAGCTAAACAGCTGGAGACGTGGGAAGATAATCTTTGCCTTACTCTTGTTTATAAAATATATAGGCACATGTATTAGTCCATTTTCATGCTGCTGATAAAGACATACCCGGGTCTGGGAAGAAAAATAGGTTTAATGAACTCACAGTTCCACGTGGCTGGGAAGGCCTCACAATCATGGCAGAAGGCAAAAGGCACTTCTTACATGGCAGCAGCAAGAGAGAATGAGGGAGAAGCAAAGTGGAAACCGCTTATAAAACCGTCAGATCTCGTGAGACTTATTCACTACCACAAGAGCAGTATGAGGGGAAACCGCCCCCGTGATTCAATTATCTTCCACCGGGTCCCTCGGTGGGAATTATTGGAGTACACGTGGGAATTATTGGAGTACAATTCAAGATGACATTTGGGTGGGGACACAGCCAAACCATATCAGCATATAAAAATGAAAGATATATATATCTTTTTATGTTTTATATATATACATTTTATATACATTTATATATACATTATATGTACATAAGATGCATGTACACATCTATTTATAGTATACGAATATAAAATACATAAATATTTGAAATATAAATATATTTACATAAAAACAAAAATATATGTAGCTTATTATGTTCCAGGCAGTGGTCTACAAAATTGTTCCCATTTTTTAGATGAGGAAACTGAGGCACAGAGAAATTAAGTAACCTGCACAGATTGTAAGCATCTTCTTCTATGAGACACATTTTATTCCATCCAGCAGTGTTTTGCCCAGATGCTCAGTAAGTATTTGGTGAATTAATTGAAAATAGGTGTGTGCCATTGGTAAATGATCTTTTCCTCTTCGAGGCTGGGTCTTCCTTTGAGAAATGAAGGGCTTGGACTCAATGATCTCTAAATTCTTTCCAGTTTATATCCCTAAGGTCTCCTTAGGTTGATTTGTATAGGGCACCCTAAAGAAGAGCTACTGTTATGGTTCTCTAATTATGTGCCAGGCTCTGTTCTAAGCATTTAACATGCATTGTTTCACTTGAGCCTCTCAACAGCCAGGTGAAGAAGTTTTGGTCATTATTCACTACTGTTTCAGATGTGAAGAAATGGGTGCTCAGAAAAAAGTGATGGCTGGTCTGTGGTCGCTCCGCTGGTGAGTGGCTGAGCTCAAATGCCAAATCGTGTCTGCCTGACTTTAAGCCCATACTCTTAATAGCCGAGAAAGCCCTAGTTTTCTCAAAGAGAATGACATCTAGGGCATGCATTTGTCTTCCCTTCCTTTTCTCCTGCCATGTCTTCTTTTTCATTTTCGTCATCATCCAAAAACATACTGCAGATACTTTGGCATACATTTTATGATTCTCATCCCCTTTGCTGGTAATAAAGTGCTTACTCCACATGTGACATGTGTTGACATCTGAGAGCATTTTTTGTTGCTGAGTTGGTTGTTAATAAACACTAATGAGTTGGTCGCATCTCCCAGAGCAAGGACAGATACCACAGGAACAGGTTTTAATACCTGTCAAGAGAATACAAAGTAGAAAACTTTATTGTGGTGCCCTCACCATATTGTCCTGGTTCTTCCTTGCATTCATTATTTAATACTTTTTATTTTATAAAACTTGCTTATTTTTGTGATAAAATATTCTCACTCTTTAAACAACATAACTATATGTCATTGCTGTTTTAAAAATCCATGTGTACTTTGCAGCCATAAAAAGGAACGAGAGCATGTCCTTTGCAGGTACATGGATGGAGCTGGAAGCCATTATCCTCAGCAAAGTAGCACAGGAACAGAAAATCAAACATCGCATGTGCTCACTTATAAGTGGGAGCGGAACAATGAGAACACATGGACACAGGGAGGGGAACAACACACACTGGGGCCTGTTGGGGGGTGGGGTTGGGGGAGGGAGAGCATTTGGAAAAATAGCTAGTGCATGCTGGGCTTAATATAATACCTTGGTGATGGGTTGATCTGTGCAGCAAACCACCATGGCACACATTTACGTATGTAACAAACCTACACATCCTGCTCATGTACCCCAGAACTTAAAATAAAAGTTAAAATTAAAAAAAATATATATATAAAAATCCATGCATACAACACAGAATGAGAACTTCGAATACACACTAGAGGGTATTAACCATGGTTGTCTATAGGTAGTACAGCTACGACATATTTTAGTTGATTTTATTTTCTCATGTATATTCTGAGATTTTTCTGTCATGGGCTTGTATGACTTTTGTAAGAATGATAAAGTAAAATGTTGACCATGGTCTTAATTGGTATCTTCTTATAGCTGAGTCTCTTACGTTTTTTCCTCTGTGCCTCTGCCTCCCAGTCAATCAGACACAGCACTCTTCTATGTCAGCTGCCCGGGCAGAGCTGGGGTTTCGAGACATTAGGGTTGCATCAGATGCCTGACTAAGGCATTTATAAGACTGCCCATAGCTTAGAACTTCCAGTGATCTGGACCCTCTAAATTTGGGACTGTTGACCTTTGGAATATATTTTCTTACATAGGTTTCTGTGTCTTATTTGATGTGGAAACAACAAGAAATCCGTACCTTACTGAGATCTATAACTCACGAGGGACTTCAAAACTGCATTATGTCAAAGGCAAACAGTGTTCCATCATTGAAAATACAATTATGAAAAATGATAACTAACTTCTGAGTGGTACTTTTTAGAGTTTACATGGGCTCTTCACTTCCATCATCTCATTTGGTCTTCACAGTCTTCCTGGTGGGTAGGATAGGATTATTTCATTTTAAAGGTGAGAAAACTGAAGCCTGATATGGACAGCTAGGGAGTGGCAGAGCCAAGACTTGAATCCACATTTTTTTTTTCTTTTTTTACTTTTGCTGCTTCACTACAGTATTTTCATGAATTAATTGAAATAATCCTAGATATCCAATAAAACCATCACTACCGCCACTGCTGCCTCTCCTCTCCTCTTCCTTCTCATCATTGTGATCATCACCATCATCTTTTCCTTCTGTTCAATATCCTTCTGTCAGTTAATATTTTATATTTTGAGGGTCTGAATATCCGATCATGAACTAGTCTCATAATCCAAGAGGGGTCAAAGTCATCCCTCTTGCATCTTCTTCTCTCCCTTTCCTCCCTCTCTCCTTTCCCTCCTTTCCTCCATATTTCTCTCATTCTTCAGTTACTTTCATAAATATTTATTTTGAACTGTTCTTCACAATATTCACTTAGCCCTGGCAGATGGCCTGAGAGGTCAGCTTTCATAACCTGATCCTTCTCTTTTCAGCAATGAAGGATGAATATTTCAGGATCAGCATATTTTATCAATGACCTAAGGCTTTCTGATTACTTTCCATCTGTGGGGTCTACTTCATTTTGTTGCCTGGGCTATTTAAAAGGTTTCTTGCATGTAGTGTATTCATGATAAATAACCAGTTGCTTTTGTTTCAGGGAAAGCCATCTTAAAGGAGCAAGTCACAATATGCTTCTACTCTCACAACCATAATTTTAGGCATTAACTTACTCTATAAGCATTATTACCAGGGGCCAGGTGCCTCTTATAATAGTGGCTAGCATGTTGCCACTCTTCATCACACGTTATCATACTTGTCAATTTACTTGTTCACACCCCTCCTCCCTACTTTATTGTGTACTCCTTAAGGACAGGACTGTGTCTTAATCACTTTTATATCCCCAGGGTCTCATACATATTAAAAGTATGAAACAATGAAAAAAAAATAGCATAGCTTTGGCACAAAGGATAATTACAAGCTTCTGAAGCCTTCCGGAGATATCCGGAGGCTCGCTTTCCTCATCTGTTCAGTGGGGGTAATAGTGGCCTTACAGAGATGCTGATCAGACACTCTTGCTTTCTTCCCCCTAGTTTCTTAGAATCTTCTTGGTCTCCTCTCTGGCCCTCATGGCACTGGTTGCATAGGCAAATCTAGACTCTTACACACTTGGCTATGAAGAGTTTAAAACCCCTTTGTAAAGAATGTCAAAACTACATTTGAACTTTATGTAGTATTTTCATTGGTACATTTGGAATCCTAACTAGATCTTAGAAGTCACTGTCTTTGCTCACATATTCTCTGAGCTTAAGCACAAGAAAATGATTCATTAAAATATTTAAATCAGCTACTAGAAACAATAATGAGGATAAACATCTCGGAGGCCCAAATCCATTATTCTGTGCTCCCATTCCATCTGTGAAGGCTGGTACTCTATCCAGCACTAAAAATTTATAAATGCAGGGTCAGTAAGACCATAGTCAGCAGGAAATTGCAAAACTCTGGGCTCCTGCAAGCAAAGCCCAACTTTTCTTCAGAAATTCATGACATTGGAATGGAACAAAACTATGCAGAAGGTATAGTGACAAGAGTAACACTGAACTTTAAACGCCAACTCTGTGGCTGCCCAGCTGGATGGCCTTGGGTAAGTCACCCAACTTTTCTGTGGCTCTGTTGAGTCATTTGACAAATGAGCATAATCAATCTTGACTGCCTCTGTGGAGTTGCCAGGAGGCTTAAGGGCGCCTCTGTGTGTGGAATGTGCTCTGTCAGCTGGAAGATGCCTGTCATGTACATGGGAGGGACTCATTTTAGGATGGCTACTCAGAGATTTTTGCATTAGAAGCACAGGTTTGCTTTAGCCTCAGTTTGCAAATGTACAGGATTAGCATTCCCATGCAGTGTCACTCTATCTCTGGAATGCTGCTATTGCCAACAGAAGTCAACCAAATGCCTCTCCACAATCTGTATCAAGCATACCATATGTTTTTACACAATGGAAGTGATCTTAAAGAATTGAATAATATTTTCTTGAGGGAAGTTTACTTTTTGCAGGAAACCTGTGATGAATTATTTGGTAAGAGAAAAAAGCCCTATTGTAATCTCTTCTAATCTATCAATTCTAAAAGTTTAGGTTCTTTTATGTAATTTTTTCTAGACATGCCAGCCAGGAATGCATTCTAAAGTATTGTAGTGTTAACATAATGTATTCTAAAAAGATGATGATGTCATTTAGATATCTACTAAATAAATAGTGAATATTTAGTAATAGTGCTGATAATTACTTGTTTATTGTTTGCTTACTATGTGTCCCAACCTGTGCTAGTTGCTTTATATGCCCCATCTTATTGGATCCTCACTATTTAACAGATGAAGAAACTATGTCTTTAAGAGGTTAAGTCATGTATCTGATGTTTGAGAGCAGGCCAAATACCAGTGTGATGGTTTACATCCAGGCCTGCCTGACTTCAGGATAGGAGTTCGTGAGCATGAAGGTAGATTCTGGTAGTTTATATTCTATAGAATTTGGAACCTGCATCATGAGGTCAGACGAGAACATAAAGAATCTTAGGTTGCAACCAGAAGAGGACTCTGTGGTCTAGAAAGAAAAAAAAATTCCCTGAGTTATTAAAAAAGTTAGTGGAAAGGCCTAGGTTCCCACTCAGCACCTGTTCCTCCATACCACATTGTGTCTGCTACACACAGCACCTCATGGTCTATAGATGTCAATTGTAGCATGGCCATTGAGGGTATGGAATGAATTGTAAACAGGCCTTATCTTTCAAAGCATCCAGCAGCCCTGAGTTCCACGACTCTTTATACCTGAGGTGAGAGTTGGCCAGATAGGGAATTGATCCTATGTCCTACTGAAAACCAGTGTTGGTATTAGCAATGGTCTTGGTAAAATACAATGAAGAAGAATAACGATTTTAAAATGAAAAAAAAAACTTGAAAGAAATGGAAAATTATAAAGGACACAGTTGCAGGCTCAATATAACTTAAATTAGGGGTTGACAGACTTTCTCTGTAAAAGGAGTGGAGTTTGACTGAATGTTTGTCTCCCCTACAAATTCATATGTTAAAATCTAACCCTCAATGTGAAATTATTAGGAAGTGAGGCATTTGGGAGGTGATTGAGTCATGTGGATTGAGCCCTCATGAATGGGATTAAGTGCCCTTATAGGAATAGAGCAGAGAGCTAGCTCCCTGCCTTTCCTTCATGTGAGGTTACAAGGGGTAGTTGTTTGTTTTCAACCTAAAAGAGGGCCCTCACCAGAATCTGATCACGTTGGTACCCTGATCTTCGTCTTCAAGCCTCCAGAACTGTGCGAAATACATTTATGGTGTTTATAAGCCACTTAGTCTATGGTACTATGTTATAGCAGCCTGAACAGACTAAGACAGCCTGTTTATGACTGCTTTGGGATATGTATTCTCTTTTTATCTGGCAGGCAGGAAATGGCCAAGCCTGAGTAAAGGCAGAGTAGTCCAGTGCTGCCCAATATTCCTGGTTACCTTTGGGTAGCCAAAGGCCACATTTCTCTGAGGGTATTTCTTACTGATAGACTGGCTATTAAGTTTCACTCTTCTGCTTGGAAACCCAGCTTAAAAGCTATTTTGGGCAGTGAAGTTCCATCAGCTAATATGTATTCCAATGACAATGACAAGAAGTCCCAGCCTAGGTTTCATCAAATACCAGGCCCTACAGACTGCTCCTCTGAATTTAAAGCTTCACCCTCTCTATTATTGTCCATGTTTGTTCAAAAGTATTTATGAATAATGATAATGATGATCATTATGGCTAACATTTATTGAAGATCTCCTATGTGTCAGGCATTTTACCCAACATTAATACATTTTTATCATCCAATTCTTACAACAACTCTATGAGGCAGATACTACCATTGCCGCCATTTTGCAGATGAGAAACTTGAGGCTCAAAGAGGCTCAGTGACTTGTTCCAGGTCACTGTTACTTAGTGGCCGAGGCAGATCTGAAGCTCATGCTGGGTGATAATAAAGTCTGCTGTTTACCACTCTGCCACACTATCATCCCTGTTTAAGGTTCTAGAAGGCACAAGGAGCCTGCCTTTCTAAAGCAGACATTATCTCCATCTTCCTTTCAGTCTAGTTCTGAGAATGTGTTCTCACTTCTCCCTCTCCCATGTTATTCAATTCTCAGTCTCAGGCCTACAGTAATTCACACTTGGATAACTGCAGTAGCTCTTAACTGTTTCTTTTAAAAACAACTATATTGAGATATAATTCACATATAGTACCATACAATTCACCCATTTAAGGCATACAATTCAATGGTTTTAGTATATTCACAGAATTTTGCCACCATTACCACAGTCAGTTTTAGAACATTAACATGTCAAAAAAGAAGCCCAAACCCTTCAGCTATCATGCCACTATCCCTGTTCACTGTGACTTCCCTCCCCACCAGCCCTAAGCAACTGCTAATCTGCTTTCTGTTTGAATGAATTTGCTTATTCTGGACTTTCATAGGTAGACTTATAATATGTGTCCTTTTGTGATTGGCTTCTTTCACTTAGCCTTAGTACTGTTTATAATTCTCACATGTAGCACGTATCAGTACCTCATTCCGTTTGATGACTGAATAATATTCCATTGTATGGACATGCTACATTTTGTTTATCCAGCCATTAGTTGATGGACATTTGGGTTGTTTCCATCTTTTGGACATTATGAACTAACCAGCCTCTTAACTAGATTCTGCACAGCACTCTCAGATTAATTTTCTGAAAGTACAGCTCTCATTATGTCTTCCCTCCAATTAGAAGTCATCACTGGTTTCTTATTGCCTCTAGGACACTGTTTAAACTTTTGAGTTTGGATTTTATTGTGGGAAAGTGCAAGGCATGGAGTGAGCACTTATACTGGGGAAGGAATGGCAAGGGAACTGTGCTTTACTGAGCCCTTGTCCTTACCCTGCCTTATCTCCCAAGATCCTCAACACAAACTCTCTCTTATATTTACATGGATCTAGGCATCATTCTTCAAATATGTTTCTCATTGTCTTATCTAGACTCTGTTTCTCCTCCTTGAAATGCCTTTCTGTTTTATGGCTAAGTCAGGCCCTTCTAAACCCTGCTTGTCCATGGAGCCTTTCCACGTTGCTGCGGCCTTCAGCTAGCTCTCCCTTCCCTTTCATCCCCTAAGCCTCTCACCGTCTGTACGGCCCATTTGGCCGTCAGCATGTGGGGCTGCACAATGAGATGGGGCTGCTTTTCTATCTCATTTTCTTTGGTGGATTGGGAACCTCTTGAGGCCAGGGATCAAGTATGACTTATTATCATGATCATTAGTATAAGAGTAATCCCTATCATTTGTCCTAGGCATTGTTATGTGCTGGGTCTTTTACTACATCCTTACATTTGTTAACAAGAAAAGACGTCAGGGTAGGAGCTGTTATTCCAGTTTCATCAAAGAAGAAACAGACTCAGAGATCCTAAATAACTTATATTTGGTGTCTCAGCAAGTAAGTAATAGAGCTTAGGTCTATCTGATGCCAAAGTGCAATTTCCACAATGCTGTGCTGACAATGACTTTTTTTTTGCTCATCCTGTCCCTTCTCTTCCTCTTCCTCCTTTGTCATCACCCAGCATCATTCTCATTTTGCAGATGAGGAAATTAAGGTTCGTACAAGTTTGGTATTTTTTCCAGAGCCACGTTCATAGTAAGTAATAAAGCAGGGATGTTAAAATTAAAACTTCTGTCTCCAAGCACAAATTTATTTTCCTTACCATGATATTTGTGTATGTTGGGGCCTCAGCAGGCTGTTTTATAATAATTATCATGCTATAAAACAATAGGGAGGAGAAGATTCACATACACAAACAACTAGAAGAACTATAAGATACTGTATTGTGGTGGGGATTATAAATGTCATAGAAATTTTGAAAAAAGTCATGACAACTTCTTAGATGAAGGAAGGCTGGTGCTAGACCTTAAAGGATGGGTGAGGTTAGCCAAGCACAAAGGAGAGAGGCAAAGAGAAGGAGAGAGACAAAGACATTCAAGTTTTCTTGTGGAGCCATTCTCCCAGCCCAGTCCTCCACATCGACTCAAATTCTCTAAGAAAGAGTGTAGACGCTGGTCTTAACCACCATTGGGACAGCTGTTAGAAGGAAACAAATAGTTGCATAATATTGAAATGGTTGTGTGGCTTTGTAATATGTTTATATTTATCAAAGGGAAAGGCAAGGACATTATACAATTCGATGAAGTCCTGATTTAAAAATCTGTATTTTCACTTACTACAGTGTGAAAGGGGATAGATTGAGGCCTTTATTTATTCGTTTAATTGCAGACATATTTAATATTTATTATAAAGATTTTATACTTCCTCAAATTCAAATTTTTATTTTCCAAGTATGATAGTTCTTTTAGTTTTTGTGAAAGGCAAAATAATACCCAATCCGTCGAATATTCTTTTTCAAAATTGCAAATCTGTTTCACACGTAAAAATATAATACCAAGTCTGATTATAAACCACAAACAACAAAATGTGTTTAAAAACAAATGCTGTAGTTGGAATAGCAGTAAGATAAATCACACAGGTTTTTAGGTATTTGCAGCAGACTATTCAGTAGCTGTTGGCTTCAAGGATGATTAAAAAGTAGATTTATTGATTTCTAACGAAACCATAATATTAATAATCTGTGGAGGGATAGTAGACTATTGGCTTTTTGCCAGAATGGCTTTGAGGAGAGTATGGCCTTTGGTACTAATAGCAGCTTCTCAGCAGCAGTCAGAATTGGGTCTCTGAGTCCAGTGCATTAATGGTTCAGCAGCAAAGTTTTTTCAGTACTCAAATATGACTTATGCCCATCAGTCCCTGATGAACTTGTTCAATTTAAATGGGCATAAGTCATATTTGAGTACTGGACACATTCAGAGCATCTCACCCTTACAAATGATTGCTCTTCTTGCTTGATTTTTTGTGTCTTTTTGAGATGCTAAGCCATAGCAACTGCCTTTATTCATTCATGGTATCACAGGAGAAGAGTAGATAATGGATGATATTAATAGTATATCCATTTCTTATACTTGGGCCATGGAAAGTGGACCACATAGAAAACCACCTACGGGACCACGTAAGGTTAGTGATCCCGCTTTCCCTGTTAGAATACAAGAGATTGCATCCGTGAACCGAGGCCCTGGGAATGCTGTGATGTCTTCTTGAATGTGATGCTTGGCTTCTGAGCTTTTACTTTTCAAGAAAGTGGTAATTATTACAAAGCTTTTCACCTTTCTTGGCTAGTGGAGGAATCCTATCATTTGCAGGTTTCCACATTTTTCAAAGGAAAAACGCTTTTTATCGTCTTTGTTGTATTGTAGCTCCACTGAAGAGTTCTCATCATGGTCCTTTAAACGTAAGTTTTTTTTTCAGTTGGTAGTCTGCCTTTCCCTGAGTTGATCATCTTTTGGGGTTTGGGCTTCAGATCAAATTCCTAGTGTTGTTTATAGTCAGTGCTGCACAGAGCCTCTCATTCTTGTTCATATCTGCCTATTATCGTCTCTACTCTTCTCCTTCCCTCTCTCTTTCCCTTTCTCCATCCTTCCCTCCTCTCTCTCTCCCACCATCTCTCCATTCCTCTCACTTTTAAGTGCTAACATGTTCTTCCTGAGGTACATATTTGATAGCTTTACCTCGCCTCCTTAATCTGCTCGTGTGTCCTTGGTTTGTGGCCTGTTGTACATGGTAAAGCAATGTTCCAAGCTGGGGCCATCTGCTTTGCAAATTCCAGGTCATACCTAATCTTTCTGATGCCATACTATTACAATGAGTTCCAGCCCCAGAGAAGTTATTTTGCCTCCCTGGCGGTTACTGAACATGTGTTTATGTGTGTGTGTGTGTGTGTGTGTGTGTGTGTGTGTGTGTGTGTGTGTTTGCTTTCCCCAGTAATGGGAAGGATGACCCACATGGCCATTGCATTATTTTTGGGGTTGTGGGTGGGCCCTGATCACTTTCAATTCTGCCTCTCAGTTGCTGCCACCAGTATTTCAGGCTATGGTTCTGGACTTAACTAATCTAAAAATAAATCGCCATTTTTATGACCAGAAGTCTACTAATGTAGCAGTTTTCACACCTTTTAAGGTTTGTTTTGCTTTGTTTTCTTCTAACAGTAATTAAAAAAATTCTCTCTGAAATCTTATGTAAAGTTTAGTGTTTCAAACAGGTCAAATTGTAGTTGCTGTGCTTGAGATGTTGATGGAGAATTCAGAGTTTTCCTTCCTCCTCCCCACCTCAGCTACAGTTCTTTGGAGCAGACTTTGATATACCCTTGGATTGGTTCTCTTTTCTTTCAATTCATAGGTGAGAACCAGAGACAAGGACAGGGGAGAGGACAGTAACATAAAGGCTCAAGGGCAGAAAGTTGAAGTACCTTGTGACCAGGGCCTGGTCATTGGTCCTGCATGAAGCAAAAGGACAACCATTGATCCTACCTACGTTTGTCAGTACTCTAACAACTGTCCAGCCAGTATTGAGGCTTAGCAAGTAGAGTTTTTGTTTTTTCTTTCCTTTTCTTTCTTTTTTTTTTTTTTTTTTTTTGAGATAGAAACCTCTTCACCACTATTCTCTGCAGCCACAAGCCTCAGACAGAACCAGTTGTGGATAGCAACTCGACAGGTTGCCATGCTTTTAATAGATAGTTTAAGTAAGTTCTGTTCTTATAATTAGGTTGTTATTTCTAACTTTTATTCTATGTGAGGCTAGGTTAGTCAGACCCAGTAAATGCATATTTGTTTGATTCATTTGGCTACGTTATTTTAGGCCATGGCTAAGATGCGTGTGTCCATAGGCAGGGAGTGGCCAGAGGAAGCAAACCGAGGTGAGATGAGACCATCATTTGTAGCCATGGGGGCCATAAGAGATCAGCTCCCATTTTCTCCTAGCAGGGGTACAGAGGGAGCAGGCTGTCAGGAATGACGCTCTGTGGCAAAGGTTGCTAACTCAGGGGAGTCCTCATTGCTAGATAGGTGAAGAGTGGCTCTGTCTTGCCTTATTTTTGTTTATTTTTGCTGTTCATTCTTTTCTTTTTAAATTTTAGATTCAGTGGGTACATGTGCAGATTTGTTACATGGGTATATTGCATGATGTTGAGATTTGGGGTTCTATTGAACCCATCACCCAAATAGTGAACATAGTACTTAATAGGTAATTTTTCAATCTTTGTCCCTCTCCCTTCCTCCCCTACTTTTGGAGTCTCCAGTGCCTATTGTTCCCATCTCTGTGTTTCTGCGTACCCAGCGTTTAGCTTCCACTTACAAGTGACAACATGCAGTATTGGTTTTCTGTTTGGACATTAATTTGCTTAGGATGATGGCCTCCAGCTGCATCCATGTTGCTACAACAGGCATGATTTCATTTCTTTTTACGGTTGTGTAGTATTCCATGGTGTATATGTACCAATATATACATGATATATATGTACCAATCCACCATTGAAGGGCATCTAGTTTGATTCCACGTCTTTACTATTATGAATAGTGCTGTGAGAAATATACAAGTGCATGTGTCTTTTTGGTAGAATTATTTATTTTTCCTTGGGTATATACCCAGTAGGGGGATTACTGGGTCAAATGGTAGTTCGATTTTTAGTTCTTTCAGAAATCTCACCAGTCAGAATGACCATTATTAAAAAGTCAAAAAACAAAACAAAACAGATGTGCTACCCTATTCAGATCCCTCTCGCTCTCTCCATCCCCTTCTGAGCTCAGAGGTGGGGGTCATGGGCTTCTTCTAAGAGCCCTAACCTGGCCCATGCTCGCTGTCACTGATCTGTTTCACACCCTTTTCTCCCTCGCCTGAAATAGTAGAGCATAACACTCATCTTTCTGCCTCCAAACTTTTTGTTTGTGTGTGTGTGTGTTTCTAATGTTTATGGTGAAAGATGCATTCAAAAAGTGCATATGACACATCCATGAAGATTAAAAATAATTATAATGAAAAAATAAAATGAACTCCCATGTATTTACCATATAGCTTGAGAAATAGAGTGTTACCTATACTTAAAAGCCTGGCTCTGGCAACCTTGTTAAATTCTCTTAATAAAATTCTAATAATTTGTAACATTCTTTTATTCTATATAGTCAATGATATCATCTACAAATAATGACACTTTTATTGCTTGCTTTCTGATCCCTATGCCATTTACTCCATTGTTTTGCCTTACTGCACTGGTTAAGACCTGTAGTCCAATGTTGAATCAGAGTAGTAGACACTCTTCTTTTCTTCTAGACTTTTAAATGGAATACTACAATATTTTATTCTGTGAATGGATGTTGACTTTTATCAAATGCATCTTCTGCGTCTTTTGAGATGATCATATAGTGTAATTTATTTATTTTTCTCTCTCCTTTAACCCTTTTTTTTTGCCACCTTTTCCTTTAAATTCAGGGAGTACATGTGTAGGTTTGTTACCTGGGTATATTGTAGGATGCTGAGGGTTTGGGCCATCCTGAATGCACCCGATCTCATCCTTTAATCCTTTAAAGCAAGCTTGTCCAGCCTGTGGGCCATGAGCCACATGTGGCCCAGGATGGCTTTGAATGTGGCCTAACACAAATTAGTAAACTTCCTTAAAACACGAGATTTTTTTTGTGATTTTTTTTTTAGGTCATCAGCAATCATTAGTCTTAGTGTATTTTATGTGTGTCCCAAGACAATTCTTCTTCTTTCAATGTGGCCCAGGAAAGCCAAAAGACTGGACACCCCTGCATTAAAGCAATATGGCACTTTACATTCATAGAACTTTTAAAGTGAAACTTAAATTCCTGGATTTAATCTGAGTTGGTCATGATTTATTTTGTTTTCTATACATTGCTGGATTTCATTTCTTAATATTTTATTTAGTATTTTTATATTTATGATCACAAGTTATGCTAGTATATATTTTTCCTTTCTCATGTTATTGTCTATTTTGGGGTGACAAGGTGAGAATAGCTCCATAAAATGAGTTGGGAAATATTCTTGTCTTGTTTTCTCTGGAAGAGTTGGTATAAGATTGGAATTATCTGTTTCTTTAATATTTAGTAAAACTTGACTGATGTTTGCTTAATGGGAAGTTTAAAAAAATTTAGTGCTTATAAGAATGTTCTTGAGTCAATTAAAAAATTTTTTTTCTACTAATGTCGATATCTTATTGAAATTGTTAAATTTATGGGTGTAAAGTTACTCATAGCATTGACTGATCTTTTTTATTATCTGCTACATCTGTAGTTATGACCCTTTTAATTCTCAATATTGTTTATTTGTGCCTCTGCTTCTTGTATTACTCCTTTTATTTCAAAGTCCACATAATTGCTAAATCAATGTTATTAAACATGTTATTAGTCATATAATTATCTTCCTCACTTACAAATCACAGGAGGACTTTCAGTGCCCTTTATGATCTAGCTCCAGCCTAGCTTTCCATTTACAAAACACAATTTTTCTACTTGTGATTTTGAGTTCCAGCCACACAAAACTAGTGTACTTCTCCTGATATATTCTTAACTTTCATAACCTGGTACCTTTGTTTATACCCTTCTCACCATTTTGACCACCCTTTCCTATATCTTTATCCTTTGAAATACTCATTGCTTCTCAAGGCTCATCGCAAATTCTACCTGATCCATGAATTCCCCCAGTTTCCCCCAGACAGAATAGATAACTCATTCTCCTGTGTTTCCAGCACACATTCCCTCAGACTTTTTCATAGCAAGTATTGTGTTGTTTTATTTTAATGAGTTGCTTACATGACTGCAAACTAGTAGGTTGTGAGCCTCTTGAAGGCAAATCCTTGTCTTTTTCATGCCTACATTCTAAACACTTAGCAGGGGACTACTCAGAATCTGTTCAATTCAATTGGAATGAATTAAAGTGGAATTGAACAGGCATTCATACTGGAGTAATGTGAAGATTTCCTTACCCCCCAGAATTCCCCCTTCACCATCTGGCTGAAGTCTGAAAATCCACTATTTGAACTCCACTAATTTTTCTTATTGTGTTTCTTTCTTGTTAAAAATGCTAACTGGTCTTGGAAAGCAGAGGAGGCCCTCCCTGGCATTGCACCCTACCCCTCACAGTTTTCCCTGTTACCTAACAAATGGTAGCTTTCCTAGATCTTTTCCTGAGAGCAGATATACAGGCAGGACATGGAAAAGGAACATCCCTAAGGGAGAACAAAGATGCAGAAAGTGGTGGGTACATATGGTTGTTGTTCTTAATTTAGTATCTACTGTATTCCAAGTATTGTGCCAAGTCACATGTAATCTTCACACCAAATCAAAGAGCTGGGTTCCATTATCATCTCCAGTTTTAAAGATGAGAAAACTGAGACTCAGATAGGTAGAACAATTAGGCCGAAGCCACTCAGCCTGCAAATGGAGGAGTTGAGATTCAAAGTGAAGTCTGATAGACTATTATTCTACTACCCAAGCTATCTCTTCTCTATGACCTCATCTCAAGACCTCAGCTATTTGTCAAACACCTGTTATGTGAGTAACCTCTGCCCGGCTCCACACTGTTCCACAGTCAGTTTTTCAGGTATTTATTTTAGTGGTCAAAAGTGACCTCATCTCTGCTGATTGATCTCTGAAGCTGCTGGAATGAGGCAAGAATGTGTGATGTGTGCAATTCCTTTGGCTGCTTCTTGTCCCTACAGCATCTTACTCTGCTCCCTGAGCGAGGGCTTTTGGGTTTTGAAAGGATCTGGAACTTTTTTTCAGAAACAAGTCTCTGCTTTGTCAGGTAGTTCCAACCCCATCTGTAGGATCTTCCTGAAGGCTGAGCACACCAACATCCAGCTGTTGGAAACAACAGCTTCCTCAATTAAAGAAGAGGCAGACAACTATCTGAAAGGAAGCTGGGAACAAAGGTTATCCTCAGGAGATTGCTCAGGAGGCCAGCCAGAGGGCATGAATGTTTGGTGACAGCATATATTTGGGGGCAATTTGTACTTTGCTGTTTCAAGACAGAGCTCTGCTGGCTAGGAGAGCACATTTTTTCTTCCCTTACTCCACTAATTGGCAGCGCCATTTAGGGCTGTCACAGCAACAGTCTTACAGATCTTGTGGTCCAGACCCGTCACTGTGTAGATAAAAAGCTAAAGACCAGAAAGGAGGAGTGTCTCATCCAGAGTCACATAGCAGAGTGGGAGTCAAGCCTGCATCAAGACTCAGGACTTTTGATGGAACGTCCCAGGCTGGGAAACTTTATTTGGCCCTCAGTTTAGACTACCCTTTTTATCAGTTATCTTTTCTATGGAATATGTTCTTTATTTTCAGTTAGTCCTTAAGTGCCTTGAAGACTGAAAACATATTTTGTAATTGATTTTTGGCTCTCTACCATGATTTGTACATATAGGGGTTTGTTGGTCAGGTCAGCCCTCTCCTCTTCTGACTCTTATTAAACATGACTCCTATTATCTCTGTATGGCCTTGCCCTTGCCACTATGCAGCCCTCAACTGTATGCAACTCCTCTCACCTGGATATGGCTCCTAAGTGTGCTGAACCTCAGCTTTTCCACAGCCAGTAGCTCCATTAGCTCTAGTTCCTTGAAGTCCATTCCAAACTCTGTTTCTAATTCATGTAGGTTTGAAAACAGTGGTTTTGCATTGTGTACATACAGTTTGTATAGTTTTCTTCACTGAACTTTAGAACTACATGATAGTTCTTCATGCAGCACCATTAACAGAGATATATAGCTCTGTCTACCATGTTCATAAGATGCAGAGTAACTCACTTCTCAATCTTAGTTTTCTGGGTCCTGCCACATTTTTAAGAAAGGAATCCTCTCTTGGGATATTCATCTAAAAAAACAAAAAGGCACTAGAGACGGCCTGTATGACAATGTGATATCTGAAAGGCATATCAGATTTGCTAGTCTTTTCTTCATTCACATTTCTGTATTAGGCTGAGGTGCTATCCCTGGCGTCCTCTACCAAGCAAAGTGACTTTGGTCAAGTCATTTCATTGCTCCCAGTCTCAGATCCTTCATCTGTTGATAGAGATAAAAACCCTGACCATGAAATGTTGGGAGAATCTAATAAAGTAATGTCTGCCAAAGCACTTGGACATGATGTATTCAGTTCTCTGAATAGTAGCATTACACTTGTTCGCTATTGGAGGGCTCAGTTATATGGGGGGTGTTGTGACAGCAGAGATACTGTTGTACTCTTGCACGTGTTCCTAAGCCCAGCGTCCTGAGTGCTACCCAACATGTGCATCTTGGCTCCATGGAAATCCAGCAGGCTGGAACCACTAGCATCCCCAGTAGACTGAGGCCATTAGTAGTCCTGCCCAAGAAGAGCAGCTTGTAAAAGTAATACCCCAGTGTAGATTCTGGGATCACATCTTCCTTTAACATCCAGAATAATAGATGACCAAATCCTGAAGTAAGTTTAGAGCCCACTTCACTATCTCTGGAAGTTTTTAGCTCTCTAGTGGGAGGTTTGAGTTTATCTCTTTTTCTTGAGTCAGTTCCATCTGTCGCTTGCTTCTCCACTGACCCTTGGTTCTTCTCGCAATAGCAGATGTTTCAAAGTATGTATGACCAGCTCTGAAAGCAGCTTCCAAGGAGGAGCTGTCTGAAAGTTGCATGCACAGGCAGGGTAGTAAATTAGAATCAGGATGGGACAAATTTGAAGGCAGGAAATCACATGGCTGCGAAAGCTGAGGTGTGATTGTGACAACTATCCCCAGTCTCCTAGAACCATACCCTCCACCTGGTGTGTTGCAGAAAGCTGACCAACTGACTAATTTTACATCTCTTTTCATAGGGATGATTTTGCTCGCCATTGGTTCTAGTAAATAGTGCTCCACAGGTATTTGCAGCATGCCCCAGTGCTCATCCCTGTAAGGCTGATGCCTCCTTCTTTATTATTCTTTTCCCTGCTGATCACTCCAAGCTCTTTTGCTTGCTTGTGGTGGTTCCATTTTTAGTCTTTGTGAAAGTTGTTAAACAGACTTTGTTGTAGTAAGATTTGAGATGTGTTCTGTTGGTACAGAGATGGCTTTACTGAGTATTATTGCCTTACCCTAAGATCAGTAACTTATCTTAGTGGAGAAAGTCAAATCCATCTAGTTTATTTTTAGCAGATATCTTCACTGAATGGTGGGAGGATAGTGCAGATTGCTCTGAGTAGGTCAAAAGTAAACATGCAGTGCCAAGGACTAATTTCTCTTGTGGGGCTTTTGGGGTTCTTGGAATGTCTAAGAACATGGTGGAGAATTAATCAGGGATCTCCTGCCCTTTGCCTCCCAGCTACTTTTGAAGCATTTCGATTGGTAAATGCTAGTTTCTGAATGCACATATCAAATTGCCAAGTAGCGCCGATCCTGAGAGGCAGATGCCTTTTGTTGTTTGAGGATTGGTGCAGCAAGAAGCTCCAACTAGAAGCTAAGACCCAGAAAAGCAGTGGTCACAGACAATGGGATGCAGTTGTTGATGTGATCACAGTTTAAGGGCTGTTGTTTGAACTGGCTGGCTTCTGCCTGTGCATCCCACTTCGATACTTTTCTCTGACAAGAAAGAAAGCAATCAGTAGGAATGTGTTGATGAGATCATAAAATTTAAGATTTGAGAATGTTAAAAGGTGTTCAATTATGCCAGAGTTTGACCAAATGCAGGCTGGAATAGAAGGACTGAATAATCAGAAGCTATTTAGTGAGTCACATCCTTTTAGGGAGCAAAAGTATCTAAGGAATAAGATGGGTGTGAGTTGGGACTAGGTATTGCTTCAGGTCACCTGGGTGCCATTCAGCAATTAAGCATAGCCTTAATGGAAGAGAAGCAAAAGTGTAGCTGGCAGCCACCCCTCCTTTCCTCTTCCCAGGGCATTTCTCTATTTCATTTAGGCAGGCACTCGATACCTCTTGCCTGTATATTGCAACAGATAGCCTCCTAGCTGTTCTTCAGCTTCCCATGCCTTCCTTCTCTGGCCTCTTCTCTTTCCAGCATTTAACATAAAGTGGTGCCAGGTACCTCTTTCTAAGGCTTAGTTCTATCAGCTTCGTCCTGTACTCAGACTACGACAGCTAAGGAACAGAATCTCCCCTCCCTAGCTTCTTGTCCATAGGCTTTCCAATAAACTGAGCAGCCTATGCCCCTCTGTTCTCCTTCATGTGCGCTCATTTCCAGCAGAACTAGACCCCTTACCTCTTGCTGAACACACCCTGAAGTTTTCTGCCTCTGATATATAGCAGTTTACCTAAATGTATTTCTCCTTCTTGTGATTTTACTTGTCTTTTGTCAGTATCATCTATTTTACTAAGCTTCTTTTGACACCCTAACACCAAATGAAAGGGATTTACTTCCTCAGAACTCACATTGTCTGTGTGATTGAACTTCTCTCCTGGCTTAAATTCATGTGCTCATGACTTGTTTGTCTCTCTCAGTGGACAGTAAGCTCCTTGAGGGCCAGGACCTGTGCCAGATGCATGATTGTCACATTTTGCCTCTGGGCCCTACAGAACCCATGATAAATGTTGTAGTGGCCTTACCCCACCAGACTCCAAAGCTTGCAAATACTTTGAGATCCTGTGGGAGATGATAAACTGCATTGCTCCAAATTAATATTTTCCTGATCCTCTCCCTCCTCCCACCCTCTGCTTGCAGAGCTTGCAAATACTTTGAGATCCTGTGGGAGATGATAAACTGCATTGCTCCCCTTCTCAGGACTTCAGCTTTCTGGACTACAAATCAGGGGGTTTGCCAAGTTTGCTTTTCAAGGCCTTGGCTAGTTCTAGGATTCTGACCCAAGTTTCCAGGAAGGGTTTGTGTTTGTTTGTGCTCTACTTAGATCCCAAATTGTTCCTCTGCAGCATGGGCTTTTGTTACCTTTGCTTCCTTCTTTAGACAAAGAGAGAGAGCAAGAGATAGCCTCTGCTTTTTTTGCATCTTGACACCCCAGTTCTCTCAATATTTCCAGTGCCTTTCTAATTTATAACCCTGGAAACCAAGAATACACTGTACACAGTCTTTTTTTTTTTTTTTTTTTTTTTGAGACAGGGTCTCCCTCTTTCACCCAGGCTGGAGTACAGTGACATGAACATGGCTCACTGAAGCCTCAACCTCCCGGGCTCAAACAATCCTGCTGCCTCACTTCCCCAAGCCTGCTGGGACTGCAGCCGTGCACTAGCACACCCGGCTAATTTTTGTAATTTTTGTAGAGATGGGGTTTTGCCATGTTGCCAAGACTGGTCTTGAATTCCTGAGCTCAAGTGATCTGCCCCACCCCAGCCTCCCAAAGTGTTGGGATTACAGGCGTGAGCCACCACACTCGGCCTTAGATGCAGTCTCAATGCACGTTTAACAGCACACACTGGGGCCTATCGGAGGGCAGAGGGTGGGAGGAGGGAGAGGATCAGGAAAATATTAATAACTAATTGGTATTAAGCTTACTACCTGAGTGATGAGATAATCTCTACAACAAACCCCCATGACACAAGTTTACCTATGTAACAGACCTGAAATGTACCCGTGAATTTAAAATAAGAGTTTGAAAAAAACACATTGGGTATTGCTTACTACGTAACAGGTATTAATGCCTGTTATGTACTAAGCACTCCATGAGTCTTTGCTATTTTTGTTATCATTATTAATAGTCACTTTCCAGTAAGACAGACCTGAGTTCAAATCCTGACTTTGTGATTTACTAGTGGTGTGTGACTAGTGATGTCAGGTTCTTGATCTATGGGAATCTCTACTGGAAACTTACTTTGCAGATGCATTGTTAGGGTTAAGCAAGTTACTTTATGTTAAAACAGCTGCTGTGGTCATGGTGCTTGACACATTATAGCTCAAAAATGTAGCTTATTATTAGTAGTAGTTTTATGTGCATTTTTATGGTATAGGAACTTGATAAATTCATTCAAAAGCCAATTTTAAGTGCCTACTGTATCCTGGGAGCTATGAAAAGCACCTTAATAATAATGTTAAAAGCCAGGTGCAGCGGCTTACGCCTGTAGTCTCAGTTACTTGGGTGGCTGAGGTGGGAGGATTGCTTGAGGAGAAGAGTTCAAGGCCGCAGTGAGTTATGATTGCACCATTGCATTCCAGCCTGGGTGACAGAGGTAGATCCCATCAATAATAATAATAATGATGGTCACAAAGATGATGTTACTATTACCTATCAGTAACACTTATTGAGCATTTTCTCTGCCATAGGCAACTTGAAGAGCTCTACAAGTATCTTTTCTTTAAATCCTTAACAGGCCTAGGAGAGAAGTACTATTATTATCTTCATTTTATAGATGATGAGAGCAAACCATAGAGAAATTGAGGAAATTTCAGATAGTTGCTCCAGGATTTCAGTTGAGATGAAGAAACTGAGGCATATAAAGCTAGTCAATGGCAGATAAAAAAAAATTGAGTCCAGGTCTTCTGTCTCTAAAATCCATCCTTTATATCAGCCCATAACCATTGAATGAAGTTAATCATGTGGAGGCTGACATGGGCATAAACATGACATCTGAAGCATAGTTTTCACCCCTTCATAAGAGTCCAGTTGGGTACCACATAAATGTGGCCACAAGAAAGTTATGATACTTAAAAATCTCATAAGGATAATAGTATTTTTTATTCAAGTCAGTTATTTTAAACAGTGCAAAGGACTTTAGTATGTATGCAGTCCAGGAGTTTCCAACTTTGATTTACCTTTTGAAATAAATTAGAGTCTATGAGCCACCTGATTTCCTGTGTGCCAAGATTTACCTGGAGTACTTCAGCCACCTGTCCTCAGCTGCCTCATTGCCTTGCTTCCTCCCACTTTCTCTCCAACACACATGCGTGCACACACACATGCACACATGATTTATCATAATCTGGGTAACCACCTGTCTTAGTCCATTTGGGCTGCTATAACAAAATACCATACATTGAGTGGTTTAGAAATAACAGAAATTTGTTTCTCACTGTTCCAGAGGCTGAAAAGTCCAAGATCAAGGCACTGGAAGATTTAATGTCTGGTGAGACCCCACTTTCTGGCTCATAGATGGTGCCTTCTCACTGTGTCCTCACATGGTGGAAGGATTGAGGGAGTTCTCTGTGGCCTCTTTTATAAGGACACTAATCCTGTTCATAAGGCCTCCAACCTCATGACCTAATAACTTCCCAAAAGCCATGAACTTCGAGGCTAGGATTTCAACATATGAGTTTTGTGGGGATGCAGACATTCAGACTGTAGCCTCCTCGATGGAGTGTGTTCCTTGCTTGTGTGTCACTGTGGAAAAAAAAATGTGGAAAATCACAGCAGTCAACCTTCTCATTTTATCCCTGAATTGGAGATTGTGAGAGGGGACATATCACTGGCAGTCCTTTCAAAGTTTGGTCTACATCTATCTATGTATAGTGGCCAAATTTAGTGTCAATGATCATTTGTTTTGAGTTTTTTTTTTTTTTTTTCTTGCAAGTAATGCTGAGTGAATCCAACTGTAGCTGACTTTGTTGAATCTGCCTGGGAAAACTCTTGTTCCCTTGCATCAGAAGCCCCACCATAAAATTGGCCTTGGTTCAAAATTGATTATTTGCACAGATTGGGATATGTTAACAAATAGAATTCCTTCTCCTTTCTTTCCTGCTCAAGTTATTACTTACCAAGTCATCAACCGTTCTCTGATAGGCAAGAAACAAACTGAACTCCTTAATCTTGTTTGTTCTAAAGCTTAGGAAGTGATTTTGAATCACTATATAGGGTTTCACTGCTAAGATGTGCAATGGGTAAACCCCCAGAGGCTGGGATACAGATTCAAATCAGATCATTCGCTCCAAATGTATCAGAACTCCTAACAATGTCATAGCTGCCCAGCATGTTTTCGAAAACCTGCCATTTTGCAGGAATAACATACTTCACGTCAGACTCCAAATGGCCGCATGGATGTGTTGCAAAGCTGAAAATTAATGACATGAAACTTAACAAGGTGTTCCAGAAGGTCCTTGCTGCCTCCCTCATGTCAATGCTCCTCTGATTCCAAATAGGAGAGTTCACTGGCAACTGTACTGTTCAACTGTGGAGAAAAATTTGAAAGCCACATGATCATAGGCTTTCTCAGAAATTAATCTATACAAAGATCAAGTAAGGTATAATTTTCTTGGCTGTTGATGGAAATATGTTTTTGTCCAGCAAATAAACAATCTAGCTGGGTTTTGGAATCAGGGCAGTGTAAGGGGCACAGACACAGAAACTGCTGTGTTAATGATAGTGCTTTTGAGACCCAGATAAAACCTAGGTCTTCAGCTTTCCCAGGAATAAAGTGGTAGGGCCGAGAAGGTGTGGAGCATTACTGAGTCAATCCAAAACCCATCACCTGCTTCTCACAACTGAAATAACTATATCAAACAAGGATGACTTTGCTCAATATAACCATCAAAACACATGGCGTATGTACAGTTTATCGAAAGATTTTGGGTTCACAAAGCAAATTCTGGAAAATGGCATGAAGGCAGAGAATCTGATCAAAGAGTAAATATTTATTTAAAAAATAATTCTTAAAGAGGCCCAGAAAAATAAATGAAGAAAAGACTAGCTGTAGATTATGGTGGAAAGAATGCTGAACAGGGACACTTGAATTCTAAATCTGTTATTTTAACTTACTTCTGTATTTAAGCTTTTTGTTCTCTCACCTAAGTTTCTTATTCTTTTTTTTTTTTGACGGAGTTTTCACTCTTGTTGCCCAGGCTGGAATGCAATGGCGCGATCTCGGCTCACTGCAACCTCTGCCTCCCGGGTTCAAGCGATTCTCCTGCCTCAGCTTCCCAAGTAGCTGGGATTACAGGTGTGCACCGCCACGCCCGGCTAATTTTGTATTTTTACTAGAGACGGGGTTTCTCCATGTTGGTCAGGCTGGTCTCGAACTCCCGACTTCAGGTGATCCACCCGCCTTGGCCTCCCAAAGTGCTGGGATTACAGGCGTGAGCCACTGCGCCCAGCCAGTTTCTTATTCTTTAAAATGAACTGGCTGAGCTGTTTTTCAGTTCTGACGTTCTATGACTATGATAACAACGTGATGAAATCTGCATATTGGTTAATAACATACATCTCTCCCCAGCAAAGTGAAAAGGCTTCTGTTAAAATTTTGGTCTAGTTGTGCAGGTGTTTACATGTTGGCCACACAAAAACTTAAGAGGCAAAAATTTTCACATGAATAATCAAGTTACCTGCACTTAGTTGGTGACTTAATTTTTATTTTTTTATTAAAGTGAAATTCACGCAACACATATTAAACATTTTTTTCCATTTTTAAATTTCTAATTATTATGGATACATAATACTTGTATTTTATTAATGGGGCACATGTGATTTTGATATAAGCATGTAGTGTGTTAATGATCAAATCAGAGTACTTGCGGTATCCATCATCTCAAGCATTTATTATTTTATTGCATTGGGAATATTTCAACTCTTCTAGCTATTTTGCAATATATAATAAAATAGTGTTAACTGTTTCTAAATGTGCAATTCAGTGGTATTTAATACGTTAACAATGTTGTGCAACCATCTGCTCTATCTAGTTCCCAGACACTTTCATCACACCAAAAGGAAACTTCATACCCATTTAAGTAATCACTCCTCCTTGTGCTCTTTCTTCCTGAATGGCATAATTTTTAAAATTTATATTTTGCCTTTATTTATCTGACACAGTATGTTTGGGGGGCAGTAGGTAGGTGCCTGCCTGTGCTTACTGGGAAGCTCAAATCTCCCTGAAACCAGCACGTCAGCCTCTGAAACCAAGTTTTGGCTACTTTGAGAGACTTAGAGACTAAGGGCTAGGGATGCTATCTGTCATGATACTGAACAGATACAAGTTCATTGTTTTAAACAAATTATTAAAAACAAAACCCTGAAAGTTTTTCAACTAAGTTCAAAGAAGAAGTAAAAGTCAACTAAGTTCATGTTATCCAGGCATAATCACCATTTCCTGTAATATCTTTGGGAATCTTCCTCTGCATTTTAACATATATACTATGTATTTGCAAAAGTAAGATCATATGGTACACACTTATTTTATTTACAAGGTAAAAAATTGTTCAAATTAATACAAGATAGGTTTATAAAATAGAAAATAGAACATCTGTTTCCCAATCTTATTTTTTGATGGAGAGTACATTTCAGACATATTTTTGTGTCAATAAATATAGTTTCAGAGCATCATTTTAATTGCTGCCTAGTAGTCTATTGTATGTAGATGTTACAGTTTCCTCAACTAGGCTTTTTTTTGACATTTAGGTAGGTACCATTTGTCAGCTATCATAATGATGCTACAGCTTGCACCTAAATTTGTGCCTATATCTATGATTATTTCCTTTGAACAAATTTGAATATGTGACCTTTGCTCATGATGATAATGATGCAATATAATGAAACTAAGGCTAAAATGTAGCTGCTCACATTAGAGTCACCTATTTTGCAAACACACTTTGGGTGGCTCTTTTTATTTTACATAGCATACCCACACCCATCATTTCATTTAATACTATCAGTGGCTAATAGCTAATATTTATTGGACACATATGTGCCAGGCATTGTGCTATGTGCTTTAGAGAAAGGTACCTTATTCAATGTTATTTGTTATGTACTATTATTATTTCCATTTTAGAGATGAGGAGAGTCAGGAGGCTCAGAGACATTATGTAAATTGCCCAAAGCGCAGTAAGTGGTAAAGCTAAAATTTTACTTTGGTCTTTTGGGTTCTAGATCCAGTATTATTCCTAGTGTATGACAAGTCCTTTTTTTGAATTGTAAAGTATTCTGAGCCTACATTTGGGCAAGGGATTTAGATTCCGCACCAGTTATCTTGGAAAGATTTAACAGTAAGGAAGCAACATGGTGTTCGTAGACTGTGCCCCCTCCATTTCTAGTCTAGGCTGGCTTCCTCTGGGGATACCTGCCTATAGTTAATTTCTGTGGAACTGTAAGTGTAGTTCTTGTCATGCTGGATCCTTTCCCAAAGTAAGACTAGAGTGGCTGTGGCTAAGACAGCGAGGTGTGATTTATGAAAGTTCAAAAGGGGCCAGGAGCAGAGATTGGGAGAGGCCTCATTTACATTAAGAGTTACTGTGAATTAGGTTCTGGGGCAAAGTGCTCAAATGAATTTATCATTAAAGAGCCAATAAAAAGTATTAAAGGACAAATTGGCTGAATTTCATTGGACCGTTTTATTCTGTGCAGAGGAACAAATGATAGCTTGTGCTATTTATTTTTTAGGAAAAAGAACTGTAAAATAAGATACACATCAGCAAGCCCCCAGGACCAATGTTTTTCTGGGAATAAAGCTGGGGACTATGGGAAGGCAGCTAAGGTTCCCATTCATGGACTGAAGTAATTTTGGCACTGGGAATCTTTGCCTGTTTTCAAGGACATCTGCTAAGTCCCCAAACTGTGTCCCGGTTGGCCTTGATGCTTCGCGGCTCCACTGACCCAGATCACAGAGCTAAACAGGCGAATGCAAAGATTATGGACTTAAAGAGGTCAGAGTTGTGCAGGTCCTTGGAGAGCATCTAAGGAGTGAACTCCTCAAATTGACTAGTGGGGAAACCAGGGCCTAGGCAAGGAAAGGGACTTGTCCAAGGTGCCCAAACAAGTGACTGCCAGAGTGTCAAAAGTTTAGTGGTCACATTTGCAATCTTCTGTATGTTATATTCACCAATGACATGTAGGACTAAATGAACGATTTCTCTTCCTTCTCATTTTCTCCCTCCTTTCCCTCTTCTACCTTCTCCACTCCTTCTCCTCTTCCCCATTTTCTCTTTCTCCTCCTCCTGTTTTATTTTCTTTTTCTCCATTATCATATTCATAACAACATCTCTGGTATGTATCACGTATGCTAGCTAACTAACAAGCTACTGTTACCTCCATTATCTCATTTGATCCTTCATGTATCATGGCTGTAGTGCTCAGAAACTGAAAATCTTACCCTGATGCAGAATGTGCAAGCCAACACACCAGTCCCCCATCTCGGCACCCCCCGACTGAAAAGGCTGACTGGCTTCCTGAGCACTGTGCAGATCCTGTATACAAGCCATGGACTCTCTCCCTGGGATACTTTCTTTCTTTCTTTTTTATTTATTTATTTTTTTATTTGAGAAGGAGTCTCCGTCGCCAGGCTGGAATGCAGTGGCGGGATCTCGGCTTACTGCAACCTCTGACTCCCTGGTTCAAGCAGTTCTCCTGCCTCAGCCTCCCGAGTAGCTGGAACTACAGGCGCATGCCACCACGCCCAGCTAATTTTTGTATTTTTAGTAGAGACGGGGTTTCACCATGTTGGCCAGGAGGGTCTCAAATCTCCTGACCTCCTGATCTGCCTGCCTCGGCCTCCCAAAGTGCTGGGATTATAGGCGTGAGCCACTGTGCCCGGCCCTCCCTGGGATACTTTCTATAGGTGTTTGAGGGTTACCACATTCTCTGGCATAATCTCAGACTCAGTGGCAAAAAAGGAAGGAAGTCAAGAAGCTTTCCTGTCATTGGATCCAGGTCTTAAATCAAGCTTTGCTTGACAAGCATACTTCCCATATTTCCTGGCTGGCACTTCTCTGTTGGAAAGGCCTCACTCATCGGCACTCTTTAGTCAAGACCAGGTTCTATCTAAGGCATCATCACTCACATGGAAGCCCAGTTTCTGAGCACTGGGGCACGATACATGAAGAGTCAAATGAGATAATGGATGTAATAATAGCTTGTTAATTGGATAGCATACATGGTACATACCAGAGATGTTATGAATATGAGACGGGAGAAAAATAAAATGAAATAGGAGGAGGAGAAAAAGAAAGGGAAAGCAGGGAAAGGGAACATCAACTTTTAAGAACCTAGACTCCTGGGGCATTAGATTTCTCTCCAAAAGGTAAGAGGGGGAGGAGAGAGAGAGGGAGGGAGACAGAAAGCGAGCACTATAAGCATGCAAAACAGAATTTCACACATAGTGAGAAATTCATGTTTTTCTTTCCTTGTTCATTTTTTCATTCACTCAGGTGACATTCATTGAGTGCCTAATAAGTGCCCAGCACTGCTTTTATCTCCATGATACAGCATTATCCTCAAACATTTATATTCTAGTGAGGGAGACAGACAGTAAACAAATAGACCTATATTATATTATCATGTAATTGCCATAATGCCATAATGCTATGAAGAAAAATGAAACAGGTGTAGTAATTTCCTAGGATGGCCATAACAAATTACCACAAATTGGATGGCTTAAAATAATGGAAATTTTTTCGTTCATGGTACTGGAGATTAGAAATCTGAAATCAAGGCATCATTAGGGCCATCTTCCCTCTCAAAGCTCTCAGGAATCCTTTCTTGACTTTTCCTAGATTCTGGTAGTTACTGGTAATCCTTTATGTTTTTTCACTTTTGTCTGCATCACTCTAATCCCTGTCTCTGTCTTCACATGGGCTTCTCTGTGTGTGCCTGTACGTCCTCCTCTCGTCTTACAAGGACTCCAGTCATTGGATATAGAGCCCACTTTAATGCAGCATGACCTCATTTAATTTGATTACCTCTGAAAAGACCCTCTATTTTCTAAATAAGATCACATTCTGATGTTCTACGTGGACATGAAGTTTGGGTGGAGGGAGGCATTAATAAACTCACTGCAGATGGGGAAAGAGAAGGGATAATTATGGTTGGTCTTTAGATAGAATGGTTAGGAAAGGCCTTTCTGAAGAGGGGACATTTGAGGAGAGAACTGAGAGAAGTGGAGCCAGCCATGCGGATATCTGAGGGAACAGCACTCTAGACAGAGGAAAGGCTAAATGCAGTGGCTGTCAATCTGAAGTGTGCTTGTTGTGCTAGAAGAGAAACAGAGATCAGCACAGCTAGAGTGCGGTGTGAAGGCATGGAGTAGAGTGGTAGGGAATGAGGTCAGAGGAATAACCAGAGATCAGATCATACAGGACCTTAAAGATCGGGGGAAGCAATCTGGGTATTATTTCAAAGGCAGAAAGAAACCACTGGAAACTTTTGAGCAGGAGATTGATGTAACCTGACTTCAATTTGAAAATGATCACTGTAGTTGTTGTGTGGACAACAGTCAGTCACAGAGCAAGGGTAGTGTCCTAGGAGCAAATTTGGAGATTATTATAGAAATCTAGGCAAAAGATGATGGTGTCTTGAAGTAGTGTAGTCATAGTAGAGGTGATGAAAAGTAGTCAGATTAGTTACATCATTTGAAAATAGAGATGAAAGGATTTAGTGCAACACATAAGAGAGAGAGAGAGAGAGGAATTAAGAATGGCTCCAAGGTTTCTGGTCTGAGCACACTCAGTGGCGTTACTTACTGAGTTGGAGAAAACTGCAAAGCGAGAGGGTTTGCAGGAAAAAATCAAGACTTCAGTTTCAGATGAGTAAAGAGTGAGATGCAAATTAGAATGCAGATGCAGGTGGCAAATAGGTAATTGGATATACAGGATTGGAGTACAAGGGAAAGACTGGGATGGAGAATATAAATCTGGAAGCCATCCATAGAGATATGAGACTGGATGAGATCATAACGAAGTGTAGATGGAAAAGTGATAAAGTCTGAGCATTCTGTTTTGGGTTACTCTAACATTAAAAGGTCAGGTGTTAAGAAGAAGCCAACATAGAGATGAGAAGGAGTGGCTGATGGGTATAGATATAAAATTAAGAGAGTGAGATATCCTAGAAACCAAGAAAATATTTCAGGGGTGAAGGAGTAATCAACTCTATGAATGCTGCAGAGAGTTGTACAATATAAAGGTAAAAATTTTCTCCTAGATATCACAACAGGGAGGTTGGTGATCTTGGTTAGAGTATTTTTAGTAGTGTAGTGGGGATGAAAGATTGCTTGGCAGGGCGTGGGGGGCATTTCAAAAGAGAATGGGAGGAAACGAATTGGAGCAGTAAGCATGGATGGACAACTTTTTCAAAGAGTTGTTTTCTAAAGTGGAAGGGAAGGATAAGGTGGTGGCTGGAGGAGGGAGAATGCGTAGTCAAGGAATAGGTTTATATTTTTTAAAGATGGGAGTTATTGTAATGTGATGAGGATGATGCAGTGGTATAGACATGAGAGGGAGTAATTACAGGGGCAAAGTCTTTGAATAATTAAGAAAGGATGGGAGACTGTATTGTACAGATGCTGGGTAAATGTGGTAGTGGGAGGATGTAGAATGTCTTTTCTAATTGCTTCTATTTCCTCACTGAAATCAGAAGCTTGGACATCAGTTGAGACAAAGGAAGAGGGAAGGATAATTAAAAAAGGGAAATTATGAAATAACTATCCAAGAGAATAGATGGCAGACAGCACCGATGGCCCACACTTGGGGTATGAGGCCTTCAGTTTAAATGAGAACAGACAGCATGGTTGTGTGTTTTTCTAGCCAAAATAAGCTGCTTGGGAGCAGGCATGAAGTCATCAAAGGGTTGGACTTAACTCAAATTTGGGTTTTGCCAAAGATACGTGACAGAGGAAGACAGGAGCCTGGGAATTGAGGATGTATACAAACCTCTTCTTGGATTCATCTTCTTCAGCCTCATTAATGTCTCCTCCTTACCTTTTTGTGCCTTCTCTTATTTTATAACATGACAGATAATACTTCTACACAAGTATTGAATGTGGAGTATGTTCCACTTGTTACAAACAGGTATGGAAGAGAGAGTGAGGAAATGACACAGTCCCAGAAGAAGCACATGTATGTTACCAAGAGAGATTGGCATGGAAGAATAAAAATTTTTGCCTAAATGTCACAGCAAGGAGGTTGGTGATCTTGGTTAGAGTATTTTTAGTAGTGTAGTGAGGATGAAAGATTTCTTGGCAGGGCATGGGGGCCTTGTAGAATATTTAATATTAAGAAACTTTATAACATGTATTTTGGGGAAAAACTCACTGTGGTTCTACTTTGTGTGTGTGCGTGTGTGTGTGTGTGTGTGGTAATATTTTCTCTATTTTGGTCAATGTAAAAACCTGATCATTTGATGATGATGATGATGATGATGATGGTGATGATGACGGTGATGTTGATAGAAGCAACTAACATTTGCTGAGTACTTACCATGAAGAAGGCACTTCACTAAGTGCCTTCATTTGATTCAGTAATTTATTTAATCCTCATGACAGTCATAAGAATTCAGAACCATTACTCCCATTTTCAGATAAGGTTAGGTAATTTATCCAGTGTATGACTAACAACATTCAAAATTAGATTTTGAACCCAGAACATTATGATTCCATAGTCCACACTCTTAACCACTCCTGCATTGCCTTTCAGTGCCAAAGACTTTACATGTTAAAGTTGGTACACTTGTCCATCTCCCTATCCCTTCAGTAGAACTGTCCCAATGTCCAGTCTCTTTGCTAAGTGATTGTGTTAGTTGCTAGTTGGGGCAAAGGTGTGGGTGAAGTTCAGCCCCAAATTCTTCATCATTTTTGTGCTCATATAGGGATTCTGAAAGAAGCTAGAGGGAGGATGGTGTTTGTCCTGCAAAGCTGTTCCAGAGACTTGTGTTCTGGGCTCATAATATATATTCTGAAGACAAAGCCTTTGGGGCCATTCCTCTTCTTCCTTCATCTCTCAGACCTAGTTTTATCTTCTGTTTTTTCTTGATCCATGGATATTAGGCAACTGTCTTGTTCTCCATATTGTGATCCCGTCTCTTGCCCCTGCCCTCTCTATAAGCTCTCACCTTTGTCTGAGACCTGCTCCTGGCTCCCACTTCATCAGGCTTGGCGTGACAAATTGCCTTCTTATCATACTTAATGCCAGCCTGTAAAATAGGGTATGCTTTCTGCTCACATGCTGTCATCATCTCCTATATCCATCTAGATCCAGGAGGCCTATTTCATCAACATAAAATCCACAGAAGCAACACACGCTGCGAATCGGTGCTCCATGTCAGAGCTGATGAGGATGGATTGGTGAATTCTGTAGATCACATCTGTCCTAAGCAGCAAATTAGCTATGCTTGAATTCAGCTACTACATTTTGCCTGCTGTGAACTTGCTTTACTCTTCTATGAAATGTATTTTGTAGCAGTGCAGAAGAAATACACAAGATTGATTAGAGTTGGCACGATTTGTGCATACTTCTGCAGTTATTATTGTAGTAGCTGCTTTAAAAGACTAAAAAGATTCTTTCACCAATTTTGTTCCTCTGTAAAGTTTCATTTAAACGTTAGCGGGTATATTTATGTGTAAATCGGATCAGCTTCCAATGATAGTTCCTTATTGTTAGCGTTTTGATGTTCTGTTTGCCTGAGCAGATTGATTTGCCATTATGAGAGAACGTTTGAACTGAAAAAGTCCTCTGAACTTTGTTCACTAATCTTATCAAAGAAAATAGAAGCAGAGGATGTAGACAGAAACCTGCAAATTAAATTTACTTTTCCAATTCAAATGTATTTGATCTGCATTTGTTATGGAACTGGGACAGTAGTTGCTTCTTGATTGTGCAATAGCACTGAAGTTTAGAATATTTTTCAAAGTCTTAACAAATTCAGTGGGGGAAAATCAGCAATGTTAACTGAAAATAGCATCTACCCTTTTGTATTAAGTTAGTACAGCATGTAGATCATGTCATTGTCCTTGTACTCCCATCTATCAGGCTTAGTGAGCACTGTGCAATGGTACCATAAATGGCTGGACCATCTCTGCTATGAGGTGACAGATTGTTTAGGGCAAGCCGCTGGCAACAGAAGTGTTAGCATGCTTGATTTGCAGCGAAGTGAGGGCCCAGTATCTTCTGCTTGATTCACATGGATGGGTTATTTCACATAGCTTTACTCAGATTTGGAGAACTGTGCTAATGGCCTGAGCAGTTTGCTTCCTTCTTCCCTCCCCATCACTTTCTCTCTCTCTCATTTAAATCATTCCGAATTTCTGACTCAAGTAGGCATATGAATCAGAATCACTGTGGAAACTAAACAAACAAACAAACAAAAATCCACCACAAGCTTAAGCTCTGGCTCTGGAGATGTTGCTTGAATAGCTCAAGTAGGTGTAAGACAGTAGAAAAGTGGAGGACAAATGGACTTTGGTCTGACTCCTGATTCCATCACTTGCTAGTCGTGTGCCCTTGGGCAATCATTTATTTTCTCCTAGCCTCATCACTTTTTTTTCATTTTTCAAATGGGTAACACGATAGCCCTGCTTTCATTAGGTTATGGGAGGAGTGAATGAGAAAATGCAAAGTGACTAGTAATCACTAAAAAATATACTTAGTATTTGAGTGCTTCCTATGATTCACTCTTATGTGGCAATCAGGCTTCTGCATTTTAAGTTTACACATTATCTGCAGGTCAATCCCCACTGAGAATCACTACACTTAAAAGATTCTTAAAAGCTAAGTATATGAAGCACTTGTTTCAAGTCTGTGTTCAGGGGCTGGTTCCAATTTTATGCTATGGTGCCACCTCATAAAAGTATATATGTATGTGTGTAGCTACTGGATATTTATGCTGTGCCTGGCACCGTGCTAGGTGCTGAGGACCCAGAGATCATGAATCATTGTCCCTAACCCTAAGAATGAAATTGCCTAATACCACATTCTACTCTGTAATAAAGTGGCACAGTATTGCAAATAGAGTATAACAAAAATTCCCTGTGACATTCAAAGGCGAATTTTATTTCAAACAAACCTAAGCTTCTCCAAACAGAATTGTCTTAGAAACTAATCAATAACAAACACTTCACTGGTAATCTTTATTTTAGTTATCTTCCATTGGCTTTTCAAATAGCGATACATTTTATTAAAGCTTAACTGGCATTTATTGAATGCTACCAAGGGGTCTGATGGCAAGTGGAGTTTACTAGAAAGCAGTGACATCAATACTGAATCAATGCACTTGAACGGAAGCTGTGCCCTAAGTGCCATTCAGCATCACACTGTCCCATTCTTTTGCAGAACACTGAATTGATCCCCAAAACAGTGCAGGTGCAGTGATACAGGACAAACAGCCCTGCGGTTCCCCAAAACCCACCTCTTCAAATCTGAAGAGAACATTCTTTCTTTTCTTTGTCATCAAATAAACACACCTGTACTAGGTGCTGGTTTCTCCCTGGACCGTAGTGTAGTGGGAGATAGACTGAAATACCTCCTCTTATACTTCTGGGCAAACCTCAGATACATAATTTGTGCATGGGCCAAATGGCCCTCAAGATATTGGGTTCCCTAATAGAGCTACCAAAAGATCAGAGAATCATAAGGTAAGGCACTGAGAAAAAATGAAACTTTCCTTCTTTCCCAACGTCAAGGTGATAGCCAGATTCCAGCCTCAGTTGAGCGATTTTTTTTTCAGTTTTCCAGTGTTTAGTTGTGTGCATTATTATAACTCAGAAACATTATGGTAGTATAGCGTTGCATTTTTTCAGATTTCTATTTAGTATTCTTATTTCACTGGTCAATGAAATGACAGAAGAGAAAATATCAGCTCATTAAAATTAAAAAGACACCACCCACTAATGTTGATTGCTTTAAAGCAAATTAATCTCTATACATGCAGAAGGTGCTATGGTTCCCTGTTTTGTGTGTGTGTGTGTTTGTTTTTTTTACCTTTTTAGATCTGGTGAATGCGAAAACCAGATACTCTTGAAAGTAAGTAAGTATCCAAATAAGTGCAAATTGCACTTCCATACCAGTGTATTTACTCCAGTGATTGCATGGATTTTATTTGACCATGTGATAATTAGAGCACATTCAAATCACAAATTCCCATTTTACACTTTTTGAGTTTTTTTAAACCAGAATGCACTAATGGCCTACAGAGTACTTCAGTGTTAGGTGATCAGAGAAACCATTTATATGATGTTCTTGCTAATGGGGAACTTTAAATGTGGGGAAGGCTATCGTCATGCATGGAGGCTCTAAATGGCCAGAAAAGGGAACCAGTATAATCATCAGAGAGCAGTTTTACATGTGGGTGAGTTGAATGATTGTTATAGATTCAAGCTATATAAATGAAGGTACTTTAAGAAATACAAAAAATTAGCCGGGCGCGGTGGCGGGCGCCTGTAGTCCCAGCTACTCGGGAGGCTGAGGCAGGAGAATGGCGTGAACCCGGGAAGCGGAGCTTGCAGTGAGCCGAGATTGCGCCACTGCAGTCCGCAGTCCGGCCTGGGCGACAGAGCGAGACTCCGTCTCAAAAAAAAAAAAAAAAAAAAAGAAATACACATACACAGACACACATACACACAATTTGCTATTGGTTTGGTATGGACAAATTAATGTACAGATAATATACAGGTTTAAAAATTAAAATACCCATTCTGCACTAATGGCAAATGGGAAAATAGACGGGAAAAGAGAGGCAGGTTTAGCCTGTGGACAAGTTGAGAGCCTTCTTTTTCTCCTCCATTTCTTTTTATTTCAGTTCCTTCTTTCATCTGTGCCTAAGCCCACTCTGAGCCAGGTGAAGAGAATGGACTCATAAAAATGTTGACTCTGAGGTGTGGACAAGGCAAGTGTTACCTTTCCCACAATAGGCTTATAAGGATTTTGAGAGGGATATATGGAGACAGCCATTCTTATTGGATGGAACAATATCCTGATGGTGACATTTTAAGCATTAGCAGGTAATTGCCTCTTCTGTGTATGAGGAAAGCTCTCCCTGGACAAAGATCAGTTGCCAATGTGTGTTTAGATGAAACTGAGAATAGTCCCCACTGAGCCACCAGTGGGATCGGGTAGTGCCTGTTGTGAGGAGACCACTGGCCAGACAAGTTGGGGACAAAGGAACAGAGGAGTGGAGAAAAGCAGAATGGGAAGATAGAGTCTGGGTAATGGGAGAGAATAGGGCGGGGATGAATCCCTGGGTTCAAATCCTGGACTACTACTTAACTAACGATCATTTTGTAGCTTAATACCTAGTCAGGAAGTGAGTTGTTAATCAAGTTATTCATATGTTCACCAAATAGCTATTGAACTTACTATATTACAAACATGGTAGGTGCTATGAGGAAAAAGTACATGTCACGAGAGACCTGATCTAGTCTGGGGCATCAGCGAACTTCACTGATGGAGCTTCACATTCTGAGACAGTGAAACTCGAGTTGAGGTATAAACAAGGAATATGAAAAATGAAGAGTTATTTAGACAAGGGTATGTGAAGGGAAAATTCCTGAAGGAAGGAAGAGCAGGCTTAAGATTCCTAAGGCATAACAAGAGAATACAGTATGTTCTAATGCACTGCATGAAAGCCAGCATGTCTGGAGCACAGCACATAAAAGTGGAGAAAGCTGAGGCTGAGGAGTTGAGAAGGGGGCGGAGACTTCCAGGTCTACCTGTCCATGGTAAAGCACTTGAACATTAGTGTAAGGACAATGGGAAGCCATTGGCAGGTTTTATGGAAGATGGTGTTTTAAATAGATGTTTCTGGAAGTGTAAGGTGGACAATGGATTAAAGTAGACACCACACTGAAGGCATGGTGACTATTTAGGCAGCTGTTAGCAGCAGTCTGGACAAGGTATGATGGTTTCTTGGACTAAGGTAGAATCAAGGAGAAAAATGAATGGATTGTGTGACCTTGAACAAGTAGCTTCACCTCTCTGAGCCTAATTAAGCTTATTTTCTTTCAGGTTTGGCCTAACATATCTAATGAATACACTGGGTTTTGCCTCTCAGATTATCTGCTGCGCATAACCTCCCTTATACGTGTTAACTATTCAAAAAAAAGTTTTATGTCCACACTTGATTTATGAATGAAACATAGAACTAGCTTGGAGTCTTTAGAATTTATTCAGAATTGTATTAAATTACTTCCTTTAGGCTGCTGGTCTGGATGAGTTATACATTTTTGTAATAAAAATTGGCTTTCAAATGAATAAAAGAACACTGACATGCCACCACACATGTTATTCCTCTCATCCTAAAGTACTGAACAAAAGGACCAATAGAAGACTCCCCAGCATTCAGCAGTAATTAAATACAGATACACTTATTTAGGAAACTGGTAACAGGAAAGAGAAATTTAGCGCCAGCTATCTGAGAAAAGACAGCCCAAGGACTACATTTTGTTCTGAGAGTTACAAACACTTCCAAACAGAATTAAAAAGAAAGTGCCTTTCAGGGCTATAACATCTTTCCATACAACTTTGAAACTTGGCAAACATTTCTTGCCAGCTCATCACACTAAACCCTGTAATAATTTTGCACGGTGTCCAATTGTGATAGGAAACTAGTAGCTCTGTGAGTGAAGATTTCTATTCTGGGTATCCAAATAACATTCCCAGTGGAGAGGAGAAAAACACTGAAATTAGATGCCTATGTCTTTCAAATGGTTCAGTTCCATTTGATTGATACGTGTTGTGGTACATGTTCTCTGGGCAAGGGCTTGGGCTAGATATCTTCAAAGAAGGTAGTCATGGGGCTGTCCAATCACTTCCTTATCCCACTTGACTAAGCAAGAATCCTTTTGTCTAATAGGAAGGCTAAAGTTAGAAACCAGGGATCTGTAACACAAGAAAGAGAGATATAATTACCTTAACACCTTAAGAAAGGGAAAAGAGTGAGTGAAATAGGGGTGATTCAAAGGCTAATGTTTATTAAAATCTTCTGTACACCACCTACTTTAACCTCATTTTATCCTTTGGGCTTCATAACAGCTCTTATGATATTATTATTTTTATTATTATCCCTTACTCACAACTGAGAAAACTGGGGTTTCCTTAGTTGTGAAGCTTAAGCGACTTGTCCAAAGTCATTCCCTGCTCTATCTGATTTCAAAAGATATGCTCTTTGCACTGTACTGGGAAGCCTAAGCCAAGTGTTCGTGAGTTTTGTAGAGAAAAGTATAGAAAACTCAAATTACAAACCCCATGGGGAAATGGAGGGAGCAATGTGAGACACAGAAAAGGGGGGGGGGAAAAACAGCTCCAAACTAGAAAAAATAAAACAATACAATGAAACGTTGAGACGATTAACTAGATAAAGGAAGGATTAGAAATGCTAATGAGAGAAAGTATACGATGACAGGTAGATTTGAAAAGAAATAAATATAACTTCTAGAAAAAAATGATGATTGAAATTTTAAAAGGGAAGGTCAAAATAATATTTGAAGAAATCACGCAAAATGCAACACAGAAACATAAAAAGATACAAAAGAGGTTCAAGGACATGGAAGTAGAATGAGGAGGCCCAGTATAAATCTAAGAAATGTTCCAGAAGGAAAGAATCAAGAAAATCTTGAAAGTCAATATTCAAATAGATAACAGCTCCAAATTTTCTAGAATTGAAGAAAGACTTGGATACTCAGTTCAAAGGAGCCCATTAAATCCTAAGCAGAGTAACAAAAACAAATAAACCTAGACATATTGTAGTGAAACTGCAAAGCCCTGAAAAAGAAAATCTTAAAAGTCAGAGAGAAAAGAGATGACCTATTAGAAGATTGTAAGTTAGAAGACAGTGGACCTGATATCAGCAACAATAAAATTATCTTCCAATAGGTGAGAAAAAATAGTTATTAACGTAGAACTTTATATCCAGTTAAAGTCACTGTATTAGTCTTCTAAGGCTGTCATAACAAAATACCACATCTTGGGTGGCTTAAACAACAGAAATTTATTTTCTCATAGTTCTGGAGGCTAGAAGTCCAAGATCAAGGTGCCATCAGAGAGGGTGTCTGGTAAAGTCTCCCTTTCTGACTTGCAGAAGGCTTCCTATTGCTGTGTCTTCACATGGACTTTCTTCCGTGTGTGTGTGTGTGTGTGTGTGTGTGTGTGTAGAGAGAGAGAGAGAGATATTTCTGATTTCTGTTCTCTCTTCCTTTTCTTATAAGGACACCAGTGCTATTGGATTAGGGCCCCACTTTTATGAACTCATTTAACCTTAATTACCTCCCCAAAGGGCCTATATCCAAAATAGTTACATTACAAGTTAGGGCTTCAGCATATGAATTTTGGGGAGGGGGCACAATTGGTTCCGAAACATCACTGTTGAAGCAGGAGAGAAAAGAGAAAAATAAAGGCTTTTTTTTTTTTTTTTTTTTTTGAGATGGAATCTCGCTCTGTGGCTGGAGTGCAGTGGCACAATCTCGGTTCACTGCAACCTCCACCTCCTGGGTTCAAGTGATTCTCCTGCCTCAGCCTCCCGAGTAGCTGAGACTACAGGTGCCTGTCACTGCGCCCAGCTAATTTTTGTAATTTTAGTAGAGATGGGGTTTCACCATGTTGGCCAGGATGGTCTTGATCTCTTAACCTTGTGATCTGCCAGCCTCGGCCTCCCTAAGTGCTGGGATTACAGGGGTGAGCCACCGCATCCAGCCAATAAAGGCATTTTGAGATGAAAAAGCTGGAGAAATTCTATGAATAACAGGTCCTTAATAAAAAGTACTATTATAGGGTGGACTGTAATGGAAATTTATTAAAACAAAGAAAGTGTGAGTTGTAAGAAGCAATGGGGACCAGTGTTATTGATAAAGTACATAAATCTTAATAAGCATGGGCTGCATAAACAACAATAATCATTACTTTAAGAAGGTTGAAATAAGAAGGAATAAAACTCTTGGACAACAGTAACATGGAAGATGAAGAGAGGTAATAAGATTTAAAACATTCTGAATCTTTGCGTTTTGTAAGAGGAAGATGAAGATATTGGTCAACTTCATGCTTTTCAAAGTTAAGTATTATGTAAAAAACTTGTGTGTACCACTAAAAGGATGGTAATAAAACATAAAACTTCCAAACCAATAGAAGGCATAAACGAAAAAATGAAAATTGTCAATAAAATGGTAGACAGAGAAGTAGAGACAACACGGTAAATACAAAACTCAAAATTAGGTCATAGGAATAATCAGGAATTATAATAAGTATAGATAAATTACTTGGTTTAAAGATAAAGATTCTCAGTGTTGGATTTTCTTTTTTATTATTATTATACTTTAAATTATGGGGTACATGTGCAGAATGAGCAGGTTTGTTACATAGGTATATACGTGCCATGGTGGTTTGCTGCACTCATCAACTCGTCATCTACATTGGGTAGTTCTCCTAATGCTATCCCTCCTCCACCCCCCAGTAGGCCTCAGTGTGTGATGTTCCCCTCCCTGTGTCCATGTGTTCTCATTGTTCAACTCCCACTTATGAGTGAGAACATGTGGTGTTTGGTTTTCTGTTCTTGTGTTAGTTTGCTGAGAATGATGGTTTCCAGCTTCATCCATGTCCCTGTAAAGGACATGAACTCATCCTTTTATATGGCCGCATAGTATTCCATAGTGTATATGTGCCACATTTTCTTCATTTTCTTTATCCACTCTATCATTGATGGGCATTTGTGTTGGTTTCACGTCTTTCCTATTGTGAACAGTGCCACAGTAAACATATGTGTGCATGTGTCTTTATAGCAGAATGATTTGTAATCCTTTGGGTATACACCCAGTAATGGGATTGGTGGGTCAAATAGTATTTCTGGTTCTAGATCCTTGAGGAATCTCCACACTGTCTTCCACAATGATTGAACTAATTTACACTCCCACCAACAGTGTAAAAGCATTCCTATTTCTTCACATCCTCTCCAGCCTCTGTTGTTTCCTGAATTTTTAATGATCGCCATTCTAACTGGCGTGAGATGGTATCTCATTGTGGTTTTGATTTGCGTTTCTCTAATGACCAGTGATGATGAGCTTTTTTTCATGTTTGTTGGCTGCATAAATCTCTTCTTTTGAGAATTGTCTGTTCATATCCTTCATCCACTTTTTGATGGGGTTATTCGTTTTTTTCTTGTAAATTTGTTTAAATTTTTTGTAGATCCTGGATGTTAGCCCTTTGTCAGATGGATAGATTGCAAATTTTTTCTCCCATTGTAGGTTGCCTGTTCACTCTGATGATAGTTTCTTTTGCTGTGCAGAAGCTCTTTAGTTTAATTAGATCCCACTTGTCAATTTTGGCTTTTGTTGCCATTGCTTTTGGTGTTTTAGTCATGAAGACTTTGCCCATGCCTATGTCCTGAATGGTATTGCCTAGGTTTTCTTCTAGAGTTTTTATGGTTTTAGGTCTTATGTTTAAGTCTTTAATCCATTTTGAGTTATTTTTTGTATAAGGTGTAAGGAAGGGATCCAGTTTCAGTTTTCTGCATATGGCTAGCCAGTTTTCCTAATGCCATTTATTAAATAGGGAATCCTTTCCCCATTTCTTGTTGTTGTCAGGTTTGTCAAAGATCAGATGGTTGTAGATGTGTGTTGTTATTTCTGAGGCCTCTGTTCTGTTCCATTGGTCTATATTTCTGTTTTCGTGCCAGTACCATGCTGTTTTGGTTACTGTAGCCTTGTAGTATAGTGTGAAGTCACGTAGCGTGATGCCTCCAGCTTTGTTCTTTTGGCTTAGGATTGTCTTGGCTACACAAGCACTGTTTTGGTTCCATATGAAATTTAAAGTAGTTTTTTTTTTTAAATTATACTTTAAGTTTTAGGGTACATGTGCGCATTGAGCAGGTTAGTTACCTATGTATACATGTGCCATGCTGGGGCGCTGCACCCACGAACTCGTCATCTAGCATTAGGTATATCTCCCAATGCTATCCCTCCCCCCTCCCCCCACCCCCCACCAGTCCCCAGAGTGTGATATTCCCCTTCCTGTGTCCATGTGATCTCATTGTTCAATTCCCACCTATGAGTGAGAATATGCGGTGTTTGGTTTTTTGTTCTTGCGATAGTTTACTGAGAATGATGATTTCCAATTTCATCCATGTCCCTACAAAGGACATGAACTCATCATTTTTTATGGCTGCATAGTATTCCATGGTGTATATGTGCCACATTTTCTTAATCCAGTCTATCATTGTTGGACATTTGGGTTGGTTCCAAGTCTTTGCTATTGTGAATAATGCCGCAATAAACATATGTGTGCATGTGTCTTTATAGCAGCATGATTTATAGTCCTTTGGGTATATACCCAGTAATGGGATGGCTGGGTCAAATGGTATTTCCAGTTCTAGATCCCTGAGGAATTGCCACACTGACTTCCACAATGGTTGAACTAGTTGACAGTCCCACCAACAGTGTAAAAGTGTTCCTATTTCTCCACATCCTCTCCAGCACCTGTTGTTTCCTGACTTTTTAATGATTGCCATTCTAACTGGTGTGAGATGGTATGTCATTGTGGTTTTGATTTGCATTTCTCTGATGGCCAGTGATGATGAGCATTTTTTCATGTGTTCTTTGGCTGCATAAAATCAATGTACAAAAATCACAAGCATTCTTATACACCAACAACAGACAAACAGAGAGTCAAATCATGAGTGAACTCCCATTCACAATTGCTTCAAAGAGAATAAAATACCTAGGAATCCAACTTACAAGGGATGTGAAGGACCTCTTCAAGGAGAACTACAAACCACTGCTCAAGGAAATAAAAGAGGATACAAACAAATGGAAGAACATTCCATGCTCATGGGTAGGAAGAATCAACATCGTGAAAATGGCCATACTGCCCAAGGTAATGTACAGATTCAATGCCATCCCCATCGAGCTACCAATGCCTTTCTTCACAGAATTGGAAAAAACTACTTTAAAGTTCATATGGAACCAAAAAAGAGCCCGCATCGCCAAGTCAATCCTAAGCCAAAGGAACAAAGCTGGAGGCATCACACTACCTGACTTCAAACTATACTACAAGGCTACAGTAACCAAAACAGCATGGTACTGGTACCAAAACAGAGATATAGATCCATGGAACAGAACAGAGCCCTCAGAAATAACGCAGCATATCTACAACTATCTGATCTTTGACAAACCTGAGAAAAACAAGCAACGGGGAAAGGATTCCCTATTTAATAAATGGTGCTGGGAAAACTGGCTAGCCATATGTAGAAAGCTGAAACTGGATCCCTTCCTTACACCTTATACAAAAATCAATTCAAGATGGATTAAAGACTTAAACGTTAGACCTAAAACCATAAAAACCCTAGAAGAAAACCTAGGCATTACCATTCAGGACATAGGCATGGGCAAGGACTTCATGTCTAAAACACCAAAAGCAATGGCAACAAAAGACAAAATTGACAAATGGGATCTAATTAAACTAAAGAGCTTCTGCATAGCAAAAGAAACTACCATCAGAGTGAACAGGCAACCTACAAAATGGGAGAAAATTTTCACAGCCTACTCATCTGACAAAGGGCTAATATCCAGAATCTACAATGAACTCCAACAAATTTACAAGAAAAAAACAAACAACCCCATCAAAAAGTGGGCAAAGGAAATGAACAGACACTTCTCTAAAGTAGTTTTATTCAATTCTGTGAAGAAAGTCAATGGTAGCTTGATGGGGATAGCAGTTAATCTATAAATTACTTTGGGATATATGGCCATTTTCACGATATCGATTCTTCCTATCCATGAGCATGGAATGTTTTTCCATTTGTTTGTGTCCTCTTTTATTTCGTTGAGCAGTGGTTTGTAGTTCTCCCTGAAGAGGTCCTTCTTGTCCCTTGTAAGTTGTATTACTAAGTATTTTATTCTTTTAGTAGCAATTGTGAATGGGACTTCACTCATGATTTGGCTCTCTGTTTGTCTATTATTGGTGTGTAGGAATGTTTGTGATTTTTGCACATTGATTTTGTATCCTGACACTTTGCTGAATTTGCTTATCAACTTAAGGAGATTTTGGGCTGAGACGATGGCATTGTCTAAATATACAATCATGTCATCTGCAAACAGGGACAATTTGACTTCCTCTTTTCCTAATTGAATACCCTTTATTTCTTTCTCTTGCCTTATTGCCCTGGCCAGAACTTCCAATACTATGTTGAATAGGAGTGGTGAGAGAGGGCATCCTTGTCTTGTGCTGGTTTTCAAAGGGAATGCTTCCAGTTTTTGCCCATTCAGTATGACATTGGCTGTGGGTTTGTCATAAATAGCTCTTATTATTTTGCAATTATGTTCCATCAGTACCTAGTTTATTGAGAGTTTTTAGCATGAAGAGGTGTTCAATTTTATCGAAGGCCTTTTCTGCATCTATTGAGATAATTGTGTGGTTTTTGTCCTTGGTTCTGTTTATGTGATGGATTATGTTTATTGATTTGTGTATGTTGAACCAGCCTTGCATCCGAGGGATGAAGCCGACTTGATCGTGATGGATAAGCTTTTTGATGTGCTGCTGGATTTGGTTTGCCAGTATTTTATTGAGGATTTTCGCATGGATGTTCATCAGGGATATTGGCCTGAAATTTGCTTTTTTTTTTTGGTTGTGTCTCTGCCAGGCTTTGGTATCAGGATGATGCTGGCCTCATAAAATGATTTAGGAAGGAGTCCTTCTTTTTCTATCATTTGGAATAGTTTCAGAAGGAATGGTATCAGCTCCTTTTTGTACCTCTGGTAGAATTCGGCTGTGAATCCATCTGGCCCTCGACGTTTTGGTTGGTAGGCTACTAGTTACTGCCTAGACTTCAGAAGTTGTTACTGGTCTATTCAGGGATTCAATATGTGTCCAGGAATTTATCCATTTCTTCTAGATTTTCTAGTTTATTCGTGTAGAGGTGTTTATAGTATTCTCTGATGGTAGTTTGTATTTCTGTGGGATCAGTGGTGATACCCCTTTATCATTTTTCGTTGTGTCTATTTGATTCTTATCTCTTTCCTTCTTTATTAGTCTGGGTAGTGGTCTATATATTTTGTTGACCTTTTCAAAAAACCAGCTCCTGGATTCGTTTTTTTGTGTCTCTATCGCCTTCAGTTCTGCTCTGATCTTAGTTATTTCTTCTCTTCTGCTAGCTTTTGAATGTGTTTGCTCTTCCTTCTCTAGTTCTTTTAATTGTGATCTTCGGATGTTGATTTTAGATCCTTCCTGCTTTCTCTCGTGGGCATTTAGTGCTACAAATTTCCTTCTAAACACTGTTTTAAATGTGTCCCAGAGATTCTAGTATGTTGTGTCTTTGTTCTCATTGGTTTCAAAGAACATCTTTATTTCTGTCTTCATTTCATTATTTACCCAGTAGTCATTCAGGAGCTGGTTGTTCAGTTTCCATGTAGTTGTGTGGTTTTGGGTGAGTTTCTTAATCCTGAGTTTTAATTTGATTGCACTGTTGTCTGAGAGACTGTTTGTTATGACTTCCATTCTTTTGCACTTCCTGAGGAGTGTTTTACTTCCAATTATGTGGGCAATTTTAGAATAAGTGCGATGTGGTGCTGAGAAGAATGTATATTCTGTTGAGTTAGGGTGCAGAGTTCTGTAGATGTCTGTTAGGTCTGCTTGGTTCAGAGCTGAATTCAAGTCCTGGATATCCTTGTTAATTTTCTGTCTCGTTGATCTGTCTAATATTGAGTCGGGTGTTAAAGTCCCCCATTATTAATGTGTGGGAGTCTCAGTCTCTTTGTAGGTCTCTAAGAACTTGCTTTATGAATCTGGGTACTCCCGTTTTGGGTGCATATGTATTTAGGATAGTTAGCTCTTCTGGTTGTATTGATCCCTTTACCATTATGTAATGCCCTTCTTTGTGTCTTTTGATCTTTGTTGGTTTAAAGTCTGTTTTATGAGAGATGATTGCAACCCCCCTTTCTTTTTTCTTTTTCTTTTTTTTTTTTTTGCTTTCCGTTTGCTTGGTAAATATTCCTCCATCCCTTTATTTTGAGCCTATGTGTGTCTTTGCACATGAGATGGGTCTCCTGAGTATAGCACATCAATGGGTCTTGACTCTTTATCCAATTTTCCAGTGTGTGTCTTTTAATTGGGGCATTTAGCCCATTTACATTTAAGGTTAATATTGTTATGTGTGAATTTGATCCTGTCATTATGATGTTAGTTGGTTATTTTGCCCATTAGTTGATGTAGTTTCTTCATAGTGTCAATGATCTTTACAGTTTGGTATGTTTTTGTAGTGGCTGGAACTGATTGTTCCTTTCCATGTTTAGTGCTTCCTTCAGGAGCTCTTGTAAGGCAGGCCTGTTGGTGATAACATCTCAATGCAAGGAAGCTAACAACCTTGAAAAAAAGTTAGAGGAATTGCTAACTAGAATAACCAGTTTAGAGAAGAACATAAATGACCTGATGGATCTGAAAAACACTGCATGAGAACTTCATGAAGCATACACAAGTATCAATAGCCAAATTGATCAAGAGGAAGAAAGGATATGAGAGATTGAAGATCAACTTAATGAAATAAAGTGAGAAGACAAGATTAGAGAAAAAAGAATGAAAAGAAACGAACAAAGCCTCAAATAAATTTGGGACTATGTGAAAAGACCAAATCTACATTTGATTGGTGTTCCTGAAAGTGACAGGGAGAATGGAACCAAGTTGGAAAACACTCTTCAGCATATTATCCAGAACTTCCCCAACCTAGTAAGACAGGCCAACATTCAAATTCAGGAAATACAGAGAACACCACAAAGATATTCCTTGAGAAGAGCAACCCCAAGACACATAATCATCAGATTCACCAAGGTTGAAATGAAGGAAAAAATGTTAAGATCAGCCAGAGAGAAAGGTCGGGTTACCCACAGTGTTGTATTTTATAAAGAACTCTGCTCTATGGTCAGGAGATCGAGACCATCCTGGCTAACAAGGTGAAACCCCGTCTCTACTAAAAATACAAAAAATTAGCCGGGCGCGGTGGCGGGCGCCTGTAGTCCCAGCTACTCGGGAGGCTGAGGCAGGAGAATGGCGTGAACCCGGGAAGCGGAGCTTGCAGTGAGCCGAGATTGCGCCACTGCAGTCTGCAGTCCGGCCTGGGCGACAGAGCGAGACTCCGTCTCAAAAAAAAAAAAAAAAAAAAAAAAAAAAAAAAGAAAAAAAAAGAACTCTGCTCTATGCTTATTAAACTGGACATTACTAAAACATAATGACAGAGAAATGTTGAAAGTAAATAGATGAAAAAATAAACACCAGACAAATATTAACTTAAAAATTTTGGTTTAGGCAATAGTTGACAAAATATATATTAATGACCAAAGCATCATTAAAAATAAAGAAGGACATTACTTAATGATACAATGAATAATTTCATACACAAAATAACCATCCTGAACCTGGTTCATCTAATAACATACCTTCAAAATATATGCAGCAGAAATTGACAGAATTATAAGGAGAAGTTGATGAGTACACAGTCATACTGGGGAATTTTAACATACTGTACTCGTATAAACTGATAGATCAAGCAAACAAGTATTGAGGGTATGGAAGATTTGAATAACAAAATGGTTAAATCTGATCCAATGGACCTGTATACAGCCCTGCACCCAACAATAAGGTAATACAAATTCTTTTCTAACAAATAGGGAACATGTTCAAAAATTTACCTTTTACTGCATCCTGAAGAAAATCTGTAGTACCAAAAGCCAGTATTCTATAGACCAGATTATTTGATAAAGATGCAATATAGTGTGAAATCCACAACTATAAACTAGATTATAGGAGAAAACAAAACCTTATTGTCAACTCAGTAGGTACATAAAACACTCTATAAATTTCGAAAAATAAACATTAAGCCACCTGACAAACTGGAAATAGATCCTTCACCTGATAAAGGTTATCTAGCAAAATCCTATAGCCAACATTATACTTGAACTTGAAATACTAGATGTCCCTTTCAAGTCAGGAAGAAGACTGATAAGAAAACCTCTCACCACTATTTTTATTGGGCATTATAATTGCCGTCCTAACTAATTATAAGGCAAAGAAAAATGTAAGGTCAAAAATATATTGTTAGTTTTCACAGATGGTATGTTTTCTACACAGATAATGTAAGAGAGCATGTAGACAGACTAACATAGAGTTCAACCAGTCTTCTGGGTATGGGATCAATATGTAAAAATCCATAGTCCTCCTCTATAATAGCAAGAAACAAGAAGAAAATGTTATAAAAACATTTTCTGACAACAGATATGGCATCCATAATCATGCACTGCTGTCTCTCATCTTACTTCTGACTTTCTTTCAGGTTTTAAGTTGTTTCTGCAAGATTTGTTACCTCCTTCTTCCCTGCCACAATATGCTTGAGCTATGAGGTTTTCTCTTATTTTTTCCAGACCCTCTAAATAGCAGTTAACCAATTTAAAGCAAAAAATACAAATTAAGGTGAACAAGGTAGTTGAGAAGAACTTAGAGAATATCCCTCAGTCATAGTTCCTCTTTCAAGTATTTAGTGGCTTTGATTTGGCTACTGCTATGGAAATTGAATATCAAAGTGAAAATGCTGATTTTTCTGGTACCGGCTTAAGCAAAATTCAACTTATTCCTATCTACCTAAGTAAAGGATCCCCCACTAGGGATTGTGTGCCCCCCTCTTAGTGTATTCAAGCAAGAAGTCCATCTAGTTACTTTCCCTTTAAAAACCAGTCCCATTGAGGAAATTGAAAAAGGTAAAAATAAATGGAAAGATACCTAGTGTTCATGGACTAGAAGAATTAATATTAAAAGGTCCATGCTACCTAAGATGATTTACAGATTCATTGCAATCCCTGTCAGAGTACCAGTGGCATTCTTCACTGAAGTAGAAATAACAATCCTAAAATTTGTGCGGAATCATAGAAGACCCCAGATAGCCAAAGAAATTTTGAGCAAAAAGAAGGAAGCTGGAGGTATCACACTACCTTACTTCAAAATATACTATAAAGTTACAGTAATCAAAATAGCATTGTCCTGACACACAGACTAGTGGGACAGAATAGAGAGCCTAGAAATAAATCCATGCATTTACAACCAATTCATTTTTGATAAAGGAGCCAAGAACACACAATGAGGAAGGGACAGTCTTTAATAAATGTTGTTGGGAAAACTGGGTATCCACATGCAAAAAAATGAAACAAGATCTGTAGCTTACACCTATACAAAAACAACTCAAAATGGATTAAAGATTTAAATGTAATACTCCAAACCACGAAACTACTAGAGGAAAACATGGGGGAAAGCTCCGTGACATTGGCCTGGGAAATGATTTTTTTGGATAAGACCAAAAAAGAACAGACAGCAAAAGAAAAACTAGACAAATGGAATTACATAAAACTAAAAAGCTTCTGCACAGCAAAAGAAACAATAGGGTGAAGAGACAAACTATATATGGGGGAAATATTTTCAAACTATACATTTATTAAGGTGTAAATGTTCAAAATATATAAGGAGCTCAGAGAACGCAATAGCAAGAAGACAAGTAACCTGATTTTAAAATGGGCAAGGGACTTGAATAGTCATTTCTCAAGTGAAGACATACAAACGGCCAACAGGTATATGAAAAAAACACTCAACATGACTAATCAACAGGGAAATGCACCTTAAAACCACAATAAGATACCACTTCATACCCTTTACTGTGGCTATTATCAAAAAAACAAAAGTTAATAAGAGTTGGCAAGGATATGGGCAAAAGGGAACCCTTGTACCCTGTTGGTTGTGCATCTTAGTTCATTTTCTGTTTCTGTGGCTGAATACCTGAGACTCAGTAATTTATTTTAAAAAAAAATAAGTTTATTTATTGCAATTCTGGAGGCTGGAAAGTCCAAGGTAGGTGGGCTGCATCTAATGAGAGCCTCATGCTACATCATAATATTGTGGATGGCATCACATGGTGGAGTGCATGTGAGAGTGGGCATGTGCAAAAGAGACAAAACATGAGGAGTGACCTCGCTTTATAACAGCATTCTCTCTGGGTAACTAATGTAGTGCCATAAGAGTCAGAACTCACTCACTCATTTGAGACTGCATTAATCCCCTCATGAGGGTGAATCCCTCATAACCCAAATGCCTTTTGAAGCTCCCACTACCCCTTAACACAGTTACATTGGGCATCAATCCTCAACATGAGTTTTGGTAGGAGCAAACCATATTGAAACCATAGCAGTGGGAATGTAAATTAGTACAGCCACCCAGGAATATTGGTGAAGATTTAGAAAAAGATCATGGATGATTGTAGACATAAATATTTAGGTAGCTGCAGAGCCTGTTGGAGAGTCAATTGTAGAGGACAGCAGTTATCTTGAACCTGCAGATTAATGTGATACAAAGTTTGTGAAAGGTAGTTCTTATATATTAAGTTCTGAATTACTAAAGAATATGAAACTATATCTAAAATGAGGAAAATGGTGAAGAAGCTGCATTGTCTATAAAGAAGAGATTTTAAAAAATGAAAAATTTAATGGAAAATAGGGACAGAAGGACTAGAAATATAGAATAGTTGGAAGGGAATACAAATGCAAAACAAAGTAAATTGTGAAAAGAAGAAGCACTTTATATAGAAAAAAAAACAGAAAAAGTATGTTTGCATGTGCATGTGTGTGTCTGTCTTTGTGTGTAAATAATATGTTCTCCAAACCCAGAGCCTTCTAATGAGAAAAAAGTTACTTTGAACAAGTATATACGTTAAATGAAAATTAAGCACCAACACATATTCTAAAGAATAAAAAGAAAAAACTTGCATATATGATTACCACAATGGAGAGGAGTCATATGCAGGAAAAGTAGAAGCTTTTATAGGAAAAATATCATTTCTGAAATATATATATTGAAGAAACAATGTCAAACAAACCAAAAAGCAGTCTGTGAACACATTAGGAATTGCCCTACTTTGTTAAATGGAATGACAAAATTGACTAATATTTGGTGAGCTCAGGGTGTCTGCTGCTTTCAAGAGCATAAGATCTGTATCGTTAGCTAGTTATTTAATTTATAGAAATATACTAGAATTAGAATTTATTTGCAAGAGAAAATGCTAAATTGAAGATGGAAAACTCCCATTCACTATAGCAGCAAAACCCATATTAGATCTAGAAATATACCTCACAAAAGATATGCAAGATATGTAAGTACATATTATGAGATTTTATTGAAGAACATAAACAATAATATAAATATAAATAATAGAAGAAATATGCCATTTTAGTGATTTGGAAGGCTCATTGTCATAAAGGAATTAATTCTCCACAGATTAACATATGATCCAAGGTCCCCAAGCTTACTAGTAATGAGGGAAATGTACATTAAATTCAAAATAATTCACAACCATCAAATTAGTATATATTAAAAAGCAGAATAATACCAAGTGGTGATATCCCAAAGATGAAAGGAATTGGGACTTTTGAGGGACTATCAATTTATACACCTGCCTTGGACAGCATGTGGCAACACCTAGCAAAGTCAAAGATATGCACACCTTATTATAATCCCAACTCCCACTTCTAGATATTTTCCATGGAGAAATCCTGGCATGTGTATACAGGAGACATAAACAAGAATGTTCATTTCCACAGTATAAAATTAATGTCCAACATATGGGAATGGATTAATACTATCAATAGCAGCATGTTTTAAAATGGAAGGCTATATGGCAGTTTAAAGTAGCTAATCACATCCATATACTTCTACAAAAATGAATCTGGAAAATAGTGTTGAGTGTGCAAAAGAATTTAGAAAACATTATGTTCCATACATTTATGCAAAAGGACAGGAAAATTGGTCATGCCTAGAGGGTCTCTCAGGGCTTTTGTGTATTGGGCCCCACAAAACCGAGGAAAGTTCTCTGAGGAGATTGTTGGAAAAGTTCAGTACTGTCTCCTCGTGCCTGACAAACCTGAAGCAGTGAAGCAGAGAGGTCCTCCTGGCCTTTTTTACTTAGAGAATATTCTCTCTCTCTCTCTCTCTCTCTTTTTTTTTTAAGAACATTCTTCACTTTATCATTGGAGAAAAGCCTGGTGTTAAGACCATCTATTATTGTGGCAGTGACTCAGGTATACTGTCTGGTGGCTCTCTGCCAAAGAGAGTTGAGGGGTCAAATGACTAAGGTTTCTAGATTAAAAGGACGAGTTTACAAGCTGAACCAGAGGAACTTAAATTGTGTTTTTTTTTCTCTCTCTTTTTTACGCATCACTGAAAACTTTTTGAAAGAAAAAGTTCTTAGTGGTTATTCTAATCACCTAGCTTTTGGTTGGTTTTTGTTAAAGATTAGAACGTCACTTCTCAAAATTCAGCACAATTTTCATGCTTTGGGCCATAATAATAATGAAAGTGATACTAAAAGACTTTTTTCTTTCTCCACCCCCTTTTCTTTCAATCTCAGAACACAAAAGATGAAGGCAGTTTTGAAGAGTTAACTTTTTGGTTGAGTAATCCCCTTGAATGCAATGTAACTTTAAAAGAGAGAAAAAGGGAAGGCTAGCAGAGATCAAATCAGGACCTCATGGCTACCCAGGCTCCTGTCACCATACGTAGGTGGTAAAGTTAGGTGGTAGGGTTCATGGGTCCTGGGGTTTGATCTGAAATCTCCTCTGCATATACGAAAGAGCATGGCTGAATTATGTATTCATTTGGAACTTTTTCTCTTCATTCCAGGAACCTGCAACTATTATAATACATTTGTTGATGTGTAACTTTGTGCTAATAAACAGTTCTGATGCAATTATTGATTTACAGATTTTTTCATCTTACTTTAGTATGTTCACACATTATGTTGAGAATCAGTGTGTACAGATACTATTTTAATATTATAGAGTTAATGGTCAATTCTAACAACTGATATAGAAAATTGGACCTGGTCCTCTGTCTAAAAAAGGACATTTTACTCATTTATATGACTAAATTGTGACTGTGGAGGTTTATGAGTCAGTATTTGTTAAATAAATGGATTGATGGATGGGCAGAAGGAAGGAAGAATTGAAGGAAGAAAGGAAGAACAGACAGAACAGACAGATGGAAAGGAGAAATCTGCTTGAAAATAGCTTTCATGAAGAAGATATTCACTTTATAGGAACATTGTCTTTTATATTTAAAATATCTGTCCTCTTACTTTGGATACCCAGAGTGCCAGCCACAGGATGCTTGCTATTTATGATCTTGAAAATGTTTGAAGCCCTTCCAGGGAGTAAGGGAAGAAAATCACATCAAAGCTACACTGCGCCTTTTCCTTTTCTGGTTTTGTGTTCAAACATAGCATTCAAGACGATGCAGGTATTTGATTGTGCAGAGTTAATATTCCCCCAGAAAATCAAAATAGCTGAATTATAAATAGCCTCTTTAGATTTTTTAGTATAGTTCTTTAGGAGAATGACATTCACACAAAAAAGTGCACAGATCCTAAGTGTATATCTCATCAAATCTTCACGAATTGGAGAAACCATAGTAATCAGCACCCATATAAAGAAAGATAACATTAACAGCACCCCAGAATTTCTTCTGTCCTTTTCTTCTAAACCTTATTTCTCACCAAAAGGTTAAGTGCTATAACTTTTAATATCATTAATTTGATTTCCCTATTCTGGATATTCATATAAATGGCATCAAACAATATGCAGCTCTTGTGACTTTCTTCTTTCAGTTAGCATATCGTTTTCAAGGCTCATCCATGTTGTGACATGTATCGGTAATCATTCATTCTTACTGCCAAATAATATTTCATTGTATGGATATACCAAAATATTTGTACCCATTCATCAGTTGATGGAGATTTCAGCTTTTTCTACTTTGTGGTGGTTATGAATAATTGTGCTATGAACATTTATGTACAAGTTTCTGTGTGGACATATGTTTTCAATTATTTTGGGTACACGTTTTCTCTGGGTATACATTCCATTTCTTTTGGGTATATACCTGGTAGTGGAATTTCTGGGTCATATGCAAAACTGTTTTCAAAGTGACGGCACCATTTTAAATTTGTATTAGTAATGTATAAGTGTTTCACTTGTTTCACATCCTTGCCAACACTCCGTATGGTCAGTGTCTTTAATTTTAGCCATTCTGGTGGAAAAGTTTGTTTTTTTTTTTCTTCTTGACAGGTTTTTATATAATGTTGTGATACTCAGAAAATAATACTGATACCAACTTCTATAAATTAACTAATCTTAAGTCATTTCCTATCCAGGGATTTAATTGGAGCGACAAGTATTTTCCTGTCATTTCTAAAATATGTGGACAAGGCCTTCAAGATTTAGCTCAGATGCCCCTTCTTATAGAATCTTTGCATCCAAGTTCTGGGAGGGCATTAGAGGTCATCTACCCAATCCCATCATTTTATAGATGAGACAGTTGAAGCTCAGGGAAGGGAATGGACATGACCAGGCAACATGGGCCTAGTGGGCAAGTCTCCTGACTTTAGTCCATGGTTCTTTCTGTCTCCCCAGACAGCTTTGTCTACTCATCTTTGCTTCTCCTTCGCTGCTAATTTGAAGAGATTGAAATTCATCTTTGACAGGAAAAAAGTTGTAAGTTTCTAGGGCTTAAATTGAACATCAAAGAAGCAGCTCTCCTCCCATTGAAGGCTCGCATGCTCCATCACTGAAAACTACTATCATTTAAGCCAGAGAAAGAAAACTTAAAGTGACTTTTCAGCAAATACCATTTTTAATACACACATAATATCTTCTGTTTTATACTCTGATCATGATTAAGAATTTCAAATAGCTCAGGAAGAATTAAGGAGATTTACACCCACATTATTACTCATAACCACTTAGAGCAAAGAAGGAAATCTTTTAAAAGGATGTTTATTGCTTTCATACCAAATGAGAATCTGAATTAAAATGATTCCTAGCACAGTCTTTCGAGTTGAAAGTACATTCAGCCGTTTTCAAAATCCCTTGTAATAACAACAATGCTTGGTAATTTCATGGAGTTTGTATTTTTTCAAAGGAGATTAGGGTAAATGCTGTAAACATGAACTTCCTAATCCTTATTTTGTGATGACTGCCCTGGGCCGGTCTTGCTATCCTTGGTCCTCAGATGGAGATGCTAACACAGAGTGGCTGTCCAGGTTTCAAGGTTTGATCTCTTGGCTCACTGTGAATTTACTTCAAGTGGGAGAACCTTAGTTCTTCAGTAATTATCTAACCCTCAGTTCCTGAGCTGTAAAATATGAGGATTATATACCCATTTCTGAGGATTAATTTGTGTAAAACACGTAGTACTAGTAGGTGTTCCTTATATGGTTGGTACTTTTAGATTCTTTGCTGGAGAAGGCTGTTGTCTAGGAACAAAAGTGGCAGGCTTTGGGGATTCCCCAGACACTTATATTCATTCATTAATATATTGAGAAAGCAAAGATTGGTTGCTTCCTAACCCTGTATGAGAGGACTTCAAGAAGTTCATGAAAAATATGTATTATAAAAAATTGCACATGAATTTCTATTTATTTTTGCACCAAAATAAACTCATACTAACTTGGTATAACATATCTGAACAGGACCTAGTTTTGAGGCACTAAGAAAGATAAGACATTAGTTTGAAAAGAGCCCTTATCACAGCAACATGAATTCTGCTAGAATTGAAGCAAAAATAAACATAAAATTCATCTTGAAGATTGGTGGAAAAATAGTGAAATCACTGATGCTTTATAAAAAGCTTATGGGGCAATGCCCCAAAGGAATCAGCAGTTTACAAATGGATAACTTGTTTAAGAAGGGATAAGACGATGTTGAAGATGAAGCCTGAAGCGGCAGACCATCCATATCAATTTGTGAGGAAAAAAATCATCTTATTCATGCCTTAACTGAAGAGGACTGACGATTAACAGCAGAAACTATAGCTAACACCATAGACATCTCAATTTGTTCATTTTACACAATTCTGAGTGAAAAATTAAAGTTGAGCAAACTCTCCACTCCATGGGTGCCACACCCATTGCATCCAGATCAGCTGCAGATAAGAGCAGAGCTTTCAATGGAAATTTTAAACAAGTAGATTCAAGATTCTGAAGCATTTCTTCAAAGAAGCATAACAGGAGATAAAACCTGGCTTGACCAGTACAATCTTGAAGACAAAGTACAATCAAAGCAATGACTACAACATAATACTGAATGGGGAAAAGTTGAAAGCATTCCCTCTGAGAACTGGAACAAGACAAGGATGCCCACTCTCACCACTCCTCTTCTACATAGTACTGGAATTCCTAGCCAGAGCAATCAGACAAGAGAAAGAAATAAAGGGCATCCAAATTAGTAAAGAGGTAGTCAGACTGTCACTGCTGACAATATGATTGTTTACCTCGAAAACCCTAAAGACTCCTCCAAAAAGCTCCTAGAACTAATAAAAGAATTCAGCAAACTTTCCGGATACAAGATTAACATACACAAATCAGTAGCTCTTCTATACACCAACAGCGACCAAGCGGAGGATCAAATCAAGAACTCAACCCCTTTTACAATAGCTGCAAAATACAATACAATACAATACAATACAATACAATACAACACAACACAACACAACACAACACAACACAACACAACACTTAGGAATATACCTAACCAAGGAGGTTAAAGACCTCCTTGAAGGAAAACTACAAAGGAAGACTACAAAATGCTGGAAAGAAAACTACAAGGAAAACTACAAAATGCTGCTGAAAGAAATCATAGACAACACAAACAAATGGAAACACATCCCATTCTCATAAATGGGTAGAATCAATATTGTTTAAATGACCACACTGCCAAAAGCAATCTACAAATTTAATGCAATTCCCATTAAAATACCACCATCATTCTTCACAGAACTAGAAAATAAACAATCCTAAAATTCATATGGGACCAAAAAAAGAGTACACATAGCCAAAACAAGACTAAGCAAATAGAACAAATCTGGAGGCATCAGGTTACCTGACTTCAAACTATACCAGAAGGCCATAGTCACCAAAACAGCATGGTACTGGTATAAAAATAGGCATGTAGACCAGCCGGGCGCGGTGGCTCACGCCTGTAATCCCAGCACTTTGGGAGGCTGAGGCGGGCGGATCACGAGGTCAGGAGATCGAGAACATCCTGGCTAACATGGTGAAACCCCGTCTGTACTAAAAATACAAAAAAATTAGCTGGGCATGGTGGTGGGTGCCTGTAGTCCCAGCTACTCGGGAGGCTGAGGCAGGAGAATGGCGTGAACCCGGGAGGCGGAGTTTGCAGTGAGCCGAGATCGCGCCACTGCACTCAAGACTGGGCGAGAGCGAGACTCCATCTCAAAAAAAAAAAAAAAAAAAAAAAAAGGCACGTAGACCAATCGAACAGAACAGAGAACCCAGAAATAAACCCAAATACCTTCAGCCAATTGATCTTTGAAAAGCAAACAAAAACATAAGGTGTGGAAAGGACACCCTTTTCAACAAATGGTGCTGGGATAATTGGCTGGCCACATGTAGGAGAATGTAACTGGATTCTCATCTCTCACCTTATACAAAAATCAACTCAAAATGGATTAAGGACTTAAACCTAAGACCTGAAACTATAAAAATTCTAGAAGATAGCATTGGAAAAACCCTTCCAGACATTGGCTTAGGCAAGGATTTCATGACCAAGAACCCAAAAGCAAATGCAATAAAAACAAAGATAAATAGTTGGGACTTACTTAAACTAAAGAGCTTTTTAGACATCAAAAGGAACAGTCAACAGAGTAAACAGACAACCCACAGAGTGAGAGAAAGTCTTCACAATCTGTACATCGGACAAAGGACTAATATCCAGAATCTACAAGGAACTCAAACCAATCAGTAAGAAAATAACCACACAGTCCCATCAAAAAGTGGGCTAAAGACATGAATAGACAGTTCTTAAAAGAAGATATACAAATGTCCAACAAACATGAAAAAATGCTCAACATCACTAATGATCAGGGAAATGCAAATCAAAACCACGATGCAATACCTCCTTACTCCTGCAAGAATGGCCATAAAAACCAAAAAAAAAAAAAACAGTAGATGCTGGCATGGATGCAGCAATCAGGGAACACTTCTACACTGCTAGTGGGAATGTAAACTAGTACAGCCACTATGGAAAACAGTGTGGAGATTCCTTAAAGAACTAAAAGTAGAACTACCGTTTGACCCAGCAATCCCACTGCTGGATATGTACTCAGAGGAATGATATATGATATATACACACACACATATCTATCTATGATGGAATACTACTCAGCCATAAAAAGGAATGAATTAACGGCATTTGCAGTGACCTGGATGAGATTGGAGACTTAAGTAAAGTAACTCAGGAATGGGAAGCCAAACATCGTGTGTTCTCACTAATATGTGGGAGCTAAACTATGAGGACACAAAAGCATAAGAAGGATAAAATGGACTTTGGGGACTTGGGGGGAAGGGTGGGAGGGGGGCAAGGGATAAAAGACTACAAATAGTGTGCAGTGTATACAGCTTGTGTGATGGGTGCAAGCAAAATCTCACAAATCACCACTGAAGACCTTACTCATGTAACCAAATACCACCTGTACCCCCAATAACTTATGGAAAAATTAAAACAAAAGATAAAAATCATGAAAATAAATAAAAATAAAATAAAATATAGAAAATTGGTGTTTCAAAAACAAACAAAAAGCAATGGCTACTAAGAGGTGGAAGCGGTCAAAGCAAAAGTAGGCCAGTCAAGACATGCTCAAGGCATTTTGCTTGTTGACTTTCGAATGGAGGGCCAAAGAATGATAACATCTGCTTATGACAGGAGTGTTTTGAGAAAGCAAGGCGCAGCTTTAGCAGAAAAATGCCTGGAAAAGCTTCACCAGAGAGTCCTTCTCCACCACAACAATACTCCCACTCATTCATCTCATCAAACAAGGGCAATTTTGTAAGAGTTTCAATGGGAAATTGTTATGCATCTACTTTAAGTCCTTATTTGGCTGCTGCTGACTTCTTTTTGTTTCCTCATCTTAAAAAGATCTGTAAAGGGCACTCATTTTTCTCCAGTTAATAATGTAAAAAAGACTGCAGTGACATGGTTAAATTTCCAGGATGCTCAGTTCTTTAGAGGTGGACTAAATGGCTGGGATCATCACTTACAAAACTGTCTTGACCTTGATGGAGCTTACATTGAGGAATAAAGTTTATATTTTTTATTTTTATCTTTTACTTCCATTTTTTCCACTAACTTTTTGAAATATCTTCATATTAGTGTAATGAGTGTGTGTGTGTGTGTGTGGTGTGAAAACAAAATTTTCACATTAAAGCATGTCACATTCTATTTTTATTATTTTTAACTTATGATTTTTATAAATAACCATTATTACCAGTGCTAGGTTCCAGGATACTAAAACAAGGCAAAGTTGGAAAGAATGTTTCCATACAAAAACCAATATATAACATAAAGATATGAACAGATGAATGAACTATAAAGCAACTTCTGCTAAACTGGTAATTGTTAGAACTAAAGCTTCAGAGACTTGTAATTTATACCAACTCCTGGATATGGGATATTCCATTGTTGGATTGATGGCCTAAAATAAGAGAAACATCATTTTTTTCAGAAGAAGTTTTAGAACATGGCTGAAATCCGTCATAATGCTTAACCTTGAACTCTCAGATATCAGTGCTAATTCATATTTTGTAGGGCAAATATAGGACAAGAGAAACTGCACAGGCAGACTGCTAGTGGGTGGAAAAATGCCCTTTGACTGGGAATCAGGAGACTTGGCTTTTTGTTCTAGATCAGTCACTGCTTTATAGGGTGACCTGAGCAAGTCACTTTAATGTTGTGGATCTTACTTTCCTCATTTGAAAACTACTTGTTTAGTCAAAACTATTAATTATAAACTATGTTCTGTAGTAATAGGCTTCCACAGAGGTGCCACAGAGATCACTGCAGGAGGGACTCTGCGACCTTAATCCCCAACTATGACCCAAGTAGTTCTTTTGTCCACTGGTCTATATATAGGGGCTATTCTTGGGGTTTCATTTGAATAAAAGGTTCTAAGGTCTGAGTAAAATGGGGCACTCCCAGGCTAAATGATCCTGACTTAGGATACACAACCTGATCAAGGTTCTTCAGGTTTTAAGGTTCTGTGATATCTGGATAACCAAAGTAGGTGTTTGTGACATTCTGTAACTTATCTGTCTGTGATATGTTAGCCAGTTCTAGGGCTGGAATGATGATGGTAATAGACATGCCCAGTGATGAATGACCTACCATGCTACCTAGGACATCTTACACCTTGATTATTGAATTTAAAAGAGCTTCTGAATCATCAGAGAAAGATCAAATTTGGCTTAGTTGTCATTTTACTATTGTATATTTCTATCTGTGTGTGGTATATTTAGTGAGGCTTTAAGTATATTTGGTGGGTCTCCAGTAACTAGAATGTTTCATTGACCTATATATGCCATTCCCCAGTTATGCCAGGCAGTTGAAAGTTTATCGAATCAGACTGAAGAATTTGAAGTTGAGGCAATGCTTCTCACACCTATATAAAAGATGTCATGAGGAAGAACCAGAGAGGAGGAGTGTGTATGAAGTATTGGTCAATTTTTTATACACATATAGTAAAGGCTGATTTATTTGAGGCATAGTGTTATTTCAGGCAATCTGAATTAACTATGACTAAAAATGGCTGTTCTGAGCTATTACATTTCCAAGTGACTAAAAAACACGTGCATGAAAGCAAAATCTAGATTTTGTCAGAATACACCCAACATCTATAAGAAAATAAGCTGGAGGCATATAGCACATTCTATTTTAAAACATAGTGGCCTCCCTTTGAGAGAAAGTGGTGCTGTTAGTGTCATTTTACTTGAGAGAGATAACTTTGTGGCACTAGTGATGCTTTTATGTGCATTTATCCATTTTTATCAGCCTCTTTATTCCCTATTCATTCATTCATTTTTGCTTTTTACTCTATCTCTGTAGGCCTTAATGCTTTTGATATTTGGCTGTATTTATGTGTTCATGCAATCCAAAGCAGACAGAGCACCTCCTGATTCAAAGCAAGGCTCTGCGTTTGGCACTGTTGGGGATATAGAGATGATTAGCCACTCTTCTTAGTATGTTATTGCATTTTAGAAGATAATGTCTTGAAGATAGATTATTGTCTTGGATGAAGCCCCTGATTAAGACTGGAGAAAGAAAGTTGATTACCATATCCAAGATGGAGGCTAAGGGGGAAGACTTGAAGGACATGGATCCTATACCTCTTTTTTTATTGCACCTCATCTCATTGTATCACATTGATCTGTTGACATATGTCTCTTCCCTATTAGAGTGCCTTGAGAGCAGGCTTTTGACTCAATTTGAATGGCTAGAACCTAGCACACTTCCTACAGAGTTGGTTATGCACCTACTCAGTGAATGACAGACATGAGTCTGAGCTATAACTTGGGAGGGACTGTTCTAGAAAAGTAAAATGTGGTGAATATATGTTACTATGTAGTGTTTTAAACTGTCATTGACATCTAGGAAGAAGATGTTAATTGACTTGGCTTTGGACTGTGGCAGGAAAACATTTAGATCTCGCTCAAATGTTCATGACAGTCTTATTTAAAAGGTAGCCTACATTGTTCTCCTTACTGCTTATTACAAAAATGCACATATCCCAGAAATCAAAAGGAATGCTATGGGATTCCGAAACTTATTGCCATCTGGGCCATGTGTGGCTGAACTATGAAAAGTCATTCAGTCAGCAAGATAGAAATAACATCTGCATAGGCAGACAACTTAGCAGACTCAGACCAGCTTTCCTCTGAAGCCCAGCTGCCATTGTGACTCATGGCAAGTTCCCAGCTTGAAAAAGCAAAGAACTGAAAAGCAGAGGTACCTAACCCAGAGTGGAGACCATAAAGGGCAGGGAAGCACACAAGTCAGTCTTCTGACATTCCTGAACAAATAGATTTCCTTTAACTCATTTATCTCCATGGAGTCAGGTTGACTGTTGGGCAGAGAAGTTGGAGAGTTGGAGGGGAAGAGTGACAGAAACATTTTAATTACAAAGTTAGGTTCGTTATAGAAATGCAAGCCTGTCTCAACAGTTGGTAATCAGTATGATAGATCTCTCAGTATGAGAGATTTGAAGTAAATAGGCCATATCATCAGTAGAAACAGAAAAAAAGCTAATTCTACCCAACTGTATGTTTGTACCCATTAACCATTCCCTGTCTACCTCCCCCTGCCACTACCCTTCTCAGCCCCTGGTAACCATTATTCTACTCTCTATCTCCACGATTTCAATTTTTTTAGCTTCCACATATGAGTGAGAATATGTGATATTTGGCTCTCTGCACCTGGATAATTAAAAATTTTAAAAATTAAGAAAATAATGCCAACTCTTAAACACGTCGAAGTGCATTTACCATAAACCAATAGTAAACATCATAATAAATAGAGAAATATAAATGGCATTTTCATTAAAATCAGAAACAAGACAGGGATTTCCCCATTGTTACTACTATTCAACACTGTTTTAGAAGTACTCGTTAGTGTTGTGTGCCATGGAAAAGAAATTAGTTTTATAAATAGGAAAATGACAAAATTATTATTATTTGCATACAGTACCACTATATATCTATAAAATCCAAGAGATTCAACTATAAAATCATTTGAATGAATAAGAATTTAACTGGGTGGCTTGGTGCAAAATATATATTATTAAACAATTGCTTTTAATTATACTGACACTAACCAGTTAGAAACAGGACAAAATCCCATTCACAAACAAGGTAGTAATTTAAAAAATTACCCAGGAATAGAATTAATTAGGACAATACAATTATGACAATACAATCTATGTGAGATTAATCACAACATTGTATTCAATAGAAAAAAAAAAAAAAACAAGAGCTGTAGAAGGTGAGAGACATACCATGCCCCCTGCATGGCAAGAATTATGTTATCTTAAGCACTTAATAATATTTTTTAAAACTTAAGATCATGATTCTAAAGTTTCTATGGAAGAACACAGGTGCTGCAATTGTTAAGGGAATCTTAGGAAAAAAGAAAAGTGAAGGAAAAGTGCCCCGTTAGGTATGAAATTTAATGTAAATGAGAGTAATATTGGTCCAAATGTGGACAAGCAAATCAGTGGAACAGAATGGAGAATACAGATCCAGGTATTTGTGGGAATCTGCTGCATGATAAAAGTATTATTGAAATCAGTAGCAAAACTGTGACTTTTTCAATATATGGTGTTAGAAGAAAATAAAAATAGAACTGCTTCTTCACAACATGTACAAAGGTAAATTCTAGATATATTAAAAGTAATGTAAAAAAGAACTACTGAAGTATTAGAAAACGGTATAAAAATATGTATATGTCTGTGGGGTGATGTTCCTTAAACAAGACATAGATCCATGTTCTTTAAAGAAAAAAAATCTCTACAGATTTAATTATATAAAATTAATCTATTGGAAGAAAATATTTGCATACATCTGATAGAAGAAAGTCTTGATGTTACTAATATAAAAATACTCCTACAAATTCATAAGAGAAAAGAACTACCTAATAGATAAATGAACAAAGGATTTGGATAGGCAATTTAAAGGAGAAATTACAAATTTGTTGAAACATTCATTTGGAATATTATTAGGTTGGTGCAAAAATAATCGTGCTTTTGCCATTTGACAGAGGGAGTAAATTAACATATATGATAAACCCACTGTATGCTAGGTACTATGAAAAGTGGAATATATCTTCTCATTTAAGCCTCAAAACTCATTTTACAGGCAGTTAATGCTAATTTAGCCATTTTACACATAAGGAAATTGAGGCTTAATGAGTTTGACTAACTCTTCCAAAGTCATGCAGTCCAAAAGTGGCAAAGCTAGCATATTTTCTGGAGATGTATTGTACAGCATGGTGACTATAGTTAACATTAATGTGCTAAGAGAGTATACGAGTTAGTGGGTGCAGCGCACCAGCATGGCACATGTATACATATGTAACTAACCTGCACAATGTGCACATGTACCCTAAAACTTAAAGTATAATAAAAAAAAGAAAAAAAAAACCAAAAAATAAATGTTCTCATTCTCCAAAATAATAAGGATGTGAGGTGATATGGATATGGATGTGTTAATTAGATTGATTTACTCATTCCACAATGTATACATATATCAAAACATCATGCACTATCCACAGCCTGGGAAAATGTGCTAGTTGGTGGCATAGTTAGATGAATTTTTAGGTCATTAAGAAAATATACCCCAACATTGTTGACTTAGAGCTGATAATGCATTCCTAGTTCAAAGAGGACTTCAAGTAGCCAGGGAATTCAGTCTATTGATTCTGGCTTGACTGCTAACACACAGGGAAATCCTCAGCAAGGCTCTCAGATCCCATGAGGTAGATACATAAGAGGCTTGAATGATTGAACCAGGAGAATGCTGAATGAGGGCTCTGTGTCTACATTGTTCCAGGGTTTTGAGGACAGACCAGTTATTTTCTTAATTCTTGTATTATCAAAGCAGATACTCAGCCTGGCTTAGTAGACCCTGGAGGGTGCACTGTAGTAGAGGGGGCCATGCAGGCTCTTCTCTGTCTTTAACCCTTTATTGTTCAACCTATAAATATCGAATTTGAGGAACCCACAGGAGCCACGCTAGTCAGGTTTTTCAATTTTGATGATGGAGAGGGTGTATGCCAATAAATATTATTCCATTCATTCCTTTCCAAGTTAAAAGTTCATTGGGAAATAAAATTCAAGAGGTGGAGAAATGGAGACAGAATGCCAGAATTATTACTAATAAATCCAGCAGAAGAATTTGGTTTTAGATCTATAGTGAAAAGGGTTTTCTGACATTTGTACTCTGTCACATCCCCCAACTCTCTCAAGTCCAGACATCAGGACAGCAAACCCAAGGGAAAGGTTGAGCCCATAGGAGCCACTACATTTACCCAGGGTGCTGCCTCTTACTGATTCAAGGCAGATAGTGACAGAAAAGTGTGAATCCTCAGTGCCTTTGACCTTTTTTATTGCAAGGTGATATAGTTTGGATACTTGACCCTGTCCCCAAAATCTCATGTTGAATTATAATCCCCAATGATGGAGGTGGGGCGTCGTGGAAGGTGTTTGGATTATGGGGGCGGATCCCTCGTGGCTCAGTTCTGACTTTGTTATAGTGAGTTCTCACAAGATCTAGTCATCTAAAAGTGTGTGGCACCTCCGACCCCACTCTCTTGCTTGCTCCTGCTCTTGCCGCATGACGTGTCTGTTCTCTCTTTGCTTTCTGCTGTGATTGTAAGCTTCCTGAGGCCCCCGTAGAAGCCAAGTAGATGCCAGAACCATGCTTCCTGTAAAGCCTGCAGAACCATGAGCCAATTAAGCCTGTTTTCTTTGTAAATTAACCATTCTCAGGTATTTCTTTATAGCAAAGCAAGAATGGCCTAACACAGAAAATTGGTACCACGAGTGGGGTATTGCTATAAAGATGACTGAGAATGTGGAAGCAACTTTGGAACTGGGTAACGAGCATAGGTTGGAAGAGTTTAGAGGGCTCAGAAGAAGACAGGTAGATGAGAGAAAGTTTGGAACTTCCTCGAGACTGGTTAAATGGTTGTGACCAAATGCAGATAGTGATATGGACAATAAAGTCCAGGCTGCTGAGGTCTCAGATGGAAATGAGGAACTTATTGGGAACTGGAGCAAATGTCACGTGTGTTATGCATTAACAAAGAGCTTGGCTGCATTCTGTTCATGCCTTAGGGAATCTGTGGAAGTTTGAACTAAAGAGTAATGATTTAGTGCATCTGGTGAAAGAAATTTCTAAGCAGCAAAGCATTCAAGAGCTACCCTGGCTTCTTCTAATAGCCTATGCTCAGATGCAGGAGCAAAGGAATGACTTAAGTTAGAACGTATGTTTAAAAGGGAAGCAGAGTGTAAAAGTTTGGAAACCTTGCAGCCTGGCCCTGTGGCAGAGAAAGAAAAAGCTCTTTAGGGAGAGGTATTCTAGCAGGCCACTTGCTAGAGGTATTTGCATAACTAAAAGTGAACCAAGTGATAATATCCAAGGCAATGGGGAAAAGGCCTCAAAGGCACTTCAGAGACTTTCCCAGCAGCCTGTCCCATCACAGGCCCAGAGGCCTGGGAGAATGGAATGGATTCATGGGCCAGGCCCAGGGCTTCACTGCTCTGCACACCCTCAGGACACTGCACCCCATATCCTGGTCACTCCAGTTCCAGCTGTGGCTCAAAGGGGCCCAGGTACAGTTTGAGGTACCACTTTGGAGAATGCAAACCATAAGCCAAGGTGGTTTTCATGTGGTGTTAAGCCTGTAGGTGTGCAGAATGCAAGAGTGAAGAATGCTTGGCAGCCTCCACTTAGATTTCAGAGGATGTATGAAAAAAGCCTGGGTATCCAGGGAGAAGCCTGCTGCAGGGGCAGAGCCCCCACAGAGAACATCTACTAGGACAGTGCACAGGGAAAATGTGGAGTCGAAGGCCCCACACAGAGTCCCCACTGGGGTGCTGCCTAGTGGAGCTGTGGGATGGGGGCCACCGTCCTCCAGACCCGAGAATGTCAAATCCATCAGTAGCTTGCACCCTACACCTAAAGAGTAGCTATGTCGGCTGTATCCTGCAAAGCCACAGAGTTGGAGCTGCTCAGGGCCATTGGAGGCGACTCCTCACACCAGCATGCCCTAGATGAGGGACGTGGAGTCAAAGAGATTATTTTGGAGCTTTAAGACTTAATGACTTCCTTGCTGGATTTTGAACTTGCATAGGACACATAGCCCCCTTTTTTTTAATGCTGGAATGAGTTAAGATTTTGAGGGACTGTTCGGAAGGCATGATTGTATTTTGCAATGTGAGAAAGACATGAGGTTTGGGAGGGGCCAGTGGTGGAATGATATAGTTTAGATAATTGTTTCCACCCAAATCTTACGTTGAATTGTAAGCCCTAATGCTGGAGACGGGACCTGGTGGGTGTATAGATCATGGGGGCAGATGTCTCATGGACTGGTGCTGTCATTGTGATAGAATTCCCTTGAGATCTTGTCATTTAAAAGTGTGTGGCACCTCACACCTCATTCTCTCTCTTCCTTGCTCCTGCTTTTGCCATGTGATGTGCCTGCTTCCACTTTGGCTTCTACCATGATTGTAAGCTTCCTGAGTCTTCCCTAGAAACTGAGAAGATGCCAGCACCATGCTTCCAGTGAAACCTGTAGAACTGTGAGCCAGTTAAACCTGTTTTCTTTGTAAATTACCCAGTCTTAGGTATTTATTTATAGCAATGCAAAAATGGCCTAACAAACAGTAAAATATACACAACATAAAATTTACCTTTTAACTATTTTGAAGTATACAATTAAGTGGCATTTTGTGTATTCACAATATTGTATAACCACAACATCTATCTAGTTTTAAGCATGTTTATTACCCCAAAAGAAAACCCAGTACCCACAAAACAATTACCTCCCCCTGCAACTTTCCTTCCCCTAAGATCCTGGTAAGCTCTAATCTATTTTATCTCTGTGGAGAATTTGCCTATTATGGAAATTTCATATGAATAGCATCATGTAATACGTTGCCTTGTGTGTCTGGCTTTCACCATTTAGCAAAATGTTTCCAAGAGTTCAACCGTGATGTAGCATGTGACAGAACTTTCTTAATTTTTAGGACTGCATAGTATTCCATAGTATGCATATACCACATTTTGTTTATTCATTTATCTGTTGATGGACATTTAGGCCGTTTCCACTTTTTGGCTATTGTGACTAGTGCTGCTATGAACTTTTGTTTTCTAGTATTTGCTTGGATACCTACTCTCAATTATTTTGGGTAGATACCTAGCAGTGGAATCTCTGGGTCATATGGTAATTCTATGTTTAACTTGTTGAGAAAGCACCAGACTGTTTTCCACACTTGTGGCTTTAAAATATTGATAAGCAGCCAGGTGCGGTGGCTCACACCTGTAATCCCAGCACTTTGGGAAGCCGAGGCGGGCGGATTACCTGAGGTTAGAAGCTCGAGACCAGCCTGGCCAACATGCTGAATCTCCGTCTCTACAAAAAAATACAAAAATTAGATGGGTGTGGTGGCAGTCGCCTGTAATCCCAGCTACTCAGGAGACTGAGGCAGGAGAATCACTTGAACTTGGGAGGCGGGGGTTGCAGTGAGCCGAGATTGTACCACTGCACTCCAGCCTGCATGACAGAGTGAGACTCCATCCCCACCCCAAAAAATATTGATTAGCTTTCCCTAATTGAAAAGTGTAGCCCAGTGGATGTGCCCCACTAATTAGATAACTTCCTCCTCCTTGGGGTGGGGTAAGTCACACGTGGGTATAAAGCCAGGATGTTACTACACCTGAAGTTCCTTCACATGTGCACATAGGGCAGGGAAAAAGAGCATGCCATCTTCAACAGATGACATACAGCTGGGAGCAATAACTGACATCTAGCTATTAAACACAAACTTCTTGAAGACCTATAATGTACCAAAAATTGTGGCAAACATTGTGGATCCAGAAACAAGGAAAATTTTCGGTCCTCCATAAGCTCAGATTCTAAAAGCTGAGCACTAATTTTTAATGAAATCGTAATGCACTAATCAGAATCCACGATACATTTAAAAATCCAATTATCTGAAATACAAATTTAACATTATACGGGGATGTCGCTCAATGATAAGTGACCTCACTCTCACATTACGTCAGTTCATAAAATATGTAGAGGACCATGTCCAAAAAATTACACATAATTCAGCTAAGATGAGCACTGCACAAAATTGAATAAATTACAGTGGTTCATCTGTCTTTAAAATAATATTTAAATTAAGAAACCAAACTAATCACTAGCTGAACTTGATTATTAAAATCAAATTTTTTTTACATAAATGCATGTTAATAGCTAGACAACATACACTGCAATAATTGCATTATATTTGTCAGTTTCGATTTACAACTGAATTTACCATCATCATGTAAAACATGAATCTGTCCCTAAACTGAGTGCAGGCATTACCAATGAGCTGATTATATCTCCACCTACTCCATTTAACCATCGTCAGGCACTACCTGAAATATTATATACCAACACAGCACTCCATTCTTGGGATGATTCCTGGTCCAAATGATTCATTTCTCATGGATCTGCCTCCACATACCCAAAACCCATGTTCCGTATCATTGGATATCACATTAGTGTGGGCCACAGAGAACACCCATCTCTTGCTAAGAACAACAGCACTATTCTATAGACAGCATAGCTCTGGCTTTTGAAATGGAAAGAAACACATGTAACCATGCCGTCTTTATTGCTCTGTGTAACTTTTATTTAAGCTCTTAGGTAATTTAGACATACCCATTCTTCTAGTTAATGGCTAACAGCCCAGTATTGTCAAATACCATGATGAAATATTCTGACAGGTCTGCAGTTTTACACATGTGATTGAATGTTCAGACTACTTTCTCTCCATGACAGGCTACCAAATACCATACATAATTTGAGTATTTTTGACAGAAGAATGCACATCATTTTCTTTCTAGGGAATAACATGCTTTTGAGGTTTATTACCCGAATTTGAACACATTCTTATAGTGGATTTTCCATATTGTTCTTCCACCAACAATCATTAAGGGTTGTGATGTTGTGTTCAAATGCCATCTTATACATTAAATTAAATTCAAGTTGGTGTGGTTAATGTTATTGGAAAATACCTATTAGGCTTGCTTGAAAAATGTTAGGAACTGTGATTGCATTTAGAACACAGAATCAGACTTATGGAAGCAACTGAGTTCTATTAAAGTACCTGAGTTTATGTAGAAGAGCAAAGCTAAAATGTGACTAAGTGCAATGCTTAAAACACACTAATACCAGTTAAATGGATAAGTACCTGTAGTAATTAATAAAAAAGGAAATTCATCTAGAATATAATTTTAGGTGTCAATAGGAGGAGTCCATCCTGCAGAAGAGATTCAGATAGAAATTCTACTTCTAACCTAGATAACCATGTATTAGTATCAGTGCTTTTGTATGCACGTTATAATCTCAGCTAATCCTCTCAAGAGTGCTATCTCATTCATTTAAATGGGTTATAATAGAAAATGGATCTGCTCATTCTATTCTACATAATAGGAAATTAAAAAAACAACATCCTTTGTTGTTTAAGCATACATATTATATTGCTCTACTGAAGGTTGTCTAAGCTTCTATTTTCTTAGACAATCTTTTTTTTTCTTCAATTTCTATTTTAAGTTCAGGGGTACATGTGTAGAATGTGCAGGTTTATTACATAGATCAATGTGTGCCATGGTGGTTTACTGTACAGATCATCCCATCACCCAGATAGTAAGCCCAGCATCCATTAGGTATTCTTCCTGATGCTCCCCACCCCCACCCCCACCTCCGACAGGCCCCAGTATGTGTTGTTCCCCCGATGTGTCCATGTGTTCTTATCATTCAACTCCCACTTACAAGTGAGAATATGTGATGTTTGGTTTTCTGTTCCTGCATTGGTTTTCTGAGGATAATGGCTTGCAACTTCATCCATATCCCTGCAAAGGACATGATCTCGTTCCTTCTTACAGCTTCATAGTATTCCATGGTGTATATGTACCACATTTTCTTTATCCAGTCTATCATTGATGGGCATTTAGGTTGATTCCATGTTTTTGGTATTGTGAATGGTGCTTCAATGAACATACATACGTGTGCATGCATCTTTATAATAGGATAATTTATATTTCTCCAGGTGTATACCTAGTAATAGGATTACTGTGTCAAATGGTATTTCTGCATCTAGGTCTTTGAGGAATTGCCACACTGTCTTCCACAATGGTTGAACTGATTTACACTCCCACCAACAGTGTAAAAGTGTTCCTTTTTCTCCACAATCTCGCCAGCATCTGTTGTTTTTTGACTTTTTAATAATAGTCTTAGGCAAATCTTGATCTTCTCCTACCCCTCCCAGGATTTTGGTTTTTAAGTGTCTTTTGATGTTGAAGATTGAATCTATGTTCTATTTCTAGCTGCTGTGCATCTCTGTTTTCCTCCATCTTTAACCTCCTCTCCCCTTACACAGGTGATCCTTCAATGAAACACAATTCCTTATTTTGTGAGTCTCTCAATTCACTTTTATGACTGGATATTGTTTCCAAATTCCTTGGCAGGTTTAGTTACTACAGTGATTAGATGAGGCCATGATGTGGCCAGGCATTGGAATCAGACCAGAGGGCAAGTTATTCAACTTCTCTGTGCTTCACTTTCCTCAGCTGTGAAAACAGACTAATGATAGTACTTACCTGATAGGACTATTGTGAGGATTAAATGGGATAAAACACTTAAACACTTTATATAGTCCCTGGTAAGTGCTCAACTAATGTAACAAAAGACGTTGGTGAACATTAGGGTTCCTCATCCATAAGTTCTCTCAGGCCATACTATTAAACAAACCACTCAGAAAGTATCTCACTGATTTATTTTAATTTGTTTGAAAATGGAAGTATACAACCTTTTCAAAACGTTTTCCCATCTCTAGTCTTCTGACACGTCTCATATTTTTCACCTTCCCTTGCATTATAAAGGGTCATTCAGAAATCTGATCTGCAGGTGTTCTCTTTGCCTGGGATGCCATCTAAATGTATCAGGAGACTTAGTTCATTCATAATATATTGATAGAATGCCTGCTATGTGACAGTTGCCGTTCTAGGGATATAGGGTGAAAAAAACAATATCCATGACTTCATGAAGCTTCAATCCCGGTAATTAGAAATCTCTTAAATAGCCAGGGGTTCGTTTCCAATCTCTTTGCCTAGCTTTGTCTTCCTTATTCCACCCCACTCCATTATTCTGTTACAAACTACCTTAGTTGTACCTTTTCCAATCTTTGGATCATTACCTATAATGAAGAATACATAAGCAAAACAGTAGTTGAAAATACCTGTTTTCCTTCTCCTCTGGTTATAGCATGCTGTTGTTCCCAAGAACAAGCCTACGAATTTCTCTTTTATTTTTTTCTGGAAAATATAAAACACATCCTTTTTAGGAAAGCCTCACCTTATTCTAGGCTTTAATATTTCTGACACTGTGTCAAGGGCTTCAGAAAATCTTGATGCAAAGGAAAGGGCTTTGCCTTCAGGCTCAACTGAACTTAAATCTAAACTTAATTGCTTCTTAGCAATGTGTGTGACCCCTGGCAAATCATTTACCTTTCTGAGGCTTAGTTTCCTCATTTTTAGGTAAGGATAATGAATGCCACTTTGTGGGGCTGTCATGAACATTAAAATGAAAGAATGTCTATAAAGCACTTTGTACAAGCCTAGCACAAATTAAGTGCTCAATAAACATTAACTATTTTTAGCAAGAGCCACCCAGTAAAGAAGGCTTGGTTTCAAATCTCTGTTCCAAGCTTACTAGCTGATTAACCTTCAGCAAGTTGCTCATCTTCACTGAATATGGGCTTCCCTTTCTGTAAAATGAAATTTAATATCTACTTATCTGAATAATTGTTCTAATGATTAAGTGAGAAAAATGTAATGACATTGTACAGAATATATTCCTTCTACTTTTATGTCTTTTGCTCACTACCAAATTTTTCAAGGCCTTGTATCCAGCCCTGGGAGAATAATATAGACATGATCTCTTGCCCTTTTGGAGAAAGACAAATTATGTATTATATGATTAGAAATGATGTGAAAATTTTATGAGGGAAATAAGCAGTGCTGTTCTAGAGAATAATGGTTGTTTAATTTAAATCAGAAGAGAGGACTTCGTTAAGAGATGACATCCAAACAGATCCAAATGATAAGAATCTAGCAATTGGAAGAACATTTCAGCCAGAGGGAACAGCATATAGAAAGATCCTGAAGTGGAAAGAGCTTGGCCTGTTCAATGAGCTAAAAGAAGCCTGATGTCCCGATTTTTTTGAGAGAATATACCTATCCTTTATTTAGAAAAGTAAGGCAGAGTTGTTGACATTATCAAATAAACTAGAGGAGTCAAGGGAGTGAGGGCAGGTAGGAAGGTTTTAAAAGGTGGTCATGGTAAACTTTCCAAAATAATATCAATATTTTATCAGTTGGGGGTCCCGACAGGAAACAGGTGGTACATGCAAAGTGGGTAGCTAGAGGATAATGTAATAAAGGGATATATACAACGCTGTGGTCGGGGTTTAAGGTTAATAGTTAAAGAAAGCCAACAAAGGAGAAGGAAGCATCCCAGGACAAGCAACAGCAGGGGTGGATTATCACCCTGTGTGTTGATGAAACTAGGAGTGGGGGTGGTTACAGAGCTTGGAGAGGGCAGCAGCTGCATGGAGAAGGCCTGGTAAGGTTTTTGGTAGAGGAACATAACTGCTATCAATCTGTAGTCCAGAACCAAGGGATCTGGTGGTAGGGACACATACCCTGCCCTTCTTTCACTCTCTTGCCAGTACCTCCTATTGGGCATACTCAAGTGGAAGCCAGAGGGAAAAGGGAGTTGGTTTGATGTAGCCTGTAGAGATCAGTCTTCTGGGGCACACAGAATGTGGAGAGGGGTGGAGTATAGATCCAGAGAGACAAATTCAAACTATCCATCACAACATCTAATATATAATTGTGCTAGGCTGAATAATGCCTTCCCCGAAGATGTCCATAGCCTAATCCCTGGAACAGGTGAATATATTACCTTAAATGGTAAAATGGACTTTGCAAATGTGATTAAGGATTTTGAGATGGGGAGATTATTCTGGAATATTTGGGCAGGCCCTATGTAATTGTAAGGGTTTTATAAAAGGGAGGCAGACAAGAGAATGAGATGTGCCCATGGATGCAGAGGGCAGAGTGCTGTAGAGCTATGAGCCAAGGAATGCAAACAACCTCTTCAAGCTGGAAAAGGTGAGAAAATAGATTCTCCCCTAGAGCTTCCAGGAGAAACACAGACTGCTAACGCCTTGATTGTAGCCCAGAGACCTGTTTTGGAATTCTGACCTCCAGAACTGCAAGAATAAATTTGTGTTGTTTTCAGATACTAAATTTATGGTAATCTTTTTTTTTTTTACAGCACCAATAGGAAACTAATAAAATAGCTTTCTAATTCTATACTGTTTTTTACTACTGTCAAGCATGCTCATGAACATTACCTCTTTCAATATTCACAGCAATTCTGTGAGGAAGGAATTATTTTCTTTAGTATATGGAGAGAGAAAGTGAGGGTCAGAGATTTGAAAAGTCTTGCCTATAGTTATCACATGATGCAGCTAGAGATGAAACTCAGCTTTTTTGACTCCAAATGCAGTGTCCTTTTCCCTCAATACACTAAATTTTTTTCTGCAGAGAAGCAGCAGAAGAAAGCGAGGCTTCAGGGAGATGTGGGACAAATAGGTGGTTCAGTGTATTGTGGTAGAAGAGTTGTCTCCATTGGAGCTAACAGATTCTATTGCTTGATCTGACCTACCTTCAGATTCAGAGTATCAATGCTCACTGAAACCCGTGTGATATGGTTTGGCTGTGTCCCCACTCAGATCTCATCTTGAATTATAACTCCCACAATTCCCACGTGCTGTGGGAGGGACCCAGTGGGAGGTACTTGAATAATGGGGGTGGGTTTTCCTCATGATAGCTAATAAGTCTCATGAGATCTGATGGTTTTAAAAAGAGTTCCCCTGCACAAGTTCTCTCTCTTTGTCTGCTGCCATCCATGTAAGATGTGTCTTGCTCCTCCTTGCCTTCTGCTATGATTGTGCCACCTCCCCAGCCATGTGGAACTGTAAGTCCATTAAACTTCTTTCTTTTGTAAATTGCCCAGTCTCGGGTATGTCTTTATCAGCAGTGTGAAAATGGACTAATACACTATGCTTGATGCAAGGCAGTGGTTTTCAAACCCATGTTTGGAGCAAGCCCCAGAAACCTAGGGCTTTTGAGGAAAAGGATGTGGGGTGATGGGGTTCTTTCAACCAGAGAAGCTCTATGCTCATCTATTTTTTAACTAATTGACTTTGATGTAGGCCACATTTCAATTTACAAAAACAATTCTGGGGCTAAAAAGAAGTTTGAACATAATGGTGGACATTCTGCAGACTTTCACTGTAGATGATAAGAAGAAGTAGAAACGTAGAAACTCCAGGGTGATTTTCAGTAAACTCCATAGAAAGGAGGATGAGGTAGAGCAGAATTCTTGGAGACCCCCAAGCACAAGCTGGCTGTGAGAAGCAGCAGAATATCATATATATGACAGCATCTGGGCTCTTGTTTGATTTTTAAAGTAGATTATAACATTTGGAACTCCATATCCTATGAGGCTTAAACACATTTGTGATGGCGGGATGTTTCTGTTGCATTGGCAAAGGTCAAAATCAATAGAATTCGCAAATGTTCCCCTATGTCATAGGTCAGGTGCACTATTATTCCATAGATCACTAGTGACTTTCTCTGTGATCTTTAAGCATTTGTTTGACATAAAAATGACTTTTAAGGTTTACTTACTGGTCCCTTGGCAAACTAAGAACACTTCCTATCTCTAATGCTTTAAATAAATCATCTGAAATTATTGCACATTGAGCTGTTACTTTGACTGGCTGCTGAGAAATGTGCTTGTGTTTTAAAGGACTTCTCTTTTGGAGGTGGGTGAGTGGGTGAAGAACCTCTTTTTTTGTCTGCTCCTCTAGAAATGGTCTTTCTGAATGAAATGAGCACATCAGAGAGCTATGTCCCTGAAATGCTCCTCAACCCTCCTAAGCCCACCTTCTCTGAATTGTACTTCAGTATTAGGTGCTGGACCTCCAATAGAGAACACTCCAAAAATTCTTCATCACAGACTTGTCGTTGTCTTTATGGTAGGGGTGGTATTGGGAGCATTGTCCAGAATGTCCCAAATACACTTTAGAAGAACCCGTGAAAGGAAAGAAGTTCTCTCAGACCTCATTGCCAGGAAAAGCTGTGTTTCTCTTCAGCAACTAGTGTGTTTTTACGCTTATGAGTATTTGGAATTTTGTTATTCAGTCAGTGGCCAGACCCACTGAATAACAAAACCATAGCTGCATATTAGATATGCATGAATGCATGGCCCCACTCTCAGGAACTTAATTTTTCAAATGGTGAGGCTAATTTTGCAAAAATGCTCCTCCTGATTCTAATATGTAGCTAACGTTGAAGATCACTATTATAACAAAATAGTCCCTGTGATTTAGTCACTGGAAAACTCAAAATCAAGCCTGGGGCATTTTTGAACAGTTATACAGTACCGGATGTGCCTTTCTGAGTGTGGTTCTGATCTGGGCTTGATCATAGTGACATGTTCTGATTTACTCTTCCTCCTAATTTCTTTACCTATTTTTTAAATCAATTTTTCATTATATATTTATTAGATCTGCTTCAAATGATTTTGAAGTGAGGCAATAGATAGATTGGTAGATGGAGAGATGATAGAAAGATAGATCATTGCCAAGCGATGTTTATACTGCGTCTAGTTACTGCTAGGGCATTTTTCTAACGATTAGATACAGCAAATTGAATGATATGGGCCAATCCTGCTGCAGAAATTATAGAAAACATTGTCTTTTGTGTTGTTATTATGAAAACATTCCCACAGTTCTTTCATGTTTTAATAAAAAATGAAGAATTATTACCAATAGCTTTGGAAAGTAAAGAAAAAGGAAATTTAAAAAGTAATTCCTAACTCCAATTCCCCAACATCACAAAACCTTTGATTTTTTCAGAGCATTCATCTATCCTTAGAAGACTTCTATTTAAGAAAATAAATAGGAGTAGAAAAATCAACAAGTGAAGTATTTAAGAAAAATAAGCCCAGTCTTCAAGATGCTTGGAATCCGCATTTGCTACTTGCAAGTCACATAAGAAGAACAAGCCACTTATTTTAGTGACTTCCTGCTGGGCTCCAGACACCATAGCCTATGAGATCTCTAAAACTGGGCCCCTATTTACTTTTTCAACTTTCGAGCCATTCACCACTTCCCCTCCCCTCCATTCCCACATACAACTCTAGTCAGGATAAACATATTTTAGTTTCTAGAACATGGTCTTTCTTCTGGGTCTTCATACATGTTGTTACCTCTGGATCACATTATCTCCCCACTTCCCCCATTCACCCAGCTAACTCACTCCCCTTCATTCTTTCTATGTTTTGCCTTAGATGCCATTTCCTACTGGAGCTTCTTTGAGTTTTCAGACTTGCTTCCCTGCTGTAGGTACTTTTCCTATTAAGCCACTTGTTCCAATGAATGGTGATTACTTAGTGAACATCCGTCTCTTCTGTTAGACTATAGGCTGTGGACGCTGGTTTTGTCACTGTATTTCCAGCACCTAGCACAGTGCCTGGGACAGAGTAAGTACTCAAAGCATATATTTTGCTGTTGTTATTATAAGGTTTATGTTTTTCATGTTTGAAAGGCACTTGTAATATGTCAATAATTCTGATAGAAGTCATTTTTAGAGAAGGACGCCATAATCATTCAGTGAGAGAACACAGAATGCTCAGACAGTATGTGGACCCTGTAGCTGGACATTACTTTTCCCTGCTGATGGTTTTCTCTTCAGATATTATGTTAGAGATTATAATAAGACATGTAGCAATGGAGAGAAATCAGCTCATCCCAAACTGATTTTCACTTTTAGTTAACACTTGCTCTATGCAAGAAAAGGTCATATTAGTTGGTAGCTTGAATGCTTCCAAGACCATTGCCTATTTCAATGCTTCAAAGCTTCAGAAGCTCTGCCCTGTGCTGCAGTCATTTGGTGTAGAAGTGGAAGGTGCCTGAAATAAGACAGTTAGGGGTTAGAAGCACAGAGGCGGGTGTTATAAAATGTCACGTATGTTTACATGGCTTTTTTCTCAGTACAATTTTGATTATTGCCTTGTAAGCAAGACCCTGTAGTATATTGAAAATAGCTCTGAATTTGTAGTAAAAACTTTTTCATCTTTCTACTTCCTAACAGTGTTACTTTGGACAGGCCAATACATCACTCTGAGCTTTGATTTCCTTATCTCTAAAATGGGGGCAGTGACATAAGCTTCATACTAACCTGGTGAAAATTCTCTTGTACCTAAGTCAGTGATCGATAAAGGTCTATTAAATCCAAATGTCAAGGAAAGACTTACCTCATTGGATGGAATAAGTGTGAACTTTCTGGCTTTCCTCTTTTGCAAAGTTTGTGAATGCATTTAATCATTTTTATTAGTAGTAGTATTACTTATTTACCCCTCTGCAAATCAGTTATGAAAAGAAAAATGTCAAATGTAACTTACCTTTCCAAAGAAAATTGATTTGTTAAAGCAATAGTTGCCAGAAACTCCAATTTTGCTCTGATTTGATATGATCCAGTACAAGCTAGGAGTTTCCTCACAGAGCTGAGGGGAAAAGGAAGAGCCAAAAAATCTCTCCAAATTAGCCCATGAATGTGAGCTGTAGTTTTTTTTTTTTTTTTTTTTTTTTTTTTGGATAATCAGATATTCTGACTTTGGTCTTCTAATTATTTTACCAGGCCAGGAAAGGAGAGCTGACAAATAAGCCTGATTCTTCCTTGGCACCAAAAAATTCAAAGAAGAACCGAAAGTCCATTGAAGTTCTTGTTTCCTTTGAAATGCTTGTGATCTGCCTCCTGAGACTGCAAGGTTATTAACTTGCATCAGGAAGGTGGTAGAGAACTGAATAAAGAAATATCCATCCATCTCAGTTGTCGTGGTTCTTCTGTCATTCAGACCCCAGCAGAGCAGGAAGCAGTGAGCTGGAAAGTGCATACATTGGTTTTTCCTTGCTTCTACTGAAGGATCAAAACTCCTTAGGCCACTCAGTGACTTGGTTGATGCCTTCCTTCTTCCTACCTTTGCCTTTCAATATCTAAGCAAAGTTGCCCTTTGTTTATGTCTCTGGGGTTTTTTCTCTTTCCTTCTCAGAATGTCTTTTCCTCATTTACTCTTATTCCCAAACAACTCTTTGTGTAATCTAGCTGGGAACACATTGTATGACTACTTAGGTATAATACAGAGGCATAGTGCTAGAAGTATAGAGATAAATGGGTTCTCAGTGACCATCCTAACAGTTATACTTGGTGGTTTTCAAACTGTGCTTCAAAAGAACCCTATAGGTATATTCTGAAGGAATCCCAAAGGTTTTATAAAAAGGAAGTTGGTGGAAGATGCGTGGTTTGGTGTCCAAGGAAAGCTAAACAGAAAGGGCTATGGGCAAGCCATCATCACTTCCACCAAAGAAGTTCCGCTTTAATCTGTATCTTATATTTGGCATTAGCAAATGTTTAGATAAAGAGTTCTGTGGCCAAAACAATTAGTGGGGAAAGCATCTGCTTAGCCCTGTTACTTATCTGTAGAGGGGTAAGGACCTAAGTAATGTTAATAATGTTAACATTTAGTGTTAATATTATTTTGTATCTGCTGTGGTTGCATAGATGCATCTTCTGTTTGCTCAACTGGAACGTGAACCCATGAAGATCACGGCCTAGGTTTGCTGTCTTTATGAATAGACACCTGGTCTGTTCTTATTGGGCATAACTCTGTCTTATGGATTGGCTGCTGTTAAAGTTTTTGGAGCTGTCTTTTTTTAATAATCTAACCAGAGTTGTAGAACCACTGTTATAAAATACATCTGTAGACAGCACAATTTACATATTATTTCAAGGAGTTCTGGTGTCACTGAAGTCAAACTATGCACTTTGAGCATAAGAAACCTGGCAGGAGAGGCTTCTTGATTTACCATACAAACTTCTGGAGCATGTTTGTTTGGTTTTTTTTTTTTTTGACCCCGATCTTTAGAACTGCCCAATATTGGAATTGGAATGGGCTACTTCATGACAGACTCAATGCTTGATTCCTTTGCATCAACCCAGAACATATTTTAGATTCTATTGTTTCCAATTTCTACATATGTTTCCTTGGGCAAATCACTTAATTTATCAGAGTCTCAGTTTTCTTATCTGTAAAATGGGAGTAATGATATTGCCTACTTTATAATGACCTCATAAAGTTGTTGGGAGGAGTTAATTAGGTGGGCACAGAGTAGGTGGTAAAAATGTCAGTTCCCTAAAATTCCTTATAATTTATTACAGAAAATACAATCTGCCTTGTGTGGAAAATTGAATTAGATGCTCTTGGGTCCCTTATAATGCTGAGATTCTCTGTTGGTTCATCCTTTCTGCTTTGTTTTGTCAAATAATCCAGAAGCTGTTGCCTTTTTGCTTTGGATTTACCTTCAAATGGGTTTTAGGTATAGAATCTTGGGAAATTATTATTATTTTTTTGCCTCAAAATCCAGCTTAAAAATGTTTTACAAATATCTTCAGCTGCTTTGAAGGGATTTTACATCTTTATTGTAAAGTGGCTCTGAGTTTCCCTGAGGAAGATGAGATTTTTGACTAAATTGCTGACATGTTGCACTTTGTAGCCAAATTGTCTAGGGAGATACACATTTATAGTAGATAGTGTACGCTTAGAGTTTGTGATGTACTTTGGCTTCAGGCTTTTAAATAAGTCCGCCAAGGCCTGTTCCAAAAACCAGATCTTTAAAACGTATACCTTTTAACATGCCTCTGGTGGACTATGCTTCCCTGGATTCAAGCCCTTCCTTTTAACCTGGGCTAGCATTTGACTAATTGAATGTGGCAGAAGTGACAATGCACAACTTTGTAGGCTAAATCATAAGAAGACTTGCAACTTCAGTCTGTGTTTTTTGGAATGTTTATTCTGGGAGAAGCTGGGAACCAGGTAAGAAGTCTGACTGTGTACTCCACCATGTTGGAGAAACTTAAATAGGAAGAGGCCACATGGAGGGAGAGAGATGTCTGACCAGCCCTTAGCTGCTCTAGTCGTCCCAGCTGAGGTGCCAGAAACTTGAGTAAAATAGCCATTTTAGACATGCAGCCCTGGTGGCTGCAATTGCAGAAGAGATCTATCTAAGAACCTCTTAGTTTGGCCCAGTTAACCCACAGAACTGTGAGGTAATATAGTAAAATGTTGTTTTGAATTACTAGTTCTGGGTGGTTTTTACACAGCAGTAGATAACTGAAACAGATGCCTAAATTACACATCGTTTGCAGGCACACATAAATACAAATACTGGTGAATTATTTGAAGCTACCACCACAGTGTCTGGTAGGATTGTTAGAGGTCCTGGAGCTTCCTAGTAATTAGGCCAGCTTTCGTTGCCATTTACTCAAGTCGTTAAGGCTTAGCTGCTCAGATCAAGAAAATCATTTGTTATTAGGTTCAAGGCCACTGAGACAAAAATCCAGCTTTTATCTTTCCCATTGGACTCTTTGGCATCAAAATTTTCACTTTATTTCTTATTCTTAAGTTATATGGAGGATTTTTGCCATGGTTCTCCCAAATTACTTGCCAGGCTAACTCTGTCTAACTTTGAAAACTAGGGGTTGGCAAAGTAGGGCCTGCAGACAGTCCACATGTTTTTGTAAGTAAAGTTTTATTGGCGCATGCTTATTTGTTTACATAGGTCTATTTCTGGATTTGCACTATAATTGCAGAGTTGAATAGTTGTGAGAAAGATGGTATGGTGTACAAAACTAAAATTATTTACTATCTAACCTTTACAGAAAATTTGCCAAACCCTGGTCTTGACTATTGAACTAACTGGTTAATGATATTTGAGATTCTGTGCAGTATCATAGAGTCAGTCTGAGATCTTGACTTCATGATAATGTTCTTCTAATTTCATCTTTGCTGGGGATCACCAAGCAGGTAAATTGAGCCTCATATAACGTATGTTAAGTACCTACTATGCAATAGTTACTGTAGGAGAGCCAGAGATCACATCACCTCCAGCCCTACTTTTAGCTCTTAGTGGGCTCTTCAGCTGGATCTAGAAACTAAATTGACACCAGGCAGATTAACAAGATAAAAACAGACACATTTTATTAGTTTTACATGTACAGGGGATCTTCATAAGAGAGTGAAGTCTAAACAAGTGGCCAAAGCAAGATGCTTATACATTTTCTGACAAAGAGCAATAAATCTGAAAAGAAATGGTAGGACTAAGAAGATCTGGATAGGGCAGTAAAATTTCCTAGAGGAGTCACTAGAAGATATATTACGGGTGTAAAACAGGTGGAAGATATGAGTTACTTCATTAGGTATGTTTATTCATGTCCATGGCAGCCATCAATTCCAAGTGTCTGGTAATAAGGACGGTTTTCTCACCCTGGTTTAGAGAGGGTACACCTTCCAGAGGAATCTTCTTGGCTTTCACGGCTTGCTGAATGCAGGAAGAGCCAGGTTTCTGAAACTACAATTTCTCCAGTGTTTTCAATTCGAAATAATCACTTTACTTATCTGGCATATTTTGGAGTGGCACTCCTTCAGTACCATGATATATGCTTTCTTTTATGCCATTCATTGCTACATATAATAATCCTGTGAGATTGATATTTCTGTCTCCATTTAACAGTAAGGAAATTTGAGACTTTGAGAGAAAAAAATGATTTCCTTAAGGTCATACAGCTACTGACATGGCTAGGCTAGGACATGAACCCAGTCCATGGGCCCAGTATTGGGTTCTTTATTCTATACTAGTGCTTTAAAAAATTTTATCTCATTATTTTATTGTATGTATGTATTTATGTAAGAATTTATGTATTTGGCAGTGGGCATCTTATTTTACTTAAAAAAAGCTACCAACGATTCTATCCAATGTGTATAAAACAGATTAAAGCAGAACTTATTTGATTAAAGTGCTCCTGTGATCATACACCTCTTCTTTGCAACACACACACACACGCTCTCTCTCTCTCTCACACACACACACACACACACTGTCTTTCACACACACTCTCTCTTTCTCTCTCTCTCTCACACACACACACACACTCTCTCTCTCTCTCTCTCACACACACACACACACACACACACACACACACACGCTCTCTCTCCCTCTCTCTTCTGCCTTAACTGAAACATATGGTGGACCTTTTCAGGACCTATAACAAAAGATAGAATGACATGAGGTTTGGACCATCATCATTCAGTCTTTATTTTCCTCATAGCACAAACACCTGATTGCTCTATTGCCTCAATTCCAGGAATTTCCAAGGCATTCCATACAATTGAAATAAGAAATCAAGGATTACTCTATTTGTTTGTGTGAGGTGTGGCTGCTTTAATCACTTCCAAGCTCCAGATTTTCCCATCAAATCCAAGGTAGTCTCAATACCATTGTTTTCACAAACTTATTTTTAGCTTGGCACTTCCATGTGGATGGAGTTTTATATACAAATACTAAAAAATATGTTTATAAAGATATTTAGTGAAATCAGAAATCTTTTTAGTGCAATGCTGATAAAAGAGCTCTGTATATACTGCAGTCTCAGCTTTCCCTGCATGATGTATTTAAGTGGAGAAGTATGTGTTAGCTTACTTACTCCTAGACAAGTACAATTGGAGGAACCTGTGCTTAAATACCGTTAGTGATCTCTGGGTGGAGGGGTTCTGTGTGACTGACACTGTCTGCCTTAGAACTTTTTGTATTGTCCATTCTTTTGAAAGCATGTAGAAATGATTTGCCAAAAATAAGTATCTGTGTATACTTGTGACACTTTGTGATATTGTTTCAAAAATTTGAGACGAAATGGCTGGCTTGAGAGAACAGGCATATCTTCGTCCCAGAATTCCTTCTCTCTGAGTCTAGAAATTTCCTTTCATTTTTTTTTGGTCTGCCTGAATTTTTCTGTTTCTTTATTTGCAGTGACATTAAAGAGAGAGCACAAAAGGCCTTTGACCTTTTATTTAGCGTGTTTACAGATGTATCTCTACTTACAGCTTATCAGTATTGAATGAAAACTTGACTGGAAACACACCTCTCTGTGTTTTGAACAAAAGAAGAACAGATGTTAATCCATGTTACATGTTTTAAATGTCACTGTCAGTGTATACATTTGGATGTAAATAAACTGAATCCATGTGGTAACTTCAAAGTATGAATGAGATTATATTTAGGGAGACAAATGGCTTGAGAATTTTAAAACTTACAAATGAGTCCTTATACTCAGGAAAGAAAATAGGTGACATGCTGTATTACTTTTCACTGAAAGTTTCCTATATGATAAAGTTTATTAACTGCACAGATAAGTTTTTGAACATTTATGTTTTGGGGAAAATGTAGAATGAAAACTTGCATGCCATTCTGGAAAAAAGGTTATGCATTAATGCCACTTCCAAATTCAAAAAGATCAGTGTCACATTATGTAAACATCTTTGTATCAGTTATATTGCAAGTGACAGTACATTTTATAAGGTCTAAGGAAGCTTACATAAGAACAAATATTTTCTCAATACAATCAAATGCCACTTTGAATAAGGGGCACAGTAGAGGAGATGCAATGGATATGTGTAATGTGTGCTAAATTTGTGATTGCCTTGGGCACTACTAAAGCCACACTGAGTAATTTCATTTGACAGCCAAAAAAGAGGAGTTAAAGGAATGTGGCAGTTTCACCTCCTATGTCTATTCACAAACTCCCATGGTGACCTCATTAATCTTGGGGAGGAGAATTACTCAAAGACTGGATGCATAATGCCAAAATGACTGCTTGTAAAAGTTAGTATCCAGTCCATCTGCCACTGGTTTTCTTTATGCTGGCGTTTGGCAGTTTTATAAAGGAGTGTGCCAAGGTGTGCTGGGTCACAGTTTGGGGAAGAGAATGCTGAATGAACACTGGTTGGAGCAGCAACAAAGGTTTCCCTTGCATACTGTGCCTGCCAGCCATGGGAGCTCAGGCTCAAGTCCTCCCACCTCTTTATTGCTACTGGTTTGTCACCATTCTGCTGGCGAGAATGGTAGTGAGCAGCAGGGAGGAAGCCACAGGGTTTCCCACCAGAGAAACTGGACTGTCCCGGCATGATTTGCATACTTTGGCACAAACACCAGAGGATACTGACCTTGGGCCTTGATGTCACTACACCAGACAATTGGTTGAACTGATATGCTTTACTTGCCTTGACTAACATTGTGTTTTGCCAATTGGCCAATTGTTTAGTGGCCAAGGAGACTCACTGACTTTAGATTTGAATTCAGTAAACATTTTTTATGTGATTTACTTTGTGCCAGACAGTATTCTGGTCACTCTGGCACTTTTTATCTCATTTAATAATCATAATATTTTAGAAATAAGTTGATATTTTTATTTTAAAATTATTAAACCAAGGCCCTCTATTTCATGCTGTGGCTCTCCTGAATTCAAGGAGAAATATGTTAACGTTAAAAAAAATAAAATTGTATCACATAATGTGACATAAAGATGAGGGCATCATCTTTTAATAGATATATATTATTGTTAAAAATGTTAATTAGGTATTGAAAATTATAACAAGGACATTTCACCAGTGAAGTGGTGTAAGGGCAGGGAAGTTGGGGCAATGGGAATTGGAATATAATGAGCCACATTAAGCATACACATGTCAAGTCTAGTTCTGAATCCTGTGGCAGGCCTTACAAGAGAGTCCATGAGTCAGAGAGGTGCAAATAGAACCAGGAATTTGCATTGTTGTGGATGCAAAGGAGGAGGAAGTGTTCAACATTGTCAGATGTAGAAGAGAGGTCTAGAATGATAAAGACTGAAAATAGCCATAGGACTTTGCAGATGGGAGGTCAATGCTGACCTTACCAAGAGCCCCTTCCATGAAATTGAAAGGGCAACAAACAGAAATGCAGAATGAGGGATGAGTAGGAAGGGAAGGAAGAGAGAAGATTGTTAGTGAATAGTCCAGTCCTTCCAAAGGTTGTGCTGGGAAGAAGAGTGGTTTCTAGAGGGAACACATCTGTAAGGAAGAGGTATTTCTTCAAGTTTAAGGAAATGGAGCATCTCTAGCATAACTACTGGAGTCTGAAAGAAAAGGGAGAGAATGGTTTGAGATATAGGAAGGGACTTGAAGACCAATGCCACAGAAGGAACAGAAAGATGTGGGGCAGGGCACAGAGGGAACTGATTGACCTTCAACTGGATGAGAGACCCCACTGTCCTCACTCTTGAATGCTTATATTGTGAGGTGGAAAGTTAAAGAAAATCATAGCTGATGGCTTCAATTGTCTTGATGAAGCAGAGAGGCCAGCAAAATATTGAAATTGGAAGGAATGGGGATTGATCTAAGGACTTTTGAGCAAGGGAGTAAAGACTGAACAGGGTCATTGAGCAGAATAGAAAATGGACTGAAGAAAAGTATAAAAGAGTGTAGCTGAAAATCCAGCAAAGGTTGGAATTTGTAATGATGCCAAACTTCCAGATTTGCATGTCTTTCTCTTGCTGTGTAAATCAGAAAGGGTGGATTGTAAAATTAGACCAGGGTTTGGGATTTAGGGTTTTGGCAGAAGGACAGTGGTGAAAAGACACTGAGGGGACTGGAGGACAAGTGGTTTTTAATCATAGCCATCATATCCAGGCAGGGCAGGAAAGAAAGTGAAGATAGGAGGCATTTATTAGGCTGGGAGGAGATGCAGAGACCTATGGATGGCAGGACTCTTTGAGAGTGATGACAGGATGGGGTAGAAGAAGCAGTAAACTATGCCCCAGGATCATCCTGAATGTGGAAGAATTATTAGGAGGCCTAGAGAGGTATATAGTTGAGAAACAAACATTTCAAGAGACCAGAGGTCTTTAGATTAATGATCCGGGAATAATGATCATAATGTTGGGTAGGAAACAACAGGGCCAGATCACCAATACTCTGATCCTGCAATGGCAGGAGTAGATGAAAGACTAAGCAGTCTTCACTTGAAATCCCTTCAGGGAAAGCAGTGTCATCAGAGAAGAGCCAGGTTCCATTAAAGGTTTGAGTTGGAGAAGCATTCTGTCAAGTTTAGGAAGTATATGAATTAATCTACTATGATCTTAAGGATCCAGAACACACAACGAGAATGTTTATGGACAAGGGCAGCAATACAATCTTGAGGCAGAGAGAAGCAGCACAATGGGGTGAGAATGAGACTGTAGATGACAAAGGGACTTATATTCAGGGCAAGGACCAAGGATGACAAGTATGGGATAGAGGAATATTGAGATTTGCTGGCCTCATGTTGGTGCATAAGGCCAATGGGAAGCCCTATGGAGCTTCCTTGCAATTCTATGAGTTGTATAAAAGCGAGTCATGGGTGAGAGCTCTTGGAGTCCAGAGCTCGAGTTTGTATAAGGATCCTAAATTTACATAGTACTTTATGTCAGTTTTTCTTACCAAGCTGGGAGCTTGCTTAGATACAGCTTTCAAGTTATTTACATTGCAACAGACTTTTTAAAAAAATGGCTTACAGGGGAGACTTTTGGTCAAAAATATGTTTGGGGCACTATGTGTGGATTTCATTGATTCCTGCTTTCCATGCACCTGCTAGTTGTCTGTAGGTTCACTGCCCCTGTGAACAGAAGACCCAGCCCTTCTGGAAAAAAAAATTGTTTTAATGGACCTAAGCCAAAAATGCTTTAAGCCCGGAGAAACATTTAGTAATTCTTCAGAAATTTTATAGCACTACTGACTGGTGTGGAGCAGGTAGAAGTTGAAATTTTTTCCTGATTATGAAAGTAAGATATATGCATTGTAAAATATATTAAAAATATAGAAAAAGATAAAAGAAAAAATCACATTAAATCTCACCAGCTGCAGATATCCACTGTTAACATTTGGATGCATATTGTTCAATATTTTGTGTCTTTGAATATGCTTTTTAGCTAAAATGAGATCATAGCAACATATTTTATATTTTCTTGATTGTCTTATGAACATGATGACGTCATCAATAATCTTCTACCGCATGATATTCAGTATAGTATTTCATCGACTTACTGTATATACTTAACCAATCTTCTCATGCTGTTCATCTGGGTTATTTTCACCTTTGTAGAATTATGAATCACCCTGGTATGAACTTTCTTAAAGAGAAATTAATCTTGCATACATTTATGATTACTTAAGATGCATTCTTAGAAATGTAATGACTGGATCACAGTGTTTTCTTCTCTCTCTCTCTCTCTTCCCTTCTCTCTCTTTGCTTCTTTTTCTCTTCCTGCTTTCTTGTCTGCTTTTCTTTTTTTGCTACAATTTACACTTGAAACCAATTTTATCCTACAAGCTAAGAATACATTTTAGATTTTTAAATGGCTGAAAAATTCTAAAGAAGAATGATATTCTGTGATATGTGAAAATTATATAAAATTATATGAAATTTTTATTTCAGGATCCATTAATACAGTTTGTTGTACAGCCATGCCCATTTGGTTATATACTATCTATAGCTGCTTTCACACTACTATGGAAGAGTTGAGTAGTTGCAACAGAGACTATATGACCCACAATGCCTAAAATATCTAGTATTTGGTTCTTTACAGGAAATGATTGATGAGTCCTGATTTAAACCTGAGGAGTTTACAAAGTTATTATAGATAATGTAAATCCTTTAACTTGATTCCAGAACAATTTTCTTGTATGCCATATACTAATATTGTGAATCAGAACCCCAGTTTCCTTGTCTGTAGTATGGGTCTAATAATAGTGATAATTTCAAATGGTTTTTGTGAAGGGTGAATGAAATACATTTCAAGCATTTGAATAGTGCTTGGCTCAGAACTGAAAAGTAACATCACTAGAGGACATGCAGCTGCTTGCAAAGTGTCCCATTGGAAGAGTGTGCTATTCATTTCAAAGGAAGGAAGACAGAGCTTGCTTCTTTTGGAGAACCTCATACTGTATATGTTTGACCCACATCTGCCTTTTAAAATGATTGCAGAGGCTCTTTCATGTGGCTGGGGTGGGAATTGGTCTCCCTGATAAAGTAGCAACTTTGGGTTGCTATCCTTGGTGGGTACATCTTAGATGCTTCTGGTGGTCGAATGTGGTTGAATATATTTCACTTGCTCTACAAAGTCACTGTCAGCAGCACATGGATTGCAAATACACGTGGAACAAACAATTTCACCAAAGGAAAGATAAAAACTGGGTTGGATAAAGAAGATATAAAGAAAGAAAAAAGGGACTTGACGGAGTAGAGGGAAGCCAACGGAAGAAAAAATATTGGATGTGATTACTGCTTTTTAACTTTAAATAAATGTAGGAAAATTATTTTTACAATGCCCTGTGTATTGTGTGCCTAAAAATAATACAGAAAACATAGGATTTTAAGTGCATTAATATAAATGACTTGAGTACCCCAATGCTGCTATGTAACCGAAGGTTGGAGTTATTGCCCCTTTTATGTAACTTAAGTCTTTTCTGTGCTTCTTTCCATATACATCCCTTTTTTCTTCCTCTCTCATCTTAGAAGAAAATAATCCCTCTTTTCCTACAAAGACTAGTCCATTAGTCCTACTTCCCCTTCCTCCTCTTGCTCCTGTCCCATCCTTACCTGGCAAATCTCCCACCTTGCTTCATCAATTATCCTTTCCATCTCACTTACTCCTCAACCATTCCAAGTGATACTTTCTCTAGAAATTTTATCAAAGAATTCTCTCTGGTATTTGGAGTAACACAAAGAAAGAATCTAATATGGATAAAAGAGTCTGGTCACTGACGTCTCTTAACATAATCAATTCTCAATCATCTAGTCCGATCGAATGTGAAGTCGATGTGGTGGCTATTTATTTAAGTATTCACTTTTAAAGTATTTACCATGCATACTTTGTTCAAAATATTTGAAAATCCATCTTCAGCCTATAAATTATTTAGATTATATTTTCAGTTTCTGAACACACAGGCTGGTAGGTCTCTTTCTCTTTCCCTTCCTTCCTGTCTTTCATAATAATTTATTATTGGATCTTGGGATTTTGGAAAGAGCTTGTGTTCTTTATTAAAGCAATTCTTTGGAATTTTGGGGAGTTCCTTTACAACCAGTGTGTGGTCAGATTTTCTAATGTTCTGCATGTGCTTGAAAGAAATGTGTATTCTCTAATTACTGGGTGCAGGGTTCTATATGGTTTAATTAGATTAAGCTTGTTAATTATGTAGTTCAAATCTATGATTGTATTAAATTTTGCATGGTTGGTCTGGCAGTTTTTGACAGGTGTGTGTTAAAACTGCTGCTGCAATTGTGGATTTATTATTTTTCCTTATAAGTATGCCATTTTGTGTCACTTATTTTTAGACTGTAGTGCTACTTTATTAATATTTTTACATTTAATCTTTATATAATAAACCTGTTTATTACTGGTAAAATTGATAAAAGATAAAACCTTAAACAAGTACTTACCTCTTAGAAATGTTACAAGATTTAGGGGATGGCAGCCCAAAATTTACCTCCAAAAGCATATCTCTTAATTTTGTTAACTTGTAAATGTAATTAACTGTTCATTGTGGGAATTTGAATTATTGGCTTCTTTTATTTATACATACATTTTAATTATTTTTGGTTGCTGGCCTTAGTGGAGAACGTCTTAGATGCTTCTGGCAATTGAATGTGGTTGAATATATTTCACTTGTACTAAAAAGGAAGTGAAATATATTTTACAATATATTTCATCACCCGGTCATAATCACTGCCAACATTTCATCATACAGCCTTCCATTCTTCCTTCTCTACATTTTTTTTCTGGTTGAGGTTATTATCCAATTCAATATTTTATCTTGATTTGTTTTAACTTTCGTTATAGCTTAAACATTTTCTCATGTCATTACTAACTCTTTTATACATCCTACTTCTCCACCCCTAACAACCAAGAGAATTACAGTGAACCTTGGGATGCAATAAAATACACCTAAAATAGTGAATAGTACAGAACTAAATTGGGAAGAACAGAAACTAAAGAATGTGACTTGACCATTAATCACATTATTTGCACCACAGTTTAGAAACTTGAATTATCGAGTGTCTACAATGGTTGCAGTTCTTGGGGAAAGCTTTATAGCAAAGGTGGAATTTAAGCTGATCATTGATCTCTTCGTCAATGCTAAGCCAACTCCATTTAGCAAAGGTACTAGGGCAGGTATGAACCAGGCCCCATAATACGGAGTGGGTGATGGAAAGTAGATTAGACAGCAGTAATGTAGTAGGAAGACCCGTCAGCTTTACTCTTGAGAGGGGCAGGTATACAATTTACCAAGCAGCATGGGACCAAATTCTGGAGGACCTAGACTGTCAAAAAAGTTGCTGCTCTCTGTGCAAAAGAGATGCTTCTAGCTGTGTTGCTGCCACATTGATAAGCTGGTAGTTTGAGATGAGGAAAGAGGAATTTTTATGTCCCCATGGGTTATGCAGTCTCAACTACAAATTTCTGTCTGTGAAGAAGGGAAGGACAAAGCAGAACTGCTTTAAGAAAGGAAAGCGAAAAACATTAGGCTGATTTTGCTGGTGAATTTGTAACCCTAAGTTAGCATAGATCATCATTTTTTGTCCTTCTTATAAAAGTATGAGAAAGTATAATTATCCTGATATTAAATAGGAAGGAACCAGATCTCAAGGGGGTTGAGTAATTTCATATGACCAACACCACAAGCTAGATCTTAGGGCAGCTAGTTTGACAGGTTTTCTATTACTTTGTACTGCTTCTTCAGGGCTCAATGTGATACTATTTAATGATGATAACAGTGGTTGCTAGCCTTTTTTTTTTCACACCTTTGAGGTCTGTAAGGTCTTAATTTTTCCTAGCAAAATTCTGCAATACTAAATATCAGAAGGAAAAAATTTCCAGAGAAGTCCAGCATTATAGTTACTGTTTATTAAGCCCTTTTTTTTTCTAGACTGGTTCATTGTGGGATTTTATGCACACACACATAGACATGAACACTCACACACATATACACATCATATTTATCTAGGTGTGGATCTCTTCATTGTTTTTGCCTGGAATTTGAGGGACTCATTTTATCAATATCCTCAGCTTTCTCCTCAGCTCAGAAAAGTTATCCTCAGTTATACTTTTAATAATTGTTTTTCTGTCACCTTCATCGAAATGCCTGTGATGGCTAAGTCAGTTCAGCCCTTCATATCTATAGTCTTTTCTCTCTTCTTTTCCATGTTTTAGTTTTTGACTTTTGTACTCTGGAGACCTTCAGAATGTGAGGATTTTGTTTTATTTTCTGTAGTGTTAGTTTGGCTTTTACTTAATGTGCCTCTCTTGACCTACCTTTCCCTCCTTTTTTCCCATATTTCAATAAATGGAACCTTCATCCACCCAATTGCTCAAGCCAGGAGCTCTCTGTGTCTGAATTCTTACAGACAAAACCATGCCGTATCTTTTCTAACATACATCCAAAGTATACGTTGAATCATTTCATTTCACAAAGCAAAATAGTGGCTAAGGTAGGGCTGGAACCCAGGTTTTCTAGAACACCCTGGTTTATATCCTGGCTCCACCACTTTCTACCTGTGTATCCATGGGGAAATTACTTGACTTCTCTGAGTGCTCATTTTTAAAATAAGACATGAAGATAGCTACATTTCAGAGATACATTTACAACATTCTATGACTTCATTTCTATGAAATGTACAGCTTAGGCAAATCTATAGAGACAGAAAATAGATCAGTGGTTGCCTAGTGATAAGAGGGTCTAGGAGGGAAATGTGGGGAGCATTGACTGCTAAAGGGTATGGGGTTTCTTTTTGGGGTAGTGAAAATGTTCTAAAATTGATTGTGGTGATAGTTTGACAATTCTGTGAAGATACTAAAAACCATTTAATTGTTAGCTTTAAAGGGTGAGTTATATGGCATATGAACTATATTTCAATTAAGCTGTTTACAAAGAAAAAAAAAAAGAGTAAAGGAGGGAAATTTCCTGAGATGGCCAACGATGGAGTCCCTTCTGCCTCAAAGGCCCAGATGAACCTTTTCCCATGTTCTAGTTTGGCCATCCAGGTTTGTAGCCCAATGAAACTCTCATAAGTATGTGGTCTTGGACCTGGACAGAGTCTCCTCAGCTGCATCACAGTGACCATTTTAACAGGCTTGCCTCCCTTTAGAAACACAGCTTGGAAACCTCTATCCCTTTGTGGATTTTGGAAGCTACATTTGGCAGCTTCCTAAGGTAAGCACAGAGCAAAAATAATTTGCCACCTGGGGCTTTATGGCAGATGGAACTTAGTCGCCTCTTAATATCCTCAGCTGAAGAGTTGAGACATACCTCGGGCCTCAATTTTTTCAAAGGTCTGATCCATTTGTCTTTAATGCAAGCTGCACTGGCCTGATAGTCCTGGTAATTCCAATGCTGAATTACTTGAGACATTTTATAGAGTTAAGGGCATATGTTTTAAGGAATCTGCTTTAATCGTCCTCACTGAGAAATATCCTCCAATGTGGATTACTCAGTGCAGGTTTACTGGAGACATTTGATACAATCTGGAAGATTTAAGAGTTGAAGACATGCCCTGGGTCTCCATTTTATAAGAGGTTCCATGCATCAGTCTTCACAACAAACCATTCTTGCCTTTCACCTTCCACTGAGCCAATCCACATTAAAAGGAAGCTGAAAGAAATGACACAACTTGCACTTTGATTTTATAAGAAGTTGGATCTATTTATCCCCATTGGAACCATTCTAGAATTACTCCCAACAACATAGATTTATTCTGAACTTTCAATGCAATCTATATAACAGAGTTGGGGACATAACTTGGACCTAAATTTTGTAAGAAGTTGGATCTTCCCATCTCCACAAAAACAACCCTGGCCTGTCTCTCTCCCATGCTGAATTACTCCAGTTTTTCAATAACTTCTGGAATATATAAGAGTTGATGATACACCTCAGGCTGCAATTTTGTAAGAAGTTGCTCCTACTTATCTCTATTACAAAGAATCCTGAATTAACACCGCCCAGAGTGAAATCACTTCATGCAGATTTACTGCAGGCATTCTCTGTGGTCAGGCATTTTACTGGAGACATTCTGTATGATAAGGGAACCTGAAGAGTGAATACGTCCAGTTGGTCTGACAGACTAACCTGGTGCCATCTTTTCCCACTTCAAGAATTCCTTTGAAGGTTCAACTAGATAATATAGTTATAGTACTTGGCACACAGCAGTCTCTTAACCAATGTTTGTTCTCACTGCCTCTGAACCCATTTCTATTGTCTCCATTCATACAACCACATGGGTATATTTATCATGTGTATTTACACACACTCGTGTATGTATTCATATCTATTACATATATAGGAGTGTACATATACATTTGTGTGTGTGTGTGTGTATATATATATATACATACATGTATATGTAATACATATATACACATCTATTCATCGCCATTGGAACCATCCTAGAATTACTCCCAACAACATAGATTTATTCTGGACTTTCAATGCAATCTATATAACAGAGTTGGGGACATAACTTGGGCCTAAATTTTGTAAGAAGTTTGATCCCCCCATCTCCACACAAACCATCCTGGCCTGGATGTTTTGATATATATGTATGCGTATATGCATTACATATATGTGTGTGTGTATATATATATATACACACATGTATATGTGTATGTTTGTATATACATATATTCTGGAGTAAAATGGGTAGTTATTTAAGTCATTTGAAGGAATGCTGAAGCTATTTACCACAGAGATCTGTTTTGAGTATTCGGTGTGAAGGAAGGATATGAATATTTTAGAAAGACAAAAATAAAATATTACTTTGACTGAAAGAGATCAGTGCATTTCCATCTTTCTTTAAAAACACAGAAAATAAATTAGGAAATGAGTCTATTTGTGTGGTATGGGGGAAAGCAACTGTCCCTCAAGTGGCCCATTTGTTCTTGGATCTCCATGCAAAAGGCAAACTGGAGACCAGGGAGGCTGGAGCAACCTAGATAGGACATCAGTAGGGAGGCCATGTGATTGGCCCTGAGGCACCTCACAGACTGTCATCTCAAGTACTGTTGTGGAGCCAAATGCTGAAGTGAATAAAATATGTTCTAGTTATGCTTGGGAGACCTCCCGAGTCCAGCTGCCTTACTTTCCTCCTCCCTTTGCTTTATTTTGCCAAGATTATGCTAGAAGGAAAAGGCGAGAGGAGAGGAGAGTGCTGGGACAACTCCATCACTAAATTATATATGTTACACTTTTACTTGCACTTAGAAAATCTTGGATTGCCTATCAGCCCTGTGTTTACTTCAGATTGGGAGAGAACTAGGAAGAGCGCTAGAAGATTTGATCTTTCACTGACTTTGGGAAAATTTCTTTGATATCCTGAGCATCAACTTCACTATTTGCAAAAATAGCAATAGAGATAATAGTACTTTCCCCCCTCTTTTCACATATTGCTTGTTATCAACATATAAAGCGCAAACAGATATTATTTTGAACTCCTTCCTAGTTTCACATAATTCACATTTAAATGAGACTAAAATGTTTAGCTAAACTCAAAGAAGAAAAAAATTGGCAGAAGTGAAATATTTTCTACATATTAAAATAGCAGAGATTAAAAAATAATGACATGTATTGGTAAGAGTACAAGGAGATGGGCAGTTTCATATTCTTCTAGTGAAGGTTGAAATTTTGGTATATGGTGAGAGATAGGCATCTAGTTTCATTCTTTTGCATATGGATATCCAGTTTTCCAGCACCATTGATTGAAGAGACTGTCCTTTCCCCAATGTATGTGTCTGATACTTTGGTCAAAAATGAGTTCGCTGTAGATGTGTGGATTTGTCTTTGGGTTCTCCATTCTGTTCTGCTGATTTATGTTTCTGTTTTTATGCCAGTACCATGCTGTTTTGATTACTATAGCTCTGTAGTATAATTTAATGTAAGGAAATGTGATTCTTCTAGTTTTGTTATTTTTGCCCAGGATTTATTTGGATATTCTGAGTCTGTAGTGGTTCCATATAGATTTTAGGATTTTTTTTCTATTTCTGTGAATAATATCATTTGTATTTTGATAGAGATTGCATTGAGTCTGTAGATTGCTTTGGGTAGGATGGACATTTTAACAATATTGATTCTTCTAATCCATGTACATGGAATATCTTTACATTTTTTGGTGTCCACTTCAATTTCTTGCATTAATGTTTTATAGTTTTCATTATAGAGATCTTTTACTTCTTTGGTTATTCTTAGGGTTTTTTTTGTAGCTATTGTAAATGGGATTACTTTCTTGAAATTTTTTTTCTGATTGTTTGCTGTTGGCATATAGAAATGCTACTGATTTTTGTATGTTGACTTTGTATCCTGCAACTTTACTGAATTTATGTATCATTTCTAACAATTTTTTTCATGAAGTCTTTAGTAGGTTTTTCCAAATGTAAGATTATACCATCTGAAAACAAGGATAATTTGACTCCTTCCTTTTCAACTTGGATGCCCTTTATTTCTTTCTCTCGTCTGATTGCTCTAGCTAGGACTTCCACTACTATGTTGAATAACTGGTGAAAGTGGACACCCTTATCATGTACCTGATCGTGAAAGAAAAGCTATCAGTTTTTTCCCCATTCATTACAATATTAGCTATGTGTTGGTCATATATGGTTTTTATTATGTTGAGATATGTTCCTTCTATGTCCAGTTTTTTGAGGGTTTTTGTCATGAAGAGATGATGAATTTTATCAAATCCTTTTTCTGCATCAATTGAAATGATCATATGATTTTTGTCTTTCATTCTGTTGATATGATGTATCACAATAATTGATTTTGTATGTTCAACCATCCTTGCATGCCTGAGATAAATCCCAGTTGGTCATGATGAATGATCTTTTTAATATATTGTTGAATTTGGTTTGCTAATATTTTGTTGAGGATTTTTGCATCAATATTCATCAGCAATAGTGGCCTATAGTTTTCATTTTTTGATGTATCTTTGTCTGGCTTTGGTATCAGGATAATACCAGCCTTGTAAAATGAGTTTGGAATTATTCTGTTATTCTCTATTTTTTAGAATAGTTTGGGTAGGATAGGTGTTAGTTTTTGAAATCTTTGGTAGAATTCAACAGTGAATTCTACCAAATTCACTTTTCAATATGGCTTAAATCTCTTTACCTGTTATTTGTCTGTACAAGTTTTGGATCTCTTCATGGTTTAATCTTAATAGGTTGTATGTTTCTAGGAATTGATTCATTTATTCTAGATTTTCCAATTTATTGGAATATAGTTGCTCATAGTAGTAATTAATGTGGTACCATTTGTAACATCTCTTTTTTCATCTCTGATTTTCATTCAGCTATTTTCGCTTTTTTCCTTGGTTAATCTGGCTAAAGGTTTGTCAGTTTTGTCTGTCTTTTCAAAACACCAACTTTTAGTTTTGTTTATCTTTTGTATTGTTTCCTTCATTTCAGATTCATTTATTTCTGCTCTTGCTGTTTATTATTTCGTTTATTCCACTAGTTTTGTGTTTGGTTTGTGCTTGCTTTTCAAGTTCTTTAAGATGCATCATTAGGTTATTTTAAGTTTTTTATTTCTTTTTTGATGTAGGCACTTATAGCTATAAACTTCCCTCTTAGTACTGCTTTTGCTGTATCCCATAAGATTTAGCATATTGTATTTCAATTTCCATTTGTTTCAATACATTTTCTAAATTTTTTCTTAATTTTTTCATTAACCTACTGGTCATTCAGGAGCATATTGTTTAATTTCTGTGTATTTGCACAGTTTCCACAGTTCCTTGTGCTATTGATTTCTAGTTGTATTCTGTTGTGTTCAGAGAAGATGCTTGATTTAAAAAATATTTTTTTTATTTCAGTAGGTCTTTGGGGAACAGGTGGTGTTTGGTTACACGAATAAGTTCTTTAGTTGTGATTTCTGAGATTTTGGTGCACCCATCACCCGAGCAGTGTACACTGTACCCAATGAATAGTCTTTTATCCCTTGCTACCCCCACCCTTTCCCAAGTCCCCAAAGTCCAATATGTCATTTGTATACCTTTGCGTCCTCATAGCTTAGCTCCCACATATGAGTGAGAATACACAGTGTTTGGTTTTCCATTTCTGAGTTACTTCACTTAGAATAATAGTCTCCAATTCCATCAAGGTTGCTGTGAATGCCAATATTTCATTCCTTTTTATGGCTGAATAGTATTTCATTTTATATATATATATATATATATATATATATATATATATATATATATATATATAAAATTTTCTTTATCCATTCATTGATTGATGAGCATTTGGGCTGGTTTCATATTTTTGCAATTGCAAATCATGCTGCTGCAAACATGTGTGTGCAAGTATCTTTTTCATATAATGACTTCCTTTCCTCTGGGTAGATACCTAGTAGTGGGATTGCTGGATCAAATGGTAGATCTACTTTTAGTTCTTTAAGGAATTTTCACACTGTTTTCCATAGTGGTTGTACTAGTTTACATTCCCTCCAACGGTGTAATTGTGTTCCCTATTTGCCACATTCCAGCCAACATCTATTACTTTTTGATTTTTTGATTATGGCCATTCTTGCAGGAGTGAGGTGTTATTGCATTTTGATTTTGATTTGCATTTCTTTGATCATCAGTGATGTTCAGCATTTTCCATATGCTTGTTGACCATTTGTATATCTTCTTTTGAGAACTGTCTTTTCATGTTCTTAGCCCACTTTTTGATGGGATTGTTTGTTTTTTCCTTGCTGATTTGAGTTTTTGTACATTCTGAATAGTAGTTGTTTGTTGGATGTGTAAATTGTGAAGATTTTCTCCCACTCTGTGGGTTGTCTGTTAACTCTGCTGATTATTTCTTTTGCTGTGCAGAAGCTTTTTAGTTTAATTAAGTTCCATCTGTTTATCTTTGTTTTTGTTGCATTTGCTTTTGCATTCTTGGTCATGAAATCTTTGCCTAAGCCAATGTCTAGAAGAGTTTTTTCAATGTTATATTCTAAAATCTTTATGGCTTCAGTCTTAAATTTAAGTTTTTGATCCATCTTGAGTTGATTTTTGTATAGGGTAGGAGATGAGGATCCAGTTTCATTTGTCTATATGTGGCTTGACAATAATCCCAGCATCATTTGTTGAACAGGGTGTCCTTTCCCCACTTTATGTTTTTCTTTGCTTTGTTGAAAATCAGTTGGCTGTAAGTATTTGGGTTTATTTCTGGGTTCTCTTTTCTGTTCAATTGGTCTAGATGCCTATTTTTATACCAGTGCCATGCTGTTTTGGTGACGATGGCCTTATAGTATAGTTTGAAGTCAGGTAATCTGATACCTCCAGATTTGTTCTATTTGCTTAGTCTTGCTTTGGCTATGTGGGCTCTTTTTTTGGTCCCATCTGAATTTTAGGATTGTTTATTTTCTAGTTCTGTGAAGAATGACGGTGATATTTTAATGGGAATTGCATTAAATTTGTAGATTGCTTTTGGTGGTATGGTCATTTAAACAATATTGATTCTACCCATTTATGAGAATGGGATGTGTTTCTATTTGTTTGTGTCATCTATAATTTATTTCAGCAGTATTTTGTAGTTTTTCTTGTAGAGGTCTTTCACCTCCTTGGTTAGGTATATTCCTAAGTATTTTATTTTATTTTTTTCAGCTATTGTGAAAGGAGTTGAGTTCTTGAGTTGATTCTCAGCTTGGCCACTGTTGCTGTATAGCAGAGCTACTGATTTGTGTACATTAATTTTGTATCCTGAAACTTTGTTGAATCCATTTACCAGTTCTAGGAGCTTTTTGGATGAGTCTTTAGGATTTTCTAGGTATACGATCATATCATCAGCAAACAGCAATAGTTTGCCTTCCTCTTTTTACCTCTTTGGATGCCCTTTATTTCTTTCTCTTGTCTGACTGCTCTGGCTTGGTCTTCCAATACTATGTTGAATAGAAGTGGTGAGAATGAGCATCTTTTTATTGTTCCAATTCTCAGGGGAAAATGCTTTCAACTTTTGCCCGTTCGGTATAATGTTGGCTGTGAGTTTGTTTTAGATGGCTTTTATTTGTTAAGGTATGTTGCTTCTATGCCGATTTTGCTGAGGGTTTTAATCATAAACGGATGCTGGGTTTTGTCAAATGCTTTTTCTGCATCTATTGAAATAATCATGTGATTTTTGTTTTAAATTCTGTTTATGTGGTGTGTAACATCTGTTGACTTACGTATGTTAAACTATCCCTGCATCCCAAGTATGAAACCTACTTGATCATGGTGGATTGTCTTTTTGATATGCTGTTGTATTAGGTTTGCTAGTATTTTGTTGAGGATTTTTGCATCTATTTTCATCAGGGATATTGGTCTGTAGTTTTCTTCTTCTTCTTTTTTTTTTTTTTTTTTTGTTTGTTTGTTTGTTAGGTCCTTCCCTGGTTTTTGGTATTAGGGTGATACTGGCATCATAGAATGATTTAGGGAGGATTTCCTCTTTCTCTGTCTTGTGTAATAGTGTCAATAGGATTGGTACCAATTCTTCTTTGAATGTCTGATAGAATTCAGCTGTGAGTCCATCTAATCCTGGACATTATTTTGCTGACAATTTTTAAATTACCATTTCAACCTCACTGCTTGCTATTGGTCTGTTCAGAGATTCTGTATCTTCCTGGTTTAATCTAGGAGAGTTGTATATTTCCAGGAATGTATCCATCTCCTCTAAGTTTTATAGTTTATGTGCATAAAGGGGTTCACAGTAGTGTTGAATAATCTTTTGTATTTCCTTGGTATCAGTGGTAATATCTCCCGTTTCTTTTGTAATTGAGTTTATTTGGATCTTCTCTCTTCTTTACTTGGTTAATCTCACTAATTGTCTATCAATTTTACTTATATTTTCCAAGAACCAGCTTTTTGTTTCATTATCTTTTGTATTTTTTTTTTGTTTCAATTTCATTTAGTTCTGCTCTGATCTTCATTATTTCTTTTCTTCTGCGGGGTTTGGGTTTGGATTGTTCTTGTTGCTCCACTTCTGTGCGGTGTGACCTTAGATTGTCTGTTTGTGCCCTTTCAGACTTTTTGGTGAAGGCATTTAATGCTATGAACTTTCCTCTTAGCACCGCATTTGCTGTTTCCCAGAGGTTTTGAGAGGTTGTGTCACTATTATATTTCAATTCAAAGAATTTTTTAATAGCCATCTTGATTTCATTGTTGACCCAACCATCATTCAGGAGCAGATTATTTAATTTCCATGTTATTTGCATGGTTTTGAGGGTTCCTTTTAGATATGATTTCCAATTTTATTCCACTGAGGTCTGAGAGAATACTTGATATAAATTTGGTTTTCTTAAATTTACTGAGATTTGTTTTGTGGCCTATCATATGGTCCATTTTGGAGAACGTTTCATGTCCTTATGAATGGAATGTATATTCTACAGTTGTTGGGTAGAATGTCCTGCAAGTATCTGTTGAGTCCATTTGTTATAGGCTATAGTTTAAGTCCATCATTCCTTTGTTGACTTTTTGTATTGATGACCTATCTAGTGCTCTCAGTGGATTACTGAAGTCACCCACTATTATTGTGTTGCCATCTATCTCATTTTTAGGTCTAGTAGTAATTGTTTTATAAATTTGGAAGCTCCAGTGTTAGGCACATATATATTTAGGACTGATATTTTCCTCTTGCACTAGTCCTTTTATCATTATATAATGTTCCTCTTTATCTTTTAAGATTGCTGTTGCTTTAAAGTTTGTTTAGTCTGATATAAGAATAACTACTCCTGCTGGTTTTGGTGTGCATTTACATGGAGTATCTTTTTCCACTCCTTTACCTTAAGTTTATGTGGGTCCTTACGTGTTAGGTGAGTCTCCTGAAGACAGCAGAAACTTGGTTGGTAAATTATTATCCATTCTGACATTCTGTGTTTTTTAAGTGGAGTATTTAGGCCCATTACATTCAATGTTAGTATTGAGATATGAGGTGGTATTCTATTCAACATGCTATTTGTTGCCTAAATACCTTGTTTTCTTTCATTGTGTTATTGTTATATAGGTCCTGTGAGATTTATGCTTTAATGAGGTTCTATTTTGGGGTTTTTTGAGGATTTGTTTCAAGATTTAGACCTCCTTTTAGCATTTCTTGTAGTGCTGGCTTGGTAGTGGCAAATTATTTTAACATTTGTTTGTCTGGAAAAGAGTGTATCTATCCTTCATTTATGAAGCTTAGTTTTGCTGGATACAAAATTTTTGGCTGATAATTATTTTGTTTAAGGAAGCTAAAAATAAGGCCCCAGTCCCTTTGAGCTTGTAGGGTTTCTGCTGAGAAATCTGCGTTCATCTGATAAGTTTTTCTTCATAGGTTAGCTGATGCTTTTGCCTGATAGCTCTTAAGATTCTTTCCTTTGTCTTGACTTTAGATAACCTGATGACTGTGTGCCTAGGTGATGATCTTTTTATGATGAATTTCCCAGGTGTTCTTTGAGCTTCTTGTATTTTGATTTCTAGATCTCTAGCAAGGTCAGGGAAGTTTTCCTTGATTATTCCTTCCAATATGTTTTCCAAACTGTGAGATTTCTCTTCTTCCTCAGGAACACCAATTATTGTTAGGTTTACCATAGTCCCAAACTTCTTGGAGGCTTTGTTAATTTTTTAAAATTCTTTTTTCTTTGTCTTTGATGGATTTGGTTCTGCTTGTTCGATTCTATTGCTGAGATTTTCCAGTGAATTTGCATTTCTCTAAGTGTGTCCTTGATTACCAGAAGTTGTGATTCTGCTTTTAGTTATTCTATTTCACTGAAGAATTTTCCTTTCATTTTCTGGATCATGTTTTTGATTCCTTTAAGCTGGACTTCACCTTTCTCTGGTGCCTCCTTGATTAGCTTAATAATTGACCTTCTGAATTCTTTTTCTGGCAATTCAGAGATTTTTATCTTGGCTTGGGTTCATTGCTGGTTAGCTGGTATGATGTTTTGGGGGTGTTAAAGAACCTTGTTTTGTCATATTACCAGAATTGTTTTTCTGGTTCATTCTCATTTGTGTAGACTATGTCAGGGGAAGATCTGGGATTCAAAGGCTGCTGTTCACATTCTTTTGTCCCATGGGGTGGTCCCTTGATATGGTGTTCTCCCCCTTCCCCTAGGAATGGGGCTTCCTGAGAGCTGAACTGTAGTGATTGTTTTTGCCTTTCTGGGTCTAGCCACCCAGTGGAGCTACCAGGCTCCGGGTTGGTACTGGGGAGTGTCTGCAAAGAGTCCCGTGATGTGATCTGTCTTCAGGTCTTGCAGCTGTAGATAACAGCACCTGCTCCGGTGAAGGTAGAGGTAGCAGGGAAGTGAAGTGGACTCTGTGATGGTCCTTGGTTGTTTTTGTTTAGTGTGCTGGTTTTGTGTTTGTTGGCCTCCAGCCAGGAGGTGACGCTTTCAAGAGTGCATCAGCTGCAGTCCTATAGGAAGGATGCAAACTTGCCCTAGGGTCACCTGGTTAAATATTCAGGTTTCTCAGGTGGTGGGCAGGGCCATAGAGCTCCAGAGAGATTATGATCTTTGTCTTTGGTACCAGGGTGGGTGGAGAAAAACCACCAGGTGGGGGCAGGGATAGGCATATCTGAGCTCAGATTCTCTTTGGGCAGGGCTTCCTGTGGCTGCCTTTGGGAAGGGGGTGTGGTTCCCAGTCCATTGGAGTTATATTCCCTGGGTGATTATAGCTGCATCTGCTCGGTCATACAGTTCACCAGAGAAGTGGGGGAAAGACAGGAGTCACAGGCCTCATCCCGCTGCCTTGCAGCCTGCAGTCCTAAAGGCCAGTCTCACTCCCACTATGCCCCCACAACAGCACTGAGTCTATTTCCAGATAGCCAGTGACCAGCACTGAGAACTTACCCCAGATCACAAACCTCCCCATTGAGAAAGCAAGCAGACACAGTTTTTCGGTGTTTCACGGAGCCTGCAGTGGTGATCCAGTTCCTTCAAAGGGTCTGTGGATTCCTTTGGCTTTCCTAGTATTTTCCTGCAGTTGTTCTTGGAGCAAAAGTTCACGATGTGAGTCTCTACACACTGCTTTGTCAGTCCAAGGAGGAGCTGCAAGCTTGTCCTGTTTCCTATCTGCCACCTTAATCTCTATAGACCACCACAATGCTTGATATTATTTCAATTTTTTGAATGTTTTATAACTGTTTTGTGACCTAACATATGGTTTATCCTTGAGAAAGATCTAAGTGATGAGGAAAAGAATGTGTGTTCTGTAGCTGTTGGATGAAATGTTCTGTAAATATCTATTAGGCCCATTTGGTCTATAGTTCAGATTAAGTCCAATGTTTGTTTGTTGATTTTCTGTCTGGAATATTTGTCCAGTGCTGAATGTAGGGCATTGAAGCCTCCCAGCTATTATTGTATTGGGGTCTGTCTCCCTTTAGCTCTGATAATATTTGCTTTATATATCTGGGTGGTCCAGTGTTCTATATGTATATATTTATAATTATTGTATCCTCTTGCCAAATTGACCTCTTTATCATTATACAGTGACTTTCTTTTTGTCTTTTTCTAGTTTTTGTCTTGAAATCCATTTTGTCTCATATAAGCATAGCTACTACTGCTCTTTTTTTGGTTTCCATTGGCGTGGAATATCTTTTTCTGTCCTTTCATTTTCAGTCTATGTGTATTTCTATAGGTTAAATATGTTTCTTGTAAGCAAAAGATCTTTTTTTCTGTTTTTTAAAATCCATTCAGCCAGTCTATGTCTTTTAATTGGAGAGTTTAGTTCATTTACATTCAATGTTATTATTGATAACTAAGGACTTACTCCTGGCATTTGGTTATTTGTTTTCTGGTTGTTTTGTAGTGTTTGCTTCTTTCTTTCCTTTTTGTCTTCCTTTTAGGGAAGATGATTTTCTCTAGTAATATGACTTAATTTCTTGCTTTTTAATTTTCATGGATTTGTTTCATGTTTTTTGATTTGGGGTTACCATGCGGCTTGTCAATACTGTCTTTAACCCATTATTTTTACTTGATAATAAATTAACACTGTTTGCATAAACAAAGAAACAAGCAAAAAGAAAAGTAACAACAATTCTACACGTCAATTTCATCCCCCCACTTTTTAACTTTTTGATGTTTTGATTTATATTTTATTGTAATGTCTATGTCTTGGAAAGTTGTTATAGTTATTATCTTTGATTGATTCATCATTTAATTTTTCTATTTAGTATAAAATTAGTTTACACACCACACTTACAGTGTTATGATATTTTGTGTCTCTCTGTATACTTACTATTAGTAGTGAGTTTTGTACCTTCAGTTGATTTCTTATTGCTCATTAACATTCTTTTCTTTTTTACTGAAGTTCTCTCTTTAGCATTTCTTGTGGGACAGGTCTAATGTTGATGAAAACCCACAGCTTTTGTTTGTCTGGGAAAGTTTTTATTTCTCCTTCATGTTTGAAGGATATTTTCACCAGATATACTACTCTGGGGTAAAGGTTTGTTTTCTTCAGCACTTCAAATATGCTATGCCTCTCTCTCCTGGCCTGTATGTTTTTCACTGAAAAGTCTGCTGCCAGACGTATTGGAGCTCCATTTTATGTTGTTTCTTTTCTCATGCTGCTTTTAGGGTTCTTTCTTTATCCTTCACCTTTGGGAGTCTGATTATTAAATGCCTTGAGATAGTCTTCTTTGGGTTAAATCTGCTTTGTGTTCTATAACTTTTTTGTAGTTGGATATTGACATCTATCTCTAAATTTGGGAAGTTCTCTGTTTTTATCCCTTTGAATAAACTTTCTACTCCTATTTCTTTCTCTACTTCCTCTTTAAGGCCAGTAACTCTTAGCTTTGCCCTTTAGAGACTATTTTCTACATCTTATAGGTATGCTTCATTGTCTTTTATTCTTTTATCTTTTGTCTCCTCTGACCATGTATTTTCAAATAGCTGTCTTCAAGTTCACTAATTTTGTCTTCTGCTTGATCCATTCTGCTATTAGACTCTGCATTTTTCACTATGTCAACTCCATTTTTAAACTTTAGAATTTCTGGTTTTTTTTTGTTTATTTCAATATTTTTAATTTATCTGATAGCATTCTGAATTCCTTCTCTGTGTTTTCTTGAATTTCTTTGAGTTTTCTCAAAGCAGCTATTTTGAATTCTCTTTCTGAAAGAAGGTCACATATCTCTTTCTTCAGGCTTGGCCTCTGGTGCCTTATTGAGTTCATTTAGTGAGGTCATGTTTTTCAGGATGGTGTTGATGCTTGTGGAAATCCACCTGTATCTGATCTGGGTGTTGGAAAGTTAGATATTTACTAGTCTTTATAGTCTGGGCTTGTTTGTATGCATCCTCCTTGAGAAGCCTTTCCTGGTATTCAAAAGGACTTAAGTATTAGGATCTAAGCCTTGTCTGCATTAGGAGGCACCCCAAGCCAAGTAACACTGTAGTTCTTGCCAACTTCTAGAAGTACAACTGTGATGATCTTGGATTATATCCAGAATAATTCCTTGGATTATTAAACAAAAACTTTTGTTCTCTTCCCTTATTTCTTCCAAAGAAATGGAGTCTGTCTGTCTGTTCTGTACCACCTGGAGCTGGGGGGGGGGGGGGGGCAGTGACACAAGCAACCCTGTGGTCAACGCCAGTGGGCTTCTCCTGAGTTAGACCTAAAGCCAGCACAGCCCTGGATCTTGCTGAAGGCCCACTGTAACCACTACCTGTCTTCCATCTATGTTTGTTCAGGGCCCTGGGGCTCTACAATCAGCAGGTGCTTAAGCCTGCCAGGCTTGCGTCCTTCCCTTCAGGGCAGTGACCTCCCCTAGGCCCTGGTCAGGTCCAGAGGTGCTGTCTGGGATCTAGAGCCTGGAGTCAAAACACTCTAGAAGTCTACCTGGTGTTCTGTTGTACTGCAGCTGAGCTGGCACTCAAACTGTGAGATGTGGTCCTTCCCACGCTTTCCTCCCCATTCCACAGGCAGAGAAGCCTCACCCTGTTGCCACCACTACAGGCCCACAGAGGGTAGCCAATGTCCCCTAAAGCTCAAGAGCTCTTTAGTTGGTTTGTGGTGAATTCTGCCTAGTCTGGGACTCACCCTTCATGGTAGTGGGCTCCTCTCTGGCCCAGGGCACATCCAGAAATGTCATTGAAGAGCCAAGGCCTGGAATTGAGTACCTCAAAAGCGCTCTTGGTGTTCTGTCCCTTTGTGGCTGAGCTGGTGAGACGTGACAGCGTGCTGGCAGTCCTCAGAGCCCTCGCTTGCTCTCGGCACCTCCTCTGCCTGGGCTCCCACTTTGGCGGCATTTGAGGAGCCCTTCAGCCCACCACTGCACTGTGGGAGCCGCTTTCTGGGCTGGCCAAGGCTGGAGCCCACTCCCTCAGCTTGCAGGGAGGTGTGGAGGGAGAGGCGCGAGCAGGAACCAGGGCTGCGTGCGGCGCTTGCCGGCCAGCTGGAGTTCCGGGTGGGCGTGGGCTTGGCGGGCCCCGCACTCAGAACAGCCGGCCGGCCCTGCTGGCTCCGGGCAATGAGGGACTTATCACCCGGGCCAGTGGCTGCGGAGGGTGTACTGGGTCCCCCAGCAGTGCCAGCCCACCGGCGCTGCGCTCGATTTCTCACCGAGCCTTAGCTGCCTTCCTGCGGGGCAGGGCTCGGGACCTGCAGCCCGCCATGCCTGAGTCTCCCACCCACTCCATGGGCTCCTGTGCTGCCCAAGCCTCCCCGACGAGCACCACCCCCTGCTCCACAGCGCCCAGTCCCATCTACCACCCAAGGGCCAAGGAATGCGAGTGCACGGCGCAGTACTGGCAGGCAGCTCCACCTGCAGCCCCGGTGCAGGATCCACTCGGTGAAGCCACCTGGGCTCCTGAGTCTGGTGGGGACGTGGAGAGTCTTTATGTCTAGCTCAGGGATTGTAAACACACCAATCAGCACCCTGTGTTTAGCTCAAGGTTTGTGAGTGCACCAATCGACATTCTGTATCTAGCTGCTCTGGTGGGGCCTTGGAGAACGTTTATGTCTAGCTCAGGGATTGTAAATACACCAATCGGCACTCTGTATCTAGCTCAAGGTTTGTAAACACACCAATCAGCACCCTGTGTCTAGCTCAGGGTTTGTGAATGCACCAATCGACACTCTGTATCTAGCTGCTCTGGTGAGGCCTTGGAGAACCTGTGTGTGGAAACTCTGTATCTAACTAATCTGATGGGGACTTGGAGAACCTTTTTATCTAGCTCAGGGATTGTAAACACACCAATCAGCGCCCTGTTAAAACAGGCCACTCAGCTCTACCAATCAGCAGGATGTGGGTGGGGCCAGATAAGAGAATAAAAGCAGGCTGCCCGAGCCAGCATTGGCAACACGTTCGGGTCCCCTTCCACACTGTAGAGGCTTTGTTCTTTCGCTCTTTGCAATAAATCTTACTACTGCTCACTCTTTGGGTCCACGCTGCTTTTATGAGCTGTAACACTCACGGCGAAGATCTGCAGCTTCACTCCTGAGCCCAGCGAGACCACAAGCCCACCGGGAGGAACGAACAACTCCAGACGCGCTGCCTTAAGAGCTGTAACACTCACCGCGAAGGTCTGCAGCTTCACTCCTGAGCCAGCGAGACCACGAACCCACCAGAAGGAAGAAACTGCGAACACATATGAACATCAGAAGGGACAGACTCCAGACGCGCCATCTTAAGAGCTGTAACACTCACCGCGAGGGTCCGCGGCTTCATTCTTGAAGTCAGTGAGACCAAGAACCCACCAATTCCGGACACACTGGTACCTAAAGTGCAAGACAAAGTCCCTTTTGCTTGTCCCTCCACTTTTCCCAAACAGAAGGAGTCTCTTCTCATAGCCAGCACAGCTGGGAATTTGCTGTATATTACCTGAAGTCAATAAGTCTTAGAGTCTCACGCAAGGCCTATAGTATACTTCCTGGGTATCACTACTGGTTATTCAGGGCCCAAGGGCTCTTTAGTCAGCACATGGTAAGTCCTGGCAGGACTGGGTTTTTCACTTCAAGGCAATGGATTTCCTTCTGGCCCAGGGTGTGTCTAGAAATGTCATTCAGGATCTAGGGCCTGGAAATGAGAACTCACAACTCTGATTGGTGTCCTATTTTACTGTGACTGAGCTGGTATCCGTGATGCAAGACAGAGATGTCTTTACTCTCCCCTCTCCTCTCTTCAAGTGGAAGGAAGGGATTTATTTTGGAACTGCAAGCTGTACAGCTTGGGGTTGGGGGACAAGTGGTACAAGCATTTCCTTAGCTTCCCCAGCTGGAGTCTCAGTAGCTCACATATCCCCCTGAGTCTACTGGCTCTTAGCCAAGTTTAGCACTAGGACTTGCCTTGAATTTGCAGTCCTTGTGGCCCAGACTGCTTTTCTATTTTTTTGACGGCAATATTAGATTTATTAAAGTTCCATATTTAAAAACGCAATACATCTTTAAGCTTTTGTGTTCATCTTTTTTTTAAAATTATACTTTAAGTTCTGGGATATATGTGTACAACGTGCATGTTTGTTTACATAGGTATACATGTGACATGTGAGTTTGCTACACCCATCAACTTGTCATTTACATTAGGTATTTCTCCTAATGCTATCCCTCCCCAAGCCCCCTACCCCCAACAGGCCCTGGCATGTGATGTTCCCCTCCCTGTGTCCATGTGTTCTCATTGCTCATCTCCCACTTATGAGTGAGAACATGTGGTGTTTGGTCTTCTCTTCTTGTGTTGCTTTGCTGAGAATGATGGTTTCCAGTTTCATCCATGTCCCTGCAAAGGACATGAACTCATCCTTTTTTTATGGCTGCATAGTATTCCTTGGTGCATTTGTGCCACATTTTCTTTATCCAGTCTATCATTGATGGGCATTTGGGTTGGTTCCAAGACTTTGCTATTGTGAACAGTGCTGCAATAAACATATGTGTGCATGTGTCTTTACAGTAGAATGATTTATAATCCTTTGGGTATATACTCAGTAATGGGGTTGCTGGGTCAAATGATATTTCTAGTTCTAGATCCTTGAGGAATTGCCACACTGTCTTCCACAATGGTTGAACTAATTTACACTCCCACCAACAGTGTAAAAGCATTCCTATTTCTCCACATCCTCTCCAGCATCTGTTGTTTCCTGACTTTTTGATGATCACCATTCTAACTGGTGTGAGATGGTATCTCATTGTGGATTTGATTTGTATTTTCCAATGACCAGTGATGATGAGAATTTTTTCCTAACTTTGTTGGCTACATAAATGTCTTCTTTTGAGAAGAGTCTGTTCATATCCTTCACTCATTTTTTTTTCAAGGGGTTGTTTGTTTTTTTCTTGTAAATTTGTTTAAGTTCTTTGTAGATTCTGGATATTAGCCCTTTGTCAGATGGACAGATTGCAAAAATTTTCTCCTATTCTGTAGGTTGCCTTTTCAGTCCGATGATAGTTTCTTTTGCTATGCAAAAGCTCTTTAGTTTAATTAGATCCCACTTGTCAATTTTGGCTTTTCTTGCCATTGTTTTTGGTGTTTTAGTCATGAAGTCTTTGCACATCCCTAAGTCCTGAATGGTATTGCCTAGGTTTTCTTCTAGGGTTTTTATGGTTTTTAGGTCTTACAGTTAAGTCTTTAATCCATCTGGTGTTAATTTTTGTATAAGGTGTAAGGAAGGGAAACAGTTTCAGCTTTCTGCATATGGCTAGCCAGTTTTCCCAGCACCATTTATTAAACAGGGAACCCTTTCCCCATTGCTTGTTTTTATCAGATTTGTCAAAGATCAGATGGTTGTAGATTTGTGATGTTATTTCTGAGGGCTCTGTTCTGTTCCATTGATCTATATCTCTGTTTTGGTACCAGTACCATGCTGTTTTGGTTGCTGTAGCCTTGTAGTATAGTTTGAAGTCAGGTAGTGTGATGCCTCCAGCTTTGTTCTTTTGGCTTAGGATTGTCTTGGCTATGTGGGCTCTTTTTGGTTCCATATGAAATTTAAAGTTGTTTTTTTCCAATTCTGTGAAGAAAGTCATTGGTAGCTTGATGGTGATGGCATTGAATCTGTAAATTACCTTGGGCAGTATGGCCATTTTTACAATATTGATTCTTCCTATCCATGAGCATGGAATGTTGTTCCATTTATTTGTGCCCTCTTATTTCCTTGAGCAGTGGTTTGTAGTTCTCCTTGAAGAGGTCCTTCACATCCCTTGTAAGTTGGATTCCTAGGTATTTTATTCTCTTTGTAGCAATTGTGCATTGGAGTTCACTGGTGATTTTGCTCTCTGTTTGTCTGTTATTGGTGTATAGGAATGCTTGTGATTTTTGCACATTGATTTTGTATCCTGAGACTTTGCTGAAGTTGCTTATCAGATTAAGGATATTTGGGGCTGAAATGATGAGGTTATCTAAATATACAATCATACCATCTGCAAACAGAAACAATTTGATTTCCTCTTTTCCTGTTTGAATACCCTTTATCTCTTTCTCTTGCCTTATTGCTCTGACCAGAACTTACAATACTATGTTGAATAGGAGTGGTGACAGAGGGCATCCTTGTCTTGTGCTGGTTTTCAAAGGAAATGCTTCCAGTTTTTACCCATTCCATATGATATTGGCTGTGGGTTTGTCATAAATAGGTCTTATTATTTTGAGATACATTCCAAAAATAACTAGTTTATTGAGAGTTTTTAGCATGAAGGGCTGTTGAATTTTATAGAAGGCCTTTTATGCATCTATTGAGATAATCATGTGGTTTTTGTTGTTGGTTCTGTTTATGTGATAGATTATGTTTATTGATTTGTGTATGTTGAACCAGCCTTGCATCCCAGGAATGAAGCCTACTTGATCGTGGTGGATAAGCTTTTTGATGTGCTGCTGGATTCAGTTTGCCGGTATTTTATTGAGAATTTTGCATCGATGTTCATCGTGGATATTGGCCTACAATTTTCTTTTTTTGTTGTGTCTCTGCCAGGTTTTGTTATCAGGATCATGCTGGCCTCATAAAATGAGTTAGGGAAGATTCCCTCTTTTTCTATTGATTGGAATAGTTTCAGAAGGAATGGTACCAGCTCCTCTTTCTACCTCTGGTGGAATTCGGTTGTGAATGTGTCTGGTCCTGGACTTTTTTTGGTTGGTAGGCTATTAATTACTGCCTCAATTTCAAAACCTATTATTGGTCTATTCAGAGATTTGACTTCTTCCTGATTTAGTCTTGGGAGGGTGTATGTGTCCAGGAATTTATCCATTTCTTCTAGTTTTTCTAGTTTATTTGTGTAGAGGTGTTTATATTATTATCTGATGGTAGTTTGTATTTCTGTGGGATTGGTGATGATATCCCCTTTATCATTTTTTATTGCGTCTACTTGATTCTTCTCTCTTTTCTTCTTTATTTGTATAGCTAGTGGTCCATTTATTTTGTTGATCTTTTCCAAAAACCAGCTCCTGGATTCATTGATTTTTTGAAGGGTTTTTCGTGTCTCTATCTCCTTCAGTTCTGCTCTGATCTTAGGTATTTATTATCTGCTGCTAGCTTTTGAATGTGTTTGCTCTTCTTTCTCTAGTTCTTTTAATTGTGATGTGAGAGTATCAATTTTAGATCTTTCCTGCTTTTTCTTGTGGACATTTAGTGCTATAAATTTCCCTCTACACATTGCTTTAAATGTGTCCCAGAGATTCTGATACATTTTGTCTTTGTTCTCATTGGTTTCAAAGAACATCTTTACTTCTGTCTTCATTTTGTTATTTACCCAGTAGTCATTCAGGAGCAGGTTGTTCAGTTTCCATGTAGTTGTGCAGTTTTTAGTCTGTTTCTTAATCCTGAGTTCTAATTTGATTGCACTGTGGTCTGAGAAACAGTTTGTTGTGATGTCTCTTCTTTTACATTTGCTGAGGAATGCTTTACTTCCAACTATGTGATCAATTTTGGAATAAGTGCAATGTGGTGCTGAGAAGAATGTATATTCTGTTGATTTGGGGTGGAGAGTTCTGTAGATTTCTATTAGATCTGCTTGGTCCAGAACTGAGTTCAAGTCCTGGATATCCTTGTTAATTTTCTGTCTCGTTGATCTGTCTAATGTTGACAGTGGGGTGTTAAAGTCTCCCATTATTATTGTGTGGGAGTCTAAGTCTCTTTGTAGGTCTCTAAGGATTTGCCTTATGAATCTGGGTGTTCCTGTATTGGGTGCATATATATTTAGGATAGTTAGCTCTTCTTATTGCATTGATTCCTTTACCATTAGGTAATGCCTTTCTTTGTTTCTTTTGACCTTTGTTGGCTTAAAGTCTGTTTTATCAGAGACCAGAATTGCAACCCCTGCTTTTTTTTTTTTCTTTCCATTTGCTTGGTAAATCATCCTCCATGCCTTTATTTTGAGCCTATGTGTGTCTTTGCACGTGAGATGAGTCTACTGAATACAGCACACCAACTGATCTTGACTCTTTATCCAGTTTGCCTTCTGTGTCTTTTAATTGGGGCATTTTAATTGGGACATTTCAAGTTAATATTGTTATGTGTGAATTTGATCCTGTCATTATGATGCTAACTGGTTATTTTTCCTGTTAGTTGATGCAGTTTCTTCATAGCGTCGATGGTCCTCACAATTTGGCATGTTTTTGCAGTGGCTGGTACTGGTCGTTCCTTTCCATATTTAGTGCTTCCTTCAGGAGCTCTTGTAAGGCAGGCCTGGTGGTGACAAAATCTCTCAGCATTTGCTTGTCTGTAAATGATTTTATTTCTTCTTCACTTATGAAGCTTAGTTTGGCTGGATACTAAATTCTGGGTTGAAAATTCTTTTCTTTAAGAATGTTGAATATTGGCCCCCCCTCTTCTGGCTTGTAGGGTTTCTGCAGAGAGGTCTGCTGTTAGTCCAATGGGCTTCCCTTTGTGGGTAACCCGACCTTTCTCTCTGGCTGCCCTTAACATTTTTTCCTTCATTTCAACTTTGGTGAAAATCTGATGGTTATGTGTCTTTGGGTTGCTCTTCTCGAGGAATATCTTTGTGGTATTCTCTGTGTTTCCTGAATTTGAATGTTGGCCTGCCTTGCTAGGTTGGGGAAGTTCTCTTGGATAATATCCTGAAGAGTGTTTTCCAATTTGGTTCCATTCTCCTTGTCACTTTCAGGTATACCAATCAAACATATATTTGGTCTTTTCACATAGTCCCATATTTCCTGGAGGCTTTGTTTATTTCTTTTTACTCTTTTTTCTCTAGTCTTGTCTTCTCGCTTTATTTCATTCATTTGATCTTCAATCACTGATACCCTTTCTTCCACTTGATCGATTCGACCATTGAAACTTGTGTATGGTTCTCGAAGTTCTCGTGCTGCGTTTTTCAGCTTCATCAGTTCTTTTATGTTCTTCTCTATACTGGTTATTCTCATTAGCATTTTGTCTAACCTTTTTTCAAGTTCTTAGCTTCCTTGCGTTGGGTTAGAAGATGCTTATTTAGCTCAGAGGAGTTTGATATTACCCACCTTCTGAAGCGTACTTCTCTCAGTTCATCAAAATCATTCTCCGTCCAGTTTTGTTCCCTTGCTGGCGAAGGGTTGTGATCCTTTGTAGGAGAAGAGGCGGTCTTGTTTTGGGAATTTTCAGCCTTTCTGCGCTGGTTCCTCCCCATCTTTGTGGTTTCATCTACCTTTGGTGTTTGATGTTGGTATCCTACAAGATGGGGTTTTGGTGTGGATGTCCTTTTTGTTGATTTGATGCTATTCCTTTCTGTTTGTTAGTTTTCCTTCTAACAGTCAGGCTCCTCAGCTGCAGGTCTATTGCAGTTTGCTGGAGGTCCACTCCCAACCCTGTTTGCCTGGGTATCACCAGCAGAGGCTGCAGAACAGCAACTATTGCTGCCTGATACTTCCTCTGGAAGTTTTGTCCCAGAGAGGCACCCGCCAGATGCCAGCCAAAGCTCTTCTGTATTAGGTTTCTGTTGGCCCCTACTGGGAGGTGTATCCCAGTCAGGCTACATGTGGGTCAGGGACCCACTTGAGGAGGCAGTCTGTCTGTTATCAGAGCTCGAACGCTGTGCTGGGAGAACCACTGCTCTCTTCAGAGCTGTCAGGCAGGGATGTTTAAGTCTGCTGAAGCTGCGCCCACAGCGGCCCCTTCCCCCAGGTGCTCTGTCCCAGGGAGATGGGGGTTTTATCTATAAGTCCCTGACTGGGGCTGCTGCCTTTTGTTCAGAGATGCCCTGAACATCTAGAGGTAGAATCTAGAGAGGCAGTCGGCCTTGCTGAGCTGTGGTGGGCTCCACCCAGTTTGAACTTCCCAGCAGCTTTGTTTACACTGTGAGCATAAAACTGCCTACTCAAGCCTAAGCAATGGTGGACGCCCCTCCCCCCACCAAGCTTGAGCACCCCAGGTCGATTTCAGACTGCTGCGCTAGCAGCGAGGATTTCACACCAATGGATCTTGGCTTGCTGGGCTCCGTGGGAGTGGGACATGCCGAGCCAGGCACTGGAGGGAATCTCCTGGTCTGCTGGTTGCAAAGACCGTGGGAAAAGCGCAGTATCTGGGCAGGAGTGTACCGTTCCTCCTGGAAGTCTCTCACGGCTTCCCTTGGGTAGGAAAGGGAAATCCCCCAACTGCTTGCACTTCCCGGGTGAGGTGATGCCGTGCCCTGCATCGGCTTGCCCTCTGTGGGTTGCGCCCACTGTCCAACCAGTCCCAGTGAGATGAGCCAGGTTCCTCAATTGGAAATGCAGAAATTACCTGCCTTCTGTGGGTATCTCACTGGGAGCAGCAGACCAGAGCTCTTCCTATTTGGCCATCTTGCCAGACCCTCTCCAGACTGCTTTTCAAGTTTATTTGGGGTACCTGTACACTTTAGCTTACCCTGGTGAGGCTTGCCAGAACTGATGTTCCAACTGCTGGGATGGGCGATTCCCCTCTAACTAGGGGTGGTTTAAATACTCCCTCCAAGTGTAAATTAGTTCATCCATTGTGGAAAGCAGTATGGTGATTTCTCAAAAAGCTAAAAGCAGAACTACCATTCGACCCAGCAATCCCATTACTGGGTGCATATGCAGAGGAATATAAAGCATTTTACCATAAAGACACATGCACACAGATGTTCATTGCAGCACTATTCACAATACCAAAGACATGGAATTAACCTACATGCCCATCAATGACAGATTGGATAAAGAAAATGTGGTAGATATACACCATGGACTACTATGCAGCCATAAAAAATGCGATCATGTCTTTTGTGGGAACATGGATGGAGCTGGAGGCTATCATACTTAGCAAACTAAAGCAGGAACAGAAAACCAAACACTGTATGTTCTCATTTGTTTGTGGGAACTAAATGGTAAGAAGATATGAATACAAAGAACAAACAACAGACACTAGTTGGGGGAGGGCTGTTGGGAAGAGAGAAAGGAGCAGAAAATATAACTATTGGATACTGGGTTTAGTACCTGGGTGATGAAATAATACCTACAACAAACCCCTGTGACACGTGTTTACTTATGTAACAAACCTTCACGTGTACTCCTAAACGTAAAATAAAAATTAAAAAATAAATAAAAATCAAAATTAAAAAATAAATAAAATAAGTACTCAATCCACAGGTGGGCATCAGCTGAAATTATCCCAGTTTTACTTTCTGCTGAGTCAGGGCAGCACCGAGGTCAATGCAATGTTTCACAATTGCTGTACTCTTCCTCTCCCAAGTGCACAGATTCTCTCTCCATGCCATGTGACCATTGCTAGGGGATGGGGGAGGGGTAATGCTGGCAATTTAAGACTGTCTTTCCTGCCCTCTTCATTGCCTCTTTCAGTGATACAATGTTAACACGAGGTACTGTGAGTGTTTACCTGACTGAAGATGCTTTTTTTTTTTTTTTTTTGGTTACATAGTTGTTGAATTGGTGTCCTTGAGTTGGGGTGGGACAAGCAGTGGAGCCTTCTGTTTGGCCTTGTAGCTACACCCCTCTCTGAATGCAGTTGTTAAAAAGAATATTATGAAAGAATATTTATTGGCATAGATAAATGCTCTCAAAAGTGTAGATGCTTGTTTACATGCTTTTCAACACGTAACATTGTTTATAAGAATAATATTGGGTGAAGCAAACCATAAAATATCAAATGATAGAGGATTAATTAGTACTATAATACATACTCTGATTAAATATAAAGCATGGTTAAAAATCATGAATTTGGGGTGTTTTCTAAGCCTGTATGAATATTGATGCAAATGCTAAATGAAAACACACACTATATGTTCAGTATAATTTATAATATCTGTAACCTATATGTATAGGAAAATATAAGGGATTATATCCTGAAATAATAATTAGTCAACTTTTATAGTAGGGGAATTATTTGTTTAAAATGTATTTATTTTTAAATTTGAAATTAAGTCTACCAAGTAAAATGACTATCAACAAAATTATGGACTAGATGTTTGCCCACAAAATTCATATTGAAGCCCTAACCCCCAACATGATGATATTCGGAGGTAAGGCTTTTAAGAGACACTTAGGTATAGATGAGTTCATAAGGTTGGGGCACCTGTGATGTGATTAGTGCCCTCATAAGAAGAGGAAGAGAGACCAGAGCTTCCTCTCTCTGTTGTCAGAGGATACAGCAAGTAGGTGGTTATCTGCAACCAGGAAGGGAGCCCTCACCAGAACCTGACTATGCTGGTACCTTGAGCTTGGACTTTCAGGCTCCAGACTATGAGAAATAAATGTCTCTGTTAAGCCACTCAGAATATGGTGTTTTGTTATAGCAGTCTGATCAGACTAAAACAAAATGACAACAGCAAAACTGGAGGCTTTCTATTTCAAGGATCCAGTAGTCTCTAGTACTATACAGGAGGTAAAATATATATCTCTAATGACCAGAAATTGTTCCAGTAATTTTAAAAGCATAGATCCCAAGAGGAAAGGTTGGATCAATTAGCATGATAATAAAATTGATGGAAAGAGTAGTTACTACTTGGTGTCTACTAGGTTTTTGACACTGTAAGAGGCACTTTTACACCTTAACTCATTTAATCTTTATGACAACACAGTGTGTCACTTAATTTTTATTATGCTTCATGGGAAGGTGGGGATTATCTCAATTTCACAGATATGGAAAGTACATCTCTAAGAGATTAAGGCACTTAAGATCATATAGCTATCATGTGCAGAAAGCAGCGAGAATTTCGTTTGTCTGGTTCCTATGTATCTGTTATTTTGATGATCACTATGCCAACTGGGTGTAATGAGGGAAGAGTTTTTAGAAGGGATGGTATTCAGCTATGATAGTTAACCAATAGCTAGAGTTTAGGTTTGAGTACTCTGTTGTCTTAGAGATACGTTTTCATTAAGCATTGATGATGAAAGCTGCTTTAGTTCTTACACTGTTCACTTTGGATGAAATAGGTTGGATTGCAAAAAGGGACATTTTTAACTTTTTATTTTGAAATAATTTTAGACTTACTGAAAAATGGCAACATCAGTACAGATTTTCTGCATACTTAGTTTCCCCTCATTTTAACTTCTTCTATTCCCATAGTATAATTATTGAAACTAGGAGACACTCATTGATACAATACTATTAACTGCACTACAGATTTTATTTAGATTTCACCAGTTATTCCACTAATGTTCCTTTCCTGGTCAAGGATCTCATCCAGTATCTCATGTTTCAATTAGTTGCCATTCTCCTTAGTCTCTTCTAGTCTGTGACAGTTCTGTCTTTTCTTGTCTTTCATGACCTTGACATTTTTGAGGTATACTGGTAAGATATTTTTCAGTATGTTTCTCAATGTGAGTTTTTCTGAAGTTTCCTCATGGTTAAATTCAGATTAGGAATTTTTGGTGGGGATAACACAGAAGTGTGTCTTTCCCAGTGCATGATATCAAGAGGTACATAATTTCTCTATGTCTCCTTACTGGTGATGTTAACCTTGATCACTTAGGAAATGTGGTGTCACCAGGTCATTCCATTATAAGGATGATACAGTTTTCCCTTTGTATTAATTAGTATTTTATTAGGAAATACTTTGAGATTATGTAAATACCATGAATACCTGTTTATTCATCATATGTTTTGCTCACTAATTTTAGCACTCATCAACATTTCTTAACTACAATAATCACTTTTGTGGTGTTTGCCCAATAGCAATGTTCTATCTATATCATTCATTCTACATTTATTAATTTGAATTCTACTGTAAAAAGATCTGCCCTTCTTCTCCATTTATTTATTTATTCAATTATTTATTTTTATTAGTATATACTCCAAGGTATTTATTTTATTATATGGATTGGGCTCTATTATTATCATCATTTAATTATCCCTATATCTCATGCTATATAAAATAATGAACTCCAAAAGGAACAGCTAAATAAGTGTAAAAATGAAACCACAGAAATGCTAGAAGAAAATATGGGTGATTTCCTCTTAAGGTTTGTTGTTTAAGGCTTTCCAACTACAACTTTTCAATTTACATGAAATTCCATATGCAAAAATAACTAAATACATAAAATATTGATAAATTAGACTACATGAAACTAAAACAATTGCACTATAAAACACGATAAACAAAATTGAAAGACAACTGATAAACAGGAAGAAAATGTTTGCACCATATCACAAAAGACTAATATCCCCCAAATATAAAGAACTCCTAAATCGACAGCTAAATGACTAAAAACCTGATAGAAAAGGGAAAAAAAGACATGAACAGGAAATTCACCCACACACTTACACACAAACACACACACACACATGTATATATATGTGTATATGTAAAGATGTCCCATAAATATAGGAAAAATGCCTAAGCTCACTTATAATTAGAGAAATGCACATTAAAACAATAGCAAGATGCTGTTTTCTTCCTATGAAACTGGTGAAAATTTAAAAATATGACAACATATTCTTTTGGCAAGGCTGTGGGGAATTACTCCTCCTTATTGCTGATGGGAATGCAAACCAGTGCAAAAGGGGACTTTTTCAACTATCTAGCACAGATGTTATACAGATGAAACAGAAATGTATTTATTTTCTGGTGATATTTGGGAGAAGGCTGCGTTACGATGATGTTTCTGGAGGTCACTGGTAATGTAAGTTATATTACATAAGATTATACAACTGACATTTATAGCTACTTGAAATACTTTCCCAAACTTTCCCTTATTGATTGTCTTTAAGGAAATATAGTCATGTTCAGGGAGTGTCAAAATGCCAGCCATCTCCATTGTTACTGAAACTATTTCTGCTTCCCTCCTACTCTCCACCTGATTCAGAGATCTGACTTACTTTCTACAAGAAAATAGAGCTATAGAGTCATATAACTCAGAGCTGAAAAGACCTTTAGAGATGATCTAGCCCATGCCTGAATGATTTAGAGGAGTAAATGAGGCCCAGAGAGGGGCAATGACTTGTCCAGGGTCACACACTGAGCCAAGACTGGAAGAAAAGGGTCCTGACCAGAATGCTCCATATCTCTTGCAAGATATGTGTAAATTACCAGACACACAGTAGGCATGCAATATATGAGAGCAATAACAACCATTTATTTCAAAGGGTGCAAGGGTTCCCAATTTCATTCCATGAGAGGAATTTGTGTTTTAAGTATCAAATTGAGGAAAGCATACACTCTATTTCTGTAATCATTAATAATATTTCTCCCAGGGTTCTCAAGTAGCAGGCATCCATTAGCACTTAACAGCTATAACATCATGAGAAGGCATCAACGGAGTAGTGACTACTAAATTTCAGTCCAGCTCTATTATCTTTTCCTCTTGATAGTTTGACTTCGAGCTTTAGTAACTGTGGGCCTGCACTGGGCCTGGAGCCTCCATTTCAAAGGAGGCTTGTGGTTGCACAGTGCACAAGGATGCATACCGAGGGAGGTAATGGGAGCTAGAATCCAGCGTATGATCTGCTAACTAAACCTGGAGCCCTTGCTTGGGACTGTCTTTTCCCAAGGAAGGGGGACTTTGTTCTCCCAAAGGCTGTCTACATGTGCCTACAGAGTTGTGTCTACCTTGAGGGGAGAGCTTATTAATTCACACAGAGGTGCTGTATAAGGTAATGGAGGCTGATATGGTTTGGCTGTGTGTCTCCACCCAAGTCTCATCTTGTAGCTCCCATAATTCCCAAGTGTTGTGGGAGGAACCCGGTGGGAGATGATTGAATCATGGGGGCGGGTCTTTCCCGTGCTGTTCTGGTGATACTGAATGGGTCTCACGAGATCTGATGGTTTCGAAAACAGGAGTTTCTCTGCACAAGCTCTCTGTTTGCCTGCTGTCGTCCACATAAGATGTGACTTGCTCCTGCTTGCCTTCCTCCATGATTGTGAGGCCTCCCCAGCCACGTGGAACTGTGAGTCCTATTAAACCTCTTTCTTTTGTAAGTTGCCCAGTCTCGGGTATGTCTTTATCAACAGCATGAAAATGGACTAATACAGGGGCTCTGGTTAGAATTAAAAACCAAGTCTGTCTAAATATAAAGCCTGTGTTTCTCCATCTTTACTCAGAAAGCTATGTTTTTATTTATTATTTTTATTTTTTAATAATTTAATTTTTATGGGTACATAGGTGTAAGGGCTGTATTTTTAAATCTTAACCCAGGAAGCTAGAAGATTTTATAGAATATCTGCTCCAAATCTTACCCTTTATAGACTATAATTTTGGCCCCTTATGATTAAGTGCCCTGCACATAATCCCACAGTACATATACCTTGCTCTGAAGGTATCATTCAGTGTATTTCTGGAAAAAAAGGAAGTCTTTAATTTTTCAAATATTAGGAAGTCTCTAGGCCTTGAGACATACTGTTCAGGCAGGATTCTTTTAAGATGCCAAAAACATACTTTCAGCATTCCTTTGTTTTTATAAAGCCTTTAAAAATATCTGCCTGGAAATTTATACTAAGTCTTCACTTAATTCAAGGCAGTGGATATTATAGCTTATTTGGGGACTCCAAACTTGAATTTTGGGGTTTTAATGTGACACAATAGTGTGAACACGGTTTGGGTATGGATGAATCTTGGTTATTTCCTGGTGCTTTTTCGAAGTAGTTTTATAACTCTGGGCTGGCCATTTAACTCCACAAAGATGTATTACCTATTTTTTTTTTTCAGTTAATAGTAAATTATGATTGTTTTTCCATGTCATTATCGTGTTATATAATTATTTTTATGTCTGCATAGTATCATTGTGTGGCTCAACTATCAAAAGTAATCAATCTCCTATTATGGTTAGATGTCTGTGCTATTTCCCATAACTGTGATAATTTCTCTTATAGCTTTATCTCTGCAAGGCCTCTAATTCTGAGTGTTATTTTTCAGATGAAATCTGCCTACTCTAGATATCTATGACAATACCAAGAAATTTATTTAGCTCGGGAATTTCTAAATATGGAAAAATTAGTAACAATAGTTACTGTTTATTGAGTATCTACCAGGCGCTGGATCCCTTCTAAATGAATATTTTGGGTTAGGAAATGTTTCAAGATGGGCCTCACCAGCTGTTCACTTCAACTGTAGGGAAATCCAGTAGGAAGTGTGGTTGTGATCGCCATAGCCTCCTGGTATTCTGGCCAGTACAACTCAGCAGTAACATAAAATCCCAGGATACCAAATCAGTTTCAAAATGGAGTTCTTCTTCTAGGGAGGGTAGTTTTCATTTTGATCCAGTTTGTAAAGAGTCCTTTCTGGTAGTTAAATGCACATGCCGTTTCTCTCTTAGTTTCTTCTTTTCATTGTTCCTGGTTGCAGATATTAAAAACATATCATTAGCATAAGAGAAGAAACGTATTTCCCAACTCACTGTGGCATATATTTTACTCATCTATAAGTGGTAGCCGACAGCCAAGGATACATTTTAAGAGTATAAAAACCTTAGCCCTCATCCTTCTAAAATGAATACTTAGTCATTCTTAATTTCTGTTCTCAGCAATCTTCAGGATATTTGTATATATTTCCTAGTGTTGAGAAAATGAAGTATAAAAATTTATTAAGAGATGAGCCACAATAAGGAAGATGCCAGCAAGCATGCTCAGAATGGTGCAATGGTGTGCATTTGTCTCTTCCACTCTACTTAAACCTCAAAACTCTATGCTAGTTTCAGCTCCTGCTTTCTTTGATTGTATTTTAAAATGAGGCAGCTAGGTAGATTGACTGTCCCATTCACCTAAGTAGTAAATGATGTTTGTGTGTTCCAGAGCTAGAGGAAGTTTGGGCTTTCTGTGTGATGCACATGTTGCAATCATATATACTAATGCCTGCATACTCCCTCTGCATACTAATGGCAGAGAAAAGCTATTTTGAATGAGAATATTTACATTCAGAACCTGGAGCCTTTTAGAAAAATAGTAACAAATTTTGATAAATTTTCAATCTGTGGGCTTTCCTACATTTTTATAGAACATGATTTAGAGATCCCAGCTGAGGAGCCTATGATAATAGCTCATCATTATATAGCATAGATTGCATTCAGTTATTCATTTGTTCATTCAACAAATATTTATGAAACACATGGTATATGCCTTTTCACCTGTAATAAAAATTAGAAATCGGATTTTCTGACTTAAGTGCCAAATGCATTTGCTACAGAAAATAAGGTGATTAGAGAGAGATGTTAGCATATGGCTAGTTGGAGCCAGGGAGCAGATGATATTCACAGCAGGAGTGAGTATAGAGAAAGAAGAGGAAGGTGTTAACAAAGGAGATTTTGGAAGACCAAGATTTAGGCAAGGAGTGTAGATGTAAAAGAGTCCACCAAGGAAACTGTGAAAGATAATATAGTGAGTTAGGTGGAAAATGATTCTGCTTGTTGTTGGAAACTAGGGAACAGGTGAAAACCAGAGAGAGCATAACTAAGCTGTACAAATCAAACTATTATTTTTATGTGTAACAATAAAACAATGGGCTGTTTTTATTATTGTAATGATAAAATTCATTCCTATCCTCCAAGGTATTGTAGGTTACAAAGGAAGTCATATAGATTATGTTTTTGTCCCCTCATCAACATTGAGAATGAACTCACAAATGAATAGCGTGTTTTATATATGCTTAGTTTATCATCAAAATGTACATGTATTTTATAGCCAAAAGCTGCATAATAGCCGTTAAGAAAACAAATGTTAACTTCACCATGATCCCTAAGAAATTTCCAATATGAGTTCAATAATTCACTGATTTTCCCTGATATATCTGACTAACATTATCATCAGCTAATTTTCCAGTGTTAACATTTTTTATACATCATTTGGATCAGAACTTTATCTACTATCTGAGTCATTAAGAAGTCATTTTGGTCAGTATTAAGATTATTCAACAAAATGAACATCAGCCAAAGCTTTACTTTAGCTGAAAATTATCCAATTTTGAATTTTAAAATTTAATTAAATGAATTTAAGCCATGAATTCCCTCTGTGGAACTGCACATCTGGAGCTACTTGCAGGATTTGCACCTTCCATTTTGCTGCTTATGCTGGTTGCAGCAGTTCTGGCAGAGTATTCAGAATAACCCAGAGGCTTATTAGTAGAGTAGGAACAGAGTCTAAGAGTGAATACTATAAGGAAAGGGAAAGGATGGGGCAGAGCAAACAGTGACCCAGGGAGATCGGAATACTTAAAATAATTAGATTTCTAGAAAAACTGAATGCTTACTCTCACATCTGCCAACACTGCTGCTACCTTTATGGATGTGACACAACATTTGTGCTATACTTCAGAGAAATCTTAGAGACATTTTCTGTCTCTTGCCAGTATCTCCAGTTCTTCAGTATGTAGAGGAACTGAAGTGTGGCTGGGCCATTTAACTCCATACATGCCTTCAGAATGATTCATACATTTACAAAGCTATGTCAGTCTTCTTTCTTCTGAAGGTTTTTCAGGTTTTGTTTATTTTAAATATTTGTTGCACAAGCAACATTATAACAGTATTAAATATTTGGTATGAAGAGATGGTGAGGTAATAGATGATTATTAAGAATGTTCTATTTCTGTTAAATTTCTGTTTCCTTCCTATGACTATTTTGATATAATTTTTATAATATCATGTGACAAGATAATCTAATAACACATTTCTATTTTTAAAATGGATTCAATGGGAAAATCAGGTTGCTTTATAGAAATTTATTCTAGAGCAAATTTATTTAGTTGGTATGTCAGCCTACTCTTTAAAAAATGTTTCCAGCTGGATGCAGTGCTGTGCCCCTGAACTCCCAGCTACCTGTGAGGCTGAGGCAAAAGGATTGCTTGAGCCCAGGAGTTCAAATTCAGCCTAGGCAACATAGTAAGACCCCGTCTTTAAAACAATTTTTAAAATGTTGCCATTTTGTGGGAAAATGTACCCTCCTTCCTCCCATGTTGGGGTAATACATGCTGCTGCTGAAGCCCAGTAGAGGGCAAGTGCATAGTGTAGTGGAAGAAATTCAGGCTGGGGAAGTGTGAGGTAATGGCACATAGTTTCAATTCCTGGCTCTGCTATTCACTCATTGTTCGATCTTAGACCTGGCTTAGTCCTCAGTGTTCTCATGAGCAAAATGAAAGAAATTGTGATAGATGAGTTCAAAGTGCTGCTTTAGTCGTAATTACCATGATCAGACATGGAGATGGAGCTGAACTCCATTGCTCTTATAGGGCAAAAAATTAAAAACAAACAATCCTACCATTGGTACATTTCCAGGCACATAGACATAGGAGCTAGTCTATTTGGGTTTGAGTTTTATCTCTATCATTTACAAACTATGTGACCTTAGTTGGCTTTGTTAACTTCCCTATGCCCCAGTTCTTCATCTGTCAAATGAGTGTAATAATAATGCCAAGTTGTCTGGTTGTAAAAATAAAATGAAGTAATGCATGTAAAACCGTCAGATTCAACAGTCGATTATAAACAGTGTGCTGTTTGCTGTTTTTTTCTTCAAGTAGCCAAGTTATATGATATTTATATAGACCACATATGCCAGCAGTCTTTTCACCTTTCAAGGCATCTTGTAGAAAAAAAGTCACGTTTAATTTTATTACCAGATGGCTTTTATTTATCAAAAATGATAGTCTCTCCTAATAAAATTATTCCAATGCTAGGCATTCTGCTGAGAAAATAATATTTTTATTTACTATTTACTTATTTTCTAACAACAATAGTTTGAGTAATAACCCATTTCTTTAAGACTAAGTGATAAGACACTTAGGCAAATTAGGAACCACATTCAGTAATCACTCATATTTGTTAGGTAACCATTGTCTTGGGGTTTGAGAATAGTCCAGTGTGACCTTGTGCAAAACCTGGAAGCACTTTCAGGCTCTTCCAGCCTGTTGGACTACTGATATATCTCATCTTCTCAATTGTACTCACAGAGGTTGGTAGGGTATTTAGATTAAGGATCACTTTTATTTTTAATCTCTGTAATAAACAAGAATGATTGAAGAGGTGTTGTCACAGGAGACTCCATCCTGTTTAACAGGAATATTAGGTAGGCAGGGGCATGGTGGAAAGCCATAGATAGAGACAGCTGACTTGAATCCTCTTCCCATCTCTGCCACTATTCACTGTCCTCTCCTCTCTGTGTGTTTCTGTAAAACTCTGTGATTCTATGAACCTTGTTAACTTAGCTGGTTAAAAACAAACAGAAACCAAAACCAAAATCCAGGACATCAGTTCCTTTCTGTAAATCTGCGAAACATTTAGTTGCTTGTCACAACATATTCAGTGTGATCTAGACACAGCCTAAACTTTTCCTTCCACATAGGCCTAATGGAGGATGTTGATGTTTTGTTTCCTTACTTCACAGAGGTGTCATGAGGACAAGCATGAAAAAAGTAGGGATGCATCATTTGAGTTCTTCAGGAGGAAGCTACTACCTAAGTAAGAGACATTAGTATGATTAAGTGTGATGTCATTAATATTCCCCCAAACTGCCTTTATCCTATTTGTACTGTAGGTAATTTTTGTGACTGGGGAACATCCCCAGTTGTATTTTCATTTTAATGAGAAATGATGACAGTGTTGCCTCATTGCTCTTAAAAAATACAAAAATTAAAACACACACACACACACACACACACACAGAACTGACATAGGACCTCAGTACATTTTTACCTTTACCTTGCTGCTGCTGCTTTTCTCCTCCTTCTCCTCCTCCTCCTTCTCTTCTTCTTGTTCTCCTCCTCCTTCTCTTCTTCTTCTTCTCCTCCTTCTTCTTCTCCTTCACCTTCTCCTCCTTCTCCTTCTTCTTCTTCTCCTCCTCCTCCTCCTCCTCTTCCTCATCCTCCTCCTCCTCCTCCTCCTCCTCCTTCTTCTTCTTCTTCTTCTTCTTCTTCTTCTTCTTCTTCTTCTTCTTCTTCTTCTTCTTCTTCTTCCTCTTCTTCTTCCTCTTCTTCTCCTTCTCCTTCTCCTTCTTCTCCTTCTCCTTCTTCTCCTTCTCCTCTTTCTCCTCCTTATTCTTCTTCTTTCTTCTTCTTCCTTTGTTTGACAGAGTCTCACTCTGCCGCCCAGGCTGGAGGCTGGAGTGCAGTGGTGCAATCTCGGTTCACTACAACCTCCGCCTCCCGGGTTCAAGCGATTCTTCTGCCTCAAACTCCTGAGTACTTTGTACTACAGGCATGTGCCACCATGCCCGGCTAATTTTTGTATTTTTAGTAAAGATGAGGTTTTGCCATGTTGGCCAGACTGATCTCAAACTCCTGGGCTCAAGTGATCTGCCCGCCTTGGCCTGCCAAAGTCCTGTGATTACAGGTGTGAGCCACTGTGCCCACCCTACCTTGCTTCTTCTTAAAAAACAAAGCAAAACAAAACCATAAACAAAATGCTGAGGTTTCTTCTAGCACTGGTCTTTATTGCTCACTAGTCAAAGCTCCTCATTTTTTGCAATTTTGGTAAGAATACTTACCATGAGACCTTTCTTTTTAAACACATTTTAAGTGCATTCTACTGTATTGATAACTATAGGCAAAATGTCGTATAACTATAGGCAAAATGTTAAACAGATCTCTAGAACTTAATCATCTTTCATAACTGAAACTTTATACCAGTCGAATGCTGAACACTATCCCATTGTACGTCTACACCAAGTTTTCTGTATTCATTCATTTATCAATGGGCATTTTGGTTGTTTCCATATCTTGGCTGTTGTGAATAATACTATAATGAACATGTGAATCCAAATATCTTTTCAAGATCCTGATTTTAATTCTTTTGTGTAAATACTCAAAAATGGTATTGCTAGATCATATGGTAGTTCTATTTTTAATTTTCTAAGGAACCTCAATACTGATTTCCATAGCAGCTGCCCCATTTTACGTTCCTACCAACAGTGTATATAGGTTCCAATTTCTCAGCATTCTCACTAACACCTGGTAGTTTTTGTTTTGTTTTGATAGTAGCCATCCTAACAGGTATGGGATGATCTCTCACTGTGGTCTTGATTTACATTTCCCCAGAAATAAACTCATATATATATATATATATAAGATCAACTTATCTTTGATAAGGGTGCCAAGAATACACAATGGGGAAAGAATAGCCTCTTCTATGAATGGTGCTGGAAATACTGGATAGCCACATGCAAAAGAATAAAATTAGACCCCGTCTCCCACCACTTGCAAAAATCAACTACAAAAAGAGTCTTAAATGTAAAATATGAAACTGTAAAACTCCCAGAAGATAACATGGGGAAAATGCCTCTTGACATTGATCTTGGCAATGATTTCTTAGATATTACACTAAAAGTACAGGCTACAAAAGCAGAAATAAACAAGTGGGATTGCATCGAAGTAAAAAGCATCTGTACAGCAAAGGAAATAATAGAGTGAAAAGGCAACGTACAGAATGAGAGAAAATATTTGCAAACTATATATCTGATACGAGGTTAATATCCAAAATATGTAGAGAACTCCTACAACTGAATAGCAAAAAACAAATATTGCCATTTAAAAATTGGTAAATTGCTTAAATAGACATTTCTCCAAAGAAAAAGACATACGAATGGCCAACAGGCATATGAAAAGATGTTCACCATCACTAATCAACAGGGAAAGGCAAATCAAATCCCATTTTAGAGATGGAGAAATTGAGGGTCAAAGAAGAATGTTATTTGCCCAAAGACTCTAAACTATCTGGTGGCAGAGCCTGGATGAGAACCTTGGCCTTCTGATTCCTTGGGCGTACTTTTCCCACTCCAGTTTGTGCTGATGACTGCTCTGCCACTAAATCATGTGTATTAAAGTTTCTCTTCTACCAGTCTGTGAGGGCATGGATTCTATCATATTTAGCTGAAATGATTATTTCTTCAGCCTTTCTTGTGCAACTTCCTCTATGAATCCCTGAGTCTGCATGCAGAAATGCGTTACTGAAATGCAGAAGCCGTTTTCCCCCACTAGTAATAATCTGTTCCTCATTCAAATACACACCTTCTGAGCTGGGGTTTTGTCCTCTTTTGTTTTCTTTAACATAGATGTGTCCTGACTATGTGGAGGGACTGGAAAAGGAAAATAACGTTTCACAGGAGAAGGGCTGAGAATATTGTTAAAGCACAGACAATGGTGGAGCTTGAAATCAGAGAAAAAAAATACAGTATAATGGCTCCCTGTCCCTTGTAGCATTCCATCTTTCAGCTCTCACCATATTCCAAGCACAACTACGTCCCTTAACAAAATCATATCCCTGAATCCTGATGATACCCAACAACTCAGATAAATTTCCCAGACCTGTTCCCAACCTCTCTCTGGTCACACCTGCATTCCTGACCTTAACGACCTTCTCCCAACCTTGATTATATCCTTCAACCATAAAAAGCCACTTGAGCTGAGGCCATTCTACCACATTAATCATGTCCTCCGCTGTTAGTTATACTTCTATCCTCATGCTCGCTAAAGTGGCCACACAGCAATAGTATTTAACACACCCTTTCTGACTCTTCTTCCAAGCCTTGTCAAACTGCTTGGCTCTGATCAGATGTCCAGTGTGATCCTTGATTCTGAACACCAACTGGTGACTGATTCTGGGAGCCAGATTAAGGCAGGCGGTAAGAGCAAAGGAATTGGATGAACCAAGAGATATGTGGGAGAGAGAGAGAAATAAGATGTGAGAAAAAGGGTAAGGGGACTGAGTATGAGAAGGGCTTCATGGCATGGCCACCAAGTCTAGAATTAAATGTCTTTTGCTTGTGGGTGGGTATTGAGAATGAGTTTAATAAGGTAGGCTGGTTCCCAATTTTTACCTCTCTGTGAACTGTGGTCCAAATGGGCTGGGCTGTTGGACTGTATCACCTGAGCCTGATGGAGCAGGCTGATTGAGCATTTTCTGGAACGCTGTGTGGGTGAATGATGATGTACAGAATATGTCCTATCCATCCTCATTTCTTCCCATTCACTCCTAGCATGTTGGTATATACCTGACATATCATGGTTGCTCAAAATAGGATCATTTCTTCAGAATAATTCTTGCATTCCTTAGTATGGCATATAGAGCCCTGATTCTCAACTGCCTCATTTCTCATCAGGATAACCCTCCTCCCTTGTGTTCGCATGTGTGTGTGTGTGTGTGTGTGTGTGTGTGTGTGTGTGTAAGCACACAATTTTGTTCCAGCTGTGTTTATCCAACGGGGCCAAGTTCTTTCACATCCTGTTGCCATTGTACCTGTTGTTTCTCTACCTAGAGTACCCTTTTCCTCTATTTTTTGCTCAGTCTTCCAGTCTTATCACAAGCACTACTTTGTCCAAAAAGCTTTTCTTATTGGCCCTAGAATCTCCTCAGATGTCCCTTTTCTGTGTTCTCATAGCATTCCACTCTTAAGGCATCATTGCCATAAGAATGAAATAAACAAAACTTGACAGTTTTGTTTCTGATTTCATCCCATATTGAACCATGAGCTTGTAGAGGGCAGGGACTGCATCTTATTTGTATTTTTCTACTCCTAGTGCTTAACCCAAGGCCTTGTACATATTAGGATTTCAATGTATGTTTCCTAATATGTGAATGGAAACCTTCCTCCTATTTATCTTCTCTGTTCTATTTGACTTTTTTGTTCACTTTCATTTTTTTGTCTGTAAACTGAATACATACATTAAGAAGTCACCAAAATGAATGGGCATCTACAAGCAAACCCTATTCATTCTTATCATCCAGAAAACAACCTGTATTTCTCCTAAACACAAATTTCTTCTATGCTTTCCTTGCCATTAATGCAAAAAAAAAAAAAAAAAAAAAACCACACTTCTGGAAGCATCCATAGTGATGACGATCATTACTATTCTCTGTATTCTCTGAAGATTATTAGAATTTATCAAGCAGCTGTTTCATGGGAAGAGTGTTAGCAATTGTATTGCATTTTGTAGCTAATTGCAGGAACAAAGTGTCAACTAATGCAAAATTTGGTTTTTAAAAGAAAACATTCTCTCCCTAATCAAGTCCTCATGGTAAAGACAACATGAAATTATTATTGATCATCACTCATGAGCCAGGAGAGAGATGAAGTAGTATATTCTTTTTGATTTCTACTTAAGAATTTGAAAGGTAGGATGCTACATGTTTCAAGGAGATTTGCAGAATCCAGTAATACAAATTCTGAAGACTGAAAATCAGGTAAGGTTTGGCTCGGGGATTAAAAGGAATGGGTAAAAAGTGCTTCTGAACATTAGAGAAGCCCAGACTGATAGAGATGGACAGACTTTTCAGAATATCTATTTTGGTGATCCTCAATTTCTCTTTTTGCTTATATCCCCTCTAAAAGGAAAAAAAACATTTTGAAAAACTACATAACTGTTCATACATCTTTATATTGAGATATATGTATATACATTTTAATCATGAGTTTAAATGGTTATGAAGGAAATAACTTTCAGCATATTGCATATTGATTATACATTTTAAGTACATTTTTATCACAGCCTTGGCATTACTCAATTAACTCATTCAGTTTATGGGAAATGTCTGCCATGTAACCTCAATAGTGAAACCAGTCCTCATTGTCAAACCAGCCTGCCAACTCAGACTGGCTTTCTGTTTGAAAGAGTCTGATTTCATTATATTCCCCTGTGACAAGCATCTCGCTACTGAATTCTAACATAAAGATAGGTAGCTAAGGTACAGAGCCTTGCCATGGTTTGTCACTTGGATGAGATAAAGGCACTGCCTCATCAATATTTCTTACCCAAACACTCTGCTTTGCTCTCCAGGGACTCTTTTTCAGGAGTCTCTGTGTCCTTGAATCCCTTCTTTGTTGTTTGGTACCCCAGAGGATCTTGCCCTCTGGTACAATGCTCCATACTAAAATTCAGGATGAGAAGTATGTCTGTCTCTCTTTTGTCAAATGGGAAAAAGGTCATTGTGGAAATTGAAATGGAAAAAAAAAGGAATATACAAATGGTAGGAAGATATACCAGGCTACTCACTCTTTGGAAAGTCAGATAACCAAATTTGCCTGCACATTGTTTACATGTACCCTAAAACTTAAAGTATAATAATAATATAAAAAAAAAAAGAAAATCTCTGATCTTATCTACTCCTCCCTTATTTTGTTGTTGGGCCAACTGATACCTCGAAAAAAGAATGGACTAATCCCAGGTACCAATGCTTGTTAACCAGTGGCAAAGCCAGTACTGGAATATAGGTATTTTCATTTCCCAACTAATGTGCTTCCTGCCTCATGGTGTCTCCTTAATCTGTCCTATATTCAAACGATTGTAATTTCTTTATCCAGTCACAGTGGGGTTTTTCTCATAGAAGAGGTCTGACCTTTACATTTCTTTACAGGGAGGTGTGTGTACATAGAGAATGCCAAGATGGTAGTTGTTTGTTTGTATGTTCTCTTACATTACTTGCAGTTGAAGCAGGTAAGGTGACTACTTAACAAGTCTTCATTCAAAAACCTGTAATTTGAGAAGCTTGCTCCATATTAGTGGAAAATGCACTTTTCATCATGGGGCCTAAATCTCTTGATGCTTATCATTTTTTTTGGAATAGTTTACTATTTACTTAATTTTGCTATTTTTGTAGATTTAGTTGTAAGGTCTCAAAGTACATAACTCTGTTTTTTACTCCATTATCTCAAAATCCTGTAAAACATTCAGTAATTTGGTCAAACTGCCTCAGTTCAGATATTGATCTGCCACCTGCTAGCAGTATGACTTTGGAGGCAGTGTTAACCTCTTGTTACTTCAGTTTCCCCCTCTGTAAAATGAGTTGTGATGATTGAATATATTATATAAATCTAATGCTTTGAAGTACCTGGTACAAACATAATAAGTCTTCAGTAAATGTTAACTATTGTTATCATCATTGTTGATTGAAACCATCAAGTAATCTAACATTAAGAACACCAGGGGCCGGGCGCGGTGGCTCGCGCCTGTAATCCCAGCACTTTGGGAGGCCGCGGCGGGCGGATCACGAGGTCAGGAGATCGAGACCATCTTGGCTAACACGGTGAAACCCCGTCTCTACTAAAAATACAAAAAATTAGCCAGGCGTGGTGGAGGGCGCCTGTGATCCCAGCTACTCGGGAGGCTGAGGCAGGAGAATGGCGTGAACCCGGGAGGTGGAGCTTGCAGTGAGCCGAGATCGCGCCACTGCACTCCAGCCTGGGCGACAGAGCGAGACTCCATCTCAAAAAAAAAAAAAACCAGGGCAGCTAGCCCATAGAGATTAAACAGGTTGGAAAGTAGATTAAATTTACACAGAGGCAAGTTATGAGGCAGAGAGAACAGACCTGCAGAAGGAAGTGGCCTGGCAGTGTTATGGACGGTCCATCAAGTCATGTCTGAAATAATGGTTTAGAACAATGCTGTCCACTGGAGCTTTCTACAATGATAGAAATGTTCTACATCCACACTTTCTGCTATGATAGCTGCTATTTGATATGATAGCCAGTTGTCACATATGGCTCTTGAGCACTTGAAATCCGGCTAATCTGAATAAAAAATGGAGTTTTTCATCGTATTTGATATTAATTAATGTACAGTTAAATTTATATGACGACATATAGTTAGTGGCTAACATTTTGGCCAGCACAGATCCAAGACTTCAGCTTTGCTTTTGTCAATTACCTTAAATCTTTGAATAGTAAACCAGCTTAAATAATTCATGAGAACAGTGACGGTAAGACTGTCTCTTCCAGCTCTGTCCATCTCTTTGTTACTCCTTCATCTCTTTTTCTCTAGCTCTGCTCCCATTTCTCACACTTCATCTGTGGTATCCTCCTTCATTACTCCATGTTTCTTTAAAGCCAGGCTCCTCAGCCAAATATATTTTGATACCTGTGCATGTATAGGTATGTTCTTACCAATTAAGGTCAGATATTCATGAGCAAGTATATGAAGACACTTATGGTGCAAAGGCCAATTTCTTAGGAATGGAATGTGATTGTGAGGAAGTTGCAAGCTGTGGCAAAAAGAAACCTTTTCCCACATTATTTTCATGTGAGGAATTACTGTCCATCAAGTTAGTATTGATTCCACTCACCTATTAAGTAGTAGATCATAGGCAAGATCATTTAAGATTTTGTAGACTGATGGCAAAAGCTCCCACTATTTACCAGAGCTATATAAAGATGACATTTCAATGCCTTCCTCATGTTATAACACACTATATTTTGAAAGCTTAAATAGTCCTTTAAGGGAAAGAGAAACACTTAATATACGTCAAGAAAACGAATTGCATTTAATGTGAAGAAGTACCGGCCAGACCACATGAAGTGAGCATCACTCATGTTGCTATCCAGGCACTGCTTTGGGCCAGTGTTCATCATGTGAACAAAGTTTCTGGACCTTCCAAAACTACCCTTCTCTACATTCCTAATATTCAGATTCAAAGAGTTCATTGTTAGTATTTTGATTATCTTAAATGTGCACTGAGTCATAGTTAATATCTTAAATGACTTGAACATTTGCTATTCTAACAGAGGCTAGTTTATAGAGCACTGTAAAACCTCTTTTTATTTATGGAATGCATCCATATTAAAATTATAACTTCAGCAGCTTTCTGTGGAGAAAATGGTGACTCTGACCTTTTATTCCATCTGACCACTGAGAAAAGGACTATAATTTCAACAATCAAATCTCAAATGTGTTATTGTGCCTATTTTCTTTTTGTAAAATGTCATTCCATCTATCATGCTAACAGCTCACCTTAATCCATTTTCAATGGGCTTTTTTGCAGAAAATTTGCACAAATATTTTAAAATTTCTCTATTTCAATAGCTTTTGGGGTACAAATGGTTTTTGGTTACATGGGTGAATTTTATAGTGGTGAAGTCTGAAACTTTAGTGCCCCCATCACCTGAGTAGTGTACATTGTACCCAATATATCATTTTTTATCTCTTGTCCCCCTTTTACCATCCCCCTTCTGAGTCTTTATAGCTCATTATATTGCTCTGTATGCCTTTGTATGCTCATAACTTAGTTTTAACTTATAAGCAAGAACATATGGTATTTGGTTTTCCATTCCTGAGTTACTTCACTTAGAATAATGGCCTCCAGCTCCATCCAAGTTGCTGCCAAAGACATTATTCTGTTCCTTTTTTATGGCTGAGTAGTATTCCATGGTGTATATATACTACATTTTCTTTATCCACTCATTGGTTGATGGACACGTAGGTTTGTTGTATGTCTTTGCAATTCACAATTTTTAAAAAATATTCTTTAAAATAGAGCTGTTGAAAGCTCTCACATGTTTCCAGCGTAAACGTATTTATTAACAATGATTTATTTGAAAGGTCAGAGGAATGTGAGCCTTGTTTCCGGTGGTCACAAGGGGCCAGGAGCATTCCCGAGTCCAGCGCATAACAAAAGTAATGCAGTGTCAGAAGACCAGACTGAAAACAGCAGTTGTCAATGAATGGACACTAATGCAATTCAGATTTTTAATTTGTTTTTCTATTAAGAGAAAGTGAGAAGTGTCCAATGAACAGTGGCTCAAAATCTAATACGCTTGGTCTTAGGCAACTCCCTCAAGCTCCATTTCCTATATAGGCCAAACTGCCACCTTCCCAGTATATTCACATTGCTGCCAGCTTAGGCTTCCTAAAACACAACATAGTGACCTTGAACTCTGATAATCTCAAACCTTCCATATTCATCAAAGTCCTTCACAATTTGCTCTTACCCTCATTCTCAACATTGCTTTTATTTTGTTCCCCTGCAGCCCCAGTGAACTGCTCTCAGTCCTGATGTCATTCCCCACACTTTTTTGCCATCTTTTGCTCACACCATTCTTCCTCCAAGGCCCTTTCTTTCCTCTGGATCTGTGACAAAAGAACTACCCATTCTTCTAATTGAAGTTCAAATCCTATCTACTCCAAGGAACCTTCTTAGAGCCCCCAGTAATACTGAAGGCCTTTCTTCTTCTTTTTTTTTTTTATTATACTTTAAGTTCTAGGGTACATGTGCACAACGTGCAGGTTTGTTACATATGTATACATGTTCCAAATGTCCATCAATGATAGACTGGATTAAGGCCTTTCTTCTTTACAGTTCTCTGGTTCTCTAACACTCTGGTGTAGTAGAAGAGCTGGGAATCAGAAATCCTGAGTTTGGATTCCAGTTCTGCCATTTTCTATGTACATGATCTTGGACAAGATAGTCAACCTCACTTTCTGAGCCTGTGCCATCAACTGGAAAATGGAGATAATAATGCCTTTCCTGCACATGTCACAGGCTTGCTGTGAAACTCAAAGGAGATAATGCATGTGAAAGCTTTCTATATACAGTGAAGTGCCATGCACATGGGGAGTATTATTGCTTTCATTATTGTTTTTCCATTGAAAAATCAGCCAAGGCTGCTTGAAGCAATTTGCTTGAATGGCACAGAAGGATGAAGTTTGTCAGTCAGTCCCTGAGCACAACCATCAAAGTGTCCCAGAAACTTCAGTATTTCAGCCTCCAAACTTTACTCTCCAGACTGCCTCTGGCACCACAAAAGAAATTGAAATCCTCAGTCTCACTATGTGTTCTGATTTAGGGTTTAAAAATTAGGGTGCCTGTAATTACAGCACTTGATTGCACTAGATATGAGTTTCATGAAAACAGGTACCGCATATGATTCATCTCTGTGTCTTCTCCATTGCTTAGCACCATGCTGATGCCAATCCATAGAATATGCTAATTCTCACAGTCTCCTTTACTGAGCTGTGATGAATGTAAGTATCTACGGATGTAATATATGTAACTGAAATCCTAGTTGTTAGATTACAAAACACGTATTGTGCCCATTTGATATGCTGTTAGACTTTTTCTCTTTCCTTTCTTTTCCTATGGAGTTGAATTCTCCTAACTTTCTTTAAATATTCAAGAATAGAAGACTTAGAACCAGAAAGAGGAGATAATGATTCAGTGAAAAGGCTGTTGAAAGGTAACAATCAGGTCACATAGTAGCTACTTGGCTGAACTGTAGAGATGAGTCTTCTGCAGGGTGGCAGTCTTGCCTGAGCCCTTGTTTCCAGGGTCAGGGGATCCTTGTAGGCTGTATTATAAAATGAATAAAATCACACCAGCCAGAGAGCTCCACTATATTTCCTGCTTATATCCTTTTAATCAACTCCTCATGTACCAAGCACCCAATAGTGAAGAGTCACAGGTAACCCAGTTCTGTTAACATTATAGTTTCCTTAGTTTCCTTTATTTTCCCCAAATTTGCTCTGTTCCTTATTATCCAATTCTGCATTCACCTGACTCCTGGCCTCTGACCCCTTGTCTTATTTTGTTTTCTGCTGCTATAACAGAATGCTGCAGACTGGGTAATTTATAAACAATAGCAATATATTTATTAGAGTTTTCTGTGCTGGGAAGTCCAAGGGCATGGTTATGTCATTTGGTAAGGGCCTTTTTGGTGTATCACAACATGGCAGAGGACATTACATGTTGAGAGGTCAAGAGTGCTTCAACTCAGATCTCTCTTCTTCTTATAAAGCTACCAGTCATATCATGGGGGCTCCACCCTGATGACCTTATCTAATCCTAATTGCCTCCCAACTATATACTGCCTACAAGAGACTCAAGTTCGCCTGTAAGAACATGCGTAGACTGAAAGTAAAGGAAGGAGAAAAGATATTTTTTGCAAATAGAAAACAAAATAGAACATGAGTAGCTAAACTCATATGATACAAGATAAACTTTAAGTCAAAAACTGTGAAAAGAGACCAGGAAGGCAATTATATAATGATAAAGGGGAATACAGAAAGAAGATACAATAATTGCAAATATACATGCACCCAACATCAGAGCATCAAACTGTATCAAGCAAAAATTAATAGACCTAAAAGGGAAGATAGACTGCAATATAATAGTAAGGGACTTAAACACCTCACTTTCAGCGATGGATAGATCATCTAGACAGAAAATCAACAAACAAACATTAGAGTTAAACCACATTCCAGATTAAATGGACCTAACAGACATTTACAGAACATTCTATTTAACAGCACCAGAATATACATTCTTAACAGCACAGGGAACATTCTCCAGGATAGGTCATATATTAGGCTGCCAAGCAAGTTTTAAAAATATTTTAAAAAACCAAAATCATATTAACTATATTTTCTGACCACAATGGAATGAAATTAGAAATCAATAACAGGAGAAGCTCTGGAAATTGTACAAATACATAGAAATTAAACAACATATTCCTGAACAACCAATGAGTCAATGAAGAAATTTAAATATTTCTTGAGACAAATGAAAATGGAAACACAACATACAAAAGCCTATGGAATACAGCAAAGGCAGCTCCAAGAGAGAATTTTATAGCAATAAATGCTTGCATTAAAAAGTAGAAATATTTGAAGTAAACAGCCTAACATTACACCTCAAGGAGCTAGAGAAACAAAAGCAAACTAAACCCAAAATGAGTAGAAGAAAAGAAATACTAAATATCAAAGCAAAACTAACAAAAAGGTCCTAAATAAATTATAAAGCTCAACAAAATTAAGAGCTTTTTGAAAAACTAAACAAAACTGACAAGGCTTCTACCTAGAAAAAAAAAATAATGAAGTAAATTATTCAGGATCTATAAGAAACTCAACTCAATAGCAAAAATAAAACTTGATTTAAAAAGTGGACAAAAGATCTAAATAGACTTTCTCAAAAGAAGACATACAAGTGGCTAGCAGGCATTTAAAAAAATGCTCGATATCGCTAATCATCACGTAAATGCAAATCAAAACTACAATGAAATATCATCTCACGCCCATTAAAATGGCTATTATGAAAAAGACAAAAAATAAAAAATGATGGTGAGGGCCCGGCACGGTGGCTCACACCTGTAATCCCAGCACTTTGGGAGGCTGAGGCAGGTGGATTGCGAGGTCAGGAGATCGAGACCATCCTGGCTAACATGGTGAAACCCCGTGTGTACTAAAAATACGAAAAAATTAGCCGGGCATGGTGGCCGGCGCCTGTAGTCCCAGCTACTCGGAAGGCTGAGGCAGGAGAATGGCGTGAACCCGGGAGGCAGAGCTTGTAGTGAGCCGAGGTCGCGCCACTGCACTCCAGCCTGGGCGACAAAGCAAGACTCTGATTCAAAAAAAAAAAAAAAAAATTCTGGTGAAGATGTGTAGAAAGGGAAATCCTTATAAACTATTGGTCGTAATGTAAATTAGTATAAGTCAACAGTATGGAAACTTCTCAAAAAAAAAAAAATAGAACTACCATATGATCCAACAATCCCATGACTAGGTATATATCCAAAGGAATTGAAATAAGCACGTTGAAGAGATATCTGCACTCCCATGTTCATTGCAGCACTATTCACAATAGACAAGATATGGAATCCACTTAAATGTCCATCAATGGATGAATAGAGAAAAATGTGATATACACACACACACACACACACACAATAGAATACTAGTGAGCCATAAAAAGATAAAATTCTGTCATTTATGACATGGATGAACCTAGAGGACATTATGTTAAGTGAAATAAGCCAGGCGCAGAAGGGCAAATATGATGTGATCTCACTTACATGTGGAATCTAAAAAAATTGATCTCATAGAAGTAGAGAGTACAACAGTGGTTACCAAGACTTGGGTAACCACTACTGGGGAGAGGTTGATCGATGGGTATGAAGTTACAGTTAGAAGTAATAAAATGTTTGTGTTCTATTGCGCAGCAGAGTGCTCAGTGAACAATAATGTATTGTATACTTCAAAATAGCGGATTTTGAGTTCATACCACAAAGAAATCACCTGTTTGAGGTGATGAACATACTATTGACCCTGATTTGACTTTTACACAATATATATGTATGTATCAAAGCATCACACTGTACCCAATACACATGTACAATTATTATATGACAAATAAAAAGAAAATATACCTTAAAAATAAAACAAAAGTAAAAAGAAATCCCACACAATGAAAAAAGTATATTTGTTTACCATATGTCTGACAAGGGACTTATGAAAAACTATTACAACTCAATTAAAAAAGACAACCAAATTTTTAAATTGGAGAATCTGTAGACAGTTTTACATAAATATGTGCAATTATTATTTGTCCGTTAAAAACAAAATAAAACTGAAAAACAAAAACCCTAGCAATTATTAGCACTTACTATGTACATGATACTGAGTTAACTGCTTTACATGTAACATTATATTTAATTCTAACAGTATTCCTTTGAGGTAGATACTGTTCCCATTTAACAGAGGAAACTGAGATCTAGAAAGGATAGTTAACTTGCCAAAAGCCATACAGCTAATAGGTAGAGGAGCCAGGAATTCAATCTATTTTTGACTCCAGGCCCCTGGCAATACCCTGTCCTATTTCTCACCAGGGAACCCTTGGTGTTGTGGGCCACTTTGGTCAGTGCTCCCCAGATTTGCATATATTCTTTTTCATAACTTAGAAACACTCAACTTCTGAAGTTTAGGAAATACAGTTCATCATGAACCCACTTAATCTTTGTTAACTGCGGAGACCAGGTTTTTGAATTTTACTCTTAACTCAAGTTGCCAATGAGTTTGCTGAAAGATTAAAAGACTAAGTGCTACCGTTGTGTGGTTATTTGAATTAAGCATCGAAGTGTAACATTTATCTATAAATTCTCAACTCTAGTGCCTAAAATCATTTTATTTCTTGTCATATTCGAAAATAGGATTTGGTTGCTGAAAAAAGTATGGAGAATAAGTGGGAATTTAGGAGAATCTGCAAGGCTTGTTGGAAACTCAAGCAGACGAAGACCAGTTTGGAAGTGATGTATTAACTCCTAAATGCATTTTTTGTTAGTCACTAGCAAATATCGTGGGTCCCCCTGGTGCTTTGTGAGAAGATAAATTTCTCCTGTAGGTGAATTAGGTATAATTGGAAACAATTGGACTAGAAGCATCCTGACGCGCTCTGGGTCAAAAGCTTTTCAGCAAGGCTGTTTTTAGGAGCGTCTGAATTGATACTGTTTCTGTAGCCTACCAATCTCCAAACAGAGTGACATATTGTTTTTCTTCTTTCTCCCCCTCCTATGTCATTGTGGAGAACAATATGGCAGTGCAGACATAGCATAGAGTCTGAGAACAAAGTGCATATCAGTCCCAGCTATGTCCCTTAGTAGCTGCGTGACTCACTGTAAAATAGGTCTTGATGCCCGCCCTCCTCTTCCTCCGCTTAATTATTTTTAAAAATACTTATTGAGTGCCAACCATGTGCCAGACATTGTGTTAGGCACTGTAGCTGCAATGGCGAATAAAACAGACATCATTCATGCACTCCTGAAACTAAAAATTTAATAGATTATATCTGCCTTCTGATCAGTAAGCCTACCATGAGGAATAAATAGGCGTGGTGGATGTAAAGTGCCCAAAACATATTTACTGTGTTCACAAAGTGTGAATTTCCTTTCCTTTTCTTCATTTTGGCATTATAACGTTAGCTGTAGATGGCATGTACATGCAGCATAGCATCCGGGGTGTGTACATGCACACACACAGACACGCACACTCAATTCTCTATAGCTTCACTTATTTTAGTCTAAGATTGTTGCCATTTTCATGCACAGCTATTATGGTAGGTGAGTCAGCCAATCAAAAACAGATTTGATTGATTTGCTTTGAGCTACTTGCCTGCCAACAAACGACAATGGCTGTATGGATATAGTCATTGAGTCAGGTGGCTTTATGGATTTCCATTGGTGTTAGACTTTTAAATTTAGTTTCTTGCTGCCTGTTATACACGGGAGGCAATGACAAGCTCTCAACTCTCTAATTTGCTGTAGTGGTGTGCTAATTAAAACACATTCCTAATACATTCCGTTTTGGATTCAGAGCCAGTGTTCTTATAAAACTATAACACTAGTAAGAAAAATGCACCATACTATCTTATGAGAAATTTCATAAATGTGACACCCCACAACCTTATTTTATTTTTCAGACATTATACAAGCTATATTGCAATTTTATGTCCTATTCGATTCTTCTCCACAAACTGCTTTGCCCTGTGTATTCCAAATTTTTGTAAGTGATACCACCAGATAAATCCAAAACCTAGAAACCAGCCTAGATGTTTCATTCTCTGTCACCCATCTCTCTAGATATGTCCTATCCCAAAGTTCCCTTGAGTTTGCTCCATAAATGTATCCCCATCCCCACTGCCACTACCTCAGTTCATGCTCCAGTTATCTCAAGGTTACAGCAATAACTTAACAGAATTCCTTACCTCCAATCAATCCCTCTCCTCCATCTTTCCTACTACCTATACTACAGAATAAGTCTTCTGACACACAGTTGACTGTGTCACTTTTCTGTTTTTCGAGTTTTTCAGTCACTCTCCATTGTCTGTGCAGAATAAAGCCCAAACTCCTGTGCGTGACATACAAAGGTCAGCCTAATTTGCCCCTCTCCCTCCAGTTTCAACTCTCATCAACTGTATTTATTTTCTAGTAATCCAAAATATGTATAGCTCCAGAATAAGGCATTTACTCATTCAGTGGATATTTATGTGCCAGGTACTTGTTTAGATACTGGGTATATTGCTGTGAGCAATACAGACAAAAGGCCCTTTCTTCATAGACTTTACATTCTGTGAGAGAAACAAACTAAATGGATACATTATTTCTACAACTTTTTTGTCTTTACATATGCCATTTCCTCTGCCTGAAGTAATTTTCTCACTCCCCATTTCTCTAAAAATTGCCTAGTCCTCTTTCAGAAAATCAGCTTGCAAGTATGACATCTAAGAGAGATTTCAGCCTGCTTTCATCTTTTCTCTGTATCTTTTCAGAGTTTCACTATAGCTTCTGCTTTGCTGTTGTTTCTCATTATTTGCATGTCAGAACCCTCCCTCGTGGCATTCTCTATTTAACAGGACTATATCTTTTCTACTCTGTCTTCACAGTACTTGGCACTGTTGTAGCACTTAGTCAGGAAACAGAAAAGATGTTTGAGTCCATGAAAGCCTGGAAGGCAGGGAAGAAGAAAGGAGGAAGACAGAAAAAAGGAAATAAAAAGGAGAGAGGGATGGGGAGAAGAAGGGAGAAAGTGAGGGAGGGAGAAAAGTCAATTTAGTTTCATTTCTCCTTGGTTTGGAAAAGGTATAACTAGTTTTGTATTATGACCCAGTAGGATTGCATAGTCAAGAAAGTGCCACTAAATTTTGCAACTTATATTTCCTTAAAAGTATGGGAGAAATGAATATTTCCCTTTGCGGTTTGGTTTATTAATCATTATCCTACAAGTTAATATTAAACTAACAAATTAAATGAAATCTCCATCACACACAGGTGAATTAATCTTTGCCTTCATATCTTCTTGCTATGTAATAATTGTCAGAACTTGCAAGAGGTATATTTTTATGTTATTTTAATCATGTTCCTGAGGGGCATCAAGGTGAAATAGAAAGAGCAGAGTTAGGAGATATGAAGTCGAGTTTGGGTTCTGCAACCTAGTAGCTGGCCGAATTAGGGGAAGCATTTTCACTGTGGGGAGCTTTAGTTTTGTCGTCTGGAAAAGGAAGGAACCAGAATGACTGCTCACTGTACTGTTTCCAGTTTGCCTCTTCTCATTTTAGTTTCCTGCTTGCAGGAAACTTTACAAACATACTAATTGAGTGATGATCAGTTATAGACTGCCTTAGTTTCCATTTCATCTCCTCCACAAGGTACAGCCTTGTATTCTCCTGTGGCTATAAATAAATCCCATCATAGCCTTATATTCTGTTTACTGTATTTTGTCTTGACCTTTACCAAGGGATAGATTCTGAAGGCATTATGCAGTTGGATCAAATGGCTTGTATTCAAAATTGTGGCTTGAGTCTCTCCACCCAGATGTCATGGATGTTGATTTCCCTGGTGTCTTAATCCACCCTCCCCGCAGGACTTTCCATCTTCTTTAGGCCTCTTTCCCTTTATCCACTGCCTTTCTTTGCTGTAGCCTCCTTGTCCAGTTTTACTTTACTTCCCTAAGGTTTCTGTAACATTGGAAGACCTGCCACCTGTGACTTCTGTGTCACAAAACATTGTTTTTTCTTAATGGCTCTCCTTTTTAGAAGATGAGAAATTTACGTTTAAATTGTGTGCATTGAGCTTAGTGTGCAATGATTTTTTGTAAGCCAAGAAAATCAGGAAGAACCGCAAAGGGTAAGGGATGGAGTCTTCAACAAATGGTATTCGTTAATTTTCTGCCCATTAAGGGACATAATCTAATTAAATTCTTATCCTACAACATAGACAAAGTGAATTCCTGCTGTATTAAAGAGTTAAATATAAAAGAAAATGAAATAGTAAATATCAGAATAATGTGGAATATTTAACAATTTTGGGGGGCAGGGAGCAATTTTGGGGGGTTGTATTAGTCTGTTCTCAGGCTGCTATAAGGACATACCCAAGACTGGATAATTTATAAAGAAAAGAGGTTTAATTGACTCACAGTTCCACGTGCCTGGGGAGACCTCAGGAAACTTAAAATCATGGTGGAAGGCACCTCTTCACAGGGCAACAGGAGAGAGAATGATGACTGCTGAGCAAAGGGGGAAGCCCCTTATAAAAATGTCAGATCTCATGAGAACTTGGCTATCACAAGAGTAGTATGGGGGAAACCACCCCCCATGATTCAGTTATCTCCACTTTGTCCCTCCCTTGACAGAAGAAGATTATTACAATTCAAGGTGAGATTTGGGTGGGAGCACAGAGCCAAACCATATCATTTCACCCCTGGCCACTCCCAGATCTCATGTCCTCACATTTCAAAACACAATCATGCCCTTCCAACAGTCCCCCAGAGTCGTAATCCATTCTAGCATTAACCAAAACTCCAAGTCCAAAGTCTTATCTGAGACAAGGCAAGTCCTTTCTGCCTATGAGCCTGTAAAATCAAAAGCAAGTTACTTACTTCCAGTTACAATGGGCATACAGGCATTGGGTAAATACACCCCTTCCAAATGGGAGAAATTGGCCAAAACAAAGGGCCTACAGGCTCCACACAAGTTCGAAATCCAGTGGGGCAGTCAAATCTTAAAGCTCTGAAATGATCTCCTTAGTCTCTCATCTCACATCCAGGTTATGCTGATACAAGAGGTGGGCTCCTACATCCTTGGGCAGCTCTGTCCCTGTGGCTTTGCAGGGTACAGCCCCCTGCCCTGGCTGCTTTCACAGCTGGCATTGAGTGTCTGTGGCTTTTCCACGTGCACAGTACAAGCTGTCTGTGGATCTACCATTCTGGGGTCTGAAGGACAGTAGCCCTCTTCTCACAGCTCCCCTAGGCAATACCCCAGTGGGAACTCTGTGGGGGTGGGGGGAGGCTCCGACCCCACATTTCCCTTCTGCACTGCCCTAGAAGAGATTCTCCATGAGTGGGTCTGCTTCTCCCAGTCCACTCACTCAAATGTTAATCTCCTTTAGCAACACCCTCATGGACACACCCAGGAACAATACTTTGCATCCTTTAATCCAATGAAGTTGACACTCAGTATTAACGATCACAGGGGCATTTAAAGCCAAAGCAGAAATCACAAAGAAAATGACTGATAGATTTGATATATCAAAATGTAAAACAAAAATAAAAACCAAAGCTTTCATTCATCAAAACATCAAAAATAAAAACATTTTCTTTACCACTCCCTTTCATGGGCTATAGATATCAAAGGGACTTCTGGATTTTATTCAGGGCCAGCATCATGGGTGTTTGGCCTGTGTAGTCGCACAGGCCACCACACATGGAAGGATCCTGTGATTGGTTCAATGCTCTGTTGTATCCATCTTGACATTCATAATTTTGGAACAAGGGACATTTCATTTTTTTATTTTGTACTGGGCCCCACAAATTGTGTAGCCAGTCCTGAGTCTCTTGAATCATTCTGGAACCTCCCTGCTCATAGTGAAATTTTTAATGACAGGCCCATTTGAATGATGCTTGGTGAAAGAATGCAAGAAACCACTTGCTCAATAACATTGGACTTAAATGAGAATATAGACGGGCACCTGGATGTTCATTACCTTGTCAGTGTACCAGATACCCTGATATCCATTCACTTATTCCTTCATTAATTTAGCAAACATTTTTCAAGTCCATCCTTTGTGTCAAGCACTGTGCTAAGCATTGGGGATACAGTGGTGCACAAGATGGATTCAGTCAGTGCTCTAAAGGAGGCAAGGTTGTAGGTGAATAGATGGCAATACCACATGATAGAAAGTGTAGGAGCCCAGAGCAGGGGCCCCTAACACAGCCTGAGAGATGAGTAAGGGAGTTGACATCTAAACGAACTGAAGGGGTAAAGGAAGTGGAGGTGAGAGGCATATCCTGGGGAGGCCATTTAGGCCAAGGAAACAGCATGTCCTCCTTTTGTTCTTTCATCATTCTTTCATCAGCAGGGCAAGGATCTTAACCTGCCCTGGGAATTCATCAGGTTAAGGGTCAGGTGTGTATGGAACAGCTGGCTGGCCTCTTCTCGGGAAGTTTATGCCCATTCCAAGCTACCTATTGTACTTGTCTCCTGGAATAGGTGGTGATGTAGTTTGGATGTTTGTTCCCTCCAAATCTCATGTTGAAATGTGATCCTCAGTGTTGGAGGCGAGGCCTGGTGGGACATGTTTGGGCCATGGGAGTGGATCTCTCATGAATGGCTTTGTGGTACCCCCCAGCCCCATAAATTAGTGAGTTCTCACTCTATTAGCTACCTGCAAGAGCTGGTTGTTGAAAGGAGCCTGGCACCCCTCCCGTCTCTCTGGCTCCCTCTCTTACCATGTGATACACCAGCTTCCCTTCACCTTCCACCATGAGTGGAAACTTCCTGCAGTCCTTGCCAGAATCAGATGCTGGCACTACGCTTCTTGTACAGCTGCAGAACTGTGAGCCAAATAAACCTATTTTCTTTACAAATTACCCAGCTTTGGGTATTCCTTTATAGCAGCACAAGTCGACTAAGACAGCTGGAATTACATACTGTTTGATGTCTGAAATGTCCTATGGAAGAAGAAAGGATAAATATCCACTGTGCCCCTTATCTCTAAGACACCTGATCACCCCCTCTGGATATTTTAAAAATCCTAGATTTCAAATAGACTTTTACTCTACCAAAATTTCTGTGATCCCTGGAAGACCTAGCCACTATTTTTAGCTTGCAGGACATAGAAAAATAGTGGGGGGTCAGATTTGTACCATAAGCCATTGTTTGCTGATTTCTGATTTAGAATTAAGTTGCCTCAGGCCACAGATCCTTTATTTGCATTGGCTTTCCCTCTGCTTGGAAAACTCTCCCTCAACCTGTTTCTGTTGTAGGCCTCTTCTCTCAGTGAATCCTTCTTTCTCTACAGACTTGCCTAAACTGATTTTTCTGCTGCTGTATGTCTCTGTAGTATCCTTGGGACTTTCTTATCAACTCCTACATTGTTTGCTTAATGTTTAAGTCTCTTTATACACTGAAGACTTAATGGAAGAAAAATTTACAGTTGCCTATTATTTGAACAGTTCAAGTCAGTCTCCTAGCCCACTGCCTGGCTGAGTGTAGCTGCTCAACAAGTATTTGTTAAGTGTACATATGAGTGCAGTATTACTGTCCCCATTTTTCAGATGATGAAACTGAGGCATAGCTAGCTGATTGGGACCACACTAAAAGCTATTAGATAGTAGAATAGAAATAATTTTCCAGTTAACTACACTGCTTTTTTAAACATTCAAATAGGATGCTTAGAAATAGGACAAAGAAGACAAATTAAATAGGACTTTCAGTAAGCAAAACACTAACCATGAAGATTATATTTTGCTACTCAGTAGGCTGAGGCGGAAGTACTTCTTGAGCCCAGGAATTCAAGACTAGCCTGGGCAACATAGTGAGACTGTCTAAAACCGAAAAAGATTGTGTTTGGTTTATGTTCTCCTTGCTCTCATGGCATATGCAATATAATAGGGGAGGTCAGATAACTGCATAGCAAATAAGTCTGACAGCCCAAGTTAGTAGGTGGCAAGTACCAAGAAGGTTTATGTGGGGCATGTGTTGCTGTGGCAAGGTGGGGTCAAAGAGAAAGTCAGAGGCAAGTCCTAAGCCAAGCCAGGGGAGTCACATAGGCCACATCCCTTCAGGATTCACTTCTGTGGACATTGGCTAGTCAATGCAAAGCAAACAGTAACCTCTAGAGCAGGTGTGAAGGGACACTCATGAACTTTTTCCCAGGTGATATGTTCCTCAAACTGCTGCAACTGCAGAATGCTGAGAGCTGTCCACCTGTGGGAATGGTCAGAGGGTCTTGCCAGGAGTGGCGTTCTAACAGATGCTCAAGAAGTTAGATAAGGGTTTTTCTGACTCATGAGAAAAGACTCTAGGAACCTGAAAGAGTTTAATTTTCCTACCAGTGGGTGATTTGGGACAGTCTCCTAATCCATCAGCAAGTGTTTCTTGAGGTCCTTACTATGTACCAAGAAAGTCAAATGGGGATTCTATTTCTGATGGCTGCACTTTTTTTTTTCTTTTTTGTTTTTTATTATACTTTAAGTTCTTGGGTACATGTGCACAACGTGCAGGTTTGTTACGTATGTATACATGTGCCATGTTGGTGTGCTGCACCCATTAACTCATCATTTACACTAGGTATTTCTCCTAATGCTATCCCTCCCCGTCCCACAACCCCATCACAGGCCCCGGTGTGTGATGTTCCCCACCCTGTGTCCAAGTGTTCTCATTGTTCAATTCCCACCTATGAGTGAAAACATGGCGGTGTTTGGTTTTCTGTCCTTGAGATAGTTTGCTCAGAATGATGGTTTCCAGCTTCATCCATGTCCCTACAAATGACATGAACTCATCCGTTTTTATGGCTGCATAGTATTCCTTGGTGTATATGTGCCACATTTTCTTAATCCAGTCTATCATTGTTGGACATTTGGCTTGGTTCCAAGTCTTTGCTATTGTGAATAGTGCTGCAGTAAACATATGTGTGCATGTGTCTTTATGATAGCATGATTTATAATCCTTTGGATATATACCCAGTAATGGGATGGCTGGGTCAAATGGTGTTTCTAGTTCTAGATCCTTGAGGAATCGCCACACTGATTCCCACAATGGTTGAACCAGTTTACAGTTCCACCAACAGTGTAAAAGTGTTCCTATTTCTCCACATCCTCTCCAGCACCTGTTGTTTCCTGACTTTTTAATGATCACCATTCTAACTGGTGTAAGCTGGTATCTCACTGTAGTTTTGATTTGCATTTCTCTGAGGACCAGTGATGATGAGCATTTTTTCATGTGTCTGTTGGCTGCATAAATGTCTTCTTTTGAGAAGAGTCTGTTCATATCCTTCGCCCACTTTTTGATGGGGTTGTTTGTTTTATTCTTGTAAATTTGTTTAAGTTCTTTGTAGATTCTGCATATTAACCCTTTTTCAAATGGGTAGATTGCAAACATTTTCTCCCATTCTGTTGGTTGCCTATTCACTCTGATGGTAGTTTCTTTTGCTGTGCAGAAGCTCTTTAGTTTAATTAGATCCCATTTGTCAATTTTGGCTTGTGTTGCCATTGCTTTTGGTGTTTTAGACATGAAGTCCTTGCCCATGCCTATGTCCTGAATGGTAATGCCTAGGTTTTCTTCTAGGGTTTTTATGGTTTTTAGGTCTGACATTTAAGTCTTTAATCCATCTTGAATTAATTTTTGTATAAGGTGTAAGGAAGGGATCCAGTTTCAGCTTTCTACCTGTGGCTAGCCAGTTTTCCCAGAACCATTTATTAAATAGGGAATCATTTCCCCATTTCTTGTTTTTGTCAGGTTTTTCAAGGATCAGATGTTTGTAGACGTGTGGTATTATTTCTGAGGGCTCTGTTCTGTTCCATTGGTCTATATCTCTGTTTTGGTACCAGTACCATGCTGTTTTGCTTACTGTAGCCTTGTAGTATATGGCAGGGCATAGCTGAACAAAAGGCGGCAGAAACTTCTGCAGACTTTAACGTCCCTGTCTGACAGCTTTGAAGAGAGCAGTGGTTCTCCAAGCACAGAGTTTGAGATCAGAGAAGAGACAGACTGCCTCCTCAAGTGGGTCCTTGACCCCCGAGTAGCCTAACTGAGAGACACCTCCCAGTAGGTGCCCCTCAGAGACAAAGCTACCAGAGGAAGGATCGTGTTCTGCAGTATTTGCTGTTCTGCAGCCTCCGCTGGTGATACCTAGGCAAACAGGGTCTGGAGTGGACCTCCAGCAAACTCCAACAGACCTACAGCTGAGGGTCCTGACTGTTAGAAGGAAAACTAACAAACAGAAAGGAATAGCATTAACATCAACAAAAAGTACATCCACACCAAAACCCCATCTGTAGGTCACCATCATCAAAGACCAAAGGTAGATAAAACCACAGAGATGGGGAGAAACCAGAGCAGAAAAGCTGAAAATTCTAAAAACCGAGCACCTCTTCTCATCCAAAGGATTGCAGCTCCTCACCAGCAATGGAACAGAGCTGCACGGAGAATGACCTTGACGAGTTGACAGAAGTAGGCTTCAGAAGATCGGTAATAACAAACTTCTCCGAGCTAAAGGAGGATGTTCGAACTCATCGCCAGGAAGCTAAAAACCTTGAAAAAAGGTTAGACAAATGGCTAACTAGAATAAACAGCATAGAGAAGACCTTAAATGACCTGATGGAGTTGAAAACTATGGCACGAGAACTATTTGATGCATGCACAAGCTTCAGTAGCTGATTCGATTAAGTGGAAGAAAGGGTATCAGTGATTGAAGATCAAATGAATGAAATGAAGTGAGAAGAGAAGTTTAGAGAAAAAAGAGTAAAACGAAACAAACAAAGCCTCCAAGAAATATGGGACTATCGAAAATACCAAATCTACGTTTGATTGGTGTACCTGAAAGTGACGGGGAGAATGGAACGAAGTTGGAAAACACTCTTCAGGATATTATCCAAGAGAACTTCCCCAACCTAGCAAGGCAGGCCAACATTCAAATTCAGGAAATACAAAGATACTCTTCAAGAAGAGCAACCCCAAGACACATAACTGTCAGCTTCACCAAGGTTGAAATGAAGGAAAAAATGTTAAGGGCAGCCAGAGAGAAAGGTTGGGTTACCCACAAAGGGAAGCCCATCAGACTAACAGCGGGTCTCTCAGCAGAAACTCTCAAGACAGAAGAGAGTGGGGGCCAATATTCAACATTCTTAAAGAAAAGAATTTTCAACCCAGAATTTCATATCCAGCCAAACTAAGTTTCATAAGTGATGGAGAAATAAAATCCTTTACAGACAAGCAAATGCTGAGAGATTTTGTCACCACCAGGCCTGCCTTACAAGAGCTCCTGAAGGAAGCACTAAACATGGAAAGGAACAACCAGTACCAGCCACTGCAAAAACATGCCGAATTGTAAAGACCATTGAAGCTAGGAAGAAACTGCATCAACTAACGAGCAAAATAAGCAGCTAACATCAAAATGACAGGATCAAATTCACACATAACAATATTAACCTTAAATGTAAATGGGCTAAATGCCCCAATTAAAAGACACAGACTGGCAAATTGGATAAAGAATCAAGACTCATCAGTGTGCTGTATTCAGGAGACCCATTTCATGTGCAGAGACACACATAGGCTCAAAATAAAAGGATGGAGGAAGATCTACCAAGCAAATGGAAAACAAAAAAAAGCAGGGGTTGCAATTCTAGTCTCTGATAAAACAGACTTTAAACCAACAAAGATCAAAAGAGACAAAGAAGGCCATTACATAATAGTAAAGGGATCAATTCAACAAGAAGAGCTAACTATCCTAAATATATATGCACCCAATATAGGAGCACCCAGATTCATAAAGCAAGTCCTTAGAGACTTACAAAGAGACTTAGACTCCCACACAATAATAATGGGAGACTTTAACACCCCACTGTCAACATTAGACACATCACAGAGACAGAAGATTAACAAGAATATCCAGGACGTGAACTCAGCTCTGCACCAACCAGACCTAATAGACAGCTATAGAACTCTCCACCCCAAATCAACAGAATATACATTGTTCTCAGCACCACATCACATTTATTCCAAAATTGACCACATAGTTAGAAGTAAAGCACTCCTCAGCAAATGTAAAAGAACACAAATAATAACAAACTGTCTCTCAGATCCTAGTGCAATCAAATTAGAACTCAGAATTAAGAAACTCACTCAAAACCGCACAACTACGTGGAATCTGAACAACCTGCTCCTGAATGACTCCTGGGTACATAACGAAATGAAGGCAGAAATAAAGATGTGCTTCGAACCAGTGAGAACAAGGACACAACATGCCAGAATCTCTGGGACACATTTAAAACAGTGTGTAGAGGGAAATTTAGAGCACTAAATGCCCACAAGAGAAAGCAGGAAAGATCTAAAATCGACACCCTAACATCACAATTAAAAGAGCTAGAGAAGCAAGAGCAAACACATTTAAAAGCTAGCAGAAGGCAAGAAATTACTAAGATCAGAGCAGAACTGAAGGAGATAGAGACACAAAAATCCTTTCAAAAAATCAGTGAATCCAGGAGCTGGGTTTTTGAAAAGATCAACAAAACGGATAGATCACTAGCAAGACTAATAAAGAGGAAAAGAGAGAAGAATCAAATAGTCGCAATAAAAAATGATAAAGGGGATATCACCACCGATCCCACAGAAATACAAACTACCATCAGAGAATACTATAAACACCTCTACACAAATAAACTAGAAAATCTAGAAGAAATGGATAAATTCCTGGACACATACACCCTCCCAAGACTAAACCAGGAAGAAGTTGAATCCTTGAATAGACCAATAACAGGCTCTGAAATTGAGGCACTAATTAATAGCCTACCAACTAAAAAAAGTCCAGGACCAGACGGATTCACAGCTGAATTCTACCAGAGGTACATGGAGGAGCTGATACCATTCCTTCTGAAACTATTCCAATCAATAGAAAAAGAAGGAATCCTCCCTAACTCTTTTTATGAGGCCAGCATAATCCTGATACCAAAGCCTGGCAGAGACACAACAAAGAGAATTTAAACCAATATCCCTGATGAACATCGATGCAAAAATCCTCAATAAAATCCTGGCAAACTGAATCCAGCAGCACATCAAAAAGCTCATCCACCACAATCAAGTTGGCTTCATCCCTGGGATGCAAGGCTGGTTCAACATACCCAAATCAATAAACGTAGTCCATCATATAAACAGAACCAAAGACAAAAACCACATGATTATCTCAATCGATGCAGAAAAGGCCTTTGACAAAATTCAACAGCCCTTCCTGCTAAAAACTCTCAATAAACTAGGTATCAATGGGACGTATCTCAAAATAATAAGAGCTATTTATGACAAACCCACAGCCAATATCATACTGAATGGGCAAAAACTGGAAGCATTCCCTTTGAAAACTGGCACAAGGCAGGGAGGCCTTCTCTCACCACTCCTATTCAACATAGTGTTGGAAGTTCTGGCCAGGGCAATCAGGCAGGAGAAAGAAATAAAGCATATTCAGTTAGGAAAAGAGGAAGTCAAATTGTCCCTGTTTGCAGATGACATGATTGGATATTTAGAAAACCCCATCGTCTCAGCACAAAATCTCCTTAAGCTGATAAGCAACTTCAGCAAAGTCTCAGAATACAAAATCAATGTGCAAACATCACAAGCATTCTTATACACACACAAGCATTCTTATAACAGACAGAGAGCCAAATCATGAGTGAACTCCTATTCACAATTGCTTCAAAGAGAATAAAATACCTAGGAATCCTATTTACAAGGGATGTGAAGGACCTCTTCAAGGAGAACTACAAACCCCTGCTCAATGAAATAAAAGAAGACACAAACAAATGGAAGAACATTCCATGCTCATGGATAGGAAGAATCAATATCGTGAAAATGGCCATACTGCCCAAGGTAATTTATAGATTCAATGCCATCCCCATCAAGCTACCAATGACTTTCTTCACAGAATTGGAAAAAACTAAAGTTCGTATGGAACCAAAAAAGAGCCTGCATTGCCAAGACAATCCTAAGCCAAAAGAACAAAGCTGGAGGCATCACGCTACCTGGCTTCTGATGTCTGAACTTTTAACTCCCATCTGCTTTCTTCATCTTGATTTGCACATATGTCTGATTTGGAGATGAAAAGTAAATATATTCCTGTGTCTCTTCATTCTTCATCCATCTTTTCACAAAATGCACCCAGCAGCTGTGCCAAGCTTCTCTGAATACCATGAAATCATTTATATGTTTTGATACTGTGTCATGGATATATTAATTGTTTCTTCTCACTACAACATGGTCTAATTAGCTTGGACAATACTTCCAGTCTCCTGTTTGAAGAGACTGTGTGTGGCTTTTGATGATTTCTCTAATTCTGATTTGATAGGTTAGATGTGGGCTGATCTTTCTCTCGCTCTTTTTTCCTTTTCCTTTCTTCTCTTCTTTCCCCGTAGGCATATACTAATGTCCTAACGTGTACTGAATCTTGATTACAGTGTAATTGATTTAGAGCATATGGGGACTTTTGAAATCCCTTTTAGGAGGGATCATTGACTCTTGATAATCTGACGAAAGCTATGAACACTTCTTCCAGAAATGTGTACTTTTACATATATAATTTATCATCCAGTTACAGGAGTCTCAAGGGTTTAGCCAAGTCTTGGATGCATGTCCATAGTATGTGAAGACCACAGAATTTCAGTGCTTGGACAACCCTACAGATCATCGAATTCACTGGTTTTTGAAAACTATTTTAACCAGAGAATCCCTGGTTGAAAAGGGTGGGTAAAAAGAAGGGAGAGACTGAGTCATGCACACCCCTACGTCGCTCAGAGTGGTTCCTGAGGAGGTTCTGAGGAACACAGTTTGAAAGCTCATGATCTAGGTCTAATTCCTGTATTTCTTTATATGAGAAAATTGATCCAAAAAGAGCAGAGTTGACTAACTCAAGGCCATGCATCCAGTCAGTGCACAGCTGAGACTGGAACCCATGCCCTTGATCCCTAGGACAGAGTCTCAGCCAACCCTCACTTCTCTTCTAATTGTAAACCTCCTACATTCATACCACAGTAACTTCTCAAAGATCCTGGACAAATGTAATTTAAACCCACAATTATAAATAATCACCCCCATTTGAGCAACAGGCAAAGGAAATACAGCTGATTTGTGTTTTGTCACTCCGTCAAGGCCTTCCTTCTTTCTGTCTTATTTCTGCTGGTTCTCGTGTCTTTGTGAACTGTTTCCATTTTACAACATGTATTTTATTCAAATATACATCATAGTCAAAAGCATCCTCTTTTTCCTCGACAAAGTGCCATCCTGTTGGCCTCCCACAGACACACTCTCTGCCCCTAATTCTTAAAGAAGCAGTATCTGGTGCTCGCCCTGGTATGGTGCTTGTTTGGCTTCAGGCCACTGGCAAAACGACCTAAGCTATTATTGGGCTTGTCTCCATCCCAGTCTTCCAACCTTCTTTGTAATTGTCAAGAAACCCAACTGAGCCTCAGCTGAAGTATCTACCTGTTATTGACCTGACTATGGGCGAGCCAAGCCTAGTCTTTCCTGGTCTCTCTTTCTTGTGTATTGGTGCAGGATGAGGACATTGCTTCAGAGTACCAAAGTGGAGAGGAAGAAACAAACCAACAAACTCAAGAAAGTAGAAAGGCAGTGCACAGACCCCTTTCTTAGGGTTAGAGGCAAGGTGGTCTTTAGACTTCCTGAGTTGAAGACTGATGTTTCTTTGGGTGGAATTTCTCTGTGCTACCTCAGAAACAAAGATAGTTCATCTGACAAACCAGAGACCTACTTAGAGATAACTTCAGCCTATCCAGGGAACTAAAAACTAATTAAAAATTGCCAGGCCAGAGTTTCAAACCAGGAGAGTGGTGTGGTGTTGTGGTTAAGAGCACACACTTTGTATCCTGTCGGACATGAATTTGAATCATGGCTCTGCCACTTACTACCTGTGTAACCTTGGTCGAGTTAACTTATTCTTGTTGGGCCTCCATGCTTTCATCAATCAAATTGGAGAAAATAATACCCACATTAGGAGAGTCTTTTGAGGACTAAAAGAGAGACTACCAAACGTTTGCTATTTTGCCTATCTTCATCAGGACCCCACAGAAGACTCTGTATTCTGAATGTTGTATTCACCACCAATTATCTGTATCCCTGTTGAACGGAGGGAACACAGGAAACATGGCAGGGAATGGGTTAAGGAGCATTGGTTTAGCCGATAACTGTTGTGTGAAACATGATTTAGTTCCCTCCCGTCTCTATGGACTAATTTTCCCCACTAGGCAATGAAGAGTTTGTGCTTGAGCACGTGTTCTTTATGCTGACTCAGGACCTGAGTGTGTCAAAATTATCTTAAAAGTTATTTTTTAAGTGTAGATGTGCAGTTGCAATTCCCAGACAGTCTGATTGAGGAGATCTAGGGGATAGTCACAGGATCTATACTATATGTCCAGTCGCCCAGGTGATTCTGATCAGCAGTCAAGTGTGGGAACCACTGATGCAGGGAGTTGTAAAGATTCTCCCTTTCCTCCCTGCTTTCAGTCTTGGAACTTCTTATAGTTTGAAAGTGTCTTTCCATTAATGAGGCCTATGACTTCCTACATCATTCAAACATGGTGATTTTCACACAGAGAAAATAAGAAAACGTTGCTAGTGGTCCTCAAAGACGGTATTTTTCCCCACAGAAAATTCATTTTGTTTTGCTTTAGTGGCTTGATATCAGATCCACAAGGCATGTAATACAGAATAGGGTGAACGTTGAGGGATCTGCTTTTAATTAGTTTCCCCAGCTGATCTCTCAGATCATTTTAAAAAATGCATTCTCTCTATTTTATGATTGAATTCTAAGTAATGAAGTTTAGCAATATATGTAATAAAGTAGAATTATCTCACAATAGATCACAATAATAGATACTGAGTAACTTCTCAGTGTCAGTTGCTACCTATATTTCCATAATCCTTATGACAATATTTGAAACAGGCATTAATATTTTCCCTAATTTTAAAACAAAGAAGATAAAACTTAAAGAGATAAAGTGACTTACCTAAGGCCACACAACTGGTAAGGGATTTTTTTAGTGTTGAACAGGGATGAAAATGGTATTTAAAAAATGCAACTTGAATCACTTTCTGTCTTAAAAATTTTCAGTGACTTATTCATTATGCTTAAAAAATTATCTAAACAACTTTGTGTGGGCAGTAATACTTGTCCGTTTTGGTCAGTGCTGTATCCTCAGCAATAAGAACAGCGTTTGTCATACAACAGAGACTCAGTAAATAAATATTCATGGAATAAATTAAGTGATGAAGCCTGGATTCAACCCAAGTCTGTTTGATTTTAAAGCTTGCTCTTCAGTAATTTGTATGCTCTCTCCTCTCTCTCTCTCTCTCTCTCTCTCTCGTTAAATTTACATACTATGAAATGCACCAATATTTGGTGTAAAATTTTATGAACTTTGACAAATGTTTATAACTGTATAACACACATCACATCCCTAACAAGATAAAGATATTTCCTTCATCCTAGAAAGTTTCTCTTTGTTTCTTTAAGTCAACTGCCTCACCCTTTCCAGAGACAAAGGCTTTTCTATGTTTATTTATTTTTTTTTTACCACATGTTGGTTAGTTTTGTCTTTTTTAGAATTTCATATAAGTGGAATTATATACTATGAACTCCTTTGTATCTAGCTGTTTTTCATTCAGATGGTGATTTAAGATCTGTCCATAGTGTTATGTGTATCAGTGGTTTCTTTTTATTGCTAAGTAGTGTTGCAATGTATGAATATATCATAATTTGCTTATCATTCTACTGTTGATGGGCATGTGAATTGTTTTCAGTTTTTGGCTATTATATATAAAGTTGCCGTGGTTGTTTGTTTTCAGGTATTTTTGCAGACAGATGTTTTCTTTTTTTATTATTATTATACTTTAAGTTTTAGGGTACATGTGCACAACGTGCAGGATTGTTACATATGTATACATGTGCCAGTGGTATGCTGCACCCATCAACTCGTCATTTAACATTAGGTATATCTCCTAATGCTATCCCTCCCCCCTCCACCCACCCCACCACAGGCCCCGGGGTGTGATGTTCCCTGCCCTGTGTCCAAGTGTTCTCATTGTTCAATTCCCACCTATGGGTCAGAACAGGCGGTGTTTGGTTTTCTGTCCTTGCGATAGTTTGCTCAGAATGATGATTTCCAGCTTCATCCATGTCCCTGCACAGGACATGAACTCATCCCTTTTTATGGCTGCATAGTATTCCATGGTGTCTATGTGCCACATTTTCTTAATCCAGTCTATCATTGTTGGACATTTGGGTTGGTTCCAAGTCTTTGCTATTGTGAATAGTGCCGCAATAAACATACGTGTGCATGTGTCTTTATAGCAGCATGATTTATAATCCTTTGGGTATATACCCCGTAATGGGATTGCTGAGTCAAATGGTATTTCTAGTTCTAGATCCCTGAGGAATCACCACAATGACTTCCACAATGGTTGAACTAGTTGACAGTCCCACCAATAGTGTAAAAGTGTTCCTATTTCTCCACGTCCTCTCCAGCACCTGTTGTTTCCTGACTTTTTAATGATCACCATTCTAACTGGTGTGAGGTGGTATCTCATTGTGGTTTTGATTTGCATTTCTCTGATGGCCAGTGATGATGAGCATTTTTTCATGTGTCTTTTGGCTGCATAAATGTCTTCTTTTGAGAAGTGTCTGTTCATATCCTTCGCCCACTTGTTGATGGGGTTGTTTGTTTTTTTCTTGTAAATTTGTTTATGTTCAATGTAGATTCTGGATATTAGCCCTTTGTCAGATGAGTAGGTTGCAAAAATTTTCTCCCATTCTGTAGGTTGCCTGTTCACTCTGATGGTAGTTTCTTTTGCTGTGCAGAAGCTCTTTAGTTTAATTAGATCCCATTTGTCAATTTTGGCTTGTGTTGCCATTGCTTTTGGTGTTTTAGACATGAAGTCCTTGCCCATGCCTATGTCCTGAATGGTATTGCCTAGGTTTTCTTCTAGAGTTTTTATAGTTTCAGGTCTAACATTTAAGTCTTTAATCCATCTTGAATTAATTTTTGTATAAGGTGTAAGGAAGGGATCCAGTTTCAGCTTTCTATATATGCTAGCCAGTTTTCCCAGCACCATTTATTAAATAGGGAATCATTTCCCCATTTCTTGTTTTTGTCAGGTTTGTCAAAGATCAGATGGTTGTAGATATGTGGCATTATTTCTGAGGGCTCTGTTCTGCTCCGTTGGTGTATATCTCTGTTTTGGTACCAGTACCATGCTGTTTTGGTTGCTGTAGCCCTGTAGTATAGTTTGAAGTCAGGTAGCATGATGCCTCTAGCTTTGTTCTTTTGGCTTAGGATTGACTTGGCAATGCGGGCTCTTTTTTGGTTCCATATGGACTTTAAAGTAGTTTTTTCCAATTCTGTGAAGAAAGTCATTGGTAGCTTGATGGGGGTTGCATTGAATCTATAAATTACCTTGGGCAGTATGGCCATTTTCACAATATTGATTCTTCCTACCTATGAGCATGGAATGTTCTTCCATTTGTTTGTATCCTCTTTTATTTCATTGAGCAGTGGTTTGTCATTTCTCTTGTTTATTTACCTAGATGTGGATTTCCTGGGTGATAATGGAAAAAGTATGTTTACCATTTCAAGGAACTACAAAGCATATTTCTAAACAGGCTATACCTAACAGGGTACTAGCAATATATGAGAGTTGTGTATGCACCACATCTTTGCCAGCCTTGATATATGTAGTTTTTTAAATTTTAGCCATTCTAGCGGGTATGTTGCTGTATTATTGTGGTTTTAATGTGTATTTCCTGATATTTCCATGGTAAGTATTGTTTCATGTCCTATTGGCCACTCATATATCTTGCTTTGTGAAGCATCTGTTCAAGTCTTTTACCTATTTTTTAAATTGGGTTGTTTGTATTCTTATTGTATCATAGGAGTTATGAATATAAGTTCTTTGTCTGGTATATTTTTTTTGAATATTTTTTCCTGACTGTGGCTTACTTAATCTTTTTCTGTTCTTTTGATGTACAGAATATTTCAATTTTGATGATGCCTAATTTATCAATGTTTTATTGTTTATACTATATCCTGTCTAAGAAATATTTGCCAACTCCAAGGTCATGAAGATATTCTTCTTTGTTTTCTTCGAGAGCCTACATTTTAACGACTACAGCATGCATCTGGCTTTGCCTTACTTGTTATAGAGGATGCATTAGTCCATGAGATAATTGTTATCAGAGTAAGCTGATGGGAGGCGGAGTACTATAGAATTCAACAAGACAGCTTTGAAGTTCAACAGATCTTTGTTCAATTTCTGACTCCAGTCCCAGCAGCGTGACCTTAGGCAAGTCACTTGATCTTTCTGTGTATCAATTCTCTCATTTGTGTAAAGGAGATAATAACACCAACTTATGTCACAGGATCATTATTAAATAAGCAAGTATATGATCACTTCTTAACACAGGGCATAGCACATAGTAAGCCCTCAACGAGTGGTGTCTGTTGTACTTACAATACTTTTCATTCATATTATACCAGTTTCACCAAGAGTTTTTAGTGCCAGAAGCAAATATAGGAAGGGTTACCTTTTCTTCCCCTACTAGACTTCAAACAGAACCATTGAAATAGAGATGACCCATTAAGAAGGGGTAGGCTATAGTTACAAACAGTTCTTTCTGTATGTCTAAAATCGCATCTTTATTATTTTGAGTAATACTAATAACTGAATCTCCAAGCACAGACATGACAGATATGATTATAAAACTCCCTGGCATAAAGGACAATTTTATCATTGAAAACTGAAATTATATGAAGGAATACATGTAATGCTTTTCCAGAAACACAATGTGCTCATTAAATGTGGGTAAATGCAGATGTTGAAGAGGTTTTTAAGTCAGTGTACAGTGAAAAGAGCAGGGACTTTGACATAAAACAAACATAGAACTTGAATACAAGGACATATGACTTGATTGCTGTGAGGCTCACTCCTATCATCTATCGAAAGAGGTTTACATAAATATTGGAGAATATGAGTGCTTCAAAGAATATGAACGCACTAGCTAACATCATAGGCACTCAAAATGGTACTTATTGGTTAACCTCATATTTGTAATGACATATATGTAATAGTAAACTAAAGTGAGATATCCAATTTCAAATGAGTTACATCCTTAAAAAGGTGAAAGATAGTTTTGTGGGTTTATTTTTTGATAGATTTCTCTTCTGTGTTCAGGAATGGTACTCACAGAATATATCTGTTTGATATGTGAGGTCATTTTGCAGCTCACTCATTGATTCAATGCATTTCTGAATCATAGAGGAGGATCCCTGGCTATTTGTCATGTCTGAATGATGGAAACACATATTTGAATGATTCTAGTAATAGAGAAGAATGTGGAACTTGCTCCATACATTTCCATTTTTAACATCCTTCTGTTGTAGGGGATGGGGAGGGAGAGGATTGTGTATGTAAGTTGTTTTCTGCTAATGCTACCACTGCTGTTTTCAGAGTCAATACATGGACAGAAGCACAAAAAACTGAGTATTCCTTTTGCCTTATGCATCAAAGTCTCTAACCAAGTGTTTAGAACTACATCTACTGGTGTTCTCCCAATGCAAATTATTCTAGGCCCTTTGTGCTCTGGTCTCAACCTGATTATATACCCTTACCTCTTTTCTTGCCACAGCAAACCATTTACTATTTTTCAAATAATTCCAATGTTTTACTGTTTCTGCCTCTTTATTCATGCTGTTCCATTTATTCTGTTATCTTGAGAAGCCTTTCCTCCCATATCTGTCTGCTAAACATATATCCATCTTTACTGAGTTGAAGTGATTCCCCCTAAATTCACATCCGCTTGGAACACCAGCATGTGATCTTATTTGGAAATAGGGTCTTTGCAGATGTAATTAGTTAACATGAGAACATACTGTATTAGAATGGGCTGTAATCCAATGACTGGATTATATAAGACTTATAAGAAGTCACGTGAAATAACAGAGACACGGGCACACAGGTGAGAAGGCCATGTAGTGATGGAGGCAGAGATTGAAGTGATGCAGCAACAAGCCAAGAACACCAAGGATTGTTGGCAACCACCAGAAGCTAAGAAGAGGCAAGGAAGGATTCTTCTCTAGAGCCTTCAGAGGAAGAATGGCCAAAACAACAGCTTGATTTTAAATGTCTAGCCTACTGTACTGTAAGAGAACAAATTTCTGTTGTTTTATGTTACCCAGTTTCTGGTAATTTGTTATGGCAGCCTTAGGAATGTTTTTTACATCCTTCTTCAAGGTCAAGCTCAAATATAATGTCTTTTCCAGATTTCTTCAACTAGATGTAATTTCTCTTCTTCACCTCTGTAGCAATGCTGTAGCAGAAAAAAAGATCACAAACTTTGGTGCCAGAGAATTTTTGGCTGTAATCCTGGCCCAGCTACTGACTGGATTTCTTCACCTGTACAATGGAAATAATAATACCTACCTAATAGAGTTGTTGTGTCAATAAATATGACTGTTCCTTACCTCTCTAATTCACCCATTCTGCCTCAGATTGCAATAATTTTGTAATAAGACAATATAGTTCTGTTTTTTTCCAGTTCAGAGGCTGGAGGGAGCATAGATAGGTAAGCAATCAGCTTTGTACACAATAAAACAAAATGTGCTATCTAACAAGGGTAGAGACAAGTATTGTTCACATTGACAGTCTCAGGAATTCAGTTGTCTACACTAGGAGTTCCAACTATAAGCTAGGAAACTGATTTATAAAATTGAAATGGAGAAGCCTCCTTTTAGTCCCTGAATTCCAGAATTGTAATATCCAAGGTAGATTTTGTCTTAATGCCTAAAAATGGAGCAAAAATTCTGGAAATGTTAGAGCCCTCTACTGATTTCACAGCTCCTGTATATGACACTGGAACATGCTTATACTTGGCTGCACATTTTGATAAAGCCAAAAGTTCACCACATGGCATTCTGGTCTCTCTTCCTCTAGGGCATCTTCCCAAAGGCCTCAGCTCTAGAGGAAATCTGTTTTTTCACTCTTGCAGCCTACACTGCCTGGCCAAAAGTAGGGATTTAGCATGTGCTCTTTATCCTTCCTGAGTTTTCTTTGTCTGAATCCCCAGGCTCTATGCCCACCAATCTTTTTAAAAAAGGTCAACAAGTAACATCATCCCCTTATGTTCATCATCTTCTTTTCCAGGCATATCATCAGAATCATCTGAGACCCTTTTTATCAAAGCATACTGGAGGGTTTATAGGTGTTGACCTCTACCCTGGATAACGTGGGGAAGGTAGTAAGCACAACACACCTGCCCCTTCTGTGTGGGTAAGCCCTTGTATTAGTTTGCATGGGCTGACATAACAAAAATACAACAGACTGGATGGCTGAAACAACAGAAATATATTACCTCACAGTTCTTGATGCTAGAAATCTGAGATCAAGTTGTTGGCAGAGTTGGCTTCTTTTTGAGGCCCCTTTCCTTGGCTTGTAGATGGCCGGCTTGACTTCTTCCTTTGTCTTCACATGGTCTTTCCTCTGTGCACATATTTATCTGTTTCCAAATTTCTTCTTTTAAGGACAGGAGTGAGAATGGATTAGGGCCCCACCCACATATGGCCTCATTTTACTGAAATTACTGTAATTTAAAGGCCTATCTCCAAATACAGTCACCCTCCGAGGTACTGGGGTTTAGAACTTGAACATAAGAACTTTGGGTAGTGACAGTTCAGCCCCGTAGTTTTGTGATTAGGATCAAATTATTTTGCAATCACTTGGTGATGGATTTGTTTGTTATTTGGTCTTGGGCTCTGATAGCTGAGACGTTAGCCTCGTAGTATACACAGAGAAATTAACTCAAGCACAATTCACAGGTCTTCCTCATGACAGGAGAGGCAAAAGAATCATGGAAGTCACCACTTGGTAAACACCTACCATGTGACAGGCATGGTAATAGGATTTTTTATTTTTTCTTCACAATCAGTTAGCAAAAATAAATATTTACACCCCCATTTTCATATGAGAAAATTAAGATTCAGAGGGGCTAAAGTGATTTGCTCAAAGGCATAAAACTAGTAAGTATTGGAGTTAAGAATTGAATATAAATCTGTCTGACTATAAATTCATGCCCTTTCCTCATGCATCCTTTATCTGGAATTGAAAAAAAAGTTTTTTTTTGCTCATTTTAAGCTGTGACATTAAAATGAAAAAACAATTATATGAAAGAGTTTCTAGATGTTCACAGTCATCGTTTATTCATATGTCCATTTATCATATACTCATACTGGACTAGCATTGCTTCACTTTGTTTTTGAGCTTGCCATGGAAACTTAAACAACTGAAGAATCAGGAAATGATGACAGCAAAGTGATTAATTATACATTGAAAAAACAATTTGGGGGATGATGGTGCAGAGAGCCCTTTTAGCCACACTGGCGTAATGAAGTAGTTTAGATTTGTCCTGTGGCCTCTGCAATCGACCTCTTGTTTGTTTTGTTACAACAAATTGCTTTACAGTACTGAAATGGTCTATTTATGTTCATTGTTTCTTTTGCAGTTTTGTTCCCAAACTTTGGAAGTTGTTGGAGACTGACAGAAGAGCCAGGAACATCCCAGTTTTCTGAACATTTTCTATGATTGTGACACATTTTAGGATGCTCTTTCTACCTAGTGAATGGTGCAGTTTGTAAGGATAGATTATTTGCTGAGAAAGTGGGTATTGGGTCCTGTGACAGAGGAAATATATTTCAGAGTATTGGAGGGCCATTTAAAAATGATGATGGTGTTGATAATAGCAATGCTTCCTGCTGTTGCATCATTTAGAGTTTACATGGATCTTCTATATCTCACTTGATTTTCACAAAAACATATTGAAGTGATCAGTCAGGGATTGTTATATCCACTTTCCATATGCAATAATTGAGATTCAAAGAGGTTAAATGGAGGCAGGACAAACTCCCACATCTTTGATCACCAACAACTCCCTTGCTAAATTATTCTTTGTAAGTCCAGTACACTGAGTTCATTCACTTTAAATTGGTGCACATTTTGTCCTCCTGGAAAAACATTATGTCGAATTGGGACCATTAATAATTGCTTACTAGTTTCAAATGTCCAGTGGGATGTCAATTGAGATCCAGCGGCTCTTTTCTCCCCAGCCTCTTTAAGAGAACACACAGTGAATTCAATGCGCAGTGCTTTCCTCCTGCTGCTTGTACTTCCTAACAAAGAGCCCCCATTTATTGGAAATCAATCATGTGCTAGATACTGGCTATGTGTTATTTCTAATTGTCACAATTGATAACTCTGCAAGAGAGGTATTATCATACCTACCTTACAAATAGGGAAACTGAGGCTTGGAGCTGTTAGGTAACTTTCTTAACATCACAGAGATGGTGAGTGGCAGAGCCAGAACTTCAGCTTATCCAGTCTGGCTTCAGACCATTGCTTTAAACCACCATAACTCTTTAAATTCAGTACATTGACTTTTTAACTGAGTTATTTGGAAGTTACAGCTTGGAGGAATCCATTCCTTAGGAAATAGGTTGACAAAAAAAATCATAAAGTTAAAAAAATGCAAAAAACTAAAAAAACTAAATTGTTAATTTATCTATATCATCTAATTTGGTAATAGTTTTCTACAGTTGATTGGAAAGCTTGTGGTATAAGACAAGCTTCTCTGAGGGTAACCTACAGTCACTGTAAGTGCACAGAGGATGCCTTCTTTGCTCATTTCTAATACAAAACTATTTCTGTTCTCCTATGTCTCTAATCCACTGAATCGTTTTTCCATGTACCTATTCTTTTTAGTTCATGCATAGTCACTTAATTGAACACATACTCACCAAGATAATTAACAATTATTGGCTACTTCCCTGACAAAGGGTTAATTCGTTCTGTTGGCAACCCCTGTTAATACTAAAAAGCCCTGGGGCAGTAGATCCTTTCTTCTAGGAATGACCCCCCCACTGTTCATTGGAGCAGGCAGGAGTGCCGAACTAACCAGTCCTGCTATCTGTTTCATCTGTCGAGTAGACATTTGACTACCTTTTTTTGTTGCTGCCTGTGACTCACCCTCATTACTCAAGATTGTGGAGGACAGCAACTGTGCTTGAGGAGTAGAGGAGCAGTCCTAAGATAAATCATCTTAATGATTTCCCATGCGTTTAGGACTTAGAACTTTGCACCACAAGGGGATAAATGCATGTCGCACGTAGTCTTCATAGCAATGAAGAATACCATTTTGGTTTATAAAGATGTAGGAAACAAAAATTCAAGCCCTCCATTATACTACATGTCTATCATGGGATCCTGCAGATTCTAATTATAGTATCTACCTTTTACTAGGCTGCTCCTTGTAGTTGCACTTTGACCTCCTCCTAGTGTAGACTGCTTTTATATGCTCGACACCTCACCTCACTCCTTCTACCACCAAGAAGAACAGAGTCCTTAGAGCAATGGTGACCAACAGCTTTTGTGGAAGGTCAAACTGGTAAAAAGAAAACTGTATGAGACAAATAGTGGACACTCAATACATAAGTTTAGAGAGAAGGAAGGAAGGATGGGTAGCTTATTATTCAAATTTTATATCATCTTTTTTCTAAATAGAAAAATACCAGTGAGAGAATTGCCACTTCTGTTTAGCAACTAAAAAAAATTTAATATCTAGTCATATTTGAGAAATGGCAATACAGAACCTGCTTTTTAATCTTTCAGCCTGAAATTAGCCTGCCTGGTTGTAAGATGCATCCTATGATCTATTGGCTGCTCAAGAGTGCTTTAGAGGATTTTCGAACTTGAGGGGCCCTTAGAAATGATCTAGTCTAGTGATTCCAAAAGTTTTCATTATCTAAGGCATCTTTAATTAATTTTCCCCTGCATACTGTGTTTTGAAATATCAGGCCTACTAAACAAATTACCTTTATCACATAATAATTCCTTCTCTCATTTTTTTTTTCTTTTTTTTTGCTCAGAGCCATTAATGATCTCTCAGTAGAGAATCTGGTCAGCATGAAATAACCAGTGTAACCACAATAAGATGATATAATTCCTTCCCAAAGTGAAGGCAGTAGATGGTTGAGTTGGTCTAGGGTCAGCTTGATCTTAGCAATCTTTACAAACCATCTCCCTTAGGCTTATTGAAATGTTAAAAATAGCTCATGGATTCCCATGATGACCTTCTTATAATCTTTGTGGACAGCCATTTATCTTATCCTTCTGTAGGGAAGAATGGAGGGGAATCAGATTTAAAAAGCAAAGTGATTGGCCCAAGGTCACACAGCACCTTAATGGCAAGGAGGACCAGAATTTGTGTTTCCTGAGTCTCAATCTTCTTTCTCTACACACCCAATTTTCATGTGCCTTAGGTCTAAGAGCTTAATATTGTATAGGCATTCCATAAATCTTTGCTCGATGAGTTGGTAGAACAGGGGCACTAATACTTAAGTATAGGAGATACAAAAAAAATCCATGATGAATTCATTAAACAACCAGTAAAATAGTACAAATATCCAGTTCCCAGTTCTGAATTCGTACCCAGCCTCCTTTGCTTTCCTTTTCATGAATGATTTCAGACATCTCCCTATAGCGTATTTCAGCTGCTGTTGCTCTTGAAAAGGTTTACTCAGGAAGTCAAATAGTGTCCACTTATCCTGTTATACCCTGTCTCCGAGAGGTGAAAATAGCATGGAATTATTCTCAGCAGTGAAATTCACCCTCCTCTTTTGCTTTCATCCCCTTTACAGTGGTGATCCTTGCTAAAATGATGAGAATTTGAATACCTCTACTCCAGGATAGTTCATTCTCAGTCCTTCTAGATGAAGATCCACTTAGCTATTCAATTTTTCTTCCTTTCTATTACTGTTCAAATGTCCTATAATTATCCATGTGGGGCACATTTTAGTGAATGACATTTAGTGAATGACATTTTTGACAGACAGGATACCTACTTCCAAGTAGGTCAGATATTAGAGCTTCAGCAGTGCATGCTTTATGTGATTTTCATAGGAATTCATATTTGGGAGCTCCTAGCTAGCTCATATTCTCTCAGTGAAATGTTGAAATATGGGCTCAATTGCAGGGCTTTAGTTGCCGTGTACTGTCCTACATGCAGGGTGCACTTCACATCAACCAGAATGAGTTCTGCATAGCCTGCAAGACTAAATGTTGAGTTACTACACATTGGACACTGGATCTCACAAGGGGCCTCTGCAAACCCTCATCACAGACCATGGGCAGTGGGAGTGAGCCAGTGATATTCTCAGGCACAGCCCTGGGGCCCACCCACTGTGATGCCCAGGAGAGGAACAGATTGCCCAGTCCCTGATCAACAGTCCCCTTCCATATTTCCCATGGTACAAAAAAGTATATATATATGCACAGTATTTCATTCTGATGAAGAGTTTATAGTCAATGTGAGACAACAGGTGGGTTTTTGGGGGGATTTTAGTGGAGTTGATATAAATTACATGAGCAAAGTAGAATCTTGGATAGTCTAATGCTTTCAGAAACTATTTGTCAGGCCCAAATAAAATTTTTCGGTCTTGTAAATGGCCTAGAGCAATCTCTAAGATGAGAAGTTATGTGTTAAATGGCAAAACAAACAAACAAACAAAAAAAACAACAAGATACTTGAAGAACACAGTATACAAGGAGTCGGCATAATGAGAATTTCCCCAGTTGTATTTTTCTTGTAATATTGACGTTGTTTTTCCCCCTGTTGTGAACTAAAGAGATAGAAAATACCTTTGTGTCTAGTTGAAAATGGATTCTTAATTAACTGTCCAGAGATTTGTTGTTAGAGGTAAAATTCTGGGAAGGGTTCTTTGTATGGACAGGAAGAATTAGCTCTGTAGCAAGCATAAAAAGGGCCCATTTCTTCCTAATGGCTTTTCCAAGGAAGTGGGGAAGGAGAGAAAAACCGAAAAGGACATTCTCTTATTGCTCAAATGACCAGATTTCTTGGACCCAGAACTGTAGCTCATACACAGCTAACCTAGGGTCAAGGTTTGTAGGCTGCCTCTAAGGCATCCCTTTCTTTGCCAAATTGTTATGCAGATGTGATGTGTTAAAAACACACTCCAGCCCTGGTTGTTTGGAGGGCATCTTTCCTAATGGAGGTGATACAATGTGCTTATTGAGTCAGCAGGCACTTTGTTCCAGAGTAGACAGTAATGCAGGAGTAGGAACATAAGATATGGAGGCTAAGTTCTGTCATTTATTATGTATATGACCTGGGGCAAATGGTTCACCCTCAGCCTCTGTTTGCTTACCTAAGACATGGGGAGAATAATAATACCAACTTCCAAGGCTTGTTGTATGGATCAAATGAGATAATCCATGGAAAACCCATCTCCCCATGCGAGACATATCCTTACATAGTGGCTCAATAAAAGATAGATGAGCACGACAGCATTTTGTAGGACAAGGAAAGGCTGGGACTATAGACTCTGTTTATTTGAAAATAATGCCAATGAGAGGTCTTTTTCTCTTGGGCCAGTAAGTCTCACTCAGGGAAGAATTCTGACACAAGTACATAGACTGCACATTTAAGCTCTATCTGGTGCTCTTCCAGATTATGGCCTTGGTTTTGAGGAACTCCAGGAATAAGGGGACTTGATCATAGACACACTAGTGGAGAGGGAGCATCAGGTGCCTGTAGATCAGCAGAAATGCTACTTTTTTTTCAGAGGAATGAGATGCCATACATACAACCTAATCTGGCTTCAAATTTCAGAAGCAGGGACTTTCCACTTAAATATCATCCCATGAGGTTTGAGGACTTTCTTTCTGTGTAAGACTGAGGATTTTGAAAGGAATAGCCTTGAATCTGCAAATTGCTTAGAACAGTGTGGCCATTTTAATAATATTGATTCTTCCTATCCATGAGCATGGAATGTTTTCCATTTGTTTGTGTCATCTCTGATTTCTTTTAGCAGTGTTTTGTAATTCTGGTAGAAATCTTTCACCTCCCTGGCTAGCTGCATTCCTGGGTATTTTGTTCTTTTTGTGGCAATTGTGAATGAGATTGCATTGGCTCTCAGCTTGGACATCGTTGGTGTATAGGAATGCTACTGATTTTTGTGCATTGATTTTGCATCCTGAAAGTTTGCTAAAGTTGTTTATCAGATCAAGGTGCTTTTAGGCAGAAACTGTGGGGTTTTATAGGTATAGAATCATATTGTCTGCAAACAGGAATAGTCTGACTTCCTCTCTTCCTATTTGGATGTCTTTTATTTCTTTCTCTTCCCTGATTGCTCTGGCCGGAACTTCTAGTACTATGTTGAATAGGAGTGGTGAGAGAGTGCATCCTTTCTTGTCTGGTTTTCAAGAGGAATGCTTCCAGCTTTTGCCCATTCAGTGGGATGTGGGCTGTGGGTTTGTCATAGATGGTTCTCATTATTTGGAGGTATGTTCCTTCAATGCCTAGTTTATTGAGGGTTTTTAACATGAAGAGATGTTAAATTTTATTGAAGGCCTTCTCTGCATGCGTTGAGATAAAACAATGACATTATTCACAATTACAACTCCTTTAAAATTCATAGGAAATCAAAAAAGTGCCCAAATAGTCATGGCAATCCTGAGCAAAAAGGACAAAGCTGGAGGCATGACGTTACCCGACTTTATACTACAAGGCTACAGTAAGCAAACCAACATGATACTGGTACAAAAACAGACACATAGACCAATGGAACAGAATAGAGGGCCCAGAAATAATACCACAAAGCTATAATCATCTGATCTTCAACAAAGCCAACAAAAACAAGCAATAAGGAAAGGACTCCCTGTTCAATAAATGGTGCTGGGATAACTGGCTAGCCACAGGGAGAAGATTGAAACTTGACCCCTTCCTTACACCATATACAAAAATCATCTCAAGATGGATTAAAGACTTAAATGTAAAACCTAAAACTATAAAAACCCTGGAGGAAAACCTAGGAAATACCATTCAGGACATAGACACAGGCAAAGATTTCATGACGAACACCCCAAAAGCAATTGCAACAAAAACAAAAACTGACAAATGAGACATCATTAAACTAAAGAGCTTCTGCACAGCAAAAGAAACTATCAACAAAGTAAACAGACAATCAACAGAGTGGGAGAAATTATTTGCAAACTATGCATCTGACAAAGGTTTAATATCCAGAATCTATAAGTAACTTAAACAAATTTACAAGAAAAACAAAATGACCCCATTAGAAACTAGGCAGAGGACATGAACAGTTTTGAAAAGGACACTTTTCAAAAGAAGACATAAATGTGGCCAATAAGGATATAAAAAAAAGCTCACCATCACTAATCATTAGAGAAATGCAAATCAAAACCACAATAACGTAGCATCTCACACTAGTAAGAATGGCCATTATTAAAAAGTAAAAAAATAACAGATCCTGGTGAGGTTGCAGAGAAAAGGGAATGCTTATACAATTCTGGTAGGAGTGTAAATTAGTTCAGCTGTTGTGGAAAGCAGTATGGCGATGTCTCAAAGAACTTAAAACAGAATTACCATTTGACCCAGCAATTCCATTGTTGGGTATATACCCAAAAGAATATAATTTGTTTTACCATAAAGACACACGCATGTGTATGTTTATTGCATCAGTATTCACAAGAGCAAAGACATGGAATCAACCTAAATGCCCATCAGTGGTAGACTGGATAAAGAAAATGTGGTAGATATACACCACAGAATACTATGTAGTCATAAAAAAGAATGAGGTCATGTTCTTTGCAGCAACATGGATGAAGCTAGAGACCATTATCCTTAGCAGACTAATGCAGGAACAGAAAAATAATAACGTATGTTCTCACTTATAAGTGGGAGCTAAACAATGAGAGCACATGGACACAGACAGGGGAATAACAGTCACCGGAGCCTACCTGAGGGTGGGGGTTGGGAGGAGGGAGAGGATAAAAAAATACCTATCAGGTACTTGCTTATTACCTGGATGACTAAATAATTTGTACACCAAACCCTCCCGACACACAGTTTACCTGTATAATGATCCTGCAGATGTACACTCCTAAACCTAAAATAAAAGTTAAAATAAATAAACTCTAACATATGAAAATTAAATTTAAAAAGCTGAGGATTTGCAATTCATGGAATATGAAGCAATATTTGTGTTGTCTTAGTTTTAGCTTATGAATACAGGGAGAAATCATTTGACTTAGGGCTTGTTCTGGGTCAGTTGATCTTTGGCCTTGTTTCCATAAATAAACCCTTACTAGCAGCTTTGGCAATGCCAGCAGGAGGCCAGACTATGCCTGGTTTCACTATGTCCTGGCACTATCTCAACCAAGAGTGAAAATCTTGGGACAAATCAAGTTTCAGATTTTGTTGTTGTTGTTTTAGGAAATGGCTTTAAATACCAATTTCTATTCTCCAAGTACTTTAAAAGCAAAGTAAAATTAACATTACATTTAAAGCCAACCACCTCAACATGGCAAATGCCTCTCAACGCCTAATGGACTCTTTCCTTGGGCTAAATGGACAAGTTCCTTAGCAGAGCTTGTCTAACCCTTGCCTTGCATTGCACCCCAGTCCCGCACAAGAAGCTGAGTAGAAAAAACTGCATTGTGCTCTGCATGAGAAACGTACCTAAGCATCTAGGTTTAGGGCCTAGTTTGTAATTAGACAGTTTCTTGGAAGTACATCAAGCTCAGCCTCAAATCAGAACATCTCTTGGGGAGCAATCTGTATTTAGATGTTTCATTTAAAAATTCATCATTGAATAACAAAATATTTTGTTGCAACTCCTACTTGATGCATTCCAAATTCTCTCTGTCTTTTAATTACAATTATGTTATTAATAATGGATGGAATGGGTGGGGGCATGGGTGAGACTATGCCAGGGGCTAAGTAGCAAACAGAGGGTAGCATAAGCAGTTAAGTCATAGTTCTTTGGGGCGGCAGAATCCCGTGAATCCCAGGCCAAGAGCTCGCCACTCTGGCTTCCTTTTATATATGCCTGTTATCTACATCCTACAACTGCTCTGATTTGGCCAGGAGAAATGTTTTTTCAAGTAGTAGGCAAGGAATGAAGTTCTAAAGGTATTTGGCAGGCAGACTAAGTTTCCCCCAAAAGCTGGAAGAAGGACTTACTCTTTGTGTCTATACTGACAGCCTCTACTTTTCCCATTATCTTTTCATGCTATTTCAGCCATCCCTCCATTGAGACTGCTCTTGTCAAGATCACCAGTGAACTCCTGTGTCACCCAATCAGTCTTCTCTTTTCACATCCGTTTGGTCTCCTAGCACCATCCATCTGTTGACTGCTGTTGGGTGTGGTGTAGTCCAGGGCAGGAGGAGAAGAGGGAGAAAATGTTATCACAAATTCTATTCTGAACTACACTATGTTTAGTAATATGCCTATGTTGTCACCCTCATCCTCATTTATGTTCTCCTTGTTCTTCTTCCTCAATGGCCACTCCTTCTCAGTCTCTTTAATTGGCTTCTTCCCACTTACCATTCTCTAAATGGTAGTTTCCTTAAGATTTGCCTCTGGGCTTTCTTGCCTTCATCTACATCCTGCTCCAGTGAGATTATCTACTCCCCATGCTTTAATCTTTATGCAGTTGACGTCTATATTTCTATCTCCAATCCTAATCCTTTTAGCCACATGTATTGTGCTAAATCTTCTCTCTAAAGCAGAATACTAAAGGGCAGTCAACTGATTAATAGCCTTCTCTTTTTCTTTTTGGCCTTCGATTTTTTGTTTCTAAATTGTTCACCTAGAGTTACTCTTTCCACAAATATTAAAAGATAATCTATACTGTGTCAGACACAGTGCTAGCTGCAGTATAGACTGGGGATTAGGAAGTTACAGGTACTGGGATATAGGATTCCATGTGATACTAGAAAAATGTGTATACATTCATGCAGTCATACGTACATAGCTACATACAAATATTCATTCAGCAAATGCTAATGGAGAATGCCAATGTACTGGGTGCTATGCCACACACTAGAAATACCATGAGGACAAGGGCATAGCTCCTGCTTACATGCAGCTAGTGGTTTAGTTAAAGTCAGAAGGCAATCAAAAGGCAGCAGGAAGTGTCATATAGAGATAATTTGGGTGCAGAAATGAGTACAGATGAGGGTTCATATCTAGCCTGTGTGTATTTCTGTGTGTGTTATTATAAGTTGTATTGAAAATATTGATATTTGCTACATCCTTGCCATCTCGCCCCATGATATACACAAAGGAACACTCTCTGGGTCTTTCGTTCTCAACATACTGTGTAACTCTAGCCCTAGTGAGCTGAATTTGACTTGTAAGACCAGAAGGGCTCATTTTGTCTAAACTCAGTCTCTCTGGGTTTCTACTAAGCTCTATAAAGGAGGGGGTAGAGATGGACTGGAGAGAAAAGAGGAAACTTCTTCTCAAGAAGAAAGGGGGTCCGGGCCTGCTTTTGTCATACTAGCTATCTAAGAGCACCACTTGAGAGAGATGGCCTGGCACTGCAGGGAGATATTCTCACAAACAGATATAAAAGAAAAAAGCCAAAGTCACACTCATCCTCATTTTTGTGCCACATATGCCCAGACCTTTAATCCCTTTTCTCAATGAAGTATAATCTTTACCCTATAACATTCTGACCGCTCCCCTCACTGTGGCCTTGCGGTCCCCAGTGTGGAGGGATGAGGGAGAATGGGGAAACATTAATGCTTTCCCTGGAGACCACAATATGTAAGTTTTCACAGAAATTTTCCCACAGAAGGTGTGCTTCCGTAGAAAGGAATGCATAATAGGTGCTCAATTAGTATTTATTGAATGAGTTAATGAATTATAGAGTGAGCAGGAGTTAGCCAGAACTTATTCTGGTCAGCCATTATGATGGATGTTTGGGGTACACAGGTGAATGACATCAGGTCCCTGCTGTCAAGGAACTCAGCTCCCAGTCTGATGCAAGAAACTGATATGCTAACAAGTAATTACCATTTGGTGTTATACTTATTATAACAATAGCTAATGCTTAGTGAGCCCTTACTATGTCTAGGTAATGCTTCATGTGCATTATCTCATTTTATCCTTACAATTACTCTACTTGATATATTTTGTTATTTTCTACTCTCCAGATAGTCACAATGAAGTTAAATAATTTTCTCGGAGTCATCCAAAGTGCTTTTGATGTTGGCTTGGGTCTGGGCTGAAGCTTGGGGGAGTTTTGACAGCCATCAGTAAGATTACTAAGGGAGAGCTCTTTTTGTGGAGAAAGAAGCATCCGAGGGATAGAGGTTTAGGAAGAAGCAGTAGAACATTGTAGGCTCTTTGGTCTGTGGGAGCACAACCAGTGTAGACTGTGGGGCCTTCGCCCCAAGAGATGATTGAGCCTTATCAAGAATTTTGAGATAATTCCCCTTTGCTCAAGTACAACTTTGGGACCTTGGAATCACCCAATATGCCTTGTCTTTGTCTCTGATACTAAGGATGCCTAAGTGACCCTGAAGAAGCAATGGAGAGATGAAGTTTTTACAAGAACTTCCTGATCCCACAGCCCAGCCAGGCTGTACATTTAACCACTGGCATTTGGAAGCAGCAGGGCTTGTAAGTGTGCCTCATGCACATCAAAATAAAACACATACCACATAGATTCCATTTTCACATTTTTACGACATTCTTGAAAAGACCCAACTATAATGATGGAGAACAAAGCAGTGGTTGTCAGAATATAGAAGAGGGTTTGTGTGACTTAAAAAGTATAGCATGAGGGACTTTGTGGGAGTGATTGATTGCAATGGAGGTTCCACAGATCTACACATGTGTTAAAACTCATAGAACTATACACCAAGAAAAGTCAAGTTTACTGTATGTCAATTTTAAAAGTCCAAATATAAAAGAAATAAAGCACACATCATCTCGTGTGCTCTATTTTTCACCTCTCAGGCTGTACAAAATGTGAGCATTCAAAGCCTTTAATGATTTGGCAGAGTTGGAAGAAGGGTAATAAGTGGGGAGATTACTTGAACTTGGCACCTGATTCTTTTCAAGTCATGAGAAGCTAATTTATCCTCCCTTGTACCATCTCTGTTGTTAAGCTACTGAGTGCCCTTATTTGAGAAATGCCCTGTGGGCAAAATAGGATGGTGCATGATCACAGTCCGCTCTCCAGGAAACTAGTGTGAAGCTGTGTGAAAGAGCATTTTTTTTTTCATTTTTTCCCCAAACTGTGGCCCGCAATCCTCAAACGCTCAGCGTCCCAGCTTTCTCACAGTATTTGACATGACTGTAGTTCTTGTTTGTACTTGCAGCACAGAGCAAGCAGACCTTGACTTCCAGAGGCCCTGACCCATTGAAGGGGCCGCCCAACAAAGTTTCCTGCAAAGAGTAAAGACTCTGAAACTTCGATTCTGATGCTATAGGACAGGAGGACCACTCATCTTTACCAAATCAGGGAGGTGTCCATCTCCCCTTTCACTCTTTTCCTCCTCCTGAAATCTTTGGGGTGCCCTCCTGAGGGCAGGGGGAGAAGAGGGAGAAAATTTTATCACAAATTCTATTCTCACTAGATTATGTTTAGTAATATGCATAGTATTTTTTTTTTTTCCAAACTCCTCTCCTTACTGGATGTGGGACCTTTGGCCAGACATTTAAAACTTTTAGATTCTTTTCACATCCTGGATATATGGCTAATGACTACTGCCTTGCTTAACTCCCAGAAGGACTGAGTCAAATGTCAAAATGCTGGGTACATTTGTATGAGGATGAGGATCAATTGAATAGGATTTATGATGGACTGGCTTGGGCCCCTACGATTTATTCCCATTAGAGCATATGTTTTGATTTCCAACCTACTAAGCAACCAAATCACAGATGCAGTTTTGCAACCTACAGCACATTTCATCTCGTTTATTTTCAAAGCTGTAAGCAGAGAGCCATCCTCCATGAGCAGCACACATTTGAAATAAAATACAAGTTCCCATCAAGATATTCTGACATGTTAGACAAGATGCCAAATTGTTACTGTGCTTCAGACTTATTAGGCAGGATTGAAAAGCAGTTTTTAGCATGATGGCAGGTCATTTCTGCTTGCCCATGAAATGGCCAAACCAAGCACTTTTTAGATGTGATCATATGGGGAAGAATGTTCCTCCTCCTTATCTTGATCAGCTTTTTAAGGAGAAGGCATCCTCATCTTCCTCTTGGTTATGGGTCCGCTTCCTCCACTGAACTCCTATGGCATTTTGCTAGGACCACTTTTACAGCTGTTGCCACATTTTGCCTCATGGTATAATTGTTCCTCTACTTGCCACATATCTGAGTAGTGTAGGAGCCCCTCCACAGCAGCCAAGTCTTGCTCAGAGAACTTTGCAGAGTTCTTTGTGGATTGCTGGAATCTGGGATTTAGCTCTTGAAAGTTAAAGCAAAAGAGGTTACACCGAAATTCTAAGTAACCTATTTTTTTCATTTAGAAAAGTAAAATTGTATCTGTTGATTATAGAAGATTTTGAAATATTGGTTAGTAAGACATAGAAAATTAAAATCATCTGTAGTTTTCAACTTAGGATACTGGGTTCATAACTTAATCCAGTTTAATGTATACAGTTACTATGGCTGGTTCTGCAAATCGAAAGATGACTATGACATGGTCAATGCCCTCAGTAACCTCACAGACTGGTAGGGAAGACAGATACGTGAACTTAGTCCTGCAGGCAATGGGGAGCCAGTACAAGTTTTGAGCTGGACATTGACATGATGAAAATATTTCTGGAATTTTTATCTAAAGGCAGCATGGTGTGGAGAAAGCTGGGCCTGAAGCATAAAGACCAATTCGCATAAAGACCAATTCGGAAGCCAATGCTAAAAGGCCACACATTTTACTGTTTGGCCTTAAGGTAAACACAATGTTATTCAACCAGAGTGACCTCCTTCTCAAGTTAGTTACCCTTGGGACTTCCAAAAGTGAAACTTAGAGATTAGCTTTGCCCTCATCACATTTACTGAGCAACAAGGCACTTTGACAGCCTCTCACTGTTTGTGTTTAGAGTGGGGGACACAACTTTTTCTCTCTCCATCTGATTGGCTGAGCTCCCAGTCTACACTACAGAACCTGAGTCTTAGGAGACAGATATTTAACCCCAAGTCATGCCACTGGGTGTCCATGTTAAGAAATATCTTAGGGAATCTTCCACAAGTCTGTTGCTGTTCTCCTCCAAATATTTTTGGTTTTCTTAAAAAATTAGTATGCCCTTGGTCAGAAAGGTATAGAACCAAAGATGTTTGCTTCTGCAAACCTAAGGATGACTATGACATGGTCAATGCCCTCAGTAACCTCACAGACTGGTAGGGAAGACAAATACATGAACTTAGTCCTGCAGGCAGTGGGGAGCCAGTACAAGTTTTGAGCTGGACATTGACATGATGAAAATATTTCTGAAATTTTTATCTAAAGGCAGCATGGTGTAAAGAAAGCCGGTGACCTCTCTTTTACAGACAGAACAGCTAGTCTCCTGGTTATACTTGCCCTAGGTCTCACATATTAAGTGGCAGAGGTGGGCCTAAAATTTAGCGTTAGACAACTAACACTGGTCCTCCATGAAACACAAATTGCTTCTAGGCTGGAGGAGATATAGGTGTCTCTATAAGCCAGGGCCTGTAGAGCAGGGGCACTAGCCATAAAGACCAGACAACAGCCCAGGATGGCTACTGATCCTAGCAGACACAGTTCTATAATGTAAAAACAACCAAGAAGCAAACCAACTTAAAAGTTAACAGACACACACACACACACACACACACACACACACACACACACTACACTCCTGACATGTTTTTCCCCTTTCTATTTTCAGTTGGGGTTATCTTTCAGTTTAGTTCTGGGAAGGGGTTTCTTTTTTTGTCGTTGTGGTTGAGACGGAGTCCCTCTCCGGTCTCTGTCGCCCAAGCTGGAGCGCAATGGTGCGATCTCAGCTCACTGCAACCTCTGCACACCCCCACCCCCCGCCCTCCCGCGCCGGGTTCAAGCGACTCTGCCACCTCAGCCTCCAGAGTAGCTGGGATTACAGGCGTGTGCCACCAGGCCCGGCTAATTTTTGTATTTTTAGTAGACACGGGTTTTCACCATGTTGGGCAGGCTGGTCTTAAGCTCCTGACCTCATGATCCACCCGCCTCGGCCTCCCAAAGTGTTGGGATTACAGGCGTGAGCCATTGCACTCGGCTGGGGTTTCGTTTTAATGGCTCAGTAAACTGTGATCTGGTACAAAAGGATGGGATTAATGGGCTCTTTTGCTGCAAATGGTACTAAGCTCTTCCAGCTTTATACTCTGCACCTTTTATCTTCGTGGCGATATTTAAGCTTTTAAGGACGTTGCTGGGAGTGACGACTCCATTGGATCCAATCTCAGGAACAGTAAATGGCCTTCAACTCTTTTTAAAAAAGATGCATTGCAGGAGTGAACTGCTGCAAACTGCTGCAAACTCCATGGAGGAGTGACCTTTAAAATGGGGGGTGGGGGGATAGTTTGCTGCTGGCTTTTCATTCCCTGTAGCCACCTAAGCTGTTGGGGAATGGACATGGGAAACACACTAGCTAAAGGGCCCATTTGTTACAAACTGAGTTTTGGTCATTTTTTCTTATTTATATACTTATTTGTTTTTATCTGAGCACATAAATCTATATTTGAATGCTGCAAATCACCCTTTGTTACACTCTTCTTAGTAGACACATATGTATTTAGGGTACAGCTGAGTACAGTACATTTGAGGTTTTGCAAATGATAAATTCTGCCATCTCCATATTCTTGGATAAAACTAGAAATACACAGGCTTTTGTATACGAACAGCAGAAGCTGATGACTCTATTCACATATAGCTATGTTGGATATGTTGGAGGCCTGGAGCAATTTGGCCACAGAGAGTTGTTTTTAGGATTGGAAGAACACTCAGCCCCCAAACTAGATAATGTGACATGTTCTATTTTTAATGAGTTTATTTTCTTGTTTCAGCTTGGAGGTGTTAGTTCATCGTTTTGATTCTTGACAAAAGGATTCTGCTTAGACTCTCAGCTCCCTGGTGGGTTGGAGTTTCACAAAAACATCTGCGCTAAAGCAAAGGGGATTCATACTATCCTAGACAGTGTTCACTTGAAGGTTTCCCAGAAGCATCTGTAGCTGGAAGAGTCCCTGTCAGTCTCTACTCCCTAGCTGTAGATGGGCCCACAGCCCTGCTGCCTAGGGAAAAGTTGACAGTTATTAAAAAAAAAAAACAGCCCTTTTCTGTCATATTCACTTCAGTAAAGGACCAAGTCTGCTATTGCAAATGGGCTGTATCCAGTGCACAGGTATTCTGGTATCTCCTACAGCACATAGTCACTATTGCTAAACATTTTGGGTAGTTAGAGTCAGTAGTCCCAAAGATTGGCCATAAGGGCCAAATAAGATTGGAATTCTGATTATGGTAGAAAATCCTTTTTAATGTATTATAATTCATAAGAAATAGACTTCAGAAGAGAATTGATTTCAGAGCTGTATTCCTGCTCATTTCTTCCATCCTTTCTGTTCATTTTTCATTTCCTACAGACAATCAATTAGTAAATGTAGGATACGTGTGTACCTCAGTGACCCAAGTTGCTAGGGATACATCAAGTGCTTCAGCCCATAGCAGCCAAGGGAGGTTTGGGGTGTCTCTACAGCTCTTGACTTTTCAACTTCAATTATAAATCCATTTGGTCAAGTTGTGGTTTGAACTGTGTGTGTCCCCTGTGATGCACTTTTGGTAAACAGCTGCAGTACAGAAGCAGCTGGGCTTATTTGTTACCATCTCTACTAAGCCGCCATATAACTGCATGGGGACGGTGATACAGCAAGTGAAAACGGGTAGAGTTTTACAGCATAGGGTCTTAGATTCATGATGAGAAATGACACTGAACAAATGACTATTTTTGACTTTAAATAGAAGAGATTAAAAGACTTTCAGATCTGTTCTCCTAGGTTTTTGTTCATACATCTTCATTTTTGCGATTTCTCCGGATTTGGAGTCTGTTTTGAAGGGGAAAGTTGGCCCATCCAGAAAGCACCGGATCATATTTTCCATTCTGTATGCATTTTGCTATCTGCCTTGTTTATGTGAACATTAAAATAAATAAAACCTTACAATCTAAACTTTGCTTTTACTAAATAAATGAACACAGCAGTTATTAATTGAATTCAGTCAGCTTTCAAATAGAATCATTACTTTATTACAGTATAAACACAGTGGAAAGAAATCAGACACCCTAGCACAGTGCATGTTTTGCTAGGAATTTAACAAATATGTTGGCCTCAATGTGAACAAGTTATATATTTTTTTCAGACTTGAGGCTTGTTAACTCTTTCAGGCCACTTGCTGCTAGGCAACCAATACCCTGCTGGCTTGAGTCCATGGTTTTAAAAATTATCAGTTTCCTGCCAGACTGACTTGAGGACTTTTGAAAAAGTAAATTTTGAATGCATGCTGCGCTTTTTAGGCAAATCTTTATTAAATGTCTTCTCTGGCAAAGATAGTACTAGAAATATACTGAGAAGTGGGAGAAAGGGTGGCCCCTTCCTTCCAAGATTTTATAATCTTTTGATATCAAGCACACACACACACACACACACACACACACACACACACACACACACACAGCTAAGGCAGTTCACAACAATGGACCAGGGTGAATGCTGTGGACTGCAGTTGCTCTAGAGTAATACAGGGAAAGGATGTCTTATCTGTGGACTCATGCAGCCAACAAAGGAGCTGTGGAAAAAATAGAGGAGTTTGAACTGGACTAAGTAGAAATGGGGGTATATTTTAGGCACAAGGGACAGGGATTCAGGATGCTGTCAAAGTGAGGCAAATAGTTGTTGAGGGCCTCTTATTTGCTAAGTGCTAGGGACAGAGTGAGGAATGAGCCAGGCATCATCTGGCCTTTAATGGAGCTTTTTAGTATGAACACAATTATTTTCATTCTTTTTTACTGGCTAACTTATGTGCAAATTTCTGTAAGTAAGTTGAGAACCCATTTGAACTGCTCAAATAAAAAAAGGAGATTATATTGGAAGAGTCCATGATTACAGCCTGCCCCTAGATCTTGTGGTAGGATTCAACAACTGAAAGTTTGAGAACCCAAGATTACTTGTTTCATCATCTTGGGTCATATAAACTTTTGTTGCTGCTTCAAAGACCACTTCAAGCTTATCTCTTCTCCACACTAAACACACACACACAGAGAGACACACACACACACACACACACACACACACAGAGTTTTCCTCTTCTGCTTTCACACACTTGTAGTCACATCAGCTTCCACTTTAAAACTACTTCCTAGTTTGAGGATCCAACAGAGATTGACTTGAATTCCTGTGTCCTGATGCCAAAGTCACCCAGCTTTGGTCAGTTGTCCATTCTTATCCAATCAGTGATGCCTATTTGGGCAAGTTGTATGACTTTGAGAAGAGAACAAGAGAAATAAATGATTGTCATTTCAAGTACAGTCAGTCATTGTTGAGAGAAAGAGCAAATCCCAAGCAGGGGCTTAATATCTGACCTGAACACATGTGTTTGGTAAACAGTAGTGAGACTTGTATCACTGAAAACCAGGCTTTCCATGGAGGGGCATGGTGAGAATGAAAACTGGAAAGATATGGTGGGTCTATATTTTAGGACGTCATTTTAAGTGTGGAAAAGGGAAGTCTTCATGTCTCATTGATATTGAGGCACATTCTGACTGGCTAAGTTGCAGAGAAACTGTAGACAAAATTCTTGTCATCAGTGAGGAGGTGTGGGACTGGAGTGAGCATTTTCTAAGATTGTTTCCCAGCCTATAGTTATTTGGTTTGAGGCTCCTGCAGATTCCTTTCTGAGAGGAACTTTGTTTATTACTCTTTTGCTGTAGGGATTATGCTGCCCTCTGGGGATTGGGAGATTCCTGGGATGTGAGGGCACCCCTGGGTGGGGTCTTTTTCTTTCTGAGAGCACCGCGATAACATCTTCCTGCAAGAGGAGTGTGTCCCTCAAAGGCCGAAATGGAAAAGATTCAAAAATCTCTAACTCTCACCTCTCTAGATATAATGCAATACACATATAGAATATACATGCCCTTTTTCTTGGAGAAAATTTCCAAAAATAAGATATATATTTTTGTGTAATGCCTATTGCTTACTTTAAAATATTTAAATTATTTAATTTTAAAATTTATAAATTATGTATTTATTAAAATTTAATATATAAATTAAAATATTTGCTCAGTCTGGAGGATTCAGGAAAGCACACAAATTTGGCATATTACAAAGTACATGTAACCCTAAACATCCAAAGAAGATCAAATTGGTATTTTATTGTATTCTTTTTCAATGTTTTATGCATGTATGTTATACAAAATAAAATGATTACAATACTATACATACAGTTTTGTATCCATTTTGTCTTAGTGAACATTTCTCCATGTCATTAAATATTCCTGGTAGCTATATAGTTTTACTGTAATATATTTTAATATTTACTAATTTAGGGGAATTTAATTGTCCTAAATAATTATTCCGATAAATAGCTTTATATGTAAATATTTGATCACATCTTTATTTCTTTAGTCCAGCTTTCAAGGCTTGAAATTATTAGGGAAAATGATGTGAAATTTTAAGGTCTTGTTATATAGTTCCAATTTATATAGACCCCCAGTCTATGGTAGCGGCTGACTACCTCATCCTTGCTGGTACTAAGTAATAGCATGGCTTGTAGTTTATATCAGCTTGGTAGGTGGAACGCTTCTCCATGGTAAAGACCATGGCATTTTCTCCTTTAATGGTGTTCAGCACATATCAGGCACACTATGCAAGTTTGTTAAATAAATCATAGTCAAAGGAGAAGGTGGTAAGATCTATTACGAAGACATGTTTTTTTGTTCTAAGTCTGTGGGGAATTCAAGAAGAAATTAGTTTAAGCTTGTGTAGGAGGATGCAGTAGAGAGGTGGGATTGAGAAGCGAAGGGCCAGTGAACAATGATACTGTTAAATGCATTGAAACTTCAAATAAGCAAATGGGGCCAAGGAGAGAAACTTGTTAAAAATGAAGTGTGGTCTATTTCATGGAGCACAGCATAGGTGACTGCAGAGTAGATCATGGATTGTTTCAATGTAAAAACCAGTGGGTTGAACCCTAGAGCCCAGTTGGATGGGTCTATGGATGGGTCTATGGAGCACAGTTGGATGGGCCTCCGACTAAGTGTGAACTGTGCAGGGAGATTAGGTTGTAACAATAAAAGTTACAGTTCTACATTCATTTATTCATTCTTTCATTCATCCATTTAACACATTGTTTTTGAATTTGGCCTGTTTCTGTAGTGACGATGGAGCTATGAAGATAGTACTAGAGCTTTCATTTGGGTGGTTTGTTCAAATGCGTTAGGTCGGTTGGTGCAAGGTTTGTACTCTGGCCCTAAATAAATCATCTTGGCTTTCTAAGAGGTGACTGAATAAGACTCACTTACTCTGCTCTGGCCATATAGGCTTAGTTGTTGTATTTTTGTTTTTGTTTTTCTTTCTTGAGACTGAGTCTTGCTTTGTCGCCCAGGCTGGAGTGCAGTGGCGTGATCTCAGCTCACTACAACCTCTGCCTCCCGGATTCAAGCAATTCTTTCTGCCTCAGCCTCCCAAGTAGCTGGGATTACAGGAGCCCGCCACACCACACCCTACTAATTTTTGTATTTTCAGTAGAAGTGGGGTTTTGCCACGTTGGCCAGGTTGGTCTTGAACTCCTGATCTCAAGGGATGTGCCCACCTCGGCCTCCCAAAGTGCTGGGATTACAGGTGTGAGCCACCGTGCCCAGCCCCTTGTTTTAAAAATATACTAGGCATGCTCCTACATTAGAGCCTTTGCACTGGTTGTTTGTTCAACATGGAATGGGCTTTTCTTAGATGTCTATTGGACCAAATCCTTCATCTCATTCAAGTCTTTGCTTATCGCTCACAATGTCAATGAGGCCCACATTGATCATCCTATTTAATACCACAACCTACCTCCCACTCTGGCACTCCTTGTTCTCCTTATTCTGCTCACATTTTTCTTTTTTCATCAAATTATACCATACTTTTAATTATGCTACATAATTTACTTATATGTTATGCTGATTGCATACTGTCTGTTTTCTCCCACTTCATGAAAGCAAGAATCTTTGTTTGGGTCATGCTGTGTCACTGAACCCTAAAGGAGTGTCTTAAACACAGTAGTGCATTATTATATTTTTGTGGAATGAATAACTCATCATGTGCTTGGCAGGCAACATTAAAGAGGATCTTCAGATTTTTCAGAAGAGCAAGGGAGAACTCCCCTCACCTGCTGAGCTGTTGGCTGTGGACTCCAGATCAAAGTCTGAGGAACCACTCACCTCCATTTCTTGGCAGTGGAGAGTGAGATCAACAAGAGAGATAGGAGAAAATCATGGGGAGACTTTGAGTTTAGAGGGTCCTGGGCAGCTCTCTCACAATAACAGTAAGGTAGGGAAGCATCTCAGAGCTCTTTATGCAAAGGCCCTCATCCAAAAATCGAGACCAGATTTCCATGACCATTGCTGTTGCTGTTCTTACTACATCTGAGCTCTTCCATGCCCTCTTTTCCCTTTGATCAGTGGTGTCAGAAAGCAGATGCATACTAACATTTACCAATTGTAGGACATGTCCCACAACGAAGCTCATTCTGCCTTCAACACCAGAGCAAGAGGGAATTATGGGAAGAATATTCACCAGGGTAGACTTTTGGGGAAGTGATGCTGAAGCCTCAGTATTAAAAACTTGGAGCAGTGGGGGATGTGGATGGGCTTTCTGAAAAAGTTTTGAATTTATTAGTGAACCTGTTACTCATCCCTTTTGGGGTGTGGGTAATGGAGTGGAGGGAGAGCCACAGCTGCTTTGTGCTGAGTCATACGCTTGTGTTTGTACTTTGCCTTGCATAGAGGAATCCAAGGTTGCTTCACAATGACTTGGTTAAAATTAGCACTGTCAGAGAGCTCCGTAAAGAGTCTTGTGAAAAGTCTTCCAAAATAAATCAACCTTCCTGTTGGGGTTGAGTCATCCCCTTCTTTCTTCAACTGGAAATGATTTTAATGGGAAGGTAAGCCAGTAAGATCTTTTTGGTTGCCGATTTTGAAGGTATCATTGTGATAACACAGGGTGGTAAGGCAGAAAGTGTCAGACAGTGGTAGGGGGTCAAATGTTGGCTGTGGCGTAACTTGCTGTGTGACCTTGCATGAGTATCATAACTTTTCAGAGTTTCAAGTGTCCCAAAAGTAAAAAGTGGGGCTACCAACATCTGCTTTGCCGAGAGACAATAGATGTGTAATTAAGTGGAGCAATGTATATGAAGCATACTTCTTGGCACATAAAGTCCCTCAACAAATGGGAACAGAAATGATATTGATCACTGCTTTCCACATATTCTTCAAACTAACATGTCTCAAAGCAAGCTTATCACTCTCTGCCCTGCTGTTTTCATTGAGACCTGCTGCTACTTGAATTCATTGTAGCTCTCAGGAAACCATCATTCACCCAGGCATATTGATATATTGATGGCTGATCACTTCTCAATTACCACTACCAGGACTTTAATTCTGCCCTTCACCACTTCATACATAGAATATTTTACCAGGTTTTTTTTTTTTTTTTTAACTTTCCCCCTACCTCAAACACCTGGGAGTTCACCTACTAGGGTGGTCCCTTGGTTAGGATGTCCCTTACGGTTTCCTTCCTATTCTGCTTACTGTGTGGCAGTTGAGTGAGCATAGCATACTACTGTATGTCATTCAGGGTTATGGACTCAGTTACTCAATTCTGCACCCCAACCCCTTGACACAGGGAAGCACAGTATAGGTGCTCTATAAAGACTGGCTAGAATTGAAGTATATGGGAAGCTGTGACCAAGACGTCCTAAAGGCATATTAAATAGTGGTTGTCACCATCTAAAATTACCTTATTTATTTCATTATTTGCATATCTATATGTCCTTGCTGCCTTCATTATTGTCCATTTTACTCCTGTATCATGTCACAAGAGGTAGATGTCCAGACAGCTCATCATTCCTCAAGTCATACCTCTAAGAGAGCAGGAACTGTATCTTTCCTATTCATGGTTATGTCTCCAGACCAGAGCCTGGTGCTTCTAGTGGCCATCTTTTCCAACTGTGGGAAAAACCTGTCTGACAATAGAGCCAACACAGAGAAAAGCAAAGCTGAGAGATGGAGAAAAAAGGCAGAGTGCTGCTGATATTGTTCAAACCATAAGATCCTGGCATGCCTGAAGTGAACATACCCCCTTGGACATCCCATATGTGAGCCAATAAATTCCCATCATTGCTAAAGCTAATTTGAGTGGGGTTTCTGCCATTTGCAATAAAAAGCAAACTGACTAATACATCCTCTCCTCAGTACCTCATAAAGCTTCATGAAAATCAAAAGGAACTTTCCATTTGCAACAAGTTATTCATTCTAGTATCAAAGTTTCAACATGGTTATCCTTTCCTGCCTTACTCAATTCAGGAATGCACCAATAATGATGCCACTAGAGAGAGATTTCCTTGGTAATGGGCTGAAGAGCACCTGATGTGGTGGTAAGGGTTGCTCCTTTAAATAAAGGAATAAGCATTTGAGCTAACACATGGATGATGAGAAGCAGCCATACATATGCTTATCTAGAGGAAAAGCATTCTAAGTAGAGGAAACAGCAAGCACAGAGGCCCAGAGACAGGAAAGAAGAAGCTGATTGTTGGTTTAAGAACTCCACAGAAGGTTCATGTGGCTGGATCTTTGTGAAAGAGGAGGAGACATATAGGAATGGAGAAGAAGCCAAGGGCCATGTGCACTTTTCAGGAGAATGCATGAATTCAAGATTGTCTGACTTGGGACAGGAGTCAAATGGGCGGCAACAAGGGCAGCAAAGAAGGCCTGCATTCATTCAGTGAAAATGCAGGGTGGCTTGCCTGGCACTGTTTCACGCAGTGTAGCTGTACAAGATGGTGTCTGCAGGGTTGTACCAGCAAATCAATTGCTGTACTACCAACCTAGAAAAGTCAGTGAATCATCCTTATATTTTGATCATATAGTTAAATATATTCCGTTTGATCCTTTAGTAAGTTAGTGGAGCTGAAAATAAATGGATTAGGTTGGAGAAATAAGTTAACCTCTCACATTCATCAGAGCTTAATTTAGTGATTGCCTCCTTATTGCCCTAGATGGGCCAGTAGTATGACCCATCTCACTGTGAGTACCTTACTCTGAGAATTTTGCTCAGTTTCCAAAAGGCAGCACCATAGATATGAACACACAATGTTAATAAGCTGGTATTATGAAGCACATCATACTGCAAAAATTCTGATGGTTTCATAGAATGTGAATATAGTAGATAGAAATGTATTTTTATTTCAAAGTCCTGGGACATTATGCTTGCAAAATACCTTGAAATCGTGTTTATTCTCTAGCATTCATAGCATCCCTAAATCATTAATATGCACATGTTCCAAATAAGGAAACTGTCTGTCATATAGGAATATTTTGTAATGCAATTTAATTCATCTCATTTCAACAAATATATATGGACTGTTTGATGTGGATTTATGGTGTTGAAAGTAGACTGCTTTTTGTAAGGAGAATGAATGGATGCAGGCTAGAGATGAAGCGGGGCATCTTACAAAGAAATGTTTCTAGTACCATGGGTTAAGTGAAATTCTACCATGAACTACGAAAGTGACAGTGGAAATGAGGAATAGGCAAATACAGATATTTAAAAGCAAAACCATCAGGGCTTGGTGACAGATTAGAGGTGAAGAAATAGAGAAGGACAGGAATCAAGTATATGTCTATGAAGTCAACTGGAAATATTGTGGTGTTCTTGATAGAAGTGGGAATTCTTGAGGAACTCTAGTTTGGGAAGATGATGTCTAGTGGACAATTGGAAGGCAGGCCTAGAGCTGAGCAGCAAATTAAGTCCTGAAGATGGACATTTTTAGATCACCCCCCTAAAGATGATGACTAAAGCTATGGAAATGGATAAGCTCATCCAGTAGGTCAATGTAGAGAGAGACTCCCCACAGATTGAGGCGTGCAGAGCCCTATGCAGGCCACCTTGACATAACTCACCATACCTTTCCCCATGAGTGTGATTGGCACCCTTGGGGCCATTTTGATTTCGGATATAAGCCTTGTGCTATAGAATAGGAAAATTTATGAAGACATTCAAATTCTGCCATTGAAAGCCAGTGTGGTATCTGGATAATGGACATGTTATTTTGAGAAAAAACATTGCTTACACTCAGGATATTAGTTAGAAATCCCCAATTTAGTTTCATTTTTTTTGTGTGAGAAAATATGGCAGTGGAAACATTTTCAGAAATGGGAAGTCATTTCTTAGAGAGATTTATTTGGAGCATAGCCAGTAGCAAAATCAGCTATTGACACCTTAAGCTACAGACTTAAGATGAAAAACAATGATAGAGAGGTCGTTTTTTTTGTTGTTGTTGTTTTGTTGTTTTTTTTTTTTTTTTTGAGTTCCATAAGGAGAACATGATTAGCCTATTCTTCTGATTGTTTTATGTTTGCGAGTTCTGTCTCCTCAGTTAATTTTCATCTTTTCTGAAGCATGGGTTCTACCTCATAATTTTTGGATCTCCCTGCAGTGCCTAGCACAGTGCAGAACTAGTGTATCACACACTCAGATATCTCTTGTGGAAAAAAATACATCACAACAAGTAGAATTACAAGGTTAGATTCAAAGGTCCTTGAAATGCAGTCAAGTCTGTTCTCACGCCTCTGTGCAGGATAGCAATCAAGCTGCCCCATAATATTGACTGTCTTCTTGTAAATCACAAGATATGTTTCTTAGGCTGAGGCAAAAAGGACAAGTAGAGAAACCATAGTTTCATGGGCTCTTTACAGCTGGAAGTCAGAAATACCACGAAAGTTGGAAGTAATAGTGACAGGAAAGGGTACATGTAGGACTCACACTAAGGAACTTGGTAGCATTTCTTATAATACCTATTCAATCAACATTGTCAGTAACACGGTCAGGGCTACATTGGAGTAAGAATTAATACTATTAAAAGAAATAATAAATATGCAAATAACCTGAAAAATATCCGTAGTATTTACCACCTGAATTCACACAGTGAAATGAAGCCTTTACACACTTTGGAGTTCACATTGCACAACTTCTGCATGGTGGTAGTGATGAGTGCATGAATGTTCTAACCCAATTCGTTTTCTATGACCTCTTAATTCCCTCTAGGAACTTTTGTGAAAAAAATGTCATGCTCAGTAGAGATTGCTTTTGATGTAAGTAATACTTAGTGGTTTGGTAGGTAAATATTAGCTAATTTTTGAGTGCTAACTATGTACCTGGCACCAGACTGAGACTTTTACATAGATTATTTTATTTAATGCTGATAATGGCCCTCTGAAGTAGGTTTTATCATTTGTATTTTTATAGATAAGAAAGTAAAGGCTTAGAGAGGCCATGTAATTTGTCTGAGGGTATACATGAAGTAAGTGGCAGAGCTAGTGGTCAGCTAAACCTAAAATCCATGCTCTTAAGAGAACTAGGCTAAACTGCTTACATAATATATTAACTACATTAAAATTGATACCAGTTCTTTTGTGCATAGTTGGCCGAGTTCATAGAGACTTGCCAAGAACTGTTGAAACCTTTATCTACAGAGATAAGGTAGACAGTAGAGAAGACCAGGAGCACTTGGACCATATTTCCCAGCAGTTACTCTCACCTCGCTCGTCCAGTCCTTTCTCTATCATTACAACATTGAACACTAGTAATACAACTCTGTGGCAGAGTTGATAGCACATCAGTTATCCCCATTTACCTTCTGTGTGATAGCATTTCATGGTATTATATGAAATTATCTAAAGGATGATATGATTTGATGTTGCTAAAGTGAAGAAAACCACCAAAGGTAGACTTGTTCTCATTTAAGAAAAAGCCTCCATAGGTTAACTTGAATAATCTTCAGCTTGTCTTGTGGGACCATGTCAAATTAATTTCAGCTGATGCTGTATAGGAAGGAACAACCTTTATCATCATCATTATCATAAATTCATACCAGTCATTATTCCATTCATAGTATATGCCAGGTGAGTTATGTTCATTATTTTAATCAATCTTACGAAAAAAACTCTCTAAAAACAGGGATTTTTATGCTGACTTCATAAAAGAGGAAATAGATACTCTGAGAGATTGACAGTCCCATGATCATATAGCTAATTAGTGACAGTCATATGATTTAAATGAGTTATGCTTGACTTCAAACCTGTTTTTTCTATTACTATTATTATTTAACTATGATCACAAAATAATTTAAACATACAGTGTTGGTGCAGAAATATTACCTACTCTCACTTGCCTGCTGACAAGATAAACAAATGTCATTTGGCCTACTTTGCCTCAAATCTACTCTCCCCTCTTCTTAATTTTTAAAAAATTTTTATTTTGAAATAACTATAAATTCACAGAAGATTGCAAACAAATACACAGAAAAGTCCTATACAACATTCCCCAGCCTCCTCCAGTATTAGCATATAACATAATTATAGTACAATATCAAAACCATTGGTAAAATCTTTAGAGCTTTCCCAGATTTCACCAGTTAAACATGAGCCCCTTTGTGTTTTTCTGTGTGTTGTTTTATGTAATTTTATCATATGTGTTGTCTCATGTAACCACCGTGACAGTTAACATACTCCACTATACAGAAGACTGTTCTGTGCTACTCCTTTACAGCCATATTCATCTCCTCTCTCTTCTCCCTAATCCCTGGCAACTAAGTTGTCCTACATATCTACAATTATTATTTCACAAGTACTAGATAAAAGAAATTATATAGTATGTAACCTTTTGAAATTGACCTTTTTAACTCAGCAACAATTTCCTTCAGATGTATCCAAGTTGTTGCATGCAGTTGTGTCGGTTTACCCATTGAAAGACGTTTGAATAATTTACAATTTACAAAATTTATTTATTTTTCTAGGATAAATGCCCAAGAGTGCAGTTGTTGAGTCGTATGATAAGTTCATATTTAGTTTTGAAAGGCACTGCCAAACTATTTTTCTGAGTTTTTGTACCATCTTCCTCTTATTAATTTACACTTTCGAGATTATATGTGATAAAGTCATTAGAGCTTTCTCTTCCTTGAAATTTCCATTTATATAATTTGCCCGTCTTTTTCTAATGAGATTTTTGGCCTCTTTCTTGCTGATTTGTTAGAGTTCTTTTTTAAATTATTAGCACTAATCCTCGTTAAATATACCACAAATGTTGTCCTGTCTGTGACCTGTTAGTTTGTACGTGGTGTATTTTTTCATGCATACATTTTAAATTTTAATGTAGCAATGTTTATCAGTCATTTCCTTTATGGTTTGTGGTTTTTGTGATCTTACATAATAAATTCCTTTGCATTTTTTTCCATAGGTAAGCCCCTAGGGACCAAACAGCCTCTTTGCTCTTAATTGATACACAGTATTAATACTTCTGCTGATCTAATTTGGAAGCACCTCATAAGTTAGAATTACACTGGAAGGCATAAGGGAAATTCTACAGACAGATACTCTGATGGCAACAAATGATGATTTTTCAGGCCATCTCAATTAATTCTACTTTCTTCCAGTTGGTCATCTACTTTTGGTCATCCTTCAGTGCTCAAATATTAACTCCTCTGCGAAGCCTTTCATTACATTCCTCAAGACTTGTTTTGAGCTCCTGCTTTATGTTTAATCATCATCTTGTGCTACCCTCCTTATTGTACTTCTCACACTGCAGTGTAGCTGTATGTTTACTCACCTGTGTCCCCCAACCAACTGTAGATTGCATGAGAGAAGAGACTGTGACTTGTTTAATAGTTGTATCCCTCAGTGCAGTGTCTGATGGATAGTAAGTGATCAGTGACCCTTTATCAAATGTGGGGATGAAAGAGATGCATTCAAAATAAGCAGACCTAAGACCTCACAGAGCAAAGCAGCCTTAGTGTGCTTAGTTCAAAGGCAAATTCCCTTATAGTCCATGGGTCCATTCCTCATGAGAGAAGCAGGACTGGCCAGAGCTCTGTAGTCTGACCTGCTTAGAACAGTGAATAAGGGTCTGGGGGCCACAGGATGCAGTGTGGGGGATTTGTGCTCAAGGCAGTGAAGACCTTGGTAATAAAAGGGGTTGTTTAATCATGACAGAGTGAAGGAAAACCAAAGTCCAATTCCCAGAGTATGTACGAATAACAAGGCTCAGTGTCAAAAGCCAAGAGCTGCATTAAAATAATACTGAAGCACAAGAAAACAGGAAATCCTATTTTTTTTTTTGTCTTCTGTTTAAAGAAGCAGAGAATTGTGTCAATTGTTTTGGAAAGGTTTTAGTCCAAAATGGTTAAACTATCTGTTGGTATGATTCGTCTCCCCATCATAGGCACAGACACATGTTCTTTCCAAGGGAGATGGATCAGACTCTATAAAATTCCTAGTACCTCCTTATGTCAGATGAAGTAATAATGGACATTCCTTTCAGATTCATCATAACTCAGGAAGATTGTTCTGATGGTAAGTGAGGGAAAATAGAACCTCCTTTCGAGTCAATTCCTGCTGCTTCTGGACTTTGCCATTATGAAGCAAAAAGTCTGTTTTTAATTAGAGACCTGAAAGCCTAATTTTATGCCATGGTAACCTGTGGGATCTGAAATACACACCCCCAGATGTTGCCTGTAGCAAAATATGTTCATAGCAAAGGCAACTTAAAAGTAAAAAAAGGAAAAATAAAGCATAACTCCAAGGAAGCAGAAGATATAAAGAACACACTTTGATAATCTTTAGTGAACTTGAAGCAATTGTCCAAAAGTGAGCTATCATTTAGAATTTATTGTAAATGATAGGAAAATAAAATACCTTGAGTGGGACTTGCTGCTCAAAAAGTAAAGTGAAGTGTGGGTGTCTTAGTTAGCTGGGGCTACTGTAACAAAATACCACAGACTGAGTGGATTAAAGAATAGGCATTTATCTCCCACATTTCTGGAGGCTGAAAGTCCAAGGTCAGGGTGCCAGAATTGTTGAGTTCTGGTGAGGGCTGCCTTCTTGGTTGCAGATCGCTACCTTCTTGCTGTACCTTCACATGGTGAATAGAGGATAGTCTGGTATCTCTTCCTCTTCTTGTGAGAACAGTAATTATAGGGGCTTTTCCTCACAAACCCATTTAACCTTAATTACCTCTCAAAGGACTCAGCTCCTAGTATCATCACATTGCAGGTTAGGGCTTCAACATATGAATTTGGGAGGGATACAGACATTCAGTCCATAACAGTGCAGGAGGCAAAAACTAAACGTGCATTTTCCTAAGTGTTAGGCCACTTAGTAATTCAATATAATGCTGCTCTCTTTTTCTTTATTTCTCATTTTTTTTGCATAATTAATAGTATTATATGAACCCACTTACATAGTTATAGTCAGGGTCAGCTTTAAAACAAAACTTTCACGTCTTCTACTATCTTGCTGTTCCCTCTCTTTCCCTCTTTTCCCTTCACTCGTGCTCCCTCCATCCATTTGGTTTTGTTTGGGTAATTTAGGGATAATCTGATTTAGTAAAAACAGCTTTGGTCCAGAAGCCGGGACACCTTGACTGTGCCACTAACTCACTATGTGAACTTGGGCACATTTCTTTTTCTTTGTAGAAATCAGTGTTCTAATCTGTACCAAGAGTAGGTTGGATAACTTGGTCTCTAAAGTTTCATTTGCTTCTGCTCATATTGGTCTCACTGAAATATGATCAGTACTCAGTTGAATATTGATGTGATACCTGAATAGCATGTAGAATGTGATCAGTCTCTTAGGCGAAGCAGCTTTTTTTAGAGAATTTAATTTGTTATAAAGCAGTTAACTTGCTCTGCCAGTTTCATATTAATATTTCACTGAATGATATCTTTGTCAACATCAGAAATAGATAATGAGTTTATAATCAATATGATGTCTTGAAAGCTGGCCTTTTTCTGATTCATTGCTGTCCCTGTCTGATGGTGGTCTATCAAAATGCAGACCCTTTCTTTGCATCATAATCAGACATACCTGTAAGCTTTCCCACATTAAATGAAGACTGTTTCTTCTTTGATCTAGTTTAAACAGATCAGGGATTGCAAATGAGCTCATTTCACTTGTCAACTCCAATCAATTGTGGAAATATAACAGGAGTCCGTATTTAGAAGTATTGTGAAAAGTGTTTTGGGCACTGTGCACTAAGAATTGTCAGAGTGTCCCATATGTCAGGAGTTTGCTATCCTAGACTTGGAGAGTGAGATTTTCAAGTCATCTCCTGCTGTCTTGCAATCGACTCACTGCGAATTATGGAACAGATGTTGCTCTGTGATCAACAGGTCTCCCAAAGCTCTGGAGGCACCTTTATGCAACACCAGCAGGACCAATTGAAAAAGAAATTACCCAAACATTACAGAGCTGCTTGCTGTTCATATCTTGCAGCTTCTAATGACCCAAAACAAAGATGTATTTATATAATTTATTTGCTATGGAATGGGTAAGAATTAAATGTGATCAGTGAAGGTACTAGGACCAGAAGAACTTAGAGAAGCCAACAGAGTTCACCATTTAAATTTACCTACCATTTGTTCAATAAATACTATAAGCCAGGCATTTTTAAAGACACTTTAGTTCACATCTAATCCTTCAAAAATTCTGTGATGGAAATGGAGAGGTTTAAGTAGTTTTCCAAAGTTCATATCTCAAGAAATGAGCATTTTTACATCTCTGAAGAGGGGGTATAAAAATTGGTGACAATGATGAAGAGAAGACCATGGACCCGTCAGCCTGAACTCTTGAAGATTTGGGATTACTCATCTGTAGATCCCATCTGACAACAGATGTTGATAAGACACAAATACCTGTTGAAGCTTTAGTGGATCAATAAATAACACCCCTTCATTCCCCATTTGAGTCTTGAAAAAATGAGGGAAAGTGTGAGGTAGATAAAGGTGAAAATATCACCTCAATTTTTGGTAAAGCTGCTTGTAGAACATAGATTAGGTCGGTGGCCAAGCAAACAAGAATGCATGCTCCTTCAAGCAAGCAGTTAGCAAGAATGAGAAAGGAACTCAATCGAATATGTCCAATTTCTTCTTCCAAGTTTATTGGATCTGATAATGAGGATAAGTGTCTTAAGTCAGCTTCTTCCTAAAGTAGGCCCTGAGACAGGATCTGAGTTCCAGTGGTTTCTTTGGGAGGTGATTTCCAGAGCACCAGTAATGGAGTAGGGAAATGAAACAGGGAAGAAAGGAATTTATTTAAGCCAATATAAAGTATATTAATGAGCAACTGGAGCTCAGTCATCCTGGGAACCCTAGGAATTGTGCAGAACATGCCTCTGAGTTGAAAAAACTGGAGTAGCCATTCACTAACTGCTATCAGTCATGGCTAAGGGCTCCTCCTAGGAATGTCAACTCCCTGGAAATTACTAACTCTCTAGCTTACTCTATGCCCAGGCTGATCAAGCTTCTGGGGCCAGAGAATGCACTCTGGCAGGCAGAAATTGCAAATAATTGCCATAAAGAATTGTCCATGTGCACAGGAGCAGGCAGTGCCAAGTGGTTACCAGTGGAGTATAGATGGTGATACATTTGTCATGGGACCTGAAACAACCCAGTGGATTTTCTAAGATAAACTAAAACTAACTAAACTAAACTTGGAGCAGTTTTCCTACTACTTCCTTTTCTCTGCAAGGAATTCTCAGCAGGGCCTTTCCAACATAAGCATGGGAGGTCTTTTTGTACAAATAAAAAAGATTATTTTTCCTTATTTCTTATATTTTTCTGTTTGTAAGGCAAAAAAAAAAAAAAAAAAGTCCAACACAAGCTTCGAAACTAGTGAGGTCTTGGCTGTACAAAACCTTTGGAAACCATTGGTGGTTTTGGAAGCTGCCAATGTGCTGTCAGGCAGATTGAATCTAAAGAAAAACGCAGAGATGAATGTTTCCCATGCCATGAATACCCCAACCCTGCTGTCTGGGGAATCTGAGAAGGAAGGCAGCATGAAGGGCTAGACTTTCACTTTTTGCAAATGGTTTCAGAAAGAGCAGGCTGAGACCACAAAGTTGGAGTAACATACAGTGTGGGATAGCTGCAAAATAATGGTAGGAGAAGGATTCATGAAAATGGGATGGGGCCAGAAGGATTGTAATGGTATTTGTGTGAAAGGCAATGGCAGCTCGGGGGGCACAAGTAGGAGGAACCATCCCATCTAGTATCCTGTTGCCTGGATCTCAATACTTTATTGGCCATGAGCTACTTGCTGTCCAGGGGAGTGGTAAGAGGTGAGGATAAGGTGCTCTCTCAGTAGGAGCCTTGAGCGTAGGATCTCTGAGAAGACTGATGATTGATTTGTAATTAGTGAATGGATTTTGTCAAAGTCTTATGAAAATTTTCCATGATGTTTTGCATTTTCTTTATTTTTAAGGCCCGGAAGGGGAGGAATTATCTCAGTGGTGGCCTTGCCCTCATTAATGAGGCATTAGCTCACCTGGTTCAAGCACAGTACAAAGAATACTAACAGAATAACAGTGAGAGCCTTCCCTGAGGGTTGGTCTGGATGTAATCCTGGGGTGGAGACATGTTGTTTCTATTAAGTTATTTCATCCTGGAGTCTTATCTTTGCACCAGAAACCCAAAACAAAAAATTCTTCTAATCATAAGGATTGGAAAAAACAGTCAAGTCATATTATTATGTTCTAAGATTGATGTTAAAATACTCCTTGTTCGCCCTGATAGTTTTCTTTCCTTCCTTCCTTCCTTCCTTCCTTCCTTCCTTCCTTCCTTCCTTCCTTCCTTCCTTCCTTCCTTCCTCCATCCCTCCTTCCCTCCCTCCCTCTCTCTCTCTTTTTCTTCTCTTCTCTTCTCTTTTCTTTTCTTTCCCCTTCCTGACTTGTTTATTGCTGTGATTCTGAGTAATCTAATTCACCAAGTTTTCACAAGTCTAACAGTAACCCAACTACAATTGGGACTTCTAAATAGTAGATGTGGCCGGGTGCGGTGGCTCACGCCTGTAATCCAGCACTTTGGGAGGCCGAGGCAGGCAGATCACAAGGTCAGGAGTTTGAGGCCGGCCTGGCCAGTATGGTGAAACCCCGTCTCTACTAAAAATACAAAAATTAGCCAGGTGTAGTGGCACACGCCTGTAGTCCCAGCTACTCGGGAGGCTGAGGCAGAAGAATTGCTTGAACTCGGGAGGCGGAGGTTGCAGTGAGCCAAGATCAACAGAGTGAGACTCCATCTCAAAAAAAAAAAAAAAAAAAAAAAAAAGTAGATGCTTTTTCTTTCCAGGTGCAAGAGAAGAAAATCATAACAAGGTCCTTCCCTTAAAAGTAAAATGATGCTGTCTGGTTACAAATGGGTTTGAGATGTAGTGAAATTTTGTTTACAGTTTATTGCTGTGGAATGATATCTTGGGTTTAAATGAGCTGTCTTTGCTAGGGGTTTGTTTTCTTTTCATACCAGGACAACACAAGAGTGAAAACCTGGCTTTGAGGAAATGTCAGGGCCAAACACTGCGTGCAAATAGAGGAAGGGTCAGGATGCTCTCTTCCAGAGACTTGTTCAGGACTCTTTAAAGGGGTTCATTTTCCCTGGATGCAGACTGAAAACTATCCACATCATTCCCCAACCCCCACTGCCATTTTGAATGGCAACTTCATGGCAAAGCAGAACAGAATCTGGGAGTGAGAGTTCGAATCCTACATCTTTGCAGTTACATAAATCCATGATGTTAATCATAGCTGCCCAACAGAATCTCTTGGGAGCCTACTAAAATGCAAATAACTGGGTAGTTTTGCCAAGCTATTGATTCAGTGGGTTTTGGGTAGGGCTTGGAATCTGTGTTCTTTAATCTGCTCGTTAGGCCACCCAATTTTGATCAACTTCCATCAATCTTTTACTCTAAGTTGATTAAATAGTGATATATTTATAGAAGTTTCTAACTCTAATTCAGTAGCATTTTTCTTTATTTCCTTTGTATGGACAACTGGCTTGTTAATATGCCTTCAGAGCCCAAGTCTCTGAAGTCAGTGTTCTCTTCTCAGCACTGCCTCTGATTTGAAGGATGACCTTTAACATCTCAATGGTTGAGTCTTTCCCTGTTTCCTATGTGGACCTAACCACTCTTTTTTAGCATGCTGAATGCCGACAGAAAACGATTGTGAAAAGTTCAAAATGTAAATTGCCATGGAAACATTATAGCACTGGTAAAACATGTATTCTCAGTAGATAAAGGGGAAGACAGATTGGGGTGAATGAAGCTATCCATTCATCAACCTTGGATTAATCAATCTCTGCTTGTCATCTTAAACAGAAGGATTTTAAAGGAATTATGGATTTCAGGTCAGAATTTGTCTGGTTTAGTATTTTTTATTTCAACTCCAAACATTTTTATAAAATGTGCCATGCTACTTCTGGGATATATAAAAATACCAGTCTCCAAGATAGTAGGAAAGCTGTTTGCTCAGAGACCAAGGGTGTTACTCCCTTTTACTTCAAACCAGGAAGCTGGAAGGAGCTATTCTGTTACGATATGTATTGGACATTTCCATATGCATTTAAGTCAAGGAATTATTCCTGAGTATCTTCTGAGACAGGGTGTTATTCTGGGTGTTTCGGAACATATAGATGTGAGGAATATGCAGTCTCCACTTTGACAAGTTTACAGATGGTTGCAAAGTTTTGGGTAAAGGTAAATTATTAGCTGCCTGTGATACAAGATAAAATATTTGCCATGGAGATTCAGAGCAGTGAAGGCCCTTGCATGTTGGGAGAACGAGCAAATACTTCCAAGTGGGAAATTAGATTTGAGATAGACTGTTTTTTTTTAACTTTTATTTTAATTTCAGGGGTACATGTGCAGGTTTGTTATATAGGTAAACTTGTGTTGTGGGAGTTTGTTGTACGTATTATTTCATCACTCAGGTATTAAGCCTAGTATCCATTAATTATTTTTCCTAATCTTCTCCCTGCCTCCCCCCACCACTCTCTGGTAGGCCCCAGTGTGTGTTGCCCCCCTCTGTGTGTCCATGTGTCCTCATCGTTTAGCTCCCACTTATAAGTGAGAACATGTGGTATTTAGTTTTCTGTTCCTGCATTAGTTTGCTAGGGATGATGGCCTCCAGCTCCATCCATGTCCCTGCAAAGGACATGATGAGATAGACTTTGAAAAACACACAGGATTTGACCAGACACAGGCATTCTCACTACAGAAAAAAGCTGGAACAATGGCCTGGAGGTGCGCTCAGGCAAAGTATGTATGAAATTGTCTTCAAAATCTACTGCAAGACTTTCAGATTTCCCTGGAAATGAGATAATTGCTCCTTTATTGACATAAGTTGGGGTTCATTTTACTATTTAGTCACCTGAGGATATGTTAGTTATCCCAGCATCCCAGCACCTCCTTTGCTTGAAAAAAATCCTTAGTGCTGGGGCCTTTGAGCTGTGGGAGTGAATGAATAGGCATGGGACCAAATTGTAGGACACTGGTAAGTATCCTGCACTGGGATACTGACATAGAGGCCAATAGGTTTAGGAAAGCCAAACAACCTGCTTACCTCACAGTATAAATGAAAAAGCCTGGGCTTTGGAAATCAGATCAGCCTGGATTTCAATCCTGGTTCTTGCTATTAATGTTTTCCTAGGCACATTATTTAATCATTAAATATAATGTCTGTCATGTAGCTGATACAGTTGGTATATTATAAATTTTCAATAAATTAATTACCTGGGTCCTGTGTGTAGAGACCATGTTTCAAGGAGGGATGGTAGATGCTCACCTGGGTTTCCATAGAGCCAAAGTATATTTCTCTTGCTGTTTTATAGCATACTCTGTCTCCTTCAAATCTCAGCTTTTTGCTTGGCTCTAGCCAAGATTGGAATGTTCCCTTAAATATTTCTGATCTAGCAGAAAGACCAGCCTTTCAGAACTTGCAGTGGCTTCCTTTGTTGACATTAGATTCATTTGGGACTTCTTTAAGTTGATGCTGCCATCTTCCTATGCTTTGGCCTCTACTTTGAACTTTCTAATCTTGCTGGTTTTGCCCTATCTGCTTGGGAATTTGACCACAACAGTACCAAGGTACCAATGTCACCTCTAGGCTAAACTAATGTCTTCTTGTAACTTGGTCTTTTCATATGGCACATCTTGCCAATCTTATGGGTTGCTCTTTGTGATCAAAAATGACCAACCTGATCATGACGGAGGGTATTGGGCACCAGTCTGGGGCCAGTGTGAGTATTTCTTGAGCTTGAGGTGGACTCCTTAACCTTGAAGACTCCTAACATGATGTCCTTATGTCCTTTAGCCAAATGCAGGAAGACCTGTGGTACATAGCTTGATCTTGTCTCTTTATACTCTAAACAAGCTGGTGGGCTAGATTAACTTCTTCAGGCCATCCTGACTCTCTGGCTTTTCTTTGAACTGTCTCTGGGGCTTTTGAGCAGCCTCTGGACTCCATGATGGAATGGGAAGTTTGTGATATAAGAGCTATGATACACTAACTTAATTTTTTTTTGCTCCTGTGTTTCCCAGACTCATTAGATTATGGCACACTCCTGCTCATGTGCATGCCAATTCACATATATACCCACCAAATGCCTGCTAACATATTCAGATAATGTTTTTCTCTCACTTTGGAAAAATGTCCTAGTTTAATCCTCATAAACATGCTGTGAAATGGATTTATTATCTCCCTTTTATGGATGCAGAAATGGAGTTTAAAGAACTTACAGGATTTGTCCAACATCACCTAACTGTAAGTTGCAGAGTTGTACACACTAATTAGTAATCCCGCTGCTCTTTGACCACACTCACTGTGCCTGCATGCATTAGCCCTGCTATTGGCCCTTGTGATAAAAATGTCATGCTAGCACAAAGTTGGGAAACAATACCCTTCCATAGGGTGGCCATGCCAATCAGAAGCCAATGTTACCTCTCTTAATCTTAAAGCATGAATGGGCTCTACTTCAGGTCTAATTGAACTGAGACCATAAAACCAAATTGAGAAGGCTCCATGGGTGTGTCATTTAGTCTCACATCCAGGAGCTTTCCATTGGGTCTGCTGCCACATTTACCTCTCTCTGGGTTTTGGGACATTCTCACATGGAAGGAGCCGAGATCGTGGCATAATTACCACCTGCTCCATTTGGGTACTCTGTCGGCTTCTACATCTACCCTCAAGTCTCCCACTCCGGGTGAGAGCAATGGTAGAGGCTTTTGTAGTGCTGATCATTATCTCCATCCCCGGGAAACAGGAAAACAGCACAATAGCAAAATCCTTTTGGCTATAAGATTTCCTGTCCCTAAGTCACAGAGGAAAACCACATAAAGACAACTAGAAGCTCAGTAACCCCCAGCAAACCTAGCTATGCACATTTAGCATGTCTAAGCAGCCTTAGGTTCAAATTCTGGTACATTGCTGTGTTTCTCTGAGCCTCAGTTTCAGCATTCATAAAATGGGGATAATAATACTTGTTTCCATTTCATAGTGTGATTCAAGGAGATAATTGATGTACTATGTTCTGTGTATGTCTGATGGACACTCTAAGGCAGAATTTGAAATAAAGACATTGCTTCAGCTGAAGGCAGATGTTAGGAATAGTTTGTTGTTAATCCCACCCTTTGGCAACAAAGACATTTCAACATCCAGTATCAGGCTGACTGTGACTCACAAATGAATTCAGAATAATAGCAATACCTGTGAGCTCTCAGACTGGCAGTCAGAACCCTGCTGAAAGGATTAGCGCCCGCAGCACATGGCAACTCTGGTAATGGTGACTTGAAGAAGTAGTAATGTCTCAGCTCTTTAAATTGTGTGTTTTTTTAACTAATATAATTTTTAAAAACTTCATTAGCAGCACAGAATGTTAGAACTGAAGGATCTTCCTTATCCCTGCCTCTCCTTTTACAGATGGGAAAACTAAGGACCCTCAAAAGGGACTGTACCTGGCTTCAAAGTGACAGAAGTAATAGATGACAAAAATGAGATTCTAACTTGATCTCTTGTATAATGTCAATATTCTGATTTTACATGCTCATTAGATAAAATTGAAAAAAAAAAAAAAGAAAATGATGGCCAGGCACGGTGGCTCACGCCTGTAATCCCAGCACTTTGGGAGCCAAGGTGGGCGGATCATGAGGTCAGGAGATCGAGACCATCCTGGCTAACACGGTGAAACCCCGTTTCTACTAAAAATACAAAAAAAAAAAAATTTAGCCGGGCGCAGTGGCGGGTGCCTGTTGTCCCAGTTACTCGGGAGGCTGAGGCAGGAGAATGGCATGAACCTTGGAGGCAGAGCTTGCAGTGAGCCGAGATAGCGCCACTGCAGTCCAACCTGGGTGAAAGAACGAGTCTCCGTCTCAAAAAAAAAAAAAAAAAGAAAATGATTAAGAAGAAAAAGATCACCAATAATCCTACTCTACAGACATATACATCATTAACATTTTGGTGTATTTGATGCACCAAATAGCAAATACCTCTCTTTCTGTCTTCTCTGTGTGTTCATTTTCTTTCACCTGTTCAGAAACATTAAAACTCAGGTCTTCTGACTTCACGCTCAGTGCTTTCTCTTAGCATATCAGGCTGCCTTTCTAATCAGCATTCTTATTTGATATTTAGTAACCAAGAGTTAGGTTTTAAATTCTCAAAACCAAGTAAAGCTGCCAGTGAAACCCCATGTGTATATGGCTCATTAAGAAAACAGGTGTAATAATGAAATCATGAATAAATAGATCACCAAAATGGCCTAGATCAGAGAGCCAAGCATGATGCTAGACAGAGGTGTCTCAAAAAGCACAGCCACATCCCTGCCCTCAAGGAGCATGCTCAGTGGCATGACCTCTATCTGAAACAAGGGCTGTCTGCCTGTGCTCATCCCAGCTCAGAAATGAAGCAGAAAATGAAAAGGCCACATGGGATGCTTCCTACAGTCCTGTTAATGTCAGGAGTGCAATGCCTAGGCCCTAGGCATTTTGACTCAGCTTCAGTTCTCTCTCCCAAGGCTGAATTACTAGAACTCCAGCTGCAGCCTGAACTTTAACTCCCTGTTCTCTTCCCAACCCACAATCTTGTTATCAGTCTGATTCTGATCTGTTAGGGAGAGGGGAGGGGGAGCTAGCAGAGATGTGACTAAGGGCAATTGAGATAGGTCAGAATGGCCTTGCAGTATATTCTGTCTTAGTGAAGGTTTTGCTAAACCATTGCTGCACTGGGGAGAGAGTAGGAGAACCCCTGCCTCCTTGTCCGCATTCCCTTAGTTAAGCTGAGCTAAGATGATCCCTCCAAGCTTTTCCTAACAGGGAATCTACATTCTCTGTGTCTTGCTGGCTGGCCACAATTCCTTGGGGAGGCAGGAGCTAACTCTACCGTCCTAGCCAACTTGAATAATAGGAAATAAATGGGATGGAGAGCCAGGCAGCCTCTTTGTTACACAGCACGTTAGTGAAGCAGCTATCTATTTTTAGAAGAGGGGGAAAAAGTAGTAGCTTACTCTTTTGGGATCAGCAGGTGGAATAATGATCTGCCAAATTTTAACATTCAAGATTTTTTAGCTGGGCTACAAATGAGACAGACTTTTGTGCCTGCCTCAGTGCAATGCTGTCAGTGTAATCGCACATCCCTGGGCAACTAAAACATGAACGCTGGGGAAAGGAGATATAGGACTCCATGTCACAGAACTGAAGGCTGAGGGTGCATGCTATACCAATAGCCTGATTGATTTAATTAGAAAAAAAATAGGTGGCCTAGTCACCAGGAGTATTGAAACCTCAGATCTCTGCTCAAATGTTACACTCAGTGAGGTTTTCCTTGGCATTCTATTAAAAGTAACGCTTGCCGATGACGCTTCTTTTAGCCTGCATTATTGTTCTTTCCTGTACGTATCGCTACCTGACATTGCTTTTTATCTGTTTATTAATTTTTCTATTTTCTGTCTCAGCCACTGGAATGTAGGGCTCAAAAAGACAGAGGCTTGCCTTTGTTCACTGCTATGTCCCCACGGCCTAGAACTATGCCCAGCACATGATAGGTGCTCAGGAAATATATGTTGAATGAATTAATGAATGAACATGTGAATGAATAAACTTAGTATCCAATAGACAATGAGTATGCCAATAAAAATGACAAGAGCAATTAATAATTATTGCATGCTGCACATTAACTCACTTAATCCTCACAGTAACTCTGCATGGTACATACTGTCCTTATTTTCATTTTACATTTAAGGAAAATTAGACTTGGGGGTTAAGTGACTTGCCTCCGTGGCCTTTGGGTCACAGCATGAATAAATAATACAGCCAGGGTTTGATCATCAGCCTGGGGACAATGATTCCAGACATATCAGACTGAGCATTCACTTAATAGTATTTTGCATTGGTTTTTTGGAATTTCCTTCCATGATTCTTACCTGGCCCTGTAAAACTCTTTCGATAAAATGACCATATGAGATGGATGTTTCATTTCCATCTGCTTAACCTATAGCATCCATGGACTTGTCATTATAAACTCCAACCAGAAGAGCAGGATATGCCTCATTGTTCTGTGACAAAAAGAACCCATTGAACATTTTTTGGCTTAGCTGTGGTTCATTGGTGAAGCTAGATCAGATAGAGAATGGTGGTTTCTTCCTTAAAGGTTTAAGAATAAGGATTAATGGCTATTCTGACATGCTCTAATGTGGACTTTCTCCCACTGGATCCACGACCTAAACAACCACGTTTCCCAACTTAAAGTGTTTTGCAAAGCCAGAGCATGTCAGGGCTTCCTGGTCATGTTTTTAGTCACTTTCATTCACAAAAGTGAAATTTGTTTGTACTCCCTTCTCCCCAAATAAAATGCAACAAAAATACATCAGACCACAAAATCACACCTAGTAAAAGCTGCCCACTGAGCTCTCTAGGGCAGTGCATATTCATTTATACGTGCATCCAAAAGTTGTCAAGGTCCCCTTAGAGTCTTATTGCCTTCTGGGGTCTCCCATGCACTGTCAACCACGTGGCTTAGGGAGTATATGGAGTCTCATTTTTATCCTGAGCATAGTTTATCCACATGGCAATATCTGGTATATTCCATTGTCAGAGTAGTCACATTATCTTGTGCTTATAAAAATTAAAGTCTCTATTATGTGTTTGTATTATAATTACCTAATTAAATAGTTTTATTATTCCTTTTAGAGGAGACCTACATTTGAGTGAGAGGCTCTGTTTTCATGCAAAATTCAAGGGGTCACTGCTCTGTTTTCAAAGAACAGGCAAGCTCTAGGACCGTCTACTCCATGGGTTCTGTGCTCAGTAAGGTCCCTGTCCCAAGAATCCCAGATTTTAGGGGAATTCTACGCCACTCAACCCAATCTGGACATAGAGTCCATCTCAGTGTACAGACCACTGCCAGATTTCTTAAGTCATTCTTCTTTCTTTCCGTCAGGTTTGGTCATAATTGTACTTACGTTTACTGTGAGTTAACTGAGATTTCAAAATCCTTTTCAATATTTCATATTGATTTGCAGGTAACGACTAAATCTCTAATAGAAAGAGTCCTGACACTTAGATTCCTGTCACATTAGAGAAAAATCTATTTTTTACCAAGTTTCACTTTCAACATATTCTACTAGTTCAAGTCATAAATTGTCAAGGAAGAAAAAAGGCCCATGTGATTTGTTCTCTTGGAGCGCGCATGTCCCTTTTCCCAACTAACTCAGAGGTTCTCATCCTGGCTGCATATGAAACTCATTTGAGAGGGCTTCTAAAAATTACCAGTGTCCAGCCTCCAGGTTCTACCACAGGCCAAGCAACTTAGAATGTCTCAGGGTAAGGCCTAGGAGGATTTAAATGTGCACCCAAGAGTGAGAACCACTGAATTACAGAATTTCTAATGCTGTCCACCACCAGAGTTTATTTGTGCAGCCAGTGCAAGTTGAGCACCACTTATCTAGAATGGAAGTGTCTTAAGGGAAGGCCCTATATTTTATCTGTTTTCCCAGTGCCTAGCAAAGGGCTTGGACCCTGGTAGGTGCTCAGCCTCATATGTGGAAGATAACAGCTATTCGAAGCAATTCAATTTGTGTCAAACACCTTATGTCATTGCCAGAAACATCAACACAGTTCCAACTACATTTCATTTAAAAGATACTGCCCCCCTCGCCCACCCCACACAACCACGATACACACACAAATTCTAAATGTCATCCTGGGAGTTGCAAAGTGCTTCTTTGAAATCTTATTTGTGCTGCTTCTGTGTATCCATACTTAAAGTATCTTGACACGAGCCACTGTCTTTTTGTGCTTGAAATTGTCTTTAACATATTTTACTTTGACATTAGTATTTACTAGGTTTTTGTTCATATATCTCTTTTCTAAAGCTCTGGGAGAAAGAGAGGCAGAACAATCATATCTGCCAAATGGAAAGAAGACTTTAAAATATATATATAGCTAGAAACTTTCACCTAGAGAATCAATCTCTATCCATTTATACATAGTCAATCATAACTGCCACTGTGGCCTTCCTTTGTTTCCCCTTCCTACCTACCATGCATATACACCTGCTCACAGAAGCATTGTTGGGCCAGTATTTGAGACTTGAGGTGCCCAGAATTGTATCATTCTGCTATTGAGCAGCATAGAATACTCTATTTTGGGGGAGAAAGAATATGTGAAATAAACAGAGCAAATATGCAAGGTAATTTAGTTTAAAATAAATGCTACAGTAGTCATAAGAGGCAAGAATTTTCTCAAGTTTTAATAGAGGGAGCAGATACCTTGACTCTACTATAATAGAACTAAGATGGGCATAGAGGCCTGGGAAGGCATCTTGGATAAGTGGAAAGCAAGATCATGGGTGTGGAGCTAGAAATGAGGTGGATATTTGGGAAAAGTTTGTCTCAAATATAATGGTAGTTGTGTCCGTTTAATCTACTTGTTGGGGTTTGGAGACTTCTTATTTGGAAGGAGCAGTGATCATGATGCAGCCTAAGGTCCACTTGAACCACTCCTTTCTGTTTTGAGAAACAAAGATACCAACCACCAGTGAAAATAAGATGCTTTGAATACTCAAGAGAAACTCATTCTCAGCCTGACCTGCAATGTGGTAGAGATGCTTGGGGAGAGTGCTGGGTTATGCCCTGTTAAACAGTTGTAGACATCTCGACGCCATAAGAAATCATTTTCCTGGACCAGATTGATTGCTTTCAGCTGATAGAGTATAGTTTTATTGGTTCCTACTCATTTTGCCATTTTATATTTTTATAGACTTGTCAGTTTTCTTGTCTTCCTTTCTACAATAACATTTATCCAGTAGTATATCAACCTTAAAATTTGATTGTTGGCATATTCAGTAATGGGAATTTAGAAATCCACTTTTTATTGATGTCCTAGAAGTTTGTATGCAAGGAAGAATCATTAAGCTTGTCCTTTGATGATGGACAAAATCTAGTAATTAGTATTTTTTTTTCATTTTTAATTGTCAACTGGCTTTTAAACTTTAGATCTTTTTTTCTCCTTGTTCTTTTCACTATGCTCTAAAACAATAGCTAATCTCAGCTTCTATGAAATTGATCTTTATTTAAAACTAAGAATGTTTAGTCAAATGTGGTAATGGGTTCCTTAAAGGCACTTATACATGATTTTGTGGTTTTACTTAGGCATTTAGGTGATGCTGCATATAATTTGTATTAAAGAGAGGCCATTAGCAAACATATATAGACTTCCTTCATAGATTTCAAAAAACCATTACCCAAATAAATGTATTTTTGGTATTTAAATATTCCTACCAAGAGTTTTCTTTGCAGAGTTTTAATCAATATGATTTTGTATTCCTCCTCTTTTATCCTTTCTACTTGTTGTTATCACAGTGATAGAAAAAAAATGAGGAAGTAAAACTCCAATTTAGATTTTGTTCCTACCCCCAAAATAGCTAAAAAGTTGATGGAGAGAATGTTAAAATTATTAGTTAAAATGAGACTGTGAGAGTATCTGTGGAAAGGAAAACGTTAAGGGGTGATCAAACTGTTAGAAAAGGAGGGATGGTTTCCTTCAGAGAACAAGAAGATCATATGAGAACAAGATTGAATTACTCAAATAAGTGAAATATACCCTCACTTTGTTTTCAAGCTTATAGGCCACATTAAGAACATTTCTGTATTATACAAAATGGGTGCAACATTTATCCCTTGCTATAACCATCAAAATAACCTGTGTTGAGTGCTTTGCTCTAGCAGTCTAACAGAAATATCTGACATCCTTAAATCTGCAACTCAACAGGCTAAAAGACCGGAAAATAGATTTCTGCATTACCAGTCAAACACTCAGAACCATAATCAAACTTTCCCTTTCTGTTATTTTACTGGTTTTTCTTAAAATGTCAGGAAGTATGATTAGCTTCACAAATCTTAAACTATTCAGTTTCTCTACTCTCCTCCCAATACTTGTAAGGAACTTAGAGTGTTTTAACTTTGATCTCCCAATTACTACATACCAAATTATTGTCTGTCAGTATTTAGTTCTACCTTACTTCCACAATTCCTCCATTAGCCATTATTTCTTTTAATATTTACAGTTAGTGTTTATTTAAATTCACTAGCAACTTCTTTGCTTGCCGTTTTTTTCTTACATCCTACTCCATGCCTTTTGTTTAAACTACAGTGTATCCTTTTAGTGAAGTTTTTATAAGCAATGAACTCTCTCAGTTTTATTTTTTTCTGAGATTGAAATTTCACTTTCACTGGTTTAATGATGGGTTAGCTGGATGGAGATATCTCAGTCCCCACCAACAACCTCAGTACTTTAAAAATACTACTCCATTTGGTGCTGATGAGAAGTCTATTAATACAAGTTTGCCAGGGGGATAAATCATGGAAGAGAGAAAGGAAACACTTTATATCCAAAGGCTCAGAGATTCAAGAGAGTCTAGGTGCCTGGGGACGACCATATCAATAGCTCCTGTCAAGTGGAATGCTATAAACATCAAAGGAATAGGTAATCCTCTGCCCTGGCCTCTTGCACAGGCACTTGTGCCCTCAACACACTGAGCTCCCCACTTTCCCATGCAAGTTTCCTGATGATTACAAAGAGATGCAGGACCTATGGGCTTAGGGTCTGTGACAGAACTACCAGGCTTGGGTAAAGTTCCAGCAAACAGCCCCACCGTGCGCTTCATCATTTCATAAATGCGTATCAGTCCAGATGCTAAATTCTGAAACTGGAGAGGAAAGAGGAATAACCAACTTAAAAAAACAAAAGCAGTTCTAGCATGCCTTTTAGCACATACTTACTGATTATGTGCCAGAAAATATGCTGAGGATACAGCAGTGCACAGACCACATCCCTATTCATGTGTATCTTATGTGCCAAAGTGAGGAGACAGAATAAATGTGGAAGCCAATATACACCTAATGTCTAAAAGTCATCAATGTTCTAAAGAAACACAGCAAGGTGAGTGGACAGGGAATAATTGGAGAGCACTTCTTTACTTAAGGTGGGGTCGAGTTGGTATTAAGAATGAGACCCAAATGATAAGAAGGGGCTAGCCTCATCAAGGAAAGAGGTTAATGAGTGATCCAGGCCAAGGGCAGAGGAATTGCAAAGCCTCTATGGCAGGGACATGTTGATTATGTTCAAAGGGCAGAAAAAAAGCAGTGAACTAGGGGAAGAGTCAGAGGAGATAAGGCCAGGGAAGTGGCCAGGGGTAATGTCATATAAAGCCTTGTAGGCCATGCCAAGGGGTTTGGGTTTTCTTCTGCATGACATGGGAAGCCATTGGACAGTTTTAAGTGAGAGGCAACACAATCAGATTTCAGTTTTTAAAGGCTTGCTCTGATGATTATATGAATAATTGAGTAGAAGGGGCTGAAAATGCAGAAGGGGAGATATATTGGGAAGCTATTAGAATCTAGCAGAGGAGTAGTGGCATCTTGGACTAGGGTTGTGGCTGTGAGGATGATGAGAGTGATCAGATTTGGGACCTGTTTTTGACATAGAGCTCATGGGAACTGCTGGTGGATTGGAATTGAGGGTGTGTGGGAAGGAGAGATACCCAGATTCTCTACTGTGTTCCTGGATAGTACCTTTTATTGAGATGGAGAAGATTAAGAGAAGGAACAGAGGTGGAAGGATGAGTATAAAGAGTTGCAGTTTTGAGGGATGGAGGGATGAGAATGGAGATACTGTGTAAGAATGGTTTGTTGAGGAGTTTGGACATGATCCTGTCTGGATCCCTGAGTTAGTGGAGTTTTAGACATTAGTAAGTGACATGGTCAGCTTATGGTATGTAAATGCAGCTGAGAGTCCAGTGGGAGCCTCAAAATATTGACTGGTGCTCTTGAATCACATTACATTTTCAATTAGTAAAAAGAACCTGACTGACTTACCAGGCCTGGTAGGACATCTCATCATTTTTAGCTTTAATTCTCCTTCCTTTTCTCTTCTCCCATTTTTTTTATCTCCAAAACCGAGCTCCTTTCATGAGAATAAACCCAGGGCATATGCACATATACTCACACGCATAGACACTTACATATTCATATACGTACATAACTGTGCTATTTCTAATTTTCTGACCAAAAATGAGTGACCTCACTTAGGGAGGTGGACTAGCTAGTTGTCTGCTTCATGCTTCTAATTGCAGGCAATTTCTTGAGGGCGGTGGGAACTAGTTATCCATTTATTAATTACCTTAAGAAAAGCTAAAAATATTCTTTTTGGGGTAAATACACTGCATAGAAGGTTCTTTTTTGGAGAAATCCAAGATGGAGGGCATCCTGAGCTGGTATCATTCAGTTCATTCTTGTCTTGGCCCATCATGTACATAGTTTTGAAACTTCTTTCTCTAATTCTGGCAGCTTCCTGGTTTGAGATCCAGAAAGCTTTTCTGGGTATGTGTATCGTGGACCAAGTAGCCTCAGTTTCTCATGAAATCTTGCAAGCATTTCAAGAATGTCAACTTTGGCAAGCATTCTCCCCAAGAAATGGAGAGAATTGTGCCGATATGGCTGGCTTTTTGTGCTAAGGAAAGGGATGATAAAGTGACCTTACCCAGCACCTGGAAGGATGCCCCATGGGATATGAGTGCAGGGTATAGTCTGGACAGGGTGCTATGCTGCACATGACAGGGGGATTGTAATTGGCTTAACAACCATGACATTGAAATTTGTATTTAAATACAAGCTTCCATTTCCCCATGTTTCTCCTACTCATGCATATCAACCTTAGCCTATAGCCAGTAACTGTTGAGTTTCTACATGTTCTTATAACCCAACCCCCCCAAAAAACACAAGCTTTTTTTCTCATCTGAGTCTTTCCAATATGCAAGCCAAAGCAGCAACTGACTTAGCCTTGAATAAAAGACTAAATAAAAGCTAGAGAACCTGAGAAAACATGAGAGACACAGCATTGAATCTGGTTTCTAATTCCATGGACTTGACGGCTGGAATCGTGATGGAGCAGGGAGGGGAGGCCAGTCCCACCAGTGTGAAAGTAAACACCAGAAAGATTTTTCCTCAGTAAAAGGAGATGTTCCAAGCATTTTAGTGTGACAACCTCCTTCTGAGCCTTTGATAGGGGCATAGAAGAGAGAATAAGAGAGAAGAGAAGGGAGGCAACAATAAATCACCAAAGAGCTTTTGTCAATTATTTCTCCCTCAAACTGCCAATTGCACAGGAAAGGCAGATGACGCAAATTCTCTCCTTTCCATCTATAAAATTGCTCTAATATTTTATGAAGATGTTAAAAGAAATGATTCTCTTTTTTATCCTCTCCCTCTCACGAATCTCCCCCTTCCCAACAAACTTGGGGCATTTAATCACCTCTCAATATTATTTAAACCTTCTATGAAAAAAAATCTATGAATGCTTCAAAATAGTAAAAGGACACAGAGGGGAAAAAAGGGAGTCTGGACACATTGACTGAAGGTGAAATAATTCTTTGTGTTTCTTTTTCAAAGAACTGGGACATAAAGTGGGTGCTGGGCCTTTCATGGTCCTTGCACTTACATGTTTGCCTCAGTGAGTGAGTAGAAGGAAATGAGACAAAAGCATCCATTGAATCCACATATACCAAGCGTCTACTTAGCACGTGGTAAATTGCCTGGCCTGGCCCCCACTAGATGTTCAAGAAATATTTATGAACCAACTACTTTTAGCTTTGACCCTGTACTAGTCACTGATGACGCATAAGTAAATAATATAGGTAGTGCTTGCACTCAAACAACTCATACATTTTAGGTAGTTAAAGGGTGTGCAATGGAATGCTGTTCATACCCCCTCCCTTTCTCCTGCTTGTTTGCAGCTCTACTAGGAAGTCATAATTTGTATTGTTGTTGTTAATGTCAGAGGATGCATTTTTAAATAGAAGAGCAAATATGCCTCTTGTAGCGGGAGAAAGATCCCATGGCATTTATTTAGGCAAGTGGGATTTAACTTCAGAGGCAGCTGATGTTCTGTCTAAGCTTTGTACATGTGGTGTGATTTGTCAGCAGTGCTACTGAAAGCCTGAGAGGGTGTTCCCTGATCCATGAGGTGTTTGTGAGAGTCCTATGAATATTTGACCTCATCAAGATAAAACAAAGGTATGGGCTTTTGGGTTCCTTTATCACAGAGATAATAATTCTGATTCAGATCTGAATCTGGACCAGTGCCCAGGCTGTGAAGTGCATTCTTATGACAAATTGCCATGGCTGATCATGCAAGCCCTAGATGTGGTGTGAGGGCTGAGACTCATCAACCTCATAGTAGTTTGGTGGTGTGAACTCTTTGGTTCTGTGCCTGCTGTGCTCAGCTTAATCAGCAAGTGTGCCCAGCCTCAGACGGACCCTTAAAGTCTTCCAGATCCAACACGATGGAAATAGTGCTGGCCCAGCAGACAGAGATATGACAAGTGTGTAGCATCTGCTGTGGCTGGCTCTGCTTCCCTGATGCTTCACTGGTAGGTTTTTCTTCTAGATTCTCAACAACTCTACCTGATGTCATGTGGCCTTAGAACTTGCTCACATAATTGTTCATAGCAGTTAGTGATCAACAGAATGTGAACCATTCCAAGACTGAGATCCATATTCACTTAGCCAAGCAAGGCTGAATAGAGTCCCAGGCCCTTCCAATATGCAAGCCAAAGGAGCAACAGACTTAGCCTTGAATAAAGAAAAAAAAAACTGAAAATAAGCTGGGCGTGGTGGCTCACCTCTGTAATCCCAGCACTTTCGTAGGCCAAAGCGGGCAGATCACTTGAGCCCAGGAATTGGAGACCAGCCTGGGCAACATGGCGAAACCCCATCTCTACAAAAAATACAAAAATTAGCTGGGCATGGTAGTGTGCACCTGTAGTCCCAGCTACTCTGGAGGCTGAGGTGGAAGAATGTCTTGAGCCTGGGAGGCGGAGGTTGCAGTGAGCCAAGATCATACCACTGCACCCCAGCCTAGGTGACAGAGCCAGACCCTGTCTCAAGGTGCATTTTCTGTCTTGCCTCTGAAGTGGCCCCAACATGTACATGCTACACGTCCCGTGTTCCCACCCCCGGAACTTTAGACTGGATCCAGGATTTAGGTGCTCACCGTCATCTGCCATCATCTACGTGATCTCATTACTTTTCTGTCAAATATGCCATAGCTACTGCAGTGGTGTCCTGAGGGATAGGTAGGGCACATTCAGACAGAGTGGCACAGGTAAGGTTGAGGGAGGCATTCCAGGAAGGAGGAATGGCATGTAAAAGTGTCAGATGTCGAAGGGCAATTATTTTCCCATTTAACAAACAAGGACACTGATGTTTAGAGAAGTTAGACATCCTGCTTAAGTTAACATAGCTAAAAGCACAGCCAAGATTCAAGCTCAAGTCTGCCTAACTCCAAAGCCTGTTTATTTGTACATATGCTGTCTTATGAAGGATAGGGTGAGGAGTTTGGATATATCTTATAAGAAGTCGGGAGCCATTGAATGGTTAGAGAGGAGACTTAGATGATGAAATCAATGTTTTATGAAGATTAATTTGGCGGCCATGTGCAGGATGGATTAGGAAAGTGAGAGGCTAGAATAGAGACTGGTTGGTGAAAGAAAAGTATAGGTGAAAATGATTTATGACTCATTATTGTGTACTGAGCTATTGATATTTAATTCCCCTATCATAGTATTTATCTCAAGTATATTTTTTAACTTTTATTTTAAATTGACAAGTAGTATTGGTACATATTTATGGGGTACAATGTGACGTTTTGAGATATAAATAAAAATATATATACACACACACACAAATTGTGGAATGATTAATCAAGCTAATTAACATATCCATCATCTCATATACTTACCATTTTTATAGTGAGAATATTTGAAATTTACTATTAGCAATTGTGAAAAGTACACTACATTATTATTATAGTCAGCATGCTGTGCAATAAATCTCACAAATGTATTCCTCCTAATTGAAATGCTGTACCCTTTAATCTTTGTACCCTTTGAGCCCAGGAGTTCAAGACCTTCTTCCATCCCCAACCTCTGATAATTCTTCTCTCTATTTCTATGAGTTCAACATTTTAAAATTTCACATGTATGTGATATCATGCAGTATTTGACCTTGTGTGCCTGGCTTATTTCACTTAGCCTAAGTTTTTCAGGTTCATGAATGTTGTAGCATGTGATAAAATTTCCTTATATTTTGTGGCTGAATAGTATTCCACTGTGTATATATGTCACATTTTCTTCATCTATTCATCCATTGATGGACATTCATTGACTCCTTATCTTGCCTATTGTGAATAAAACTGCAATGAACTTGGGACTGAAGATATCTTTTCAACATACTAATTTTATTTCCTTTGGATATATACCCGTGTGAAATTGCTGGATCATATGGTAGTACTATTTTTAGTTTCTCAGGTACCTCCATACTATTTTTCATTATGGCTGTACCAATGTACATTCCCACTAACACTGTACAAATCTCTTATCTATGTGATAATGACCATCCTAACAGATGTGAGGTGATTACCTCATTATGGTTTTGATTTGTTGAATACCTTTTCATATACTTATTGGCCAATTTTATGTCTCCTTTGGGAAAATGTCTATTTGAATCCTTTGCCCATTTTTTAATTAGATGATTTGGGGTTTCCTTTTTTGTTTGTATGAATTCCCTATACATTTTAGATATTAACCCATCAGATAAAAGTGTCCTCACCCTTCCTCCCAACACACACATACATGGTAACTGTGGATGGTGATGGATGTGCTGATTTGATTGGTGTAATAATTACACCATGTATACATATATCACATCATCAAGTTGTACACCTTGAATATATCCTGTTTCATTTGTCAAGTATACATCAATAAAGCTGGAAAAAATAGGTTGTCAAGTAAGGGAGCCCAAGAAAAGTATCAGGTATATTTACAGAGCCAAATCAGGTGTTTCACATTCCCAGTATGGATGTGTAGCATGTTTATACTCTGGGTTACATTTATTGATTTGCGTATGTTGAACCTGCCTTGTATCCGAGGGAAGAAGCCCACTCGATCATGGTGGATAAGCATTTGATGTGCTGCTGGATTCGGTTTGCCAGTATTTTATTGAGGATTTTTGCATCAGTGTTCATCAGGGATATTGGTCTAAAATTCTCTTTTTTTGTTGTGTCTCTGCCAGGCTTTGGTATCAGGATGTTGCTGGCCTCATAAAATGAGTTAGGGAGGATTCCCTCTTTTTCTATTGATTGGAATAGTTTCAGAAGGAATGGTACCAGCTCCTCCTTGTACCTCTGGTAGAATTCGGCTGTGAATCCATCTGGTCCTGGACTTTTTTTTTTGGTTGGTAGGCTATTAATTATTGCTTCAGTTTCAGAACCTGTTATTGGTCTATTCAGGGATTCAACTTCTTCCTGGTTTAGTCTTGGGATGGTGTATGTGTCCAGGAATTTATCCATTTCTTCTGGATTTTCTAGTTTATTTGCATAGAGTTGTTTATAGTATTCTCTGATCATAGTTTGTATTTCTGTGGGATTGGTGGTTATATCCCCTTTATCATTTTTTATTGCATCTATTGGATTTTTCTCTCTTTTCTTCTTTATTAGTCTTGCTAGCGGTCTATCAATTTTGTTGATCTTTTCAAAAAACCAGCTCCTTGATTCATTGATTTTTTTTGAAGGGTTTTTTGTGTCTCTATCTCCTTCAGTTCTGCTCTGATCTTAGTTATTTCTTGCCTTCTGCTAGCTTTTGAATGTGTTTGCTCTTGCTTCTCTAGTTCTTTCCATTGTGATGGAAAGAGAAGATACTACAGGTCCTTTAGTCTTTCCTCCGAATCCCCCGAGACCCGGGGCATTTTGAAATAGAGAACACTTTTGTGTATTAGAATGGTAAAAAAGTTGGATTAATAAAGACAGTAAGTTTCCTCCTGGCAGTTCAGATAAAATTTTGCTGCCCAATAAGTCCATTCGGCTCATATAATACCACAGAAATATGTCTTTTCTATGTAGAACTTTTTGGAGTTTGGAATTACTAATAACCTCGTAAGGTATGGTAGACCTGTATTATACCAATAATAATGAATGTAAACATCATGAATAGAAAAATATGAGCTCTCTGCTTGGCTCATTCAGATCATGACTCTGATTAGTGCATTGAGGAGCATTTTGTGGACAGGCTGGAGTCAGCATTACAATTGTGAGTCTGTTTACCCATAATAGCTCCTATTTTTGAGCAATATGTGGGTGTCTATGCTGGGCACTATACAAGGTGGCTCACCTTACAGGTTGCACAAGTAATTCAGACTTATTTCACGTTATCCACCTAGTGAAGTGTTACCAATATAGGCTTCAGGTGAAGCTTTTCTCTAATACCTGTTTTTTTTTCCTTACCCTTAAGTGATTGATGACATGAAATCATTCTCGGACAAAAAGCTCAACTCCTTGCAGGAGGCAGCATAGCAGGGTGAAGGAAGCATCTGAGTGGTCATACCTGACTTGTCATTTATTAGGTGACTCTTGGGCAAGTCATTTCATCTCTCTAGGCATCAGCTTCCCTATCTTTAAAATGGGGGTGGTAATCCCTTCCGAGCCCACCTGACAAGAGAGCTGTGAGGATTTTGATAGATAATAAATAAACGTGAGGGCACCTTGTAATCTCCGAGGCACCACTTCAACATAAGGTGGAAAAATTATAAGCGCAAGGACAAGCCTCGTGTATCAATTTGCTATGAGGCAAATGGCCAAAATGGAGTGAGAAGGATATCTCAAAAAGCAAAGGATCTGGGTGTGGGTACAGGGTGAAGGGAAGATAGATGTCACCAGGGAAAGCCAGTCACTCATACCATCTGACCTTTTCAGCCTTCTCAGTTACCTCCGAGGTCCTTCTCATATCCCTGGGAGTCTCTTAATTGTCCCCTTTCTCTTCTAATCCCTGTGCTTCAAATGTTGCATGGATTTTTTGAGCTGCCTCGGTAGCTACCTTTTGTAGTCTGCTTTGTAGCTTCTTACAACATCACCTTCATCTTCCTCTCTCTCCCTCCCTCCCTCCCTTTCTGCCCACCCCCCTTTGCTTCCTCCCCACTTGTATCTATGTATTCCTGGGTCTTGGTGGGTAGTCACTAAATATTGGATGGGTGCATTCTTAGGGCACTTTAAACCTTAGAGGAGACAAACATTCATGTAGCTAAGTATGTCTACCACCCATATATGCTCCCCTTGAATTCTCAACTAGGTTCTCTAGAACCCACTATATATGAGCCCCCATCTCCTCTTCCTGGCATTCGAGGGCTCATCTAAATCAGCCAAACTTATAACTAGAGGCTCCCCACTAAGCACCAGCTATTCTTGGCAGCCTGATCCCTGGTCACTCCTTTGGAGGCTTCTACTCATTCCCACTCCCAGACCTCTATATTAGCTCAAGTTGTTTCCCCATCTGAAACACTCTGCCTCCTCTGCTTCACTTATTGTTAAGAATCCTTTAGCCCTTACCTCCTGCAAAAAACCTTCATTGACACAGTTTATACAGATCTTGTCTGTATATTACTTGTCTCTGCTGACCTTCTGTAGCACTTTACCCTCTGTACCACTAATTCCCTACTTAATCTTTCTCTGCTTCTTGTGATATACATATATGTATTGCTAGTATGAATTGTTTGCTTTGTGTCAGACACTGTACTTAATATTTTACATCAATAACACAACTTAATCCCTACCATTCAGTGTTATCCATTTGCCCATTTTATAAGGTTCAGAGGGGTTGAGTAACTTTCCCAAGGACACATGGTTTGTAGGTGGTGAAACTGAGGTTTAAACTCAGTTATTGTATGAATTCAGCACTGTATAACTACCACATATTTGGGTAATAATCTCTGCCCTAAAAGTGCTTGCACTCTAGATGGGAAGATAAGACTTGGACATCAACTCTTATTTCCCTGTTATAGACTGTATTAGTCAGGGTTCTCTTAGAGGGACAGAACTAGTAGGAGATAATACACACACACACACACACACACACACACACATATGTATATATAGAGAGAGAGACAGAGATTGGAGTTTAAGTATTAACTTACACGATCACAAGATCTCACAATAGGCCATCTGCAAGCTGGGGAGCAAGGAGAGTCAGTCCGAGTCCCAAAACTGAAGAACTTCGAGTTAGATGTTTGGGGGCAGGAAGCATCCAGCACGGAAGAAAGAGGGAAGCTAGGCCTGTCTCTCCTTTTCATGTTTTTCTGCCTGCTTTATATTCGCTGGCAGCTGATTAGATTGTGCATACCAGATTAAGGGTGGAACTGCCTTCCCCAGCCCACTGACTTAAATGTTAATCTCTTTTGGCAACACCCTCACAGACACACCCAGGATCAATACTTTGTATCCTTCAATTCAATCAAGTTGACACGCAGAATTAACCATCACATGGACTGAATGTGTTTCTGACAAATTCATACATTTCATGCATTGAGGTCCTAACCTCTAACGTGAAGGTGTTAGGAGGTGGGGCCTTTGGGAGGTAATTAGGCTTAGATGAGTTCATGAGGGGTGAGCCCCAGTGATGGGATTAGTGTTCTTATAAGAAGAGAAACCAGAGCTTCCTCTCTTCACAACATGAGGATACAGAAATAAGGTGGCCATCTGAACCAGGAAGTGAGCCCTCACCAGAAGCCGAACATGCTGACACCCTGACTTTGGATATTCAGCCTCCAGAACTGTGAGGAACAATTTTTTTTTCTGTTTTTTGAGTCGGAGTCCCACTCTGTTGCCCAGGCTGGAATGCAGTGGCGCAATCTCGGCTCACTGCAAGCTCCGCCTCCCGAGTTCACGGCATTCTCCTGCCTCAGCCTCCGGAGTAGCTGGAACTACAGGTGCCCGACACCACAAATTTTTTTGTATTTTTAGTAGAGACGGGGTTTCACCGTGTTAGCCAGGATGGTCTCGATCTCCTGACCTCGTGATCTGCTCACCTCAGCCTCCCAAAGTGCTGGGATTACAGGCGTGAGCCACCGCTCCCGGCCACAAATGTTTTTTTAAGCCACTCAGTCTATGGTATTTTATTATAGCAGCTCCAGCTAAGACATGCCTCTCCATTTTGTATCAAGTTGCACACATTAACAGAAATGACAACAGCAATAATACCAATCACAGAAACATACATCCATTGAAGGATCTCCCCTTAGGACCTTAGAATGGACCTAGGAACTTGTTTTATGCTCAGTATTTGTGAGTTGATCCCAAAGCCCAATTGATTGGTTAATAAGTGAGGGGCTGCTGAACCTTAGTAAAGGCTAGCATAGTGTATCTTAGTTTGGCACATGGTAAGGGTACTGAAAGCATTCCTGAAATGGTGTATTTCAACACCAGACTGAGTGAGTAAGCAAAAAGAATGCTAAAACTTCTTCAAGTGGCTTAAGCTCTCTGTACTTTAATTATCAGTAAAATAAGAATAATAATAGTACCTTCCTCACAAGGTTATTATGGGGAATAAGTGAATTAATGTATGTACAATACTCAATACCTGGCAAAGAGAAAGACCTATTTTTTTTTGTCATTGGTATCATTGCTGTTGCCATTGCTGTTAATGTGTGCAACTTGGTACAAAATGGAGAGGGCTAGTGTTAATAATGACACCAATGATTCATATATCTCAAGGAAAGAGAAGCACTATCACTATCTTATATGTAACTCGGCACTGTACTTGCCACATAACAGGTACTACAAAAATATTTGTAGAATGAAAAAGTCATGGAATGATGTCAAACCCTCACAGTGCTCAAGTATCTACATAGAAAAAGTTCAGGCCGGGCGTGGTGGCTCACACCTGTAATCCTAGCACTTTGGGAGGCTGAGGCAGGTGGATCACCTGAGGTCAGGAGTTTGAGACCAGCCTCACCAACATGGTGAAACCATATCTCTACCAAAAATACAAAAATTAGCTGGGTGTGGTGGCAGGTGCCTGTAATCCCAGCTACTTGGGAGGCCGAGGCAGGAGAATCGCTTGAACCCGGGAGGTGGAGGTTGCAGTGAGCCAAGACTGTACCACTGAACTCCAGCCTGGGCGATAGAGTAAGACTGCATCTCAAAAAAAAAAAAAAGTTCAAAAGGGAGAGGTTGGGTAACATATTCCTCTCATGTTAAAATGAATGGGTTTCCAATATACACTAACATCTAGCCTCTCTCTCCATTCTGAGCTCCGAAAGCCCGATTTCTGGCTCAGTAGTGCTTATTGCTTCCTTTTCATGGCAGACTTTTCTCTGTTCTAGCCTTGATATACAGTTCTAAACAAGGATGCCACCGTAATAACTCTTTGCTCTGGCATATGAATGAGAATGATTTTTCATGGAGCTCTCTCCATGCCTGCTGCTTAGAGTTATTTGTCATTTCTTTTATGGGCCATTTCAAGAGAGCCAGGCTATGGGATGGGTTGTGAAAGCCACCTGTGTTGTCTTCTCTAAGACACCAGGGAGATTTGATGGGTTTTCATTTTCTAAGATTCTAAGGAGATGTTTTTATCTTGGACAGACTGCCTGTTGTTACCCTTGGGGTTTGCCATGGTGACACCAAATCAAAGGATTTTTATTTGCTTGAAAGGAAAAACAATCAAATATTCTTGCTGGGAGGTCTTTTTAGTACATCTGGTCCAAATTCCCATCTAAGGGTGGGGACCATGTTTGCCTTATTTCCTTTTGTATCTCTAGTGCACATCACTGTGCTTGGCATAGAGTTGTTATGCAACAGACATGTGTTGATTACATAAATATTTTGCAGAGGGAAGAAATGCTTTGTGTTACTAGCCTATTTGGATTTGGCCATTCTCTTCTGTAGTTCAGCAAAGAAGGCCTTTTCTCTCCCCCTACACCCCAACCCTGGATTATCCTGCTCTCTTCTGCACCAACAGACATACTTTGTATCCACCATTAGAGCACTCACGATACTGTGATATTTGTTTTCGCCTGTCTTTCTGTTCCCACTCCTATTCCTGGGGCTCTGTGTCTGACAGTGCTGAGCACATGGACATGGTTGGTGCTCAAAAAATATTAGTTGAATGAATGATTCTAATGCCCATGGAAGACAGCAAAAATAATTACAGTGTCATGCATCATATTTATATTGCACTAAGGACTTCTTGTGGACAAAGATATCAGAAGAATGATGGCATTCATGAGATTGCTGCTAACAGAATGGTTGACGATAGAGTTTCTTCATTTGGAACGTAGGCATGATAATACTGAATTGCAGGAAGGTTGTAGAGATTCAGCAGGAAGATCTTTTAAAGGGTGCTGCTGACTCATGACTTTTATGGTAGCAGGTGGAATTTTTTTTTTTTTCTTTTTCTTGGTCCTATGAGCAGGTAGAAGGAAGAAGAAGGAAAAATGGCAGTAACTTGGGAAGCAAGCAAAGACAACACCTCTTCTCTCTCCTCACCTCCATCCCCTCCCCGCCACCCTTGATAAGCCAAAAGGAGTGCTAAATGTCAGCTGCCAACCTTAGGGAGCCTGAGAATCACCATCACAGATAAAGACCTGGTGAGCATGGGTCTTAGAAGACCCAACAGTAGAGCACTAAGCCAGGTTCCATGCTAAGCTATAGATATAGGTGGCTGGGGGCTCAAATCCTAGAAGTAGAAGAGATAGTGAGAGTCCAAAGACAAGAAAGTTAGTCTCTTGGGATCATAATGAAACAGATGGGTGCTCACAAAGACTGAGGTGGAGTTCTGGCCTTCTCAATTTCAGTATCTGAGAATATTTTATAGTGCATTTTTCCTGATAAATAATAGGACTTGCAAAGTGATATTCCCAAGAGCATTGGAATGGAATGATACAACTCAATGGCGTATTATTATTGATGTAGGTTAGCAAATGGCCAAGGTTAACAAATGTAGATTAGCAAATGGCCAAGGCACAAAAAATAGAGTGGTGAGCAAGGTAGACATGGGCCCTGCCCTGACAGTCTTTATAGTCTAGTAGGAAGAATGAAACAACCATACAAATGTAACATAATTCAAGTTCCATGAAGGAGATATGGGAAAAACTATAACGGCAGGAGAAGCTCTGAGGAGAGAAAGGGCCTTTTGAGCTGAGAACTGATGGATGAATAGGTATTAAACTAGAAGGGAGAAGAAGGAGGAGAGAAATCATGAGAGACATTCTATTAGGCAGAGGAAGCCAACATAAAAAGGCAGTCACATTTAAGTGGGATAAATGCTAGGGAAGGAAAAGAGAGGTTACTACAGGAGCCACTGCTCAGTCTTTAAATAACCTTGACAGGGAGGCAGGGTAACTATCATCATCCCCTTGAATGCATAAGTTGGGACTCAGACATATTGATTTATTTAATTTATTTAATGAGTCATTGTCAAGCCCCTACTAGTTTCAAATCATTGTGCTGGGGCTGGATGAACACATTTATATATTGTCTCTCCCCTCTAGGAGCTTTCATTCTAGTGGGGAAGTAGCGGGAGTTTATCTGTGTCACAATGCTGGTAAGTGGTAGGGCCAAAACTTGAAGTCTTTTGACTTCAAGTCCAGTGCTCTTTTCATGGTGTCACATTGCAGCTCAACAAGGAAGAGGCCTGGTTAGTTACATCCATGATGACTTGGCCGGATGAGGTAGCTTAGCTTTTGTTCTAATAGCTGATAAGGATTTCCATAGTGCTAACTTAGCACGGTGGGAACTTGATTCTATTAAAGTAAAATTGAAACAAAAACAGAATTTGGGTATAGCTCATCTGTGTGACAATCATAGCTAGCCCTTCTGGAGTTTGCTGTGAGCTAGACATTGTACACATTTCATATATTTATTTAATCCTAATAACAATCCTATAAGTGAGGTAAATACTTGTACTGATTTGCCCACTTTCCGAATGAGAATGCTGAGACTCAGGGAGATAATTATGCAGCATTATTAAGCTTGCTCAGTTAGTAATTTAGGGTTATAGGATGCAAACTCATTCAATCTGATGCCACAACCCATGATCTTAACCACCATGCAACATTGGATCTACTTGCCAGACTAGAACAAAGTAGATGACACTATCCCAGAGACAAAGGAGCAGTCTGGGATAAAGGCCAAAGTTTGCTCTTCCTGGCAGGACTCCCAGTCATAGTTGTTTAACAGGTACAAAAGCACAGGACTGGACTTAAAAGTGACTATTGAATCCAGGTTTCCTACCATCGTATCCATAGTACTTTGTGGTCATAATTTACAAGGACTTTATATCTGCCTAGTGTGGTGGAGTTTTTTTTTCCAAGTAATTAAAACTATGAAACACAACGCTTATACTTGCTGAATTTTAGAGGCCTACTGAGAGGCCAGATTTACCTCAAACCATGTGTATTATTGTTTACAGAGTACTTTCACATCCATGATCTCATGAGATGCTCACAACAACCCTGAGGAGGGTTATTCACATTTTATAGCTGAGAAAACAAAGCTGAGAAAGCCCAAGGTCATGAAACTACTAAGGTTTTGGAGCCATTGCTGTGCACCTTTACTATGGGAAATGGGTGAAATCTACCAGAGCTTGCAATTCTGTTTTTGTGTCCCAATTGAAATGAATCAGTTAGTAAAACATTTGGCTTTTCAAAATACTAGGATTTCTTTTTCATTCCAGATTCAAAAGACTGACTCCGTAAGTATTGACTTTGTTCATAAAACACTGTATTATAAATAGGAATACAAAAGTAGCATGCATTATTTTCTAGGTTTCAAAATAAATAGTACATAATGGATGTCTTTAGTTAATAAAAGCTACTTGGATTTCTGTTCAGATGCAGCTCATTGGGGTGGGGGTAGGGGCTTTGGTCTTTTTTAGAATGTAGAACGCACCTTCATTCCATTTGAATGTCATTTTTGCACTTCGTAAGTGAAAGTACATTCTTTCTTATAGTGCCTTGTCCCTCATGACCGGCAGAATTGGTAGCTTTAAGTATTTTCATTCTCAAAACAAACATGACTCATAACCCATGTGGATGCAATGACTGTACTTGATTTGGTGAACATTTGAAAATACGAAGTGGGAATAAACAATACCATTACCGTAGTTATTTTTTTAAAGGGAAACGAATGCACTGGAAGTGGTGTAGATGAAGTACAGGGAAATATATGAACATTGGAATTATATTCCAGTTAGCTCAAGCTTAGGGTAGAAGAAATTAAAATTAAGGAAATATTTATTCATCTATTTAACACATATTTAATGAACAAGGCATTGCTCTAGACACTGGAGATACATTGGTGAAGAATAATAATAAAGATGAAAATTCATGCCCTGTTGGAGTTAACATTCAAGAGGGGCCGTAATGGGTGGTAGTATTGGCGGGGGGGGTTAGAGAAGCCCTCATGGAGAAGATGACATCTGAATAATGAACTAAAGGAGTTAAGGGAGGATGTAACGCAGATACATGCTCACAGAGAGCTCCAAGCAGAGACCTTGCAATGATGATATACTCCAATGTGGCTGAAGTAGAGTGAGCAAGACAGAGAATAATGGGAGATGAAGTCAAAGAAGTGGCCAGGAGTTGGCTGACCCATGGAAAGAAGTTTACAAAGTAACTGGTGATATTCAACTGTGTAGTGGACACTGTTGATCCCCTTTACCAGGCAGAGGTACCTATCCCTTAGCTACTTGGAGCGTTGTTTGCTAAAGCTTATAGTCACCCCCTTCTCTATAGCAGAAGCACTGGGGGCAGCCCACAGCCAATGACTGGCTCAACCCCTTGGCCTCAAGGTGAGACCAATCCTATGGTTCCATTCATGGTCCTGAGCTTCTCCTGGGGTCAGTTAGAGCTAGACTCCAGGTGAGACCACAGCCTTGCTTTTTTAGTTCCTTCATTTCCCCTTCCTTCTTAATCCCATTCTACCCCAAATAATCCATCTCAGGATCTGCTTCTACCTAAGGAACCTGACCTAAAACAACAAACTTTCAACAACATAATTTTAGAAGCTAATATGCTGTATTTTTCTCTGCAAGTGTCAACTTTGAGTTATATTTTATTAAACTAGGCACCCTGATGGTAAGGCAGATCATTCTTGCCAGTCTAAAGGAGCTAGGAAAGATATTTTTGAACTAGATGGCTAATGGTGCCATTTTCGACATCTGTGAATGTCTTTCTAATTCTGTCACTCAGTAAAGGGGAGCATTTTAACTAGGGTCTCAATGGCATGGTGTTGCAGCGATTGATTCATTTTTACATTGATAAGTGAATCCACAGGAAGGTCCCATTAGATGCCTCCTTTTAGTTATTTGAAATCCTAGTCAATAAATATCGACTTCCTTCCTGTCCTCTTGCAATTGTGTGTGTGAATGTAGTATTTGTCCTTTTCTGAGATACCCTAGTGCTTTATGTCACTTTGTCTTTACGTCATTTAATTGATGATATTTCTCAATAATAGCCAACCAGGAGCCAAGACAATAAAAAGATATTCCTTGTATCAACTTTAAGAAGGGGAAATAAGCTGTGGCTGGAAAATCTGAACTAATCTCAATAATACCAAGTAACAAATTTGACTTTTCTCCACTTCTCACTAGTTTGGGCAAATGGACTTTGTTATTGGGGACAAGGTTTAGAGAACAAATACTTTGGGTAACAGGTGTCTGCTTATAAGTATGAACTTTAGCAAGCAGTGTGAGAAAATTCCAACAGGAGGCCCTCTCCCTTGCATGGGCTCTGAATGAGCAAATCCAAGATTGGGAAAAGCTGCTCCAACTCTTTGAGGTTCTCCACTACCCATCTTTGGCATGTGATTTGACCATGGTCCTGAGGACATTTGATTCTCCCTTTCACAAAACCACTTCTAAGGTATAAGACCAGGGAAACTCATATTGTATAATATACTCCTTTTGTCTGGCTCTCTATTTCTCCAACACCTGTAGTAGTCCAAATGGTGTGAATTGCCCTGTCTCTTGCCTTAATTAATACTATCCTGTGAATTAGGAAATGGAGTCACAATTTTTTCCAGTTTGCAGATGAAGAAATAAAGACTCAGAGATTTAAGTGACTTACCCAAGATCACAAAGCTAGCAAGTGGCTAAGTCAGAAATAGACCCCACGTCTTCTAACTGCTATACCCTTCTGGAGAAAGTGTCAGGGAAAGATAATGACTTATTTTTTAGCATTTTGCTTGTTAATATGATCATTTTACTTCTTCTTTGTGTGGGGATGCCAATGAATTTCCATTTATTCAAGCCAAATCTTTGTTTTCTCCAAATAATTTGCTGAGGTAGTGCTCTTCTCATTAAAGCCCCCTGAAGATTGGCTGTGATTCCCACAGAGTGGTTCTGTGAGCTCTGATATTCTGGATTGTGGCTGTATTATTCCTGGATCTCATTTTACATTGCTTTTCATCAGATGTAAGACACCTATTTCTTTGTCTATCTCTGTTATCTGCTAGCATATTTGCCACCTTCTTTTTATTGTCTTGGCTCCTGGTTGACTATTATTGAGACATATCATCAATTAATCCCATACACCATTGTATGAGATTTTCAGTAACCATGACTCTATACCTCCGCTTCGTGGTGGCATGCCTTCCATCCCCTTAAAGTGATTGATCTTCCCTCCATTAGCCTGTGCTTGCTCTTCTAAATTCAAACTTGGTATCCCAGTTTGGACATGAGCTCACCTTATGACCTGAAGAAAAGCTTTCTTTTATGAGGTAGGATCACATGTACTCGTCTCTGGTCCTCTACCCAATATCTAATTCCCATATGTTGGCTAAGATGCTGCTGTATACAATTCTGGCTGACAGAGATGAAGTTGGGCTTTACCTCCAAATCAGAGGCGATTACTTCTGCAATCTCAGGAATAGAGAGGAAATGTTCACACTAGGCTGAATTTATTTGTTTGGTGCATGGAAAAGTTGCAGTGAAATGAGTGCTGACACTGCAGCAGAAAACTTCTTTGTTGAAGCTGATGCAAGGCTTGGACAGCTGATGCCAAAGATGACAACACTGTAATTTGCTTGATCCATGTGTCTGTGCTTCTTCTTTACATCATATCTACTTCTGTGCCTGACAGTATTCCATAGGCCAGTGGTGGCTGCCACTATCCTAGAGGCAGAGAGGATAGACAAGTTTTGGGGGGCAGGTTTCTCTATCTTTTCTCCTAGCCTCAAAGCCTGTGATCTAGGGCAGAGGTTTTCAAACCTCTGGGATGAAGAGGGAGGCTTGAGGGAGGGAAGGGGAAGGAGGAAATCTAGCAGGGATTCCTCTTTAACCCTTCCTCAAACAAGTTTATGTATTGAGTTTCCATGCAAGAGTTTGTTTGAACAAAGGGTTCGGCTGTTGAAGAAAGTTTGGGAATCACTGGTCTACTGCACTAAACAGGTTAACTTCTGTACTGAAACCAGCCCAACTGAGTCCTACAAAATGAGAGCTGAGGCTAACAGCTAGTTTACCCTGGATGGCTTGAGTTTCCTGAGGTGTAAAATGAAACCATGCTTCCCTTGATGTAACAGCTTACATAGTGGGGAGCTAAAGGTTTTGTTGGTTATCCTGAATAATTTGGGGCTCCTTTGAGGATGGATGATAGAAGAAAGTTAATTATTTTGAGAAAGTTATTTGATTCCAACCTGATAATGCCAAACTTCTTCTCATAAAATGACTGTTAAATAGAATCACGCTGTACATCAACTAGACCTAACAGGCATATATAGAACACTCCATCCAACAACAGCAGAATAAACATTTTTTCTCAAGTGCACATGGAAAGTTATCTAGGATAGACCATATGTTAGGTTACAAAATAAGTCTCAGAAGTTTAAAAAAGATCTAAGTCATCCAAAGTATCTTCTCCAACCACAATAGAATGAAACTAGAAATCAATAATAGAAGGAAACCTGGAAAATTCAGGAATTTTGAACAACCAATAGCCAAAACAGAAATCACAATAGAAATTAGAAAATACATTGAGATTAATGAAAACACAGAGCCACATACCAAAACTTATGGGATATAGCAAAGGGACTACTCAGAGTGAAATTAAAACTGTAAATACCTAAATTAAGAAAGAATAAAGATATCAAATCAATAACCTAACTTTACACCTTGAGAAACTATAGAAAGAAGAACTAACTAGACATAAAGCAAGCAGAGGAAGGAAATAATAAAGATTAGAGCAGAGATTTTTGAAATAGAGAATAGAGAAAAACAATATGGAGAATCAATGAAATCAGAAGTTGGTCGTTTGAAAAGATCAGAACAATTGAGAAAACTTTGTTTAGATTGACAAAGAACAGAGAAGATACAAATAACAAAAATGAGAATGTAAGTGGAGACATTACTACCAACCTTACAGAAATATAAATATAAAGAGGATAATATAAACAACTATATACAAACAAATCAGATAACCTAGACAAAATGTTCAAACTTTTAGAAACACACAATCTGCCAAGACTGAATGATGAAGAAACAGAATATCTAAATAGACTGACAACAAGTAAGGAGATGGAATCCGTAATTTGAAACTACCCAATAAAGAGTCCAGGACCAGATGACTCTGCTAGTGAATTCTACCAAACATTTAAAGAAGAATTAACAATGATCCTGCTCAAACACTTCCATAACATAGAAGAGAAGGGAACACTTCCTAATTCATTCACTGAGGCCAAGATTACCCTGCTACAAAATTGGAGAGGAAGAATAAAACTGTTTTTTTTGCATGTGACATAATACTATGTACAGAAAATCCCAAGGAATCCACAAGAAAGCTACTAGAGATAATAAACAAATAGAGCAAAATTGCAGGGTGCAAAAACAACATGTAAATTTGGTTGTATCTCTAAACACCAATAATGAAAAATCCGAAAAGGAAATTAAGACAACAGTTCCATTTATTATAACATCTAAAAGAATAACGTACCTAGGAATAAATTTAACAAAGGAGGTAAAAGACTTGCACACACTAAAAACTATAAAACATTGCTGAAAGAGATTAATAACCTAAATTAGTGGAAAGGCATCCTGTGTTCATGAATAGAAAGACTTAATAATGTTAAGATGTCAGTACTACTCAAAGTGATCTACAGATTCAGTGCAATCCCTATCAAAATTCCAATAGCATTTTTTACAGAAATGTAAAAGCTCATCCTCAAAACAATATGGAATTACAAGGGCCTCCTATATAGACCCCTATCATGAAAAAGAAGAACAAAGTTGGAGGACTCACACTAATAGATTTCAAAATTTTCTATAAAGTACAGTAATCAAAACAGTATGATACTGGCATAAGGATATACATATAGACTAATAGCGTAGAATTGAGGTTTCAAAAATAAGCCTATACATCTAAGATAAATTGATTTTTGAAAGAGTGCTAAGTCAATTCAATGGAGAAACAGTTTCTTTAACAGGTGCTGCGGAGTCGACTGGATTTCCACATGCAAGTTGAACCCATATCTCATACCATATGCAAAAATAAACTCATCTAGTGTTTGGTTTTCTGTTCTTGTGTTAGTTTGCTGAGAATGATGGTTTCCAGCTTCATCCATGTCCCTGTAAAGGACGTGAACTCATCCTTGTTTATGGCTGTATAGTATTCCTTAGTGTATATGTGCCATATTTTCTTTATCCAGTCTATCATTGGTGGGCATTTGGGTTGGTTCCAAGTCTTTGCTATTGTAAATAGTGCCACAGTAAACATACGTGTGCATGTGTCCTTATAGCAGCATGATTTATAATCCTTTGGGTATATACCCAGTAGTGGGATTGCTGGGTCAAATGGTATTTCTGATTCTAGATCCTTGAGGAATGGCCACACTGTCTTCCACAATGGTTGAACTAATTTACACTCCCATCAACAGTGTAAAAGCGTTCCTATTTCTTCACATCCTCTCCAGCTTCTGTTGTTTCCTGACTTTTTAACAATCGCCATTCTAACTGGCATGAGATGGTATCTCACTGTGGTTTTGATCTGCATTTCTCTAATGACCAGTGATGATGAGCTTTTTTTCATACGTTTGTTGGTCACATGAATGTCTTCTTTTAAGAAGTGTCTGTTTATATCCTTCCACCACTTTTTGATGGGGTTGTTTGTTTTTTTCTTGTAAATTTGTTTAAGTTATTTGTGCATTCTGGATATTAACCCTTTGTCAGATGGATAGACTGCAAAAATGTTTTCCCATTCCGTAGGTTGCCTGTTCACTCTGATGATAGTTTATTTTGCTGTGCAGAAGCTCTTTAGTTTAATTAGATCCCATTTGTCAATTTGGGCTTTGCTGCCATTGCTTTTGGTGTTTTAGTCATGAAGTCTTTGCCCATGCCTATGTGCTGAATGGCATTGACTAGGTAGTGGGAGTTGAACAATGAGAACACATGGACACAGGGAAGGGAACATCACACACTGGGGACTGTCAGGGGGTGGGGGGCTAGGGGAGGGATAGCATTAGGAGAAATGCCTAATGTAGATGACGGGTTGATGGGTGCAGCAAACCACCATGGCACGTGTATACCTATGTAACAAACCTGCACATTCTGCACATGTACCCCCGAACTTAATAAAAAAATTAACTAACGTTAACCAATATCTAAATATAAGATCTAAAACCATAAAACTCTTAGAAAACATAAGGGTAACTCTTCATGAATTTGGATTTGGCAGTGGGTTCTTAGATATTACAGCAAAAGCATGAGCAACGGAAGTAAAATTGGATTATATCAAAATTAAAAATCGTTGTGTATCAAAGAACATTATCAAGAAAGTGAAAAAGACAATTTACACAGTGGATGAAAATATTTGTGAGTTGTTTATCTGATAAAGGCTTGATATATAGAATATAGAAAGAACTCCTAACAGTCAACAACAAAAAGACAAAAGAAAATTGAATGGACAAAGGACTTAAATAGATATTTCTCCAATGAAGATATACAAATGTCCAATAAGAACATGACAATATACTCAATATCATTAATCATTAGGGCAAAGCAAATAAAAAACAAAATGAGAGAAAATTTTCGCAACCTACTCATGTGACAAAGATGTCCAGAATCTACAATGAACTCAAACAAATGTACAAGAAAAAAACAAACAACCCCATCAAAAAGTGGGCGAAGGATATGAACAGACACTTCTCAAAAGAAGACATTTATGCAGCCAAAAAAACACATGAAAAAATGCTCATCATCACTGGCCATCAGAGAAACGCAAATAAAAACCACAATGAGATACCATCGCACACCAGTTAGAATGGCAATCATTAAAAAGTCAGGAAACAACAGGTGCTGGAGAGGACGTGGAGAAATAGGAACACTTTTACACTGTTGGTGGGACTGTAAACTAGTTCAACCATTGTGAAGTCAGCGTGGCGATTCCTCAGGGATCTAGAACTAGAAATACCATTTGACCCAGCCATCCCATTACTGGGTATATACCCAAAGGATTATAAATCATGCTGCTATAAAGACACATGCACACGTATGTTTATTGCGGCACTATTCACAATAGCAAAGACTTGGAACCAACCCAAATGTCCAACAACGATAGACTGGATTAAGAAAATGTGGCACATATACACCATGGAATACTATGCAGCCATAAAAAATGATGAGTTCATGTCCTTTGTAGGGGCAGGGATGAAACTGGAAACCATCATTCTCAGCAAACTATCGCAAGGACAAAAAACCAAACACCGCATGTTCTCACTCATAGGTGGGAATTGAACAATGAGAACACATGGACACAGGAAGGGGAACATCACACTCTGGGGACTGTTGTGGGGTGGGGGGAGGGGGGAGGGATAGCATTAGGAGATATACCTAATGTTAAATGACGAATTAATGGGTGCAGCACACCAACATGGCACATGTATACATATGTAACAAACCTGCACATTGTGCACATGTACCCTAAAACTTAAAGTGTAATGATAATAAAATTAAAAAAAAAATGAGATACCACTTCACACTCATTAGGGTGTATACTTTTTTAAAGGAAAATAAGTGAAGATGAGGATGTGGAGAAACTGGAACCCTTATGTGGTGTTGGTGGAAATGTAAAATGGTACAGTCACTGTGGACAATAGTTTGGCAGCTCTTCAAATTGCTAAATAGAGACTCATCATCTGATTCAGCAATTCCATTCCCAGGTGTATATACACAAAATAATTTAAAACAGGGACTCAAACAGATATATGTATGCCAAAGTTCACTGTAGTGTTACTCACGATTAGCTCAAAGGTGGAAACAACCTGAGAATCCATCAATAGATGAAAAGATAAATAAAAATGTGCTGTATATATGCACAATCGAATATTATTCAACCATAAAAAGGAATTAAGTTCTGATACATGCTACAACATGAATAAAGCTTGAAGACATTATGCTAAGTAAAAGAAGCTAGTTACCAAAGGATAAATACTATGTGATTCCACTTAGGCAAATTCATAGAGATAAAAAGTAGATTTTATGCTACTAGGGGCTGGGGGAAGAGAAGGATAGAAAGTTGTTGTTTAATGGTTACAGAATTTGTTTGTGGTGATGAAAAGATTTTCGAAATAGTGGTGATGGCTTCATAGCATGGTGATTATAATCTATGCCACTGAATTGTACACTTAAAAACTATTTAAATGGCTGGTTTCACGCTGTATATATTTTACCACAATAAAAAATTCCCATTAAAAATAAAGTTATTCAAAAGTGGTTTCATTATTTAAAATGAAGCAAAAGTGTTTTCACGTCTTTTTCTCTAATAGAGAAAATAAAGATGATCACAAATGTGTCCCTTCTATGAATAAAAATGAAATGTTCATTAAAAGGAGGCTTTTTTCCTTTTTTTTTCTTCATTTCTTCTTAAAAAAAAAACAGAATACATGTGCAGAACGTGCAGTTTGTTACATAGGTATACGTGTGCCATGGTGGTTTGCTGCACCTACTGACTTGTCCTCTAAGTTCCCGTCCCTCACCCCCCACCACCCCCTGACAGGCCCTGGTGTGTGTTGTTCCCCACCTGGTGTCCATGTGTTCTCATTGTTCAACTCCCAGTTATAAGTGAGAACAAGCGGTGCTTGGTTTTCTGTTAAAAGGAAGCTTTTATATTTCATATTTAAAATGACTTTTTGATGGAAGAAATAGTACCGACACTTTATTTGCTTTACTTAGATTCTATTAAGAAATTTTTCTTTTGTTGTATCCTTTCTGAGGTAACTAAGTATTGAGATAATTGTTTATCTTTATCATGGTAATCTTTATAGACCACATAGAGAGATCCATCTTAAATATTCTGGTCCATCACCATAGTTTGTTTCTTCAAACTTAACACTCAAAGTCTCAAAATGACAGCACATTTGGGGCTAGTAAACTCTCTGCCAGTGAATGCTTAGAGGACGTAGCATAGGTAGCTCAGTATCTCACAAGGCCTACGGCTGTGCTCTTTTCTGGAGGTCAGCATCCTCTTCTAAGCTCATGTGATTGTTGGCAGACTTCAGTTGTTTGTGGCAATAGGACCAACATCCCCATTTATTGCTGGCTGTCACACAGGGCCTATTCCGAGCTCCTAGAGACTTCCCAAAGTCCCTTGCCATGTGGCCCCCTCGTAGGCCTGCTCACATGGCAGCTTACTTTTTTAAGGCCTGAAGGTAAATCTCTCTTTTAATGCTTTCACTTGATTAAGTCAGACCCACCCAGATTAGTGTGCCTTTTGATGAACTCAAAATCAACTGATCAGGGGCATGAATTACATCTTAAAAATCACTTTACCTTTACTATATTCTATTGGCTAAAAGCATATCAGAGGTTCTGCCTACATTTTAAGGTGAGAGGGTTATACAAGGGTGTAATCCATTGGGCATCATTCTAGGGTGTGTCCACCACAATGTGGAACTATCACCCTGTATTGTTGAGAGATGGAAAGAAGAGAACTGATTTTTACAATGAAAAACCAAAGCAGCCATGTCAAACTTGGTAAAAGAAATGGGCAAGTGGTCCCTTTATGTGTTTCAGCTTCCCATAGTGTGCGTTTGCTTCAATCAGGGTTCTCCAGAGAAACAGAACCAATAAAGTGTGTGTGTGTGTGTGTGTGTGTGTGTGTGTGTGTGTACAAGCCGATAGGGAGATAATAATAAATCAGACTTTCATGGTTATGCAGGTATGCAAGTCCCAAGATCTGCAAGGTTAGTCAACAAGCTAGAGATGCAGAAGAGCTGATTTATATATCTAATCCAAGTCCAAACGCCTGAGAACCGGGAGAGCTGATGATGTAATTCTAGTCCATTGGCTGGCAGTGCTGAGACACAGGAAGTGCCAGTGTTTCAGCTTAAGTTTGAAGGCAAGAGAAAAGCTGATGACTCAGTTCAAAGGTCACCAGGCATGAAGAATTATTTCTTACTTAGGAGAGGATCAGTCCTCTTGTTCTATTCAGGCCTTCAACTGATTGGGTGAGGCCCACCCACATTATGGAGAGTAATCTGCTTTACTCAGTCTACCGATTAAGAAAAAAAACACTCATAGGCATACCTAGAATAATGTTTGACCAACTATCTGGGCACCACATGGCCCAGTCAAGTTAACACATAAAATTAGCCATCACATTGTCCTTCAGTAATCGCATGTCATTTCCCCTAACAAGTGACACTAATTCAGTTATTATGACAAATGGACTCAACCAGTTTCTGCTATTCCAATAAACCAGTCAAGGATGAGTGGCCTCCATCAGGCTGTTTCCTGCATCTGTTGCTGGAGTACATTACAGGTGTGGTTACAAGGTTTTAAGCTGTGTGTCTCCAGTGAACTGCTGGACTGCTGGGAGAAGAGAAGTAAGCTGCACTTTCTTTCTTTTCTTTTCTGTTTTTTTTTTTTTTTTTGAGACAGAGTCTCGCTCTGTCACCGAGGCTGGAGTGCAGTGGTGCAATCTTGGCTCACTGCAACCTTCGCCTCCCGGGTTCAAGTGATTCTCCTGCCTCAGCCTCCTGAGTAGCTGGGATTGCAGGCACGTGCCACCATACCCAGCTAATTTTTAGTAGAGACGGGGTTTCACCATGTTGGTCAGGCTGGTCTCAAACTCCTGACCTCATGATCCGCCCGCCTCGGCCTCCCAAAGTGCTGGGATTACAGGCATGAGCCACCTCGCCCAGTCACAAGCTGCACTTTCTCAGGAGCAGAGAGGCTAATATGAAGCTAAGTACAGAGAGAGGCCCGAGGCTGCTTGTAGTTTCCCAGCTAGGCATGCCTATTGCCTCCTCTGTCTATTTGCCTTTGCCACATTCTCCATTCATTAGGACTGACCTAAGTATAGATATCAAAAAGAGAACCAAGTTACTCTTCTGCTGACCAGGAATTTGGTAAGGAGCTCCCAATGTTCCCTGCAGAGAAGAGGAACTTACAGAGAAATGGCCTGCTGAAAAAGGCTGACAACCCAAATTTGCATGTAAGTCAGTCCATGATCATTGCTGCTTCTTAGATTTGAGTGTGACCCATCCTGCTCTCTTGCCCAAAACATCTTTTTCAAGCTTGCCATAACTTCACCTAATGATCGCTTTGCCAGATAGAGACTTGCGTCAAGTGATGTCTTGAGTAGCTTAGAATATCTCATATATAGTAAGCTTGTCTTTGAGAGGCTGTCAGTTAAACAGGTGTTACAAAAAGCCGTTGGGGAAAAAAAAGAGAAGAAAGAATTGCCCTCTAGGCAACTCTTAAAGGATTGTGATTATTCTGCATTTCATAGGAACTCTAAAAGTATCTCTTTTACCACTCAGCAAGTAAGCATCTAAATTGGCTGGGAGATAATTTACGTGGAACTTTTTGCCCTGTCTTTCTTGAGTCTAATCTTAAATTCTACTTAACTGTCCATTAAGGAAGACGCAGAGAGCTGTCCTTAGTATGAGAATTGGGAAATGGTTTTTTTTTTTTAATTTTACTTTATATATATATATATATATATTTATTATACTTTAAGTTCTAGGGTATGTGTGCACGACGTGCAGGTTTGTTACATATGTATACATGTACCATGTTGGTGTGCTGCACCCATTAACTCATCATTTTCATTAGGTATATCTCCTAATGCTACCCCTCCCCCCTCCCCCCCACCCCACAACAGGCCCCGGTGTGTGATGTGCCCCTTCCTGTGTCCAAGTGTCCTCATTGTTCAATTCCCACCTATGAGTGAGAACATGCGGTGTTTGGTTTTTTGTCCTTGCCATAGTTTGCTGAGAATGATGGTTTCCACTTTCATCCACGTCCCTACAAAGGACGTGAATTCATCCTTTTTTATGGCTACATAGTATTCCATGGTGTATATGTGCCACATTTTCTTAATCCAGTCGGGAAATGGTTTTACTCTGGCTGACATTTTTGAAGCTTGTGAAAACTGGCATGTTTCAATTTCTAGAAGACACCAATAAACACTCCCCAAATGACCAGTTTCTCAACATGAATTTAATTAATGGGAAAATCGGAGGCACGTCAGGAGAGACTCACTGACAGGGGCCACTGGAAAAGACAGGGAGGTAAGATTTGGGAAGCTTGTGCTGCCTCCCAGTGTGGACATTACTCCAATGCCATTCAAGAAGAATGAATTCACAGCTTTATTTCCCCTTTGCGTTAGTTTTCCTGTTCCCATGTATGACCTACATTATCTTTCCCACGTCCTTATTGCTGCTTTGAAATAGAGATTTTGACAGAGCTTCCTGTGGGACTACAAGAACTTCAGTCAATAACTAGTGATTTCCATGGCAGCAGAAGGTTTTTAAATTAATGTGGCAGTCTGTACCTTCCATCTGTGAAGGACCAAACCGGCACTCCCTCACCTCTCTCTTTCCTTCTACCTGGTGTTTTTACCATTCCTCCTTCCAATTTTTTTCTGGCCTTATAGTGCAGGTCTCCTGGTACTGATCTGGACCATGAAACACAGGAAGCCAGAGCCAAATTGGCCAGCAAAGCTTCACGTTTTGTAGAGGATTTAGGCTTCTCCAATACTATGAAGGCCATGATTCTGAGCATTCACAAATATTGCTGGGAGTTGTGGCAGCGGAGCACAAAAAAACCTCAAAACGTTCTTTTTCTCCCCCTGTCTAAGTTGCAAACAAATTAAGAAGTAAAATGAGAACAGTGTATAAAAAGCAATTGGATAGACGTAATCACTTGGCCACAGAAAATCCTGAGTGACAGTAGACCCTTGTCCCCCTCTTCCACCCCTCACTTGTCACAAAGGCCCTCCCCCTACAAACTTAAGGCATAAAGGAGCAGAGAAGAATGAATGCTTTCTCCAGTGAGCTGACTCCCAAGGAGAAAGTAAAAAGGAAGGAGCTGAGCTAGGAATGCTAGTTTATCTTTTGAAACCTCACCAGTCAGTCTACCACTTCCATAAAAGAGTGAATCATGGGCCAGAGGGAAGCCAGCACTGTTATGCTAATGCGATTCATATCAAAAACAGTATCAAGAAGAGGGAAGAACCCCCTGCCCCATGTAAGCTCTGAAAAAAATTAGAGGTCATCTGGTCAACTCCAGTTGAGGAAATCTGGATTCACACAGATGATGTGGCTTATTCAATAAGGAGTAGAGCTTAGGCTGATTTAGGCTGATCTAGAGGACAGAAACAAGAATGGTGTAGGAGTTCTAGAGAATCAGTTTTTCAAGGATGTTGTTTTGCAAACTGCCCATCATCATTTCCATCACTGCCATCAGTACTCTCCTGCAATGTTAATATTTGCCGGGTACCTATTTGATCACATTCTACATAGATAGATTTAGTGCAATGAGACACCACAGGAGAGAGCTAACTGTGGGATGTCTCTCCTCCTTGCCCAAAGAGTAGAGTTAGCTAATCCACAGTAATTATTTTCCGTTTGTGAAATGTATATCCCAGGGAGTTATTATTATCAAAGGGTATCTATATTAAATAGTGTCATTAGATGCTGCCTGCCATCAGCCATTACTTCTGTTCATCAGAGTTTTATATTCCTAGTGTGTATAACCAGAATCTAACTACTTCTTCCCAACTACACAACTGCCACTGGTCCTAACTACTGTCACCTGTTGCTTAGATTATAGCCGTAGCCTCCTAACCAGTCTCCCTGCTTCCATCTTTGCGCCCTGCAGTCTGTTCTCTACATAGCAGCAAGAGTGAGCCTTTGAACACATAAGCCAGCTCACATCATTCTTCTGCCTGACACTATCCAGTGGCTGCCCGCCAGTCAGAATTAAAGCCAGAGCTGTTACAATGGCCTACATGAGCAGACTTCCTTTTACCCTTCTGGCCTCATCTCCTACCTCTCTCCTCTTCAATCTCTCAGTTCCTGCCATACTGGTCTCCTTCATTTTCTACAAAAACAGCAATTCACACTCCTATCTCAGGACCTTTACATTTTTGATACTTCTACTGGAAACTCTTTTCTCCTGGGTATCTCTGTGGCTCACTCCCTTCCGCACTTCCTCCAGCCTCTGCGCCAATGTCTTCTTCTTAGTGAGGACTTCTATATTATGTAGATTAGGCTGAATTATACTGCAATAGCAGAAAGCTAATTGACACATTAGGAACTTAACTCATAAATAGTTATTTCTCACTTAGGTGGATCTAGCAGCAATTTGGAGCAGCTTCTTTCCAATCAGTGACTCAGATACCCTTGGAGGTCTCAGCTTAACAATTTGTTTACTGTCTCTTTACTCCTCACCACCCTCAAATGTGTAAACTATATGAAAGCAAGAATTTTTGTCTGTTCCCCCCCCATCTTCTATATACTGTATGCTTTGAATAGTGCCTGGCATACAGTAGATTTCCAATAAATATTTGTTGGAAGAATGTTGAAAGGTAGTGAGATGAGAAGGAATGGAAAATAAAAACCTCAAAGGAAGCTTCTTTGTGTGTATGTTTTCTTCTCAGGTTAAATACAGTGAAGCTGTGTCAATTCTGCATACAATATTTGGTTATTGTTATAACTATAGAAGGCATGTGGACTTTAAAACCTACTTAGGTTTTCAGTATCAAGATTTGAACATTTCATTTGTTTTCTATTGCTGCCATAACATATTACCACAAACTTAGGGGCTCAAACAACACAAATTGATTATCCTACATTTCTGTAGGTCAGAAATCAGACACCCATCTCCCTAGGCCAAAATTAAGGTCTTGGCAGGGCTGCATTCCTTTTTGGAGACTCTAGGCAGGATCTGTTTCCTTGCTCCTTTTGATCCTCAGCACGATTCAATTCCTTGCGGAATGGAGATCTCTGCTTTATTGTTGGCTGTCAACTGAGGGCCATCCCTGGCTTCTAGAGACTATGTGTACTCTTTGGCACATGGCTTCCTTCCTACATCTCCAAAGCCAGCAATGGCAAGCTGAGTCTCTTCAAACTTTTGATCCCTCCTGCCTCTTCTTTCCTTTCATCTCTCTGCTCCACTATTCTACCTTCCTCATTTTATTTTAAGAGTTCATGTGACTACATTGGGCCTACCTGGATAATCCAGGCTAATATCCCCCATCTAAGGGTAAATTGAATAGCAACCTTAATTTCATCTGCAGTCTTAAGGTAACATAGTCATAGGTTCCAGGGATTTAGGACATGGGCATTTTTGAGGACCATTATTCAGCCTTTCAGAGATACGCAGACAAATAGAAGGTATGGGATAGTTGGTAAGAATGTAGGTTTGGGAGGCATGCAGACCTTGCTTTGAATCAGCTCTTCATCTTGATAGCTGGGTTAATCGGGATATGTTGTAACCTCTTTGACATTCAGTTTTCTCTCTGTTAAATGTGAACATGGGTTGCTATGAATATTAAAAATGATATGTAAAAGTGTATGGTATATATCAAGAACTCTACTTTACTACTTAAAAAAATAATGTGACAATTCCTAATGTTCTGAATCTAAGCATCAAATGCAGCTTAGAGCTCAATGTGGAGGACATTGCCTTTAATAAAACAAAGTAGGCCAAGTGCTCTTTTGCTAAAACCTCAATTAACCAGCTAGGTTTATAGGGAATGAGAGGGGAGTTACATATAAGTGTTGATAATTCATTTATACCTAAATCGTTAAACGCTATTTTAAGGACATTTGATGACTTGAGGCTTTCAAAGAAGTCGTAATGCCTTTTTCTTAAATAGTAATGCTGCCAAGAGTAAGCAAACTAAAATACCATTTGCTTTGAAATTCTTCTCAAACAAATTTGGAGCGGGTTCTAACCTGGCACAATATATTCTTCCATCTGTAATCCCTGCAAGGACAGCCCCCCTGAAAATAAACACCAGCGCTATTTACTGAATGGGGAATTAGAATCTGTGGCAGGCAAGAATGCAAAGAAAAGCACCCATTTAGTTGGAATATTTATTTCTCTATTAGAATTGTTTAATGGATTTCAACTATCGTAATTGAGAGTTATGTTCTAGTGTTTTCCATTAGCTAAAAATGTGCTTCTTTTAAGTATCTAAGGAGGACAAATTCCTCCACAGCAAATAGGTAGAGAAATGCATTTCCTGGAGGTGTTGACCGTTTGAGCTTGCAAATTGATGAATACAATGTTGGGGCCAAATTGAACTAACTGCCTTTTGATGAGCTTGAGTGCAGCTTGTGACTAACTAGGGAGAGGATTTTACCAGTGCATTCTTTAAATGAAACAAGAGGATCCAAGGACTCATGTCTTGATCAATTGGAAGAGCTTCTCCTACATCCCTTCCTGTACTTCCTCCCTGCTTTTGCTACTACTCTCATCAGTGGCACAGCCACATCATATGGAAAGCCAGGTAGCACAAAGCCAAAATGTCATACACATACTTCATATTTCAGAAATGGTTCTGTAGATCAGCCCACCTATTGGTATCTGCTTCATGGTTTTTGCCAAAAGGTCAGTCAAGATGGGTTGTTAATGTACTTGAGTGAATTTTCACCATTGTTCCTGGGCATGGAGAAAAGCATCAATAGGTGACAGAAGCATATATGATCACAGAACGTTGGCAGGAAGGAAAAGAAGAGCACCCTACCTGCTTGAAAATAAAAGTATTTCCTGACTAATAAGGTAAAATGAGTTTGCTACTTAGATACTTTTGGGGGGTGGTTATGGAAAGATGGAGGTGCACATGATGGCATTGATCATTCTTCCAATCATATAATTTTCCAGCAACATTTGCACTATAATTTTTTTTGCCGCTAGCACTAGAACCAAGGAATTCCTAGCGGTCAACTGAGCCTGGGGTGGGGTCTTCGTGAGGCAGGGAGCTCTGGACACATCCCTGGAAATTTCGGGCAACCATCAGGACCAAATTTCTCGCTTGACCCATGAAATTTGGATCAGAGATTAGGTTTCCAAACACCAAATAAAAGTGTGAAGGGGATAGTGATGATGCATAGTGCAGGGCTCTTCCAGCATGCCATGTGAAGAGGTGTGGTGTTGATGAGCACATTTTCTAGGAAGACAGGAGTGTAATGCCTGAGAATGCACTCTATAGTATATTGGTGAGGAAACCTCAGTCCTCTGAGCTTTAATACTCCAAAAATTGAAAAGATTGAGAGAAGAAAATAGGCTTTCTCTAGCAATTTAGCCTATAATATTGCCTGAGAAAGGTGTTAAGATCAAAGGCTGAGAAGATTTCGGGCAAGAAAGTTTATATGAGTAACTATGACATCACTCTGTGAGCCTAACTGGAGTTTCTCTACTAATTGTTACTAATGTCAAAGACATATGTCCAGCCTCACACACACGTGCATGCAAACACACACACACACGCACACACACACACACTGGGCCCCGCTGGCTGGAACAACATGCATAGGGCAGTGAGTTTTCTAGAAACTTTGCCTGAAATGTTGGCAGTGACCTCCATAAGTATGCATGGAGGAAGAGGCAAAATTTAGTGCAAAAACAATGCCTGGAATCGATATGTAAATAATCTTTAAAGGCTGCCTAGATAATTCAGTTCCTGGGACACTGTGGCCAGAGGCACTTTACATTTAAAGCAAAGTGAGTGAGACCAAACATTTTTCAATGAAGCCAGTCACATATTGAACATTTTCATGAAATTTCAGACAGCATTTTGAAAGAAATACTATTAGTCAATTTGATAATCCATAAGCAGTACAGCCATCTTTTTCTCCACTGAGTCATCTCTCCTACTTTGGTTAGAAAACTAAAGTGAAGTTCGTGTGAGGCCTTCTCTGGACCAGCAGTTATAAGTGGTTGAAAATTTTTTGTGCGTGGTGGGAGTGGAAGACACCTTCACGTTAACTTGAATTCAGCTTCAGTTACTACTTAGGGAGGATAGATAGATAGATGATAGATAGATAGATAGATAGATAGATAGATAGATAGATAGATAGATAGATTTAGAGACAGTGATACGGTTTGGCTGTGTTCCCACCCAAATCTCATCTTGAATTATAGTTCCCATAATTCCCACATATTGTGGGAGAGACCCGGTGGGAGATAATTGAATCATGGGGGTAGTGCCCCCATACTGTTCTTGTGGTAGTGAATAAGTCTCAGAAGATCTGATGGTTTTATAGGGGAAAAGCCCTTTTGCTTGGTTCTCATTCTTTCTCTTCCCTGATGCCATGTAACATGTGATTTGCTCCTCCTTGCCTTCCACCGTGATGTGAGGCCTCCCCAACCAAGTGGAACTGTGAGTCCATTAAACCTCCTTTCCAGTCTGGGGTATGTCTTTATCAGCAGCATGAAAATGGACTAATACAGACAGAGTCTTGCTTTGTCACCCAGGTTTGAGTAGGGTGGCACAATCATAGGTCACTGCAGCCTCGAACTCGTGGGCTCAAGCAAGCCTCCCACCTCAGCCTCCTGAGTAGCCATGACTACAGGTGTGTGTCACTATGTCTGGCTAATATTTTTTACATTAAAATTTTTTTTGTAGAGATGTGGTCTCACTATGTTGCCCAGGCTGGTCTCAAACTCCTGCATCAGCCTCTCAAAGCCCTTGGATTACAGGTGTGAGCCATTGCACCCACCAGGGAGTACTTAATACATAGGGAATAGCTATCATGGGGTAGGCACTATGCTGGATGCTCCCACCCACATTATCTTGTTTAATTGTTAAAGTGACCTTGTTAGGAATTAAACGTCGAGATTCAGTTTGGTCATCTGTAAGAGATAGGAAATTGACTTGCACAAGGTCATGTTGTAGGTGATGTTCTTTCCCCAACCTTTAGTTGTGTTTCCATGTGTATATATTTAACTGATGCCCAAATAATGCTTGGCCTCAGAAGAGAAGAGAATTGACCCATACTTAGTACTGACTATGTGACTGTGTGCCAGCTATTGTGCAATGTGCATCTCCAACTTTAATGTGCATAGCAGTCGCTTCAGAACCTCGTGAAAATAGATTCTGATTCTGCTGATCTGGAGTTAGCAGTCCTGCAAGTCTGCATTTCTAACAAGCTCCCAGGTGAAACCCAGGATGCTGGGCCAGGATTTACACTTAACCCTAGCTATCATCTCATCTTATGGTTGAGGAAACTAAGCCTCAAGGAGTATACAGGACTTGCCCAAGGTCACACTGGTGGTAAGTGGTGGTGGGGGTGGGAGCGGAACTGTGATTTGAAAGCAGGATAGGTTGATTATAAGGCCGTTGCTGGTACAGTGCAATCTGCCACATCGCCCAAGGTTTTTGAAACCTTCTTCTTAAGAGAGGAGAAAATCCATTTGAATTCCAGGCTTGATGAAGGGGCCTGGCACTTTAAAGTCCTAGTTTCTTCTAAAGCTCTTTCTTCTAAGCTCAGAAAAACATGGTCTTTGCAGTTAATTGTGCATACGTTTATGTTTTTTCTCTTGGCTTCTTCAGATAGACACTTTGGTTTGCCACCCTTGCTTCACCTTGGGAACTCTAAACTACTAAGGCCCAAGCCCCACTCATAGGCCAATTAAACCAGAATCTCTGGAGGTGGGGCCCAAACATGGGCATGTTATTAAAGCTCCCCAGGTGATTCTGATGTGCAGCTAGGATAAAGAACCACTGAATTACAGATTCAAGGAAACAATTTCTGGAAAAATGTAGCCTCAGTCCCCTTTCTCGTGGATGTCATTAAAGAAGGTCCAGTGTATTTAACTAGACATTCACCAACAAGATTTCCAATTAGTTCTTGGTACCATTTTATTTTGTGACTGCGAGCTTGGACTGCTCTGAGATTGCAGCCTATATAAAGTTTGAAATGATTCTGTACAGACCCTAAGGGTGGGGAGCTGGTAAGGAGGGATGAGAGTAGAAAGATACAACATCATAGACCAGCTCCAGGGCAAAGACACATGTTGTAGGTCCTGATTTTCTTGCTAACCTAAGTTCTTGGGGGGGTATTTTGAAAAACTGAATTTGATTTTATTCAATTCAACAAAACTGGCTAGTCAAGAGATGGTCATTTTTAAAAATGAGAACACAGTGCAGGGTTGGATTAATGCTATAGAACTCTGAGCAGACCACCTTGGTGGGTGAGGCTGGAACAGGGCTTCTGTGTAGAGACGTGTGCTGCTGTGCAATTTTACACAGTGAACAGCGCCACTGCACAAGAGTACATACTCTAGCCTGAGGTGTGGGAAGAAACGCAAATAATTGGATAATCATGAGCCAGAGCCTGCCCTCAGGGAAGAGAGAGGAGAGAGAGAGGAGAGAGAGAGGAGAGAGAGAGAGGAGAGAGAGAGAGAGAGAGAGAGGAGAGAGAGAGAGAGAGAAGAGAGAGAGGAATTTTCACTGGAGAGAGTAAAGAAAGGCTTTACTTAGAGCAGTAATTTTCAACCTTGGCTCTGTAGTCAAATCATCTGAGGAGCATTGAAACCTACCAGTGCTCAGGCCCCAGCCAGGTGTTTCTGTTTTAATTGATCTGGTGTGGCAACATGGGTGTTTTGGTTTTTAAAAGTCCTCCAGGTGATGCTAATGCTAAACCACAACTGAGAACCACTGGTTTAGATTGCGTTCGTACTGGGCAGAGGAGAATGCATACAGGCAGAGAAACCTGGGAGAGACAAGTAGCTTGGGAGAGTCGTTCTCCAATCTAAGTATGATCCTTGACCAGCAGCATCAGCACCACCTGGGAACTTGTTATAAATGCCAATTCTCAAGTTCCAGCCCAAACCACCTCAATTAGAAACTCCTGGGTGGGGGTCCACAGTCAGTCTCAATAAGCCCTCTAGGTGACTGTGAGGCTCACTTAAGTTCGACTTGGACATGAACGTTTATGGAAAGGGAGTGCAATGAGCTAAAGCTATAAGACTTGAACCTAACAAGCTGATGTCAACTCTCCTGATGGTACCATTGAGATGTACAGCAATAACCAGTGTTCTAAGGTGGAATGTACTCCTCTCTAGTCTTACCATATCTTTCTTATCTGTTTGAAACTGTAGCACAGAAAAAAGTATATGTCATTCATGCAGGGGCAGAATACTTCTGGAAGAAGACTCTGCTTTTCTGGTAGAAGCTGCACTTTTCTTCTTAGTGGACCTATTTCTGTCTTCAGCAGGGGGATCTATCCTCCCTGGCCACATGGGCCTTTGGCTGATGGAAAGGCTGGGCTTTGAGGAAGCTGCATAGGTAAGGTGAAAGAGGGTCCCCCAACCTCCCCTTTTTGCTTCTCGTTCCCACCTGGGCCAGGACTTCGGTTGGCTGGGCCCCACCTGCCATTCACAGCAGGCCCCTGAGGCTACTCACAGAATGCCAAGTGATGCCACTCAGTAGAGAAAGTCTTTGTCCTATGCTGAGTAAAGACCCCACTGATGTGTAGCAGTGGTGCTTTATGTTTTGCCAGTCAGAGGCTTTCTTTTACCTGGGAGGTTGATGTGCACACCAGTGCATTCCCCTCTCTTCCTGGTCTGCATTGTATGGGCCAAACTCTCCAAAATGGAATAGCTGAGTCCTTGCAGGATGCTGAGCATCTTTGAGGGTCAAAAAAGTGTTTCCAGGATTGGAGCTAACTCTTCACAAAGAGGTTTGTAGGACAAAGGGACTTTACCCATCAAGTCCAGTGATTCTCAAATAAGGCAATTTTGCCTTCAGTTGTCAGGGCGGGGATTGGGGGGATTTGACAATGTCCGGAGGCATTTTTTGTTGTCACAACTTTGGGGAGCAGTGCCACTGGCATCTAGTGAGTAGAGGCTAGGGATACAGCTCAACATCCTACAATGGACAAAACAGCCCTTCACAACAAAGAATTATCAGGCTTCGAATATCAAAAGTTCCAGTGTTGAGAAACCCTGACCTAGTCTAAACCCCTTATTTTTGAAATGAGGCAGCTGAGGCTCACAGAGGTGAAATTACATTCTAAAGGTTACACAGAAAGCATCAAGTCAGGGTGAGGCTCCTGGTTTTCCAACTACCAGAGTGCATTGCTCAACAGTTTCATCTCTGGCAGGGACAGTGTTTCCTCCATTGCAGATACCATTTACTTTGTGCCTACTAGGTGCCAGGCAATGGGCTAGACTCTTCATTTATTACCGCTTCATAGCACACACCTTCAATGTAGGCATGACTATCCCTAGAAGTGGCTCATTTTGTGCATGCAAAACAACTGTATGAAAAGTGTTATAGGCCATTAAGAAAGCAAAAATGATTGCAAAAGAGACTGAGACATGGTTCTTGTCCTGGGAGCTTACATTCAAGTAGTGGAGAAAAGATATATGTCAAAATAGTGATCATCTAGCTTTTTACTTAAGGCCCATGATAATAACCAAAAACCTGTCCCGAGGCACCACAAGATAAATTTCTTAAAACGTATGTGGAAATTGAGAGTTAGGAGAGGGAGCTGACTGTATGCCTTAGCATCATGGGAAGGCTACATAGGTCAAAGAGAATTATTTGTGTGTATTATGAGTAAGCACTATCCTAGATCCCACATATAAATGGTCAATGAGACATATAATGTCTCTGCCTCAGGGGGCTTATATTCTTGTAGGGAAAGCCAGACAAGAGAGAAATACATACATATATAAGTAATTATAGACTGTGACAAATTGAAACCTCCCTAACGTGGCTAAAAGGGCATCTCTGAGGAGGTGACATTTTAGTGGAACCCTGAAGGACATAAAGGGGCCACTTGAAGGACATAAAGGGGTACAAGGCCTTGAGGCAGGAGAAAGCCTGGCATATTCTAGATACTAATGGAAAGCTAACGTGAGCCAGAAGAGAGGCATATAATAAAATTGAGGAGGTGAGGGGCCAGCATGGTAGGGAGTTTGCATTTCATTCTACCATGAAAAGAGCAAGTTAGCCTGAAGAAACATAGGATGGATGAAGACCTAGTAATGCTTGGAGAATGAGGGAGGTTGCAAAGGAGAAGGTAACTGAAATTTCCAAACATTGAAAAGTTGTTTCTACCTTGAACAAATTGAAAGACCATTAGCATTGATCTGTTCCATTCAGTGAATTATTTACTTAAGTTACTCATGCACATTTAAACCTGCTAACTTCATAGTGTCCATGGTGGCAGTAAAGCTTAAATCTTATATAGAGATAAGTAGATGGTTAGCTGGGAGGAAAAATGGAGGTCTTGAGCTAACACATCCTGTGGTTGAATGCACTTTTCAGCATGACAGGTGCTCAGTGACATGGAAGAGTCATTGCTCTAATTACCCCATTTTTTTTTCTCTCTTTCTGATTAGGTAAGGATGTCTGATAATCTGTATGTTTTGCCATATTTTCTGTTTCATAGATTTTTTAAGTATTTTATTGTTGGAGTCACTAATATGTGTCTAATAATTTTGATTGGTAGTCCCATTGCTGTCTACATTGCTGTGGCCTTGGTGATCTCAGATTTGCTTTGATTTAAAATCATGTATCATTAATTATGTTCTGTTATCTTTCGGAAGAGTTAATTTAAAGGCAAACAGCATCATCATCAAATAATTGAGGGCTTGTTAACTGCTTCCAGCTTGAAGCCAGCAAACCTTGCGAATTACAGTGGCCTGCTGAGGGGGCAGATGCCTCTGTGGCATTGTCAAAACAGTTTCCTAGGCTGTCTCTGGTTGCTTTTCTGTCTTTGAATAAGGGAAAAAGTTTTTTGGAGACAGGGGTAGTCTTGAAAAGTAAAAAATACTGAAGAACCCAATAGCTATCTAATATATTGATGCTTTTACAAAGTTGTCTTACTTTATTTATTTATTTAATTTTTTTGAGATGGCGTCTCACTCTGTCGCCCAGGTTGGTGTGTAGTGGTGCCATCTTGGCTCACTGCAACCTTCGCCTCCTGGGTTCGAGCAATTCTCCTGTCTCAGCCTCCCGAGTAGCTGGGATTACAGGCGTGTGCCACCATGCCTGGCTAATTTTTGTATTTTTAGTAGAGATAGGGTTTTGCCATGTTGGCCAGTCTAGTCTCGAACTCATGACCTCAGGTGATCCACCTGCCTTGGCCTCCCAAAATGCTGAGATTACAGGCGTGAGCCACCACACCCGACAAAAGCTGTCTTACTTTAGACTTGTTGACAAACACACTGGAATCCTGGCTACATGATAGGCTTTTTCAATAACTTACTATGTGACTTTTAAGAAGTTGCTTCCCCTCCTGAGTTTTATTTTCCTTATGTTTTAAAACAAAGGAGTGGCATTAAATTATCTCTAAAGAAATTTTGTTTGAAATGACATAGAGGATTTCATCATAGTGTTTGTCACGTACTAAATATTTAGGTAGCTGTTTTCTGAGGCCAATGTTATGTCTATTGATACAACTTTTATAGAGTAAACCAAAACATTCTAAATATAGGAAAGATAAATGATTAACTTATTTAGCTTCAAATATATTTAAAGGATACATTGCATTGGAATTTTTTTATTCTATCAGAGATTAAGGTTTACTATAAGATTGGTTCTTTCTTTACCTCTAGTTTGAAATGGGAATACTGTATTTCTGTGAACATGAGTACGTTAGGCCAGGTCAGCAGGCTTAGACTCTGTTAAACTCTCTCCTCTTACCATGACTGCTCCCTGACTGTGTCCTTAACCTTGACAATGGCAGAACAGCACTGCTGCTGCTGAGAAACCAAACCTAGATGCAAGCTTGCCCACCTGATGGTTAGTCAATGGAAAAACATTTGCAATGGGAACTAGCTCTTTTATAAAAGTTGCTTATAACCATCATCCCACCACTAAAGTCACTTATTCTTATCACCTCTGTGTCTGAGTATGCCACCTGTCAGTGTCTGTGTGTCTGTGGATGTGTGGATTTGCACATGTGCACTTGTGTCCTCCTACTCTGCACTACTCCTGTGAGACTTCGGAGTCCTGAATGGGAGGGCTGTGTTTTCGAGGCTGGGGGCACTGCCTATATGGGCAAAATTTCCCCCCAAAGGCCTGTTCTTTGGCAGCTATTCTCATGGGGCTCAGCAGCCTTTCAAAAAGCATGGGGCTTCCAGATCCAGAAATAAACCAGGAGCCACTTTTACCACCTTATCTGTCTTGAAGAGTCAAGTTGAATTTCTGAAATCGGAGGAAGCTTTGTATAAATCTAATGTCTACCTAATCACTGGAATTTTTTGTCCACCTCCAAGACTGGATAAATCTATTTTTGGGTAGGGCAGCAGGAGTCACTGAATGAAAGGTGGACAAATGGTTCAGATGAACAGTGGCAAGAGTGGTTGTCAGAGGATAGAGGTCATGTGCAAGAAGGGAATGTACCAGATTGGGTAAAATGGCAGAAAACATTGCATTAAGCCAGGGAAAAAAGAAACCCATTCCCTTTTCCTATCTTAATGGGCTGGATTCTTTGCAGGTCTCCTTTTCCCTTCATAAAGCTGGTACCCCATGGACGCATTGCATCCTCATCACTTTCTTAGGGAATCAGAACAAAGCTACCCACCTATCTTACTGCTGGAGTCCTGTGGGAAGTCATCTTTCATTCTTTCTGCTGTCAACTGCACATACAGCCACCATCCTACTTGAGGGAGCCCTGGGAATAAGTGCATTTGATATAACAGTTTTAATTTTCCATCCAAAATATCTCAAATTAAAGAGATTTTATAAGCCAGCGTAATGTGTTGCCTATACAGTGCCACTTCTGGTTTAAAAAAATCAGTGTTTCTAGCTCTTTTGCCAACATAACATCAAGCTACTGTTGGTTGACTACTCTTTTTTTTTCTGTTTTGCTTGAATTGACTGACATTTGAGGTATTGAGGAGAGACAGCCTGAGACCCAAAGCTGACCCATTAACTCCCAGATGTTCACGATTTCCGAGGAAATGTTCTGTGCCTATGGTTACTGTTCTGATGACTCCTTGAACACTCTCATCTTGGCACCTTTTGCACTTGCTAAATTCAATTTGAAGAAAGAACAAAAGACAGGGAAAATTTTGTGGAAAGCAATTATCCTGCACTTTTATGACCTTCATGTTTTTCCCATCATGATGAATTTTGGGGTTAGCACTTGTATCAGTCAGCATGTAGCTTTCACTAGAATTTTGTTGTGTGTTACAGATAACCAGTCGTATCTAATTAAACAATAATGATGCCAGTACAAGGCATTTTCTGGGAATTAATGACCAGCTGGGAAAAGCTGATGGCTGGAGAGTCAGCCAAAGGCTATTAGCTTCAGTCCACTATTAATCTCCAGAAATGTCAATTTGTGACATCATTGTTGGTACTGAGCAATGAAAATGGAAGACAGTTTACTGTTATCTGTCACGTACTTCTGAATAACAAATTCCTTATGCATTGTCAAAAAGTCATTTTTTCTCTTTTATCCTCCAATTGTCCTTCAGTCTTATAATATGTTTTCTATACAGCAGTGGGTGAAAATGGAATTTCTCAGTTTCCATATAATCATGGGTGCTTCTTTTTTTAAAGAGTTCCAATTTGGGGAGTTTTATTTAAATATTTTGGATGGTAAAACTAGAATTTGTCTTCAGCTGTGATGCTGGAATTTGATGAGTGTCTATATTATCATAACTATCTGCTCATGGCAGGAAATGGTTACAAATGTTTTGAATAGCAGCTGTTGCTAGCAAAGATGTGCATTCAACAACGAGATTCTAAGAAGTTATAGTCGCATTCCTAGTAGATGAAGGGAACTCTCTACGGAAAAAGCTATCGTGGTGTGTCTATGTAATATTTTTGATTGCTGCTGCTGAATGCTAGAGGGAAATAGAGAACTGACTAAAATATCAGCATCACCATCTTGCATAATTTAATGAGTTATAAAGGAAGACAACAATCCCTCATAGAGTCAATCTATTAAGAACTTGTTCTAAACTCATAATACTAATTTAAAAGTTATGTTGGTTTTTATACTATTTTTTCCTTGACATGAAAGGAAATTCTTAAAGCCCCTTAAGATCCCAGCCAATGAGCTAGGAATGTTTTACCCAACACAGAAGCTTCATATCCCATCTAAATTCAGCCACCATTTGTTTATTTATTTATTTTTTTTTTTACAAACACCACGGCATTATTCACCCCACAAGAAATTTGCTAGTAGTATCAGTCCTCCTACATGCGTGTTAAGTGTATGCATTTCGGGTAGTAGAATGAGTCAGCTCGTCATTAATCAAAGCTTTGGAGGCACTGACTCACTTCTGGTGAAATGGAATGGCCTCATTGGGAAGGGTGTGAAAGAAAACAATTCATGCTGGGGTCAGTTCCCTGTTTCTGAAAATGCAGATCAAATTTGCACCTATTTTCATGGAAGGTTTTCAGAATAGAGAATGTAGCAGTGAACCCTATAAAGGCAAATATCTTGCTTTTGCAGGGAATAAAAATAATAGTGATACAAAAACACTAGTGATACACTTAGGAAGCATATAAAGAGCCTAGAAAGAAAAATGTGGACTGAGAGGATCCTGGTGTATACCTAAGGCCAAAATTATTAAACCAGGCCTGGCTCTTTTACAATCCAACAAGGTAGTCCTTTGACCAAGCGTTGTTTCGTAGGCTCTCAGCTGGAATCTCTTGTCTTCATTAAGGGGTTTTGAACATCTGAAGAATGTTTGCAACAGCTTCAGTTCTCTTTGGAAATCAAAAGAGTAAAGAGCAGTGACTGATTCTTCTGTCTGTCTCCGTGTATACTGCTTGGAAGTAAGGCCCTCACCAGGAGCAGACCAAGAAAAGAAACAGAAGCAAATTTACTGATAATTGGTGGATATTAGCCAGTTTAACCTATGAATACTTATATTGTACTCAATCTGAAACCTATAAGTTCTACATGGTGTTTATTTAGATACAACATGAGCATCCATATTAAAATACGTTTTTGCACTTTGGGTATGATTTAACACTGTTTTCATTGTACTAGCAACAGAGGTATATATAGTCGAGTAGCTATTTCCACGGCTTTAGTATTTTAAACTAAGCCCATTAAAATAAAATCGCCAAGCTATTAGATGTTTTTCTTTGAAACTTTTCTTAGGGCTGTTGTTTCTTTAGTCTTCCCTGGGAGTATATTTGATTTAAGACATTCGCTGCTTTTCTGAGGCTCTAACTTGAGTTCATTTTGTTATGTGGTGACCACAGTTCTGGATGACGCCCCCCCTGGCACACAGGAATACATTATGTTACGACAAGATTCCATCCAATCTGCGGAATTAAAGAAAAAAGAGTCCCCCTTTCGTGCTAAGTGTCACGAAATCTTCTGCTGCCCGCTGAAGCAAGTACACCACAAAGAGAACACAGAGCCGGAAGGTTTGTGCACGACAGACGCGTGTTTTGCTTGTTTTCTCTCATTCTTCTTTCTTTCTCTTTCTTTTGGATTGTGCATTGCCCTCTGGTGTGCTGTGTGTTGTTCAGGCCCTGCCATAGCTAGGAGGCCCCCTGGCTGGCTGGTGAAAGTGTTATACAGTCTCAGATGGGACGCTGTATAATATGGTCATCTCTGGCACAGCGCACAGCGTCACCCTGCTTTTCACAGCTGAAACATTTTCAGTTGCTGTCATTTTACTGCCCCATTTGGGCTGGCAAAGTTGCTTGCTTCTGTAGCCAACATCTGGCCAATTCTGTTCCCATCACCTTGCATTCCTGAAGCAGCAGTCAGCTGAGGAATGAAACTTCTAAAATGAAATAATGAGAAGATTGTTTCAAAAATTTTCAACTCTCCTTCACTCCATAAAGCTTTTGCATTGCACTTGAAGAATGCTCATGATCTACTTAGTTTGCTGAAGCAGGCCCAGATTACCTGTATAATGCACGCCCCGTTGCACTTTGCCATGGTAAAATGCATGCCTCAAGGAAACTATGAGTAGTTTGTTTTTTCTTTTCAGCTCAAGTACAGGTTTGGACAACTCTACTTGCTGTTACTTAAACTGAGGTTAATAAGGTACTCATTGCAATCCATATCACAAATATATCTTCAAAGTATTTCATCTGGCCAGAAATGGTATTTATTCATTGTTTCCAACATTTTTGCATCTATCAAAGAGAAATATTTTTCACATTACAAATAAAATGTGGTAAATTTATTGCCATCTGTTTACATTCCAGCTTCCAAAATAACTTCTGAGAATTATAATGTAAATGCTAATACTTGTTAAACAGCCCATTTTCCCCTCACATTAAATATCACTGAGGCAGTTTACCAATGAATAACATTTGGAAGTGACAAAATTCACCTGTTCTTTGGCAGTTGGTGTATACTTTTGCATTAGTGGTTTTTGTATAATTTCTAAAAGCGACCTTGTTTCTATTTCAAGTTGCCCTTTTGCATCATTATGGGAATCCTTATGATAATTGTCTTTCTGATATGGGAGAGACTGGCATGTGGGTTAAAATTCGGTGAGTAAATAAATTTCTCCAAATGCACTCTAGTCCGTAGTTTTGGAAGCAAAACTTCACAACTCAAAGTTTCCCCTTTTCTTCTTTCCAAATAGAGTTTAAGACAATCATTGGCAGAAAATGAGAAGCCTACATGTATCTGTGTTTAATTCAGCCATAGAATAGAGCACTCATATTTATATTCTACCCATACTTTTGGTGTCTAAACTATTCACGTTGAGTGTGACCACCGACTTCCACATATATTCATCTGGAGGTATAAATGGTGAACTTTTACAGTGAGTAAAAGCAATCATTTGGTTGTTTAGTGGAGAAGATAACTAACTTTATTTTGTACTTTAATGAAACAAAAAAATTTTAACCAGTGACAATTACTTTACTATATATACTACATTCCAATATTTTCTGCTTTCTTTACTCTAAAAATTATAAACACACACACACACACACACACACACACACAGTTTTTGTACTTGCAAATCAGCCTAAAAATCAAAATTTGGTTTCGTTAAGAAAAATAAGCCAGTTAAGAAGCAGCTGGTTAAATTCGCTCAAGCAATCAGTTACATAATTAAAATATTTTTAACAATATTTCAGATTTTAAAAAACAGTTAAGACCCCATTCCTTTTATTATTACATATAATTTTGACAGAATCTGTTATTTTCAAGTACCATCTGGAGTGTATTGTAAATACTGTTATGAATATTTTCAGATATAGAGAATTCTTAAGAGAATAGGTAGCAGTTAGACTCTCTTCTGCAAAGTTAGGTAGTTTTTGATCTGTCATTTAATCCACATATTGAGCTGTTGCCATTGTGTTTAATGGGGCTGCCATCCTTTCACTTGTGTACTGTGATGATGGGCATTGTCTTCTTTCAGATTGGAGATTTTCCTCAGTCTTGCCCTCCTTCCAGGTCCTCCTGCCACGATATCAAAGCTAATATTTCTGTCTTTATTCTTATGAATGATTTGTAACTAGTATTAAAGTCAGAGGTTTTCTGGGATGACATTTAAATACTATTTGCAATCTTACTGTACCCCCTCAAACAAGATCCCAGAATCTAATGATGAACTCAGACCTTAAAATGAAAACACTTGATCTCTACACAAGTTAACAGGATCCAGAAGGCTTTAGATGGGGGCGAAAGAAAACATGCTGTGGAGCTGATCTTGGATAAATAAGGAAACATTGCCAAGAACTTAACATGCTTACTTCATGTAGGATATCGAAGCTCATCATTTCCAGGAGGCGAAGTAACTATGGGTTTGGAAGGGTTCACTGGTCATTCTGGCAACCTGGAAGATTTTTGCAGGACTGTTTTTTAATTGCCGTAAGTTATAGTGTTCGGTTCCCTCTTAAGGTTGTTGTGACATTTTGTTATAATTAGTAGAAATAAAAGACCTCTTTTTTTTTTTTTAACAAATGGATAGTGTTTTGCATTTAAACTATGTCTATACCTTGAAACATTTTATTGTTACGTGAAACATTTTGAAGAGATACTCCCTGTCATGGCCTCCGTGCCAAAACATGAGACCTTAATTGACCTTGGCTGTGGATGCTCACCAATTCTACAGCAGGTGAAGGCAATGGACAGGGTGGTTAAACCATACATTGTTTGATCTATGCAATGCCCGTATGCTAGTATAACCTCTTCTAATGAGATTATTTTTTTATGCAATGTTAAAACCCCCAAATGAAAAATTAAAAAAAAATTTTTAAGCCTTTTGGGGAAATAAATGTTTGAATTGCGTAAGCTTTAGAAATGATTAATTAAACAGGTTTATGTGTATTGTGATACAGTTGGAATTACTAAATTGATAAAAATTACCCAACTCTTTTTTAATTAGTATAGATAAAGTCTTGCTGTTTCTTTTGTTTGGCAGTGGTTTATAAGGGCTGGGCTGTTTTCATAGTTTATGACCTCTTAAGATTTGCTACAGATAATTTAACATTGTTTATAGTCACCCATCTTTTTATAGATATTTTTGTCTTACGTCCAGGGCCCTCAGAATCCATATAAAATAATACACAAAGGGACTGAAATATCTCACTGGCTTTTCAGGATACACGAAGGCCAAATTACACTTTGCCAATACCAGGTTTCTATTTATGAATATCCAATTCCAAAAAAATTTTTAATCTGTTCCAAACATTTGCGATTTTCAGTGACATGATTATTTCTATAAAAACCACTTATGATATAATATTATGTGAGTGCTGGAATTTGGCTGAAGAAGTGCACACAAGTATCTGAGAGTCTAATTTGGCCCAGTACCAGCAATGTTCTTTGTTAAAAGAAAGCCACATGGAGAGTGGAGATCATTACCAAAATCTTTTTCTTACCGCTCCAGGAGCCTTTTGGCAAAAGAAAGTATAAGCTTCATAGCTTTATTCTTTTGTTCACTTTATCTTCCTATGGCATTTGTGCCAAAATGAAATCACTAATTTAGAGTAACTCCTGGAAGCCAATCTAATATTAGCATAGTTGTCATTTCCTAAATGCCACTCCTTGGACTTTTACTGATGTTCGAAGATTGTTAAAGAGAATCACACCAAGATAAATATGCTTGCAAGTAGATAGTGTTGGAAATCTACAGGGAAAAATAAATCATGGATTCCCAGTGTTTGCTTTTAGGGTTTAAAATTCTGATTACGATAGTAAATGTGAAGAAATTAATGCAACATAGGAAAGTACTACAGAGCTTGGTGATTTGTCACCATCTTTTTATCAGGCATTTGAGCTCTTTGCTATAGTCCTGTTTTCATGTGATTACACACACACACACACACACACACACACACGCACACGCACACACACACACATTCTGTCTTCCTTAGGGCATTCGTAACCTTTTTATTCAGAGAGCCATCCAACCATTGCGGCTTTGGTTGGAGAAGAGAATCTGTGCTGGAGATTGATGATAAAGTATGGCAGCTTCCACCAACCAAGAGAAAGCAAAATTACATGCTAAATGGTAAGGGGGTATATTTGTAACTACCATGTCTGTTACTCTGATAATGCGTTGGGTTATTCCAGAAAGAGCATACATCACCATGAATATCAGTCTTACCTTAATGATGGGAGAGGAAGAAGTCAGAGGAATGCTGAGGAACATGCTGAGGGAAATGTTTTTCATCTTCATGTTTTTTCAACATTGTTGTTTTCCTGTTGTGCCTTCCTCATCTTAATGCTAATTTTCCTTTCGAGAAAAATGTGTCAGCATTAATTTGAATTAATAGTTGAATAAAACTAAACTATGGTTATTAAATCATTTTGTCACTAAGCTAGAGTTGGGTAATAACCTCTGATGCTTGTCAGCTGAAAATATCTTGACTTTCAGGAAAGACATAACTAGGTTCCATGTCTGTCTCCTTTAGAATAATTGAGGGGACATTCCTATTCTGTTAGAAAAGCATGGGGCCTTGGTTTGCATTTCTTTAATTATCAGTGATAATGAGCTTTTTTTTTTCTAATGTGTTTGTTGGCTGCATGAATGTCTTCTTTTGAGAAGTGTCTGTTCATGTCCTTTGCCCACTTTTTAATGGGGTTGTTTAGTTTTTCCCTTGTAAATTTGTTTAAGTTCCTTTTAGGCTCTGGATATTAGACCTTTGCCAGATAGACAGATTGCAAACATTTTCTCCCATTTTATAGGCTGTTTGTTCACTCTGATGATAGTTTCTTTTGCTGTGCAGAAGCTCTTTAGTTTAATTAAATCCCATTTGTCAATTTTTGCTTTTGTTGCAATTGCTTTTGATGTTTTCATTATGGAATCTTTGCCCATGCCTATGTCCTGAATGGCATTGCCTAGATTTTCTTCTAGGGTTTTTGTAGTTTTGGGTTTTATATTTAAGTCTTTAATCCATCTTGAATTAAGTTTTGTATAAGGTACAAGGAAGAGGTCCAGTTCCAATTTTCTGCATATGGCTAGCCAGTTCACCCAGCACCATTTATTAAGTAGGGAATCCTTTCCCAACTCCTTGTTTTTGTCAAGTTTGTCAAAGATCAGATGGTTGTAGGTGTGCGGTCTTATTTCTGAGTTCTCTATTCTGTTCCATTGTTGTATGTGTCTGCTTTTGTACCAGTACCATGCTGTACCGTTACAGTATACTTTGAAGTCAGGTAGTGTGATGCCTCCAGCTTTGTTCTTTTTGCTTAGGATTGTCTTGGCTATGCAGGCTCTTTTTGGTCTCATATGAATTGTAAAATTGTTTTTTTCTAATTCTGTGAATAATGTAAATGGTAGTTTAACAGGAATAGCATTGAATCTATAAATTACTTTGGGCAGTATGGCCATTTTAAACATATTTATTTTTTCTATCCATGAGCATGGAATGTTTTTCCATTGGTTTGTGTCCTCTGATTTATTTTGAGCAGTGGTTTATAGTTCCCTTGAAGAGGTGTTTCACTTCCCTTGTTAGCTGTATTCCTAGGTATTTTATTCTCTTTGTAGCAATTGTGAATGGGAGTTCATTCATGATTTGGCTGTCTGCTTGTCTGTTGTTGGTGTGTAGGAATGCTCGTAATTTTTGCACATTGACTTTGGATCCTGAGACTTTGCTGAAGTTGCTTACCAGCTTAAGAAGCTTTTGGGCTGAGACAATGGGGTTTTCTAGATATAGGATCACATCATCTGCAAAGAAAGACAATTTGACTTCCTCTCTTCCTATTTGAATACACTTTATTTCTTTCTCTTGCCTGATTGCCCTGGCCAGAACTTCCAATACTGTGTTGAATAGGAGTGGTGAGAGACGGCATCCTTGTCTTGTGCCGGTTTTCAAGGGGAATGCCCCCAGCTTTTGCCCATTCAGAATGATATTGGCTGTGGGTTTGTCATAAATGGCTCTTATTATTTTGAGGTATGTTCCTTCCATAACTAGTTTATTGAGAGTTTTTAACATGAAGGGGAGTTGAATTTTATTGAAGACCTTTGCTGCGTCATTAGAGAAATGCAAATCAAAGCCACAATGAGGTACCATCTCATGCCAGTCAGAATAGTGATTATTAAAATGTTAAGAAACAACAGATGGTGGTAAGGCTGTGGAGAAATAGGAATGCTTTTCCACTGTTGGTGGGAATGTAAATTAGTTCAACCATTGTGGAAGACAGTGTGGCAATTCCTCAAAGACCTAGAACCAGAAATACCATTTGACCCAGCTATCCCATTACTGGGTGTATACTTAAAGGAATATAAATCATTCTGTTATAAAAATACATGCATACATATGTTCACTGCAGCACTATTCACAGTAGCAAAGACATGGAATGAACCCAAATGCCCATCAATGATAGGCTGGATAAAGAAAATGTGGTATATATACACTGTAGAATACTATGCAGCCATAAAAAGGAACGAGATCATGTCCTTTGCAGGGACATGGATGGATCCAGAGGCCATTATCCTCAGCAAACTAACACAGGAACAGAAAACCAAACACCACATGTTCTCACATGTAAGTGGGAGCTGAACAATGAGAACACATAGACACAGGGAGTGGAACAACACACACCGGAGCATGTTGAGGTGAGAGGTATCGGGGGAGGGAGAGCATCAGGAAAAATAGCTAATGCATGCTGGGCTTAATATTTCGGTGATGGTTTGATAGGTGCAGCAAACCACCATGGCACACATTTACCTATGTAACAAACTTGCACATCCCACACATGTACACCGGAACTTAAAAAGAAAAGCATGGGACCATGTGTTCTGGTGACTCTGAAGAGATAAGAAGACTTTGTTCTCAACCTTTTTATTTCAAAGTCACTTTTTTCTTTCATGACTTAGGGCCACCCTGCCTTTGATTTATGACCTGAAGGATCACAAAATGACACAAGACAATTTTCTTTGCTCATTGAAGCAAATGGCAGCTTAATTGCAGAGTCACAAGAAAGATAAAAAAATATTAGTCCAAATTAATGCCAGAAATCTGGTGGCCTTGGTCATTAGCAGTGAGTAAACACTATCCTCTCCCCACAAAGTATTTAATTCTATTTCTCTTACAGCTTATGTCCTGATAACATTAGTAAACCAGCAATGGCAATGAAACCCATTCTTTCTTCCCCCTTATTTCCCCTACCTTATGGCAGCAAACACAAAATGAAGTCATATTTTGGGGATAGTTTCTACTCTCTGGAAAACTTACAGTCTAATCAAGGAGTATGTATAGTAGCCAGTAATTCACTTTCATGATAAGATGGACATTTATCATTCTCTTATTGAATATATGCATCTCCATTCAGTCTCTAGGCTGGAGGCTGGCTTTTAGAGTACAAACTAATAACCGTTCGTTCTTTAAAATATCATTCACTTTTTAAAGCAACTGACCTCCCCTCTCCCTTGAGCTTATGTGTTCCAATCATGGTGGTGGTTTCCTTGAGACAAAGTTGTTTCTCCTTTGTAACTCTCTTGGCTGAAGTCTTCCTTAGTTAATACTTGGAGCAGACATTTCTCCTGTATGAAGCCAGCACTGATGACCCGTTTCAGGCATTTATGTTTAAAGTGACACTTATCTGCGAAAGTGCTTTGAAAGTTCTACTAGATGAATGACAGTGTATGCTGGTGATTTTGATTTTAAAAAGTCAAAATCAAAGATACTTGAAAACATCTGGAAGTTATACATCCATATGGGTGCTTCCCCTTTCAAGGCCAAGACATCAGGGATTGTGTTGGCAACATGCTCTTGGGATGATGTCTTGCCAACTTTTCTGGAGTTTTTTTCTCTTCCCAGCCAGTTGGTAAACCACTTAAGAAATTCTGCCTTCTGGACCCAGCATGGTATGACCCAGCTAGGCTATGTTCCATGTCCATAAAGGCATAGCCTGAAAGACTGGTTGATTCCCCAAATCAAGCCCAATCCTGATATTAGAAGTCTACGTCTATTAAGGAGATGCACAAGAATGTTCTGCTCCCTCTGCTCCAATTTTCACCCTGTCTTTTGTTTTAAATGACAATTCACTTGCCTGGTTGAAGAGAATACAGGAGTGAACTATAATCTTTTTCACAGATTCTTACATAGTTATCAGATCAATGTTTTCCAATAATATTTCATGCAACACTGATCATATATTTATGTAAAAAGACAGCATTTGTGGTCAAATATGTTTCCCAAATTACACGCCATTCCTAGAGAGTCACAATGCATATGAGTATATGAAAGATTTTAAAGAGTCTTGCAGATTAGGAAGCTGTCTACCTTAGGCAGTTCAGTGGTAAACAGCATCTTCTAGCTACTGGACCCTTTTACTGATAATACAGATGAACATCTTCCAAGTAACACTTTGGGAAAGGCTCTGCTGGCTCTACTAAGCAGTGTGTTCTCATCAAACATGAGCTTTGTCAAGTAGCACACTTTTGAAAATGATTGCTGTTCCCTTCCTCTCGATTCCCACCTACTATCGTTAGAGAAAGGCTACTCAAATGTTCTTCATGTGTCTCAAGTTCTTTGTTACCAATCCATGACTAGATAAGGATCTTATGCCAGAAGGTAAATCACTGCTTCCTTCATGAAGAAAATATTGCTGTCTTGCTGTGAAAAGTAATGTCAGCTGAACTAAATAAGAACTGTATTAAGTAACATAGTTCACAGACTAGTGCTATGTTTGTGTACCATACATTGAGTAACACTGCTTTAGATTAGTGATTCTCAAACTTGGCTGTACATTGGAATCAACTGAGGATATTTAAATACTACTGACGCCTGAGCTCAACATCAAACCAAAAACTGACAATCAAACAAACAAACAAAGAAAACCTGCAAAATCTCTTGTCGTGCTTCTGGTCCCAAGCATTTCAAATAAGAGATACTCAACTTTTAGTTACTAGTTTTTATATGGATAAAACATTTCATTCTATGTCCTCATTGTATATTTTTTCTTGAGAAGAAATATTTCTTGAGAAGAAATAATTAAGTAAAAAGGACTTTATAACTGGAAAAAAATTTATTGTGGTAGCGGCTCAACAGGGGTACTTTTTTTTAAAATCTATCTAAGTGATTCTAATGTGCTAACAGGGTTGGAATCACTGCCTTAGGAAATAATCACCTTGGCATAAGGTCTGCTGAGTGATGTCAGCTGTCAATCCAGGAATCTTATCATGCTGATTGCATGGGCCTCTTCAAAAGGTGCCCTGTGATAGAGGGCTCAGCTGGAGAGGCAGCCCTTATATGACCTTTAGAACTTATGGCCATGTAAGGTATCCGTCTTTCCCACCATGTGCACACACACCTTTCTGAAGTTCCCTTACTTGTTTGCCACTCTGTGCTTTTAGAAAAATAATTAGGATTCTCCATAAGCGTGTGGTAATCTGCCACCTTGTGACCAACATTCTTTCTTGCAAGCAATTGTTGAAACACTTGTTCTGCTCTCAGAATCTGATGCAGCTTGCAAGTATGGGTCAAAGAGTTTCTCAGACTGTACTTAAACAAGAAGATGGAGAAGGAGAAAAGGGTGTCACGATATGCCAGAAAAGTACTGACAATTCTTTACTTGATTGCTACTGCTCTAGAGTAAGATTGCAAAGCTTGACTCAAGCAGCTTGTAGCCTGTGTATCTGTCTCTGTGTTACACCAGAGGCTGTCATCGAGGCATTGCCCTCTTATCATCTAAATGTAATCGGCTACTGCAGCATAAAAGGATTACAGCAGCCCATATGTGAAACTTGACTCTGACATGATTAGGAGGCTTTAATTGCTATCCATGTTTATAAATCATTCCTAGCATTTTAAACTACGTGGATTCTGATATTCATTTCTTATACTCTACGGCATTTTTTAGTGTGCTTAAGAATAGCACCTTCAATAATGACCACTGTGAAAGCGTTAAACAAGAGACATTATATTCTGCATTTTATCAGCACTTGCCCTTGTCTTGCCTCACAGCCAATATCCACACTCACTCCAGCACATGAAAATCACTTGTCCACTTCCACCCATGTGCTAGCAAATTTTTACTTATGAGCCCTAGCTATTTTAAGATATATATTCTCAGAAGCATGTCCAGCTTTGGAAGCAGCAAGTGTACAATGGCCCCAAGACTATATCTACAAAAGGGAAAGGGAAGAGAGCGTACTTCCACTGGGCCACATCTTCAGTGACAACACTGTGCATAGCCCCTTAGAAGCATGATCACGAAAACCCTGTCAGATAGGGTTGCTACTACCATTTCACAGATCAGCAAACTAAGATGCAGAAAGAGTAAGTCACTTCACCAGTAAATGAGAGGACTTGATTTGAACCTAATTTTTCTGGCTTCTAAAAGCCATGCCTTCTCCCCTCCATGGCTTCTCCATATGCTCAGTTTCCCCCCTCTTGCTCCATAAGTGCATTTGTTATCTAAAACAAACTGTAGTGCTAAAAAGTGATCTTAAGTGTAAAGGAATAAAATTCTGTCTACAGTCCTTCCTCAGCTTTGTGACAGCAAGAGTTTGTCATAAGCAGAAGGGACTCGACTCAGGAGGTACTTGCTCATTCTGTAGGCCTAAGATTAGGTAGAGTGCAGCACTCAAAAGGAAGAGATGAAATGACCCTTACCTTTAAGGAACTGATGACTTGGTCCCGGCATACAAAGAAATAATGGAGTGATTAATGAATACTTAAATTCGATTTGAATGCAATAGATCTGTTCCTAGATAAAAGATATTAAAAGCTCACTTGTCTACTCTGCTTTCTTTAGGCTAGGGAATGTGCCTTTCCACCTATGTGTTAGTCAGTTCTCACACTGCTATAAAGAAATACTTGAGACTGGGTAATTTATAAAGAAAATAGGTTTAAGTGGCTCACAGTTCTGCAGGCTGTACAAGAAGCATGATGCTGGCATCTGCTTAGCTTCTGGGGAGGCCTCAGGAGACATTTAATCATGGCAGAAGGCAATGCTGGAGCCAGCACTGAGAGAGGTGGCATCCTTTTTACGATAGTCTGTCCACAAATACAGGGAGACTCGAGGAAATGACACATCCATATTGAAATTATTTGCTTCTTCTCTCTCTTTCCGTGCATGAGCACAGGTGACTTGCCCTGAATTGGGTGTAAAACCTTCACAGAGGACTTCAATGGGGCAGGAGCTGTCTCAGTTGAGCTCCACCAGAGACCTGCCATTGCTCTCATAATGGCACAGTTGATTCTGTCCCTTCCAAAAGCACAAAACACTGGGACAAGGGAAACATGCCCCTTTGTGGTCGCTAGTTGCCATTCAAAGAGGGTTTGAATACACACACACACACACACACACACACACACACACACAAATGGACACATATTACTATTTAAAATAGTTTATTTGGGGGAAAAAACACTTAAAAGCAGAATAGTACAGCTCACATGGTTCCTCTACTGGAGTCCTTTCTACGATACATCCAGCCCAACAAAGCCCAGATTAATCACAGCCCTCTATGGGATAATATGGGCTCAAGCAAGCCATTCATACAGCGAGGACATTTGTCTAGCAAACTGCCTCAGGCTGTGAACAAAATCGGGTTCTTTTTAAGCAACAAGGAAGGAACAAAGGGCATTTCAAAAAGTGGGGATTATAGAAGCTGCCAGCAAGTAACTTTTCTCTTATGTTCCTTCTTCAGCCATTTCCCCTCTGTACTTACTTGATTTTTCTCTGAGAAGATAGCATTTAGAATCCATGTTAGAAGATTCATGAACTAATTCAGTAAATCTCTAATTGGCATACATGGTAAGCTGTTCACTTAGTGGATAATTGGTTAAATGTACCCAGAATATTTAGTGAGGGAGAAAAAAAATCCCCAAAGCAAATCAGCATAGTTTAGGAACCTTTTCCTCTAGTGCCGCTTTTTCTTTGTGAATGGCTACTGGTGCTTAAAAGTGGTCTCTCTCCCTTCCCAGTCAGGACTCCATTTAAATATACAACCTCCATTGCATCCCTACTTAATAGAGCTTTATTAAATGGATACCATAAGCATAGCACAGTGTCTGTCAACAGTAAGTGCTCAATGAATATTTATTATTACAAATAACTTATTTATCTAACACATTTTGATATTCTGTGTTCAACGGCCATTTGCTCTAATTCCAGGTGGCAAATGACTGAGTGCTTCTCATCACCATTAGCAGAATTGATATATTTGTTAATAGGTGTTTATTGAGTGTCTTGCACAAGCCAGGCATTATGGTGGGTAGGCACAGCATGATAAGACAGATTACATCTCTGCCCTCAAGGAGGAATTAAAGACTAGCAGGAAAGCAGACTTAGAACTACTTGATTATCAAGATTGTGTTGCATTCAAAAACACTCTAATACATAGTGGCTTAAACCCGCTAAATATATTTTATTTCTCTTGGGCTATAGGTTGGCTCTGTGGTTCTGCTGATCTAAGCTGGGCATTGCTTATCCTTCCTGGGCTCAACAATATATTTGTGGTCAGCTGGTAAGGCAGGGTGGCATTGACTGTTCTATGATGAGTTTGTACAGGACACCTCAGCTCTCCATGTGTTTTTCAAGTCTTATTTATCTATTTTAATATTCATTTATTAATTTTTTTCATTGAACATTTACTGAGCAACTTTTCTGTGTGTCAGGCACTATATGGCCTTGCATTTCAATTGCTCAGGAATGAGTTCTATGCTGGTAACACACATTCAGTATTGTTAGCCTCTGGCCAGTATTAAAACCATGAAAGCAGATGAGACACATAGGGAGAGAGACTAGAGAAGCAAGGCCTGGGGCATAGAAACATTGTAAGATGTTATAGAGAAGAAAGGACTCCAGAAGAAAAAGAAGGAAAACCAAAAGAATGAGGTCTAAGGAAGCCAAGGAAGGACTCGGCTTCAGGAAGGAGGAATGGATCAGTAGAGCTGAATGCGGTAAATCGTTGCTAATTTAATACAATCCTTTCATATATCCCTTTTAGCATCTAGGCTTTGTAATCCAGTTCCTTTCAATGTAGAACAGATGTCTCTGCCTCTCACGCTCTTGGGAATAAATGGCATAAATCACTGAAATAGTTAAACTGACCCTTGATAGATAGAGTGATGAGGAATTAGATGTTGTCTAACTGCTAAGGAAAGAGTAGGTCTTTGTAAAGATGTCATCGATTTTTCTTCTCTATAATGCCTGTAAAGTTTAAGGCTTTGGCAAGACCAATTTATTCTTTTGTTGTTTATCCTTTTGAATGTAGTTAAGCTTGCTCGGTAATTTTTTCTGTAATCTAAAAATATTGGATCACTGAGAATTAAAATTAAATCACCCCTTGAGTTTGGTATTTTAAAACTGACAAACTTTGAAGCCACATTAATATGATACAATCAAGATGACATTACATGTGTTTCCAATAAAGCAAGTTTTCTGCCAACTTTACAAACGTGCACTTTTGCTAGAAATTGATTCCTTGTCTAGCAGTGAACGTTTCTTGCTGAATGAAAGAAGTAGTGTTTAAAAAGAACAAATACACAGTTTTGTGGTGAAGAACTGTTAACAATATGATATAGAGTCTATGTAATTAGGCTAAGTTTTTATCTAGGATTTGTGAATGTTGATCCTAAGGAAATGATAACTTCCTATGCAAAATATGATGAAAGTTTTCTGTACAGAGTGTCCCACTCACCAAGGTCAAATGCTACTTCCTTAGTAGCCTCAAGGGAGGAAATAGGCTATGTGTTTTTGGGATTAAAAAAATAAGAAATTAAATGAATTCATTTTTCATAGTGTAAGGTAGAGTGTTTGGGAAAAAAATTCTTTTTGAAGGTCTGTCCTATGTATTTGAAGGTTTTTTTCCCTTGCACTTGGATTGTCCCTTAATTCAGACTGTATTAGGATACTACCCATTTCTAAACTAACATGAGAGACTAGAGCTTTTAGACACTTTTTGCTGACTGCCCTTTTTCCTAAGACAGGAGAATGTCATGACAGAAAATACTGCATTCCCAAAACATCTATTGAAATAAAAAAAATGTAGAAAGAAAATACTGCATTCATGGACCTACCTCTAGCAGCATTCCATTTTTTCCTTAGCATATCCAATACTACTTTTCTCCCTGAATTTGTTTAAATTAAATCTGTGCTGAGACAGGATCTTGTGCTTTGATTATAGGTTGGAATCTCAATAGTGGAACATGTGAGCTAACCAGGGAGCTTGTGAACCCCTTTGATATCCTGTCATCCTTTTCTCACCTATGTGGTAACCTAGAGAAAGGACTTTGAAGAAGAAGGAGAAATATCTCTGTAGGTAGATGGAAGAAGGTTACATTTAACATGCGAACTGAACTTTATCTTCTCTCTTGTTTAGTAAAATCACTGCTGGTTGGAGGAGCAGGGAGTGGACACTGGGAAAATCAGAAGCCAACCTGTGCCCCTACAGTGCTCCAGAGCTTTAGTATTTATTACATTTATGGAATGTTACCTATTTTTTTTCTACATAGAAGGTTTTAACAAATCAAGCAACACATTCTCATACTTGATAATGAATAACATTGGCTTAAAAATTACACCAAATTATCATGAGAAGCACAAGTGAGACCTAAAACCCAGTGAGCAAATCTGTTAGTGATTCTTTTCAGCTGTAAAAATTAGTTGAGATATTTATTTTTCCTTCAGTCAGTAGTGCCAGGCTCTGTGTTGAGCTAGAGCAGGATTTCTCAACTTTGGTGCTGTTGACATTTGGGGCTAGATAATTCTGTTGTCAAGGGCTGTCCTATATATTGAAGGATATTGAGCAGCATCCCTTGACTCTACCCACTAGATGCCAGTAGCACCCCATCCTAGTTGTGACAACTCAAAATATGTCCAAATATTGCCAAATATCCCATAAGGAGCAAAATCACCTTGTTAAGAACCACTGGGCTGTGTAATACCTATACAAACAAAACACATATATTCTGAAAATTACTCTGCTTCTTTGAGAGCCAGTCAAAATACTTCTGTTTCATCATAACCAAGGTTCTCCATCCTTGGGTTACTAAGGTAGTAGTTTCAACTTAATTCAAACTCCGCCTTACTCTTCCTGATCCTTCCCCTGCCCTTCTCAAACCTTTAACTTATCTCAGCTATTTATACAAATATAAATATATTTATATTATATAAGGCTCTCCAGTAGAGCTCAATGCAGTGATTTGGTATAAGAAAACTGAGGCTGCTTCGGGTTAAATTCCACTGTCATTGAATGAGTTACAACTTGGTTTGTTCCCTGTGTCTACTATAGGAGATCTGGAGAAATATGACAGAGTCCCTGCCTTTTAGGAGCTTGACATGAAAACTCTGTATATGAAAAGGAATGTAAGTCAGTTATATCATGGGCTCAGGCTCAAATATAAGCTCATTCAGAAAAATCTTTTCATTGCTGTCCTTTTAGAAGGCTTCTGCTCAGTCTAGCCTTTCTTCAGCAGGGCTGATGATGAGCAGAGGTGAAGGTATTCCTCAAGATTTTATTTTTCATGTTTTCATATCTAGTTCAACATTGAAAAACTTAGAACATTCAAGCTAACTATTCAGACTCGACTAACATTGGGTACCTATAATGGTGCCAGGCACTGGGCTAGTTGCTTCACTCAGTATTTAATCTTTAAAATAACTGCCAAAATGAAGCATCACTTTTTCCTTACCTCATCCTGGTTCCTTTACACTGTCAGCAAGTCTATGAGATCAGGAAAGAAGGAATTTTGGAATTTTCACATAATATTTTGGGGGACATGCAGTAACTAAACTCATTAAAATTCAGAGAAATTAATACTCCAAAAGACTATCAAAGAATAGAATTAAGTTTACCTCTTAGCTAATTTAATGTATTTTGATTTATTTTTTCAAAAGCAATTGTGGTTTATCTGGTTCCTGTTTCTTAGCTTTGATTTTGTTCCTTTATCGTAGTAAAGTGTCCTCAGTGACTCATGTTACTTTGGATAAGGTCCGTTCCTTCCTTGAGTCTCCATATCCTTATATATATATAAATAAAAAAAATTTTTAAAAAGGATTGGATAGGTACTGAATTCTCTTATTTTGTATATCTCAAGATAGTTTAAAATAAGACTCAATTTGTTATTATGTTTCCTGACAACTTTATGCATAGTTAAAATGGAAATTCAACTAATAGATATGGTTGAAGTCTGACTTCATAATTGTTTCAAGTTTTTGCTGCGTTGGTTGAGCTTGAGGGGAGGTTTCCTGGCCATATAATGATGGCCGTGGGCTTCTCCTTTTTCACATTTTTGCTGAAACTCGTGATCTTAATTCTGGACTTTGAGAAGATTAAAGCCTAGGCATGACCTGGTATGGGCACAGGGAGAAGGAAAAGTAACATTTTGTAAGTACTTGCCTGTCTTCCTTTTGAAAATTAGGTAATATGATCGAATTAGCTAAGTAACTTACCCAACATCTCACCATTAGAAAATGGGGAGATCGAAGTACAAAACTATATTCTCTTTCCAAGCCACACTCTGTTTCTTCCAAAAGGGAGACTCTCAAGACCTGCCATATGGATTAGGAGGTAAGCATACTTTTCCTGTTAACTCTGTGACCTGTTAACTCTTCCTTTTAGTGCCTCAAATCTTGACTTCAGGGACCTAATGCTTTCATGAACCTAATGCAAAGAACCCCTTGCTTTGTGTTATTTTGTGGAAGAATAATTTGGAGCAAAGAAAATCCCCTCACCATAGGCAGAAAGTCAGAAACTGGAAGCAAGAGAAAATGCTTGGTTGGTAGACCACCACCCTGGCCACTGGACTTCGTACCTTTATATCCTGATTCAAAATGGTAGATATCAATTTTAACATCACTCCTCAATTCACCAGCCCCTGTCTTGGGGCTTCCCTGGCATTCATCTTCTACCTATATTTCCTTCCTTCCCTTCCAGATAACACAATGAGAGTCAGGTATGGGGAGGCTTTATTCTGAAAGGAACCACATCTGTTTTCACTTTCCCTTTTTCATTTAGATATCCACTGTTTTATTATTGTTTTATTATGATTTCCCCTGTAGAGAAGTATACAGTGGCAGGGCGACCTGTTGTGCATATTGAATTTTACCCTTCATTTACTCCAATGTTTGCCTATTTCTGCTAGAAGCTGAACAGCAATCCATATTCTCCCTGTGTGTAAACTGTTTCTGGATAAGCATTAGGTACCATGGCGGGATGTTTGTTTATCCAACTGAAAGTCTAAAGGTTTTCAAACTCCCCAGTTCTCTTTTAGGTGGTAGCCTATTCATAGAATCAGCACTGCTGATTTATGAGCACCATAGCTGCTCAGATCTCTAATATTTCTACAGCTATTCCAAATTCCAGTAGTTTAGATAATGGAGGAATTTAATGAATAGCTAGAGAAACATACAGATGTTCCAGTTTCAGTGGAAACTAGAGAAACTTGTAGAATATTGCCTCAAGTCAGGTTTTCATTTCACCTTTCTTTACCCTTGTCCCCAGCATCTGACATTGGATTAAGAGCAGCAACACCATAGCCACCATTGCTAAAGTGCAATCTGGGCCAGATATCACCTCAAGTTTCTATAATCTCGATAGAAATGCTAGAATGTAGATATTTTATCCCATTTTTATACAGAAGGAAATTGAGCCTCAAAGACTTTAGGTAAGGCAGAACTGAAAACCCCAGTAGGTGTTAAAAAATATAATGTGATTTGAATTTTGAACTATAAGTTTTCTAAGCCAGATGGCTTTTACATCTGGGGTGTTACCTGGGTTACTGACTTGAACTGTTGTTTAAGATGTGACTAAACTTAAATTTATATTCTCTATTGACAAAACATTTTATTCTAGAGTAATTGCTGTACTAGATACAAAAACACTGCATTGGTAAATCTTTTGTTAGCTGTAAAGATGGTAGCTGCATATGTATGCATTCAAATCTGCTTGTTCATAAATAGAAGACCTGATTTATTAAAGATTTTCATATCTGACATTTTAACTTGAGATTTTTCACTTTCCTTTTTCTGTGAACAGCACGGCTCATCTCTGTAAGTTCAAAGTTTGTCAAGTTCATAACTCTTAAAAACCTTGCACAAACCATAACCTCGCCCTTTGCCTTCCCAGATCTATTCCCGAAACTGTCATCTTGATAGATTCGTGGAATAACCCTTCCTTCTCAATTTCTCAGCACTTTTCTGACCCCCTCTGTCTTAGTCTGTTTTCTGCTGCTATAAAAGAATACCATAGAGTGGAAAATTTTTTTTTAATGATTTATTTGGCTTACCATTCTGGGAGATGGGAAGTCCAAGACCGAAAGGCCACATCTAGTGAGGGCTTTCTTGCTGTGTCATAAGATAATGAAAGGTATCATATGACAAAGAAGTGTGGAGGGATGAAAGATAGAGGAAATTGAACCAAACCCATCCTTTTATCAGGAGCCCACTCCTACCTTAACTAACCTACTCCTACAATAATGGTATTAATTCATTCATGAGGGTAGAGCCTTCACGCCCTAATTACCTTTTAAAGGTGTCACCCATAAATACCATCACATTGGCAATTAAATTTCAACATGAGTTTTGGGGGACATATTCAAACCATAGCATTCTTCTCCTAGTCCCTCAAAATTCATGTATTTCTCACATGTAAAATAGATTCATTCCATCCCAGTAGCCCCAGCAATCTTATTTCAATACCAACTCAAATGTTCAAAGTCTCATCTAAGTCATATATGGGTGAGACTCAGGGAGGCAAATTCCTCAGGCAGTTTCTCTCCAGCTGTGAGACTGTGAAATCAAAACAAACTGTCTACTTTCAAAATACAATGGAGGGAATGGGGAATGGCCAAGAAGGCTGACTAGAAGCTCCATAGCTCTCAAAGAGAGGAATGGAAAGGACAGTAAACACAGCACCTTCAACTGAAACATTCAGGTACTCGCATTGGGACTAACGAAGGAAACAACTCAACCCATGGAGAACAAAGAATGACAGCCCACCTGAGAGTGACACAGAACCAAGTGAACCTCCCCCACCCAAGGAAGCAGTTGAGTGAATGTGTGACCCTGGGAAACCACAATTCTCCCATGGATCTTTGCAACCCTCAGGTCGGGAGATCCCATCGTGAATCCACTCCACTGGGACCTTCAGCCTGACACACAGAGCTACACGGAGTTTCTGCAGAGTAGCCACTCAGGCACATGTGGAGACCCAGGAGCTTTAGATACGCCAGCATTTCAGGCTTCTCAGCAAAAGTAACTGCAACTCCAGCAAAGTGGGAGGTTGGACACCTGTACATACCCCTAGAAAAGAGGCTGAATCCAGGGGACCAAGCAGTGATAGTCTGTGGACACCACTTCCACTGTGCCTCACAGGATAAGACCCACTGGTTTAGAATTCCAGCCAGTCACCAGTAGCAGTATTGCACCTACCTGGGACAAAGCTTTCTGGGGGAAGGGTGGGGCGCCATGTTTGCTGTTTGGGCAACTTAGCTGATCCAGACTGTAAGCTTTGGAGAGTCTAAACCTACCAAGGTTTGAAGGGATCCCCCAGCACAGCACAGCTGCTTATCAAAACATGGCCAGGCTGTTTCTTTAAGTGAGTTCTTGCTCTTTTCCTCCTCACTGGGCAGGAGCTCCCAACTGGGGCCACCACCCACTCAAGCCAGTTTTCTCTGGCCAACAGAGATTTGAAAACTCCCTGGGACAGAGAACCCAGAGTGAGGGGCAGGCTGCCATCTTTGCTGTTTAGGTGACATAGCCAGTCCAGCCTGTGAGCTTTGGAGAGTCCAAACTGACAGGGGACAGAAGCAGTACCCCAGCACAGTGCAGCGGCTCTACAAAAGCATGGTCAGACTTCTTCTTTAAGCAGGTCCCCAGTACTCTTCCTCCTCATGGGGCAGAACCTCCCAGCCAGGGCCTGCAGCCACCCCGACTGGTGTTCCCTGGTCTACAGAGTTTTGAAAATTCCCTGAGATTAAACTCCCAGAAGGAGGGGTGGGCTGCCATCTTTGCTGTTTAAACAACTTAGCCTCCAGCTTCTGCAGAGCCAAAGCTGACCAGGAGTGGAAGCAATACCACAGCACAGCAGAGTAGACCCACGAAAATGTGGTCAGACTGCTTTTTAAAGTGGGTCCCCAACCCCATTTCTCATCACCAGGTGGAGCCTCGCACCTGGGGTCTCTGGCTACCCCTAATGGTGTTCTCTGGCTGACAGACGTCTCAGCTCTCCCTGGGATGCAGCTCCCAATGGTAGGGGCAGACCGCCATCTTTGCTCTTAGGAAAACTTAACCATTCCAGTCTTCAGGCTTCAGCGTGTCCATGGTGACCAGGGGATGAAGTGGACCCCCAGCACAGCATAGCAGCTCTACAAAAATGTGGCCAGGCTACTTTTTAAAGCATGCCCCCAATCTCATTCCTCCTAACTGGGCAAGACCACCCAACTGGGATTGCCCGCCACCTCCTATACATGTGTTTAGGCTGGCAACAGGTCCATACCTCCCTGGGATGGAGCTACCAGAGGAAGGGGTTGGCTCCCTTATTTGCTGTTTCACAGCCTTCACTGGTGATACCTCCAGGTACTGGCAAATCCAAGTCTACTAGAAACTGGAGCAGACCCCCAGAATACCACAACAGCCCTATGGAAAAGGGGCCAGACTGTTAAAGAAAAAAAAAAAAAAACCCACCACCAAAAGGTCAGCAACCTCAAAGATTGAAAGTAGATAATTTCACAAAGATGAGAAATAATAATAATCAGCAGAAGAACCCTGAAACCTCAAAAAGCTAGAGTGCCCTCTTTCCTCTAAATGAGTGCATCACCTCTTCAACAAGGGTTCGGAACTGGGCTGAGGCTGAGACTGAGATGTCTGAAATGACAGAAGGAGAATTCAGAATATGGATAGGAATGAAGTTCACTGAGCTAAAGGAGTACATTGTAACCCAATGCAAGGAAGCTAAAAATTATGATAAAGCATTGCCGGAGCTGACAGACAAAATAGATAGTATAGAGAAGAACATAACCAACCTGATAGAGCTGAAAAATACACTACAAGACTTTCATAATGCAGTCACAGCTATTGATTGCCAAATAGACCAAGTGGAGGAAAGACTCTCAGAGCTTGAAGACTGGCTTTCTGAAATAAGACAGGCAGACAAGAACAGAGAAAAAAAGAATGAAAAGGAATGAACAAACCCTTTGAGAAATATGGGATTATGTAAAGAGACTGAATCTGCAACCGATTGATGTACCTGAAAGAGATGAGGAGAATGGAACCAATTTAGAAAACATATTTCAGGATATCATCCATGAGAACTTCTCCAGCCTAGCTTGAGAGGCCAACATTCAAATTTCAGGAAATGCAGAGGATACCACTAAGATACTCTACGATAAGATCATCCCCAAGACACATAATCATTAGATTATCCAAGGTCTAAATGAAAGAAAAAATGTTACAGGCAGCTAGAGAGAAAGGCCAGGTCACCTAAAAAGGGAGGCCCATCAGACTAACAGCAGACCTCTCACTTGAAACCCTGTAAGCTAGAAGACATTGGGGGCCAATATTCAACATTCTCTCTCTTTTTTTTTTTAACATTCAACAATCTTAAAGAAAACAAATTCCAACCTAGAATTTCATATCTGGCCGAACTAAGCTTCATAAGTGAAAGAGAAATAAGATCCTTTCCAGACAAGCAAATGCTGAGGGAGCTTGTTACCACCAGAGCTGCCTCACAAGAGCTCCTGAAAGAAGCACTAAATGTGGAAAGGAAAGACTGTTACCAGCCACTACAAAAACACACTGAATTACACAGTCTGTACACAGCCCAGTGACATTATACAGCACCACATAAACAAGTCTGCAAACATAATGATGACAGGTTGAAATCCACAGATATCAATACAAACTTTACATGTAAATGGGCTAAATGCCCCAATTAAAAGACACACAGTGGCAAGCTAAACATCAAAGACCCATTGGTATGCTGTCTTCAAGAGAACTATCTCACATGCAGTGACATACACAGGCTCAAAAATAAAGGGATGGAGGAAAATCTACCAAGGATATGGAAAACAGAAAAAGTAGAGGTTGCAATCCTAGTTTCTGACAAAACAGACTTTACCCAATGAAGATCAAAAAACAAAACAAAACAAAAATCCGCATCGCATAATGGTAAAGGGTTCAGTTGGACAAGAAGATCTAACTATCCTAAATATTTATGCACCCAACACAGGAGGACCCAGATTCATAAAACAAGTTCTTAGAGACCTTCAAAGAGACTTAGACTCTCACACAATAACAGTGGGAGACTTTAATAACCCACTGACAACATTAGATCACTGGCACAGAGAATTAACACAGATATTCAGGACCTGAAATCATCACTGGATCAAATGGACCTAATAGATATCTACAGAACTCTCCAACTCAAAACAATAGAATATACGTTCTCATCACTACATGGCACTTAGTCTAAAATTGATCACGTAATCAGAAGTGAAACACTCCTCAGCAAATGGAAAATAACTGCAATTATAACAAACAGCCTCTTGGACCATAGCACAATCAAATTTGAAATCAAGACTAAGAAATTCACTGAAAACCATATAATTACATGGAAATTGAATAACCTGATCCTGAATGACTTTGGGGTAAATAATAAAATTTAGGCAGAAATCAAGAAGTTCATTGAAACTAATGAGAACAAAGATACAATGTACCAGAATCTCTGGGACACAGCTAAAGCAGTGGTAAGAGGTAAATTTATAGCATTAGATGTCCACATCAGAGTGATACAAAGATCTCTAGTTAACAGCCTAACATCACAACTAAAAGAACTAGAGAACCAAGAGCAAACAAATCCAGAAGCTAGTAGAAGACAAGAAATAACCAAAATCAGAGCTTAACTGAAGGAGATAGAAACATGAAAAACCATTCAAACGATCACTCCATCCAGGAGCTGTTTTGTTTTTTTTTTGAAAAAAAATAAGTAAATAAAATAGACTGCTAGTTAGACTAATAAAGAAGGAAAGAGAAGATTAAAATAAACACAATCAGAAATGACAAGAGGGATATTACCACTGACCCCATAGAAATGCAAACAACTATCAGAGAATAGGATGAACACTTCTTTGCACACAAACCAGAAACCCTAGAAGAAATGGATAAATTCCTGGACACATACACCCTCCCAAGACTGAATTAGGAAGAAACTGAATCCCTTAACAGACCAATAGCAGGTTCCGAAATTGAGGCATTAATAGATAGTCTACCAACTGATAAAAGTCCAGGACCAGAGGGATTCACAGCTGAATTCTACCAGTTGTACAAAGAAGAGCTGGTACCATTCCTACTGAAAATGTTCCAAAAAATTGAAAACAAGGGATTCATCCTTAACTCATTCTGTGAGGCCAGCATTATCCTGATACCAAAACCTGGCAGAGATACAACAAAAAAGAAAACTTCAGGCCAATATCCTCAACACAAAAATCCTCAAGAAAATACTGGCAAGCCAAATCCAGCAAGCACATCAAAAAGTTAATCCACCATGATCAAGTAGGCTTTATATCTGGGATGCAAGGTTGGTTCAGCATACACAAATCAATAAATGTGATTCATCACATAAACAGAACTAAAGACAAAAACCACATGATTATCTCAATGGATGCATAAAAGGCTTTCAATAAAATTCAGCATTGATTTATGTTAAAAACTCTCAGTAACCTAGGTATCAAAGGAATATACCACAAAATAATAAAAACCATCTATAACAAAGCCACTGACAACATTATACTGAATGGGCAAAAGCTAAAAACACTCCCCTTGATAACCAGCACAAGACAAGGATGCCCTCTGTCACAACTCTTATTCAACGTAGTATTGGACGTCTCGGCCAGAGCAATCAGTGAAGAGAGAAAAAATAAAGCACCTCCACATAGGAGGAGAGGAAGTCAAATTATCCCTGTTAGCAGATGACATGATCCTTTATCTAGAAAACCCTAGTCTCAGCTCAAAAGCTTTTTAAGCTGATAAGAAACTTCAGCAAAGTCTCAGGATACAAAATCAGTGTGCAAAATTCACTAGCATTCCTGTACACCAACAGTCAAGCCGAAAGCCAAATCAGGAATGAACTCCCATTCACAATTGCCACAAAAAGAATAAAATATCTAGGAATATAGCTAATGACTGACGTGAAAGATCTCTGCAATAAGAATCGCAAAACACTGCTCAAAGAAATCGGAGATGACACAAACAAAGGGAGAAACATTCCATGCTCATGGACAGGAAGAATCAATATTGTTAAAATGGCCTTATTGCCCAAAGCAATTTATAGATTCAGTGCCATTCCTATTAAACTACCATTGACATTATTTATAGAACTAGAAACTATTTTAAAATTCATATGGAACCTACAAAGATCTTGAATAGCCAAGGCAATCCTAAGCAAAAAGAACAAAGTAGGAGGCATCATGCTACCTGACTTCAAGCTATATACTACAGGACTACAGTAACCAAAACCACATGGTACTGGTACAAAAATAGACACGTAGACCAATGGAACAGAATAGAGAGCCCAGTAATAAGTCTGCACACCTATAACTATCTGATCATTGACAAACCTGACTAAAACAAGCAATGGAGGAAGGAGTCACTATTCAATAAATTGTGCCGGGATAAATGACTAGCCATATGCAGAAGTTTGAAACTGGAACCTTTTCTTACACCATATACAAAAATCAACTGAAGAAGGATTAAAGACTTAAATGTAAAATCCAAAACTATAAAAACCCTAGAAGAAAACCTAGGCAATATCATTCAGGATATAGGCATGGGCAAAGATTTTATTATGAAGATGCCAAAAGCAATAGTGACAGAAGCAAAAATTGACAAATGGAATCTAATTAAACTAAAGAGGTTTTGCACAGCAAAATAAGCTATCAAAAGACTAAACAGACAACCTACAGAATGGGAGACAATTTTGGCAAGACATGCATCTGACAAAGGTCGACATCCAGCATCTATAAGGTACTTAAACAAATTTACAAGAATAAAAACAAACAACCCTATTAAAAAGTGGGTAAAGGACATCAACAGATACTTTTCCAAAGAAGACATACATGTGACCAATAATCAAATGAAAAAAAAATCAACATCACTGGTCATTAGAGTAATGCAAATCAAAACTACAATGAGATACCATGTCACACCAGTCAGAATGGCTATTATTAAAAAGTCAAAAAATACCTGATGCTGGCAAGGTTGTGGAGAAAAAGGAACACTTATGCACTGTTGGTGGGAGTGTAAATTAGTTTAGCCACTGTGGAAGACAATGTGGCAATTTCTCAGAGACCTAAAACAGAAATACCATTCAACTCAACAATCCCATTACTGGATATATACTGAAAGGAGTATAAATCAATCTATTATAAAGACACATTCATGTGTATGTTCATTGCAGCACTATTCACAATAGCAAAGACAGAATGATAGACTGGATAAAGAAAATGTGGTATATATACACCATGGAATACTATTCAACCATAAAAAATGAGATCCTCTCCTTTGCAGGAACATGGATGGAGCTGGAGGCCATTATCCTTAGCAAACTAACACAGGAGCAGAAAACCAAATACTAAATACTGCATGTTCTCACTTATAAGTGGGAGCTAAATTATGAGAACACATGGACACATAGAGGGAACAGCACATACTGGCGCATTTCAGAAGGTGGAGGGTAGGAGGAGGGAGAGGATCAGCAAAAATAACTAATGGGTACTTGGCTTAGTACCTGAATGATGAAATAATCTGTAAAACAAACCCTCATGACACAAATTTACCTACGTAAAAAACCTACAATTGTTCCCTTGAACTTAAAATAAAAGTTAAAAAAAAAAAGAAATGGAATAGCAAGGAAAAAATAACAACATACAATGGAAGGACAGGAATAGAATATATATTCCTATTCTAAAATGGAGAAATAGGCAGGAAGGGTTAGTTGTTTCAAATAATTCCCAAACCCAGCAGGGAAAACATCATTAAATTTAAAGCTGGAGAATAATCTCCTTTGACTCCATGTCTCACTTCTTGGATACACTGAGGTTGGGATTGGGCCCCCAAGGTCCCAGAACGTTCTGCCTCTATGGCTTTTCTGGGCCCAGTCTACCCAGCAGCTCTCACAATTTGGAGTCTCATGCCTGTAGCTTTCCCAGTATGGAGTTGCCCACTTGTGGCCCCATAGTTCTTGATTCTCTGAGGTTGCCTTTCTCCCATGGCTCCTCTAGTCATTGCCCTAGTAGTCTCTCTGTGGTGGCTCCACCCCTGTGACAAGTTTCTAATTAAGCCCCCAGGCAGTCCACAACATCCTTTGAAATATAAGTGGAGGAAGCCATCTCTACACAGCTCCTGCCTTCCACACACCTGAACAATTAGCGTCACATGGATGCTGCTAACATGTATGGCTTGTACGTTCTGGAGCAACAGGTTGAGCTGCACCTGAGCTCACTTGGGCCACAGCTGGGTTGGCCAGGGGACACTGTGCTGGAATGTGGGGAGAATAGACCCAAGGCATCCTTAGGCAGAGAGTCCATGGAAGATGCCCTAAGCCCTTCACCCAAAACCATTCTGCCCCACTGGTGCTCTTGGACTTTGATGAGAGGGGCAGCCTCAAAGATCTTCGAGATCTTTGAAATGCCTTCAGGATATTTCTCCCATTGTCTTGACAAGTAGCACCTGCTCCCTTCATTTATGATAATCTCTTTAGCAAATGGTTGCTTGGCAATACCTTTGATTTGCTCTCCTAAACACACCTTTTCTCCTACTGTAGGAGATAGCTTAAAACACACACACACACACACACACACACACACACACACACACACAAACACCCCTTTTCACTCTTTACATGGCCAGGTTGCAAATTTTCCAAACTTTTCTGTTCTGCTTCTCTATTTTAATTATAAATTTTATCTTTAAGTAATTTCTTTTCTCTTACATCTCACTGTATGTGGTTAAAAGTTGCCAAGCAATAGCTTGAATGCTATACTGCTTAGATATTTCTTCAGCCAGATTCACCACTCTTAAATTATGCATTCTATAAAGTTCTAGGACACGTGCACAATCCTGCCAAGTTTTTTAAAATTATATAACAAGGATGGTCTTTACTCCAGTTTCCAGTACTTTGTTTCTCATTTCTCTCTGAGACATCCTCAGAAGGGTCTTTACTTTCCCTATTTCTGTCAACATTCTGATCATAATCACTTAAGTAATCTCTAAGAAGATTTGAACTTCTCCTATAGCTCTCCTCTTCTTTTGAGCCTTCACCAGAATCCCCCTTAACATTCTATTCACAGCCATCTAGGCTTTCTCTAGCCTGTTCCTCCAAATTGTTCCAGCCTCTGCCCATTACCCAGTTCCAAAGCTACTTCCACAGTTTTAGGAATTTGTTATAACAACATTCCCGTCTTTATTACCCATTTTCTGTTTTTATTTGTTTTCTGTTGTTAAAGTAAACTACTACAGACTGGGTCATTTATAAAGAATAGAAGTTTAAGCCAGGCGCGATGGCTCACGCCTGTAATCCCAGCACTTTGGGAGGCCAAGGTGGGTGGATCACCTGAGATCAGGAGTTTGAGACCAGCCTGGCCAACATGGTGAAACCCTGTCTCTACTAAAAATATACAAAAATTAGCCAAGCATTGTGGCACACACCTGTAATACCAGCTACTTGGGAGGCTGAGGCAGGAGAATCACTTGAACCTGGGAGGCAGAGGTTGCAGTGAGCTGAGATCATGCTACTGCACTCCAGCCTGGGTGACAGAGCAATAATCTGTCTAAAAAAAAAATAGAATAGAAGCTTATTTGGCTCAGGGTTCTGCAATCTGTGAAGTCAAAGATTGAGTGGCTGCATCTTGTGAGGACCTTCTTGCTGAGTCAAAAAATGGCAGAAAGCATCTGCCTTAGTCCATTTTGTGTTGCTATATGGAATACCTGAGGCTGGTTAATTTGTAAAGAAAAGAGGTTTATTTGGCTCAGAGTTCTGCCTGAACAAGAAGCATGGCACTGGTATCTACATCTGGTGAAGGTCTCAGAGTGCTTCCACTCATGGAAGAAGCAGCAGAACAGGCGTCTGCAGAGATCACATGGTGAGAGAGGAAGGAAGAGAAGGGGAAGAGGTGCCAGGCTATTTATAACAACCAGCTCTCTTGGGAACCAGTAGAGTAATAACTCACCCCCCAGGGACAGCATTACTCTATTCAAGAGGGATCTACTTCCATACCCCAAATACCTTCTACTAGGCCCCATCTTACAACACCACCATACTGGGGATGAAATTTTAATATGAGATTTAGTGGGGACAAACAAACCATACCCAAACTATAGCAGCATCACATGCTGAGAAAACGTGTGTGTGAGACAGAGAAAGGAAATTGGGCCAAACTCATCCTTTTATCAGGAGCACACTTCTGCCTTAAGTAACCCATTCCTGTTATAACAGCATTAGTTCATTTATGGGGCCATAGCACACATGACATAATCACCTCTTAAAGTTTCCACCTCTTAATACCATCACAATGGCAATTAAATTTCAGTATTGGTTTTAGAGGGGATATTGAAACTATTGTACTCTCCATTTAAGTTCTTATCACTTCCTGCTAAAAATTAAAGGATTTTGTCTTCCCATAGAGGGAATGTCCTGTGTCTTTTTCCTGGCACGTAGTAGGTGCCCAATACATGTTTCTGAATTGAAGACCACAATGCTACTGTTTTATAAAGCAGATGGCGGGGGAGGGGTGCATACAAAGTAAATGGAACCTTCTGATACCTCTCAATGCAAAAAAAAAAAATACTTCTAATAATTGGAAATATTGACTGTTCCACACCATTGTTAAGGGCATGTTAGCCTTACTAGTAAGTGGCTTTCACAGAATGTGTTGCACAATAAGATCTGTCTCTTGAGTGCTGTTTTACCTTAATGGAGATTTTTTTTTTTTTTTTTTTGAGACGGAGTCTCGCTCTGTCGCCCAGGCTGGAGTGCAGTGGCGCGATCTCGGCTCACTGCAAGCTCCGCCTCCCGGGTTCACGCCATTCTCCCGCCTCAGCCTCTCGAGTAGCTGGGACTACAGGCGCCCGCCACCACGCCCGGCTAATTTTTTTTGTATTTTTAGTAGAGACGGGGTTTCACCGTGTTAGCCAGGATGGTCTCGATCTCCTGACCTCGTGATCCGCCCGCCTCGGCCTCCCAAAGTGCTGGGATTACAGGCGTGACCACCGCGCCCGGCCCTTAATGGAGATTTTAAAATGCAGAGTGAGCAATAGATTCATTAGTTAATCGAGGCAACTAGCCTCCACATAGAATTTTTTTGCAAGTTACTTTGGGTTAAAGACATTTGGGTTGCTGATTGTATTTTCCTGTATTTTTAATTCTGAGCTGTGAGAGTCCATTCATATATATCGTTTTCTCCTAGTGCCTTCTGCCGATTGCAATTACCTATAATGTAAACCACTGTACATGATATTCTGAAGGTCCTTGAGAATTTGTCGTCACCAGTGTATTCATGAGGGAACATTCCACTAGAATTAAAACAAAGAACTCGTAGCTGAACAAACCCGGGTTTTAACCCCACCTCTGCCACTTATTAGCTGTGTGATTGGAGGAAAACAAGCATAAAATAGAGACAATGATAAGATTCAACTTACAGAGTTGTCTTGAGGATTGATTAAGCATAGTGCCTATAACATAGCAAGTAATCAATAAAGGGAAATTATTTTTATTACCTTTGTTTATGATTATGATGATTTAGCTCTGAGTGATTCTTTTAACTTATCTTGCCATCCTTAAGCTTATACAGTCATTGACATGTAAAAATGGGCCTTCAGAGTCCTCATCTGTTTTTAGCCACTCGCAAACTGCTCACTGGGACCTATCTTATACTTTGCTTCTAGAATGATTCCTGAGTTTCACATATTCTGTTCCTAACACTTAATAAATTCTAGCTATTCTAACTATTGTTAAAATTGCCTTTACAGCAGCATTTCCTAATATGTTACCCAAATGAAATACTCACCTAGGAAAGTTCCCAAGAGTAAAAACTATTTGAGAAACAGGTACTAGCCATAACCCTGCCCTGGAAATTTTCACTGTACATTAGAATATTAAATAATCTAAACAGTCCTATATGATTTATTTTATGTATATAAAATCATTTCCACAGTTACAAAGTACTGCCTCCCCCCATGAAAGCTCTTCTGTGCTGCTGTCTTAATTTCTATATTCAGGACCCTCAACATTCTTTCACTCTCTTTCTACTTCAGGAGTGTCCCTCAATACGCAAGGGCATGAAGTTGCAATCACTGGGATCCAGCCACAGCACCGCAGAACAACCTGATCTGTTCATTAGAAGTTTCCAGGGAGTTGCTTCTCAATGCCTTTTTCTATCTTGGATACAAACTCTTCTAGCATTAGAACATGCTCTGGTAGCTGGCAGACTTTTCCTTTGATACCATTGAATCTTAAAATGTAGCCAATGGAACAGGAAGTGGAATCTATATAGAGGCGGCTATGTGCCATAAATGCTCCCCCATGTTACAATTCCTGATGTTACAAGCCTTATGGCTTGTCTTTCAGTTTACTGTGCTTTAATATACCTGTGTACCAGTGTAGTGCCATAAGATCCTTGTTGGAATAAAAGTTACTTAAGGTATGTAGCTATTGAGCTAGGATCTCTTGGGTCATAAGTAAATGCCACTTTATTACTATTTGAGTATTTGGATTTATAAAGAGGTAAATGGGAGTGATTATTCAATTTGCTAATAGATCCACTGAAAGATTGCTTTGTAATGCTGTTCCAAAGTATATTTAAATAAGCATTGATTCATATGCACCTTTCTAAGATCAAACCATTTTATTAGATAAAATAAGGGATTACCTTATTTGATTCCATCCCTTAGCAGCATTCTTAGGATCTGATTTTCTGTTTCCGTTTAGTCGGCAGATCATGAAGAGGCTTTCATAACTGGAATATATATTGTGAAATATTACCATGTAGATCTTTCCTTTACCACTTGAGAAATGCATACTTTAAACATGTGTTTCTGTGTTTTATATTCTGTGGAAAGATATCATAATTTGGTTTCACTTTGGATAGATTTTGTTTGAAAATTATAAATGACTTTTATGGAAATGAGTTAGGAATTTAAGGGGTGTGCCAAATTTTAGGCCACCTGGGTGCCATTAGTATATTGTAGACATATGTTGTCTAATGGAATTCACTTAGCCTAAAAGAATTAAGAGGTTTCCGGAAATAGCAATAACCTAATGCATTGGGCAAGGCATCCTAAAACTAGAGTTACAGCACCATGGCACATGGTTCTGTGGAAAATAGCACATCCAAATATTTCAGAAAGGATAGATGTAATGATCTTCTAGAAAGGATCTTTATGAATCAGAAAGCTGAGCTGATGGTGACTGAGAGCATAGATGGCTATTCAATCCAGAAAAGTTTTTCTGTCAGATGCTATCTCTGAATGCCCTTGCCCACATTGTGAGACCCATAATTGGAGGTCTAGACGTCCTCATAGGTTGTCCCAGTGTAGCTGAACTATTTCTTTATTGCCTAAGGAGTTAGAAACTCCCTATTTAAGAAGCCATGTAATTAACCATCCTAGGGTGAGTTTTGCTGCCACCACAGAACCAAGTATAGTGCAGAATTTTGTACACTATTGGTAGGAAGCCTAAAATTCCATTTTTGTCATACTGCCACTGAAAAAACTATCAGCTTATCTTCATGAGCTAAGAGTGAGGCTGCCTATTAATATCATTTGCTTACATATTTAACATATTATATGCTAGTCGCTGCACTTTAAATACATGATTCCATTTACTGCTCATTTTGCGAATGAGAAAACTGAGGCTTAGAAAGGTAACTTGCCTGAGGTCACACAGCTTGTAAGTAGCAGAACAGAGACTCAAACCCAGGCAATCAGAGTCCAGAGGTCAAGTTCTTAACTATAGCAGTTCATTTTCAGAGGGTCTGTGTGCTTATCATGGGGGCCTGGAAAAGTAAAGAATGAAAGAGTTGCTTTTTCCTTTGAAGTAAAAGCAAGAGAAAGCACTGAGTTATTTTTATGTAGCTGCACATTATGGACGACTATTATGTGCCAGGTACCAATAATAAGTCTTTATACACATTATTTTTGTAATCGCCATAAGAATATCATGAGTTTGATCTTAATGTTTGTCCTTAATTTCAGGATGAGAAATGGAGATGTGGAGTATGAATTTGTGTTTACTTGCCCAAGGTCACCTGGCTAGTAAATTGGAGCTGGAATTTGAACCCAGATTTGTCTGACTCCAAAGACAATGCTCTTTAACTATTATGTATACATTTCCCCAGTAAGCAACTCCTAAAACATTGAAACTGTCACAACCTGTATGGGGATTTCTCACAACTAAGATGTCACAGTGATAGGTAAGAGGAAGAGAAGATCAGTGTAATAACAGCCCAAACATCCCGTAGCCTTATTCAGTGATCCTAGAGTCATCCTCTTTAAAGGAACACTTTTCTCATGTCCTTGGTCCTGTATGCATAAAAAATGTATTGGAAGCTACCTGTGTAGTGGAGGAAATGCCCAGAGGAGAAAATGGTTGAGCATGAATATTGTTCTTACGCACGAATTGAACAGGGCATATAATTCCCTTGAAGCAGAAAGACATTGTTCCTTTTCCTTAGGGGCCATGAAACTATAGCTAAGTGAAGGAAAAGGAGGTGAGTTAGAGACTTTGTAACATAGAAAATCCTAGCCGTGCCCAATCACTTTTCTTCAAAGACCAAATGTTAACATATCATGGGCTCTTTGAATATACTTAGAAGGAATATAGGCAAAATTTAGTAAAATTTGGCCTGTATTTATGGCCAATATCATATATAGCTCCACTTAAAATGTACTTTTTATCTTTAAGACTAACATATTACTGTCATTATATATGTTCAGTTATCCCTTAACTTTTGACCTGCATTAGGTCAGTTTTGAACAAAAAGTATCGTAGTTGGTCAGGTTCTAATTTTTTAGGTTATTTAAAAAGAATAATTCTCCCTATTTGCTCTTTGCCCTGACAAGTGAGTAGGTCAAGTGCATTTAGGATACAGCTTTGCCACTGAAGTCACCACATCAGTCATTCAGTCATGTATCTTATTGTTTTCTTCTTTCATCTTCCACAGCAGATGTCCTAAACCTCTGCAACTGGGCTCAAGCCTTTGCCCCATCTGAAGCCTACTCATCAGATGAACTGTCTTGACTTTGCAGATGAAAGTCCAGGGGAATTCCCTTAGCTTCCCTCTTCTGCACCTTCAAACTTACCCCATTTGTAGTCAGCCTCCATCCCATTCCCCATCTTAGAGAAAATGTCTTTCTTCCTGTGCCAAGTTAATCCTCCTTTCCTTTTTGGTATGTGCTGTGGATCACATTCTTCCTGCCCCTTCAATTACCTTGATCTCAATCAGTCTTCCCTCTCTTACATTTCTAGCTTCTTCCTTCTCACTTCATTGACTATGCTGTCTTTCAAAATATAAATATGCTCAGATAAAGGAGCTCTAGAGACTGGATGACTATTGGTGCTAATTGGCAGGGATAGGACATGCAAGAAAATGAGTTACAGGTTCACTCACATGCTTCACCTATTCCCTATATAAAAATAATCCATCAGTTTAATGTTCTGATCTCTTAAATGGATATAATAATATGGGCATGGTATGGTTCTTTTGAGGATCCGATGAAACAGTGCATGTCACCTCACTGAACAATATGTATCACCAAACATAGAAACTAGCACCTAGTAAGTGCTCAGAAATGATAACAATTGCAGTCATGGTGTTATTTACAGTACTTATAGTAGTAATAGCAGGAGTAATTGTATAGGGGAATTGAACTGAAATAGATTCAAGGTGCCCCTTGCTTCTAAAAGTAGAAGCTTGAATCCCATTGTTGCAGGACTTTTCCTTAGCTCAGCTACAGATAGGGTTCTTGTCACATAGCCATGAAAGATTAGGCTTGCAGACAATTTGAAGGGTGAGTAAGGCAGGGTTTTATTGGGTAAAAAGGAAAAAAAAGGGGAAACAGAAACTCTTAGTGAAGTGAGAGAGTGTGTTTATCCTGCCAGCGGGCTTCCCAACTTACAGATTGAATTCTGGGTTCCACCCAGAAAGAGGAGAGGCCAGGCTCCTCCCTGCTGCAAACTGTGAACTTCTGTGGCCCCACCCTATCATGCACTCCTCCTAGTGCGCAGGCGGGCTGGAGTCTCTCTGGGGACTCCTTCCCACCTAGCTATCTCACCATAGCCCCACTGCCCAATCCTTTTTCACAGTGTTTAATATATTACAACTGTATCTCAACCCTCTATCATCTCCTCTCAAAGCTTCTCTTGTTCCAGACACATTGGACCACTTGACAATCCCCAAATCAGGAGGCTGTGAACTTTCACGCCTCCTGACTCTGTTCATGCTGTTCCTTCAGTCTTCCCCGCCTTTCCCCCTTCTCCATAACACCTCGAATGATGTTCTCTGATATGTGACACTTTCCTCATCTCCACACTACTCTGTGCAGTGTTGGTTATCCCACAGTCTCTATATGTACTGTACCACACTGTATGTTCATAGCTGACTTGGTTTTCCATTTGCTACACTTGGAACTCCCAGAGGACAAGGATGAGTTCAGCTTGGTATCTCCACTGCCTAGGCATTCAGTAAAAGCATAATGATTGTGGTAATGGACAACTTCTGTGGCACCATGACACTGCCTGCCAGGTAAGGAACTGCATGGCCAGTTTAACAAAAATTTTGATTACATTATTAGAGATTCTTTATTTTTGAAATTTTAGAGCAGTTAAATAGCAATGTCACTTTCCTAAAATTTCGGATTCCTGTATCTGTTGCCCTTCTTTCAAGCCTGCAGCTCTTTGTAAGTTTCAGTAATAACTCTGTCCACTTGCCCTTCCAAGTTTAAGTGTGATAACAACTTTATACTCTTGCTCATCCCTGGGAGCTTCACCACCTCATAAGGGTTTTGTGAGTGCTATCTATACTTCTTTAAATGGTCCCTTTATTAAACACTCTTCAGTTATTCCCTTGAGTGTGCTATCTATTTTCTGCAAGGACACTGCCCATATGAAATGACCCTTCTCTTTCAGTGAACCCAGGTAGCTTTTGGTAATTTGTTTCCATCAGGTTATTGACTGCCCCTGAGGTGTCTCGAAAGATTTCTATCCCATTATCTATAACTGTAGTCTGGGAAAGTTGTTGACAATCCGTAGCATTACTATGTGCAACAATGTAAAGGTAAGAAATTGCTTTGACTCTCTTACTGTGAAGAATATAGTGCTACAACCTGTCCTCATTTCTGCAGGAGGAGATAAACAGAGGCCTTCTGTATGCTTTAGAATGATTGATTCTAACCAAGCATAGAAATCCTGGGCAGAGGAAAAACCACATTTCTTGACTTGATCTTGATCTTTTAGGTCACTTCTAAACCTGAGGTTGATCTTGATTTGGTGTGTAATCATATCATGTCATCATCATCAGATATTTTGTACCTCTCATATGTGAGGACCTATAATGCTAGACACAAAAATGCAGGGTATGAGCCTTGGTTCTCCTTCCCATATTGAAGAAACTAGGCTATGGGAGAATAATTTGATTATTTTTCTTTTTAAAAGGCTTGAAATTAACTTTCTCTTATACTCTTCCTCCTGTCATTCAATTTTATCGCCATTGATCCCTCCACTCTGTTCCATGTATTTAGTCACAGAACCATAGAAATCTCTTTTAAAGCAGGATTATTCAATAGAAACATAATGTAAGCCACATGTGTAATTTTACATTTTCTAGTAGTCACATTTAAAAACTAAAAAGAAACTGGTGAACGTAATTTTGATCATGTATCTTATTTAACCCAATATGTCCAAAATATTATTTCAACATTTAATCATTATAAAAATATTTAGTGAAATAGTGTACTTTCTAAATACGAAGTCTTCAAAATCTTGTATAGATTTTGTACTTAAAGTACATCTCAATGCAGATACTAACTACTCATCAGAAATATTTTGTATTTCAATTTCATCACATTTATAGCTGAAAAAGTAGATTGACATTGCCCAAGTCGTTCCAGGCATACTCAAAAGTTTTCTGATAACTGAACCACGTACAGGTTTTTGTATCGAAATAAAAGTTTATTAAAATTTTAAACAAGTTAAACATTCAGTTGCTCGGTCACATTAGCTACATTTTAGGTGTTCAAGAGCCTTATGTTGCTAGTGGACACCATCTTGGACAATGCAGTTATAAGCTATCTCTAGAATGTATCTCCTTTTTTCACTTCACTAATAAAGCCTAAGATGAAGGCTTTACCATTGGCTGTTTGGCCTATTACCACATTCTCCTATCTAGCCTCTTTGTCTTTCATTTTCTGCCAGCTTACCTCAGGCTGTCATGCTCCCTGATTCCTGAGGCATTTTGGTAAATCACATATCTGGTCACATAATTTTACTGCTTAAGAATTCTTTACTGCCCACTGTTGAGTGAAATGCAATGCCCAATTTTCTGAATATGACTTGCTGGACCCTCTCTGAGCTGGTCCCTGACAAGCTTCCTAGTGTCTTAGTCTGCCACCCCTCATGTATTTCCCTGTACTTTAAATGCACTGGACTATTCTCCATTATCTAGGAGCACCATGCACAAACAACCTTCCACAAATTCACTCTCACTAATGTCTCCCAAATTTTGCACTTTCTTCAGAACCCAGATCAAATGCCATTTACTATAAGAAGCTTTCCACAAGCCCTTCTATCAGACAGTGGTAACTTTCCCATGTATCTCTCAAATAAAATACTTTTTCCACTGCGTTACCTTCAGATGTAAGTTGATTTGTCTCACGAACTAGTCTGTGAGCTCAGAGCAGAGGTTAGCAAACTATAGCCCGTGAGCCAAATTGTGTGTTTTAATTAATATAGGTTTTTTTTGGAGCACACCTATGCTCATTCATTTACATATTATCTATTGCTGCTGTCATGCTGCAGTGGCAGAATTGAATAGTTCCAACAGAAACTTAATGACCCCAAACCCAAAATATTGATTATCTTGCCTTTTGCAGAAAAAGTTTGGCTACCTATGTCCTAGAGGATGAGGACACTGTCTTATGCATCCTCAGTGCTAAGCATTGCACTAGGTACATGCAAGTTTTCAGTACATGTTTGTGGAATCGAACAATAGATAAATTGAATCAAATTGAATTGATGAGTTTTATGAAAGTTGATGTTTCTGTCTGTAATTGGTAAGTTATTTGAGGACAGGAATGGTTCTTGCTATTTCTTTAGAATGCCTTATGATATTTACCTTATTGTTAGTTACTTTATAACTGTTCACTTAAATAAAAGAATTTTTGTTTTTCCACCTTCATTCTTTTTGTTTAATACTATGTACCACCTACCATTTTTTCTGTAATTTCTATTTGATTTTACTTGTTTCTCAAGGATGCAAATGGATTAAATCCTGAGAAGTTGAGTGCCTCCAATACACAATTACATAATGGAAGCTGTGAACTCAAGTCTTGGCTTGATCTTTGGTCTAATTGGCTGCTTCAGATAAGCCACTTGGCCTAACTTGTTGTTTTTTTCTGAATCTTCAGTGCAAATCACAATATTCCACCTTCAAGTTATTGTTTGAAGTACATGTGAATGTGATATGCAGTTCCATAATAAGTATTATGAACATAATTTTTTTAAATAAAGAAGGTATTTTTCTCCACTAAAAATGGAGAAATAAACATTATATGTGCTGATTTTAAACATTACTTAGAGTCAGCCTCCATTATTGAAAGTTTTCTGTTTTGGGTAAGAAACTGGTGGCCACCAATACTTCCATATTAACACCAAAAGACCATTTGGCCATCCCTTTTAATGTCATATTTAAAAAGCGGAATTCTGAAAGCAAACCTGGGAAATGGCTTCCACACTTGAGCCATACATTTATGAATGGAGAACTTGAAGAACAAGAGCATACAAATCTCAGAGAAGGATCTGGAGGCTTTATGATATGAAAGCAAAAAGTACAAGAGCTGTCACTGGGGAGTTCCATTTCTATAAGGACTTTCTATGTACTAGTAGCTAGAAGCATTCATTATTCACTCCAACCTCCAGCCTTATAGTTTATGTTTCTAGCTTGCCTTTTCTCAGAATTCTTAGGTTAATGACAGATTCTAGTTACTGAGCACTACTATATACCATTTATATATTTTGTTTATATAATTGATATCTTGTCCTAAAAAAACCCCACTGAGGTAGGTATTAATATTTTTAATTTACAGAAAAGGATATTGAGCCTCAAAAAGGCTACATAAGAAGTAAGTAGCAGATCTGGGTTTTCTACCTAAGTCTCTAGAGCCCATACTCTTAACTACCATACAAACTGTAAGATTTTCTGAGATTAAAGCAATGGGGCTTCCGAAAAAAAAGTTTCCATATGGTGCTTTGAAATATTCTACCTTTTTCCTCTGAAGAATGAAGTCCTAGAGCTGGGAGAGGCCAGAGAAGTCACCTGTTAAGAGGCTGAATGACTTGCCCAAGTTAACTTAGCAAAATTAGTGGCCCATACAATTCTCTAGCCTCCTGACACCTGGTCTACTGCTCTGTATACTACATTTCAATCCACATTTCTGGATAAAAATAGCCAAGTGCATACCCATTTTATTTTTATTTTAAAATTCATTTAAAGAAAAGTATTTCTGCTTTGAGAAAATGAAAGAAAAAAAATGACAGCCCTCCCAAAGTAAACTAAGGATGATTCTTTTTTACCAAATCTTTAGGGAATCCAGCCAGAGATGCCAGCACATACCGAATTGCTTGTTTAAGAGTTCTGCTGCTGACAGTCTGGGGTGCTGTGAGCAAATCTCTAAATTTCTCTGAGCCTTAATTCTCATCTGTAAAATGAAGAACTTGAACTAGATGAAATATAAAGTCCTTTCTAGCATATGAGTGTGTGTGTGTGTGTGTGTGTGTGTGTGTGTGTGTGTGTGTGTGTCTGTGCATATATATATCCTTATATAACTTTAGGAGTATGATTAGATAACTTTAGGAGTATGATTAGGAGGTGCCAGGACCAATTGAAGGAGATAGATTTGGGCTCAAATAAGAAATTCCTTCGTATGGACATAGCCTTCCTTAAGTAGACTGAGATACCGTAAGTAGTGGTGAATTTCCTGTCATTGAAGTTATTCAAGTAGAAATGGATAGCAACTTGTTGGAAATGTCATAGTAGTCATTCAGACATTAAATTGATGATTGGGTTACAATTATGATTAATGTTATTCCATACTTCACACTCTGAGAAATCAAATATGTAGAAATCTCTAAGCACAACCACAAATTTTAACCCTGTGCTCAACTACACACTCATTCAACAGTCGATTATTGAGTACCTTTGAGGATTCTAGGTACTGTGCTAGAACTGGAGATGTCAAGACTTAGGACATTGCCTCTGTCTTGAGTGTTACAGACCAGGAGTGTGCAAACTGTGGCCCAAAAGCCTGATCTCACCCACTGTATGTTTTGGTAATAATAGTTTACTGGAACGCATCCATACTTATTCACTTTCATATTATCTATGGCTACATTTACGTTACAACAGAATTGAGCAGTTGCAACAGAGACCATATGGCCCACAAAACCCAAAGTATTTACTATGTGATTCTTTATAACAAAAGTTTGCCAGGCCTTGTTGTAGATAAACATGTACATCTGTAACTTCAATCCAGTGACCTAAGTGGGAAACTGGAGAAAACATAAAGGCAGCACATATGATTACTTCTTCTTGAACAAGGATCAGAAATTTTTCAGAGGAATTAAACCATATCATTGTGCTGTCTTTGAGTGGGAAGAGACATTACAGGTTATAACTGTCTTCATTTTCCATCAGTATCTCTGCATATTGCCCCTATAGCATTCATGACACACCACTGACATTTTCTTAAAAAGGAGAGCATACATGCACCCTACAGATAAGTGGCAAAATTATATAAAGTTTAGCCTGCCAATTTATGCAGGAGTGACAGCAACATCCATAGGTTGCCTTTGCATTCTAAAATAAATTAAGAACCAGTTATGTTCATGTTACTGTTTTAATTTAAAACCAAACAATTTCAGGGTCTTTATCTGGTTCATGCTGAGGACATCAATCTATAGGAAACTCTTCAGGAAATAAAGGACTAGGGTCCATCCTCCTTCCCATACAGAGGGATGGAAGCCCAGTGTCTGTGGCCATTGTTGTTACCACAAGGCGGTATACCTAAGTCCTATTAAGCAGGACTCACAAGTTCTCAATAATCAGTTTTAGGGCAGATATGGAAAAATAACCATAATAATCACATTTGCCCTCCTATCATTGCAGGGCCTCCTGAAGTGCTATCCACACAGTTGAAATTCTCAAGATAAATGTTGTTGACTGATTGACTGTATTCTTCCAAATTTACTACCAATCTGGAGAGGACTACAACAGTGTGATTAATGATTTGTAAAATATTCTTTTCACTTACATATTCAAAGCCTTAATCCTCTAATTATTTTTAAAATGCAATGTGAGATGGATACTATGACAATAGGGGTCCTGAATGCTCTCCTAATAAGCAGATGAAGGTCTCCTTAGAGCAGGGATGTCCCATCTTTTGGCTTCCCTGGGCCATATTGGAAGAAGAAGAATTGTCTTTGAGCCACACTTAAAATACCCTAACAGTAACAATAGCTGATGAGGTTTAAAAAAATTGCAAAAAAGGTCTCATAATGTTTTAAGAAAGTTTATGAATTTGTGTTGGGCCACATTCGAAGCTGTCCTGGGCCTCATGCGGCCCATGGGCCATGGGTTGGACAAGCTTGCCTTAGAGAAAAACAAATCATTTGTTAAAGTTTTAATTTTGACATGATTTCAGACTTCCAGAAAAGTCACAAAAACAGTACTCTATAGTACATCAGTTTCCTATTTTTTGCAATTACAAGAAATGCTGCAATAAGTAGCCTTGTGCTTACATATTTTCATATTGTTGGTGATACATTTTCAGGATAAATTCTGATGAGTGCGATTGCTGGGTCAAAATACATATATTTTTGTTAAATATTGCCAAATTCCCTTCAGAAATTTTATATTTCTACCAGCAATAGGAATTGTGCCTGTTTCTTCACAGCCTCACCTACAGAGTAGGTTGCACTATTTAATTTTTGCCTGATAGGTGAGAACTAGTTATCAGTGTAGTTTTAATTTACATGTCCTTTTTTATGAGTAAGGGTGAATATTTTTTCATAAACGTAAAAGCCATTTTAATATCTCTTGTGACTTATTTTCATATTTTTGATCATTGTTCTATCTGAGATTTGTTTTTTTATCCCCTTGAATTTTAAGAATTCTTTGCATATTAGAGGTATTAGCCATTTATCTGTTATATGTGTTTCAATTATTCCTCCTCTTTTGCCAGTTATCTTTTGATTTCTTTATGGTTTCTTTATGGTATCTTTTGATTTCTTTATGGTAATTTTGGGCATGCATTAGGTTTTTGGTTGTTGCTATGTAGTCAGATTTAACAATCATTTGTTTTATTGTACCTGGATTTGGAGTTCTAATTAGGAGAACTCTTTCTACACCCAGTTTAAGAAGAATTCACCCATGTTTTCTCCTAGTGTTTGTTTGGTTTTATTGAACAATTAGATCCCTGATCCATTTGGAATTTATTTTTATTTTTACTTTTTTTCTTCTTTTTTTTTTAAATTATACTTTAAGTTTTAGGGTACATGTGCACATTGTGCAGGTTAGTTACATATGTATACATGTGCCATGCTGGTAATCATGGATGTAATGTATCTTTTCCTAAATGGTGTCCATTGTTGCAGTATCATTTGAAAACTCCATCTTCTCTAAAGTTATTTGAGATGTCACCTTTATTATATACTAAAGTTCCATATTTTCTTATGTCTATTTCTGAACTTTCTACTCTATTTAACTGGGCTCTATTGATGTGTCAGTACCACACCTGCATTTTTTTTCATTTTTTCCCGCAGCTTTTTTTGGATATAATTGACCAATAAAAATTTTACGTATTTACAATGTACGGTGTGACATTTTGATATATGTATACATTGTGAAATGATTACGTCAAGCTAATTAACATATGTATTACCTTATATACTTATTTTTTGTGGTAAGAACATGTAAGTTTTACTTTCTTAGCACTTTTTAAGTATACAATGTAGTATTATTAACTATAATCATCATGCTATATGTAAGATTCTTTGAACTTATTTCTCCTATCTAATCCAAACTCTGTACTCTTTAACCAACCCCATCACCCCTCCCCAGCCCCTGGCAACCAGCATTCTACTCTCTGCTTCTATGAGTTTGACATTTTTAGATTTCATATATAAGTGATATCAAGCAGTATTCATCTTTCTGTGTCTAGCTTATTTAACTTAACATGATGCCCTCCAGGTTCACCCATGTTGCTGCAAATGACAGGAATTCATTTTATTTTAACACTGATTATTGTTTCATTGTGTATATAGACCACATTTTATGTATCCATTCACCCACTGATGGACACTTAGGTTGATTCCATATCTTGAGTATTGTAAATAACGCTGCAATGAACATGAGAGTGCAAGTATCTCTTTGGCATACTGGTTTTATTTTTTTAACGTGTATCCAGAAATGGAATTACTGGATCATATGATAGTTCTATTTTTAATTTTTTGAGCAACCTCCATACTGTTTTCCATGATAGCTGTACTAATTTACATTCCCACTGAATGAGAACACAATGATATTCCCTACATCCTCCCCAACACTTGTTATCTTGTGATAATAGTCATTCTAAGAGGTATCAAGTAGTATCTCATTATGATTTTAATTTGCATTTCCCTGATAATTAGGATGTCGAGCATTTTTTCTTATACCTGTTGGCCATTTGTATGCCTTCTTTTGGGAAATGTCTACTTAAGTGCTTTGCTCATTTTTTCTTTTGGTTATTTGTTTTCTTGCTATTGAGTTGTTTGAGTTCCTTATATATTTTGTATACTAATCCCTTAAATGTATGGTTTGAAATTTTTTTTTCCATTCCATAGGTTATCTCTTCACTCTGTTCATTGTTTCTTTTGCTGTGCAGAAGCTATTTAGTTTGATGCAATCCCAACACCCTTTAAATTATAGATGATTTATAGTATGTTTTACTGTCTAGTAGGGCTAGTACCTGCTCATAGTTTATCATTTTTTGTGTGTTTCACTGGCTATTGTTAATTTTTCCATGTGAGGTTCAGTGACAACTTGTCTAATTCTAAAAATAACTTATTGTTATTTTTATTGGGATTATATTAAATTTATGAATTAATTTACATATTTATACTATTGAGTCATCCTATCAAAAAACAAGAAATGTCTTTCTATTTCTTCAAGTCTACTTTCCTTTCCTTTATGGATGGAGAAAATGTAAATTAAGAAAAATATAGTTTTGGGATTTTGAATTTATACAGGATGTGAAAAGTATATTTAACAAGCAGAACATGTGCATATGTAACAAGCAGAGAAGAACAAATTTTCTCCACTGCCATTCTAATTATATTCCAAGATAGAAATGTCCTAGTCCTTCCTTTATTCATTCATATATTCTCATTGGTGACTCCACTGAAGCCAGAAAACATACTTACCAAAACCAATGAGAATACTCATAAGAGATGACAGTCATGACTGATAATACTCAAAATTCAAAACCATCTTAACAGTCTGGAATGATCAACCTAAACTCAACAAGTGGAGAAAATTCTGCACTGAGTCTTAAAAGTGGAATTGCATAGGTGAAAGTCAGGAAAAAGTTGCTTCAACTGCATTACTTTTGACATCTGGAGGAGGTATCTAGATTGACTGCAAACTTAACAGAGCACGGTATTTCACTGTAGCAACTGTTAAAATGGTATGTTTATCCAAGCTTCATTAAATGGGTATCAGTAGCACATCATTGCCCTAGAGGGTGGATCAAGAAGCAGCAGAAAAGTAAAACAAGGAGGCAGGTGTTGTTTCAACTTGGATTTCCTAGTAAAGTTTATTTGACCAAAGAATTTGAGGGAGAGAAGAAAGAGAGGGAGAATTAGAATGAAGGAATGGACAATCATAGAGCAACAACAAAAGCAGAGAGCTCAGTTAGGAAGCTGTTGGTGCAGTAATAAGCAGAGTATGAGGTGCTCTGGCTAGACTCCGCAATGATAGTGGAGATTATGAAAAGTTATCAGCATTGTGGAAGACAGTATGGTGATTCCTCAAAGACCTAGAACCAGAAATACCATTTGACCCAGCAATCCCATTACTGGGTATATACTCAAAGGAATATAAATCATTCTACTATAAAGACACATGAACATGTATGTTTATTGCAACACTATTTAAATGCCCATCAGTGATAGACTGGATTAAGAAAATGTGGCACATATACACCATGAAATACTATGCAGCCATAAAAGGGAATGTGATCATGTCCTTTGCAGGGATGTGGCTGAAGCTGGAAGCCATCATTCTCAGCAAACTAACACAGGAACAGAAAACCAAACACTGCATGTTCTCACTCATAAGTGGGAGATGAACACTGAGAACACATGGACACAGATAGGGGAACAATACACGCCAGGGCCTGTTACAGGGTGGGGTTGAGGGGAGGGAACTTAGAAGACGGGTCAATAGGTACAGCAAAACACCATGGCACACGTATACCTATGTAACAAACCTGGAAACCCGCACGTTCTGCACATGTATCCCATTTTTTTTAGAAGAAATTTTTTTAAAATCCAAAAAATTTTTAAAAAGAAAATGTTACAAATCTTATTCATGTAAAAACATGTGTAACTATATTTCCCAACTTTTCTACATATGGAATGTATTATCACATTGGTCTAAAATCAAGGTATAACCAAGATCATCAGGAATGGAGAGGTAGGAAGTGGTATAAGAGCCATAAATTCTCCTTTTTCCATAGTGAGACATTAACAGATACCATCAAAAGTGGAAAAATTTGGAGGTAAACCACTTAAAAAGTTTAAATGATAACTAGATGATGAACCAAAAACCAAAGACTATTCAAAACAAGTGCCTCATATCCAAGAGAAATGAAAACATGTCCACACAAAATCTTGTACATGAATGTTCATAGCACCATTGTTAATAATAGCTTAAAAGTGGAAATGACTCAAAGTTCATCACCTGATGAATGGGTAAAGATAATGTGGGCTGTCTGTACTACTATTATGATAAAAACTGAAATATTATGCATGCCGCAAATGGATAAACTTTGAAAACATTATGCTAAGTGAAAGGAACCAATCACAAAAGACCACATGTTGTATGATTCCACTTATGTGAAATGTTTTAGAATAGGCAAATCTAGAGACAGATGGTAGGTTAGTGCTTGCAGGGGCTGGGAGGAGGAGGGATGGAGAGTGATTGCTAATGGGTATGGGGTTTCTTTTTGGGGTGTTGAAAACATTCTAAAATTGATTGTGGTGATGGTTGCAAACCTTGTCAACACATTAAAAACCACTGAACTGTAAAAAAAAAAAAGAAAGTGGTTGGATTTGTAATATATTTTATAGGTAGAATTAATGAGATGTAATGATGGATTGGATTGGGGATGAGGGAACGACAAAAATAAAGGGTAAAGTTTAGTTTTTGTGATTGAACAACCTGGTGGATGGTGGTGTCATTTACTAACATAGGAAATACTGGAGGGAAAGTAGGATAGGGTACAGGTGGGACTGGAAATCTAGAGTCCTGTTATAGTCATGTCCATTTTGAGATGTAGAAGTTTGACATAGAGCTACACAGTTAATTACTATACAGTGTCTATCTTAAAAGAGCCCCTAGTCTTGTTACAGAGGCAGAAAACTATTTTTTTATTCTTTTTTATTATTATTATACTTTAAATTCTAGGGTACATGTGCACAATGTGCAGGTTTGTTACATATGGATACGTGCGCCATGTTGGTGTGCTGCACCCATTAACTCGTCATTTACATTAGGTATATCTCCTAATGCTATCCCTCCACACTCCCCCCACCCCACAACAGGCCCCGGTTTGTGATGTTCCCCTTCCTGTGTCCGAGTGTTCTCATTGTTCAGTTCCCACCTACAAGTGAGAACATGTGGTGTTTGGTTTTTTGTCCTTGGGATAGTTTGCTGAGAATGATGGTTTCCAGCTTCATCCATGTCCCTACAAAGGACATGAACTCATCCTTTTTTATGGCTGCATAGTATTCCATGGTGTATATGTGCCACATTTTCTTAATCCAGTCTATCATTGATGGACATTTGGGTTGGTTCCAAGTCTTTGCTATTGTGAATAGTGCTGTAATAAACATATGTGTGCATGTGTCTTTATAGCAGCATGATTTATAATCCTTTGAGTATATACCCAGTAATGGGATGGCTGCGTCAAATGGTATTTCTAGTTCTAGATCCTTAAGGAATCGCCACACTGTCTTCCACAATGGTTGAACTAGTTTACAGTCCCACCAACAGTGTAAAACTGTTCCTATTTCTCCACATCCTCTCCAGCACCTGTTGTTTCCTGACTTTTTAATGATTGCCATTCTAACTGGTGTGAGATGGTATCTCATTGTGGTTTTGATTTGCATTTCTCTGATGGCCAGTGATGATGAGCATTTTTTCATGTGTCTGTTGGCTGCATAAGTGTCTTCTTCTGAGCAGTGTCTGTTCATATCCTTCATCCACTTGTTGATGGGGTTGTTTGATTTTTTCCTGTAAACTTGTTTAAGTTCTTTGTAGATTCTGGATATTAGCCCTTTGTCAGATGGGTAGATTGTAAACATTTTGTCCCATTCTGTAGGTTGCCAGTTCACTCTGATGGTAGTTTCTTTAGCTGTGCAGAAGTTCTTTAGTTTCATTAGATCCCATTTGTCAATTTTGTCTTTTGTTGCCATTACTTTTGGTGTTTTAGTCATGAAGTCTTTGCGCATCCCTATGTCCTGAATGGTATTGCCTAGGTTTTCTTCTAGGGTTTTTATGGTTTTAGGTCTAACATTTAAGTCTTTAATCCATCTTGAATTAATTTTTGTATAAGGTGTAAGGAAGGGATCCAGTTTCAGCTTTCTACATATGGCTAGCCAGTTTTCCCAGCACCATTTATTAAATAGGGAATCCTTTCCCCATTGCTTGTTTTTCTCAGGTTTGTCAAAGATCAGATGCTTATAGATGTGTGGTATTATTTCTGAGGGCTCTGTTTTGTTCCATTGGTCTATATCTCTGTTTTGGCACCAGTACCATGCTGTTTTGGTTATTGTAGCCTTGTAGTATAGTTTGAAGTCAGGTAGCATGATGCCTCCAGCTTTGTTCTTTTGGCTTAGGATTGTCTTGGCAATGCAGGCTCTTTTTTGTCTCCATATGAACTTTAAAGTAGTTTTTTCTAATTCTGTGAAGAAAGTCATTGGTAGCTTGATGGGGATGGCATTGAATCTATAAGTTACCTTGGGCAGTATGGCCATTTTCACAATATTGATTCTTCCTATCCATGAGCATGGGATGTTCTTCCGTTTGTTTGTGTCCTCTTTTATTTCGTTGAGCAGGGGTTTGTAGTTCTCCTTGAAGAGGTCCTTCACATCCCTTGTAAGTTGGATTCCTAGGTATTTTATTCTCTTTGAAGCAGTTGTGAATGGGAGTTCACTCATGATTTGGCTCTCTGTTTGTCTGTTATTGGTGTATAAGAATACTTGTGATTTTTGCACTTTGATTTTGTATCCTGAGACTTTCCTGAAGTTGCTTATCAGCTTAAGGAGATTTTGGGCTGAGATGGGGTTTTCTAAATACACAATCATGTCATCTGCAAACGGGGACAATTTGACTTCCTCTTTTCTTAATTGAACACCCTTTATTTCTTTCTCATGCTTGATTGCCCTGGCCAGAACTTCAAACACTATGTTGAATAGGAGTGGTGAGAGAAGGCCTCCCTGCCTTGTGCCAGTTTTCAAAGGGAATGCTTCCAGGTTTTGCCCATTCAGTATGATATTGGCTGTGGGTTTGTCATAAGTAGCTCTTATTATTTTGAGATATGTTCTATCAATACCTAATTTATTGAGAGTTTTTAGCATGAAGGGCTGTAGAATTTTGTCGAAGGCCTTTTCTGCATCTATTGAGATAATCATGTGGTTTTTGTCTTTGGTTCTGTTTATGTGATGGATTACATTTATTGATTTGCATATGTTGAACCAGGCTTGCATCCCAGGGATGAAGCCAACTTGATCGTGATGGATAAGCTTTTTGATATACTGCTGGATTCGGTTTGCCAGTATTTTATTGAAGATTTTTGCATCAATGTTCATCAGGGATATTGGTCTAAAATTCTCTTTTTTTGTTGTGTCTCTGCCAGATTTTGGTATCAGGATGATGCTGGCCTCATAAAATGAGTTAGGGAGGATTCCCTCTTTTTCTATTGATTGGAATAGTGTCAGAAGGAATGGTACCAGCTCCTCCTTGTAACTCTGGTAGAATTCGGCTGTGAATCCATCAGGTCCTGGACTTTTTTTGTTTGGTAGGCTATTAATTATTGCCTCAATTTCAGAGACTGTTATTGTTCTATTCAGGGATTCAACTTCTTCCTGGTTTAGTCTTGGGATGGTGTATGTGTCCAGGAATTTATCCATTTCTTCTGGATTTTCTAGTTTATTTGCATAGAGGTGTTTATAGCATTCTCTGATGGTAGTTTGTATTTCTGTGGCATTGGTGGTGATATCCCCTTTATCATTTTTTATTGCATCTATTTGATTCTTCTCTCTTTTCTTCTTTATTAGTCTTGCTAGTGATCTTGTTAGTGATTTTGTTGATCTTGTCAAAACCCAGCTCCTGGATTCATTGATTTTTTTAAGGGTTTTTTGTGTCTCTATCTCCTTCAGTTCTGCTCTGATCTTAGTAATTTCTTGCCTTCTGCTAGCTTTCGAATATGTTTGCTCTTGCTTCTCTAGTTCTTTCCATTGTGATGTTAGGGTGTCAATTTTAGATCTTTCCTCCTTTCTTATGCGGGCATTTAGTGCTCTAAATTTCCCTCTGCACACTGCTTTAAATGTGTCCCAGAGATTCTGGTATGTTGTGTCTTTGTTCTCATTTGTTTCAAAGAACATCTTTATTTCTGCCTTCATTTTATTATGTACCCAGTAGTCATTCAGGAGCAGGTTGTTCACTTTCCTTGCAGTTGAGCGGTTTTGAGTGAGTTTCTTAATCCTGAATTCTAGTTTGATTGCACTGTGGTCTGAGAGACAGTTTGTTATAATTTCTGTTCTTTTACATTTGCTGAGGAGTGCTTTACTTCCAACTATGTGGTCAATTTTAGAATAAGTGCGATGTGGTGCGGAGAAGAATGTATATTCTGTTGATTTGGGGTGGAGAGTTCCGTAGATGTCTATTAGGTCCGCTTGGTGCAGAGCTGAGTTCAATTCCTGGATATCCTTGTTAACTTTCTGTCTCGTTGATCTGTCTAATGTTGACAGTGGGGTGTTAAAGTCTCCCTTTGTCATTGTGTGGGAGTCTAAGTCTCTTTGTAGGTCTCTAAGGACTTGCTTTATGAATCTGGGTGCTCCTGTATTGGGTGCATATATATTTAGGATAGTTAGCTCTTCTTGTTGAATTGATTCCTTTACCATTATGTAATGGCCTTTGTCTCTTTTGATCTTTGTTGGTTTAAAGTCTGTTTTATCAGAGACTAGGATTGCAACCCCTGCTTTTTTTTGTTTTCTATTTCATTGGTAGATCTTCCTCCATCCTTTTATTTTGAGCCTATGTGTGTCTCTGCACATGAGATGGGTCTCCTGAATACAGCACACTGATGGGTCTTGACTCTTTATCCAGTTTTCCAGTCTGTGTCTTTTAATTGGAGCATTTAGCCCATTTACAGTTAATGTTAATATTGTTATGTGTGAATTTAATCCTGTCATTATGATGTTAGCTGATTATTTTGCTTGTTAGTTGATGCAGTTTCTTCCTAGCATCGATAGTCTTTACAATTTGGCATGTTTTTGCAGTGGCTGGTACCAGTTGTTCCTTTCCATGTTTAGTGCTTCCTTCAGGAGCTCTTGTAGGGCAGGCCTGGTGGTGACAAAATCTCTTAGCATTTGTTTGTCTGTAAAGGATTTTATTTCTCCTTCACTTATGAAGCTTAGCTTCCTACCTCCCCATACATCCAAGCTCTGCTTTTAATTGTTTTGTCTTGAGTTTCACATAGTGTTTCAGTTACATAAACTGAAATTTGCTGTTGTAAAACGTAAAAATAATAGAAAATAATCATTCATTTTTTTTTTGCTAGTAACATCAGTTTTATATCACTGGGGCATCGACTATAAAGCCTGGCTGAAGGCAGGGCCGGCCCTCAACAGATTACATAGTTAGAGTAGGGTCTGGTTCAAGGTCTGGTGAGTCTCCACATTCTTTTCCTTGGGACTATTCGTGGTCTTCTCTAGCTTATTGGTGGCCTTCTCCAATTTTGCTGTAGACCTTTTTGTAAATTCTGCTTGAGTCTCAACCCCCTTCAGCTTTTTCTCCACCAATTTGATATCCTCTGCGTATTTACACATTTTCATGGAATATTCCCTCTCTAAGGCCCTCAGTGCCTTGATGGCCTAGTCCATGGCTTGAAGTTTCTCCTCCAGCTGTCTGGCTCAGATCTTGGTCACCTGAGCTATCTCTCCTGAGTGATCTAGTTTTCCTCCCCAGATCTTCTCCTCATACTTCATGGGCTGGTATTTGATGAACTTCATCCTTCTGTCCCTCTCATTGGCTACCTACTGAGTATCTTCCAGCTTTTGCAGGGCTACAGCCAGATGCACCTGTGCCAGTCAAGCTCCTCTTCTATCTGCTCAATGAGGCGTTTTATAGAGACCACATTTGCCTCAGCAACAGTATCCTTATCTTCCTGTTCCAGTTTCTCCAAGATATCATTCATGAATTTAAATACTCTTCTGTGTCATCTCCTGTCCCCTTCAGATTCTTCTGGAGGCCCTGCTGCTCCTCACCCAGCTGTTTGTAGCAGTCTTCAGTTTGCTTCTCATTGGCTTTGACTTCCTCGACGGGGTTGGTGGCATTATCCTTCTCCACCTTTAGCGTCTGAATTTTCTTATTGATAGTGTCCATGGTTACAGTGGTGGATGGGCCACCTGGCACGCAGTGAGGATGGGGCAGATTTTGCTGGCTCCACTGACTGAGATTCACGCTCCTAATATGACTAAAGTCTTTCAATAAGTTGGGAGATTTTTTTTCAGAATTGTTGGCTGCTTCTGAAACATAAGAAAGTTTATTTTTATGATTAGGTAAGTTATATAGCAGAAAAAATATGAATTTTAAAAGGAGAATAAACCTTCAAAGTTAACAACAAAAATGACTAGAGTAAGATGCCACTGAACTAAATGATTAAGAGAATATTTTGGAAAACTATGTTATTATATAAGGATCTTATTTTCATTAACCTAGTTATTCATTAACAGCCATTTATTAAACACCCATACTGAGTCAAGTGCCATGCTTCATCCTAGGGTCACAAAGACGAACTAGATGCAAGGGTTGTAGACTTTTTTAATCAAATAATAAGCCATACCAGGTTTTGAGTAGTGACCCAGCATTCCCCTTTCTCTTTAGGATTAAAAGTGGGAGTGAAAAAAGGGGGAGTTAATCAAGGGGCATAAAGTTTCATTTAAGCAAGATGAATAAGATCTAAAGATCTGCTGTACAACCTTGTACCCATAGTCAACAATAATATATTGTATGTGTAAAAATTTGTTAAGAGGGCAGATTTCATGTTGTGTTCTTACTACAATAAAATAAAATTTTTTGAAGAAAATAAATGTTTTTGAATTGGTTATATCCTAAAATTTACAGAATTTAACTGGCCTTTATGCTTTTTTGAATTATGCAATTTTTGTTTCTCATTCCAACTACTTAGCAGATGATTGATTAGATTGTAGAGCCTAAAATATTCCCCCACTCTCACCCTTGACTTCAGATTGCTGGAGCACAGGTCCAATCAAATGTTGCATTTAAAAAAAATACAATCCATGCAGGCAATTTAATGAAAGCATCAGCCATTTTTGTAGTTAGATTCCTTCCTAAAAGTATGGGTGTGCTTATGTTTATCACAATTTTCTCAATTCAGTTAATTTCAAGGTTAATCTGCCAACTGTCTGAACATATGGCAAAGTATTTTAAATGGGTTTAAGGGAAGGAAATGATGAGATTTCCTCAGACATCAATCTTAGCATCTGATATTACCTTGTATATTTATTTTCCCCAAGTTACCATATATAGATGATTTTTGTTATCCGTATCTGAGGGTATTTATATAAAGTTGAATGTGTAGGAAGTTATACATCTCCAAATTTGTGTTTACAAAACATGGATAAACCCAGGTCAATTAATATTTCACCTGCTTAAAGCATCTGCCTTTTCAATTTGATTCGTGTCAAGAAATAATTTTTATAAGATAGTTTTATCCTGAATGAATCATGATACCATTTAGTATTAACTGCTATTATCCATCTTCACCCTATGATCAATCTGATATTTCAATATTTATTTAAAATAAGATGGGATCTTTTAGACCCCACATTCTGAAATGAAGTTATAAGACTGTAAAGAATCTGTTTCTAATATTAAAATTGTTTTAATGTATAGTTTAGTGGAAAAGACAGTCTGAAAAATCAAATAATCATATGTTTCCAAGTTTACCACAACATAGTACAAAGAAAGATTGAATGTGAACTGTTTTTTAATATACTTATACAGCACAGACTTGAATCGCAAGGCGGCCTTCTAAAAATAGGACGTGTGTACTTACACAAATATAACCTAAGTCAAATTGCATAGTGACCTATCATGTTAATGATTCCCCATTTATAAACCAGGAAGATCTCAATATTATATGTGGTTTCAAGTGTATGTGTGTTTGTGTGAATGTGTACACATCCCACAGAAACATACATAATATTGGAATAATTCATGCTGAAGAATTATGGTTAAAAGTGCATTCATTGAACAATTAATGGCTCCAAATAATGATTGTGGCCACATACCCTGGGAAACTGGTGCACAGTGAATTGCACAGTTCAGGTGAAGGTGACATATGACAGATAATGATGGTGGCAGGAAGAGCTGTGACAATGAGATAGAGAGCATTTTCTGAGAAAATATAATGCCACATTTGAAGAATTTAGCTGTCCATGAGAATAAAGTGAATGGTTCTGATAAGGTCAGGAAAACGGGTTTGAGAGGATAAATCAGAAGCAGAGTGCTTGCTGTTTAACTTCAGTGCCTTTTCCTTGTTAGGGAGCTAAGGATATTTTAAGTGAATGAAAAAGAAAATGTAAATTCTGTGGGAGCAAAGTGTGTCAGGTTTTTAAAGCATATTAAGTCTAAATGTGGTAATGCATTCCTCACTTTGGAGGGGTCACCTGGAGAGCTGACTCCTTTCAGAAATGATGGCACAGACTGCACCAAAGTGAGCATTATTGGTTAGAGTATGAATTTATTTTTTTTTCATTTGCTTCTTACTTTCAAGCCACACGCTATGCTGCCACTGCATTTGGCATCAAATCAAAAGACCAACTCTGCTTCACAGGAAGAAATGTCACCACAAAGTTGTGCTTTTTGTGAAAACTGTGCTGTTGCTATTTTTCTGAAATGCTGTGGAATTGTGTGGAACAGAGGAAGGCCTCATCAGAACTCTGGGCCAAAACATTATCAGCTAGTCATGAAGGACATAGAAATGGATAGCTGTAGTAGCCAAGAGATTCCCTACAATGACATCGTCAGATAACTGAGGTAGTATCTTACCAGTTTCATACACTCTTAGCTAAAACATCACACTCTGGGGCTCAGATGTCATGCATAAGCTTGGCCTCTAATATAGATTCTGCGGGTAATGCTCCTTTGGGCTTCACCCAGTAGGCTGTGAGGATGGAAATCCTAAAGGTTTAGTCTGAACTGCCAAGACCCTCACCCAGGAAAATAAATTGTGAGAGAGACTAGCCTAAGCAGAAATGAATACCATGGAATGGACTTCAATAAACATGAGATGATGCCCACTCCAAGCAGTCTAGATGCTCATCTTGATCTAATTTCTAGAGCTGTACCTCTTACCTGCCCTGTTAGCTAATGGAAGGGATCTTACAGATTTCTACTCAAATTCTTTATCTAATGGTTGGATCACCTCTGAATCATCCTCACGTGCTTTCAGCAGTAGCAATTATGTAGCCAAGATAGGTCATACCTTCACATCCAAATAGAGAGAACTTCAAATCCTAGTGATTTGAATTGGTAGACTAGAAATGGTGGCAGAAAGGCTAATTAAGAGATAGATACACTATAATAAGAAAGAGGTGGTGAGCCTGAACCAAAGTAGTTGCCATTAGAGTTGGAGAAATGCAGGAATAATTGGGTAAAAAGTTCCAGGAGAACTTGGTGTTGGCGTGGATGTGTGGCTCAGAGAGAGTGAAGAAAAAACAATGAGTCTGAGGTTTCAAGTCTTGGTTCCTTAATAAACAGAGGTGCTTTTCCTAGAAAGAAATAAGAAGGAAGAGTTAGTGGAAGTTGTTTAGCCATGTTTCAAATATTAAGAGTCTGAGGTGCTGAAAAAACATGGCATTCTGCAATTGATGCTTTGGAGGGGGCGAAAATTTGAGGAGAATGGAGTGAGTAATACATAAAAGTATGTGAGACCAACAAGGAAGAGCATGTAGATAGAGAGGAAAGGGAGTCAGGGATAGAATCCCTGTGAATACTTGCTTTTAGTGCAGAGAAAGGAAAAGACAAAGAGCAACTAGGAAAAGGAGGCAGGGAACAGTGGTCAGAAAGGTAAGAAGAAAACTAGGACAGCACAATGTCATAGAAGCCAAGATACAAGAGGAGTTGGCCAATAATATCAGATACTTAAAAAAATTCAAGGAAGTGTTCCTTTTAGGACATCTGGCAAGTTGGCCAAATAGGAACAGCTCCAGTCTGCAGCTCCCAGTGAGACCAATGCAGAAGATGGGTGATTTCTGCATTTCCAACTGAGGTCCCCAGTTCATCTCATTGGGACTGGTTAGGTAGAGGGTACAGCCCAGCAAGGGTGAGCAGAAGCAGGATGGGGAGTTGCCTCACCTGGGAAGTACAAGGAGCTGGGACCCTACCTCCCCCAGCCAAGGGAAGCCGTGAGGGACTGTGCTACCCGGCTGACATACTATGCTTTTCCCATGGTTTTTGCAATCCACAGGCCAGGAGATTCCCTCGTGTGCTTACACCACCAGGGCCGTGGGTTTCAAGCACAAATCTGGGTGGCTGTTTGGCCAGACACTGAGCTAGCTGCAGTAGTTTGTTTTTGTTTTTGTTTTTGTTTTCATACCCCAGTGATACCTGGAAACCCAGCAAGAGAGAAAAGAGAGAACTGTTTACTCCCCTGGAAAGGGGGCTGAAGCCAGAGAGCCAAGTGGTCTCACTCAGTGGGTGCCACTCCCATGGAGCCCAGCAAGCTAAGAACCACTGGCTTGAAATTCCTGCTGCCAGCGCAGCAGTCTGAAGTCCACCTGAGACAATGAAGCTTGGTAGGGGGAGGGGCATCCACCATTACTGAGGCTTGAGTAGGTGGTTTTCCCCTGACAGTGCTAAGAAGGCTGGGAAGTTCGGACTGGGTGGAACGCACCACAGTGCAGCAAAGCAGCTGTGGACAGACTGCCTCTCTAGATTCCTCCTCACTAGGCAGGGCATCTCTGAAAGAAAGGCAGTAGCCCCAGTCAGGGGCTTATAGATAAAACTACCATCTCCCTGGGAAAGAGCACCTGGGGGAAGGGGCGGCTTTGGGTGCAGGTTCAGCAAACTTAAACGTTCCTGCCTGCCAGCTCTAAGAGAGCAGTAGATCTCCCAGTACAGTGCTCGAGCTCTGCTAAGAGACAGACTGCCTCCTCAAGTGGGTCCCTGAACCCCGTGCCTCCTGACTGGGAGACACCTCCCAGCAGGGGTCAACAGACACCACATACGAGAGAACAGTGGCTAGCATCAGGCGGGTGCCCCTCTGGGGTGAAACTTCCAGAGGAAGGAGCAGGCAGCAATCTTTGCTGTTCTGCAGCCTCCACTGGTGATACCCAGGCAAACAGGACCTGGCATGGACTTCCCCGAAACTCCAGCAGACCTGCAGAAGAGGGGCCTAACTGTAAGAAGAAAAACTAACAAACAAAAGCAATAACATCAACATCAACAAAAAGGACGCCCACACAAAAAGTCCCATTCGAAGGTCATCAACATCAAAGATCAAAGGTAGATAAATCCACAAAGATGAGGAAAAACCAGCACAAAAATGCTGAAAATTTCAAAAACCAGAATGCCTCTTCTCCTCCAAATGATTGTAACTCCTCTTCAGCAAGGGCACAAAATTGGACAGAGAATGAGTTTGAGAAATTGACAAAAGTAGGCTTCAGAAGATGGGTAATAACAAACTCCTCTGAGCTAAGGGAGCATGTTCTGCCAATGCAAGGAAGCTAAGAACCTTGATAAAAGGTTACAGGAACTGCTAACTAGAATAGCCAGTTTAGAGAAGAACAAAAATGACCTGATGGAGCTGAAAAACAGAGCAAGAACTTTGTGATGCATACACAAGTATCAGTTGCTGAATTGATCAAGTGGAAGAAAGGATATCAGAGTTTGAAGATCAGCTTACTGAAATAAAGCATGAGGATAAGATTAGACAAAAAAGAATGAAAAGGAGCAAACAAAGCCTCCAAGCAATATGGGACTAAGTGAAAAAGTGAAAAGACCAAACGTACGATTGATTGGTGTACCTGAAAGTGACGGGGAGAATGGAATCAAGTTGGAAAACACACTTCAGGATATTATCCAGGAGAACTTCCCCAACATAGCAAGACAGGCCATCATTCAAATTCAGGAAATACAGAGAACACCACAAAGATACTCCTCGAGAAGAGCAACCCCAAGACACATAATCGTCCGTTTCTCCAAGGTCAAAGCAAAGGAAAACATGTTAAGGGCAGCCAGAGAGAAAGGTCAGGTTACTTACAAAGAGGAGCCCATCAGACTAACAGCGGATCTCTGTGCAGAAACCCTACAAGCCAGAAGAGAGTGGGGTCCAATATTCAACATTGTTAAAGAAAAGACTTTTCAACCCAGACTTTCATATCCACCCAATCTAGGCTTCATAAGCGAAGCAGAAATAAAATCCTTTACAGACAAGCAAATGCTGAGGGATTTTGTCACCGCCAGGCTTGCCTTACAGGAGCTCCTGAAGGAAGCACTAAATATGGAAAGGAAAAACTGGTACCAGCCACTGCAAAAACATATCAAAATATAAAGATCAATGACAATATGAAGAAACTGCATCAACTAATGTGCAAAATAACCAGCAAGCATCATGATGACAGGATCAAATTCACACATAACAATATTAATCTTAAATGTAAATGGGCTAAATGCCCCAATTAACAGACACAGACTCGCAAATTGGATAAAGAGTCAATACCCATCAGTGTGCTGTATTCAGGAGACCCATCTCATGTACAAAGAAACAGGCTCAAAATAAAGGGATGGAGGAATAATTACCAAGCAAATGGAAAGCAAATAAAAGCAGGGGTTGCAATCCTAGTCTCTGATAAAACAAATTTAAACCAACAAAGATAAAAAAAGACAAAGAAGGCCATTACATAATGGTAAAGGGATCAATGCAACAAGAAGAGCTAACTATCCTAAATATATATGCACCCAATATAGGTGCATATATATGCATATATACACACCCACTTTCATAAAACAAGTTCTTAGAGACCTACAGAGACTTAGACTCCCACACAATATTAGTGGGAGACTTTAGCACCCCATTGTCAATATTAGACAGATCAATGAGACAGAACATTAAAAAGGATATTCAGGACTTGAACTCAGCTCTGGACCAAGCTGACCTAATAGACATCAACAGAACTCTCCACCCCAGATCAACAAAATATACATTCTTCTCAGCACCACATAACACTTACTCTAAAATTGACCACATAATTGGAAATAAAACACGGTTCAGCAAATGCAAAAGAATGGAAATCATAACAAACAGTCTCTCAGACCACAGTGCAATCAAATTAGAACTCAGGATTAAGAAACTCACTCAAAACTGCACAACTACATGGAAACTGAACAACCTGCTCCTGAATGACTACTGGGTAAATAACGAAATGAAGGCAGAAATGAATAACTTCTTTGAAACCAAAGAGAACAAAGAGACAATCTTCCAGAATCTCTGGGACACAGCTAAAGCAGTGTTAAGAGGGAAATTTATAGCACCAAATGCCCACATCAGAAAGTGGGAAAGATCTAAAATCGACACCCTAAGATCACAATTAAAAGAACTAGAGAAGCAAGAGCAAACAAATTTAAAAGCTAGCAGAAGACAAGAAATAACTAAGATCAGAGCAGAACTGAAGGAGATAGAGACACAAAAAACCCTTCAAAAATCAATGAATCCAGGAGGTGGTTTTTTGAAAAGAATAACAAAATAGATGGACCGCTAGCCAGACTAATAAAGAACAGAGAGAAGAATCAAATAAACACAAAAAAATTATAAAGAGGATATCACAACTGACCCCACAGAAATACAAACTGCCATCAGAGAATACTATAAACAACTCTACACAAATAAACTAGAAAATCTAGAAGAAATGGATAAATTACTGGACACATACACCCTCCCAAGACTAAACCAGGGAGAAGTCGAATCCCTGAATAGACCAATAACAAGTTCTGAAATTGAGGAAGTAATTATTAGCCTAGCAACCAAAAAAAGCAAAGGTTAAGACAGATTCAGAGACGAATTTTACCAGAGGTACAAAGAGGAGCTGGTACCATTCCTTCTGAAACTATTCCAATCAATAAAAAAAGAGGGACTCCTCCCGAACTCATTTTATGAGGCCAGCATCCTCCTGATACCAAAACCTGGCAGAGACACAACAGAAAAAGAAAAAAAAATCAGGCCAATATCCCTGATGAACATCGATGTGAAATTCCTCAATCAAATACTGGTAAACCGAATCCAGCAACACATCAAAAAGCTTATCCACCACGATGAAGTCAACTTCATCCCTGGGATGCGAGGCAGGTTCAACATATGCAAATCAATCAATGTAATCCATCACATAAACAGATCCAATGACAAAAACCTCATGGTTTATCTCAATAGATGCAGAAAAGGCCTTTGATAAAATACAGCACCCCTTCATGCTAAAACTCTAAAAAAACTGGGTATTTATGGAACATATCTCAAAATAATAAGGGCTATTTATGACAAACCCCTAGCCAATATCATACTAAATGGACAAAGGCTGGAAGCATTCCTTTGAAAACTGGAACAACAAAAGGATGCCCTCTCCCACCACTCCTATTCAACATAGTATTGGAAGTTCTGTTCAGGGCAATCAGGCAAGAAAAAGAAATAAAGTGTACTCAAATTGGAACACAGGAAGTCAAATTGTCTCTATTTGCAGACGACGTGATTGTATCTTTAGAAAACCTCATCATCTCAGCCCAAGAACTCCTTAAGCTGATAAACAACTTCAGCAAAGTCTCAGGTTACAAAATCAATGTGCAAAAATCACAAGCATTCCTATACACCAATAATAGACAAGTAGAGAGCCAAATCATGAATGAACTCCCATTCACAATTGTTACAAAGAGAATAAAATACCTAGGAATAAAACTTACAAGGTACATGAAGGACCTCTTCAAAGAGAATAACAAACCACTGCTCAAGGAAATAAGAGAGGACAGAAACAAATGGAAAAAAAAATCCATGCTCATGGATAGGAAGAGTCAATATCGTGAAAATGGCCACACTGGCCAAAGTAATTTATAGATTCAGTGCTATTCCATTAAGCTACCATTGACTTTCTTCACAGAAGTAGAAAAAAAAAACTACCTTTAGTTTCATATGGAACCAAAAAAGAACCCGTATAGTCAAGACAATCCTAAGCAGAAAGAACAAAGCTGGAGCCATGATGCTACATGACTTCAAACTATACTACAAGGCTACAGTAACCAAATCAGCATGGTACTGATACCAAAATAGATATATAGTCCAATGGAACAGAACAGAGGCTTGAGAAATAACAGCACACATCTACAATCATCTGGTCTTCAGTAAACTTTACCCAAAAAAAAGCAATAGGGAAAGGATTCCCTATTTAATAAATGGCGTTGGGAAAACTGGCTAGCCGTATCCAGAAAACAGAAAGTGGATTCCTTTCTTACACCTTATACAAAAATTGGCTCAAGATGGATTAAAGACATAAACATAAAACGTAATACCATAAAAACCCTAGCAGAAAACCTAGGCAATACCATTCAGGACACAGGCATGGGCAAAGACTTCATGACTAAAACATCAAAAGCAATTGCAACAAAAGCCAAAATTGACAGATGGGACCTAATTCAACTTAATAGCTTCTGCACAGCAAAATAAACTATCATCAGAGTGAACAGGCAACCTACAGAATGGGAGAACATTTTTGAAATCTATCCATCTGGCAAAGGTCTAATATCCAGAATCTACAAGGAACTTAAACAAATTTACAAGAAAAAAACAACCCCATCATAAAGGGGGCAACGTAAATGAACAGACAATTCTCAAAAGAAGACATTTATGCGGCCAACAAACATATGAAAAAAACTCATCATCACTGGTCATTAGAGAAATGCAAACCAAAACCACAATGAGATACCATCTCATGCTAGTTAGAATGACGATCATTAAAAAGTCAGGAAACAACAGATCCTGGCGAGGATGCAGAGAAATACACTGTTGGTGGGAGTGTAAATTAGTTCAGCCATTGTGGAAGACAGTGTGGCCACTCCTCAAGGATCTAGAACCAGAAATACCATTTGACCCAGAAATCCCATTACTGGGTATATACCCAAAGGATTACAAATCATTCTACTATAAAGACACATGCACACGTATGTTTATCACGGAACTATTTACAATAGCAAAGACTTGGAACCAACCCAAATGCCCATCAATGATAGACTGGATAAAGAAAATGTGGCACATACACACTATGGAATACTATGAAGCCATAAAAAAAGAATGAGTTCATGTGCTTTGCAGGGACATGGATGAAGCTGGAAACCATCATTCTCAGCAAACTAACACAGGAATGGAAAACCAAATACCTCATGTTCTCACTCATAAGTGGGAGTTGAACAATAAGAACACATGGACACATGGAGGGGAAGATCACACACCGGGCCTATCGGCGGGTGGGGGACAAGGGGAGGGAGAGCCTTGGGACAAATACCTAATGCATGTGGGGCTTAAAACCTAGATGACGGATTGATAGGTGCAGCAAACCACCATGGCACATGTATACCCATGTAACAAACCTGCATGTTCAGCACATGTATCCCAGAACTTAAAGTAAAATTAAAAAAAAAAGAAAGACACAAAACTTACTAAAAAAAATTCAAGAAGAATGTGTCATCTGAAACAAAGTCATTGGATTTGATGGTTAGAACATCATTCTCTCCCTTTATTATAACATCAATACTGCCACCACCAAGTCTTTAATAATGGTTCACTTCACCAACCTCAGTGATCAGTGCTTGAAGGACACTGGAGAAGTAAAGTGATTCAACTTTAATTTATTCCTTTAATAAACTTTTGTTGGACTTTACTGTAAGCCAGGCATCATGCAAGGTATTAGCTCTCTGTTGCCACTGAGGTATAATATTAGCAGTGCCTGCTCCCTGCTTTATAGCTGGGTCTTAGTATAATTTTTCATAGTTCTTCATTATATCTTCAAAAGTATCCTGATTTGGACAATAAATTATATTTATGTAATTATATTTATTACTTATGGGCCAGTCCAGTCCTACATTTCTTTTAGCATGAACTTGACTGGAATGAAACATCTATGTTGGCCATGTGGTCTATGAAAAGAACCATTTTCAACACCATTGTCTTTCCAACATAGGCTGTGTGTTCCTGAACTCACCTGTCCCAGACCTGCTATCTATGTGTTATCTGCCAATCAACCATGACAGCCATTCAATTTGGATTGATCTTGATGATTCAGAGTAACTCTGTCACTTACAGGAATAACTTATAGTACAAAGTATCCTAAAATAATTGTGTATTTTAGCACTGTTTTGTGTCATTGTGTTTATTGTAGGACTTTTTGCCAAATTATATAGTGTGAAGAATGAGTAAGGCTAGTAGAACTGACCTGGTTAAACTAAAATTTCTCCTCTATAGAAGCTAGACTCAGGATATTTTTAGCTGGTCAATAAAGAGTTAAGAGTGTTAGCTAGAGGCACTTGGGAATCCAGGCTGTGCTTATTTCTCAGGTTTATGAATAACTTAAACCTATGTAGGAGTTAATTAATTTGGCTCCATTCCACCTACAGTTTAGCTTCTTGAGCGAATAACTTGACCCCTCCTATACTCTGAGTTCGTAGTTATAAAGAGAACTCCCAACAGAATGAATAAAACCTCACTTGGATTGTCTGAGTTTAACTTCTTGCATACTTTCATGGAGAAACTATAAGATGTCAGGCACAGCACAAAATGTCAAAATACCTCTTCAGTTAAGGACAAACACAGGCATTGTACTATTTCTGGCTAGAGTTATTTATGATTCTGTTTTTTTCTCTCTTAAATGACTGACATTCTGAAGAGGGAGTTAACCTGTGACTTGGTAACAGTGATAGAGACTGTTAAAAGCACACCGAATTTTGCTCACTGCATCCTGACCTCTCCTTTCCCTAGAGAATAGTTCAAAACAAATTATTACCTTTGGGACGATAGGTCAGTTTCCTTACCTTTGATGTTCTCCGCGACTAAATAAGAAGTTACAGGTATTTTCTCACTTGTCAGAATTTTAAAAAGACCACCCATTAGGTTGGCAGATCTTCCTTGTAATACCTCTAAAAGGACATGAGAGATCAGACTGGAGGTAAGGCCTGTTAACTGAGTGAAACAGATGAGCTGAATCATATGATGTCGCAATGTAAATGTCACAATGTAAATGAAGTGTGACTTCATAGAAAGTACTCATGTCACTAGGATCATCCAATCTTCATAGCTACTCAAGTGCATGCCTTCACTGAACATCATGACATTCTAGAGTATAGCCTATTAGCTGTGATGGCAACTTGTATAGTTTTGCTGACTTCATTAAAAAAATTTAATCCTTATGAATCATTCATTTCATAAATGTGACTACATTTTATCCTGAGTTGCAAAAAATACTGGCTGGGGACAATCGCATTACTCACCCAAACAATTTTATCGTAAGATCTGAGAAACAATTACCAGATAAGGTGAGAAGCCATCACCTATTTTCAGAGTTATAAAATATACTGGATTTCACCATTTCCCCCACTTTGAGAATTTGTTCCAGGATGGAGGGGAGGCTGTTGTTCTGAGCCATCTTCCACTTAAATTAGAGCATTGGGCATGGGAGTACAGTCCCTGCCCCTTGCTCCCAAACCACCTGGAGGAGAGGATGGCAATGTTAGAGCTGCAGCCTGAGGTCTCATTACTGAATGGAGCAGCAACTACCATTTAGTGAGCACTTATTTTGTGTCAATGATATTGCATGTAAAATTGCAATATTGAATTTAATCCTGACAGCATCTCAATGAGTTAGTTATTGTCACTATCCCAATTTTACATACAAGGAAACTGAGAAGCTTCTAGTCATGTTAGCTCAAAATAACTGTGACCTTGGACAGGACCAGAATTCTAACCCAGGTTTTTAGGCCAAAGCCCATGTGGACTTCACTACATCATGAATCTTCAGATGAAGTTTAAAGGCAGGGCAAATTGACCTAATTGAAGCCTAGCTGAAGCCCTCACACGTATAGGTTAATACATGTTGTACGGTATTAATTCCTCCTCTGTTAGAATTTTTACATTCAGAATTATCAAGAATTTACTGACACACATATTAGACCAGGAGATGTTTCCAATCACAGGGCATTTACTAGGTCCTGACTGCCACCCATTGATTCCCTATGCCTTGCAGTCCAAGAAGTTTGGCCTGCACCCTGAATGCTGACCATCCTGGAATCTGTAGCTGGGGATTTGTAAGAATTAAAGTACTCAGCCCTAGAGGTAAATGGAACTATCCTCTTGTGTATCTAGAAATGAAGGTACCTTAAACCATGCTCAGAGCACGTAGTAGTTTCCTGTGGTTGCCGTAACAAATTACCACAAATCTGGTGGCTTAAATTAATAGAGTTTTATTCTCTTGAGTTTCTGGAGGCAAGAAATTTAAAATCAAGTTTTCACCAGGGCACTCTCTCTAGAAGGTCTAGAGGAGAATTCGTTTCAAGCTTCTTGTAGCTTATAGTGGCCCCAGGCATTGGTGTTCCTTGGCTTGTGGCTGTAGCACTTCAGTCTCTACCTGTCTTCGCATCACTTCCTCTTCTTATGTGTCTTCTCCTCTTCTGTCTTAAGTATTCCTATGCCTTCCTTTTATAAAGAAACTGCTGTTTTTGAATTTAGAGCCTATCAGATAATCCAATATAATCTTATCTCAAAGTTCTTAATTACATCTACAAAGACCCCTTTTCCAAACATGGTAACATTCACAGGTTACAGGAGTTAGGGCAGGGACATGTATTCTGGGGGAATATAACTCAACCCACTACAGGGGACTTGACATCCCCAACTGTGCTCTGAAATACAGGAAACCAGGATGTACAGGGCCAAATTGGACCACTAGGAATATGAAGAGAGAATTATGGCTGCCTTCCATTCCTACTTTTTAAAATATCACTCCTCACTCATCATGCCCCATCAGTCTCCAGATTCTCTTAACAGCCTGTGGGATCAGTCTCAGGCCATCCTAGGTCCATTTGTTCACTGAAACAAAGTAGTATAAGAGAAAGAGTATAAATTTAGGAATATGACAGAAGTTGGTTAAAAGCTACTCCAATAATTCTTGGTGATATGGCCTTGGATAAGTTATTTTAACCTCTCTAGGACTCAGAATGCTCACCTGCAAAATAGAAATGAGATCACTTTGGTCACATGCTCTAGGGAGAAAAAAATATCTAGGCTTTGGAGACAAGGAGACATGGGTTTATTTCCTGGCTCTGCCACCCACTATCTAGCCATGCAATTTGGGGCAAGACATTGAAACTCTCTAAACCTTAGTTTCCTAATCTGAAGAATAGGCGTAATAACTTGAAGAGATGTCAAGATTTAATTTTAAAAAGTACAGAAAATATAGTTGGTGTCAATTCATGTTTATTAAATTTATCGTTGTTATTGTTGTTGATGTCAGCTACAACTTACAGAGTACCTAGTCTATGCTAGACATTCTGCCATGCATGATGGAGCAATGCAGATATGTATCTCAGTCCTCCTATAGAGCAGATTGATCGTAAGGGAGAAAGATAGTATTATTGTGAGAAGCTAGCAACACTACTCAGCTTTTTGGCCACTAAAATTATTTTCTTTGAATACAGTTAAGTCATCTTTGCTCTTGGGTAAAATTGCATAAATTTTAGGAATTTAGAAGGGAATGAAGAAGCTGGAGGTGAATTAAATATTAATGGGCAAACATTTTAACTATGGTTAAAATTTTGATATCAAGACCACAGATCAAAGCTAATGTCTTTTCTGTCAAAATTCGTAGATTTTAAATATATCCTGGGGGTAAGTTGAGAAATGTTGATGACTAACAAATGAACCTTTTAAAATTGCATTTACTTTTCTAGCTGAATGCTCCTGGAGTTTTTCCAATGATGTTCATTAGGGTGACAAAACCAGCTTGAATGTACATAAATATCTTGCTTTGTACAGAAATTAAAGTGTTGGTACAGACATTAAGATACTACCATTCAGGCCACTGAGAGAGCCTTCCAGGACAACAATCTAGGAGTTATTACTTCTTCCTTTGATTGCAGTTTCATACAAAGCAGTAGCTAAGTCTTCTGTGATCAGTTCAAATGCAACAGCACAACCAATGGTAGAAGAAAGAACTTTCCAAATAAAACAGCCAATTAACAGTTTGACATAAAAAGGTGGGCCTAGCTATCATTCTAGAGATTAGGTAAAGGAAGCACAACTTTTTGGTTTCATGAATAGGCAAATCCAGGTTTTGAGGATCCATTGTTGTGTTCGTTTATTCAACAGACAGTGACTAACTACAGCCATCAGTTGGTACTTATGAAGGATTGGTTCTAGAACCCCCCTCCACAATGTGGATACCAAAATCTGAGGATGCCATAGTGCCCTATATAAGATGGTGTGGTATTTACATATGACCTACACATATCCTCTGGCATACTTTAAGTCAGCTTTAGATTACTTAAAATACCTTATACAATGTAAATGCTATGGACATAGTTGTTATGCTGTATTGGTTTTCTTAAAGTTTTGGTTTTCTTTTTGTTAAATTTTTATCTGTACATAGTAGTTGTATATATTTATGGGGTTCTTGACATATTTTTATTTGTATTTTTTATTGTTACACAGTTTTTTATTGTTTTTTCTGAATATGTTTTATGTGTGGCTGGTTGAATCTGCAGATATGGAACTCACAGATAAGGAAGGTTGACTGTACTTGAGTACACCAGCCTTATGTCAGGTGCTGGCAATATATAGATAACAATGACTTAGCCTTAACAGGTAAATTTGAAATATTTTGGTACACTATGGTGCATTTTGGAAAGGGTATGGCAAATAGCTTTGAAAGTACAGAGGAAGTAAAGCATGCCTATGTCTTAGAGAGTCAGGTGAGGCTTCCAAGAGGAGGGGACAATTCAGCTGCATTTGAGAAGATGAATAAGAAGCAAACATAGGATTAGAGGCAGACATTTTACTAAAGGCAGAGGCCAAAGGCATAAGGATGAGAAAACACAAAGAAACCATAAGGTAGATGAAGGTGATGAGAGAAAGAGTTGGCTCTTTAGGTCTGAACTTATGTGGGAATCATTTCTGAGGTGGGTTCGCCAGGACCAGGTGATGGATAGGCTATTGAAAAGGAAAAAGACTGTGGAGGCAGGCAAGCCATGAGGTTTTAGGGTTGGATATTGGATGGGCAGTTCAGGTTTGCTCCAGTGCCATGGATGAAATATTGTGTCCTCCCAAGATTCATATGTTGAAACTCTAATCCCAATGTGATGATATTAGGAGGTGGTGCCTTTGGGAGGTAATTTTGGGAGGGTAGAGTCCTCGTGATGTGATTAATGCCTTTATGAGAAGAGGCTAGAGAGATAGCTAGTTCTCTTTCCCCCATGTGAGGATACAATGGGAAATTGGCTTTCTGCAACCTGGAAGAAGGCTTCACCAGGATCCAACCACGCTGGCATCGTGATCTTAGACGTCCAGCCTCCAAGACTGTGAAAAATAGTCCTGGAGGCTGGAAGTCTAAGATCATGGTGCCAGCATGTGTGTGTGTGTTTGTTTTTTTTTTTTTTTTTTTTTTTTTTTGAATGGAGTCTCGCTCTGTCACCCAGGTTGGAGTCAAGTGGCGTGATCTCGGCTCACTGCAACCTCCGGCTCCCAGGTTCACGCCATTCTTCTGCCTCAGCCTCCCGAGTACCTGAGACTACAGGCGCCTGCCACTACGCCCGGCTAATTTTTTGTATTTTTAGTAGAGACAGGGTTTCACCGTGTTAGCCAGGATGGTCTCGATCTCCTGGCCTCGTGATCCACCCGCCTCGGCCTCCCACAGTGCTGGGATTACAGGCATGAGCCACCGGGCCTGGCCGTGTGTTTGTTTTTTAAGGCCACTCCATCTATGGTCCTTTGTTACAGCAGCCTGAACTAAGACAGAAATTGGTACTAAGAGGTGGGTTCTGATACAATAAATACCTAAAATGTGGAAGTGGCTTTGGAACTAGATACCAGAAACTGGAGGAATTTTGAAGTGCATTTTGGAAGAAGCTGGTGGTGAAGGGACTTTTAAAGATGATTCTGGTGAGAGCTCAGAAAGGAAAGAAGAACACTGTAGACAAAACTTCCATCTTCTTAGAGAACAAATAAATAATCCTGGGCTGGGCGCGGTGGCTGACGCCTGTAATCCCAGCATTTTGGGAGACCGAGGCGGGCAGATCATGATGTCAGGAGATCGAGACCATCCTGGCCAACATGGTGAAACCCCATCTCTACTAAAAAAAAAAAAAAAAAATACGGAAATTAGCTGAGGGTAGTGGCAGGCACCTGTAATCCCAGCTACTTGGGAGGCTGAGGCAGCAGAATCGCTTGAACCCGGGAGGCGGAGGTTGCAGTGAGCTGAGATCACGCCATTGCACTCCAGCCTGGCGACAGAGGGAGACTCTGTCTAAAATAAAATAAAAATAAACAAATGAATAAATAATAATCCTGTATAGAATGCAGGTAGAAATATGAATAAAGGCCATTCTGATGAAATTTCAGATGGAAATGAGGAACATGTTACTAGACAATGAAGAAAAGATGATCCTTTTTATGAAGTTGCAAAGAACTTAGCTGAGTCATGTTCATGTTTTGGTGTTTTGTGGAAGGTGGAACTTGTGATGAAATTGGATATTTATTTAGCTGAGCACATTTCTACACAAACTGTTGAATGAGCAGTTTGGTTCCTTCTCACTGCTTATAGTAAAATTCAAGAGGAGAGAAATGACTTCAAGATGGAATTATGCAAAAAGGAACTAGAACTTAAAGATTTGGAAATTTCTCAGTATGTCCATATTGCAAAAAAAAACAAAATGTGAAAGTATGTTTGACCAAGGAATCTTTGACAGGGAGATTAGCATGGATGTCAACCACAAACATAATCAGCTACCCCAATAGAAAAAACTGACAGTTTGAACTGAAGGGAATGGAGATGGGAAGGAATGGAGGAAGGCTGTCAGACTTCTTAGATTGTATTGGACAGGACCACAGAGTTATTTGCTTGAAAATGTGCTTTATTCCTGAAGACAAGGCAAGAAGGATCCTAAAGGTGATTCAGAGATCATTAGTGCCACTGCCTGAGTTTCAAAAGGTCAAACAATCTCCACCCATAGCCATGACGTATGGGATACCCAGAGCCTTAGGGGCCTGACCCCTGCCCAGCAGAGTTGCAGGGGCAAGATGGCCACCCCAGTGGGTCCAGAAGTTGGGACCTCTGCCCCAGCATGTTCAGGAGACGAGACCTCCATCTCAATGGGTCTAGAGGGCAGAGCATTAAGCCAAAAAGGATTATTCTCAAGCCTTAAGATCTCATGGAATTTGCCTTGCTAGGTTTCAGACTTGCTTGCAACTGGTCACCCCTTCTTTCTTTCCTATTTCTTCATTTTGGAAGGGAATGTCTATCATATGGCCATCTCACCACTGTATTTTGGAAAGACATGACTTGCTTGGTTTCACAAGTTTATAAATAGAGAAGAATTTTGCCTAAGGATGAATTGTACCTTGAATCTCATCCATATCTGATTTAGATGACATTTAGATGAGACTTTGGAGTTGAAAATTAAGAATTTGGGGGTTGGTTTGAATGGAATGAATTATTTTGCTATTAGAAAGGACAAGAATTTTGGGAAGCCAGATTGGAATGCAATGAACTGAATGTTTTCATCCTCCCAAAATCCATATGTTGAAATCCAATCCCAATGTGATGGTATTAGGAGGTGTGGTCTTTGGCAGGTAATTAAGTTATGAGGGTGGAGCCCTAATGATGGGATTAGTGACCTTATAAGAAGAAGACAGTGTTCTCACTCATAAGTGGGAGTTGAACAATGAGAACACATGGACACAGGGAGGGGAACAACACACACCAGGGCCTGTTGGGGGGTGGGGGGCAAAGGGAGGGAGAGCATTAGGACAAATACCTAATGCATGCAGGACTTAAAACCTAGATGACAGGTTGATAGGTGCAGCAAACCACCATGGCACATGTATACCCATGTAACAAACCTGCACATTCTGTACATGTATCTGGGAACTTAGAGCAAAATAAACAAACAAACAAATAAACAAAAAGAAGCCAGAGAACTAACTGGCTGTCTTTCTGCCATGTGAAGAGACAAAGGGAAGTTGGCTCTTTGCAATGCAGAAGACTACTCTCACCAGAACCCAACTATGCTGGCATCCTGATCTTGAATTTCTAGCCTCAAGAACTATGAGAAATAAATGCTTGTTTTTAAGCCATCCAGCCTCTGGTAATTTGTTATAGCTGCCCCAAATGACTAAGACATCCAGTGTCTGTTATGGGGAGCAGCACTCTTTCTCTGTGCAGCAAAATCTGGGCTGCCAAAGCCAATACTTCCCTGATGCTTCCACAGCCCCATCTGGCTGATTAAGGGCTAATTCAAATATCAATTAATCGTTCCTCATTTAATTTCTTTTAAAACATTTTCACAGTGCAGATAATGAGGAAGAATATTCTGCTTTGAAAAGTCAAACAAAACCCTCCACTTTAAAGAAATTAGTCTAAAACTGTTGCAAATTGTAAACTAGTAAGTGAGCAGATAGTGACAATTTGGTCCAGGAGCTTAAGATTTCTCTGTTTCACAAGGGAAAGATTAAAGCGTTGCTTCACTATGTAGGATTTCCCAAAAAGAAGGGAAAATGCCCAGTTACAGTTTTTCCAAAATGACCTATTGCATTTCCTCTCCTTGACTTGGTGCTAATAGAACTGGTGATATGTTGTGACCTGAAAAGTAGAAACTAATGATGGAATTGTGGTGTTAATAGGGACCACTTTAACACTATGAAGGCACAGAAAGGTTATGTGCCTTGCCCAGCATCACACACTAGTTATTAGCAGATCTACATGGGACCTGAAGTCGAGAGGCCAAAAAGTTTCTGTTGCCTTTCCTTGGGTCATTGCTGCCTCTGGCTTGCTGGTGAATGATCATTGGATTTGGCTAAGTGAGGATACAGTAGGAGGTGAAGTAAAGAGATGGGTGGGGGAATTCTGACAAACTCTGAGAGGCAACAAGTTGTCTGACTCACTGTGACACCTTGAAGAAATAAGCATGCTTGAAGCAGGGGCTTTATATTAGAGAAATTTGGAAAGTAGTCCCCCAAGGAAGGCTCTGGAGGTGGCAGACTGAGTCATCCTTACTTGGAAAAGAGCTGCCATGGTCTTTTGATTTCCTGCCAGTAAAGCAGCTTCCTCCTCTTCAGGTGCAGATACAGAGTGGGTATTTATACTTTAGTTCCATCCCACCTTGGCCCAATTTTTTTTTTCTGGGGAGTGAAGATGGAAATCCCTCTGTGGCTTTTCCTACAGGACTAGTTGGAAAAATAGGCAGAAAAAGGAGTTTGGATTTTATTATGTCTGTTGGGTAGTTCCTAGAAGATCTTAAGAAAAGGAGTGAATGCTTTGATTTATTTTTTTAAATAGATTACTCTGGTTCTGAGTGAAGAATGGATGCTACAAAGTTAACGAAGCTAAGAAAGAAAACATCTGAAGCAATTGCTTTAGAACAAATGGGTATAGTGGATCAGATTAAGATGGTAATAGTAGCGACTGACAAAAGTAGACAGAATTGGTATGTATATTTGAAAGCAAAGTCAGAAGGACTTAGAAAGAATTGAACATGATGTTTGAAAATGAGTGGAATCAATCCTAGCTTTCTTATGTGAGCAACTAGAAATTGCTGGGAGAGATGATTTGTGGGTAAGAATCATGAGTTTGCATCTGGAATCCTAGGTTTGAGGTCCCTATGAGACATTCAAGTAGAGATGTCAAGTAGTCAGTTGGACATGAGTAGAAATATAAACTTGGGAGTCATCAACACATACATAGTGTTTAAATCTGTAGGACTGAATGAGGCCGAGGTCATTTAGAGTGAGAAGAAAAGGAGCTGTAAAAAATATTTAGAAGCAAAGACCAGTGGCATAGAAATAGAACTATGAGAATAAAATGTCCTGGAAGCCCAGAGAAGAACAGATTTTTTTAAAAGATTGGCTAGTTGGCTGTGTCAAATCCTGCTGGGAGCTCAAGTAAATGAAGAGCAGAGATCACTGACTTTGATTACCTGAAGGTTGTTGATAACTTTGATAACAGTGATGTCTATATAGTGGTGGAGAAGGAAAAGCTACATTAGAGTGAGTCAAGGGGAGAAAAAGAATTTAGGGTTGAAAATAGTGATGGTAGACTACTTATGAAAGAGATTTGGTTGTGAAAGGGGACAGAGACATGGAGAGGTAGCTGGAATGCAGAGGTGAGTTAAGATATTTGATAAATAGGGTATGCCTATCTGCTGATGTGGGCAATCCTGTAAAGAGGGAAAAACTTAAGATGCAAGAAAGAGAGGAAAGCCCTTGAGAAGGCTAGATGGGTTGAGATGGATACTGAGCACAGTTGGAGGAGTTAGCCATGGAGCGAAGTAAGGACATTTCACTACAGTGCTCCTCCTGGTCAATTGAGTAAAGGTCATCATATGTGACTGAAGGTCTGGATGTTGGATGTACATGTAGGTTTGAGAATAGAAAAAACACTGTAACATCATTGTGTTGGAGAATGGAAGTGTGAACATTAAAGGGAAGTGTAGTAGACTGTTCAGGCAACACAGAGGGCTCATTTGAAATGTCCAACCATGATTTTAAAGTGAAACTTGTTAACACTGCTGTGTGCTTTTCTCAAGCAACACTCACCTGCTAAAATACAGCAGTGAAGTAGGAAGAGAGTAGAGTTAACTAGAGTTGGGGCTTTGCAAGGCAGATGTGTGTGATGGAGGGAAAGAGAAATTAGGGAGTTAATATTTGGAAAATGGTGAATATAATGGATTATCAAATATAAGGTCTGGATAGAGAGACTTGAATACATGAGGTAGATGACGAACTGTGAGAAGGTGGTGAGGTCAGTACCTTGCAGGTCTTGCTAAAATTAGAGAATTAATAGAATGAGATTACTCTGGCATATGAACTGGAAGGAAAAGAAGTAGGCTAATAGAGAAATAAGGGCCCAAAAATGAGATTAAGATTGGCCAATGAGATAGGAGGTGGAAAGTATTTCCAAAAGGAAAGAGCAGGTAACTAGTCAAGATATCAAGTAAAATAGGGATAGAAAGGTAAACATTAGACATAATGACAAGAAGATCATTGTTGACCTTAACATGAGCCATTTCAATGGAATGGTAGGATTCATTGTAGTGGATTAAAGATTGAGTGGGCAATGAGGAAACTGACACAAGAGAACTCAGGACACCTTTTCTTTTTTTTTTTTTTTAATTTTTTTTTTATTATTATACTTTAAGTTTTAGGGTACATGTGCACATTGTGCAGGTTAGTTACATACGTATACATGTGCCATGCTGGTGCGCTGCACCCACTAACTCGTCATCTAGCATTAGGTATATCTCCCAGTGCTATCCCTCCCCCCTCCCCCCACCCCACAACAGTCCCCAGAGTGTGATGTTCCTCTTCCTGTGTCCATGTGATCTCATTGTTCAATTCCCACCTATGAGTGAGAACATGCGGTGTTTGGTTTTTTGTTCTTGCGATAGTTTACTGAGAATGATGATTTCCAATTTCATCCATGTCCCTACAAAGGACATGAACTCATCATTTTTTATGGCTGCATAGTATTCCATGGTGTATATGTGCCACATTTTCTTAATCCAGTCTATCATTGTTGGACATTTGGGTTGGTTCCAAGTCTTTGCTATCGTGAATAATGTCGCAATAGACATACATGTGCATGTGTCTTTATAGCAGCATGATTTATAGTCCTTTGGGTATATACCCAGTAATGGGATGGCTGCGTCAAATGGTATTTCCAGTTCTAGATCCCTGAGGAATCGCCACACTGACTTCCACAATGGTTGAACTAGTTGACAGTCCCACCAACAGTGTAAAAGTGTTCCTATTTCTCCACATCCTCTCCAGCACCTGTTGTTTCCTGACTTTTTAATGATTGCCATTCTAAGTGGTGTGAGATGGTATCTCATTGTGGTTTTGATTTGCATTTCTCTGATGGCCAGTGATGATGAGCATTTTTTCATGTGTCTTTTGGCTGCATAAATGTCTTCTTTTGAGAAGTGTCTGTTCATGTCCTTCGCCCACTTTTTGATGGGGTTGTTTGTTTTTTTCTTGTAAATTTGTTTGAGTTCATTGTAGATTCTGGATATTAGCCCTTTGTCAGATGAGTAGGTTGCAAAAATTTTCTTCCATTTTGTAGGTTGCCTGTTCACTCTGATGGTAGTTTCTTTTGCTGTGCAGAAGCTCTTTAGTTTAATTAGATCCCATTTGTCAATTTTGGCTTTTGTTGCCATTGCTTTTGGTGTTTTAGACATGAAGTCCTTGCCCATGCCTATGTCCTGAATGGTAATGCCTAGGTTTTCTTCTAGGGTTTTTATGGTTTTAGGTCTAACGTTTAAGTCTTTAATCCATCTTGAATTGATTTTTGTATAAGGTGTAAGGAAGGGATCCAGTTTCAGCTTTCTCCATATGGCTAGCCAGTTTTCCCAGTACCATTTATTAAATAGGGAATCCTTTCCCCATTGCTTGTTTTTCTCAGGTTTGTCAAAGATCAGATAGTTGTAGATATGCGGCGTTATTTCTGAGGGCTCTGTTCTGTTCCATTGATCTATATCTCTGTTTTGGTACCAGTACCATGCTGTTTTGGTTACTGTAGCCTTGTAGTATAGTTTGAAGTCAGGTAGTGTGATGCCTCCAGCTTTGTTCTTTTGGCTTAGGATTGACTTGGCGATGTGGGCTCTTTTTTGGTTCCATATGAACTTTAAAGTAGTTTTTTCCAATTGTGTGAAGAAAGGCATTGGTAGCTTGATGGGGATGGCATTGAATCTGTAAATTACCTTGGGCAGTATGGCCATTTTCACGATATTGATTCTTCCTACCCATGAGCATGGAATGTTCTTCCATTTGTTTGTATCCTCTTTTATTTCCTTGAGCAGTGGTTTGTAGTTCTCCTTGAAGAGGTCCTTCACATCCCTTGTAAGTTGGATTCCTAGGTATTTTATTCTCTTTGAAGCAATTGTGAATGGGAGTTCACTCATGATTTGGCTCTCTGTTTGTCTGTTGTTGTTGTATAGGAATGCTTGTGATTTTTGCACATTGATTTTGTATCCTGAGACTTTGCTGAAGTTGCTTATCAGCTTAAGGAGATTTTGGGCTGAGACAATGGGGTTTTCTAGATATACAATCATGTCATCTGCAAACAGGGACAATTTGACTTCCTTCCTCTTTTCCTAATTGAATACCCTTTATTTCCTTCTCCTGCCTAATTGCCCTGGCCAGAACTTCCAACACTTTGTTGAATAGGAGTGGTGAGAGAGGCCATCCCTGTCTTGTGCCAGTTTTCAAAGGGAATGCTTCCAGTTTTTGCCCAGGCAGTATGATATTGGCTGTGGGTTTGTCATAGATAGCTCTTATTATTTTCAAATATGTCCCATCAATACCTAATTTATTGAGAGTTTTTAGCATGAAGGGTTGTTGAATTTTGTCAAAGGCCTTTTCTGCATCTATTGAGATAATCATGTGGTTTTTGTCTTTGGTTCTGTTTATATGCTGGATTACATTTATTGATTTGTGTATATTGAACCAGCCTTGCATCCCAGGGATGAAGCCCACTTGAACATGGTGGATAAGCTTTTTGATGTGCTGCTGGATTCGTTTTGCCAGTATTTTATTGAGGGTTTTTGCATCAATGTTCATCAAGGATATTGGTCTAAAATTCTCTTTTTTCGTTGTGTCTCTGCCCGGCTTTGGTATCAGAGTGATGCTGGCCTCGTAAAATGAGTTAGGGAGGATTCCCTCTTTTTCTATTGATTGGAATAGTTTCAGAAGGAATGGTACCACTTCCTCCTTGTACCTCTGGTAGAATTCAGCTGTGAATCCATCTGGTCCTGGACTCTTTTTGGTTGGTAAGCTATTGATTATTGCCACAATTTCAGATCCTGTTATTGGAGATTCAACTTCTTCCTGGTTTAGTCTTGGGAGAGTGTATGTGTCAAGGAATTTATCCATTTCTTCTAGATTTTCTAGTTTATTTGCGTAGAGGTGTTTGTAGTATTCTCTGATGGTAGTTTGTATTTCTGTGGGATCGGTGGTGATATCCCCTTTATCATTTTTTATTGTGTCTATTTGATTCTTCTCTCTTTTTTTCTTTATTAGTCTTGCTAGTGGTCTATCAATTTTGTTGATCTTTTCAAAAAACCAGCTCCCGGATTCATTAATTTTTTGAAGGGTTTTTTGTGTCTCTATTTCCTTCAGTTCTGCTCTGATTTTAGTTATTTCTTGCCTTCTGCTAGCTTTTGAATGTGTTTGCTCTTGCTTTTCTAGTTCTTTTAATTGTGATGTTAGGGTGTCAATTTTTGATCTTTCCTGCTTTCTCTTGTAGGCATTTAGTGCTATAAATTTCCCTCTACACGCTGCTTTGAATGCGTCCCAGAGATTCTGGTATGTTGTGTCTTTGTTCTCATTGGTTTCAAAGAACATCTTTATTTCTGCCTTCATTTCGTTATGTACCCAGTAGTCATTCAGGAGCAGGTTGTTCAGTTTCCATGTAGTTGAGCGGTTTTGAGTGCGATTATTAATCCTGAGTTCTAGTTTGATTGCACTGTGGTCTGAGAGATAGTTTGTTATAATTTCTGTTCTTTTACATTTGCTGAGGAGAGCTTTACTTCCAAGTATGTGGTCAATTTTGGAATAGGTGTGGTGTGGTGCTGAAAAAAAATGTATATTCTGTTGATTTGGGGTGGAGAGTTCTGTAGATGTCTATTCGGTCCGCTTGGTGCAGAGGTGAGTTCAATTCCTGGGTATCCTTGTTGACTTTCCGTCTCGTGGATCTGTCTAATGTTGACAGTGGGGTGTTAAAGTCTCCCATTACTAATGTGTGGGAGTCTAAGTCTCTTTGTAGGTCACTCAGGACTTGCTTTATGAATCTGGGTGCTCCTGTATTGGGTGCATATATATTTAGGATAGTTAGCTCTTCTTGTTGAATTGATCCCTTTACCATTATGTAATGGCCTTCTTTGTCTCTTTTGATCTTTGTTGGTTTAAAGTCTGTTTTATCAGAGACTAGGATTGCAACCCCTGCCTTTTTTTGTTTTCCATTTGCTTGGTAGATCTTCCTCCATCCTTTTATTTTGAGCCTATGTGTGTCTCTGCAGGTGAGATGGGTTTCCTGAATACAGCACACTGATGGGTCTTGACTCTTTATCCAATTTGCCAGTCTGTGTCTTTTAATTGGAGCATTTAGTCCATTTACATTTAAAGTTAATAGTGTTATGTGTGAATTTGATCCTGTCATTATGATGTTAGCTGGTTATTTTGCTCGTTAGTTGATGCAGTTTCTTCCTAGTCTCGATGGTCGTTTCATTTTGGCATGATTTTGCGGCGGCTGGTACCAGTTGTTCCTTTCCATGTTTAGTGCTTCCTTCAGGAGCTCTTTTAGGGAAGGCCTGGTGGTGACAAAATCTCTCAGCATTTGCTTGTCTGTGAAGTATTTTATTTCTCCTTCACTTATGAAGCTTAGTTTGGCTGGATATGAAATTCTGGGTTGAAAATTCTTTTCTTTAAGAATGTTGAATATTGGCCCCCACTCTCTTCTGGCTTGTAGGGTTTCTGCCGAGAGATCCGCTGTTAGTCTGATGGGCTTCCCTTTGAGGGTAACCCGACCTTTCTCTCTGGTTGCCCTTAACATTTTTTCCTTCATTTCAACTTTGGTGAATCTGACAATTATGTGTCTTGGAGTTGCTCTTCTCGGGGAGTATCTTTGTGGCGTTCTCTGTATTTCCTGAATCTGAACGTTGGCCTGCCTTGCTAGATTGGGGAAGTTCTCCTGGATAATATCCTGCAGAGTGTTTTCCAACTTGGTTCCATTCTCCCCATCACTTTCAGGTATACCAATCAGACGTAGATTTGGTCTTTTCTCATAGTCCCATATTTCTTGGAGGCTTTGTTTGTTTCTTTTTATTCTTTTTTCTCTAAACTTCCCTTCTCGCTTCATTTCATTCATTTCATCTTCCATTGCTGATACCCTTTCTTCCAGTTGATCGCATCGGCTCCTGAGGCTTCTGCATTCTTCACGTAGTTCTCGAGCCTTGGTTTTCAGCTCCATCAGCTCCTTTCAGCACTTCTCTGTATTGGTTATTCTAGTTATACATTCTTCTAAATTTTTTTCAAAGTTTTCAACTTCTTTGCCTTTGGTTTGAATATCCTCCGTAGCTCAGAGTAGTTTGATCATCTGAAGCCTTCTTCTCTCAGCTCGTCAAAGTCATTCTCCGTCCAGCTTTGTTTCGTTGCTGGTGAGGAGCTGGGTTCCTTTGGAGGAGGAGAGGTGCTCTGCTTTTTAGAGTTTCCAGTTTTTCTGTTCTGTTTTTTCCCCATCTTTGTGGTTTTATCTACTTTTGGTCTTTGATGATGGTGATGTACAGATGGGTTTTTGGTGTGGATGTCCTTTCTGTTTGTTAGTTTTCCTTCTAACAGACAGGAACCTCAGCTGCAGGTCTGTTGGAGTACCCTGCAGTGTGAGGTGTCAGTGTGCCCCTGCTGGGGGTGCCTCCCAGTTAGGCTGCTCTGGGGTCAGGAGTCAGGGACCCACTTGAGGAGGCAGTCTGCCTGTTCTCAGATCTCCAGCTCGTGCTGGAAGAACCACTACTCTCTTCAAAGCTGTCAGACAGGGACATTTAAGTCTGCAGAGGTTACTGCTGTCTTTTTGTTTGTCTGTGCCCTGCCCCCAGAGGTGGAGCCTACAGAGGCAGGCAGGCCTCCTTGAGCTGTGGTGGGCTCCACCCAGTTCGAGCTTCCGGGCTGCTTTGTTTACCTAATCAAGCCTGGGCAATGGCGGGCGCCCCTCCCCCAGCCTGGCTGCCGCCTTGCTGTTTGATCTCAGAGTGTTGTGCTAGCAATCAGCGAGACTCCGTGGGCCTAGCACCCTCCGAGCCAGGTGCGGGATATATTCTCCCGGTGTGCCGTTTTTTAAGCCTGTCGGAAAAGCGCAGTGTTAGCGTGGGAGAGACCCGATTTTCCAGGTGCGGTCTGTCACCCCTTTCTTTGACTAGGAAAGGGAACTCCCTGACCCCTTGAGCTTCCTGAGGGAGGCAATACCTCGCCCTGCTTCGGCTCGCGCACGGTGTGCTGCACCCACTGTCCTGCACCCACTTTCTGGCACTCCCTAGTGAGATGAACCCGGTACCTCAGATGGAAGTGCAGAAATCACCTGTCTTCTGCCTCCCTCATGCTGGGAGCTGTAGACCGGAGCTGTTCCTATTCGGCCATCTTGTCTCCACTTTGGATGTAAGCCATTTTAACTGGGATGTGGTAATATCTCATTATAGTGTTGATTAGCATTTCTCTGATAATTATGTTAAGCACCTTTTCATATATCTGTGCCATTTGTATGTTTTCTTTTGAGAAATACCACTGTCTGGCACTCCCTAGTGAGATGAACCCGGTACCTCAGATGGAAATGCAGAAATCACCTGTCTTCTGCGTCGCTCAGGCTGGGAGCTGTAGACCGGAGCTGTTCCTATTCGGCCATCTTGGCTCCTACCCCCACCTTTTCAATAAGTTATTGCTGTTTAAACATTTTTATGATAGCTGCTTTAAAATCCTTATCAATCAGGTAATGCTAACATCTAAGTCATCTCAATGTTATTATGAACTGAGTATCTTTTTTTTTTTCATTTATGTTTTGCGTTTCCTGGATCTTGGTATGACAGGTGATATTTTTGTTTGTGTCCTGGACATTTTGGCTAATATATTGGGAGACTATGGATCCTATCTAAATCTTGTATTTTTAGCAAGAAGTCACTCCATTGAGATTTGGCGTCAAGGTTCTGGCCTACTTTGTGAGTTGAGGCTACAATGGCAGTTTAATATTTTTAGAGCTTTCGCGGTGCTATTTTGGTCGGCATGGTTTATCTGGTGCCTTGGGAACTCCCACTGGTCCTTGCTTGTGCTGCCTGAGGGAGCAGACAGGGTTTTCCCAGGCCCACAGAAATAAAGAACCTTCCTTGGTAGGCCACTTGTCGTGGCTGGGCCTTTCCCATCATTTCCACCCACCTGCTCCAGCATCCTCTGGCAGAAGAAGGGATTCTTGGGTCCTTTTTTCTCCTTTGTTGGGACAAAAATGCTTCACGTACAGGGCACCCTCTTGTGGTAGAAATCCCCTGGTTGCTGTTTCCTGGATACCTGATGTCTCTCAAAATGGGAGAGAGTGTCAGGTCCGTAGAAACAAAAAACCTTTTTGGACAAGGTCTGCTTGTTGGGGCAGGATACCCATTGCCAGTACTGCCTGGCTGCCTGGTGTTTCACAGTAAGGGAAGAGAGTCCTGGGCTGTCAGGGAAGGAGAGTGCTTCCCCTGGCTACTTATTATTAGTAGGGCTCCCAATCATGTCCCCTTGCTGCCATTCCCAGGTTCACCTGATATTGTGAGAGGAATTACCATTTGATCCAGTAAAGAAGCAAGCCTACCTGGGCTGCCATCTGCTGTTCTGTCAGGGATCAGGAAATGCTGGGTCTGTGTCACCTTGTTCTGTTGGATAGGGGGAGGATCATAAGACACCCTGCTACTGTGCTATTTATCCAATACTGGGATCCTAAACCAGTTAGCCAGCCTTTTACCACCTTACAGAGTTTTCCTCTAGTTGTTGCTTGCATTATTCCCAGGGTTCATATTTGTATTAATACTTTGGGCAGAGGAGCAGGGAGAAATACATCTACACCATCTTGTCTGGACCAGACATCTGATTGTAGTTTAAAGGCCTAAAATGGGAAGCAAAGAGAGGGAGAGGAGAGTCAACAGAGCGAGGTCCCAAAAAGTGCTTAGAGAAAAGAACTCAGAACACAGATGAGGATATAAGTATTAGCAAAGGACAGAGAGGAAAGAAGATGCATATTCAGATAGGTTTATAGGTTTGGTAGCAGGAATTTGAGGACATTCTTAGCCGATGAATCTACTTACTTTCCTGTGAAACAGAGAGGCAACATAAGAGCCCAAACTCGATGTTTTACATTTTTGGTTATGAACCCCAGTTGCACTTCTTACCAGTTGTGAGGCCTTTGGCATATCACTTAAATCCCTGTGTGCCTCAGTTTCCCACAAAATGGAAATTAAAACAGCATATATCCTCATAGGACCGTTATGATGGTTAATTGAAGTGAGTTAATATTTGAAAATGCATTTAATATGGTATAAGTGTTTGTTATGTAGGCAAAAATATCTCGTAAGGTTCTTACGAGATATTAAATAAGATAAGCTCTACAATGTGTGCAGCAAACTGCCTGGTATATAACATTCAGTGTTACTATGATTTTCAAAAGTATTCTTTGCAGGCTTAGGATATTTTCTTGAAGTAAAATCATAGGTCACAATTTGCCAATCCCATGTTTTTGTCAGAGAGGGTCTAGGTGACAGTGGGCACAAATACATAATATCAGTCTTGGTAGAAATAGTAGGGATGGGGAAGCTGCATATGAGGAACTCCAAGATGCAGTTGGAGCATCTATTTCCCTGGGAAGCTTTAGGCAAGTGCCCAAGGCCCACTGAGCTTCTCCAGCCTTAGCATACATTTTGCTATGTTGTATGCAGCTTTCTGCCCTCCTTTTCTTGAAGTCTGAGTGCTCCTCCAGGGTAGAGACCGGCAATAGGAAAAGGTTTCAACTCCCTCACATCACAACATATCTCCATGCTATAATATACACCCTCTCCCAAAGTAACATTTGAAAGTCCCTGAGAAAGCCAAATGGACTCAAGTGTCTGGAATATGTTAATATGGGCAGTCAGCTGCATAAATTGCAAAACAGAAGTCATGCTTCTATGTATTCTGTGACAGCAGAAAAATCGTAGGATCTTCTATCACGATGGGAAAGGAATACAAAGAAGAATTAGTGCCATCTTGTGGAGTGATATATCATTACCACTTAAGAGTCGCCAGTGAGAACTGGGTTATATTTTTTTAGTATCTCCCGAGTCCTGGTCTGCAAGAAATGCTTGAAAATTACTTGCAGAATTAAATGAATAAATGAGAGACGAGATAAGAATTGGATGGAGACTTTGTTAATTTAAACATCACCTTGATAAAATGTTTGACGCACTGTCCATTGCGATTTGGAGACCTTTAAAAATGGTGTTGTAGACACCCCAAGTCATTATTATGTACCTACCATAAAGGAAAATGAAGAATAAAATATTTGCATTAAGAAATCAAGAACTATGAACTTTTTCTTGTCCTGGCCTTATCAGTAGTAGGTGAGTAAACTTTCTAATGGTATTTTTCTCTTCCTGATTATCAATGTGCTGCAAATTAATAAATCATTCAAAGAACACGAAGAGCTGGGGCACAGTGACTCATGCCTGTAATCCCAGCACTTTGGGAGGAGAAAAAGGGTGGATCACTTGAGGTCAGAAGTTCAAGACCAGCCTGGCCAACATGGCAAAACTCCATCTCTATAAAAAATACAAAAATAAGCCAGCGTGATGGCGCATGCCTGAAATCCCAGCTACTTGGGAGGCTGAGGCACAAGAATCACTTGAACCTTGGAGGTGGAGGTTGCAGTGAGCCAAGATTGCACCACTGCACCCCAGCCTGGGTGGCAGAGCAAGACCCTGTCTCAAATAAATAAATAAACATTTTAAAAATAAGAAAAACAAAGAGCATGAAGAATATGGGTAGCTTCGGAGCAGGTGGGTGTTGTCCATATTCTATTAAGTTTAATGAAAATAAATTGCTGACAATCAACTATTTTGACCTATAACAATGTCAGTTTCTTATGGATTGGCCTAATATTTTAAATCAGTTCACTTAATTTATTCTGGGTATATGATAGGTCAGGATATTGTAGTAGGCCCTAGATGATACAGGGACAAATAATACATGGGCCTTGCCTTTAGGAATCTTACCATTTGGTGTGGAAGTGGGCACTTAGATACCATGCCTTCTATTTTAATAATTTCTGTTAAGTGCCAACAGTGTGGAGTTAAGCCAAATTTTGTGGAGGTGCTATGAGAGGTCTAGGAAAGCATAATGGTTTGGAATGGTGGGTAAGAGCAAGGACTCTGGCACCAAACTCTCTCAGTTTGAATGTTAATTTCACTACTTACTAGATGGGTGACTTTGGCCAAAGTGCTATGCTTTTCTATTCCTCAGTTTCCTCATATATCAAGTGAGATCACATACTGCCCACCTCATATGATTGAAGCAAGGGTTAAGTGAGTTCCAAAGTACTTGGAATAATTCCTCATGCATAGCAAGTTGTGTATAAGTTTTAGCTGTCTTCGTCACCATCATCAGTCATCATCATCATCATCATTACCATCATCACCTCTATTCCTGCAGAAGTATTAGAGTTGTGTTTTGTAAGCTGAGTTAAATTTCATTATTCGTTTTTTCTTTTGAAAACGTTGCCAATAATTTATTTATTGAGTTCCTATTTTTCCCAGTTCCTGTGAAGAATGGGTAGGAATACCCTTACCTACTTTTTTCTACTAGATCATCATTTTTGTAAATCTGGGCCTGAGGCAAGAGCTTTACAGGCAAAAGCATGGGACAATGAAAGGACAGAGGACAGTAAGACTGTTGTCATTGGAATGAATGGCTCATGGGGGCTTGTATCAAGTTATGGAGAAGATAAGCCAAGACTTAGATTATTTGTATCTATTCACGTGTATATTTGTGAAGGCAAAACCTGTTCTCGGTTGGCTTTAACAAAATCAGCTGAAATAGCTGGACAGAAGCTACATAAGGTAAGGGCAAAGGCATGCTGCATTGCTGGCATATAGTACCTTAGGCCTATTCTGTGGATACTTGGTTGATGCTGAATGCTCTTTGTCCCCAAGTTGTAAAATCACCCCTCCTTGAAAATTATTCTCTAATAAATTTTTTAATCATAAATTAATTTTGTGCCATGGCAAAGGTATTGACAGCTAAGAAGTAAAACTGTAAAATTAACTGCTATGGACTAAGAACGGCTAAAATTTCACTTTGTTTTTAATGCCTTAACCACCTGACAACATATTGTAGCATGACTTTATGAAACATGGATAACATTCATCATTTGAGTCTGGAGATCCAAATTCAGTATTTCAGAGTGGGATCATGATGGGCTGTAGTCATGAGTGTTTACTATGTTGTAAAAACGTCCAAGTGGGAATAATGACATGTTTGCACTCCCTGTGACTTGATCACTGAAATCTGGAAAGCTCATCAACTTCACCCATTGTCAAGTCCACCTTTGCTCCTTTGTCCTCTGAGGACCCAGTGAGATCAGCATTTTTCTGGAAGGGCTGCAAGTGACCCCACTGGAAGGAGCAGCACTGTGCATCAGGATGGATTCCCAGGCACACTATACATTGTGGGGTCACAGGCCATATGGGTGGACTAACTGATTTCATGGCTGTATTTGAATTGACTTCCCTCCTGGAATCCTGATGCCTCTTTTAATTTTATGTGGCAACTATCATTTGCTTTTGCTGATCATTCATTCAATCACCTCTATCATTTCTCAATGAGGGCATTTTTAAATATATTATTTATATATTTTTATTTTTTTTTTTTTACTAAATATAGACCAGCCATCAACTTGAACTTAAAAACTGACACACCAGTTAGTTCGGTCAATAGTGCAGAAATATTCTTCTATGCTACTATGATTTGAGCCCACTATAGATACTTTTATAGCTAGTTATGCCAGCAAGACTCAATGAATGATACTTGTCCAGATTGCTATCAGGAGCTAATCATATGAAAGGTAACACCAGCTTTATGTAGGATCTGTTTATACTTAGGGTACTTCCTGGATTTTGACGGTTTTCAAAGCTAATGGCCTATTAAATAGGTCCCAGAGGTAAAAGAAAAAGTGGCTTGGCCTAAACCATGGTGAATCATCTTATGGTAGAGTTCAGGTTTCTAATTCATAATCTTGTTAGCAGAACGTGCCTTTGAATGGAAAGTAACGTACAACCTCTGCCAATCTTTGCAACTCACTAACAAAACTCAGCAAAGTTTGCCCAATGCCAATGTTTAAAAAAATGGATGAAAACAGCATGGATTGAAGAACTCACATACAAAATATATAAGGAATGAAGACAAATGGCATCAAAATTGTATCTGGGTAAAACATTTGCTGTTGAGTGTGCCATAATTTGAGAGCACAAACACAGCCTTGAGGGTAAAGTTCAAGGTACGGGTGTCCCCTTTTCTAAGGGGACATAACACATAAGCACATAACAGTCCTCCTGTTATGTGCTAAAAGAAAGGAAGCTCATATTAGATTGCTCCAGATGTAGAAATCATAACAACAATAAAGATGATAATATTAACAAGTCTAATTTCTGGAACATTTAGCCTAATGTTTAGGCATGTTTACATGCCTAATATGCATTATCACGTTTAATTCTTGCTTTTTTTCCAGTTGAAATCTTATTTTATTTTTTACATTCAGTATATTAATTTTAAAATAAATTTTGTGCATATTTAAGGTATACGACATGGTGATGGATATGTTCATTTGTCCCACTATAGAGATGATTTTACTATATATATATATATATATATATATATATATATATATATACACATATGTATCTTAATATTTGCTTTTATGAAATCCTTGTATATAAATATTTTTATTCTCCTCAATGTAATATTTTAAAAACTTCATTTTAAAGAAAAAATAAATTTATATGCTCTCTTAAAGCAGAGAGAACAAAACCTAACAAATCAACAGCAAAAATGAAGGCACTCTTTTTCACTTCAAATGGATTTGTTATCACAGTCTGTACAGAATTTAGCAGTGACACCTTGGTGTTCTAAATCCTTCTAAACTGAGTTTCCTCCTTTTTTTTCTGCAAGAAGAGCTTCTTTATCTTCCAGAATCATGACTGTATTCTTTTCCTTGTATACTCTATCTTGCAGTCAGGGAATGACCGGAGAGCGTTCTCATGTGTCTCTATTAATTACTACCCCAAATATACCTTTTTCTGGAGGGGAAGTACCAGGAAAATCTTCCCTGTTTAGCTGTTGCAGGGGTATCACATGTTGGGTTTTCAGATGTAGCAAACAAAAATAGAGGCCAGCCAGTTAAATTTGACTTCAGAGAAACAACAACAAAACAATTTTAGTATAAGTTGATCCCAAATATTGCATGGGACAGACTTGTACTAAAAAATGTATCATTTATCTGAAATTCAAATTTAAATTGGCACCCTATATTTCATCTGGCAAACCTATATACTAATTATAATTTCCAGATTACATAATTGAGTTACAGCAGTAAGACCAATTTTAACTTGTTTCATCATAGTGGGAATCCTGCCGAATTGTCTTCACTTCCTTAGAAACAAATGAGTAGCAGATGTCTGATTTGGTGAATGGGTTATCAGCTGAGTACAACCAACTTACATAATAATTTAAGCAGGAGCAAGGATGCATGCTAATTATATGTAGGCTTGCATAGAAATTTTTCTTTAGTTTACTCATTTTAGATGTATAGTATTTCAGAGTCTGAAAAAGCTGTGGAGGTCCATCGGTGTAATGTCACCTCCAAAATCCCCCACCGTGGCCTGGGACCCCATTCTTTACACTGTAGGGTTGCTGACAAAATGTTACCAGGCCAGAGGGGTCAGTCGTGGCCAAAGACCAACCCACATTCTGCTTTTCAAACCTTGCACCCACAGAAGGCACTTCCCACCTTCTCCACCCCACACCGACCCAGACATGTACATACGTGCCTTGCACTTGCCAGATCATGCACTCCCAGTTTGTGCCTCCTCCGAGCTGGTGCCTTTTTATATAATTTGCATGAAGGCAGTAGACTCTTGGCCCTGATTCATAAAAACATTTAATGCCCATTTGCAAAGTCACTACCCAGAGCCAAGCACCACATTAAGTTCTGGGAATGCAGAGATGGATGGGGCATGGTCTCTTCTTTCTAGGAAATTAGAGTCTGGCATGGGACAGACAAGCAAAGAAATCATTTAAAAACGTGCCACGATAGTAGGTGTGCATAGGACACGATGAGAGCACAGAGGACAGAAAGCTATCTCAGCCTAGTAGCATGGAACTAGGAGGGATTCTCAGAGGGGTTGGAACTTAAGCAGGATGTAAATGAAAGAATGGGGTTAGTGAGTCAAGAGGGGGTGGAAGGGAGGGAGAAAAGGCATTCTAGGTTGAGGGTGACGCAGCACCAGCAAATTCACAGAGATCTGAAATTGAGTGCCCTGCTTGGGAAACCTCAAGATAACTCATTTTAGCTGGGGTAAAAGTGGGGGGCTGAGGGTGTGGCAAATTATAAAGGGTCTTTACAGAGAGAATGATTTGGGAAACACTGAATTAAACAATGCCCTGTGGGGTAACATTGCTCCTGCTATATTCCCCCCAGTGCCGAAAATATTGACTAGCTAATAGTAAGTACTCAATATATGTTTTATTAAATGAATGAATGAACAAGTGATTGAATACATGGCAGGACTTGTCAGAGCCTTTGATAGAACAATGTGTGTTATAGATCTCAAGAGAGGGGCATAGTATGCAGAATTCTCACCTTATTTGACCACATAACCGTTTTTGTCACTGAATAATACATTTCTAAAATCTATTATTTTTGAAACACACTTGGGGAAATCATGTTCTAAAGGAGACATGAAAATGTAAAACTACATGAATAAATAGAAAGTGAGAGAAATCTATGATAAGGTTTCAGGGCTTATGCTTACATGAAATGGTGCTCAATTTTTTCTCTATCGTCTTCTTGGAACTAGGTGATTCATTGATAGTGGGCAGCATGAGAGGCCGGACACAAGGTGGGCTGGCCCAAATTCCAGGGGGCTTTGCAAGTCCTCTTCGGCAACAATAATTTGTATTCACTTTTTATTTTCCCTTGTTTACACGTTCAGATTGTTCTATAGCTAATCAGAAAAATATTCACTTTCCCTGTGGGCCTAATGGTCCCACACCAACGCTAATCTCAGAAACTGTGGTCTTAAGGTAAAAACATGTATCAAGCGCTAACTTTACACCAGACACTTTCCACATTTTAACTTACTGATTTTCCATGATGGTCATGGTTATAATGGTATAATAATAATTACATATTGAATGTTTACTCTCTGCCAGGCAGTGGGCTAAGTACAGTTTACAATTGTTATCTCATTTGTCCTTCGTGACAACCCAACTCATTTATAACAATACTGAAGCACAGAGAGGTTAAGTAACTTGTAAAAAGTTACACAGCTGGTAACTTGCAGATTAGGGAAGTGGACCTGGGTCTGCCTGATGCCAAAGCTTACATATTACATGTTTAACCACCCCGCCATGTTACTGTTAAGCTTACTATAAATCCTTTGCAGTGTATAATCAAAGAGAAGTTCAATTTCACTCCTATGTCCATACAAATATATCTTCAAGAAAACAATCCTAACCTCAATGACTACCATTAAATAGGATCCATTTATACCTACTTGCCAAGTAGTCATGGATCAGTTATGTATCATTGCTATATATGTGAATAGGTCAAGCGTGTTACAGTGTTATTAGAACAGTCAACCGAATCATGTTAAACCCTGATTCATAACTTGTACTTGATGCAGGATATTAACTACTCACAGCATAACACAATTAGACACCCCCAGAACAGAACAAAAGCAGTCAAGAGTATGCTGTGCTGGACCCCAAACTAGTGAGTTCCCCACTCTTCCCTCAGAGGCTCTAGGGATCCATGAATCTGCTTCTTCTATCTTCTCACACATAGACCAAAATAAAACGAAGTAGGCTGGTTGTGAGGCTTAATGAAATGTCTCCTCCTAGGCTGTTGGCCCAGAGACTGGCCACTTGTGAAATTATATATATATATATATCATATATATATAATATATACTTATATATATATATATAATATATACTTATATATAAGTATGATATATATATATACTACTTTTGACTTTACATTTTGCACTTGCATTTAAAAGTATTCATTCAGATCATTGCATAGTCCTTGTAGTTGCATTAATAGGTAGGAATGACATATTTTAATTTTGTCGTAAAATATAACATACATACAAAAGAGTGCATGTACAATTAATGATGAATATTTACAAACTGAACTCACCTAAATAATGAGCACCCAGATGAAGAAGTAGAACATTACCAGCACCCCCAAAAAGAGCCACTGTGGTCACTAACCCTTAAGGGTAACCTCTATCCTAAATTGGAACAGCATAAAAGCTAGAAGAACTGAAACCGTGGTCTAGCTACTAAATGACAGACATACTTGGACTATCTGACTCCAGAGCTTATACATCAGACAATGCATGCTTAAAACTACAAGCCTTTCCACATTTCATAGAGGGAAGAATATTTTTAGTTCAAAAAATGTTTCACGATGTTTGAAGTTAAAATGACGAGTTTCTAAATAGCCAGGCCTGAAAGAGTGACCATGGCTGTGGAGAGGGGAGCCCATGATGATGGCTGACTTTCATGATGCTGCCCCCTGGATGGGTTCATGACAGTAGTGATCAAAAAGGGCTAAGGGCCAAGTCCTAAACCTCTGTAACTTTGCAGTCCCTTCGGGGCTCTCTTTTCTGAGAAGATATTCCCACAGTAGAAAACTGCCACTGACAAAGTTTCATTGGCCAGGTAGTGTGAGTCTTAATTGCAACCAGATTTTATGTGGCGGAACAGACAACACTTTGCTCTGATGATGTAATTCCTGCCAAACTCTGTAGTATATCTCTGGTTTCTAATTCTCCAAATTCCCCCATGGAATTGTTATTCCCTTTTCACAGATGGGAACACTGATGTTCAGAAAGTTTAAATGCCCTGACCAAGGTCACATGGCTAGTAAATTCCTTGGCCAGGATGAAAAGCCATGTCTGTTTTGACTAGAACTTCTGCCTGTATCCGTTATATATCAAGCTTGAAACACTCCATAGCTTCACCAAGAGTTGCTTCATTGGAGATAGTTTGACTATGGCCTCCAGAATTTCAGATAGATGTCCTGAATTTCTACTATTTTGAGATGATTCAGAAGGAATTTGCAGGGCCTCAGAATGATCATTAATCACATCAGTTACTACTGATGATATCAGAACCAGACTAAAGTATTGCTTGTTTCTCAAAGTTTGATCCATGGACCAGCAGAATAAAATGAAGGATCTCAGGCCACATCCTAGACCTCCTGGGTAAGAATTTGAATTTTAACAAGATCCCCATGGGACTTGTGCACACATTAAAATTTCAGATGCATCATTGAATGCCTGGAAACAAAGTTTAGTATATTCTGCAAAATGGGCTATGTGGATTTTATATCTTGGATAAAAGACATAAAAATATGAGTGAGATTATTTATTTTATTTCAAGAAGAAGAAGCCAGCACCAGTGCCTTGCTGAGGCCAAGAAACTCAACTTGGCAATCCCAATTCCTGAATCCTGTTTCCATAATCGCTCTCCAAGTTCTGGTCCCCTCTCACCTCACATCATATAGCAGAAAACGTAGATTCCCCTGAAGCCGCTTAGACTCTGAAAACTTGGCCCACAGAGCCTCGTCCTTGAGCACCTGGGCCTGTGAATCATCTGGGCATGGATGCTCTGGTGAGCTTTCCCGGCCTTGGAACCTCACCTACAACCATTTAATCGTTGACAAGGTTGACAAAGACAAGCAATGGGAAAAGGACTTCCTAGTCAATAAATGGTGCTGAGATAATTGGCTAGCTATATGTAGAAGATTGAAGCTGGACCACTACCCTTCACCATATACAAAAATTAACTCAAAATGGATTAAAGATGTAAATGTAAGACCTCAAACTATAACATGAGGAGTGGTGAGAAGATTCTAACAGGAAGGATCTCTCTCCTTCACTTTGGTCTCTTTGCAGGCATGTTCTATCGTTAGCATTAATTAGGTTTACAGTATTCACACACCTGCTAGGGAAAAATAGACTCCTTAATTTGCTGCAAGGTAAGGAAACATCAGCCATCTCAGCTATGCCTTTGTAGACATTATAAATCATGTGCAACATCAAAAAGATATTTAAGCTCCCTAAATATGGGTTGCGTTATTTGACTTCTAATAGCATTCTGACTAGCAATAGCAAAGAGAAATGGGTTTGCACTGAAATCATGTCAGCAGGGAGGTTGTAACTGCTACTCTGAAAACATTCTTCCTGCTTCCCAAGGCATTTTGTCATTAGTGGAACGACCACTGTGCAATTGATAGCCTTCCAGAACTTGTTAGCTCTGTAAAGTTGATGTCCTCTAAAATTTCACATTAGCAAGAGCACATCACAGAGTCATTCATTCATTTATACAACAAGCATTTATTGACCACCTACTATGTAGCAGGTGCAAATCTGTGTGCTACAGATAAAATGGTGAGGAAGTCCAAACTCAATGGTGAGCTCTCTGGGTGAGACAGACATTTAACAAATAATGCTCAATTTACACTTTAAAAAATGTAAGTATTGGTGTCAAATGCTAGTACACAAAGGTACAGGCTACAGTGGGGATCGGTGAGAAAGAATTAAGTCAGTTATGTAGACATGGAGGATGGAGTCAGAGAAGATTTTCTTAGAGAAATGACTTTTAAGCTGAGGTGAGGTCTGAAAGATGAATGGGTGTCAACTAGGTAAGATGGGCGAGAGAGCAGAGTGGAAATAGGGGCTTCACTCCCAGCAGAGGAAATAGCAAGTACACAGTCCCTTTGGTGGGAAAGAGCATGGAACATTCGAGAACTGAAACAGGCCCAGTAAGACTTGAGAGTAAAGAGAGAGGAAGAGTTGCACACGACAAGTGTGATTGTGCAGGGCCTTGATAGTCATGGGAAGGATGGTGATGTTTTCTCTAGTGCAATGGGGAGACCTCAAAGGGCTCGGAGAGATTGAGTATAATTTGTTCCAGGCCTCACAGCTGTAAAGGACACAGTGGTGATTCAAACCCAAGGCCATCTGACTGCTGAGACAGCTCTTTCAATCACAATATAGCTCCTGTTCATTTTTATGCAACTACACTTTTTCTGAAATCTCCTCCAGGCCTTAAACTTCAGGCCATCTCTAATTCAAATTGTGCCTTGATTTGTTTTGAAAGATGTCTTGGGTGTTTTCTACTACATAACAAATGGGCACTGGGACAGAGTGCCTGTTATAGTACCAGTGAGATAAGTGAGTCTAGCTTTCTATGTCAAATAAGCTGGTGGAATTTATAATAGAGAACAGGACCACAGAAATCTATCTGAAGAAAGGCAGTATGTGTCATTAGATTCTGTAAAGAGAAGCCGTGCCTAATAGATCTGGAATTTTCTGAAGGGGTGACTAAGCAAGTGAATGAGGGAGAGACAGTACATGTAATAATAATCACAGCTGCATGCAAAGCATTTTTGCATTACAAAACACTTTATTAATAATTACTTCTCTCACTGGACTGCTGTGAACATTACATGGAATGATATATTATTGCCTCATTTCACAGATGAAGAAAGAGGCTCAGTGAGGTCATAAGACTTTTCCCAAATACATATTAAGGAAATGATAGAACTCATATCCAAAGCAAGATCCCTCCAACTCCTGAGTTCTTAACCATTTTATTGCCATTCAGAGGCTTAGCACATGTTTATTGTGTTGAATAGATGCTTGCCATTATTGTGGAGGAACTTATTGAAAAGAAGAAATAACAGCCATTTCTCTGATGACCCCAGATTTCTTTCCTGCCTCTGTGTTGCCTTTCAAATCCCCAAGAAGGCATGTTTATATGCATCACCTAATTGGATCCTTACAAAAGTCTAAAAATAAAGGTAAAGTTAACCACATTTTATAAAACAGGCTACTGGAGCATTAAGAAAGGGGTTGGCAAATTTTTCTGTGAAGTGCTAGACAGTAAGTACTTAATATTTTAGGGTTTGCAGCCTCTGTTCCAACTACTCAACTTTCTGGTTAGAAAACAGCCATAGACTATAAAACAAATGAGTATGATTGTGTCTGTAACTAATGGCAGGTTCTATAACTATAGTTACAGACCTTGACATTCGAATTTCACATAATTTTATGTATCATGAAACAGTCTTCATTTTTATTTCTTTAAACCATTTTAAAATGTGGAAGCCACCCTAAACTTGCTGCTGTGTAAACATAGATGGCATTGGGCCAGATTTGACCTTGCGGCCACAGTTTGCCTTTAAGCAGCCTACACTAGAGTGTATGCCTAATAGCTGTTATACTATTTGCAAAAAGTTGAGTGTTTACATCATCGGGGGTTAGAGGATTGCTCCATATCCAAACTTTATTTCGGGCAGAAAAATAGAATGTGATTTTATTCAGCTAGAGTATCACAGGGTTAATTACACATGCTTTCATCTGGAAAAGCAGCCCCTCGTGTTGAGGTTTATGCCAAGAGTCTATGGCCCAGGTTCAGAGATGGCATGCTTCCTCATCACAGTTTGTTCCTGAGATGCTGGATTCTTCTCATAGTTCCCTGGATCTGAAGTTCTTTAGGAATGGAAGGGGCTTCTCAGCTCAGGGTCTAAGCTAGAAACACAGTCAGCAAAGGCTACTCATGCAGGGGGAAGTAAAGCCGGTTTGGAATGATTGGATCAGTGGAACTGCCAGTGCTTACCTTTCTACTACGCCTCAGGCACAGGGTAGTTGGCAAGGTATCTAGTTGACAACCTCTTGCTTCTTTCTAAGGAGCAGCCAGCTGGTGTGTGAGCACTTATTGTCCTCATGCTGCCCTGGTCCAGCCATTTCCCTGGCTCTGTTTTCTCACTATCTGATATGTAAATGCAAGAGTGACAGCTGTCCCATTGCTGAAGATGTATTATTAACACGGGATGTAGCATATAACTGCAACATACCATGTGGAGAAAGAGCTAAAGGCCATGTTTTACAGCTGGTGACTTAAAGGCGGGCAGGGGGTAGTGCACAAAGGGAAGAATGCCAACTCTTTAGTATCCACTGAAGCAGTCCCTCATGTTGAGGTTCATGATTTAGGGTAGAGGATAATACTGTGCATGAAGATGCTAATTAACTGTTACCAGAACACTCAATCCAAAAACAAATGTTGACTTTAGGGTCTTAGCATCTAATTATCTTGCTTGCAGTGCAAGAGACACAGTGTCTTTGCATATACAACAAGCCACGCTTTTGTGCACAGGCAAATGTGTTGGATGTGACAATGCAAGGACTACAAACACTTGTGGAGTGTGTTCTCTATCGGTCCCCAAACCAGCAAGGACATACATGATTTCCCAGCTGGACTTGTAGGTAGTAAGTATCCACCCAAATAGGGGAAACCCCTCCATATATATAGAACATGTATATATATAAAATATATATAGTTTGTGATCTGCATAATATATTATATATTTACATAAGATGTGTGTAGTGTAACTGAAACAATGGATCCCTTTGCTTAACTCACAGCATGCTTTGAAATATATATATGTATATATAATATAAACTATGTATTATCTTGGTGTATATGATATAATACATACACATAAACATAAACATTTTTTCCCAAGTTTGCTGTGAGCTAAGCAGGTGTCTCCATTTTCTCTACTTATAGTCAAGTATGGTAAAAACAAAACTCAGCCATTTTGGAAATTATGTACAAGACTGTGTCTACTCAGCAGTTCTGCTAACTTAGATTCTGGAGTTTGGGGACCTCCTTAAGGGTATTTCATTTGGACCTGAGATCCAGCATTCCTGGGCTTCCCAATGGATCACATATCCAAGCCAAATGTAGTGAACACAGGAAGACTGTGATTCAGGTAAATATTAGCTATTATTATCATCATTATTATATGCTGGATATTGCTTTAGGTGCAATTTTATGCATGATCTCATTTACTTCTTGCAATATGCCTATCAAGTAAGTACTACTATTATTCCCATTTTACAGATAAGAAAACTTAGGCACAGAGAGGGTAAGTGACTTGCCTATTGTTGCATAGCTTGTTAGTGGTACAGCCAGGGTTCATACCCAGACAATTTGACTGTCAATACCAAGATCTTAACTCTAACACTATGCTTCCTCCTCATAAGACAGAATTGAAGCCCATAACGTCCTAAATGTGGTGGAGAAATATAATAAATTTGAAGAAAGATGTAAATTTTATCTTTGAACAACCAGCCAATTAATTTCTTCTTTGTCTAAACAGTCTTCCTCTCAGTCCAAAAAATCTAGTTCTCACAAAAATGGATGAAATTAAAATTACCTATCCTTTGTTCATCCTTTCATTAAATAAGTATTTATTATATATGCTAGGGCAGTAAGTAGAGATTTCAGTGGAGTTAACGGCTATGAAATTCTTCCACATACAGTGGTTATCAGGTCAAAGGCACCATTGGGAAGTTGGTATCAAGCCAAATGACATTGAGGAGTCATAAATAAAGTTGCTCCTGAAACCATAGGATGAGATGAGATTGCCACATGCAAATGTCTAGAGCTACATTAGCCAATAAGATAGGCACCTGCCACAGGCAGCTAGTTAAATTTAAACATTAAAATTAAATGAAATTAAAATTTCAGTTCTTCAGTCACACTAGATACACTTAATTATCAATGGTCACATATAGAAAGTGGCCACTATACTGGACTGCAGAGGTATAGAACCTTTCTATTATCACAGAAAGTGCTATTGCATAGCACTTACCTAGAGAAAAAAGGCAAGAAGAGAAAGAAAAAAGAGGTGTTGACAGACCTCTGTCACCACCTGCAATTAGGAGTCAGAAAGTGGAAAACGACGCAGTAAAGGAGACAAAGGAGGGGATGGATTTCGTGGAAAGATAACCAGGATAATGCAGAGTCAGGAAAGTCAAGGTATGGGAATATCAAAGAATAAAGTGTGGTTCTCAATGTCCAGTGCTGGCAAGCAGTCTTTTGAAGTTAAAGGTCAAAAATATCCTCTGGAGGTGGACATATGGGGCAAACATGATGGACACTGATGATGGGGCAGCTTTGTTAAACCGGCACTGTGCTGGACAGTGGAGGTCCCTAGTCACAGTCGCTGCTTTCAAGTCCAATGGGGCAGACATCATGAGGAAGTGCAGTATTGATTTGCTTTTTGAGCAACTGACTTGCCACTGGCTTACTACTGGCTTTAACCCTGTGGATGGCAGCATGGCTCCTTACCTATCTGCTGCCTCAGTGGTCCTTTCAAAGCCTTTGACCTTAAACATTCCCAAAGCAGTTCCAGGAGTGGTGAAGCACTCAGAGCTCCGGGAGAGCAGTACTACTCAGTTCAAGGGTGTTGACTGAGTATAGTAATGAGAGTAAAAAATTGTGTCTGTGACCTTTGTGAAATTCATCAGTAATCATTAACAAGATCTGAATGGCAAGCAAGAGAAAGAGCAGGCAGCATTGTAGAGAATATTAAATCTCAAGAACCATAAAAAAGTATCGTCAAAGGCCTTTTAAGTTGACTTGAATTAAACCCCTGAAGTTCTTTCAGGCACATTTAACATGGTGATTCTGCTGAGATCAGGGCCGGAGAGGAACATAAATCTACATGATATGACAGTATCTACATCCAGTATCTACATCCATGTAAATCTACATCCAGTATGACAGTATTGGATTTTGATCCAGTACCTGATGTAATGCAATTTGTGACCAGACACATGTTCTTAGAAGCTGGGAGAAAGTTTAGCTTTCATTTTGACCTGTCCTTACTTGATTGTTCCAGGTTTGTTTTTTTGTTTGTTTTCACTTGTAGCTTTCTAGGCACCTCTTATGGTGAGATGTTAGAGAACCTAGGTTAACAGTTTAGATATGGATTCTAATCTGGCTCTGTGTTGACCCAGTGACCTGTCAATAAAGTCCTCATGGTACATTATGGTACAAGAGGAAAGAAAGCTGGAGGACTTGACAGTAAGCTCACATTGAAGTGGAATCCTGGCTATGCCTCTTACTAGCCACATGACCTTGGACAAAGTAGTTAAACTTGCTGAGCTTCACAGGGTTTTGTGGATAAGGAGGAGTGGTATGGACAAAGGCAAGCCTGCTAGCCCTCAGTCTTCTAACTTGCAACTAATTGTCTGTAAATGTTTTCCTTTGTTTTGGCCAGATTCCCCACAACACCCTCCCCTGCCCACCTTGGTGGGTTCCAGAATCTCTCTTCTCTAACTTTGTAAAGTGGGGCTAACACCGAGGCAGGCTTGTGTCAGCTTTGTGGTCCTTTTTCCCTAGGAATGAACACTGGAACTCAAACGAAGGGGAAGAGGGTTAATGGAAAGAAACTGCTTTTTAAGCACTTGCAAAGGGATTTTATTCCTTGCTTTCTCTTTGGTCCAAGTATGCACACACAGGTACATGCACACATAGACATTCAAACCACACAGTGGTGCCTTTCCACTTATTCTGTTTAGGATGACTGCAAAGAATTGTTGAAAGATGGTAAATATGTGTTAGGTGCACGACAATATAAATAACATCGATCTGGGTTAACGGTGCATTGTTTAGGAACTCTGGCACAAACATCTTTGAGCTTAATAATGGTTGCTAAAGGTGACAGGAGTTCAGAAAGCAGAGGACTCCTTTCATTGTAACAATCATCTCCCCACTTACCCCCACTACATCCTCATACACCCCAACAAGGCATGCATAGCATCCAGCAGAGTTCCAGGCATATAGCAAGGGTTTATTAAAGGCTGTTTTCATTCATAAAATCACTGGTGCTAATCGTTAGGTATAGAGAAGAGGTGAAATATAGGATCTTGACCTTCACTATTAACAGTAACAATTGCCATTTACAGAAGGCCTATGATGTGTCAGCTGCTTTACTGCTCTAGCCTCACAACAAGCCTACACAGCTCCAAGTTACAGATGAGGAGCTAAAGTTAAGAGAGGTGATGTAATTGTCGAAAGTCACATGACTTCTAAGTGGCAGAGTGGATTTAGGTCTCTTGGATTCCACAGCCCATACCCCTTCCACTTTTCCAATGCTGCACTTGAGAAGTAGGCCAGTTGGGACAATGCAGTGGCCAGACTTCAGCTACAGAGTAAGGCAGGCGGGACTGCACTGAGAAGGTTAAAGATTACTGCATCTCCCCTGGAAACCAGGGCCTGAGAACAGCAAGCTGATCTTTTGTAGCTGCTCCACATATTTTCTTTCTCCTCAGCCAGCATTAGAACTTCATTCTTCCCTTGTTTGCTTGTTCAGAGAAACAGGTGATGAGAAAAGCACACTTGAGGTGTCTGGAGAGCAATGCCCTGCTTTGCTTACTATAAATAGCTCCCTCTCAGCCAGTTGCCATAAATGGCATTTTACAGGGGAGGCAACCAGTTTGAAATAAGCCCTAAGGAGATGTCGGGGCATCAATATTCGCTTGGTGTATGCAGTGTTCCCAATCTATTGCAGAAGGTTAGGAGTGTTGAGTTCTTGAAGCAAAAGTGGTTTTGTCAGATACGTGATGCCATCCCAAGCCCTTGGTCAGGGAATCTGCAATTACCCAGAAATCTGCTTTTTTAATTTATGAACCAAAAGCCAGCAATGACTCAGACCAACCTGCAATGGAAACCAAATGTGGACTATGTGCAGTAAATATTTTTACGCTCTCAGCTTCCACTCATTACTTTTTGCTACCCTGTTGGCCTTAAGGAGTTGTCGTTCAAGGAAAGGACCTGCCTGCTGTTCCGGCAAACCTGGAATGTGAGCACTTTTGTATTAAAATGTGTGCAGACCATCCTAAAATGATTAAAAGGAGGAGCATGAATTTATTCACATGAGTCGCTTTCATTATTTTCCATTAGTAAATAGCCAAATAATTGATTGTGGAGCTGTTATTTAATTAGCATAAATGAAATGACTGTTATATGGAATAGAATGTATATATTGATTTTGGCTGTGTCCTTTAACAAGGATAAATTTTCTTACTTCTGACAGTTTTTGTAATCAAAACTCTTTTTTTGCTGAAAAGCAAAAAGAGCTGGGGGACCAGAAAGCTTCAGGGTAGGCTGCAGGAGCCAAGCAGTTTAAGGAGGGGACACATGGTATGCCAAGGGCCTTGCATTTCCTGTGTGAGAGGAGCCAGATTGGACTCATCTCAACCACTAGCTAGTGGTCACTGAGAAGAGAGGGTCGAAGATCCAGAGCAGAGATGAGTGGAGAGCTGCAATGCCAAGCATGAGGACCTAGGAACTTGCTGTGTTTTTCTTGTCAGTTTCAGTGGTCCGGTTGCTGAGGTCTTGGCTGTTGATTGCTCTAGCTGGGATGTGTCTGGAAAAGACCATGCATAGAAATGTACGGTCCTTGCTTTGAGAAGGTAACATTCTGGGACTAAAACCTGGGTGCAAGGGAAGTGCACTGAGCATCAGGAGACATGCTGTGTGAACACATGACAGGTCCTTTTCTCTTCCCCAGAGTACATTCCCCCGGTATGTACATTGAGGGAGGAGGAGAGGACTAGGTTCCCTGAGCTCAGATGGGAGGAAGAAGTGTAGTAGTAGGGACATTTAGGGATCACTCTGGCTTCCCCTGCATTTGTTTCTCCCCTTCCAACTTGACTTTGAGGAGCAGACACAGCTTCCTTATTCCCGCCTAGTAAAAGTTAACTTGCCACAGATTTAGAGCTGAATTTCAGTACTGCATGTGCTAGTTCAGCACAGTGACTAACAGTACAGTCCCTGAAGTACAATTGACCTGAGTTCAATTCCTACCCTTACTACTTTTTTGATGTGCAGCTCTGGGCAACTCAATTATCCTTGATTTTCGTTTTGTCAGACATGGATGTAATAATACTACCAATTCACAGGGTTGCTAAAGGAACTGAAGTAGATCATCCATGTAAAGCAGCTGTCACAGAATCTGGTGTATAGTAGGTTCTCAGTAAACTTTCCTCATTTTCTATTCCTTTCTGCCTTCCTGATGGTCCCACATCTCCTTGCCTGTCCCTCATTGTAGCACTCAGTATATTGTCTTCCTTATTCGTCTAAACAATTCAAGGTCAGAGATCCTGTGTTGGGCATTTTTTGGTGTCTTCCTTCCTGTGCTCCGTTGCCATGTCTCATATACTGCCAGCTCACTATTGGTTCACACACATTTCTAGGCACAGAAAAAAAAATTCACAGAGAAAAAAAATTCACAGAGCAGCTAGCTCTTCCTTCAGGCCTTTGACTGACATTTTAAGGATGGCAGAAAACACAGCAAAATAGTTGTTTTTAGAGTTTCTTGGAAATTCACAGAGGTTCCATGCTGGATTTGAATTCACCTCTAAATGTCTATTCAGCACCAAGTTCAGAAAATTGCAAGCCACTTGGGAGAATATGCCAAGTGGCATGCAGAAAATTGCATGCCACTTGGAATTCAGCGACATACACTATAGGTGATGCTCAAAGGGTGGGGAGGTGGGAAAGGGGTGAGGTTGGCAGGGAAAACCCTGAGGCAGTAGTGATCAATGCACATGATATGTAATGTGACCAAGAGTCAAACCAGGATGCTAGGTATGTTCCTCAGGCAGCATGGGATTAGGTACCAAGCCAGTAAATGGCATACTAGGTGCACAGACAGGGTTGTTTCTCATCGCACCCATCCCCTGCCTCTGTGTACCTTTTGCTCAACTCCTTCGATGTGGCTCCAGTATAGGTCCCTTGTCACTATGCACCATTACACTTCAGGAAAAGAAGCCTTACTGCAGCTTGTGGTGCCCAAGGAAGGCTTCACAGATAACAGAGGTATAATTCAGCTTGGAAGTAGGTAAAGGACTGGAATTAGATCAAGAGAAAGAAGGAGGGTGTTCCAGATGGAGTATATAGTGGACATCACCTGGAGCCAGAAATATGGATGGCATGTTGGGGAAGGAGGATTAGGAGGAGGGACAGAACTGTGAGTTCAACAGGATGACTGGAGTGGGAAATTTACACCCCAGACTGACAATGTAATGTACAATTGTCCCCCAGGCAGCCTGGTATTCCTGAAGGCTGCGGTCTGACAAAGGGCTGGGGTAGGGGAATTGCAATTAGCTAAGAGCAAATGGTTATTTCTAAAAGCATTTCTAGGGCTCCCCATTTCAGTTAGAAACATATGGCACTGGCAAGGGTCCTTGCTTTATTTGGGCCCGTTGCTTAGCCTTCCCTGGCCACAAATTGCTATGGAAAAAAGCAGAAAGGCAGCTGTCCTGCCTGAAGGAGCAATCATTAGCTAATGCTGCCATCTCCAGGAGCCTGCCTGCTAATAGCCAGCACACAGCAGTCCTGCTTCAAACTGGCTGCCCAGGCAGACTCCTCCCACCCCCACCGCAGTTCCCAGTGACTAGTTTGGCTTCTCCAGCCTGAAATTTGACTGGACAGCTGGAGAGAGGGAGAAACTGCCCAGGGCTTCTGGAATCCTTGACTGCCAGCTGCCTTCTCTTTTCTCTGGTTTGACAGGAATTGTAGCAAAGGTTTTCATCTGGAGGATGAGAAACTCCTTTTGTTAGTTTGCTAGAGCTGCCATAACAAAATACGGGGTGACTTAAACAACACTAACTTATTTTCTCACAGTTCTGGAGGCTAGAAGTCCAAGTTCAAGGTTTGGTTTCTTCTGAGGCCTCTCTCCTTGGCTTACAGATGGACACCTTTTCCTTGTGTTCTCAGACAGACGTTTCTTTGTGCATGCATCCCTGGTGTCTCTTTGTATGTCCTAATATCTTCTTCTTATAAGGACACCAATCAGATTGAAGTAGAGCCCATCCTAACAGCCTCATTTTAACTTAATCACCTCTATAAAGACCTTATCTCCAAATATAGTCACATTGTGAGGTATTGGGGGTATTTCAACCTATGAATTTTGTGAGGACACAATTCAATCCATAACACACTGCATACAGTTATCAGAGAGCCCTGATTCTTTTCCTCTCTGAACCTTTGTCTCCCCATCATTACAATAATGGGTTAGAGCAAGAAGCTTGGAGTTCTTGTCAAACAACAAGTTTTGCAGAAAAGAAATGCAAGTTTGTGATGACTTGCTAATGAATGGTGTTTCACAGTTCAGGGTGATTTCTTATTCTGAGAATAAACTAATGTAATTTCATTATAGAGTTTGAACTTGCTATATATTTTCATGTATTTGTTATTTAATAACCATGTTTATTGCCTTATGCAGGCCACATACTAGGCTAAATGTGAGAAAGAAAAAGCTGAATGCATTAGATCATATTTTTGAATTAGTTCTTATTATAAGTTTAGACATGTATTCCACAAGAAATTGTTGGACCTTGAAGTGTAAAAATCAAAACCAATATTGAGTTTATAACCATTCCTCTAACTATTAACAATTGGTTTGTAAGTATAGACTTTGATTAACTTAATTCCCTATAGAGAATTCTCTGGTTGGTTTATTGATTGATTGATTCCTGAATTCCAATAGTATTTTTAATATCCACAATGTGCAAGGCATGGAGTTAGGTGCTAGGGATATGGTGGTGAGTGAAACCAGGAAGATTACTGCCCTCATAAAACTTACTGTCTAGATTGAATCTGAGGCTACTTGTTTATTTCATGAAATGTGATGAGTGTATAGTAAAAGATATGTTGGAGGCTTCTAAGATCACCCCCAGGTTTGATGATTCACTCTGGAACTTGTTGGGCTCAGCACATAGTCATGCTCCTGGCTAAGATTTATTACAGCAATAGGACACACAGCAAAATTAACAAAGGGGAAAGGTGCATGGAGAGAAGTCTGGAGGAAACTACACACAGACTTCCAAGAGTCCGCTCCCAGTGCAATCACACAGGACGTGCTTATTTTCCCCAGCAACAAGTATGACAGCACACATGAAATATTGTCTACCAGAGAAGCTCATTAGAGAATCAGTGCCTACGGTTTTTGCTGGGGACTGATCACATAGGCATCTTCTGCCTGGGATGTACCAAAATTCTAGATGCCCAGAAGGGAAACAGGTAGGGGTTTGGCATAAACCACATTGTTTGTGCAAAACTATTTAAACATAGTGAGGCACTTTTACCATTTAGCAAGTTTTGTATCAGTGTAAAGAACTTTTGCCAGCCAAGTTCCCAGACACCAGCCAAGGGCCAAATGTTGAAGCAGTCCTTTCTAAGGACAGAAGTCTCAGGTCCTGAGACTGGTGAAGTAATGTGAGTGGGGCTAGTATTCTGGAAATTAAGATTCCCAATGGCAGCAGCAAAAGATGCAAAAGCCTAGTGGGAGAGAGAGCCTGACTTACTCATGAAGCTGAAAGTAGTTTGGTATGCCCAAGAGAAGGTGAGGGAGTCAAGGTAATCAAATGGACACTCTTTGTGATACTCATATCCATTTATTTTTTCAAAAAATGTGCATTGGGTGTTATATAAGGAACTGAGGACATAACAGGGAATCAAACAAATATTCATGTCCTTATGGAGCCTCCATTTTAGTGCACTTTATATGCATACACTGAATTATGTCACATCCATTTTACTGGAAATTCTCCAGTCTCGAGCAAAACATCAACATTTACATATATTTCGCACACTCCTTGATAAGAAGAAACACAAGAAGATGCCTTCTACTCAAAATTCCAGTTAAGACTGTGTATTAGTAACCTGTGTGTATTAAATGCTGATAAAGTTGATTCTACTTGGAAACTATTTGTTACCACTATGATCAGAGGCCTTGGCATTTTGTCAGTTGTGAGTCCCATGATCAGAAACCCATTTATGTGCTGGTAGTGTGATTTTTTTGTTGTTGTTGATAACCATAATGAAGAACAACCTGTTAGCTATTTAGAGAGCAGTAAGACACAACCAGTTCAGTAAAGAGATCAATCAGCTTTATTCAAACAAAAGAGCATCATTAGAAGCCTAGCATCAGATCAATTTTGATTAAGTCAACAAGAATGCTGCCATTTAGTAGACTAGAACTATTCTTGTTAACTGTCAAGTGTAGTCAGCCAGGACACATCTCAATCCTGTCTCCATATTATACCACTGAGAGTTCCTCTTGGCTTAACTTGAGGCATTTCATAAAAGAAACATCTACTTTCACAGAGTTCAGTCTTACACTCAGAAATTTACCAGATTTGGCCACAAAACTGAAGAGGTTGGGAAGGTTACAGCATTTATACACTCATCTCATGAATCTTATAGATTGACATTGTTTATTTTCAACTGAATTAGTCTCTTTCAGAACTCCAGTACACTGATAAGGTAGAAAGTTGATTAATCAGATCTATCCTGATGTCTGTACGCTAAAAATCCAAAGTGTAGCTCATAGCCATGAAAATGGGAAACCACTTTTGGAACTGTTACTTTGTTTCTACCAGTACAATAAATTTCTATATATTTGCTACGTTTTTATCTGACAAAGCTGAGTAACTGACAGTGCTTCCCTGTCTGCTGTAGGTAGCTAAGAATCAGCAAGGAGAAAAACACAGCACTCCAGATAAGTAAAGCTTTTCCTAGCATTTAGCTCTTGGAAATGACAAAAATTTCGAGACATGCTGACGTACAACTTGAATCACTGCTTGAATTCCTTAGTGCCTAGAACAACAGAACAGAGGCCAGAAATCAGCATGCTCTCAATAAATATCTGGTGAATTAATTATTGAAAGAATGGATTAATTAAATATATAAACACAAAATAGTAATTAGGGAGTGTGCAAAAATTGAAACTATTCTGTAATATGGTTAGTTATCTGGGTTTCTATTTCAAATTTTAAGATTCATTTCATGTTTCAACTATAAAAAATTCATCATCAATAAAAATGAGTTATGGAAGGTGCAGATTCAAACATAGATACCTTTGATTTTTTTCTGACAATGAGGAATGGCCTCAGAGATAAATGTCTGGAAAATAAATTGTTCACAAAAATATATTTTAGATTAAACCCATGGTCTGTGCTTTGGTCCAAACAATGTGAAGGATTTGTGTACTTCAAGGCAGTATAAAATTGAGAGACTCAGGAGCATAGGCTCAGAGGACAGACAGTCCTATGTCTGAATGTGTGAACTCCAGGAGGTCAGGGGTAATGAGGTCTTGTTTCCCACTATCACTAGACTAGCCATCTATAAACTTTCTGATCACACACCTCTGCCTGAGTGTGCATATTTATGTATGTCTAAATTATACATACGTATATATCTACTAATATATTTCATATTTTTATTTGTTGTATTATAGAGTATACGCAAACATACACAGTTTAAAAGTTGAGAAAAACACATATTCCAATATGCTCTTTCCATATCTAATTTTTTTTTCTTTTTTGAGATGGAGTCTTGCTCTGTTGCACAGGCTGGAGTGCAGTGGCACAATCTTGGCTCACTGCAACCTCTGCCCCCGGTTTCAAGCGATTCTCCTGCCTCAGCCTCTCAAGTAGCTGAGATTACAGGCATGCACCACCATGCTCAGCTAATTTTTGTATTTTTAGTAGAGACGAGATTTCCCCATGTTGGTCAGTCTGGTGTCCAACTCCTGACCTCAGGTGATCTGCCCGCCTCCGCCTCCCAAAGTGTTGGGATTACAGGTGTGAGTCACCGCGCCTGGCCGTCCATATATAATTGTCTTGCCCATTCCTGAGGCTCATGCATCCCGCTTTGGAGAACACTTGTCTAGCATGTAGTCCATCATAGGTGCTCAATTAATAACATTTGTTGAATTATTGAATGAGTTTAAATCCAGGTTTTTCTACTTACTGTGTGAACCTGAGTAGGTTCTGCTATCCATATTCTAGGCCTTTGTTTTGTCATCCATAAAATGGTATAAATAATAATAGCTGTGTTGGGGGGTTGTTGTGAGGCATAAATTAAATAATATAGCAAATGTTAATAATAATTGCTGTGATATTGATGATGATGATAACAATGGAAAAACATGTTTAATTCTCCACTTCTTAGATGAAATGATTTAGGTCTTGCCCTCATCACGTCATTACTTTTGACCATGGATACACCTCATATATTCCAGTTGATACGATGCATTCCATACACAGGATTTTGAAGTAGGATCTGTTCCTGCAGGACATCTGTTCCAGCCTGTGAACATAATTTTCTGGTAATGGGCATAGAGAAAAGCAAAAAAGGAGGAGGTATTTACCCTCTTTAAGCATATCTCCAAAAGTAGTGCCTTTCAATGATATAAGTTGTGAAAGAAAGATGCTAGTGGAAATGATATAAAAGCAAGACCAAGACACACTTAGAAGAGTTGAAGGGTGACATCTTATGTAGTAACTCCCCTATCTAATCAACTATGAGACATAGAGTTACCCTCCACCTGCCTCCCCACCCTCATCAGAACCTGCCTATGCCTCTGAGCATGGATCACTTTGAAGTAAGGCAGGAATGAAGCCAGGAAAAGTTCTGCAGGGACTCACATTTCTCATTTCTCTTCTGACTCCTTAGAGCCCAGATTCTGCTAGTCTGGCGTATAGTGCATGATTATACTGTGAGTTGGCAATGGGGCAATAGAGGGTGCAGGGAAAGAAGGAAGGAAAAATAACTTCCTCACCTCCTTTTCTTTCCTCACCCCACTGTCTCCACCACTTTCACCAAGGTTGTCCTACCAAGGTTGTCATCTTCTAATGACAAAAGCCAGTGGATATATACAATCCTGAACTAACTCGACTTCTCAAGAGTGTTTTATTTGAACTCTCAGGAGGCCCTTCTTCCTTCCTGAAACTCTCTCCTTCCTTGGTTTGTGTGATATCACTATTTTCTACTTTGTCTTTTACCTTTTGTCTGGTCTTCCCTAGTCTCCTTCACTGCCTCCTCTTCCTCTATCATAAATGTTAGTGTTTCTCATGGTTTCATCCTCAGCCTTCTTCTAATCTTGCTCTATGCATTCTTCCTAGAGCAGCTCATCCATCTCCACACCCCCGCCATGACTGTAAACACCATCTCTTTGCTCATCACTACAGAATCTTTATCTCTAGACCAGGTCCCTTTCCCATATTCCAGGCTTACTACTTTTAGATTATCTTCACTGCCTTACCCCTACAGGCATACCTAACACTGAATGTATGTGTATATGTGTGCGCATTCACATGTATGCAGCAAAACAATTAGTTGGCAGAGAGTCAAAAAAAAAATGGTATGTAGGATGAGCTGTCACTTTTTGAGTGATGTTGTGCACATTTAGTTTCCTCACCTATAAAAATGTTAAAAAAATCCATTTCGGTGATGGGTTCACTAGAAGCCCACCCCCCCATTTACAAATGTATTACCCATGTAACAAACAAGCACATGTACCCCCTGAATCTAAATTTTTAAAGATGTTAACTAAAGCTGTCTTTTGGAAAGAAATAAAATTAAAATGTCCCTCCATTAATTTGAATTATTTAAAACTCTGACAGTTTAGCATTGTAATATAGCTGGAAATAATTATTGCTCTAATAGCCAACAACTGTTTTCACCTAACCATAGTTATTTAAATCACCCATATAATTATAAACCTTTATTTATTTAAAAAAATGGGGAAATGCGCTCCAGGTTTCTAACACCGCAACCATCCTGTTGCCCAATCAGAAGCCCTAGAATACTCTTTGGAACCTACCTCCTCTTCCCCTCCCCATTGCAGTCCATAACCAACGTCTGTAGATTGTATATCCACAGTGGCCCTGTGTTCTGTTGCCTTTTCTCTAGTCACAGTGTCATTGCCTTAATTGAGGCTATCAACATTGCTCTTGCACAATTGACATGCTCTCCGTAGTTCTCTCTGCCTCTAGTCTTGTGGCTACAACCACCATACTAGTCTTCATGCTGCAGCCACTGAAATCTTTCTAAAATGCCAATCTGACCAAGTCTCTCCCTTGCTTAAAGGCCTAGCATGGTTCCCCATGGCATAAAGGATTGTGTCAAATCCTATCCCGTGATCCAGGGGGTCACACATAATCTGACTCCTAACACCTTCCATCGTTTTATCCCTCATCCTATCTCTGGAAATCTGTGCTCCAGCCATTCCAAACTGCCTGCATTTCTAAACTGTGCTAGACTGTCCCAAGCCTGCATGTCTTTGTACTTGTGAAATCTGCCTGCATTTCTAAACTGTGCTAGACTGTCCCAAGCCTGTATGTCTTTGTACTTGTGAACTCTGCCTGCAATTTTCTCAGCCCAGCACATTTTCACCCTCCCAACAATTGATTTGACTAATGGCCACTGGCCTTCAAAACTCAGCTGCAAACACTTGCTCTGAGACAGGCTTTCCTGATCATCCCTGAGGCTAGATTTGGTAGGTAGGCATGGGTACCCGCCCCCCTGTGATTTTACAATGCCTGTGCCACATTTCTGTCATTACACTTATCACCTTTTAAGATAATTATGTGTACGTGTGTGTGTGTGTGTGTGTGTGTGTGTGTGTGTGTGTGTGTGTGTGTATTTTGGTCTCTCCCCCCTGGGACTAAAAGCTCATTTAGGCCAGAGGCTTTGTATGATTTCTCTAGAGCAGCTACTCTCTTCACCTAGTTGCCTCCTGCTCTTCCTTCGTTTCTCAGCTTAATATCATCTTCTCTGGGATGCTTTCCCTGACTTCAACCTCCCAACCCCCAACCAATGGAAGGTTCTGTGAGATATCCCTCCTCTGTAGCATAGAACTTCTCCTTTGCATTGAAAGTGCCTGTTTATTGTCTGTCTCTTCCAGTAAACACTGAACTCCTTGAAGAAAGGGACTAGGTTTTGTTCACAATTATGTTTCCCACTGCAACCTCCTATAGCCAAGCACAGAGAGCAGTACAGATTAGACACTTGTTAAACATTTGCTGCTTCACTTTTCTTTTGGAGATTGTGATTTTGCCTCTTATTTCTTTCATTAAAATTGCTTTCCCATTTTTTTAAAAAATATTTTTATTGTGGTAAGGAAGCATAGCATGATATCTACTCTTAAATTTTTAAGTATACAATACAATATTGTTAACTATGAGCGCAATGTTGTACAGTGGATTTCCGTTTTTAAAACACTCCTGGTTACTTTTTGGTTACTTTTCCAAGCATTATATAGTTTTGTAAGTTTGGACTGCTACCTTGTCCTCTAGGTGGCGTTGTTTGAAAAAGAAATGGCAAAGTTGTATATGCTTTCAAATAAATGAGTACTGTATTTGTCTGCTAGTACTGACATAACAAAATACCACAGATTGAGTGGCTTAAACAACACAAATGGATTTTTCTCTCAGTTCTGGAGGCTAGAAGTCCAAAATCAAGGTACTGTTAGGTTGGTTTCTGGAGAAGCCTCTCTTTCTGGCTTATAGATGGCCACCTCTTGCTATACTCATATATAGCCTTTCCTCTCCATGGAAAGAGATTGAGCTCTAGTGTTTCTTCAGCTTATAGGGACACCAGATCTATCAGATTAGAGCCCTGCCTTATGGGCCCTAATGTAACCTTAATTATCTCCCTTAAGGTCCTGTCTTCAAATACAGTCACATTGGGGGTTAGAGCTTTAGTATATGCATTTGGGGGATGCAATTCAGTTCATAACAGGTATGCATCCCAAGATTATCAAAATTTTGTGCAATTATATGAAACAATATATTTAAATCACCTTGGAGCAAAGGAGCAGAATTAGTTGTAACCAATGATCAAATGTTCTGAGTGTCATTTACCTTATATCTCAAAGGAGGGGGATTATGCTGCTGGAGCAGTGCAGGGACTAGTGGAAGTCCCAGAGAACCTTTGGGCTTGAGAAACGGTATTTGAATTCTCTCCCATTCCATCCCTTCAGGTTACTATTCCTGAAGCCTAGAATCTCGTTGGCAGGCAGAGAAGCTCCATTCTCTCCAGGTCAAGCGGACGTCTTCAAGGACTTTAATTTTACCATTTCCAAGGTACCAGGCCTCCAAAAGCTCCCTCAAAGAACCCTTGCCTAGAAGAGAACCAAAAATACTAGAAGCAGTGGAGATGGCCTCATCCTTGGAAACTTTATGACCTCATCCCGCTCTGGCCATCTGATAGATGGGTTGAGAATACAGTGCCAACTGAGATTAAGACCTTTGAGAGGCCATGAAGAAGGGCCTTTCTGAGTGATTCTGTCAGTCCTGGCTAAAGAGGCCTGTGCCCAGGAGACATCAGCCTGGCGTGCCCTTGAAGTGTTTTTCACTCAATGCTATTATTAAGGGACCTTAGTAGCTACTGTGGGAAATAAAGGATTCTGAAGGCAAATTAGTATGTTTATTCCGGAGTTTCTCACATAAAATAGATTTATTTACCGTAGGCTTTAGTTGAACCTTTAGCAAGCCAAATACATAATACTAATTACCAATAGTTTGGTGTGCTGTGCAGTCTTTCACAAACTCACTGATCACAGGACCTTTTCAGTCAGAGAATCTTGATCAGATTATTATTCTCCAAGACTCTCTTTTAGGAAGGGTAACAATGAAGAAAATCATGAAAAAAGCGATTGCTGTGAGATGCACTTTGACTCAAATAATTCCTCCAGGCCTACCCTGCTCTCTCCCTCCCTGAGCCACCTACACATTGGCCCCCAGTAATGCCAAATTCGTTTGGCCTCCTATCTTGGCTGGGCTGCCTTCTCCTGTTAGCATGCCTTTTTCTTGACTGACTTAGAATTTCCATAGGATTCTGTTGTCAGCCTTGTTTCCAGGTTCCATTCTTTCTGATGAGAATTGGTGGGCACACAGATCAGGCCCTTGGGAGTGTCAGAACCTGGTTTGTTCCTAACTCTATCAGGGAGCTTAGAGTCTGCCCTGGTTACGAGGGAAACAGATGAAATCACTTGATACCTTTCAAATAGAGGCTTTGCTTACAGCCCAGGGTAGAGTGCCCTAGGGAGATACTAAGGGACTTGCATACTAGCCATCTTACAAAAGGCTAATTTGCCTGGCCACACTGGCCAAGGAAGAATAATAAGAAGGAAACCACCCCACTGCTTACTGTATGCTGGGCACTGTGATAAGTGCTTTGCATACATTATTCGAGTTCTTACAACCAACCTATGAGATAGACAGAATTTTTGGATCCACTTTACAGAGCAGGAAACTGAGTTTCAAAAATCTGAGGAGACAAGCCCAATGAAGCATAGCTTAGCATAAGCAGAAGAGCACAGGACTCCAGTCTATGCCCTTGTGGCTCTAGGGTCCCTGCTTTTCACTACTTTTCTCTGTTGCTTCCGGGTGAATCTAGGGAGGTGGTGAGGTCCATCTGCATTGTGTTGGTCAAATCAAAGAGTACCTTAGATAGCTATTTGAAATAGTCTCTTTCTGCCCCCTCCTGCAAGAGCCAATTACTTTTAGGAAATAGCTCTGTGGTCAATAGAACTATTTTTTTTTTTATAGACAATGATCTAGGTTCTGGTAGGGAACCTACAACTCCAGTCTTCATCCTCACAACGAGGTGCTAACTTAGATCCTCATCACTGTCACCTGTGTCTCTTAAGAGAGCTCCCTATATCCTATCTTCCTCTTTCCCCCTCATATTCTCCACTCTGCAGCCCAGGTCACCTTTCTGAATGTCATTTGATTCCTTTCTGGTGTAAAACCTAGTCACCATTGAGATAAATCCAAACTCCTTAAACTGGCTTCCTAAATTATTCCCTGCCTATTTCTTCAGTGTGTACCTCCCAAACCCTCTCCTCTGTGCCAAATCTCACCCCTTAGTCTGTGGACATGCCAAACAACTTCCAGTTTCAGCTGTGTCCTGTTTAGTTTCAGGTAATTTCACACTTCTAAATATTCTCCCTCACCAACCTCATCTGCCTTGGGAACAGCTGTTCAATTTTCAATGCTCAGTTCAACTATCACCTGCTGTGTGAAGTTTTTCTGGTTCCCTCTCACCTTCTCTGAGTCTTGCCAGGCCTGGTACAGCCTCAGAGCCTTATATTCTTTAAGATGGCACTGATTGCCTTCTGCAGGTATCTCTCATCTCCAGACAAGCTCCTTCCCCAGCAGGGACTTGGGATTATTTATTCTCGTGTCTCAAACACCCAGAACAGGCCTAATCCATAATGGGAACCCAGGAAATGTTTGCTGAATAAAAGAATGGAAAGGAAGTTTTCCTGAAATAGAGTAAGAATTTGACATTAATTTTGAAATTGGCCAAGAGAATCTTCAAGATAAATGAAATGAATAAGGATTGTAATTTGATTTGTTTTGTCCCTATTGTCGCGAGATGCTAACCTGGAAAAATCTAAATATTTAATTTATCTTTCCATGAAACTCCTGAGAGGAAAAAGAAATTGTTGAAGCCGGGGTTGGTGCCTTGTTGTTGGGAGGATTAGCATGCAACTGAAATACGTTATTTCTCCACAAGGGGGTGCTATGAACACATACGAGGCCATTCTCTTATTCTTCCTCAGAGAGAGAGAGGAACTGCACAAACCAAGTAACTTTTTTATTTTCCCTGCATTGTATACAATTGTGCAAGAATGGAATAACTCTCCACCGTTGCCAGAAAATTATGTATGCCTCGGACAAGGCTTCCTACTAATAAGATTCACACTCACACACATACCCCTAACTCCTTTAAAAGGTTCAGGCATCAAGTTTAAAGATGTATGATTTGTGGTATATCTGGAATTTGTTCATTGACAGATTTAGATGTTATGTAGTATGATGTCAGAAACACAACTGAACAGAATAAAAGCATGCACTATGCTGCTTTTAACTCTCGTATAGGATAGACCATTTTAGAGGAAGACTCATCCAGGTGTCAGAGATATCAGTCAGCTCTTGTCAGTAATAACACGTAGATATAGTAGTACCAGCTGTGTACACTTGTTTAGATTTGTTTCTTATGAAACCATGATGGGCAGCACACATAACACAGTCAATATTTGGGAAAGTTGTACTTTGTGTAACCAGTGGCTTAAGCAAATCAAATCTTGTCTTCAACATCTCATCTCCAGTTTCTACCTTCAGCATATTTTGATGGCCTTGGATTCTGAGTAATATTTTTGAACTGTACTCATGTATGTCTTCCCATTTAGACTCGTTCCTTTAACCCCTGGGCTCTGTGTGTATGTGTGTGTTTTCCATATTTATAACTCCTGCACATGACAAAGGTCCTGATACATTGTAAGGACTCAGTTAATGTTTGTGGATTGCTTCCTTATTGATCTGTTTTCACAAAAATGCTGCCAAAAAATGTCAAGCAGGATAATGATGAGGTTACAAGAGAGACAAGTGAATGGGCAAGAAGAGACTAAGGGTAAAGTAAGAGGACTAACTTCCATTGACTGCTTACGAAATGCCACGCACTGTGCTGAGGACTTTATATAAATATCTCATTTAATTCTTATAAAAGCCCAATAAAGAAATAATTATCACCCCAGTCCCACCACCTGTTTTTGCATGATTGTGGCCATGATATCAAAATAATCAAATAGATGGTATTTGGAGGTATATAATAGTCTTTACCTATGCCTTCCATACATCAGGGCCTCAATGGTGCTTGACTAGGATTTGCACTGTGGGTTAGTATAGTTCATGGGTTGTTATTTGAAGCTGACTCTTGTGTTCATGCAGGAGGGCAGGAATCTTCCTGGCTGTTCTGTCTGCCCCTGTTACCCTCAGTGAAAATGAAAGGAAGCACAGTACATAGTGGTTGACAGGAATGAAGGTTTCCAACCTTCTAACTGTGGTTGGAGAGCTTCCTGTGTGGCATTTCCCCTCCTTCCTGGAACTCTTTAGTATTGTAGGAAATGAGTGACTTGGGCAATTGCGATAGACTTCAAGCAATTGGATTCACTGAAGAACATTTTATGGAGGAGGAGGAGGAGGAACACAAAATCTTGAAAGCTCTGGGTTGAGAGAAACCATCAAGGGTATCCACGTTAACCACTAAGCAAGCTTTTGAATCCCCTGATAGTATTCCAAATTGCCATCTCTGTGACCTTGAACAAAAAACTTCACCTCTCTTAGTGAGTTTCCACATAGGCAAAAACAAAAACAAAAATGAAAAAAACTAAACAAAACCTTCTAGGGTTGTCGTGAAGATCAGAGAGAACGTACTCCTGGAATATATTAGGTACCCAGTACAAGTTTTAAAAATAGACTTTATTTTTAGAGCAGTTTTAGGTTCATAGCATAACTGATCATAAGGTACAGAGTTGACATATACCCTGTGATTCCCTGGATGGCCTCCCCACTAGAAATATCCACCCACTGGAGTGGTACATTTGTTACAATTGATGAACCTATATTGACATGCCCTTATCACCGAAAGTCCATAGATTACATAAGGGCTTGCTCTTGGTGCTGTACATTGTCTGGGTTTGGACAAATGTATAAAAGGCCATTATAGTATCATACAGAGGAGTTTCACTGCTGAAAAAATCCTCTGTGCTCCTCTAATTCATCCCTCCTTCCCCACCAACCCCTGGCAACCACTGATCCTTTTACTGCCTCCATAGTTTTGCCTTTTCCAGAATGTCATACAGTTGGAGTCACATGGAGTAACCTTTTCAGATTGGCTTCTTTCACTTAGTAATATGCACTTAAAGTTCTATGTATTTTCATGGCTTGATAGCTCATCTCTTTTAGCCCTCTTTTATGCCATTGTCTCGATGTACCACAGTTTACTTATTCATTCACCTACTGAAGGACATCTTGGTTGCTTCTAAGTTTTGGCAACTATGAATAAAGCTGCTATAAACATTAGCGTGCAGGTTTTTGTGTGGATATTAGATTTCAACTCATGGGTACTCAGTATTTTTTAAATGAAAAATATATCTGTCCTTACTCCCATAAATTCCTCCTTTCCATCAATTCTTCCCAAGGTGAGGGATCAGTGCATACAAGAGGCCCAATTTGCAGCAAAATGCTCATTAATTAGCCAAGAGGCTGCGGTGGCACAGCAAGTAAACAACGTACTACAAATCTGTTTACAGCGGCTTCTGCAGACATTTTAAAACAATTAAACTGTCAAGGGGGCCTGGAGACAAGAGCTTTGCATTTTAATAGGAAATGATTAAATCTCAGGCATTATTGCCTTCGATGTGTCTAGGCTTTAAGAAGAGGGCAGAGTATTGATTGAGGCCTCCAGGAAGGCAGGAAGCTTACTTGTGCTGCTTGACCGCAATGCAGTGAAAGCTTGGAGATCTGTAACTCCTTGGGCTGGAATTAAAGGCCAGTAGCCAAAAATTTAACTGGATTTGTCACCTTCTGTTTAGTTGGACTCTGCCTGTAGGAACAGATGATAGATCATGACCTCCGGGGTATTATTCGTCAATTGGCAGAGAGAGAGAGAGAGAGAGAGAGAGCCCCTTGCTGATGGCATCTATTAGAAAAGGCTGAATGACACAGCGCCATGTGGTGACCTCAGTATTTACACTATCTGGATTAAAACCATTGTAAAGCAAGTGAAAGCCACCCATGTAGTCACTGCCTGAGTCAACTAATGCAAACTGCACTCTAACCTGTGAATATGTGTGTGCCACAGTTATGACGGACACGCAGTCTCAAACATCTAGTGTATTCACCTTCTCTATTGATTTCATCTATTCACAGGTGCTGGTCAGATCACATGTGGTTCTTGCCCTCTAGCTACTCACAGTCCAGTAAATGAGGGAACATGTAAGCAGCTGGGTACAATCCAATACAGTGATAGATGTTGTTGGCTACAGTGAGGGGACCAAGGAGGTCACATTCAAATTGAGAGATGTGGAGGGGCTGGCAGAAAATTCTTTCTAGAGAAGGTTCTACTTGAAAGATTAGTAGGCAGACAAGGGGACAAGGACACTTCAAACTGAGGGAAGTTCTTGAACAAACCTGTGGAGGTGTGAAAAAGCCTAGTACATTCCAAGAACCCAGTCTGGTAGTGTGGAACCTGAGTCCTCTGGTACTTTTTAAAGGATGGGGTGACCTTAGTCCTCAGGTTTAAAAACTTAATCAATAAATGATGACGTTATTGAAATATATCACCACATAATGCTAAATAGAACAGGTGAGCACTACCATTCTCTGTGCCTTTCTATTGCTTAAAATCCTTCCATTTGTCATACTTCTTAAAAGTATGCCAATTGGAGAACAAGACACTTGCTTCCAAAATGAGAATACCTTTGTGAAAATTGACAAATTTGTGTGAATTAGCTTAATCAGATTGCTTTCTTCCACAACACCTGACCAAGACCAGCCACTCTGATGACGAGGAGAATAGGGGGATGTGGAATGCAAAAGAAGGTAGGAGCATGGGGTACTGAGGGTGGAGAGGGCTCCTCTTGCAGTGGAATTACAGGCAGCTAGGGAGCAGCACAAAGGCCCTGCATGGCTGAGAATTAGTTTAGGGGAAAGGAAAGAGAGGATAGCAGAAATAAATTTTACCTGACTTGCAATTTGGCTCCATGTCGGCTCTCATTTTGTTTATTTCTGTGCTGTCTAGACATCAACAGATTGAGCTGCTCCCATCCCTGGGGACCCCCTTCCCCACTACACTGACCAGTGCAGCCCCCTGCAGGGCCATTATAAGAAGCTATGGCACAGCTGAAAGACTGAGTCTCTTGATTAGACCTGATAAGACCACTCATATTAAGATGACTTAATTTTGTCCCTTGAGAAATGCCTTTTTAAGAGCTCCCACATTGGCCAAGAGAGACTGCCTCCATATTAAGCTTTTCTATTTTTGTTTGAAGGAAGTTGGCACCTCTCCTGTGTAAAGAGTTTGCTGAAGCCTAAATTCTTCCATTAGCCATTTTGGTTTGCAAACAGGGATCTGAATATATGCAGCTTTTTACCTGGTGGCCTGAGCACTTGCTCAGCTTCCCAACCAGAGAACAATGGGGAATACCCCATGGCCACATTCTGAATCTGATCATCTGTGCTTCTAAGCATGATTGACTAGTTAAAATAATGGTTTTCTGGGAAACAGGACTGGCTACAGAATTTGCAGGGGTTAGTGCAAAACGAAAATGTAGAGATCCTTGTTCAAAAAATTGTTAGTTTCAAAATGGTGACAGCAAATCATTAAACCCAGTGCAGGGCCCTTCTCAGAGCATGGCCCTTTGCCGCTGCATAGGTCATGTGTCCAGGAGGTAGCCCTACCAAAGAACAGCTATTTTGCCTTTTTGGGTTCTAAAGGCTCCTGTTGTTCAGGTCCCTGGGCTGTGGATGGCTATTGGGGTATAGGGGACGGTGTTTGATTTCAGGGCAGAACAAATTTTCTCCATCCTCTGCCTACTGCTGAAATCCCATCCTCAGAGCTAAAGCAATTTTGTTGAGGCTGGATCCCTTTGGGAGGGGCTAACATTTGCAGCTGTTGTCTGTTACACGCTTAGTGTTGGATGGAAAAGTGGAGGGAGAGAGCACAAGGCAATTTTGATTATGCAGAGAAGCTTATGAAAAAATATGTAAGTTTATGGAATGCTTTTGGATATACATTATCTTCCTTTCCATATAGCACTGAATATGGGTACTGGGGCTTAATAAATATAGCTCCTCGTGGGTGTTGGTAATTCTTCAATATTCATTGATAGTGACAATATTCAGAACTTGAGACAGATTTCCTTTCTCTCTGACTCGAGGGCAGTTTTCCCAGAGCCACACAGAAGGAGAATCCAGTCTGTTCAAAAGGAAAGACTCATTTGATCCCAGAATAACTTACATTTCCATTTCTATTTGAATTTTTAACAAAAATAGTGGGTCTTCCATAAAGCAAAAATAAAAAGCATGGCAATTTTGTTTCAGGGTTTGCTTTTTCTTAAAATTTTGATTCCTATATTAACACTATTGAGTGCTTCAGTAACGAGTATGGTGTAATGCTAAAATAGTCTGTTTCTTGCTCTTTGTTATAATTAGCTAAAAGCCTTTTCATAGGCTGCTCATAGATTTTCTGAATTTTTAACAAGGGACTTTGATATGAAAATATAATTTTGTGGCACAGAACTAAAAGTTCTGGTAGAATTTCAACATTTTACGTGTAATTGTTACAGAGGATTGAGCAACTATAATTCTTACAAATGTCTATTTTGCTTGTAGCGTTTTCTATTCATCAATAATTCAATTTCAAAATAAAAGACACATTTCAACATCCCAAACACTATCGGGGAGACTTTCAGATTCCTGACTGTGGGAGAAGTCTACCAAATAAGGCAGCCAGCTCCAAAAACTTCTCTAATGTGCTGAGGGATCCTGTTACAGACCGTTTTTCATAATTCTAGAAGGCAAAATAAAATTTTATGCTTGGAAATAATAAGTTTAAGCAAATAGTATAGGCAAAGCTTATGTCTGAGTCCAAGCAATGGTCTGATTACTGCCAGAACAATACTGCTACATGATGAATCATTAATGATCTGGGAGAGCCATAATGGTCTGTCACTAATGCCCATTAATGATCTCTCTATACTGAGAGTATGGGCTTGATGTTTCTGGCCATTACCTTGGAGAATACTTTAGATATGCCTTAAACTTTCTCTGATCTCCTCTCTCTCTGTGTCTGCTCCAAATGTAGACAGCAATTGTCTGGGTAGGACCAGCTTATAAAGAAGCATGGCTTTGTTAAGGAAGTCGTATTCAGGTAAGATTTATTTCTGCAATGTTTTTGATGGACATAGATTTGAATGTTTATCCTGGACATTAATGCCTTTGTAGAAATTAACAAAATTATACCAGGGATCTTTCTGCTGAGATATTTTTCGTTCTGGATGGGACAGGGGTTCTTGATTCCCTTTACTCCGGGATGTTTGACGTTAAGAATGGATTCTTTTGGAAAAATGCATCATTTTTTTTTTTCTGGGAGGAATTTAAAATATTAATTGTTATAGGAAACTGAATGTGTATTTCTGACCATTTAAAACTCTATTTACATTTAGAAAATGGTGGCACTAACTGATTCAAGAGAGATTTCCTACTTCTAGATTTGCATTTATTCTATGCATACAGCACAAAACATTAATTTTAATTTCTAAAGAAAAAAGAGAATAAGTAATTATAATTGGCTTTTAATGTATTTTTCTTTTAGCTTAGTGAAAGAAAGGAAAGAAAGAGAAGATGACACTTAGCTAAGGGAAGGTGGACACAATCACACTTTAATTTTGACAAACTTATTAGGTGTATCTTCAGGGAAATCACAGAAGATAGGCACTCTATAATGTCTCAGCGAAACTAGGAGAGTATCTGTTCCTCCATGGCGGCAAGGCAGATGCCGCAGATAGCTGATGGAACCAACGCCCAAGAGCTTCCAGCTCACGGAGAAAAACAAGCTGAGAGAAGGTTGCCGGAGCGACCAGTTTCAAGTCTCTTTGAAAAGAGCAGGACAGGGATTCTTTTGGAGGAGTGAAATCACTCCTCCAGCTACATTTTTAATGGGAAGTTTTTACATGTAACTAATAAAAAAATGGTTTTGCCAATCTTCATATTAGCTGAATAAAGCAACCTCATGAAGCAAACACTTTCATTGAAACCCTTTGCACTTGCTTTATTGTTGAACCTGAAAGAATCCCAGAGAACTCTTAACCTTGCTAAATGTTTTATTTTGCTAGAACATTTTGTCCAGATGAGTAATTATTCATGGTGATTTTCTGTTTCCTCAAAATCCTTCTCTCTGTCCTGAAACTGCTGAGTAGCATGTGTTTATTCATGTAATTAACTGGGATTAATAGGCTTTCTCTTCTGAGTACTTCACAGGATATCCTCAGCTATTTGGAGTTCTCCTAGAGCATCCCCAAATGGAGATTTGGATTGATCTGTCATGTTGCATGAGCATTGTTTATCTGATTGTTTTTAATTGGTTTCCCCATAAAATTGAGAGAGAAAAAAAGCTTATTTGAAAGATTAGTACATCAAGGGCAATATTAGTGATGAAAATCGTTACAGAATTTGTGAGATTAGTTCAACATTTAATTTTCTGATTATTTCCACAATTCATGTCTCTAAGAAACCCGTTAGAGTTTTCACCTTCCAGGTGGTGGACAGCTTATAATCATCATTAAAGGCAGGAGCTACAGACTATATGCCTCTTTACTCAGGATACAGTATATGTGGCTGAAACAAGTACACTCATCACTCTGCTTGTAAAGTATTTGAGTGAAACACACACACTAATTATTTGCTGAGTAAGATCTGTGACACAGGAAATTCTCACCAAACAATTATTTTATTGACATGTGAGTCTATGAATTGGAGACTGTCAAATTGCCATCTAAGCTGTTTGGTTAGATTCAAGCACAAACTAACTTTATGCTTACAATAGACTTATAGGTTGATTGATGAAATGTTATAAATAGACATGTCCATTTTTAATAAATGTATGTTTGTGGGAAACTGAGCCCCTTTGCAGAAATGAATGCAAGCTGTGGGACAGATTGGTAGTGATTGAAAATGCTGCAGTTGCTCCTCTGAAAGAAATATTAAAATATCTGATATAGCATAGGCTCTGAGTTCATGGTAGAACAATGCAATGCAAATGAAATCAGGAGAAAGGATATGCAGCCAAAGAATGGCGAGTCGCAAGAAAGGTCACATGGTTTATCTCTTAGCCTTCATACGGGAAAACACTTCAACCCTTGTACACAGATGAGACTGTCCCAGCCACCGCATCCACAAGCTCTCTAAAGAACTCATTTCAAAAGCTCTCAAGGCAAGAACATCCATCCTAAGTTCTCCATCTCCAGTTAAGTCTGCTGCCTCTCATTTGATCCTCAGGGAAGCTAAAGAATAGACAGCAGCTGTGCTCTGTGTAACCCTTCCCAGCCCAGAAGCTCTCATGATTATGCTTATTTAAGTTAAGGAACCCTAGTTTCTTTAGTCTACCCTTTCAATCTTGTTTTTAACCTACCTTATTTAGCTCACCCATTTACTTCTCTAAATGTTTTTGTCCTTGTTGTGTTCCCCTCTGCTTGTCCACAATTACTTCTTCAGCTTTTTAAGGTCCTTTCGTGTTCTTTTCTAAGTAATTATGAGTTTTTCTATTCAGTGGCTATTCCTACACCTGCCTAGTACTCCATGTATCATATTGACTTAGAGTTTCTCAAACAGCACATGAAGACAGATTTTCTTCTCTCGGGGAAGAAAACAATATATTTACATATATATATTTGTGTATATATATAAAACAGTATATTTGTTAATCATTTCCTTAGCTGTAGGGACTTAGGAAACAATATGTTTACTAATTTTTTTTTATCAATAATCCCCTGTCCATTTTTCAGGGGTTGCAAATGTGTACTTTCAGCTGTTCTATAGATCACTCATTCCAAACATTGAGTCCATTATCACCTGGGCAGTGCCTCAAAGTGCTTTCTCATGATATGCAGTTCCAACTGCCTGGCCCTGGGCTTGTGCTTAGTATATACTTAGTTTTTGTTGAGTAACTGTATATGCCCAAAATGGCTGTATAGACCACTAGAAAATATTTCTTTATATTTTCTTTGGGAAAATGATTAAACAATCTAGCTGATCTTATAAAACAAAGCATAAATGACCATCTTCAATTTGGGTTTCTAGAATGTATAGCGGTAGTCTATATTTGTCTTTTGCCATTTGCCTTAGAAACTGGAAGATTTGAACTGAGAAAACTATTACAAGTGAAGACATCCAGGGTGGTAGAAAAATTCACCCCAGCAGCTAAGCTCTTGAGAAGGAAGGAGAGTATTCAAAAGGAAGTGAGTGCCTCCTGGGTAGAAGGAGTTCTGTAAGTCCCCCTTGGGAGTACCAGTCTCATGGGAGAAAAATGTGCCATAACTTTTATTTTCATTCCGGCAGGGCCACTGGGTATGGCCTAAAAATTTAGGCATATCTCAATTGGCAGTATAAGTGTCTCTCGTTTTATAAAATAAAATTGTTTCCAGAAAATTATATGTAAATCAAATCCCACGTGAAATCCACATGGGATATGCAGTAAAGAAAGGAGCCTTTTTGTGAGTGTTTCTATAAAGCGAAGACTTATAATAGACGTATTAAAATGATTACTCTTTAATTTATCCATTTGAAAGTCTGAGTTCTAAAATGTCAGAATGAAAACAAGATATCTGCATTCTATTCAGAAGAAATTATTTGACCAAAGCTTGCTAAGCTTATGTATGCTTTAATGTAATAATGCCTCATTTGTGAGTATGTTAAAAATGGTTACATTTAAGTCTGCTTACTTTGCTTTGGAAGTTTCTGAAGAGCTTATTGGTGTTTCTTACTATTTAGCAGCTTTATCTGATATGACATTATATTATTGCCTTCTAAAATAGAATTTTTAAAAACTTCATCCAAAGGAGCCATGAATAACTGGCATGGCCACTTACTTATGTAAATAGGGTATACACATATCTCCTGGACCCAAAACTCTAATCTGTTACCATGCCAATTCCCTATATTTAGTTCAACATGCCGCTGAAATGTCTAAATATTGGCTGTTTCCCAATGTACTCCATCCTTTACTCTGTTCTTAGAGAATGAAGAGTTATGATACAGGAACTTCGCCTTGTACAACAGAGTAGGTGTTATTTAGGCACATTCCAAGGCTCCAGAGCAGTCAGCCTTGGAGGTGTTTACTAGGACTCTTTCTGTGGTTGGTTAGTGCATGCATCTCTGCGTAAATACAAAATATAAGTGTTCTTTGTAGTATTCATTGTTCCACTAATGCTTAACTGCATAGCTGAATGAGAAGATATTTTTCCAGCTCTAATACTAGCTAATATGATAAAATCTAAATAAAGTCTCTAAATACCACATTCATTATGTCCCTTCCTTATATCAAAACTTTTACTGGCTTCACTTTGAATGCCAACTAGTTGGAGGCAGTGTTTGATGTTATTCTGTAAGCAAAGCCTACAGTAGTCTGGCTCAACATACCTTTCTAGTCTTATCTCCTTCCTTTCCTACAAGAACTACTTCAGCCAATCCAATTGCCTCCTAGAGGAATTTGCCCAATTCATTAATGTATAATCTATGCAGTGCTCTCTCTGTGATGTGCTAGACACCAAGGAAGGTGCCAAGATGAAAGAATCATGGACCCTGCCTTCCAGGAAGGCACAGGCTGGCTGCCCAGCTAGCTTCTATCAGACACTCTGTGATGAATGCTATAACCAAAATAACACAAAAGCAGCAGAGGACTAGAACTAGGAAAGATGCTTTCTGCTGGCTGGATTTGGGATAGCCTCATCGAGGAGGTATAAATTAACCAGGGACTTAAATGTATGTGAAAATTTGGTTTGTGTCCTCTGAGATACCTTTCCTCTCCTGACAACCAAATGAGATTTCTTCACCTCTAGAACTCTCACAGTACTTACTGGCTAAACCAATCATATGACACTCATCCAAAACTTTCTTACATTGTTTTTACCTTTGTGCTCATTTTCCCCTCTAGATTATTATATTCCTAGGAGGCAAGGCCCATATTCAACACTTTATTTCCCTAACTGATAGCACAGAACTACTAATGAGAGTAACTACACATGTCATTTATGTGAAAAAAAAACCTGATTGGGTTCTGAGAATTCCTTGACTTAGTTAACCACTGCTATACAGTAGAATACCAAGATAATAAGACAGATGACAAAATGACTCAAATTTACTACTACTGGCTGGGAACTTCATTCCAAACCTTAATATAGTCTCCTGGGAAACTGCACTGGATTGCATACAAGCTGTGAAGATTCCTTTGCCTTCTTTCATTCACTCAACAAATATGCAGTGAGAACCTACAATAATAGTCCAGGCACTGTGCTAGCTTCTAGGTATGCAGTACTGAATAGAACATGGAATATATAGTCTAGAAGCAGTTCAAACAGCCTTTTGGTCCTTTTCCCCCAAGTCACATCATGACCCTGTCCTATATAGCTTTTCTAAATTTTTTTGTCCCCTTGCGCTGAGCATCTATCCTATATATCTTAGTACTCCAAAGGAAAACAGTCCAAAGACAAAATGTCAGGTTTTCATTTTTTTTTTCCTGTCCATACTATTTCATTCTCAGAGTATGTGATCTGCTTGATCCTTGTTAAACAGTCTCTTGGCTCCTCTTCATTAAATAAAGTAGTCTTAAATAACCACCCTACTGGTTAGACTGTGTGATCAAAAAATAAAAACTACCGTTTGTTAAGTGTCAACTACAGCCCCTTTCCCAGCTTGTACACTGCACAGGTGTAACTCATTCATACAGTAACTGCACAATGTAGATTATTGTTTTCCTCATTTTAATACTGAGGGGAACTGAGGCTCAGAGAGGTTACATAACATGACCAAGATTTGTGATTAATGAACACTGAAGCCAGTCTTTGGTTCATGTAATGCCATCCTATCCCAGATATAGTAGATTTTCAGCAAGTTTTGGTTTGTTCATTGGTTGATTGTTACCATTCTGATTGAAAGATCTTTATATATTTTAGATTACAGTATAAGAGGTTGTTAGTCTTTGGTAGCTATTAATCCCAGGCATGTGTGTTTATGTTCCTAATAGCAATTACATGAATGCTTTATGCTTAATAGAAACAAAGCTATTATTTTGATGCTTAAACATTCTTTAAACATTTTTACATGAATACATATTGATAATTCATGTATAAATAACACAAAAAGATTTAGAATCCCAGTTACAGTTTCTGTAAGATGCCCAGTTTCAAAGATCCAACTAAAAATAAGTGTCAGCTCATTGCAATAAAATAAAATAATCTGATTTTATAGACATATGAAAGCTGACTCATAACACTCATAACTCATGAAAATATCCAAAATCACATTTTGAGCATTAGCTTCAATGTTGTCTAACTACATTATTTCTATATGGGAAAATTCTGTATTCTGGGCTGAAAATTCTGCAGCCCAGCTGTTCCCAAACTTTAGTGTGTGCCATCAATATCCTCTGTGAAACTGGCTAAAATTGAAGATTTCAAGCTGAGTTGGTTGGAACCCAAGGATCTACATTTTAATAAGCACTCCATGTGATTCTGATACAGGAAGACCATCCACATCTCACTTCTGTAAGTATTCTTCTGCACCAGTGACTCACTAGTCTTCATTGTTGTCGTCCCCTCGCCCATCCATACACAAGCAGTTGTGTATTGCTTTTAAAGTTTTTTTTTCAATTTAAGTGTAATTTATATAAAATAAAGTGCTCAGATGTTAAGTACTTTTATCAGTTTTTCAAAATACACATACTCGTGCAATTTATTCCTCTTTCAAGATCTGGAATATTTTCATCACCCCAAAAAGGTTCCACATGCCTTTTCCTAGTCAACATTTCTCTGCCACCAGAAGAAACCACTTAATTTACTTCTATCACCATAGGTTCGTTTTTCCTATTTTAGAACTTCATAGAAATGGAAGCATTACATTTTGTGCTTTTTTGTGTGTCTGGCTACTTTCACCCAGAATACTGTTTGTGAAATTCACCTATTTTTCTGTGTATATCAGTAAGTCACTACATGTTATGGCTGACTAGTATCCATTGCATGAATATGCCAGTTTGTGTATCTATTCTCTCATTCAGAGATATCTGGATTGTTTCTAGCTTTTAGCTTAAATGAGTAAAGCTGCTATAAACATTTTTTACCAATCTTTTTGTGGACAAATGTTTTTATTTCTTTTGGACAAAAACCTAGCAGTGAAATTATTGGGTCATAAAGTTGATATAAGTTTAACTTTTTGAGCTACTGCCTAAGAATTTTCCCAAATGGCTGTACCATTTTATATCCCCACAAGTGATGTATGAGAGTTCTGGTTGTTCTACATAATCATCAGCTTTTAGGGTTGTCAATTATTTTCATTCTATTCATTCTTGCATGTATATGGTAGCATTGCATCTTGGTAATAATTTGCATCTGCCTAATGACTAATGATGTTGAGTGCTTTGTCATGTGTTTATTGGTAATTTGTACATATTCTTTAAGGAAGTATTTGTTCAAGTCTTTTGCCAATCTTTATTTTCTTATCTTATTGAGTTGTTCACAGTAGCTCTTTAGTATCTTTTTAATGTCTGTAGCATCTCTAGTGATATCTCCACTTCTATTTATTATATTAATGATTCATTTTTTTCTCTCTTTTCTTGGTCTATCTTGCTAGCGGTTTAAAATTGTATTAATCTTTTCAAAGAACCAACTTTTGGCTTTCGTGATTATCTCCATTTGTTTTCTGTCACTGATTTCCTTTCTCATTTTTATTACTTCTTTCTTCCTACTTATTTGGGGTTTAATTAGTTTTTTTCGTTTCTTAAGGTGGAAACATAAATCATTTATTTTATAACTTTCTTCTGTTTGAGTGAAGGCATTTAAAGCTACAAATTTTCCTATAATAACAGCTTTACATTAACTTCATTGTTTTGATATATTGTACTTTATCATTCAATTCAACCTATTTTCTAACCTTCTTTTTGATTTTTTTTTTTTTTACTCATGACTTATTTAGATATATAATGTTTGATTTCTTATTGAGGGGGTGGTCTATGTACATTCTGGATGTTAATTCCAAGCTTGATATTTGGCAGTCAGATAACATACTCTGATTTCTTATGAATGTATTTAAATTTGGGTTATGGCTCAGCTTATGGTTTACTTGGTGAATATTTCACGTGAATTAATGTGTTATTTGCTGTTGGTCAGTTCTATACGTTTATATCAGGTCAAATTGATTGACAGTGTTGTACAATTCTTCCATATTCTGACTTTGTATACAATTTCTGTCAATTTTTGAAAGATGAGTATTGCAAGTTCCAACTATGATTATGGATTTACCTATGTTTTCTTTTAGTGTTATCAATTTTTTGCTTCAAATATGTAGTGCCTTTGTTAGTAGGTACACACACATATAGGAATTTGTATATTATTGATTAATTGACCATTTTATAATTATGACATTTCCCCCATTATCTCTGATAATATCCTTCACCATGAAGTCCACCTTATCTGATAGTTATACAGCCACACCATCTTTGTTAGGATTAGTGTTTGCAATGTGTATGTTTTCTATCTTTTGACTGTTATTGTTTATGTGCCTTTATGTTTAATGTCTGTTTCTTGTAAGCAATATGTAATTGAGTCTCTCTTCTTCTAGCTCCCAAATTCTGACTTTTATTTCGTTTTTCAGTCCATTTTATTGTAATTGTTGATGTGTTTGGATATAAATCTTCCATTTTAGTATTTGAGTTCTATTTGTCCCATCTTCTCTGTGTCCCTCTGTTTTTCTTTTTTAATGTTTTGGGAGTGAATCAAATAACTTTTGTATTACATTATTTTTATTATTTTTGGCAGTTTCTCAAGATTACAATATGCATCTTTAAATTATCTCTGCTACTTTCAAAACATATTCTATTACTTCACAAACAAGGTAAGACATTTACAACATTATTCTTCCAATTTTCTTACAAACTTCATGATTGTTTTCTCATATTTTATTCTGTATGTGCTATAAACCTCTCATTACAATTTTATTATTTTTAATAGCAGTCAATACTCATTGATGTAATTTCTATATACATGCACACATTATTATTATTTTTTTATTATTATACTTTAAGTTCTAGGGTACATGTGCACAACGTGCAGGTTTGTTACATAGGTATACATGTGCCATGTTGGTGTGCTGCACCCATTAGCTCATGATTTACATTAGGTATATCTCCTAATGCTATCCCTTCCCCCCTCCTCCACCCCACGACAGGCCTGGACATGCACACATTGTTTTTAAAATAAAGATCTTTAATATTTTACAAATTTATTTACTCTTCGTGTTTTTCATTTCTTCCTGCAGAATTGGATTTTTATGTGATATAATTTTCCTTCATTATAAAGAACATTTTTTGTTCATTTCTTTTAGTGTTTATCTGCTGGAGAAAAATTCTATGTTTCTTTTTTTCTGAAAACTTATTTATTTTACCTTGATCTTTGAAGAATATTTTTGCTGGATATGTAATTCAAGTTTGGCAGATTTTATTTTTCTTTCAGCACTTTAAAGATGAGATATTCCATTGTCTTCTTTCCCTCATTGTTTTGGTCAGCAGTTATATATCTCTCTTATTGTAGTCCCACTGTAGGTAGTGTTTCTGTTTTCTCTGCCAGCTTCCAAGATTTTCTCATTATCTTTGGTTTTTAGCAGTTTGACTATGATATGCTTAGATGTTTTTTGTTTGTTTGTTTGTTTGTTTGTTTGTTTTATTAGGCTTATTTGATATTCTCTGAGATTCTTAGATACATAACATGTTGTCTTTCATTGATTTTGAACAATTCTTGGCCATTATCCCCTCATATACTTCTGCTTGATTCTCTCTTCTCCTGAGACTCCAAATTACTCATGTGCCAGATGGTTTCCTATTGTCCCACAGATATCACACACTGTTCCAATTTTTTTTGACTGTTTTCTTTCTTTCTGTTGCATTTGGATACTTTGTTTTCAAATGTATCCAAGTCACAAATTCCTTTCTCTACTATATTCAGTCAACTGATTAGCTCTTAAAAAGAATTCATCTCTGACATTCTACATTTTATTTCTAGCTTTTCAATTTTTTCTCTATTTGTACTTTCCATCGCCATATGTAAATAATACATTTATTCAAGCATGTCATTTGCTTTTCTCACTAGACCTTTTAAAATATGTATCATAGTTATTTTATGGTCCCTGTTTGATAATCCCATAATCTGGGCCATCTCTGAGACTCAGATCTATCACTTGAGTATGTTTCATATATTCTTCCTTTTTTTGTAAGTCTTTTCTTGTTGTTTATCTAATTTCTACTTGAAGGCAAGTCACTATGTGTAAAAGAACAGAAACTGAAGTAAATTATGTCAATGTCCAAAAATGAGAATACCTTTTCTTCTATTAGGCCATTAGTATTTTGTTTGGGATCAATCTACTCTTATATTGATCTAGATCTGAGCTTTAGTGACATTCAGTTCACCACAGACTTTACCTTATTTAGGAGCAGGATCACCATCTTATCTACAGCAATGCTTTAGCTCTGAGTACCTGGATGGTTTGTCTCTGTTCTCTTAACGCCATACTTCTGCAAGCTCTGTGTTCCATAACACAGGCAGGAGGGTGTTTTCTCTCTTATATTTTTTACACTTCACAACAGTAGAGGGTCAATGGGTGGTAATCAGTGTACTGAAGGTACTCAATGCCCATGGGGTGTCTCTCAGATGTTATTCCTAGCCTTCCTGTACTATGCACCTAGGACTGGGAGAGGAGGTCTCTCTCAGCCCTCCTTCCCCTCTCCCAATAGTAGATGGTCACTATTTCCCACTCATTGTAAAGCCTAGAGTGTGGGAGGGTTTTAACTCATACTTTCTGAAATTTGTTTACTAGCATATATTAGACTTGTGCCTGAGGACCATTATCGCAGAAGTATGTGAACTCAATATAATGTAAATAAAATATCCACCAGCCACCTAATATTCCAAAACTCTGTGCATACTTGAGTAAGCAATAATTACACACATTGCCTGGTTAAACCCAGTCTCCAATTTGGATACCAGAGTTTGTTCTTGGTAAATTTTAAATGAAAATAGTCTTTAAAGTTTCAAGGGGCAATGGCTCAAGGGATGGAGTATTTGGGAATGGGAGATACTCCCCATTTAAATGCTAGATGAGAGATGGATTCCACTCTGAAACTCTGGAGAACCAGGAGTTATAACCCACGGAGCCAAAACAAGAAAGTTGCAAAAATTATATCACTTAGAGTGAAATATTATCAAATAAGCCATTCCATGATGGCTTATGGTTCATAAAAGGCTTTGATCTAATATAAATGTGTTTATATTTTACTGCATGTAAGGATCCTCTTCAGAGTATTAATTCACGCATTTTTCTTTAGTTTTTGCTAAGTTTGACTTTGGAAAGGATAATATAATATGAAAATATTGGATGAATAAAAGTCACTGTTAACATATAAGTTTTCCCATCTGTCTTCTTTTTCATATTTATTGTTACAACCTTTTGAACTTGGGAGACATTTTTTGCACAAAATTGAAATGAGTTACATGAAATTAATGTCCAAAGATGAAAGCATGAAATTGCAGAACATATATGTTTTTCCATCTCTTTATTGTTCATGTTCACTGTAATGCTTTGGGGAGCATTGTTTATGGGCTATATATTCAAACACCTAATTTAAAGACAAGAAAATATTAATCATTAGCCTAGTTCCACGTTTTTCCTAGGTATATTTTCTTAGTAGAGTATGAAGAATGTATTAGCTTCACATTGATATCCTATGTATTTCTATGGTAAATCTAGAACTGTTCTCCCATATAATTAAATAGGGTGGATTTGTTCCACAGTTATTTTCTCTATGCATCTCATTGTATTTCATCGTGTAGAAAGTAATGTGATTATGGGCTTTAGTCAGAATGTTATTTTGTTCACTTAAGATTCATTCTCAGGAAGGTTGAACAAATTTGAATTTCATATGATAGCTTTCTTTATGTGCTTCAGTAACTCTCTCCCTTTATATAAGAGAAAATCTTCTTGTTGAAGAGATCTACAGATCTCCCCAGTGCCTGGGGGGCCTGAACTAGCAGCAGGGGGGGCTTCAATGAAGGCTACTGCTTCCTGTGCCTCATTGATAGGGGTGCTATGCATATTTCCCAGACAGAATGTTGGTGTTGCAGTTACTAACCCTTCTAGATATTTGATACAGAGTAAAATTTGCCTTATTTCCTAAAGCCTCTGAGTTAAAAAAAAAAAAATGAATCTTATTCCTTTTCATTATGTGATGTCGGGCAAGTTAGTCTTTCTGAGCATCACTTTCCATATCAGAAAAAAATGAGATACACATAATACCTACTTCGAAGGATTATTGTAACGATTACAGATATGGTTTATAATGAGCTTGGTACTTGGTAGGCACTTACCAAATATGAGCTGTCATTATGGCAGCAGAGCGAAGTGTTAAAAGTAGGGACTCCAGAGCCAGACTGTTTGTGACCAAATCCTGATTCTGATATGTACTAGCTGCCATTTGGGCAAATTGTTTAACCTCCCTACCTCTCAGTTTTATCATCCAAAAGTTAGGAGTAATAACAGTACCTACCTCATCAGTAGGATTAGGTTAATTAATACATGTGTAAGACCAGTGTTTGGTGCATAGAATAAGTGCAATATAAGTATTTGCTATTATTCTTCTCCATTTCACACAGCCCATAGTAGGGCAAGCTGAGGAGATGGGAGGCCATTAGAGGTCTCAACTGAGTATCAGTCGTCTCAGTTGGTCTACAGTAGATAAGAGATTATGACTTTTTGTCAAAATGTATGTGCAGATAAAGCTGTCTTTAATAGTGTATGTACATCAACAAGAAGAATAACAAAAACAGCAACTACAATTTATTGAGTCTGTACTACATGCGAAGCACATGCTAAACTCTTTACAAATATTAACCATTTAGTTCTCCCAATTACCCTAGGAGGTAGACACTAAAGTTATTTAAATTTCACAATAGAAAAAATTGAAGATCAGAGAGGTTAAATAGCATTCTAAAGTCACATATCTAATGTGCTACTGGATCAAGATTCGCAATTAAGTTTCCTAGTTATAAAGCCCATGCTCTTAACCACTCTGCCATATAGTCCTCTTCTGCACTAAGGGGGAAGCTTACCCCAGGGCTTCAGGATTCCTGTGCTGCATGATTTTTTTTTTTCAATTTGATGTAGCAAATGAAAACCCTCAAAACTATTGTCTTTTTGATTAGTGGTGGACTAACTAAATTCGAAGAACTTTCATGTCCATAGGCCTTGGAGGTCATGTAACTTAGATCTGTCATTTTATCGGTGTGGAAGTAGATGCCCAGAGTATAGATGGAGCTTTCCTGAAGTTTAAGACGAGTTGGCAGGAAAACTGATACTCAAACCCCAGGATGTTTTTTTTCCGACATTCCACCAAGCCTGTAGTTTGAAAAATGGCAATGACAATGCAACTTTTATACAACTCGATGCTGTTTCTAGTTATGTGCAAACCCATAACAAATGTTGCCTTATTATAATGCCTAGTCCTTACTTTTGCAAATGCAAAGTCATGCTTTGTTCATTACCAATAATATAATATTTTTACAGGAGGGTTGTGGGGGGGAGGAACTTCAAGCTTCCTGAGTACCTATAAGTAAATATCAGTAGAAATACATGCCAAATACCGTTAGGAAAAAATCCATTATATTATCAATACTCATTGCCCTAAATGGCATTTCTCTACTGCAATCATGAACACCATCTGCAGCCAGCTTCCCTGAAGAAGTACAGACTTGAAATTCATAATGTCTGGTGCTGGCACTCTTAATGCTGAAAAATCTTACCGTACTGCTTAGGAAGAACAAGTGTGCAGTTTCTGATTGAATGAGACATAAAGGAACTGTTCTTGACCCATTTTGACTTCTCGTGCACTGGCTCTTAGATCCAGGGAGTTTTATCCCCTGGGTAAATAACCATATCATGGCCTTCAGTAGTCTTTACTTGTTGCTTTTCTATTAGCAGTGACGAAGGATGTGCATGCTTCTCCTACAGACCTGTTGGTGCAGTATTATTCGTGTACTCAAGATGGTCCCCTTAACTCCAGAAATTATAAAGTTAGAGGGAAAAAAAGACTGAGTGAAAAATAGGCCTTATTTTACATACATCTTTTCCAGTCCCATAATACCGCATTACTTATTTCCCCATAGTTCGAATTAAGTAGAAACTCTGTTCAGACCAGATGGTTCTCTGAGGTGGTTTCCAGATCAAGGTAAGAAATGAAGTAAACTGTAAGTTGTAAAACATATTGAACCATAGCTCGCAAAATAGATAAATTGAAGCCAACTATGATGTGAAAGACAAATGAAACTCCAAATATTTTTAATAAACTTATAAAAATGTTTTGAATAATTTTAAGTTTACAGAAAAGTTGCAAATATAGTACAGAGAATTCATATATACCCTTCATCTAGGTTTCCCTAAAGTTAACATACTATGGTACATCTGTCAAAACTAAGAAATCAACACTGGTACATTATTATCAACTAAACCCCAGACTTTATTTGGATTTCACCAGGTTTTCCACTAAGGCCCTTTTTCTGTTCCAGGATTCAATCCAGGATAGCACAGTGCATTTAGTCATTATATCTCCTCAATCTCCTCTGGTTTGTGAGAGTTTCTTTGCTTTTTATTGGTTTTTAGCTCAGACTGTTTTAATAGTAATTCCACATGGCTTATGTGTCCTAAAGATAAGACCACTGACTATTCCAGCAATTCGCCTAGTTTACAAATTCTAACCTGCGTTGTTAAGCACTATACTTAAAAACTTCTGTCCTAAAATGAATTACCTTTGACTAACCCCAGCCTTGAAAACCCTGTAAGTACTCTTTGCTAACTCCTCCTTTTTAACATAGTACTGAGACTCTGTCAAGGGGGACTTTCTCTTGCTTAGTGTGTTTCACATACCCAGCTTTGTATGATCAGCAGGTTTCTCTGGTAGTCTTTGTGTGAGGGCTTTGACAAAAGGGTCTATGATGATACCATTCAATCATCTACTAAATGCAAGAATCCCTTCCACAACATCTGATTGGTACTGGAATAGGTCTGTGTGATCCCATGGCCCTTCTATGAACATTGCCAGTGACAAGACATTGATTACCTTTCAAGATAGTCCATGCTACCTATTTTTATACAATCCCTATTGTTGGAAATGTCTTCATCAAAATGAGCCCTAATCTATTTCCGTGCAGCTTCTCTTCCTTTGTCTTATTTCTGTCTTCCAGAAAATCAAAATATTGGATGGAAAGTAAGCTCCGTGTACAGTTCCACTCAAGTGGTATGCAAGGAGTCGGACACGATTGGGTGGTCCCAGCTTTGTTCACATAGTGTCACTTGCTGGTTGTGTGAATTTGGGCTAATGACTCAACTTCTCTGGGCCTTAATTTTCTTACCTGATAAAAACAAAACAAACATAAAAACACCCTACCTCATAGGAGTGTTGTGAAAATGAAAGAAATAACATATGTTGAAGCACCTAGCACACTGACAAGCTCAGAGAATTCTCTTAACAAATGATAGTTACCTTTTGGTCAGATGATCACCCCCTGAGTACCCAAGATGAAATGTACCATTTATGTTATATTGCATTATTGTGTTATTAGTTCTGCTTCACAGCAGTGAATTGTAACGTTCCCTTCTTGTTAACTAATTTCTTAAAAGGTTTAATTTTATTTTTCTGTTGACCTTTTTTTCCCCTCGAGACTTAATTAAGTTGTTACTGAACAGAATTGAAGTGTTAAATAACCTAAGATGATGGGTTTCTAGCATTCATGAATTCCACGCATCGCCAACCGGTGAGATTAGTCATGGCAGTGGATGAGAGAGCTTGGCAGGGATTAGCAAATACTCCTGTTAATCAGCAGAATGCGCAAATTAGGCCCTGGCTCATGGCATTGATATAAATCTCCATGGCAACACCAGGGTGAGCTGTTTACATGTGAAGAAGTGATTTCAAAGCTGCAAAGGATGATAGAAATTACTGCAATGACCATAAATAGGAAAAAACTGAGGAAAGGAGAAGTATTCCCACTTCTTAAAGAAATTCATACAACTTTCTATAAATTTAGTGGTAGTTTTACCATCTCTGAGCCTCTACTACTGGAAAGTTAATTGACAGTGATATAAACAGAAAGAAAGTAAGAGGGAGTAGAAGAGGGTCTGAAATCATTCATAAAATATACAATCCATCCCTCTGACCAAATAACTATAAATCAGGATTATTTGCATATCTGTGTGTAGCAGGACTGTCTGAGTTAGTATCCTACTTCCACCATCCATTAGCTGTGTGACCTTAGGCAAAATTTTTAATCTCGTCGTATCTTTTCTCCTCACCTATAACATAAAGCTAATAACAGTACCTACCTCAGAAGGTTGTTATGAGATTTGGATAAGTTAACACATGTAAAACATTTGGAACAATGGTTGGCTCAGAGTAAATGCTTGGGAAAATGTTAGCTGCTATTATTATTATCACTGTTATTATTATTCCTGTTAGTTGGCCATAATTCTTGAATATAGACTACCTTTCTATTTTATACCCTGTAAAGAAACTACAGAGTGGGAAAGGTTATATTTTTCATTTTCTAATTTTGTTTGTGCTGGAAAAGAGACTTGGAAATGTCAGCACTAGAGAGGTTTTATAGATATTATCATTTTCAATTTCAGTACAACACTTAAGAAAATGATAGCTGTGATACTAGTTGAAGCATAGGATCCAAGTAAAGCCACTTTATTATTTAAACTCTCATCAAAACCCGGGAGCAGGTGGATATCTATAAAATGTGATGTGATCAAAATTGAATTAGATTATCTCAGAAATAGAGCTACCTTTTTAAACATATATGTAGCTCTGAAAATTAAACCCAGGCCCCTGTCCTCTCATGGACCAATTTTCTCTGTGGTTTCAGCTCATTTCACCTTACTTGTGTCTGTTGGTTGATTAGGCTTCTAATCCAAGCAGGATAATTGCCGTAATTCAAGTTTGGATTCAATTTTCAGTGCTTACATTTGATGGGAGATTATTCAAATAGATACTGGGCTGTTTGCTTTGTGAGGTCAAAATTGTTGCTACTTTTTTATTAATGCCAACAAATCTCTTGCCAGTCACCACCCAGTGGTTCAAAAGCTTTTGGAGGCAGCCTAATGGAGCTGAAAGGGAGTGAGACTAAGAGTTAGAAACCTTGGTTGGAAACCCTGCTGGCCTCCTCTACCATCTGACTCTTGGTCGTTCACTCTCATGTTTCTTTATTTGTGTTTCAATTTTATTTTCTTGTGCACCTTTTTGTAAGCCACTTCAATTCTTCTTTGGAATGAGGTAGGTCAGCAGTGACAATAACCAGAGTAATTCATATTCCAGAAATAAGGCAATATGAAAGAGGCTTTAACATAAGTGCATAAGTGTGATCAAAATGTTCAGTAAGATAAAGGAATAAAACTCTTAAGATATGATCAGAACGTTATGAAAAAATAGACATATTATCAAACACCAAACAGAAATTGTAAATATATATATGTATTTAATATATGTGTGTATATATATTTTATATATAACATTTGTGTGTATAGATATGATTTTGTATGCCATTCATAAAATATTATTGTATAATATATAGTATTTCTACCAATGAAATAAAAACAAAATCAACAGATAAATCCAGCTAAAGAGGGGATCAGTGAAGCACCCAGATTTTGCAAAGAAAGATACAGAGATGGAACTAGGAAAGAGAAGTAAGGAATCATGAGGGAGAGACTAAATAAAATGAATATTTTATCCGTTATTTCTATGTTTTATGGAAGAATAGGTAGGATGCACCTAACAGAAGTTTCAGTAGAACAACAGAGATTTAAAGAGAGGCAATAAGTAAAGAGTTGATAGCTAAATTTCCAGAATTGAAGCACAGCAATAGAAAAACTGATTAAGCACAATTGAAGAGGAATACAGTGAGCAGGGAAATTTTCAATATGTTTTCAATATATTCAAATACCAACCAAATCCTAGTTGTTCCTCTCCTATAGGAATACTGAAATCTATATAGATGAATTACTGGCATTACCTGGCTTGGACAGTCTTTTCACACAATCTTTAATTTGTTACCTTAAAGTTTTATCATCATAAAAATTATTTATTGACTGCCCATGTGAAAAATCTCTGGTCTCCAACCTCACGCCAGTTATATCAGGAGAATGGCTGACTTACCATGACATACATGCCAATGTAATTTTCATTTTTATTGGCATCTTTCTAAAGGGATTACTTCTACTACACCCTCTGCTGTTGCCAGTCAGAAATCAGTAACAACTGTATACTTGAACATCAATGTTGACAATATGTACTGAATGCGATCAGTAGGAAAAAGAAGACGATCTCTTTAAAGCAAGGAATAAAAACTTACAAATGTTCATCAGAATATCCACATAGCATAGTCGATTTCTCCCAGTCCCCAGTGGTTGATGTTCAAAGGGTAGTGATATAAAAATCTAAGGTTTTGCAAATTCTTTACCTGAGGGAAAGTAATATGGCCTAGTAAGAAGAATATAGTACCAGTAGTCAGTTGAAATCCAGGTTTGAAGTCTGGCTTTACCTAATTTCGTTCCCCAACTTCTGAGCTTCTTCCCATCCTCCCACATTCATCTTCAGTGACAGGTTTTGTTTTCTGAAGCTGGATTCAATTCCTGCCCTCCTGCCCTCCTGCCCACGGAGTTAGCTGCACCCTCTTTGGGCTCTGAAAACACTGGATATTTAGTATCATTCTTAAAGTGCTTACCACACTTGTGTTTTAGTTAACTATTTACTTCTCTTTCTCCTCCACTTGAGGCCAGGGACAGTCACTGGAGAGGCAGTAGAGTCATTTTTTAAAACATGAAATATAAAGGCAGTATGCACAAATTTAAATTCTGACTCCACCACTCCCTACACTAATGAATGCATTAGCCTTTCTTCATCTCAGCTTCTTAATCTGTAAAATGGAGATAAGTTCATAAGGTTATTATAAGTATTAAAAGAGTAAACAAAGTACAATAAGTCCTCGCTTAAATGTCATAAATAAGTTCTTGGAAATTGCAACTTTAAGTGAGATGACATACAGCAGGTCTTCAAATAATGTCATTTCTTTCAATATTGTTTCCTTATAATGTTGATGAGAAAAAAATTTGGTTTCGTTATGTCATTTCGCTTAAAATTGCAGTTTTCAAGAACATATCAATGACATAAGTAATGATTTATTGTACTTTGAATAGTGCCCGGAGTAGAGTTGGTGCTCAATACATTAGAGCTATTAGTATTTTTGCATCCTTCAGGTCTTAGCTCAGTACTTGTCAAACAGTTATCAGTAAATGTTGAATGAATAAATTAATGAATGAACAAATGAACAAATGGCCCAAGCCAAATGTATTCAACTTCTCTTGCCTCAGATCTCTTCTCTAAAATGAAATCATTAGGTAAGCATCAAGGCTTCTGTTAGGAAATCAGTTTCTAAAATTGCTTGAGGCCTTCAGTGGTTGCACGAAAAGTTACTAAATAATTTCAGTCTGTTGACTGTACTTTTAACTGTTTGTCAGAAGAGAAAAGTTAGAGCAAATTAGCTAGAATAGATATTGGAGAAGCTCCTAATTGCAAAAGGATAGTCATGGGCTTCCGAGTATGGAAGTGAATACACTGTGTATAATATTTTTCTCTCTTTTGGCTGAACTCAAGCTTCCTGTAGCTAAAAACAGATGGCACAAAAAAGCTTACAGTGTGGAAAGCCAGTTTTTCCTGTACGAAAAGAACTGAGTGTTTGGAGTGCTTTAACTTCTTGTCTCTGCTAAGTAGTGATGGAGAGAAAGGCCGGGAAGTGTCCTTTGGGTCTCATAGCATTCCAAAGTCCCAGATTACCTGAGTCAAAACAGGTTCTAGTGTTAAACTATTTCTTGGGCTAGGAAACATAGAATAACATTAAGTAGTGCTTTATAATCCTATAATTTTCATGAGAAAGTTAGCAATGTTTTCTTTAAATATTGCTATAAGAAGTTATTGAGTGTTATGAACTGTGCTTATAACTAGGCATAGATCATATGTATTATTTTTATTTCATAATTCACTTTTGTTAAAGAAAAAAAAACTGATTAGAAAAATCATGCTATATTTCATCTCGTTCAGTCCCCCAAGCCAAAACATAGTCACATCCAGGCACCACTGTTGAGCAACCCAAATTCCAGACCCACTGCCAATGAGGAAAGAAGTAGTATTTAAAGGTCTGGCCTTGTATACATAAATGTGCTTTTTGGCTCAGGATCCTTAGCTTAAATACTTGCACTTCCACTTATGTACTAGCCAGGAAACCAGAGTCATATCACTTAGTCTTTCCAGGCTTCACTTTTCTCACCTTTGCAATGGCAATAATGATAATACCTACCTTACATGTTGTTGTAAGGATTAAAGGGATTAAGGTTATAGCACTTAACAAGTTGCTTGTCCAACTATAACCATAGTATTTATTGAGTGTTATCACCATTTCCAACCCCAGTTTTGGGAAAAACAAATCTAAAGCAGAAGGGAGAGCTTAAAAATCATCTAGGGCATCTGCACAGTTCTCAGGTGGGTTATCAACCTGTCTTTCATCTCCTCCTTAGAATATGGAGGATAGTATTTTCTCTGAATATACCAGGTTCTTCTCCCCAAATCTTGGTCAGTGTCTGAAAAGAGATGTGTTAAGACTCTTAATCCTGAGGGAACACTAAAGTATTTTCCCATTACCTCTCTGTTGCTTTAAAAAATATAAATTCTTGATAGGAAATTGGAGCAAACAGTGCCATTGGCAAGTAGGAAATCCATCCAGTGTTCCTTAATGCTGGTTGTGAATCTTGCCTCCATATGCTAAATAATAACAGACACTAGATCATTTGCCCACACTGCATTCCTTTCCTCAAATACTGAGTTTAGGTCACCTTCCAGTAACTTTATTTCCTGAATTGGCTTAAATCCAGAAAAATTAGGTTGTCTGCCATTGCCTCAAATCCTCCATCATTTTTTCCCCTAGCTTTTCATTTAGGTTACCTAGTTCACTGGGCAAGAAATGAACCCAGTGTTACAGATATTTTGCCTCTGATTCTTGTACATTTTTAGCCTGCCATAAATGTCTCACCATAGAAGCACCTCACTTAATGTTTGTTAGCCATCACTTAGTTCATAAAATAGAAATTGTTCCTTCAAGATCTTCAAATATTATTGAGTAAAACAGAATCAAATTCACTTAGAGAACCTGATGCTTTTCTTGGCTCTAGACACTCTGTCACCACTGAAGCAACCCATTTGATTAATAATACATTTATTGTGTCTACAAAGTGTTTTCTGCAAGTTGGATGAGAGAAACTTCAGGAAATGAATGTGACTGCCTTGATCCACATGCTCCAAGTTCATCCAGTATGATCTTCCAAAGGCAAAAGCACTAACAATTAGCTTTGTGTTATGGCTCACACCTGTAATTCCCAGCACGTTGGGAGGCCAAGGCGGGAGGATCACTTGAAGCCAGGAGATAGATAGAGACAAGCCTGGGCAACAAAGTGAGACCTTAGCCTTAGAAAAAAAAAATAGTTAAATGTGGTGGCACGTGCCCGTAGTCCCAGCTACTTGGGGACTGAGATGGGACATGGCTTGAGCCCAGGAGTTAGAGGTTACAGAGAGCTGATCACGCCACTGCACTCCTGACTGGGTGACAGAGAGACCAGATCTCAAAACAAAACAAAACAAACCAACAACAACAACAACAAAAACACTAGCAATCCCCATGCCCTATCAGAGGGGACCTTTGCCTTCTCATAATGGTGTTACTGCCCCTTTCCACTCTCCTAGTGATTACTTCTTGGTGGCAGGTCATGGTTATACAAATAGTCGTGTAGATTTTATGACAGAATGATAGTCTTAATGGAAACCAACCCACATACCTAGCTAGATAGAAAAGGTTTTTGTTGTATTCATAAAAGGTTTTATAGAAGAAAAATCAGCAATCAATCATAGTATTTAACAACGCTCACTGAAAAGAATGTTTTCCTTGTACAAAACTTAAATCCCCACATATTAAAGCTTAAGCTCATTTCCTTGTATTCTCTCCTCAAGATTAAGGGAGAAACCTCCGCCCCAGAAAGCTGCTATTTCTCTCCAGGTTTTCTTGATTAAATGGCCAAGCAGGTAATCAGAGGCCTTGAACTCTCGATGTTGCAGCTGCCATGGCTAATTAAATGGTGAAGTGCTGAATTCACAGACATGATTAATACCATCAGGGCGTTTTATGGCTTTAATGTTCATAAATTATGACTGAACAATGAAATTTGTATGTGGGTTATAGGATTTTTCTTCTTAAGGATCAGAATTAATCAGTGTTTTCTCAATTGATTTTAAATATAAATCAGAGGTAGCATCAGTAAATTCTATAGCTTAAGTATTTAGAGAATGATCTCAGAAACAGGACATAATGAAAACCAAGCCACCATCCTAGTGTGATGCAAGCCTAAGGTCTTGTGGATTTTCATTCTAAATGCAATTCAGGAAGGCCAATCAGTTTCTAAAAGGATGGTTCTGGAGACCTTTGTTTCTGAAGTATAACTCCCCTAAATGATCTAATCTTTGCCAGCTAATATATGTGTCAGGGTATGTAACAGAATACAGTAGTCACTCTTTCTTTACCTGGCATTCTAGTGTGACACTAACAAGATTTCCTTAAATTGCATTTTTCTTCCTGGAGTTAAGTGTCTATTTCTTTTCTTTCTTTTTTCTTATTTTTCTTTTTTTTAGAGGCAGGGTCTTACTCTGTCACCCAGGGTGGAATGCAGTGGCAGGATCATAGCTTGCTGCAGCCTGGAACTCCTGGGCTCAAGGGATCCTTCTGCCTCAGCTTCCCAAAATGCTGGGATTACAGGTGTGAGCCACTGTGCCTGGCTGGCTGAAAAGAGCCTATTCTGTTAGCTTTTCTCTAAACTCCTCATTTGTATTTCTATCCAGTTGTTTCTCTGAGCCTTTGTACATAATTAGACCACAAAAGGTGGTACTTGGCTACCTCATCTCGTAAATACTCTCTCTGCTGCCTTACTTAGTGAATGGGGAGATCCCAGTGTTACTCGACGTTGGTGCATTTGAATCTGCCAACATTTCCTTTCTTTGAGCTCATCATCAGTCCTTGACCAGGTAACTTCCCACTCAGATATTTTGGTGAACTGTTAGTGTAGAAGGAGAACAAACTGGCAAGTGATTCTGAGTGAGCTTATCTTCACATAGGAAGGGTGTTTGAAATTTCTCATTTTCAGAATTTCAGAAAGACAGCCAATTCCTTTCTGCTCAGAATGGACTGAGGCTGCTCCCGATTAGGCTGTCTGAGTTCTCTCATTTTTACTCATCACAGTCACATCTGTTTGGGTTTCTGTCTCTCTCCTGGAGATGCCTCTTGAGAGCAGGTCCCCTCAGCTTCCTTACAGCTCCTCTGAGGCCTGCCAAAAGAGATTGGCAGAGAACGATCAGCATTCTATGCCCAGATAACTCACATAACTCTCTCTGAAAAGAATGCTAAAACCTAGTTCTCAAGTGAACCCACGAGGAGTGGAATCAAAGGGACTTTTGCATTTTTTCCTTGGAATCCAATTTAGAATTTATGTTCTCATGGGGTGGGAAGAGAACAGAGAGATGGGAAGTATGAAGAGGGGAAGATAAAGAAGTAGGAACAGGAACATATGGGAAAAATAATCATAGGCTCCCAGAGCCAAAAGGACTTTAAGGAACATGTCATCTGGAGGTTTCCAAACGTTTTGTTTTTAGTACCAGAATCTTTTCATTTTTATTTTTTACGTAAGAAATCATACAATGAGCTCCACTATATAAAACAGATGAAAAGAGAAAGAGAAATAAACAGTTGAATGAAAACAGTTAAAATAGATGAAATCTACTGTTGAAACATTGGCGAGGGAACTTTTATTACTTTTCATTACTTTTAGATTGCTGAAGAATACAAAGTGAAAACTGCCAATCTTGTCTAAGTATTACTTTAAAGATGGGAAAATTGAGGCCTGTAATATGGAGAAATGACATACTCAAGGTCACACAGCCAATTAGTGGCAGAGATAGGATTAAAACATATGTTTCCAGCCTGCCAGGCTAGAACTCTTTGGGAGTTGAGTTAGAAAAAAAAGCTAAGAATGCTTTCTTTCTGAACATGGTCAAAAAGAGAGGTTGGTGGACAATGCAATGGGAGAGCGGACACGTGGGAGAAACAACGGAGAATAGACCCTACCTTAGAATAGAGCATAGAAGAGTTTGAACCACCAGGGATAAGCAGAGATAACTGAAATTTACAAATATGGAGGAGATCCAGGAAGTTCCATAGCAAGGCCACAATGTGAACTGCTAGGAACAAATCAAAACTGGAGAAAAAGGGATTTGGAAATAGGTGTCAAAAGAGAATTCTTTATTACTTCCCCTACACAAATGTCGTACTATTGGCCCAGGATGGCAGTGGGACAGCAAAGACAAGCAAAATATGCTTCTCTAGGATTGGCTGCAATTCTTTCATTATACCTTCTCAAGATGGATGTGACTTTGGCATAGTTTCCTGTTGGAGATTTGAAAGTAATATTCACATTCGTCTCTGAAATTTTAAGCACCTGGGAAATAGACATGAGAGTTAGGAAAACGCGAACATATCTGCTTTGTGTGTGTGTGTGTGCGCGCGCGTGTGTGCGTGTGTGGAGTTTCGCTCTTATCGCCCAGGCTGGAGTGTGGTGGCCTGATCTTGGCTCACTGCAACCTCCGCCTCCCGGGTTCAAGCGATTCTCATGCCTCAGGCTCCCAAGAAGCTGGGACTACAGGCAGGCGCCACCATGCCTGGCTAATTTTGTATTTTTAGTAGAGACAGGGTTTCACCATGTTGGCCAGGCTGGTCTCAAACTCCTGACCTCAGGTGATCTGCTTGCCTCAGCCTCCCAAAATTCTGGGATAACAGGCGTGAGGCACTACGCCTGGCCAATATCTGCATTATTAATGGTTAAGTTCATTGAGCAATATGATTTGGACCCAATTTCAAAATGGTTTTCTTTCACTTTCTGCCCCAGATTGAATTTACCCTCTGGTCACAGGCCTTTGTGAGTTCTCTTTGTGGAAGAGAGAGGAGAATGAATGAGGTCCGTAGACAGACAGATCACAGAGAGATGCCCCCTTCTCAAGTCTCATTAATAATGTGCCATGCATTTTCCTGTTCATGAAAACAAAAGATTCAAGGGGGTCAGGATATAAAAAGACAGAAATATCTTTTGTGGGTTGGCAGGAACATGTGACAGAGGGAGAGTCTCGTTCCCCCTCCCCCATACTCTTCATTTTTCAATATTATACAATTTAATCAGGGAGAGAAGGATTAGAGCAAGAAGGACATCTACAAACACGTGTAGAATCACCTGGTTATCAGCCTTGGCCCAGTGGTTCCATGAGCTTATGTGGATGGTAGACAGGAGTTAGAAACAAAAGGATGTATTTACAGTTTGTGTTTGCAAATTTGTAATAAATGCCCCCGCCATTCTTATTATATATTCCTGAAGTCTTCTCTGAGTCTGTTTACCTCTAATATGTACCACAGAGTGTCCACACCAATAATTCTACAGGCGTCCTGAAAATACCTTATGAATGGTGTTTGCAGAAGCAAACAGTGAGAGCTATCTGAGAGGAGAAGTGGAGGAAAAACGGTGTGGGAAAGCCCTTATGATTTTCTCAATACCATCTCTTCTTCTAAGGTCTATCCCCTTCCTGAATCAGAACTTCATCCTTCTTTAGCTTTTGCATGCCTGCTCTGGGTCAGGATCCCAAGAGAGAAATGAGAGTAGGAACAAAAGGCCCTTGGGGTTGGTGCTTGGCAGAAGGTAAAAACATGCAGAGAATAAGCAGAGACCTTGTACCTGTTCATCACCCACCCCAAATATTTGGGCTTGATCAAAGCTTCTCCTGACCCCTCTTTATGTAAGATATTTCCCTTCATGGTATCTGGAATTTAAACAACAATCACAAACATTTTGAACTAGGAAATAGCCTCCTACTCTTCAGAATCAATATCAATCAGTCATTCCTCAGGGATTTATTTTTCCCTATGAATCAAATTTTAAAGAAGTGGATACTTGAATAGACTTGAGGTGTTAAAACTCTCGTCTACCTTGTCCTCCCTTTTCATTTGGGAAAGCCAAAAGCACAAAAGAGTAGGTAGAAAATGTCAGACCCTTTGGCATCATTCTCCTGTAACTATCAGTCTCAACCCACTGCAACCTTTACCCCAGTCTGCCTTGCAGACACACAGTGGTGCTTCTGATGGAGCAAGAGACATTTCAAGATTGCAGAGAAGTGGAAGGAGGGGTAGCAACAGCTTCCCCTGTGAAGCAATGGAATCTACAGAAGGGTCCGGTGATTCAGCTCTTATGGGCTAAGAAGCCTGAAAGCATTTCAGTGTTGCTGAGTCCGAGCTTGTTTGTTGGGTAGTCAGGCAAGGAAAAAAGGGCTAGAGTCTGAAGATAAGCTGAGCATCTGGTTTTGCATCTACATTAGTTCTGAAAAGAGGTGATGGGGGTGCCATGTAGGAGTCCAGTAAAGACGGTGTAGGGCTGCCAGGTAGTAGAGCTGCTCTATTTTGCTTCCTAGTTGGCCTCAGAAATCAAGTAAAATAGTCAAATAATTGTGTCTGTTTGAAGGTAGGGATGTAGACAGGCCATTTCTCTTTGCTGCATTTCTGGCCTCAAAACCTCTTCTTTCTTTTCCTCCAGAATAAAATATAACACAGGGAGAGGACAGAACTTGTTAATAGACTGAGGCCAGCAAAAAGCCAGACTGGTTCCTGAATTGGAGGGAAGGAGGCTGCCTGACTTTGGAGGAGCAGAAAAAAATAAGTTAGGAGATTAGAGATGGGCCACAGCTTAAATAGAGAGGTTCGACTCTGCATTTCCCAAATACGTAATGCTTACGGTACACGACCCAAGCTCTCTGCTTGAATCCCAAATCTGAGCGGACAGATGAGGGGGCGCAGAGGAAAAACAGGTTTTGGACCCTACAAATTGGCTTGAAATGAAAAGTCAGCAAAAACCACTGGGTGGCAGCGTGGTGTGCGGGCGCAGCTCTGCAGTGTCTGCTTCTGCTGCTACCGCTGGGGCTGAACCCGTCTGGGGACTCTGGCCTCCTCCCCTGAATGGCTACAAGTGTCGCCAAGCAAAATACCTCTGCGCGGGTGGGTGAGGGTTCTCCGGGTTGTTGGTGCGTCCAAGCCTGAGGCAGGGATCTGGCGAACTTCTGAGGGGCTCCAGCCCGAGCACAATCTGGTCAGCTCAAACACTGAGGAAACACCCCCACCACTCCATCCCCCAATGCCGAGCAAACCCCCGCTCCGTCAGCCCAACTACCTCATCTCAGTTCCTCCTCCATCACTGTTTCCTCCCGAAGCTCCTTTCGGGAAAAGGAGGGGAGAAGGATTTGGACGACTGGGGCAGTGCGGAAGCCCCTACAGGTGTTAGCCGGAACGGGCGGCCGGGGACTTGGGGGGGTGGGGGTGGGGGTGGGGGTGGGAGGGGCGGCCTGCGGCTCCGAGCCTACGGGCTCAGCCCCGGGAGGGAGGGGCCGTCGCGGGAGGGGGCTGCAAGGAGGCTGTCGCGCTGTTCCGGAGGGTGCCTGCGGCGGCTGAATTCCTGTGCTGCGACTGTGCCGCGCCCAGAGCAGCAGCAACAGCGAAGATGCGAGGCCATTACCTGTTTGATCCCTGTCGGAAACCTGGCACGGGCCAACTTTTCCCGATTATCACGCCAAGAAGTTGCAAGGACTAGTCGAAGACTCGGAGGGGCCAGGGCGAGGGCGCGCTCCCCCGCGCGCTGCCTCGTCCCTCCTCCGTCCGGCCGCCCGAGCTCCCGGCCTCTCTCCCGCCCGCGCTCACTCCCTCCGCCCGCCTCCCTCCTCTGGCCCCCATCAGAAGGGCAACAGGGCGAGGGGGTCCGGCGAAATTCGGACCGGAGCAGCTGGACATGCACGGTGTCCGCCGGGCGCAGGGGCCGACCACACGCAGTCGCGCAGTTCAGCATCCGCGTGCCAGTCTCGCCCGCGATCCCGGGCCCGGGGCTGTGGCGTCGACTCCGACCCAGGCAGCCAGCAGCCCGCGCGGGAGCCGGACCGCCGCCGGAGGAGCTCGGACGGCATGCTGAGCCCCCTCCTTGGCTGAAGCCCGAGTGCGGAGAAGCCCGGGCAAACGCAGGCTAAGGAGACCAAAGCGGCGAAGTCGCGAGACAGCGGACAAGCAGCGGAGGAGAAGGAGGAGGAGGCGAACCCAGAGAGGGGCAGCAAAAGAAGCGGTGGTGGTGGGCGTCGTGGCCATGGCGGCGGCTATCGCCAGCTCGCTCATCCGTCAGAAGAGGCAAGCCCGCGAGCGCGAGAAATCCAACGCCTGCAAGTGTGTCAGCAGCCCCAGCAAAGGCAAGACCAGCTGCGACAAAAACAAGTTAAATGTCTTTTCCCGGGTCAAACTCTTCGGCTCCAAGAAGAGGCGCAGAAGAAGACCAGGTCGGAAAGGGCTTTTGCTTTCTTTTCCCCATACTTTACGAGTGAGGTGGGGGCGGTGGGGAGCAGGTATGTAGCATAGGTGAGTTTGTTGGTGGCCCATCTTGTGCAGAAGAGGCCACCTAGCCTGTGTGCGTGCGTGGGAAGGCGCTGGCTTTCTTGCCTCCGTAACAGTAACACGCTTGCTGCATTGCAACTGCCCTGGGACAGGCGCAGAGCCTGGGGGCATACTCTGCCCTGGGTGGCTTGCCCTCAGCTTCGGACATGTCACATATGTGCATGCCCGGTGGGCTCTGGGCAGGCGTGACCCAGACATGGCTGTGATATGTATGGCGTGGAAATTGCAGGCGCAGAGCTGGGCAGACACCATCCTCCCGTCCCCAGGAGAGCCTGGGGAATCCCTCTCTTGCTTTTATCTCTGCCTCAGACCCTTCCCCTCCAGCTTCCACCTCCAAGGGATGTGGGCTTCTGCTGTCTAGGCATTGCGTTTCTTTGATGACTTTTAAGCTTTTTGGGACAGACTTGACTTGTGGTGCAGCTTCGAAATGTTTGCTGGGGCGGGGGGAGGGGGGATTTCTAGAACCTTGTTGCAAAGAGCTGAGAGATTTGGTTAGACTTAGTGTAATCGGTTACATGCTACTAAAATGCGGTGTTGAAGAGGGGATTTAAGCTCATACCCAGACTGTGGTGCTTTTGAACATTTTCAGTGGTAGGAGTAGCGCGATATTCCAGCGACTGGAAATTCAGCTCTAGGTGTCAGGTTGCGTCAAGGCAGACCTTCAGGCGAGCATGCAGTTTATTTGCCATTCTTAACCAAATGAATCTTTTACACTCTTTTCTGCCTTTTACTAGATAAATATTACAAAAAAAATAAGAGTCACCGATCTGTTATTTCTCCATTTATGTGTGCTACACCCTGGGATGGAAAAGCAGACATAACGTTTTCTGTTTGCACAAAGTTTTTAATGCATTAACTGTAAATTAGGCTTGTTTCAAAAAGGCTTAAGTGGTTGCAAAGCATGCTTATGTGGCTCGAATAATCACATAAATATTATTTCAGCGCAGGAGTCTATATTCAGTAAAAGAAAATTTTGGATAACATGGCTGTTATTGGTAAATGAGACACTTGATTGATCTATGGTTATTCATAATTGAAAATCATTTTAATTAAGAACTCATATTTTTGATAATCATACTTCTGATATGAAATTTGAAAAATTAGTATGCACTGATTTTTTCCTTCCTACCAACAAAAACCCTGCTCTTTTCACACACATTTTCACTAATGATAATTAATATGACAAGATTTGTTAATGGTGGTTGTATCTCCCTCCTCCCTTTTTTGGTATAAAAGGCTCAATTTTCCAAATACAGTTTCCTTAATGGGGTTCCACGTTATTTATGCATTTTCTACCTTCTTAGAATAAAGGAGATTATTTATTCAAATTGTGGTCATTCTGAAGGAAATCTTTGCTAGTGGGTTTTTGGTCCTTGGTCGGTTGGCAGACAACTCTGAATTATCTTTCTATTTCTCCTTTTCCTTTCACATGAAAAGTAGCACAATTTCAAAAGGCAGAATAGCCATTTGCCAACCCATTACAAATACTCAGTGAGATAGAGTTCCACTCTGTAAACCAAAGGACAGGTTATCAGAAACTATAGACACTTTCAGAAGCTTTACCAATGTTTCCAGATAGAAATAAAATGTTTCTTTAGTTTGAAAATTTATTCTGAAACTCAGAGTTTGTTTTCTTTCTTCCAGACACCTTAAAAGTGTAGTTTGACTTTTTCCATTAAGATTTGTAAATGAAATTAGAAATTGAAATTCCTAGTCTTTTCAACTACATAGGCACAATTTATCAATTGATCCAAATCATTGTTCTCTTTGCAGAGCCTCAGCTTAAGGGTATAGTTACCAAGCTATACAGCCGACAAGGCTACCACTTGCAGCTGCAGGCGGATGGAACCATTGATGGCACCAAAGATGAGGACAGCACTTACAGTAAGTGACTGCAAAATAAATAGTATATGCCAGCATGTTGTTAACATTCTGTTTTTATTTATTTTAAAAATAAATACGCTTTCCTAAATCCTGAATTAAATGCAAAATATATTCACACTACATAATCCTGTTTACACAGGTTAACCTAAAGGAAGTTGAATATGAGTCTGTCTAAGATAGTAAACTAGGGCAAATAATGTTGACACCATCTGAAGAATAATCCAAATGTCATCTCCATGGAAATCTAGATAGATTTATGGCTATCCTTTGGATTTTATTACTTTTTTCCCACAGAAAATTTACTCACCCACACACTGATCCAGAAATAGCATGTTATCTCTACTCTTAAGAACCGGTCTTAACCCAAGAGAGAGGAGTGGTTTCATACCATGAAAATTCATCATTACAAGCTTTCACTTCTGCTCCCTGCTCCACACACACACTGATAACTCTGAGACTAGTGGAATTTTAACATTGAGATACCTCCGCAGGTGGGTAAAGGGATTTCTTTTAGTTCTTTCTTTTTAACCATGGTTTCAGACCAAATTGGAGACTATAATGGTGAGCCTAAAAAAGAAACACATAAAAAATAATTAGGTTTTATTTCCAATTACTGAAAGAAGGTGATTCCAAGATGTTACGTAACCTTTAATTACATGTTTTATTTATTAGGAGTAATAAAAATATAAACTCACAAATAGTGCAGGCTTCTCCTCAATGATGATTGATGTTTTCTTGCAATTTACAGATTTCTGGAGACTTACTAAATGTTCCACAAGGCTAAAACACTTAGTTCTCACAATTTTTTTTGTTTTCTCCAATTTCTACTGAATTTCTCTCAAACCCTTTGATAATTTCGCATTAATATTCCAATTGTCGGCTGAGAAAATAACCAAGGAAACTAGGTCTGAATGCTAAGCAGTATACTCTGCAGCTTTTTAAGAGTTGTATGGCTACAGCAATGCCATTGACGAGGGTCTCAATAAGTGTAAAGAGTTTCCCACCTTTTAGGAATGCTTCGTGGGCTGATGGCCGATCTATAACCTCGAGAGGAAGTCACTTTTAATTACCATTGAAGAAAGCTTTGTTGGTATGGAGGATGAAAAAACCTCATACTGAATGGTTCTTCACTGTTTTGCAAAAGTTCTATGTCACTGTTGTGATATTAAAGTTTTATAGTAAATCCTAGTTGTTCTTTTATGCATAGTCTTCTATTTGAAACTATTAGGCAAGTGTAACTAGAGGGCTTTACTGTAATCAAATAACAGACATTAGTGTATAGTGATCATCTGCAATAAAACATTCCCATAAGTTATTGTGCAAATTGATATTTGGGGAAGGAATTAGGGGATGTAAGCTGCCCTGCTTTCCAGAGTGCCTCAGGAAAATGGGTCTGTTGAGCATTATTGAAGGCAAGTTCATGATTAGCTGCCAGTGAGCCTATCCAGTCACGTTTCTTTCCCCTTTTTAACATCTCCGGGTACAAATCAGAGAAGAAATATTTTGGATCTGGTGTTCACATGTGTTTCCTGAAAAGAAATAAAAAAAAAGTAGATAATTCATGTGCTGTGTCCTATGAACAGCAATATACCAAATTCATCGAGATCACATTCTAAGTAATCATTTTAAGAGATACACACACACACACCACACACGCATATATCAAGGCTCCATTTCTTACTGTGGAGCTTTAAATCATACAGTAGGTTTTACTCTTCAGTTCCTACATATGCATAGCTTCTGCCTTTGGTTGTCTTATAACTGACTGATACGCATGGCATTTCTGTGTACTACTAATGATATTGAAAGACCATTAAAGAACATAGCCTGATAACAGGAATCTGTATTTAGGCAGATTAAAATAGAGAGGTAAGTCAACTAAAGGTAAGTATTGTCATAACCTGATGCATACAAATGGAAAGTATCTCAATAGAAATAGCAAGTCAGTAGAGCTTGGATCTGCTCCTGATGTTAAGAGTGACCAGAAGCTAGTGAGCTAGCTCAGCTTTGCCATTGAGGATATTGTGGGGCATAAGCCATCATGAAACAAGAAGGTTTAATGATTAAACTGGTATATCATGAAGGCCAGCTATCCAAATGTATTCTTTTTTTTTCCTTAAAACCAAGCCGTTTTATTGGTATTAATTGTTTAATTGTGCATAACGAGAATACAAGTTGTTTTTTTCAACTATCACTCATGTATATAATATTTCCCTAATATGTATTCGTGATACTATGTTTATATTTTTCTTACTCTTCTTATTTTTATTAACCTTCATTATTTTCAGCATATTTTCTCATTTAGTTTAATTTGATTGAATTGCGTTATTTTTATTCAGACATAGTAAGCAATGTCCTGATAAATCAGTTCACATTTATCCAGATATATCCATTTCTGAAAACATATGTTTGATATTATGCATTTCACCTTACCTTACGTAGATTTATTACAATGATAAATGTCAGTTCAATAAAATCTCATCATGAGGAAATCAGCCATTGTAAATTATGTATTTTCCCTTGAAAAGGAAAAGATGATAGACATTCCATGGCAGTAATTTTATTATGTCTGCCCTGGGTGCAAGGAAGGACATTTTAAAAGACTAGTTTTCCCTTTCTCTTCAAACTCACGGTAGCATTATCAGTTCAACATGTTGCCTTTCCAACCTACGTTAATATATACTTTCATTAATTATTCTCTTTTGAGAAATTGACCTTGGCCAACTGATGAAGAAGCATGGCTTCAGTGTTGCCTTCAGCAAACACTGGGTGCCAACTAGGTACATGGCTCTGATTAAGTGGCCCTTCAAATAGAAGGTGTTTGTTTTTATGCAGACATAACAGAGAACAAACAAGAAACACAGGCACATTTATGTTTTAAAAGCTTCTTCAAAACTTTCACTGAAATGGAAGAAGAGATTTTAGGTATTTAATGAATGTGTTTTAAATCCATAAATGAAGTCAACTGTTTTCTTCTCATGTTTATAGTATTTTTATCCTGATCAAAATAATATATTAAATCCATGAGGAAAGGTACCAGATATAGAGAAACAAAAGCACATAGGAGGATATTTATTTGGTTTAAGCTCACCCCTGATATAATTTCTTTGCATTTTTATCTGGGCAGACTGTCCCTTTAGACATATTTTAAACAAACCCGGTTTATGATCTATCTTGAATGTTTAAAGAAATGAAAAGATCGTAGTAGTATGATCAGTCAATCCCTAGATTCGCTACTCTCAACAAGTTTTTATTTTGGGGTGATGTTTTTTGTTTTTTAATCAGGCTTCATGGAAATTTAAAGTACATAGTGAAAAGTACATAGTTTTGCTATATAGTTAATACCATTATTCAAGATTAAATAATCACAGGAATGTACTGCTGATGTTTTTTTCTTCTATTCCTCCTTCTGTTTTCTGATGTTTGAAATTTAGACATTTCATTGCTCATTAAAACCTGAGTCAGAGTGATTGGAGAACACGGTGAAAATCAAATCAGTTTTTTTTAGTCTCTCTCTGTTTCTTTCTTGTGCTTGTTATAAGCTGCATTAAGAGAACTAAGAAAGTTCATAATATTATTTTAAAAACTGAAGTTCTATAAATAATTCTGAATTTCATTTATCATTCTCTGTCATTTATTACTATGACTAAACTAGGTGTCAAGCATATACTGATATTATAGTTGTCAAGTGGTATGTAGTGATATGGCTTTTAAACCAACCCCATGTTGGAAGTTTTGCTTTAGTTTTTTAGATCTCAGATTTTTTGAAGTATGAGCTTTTATATAAATGGGATTGTGGTCTCTTACTTTTCAAAAACATAGTATCATATTTTCACCATACAGATTGCTATCAATCCACAAATGGGTGTTGAACACCTGCTGTGAACAAGACATCGTCAACAGAAAGGGATATGACAAACATGACATGCTCAGAGATGTCAGACTTCTTGCCTGTGTATTGCATTGTCAAATATAGCATGAGATCTTGGCTTGCAATCTGTGCAATTACATTCCTTTACCTCACATAACAGAAGGGCACAGCTTTTAATTTGATGAGTATTGAATGAAGTGCCATCAGTGGCATGTGGTAGGAACACTTGTCTTTTGAACCGTACAATATGTCCTAGCTCCTCTTTGGTAACACCCTGGTTTTAAAGGAACGATACGTTGTAGGCTCACCAAGGAATATTTAGGTCTTCATTAGTATTTCTCATCCATATTACCCCACCTACTGCAGCAGAATGTATATGCACAGAGATAAACGATCCCAGAAAAACTATTCTTACCCACAGGGTGACTCCTTTACATTCTTGTTCACAGAAACCATAACAGACTGATTTATTATCCTCAATAAACTTACAAAACAAGGCAAAATCATCAACATTGGTCTACGACTCCTGAGAGAAAGGTGCACAGGCTATTTTCAAAAGATGTGTGTGGCAAGCACTACGTTTTAAAAATGTACTGTTTTATTTTTATTCACAGTGTGGGAGGGAGTAGACAGCTGGTAGTGGGAGGACACCCACTAGTTGTCTCCAGTGAGTGGTGTGTGGTTGTGAGGAAAGCCTGGGTGTAAGTTTCACGCAGTCAGATCTTCAAATGGAGAAATGAAGTCCTCACTGGCACCAACTGGCTGCCCACTTGCAACTATTTTGCTAAAATAATAATAATAAAATAATAAAATAAACCTCTTTCAAGTTCATTATTTTTATTCCTATGTCCTTTGTTCTTGGAGACTAAAAGCTAGGAGCCCTCTCAACTCTAATCTTGGAAAATGTTGGTCCTTTAAGAAATACTACTCTGAAGCCGGGCATGGTGGCTCACGCCTGTAATCCCAGCACTTTGGGAGGCCGAGGCAGGCAGATCACCTGAGGTCAGGAGTTCGAGACCAGCCTGACCAACATGGAGAAACCCCGTCTCTACTAAAAATACAAAATTAGCCGGGCGTGGTGGCACATGCTTGTAATCCCAGCCACTAGGGAGGCTAAGACAGGAGAATCACTTGAACCCAGGAGGTGGAGGTTGTGGTGAGCCGAGATCGGGCCATTGCACTCCAGCCTGGGAAACAAGAGCGAAACTCTGTCTCAAAAAATGAAAAAAGGAAATACTACTCTGGAAACATAGGACTACAAAATGACTTTTTCTTTTTACAAGACCTGAATTTATTTTGGAGTTCTTGTATTTGGAATAACACAGATAATTTAGATGAGGGCATTGGACTCTTCTAAAAGTCTAGGACTCTCTACCCAACAGGTAGATTTTAAATATGACTGTGAGAATTTCAGCAGTTATCTTGGGGAGCAGTTTAAAACCTTAATTTGTTGAGAATGACACTATTTAATGTACAGAACAATTCTTGGGACTGTATCTTTCCAGAAGCATCAAGATTCCCCACCTCCAACACTGTAAAAACCATGAAATTGTGACCAAAAGCCTTCCATTTTCTCCAGGCTGTTAAATAATATGTAGTTACAGCTCCAGTTACCTGGCTGCAACCATGAAATTAAATACACTAAAAGGTAGAATGAGACCTATCTGTCTGCCTCGGGGTATGTGTGGGTGTGTTTGTGGGGGTCTGTATGTGTATGCATGTCTACATAAACAGACATATATGCATACCCTCACCAACTACACACTACTTTTGGAGGACCAGGCAGTCCTGCTGGAAACATTGAAAAGTTCTGAAATTCAGAATTGTAACACTGTTTTCATTTTCTTTTTTAATTTCAGCTCTGTTTAACCTCATCCCTGTGGGTCTGCGAGTGGTGGCTATCCAAGGAGTTCAAACCAAGCTGTACTTGGCAATGAACAGTGAGGGATACTTGTACACCTCGGTAAGCTTTTGACTGTGTGCATGTTTTGACTATTCTAGTTTTCATCCAATATGAAAGAAAATGTGCTTTATATGTGTTATCATTACAGATTTCTGTGATGAGGAGAAGAATGTTGATGGAAATATTTCATTGAAAGGACAGATTAACTTTCTGTGAAAAATATATCTATTACTAATCAGTTATTTGAAGCAAGCATTTTAGTATATAATCAAAGATTCACTGAACATTTTTTAATACAGTGTCATTTGGGTCATCTTATGTAGCATATAATGGTCTGTCTTGCTGCCTTGCTTTGCAGCTGTGGGAAACAAAGTCATTTCTATAACTCAGTTGAACATATATTTATCCAGGTTTACTCCTAAAAAAACATGAGATCTCTCCCTCAGATCAGCTCGAGGACATGAAAACCAGTTCTTGAAGGGTTTCTAGAGTTCTATTTCTTATCTTCAGTTTAATTGAACAGGATTCCTGATTGCTTCTGCTTTAAATATAAGCACTATTTAACCTTTCCTTACCTATAAATTCCTGCTTGTCTTTTTCTTGTAACTTTGGAGTGAACAGAATGAAAAATGGAACTTTTTCTCAGATGAATGTATAAACAATGTAGATTACAATTCAATATGGAACATGGGGCCAAATTAAACTTTAAAAAAAGTTAACATTTAGATATAAGCAAAATGATACAGTATTAGGGTTAAGATTTTATTCTTATTGGCAGATCTAGTTTCAGATTATAAGAGACTATTTGATATATGAATTTTTATTTTAACTTAATTAATTAATTAATTTATTTATTTATTTATTTGAGATAGAATCTTGCTCTGTGGCCCAGGCTGGAGTGCCGTGGTGACACTCCATATTTTTAGCAGAGATGGGTTTCACCACGTTGGCCAGGCTAGTCTCGAACTCCTGGTCTCGAATGATCCGCCTGCCATGGCCTCCCAAGTTGCTGGGATTACAGGCGTGAGCCACCGTGCCCAGCGTAATATATGAGTATTTTTTAAATCTTTGTTTTGAATTCATGTATTTTAATAAAGGAAAAGAATGTTTAAAATGGAGAAAATTGCTTGTCGAACTTCTTACTAGCAAGTCTTGAAGCAGGTTGTTAGTATAACAATAAAAATCTGTTCCTCAAACTTCAGGTGAAACACTACCTTTAACCACTCTTGCTTGCTTGTTTCCTGAATTTCTTTCAAAGCCAGGTGTGCAGGAAGACTCTTGGCAGATATGGTGGAAACCATATGATAACCCTGTTTTGCAGAGGCCAAGATGGGAAAGAGGTGGGAATAGAGTAAGGCCCCAGAGGGCCTGTTTATTTGGTAAATCAGGTAGTTTGTTTCATATGATGAGAAAAGATTATGAAAAAAAGAGAATTATCAGCATATACCTCAAACCCTGGTCACTATCAGTTTTCCTATCAGGCAATTTCAGTGGTCTGGTTGCTTAATAAATATGGGGGTTTGCTCTTTTTACTAAATGAAAAATGTGATTTTATGGCAAAGTTCATGAAATACGTCATTTTATTACTAGAGTGCTACTATAAAAGATAGGAAAGGGGATTTTATTTTAGATTTGTGTACTAAGGTAAGATAATTTAATAATGAAGGATTTTAAGTAATTTCCTTTAGATCAACAGACTGCCTCAGCAGGACCAGATACAAAGGTAGGTTTTTTAATAAAATAGACGCTTTCTGAAAATATTGTGAAGGCATGATAAGGAAACGGAATATACTGGGCATACTTTTGAGAAAGCACATGCCAGATATCATATGAAATAATTACTGATAAATCATCCAGAATTTCAATGGGTTGCAGTCACCGTTATGGTGCCCTGATGAGAAAAGCTAACTAAATATAAATTTTGCAACATCACAATTGAAGAACGTACTTTGGAAATAATATTTAAGTAAGAATGTGGAAAATTATTTAACTTGGGTTATATGTCAGGTGCCCCCACTCAAGAAAATTAGGGCACTCAGCATTACACTTAAGGAACCAGCGTTGAAAATGCATAGCCTACCATTCAAATTAATCATTATTCCAGCAAACTGGTAAATGTCAATGTGAGCTCATTTCTAGAAAGGCTTCCCAGGGAAATGAGGACTGTAGATTGGTGAACTTCCTTTCCGTGATGGGTGGGCCAATATACATCCAAATGTGGCACATCTTGTATGTATTTCCTATTAAGAAAAAAGAAGCCTTAAGTAAGTGTTTCTATTAGAGAAAAGGAACTATGTTTTTGTTAAGGAGGAAATATGCCTGCTTGATGATCCTGGAGTTCATATATGGAAAGAATATCCAAATTAGTCTGCTCCAGGAAATAAATCAGAATCCTCTTTAGAATTAATTTTCCAATTCTTCCAATTACTCCTTATTAATTGTGGCTGGGAATCCATTCACCAAGTTGATCACCATCCTCAGTGGGCACTTCATTTTGTTGTCATCTTATTTAAAGTGTGGTGCCCAGATTACTTAGGATGGAGTTCTATCCTAATAACTTCAGCAACTTATATTGCTGAGATCAAAAGCTTAATGAAATATCATGTTTCATCAAGAAGAGACAGCAACCAAAGAGGAAGGATCACTCTTCCCTTGCGTAAAACCATGGCACTTCTACTACAAAATGCTATATGCAATTTTGCAAAGTGCCTCTTAGCAAAGAGAAGACAGAACAGGACAATGACCTAAAGAGAAAGCAAAAGTAAGCAAAGGAGGTAAGGGGCTACTGATGTGGGCAAGTTAAAAAAAATTGGTGAGGGATGACTACAGTCTGCTTAAAAAGCAGTTGCAGTGGGAATGGCTAAAAGGAGATGGATTGCTGAGATATTTTAGAGGTAGAATCATCAGGATTTGGTGGCTGATTGGATTTGGAAGGAAAGCAGGACCACCATACATGGTTAAACATGTATGGTTGCCATTCACTGCACAGATGAGAATGAGGTGTCTTCAGGTAAGAATTAAAAAAAAAACCTTCACAGAAGTCAGAAGTGCTCAGTGGATTATCAGGCGTCATGAGGGAGAGGGGGAATTTTGCCTCTGGCATTTAGGCTGAATAAAGCGGGAAAAAGCAGATTTGAGGAAGTTACCTGAGTATAGCTTTCAAGGGATATTTGAAAATATGAACCTAGCACTTGAGAAAGGGACATGAACTAGAAATAAAACTCGGGAGTTATCACATGTAGGTAGCAGTCCATGCCATGGAAATAGTTATGAAAATATGTAGCATAAGAAGAGGAGAGAGCTTGTCAAATAATGTTAGAAAATAACAGCATGAAAGTGACCAGCAGAGGAAGAATAACTAATTATGGCAGATATAGTGGTATTGCAAAAGCTAAATGGGGAAGGAGTTTTAAGAAGAGTCAGCAATGTGAAATGTTTCATATGTTGTGGGTGATCTTAACAAAAACAGTTTTGGTGGAATATTGGGAACAGAAGCCAGATTCTAGTGGCTTGAGGAGTAAATGGGATGAGAGGAAGTAGAGGCAACAGGTATAGAATTTCTAAGGGAAGGGAAGGGAAGGGTGGGTGTGTATTTAGGGCAGAACACAGGGTTGAGGAAGACTGAGGATTCTTTGGTTAAGGATGTCACTTGAACATATTTGTTAAGTAAAAGAAATGAACAAATAGAAAGGGAGTGATTACAGACATAAGAAATGGTATTCTTTATGGAGTCGAGCTGCAGAAGAGATGGAAGGGTGATGGAATTAAGTATAAGTGAAAGAATTACATTCATCTTGAAAAGAAGGGACACTGAATCTCTAATAGGAGACAAAGAGATGAGGACAGATGCAGACATAGGTTTACTGAGTCTGCAAGTAATAGACAAGGAAGTAGAAGAATTTTCTACCAGATGATCTGCATTTTTCCATTAAAGTAGAATAAGAGGTCACCTACTGAAAGTCAAAGGTATGGGGGTAACCACAGGTAAACAGGGGTGGGAACAACTGTTTTGGGCAAGGGGAATGGAAACAGTTTAATAAACAGGAGTAGGTAAGCTAAGGCCGTGGGTCAAATCCAGCCCACTACCTGTTTATGAAAATAAAGTTTTATTGGAACGCAGCCACACCCATTCATTTACTTATTGTCTACGGCTGCTTTTGCACTGCAACAGCAGAGTTGAATAGTTGCAACAGAGCCCTTATGGCCCACAAAGCCTAAATTATTTACTAAATAACTTGTCCCCTTTACCTCCCAGAAAGTTTGCTGACCCCTAGATTGTAATCAGATAATGATTCTCAGCCTTAGGTACCCATCAGAATTACCTGAGGAACTTTAAGAAATTCCATTCTTTGTGTTACATTTGGACCAATTATATCAATATCCAAGGGTGGGATCTACGCATGAATATTTTCGAAAGCTCCCCAGCTAATGCTTATGAAAACCACTGATCTGAGCTTAAGAAAAATGGTTGTTGAATAGCACTGAGGCACTGAGGACACGCCACTGAAGTCAGAAACCATGAGTTTATATGCACTTAATCATTTGTTCCAAATTCCTGATACCAATGTTTTTCTGTTCTTGCAAGCAAATTGCCTTTACATTTTTGAAGGAATATTTCTTGAGATGATGGAAAATGCTGATCCCTGGAAGAGCGTTCTTATTTTATCTCTTTTTCTTTATTCTACCTTCTTTTGCATTTCTACTTCTATATCCCTCAATTTTGGGGGGGTTGAATTCAACTTTATAGTTTTTGCCATTTATTTTCTCCCTTTTGTCCATTAAATAAAGAAACGACACCTCCACATTGTTATTGTTACAGAGATAGCAATTTACTTTCCATGATTAATCTCAGAATTCTTGCACTGCACCCTCCCTTCCCCGCCCTTTTTTTTTCTTGTTGCCATGGGGGACAGACTTGATGTAGGCACATCTGTGGCACAGAGAATCATAATTAGCCATTATTTCATAACATATTTACTTTTGTCCATGATATATGCTGAGTCTTTCTGGGACTGCAAGAAAGTTGTTATTTGTTGTGCAGAGATAATTTTGTTCTTACCTTTGGTTTTCTTTAGCAATAATAAGGAGTTGTACACAAGCTTTTGAGAGTTCCTCAAAACTTCACAGTATGAATATTTAATAACATAAAGCTATTTGTAATAAATGTTTTAAAACTGCTTGAAATAAATAATCATTGACTATAGAAAGTCAAGTGTCTTAAATATAAAAAAAATTCCCGTTCTATGTCTACTTTAATAAGAAATAACAGATATTAGAAACAGGATAGCAAAAACTCAAAGTTAAACCAAAAGCATTACTATTATTTTTTTTATTTTGGAATGTTCTAGAACTCATTAGCAGCAGTTCTACCCATATAATTACTTACCTTTCAAAAAATTCTAGTTTTCCTTTTTCACAATACACAGTATTGCTTGGGTTGAAGTTGGGGCAGACAAAACGTATAGACAAGTAGAAATCCTTTGACAAGCCTTTTTCATTCATGGATTTCCAGGGAAAACTTGTAGGAGTGATTTTACTGTCACGTTTTGTAGTCCTGGGACTACCATAGCAAACTAGATGCAAGACCAGAAAGCAGTCCTCTTTCTGAGAGTCAGCTTGATGCCATGGGAATGAGACAGCTTGTGTTACTGATCCCAACGGCTCAGTCAGATTGCAATCTGAACTAAGGGGACATATTTTTCTTCTCTACTGGATTATTTTCACATACCTTAAATTTACCGTTTCTTCTCTCATTACATAGAGTTGTTCTTACCTATCACTCAGAACATCTCATAATACAATCTCCTTTGAAGGAGTCACTATCAGAAATAGTGACAAATGAAACAATACCAGCCCCTTAGCAGTTGTGACACCTTAGCTTCACTTGTTTTATTCTTTGACAACTTAGATTTGCTTTCCTTTAAGAATGTTACATGCCTAAGTTAATATTTAGGTTATATTTAATGCATTTAGCTTGGTTTTTAAAATTTTATAATTTTTCAACACATATTGCAAATTTTTGGCCATTGTAAAATCAGTTAAGAATTACTGTTTTAAACAAACTAAATATGAGAAATATAAATATTAAATGGAAAAATTCTTCATTTGACCATGCCTCTAAACACGTTACATTTAGAGAGATGCATTTGATTACTGAGGTGTGTGATATATGAATACATGCATAAATATTCTTAGAATGCTTTTGCTGATGAATAGGGAAAAGCCCGAGATGGCAGCCCAAGATGCAGCATTTGCTACAGATAATTCAATTAGTAAGTGTTTTGTCATTTTCCTTGTTCTCAAAGACACTGACATTGAGTTTGTCAGTCATATGTTAACATTCTTGGTAACTTCAGAATCCCTGAGATGACCCGTCCAACAAAACTGGTCTCAAGTTCTGTGACCTTTTTTAGCTGTAAGGATATTTTTCTATTCCTCAGCCTTATCAATCTCATGGCCATACTCTTGGACCTTTTCATATTCCAGACTATTGACCGCTTTTCCATTATCTATTACCTCCTTCTTTTTTTAAACAGCTTGAATGAGATATAGTTCACAGATCTTAAATTTATCCATTTAAAGTGTGTACAATTCAGTTGTTTTTAGTATATTTCACAAGGCTGTCCAACCATCACCACTGTGTAATTCTAGAATACTTTTATCACGCTAAATGAAGAAATTATACCAATTAGTAGACACACCTTATCCCGTTCCCCAGTCTCAGGCAAGCACTAATTTACTTTGTCTCTCTATGGATTTGCCTATTTGGAACATTTCATACAAAAGGAATACAATATATGGCCTTTTATGACTGTCTCCTTTCACTTAGCATAAAGTTTAGAAGACTCTTACATGTTGTAGCATGAATCAGTACTTCATTCCATCTGATGGCTGAGTAATATTCCATTGTATGTTCCTACATTGGTTTATTCATTGTCAGTTGATGGACATTTGGATTGTTTCCCCCAAATACCTGCATAGCTGCTTCCTTCTTTGTTCACGTCTCAACTGGAATGACATTCTTTAGAAAGGCCATCTCTGACCACCTTAACTAAAGCAGTACATTCACTATCTGTATTATCCACATTTATCTTCTTCAAGGCATTATCACTATTTAAAATTATTATTTTGTGTGTTTTTCATCTTCCCCAACTAGAATTTAACATGTTGACAGCATATATTCCATTTTTCTTATACACTACTATATCCCCAGTGCCTTGATTAATGCATGCTGTTGTTTTCTCAATACATATTTACTGACTTTGTTGTCTTCAAAAGGGAAAGCAAATATGTACTTATAGTCCGATTTTAGTTGCGTTGCTTAAAATTTTTTATTTGGAAACAACTTCAAACTTATAGAAAGTTTGCAAGAATAACACTAGTACAAATGACTCCATATATCCTATCCTCCGATTCATTTTGCTCCATTTGCTTTATCATTTGTTCTTTCTTTCCCACACACACACAGTTTTCTGAGCCATTTGAGAGTATGTACCCTGGCACTTTACACCTATTTCCTAAGAATAGGGATATTTTCTTATATACTGACAGTAATGAACTGCAGTAAATGTAACATTAATACAATACTTTAGCTAATCTACTGTCCATATTCCAATTTTTTAAGTAAAAAATATGTTCATTTTTTCCTTCCGTAGAGAATCCAGTCTAGGGTCAGTTACAGCATTGGCATGTCTTCTTAGTCTCTTTTAATCTAGAACATTTCCAGAGACTTTCTTTGTGTTTTATGACATTAGAATTTTTGAAGACAAGAGTCCACTTTCTAATTTTAAAATAAGCATTCACAATTTTGGGTTTGCTTGATGGTTTTTCTTAATTCAATTGAGATTAAGCATTTTAGCCAGAGTACTGCTTAGGTGATAGTATGTCCTTCTTAGGGTATCACATCTGGAGGTATGCAGTATCCATTTGCCCCTCATTGGACGTTAATTTTGATGATAAAATCAAGGTGTTTTCTCATTTTCCCCTGTATAACTCTTGGTTTTCTGGGTTTGTGTGTGTGTGTGTGTGTGTGTGTGTGTGTGTGTGTGTGTGTGTGTTTCAACTAGTAAATAATCCACTGGGAGACACTTTGAGACCATGTAAATATCCTACTCCTAAGATCCCAGTTTTTAATGTTATGTTTTCAGCAATCCCAAACCTCTTTAGAAAAGTAAAATAATTAGTCCATAAATTGAGAAATAACCAGTGATTCCCAGATATGTCATATAAGTTTACTGATAGCTAAACTGAGGTAGAAAAAATTAACATGGCCGGGCACGTGGGCTCACGCCTGTAATCCCAGCACTATGGGAGGCCAAGGTGGGTGGATCACCAGGTCAGGAGATCGAGACCATCCTGGCTAACACGGTGAAACCTTGTCTCTACTGATAAAAAATTTAAAAAAATAAAAATAAATAAAAAAAAAATTAGCCGGGCTTGGTGGCAGGCGCCTGTAGTCCCAGCTACTGGGGAGGCTGAGGCAGGAGAATGGCATGAACCCAGGAGGCGGAGCTTGCAGTGAGCCAAGATTGCGCCACTGCACTCCAGCCTGGGTGACAGAGCGAGACTCCATCTCAAAAAAAAAAAAAAAAAGAAAAGAAAAGAAAAAAGAAAAAATTAACATGTATTTCCAAAAAATAAAAAATGTCATAAAAAATATGATCTGGCAGCAATTTCTGGATTCCGCATTCTAGTCACTGGGCTTAAATACAATTAATGGAAAGGTTGTTTGCATTGTTTAGGTGCAATAAAATCGATTCTGATATATGTTTTAATTTCATACCATGAGTAGGGGGTTGGTTCATGTTAAGATGCCTCAGATGTTCAGTATGTTTACCTGTCAAATGCAGGGTTACACTTTTGCTGATTTGTTTACTTCCTGTGATTTTAATGTGTGACAATCGAAGACCTAATTTTCAATGGTATGGCTTTGCATCTTTAGCTCTTATTCTAATACAGAAAGGATGTCAAACTTTAGATGAACTCATTGATCAATTTACAGTGATGAATGTACTTCTAGCAAATATTTGTAGCATGTAAAATGTTTGAATTATATTAGATGGTATATCAGCAAGTACATCTAATTTAAATTCTAGGGTTACTTTTTAGAGGCTTAAAAATCTAATAGAATTAAATGGAGAGCTTTGTTTAATAATGAAAACTCTTTAGGAAAGTGATATGGACTCAATTATTGAAGGAAATTGATCTAAAATAAACACAAGCAGCATCACATCCAATATTGAAGAAAATGATCATTATCAAATAAAATCAAAAAGCATAGGCACAAAGGTATTTTAACTTCAGATTAAAACTTTTGCTTATTGATATATATCAGTTAATTAACAAATTGTTGAATTTGGTTTATTTAAAATTGGAAAAGTGTTTACTATCAAAACTTAGGTTCCTAATTTTGGTGTGTAGTATACATTTGATAAACTTTTTTGATGAATCATTTAGTTTTATGGGATTAAACATTTCTGATGAATGTTTTCAGTTCACACTAATGGTTTGTATGGGTAATTATACAAACACATATATTTCTGAATGCTATCACTAGAAATGGAAAATATAGAAAGTTAAATTTTTACAGGAAAAAAGCAGAGAAAATAAGCAAATTTTATTTATTACCAAATGGATCTGCTAGCTCAAAGAGCTAGATTTTATGTTTTAAAGAGGTGTCCAGCTATTGAGTTGGTGTTATTAAGATGAAAGTCTTTAAAATTATTGCAGTGAAAAATATACAGAAGTAGCAGTATTCATCTTAGATTTTACTTCCAAACACAAGTAAATCAGCTTAATTTTCAAGGCCAAAAAACATTTCCTACATCACAGATTATTTCACGTTTATTATTCTTTGCAATTAATGTAAGTTTCACTAAAATATGAAGAAAACCTAGCTTGGCATTATTTGTATGTGAAATTGCATAAGTCTGGTTGCTTGTACCTATTTTCTCTTTATGGACTCTAAGAAAATAACAAAAATGGGTAAAGTATTCAGGGTGATGGTCTAGTGTTTTAGGTGTAAGAATGACTGAGAATGGTACTTTCTGGGAAATCAGGGAGACTATTGGTTGTAGCTAAATAGAATGTGACTGGCTCTGTATTCTGTTTTTGAGGCCAAGTTGACAAAAAAAATCCAAATTAGAGGTCATGGAGCACATATTTAACAGAGTGTTTCATGATTTTAACTCTGAAGCTAAATTCATATTTGTGGGAAAAAGCCAGACTCTTGAAGCTAAACAATAAAATAATTGGCAAGAAAGACTAAGAGGAATTTTAGCAAGTAAAGCCAGATGTAAGGGGATTTACACACACACACACACATACACACATGCACACACACATATAAGAAAGACAAATGGAAAAATGTAATGTTATATTCATTGCTCTGTTGCTATAACGGCACTAGTTATTTTGGAATTCCTAAAATAATTCTAAGTTTTAAATACATAACCTACACTGAACATTTGGAAATTGCTCTAGCAACATATTTGGTAATGCTAAGTACCTTTATGAAAGAGAGCAAATATGACTTTTTAGCTTTATTTTATGTGATTACCCAGTGATTCTCATGTCTTGGTGAAGACGTTGTTTTTAGTCTCTATCTCCTCGTTTGTATAATGTTAATCCACAACATGATAGAAAAAAAAAAAAAAACAGCTCAACAAAACATTTTTCCCCATCAACCTTGTGCATTGAAATAGTTTGCCTACAAAATCCTATGCTCATTAATTAGTAACTGATTTGTTTTCTCTCTACTTCCCCCTTAGTCATAGAGCAGCCTAGCAAAAGTATGTTTTTAACACATATTTATTGAAATAATTAATAGAGATGTATATAATAAAGCATAAAGACTGATGATATTGTTTCTGTCAGGCCTATTGAATATTTTAAATAAGTTACAGAGACCAATTATGAACTTTTGTGGGTCCTCTGAAGTGTTAACATTTCAAAATTACATAAGAAAGTGAATTACTGAGACACAAGAAAAAAAATTGGAAGCTACAGCACTGGTTTCAGTGACTACACCACTTAAAGGGAATTGTGACTTCTGAACAGGGAAGTTTTGAATGAAAGCATTTTCTGATCATTATAATAGCTGTAACCAAGGTTAATAACGGGCAAGCCCCTGAATAATACAGTTAATATGTTTTGTCCAGCTGAATGTGTGAGTAGATAACACATCTATGCTATCATTCTGATTAAGTTATTCATCAGATAATCTGATGCTAACTACTTTTGACAGTTCTGGAAATAGAACTACTGTGAAAACCTCAATTGATTTCTTGGATATATAACACCTCCTTTTAAAAGGGCCTCAGATGTGTATAGGAATTCTGGCATATCATATAACAAAAGTAATTAAAATTAGGTGTGATGTTCATTTTTACCCAAGAAAAAATGTCCTATAAAGATTTGGAAGAGTCAAATGTAAATAACAACCCCAAAGTATTATAACTTAGACTGTAATAATACGAAGAGTGAAAAATGTCTGATAGAAAGAGATGTGAGTCATTCCATAATACTTTCATAATTGTCAATGAGATACCAGGAAATGAAAGTCATAGCTTTCAGAAATGAAATTCGAAAAGGTAAAAACTTCATTGTGTATAGTAAATACTATAACAAAAAAGCCTGTGTGTAACAAATCTACTGCTATATCCTGGCCACAAAATCAGCAAGGCTACAACAACAAAAGTCCTCTTTAGAGTGCTTGGTGGTTGATCTGATTAAAGACTTCTTAAAAATATTTAAAGTATTCCCGGGCTCCTTCCCATGTCATAACAGTGATTCACTGTAATTAACGTGTTAATGAAAGAGCCTCTTTGCAGTGTTATTTTCACTGAGGAAGATAGAGCCTATGGGAGACCTGAAGCTGAGAGCTTTTATATTGTATCATAACCTTTGAAGCAGAAATTTCCTGAAAACTCCCTTCATTGCTCTTCAAGTCTCAGAGAGCCCAGTCACACATCTAATCTCCCAGGGAAGTCGAAGCATAAAATGGTCCACAAGCTTTGCCAACCAATTGATTAGCATATACCTGTTGAATATCCATAAGATACTAGGCACCCCAAACCATGATCATGTTGATCCATTCATACTGTCAATGTCTGGAATTTATAGTATACATAAGGAGATTCATCCCAAATTCAGATCTGTAATTGTTAATAGTTGATCTACTACAGGATCAGCATAAACTGTTTCATCCTGACTTCTGCAGCTTGGCAATGCTATTTTTAGCCCAGAACTCACTGTAAGAAGATTCCATATAGGGAAACAATTTGAATGCCTTGGGATGGGGGTGGGTGAGAGTGCATCATTATGGAAATTTACCAGTTATATCAAACAATATATATTGGTTGCTTGGCACCACAGACTTTAGCAGATCACACTAAGATCATGCTTCTATGCCATGAGGAGGTAAAATTGAATACACTGGACAATGGTTTTCAATTATATCAAGAAATGATGTAGGATAAAATGCTTTAAAATTTTTATATATGTGTGACTCAGAAAAAAAAAAGGCTCCCACTTGCCCAGCACAAGTGGATTACAGTAGATTCAACCAACCAAAGCTTTTAGATGTATCAAAGTCCACCTCACATGTTTGGCCAATGACACAGGGATATATTTCCCTCCATTTTTCTATAATTTCAAGTTCCAATAGTAGGCATAACAAAGAGAAACAATGCTGACCCATAGAGATATAATTTCCTGAAGCTATAACATGCAATATATATTAACACCTGATATTTTGAGGAACAGAAAGTGCTTATTTCTCTAAAAAAAAGAGTTATCATTTTCTACTATTGACTTTCATGAGTGATGAGGAAAGAGCAAAGTTTTGACCCTCCTATCTCCTCCTTCTTTGAGATCCCCATTACTCATTTACCCCTTCTCTGTGATTAGATGGGTGGTTAACACTAGAAGCAATAAGTGGATACAAAACACATGTATTAAAGCTCTTCATTACATTTATGTTCCTCATATCTTTACCAGTAAGGGAAGCGACCTGGCCAACTCATTATGTTTCTCTGTACTCCTCTAGTCCCAAAAATAATTATTTGCTTGAACAAAAAAGTTCTGCTTTCAGTAGGGCTGTCAAAAAATCAAAGCTCATGTACATTACAAGGGTATTTCAGTCAAACGATTATTAAATTTCACATAAGAAAATACACTCAACAGACACTTTAACTGCTATCTCTGATCAAGGCATGAAACTGTTCAAACAAATAATTAAACTTGAAAATAGGGTGTCAACAGAACCATGATGGGTGGTTTTGCTGAGTTATTTTCTTTGCTGTGGAACTCGGCCTTAAATGTCCACATGGAGAGCAAATAGAGCAGCATTTTATTTTATGTTCTCTTTTCCAATACCCTACTTACTTGAGGTATGCTTTCTCTTCAGATTTTGAGGTTAGACTTTTCTTCTCTATAACTCATCTTTTTGCCTCCTCTGCTCAGCGGCAGCTATCTTGAACCTCAGAAGCCTTGGTGAGACTAGGAGTTTCAGCATCAAGAGAGGTGTTTGGTTTGGTTTGGTTCATTTGTTTTTCAGTATCTGTAACACATTCTAGTGATGCCTGTCAGTTTGCTGGAACCACTCATGGTCCTTGCTGTCAGAGGCAAGGCTCTGCCACTTGGGGCGTGAGTGTAGGTGTAGACCCATGGAGAAAGTTGTTTTGCAACAAACTGCCTGGATAGTAGTGTTGCTTTGTAATTATGTAAAATCAAAACATTCAAAAGATGCTGGCAGATAAATGAGAGATAATAATAGTAAAGAAATGAGAATTCCAGAAATGTAAAACAATTCTGAATTAGATTTATTTCAGACTTAGCTACCTTTCTTTTTGGCAGACAGAGCACCATTCTTGGGAGTTTCAGGGAATCAAAATGAAAATGAAAGGCAGTTTCTTCCACAAGGTTTTTAGTATTCTCTGAAATTCTGACTAGCCTCTGCCCTCAGGGTTCAACAGTGTGAGAGCTCTTGGTCCAGATGCCCAGTAATCTCTGTATCACCTCTGTAGTAAGAAATACAGTATAAAAAGGAGTAAATTCAGTTATTTAGTAGTGGAAATTACATGATGACAGATATTTTCAAAGATGCTTATCATTGATTTTCTCTCCATCTGTGCTAATATTCACATGCATACCTATGCAAATAGGCTTTAAATGATTTGATTTCATACCCAAAAGTCAGATTCTCCTGTTGTTCATTTAGCATTTTTCTATTAGGATATTTGAAAAAAGTATTTTTTATGGTAAATATAGAAGCATTTGAGCAGTCTTCTTTTTATATGGTCAGTTTTCCATTTTGAAGGGGAAACACTTGTCCTTGTCAGAATTATTGTGAACTGCCTTAGTTTAAAAATTGGAACCAAAATGAGATTTGATTGTTACTGGGGTAGGTTTTTTTTTAAGTTTTTTACTGATATGTAATAATTGTACATATTTAGGGGGTACACGTGGTATTTTAATACATGTATTCAATGTGTAATTATCAAATCAGGGTAACTGGGACATCTGTCACTTCAGACATTTCTCTATTCTTTGTGTTGGGAATGTTTCAAATCTTTTCTTCTAGCTATTTTGAAAGATACAATAAATTTTTGTAAACTATAATCTCCCTACTGTACTGTCAAATACTAGAATGTATTCCTTCTATCTAACTGTATTTTTGTACCCATGAACCAACTTTGCTGCATTCCCCCTCCCACCTACTTTTCCCAGACTCTGGTAACCATCATTCTACTCTCTACCTCCATAAGATCCAATTTTTGGGGCCGGGCGAGGTGGCTCATGCCTGTAATCCCAGCACTTTGAGAGGCCCAGGTGGGCAGATCACAAGGTCAGGAGATCGAGACCATCCTGGCTAACATGGTGAAATCCCGTCTCTACTAAAAAAAAAAAAATACAAAAAATTAGCCGGGCATGGTGGCACGCACCTGTAGTCCCAGCTACTTGGGAGGCTGAGGCAGGAGAATTACTTGAACCCGGGAGGTGGAGGTTACAGTGAGCTGACATCGTGCCACTCACTGCACTCCAGTCTGGGCAACAGAGCAAGACTCCGTCTCAAAAAAAAAAAAAAAATCCAATTTTTTAGTTCCCATATGCGAGTGAGAACATGCAGTATTTGTCTCCCTGTGTCTGGCTTATTTCACTTAGCATAATGACCTCCAGTTCCATCCAGGTTGCTGCAAATGACATGATTTTATTCTTTTTTGTGGCTGAATAATATTGCATTGTGTATATGTACCACATTTTCTTTATTCGTTCATTTGTTGATGGACACTTAGGTTGATTCCATATCACGGCTATTGTGAATAGTGCTGCAGTAAACATGAGAATGCAGATATCTCTTTGATATGCTGATTTCCTTTCTTTTGGATATATACCCAGTAGTGGGATTGCTGGATCATATGGTAGTTTTATTTTTAGTATTTTGAGGAACCTCCATACTGTCTTCCATAATAGCTGTACTAATTTACATTCCCAACAGTGTACAAGGATTCTCCTTCCTTCACATCCGTACCCAGCAACTGTTATTTTTTGTTTGTTTTATATTAGCCATTTTAACAGAGTTGAGATGCTATCTCATTATTTTGATTTGCATTTTCCTGATGATTAGTTATGTTGAGCATATTTTTCATGTGTCTGTTGAAGAGTTGTATGTCTTCCTTTGAGAAATGTCTATTCAAGTCCTTTGCCCAATTTTTAATTGGATTTATTTATTTATTTATTTATTTTTGCTATTGAGTTGTGTTCATTATATATGCTGCTTATTAATCCCTTGTTAGGTGGACAGTATGCAAATATTTTCTCCCATTCTGTAGGTTGTCTCTTCCCTCTGTTGATTGTTTCCCTGCTGTGCAGGAACTTTTTAGCTTCATGTATTGTCTATTTTTTAAATTTTGTTTTCTGTGCTTTTAAGGTTTTACCCAAAAAATCTTTGCCAAGACCAATGTCCTGTAGCATTTTCTGGATGTTTTCTTCTATTTCACAGTTTCAGGACTTACATTTAGATCTTTAATACATTTTGAGTTGATTTTTGTATATGTTGAATGTGGTAGGTTATTGTACTAGTGAAATGCTGACAAAAGCATGCTGAAGGAAGATAGATCATTATTTTGTTTTGGATTCTTACATTGCTTTAACCACCCGTGCTTAATTGTTTTATTATTATTTCCTGAAATATTATTATGCATCATTGAATACTAAGTCAGCCTTTAAGAGGCTTTATATATACACATTCTAGGCTTTTTCTAAGTATAACTAATCATCAAGTATAGGTGTCATTTACACAGTTTGTTTGAGTCACTCCTTTAATATGATATAATTTTCTTAGCTGACATTGTATAGATTTTATCAAACCTAAAATTGAGTAATACAAGAAATTCTACCAAGACATCAGTGTCATTTGCATAGAGGCGTAAGTATATTAAGATCTCTGTATGAAATGTGTTGTAAGAGTATGAAATATTATCCTACTGATTTATTGAATAAATAACATGTATTAATAGTTAAATCTTGCTTTTTATATGTCTCAGAGCCCTGAACCTTACAGATCTCAAACTTCATATAGTATTTGCAAGTCAAGAAAAATGAAAATTGGGCACATTGTGAAAAATCCTGGAATGTATTACCAACAAATTGTTCATTTCTGGCACATTAATTATTTCACAAATTGTTCGTCATGTTCCCATTTCACTTTTATAAGCACAGTAACACTCTCTTTTACAGAATGTTGCCAACATTTAATTTCTTAATGAATCAATGACTCTTTCATACATTATAAATAAGAATATAGGTTCACCTTACCAAGTGGCTAAACAGCATTCTCTAATATTTGTTGGAGCATTAGGGAAAAGCTGATGGCAACCAGTATCAGTTTTGCATAAATAGTATTTTTTTCCCTTAGAACGTAAGATTAACCTTTTTTCTTAAAAGTTAGCAGCAAGATGTTAAAACGTAATATTATTCATAGGAAGTTTAAGTACAGCCATAGTAAAGAATTTTTCTTTTTTATTAGATTTTATTGAACGTTTATTTGCTGTTACTGTGGTCACGCAACCTGTTACCGTCTCATCACAAACAGCATTTCATTTAGTATATTGAGAAAAGTGCTGTTTCAGGAAGCCACATGCAGTGCTACTAGATCAGAATACATTGAGGGTCAAAAGTTTATAGGGACCCTTGATAAAAAAAATAATAAATGTTCTCACTCTATATAGGGGGATCTCATCTGAGGGAATTTAGTTTGTAACATGCCAAATAAACTTTGCTATAAAAATAGTTTCCATTTAAATTGCTTCTAGGATTCTAAGAGTAGGATTATAGAGACAGCTCAGTGTAATAATATTAAAATACATACTTTTAAGTATGGCAATTCATACTTTTAAAGCCCTATTGCCTGCATTATCTTACATCATACTGTGTGCACTTGTCAAGTGATCGAGAAAAGCTGCTGTATTTGGGTTGCTATTTTGAACTGTTGAATTAAATATAAAGTCCAAGTAAATATATTTGTAACAGTAAGTAAATCGTGATAATGTGCAATTCATCATTTTGTCCATTTTTTTTTCATTTATGACAGTTTTTTTATGGTGTAGGGTCACACTGAAAGGGTTATTTCATTCTAGAAGTTGTAGATGAAGTACCTTTATTTGTTAGGGGTGCTGGCCAAGAAACCATTAATTGGCTTTCTTGCAAGATACAATAACTTTTCTTTAGTTGTTTGATGAGTCTCAATCTCGTGTAGAATTCTCAAATCACTGCCCCTGGTATGATCTTGTGGCAGATTTGTATAGATTCCGGAAGTCTTAGAAAGTTTCTCTTGCTGTTACGACATTGCTGGTGGTCCCCAAGGCAATTATGCTCCTTTAGTGGTCATCCCACTTAATTAAAGGGAGAAGTGTTGCTCTAGATAGTTTTATTATATCTCCTTGTGGTTGCTAAACGAAGCATACCAGCTCAACAGTACTTCCTGCTTTTAATTGAAGTTTCGTTTTCTAAGAATATTTAGTAGTTCATTTTCCTTTCAGGTGTAACATTCTAAATTCAAATGAGTTAGGATCTTCTTTTGGTTTGTTTTTGCTTTATTGTTTGTTGTTCTCTGCAATTATTCCCTTTCTTGAATTGTTTATGGAAGGACTCACTGCCTTCATATTTTTATTTAGCAAAAAATCTCTTGAGTAGAAGAAGTTGGATTGCATGCCCATGAGACCACATACCCTGTTTGGGCTTCATTAAGTCCGTTGTAAATACAGATATTAGAGATAAGTAATATTGGCTAATATCAGGCTATTTTCTTGTGATGTTACAACCTCATAAAAAGCCTGCAGAGGCATCACTGTGCCTCATTTTGTGTTCTTGACGCACAATGTGTGTAATATTTTCTCATATCTCCTTTATTTCCAAATGTTTGTTGCATGTAAATCTGATATTTCCCAAACCATATTTTAACCTATTTGAATATAAGAATGGTGCCTTCCCCATCTTTTATATTTCCCACCATACCAAATTCATTACTAAATACCAAGTAAATATTTTACCAATATTTAGTAAATAAATGATAGAAGATAATTTTACTATGTACGAAGCCAAAGACAGAAAAAAAATGAGTGATTTTTCTCTTTCACATAATAAGAGATGACTGGATCAAAATGATACACTTTAGTAAGGAAGAATTTGGAGGTTCAAATTATGTGTGTTTCACAATATGGGCACACCGAATTAGAAATACAGGAGTGCAGTTTCTAACCCCTGTTCAAATGAATGTATGAACTTGAGCAGCTCCCTTCCTTTGTCAGGTTATCAATTACCTTAAATATCAAATGATAGTGTATAATATATTTCTTTGACCTCTTAAGTCTATTTTGCAAGTAATAAATCCCTTAACTTTGCATGCATTATTAAATTTTTAATAAAATCTACAGCAATGAGGTTATGTAGAATATAGATCTAATGAGTGCTCTTTAGTACTGAGTAGCCAGGGGATCATATTTGAAATAGATGGGATATACCTAGGGAAATGAACAGTTATTTCCTGCTCGTGATTACAACAGTGGACATAGGTTTCTAATGAGTCTTTCATGACAGCATTCTTTTATTTTCCTCTGCCTTTCATTATTTGGTTTATTTATATAAAAGTAACAGAATTCCACTGGGGCATAACTGGACTTGACCAATAAAGGATGACTCTTTGTGCCTTCTATTTGCCTCCACTTAATTGTCCTGCTCGTCATCCCGCTGAATTATGGAAAATGTCACATTTCCTTGGCCTATGACTCATATAACAAATGAATGTGTGAATAGTGTCAAAATACAGCAATTTGCTCTATGTAAAGGGAGGTAGACAGCTTTTGAAAATGGTAAGGTATATAACTAGATATTTCTAAACTGAAGAAAATTCTCATTTGGGCTTAGACGTGTGCATCTATGGTGCAATTAGTTGTTAAATCATTTAATTGAGGGCTCACTTGCCTAGTCTGTATACTTGCCTCACTGATAGTGACTCAGGAAGCAAATCAAGTGGACTTAAAACTAAAATATCAATACCCTATACAACAAGAGAAGAGACATGATTTCTTTATTAACATTGGAGCTGTGTGTGTGTGTGTGTGTGTGTGAGAGAGAGAGAGAGAGTGTGTTTGTGTGTGTGTGTTAGTTTGTTTAGCTTCCATCCAAGCACTGATGGTCCTGCAAATTAAGTGGATTCAGAATCTTCATAGTTCCTGACCGATAATCCCCATCTTCAAACATTTTTTTGCAGGAGGAACTTGGAATCATTGATCTTACTGTGTTTCTCTAAAATATAATAATTTGTGCATAAATAGGAATTTTATGACATACTCTATGTCCTCTAATAGTTTTGTGTAATTTCATTGCCATTTAGTGATCAACAAAAGGAGTTTGTAAACTATAAACTAGCTTTTTCCTGGCTCGCTTATGAGGGAATAGGACAGAACTCCTTGGGTTTAATTTTCAGAAATCCTAAATATCAACATTTTTTATACTTGATAGAGTTAAATATAAAGGAATAAATAAGCAAAACTAAGGCCAACCTTGTGCATTAGCCCTTCCACTCACTTCAGATCACCAGAGCTTGGATGTTTCATCTGCTAACAATTCCTCTGAAGCATTCTCAAGCATGTTTTCTTGCCAGCAAAAGTAATATAAGTCCTAGGCAATAATAGCTTGATAAATTCATAGAAGATAGAAGATTCCTATGAATATAAGCTTGCTGACATTTTACAGTAATACAAATAAAACCTGTTAACATAGTAAATAACAGGTACTTTCGGGGGGGTAAAATTATTTTAATTTGACCTATGATTACATGTCTTGTCTATTCTGCTATGCCCAGAGATCCTTTCTGATGAAGATCAACTTTTCTAATACTATTTTACTGAGTTTGGAATGGAACTATAGATTGGATAATTACCATCCGAGGGAGTAAAGCCTCTAACTACCACAATTACTCACATTTATTCACATGACATGAAAATAAAAATAACAAATGGTTTGGAAGACTGCACTGTAGGGGGCAAATTAAACAAAGGTGCGCACACGCACGCACACACACACACACACCCCTCTGATATTAACAGAGGAAAGGAACTTATTCAATGATGTAGCTTTCCACTATTGGCACTTTTTGTTTTCTGTTTTAGAGACATAGCTCACCTGAATGGCACAACTTGTGTGGGTACTGTAAATATTTCCTAGACATGGCAATGCATTATATTTTCCATTTCAAAATATACTTATAGACAGCTATGGGAAAGAATTACAGTGGTAGCTACACACAGCCTTGTTTTCCTTGTATACAGAGTTAGAAAATAGAGATATAGGGGAATCCACTCCTGATACCAAATATAGCCACCATAAGCATGTACAGGCATACCTTGTCTTATTATGCTTTGCAGATATTGCAGTTTTTACAAATCAAAGTTTGTGGCAACCCTGCATCAAGAAAATCTATCAGCGCCATTTTTTCCAACAGCATGTGCTCACTTTATGTCTCCAGGTAACATTTGGTAATTCTTGAAGTATTTCACATTTTTTCATTATTGTTGTATCTGTTATGGGTGATCTTGTGTAATCAGTGATCTTTGATGTTACTCTTATAATTGTTTTGGGGCACCACAGATCATGGCCATATAAGATGGCAAACTTAATTGATAAATATTGTGTGTGTGCTGACTGCTCTACTGACAGGCCATTCCCCCATCTCTCTGTTTCTACTTAGGCCTCCCCATTCCCTGAAACACAATATTGAAATTAGGCCAACTAGTGACTATACAGTGGCCTCTAAGTGTTCAAGTGAAAGTAAGAGTTGCACTTCTCTTACTTTAAATCAAAAACTAGAAATGGTTACACTTAGCAGGAAGGGCATGTCAAAAGCTGAAATAAGCCAAAAACTAGGCCTCTTGCACCAGCTAACCAAGTTGTAAATGCAAAGGAAAAGTTATTGAAGGAAAGTAAAAGTGCTACACCAGTGAACACATAAATGATAAGAAAGAAATAGCCTTACGGCTGATATGGAGAAAGGTTTAATTGTCTGGATAGAAGATAGAACCAGCCATACCATTCCCTTAAGCCAAAGGCTAATCTAGGGCAAGGCTCTAACTCTCTTCAATTCTGTGAAGGCTGAGAGAGATGAGGAAGCTGCAGAAGAAAAGTTGCAAGCTAGAGGTGGCTTCATGATGCTTAAGGAAAGCCATCTCTGTAACATAAAAGTGCAAGGTGAAGCAGCAAGTGCTGATAACAGAAGCTACAGCAAGTTATCCAGAAGATTTAGCTAAGATCATTGATGAAGGTGGCTACACAAAACAACAGATTTTCTTTTTTTCTGATTTTTTTTTTTTTTTTTTTTGGTCTCACTCTGTTGCCCAGGCTGGAGTGCAGTGGCATAATATTGGCTCGCTGCAACCTCTGCCTCCCGGGTTCAAGAGATTCTCCTGCCTCAGCCTCTGAAGTAGCTGGGATTACAGGTGCCTGCCACCACGCCAGGCTAATTTTTTTGTATTTTTAGTAGAGACAGGGTTTCACCATGTTGGCCAGGCTGGTCTCAAACTCCTGACTTTAAGTGATCTGCCTGCTTCAGCCTCCCAAACTGCTGGGATTACAGGGGTGAGCCACCACGCTCGGCCATACAGATTTTCAATGTAGATGAAGTAGCCTTCTATTGGAAGGAGATGCCACCCAGGGGTTTCGTGGCTAGAGACAAGTCAATATCTGGCTTCAAAGCTTCAAAGGAGAGGCTGACTCTCATGTTAGGAGCTAGTGTAGCTGCAGCCAATGCTCATTTACCATTCCAAAAATCCTAGGGCACTTAAGAATTATGACTCTACTTCTAATCTATAAATGGAAAAACAAAGCCTGGATGACAGCAAATCTGTTTTCAGCATAGTTTATTGCATATTTTAAGCCTACTTTTGAGACTTACTGCTGGGGGGAAAAAAAGATTCTTTTCAAAATATTACTGCTTGATGACAATGCACCTAGTCACCTAAGAGTTCTAATGGAGATGTACAAAGAGATTAAAGTTGTTTTCATGGCCACTAGCACAACATCCATTTTGCAGCCCATGGATCAAGGAGTAATTTTGATTTTCAAGTCTTCCTATTTAAGAAATACTTTTCATAAGGCCATAGCTGCCATAGATAGTGATTCTTCTGATGGATCCAGGCAAAGCAAATTGAAAACCTGAAAAGGATTCATCATTCTAGATGTTATTAAGGCATTCATGATTCATAGGTGGAGGTCAAAATATTAACAGGACTTTGAAAGAAGTTGATTCCAATCCTCCTGATGACTTTGATGGGTTTAGGGCTTCATTAGAAAAAGTAACTGCAGATGTCATGGAAGCAGCTAGAGAACTAGAATTAAAAGTAGGGCCTGAAAATGTGACAGAATTGCTGCAATCTCATGATAAAACTCATGACAAAATGGATGAAGAGTTGTTTCTTGTGGATGAGCAAAGAATTTCTTAGGATGGATCTATTCTTGAATGGTGACGATGCTATGAAAATTTTTGAAATTACAACAAATGATGTAGAATATTCCAAAAACTTAGTTGATAAATCATATACAGGGTTTGAGAGGATATAATCCGATTTTGAAATAAGTTTTTCCGTGGGTAAAGTCATATCATACAGTATCACCTGCTACAGAGAAATCTTTCATGAAAGGAAGAGTCCATTGATGCAGCAAACTTCATTATTGTCACAGAAATTGCCAGAATCATCCTGACCTTAAATAGCCACCATCCTGATCAATCAGCAGCAATTAACATCCAGGCAAAACCCTCAAGTAGGACTAAAGATATGACTTGCCAAAGGCTCAGATGATCATTGGCATATTTTAACAATGAAATATTTTTAAACTAAGGTATATGCACTGAATGTTTAGACATAATGCTGTTGCACACTTTATAGACCATAATATAGTGTAAGCCTACTTTTTAAATGCACTGGGAAAGCAAAATTCATGTGACACACTTTATTGCAATATTCACTTTATTGAGATACTCACTTTATTGCAGTAGTCTGGAACTGAACCTGTAATATCTCCAAGGTATGCCTGTATATTCTATCACTCCCAAGCTGTGTGCTCTTGGGAAAGTTACCTAATAGAATCCTTAATAAAAAATGGAGTATGGGGCTGGGTGTGGTGGCTCGTGCCTGTAGCCCCAGCAGTTTGGGTGGCTGAGGTGGAAGGATCACTTGATCCCATGAGTTCAAGACCAGCCTCGGCAACATAGCGAGACCCTGTCTCTACAAAAAGAAAAAAAAAATTAGCGGGGTGTGGTGGCATGTGCTTGTAGTCCCAACTACTCAGGAAACTGAGGTGGGAGGATTGCTTGAGCCCAGGAGATTGAGGCTGCATTGATCTGTGATCATGTCACAGCACTGTAGCCTGGGTGATTGATAGAGTGAGACCCTGCCTCTAAAAATAAAATGGAGCATTATCTATTCATGGGGTTATGTGAGATTATTTGTGTGAATTGTTAGTCATATATATTTGCCAAATAAATGTTTGCATCCCATCACCGTGGCTGAATGAGCATCGGACTAAGGCTACCTTCTTCTATGCGCCAAAAGTTTTGGATACATTTCTTGAGGCTCATGTAGTTGTAGAATCTAAAATCTAATTTTAGCTTAGAAGTGCAACTTGAGGAAAAGCAATCAGGATTTTTGAACTTTTAATGAAACATTTTATAAAGAAAAACATCTCTTGTGAGTGCTTTGTTCCCTGTTTAATTTGGTTGAGGGTACTTTGTTCAGTAGAGGCCAAAAGCCTATAAGTTAAATAAGCTGAGACTATCAGTGGAAAAAGAAACACTACATTCATTCAAGTTCATGTTATATAAGTTTGCCATCATTTCAAAGCAAAGATTTTACATGGCTCACCTGTGTAACAATAAAAAAATCTACGGTTCAGTTGTAAATGTGCACAAATAGGGCATGATGATAGGCTCACAGTTGTAGCTTCCTCTAACTTGGTCATGGACTCAAGATCAATGTGAATGCCATATATCAGAAAGGAGCAAAGAGTGCTTTAAAACTACAATAAGAAAGATTGGCATGCGTGAATCTAACGGTTTAGTTATCCATTTTGAGGGATAATTTATTTGGAATGCTACTTTATTTCTTTATTTTATTTTATTATTATTATACTTTAAGTTTTAGGGAACATGTGCACAATGTGCAGGTTAGTTACATATGTATACATGTGCCATGCTGGTATGGTGCACCCATTAACTTGTCATTTAGCATTAGGTATATCTCCCAGTGCTATCCCTCCCCACTCTCCCCACCCCACAACAGTCCCCAGAGTGTGATGGGGACTCCCCACACCACAACAGTCCCCAGAGTGTGATGTTCCCCTTCCTGTGTCCATGTGTTCTCATTGTTCAATTCCCACCTATGAGTGAGAACATGCGGTGTTTGGTTTTTTGTCCTTGCGATAGTTTACTGAGAATGATGATTTCTAATTTCATCCATGTCCCTACAAAGGACATGAACTCATCATTTCTTATGGCTGCATAGTATTCCATGGTGTATATGTGCCACATTTTCTTAATCCAGTCTATCATTGTTGGACATTTGGGTTGGTTCCAAGTCTTTGCTATTGTGAATAGTGCCGCAATAAACGTACGTGTGCATGTGTCTTTATAGCAGCATGATTTATAGTCCTTTGGGTATATACCCAGTAATGGGATGGCTGGATCAAATGGTATTTCTAGTTCTAGATCCCTGAGGAATCACCACACTGACTTCCACAATGGTTGAACTAGTTTACAGTCCCACCAATAGTGTAAAAGTGTTCCTATTTCTCCACATCGTCTCCAGCACCTGTTGTTTCCTGACTTTTTAATGATTGCCATTCTAACTGGTGTGGGATGGTATCTCATTGTGGTTTTGATTTGCATTTCTCTGATGGCCAGTGATGGTGAGCATTTTTTCATGTGTTTTTTGGCTGCATAAATGTCTTCTTTTGAGAAGTGTCTGTTCATGTCCTTTGCCCACTTTTTGATGGGGTTGTTTGTTTTTTTTCTTGTACATTTGTTTGAGTTCATTGTAGATTCTGGATATTAGCCCTTTGTCAGATGAGTAGGTTGTGAAAATTTTCTCCCATTTTGTAGGTTGCCTGTTCACTCTGATGGTAGTTTCTTTTGCTGTGCAGAAGCTCTTTAGTTTAATTAGATCCCATTTGTCAATTTTGGCTTTTGTTGCCATTGCTTTTGGTGTTTTAGACATGAAGTCCTTGCCCATGCCTGTGTCCTGAATGGTAATACCTAGGTTTTCTTCTAGGGTTTTCATGGTTTTAGGTCTAACGTTTATTTCTTAAGCTACCATCCCACAATTCATCACTATTCCTGATGGTCTGTTTTACAGAAATTTTCTGTCAGCACATAACTATAATAGATAGTACATAATATAGTGAAATATGAAAATCTCTGTGAAAGGATCAACGAAATTTGAAGAGAGAGCTAGTTTGAAATACGAATCATATTCTCAACCTTTTAAATTTCTGATTGAATGATTTATGGGAAACATTCTGTAGCAATGTGAATTCCTTATAAGGAAATAGTGACTGTGTCCATAAGGATGATGTACTCTATAATTCAGATAATATAACCATTTATGCTTTGTAGCAGGAGTTCCCCAACCTCTGTACCAATTCATGGCCTGTCAGGAACCTGGCTGCACAGCAGGACCTGAGCGATGGGGGAGCAAACATTACCACCTGAGCTCCGCCTCCTGTCAGATCAGCAGCAGCATTAGATTCTCATAGAAGCCTGAACCTTATTGTGAGCTGCACATGTGGAGGATCTAGGTTGTGTATTCCTTATGAGAATCGAATGCCTGATGATATGAGGTGGGATAGTTTCATCACGAAACCCTCACCGCTTCCACCACCCCCATCCGTGGAAAAATTTTCTCCCATGAAATCAGTCCCTGGTGCCAAATAGCTTGGGGACCACTGTTTTATAGGGTCCGTATTTCATAGATTGAAAGACTGAGGACACAGTTAAGGCATTATGAAGTCAATGAGACATAGTGGTGAAGAAAAGATAAATTCTTAAAGATAAATCTTTACTGGACATTTAAGTGGGTTTTCCAAGTCCATTAATCCCATTCATGTTTTAACATGTCTTTGAACCCTGAATGGCCCCTAAACTTAGCCTGTACCTTAGTTCCAACTCACCCAGTTTTCTTAGTGTGCCTACAAGGCTAACAGACCTTGTAGGCTTGGTGGGGCCAGGCATGAGGTAGCTGTGGATTCACTGTGCTATTACAAGTCTAAAATATGGAAGTGTTTTTCAGCTTTTTTTCCTTATGTCTTTTTCTGCTGACTCTAATCTTTAGTTGCTTTTCCCCCTTTGGTTTTACTGCAGATTGAAAATGTTTCCATTCATTCAAAACAACTATTTCTTGTTTAAAGTAAAACTGTTAGTTAATAATAATGATGCTTTAGCAACTATCATTTTTCTCGATGATTTAGCAGAACACTGAATTACTGCGAAATGCAAACAGTGAGAGGGTATAACAGCAACAAAAATATATCTTGGAAGACTCAGGTCTCATCTCTTAGGTCTCCTTCCCTACCAAAGATGAACATTCCCCAAAAAGATTCAAAATGGCTGTCACCACATGGTGGAATCATATGTGATTCTTACGTTTATGCCCGTATGCAAGTTTCTAAATTAGTTTTATTACCTTTGTTAAAGAAAAAAAAAGCAGAAGAATGGACCCTTTAGACAGTGTCTAACTTATCTCAATTTTCCACTCCCCTTTGTGTAGGCATTGATTTAATTTGTGGCATCGTTTTTAAGATGCATATTAGATTATCAGAATTGCATCAATGTGAAAAAAGGAGTAAAATTAAGAATAATAAATCAAAATAGAATAAATATGAAAATAATAGTAAATAGAATTTGTAATATTTTATAGATGTTATTCATACTTATTTTATAACATTTATATAATAAATACAAAAATTAGCAAAAGAATTTTTCTTTCACAGAATTATTATTGCATGTAATATACAATGTAGAGTTAAAAATGTGGCAGATGAATATTATGATTTCTCAAGATTTTCATAATAAAATTATGAATGTTTCAAATGTCAAAGATCTAGATTCCATTTATCCTTTGCCTTGCAGTTGAGTAAATCCTATTTCTTCGGCTAGGTTACCAGGACTTTAAAGAAAAATATTTTTCTAACAAATATTTCTGTTTGGAGCTTTTTACAACAAATGAGCTCTGCGTTTGCATCGTACAAAGTCTAGCTTGCTTCATTGGGAAGAAAATGGCATGAGAAACAGTATCCATAGATTTAACAAGCTCATGACAACATAAGTTATCAAGTAGCAAACTGATAGAAACGTAAACTGATTACTTGGGAAAGCGGCAAGAGTTTGGGGTGCTCATCAGAGCCATAACCATGAGAACTGCCAAATGTTTGTCCTTAACTATTAGTTTACCTTATACTGTACACGACTCTTTAGTTCTCCCTTGATTGCACCTCCTGTAAAGGGGAGATAAAACTCTTTGGGAGCCTTTCCTGTGTTTGATTATCATTCTCTCCAACACCACTATCAATTGCCCTTGACAATTTTGTCACACCCTCCAGCATTACTCTTGCTATAAATCTTGATAATTTTAGTATCCATATAGATGATTCTTAAGTGCTCTGCCATCTCAGTTCCTTGAACTTTTGTCCTCCAATGATCTTGTCCACCCTATCTCAGCCATCCACTCTAATGGAAAACCTTAGACTGTCATCATCAGTAACCTCTGCCCTCTGCCCCATCTCCATTTCAAGCATCCCACTGTTTGACTGTTACCTTCTACATTTACAGATTATTCCTTCTTGTTCTCAGACTTCAAATTTCTTGACCCCACAGAGAGATAGTATATTTACCCTAACACCTTTTCTCAGTTCCTCAACCTCCACTCCCTCTTTCAGCTTGCTTCCATGTCTTCACTTCTCTCTTTCCTCATCTTAGGTGATGCAGACCTCATAATAATCACACTTTCAGATATTGATTCAATTTTCTGTTTCTCCCACCGTAATTAATCAACTGGCAATACTCCAGCCCTTGTTCAATCCACATCTGTGCTAATTCAGCATCTATACTAGTTCTGCTGGAGGAAAATACAACCATGCTGATTGGTTTTGCTTAAACTTAATGACCATCAGTGCAGACCAATAAGTCTTCTACTCAAATGAGTTACTGACTTTACTTTGTTCTCTCATCTATAATATGGGGATAATAATAGAAAACTATAGTCATAGAGTTGAGGGATTTAAGTGTATTCCCATATACAAAGAACCTGACAATAGTGCCTGGTACCTAGTAAGGGCTCAATTTATTCTACTTCTCCCCCTCCTCTCTCCCTCCTTCTCCCTCTCCTCTTCCACCTTCTCCTTTTTAGTAGTACTACATTAGAATTCCCCTAGTTAAATTACCTTTATACCAACCTAATTAATTATTTTGAACTTTATTTCTCCTGAAATCCTGAATGCCTCCCTCTCCCCCTCCTAAGGCTAAGGCTTTTAATTCGCAGAGAAAACAGAAAGTCAGAACAAAATGGCCTCATACCTCCACCACCATATCTACTCACCCACTTCTAGCTGTGACCCATATTCTGTCTTTTTCTTTGTTACTATGGATCCTTTTCCTTGTTCTTATATAAGGCCAGCTCTTACAGTCATGCAGTATATTCAACTCCATATTTCATACTCAAATTTCTCAGTCTAGAAATTGTTCTTTTCTTTCTTTCTCTCTCTCTCATGTCTTCGTATCCCTCTCCACCATATCAACCCCATCAGCATACAATCATTACTGTTATTTATCCCATTTGATTTAGGCAAATAAAAAGAAAAAGGGGTCCTTAAAAGGTTTTTTGCAGTTCCAAGTAATTTCTTGTCTAGCATAAAATCCCTGGCTCTTAAACCCAAACTGACAGTCTTTAATATGCAAATCCAAGCCAAGAAAAACTGGGTCCACCCAACATGGCAATTCCCACCGTTGTCCCCTTGCCCTTGCCCCCACATGTGCTTGGCAGCATGGCTACTCCCACATATCCCCATGTGTGTAAAACATCATGGCTCCCTGCATTTCCATATTAAAAGACTAGGGTGGAAGAGTCAGTTTTTCCGCGGGCTACGTAAATAACATGCCTGGTCAAACCAATCCCCTGAGCCCTATGCAAATCAAACACCACCTCCTCCAGCCATCGCATGTAACTGGCTGGTATCCCCTAAACACAAGGTCTCCTCTTTCAGCTTCATTTAAATGAGAAAAAATATTCCTTTATTGCATATCCCTTACCAGCTACCATTCCATTTACCAGTTTCCCTTTACAGCAAAATCCCTGAAAGTATTGTATATCATTGTGTCCACTTCATCTCTTCCCATTCTGTCTATTTAAACCTATTCCAATCAGGTTTTTACCCCTCCCCGCATTATTCTACCCAATTACTCTTCCTAAAGTCACCAGTTACCTCCACCTTCCCAAATATGGTGTCTTGTCCTCAATATCTGCTTCCTTGACCTAAACAGTGGTGGTTGATGCAGTTCATCATTCCTTCCTCCTGAAAACATTTTCTTCACTTGGCTTCAGGACACCACACTCGCTTAGCTTTTCTTCTACCTCACTGACTGATCCTTCTAAGTCTCCTTTATTGGTTCTTTTTCATCTTCCTAACCTGTAAACTTTGGTGGGCTCCAGGACTCATCCTTGAACTTGGTCTTTTCTCTGTGCACACTCACCCTCTTTGTGTATTACTCTCATGACTTCAAACACTGTCTACATACTGGTGATTCCCCAAATTCTCCAGCCTGGCATTCTTATTTAAAGTTCAGGCATATTTCCAACTGCTTCCTTGACTTCTCCATGTAGATGCCTGATTATCGTATTTCGGTTAACAAGTCCCAAATAGAAATATTCATGTCACTTCCCTAAATATTATATGTTCACAGTCTTCTCCATCTCAATAAGCGGCAACCCCATCCTTCCATTTGCTTAGGTCAACATCCTTGGAGTTTTCCTTGCCTTCTCTCTGTCTCTGACATGACACATCAATGCACCACAAATCTTTGGCTTTCTTTCAGAATATATGCACTCCAGAACTAAACCAACTCTCATCACTTCCACTTCTACCTTCTACATCTACCCTCTCACACCTGAGTTATTGTTATAGTCTCCTCATTAGCATCCCTGCTTCCATCCTTATGCCTCCCCACTTTGTGCTCCACAGTTATCCTGTTCATAGTAAGTCAGATAATGTGACAACTCCTCTGTTCAGATTTCTCCAATGGATTCTTCAACGTCCAAAATCCTTAGTATGGAATTTAATGCCCTCTGTGACATGGCCTAGGGGACTATCTTTCTGACCTCATCTCCCTAACCCTTACTAGCTCCTTACTTACCACTCACTGTGCTCCAGTCATATCAGTTTTCCTGCCGTTTCTTCACATCATGACAAACCCACCCCTGCTTTAGAGCCTTTGCACTGGCTGTTTCTTCTGCTTGGACTGCTCTTTCCCAGATTCCCCATTGCTCACTCCCTCACTACCTTCAGGTCTCTATTCATATATGACTTTTTCACAGAGGCTTCCCTGACTACTTAATTTAAAATAGCATTTTGTCACCATAATTTCCTATCTCCCATTATCTATTATTTATATATCCATTTTATGCATCCATAATTTATACAGCACATTTAAATAAATCAAGTCATGTTAAATATGTTAAATGTACATTTATTGAATAAAATGCCTATTTGTATATTGTTTGTGTATGCACAGTAGAGTATAAATTTTTTGGCGGTCAGGATTTTTGTTTTGCTCACTGTTTTTTGTTGAATGAATCAATACGTACTTGCTTATTTGTTTATTGTCTTCCTCTACTAGAATGTCAGCTCCTTGAGGGCAGGGTCTTTATTTTGCTTAGTGATCTTTCCCGAGTACCTGGAACAGAGTCTGGAATATACTAGGTACTCAATAAATGTTGCCTACAATATTTAATTAATTGATTAGTTAGTTCAGACATTGAAAGAGCTTCCAAGAGTAATGTTTAAACTCAATCAATGTAATGGATAAATATCCAAGTACTGTATGAGGAAAAGATATTGATAAACGTTGCCTGTATTTATAAGATTCATAATTTTACTCAACTCTTTGATGAGGAAATGTTGACTTGTCCAAAAGCAGGTAAATATAAATAGAAAAACCGGAGGTTTTTCTTGATAAGAGTATCCCTCTATATGAAGCAGAGACGTAATTCAGCCTAATTTATATTGAACTCCTATAGTCCAACTATTGATTCCTTATCACTTGCTGACATTTGTTGCTAGGGAGCATTGTGAGTATTTGAAATATACATTTATTTCCACTAAGAGTTATGTAATCAATTTTAATATATTTTAAATATACTTTATGATGATGTAGATTAATAATGGAAATGATGATGGCGGTGGTGGTGGTGGCGATGGTGATGGTCATGTGTGTTTGTCATAGCTAAAGAACAGCATTGAAACTTTTCCAGTGCACACAACACACACAAAATCCACTTATAACTAAAAATTAATTATGAAGTAGGTCAGTCTTATAAAGGATTTTTAAGGAAACATAATTACATGAATTTTCTAGATTAACTCAAACTATGCTAACTCTTGTCCTCAGATGACTTGAATTAATGAAATGATATATAATTAGTGTTTCAGTTGTTTACATGTAAATATAAGTTGAGTATTCCAGAAAAGTTTGTTCGTAGGCACTTTTTCATCTCTAGTTTTTATTTTATACTGAAACAAAAAGAAATAAAACATCACCCCAAACTCACTACACAGATATTTCAGTGTCTATCACCTGTATGCCTCCCTGTGTATATATACACATATATCTACTTGATTGTATGTAAATGAGATAACTTTATATGACCTGTTCTGTAACTTGCTTTTTTACGCACATCTTGTGCATGTATTTCTATGTCAATAAATGTACATCCACATTATTGTTTTAAAAGATGAATAACATTCTGTTGTATGTATGTACCATAATCTGCTCATCCAGTCCTCTGCTGATGCATTTTTTTCTTTGTTGCTGTTACAAAATAATGTTATGGTAAACATTCTTATGCATGCATCATCTTTATAATTTGACTTGCAAGTATTTTTAAAGTTTCTTTCTCAGTGTCATTATTTTGTTCTATACGTATAAAGGGATCTCTAAACAAAATCAAGTTTCTTCCCTATTCTGTTTTTAAATTATTGTAAATTTCAAAGTAGCGAAATTGGAATAAATGAGATTTTACTGTGTACTTTGCCTGGAGCCCTCTCTTGAAGTGTATTCAAAGGGAATTAAAGGGCTTATTAACGGATAGGACTATTTGTGTTAAAGATGAAGTCTGTTGAACATTTTCACCTAAATATACCAATCTGATATTCTTGACGTTTTTTTGTTAAATTTGATGCTGACAATAAAAACTTTGGAATAAGCTATAATTTCTGCATCCATGCATATTCAGGTCTGAAAATGAAAGAAGAGTGTGACAGGTTTGCATGTAGAACTTCCCACCCACTCATTTCTTTCCTTTCTGCTTCTGACACTTCAGCCTTTGAAACAGTTTCCCATGAGCAATACTGAGATTCAGACTATTTAGATCTAAAGGAAAAAATGCAAGCTCTTCTACAGCTTGTATCTAGCACCTGGAAACGTCTTAGAAGAAGTGCTAAAATGTAAATAATGCTGTTATTTGTTATGCACATAGGAGAAATCCTAAAGGTATTTTAGGGAAGAGATGGAATCCAGAGATATTAAGAACAAGGTGTGGGGGCCAGGGGAGAAGGGGAGAGGCAGAAGGATCCTATCCACATTATTAAAGTGAAATATTTCCAGTATACTCTTATCAACTGACATGTAGACTGCATGCCGCTTTCATGCAAAGGTATCACATTTCAAACTTAGCATTTAAAAGAAGCCAGACAAGAAAGGAAAAGAGACAGTTATTTGTTGAAAAAAGTCTGGGTTTAGCATCAGGCACAGGGGTTATTGGTAGTTGTCTGAAGTACACTGGAGCCTTGTAACATTGTTTTGTGCCATGTATTGCCAGCCTGATACCACTGGAGTACATCCTCTGTCTAGTTTTCCAGAACTCACTACAATAACTGTAGGATTTTTCCATCCTTTATGAAATTGCATCAGTATTGTGAAGGGCCTTAAAAGCCATTCAGTTCAACAACCATCTCCCAAAAGAAAAGTTCCTCTTCTTTTTCCATTTATTTTATCTCTTCCCAAAGCCATGGGGACCTAGATACATCAATTATCCTTTGTCCTGTACCTTCACTACCTCCTGGACTACTACCTTTTTTCCACTGGCATACAGATCATTTCAAGACTTCTCATCCTAAAAAGTCCCTCCTAAGTTTCTCTTTCAGACTGTCTCTTTCCTTTGATAGGCAAGAGCTTTCTTCATTTTCTCGCCTATTTTTAAATTATTCAGCTTCACCTTTGCTTTTATTTTCTCATCTAATTCTTAATTATTCAGCCCTCCGCATTCTATCTTCTGCCCACATTGCCATCCATGAACTCCTCCTGCTAATGTCGCTAGTGACTGCCAACTAAAATCCATTTCTCCCTTCAGTCCTTACCTTATTTCTCCTTTCTACAGCACTTGACCAGGTTGGTCAACTTTTTCATTGAAACCATCTCTTCTGTGGGCTTTCACAACACTGCTTTTTCTCTGTTCTACACCATCACTATTTTTCTTTTAATTTTTACACTTCCCTCGTCTTTTCTGAAATGTTTGATGTCCTCCCCACCCCCAGTTTCCAGCCTCAGTAGTTGTCTTGTATTCTGCTTGTGTTCTCTAGATTATTAAATGTATTCTTGTGGTTTCAGTTACCATCCATATGCAGACACCTTTCATCTTGAGAGCCAGGCTTATATATACAAATGGCTGCTGCACATTAACCTATCACTAATGGCTCTTTAAACTCAAAATAACCAACAATGGAGTCATTGTCTCTATCTCTGAAATAGAACACACTACCCTCCCCCACTTCTTCCCCTTTTTACCCTGTGGCAACAACCTTTTGCTATCCTGATTTTAAGCAGGCTGCAGCATCATAATAAATGATACATAATATCTGCCTTTAAAATGCCTGTAGTGGTTAAGAGGGAGGGCTCTGACATTACATGGATTTGAAACACAATTCAAATGCTTATAAGGTTTATGATTTGGGGCAAAGGAATTATTAATCCATCTGTCCTTTAGTTTCCTCATCTATAAAATGGAGGTAATAGTAGTATAGACCTCATAGGGTTCTTAAGAGGATTAAATGGAATGATAATACATGCACAGCATTTTACAGTGTTAAGTTCATTAAGTTAACAAATGCTTCATATTATTTGCCGTTACAGTCCATATAATAACATGCTGCCTTCAGGCCAATATATATAAGCCTATAATTCTTGGAAGACTATGGAAATCCTATCATATATTAAATTGTCATTTTTTTTAAGACTAAGAAAAATTTATGTAAAGTCCAAAAGTACAGCTGTTTACAGGGGACGAACTGATCCACAAGGCCACAGTCTACCCTCATCAGTTAGTGTCCATCACTGAAGTGGAATAACTCAAAAGGAAAAGGTAACTCAACGAGCCATCCATTTCCCACATAGAATCACAACAGAAGACAGAAAATATGGAGTGGAATGTTGAATCAGCTGCTGTTGGGAGACCCTGGTCTGCACTCTATCTGTATTCTTACTGAAGGGAGTGCAGGGCAGGGTTTCCCATACAGAGGGCACAGACTACCACCGTATGGCAAATGTTGACTGGAACTCAACTTCAAAGCCATTTCACCTGGAATCTTACCCCACCACCCCAATGCTTCATGAAAATTCAACTGATCCTCTTCTATGAAGAAACTCAATCCTGATAAGTCTCTTTAGTAGTTATTGAAATGTCTTTGTAACTCTCTTATAGTCAGGTTCAGTAAGAATGTTAAGTTTCTAATTGAGCTTTTCTTTCTGAACAGTTATTTTGTGTATGTTTATTTTCTGTTTACCAATGTAATATATGTTCTTTGCAGAAAAATTGGAAAATACAAAAAGGTATCTACAAAGTCCCCCAACCAAGAGAAAACCAATATTAATGTTCTGTTATAGATCCTTGTAGTGGCTAGCTGGAATTCGTGTATATCTCTCTCTCTCTGTCTTTGTCTTTCTTTCTCTCTCTCTCTCTATATATATACATATATTCCAAATATACATTTTTATGTAATATATATGTATATTATATATGTATACATATATTCCAAATATACATATATATCTTCATGTAATATATACGTATTTTATATATATGTATAAATACATAATATACATATATAACCTAATATATGATATAGCATAATATATGTATACACATATATGTGTACATATATAAAATACATATATATTACATAAAGATATATATGTACATTTGGAATAACTATGCATACCATGTTTCAAACCTGCTGTTTACTCGTTATTATGACTATTCCTCTATATATTAAAATATTATTCTTAATCTACATTTTAGTGGTTGAATAGTAATAATCTATTTAGTTTGTTCTCTGTTTATTTGTTTTTGTTTTTGGGAACAAGGAACTGTTCACACCTAAATGTGTACAACCTTTATGTCTAGATCAGGCACTTGAATTCTTAAAAAAGTGTTAGGAAATGGAATAATGATCTTTTATTTATAAGTTGTATATGTTTCTGTATTCTGTTCATATATGATAATTGAAATAGACCTATATCTAACACTTTAAAATTTATAGTATTTTCATCTTTATTTCCTCATTTGATCCCTGCTACACCTTGTGAGATAGAGAAGGGCTTATTATTCTGTCCTTATAGATAAGGAAACTTATGTCCAGAAAGATGAAGTGGTTTTCCAAAAGACACGTAGCTAATAAATAATTGACAACATTGGAATTTGGAATTAGAAAGCAAGTCTTGTGACTCCTAACCAATACTCTTTCCAGTACACTTTGCCATGTCCCAACTTCACTTTCTTTAAGTGCTTCTTTCTAGCACCTCTTATTCAATTATTGTCATACGTACTTTTTGGATCATACCTTAGGAGAATGTAGCTTTCTCATGAATTTCCTCATTAGCTGACAACTGAATATGGCTAGATTTTAACAATAAAAACACATTTTTTTCTTTTCAGGAATGCAAATACACAGTGTATTATATGTAGAAAAAACTCTCAGATATTGGATCCTTATTGATGAGGCTTATGAGATAATATAGCAACTCAGACTTTTCTCAGGAAGAAGAAAATCCATGTCTTTTGTTGGACAGTTTAGAGAGTCTAGACTACCATCATTCAGCATTTGAACATTTTGATTTCAAAATGTAGACAATTGAAGAAATACAATGTAAATGCCAGGGAATTAAATCATAGGACAAAAACTCCCTATGAAAACATCTTAGTGATAGCATACATGTTAAAATTTTTGAAAACACTGGGAATGGTTTCACTTCTCATCTGAGTATCTGAGAAACAGATGATTATGTACCTCCCAGCCCTGTGTCAGCCCTAATTTAGTTGATGGCATTATTGCTCCCTGCTTTCTTTTTTTTCTCTTTATAGCAGATTGCTATTCTTTTTTACTTTAAAATAGCACCTTTTGCTGCCCTGTCTTATCCTTGTGCTCTTTTAAAAAGTGGTCAGGCACACACTTTTGTCACTAGTTTTACATGAGGGTAGGGGCTTTCTCTTTTCTTTTCAAAAATTAAGTGCCACTACATCTCAGTTAAACTGCCTTCATCTGACAAGCACTTACAGAATACTGAAATATAATCTACTGCAAAAAATCTACATGTTTTTCATAAATACGAATGAAATGCTTTTAATATTATCCCTGTGTTCAGAGTTAATGCTTAGGCATTAACTAAAGTACGCTAGACGCTTTTGATATATTTCCAAAGGCCCAGCCAGAAAGATATATTGCAGATACACATATTCTAAGTGTTTACAAAATCTTCCAAAATTATTTTGCCTGTGTCTGCTTAAAAGGCACAGGAAACAGCTCCCCTACTATCTCCTCTATCCAGTCAGGAACACTTGCAGTAAGGACACTGGTTGTTCAGTGCACAAGGATTAAAGTAACTTAATTACACAGTCAAATCAATAATAAATTGAGATCATTAGAGCCTTGGCTCGAGCTGAACCCCAGGTAGCCGTGGAATCCCTATGATACTTGAAGAAGAATTGACACAGATTCTAAGGCCTCACAGGTTCAAGGAGAAGCAGACAGCCTCACTTTGTTCCTTCAAATTAGTTTTGAGTGGAGGAATCTTAGGTTTAAGTGAGACCTGGATCTTGTTTTGGGGTGATCTCTGGAAACTGGGATATAATCTACTCTCCAGGGTAGAAGACTATGAAGGGACTAAAGGAGCAAACTCTAGGTCACTGAGAACCCCTTTCCTACAAACAAAGATCTTGGTTGTGTTCCCTCACTTCCAGAGAGCTCATTGGACCGAGCATACCCTTGAGTATTAAGGTCAGTGCATACTGAGTTTAAAAACAACATAGGTATAAAATTGAATGGAGCAGTGGTGAGGAAGGTGGAAAAGGATGAGAAGGGAACTTCCTTTGGACTTCTTTGAGCCAAAATAAGTAGTATGTTTCCTAAATTCTTGTAATCAGACCATTGTTGGCTATTGGTAGAGGGAGGTTCAGATTTTCCATCTCTATCTTTTTTCTTCTGTTTCTTGGTCCTTCTGCCACTGCTTCTTTTAAAAAGAAATAAACTCATTTTTTTCTCAGCCTTATGTGGGAAACCCTCTTGGCATTTTCTAACTGCCAAGTGTTCTATAACTAGCCATCTGTGGAATATTTTTTTGTTAAGTTAATTTTTTAAATTAATTCATTTCCCTTTTCTCTCTCTCTCTCTCTCTCTCACACATGCAAACTAGTGTTTGAAGATCAATGAGCAAATGATCTTTCTTGTAACAACTTCCCTTTTTCAGCTGATCGCTTTTCTGAATTTTATCTCCTAAAATCACTTAAATAATTTCACTGAAACAAAGGAATGATTGGTCTTTTAAAGACTCGTACATGTATTGAATATAACATTTCCGACCTGACTAATAATTTGAAGTAACTTTGAGCTTTTCGAGGGCCCTAGCCAAAACAAAATGTTAGATGGCCTTTAACATTTATGTCTTCAAGGGACTGTGCTAGCCAAAGTTTCCTCCCAATCTGGAGGCAGCTTTGTGCCATAGCAATTTTCAGGCTTCATTGCATCAATCAAACAAATTGTTCTTGTAGTGCTTACTTACTGGGGAATTCACCAGCTGGAAGATTGTACCATTGAGCCAAAACAGGCCACTGGAACAGCCATACTCTTTACTTCATTTATGGAGCCATTTAAGAAGATGCTGTAGTGGCAGCTGCCTGTTTGTCAGAACAGCCTTGGAGGTGTGCTGAATGAAACCTAATTTAGACTAGTAGATGATCAGATGACAAAGAATACCAGAGATACAGGTGAATCACAAAAGAAGATGCTGTGAGACTTTCTGTAAGGAATTCCCCACCATGACTTTAGAAAAACTAAAGTTTCAGCTGCAGTTATGTTGAGTGAAGTGTAAAGCCTTGAAAACATAGACTAAAATGGTCCCCCTCCTCTCTCTCTTATCATATAAACACACCCCAACCCTATAATTTTTCTGATACAAATTGTATTTGGATTTTGCATAGATGGCCAGTTTACTTTTAAATAAGAATTATATGCCTGTTTATTTGAATGTCTGTTCCTAAGATTATCCACAACCACAACTCCATTTATTATATGTTTACATAATGTTGGGTGAGGGAGAGTAGTCAATGATGATTCATTTGGGACTAGATACAGAATTAAAATATAAAACAAATATTATCATTCTCAAGGTTTTAATAGATGGCTGAACACAAGGTATGAGTTTAGAAATTGTCATCCTGGATTATGGTGTGGATTTTATGTGCACCTTTTCATGATGGGCATCAGCTGCTTTGTATATTTTGTTCCCAAATCTTGTTAGTCAACTTTCAACTATCTGTGTATATAAATAATCAAGGTGATGTTAACTGCTTTATGGATTTTCTTGAGCAATTTAACACAAGATTGATTAGTGATTTCTGTCTGTAGAAAATGTTTGATTCCAGGCTGGCTTAGCCTCACCACACTTCTGACTGCCTCCTCCCTATCTGAGGAGGCTCAGAAAATACACAATCATTTCAATATTCACCTAAGCAAAATAAAATAGGAAGATAAATTTCTGCCCTGAATACTGTGATGCGTAATATTAATACAAAACTCCAAGAGAAATACATTTGAGGTAATTTTTTTTTTAACTTGGATAACTTAACTGTGAGTAGAGGCCTGTGATTCCACAACTTCACTAATGTGGAATTTTTTCTTTCTTTCCATTAGTCCAGACTCTAGACTTTGAGGGTGGAGGGGGAACTAGTCTTGTTCAAGCTGGAGTTCCTTATTAATGAGAGATAGTTTAGAAATCCTGAATAAGGCTTTGGACCAGACAATAAAAAAGGAAATGTGAAAGCTCAGAGCCTTCTAGAACAAAGAAACACCCCAAATCTTATGCCTGTCAGCTGGATGGTGACAGTACCCAGTAGCTCTGCAGTAGGCACCAGAGCATCTGAAGTACAACTGGTGGACCTCGAGAGAATGGGAGCTAGCTGAAAACCATTCTCTCCTTCTTAATGATTATCCATTAGCACACCATGTTTTTATTGCAGAATAGATTAGAAACAATTAGCAAATGGAAAATTGAAGAGGCCCTTGCTGCTTTTAGTGTTTAGATGTAACTTTTGAACAGAATCAAAATGCTCTTTTTGGAGTCAGATTTGCCATTTTACCTGAATTCCATTTTATGCGTCTGCCATGGGTTACATGCTTCATTCCATTTAAAAACGGAAATTTTCTGGATGTAGATTCAGTATGTCTTGCTGATTGCTGCATTTATTTCAGATGCTCTTTAGAAAGCATTGTTTAGTAAGCTAACTTTTTCATGCTGAGCATTAAAGTGATGGTTGAAGCATATTCCAAAGTCATCTTTTAACTCACAAGAATATGGAACCATATTGACTTCTACCAAGACAGTTTAATCATTCATTGTTAACAAAGAACATTATCATTTTTATTGTACTTGTCATTACCTATTACTGTACTCTTGTCTGAAAAGGCACTATGGTATAAGAAAAAATAATGAAATTAAACGAACAATGGATCTGATTTTGTCAATGCTCAGGAAGTGAATCACTCAATGCCAGTCCTATAGAATTCAGGGAAACATCATTAGGGCTTCAGGAATTTCGACTTTACTAATGTGGATTTTGTTATATTTCTCACATAGACTTGGATGAAGCTTTATGTGAATGCAAATTTTCTCATTTCTTATATTGATGCATTGTTTATTTGCATTTTTATTGTAACTCCTCCAAAGAGAAGAAAATCTTGGTTAATATGCAGATTAGAATTTTTATTGAGGATTGTGTTTTATTGTTCTTAAAGACTAAGGTGGTAAAGAAGGTTAGAACCCCCTGATGAAATCTGCATCACATTCAAAGAAATAGTACTTAGTGAGATTTTGTCATGAACACTTTCACAGCTTGATTCTATTTCTCATTATATCCCAATTATCAAACGAAATAAAACAAAGCCATTCCTATAGAATGAAACACATGAAAATGGCAAACTGCCTGTAAAAATGAACAAGGAAATACTGATCTTCAACTATTCCTATACCCTTATTTCTAACCTAATGTACCAACTCTCCTTCTCTCATTTTCTTTTACCAAAGTACTCTGAGGCAGAGAAATTAAATTTCTATCTAATACTATTGGTGAAAACAGAAGACTATATGAGAAACAGAGAAAATCTCCAAACAATCATGGTGTCTCCTGGACTTCCTAATATGGAAGTCATCTAATATGATTAAGTAATGCAGCACTAGTAACATCACCAGAGTTCACAGTGAAATGTTTTCATTCATCCCCACTGGAACTCCAAAGCACCAAGTGGACTTAGCATCAGAACTTAAGAAACTGAAGCCTTCGTTAGCCGTAAGTCTTTGCAAAGAAATGGAATCACAGTTTTGATTTATGTAAGAGGCACAAAGCAAACCATTACTCTGTATCCACAAATGTCAATTGTAGAGGAGCACCAGGTATCTGAGAGGAAGATCTTTGAGGGATATGCTGCTTCTTATACCCTTTTCCAAGCTCTTATTTGTTTAGAGTACAACAAAAGGAAAGGCTGAGTAAGAGAACTGTGATAGGGTTTGGGAGAAGGAAGGAAAATTCCATGGACATATACTAGCCAAGTAACTTACGTAGTTTGGGTCACTTGTTATCTGTTAACTACCCCTAACTCCTCTAGTGAATGAGGAGTAGTGGTAGTAGATTTCTGAAAAGACAACACAGTGTTTATTACCTAAAGGAGCAGACTTCCTCAAATGTGTTTCTGTTGGACCTTTGGATTGTATAACATACTGTTTGGGGACAGAAATGAAACTTCCTAGTTATATTTTTCTTAGATGTATACTATAGTGGGTGTGTATTATCTGTGTAATTCCCCCAACTGTAATATATTTCAAATCACTTTATTCTAAAAATGAAGTACATCTTACATAGAGCAACATTCAAATAAAATATTTGCCATAGAAAATAGAGGGTACAACGATGGTTACTAGAGGTTGGAAAGGGTGAGGCAGGGAGTGGGGATGGTTAATGGGTACAAAAATATAGTTAGATAGGATAAGATCTAGTGTTTCATATTCACAGGGTGACTACTGTCACCAATAATTTATTGTACATTTTAAAATAACTAAAAGAGTATAACTGGATTGTAACACAAAGAAAGGGTAAGTGCTTGAGGTGATGGATACCCCATTTACTCTGATGTGATTATTACACACAGTATACCTGTATCAAAATATCTCATGTACTCCATAAATATATACACCTGCTATGTACCCACAAACAAATTTTTAAATTCAAATTTAAAAAATTAAATGTGTGTCATGAGAATTTCTAAGAAGGGCACTCCAAATCATTGGTTTGCCTTGCTAGACAAAGTGTAAATTATTTTAACACAATATACAGCTGGGTAAAAGGAAAAAAAGACTGTGACTTGTTTGCCACCCACAGGGCTGTCAGGAAAGGCTACAACATTTCACTTCTCAAGGAGTAAGTTCCTTTTACAGATTAAATTGGAAATACAGTTACATTTTATTTCATCTCACCAATGTTGAATTAATAACCTATGTGAAACCTTTATTTAGAAATGAACACTTCAAGCATGCGTTAAATTAGCAACTAAGTACATAGCTTATAAGACCATGAAGAATGGTTATGTTTATAATGTTCATTTTTAAAAAAAAATATTATACTTTAAGTTCTGGGATACATGTGCAGAAGTGCAGGCTTGTTACATAGTTATACATGTGCCATGGTGGTTTGTTGCACCCATCAACTCATCATCTAGGTTTTAAGCCCCACATGCATTAGCTATTTGTCCTAAAGCTCTCCCTCCCCTTGCCCCCCACCTGCCAACAGGCCCCAGTGTGTGATGTTCCCCTGCCTGTGTCCATGTGTTCTCATTGTTCAACTCCCACTTATGAATGAAAACTTGTGGTGTTTGGTTTTCTGTTCCTGTGTTAGTTTGCTGCGAATGATGGTTTTCAGCTTCATCTGTGTCCCTGCAAAGGACATGAACGCATTCTTTTTTATGGCTGCATAGTATTCCATGGTGTGTATGTGCCACATTTTCTTCATCCAGTCTATCATTGATGGGCATTTGGGTTGGTTCCAAGTCTTTGCTATTGTGAATAGTGCCACAGTAAACATACATGTGCATGTGTCTTTATAGTAGAATGATTTATAATCCTTTGGTTATATACCCAGTAATGGGATTGGTGGGTCAAATGGTATTTCTGGTTCTAGATCCTCGAGGAATGGCCACACTGTCTTCCACAATGGTTGAACTAATTTACACACCCACCAACAGTGTGAAAGCATTCCTATTTCTCCACATCCTCTCCAGCACCTGTTGTTTCCTGAATTTTTAATGATCGCCATTCTAACTGGCGTGAGATGGTATCTCATTGTGGTTTTGATTTGCACCTAATGTTCATTTTTATACTTAATTATTTTAGAGGCAGGTTGTTGCTATGTTGTCCAGACTGGACTCCAGCTCCTGGGCTCAACTGATCGCCCTGCTTCAGCCTCTTGAGTAGCTGGGACTATAGGCATGCACCACTGCACCTAGCCTTACTTAATTAAAAAATATCTTTCTAGAACATTTTTAGCTCATTGCTTCAGAAGGTATTAATGTGATGGTTCAGATCTGTCATTCATTTTTTCAAGTCATTACTCGTGTCCTTCACATTTCAGAAGGATTAGAGAGATAAGAAGATCAACTTTCAAGATTATGTAAGATTGATAGAAAAAGCAAGCCAGTATTTCCACCATCAGCTTGAGATAAGATTCCATATTTTGACTTATACAGGTGATAGAGGCGAATGTTTTTCAATTTGAGGTATTTGTCAGAATAGGCAAGAGATGAGGACTTACACTTTAAAAAATTCTTCTTTAAAGACAAGTTTGAGAATAAAATCAAGCTATGATTATGTAGCCTAGTAGAAATAATATTTATCATCCCTTAACTTGTAAATGAGAAAGGTCAGTATCATTCTTTCTGTTGTATAAATTTTGAAGCTCAAGGCTCAGAGCATTTGCCAGACTTTAGTAAGGGTCATCTTTAAACCAGTGACCGATCCAGAGATTCCTCTCCATTAGAATTCCTGGATGTAAAAGAATGTAACTGGTCTTGACCTTAAGCTACTCCCGACACTCGAATGTTCAAATGTCTTTCAGACAAACTGAAAAGTTATTTTCCGTACTATTATATAAGAATGATTATTCTTTTGCATTCATAGATTGAATTTAAATTTGTCATAATTGTAACTTTTGACTTATATACCTAGCCTAAATAAATAAAAATGTTTACTTTAAAAAGTCCAATTAGAATCATTGGCTTAACTAGTTGCTTTCATTTAAGTATTCATACAAAAGAAAAGAGGTTTTAAGGATTAGTTTCTTTCATGTGCTAGGCAGTCTAGCTGATAGCTGTTGTAGTGAAGGCAATTTCTGTTAGTAATTGCTGGTTGTATTTGCTTACACCTTTATTTAAAGGAAACTTGTCTGTTTTGACAGTCTCACATTTTTTGCTCATTCTGAAAATTACTTGGGAAAATTACTTGAGTGCAGAAAAGTTATTTTCTTTGTATTGTAGAAAAACATCCTTCCCTCCTGAACACAAATATTGTAGTCCTGGTGAAAGCTAACTGCTCAACTTCACTTGTTGGCTTTGTTTCAGTAAGGTTCTGCCATTACAATGGAAGCTTATTTCATAGTTTCCACTTTCACGACTGATCCTCAATAAAAGAAAACAACCAGTTAAGCATAATAAATATTTGATTTAGTAACTTGAACATAGTCACTTTAAAAATCAGAAGCGACTCTATAAGGCAAGACCTTTATTAGAATTCTCTGCTGTCCTATGCAGTAATGGAGGAAGAAACATAATTATCAAAGATCTACATCAATGACATATTTCAGATTGTGATTTCTGACATCAGTGTAGTAATCATACTGGGAATTGGTTGTTTTTATTTCTAGCAGGCAGAATCTGAATTTTGGTTTTGGATTACCAGAATAATTGCTTCTCGGCCTTTTGGCTAAGATCAAGTGTGGATTACCAGAATAATCCTTCATAGAGCCCAGTAGTCAGTAAAAGATTTGGTTTCCTTAAGTATATAGTCAAAGCCATTAAGTGGAAAATTGAGATAATAAAAGTAGGCAATGTAGTTCCGTCATCACATGCAATATGATTGTATAATATTGTGTCAAAATTTCAAAATAGTTTCAAATAGTTTATGCATACCCATGTGGCTTGAGGCAAAAGCTCCTAATATTGGCTCTTTAGGGCTAACGGCAAATGCCCATATTTAAATGCTTGTGTCTATAGGAAGTCAGTAATTGCTAAAGGTAATTCTGTTTGCAGTTCTAATAAGATAAGTGAATAACATGGTGATTAATGTTATTTTAATAATAGATGGAGTCATATAAACACCTAATTCTTAAGTTAGTGGGTTGTGTTTGTTCATGACAAATGGGACCCCGGAGGATCAAAATTAAAGATTCAACTAAATATTTTCATTCATTTCCAAGAACCTAGTACATTACCCTGCCCATAGGCAATCAATAAATATATGCCAATTAATTGGCTTTTTTTTTCTAAAATTGATTTCCAATAATTCCTAAAGAACAAGGTCAAGGAGAATAATATGTAGGAGTCATTTTACCAATAATTGATAATTGAGCTCAGAGTGCACAGGGGTGATCTATGAAACGCCATCATGATTTCTGAAAAGCTTTAGCAAGGGTTATTAAATATAACAGATTATTTCATTCAGTACTATCAGTCTGATTGAAAAGTTAGGCCTTAATGATGTCCATAGCTGGTATTTTGTTCCTTTCTATGTGTAGCATTTCCCTGGTTAAGATGCCTCACAATGTTCTCAAATTAGTATCTTTCAGCCTTCTTTGTTTTTTGGACATTGTGTCTGTTTTTTGAGGAGGAGTCTGCCTGCCATTTGTTTCACACTTTAGTAGTACCTACCTATAAGATTGAAAAGGAGGTTGTGCCCCCTACTTTTCTGACACTTTAACCCACCAGCATTAAGCTAATAACCTACTGGCGTCTGCCAGAAGATTTGTTAGTGTTAAACCCATATGCTTCTAGTGTTTGGCAATGTGAAATATTATACCAAGTCTTATCATTCACCGGTTATCATGAACCCCTCAAGGTGCTATGGTCTCCTCCTCCAATAAGCTCAGTTGAACTCCTTGCCAACCAAGAGATACTGTGACAGGATTGTTCTTATTTGCTGTTGCTATCAGCTTTGAGGAGCCACTGCAGCCTGGAGAAAGCCTTAGAAAATTTCCCAAGGCAACTCTGCTATTCCCCCCTAACACCTACGGGATTTACATACGCTATGCCATTGTATTCCCTATGATAATATATGTAAAGTCCTGTACACATTACTGACATGCTATACGTGTTGAATAAATGTCAGCTATTTCTATTATTAAATATCCATTATTATGACTGAGCCTCTCTAGTGGCCCTTAGGCTAAAATGACTGTTATACCTCAGTCTAGGATGCTCTTACTAAACAGCAGCTCCTTCTCTGATTAAAGCACCATGTGTTCTCAAAGTTCCTATAGTGCACTATGATTACTCCTACTTTGGTACTCATCTTGCCAAACAATACTTGCAACATTTATCCTTCCTGTTTCTCTAACCAGACTGTAAATTCTGAAAAAGCAGGAAATAGCTGTGACTTGTTCACTGTAGTATCCCTAGGGCTTTAGCATAGTGTCTACACTTTTCATGCATGTAGTAGGTGTTCAGTAAGTGTTTATTGAATTAATGAATGAATGAAAAGTATCCTAGTATCACAGGTTCTGAATTATTCCTACAGAGAAGTCCCCAAAGAAGCTATGTATTCTCCAGTTACCCTCTGAAACCATAGGGTAAGCATAATCAACATATTTTCTATGAATAGATGCAAAGCGTTAATATTAGCAATTATGCTCCAAATACTAATCTCAGGATGGATGTAACATAATAATAACACTTTAATATTAATTAAAATTATTTTATTGCATAATATTATTTTACCATCATTATTCAGTATCATTACTGATTGGCTAAAATCTGCTTAGAGTAGCAGCTTCGAAAAGGCATTTCACCTCTCAAGTAACTGTCACCCACATTCATCAACCCTGGTAGCCCCTCCTTAGCACATCTTAACCCTCTCTCACTTTTTACTTTGTCTACCTGTTATCAATAGTCTCACCAAATTATATACACAATCTAAACTTCTCTTGTTTTTCTTTAACCAATTAGCAAGATTCTGAATAAATGTATTTTTGACCTTTTTATATTTACTCCTTCTACCATCGTCAAGATAGCTTCCTACATTATATATTTCTATCCCTTCATCCATCCAAACATTTATTCACTCAACAATAATCCACAGATTGTCTGATACTTGCCAAAAACTTCCTCTGCCTTATCTGAGCTTATCGTTAAATGGGAGAAACAGATATTGAACAGACATTGAATTAAAAGCCAGTGGATACTCAGGGTTTCCTTCTTTCTATGATACGGCCACTCCCAAATGAAGACTACCAGGCACAGATTACTGTTGCAGAGCAACAGTTTGACAATATTTTAGATAAGGGTATTAACAAAACAACAAGAAAAACCTAGGAACTACTATGTAGACAAGAAGAAGGTACACTAGAATGAAATGCATTTTTAGGTGGTCACTATCAAAATTTAAGCTCTTGGAATTCATTTCCTGGCAATGGGAGGAGCAGCCTCACTCCTCAAAAGCTATGGAAGAGCAGAGGAGTGGAAAAGCACTTGCAGAGAAATCTCCTGGGGATTTCTTAGCCAGATATTTAGAAATAGGGTTTAAATTCTTCAAGTTGGAGGATTCTAACCTATGCTCTAAGGATGACTGATGAAGTACAGAAAGAAAAGCAAAGTTTACCAAAAAAAATGAGGTCACAGAATTTCATTACCTGCCATCACCCCGCTATTTATGTATGTATGTATGTATGTATGTATGTATGTATTTTTGAGCCGGAGTTTCACTCTGTCACCCAGGCTGGAGTGCAGTGGTGCAATCCCAGCTCATTGCAACCTCCGCCTCCCGGGTTCAAGCGATTTTCCTGCCTCAGCCTCCCAAGTAGCTGGGATTACAGGTGAGTGCCACCACGCCCAGATGATTTCTGTATTTTTAGTAGAGACGGGGTTTTACTATGTTAACCAGGCTGGTCTTGAACTCCTGACCTCAAGCGATCCGCCCACCTCAGCCTCCCAAAGTGTTGGGATTACTGGCATGAGCCACCATGCCCAGCCCATCACCCCATTTTGAAAACCAAAAGCCTAAATCACTCACCTTGAAGCAGATTTGATGCTGACTATAGACACTAATTGATTGTTAGTCCTGTTTTGGTTTATACATAGGGGCAGCCATTACTATGCTATTTTATTCAGGCACGAAGTAATTGTTTTATATGAATGCAAACATTCTAAAATACTGCCATTCATTCCTCAATTTATAAACTTCTTCTTTAGGAAATTGTATTCCTTATTATAGGCTGGGTGACCCTTTACAAATCTTAACTTATTTTATCCTCCTAACAACTTTATGGAGAATGTACTATATTTTCCCCATTTTAAAGATGAGGAAACTGAGGCATGGAGGTAACATTACTTGCCCAAAGTTACTAAGTTAGACCCGACTGGGTTCTAATTATTGTTCTGCAACTTACTGACTTAAAAACTCAACCAGTATGCAAATTCAAAGCTTCCTTAATACAGAATGTAAAGTGAAGAACAAGAGTGTACAGCACACCAATCTGGGACGCTATTTGCCATTAGTTCAGATTTTTTTAAAGGCATGTAATCACCCCTTATACATTTTTCCTTTTCCCAGTGTGCCAAAATCAGCAAGCCAAGACAGTTGATTGCAGTGGGCATGTCTTAAAAACCAGTTTCCATGAAAGGAGCGACTAAAGGGCCTATTGTGCTTGTTGCCTTACTTTTATTTTGAGTCCAGTATCTAGTCTGTTAGTTTATATACAGAAGAGACTATCTTGCAGGGAATTCAGCTAACCCTCTGCACTGCTCTTAGGTCAGGGCCCTGAACCTTTGCTCCTGGCTAAGCCATCCCAGGTATTTGATTAGATACGTTACTTCTGAGTTCACTTATTAGCAAGGCACACTATGATGGAGTCCTGATGTACCTACTTGCCAGTGAGTAGAATAAAGATACATTTTGTGTTTATTGCTGTTGATAAAACACTTGTGTAAAGTGTAATTTATAATTTAATCACTTTTAATTCAATTTTTAATTAAAAATTTAACTTTTTAATTTTAATAATTAATTACTAATAATTAACTTAATCATTCTTTTTTTCTTTCTCCTTCACTATGCTTCCTTTGAAATCATTTCCTTCTCTAAACAACATTGGAAGCGTGGCACTGAAGTGATAGATTTTTGTATCCCATTGTACTTAATTAGCAAGTTGTGGCATGTATTTGGTTAATATTTCTCTTTCTAAAAAGATTATTATCTTTGTTTTGGTAAATTGAAGAGAAATTGTGGTCCATGGCAAAAAGAATGAACCATGAACCCATCTGTACGGTATGTGCTCAGCCTGAGATGCCCATATTCTACAAAGAGCAATTTAAGCATGAGTGATATCAGGTGTTAAGCCCCCATGAAACATCAGAGATAAATACTAGGTCCCTGGCTAACCTGCTTTCGATGTTTTACTGTTCAATCTGTAATCTGCAGTGTATTTTAATTAAATCATCAAAATTACAGAATTTTCTTTGGAAAGATGTATTCTTCATTTGTTGTTTGGTTCAATACAAGGAGTTGGCATTTCTGATATGTTGAGAAGATTTCACTTTCACATATTACTAGGATAAGTCCTTGAAATTTACTAGCCATCAGGATTTGCTGCTTTTAATGATTAATTACCTGTTGGCACACTTTTCAAAGGTATTCTCTTTAGCTGTTTCCTTTCATCTTGCCCTACCTTTTTTGTGAATAGCCTTTCATGTTTAGCTCAAAAGAGTATTCATAAAGGTTTATTTCGTTTCTTTGGGTAGAGATGCTGATTTATAATTTTAATGCAGTTCGTAACAGCAGTGAAAATTAAAGTCCTGAGAACTGTACCTCAGTAGGGTCCTAAATATTTTATGACAGGTCTAATTGTTTAATAATTATGCAAAGACCTTAAAAATTTGGAATAATTTGTCCCTTCACTGTACCAGGCTACCAGGATTCATCTATCCCTTAATTTAGTAAATTTTTATGTCAGGAATAGAGTACCATGTACTGTTCCAAACACTGGAGTACAGCAATGAGCAAAACATAATCCTTGCCCACAGGGAGCTCATATTATAGAGAGGGTAGACAGACTTTAAACAAATAAAGATATAGTTTTCTTTGGAGAATAAACAAGAAGGGTTAGAGGGGTAGAGAGTGCGGAGAGATAAGGGTTTCTCTTTCATATAGGATGGTCAGGGGAAGCCTCTCTGTTGAGGTGGTATTTGAAGGATGAGAGGGGAAGGTTCAGGCGGATATCTGGAGGAAAATTATTCAAGGCAGAGGTGTAAGCCAGTTCAAAGAGTCAGAGGTGGGGATATGCTTAGCATATTAAAGGGACAAGCTTGGAAGCCAGTGTGACATATAAAATGAAAAAAGAGGACAAATGATACATAAGATCAAAGACGTAGTAGTGGTCAGATCACAGATGATCTCATAGGCCAAGTCAGGGACTTTGTCTTTGACTCTGAGTGAAATGAAAAGCTATTGGGAGGTGTAGAGTAGAAGAATGACATGATCTGCTTTATATTGTAAATTAATGTTATACTACATGTATAGTTTACATGTATAGTGGCCAACTAACAGAGTGAATTAGGGAATGCTATCAAGGAGTCCACAATTTTCCCTCCACCCCATGTGGCCTCACTGGCTTTGCTTTGTTCCACAGACAAAGAATGAACCTCAGATTTTAACAAAACATTGTGGACATTTGCTCTGTAGGTCAGAATGGAATTGGCAAGAAAGTATAATTAGCTCAGCCCATCCCATCTACACTGCACAAAGAAAATAATGAGTACACTCATTTAACTCAGCTATCAGCAGTGCAGCAAAAACAACTCCCACTGAAGTGAGTCAGGAGCATCTTCATAAACCAAGGCAAGCATATTACACCCTAAATGATGGCTCAGTGGCCTCAAGGAAATAAAGTATCTTCCTAAGCACCTAATTTACTACCAGGCTGTGACTCAGGCTCAGGAAAAATCGAATCTATTATTATATATTCAGAATACAGTGAGCAACTGTGGCTAAATATTGAGAATACTTAAAAGAATGGAGAGTTAATATTGCTAAGAAAACAAATGTGTAGTCTGAAATTATTTTCACTGCTTATGTGTATGTCTGTCTTCCTGTCACTGCTGTTTACACACCCATCTCTTTGCTTTTTTGTTGGAGTTGTACACATAATTTGATGTGCTTGCACAGAGTTAAACATCCCTATTCTAATGGCTTCATACCTGCTAAATTTGTCTACTCCTATTTCCTTCAAATGCTAGAAAATTAGTGAAGTCCCTGGCAACTAAGTATAGTCTGCAGAGCTTACCCCAAAGCTATGAGATTTGAAACTCTGTTAGTGTTTACTCAGAGTCTTCATACTATCTTTTACTCTGGTCACTTGGCTTATGGTTCCCCTGTTCCTTCCTCCTCCCTATGGTTTTCAGCAAATATCCAGCTTCTGTAAACATTCCTTCAGTAGATCTGAATTGCATAGAGTATAACTTCAGTGACACCAAAGTGTGTTTTGTAGCATGTTGTTTCTGATGATTGAAGCAATCTTCCTGTGCAGAAAGGTGATTTAAAAATGGAGCCGCCTTATACAAAATTACAGCTAGATAAGAGGAATGAATTCTGGTGTTGTGCAGCAGTAAAGGGTGAATATGGTTAACTATAATTTATTATATAGTTTCAAAAAGCTAGAAGAGAGGATTTTTGAATGGTCACAACACAAAGAAATGATGAATGTTTAAGGTGATGGATATGCTAATTATCCTGATATGATCATTACACCTTGTATACATGTATCGAAACATCACTCTTATCCCATTAATATGTACAGTTATTATGTGTAAACTAAAAAGAGAAAGAAAAAATTGAATCTTAATATCTTATATTGGCATAGAATGTAGTGTATTGTTTATAGTTCACTATGATTAATTGACTCATATTTGGCTAGTCATAACATGTACGACTTGTATGTTCTTGTAGGAACATGTACGACTTGTATGTTCTTGTAGGTACTGTCATGATGGCAACTTGGGTCATTCTGAAGTGTGATTCTGAAAGATCTGGTTTTAGGTTTCAACAAAAGTTATTTAAATTTTAATCTGTTCCTTGCTCTAGGATAATCACATTTTTTTTTAGAGATTGGTAAGCAATTAGCTGCTGCCGCTTCTAATGATAATAGAATACTTAACTATAACATGAATTTACCAAATGAATCCTTTTGGAATGGAATAAATGCTCAAGCAGGTTATTCTAGTAGGAAGAGATTCATGCAAAGTAGAGTTATATCTTGTTTGGCCAGTGTAGACTATAGAACTCAGTTTTGGTCTGTTGTCTTCTTGCTGTAAGAATACACTTTAGGATACTTCATGAGTTCAGGCTGAGACCTGGGAAGTGCTCTTTGGACAACTGTCTAGAGAAGGCACATGCTATTCCAAAAGTGCTAAGCACCATGGTTGTCAGAATCTAGTTTAGGAAAACTAGTGCACGTGATAGGCACTTAAGAATTCTTTGTTGAATTGAATGAGTAAACTCTTCATTAAATGGCATATAGAAAAAATGGTCTTCATAAGTCAGCCAGAGGTGATACCACACATTCTGCTAAACAACAAACATTATGTGAAGATGTTGTTCAGAGGAGTTCTGACTGTCTAGGGAAATCATGCATTGTGATTCTTTACACAAACCACTTTCTTTCTGGAACCAGAACTTATACCTGCTTTACCTAGAGAACAGAATAGAATAGCTAGGCTCATCTGAAAATGTTTTAGTTGATATAAACCAGCACACATAATTGAATGTCTTCTTTTCTGAACAACTGACATTTGAGAGTCAGTCAAAGAACAAGTCTATGTCTCCTTTCCCCAGTAGTGAGCTTCAAAGCAGAGCAAATGGATCCATGACAGGGCCGAGGAGGGAAGAATCAGATGTGGAGTGCATGCAACCCTACCCCCAGAGACATAACTTGGGCAGGAGAGGAAAAGAATGTATATCTGGTACACCCTGTCTCCCTTACAGTTATCACCTTTCCATCAACTGACTGTGTTTATTTTAGTTGGAAGTCAGCATTTAACCAGTTCTGCCTGAAGCTTAGTGAGGGAGTTTGATTCTGAGAACTGTGTTCTCACTGAAGGGCAATATTCTCTTTCTCTTGGGGAAGGAGTGTTGTTTGTATCCTCCTGATGTTGAGGGATATAGTAGCCATCATCATGTAATGACATACCAAATGTATTTTATCTGAGAGTTTAAAAATTAGAAGCAATCCAATTGCTGATGTGATTCATGAATAAATGATGCAACTTATAATGACTTGGTGATAACAATTTATTGTATACCAATCACGTGCACTCAGAAGAACCTGTGCATGAAATCAATGTGAGCGCTAAGACTAAATGCAAATATATTGTGGACATTTAAAGTTTTAGCCCCCTTGATTATCTTTAAGGTAATATATACAACATATTTGCCAATATAGATTTTTCTTCACCAGCCATCTGGTAAAAATTAGTATGAGATAAATAATTTAGCTTCCTTCTGTTCAGATACAACTTCATTATCCTCTTCCTTGATGCTGTGAAAAGTCTTCAGAAATAATCAATGGTAAAGTGCATTTGCATTCCTGTCAAAGCTGAGCCTGGAGGTTTCTGACATGCTGACGTTTGATTCTTTTTCTCTGTGCGCTGTGAAAAGGAGAGGTGCCTATTATCAACTGGCCCCAAAGAATTGCGTGCATAGTGGCAGCCTTGCACAAGTGCACTGCCTGCTAAATCACAGTGTGAGGAAGCATGACATGACACAACTGGGATGTTCGAGAACTGCAAGTCATTTTTCAGGATTTAAAAAAAATAATACTGCAGAACATAAGAAAGAGATTTAGGAGGAATTAGTTACATACTCCTTGTGACCTAATGATTCTCTCTCTACCCACAGAGACTATCTTACCCTTGAAGCACAGTAATTGGTTTGTAGGAGATATTTTTCCATTCATAAGAAAAAAATATCTCCTACTTTTCATCCTGGACTTATTTCTCCAATCTGGCTTGAGTTGAGGAATCTTATGCTAGAGTTGTAGGAGAGCAGGTGCCAGATTGTGGAGGGCCTTGAACGCCCGGCCAGGGAGTTTAGATTTTATCCTGTAGGCAGCAGAGAGCCATTAAAAGATTTTGAGCAGGAGGAATGTAAAAAATAGGACTTGATTTGGATGCACGCTTAGTATAAAAGTGCAATGATAAGATATATTAAGGGAGTGTTACGGTTCTGTTCACAGCATGAATATAACTGTAGGATTCATCTCTACTAGCTGACTAGTTCAGTTTTTATAGCATGCAAATTTTCAGAGCCAGCTGTAAGAGGTTGATGGTAAAAGAACAAAGTACGAATTGATCATGTGAATGTAATTGTAAGGAGGGATTTTTAAATGATCAAGATCACTGGTAACACAGAATAGTAATCATTTTAAAGGGTGACTGTAGAATTATTTGTTATTTTGTTTGAGTTATCTGAAACCACTTCTATGCTATATAATTACCTTAAGTTTTAAGTGCTCCCTGCAGGGATAATTTATGCATTTTGCATTCTCATGCAAATACTTTAACAGTCTACATTGTTGAAAATAGAACTGAACATTATTTCAGATAGGTAATGGTTGTACAAAGCTTATGAAGTATTCATCATTTTTATATATTCTCATGGTTTATATTATATTACTGTGTTGTGTTTTCAGCTACAGTGATACTTAGGTAACAAATATTTGAAAATTTAAATTGCATGTTTTGATAAAGAACTGTAATTTGCCAATTTCAAAATTTAATGTCATCAAAATCCTTTTAAAATATTAATATAAAATGTTGCAGTATTTCAGGAAATACAAGGCAAGCCAAATTTAATTTAAGCTACTAGGGGCTCAGTTATGAATTGTAGCTAGATACGTGGCCAAACACTCCCGTAAAGCATTGCATTTTTAGGATTCAGGCTTCACCGCAGTGGTTTCTGTAGAGCCATAATATAAGATGATAATCATAAACAGCATCACAGGCGATGGCAGTTTAGTCGTAAATAGGAAACCGTTGTCTTGTTCACTGCAACATAGCTACACATGTAAGCATTATATATCCCTTGTGAAAATGTGATTCACTTTATGATGGTGACATTCATATTTCAAAGTGTCTTGTTTTAATGAGCTTTCACAGGATTTCTTTGCACCAATCTTGAACTTCTCAAGAGTCCTGGATTTCCTTTTTTTTTTTTTTTTTTTTCCCCAGAGATGGATGTGCATTAAGCATAGGAAAACCTCCAGGAAGAAATATGTTTACTCCTCTGTTTGGCTCCTCTATAGACACTAACTTTACAGAAGAACTTTACTTACCTTGGGCAGCCTATCGGATTTCACCCTGAGCTCTGAGCACAGCTGGGAGTTTGGACAGTAAAGAGATGTCTTCTCCAGCAAAGGGGAGACAACTTACTTTCCAGCCTTCCCCGTTAAACATTCACGGGTGAGGGTGGTGGATATTTCTCAAAGTCCACAGGTTTATAGAATTGGGGAAAGCAAATGGCCCATTTTTTTAACTTTCTGTGTTTTCACTCTCTGTTGTCTTTCTCCGCTTTGTATTTCTGTGTTTCGCTCTGTCTCTCTCATGTATGTATGCATGTGAGTGCACACATACACACACACGAATCTGACTAAATAATTTATATATCTCCTTATATGTGTTACCTGCGTCTGTACCTGAAAAGGCAGAAGCCTAATTTCAGTAAAGGTGCTCTAGGGTCATTTCCTGAATACCTCTAGAGTAGAGTTCACTGGAAATAAAAAACCCAACATGTGCCCAAACTCAGTTGTGAGTATTTTTGCAGTAGAAGAGTGAACTTTTCATGCCATGATCTAGGAGAATGTTAAGTGGACAGATTTATATAAGATAAATGGAATGCTGCTGCCCGTTGTAATGGAAAAAGAAGCGGCCTAGGGGATAGGCTGCCTGGCTTGGCTTCTGCTCTGTGTCAGACCTCTTCCTACCCTCTGGAACTCAGGATCAGTTGGAGCTCCTGGATCTTCAGTGTCTTGCAGCCCCAGAAATATCACATGCCAGTACCAGCTACCGTAAACAGATTCCAGCTTCCTCTAGAAGGAGCTGCTTCCCTGCACTGGATTAGTTCTCCAGCAGAAAGTGTTAATGCCAGGTTCCAGTGTATTAGCATCTCTTGTTTCATTTCTTTGACTCTAAAACAAGCTCTTTAGAGATTTTTTTAAAAGTCTACCAAAACCCATTATAATCATTACTTTTGTTATCATTACTTTTGTTAAACTGTCCCTTACCTGTCACTTGAATGCCATAACTATTCAAGCAGTTGTAGAAAACTTTAAATGTAGGCACTGCTTAAACATAAAATACTGTTATATTTTTCATTATTGTTATTAGTAATCTACATTATGAAAGTAGAACTAGTAAAACAGTGGTTTGGAACAAAAGAAGTGAGATAATAACATTGTAGTTTTGTAGCATAGTAATTAAAGTGAGATGTGTAAATGTCATCTGGCCTATTAATATGGAATTATTTCACAAATCCCTTTATTATCATGTGGTCTCACTGATACACATTATAGTAATTCTAGTATTAGATTCTTAGAATATTTTAAGCGCTAAATCAAAGGCTCATGCATTGTCATCCTTGAAAAGGAATCACTACTGTAAGCATTTCTCACACATACAATTAATGTGTAGCATTAGCCCCTCACAGAAATGGAAAGGTGCTTTTCTTCTCTGTTTTTATTGACCACCACCAGTTTTTATACCAATTTCAAGTTGCGGGGTGGGGAGAATACTACATTTTCTTATATATCACACAAATGGAAAGTTAAAGGAAGGGAAGAGATCTGGTAGTTGTCGAGCATTTCCACTTAAGCTAACTGCTTCCCCATGCCTTCTGTGATCTTCCGTATGAAGCACATGATGCTGTCCCCATCTTGCAGATGCAGGATCAGAAAACACACGAATTGCCTACAGTCAGAAAACTTGGAAGTGGAAGAGGCAACTTTGAGCTGAGCTCTTCAAAAGGGCCAGGGCACACAAATAGGAGGGAGGGCTGAGCCTTCAGCAAACGTTGAAGTTGCGCATTTAGAAGGGAGTTGGCATTACAGCTGTTGTCTACCCAGTGACTACTCTGTGGGTGAAAAGGTGCACTTGCAATTGAGTTTATTTTAAAAATGACTTGTTAAGGGCACCATTGCTGTGATTTTCTCACCTGTGAGGTGGGAGGAACTCTCCTCTCAGGCCAGAGGGAAGTAATTACTGAGAGGTGCCTTCAAGAGTAAAGCAGATTGTTATATATTTCAAAGGGGGCTGTCACAGTGCCTGGGACACAGTAGGCTTTCATTAAATCCTAGATTAGAATTAATTCTTCTATTTGGGTCTCAAATGAATAAATTGGCTCCCTCCATTCAGATTCGTGACAAATGACTGCCACTAGCATCCTCTCATGTAGCTCCTTTCAAGGGGCTGATGAGTAGAAATGCATTCTTCATAAAAAAGGTTCCTCTCTTTAGCACTTGTTATCCTCAGCAGTCATTTGCAGATGTAATGTGATGCAGCAGTTTAATAGTCCTCTGCAGCACCATTCTCATCCATTCAAATCCTTGGTTTATAGATGAGGCCTTTGCACCTTGCCCTGTGACACCAGCTTTTATGTTTTGCAGCAGAAAGAATGCTATAGTGACTTCCATTTGAGCAGTTGCTGTTGGCTAGCATTACTTTCCTACTTGTTCAAGAAAGTCTCCTTTCAAAGTTTTTGAAGAAGCAGACTCCTAATTACTGTGACACTTTTCTTCAGAGACAAACCCTACCAAATGTAACAGAGCTGCTATCCAATGTGTGTCAAAAGTGTGATTCTCAAAGATTCCTGGCCAGGTGCGGTGGCTCACACCTGTAATCCCAGCACTTTGCGAGGCCAAGGCAGGTGGATCACCTGAGGTCAGGAGTTCGGGACCAGCCTGGCCAACATGGTAAAACCCCGTCTCTACTAAAAAAATACAAAAATTAGCCAGGTGTGGTGGCCCTTGCCTGTAATCCCAGCTACTTGGAAGGCTGAGGCAGGAGAATCCCTTGAACCCGGGAGGTGGAGGTTGCAGGGAGCCAAGATCATGCCATTGTACTCCAGCCTGGGCAACAGAACGAGACTCCATCTCAAAAAAGAAAAGAAAAAAAAAATCCTGAGGTACAAGAATATAATATGCACCCACCTTGGTATCATTTTATTTTTAATAGGCCTTGCCAGAGCTTTTCAATTCATCTAGGAGGAAAGGACCTTTGTCTTGTGCATGACAGTTGGTTGGATCTCTGTGAAAATTTTTCAGAGCTCCTAAGCTTTGAATTTTTAGTCAAGTGCTTGCAACAGCTATTTAAAAAGACACAACCTACTAAGCTTGTTCTCCTGATAACATGTACTTCAGAACTCATATTCTTGCAGCTGGATTTAGATCCCACTCTGAAGTCAGTACAGAGAAGAGGACTGCCACAAATGAGAAAGCTTCATAGTAGCAGAGACTATGTATCCAATAGGCACAAATTAATTACAGAGAATGGCTAAAAGACTAGAAGGTTTGTTTTTAGAAATCATATCTGATATTTGATTCACCTTTCAAAACACATAGATCAACACTGCCATTAAAAAAACCAATATACTGAATTAATACACATAATAAGCAGGTTAATAGGGGGTTTTTTAGGGGGTTATTCACCTTAGAGAAGTGTTCTTCGCTTGAAATAAAAAATTCCACAGATTTCTGTTAAACAGTGAGATGCCCTAATAAGTTTTAAAATATACAACAGTTCACACAGTCTCTCTAGAACATATTTTATGTAAAATGAATTACACCCTCTGCCACCTAATTGGATTGCCTAAACAATCCGTATCCTTCTGCAGGGTTAAGGTCAGACTAACACAGTCTTGGGCCAGTCACACAGTCTTGAAGACATATGGCCTATCTCTCTTCTTTGTCACGAGTCTCAACAAGCTACTTCCATGTCAAAATGTATTTGCTGACCAGTCTTGCAGGAGAGTGAGGCGTTTGGATCATGTAATTTTTGTATCACGACAAAAATAACCCATCTTAGCCTCTGGAAGGGATGTATTGTATTTGTTTGTTCTCATTCTTTAACTTCTAGCTTATTTCAGTGTGTTTTATAAAACATTGTTTTGGAAGAATGGAGAGCCTGGGTAATCCATTGTATGACATTGCTTTAGAGAAATATATGAAAATCCAGAACAATTCAGTATAGAGGACTAAATGAACTCCAGGGCTGAAATATGGTCATATCTGAGTCCTAGCTCTGTTTTCAGCAGTCCATTGGTTGACAGGTTCCTGAATAGTTTTCTTATTTTTGTTTGTGAAGAACTAAGGAGAAAAAGCAACACTGTGTTGACATATTTTGTGGGGCCAACATAAGGTAAATTAAAATATCTATGAAATATCTAGGAATATAGAAAGTCTTGGTAAAGAATTCAGTGTAACCATATGAGGCAAAATAGTCCCAATGTGCATACTCTTAATTCCAATTTGCATTTCTTTAGAAATCGTTGCTAATTAACCTGTGTATTTTTAAGTCATTTTGTGGCATGGTATTTCATGAAGCCCTTTTATTTAAGCACTGCATTTCTTTAGTGCTATGGCTTGGATTACTGCAGCCATTTCAGCCTATTGCAGACAGAAATGAAAAATGAAAGGAGGCAAAACAGTTCTCTGAGAACCAAGCTTGAAGGAGAGTGCTGAACACAAAGTGTAATTCATGTACAGTCCTAATTTTTGATAGAATTTATATTCTTCCATGTTAATAAAACACATATAGCCAGGCCTTTTTTTTGTAAATTGATTCCATAGTGAAAAAGAATCTTGAAAAGTGGATTTATTTATTTGGCCTTGATTTCTGGGCCCGTATTATCAGAAGCAATCCCACATTTCATGTTTATGGAGCTTTACAATATTCAGAGCTTCTTTCACCCTAGATCATCTCATTGCATCCTCATACAACAACCAGTAAGATCAGCAGAACTGGTAGATTTTTTTCACCATTTTACAAAAATCGGTCTAATAGAATTTAATTGAAACACTTAACTATTTGCAGACAAAAAGACCAGGAGTATGAGGTTCTTGCCTATGTCAGGATTATTAGGAATTTCTTTATTTTTGCTTAAGTATTGTTTTGCTTTTGTTATTCTCTATTCTTTTCCTCCTTTTCTCCCTCCCTCCCTCCCTGCTTCCCTCCCTCACCCTCTCCCCCTTTTCTCTATACCTCCCCTCCTTCCCCTTTCTCTCATCCTTTCCAGTTTTGAAATTGAATTTACCTCTAGGCCACTTTCCTCCTTTGATCGCCTACTTTTTCTGCTCTCACAGGCAAGTTTCTGACTTGCCTGTATCTACTTTAAAATAGTCCTCTATTCATTGGAAAATGTAGTGCCACATTTAACCCTTTTTTGGATTTACACAAGGGAGCTTCCAAAGTTTCTTCATATATTCTATTTTTAATTTATTTGTTTCACTAGGTATGTATTGATAATTTACTGTATGCCAGCCCTTATGTTAGGAGCTGCCCTCAAGTATCTAATAGTCCAGCAGATATTTGAGTGAGCAATCCATATTCTGTTTATCGTGAATTAATAATTTTGCTTAGCTACAGTGCACTGGGTGAGTATTGATTCCCTCTTCCCCAGTCTCTCCCTTCCCATGCTTTGATCTCAGTAATAATGAAATTCATTCACATCAAATATACCCTGGAAGAGAACATCAAAGCCCTAAATATAATAATTAGTCCTGGATTTTGAAATCACTGGTGGAGGGGAAGCCTGTATAGAGAATATAGGTAGTTACATTGTCACCCCTATGGGCATGATTTATGTTTTAAGATTCTGTTGTTTCAAGTTTTTTAACAGAGTTGAAAATCTAATTTTAATCTGCATATTAATTTCATTAGGCTGGGGAATAATTGATGTACACAAGTCAAACCTGCTTAAATAACCTAACTTTTAATCTGGAAAATTAATTATCATCGGAACATGGCTCAGAATTAGAAGAGTGACCCTTGCTATTGGCAGTAATTGTTCAATTAATTGGAATGATCAGGCTACTGAAAATGTGACTGGAAGAGAGGAGAAGAAGAGAGAGGTGGGAATATAGAAGGAAAAGGTAGATTAGTTAAAATAGGTTTATAAAACCTACTGAAAAGAGGAAACTGTGTTTCTAGGTTCATTATGAAACATTCTTTAAATGCCTACTCATAATATCTATCAACTGTTTTTCTTTCTGTGTTCTATGGTTCTTGCTTTAAAAAATGTTACATGTGAATTAAACAAAATGTATTGAGACACATTAATCTATACCAGGATGTGTGCACTTGGCAACACTGCCATCACAGGCTTTGTTCGCCAGGCTGAGGACTTAGTGTTCCCATTTTATGTATGGACAACTTCAGTACCCTCTGTTGTTCTCTCCAGATCCAAGGGAATCAGTGCAGCCCATGTAAAAAAAAAATATGTTTTTGAGAGAAATGTGTTAAAGGGAAACATTTACAGTCTGCATGGCAATCCTCAAAGCCTCCCATCCTGCTGAGATACGGACACACATGAAACAGTGCCACCCTATCAGTTGCACTATAGCTGAAAATACAAGAGCAGGGTGAAAAAAAAGTATGAAAAACCTGTTATTAAGGCCTATGTTTGCCAAATTACTTATTTGCATCAGGAAGGCATTTAGTCTTGGTGTGTATCTTTTGGTATTGGAGATGTGTTTAAGACGCTGAAACAACATAAATGTTTTACAGATATTTTAGCTCTCATCATTTTGGTATGGCTACTGAAGATATAGCTACACACCATCTGCTGACTGACATGGTCCTTACTTGGCTCAATTCAGGGAAGCCATCATCACAGCCCACTCGTCTATTAACCTGGCTCCAGCTCCGGGAGGCCAAAGAGATACTACACTCTGTCCATACTTTGCCCTCGGTGCCAGGGGCAAGCCAGGCCACTATTGCTTCTTCTGACTGTAACAGAGAATAACAATTTATATTGCTCCCAAGCCTTTGTTCGGGGGAAAAAACGTTTTCTGGCACACCTTTGGGTCTTGCGGTTATTTCCATATATTCAACATAACTGGTTGCACTAATGCATTCTTTACTTGCCTCTCTAAAGTCTGTGTGGAGGTCTTAATATGCCCTGAGAAGGGCAGCTGATCATTAACATCTGTGGCTGTAACAATTCCCCAATATGTTATACAGATGTGGTGTTTAGGGTTCAAATGTTTTATTCTTGTCAGTGATATTTCAACCTCCAAAGAATTATTTCCTCCTTAATAATGTGAGTACATTGGTAAAAAGGAGTATTAGATTTTGCTCCTGGATCCACCTACTCTCTGAATGTAGATTCCTCATTCCTTATCCAAAATATTATCATTATACTATAATGATACTAACTGATAAGAATTTTTTTTTTTTATTGAGATGGAGTCTCGCTATGTCACCCAGGCTGGAGTGCGGTGGTGCAGTCTCGGCTCACTGCAGCCTCTGCCTCCCAGGTTCAAGTGATTCTCCTGCCTCAGCCTCCTGAGTAGCTGGGACTACAGGTGCCCACCACCATGCCCGGCTAATTTTTTTTTGTATTTTTGGTAGAGACAGGGTTTCACTGTGTTAGCCAGGATGCTCTTGATCTCCTGACCTCAGGATCCGCCTGCCTCAGCCTCCCAAAGTGCTGGGATTACAGGCATGAGCCACCATGAATTTCTTAAATAAAAGGTTCAGTATTCACTGAGAAGAACCAAACATTGAACTGCAAGAGAAATAGACATGATTATACAGAGGAAAGATATTAGAGACAGATTGATTATTTCATTAACTAAAAAGTTGTTATTTTTCTGAAAAAACATAGATATGCCAAACATACATTTCTTTTAAGAGAAATCAACACATAAAAGGTCAGAAGACTTAAAGCATCTTTTATTTTGTACTCATGTCAAGTAATTTCTCAGTAACTATGCAGGGAATGCATGACATCTTTTTAACTCATTCATGCATTAACGACAATAGCAGACATTTATCCAGTGCCTGTTAAATCCAGAACACAGTGATTGCTGCCTTTATTTAGTGCCTCTCATGTGTCAAGAGCGCTATGGTACCTTCTTCCAGGGCACTAGTGAGCATCTTCCAGATCAGTCAAAGTAGGTTGGTTCCTTGGCATACATCTACTTAGTCTCCTCTGAACAGGGATTTCGTGGGTTGGGACAAATCCAATTTCTATTATTCATATGAATCACTGCAGAGACATAGGGGTGAAACTGTATCCTTTTGGTGGACCTGCCTGTGTTGGGTGACATGCTCACATTTTTCCACATTTGATAAAAATCAAGCCTCTTCTGCCTACTCAACACTGGATAAAATGACAGTGTCATACACAGAGAACAGAACACTCCTTTGGTTGCTTCAGCATTCTTTTTTTGGCCTCATTTTTCTCCCTCTTTACTGAGTTTTTGAGTCCAAATTTAGTGGTGATGACTAAGAAATTGCCAGGATGTGACAGAGCATTCAGTTCATTGAGTCCTTCCTTGCCATTTTTCAATAGTTGTAACAATTGCCAAGATTTTCTCCTGATGTTATAGGTGCCACGTTATAGGTGCCAGATACTAAATTACACTTGCAGAATCTGTCCATGCAGTGACAGCCTCATTTTACATACAGCTGATTTCATGATATGGTATTAAGGAAAATCCCTGCAGACTTTTTACTAGTTGATAATTCTGAGTCCTAGAATTTCCAATATTTAAATCTGAATCTCTGAAATTCAAATCACATAAACAATAATCAAGCGGTCTGCCATGTGCTAACGTGTCATTTTTGTTGGGGGAAGGTAGATTGGGGAAAAAATAAGACAAGTTCCCTACCATCTGGAGCTAATCATACAGTTGTATGAGTCACAGGGCCATGCTAGAGATGTAGATAGAGTTTATGGGAGCACAGATAACAGGTGTAATCAGTTCTGATTGGGAGAGATTATATGTGATTCTGGAAACAGTCATATTTGAGCTAGGCCTTGGAGGGTTAGAGGAAAGCCAGTAGGTAGAGAAACAAAGGAATGACATTCTAAGCAAAGGAAATGAATGGCATCAGTAAAGCGCAAAGGCACACATGGTTCTGTGGTGAATGACACTGGAAGATGACGCTGGAAGGCATGGTAGTGACTGAATTGTGGAGAATTTTTAAATGTTACATCAAGTTGTTTGTTGTTTTTACTATAGGCAAGGTGAAATCATCAAAATTTCCCAAGGAAGGGAACTTTGCTTTAGGAAAGCAAACCTGCCAGCTGAAGAGAAGAAACCAGTTAGGATGTTATGACAGCAGTCCAGTGAAGAGGTAATAAGGCGCAAAGTAGAGCAGTGGCATTGGGAATGGAAGGTGAAGGTCATGGATCACGGACTAGAGGGCACAGGAATGAAATGAAAGGCCCTCTGAAGTGTTAAGTGAGCAACTGCCAGGATGGTGGATTCCAGTTACTAAGACAGGGAACACAGGAAAAGTAGAGGAAGTGTGGCCCTGTGCTTCAAATATTATTCTTCCCTGTTTTCTGTATTGAAAAGCTCGGCTAAAATGATACCCTCTCTGTGAATCCCTCCCTAGTCCCTCAGTCAGAATTAAGTCTGGCTTTTTCTGTTTTCATACAGCACCTCCTGTAAGCCTCCCTTTCTTTCCTTATGGTAGCACACATTGTATCTATGACATTTGTGTACATGCTTGATACCTACAAATATATGATAAGCTGTCTGAAGCCACATATTACTTACCTATGAATATTTAGCACCGATCAACTACATAATGGATCCTTAGAAAATGTGTATTAAATGAATGTATGAATGCTGCTATCACACAAGACATTAAATGCAGCCCATTTTTGGGACCTGACTTAGAATATGCAATGATCCCATCTCACCATTCTGGAGTCAGCCATACATTGTTTATGTGGCTATTTGGTATCATTTGCCTTGATCATATGCATTTTTCACCAGATATATTTTCAAAATGGTTTGATTCTTTATGAAAGGAAAATCCATTCTCCAATGATGACTTTTTTCCGTACAGTGATTTAATTCCCAAAGAATTTCAGCAACGTTCTATGTACTTGTCCTCATCACTAAAGGAAATGTGGAGACTTCTAGTCAAATTTCTTGGTACTTTCTTGGCTTTCTCTATGTTGAGAAATCCTACAAAGAGGAGTTTTCACAGCCCATAAATAGAACATTTTGGTTCCTAACATGTGACAGTTGCCTTAGAAGTACATTGCTTCTTGAGTAGGTTGAATTTGTGTGAATCCTCTGAACATCTATCGAGTGTGCCCCTAGGCTGAAATAACCCCAAAAGATACTTCAGTTCGTGCATTCTGGGAGCCAGATTGGGAAGATGGGGGGAGATTAGGCAGATTACTGTGTGAAACACTGTTTGTAGAATCCCAGAAAAAAGGAAAGGAAATTGCTTGAGTGCTTAAATTTCAGAGAAAAGCTGCCTTGCCTGAGGAATATATCCCTCTTTGCTGAAGTGACTGAGAGGGCTTCAGATGTTGCTGCTCAGCTAGTGTGTATTGCTTAAAATGGTATCCAATATGAAAAATAAAGGAAGGTAGAACCATGGAGACATTGTTTTTAAAAGACTAGTGCCCCAGAAAGCTTGCAATATTTGTTTGTATACATGTTTTTGGTGATAGTACCAAGTGTTTTTCCTGATAACATCTCAGCAAATTAGCAAAAATCTGATAGTTTAATTGGTGCCTCTATGACATGTAGCTCACTTAGCATTTTCCTAATAATCTTCCACTCCAAGTAGGCCCTTTGCTACTCTATGGATTACTTATACATTCAAATCTACTATTCATTTCATTTAGCTTAGAAATTATCATTTTTAATGGCTGTTTATTGTACACATAGACACGTGTACACTCAAACACACAAAAGGTTTTTTGTTGTTGTTGGTTTTTTTGTTTGTTTGTTTGTTTCCTTGAAATGGTCTATTGAGGGCAGGAGCCCTTCATTTGAAAAATCCAGTCTAAAGTAAAAATGGCCAAATGCATGACAGAAAACCATATTCCTGAGTTCAAAGTCCACTGGGCTGCTCTATCGTGTCTGCTAGTAAAATTGCTGTAAATTCCTTGCTTTTGTATTGATTTGCATGTAAATGTTACTGTAAGGCAAGGATGGGGTGAGGGGGGAATTTTTCTTTCTGTCTCAAGTCAAGGTCCAATGATCCAAAAAAAATCAATTTGGTTTACCTAAAAGTAAAAGGTAGGCTTTCTTTGTAGCATTCTTTTAGAAATATAGGCAGAAAGCATTGTAACACAGATTTCAGCCTGAGGCAATTGACAACCATAGTGTATAATAACTCAAGAATCCATGAAAATTAAGTACAAGGACCGAATGTTTATTTTCTCATATTGAACCCTGAAGGGAACAAAGCTCCATGTGTCAGTTTTATGCTTGTCTTTTCAATCCTTGGCTCTTGTAGTTGTCCAATATATTTCACTTATGTGGCTTGTTCTAATGTTCCCATTACCTATTACAAAGAGAGCTAATCATTGATCAATAGCACTTTCACTTATGACTTTTTCTAAAGCATCATGTGAAATGTTATATGTAGTCTGATGGTTTCCAATGATGATAGTTTATGCTATTAAAATAGAGCACCAGTCACACGAGCTTTTACAAAGTATGTCTTAATCTCCTAAAAGGCAATACCACATGATTCTACAGGAAATTCATAGCTATAAACACTGAACTTTTGTTTATTTACTTTTGTTGCAGGAACTTTTCACACCTGAGTGCAAATTCAAAGAATCAGTGTTTGAAAATTATTATGTGACATATTCATCAATGATATACCGTCAGCAGCAGTCAGGCCGAGGGTGGTATCTGGGTCTGAACAAAGAAGGAGAGATCATGAAAGGCAACCATGTGAAGAAGAACAAGCCTGCAGCTCATTTTCTGCCTAAACCACTGAAAGGTACATTTGATATTGTGGGAACTATGGATTATGCTACTAAATATACTTATTTATTTATTAAATTTCAATAGTTTTGGGGGTACAGGTGGTTTTTGGTTACATAGACAAGCTATTTAGTGGTGATTTCTGAAATTTTGGTGCACTCATCACCCAAGCAGTATACACTGTACCCAGTATGTAGTGTTTTATCCCTCACCCCACTCTCAACCTTCCCCCCAACCAAGTTCCCAAAGTCCATTATATCATGCTTATGCTTTATGTCTTCATAGCTTAGCTCCCACTTAAGTGAGAACATACAATATTTGGCTTTCCATTCCTGAGTTACCTCACTTCGAATAATGGCGTCCAGCTCCATCCAAGTTGCTGCAAAAGATATCATATCATTTCTTTTTATGGCTGAGTAGTATTCCATGGTGTATATATATACCACATTTTTTTATCCACTCGTTGATTGATGGGCACTTAAGTTGGTTCCATATTTTGGCCATTGTGAATTGCGCTGCTATAAACATACCTGTGCAGTTGTGTTTTTCATATGATGACTTATTTTCCTTTCAGTAGCTAGCCAGGAGTGAGATTGCTGGATCCAATGCTACTTTTAGTTCTTTAAGGATTCTCCATACTGTTTTCCATAGTGGTTGTACTGATTTACATTCTCGCCAGCAGTGTAAAAGTGTTCCCTTTCACCACATCCATGCCAACATCTGTTGTTTTTTGACATTTTAATTATAGCCATTCTTGCAGCAGTAAGGTGGTATCTCATTGTGGTTTTAATTTGCATTTCCCTGATGATTAGTGATGTTGAACATTTAGAAATAGTAATTTAAAGCAGTCCTTAATAATACTTTTGAAAATGAAACAGTTGTTCCACATTAAGACATTTATTTAAAAAACTTACATTTTGTAACACTCAAAAACATTTGCTCTCCTGATTTTAATTTTTCCATAGTGCATGTACATATAGTGACACTTTACTTATGTGGAAGTAACTTACATGCTAACTCAGGACAGCCAAGATCCCCAAATTATGCTAAAATGTTGCCTGGGCAGAAACATAGGTGTTAAAAATGTGTATACACAGCCGGGCACGGTGGCTCACGCCTGTAATCCCAGCACTTTGGGGAGGCCGAGGCGGGCGGATCACGAGGTCCGGAGAATGGCGTGAACCTGGGAGGCGGAGCTTACAGCGAGCTGAGATCGTGCCACTGGACTCCAGCCTGGGCGGCAGAGTGAGACTCCGTTTCAAAAAACAAAAGAAAAAAAAAATGTGTGTACACTTAACACTTACCAGAAAGCTCCTTGGGTCCTCTCTAAGGGCCCAACATATTATTTCAGCAAATTTTGCTTATAGTTTTCCCATCATTATTAGCAGATTAATAGCAAATTAGAAAGGGTGAGGGACAAGAATAGGCTATGGAAGATAGGGAGGTAAGAAATAGTGAGATATGGTAGAGAAGAGACAGAAAATGCGGGCAAAGCAGAGGAAGACTTCAAAGAGATTACTAGCCTGAGGTAAGAGTAGGGGTTTAGAGTAGAGGCAGACACTGTGCAATTCGAATAAGCACAGCACTGTGTTTTACAGCACATTTTTTGGAGCCAGACTACCTAAATTCAAGGCCCAACTTCACTTTTTGCTAACTGGATGGTCTTGAACAGGTTATTTACCTGTGTATGCCTCAAGTTCATCTGTATAATATGGATAAGAGTACTTATAAGATTCTCATAGGGACTAAATGGGATAATGCATGCAAAGAACTTAGAGTAGTATCTAATGTTATGTGTTCCATAACTATAAGCTATTATGTTTATTTATAGCACAATAATAAATTTTACCATTTACTGTACCAAGAATTATCCAATACTTAGACTCTTGAAGTGTTTCATTTTAAAGTATGATAGAAATCAGTGTTTTAAAATATTTTAAATTTTAATATTTGCCTTGTACAGTATGCTATAGATCATATTTAAACTTCTAAGAGGTTTATTAAATGCATTTTTTATTAATCCTCTCTTACATAACCATATGTGGTTGAAGTTAGGCATTAAAATTCTTTACACACTACTACACCAAGGCTAGATTTTTGCTTAATCTGAACCTGTCCACTCTCTACTGAGTCCTTGAAAGCAGTGTTTTTCATGTCTGGCTTAAGGCACAGAAGCCTAGTAACCAAAAGAAAAGTTGAGGACCAGTGTGGTAGGCCCATTTTTTTAATGTATTTTTTTTCTCTTTTTCCTTTTCTGAATTTAATTTATAATTGACACAAAAATTGTATATATTTATTATGAACAAGGTATTTTGAAATATGTATACATTGTGGAATAGCTAAATCAAGCTAATTAACATATGCATTACCTCACATACTTATCATTTAGGTGTGTGGAATAGAACACCTACAAACTATTCTTAGAAATTTTCACAATTGGTATGCCCATTTGAAGGCCTTTTACACCATCTTTGTGTGCTTTTCAGTGGCCATGTACAAGGAGCCATCACTGCACGATCTCACGGAGTTCTCCCGATCTGGAAGCGGGACCCCAACCAAGAGCAGAAGTGTCTCTGGCGTGCTGAACGGAGGCAAATCCATGAGCCACAATGAATCAACGTAGCCAGTGAGGGCAAAAGAAGGGCTCTGTAACAGAACCTTACCTCCAGGTGCTGTTGAATTCTTCTAGCAGTCCTTCACCCAAAAGTTCAAATTTGTCAGTGACATTTACCAAACAAACAGGCAGAGTTCACTATTCTATCTGCCATTAGACCTTCTTATCATCCATACTAAAGCCCCATTATTTAGATTGAGCTTGTGCATAAGAATGCCAAGCATTTTAGTGAACTAAATCTGAGAGAAGGACTGCCAAATTTTCTCATGATCTCACCTATACTTTGGGGATGATAATCCAAAAGTATTTCACAGCACTAATGCTGATCAAAATTTGCTCTCCCACCAAGAAAATGTAAAAGACCACAATTGTTCTTCAAAAACAAACAAAACAAAACAAAACAAAATTAACTGCTTAAATGTTTTGTCGGGGCAAACAAAATTATGTGAATTGTGTTGTTTTCTTGGCTTGATGTTTTCTATCTACGCTTGATTCACATGTACTCTTTTCTTTGGCATAGTGCAACTTTATGATTTCTGAAATTCAATGGTTCTATTGACTTTTTGCGTCACTTAATCCAAATCAACCAAATTCAGGGTTGAATCTGAATTGGCTTCTCAGGCTCAAGGTAACAGTGTTCTTGTGGTTTGACCAATTGTTTTTCTTTCTTTTTTTTTTTTTTTAGATTTGTGGTATTCTGGTCAAGTTATTGTGCTGTACTTTGTGCGTAGAAATTGAGTTGTATTGTCAACCCCAGTCAGTAAAGAGAACTTCAAAAAATTATCCTCAAGTGTAGATTTCTCTTAATTCCATTTGTGTATCATGTTAAACTATTGTTGTGGCTTCTTGTGTAAAGACAGGAACTGTGGAACTGTGATGTTGTCTTTTGTGTTGTTAAAATAAGAAATGTCTTATCTGTATATGTATGAGTCTTCCTGTCATTGTATTTGGCACATGAATATTGTGTACAAGGAATTGTTAAGACTGGTTTTCCCTCAACAACATATATTATACTTGCTACTGGAAAAGTGTTTAAGACTTAGCTAGGTTTCCATTTAGATCTTCATATCTGTTGCATGGAAGAAAGTTGGGTTCTTGGCATAGAGTTGCATGATATGTAAGATTTTGTGCATTCATAATTGTTAAAAATCTGTGTTCCAAAAGTGGACATAGCATGTACAGGCAGTTTTCTGTCCTGTGCACAAAAAGTTTAAAAAAGTTGTTTAATATTTGTTGTTGTATACCCAAATACGCACCGAATAAACTCTTTATATTCATTCAAAGAATAATCTTCCAACATGTATTTATTGAGCGTCCATTATGTGCCAGTAACTGAAGTAGCAACTGGAAGTAAACATTGTATAATGCAGATAAGGTCACTGTCCTCAGATAGTCTACAGTCTAGAGAGTCATATTAACATGAACACTTTAAAGTGTGTTTATTTTACTAGTTACTGTACTTGCACTTCAGATTGGTACAAAGGAATTCACATTCCCGTTCAGTAGTCAAATTATACAAATGAGGCGTTTGTGCTAGTATTTTCTCTGCCACTCACAGTGTCATTTCCCCTCTCTGTTGCTTATTTCTCTCCTCTCTAGAGGGAATACACAGGACTAAATAGTGTCCTTTCTACCTTTGAGAACTGAAGGAAAATGTAAATTTTTTTAAATGTTGATGACTTTTCTCTAGCTCCCCAAAGCTGCATTGTCTGGCAATGAACACTTTGAGAACAGTCAATACAGATGGTCTCTGACTTACAGTAGTTCAACTTACATTTTTTCGGGGGCTTTACAGTGGTACAGAAGCAATAGGCATTTAGTAGAACTCATACTTTACCATACAACCATTTTGCTTTTTATTTCCAGTACACTATTCAATAAATGACATGAGCTATTCAACACTTTTTAATTACAAAATTTGCTTTGTAGTACATGATTTTGTCCAACTGTAAGCTAATATAAGCGTTCTAAGCACATTTAAAGTAGGCTAGGCTAAGCTATGATGTTTGCTAGGTTAGGTGTATTAAATGCATTTTCAACTTAAGATGGGTTTATTGGTATGTGACCCCCATCGTAAGTGAAGGATCATCTGTATATGGAGGGAAGAATTGTGAAATACATAAAACGTAGTTGACTAGTGCTTTTCAGAGCATCTGCAAATAAAATTACTGGGGCCCCAAACAGCCTGCTTTTGCAAGGAGGGGAGACTCCTCATTTCTAAGATGTTTGGACCAGATTCAGCATGAGCTCCTATCCCTGCCCACCCCAGCCCAGTCTAAGTCACCTTGTAATTTCATGAGATAAGTCCTCCTCATCCTGCTTCATCCTGCCTGAGCTCTAAACACACCTACATGAGGTACGCTCACCTGCCTAGCTATCTTGGATGCAGGATCCTTTGTACCATGTTTTAAAAATCAGGAGATGCTCACTCAACCACCTCTCCCTATTAACTCTTACTAATTTTCAATCAGTAGGGAAAAGTAGTGCATTGTCTCCCTCTTTCTCTAAGAACTTTAAAGTTTGGTCACTGACTACTTCAGTTGCTGGTCTTGCTTTTTCTGTTGTTCAGAAATAGTGTAGGTCTGCTGGTAGTAAGCAAATTAGCACTATGTGGGTCTCAGGGATGCCTGCGTTAATAGGATGGAGTCAAAATGCCCAGGAAGAATCCTTTACCCCCAGCATTCTTTTTGAGCTGCCTTAAAGTTGCTTTAAACAGACAGTGGTGTTAAAATAAATTAATAAGTAAATAAATAGTCCTCAAACCTTCCTACAAGTGATGATATCAATACTTTCACACATCTTCATTACACACACACATACACACACACCCTTTCCCACCCCATCCCCTCATGCACATCCTTTAGTAGCATTCCTCCTGGCAGAAAATACTAGTCCTGCCACATAACTGATGAAAGAAAAAAAGACTCTAGTCAAATAGTTGTGGGAAACACTTCAAATACTATTGGGTCTCAGATATTAGCTCACATCAGAATCACCTGGAAGGCTTGTAAGACTCAGATCACTGGACTTCACCTTCAGAGTTTCTGATTGAGTGAGTCTTGTGTGGGCCCAAAACTTGGCATTTCTAACAAGTTTCCAGGTGATGCTGAGGCTGTTGATCCTCGGGACTTTGAGAACCACTGGTATTAGTTCATTCTCACGCTGCTATAAAGATACTACCTGAGACTGGGTAATTTATAAAGGAAAGAGGTTTAATTGACTCACAGTTCTGCATGGCTGGGGAGGCCTCAGGAAACTTACCATCATGGCAGAAGATGAAGGGGAAGCAAGGACCTTTTCCACGTGGCAGCAGGAGAGAGAATGGGAAAGCGCCACTTATCAAACAGATTTAGTGAGAACTTCCTCACTATATGAGACAGCATGGGGAAACCGCCCCGAGGATCCAATCACCTCCCACCAGGTCCCTCCCTCAACACATTGGGATTACAACTCTAAATGAGATTTAGGTGGGGACACAGAGCCAAACCATATCACACTGGCATACACTATTCCTTTCTTCAGGATTAGCGTGCATTAGCAAATTAATTTCTGAAAAGTCTTGTGTTAAAGAAATCTGTTTAACTTTTACAAATGCTGAGACAAACTTATTGGGCCACAAAGCCACATTTTCATGGAGCGTCTATTAACATTGCAGTAGAGTGGTAGTCCTCAAGCTTTTTATGTGTACCTGAATCACCTGTGGTGTTTTATATGCTTCTTTTGTTTTAAGCTTGGCCTGGGAATCTCCTGAATCTGATACCTACTGTTCTATGCCACAGCACTTAATGTCAGTGTTCTATGGCATGGCACTTAATGTCAGTTTTCCACCCCATCTGTGAACGTGTATTCAATCATTATACTGTATTTAGCCTGAGAATGAATATGGAAAAGAAAACAACACTTTCTTCAGGCTTTTTGCAACTTTTTAAAAGCAAAACAGGCTCCAATTCCCCCTCCCAGGAGTTTTGTTTGTATCCAAAGAGAGGACATGCTCATTGCCATGGAATCCTTAAAGGACTGAGAGGGAAGTGATCTGTGGCACTCCTCCCCTCCCTAACCAGTACATTTGTTCCAGTTTTAAGCCAGTCAAGCTCACCGAAGAGTTTTTCAAAGACCTTAGCTACATGGATTTAACTTTACCAAGCATCCATTGTCCAAATGAACATATGAGGGAAAATGAATATCTCTTCATCTACATCAGCTGACCATAACTATGCTGTGGATAAGGGGTGGTGGGATCAGAACTGATAACCATTTTCAACAAATTTCATACGAATGTGTCTTAGAAGCCTCATTTAGATGCGATGTCATTCATGGGTAAAATTGAAATGTGCCTTCACTGGCAGAGTCTTTAACAATCTCTGCAAGACAATCTACGCTTTTTTCTATTGTTTCTGAAAATCCTTTCAACCTCTATTCAAAGCCATTTTCTCACTTTAGAAATTGATTACAGCAGGGCTGTGATTGTCAGTACAAAAATCTGTACAGGGATATGGCAGTGGTATAATAGATGACCATTTCCAATTATAAAACAATTAGCAAAGTATAGCTAGGTCAGGCCACTAGTACCCTTCAAATTCTTAACCATATTTACAAAGACAGCTTTTCATAACTTTTATTGCTCTGTCCACAAAGATGTGGTCTCATGGTTTCACACGATTGAGAATGCTACAAGTAATAGTATACTGAAAAGAACATGTCTCTAATTCTGGACTGCTCTTTATCTCCAAGAAACAGAGAGAGAGAGAATGAAAAAAAATCCCAGCTTAGAGGAATTTTGGAAGTTACTCTTTCATGAACCATCACATTTTCTGGGCCTTTGTAATCTTTAAACACTGTTACTCTTTAGAGGTTGGTTTGAATTTGTTGCACAGAGAACAATAATCTATGACAAATTAATGAACCCTTTTGCTAATATCACATGAGTACAAGTATCTTGTATTTCTCATCACATTTACCGTAATAAAGAATGCAGACAAGTATAATACATGGCATCATTTTGGGGATTTTCCAATTTCTATGTGGGCATACTGGAAGAAGTTTGTAACAGTTGCAATTCTGTCACAATGCAGGAAGTCTTTCTAGAACACACAATGTGGATGATTTTCAGTTTTAGAATTGTAAACTAACCAAATGTCAATTCAGTTTCTCATTTTATATTAGTTTTTGTTACAAACACTGCCTATTTCTCTTTTGTACAAACACTTCACACACACACACACACACACGCGCACACACACACACACACACACACACACACAGGCACACACACACTAGATGGGCCTCCAAAAGAACTCAGAGCTGCTGTCTTCCTCTGGGAGGTTGATCATATGTCTATTCAGTTGGGAGAATGGAGCAGTCAAGTTCAAAATCCATGTGGCTCTCTGGCTTCAGAAGCTATCCTTTCAGCTATGACACACACACTAAATAGTATTGCCCAGGTTTGCCCTACAACATGTTAGCATATCTACATATTTTGTACTGTAATAATGTGTACGCTCTTAATAATTTGTTTTTAATGCTGTGTAAAGTTAGCAATTAGAGTAAGAGAAACGTATGGGATAATGATTGAGTAAAATCTCAGCTCCTTTTGAGTCAATCACTCAGCTTGTTGGCACAGTAGATATTTATGACCTTAAATACTGTCAGCGCTTCACAGCACATTACTGAGGCCTGGATAAAGCATTCACACAAAGATAAATGGATTGAAACTGTGTCAATTTTGTAGAAAAAGATATTCTGGGGTTTAGTAACAGAGAATTTTTCTTTCCTTACTGCGATTAATAAAGTGGAACTCCAATTGCAAGTAACTATTCAGTTTTATGTTCTTCACATATGGAAACCTCTCTGTCACTAATACCCTGGGACAAACTGGATGATTACCATCCAAGTGTTATTTTCTTCCTCGAAAATTTCAAAACCAGAATGAATTAGTTCTCCAAGTCTGGCTATACTATAGTTTTCTTCTTAATGTAAAACAGCTGAATAAAACAGCTTGAACAATATTTGACTTTCATGGGTCTTAAGAACGTTTCAAAATACACCACCAATATATTTACCAACATATTTAGTGCCAGATATACACAGAACAAACACTACCCTATTGTTTCTGTGTGCGTGTGTGTGTGTCTGTGTCTGTGTGTGTGTGTAGCAGGACACTAAATAAACAAGTCATGTTGCTGTTCTTAGGGAAGTTTTGGTAAAGAGAGCTTCAAAGTTCCTTGGAGTCACCTGCAAGGCTAACTGTACTAAAAGCGGAATTTGCATGATCTTTCTACAAACTCTCAGTGTAAAGTGGTAGATAGACATGCAAGCATCACACTTAGATTGCAATAAATGCTGTGATGTAAAAAATACAATGGAGGAAAAATTTTTGATTAGGGAAATTTAAACATTTTCAAAGAAGAGTTAATGTTTCAGTGGAGTCTTAAAAGATGAGTAGGAATTCAACAGCCAGAAGGGAAGTGTAGACGCTCTGTGTCACATAAAACAAAACAGAACAGAATAGTATAAGTGAAGGCATAGAGCTTCACATGAAAGGCACATGAAATAGCACTGGGTATCTCTAAAATATTAATTAGCCTAGTGTAGCTGGACAATGAGGGGCAGAGCCCCTGGTATGCAAGTGATGTCTGGGAAAGGAGCAATCTTTCTACAGTGCCTCATTCCATCATACCTCATTACCAGAAAAACATTATGAGCCACTTAGGCCTGTATTATTTGAGCATCTCTGAAATGGAGTTGCTCTACATGTTTTGTAGAAACCTAATGAGTAATTTATTCTCATCAGTAGACAAAATGAAAGAAAGAAAATAGACTCTGAGCAAAGTATGATTCACAACCTTGCCTATTAGGCTATAGAAGATTGCCCTACTAATTCCTCCTTTTCGTCTGTTGAACAATCTGTATTTTGCCTGCTCAAAAAGGAATTCCTCAAGTTATAGGGGCAGTTTGACCAGTACAATCATATCAGAAAAAAATCAGCAAAATTATGTTCTAACAACATCTTCCCATCTAAAGTGCACATTTTATTTTTTTAAGGTAACATAATTACTACGAACAACCGAAATGGTATATAAAGGTGAAAAATTAAAATAATTTTTTTTACAGCTCCACGTTACCTCACCCCCTAGACCCTGGTAACCACCATTCAACTCTCTGTTTCCATTAGTTCAACTTTTTAAGATTCTTTTTATACAAAGGATGTCATGTAGCATTTTTTTCTTTTTTCATCTGGCTTATTTCACTTAGTTTGCTTATTTCAACGTGCTCTGAAGTTTCATCCATGTTTATGTAAATGGAAGGAGCTCCCTCTTTATATGGCTAAGATATATATATATATTATATTATATATATATATGTATATATATATATTATATATATATATGTATATATATATAATTTTCTTTCTTCATTCATCTGTCCGTGGGCACTTAGGTTGTTCCATAACTTATCTATTGTGAATAATGGTGCAATGGGAATGAATGGGAGTGCAGATGTCTGTTTGGCATACTGATTTAATTTCCTTTGGATATATAACCAGAAGTGGGAATGCTGGATCATACAGTAGTTCTATTTTTACTTTTATGAGGATCTCCATACTGTTTTACATAATGGCTTACTAATTTACATTCCCATAAACAGTGTACAAGAATACCTCCTTGCCAACACATTATCTTTTAAGTTTTGGATAATATTATTCCTATTAATAACATGTGTGATATTACATTGTGGTTTTGATTTGCATTTCCCTTATGATTAATGATGTTAAGTACCTTTTCAGATATATGTTGGCCATTTGTATGTCTTCCTTGGAGAGATGTCTATTCAGCTCCTTGGTCCATTTTTCAAAATACAGTTTACTTGTATTTTTGCTATTGACTTGTATGAGTTCCTTATATATTTTGGATATTAACCCCTTATGAGAAATATGGTTTGCAAATATTTTCTCCTATTCTGCAGGTTGCCTTTTCGTTTTGTCGATTATTTCCTTTGCTGGGCAGATAATTTTTTTATTTTATTTTTTGAAACAGTGTCTCACTCTGTCACCCAGGCTGGAGTGCAGTGGTGTGATCATGTCTCACCACAGCCTTGACCTCCCCAGGATCAGGTGATCCTCCCACCTCAGTTTTTGTATTTTTAGTAGAGATGGAGTTTCACCCTGTTGCCCAGGCTGGTCTAAAACTCCTGGGCTCAAGCCATCTTGCCCACCTTGGGACCTCCCAAAGTGTTAGGATTAGAGGCATGGGCCACCATGCCTGGCTTTGAAACTTTTTAATTTAATGTAGTCTGACTTGTTTATTTTTACTTTGTTGCATGTGCTTTTGGTGTTACAGCCAAAAAAGTTATTGCCAAGACCAATGCCATAGACATTATTTCTTATTCTAGTAATTTTACAATTTTAGGTCTTATGTTTAAGTTTTTAATCGATTTTGAGTTGATTTTTGTGTATGGTATAGGATAAAGGTCCAATTTCATTATTTTGTATTTGGATATTCAATGTTTAAAATACGATTTATTGAATGGACTATATTTCCCCATGATGTGTTTTTAGTGCCTTTGTTGAAGATTTGTTGATCATATATGTGTGGATTTGTTTCTTGGCTTTCTATTCTGTTCCATTGGTCTATGTGTCTGCTTCTATGCCAATACCATACTGTTTTGATTACTATAGCTTTACAATATAATTTGAAATCAGGAAATGTTCTAAACTTCTTTCTCAAGATTGTTTTAGATCTTTGGGGACTTAGGTGGTTCCATAAGGTTTTAAGAATTTTTTTTCTATTTCTGTAAAAAATTATATTAAGATTTTGATAGTGCTTGCATTGACTCTGTAGATCACTTTGGTTAGTATCAACATTTTTGCAAAATTAATTCTTCCAAACTATGAACACAGGATACTGTTGCACTTATTTCTCTTCTTCAATTCCTTTCATCAGTATCTTATAGTTTTTAATGTACAGATTTTTCACCTCCTTGGTTAAACTTATTCCTAAGTACATTTTCCTTTTTGATGCAATTGCAAATGGGATTGTTTTTCTAATTTATTTTATTTTGTTTGTTTGTTTGTTTGTTTGTTTTTGAGATGGAGTCTTGCTCTGTCACCCAGGCTGGAGTGCAGTGGTGTGATCTTGGCTCACCACAACCTCTGCCTCCCGAGTTAAAGGGATTCTCTTGCCTCAGCCTCCCGAGTAGCTGGGATTATAGGCGCCTACCACCATGCCTGGCTAATTTTTGTATTTTTAGTAGATAGAGATGGGGTTTCACCATGTTGGCCAGGCTAGTCTCAAACTCCTGACCTCAGGTGATCCACCTTCCTCGGCCTCCCAAAGCGCTGGGATTACAGGCGTGAGCCACTGCACCCAGCCACTAATTTATTTTTTGGATAGTTCATTGTTAGTGTACAGAAACAACTGATTTTTTATGTTGATTTTGTATCAACATTGGTGAATTCCACCCAACATTTGAGGAAAAACTAATACCAATCCTTCTCAAAATCTTCCAAAAAAATGAAGAGGAAGGAGCACTTCCAAACTCATTTTATGAAGCCAGCATTATTCTCATACCATTCCAGACAAGGACACTACAAGAAAAAAAATTACAGGCCCAAATCCCTGTTGAACATAGATGCAAAAATCCACAACAAAATACTAGCTAAAAGAACTTAACATCACATTTAAAGGATCATTCACCATAATCAAGTGGGATTTCACCAATTTCACTTGGGTAGAATTCACCAATGTTGATAAAAAAATCAACATAAAAATCAGTTGTTTCTTCACACGAACAATGAACTATCCAAAAAATAAAGAACACAATCCCATTTGCAATTGCAAAAAAATACTTAGAAATAAATTTAGCAAAGGAGGTGAAAGATCTTTATATTAAAAACTATAAAATATTGATGAAAGTAATTGAAGAAGACAAATGGAACAGATCCCTTTGTTCATAGATTGGAAGAATTAATATTACAGAAATGTTAATACTAACTAAAGTGATCTACAGAGTCAATGCAAGCCCTATCAAAATCTTAATCGAATCTTTTACAGAAATAAAAAAAAATTCTAAAATTCATATGGCACCACATAAGTCCCCAAAAATCTTTACAACTTCACTGAATTTATTTATCACTTCTAACATTTTTCTGTTGGAGTCATTGGGTTTCTGTATTGAAGAGCATGTGATTTGAAACAGACCATTTTACTTCTTCCGTCCTGATTTGCATGCATTTTATTTCTTTTTCTCGACTTATTGCTCTAAGCAGAACTTCAAGTACCATGTGGAATAGAAGTGGCAAGAGTGAGCATTCTCTTCTTCATCCTGATTTCAGAAGAAAAGCTTTCAGCATTTCACTACTGACTATCACGTTAGATGTGAGTTTGTCATATATATGGCCTTTGTTATATTTAGGGATATTCCTTCTCTACCTAATGTTTTGAATGTTTTCATCATGAAAGGGTGTTGATTTTTTTTCAAATGCCTTTTCTGTATCTGTTAAAATGATCATATGATTATTATCCTTCATTGTCTTATTGTTCATATTTATTGATTTGAGTATGTTGAGCCATCCTTTTATCCCAGGGATAACTCTCACTTGATTATGGTGAATGATCTTTTTAATGTGATGTTAAGTTCTTTTAGCTAGTATTTTGTTGTGGATTTTTGCATCTATGTTCAACAGGGATTTGGGACTGTATTCCTTTTTTTTCTTGTAGTGTCCTTGCCTGGCTTTGGTAGGAGAATAATGCTGGTTTCATAGAAAAATGAGTTTAGAAGTGTTCCTCACTCTTCTTTTTTTTTTGGAAGATTTGAGAAGGATTGATATTAGATTTTCTTTAAATGTTGGGTAGAATTCACCACTGAAGCCATCTGGTTCTGGGCTTTACTTTGTTGGGAAGTTCTTTTTTAAAAAATTGCTGATTCAATATTCTTTTTCATTATTGCTCTCTACAGATTCTCTATTCATGATTCAGTCTTGCTAGGTTGTGGTATGTTTCTAGAAATTTATCTGTTTCTTCTAGATTACCCAACTTGTGTATAATTGTTCATAATAGTCTCTAATGATCATTTATATTTCTATGGTATCAGTTGTAATGTCTTCTCTTTCATTTCTGATTTTATTTGTTTATGTCTTTTCTCTTTCACTCTCAGTTACTCTAGCTAAAGGCTTGTCTGTTTTTTAATCTTTTCAAAAAACAACTCAGTTTTATTGCTCTTTTTTATTTTTCTAGTTTCTATTTCACTTTTTTCTGTTCTGATATTTACTTCATTCCTTCTTCCGACTTTGGGATTAGTTTATGGTTCTTTTATAGTTCCTTGAGGTGTAAAGTTAGGTCGTTTATTTGATTTTTTTTTTCTTAATGTAGGCATTTATCACTATAAACTTCCTTCTTAGAAATGCCTTTTGCTGCATCCCATATATTTTGGTATGTTGTTTTTCCACTTTTGTTTGTCTCAAGTTTTTTAAATTTTTCTTTTGATTTGCTCTTTGATTCTTTGGCTATTTAGGAGTGTATTGTTTAATTTTACAGTTTTCCTCCCTTTACTGATTTCCAGTTTCTTAGCATTGTGGTCAGAAAAGATATTTGGTATGATTTCAATCTTCTTAGTTTTGTTAACACTTGTTTTGTGGCCTAACAGTTGATGTATCTTCAAAATGTACCTGCGCAATTACTTGGGACGAATGTACATTCTATTGCTTTTGGAGGGAATGTTTTGTATCTGTTAGGTCCATTTGGTCTAAAGTGTAGTTCAAGTCAATTCCCTATTGATTTTCTGTCTGGGTGATCTGTCCATTGTTGAAAGCTGGGTATCAAAGTCTTCTACTACTATACTATTACAGTCTATATTTCCTGTTCATATCTATTAATACCTGCTTTATATATTTAGGTGATCCAATGTTGGGTGTGTATATATTCAAAATTGCATCTTGTTGATGAATTGACTCATTTATTTTTATATAATGGCATTCTTTGTCTCTTGTTACAGTTTGTGACTTTAAGTCTGTTTTGTCTGATATAGTATAGGTGTCTCTGCTTCTTTCTGGTTTCTATTTACATGCAATATCTTTTTAATCTCTTCACTTTCAGTTTATACGTGTCCTTGCAGCTAAAGTGACTATCTTATAGATAGCAAGTACTTAGTTCTTCCTTTTTCATCCATTCAGCCACTCACTGTCTTTTGATTAGAGAATTTAATCTACTTACATTAAAATTAATTATTTATAGGTAAAGACATACTATTGCTACTTTGTTAAATGTTTTTCAGCTGTTTTGTAAGTTTTTTTGTTTCTTTCTTCCTCTCTTGCTGTCTTTCTTTGTGATTGATGATTTTCCTGTAGTACTATGGTTTGATTTCTTTTTTTTTAATAATTTTTATTTTTATTTTAAGTTCCAGGGTACATGTGCAGGATATGCAGGTTTGTTACATAGGTAAACATGTGCCATGGTGGTTTGCTGCACCTTCAACCCATCACTGAGGTGTTCAGCCAAGCATGCATTAGCTATTTTTCCTAATAGTATCTCTCCCCACACCCCACCCCCCTTGACAGGCCCCAGTGTGTATTGTTCCCCTCCCTGTGTCCATGTGTTCTCATGTTCAGCTCTCACTTATAAGTGAGAATACGCAGTGTTTGGTTTTCTGTTCCTGCAATAGCTTGCTAAGAATAATGGCTTCCAGCGCCATGTGTGTCCCTGAAAATGACATGATCTCATTCCTTTTTATGGCTGCATAGTATCCCATGGTGTATATGTGCCACATTTTCTTTATCCACTGTATCATTGATGGGCATTTGGGTTGATTCCACATCTTTGCTCTTTTGAACAGTGCTGCAGTGAACATATGCGTGCATGTATCTTTGTAATAGAATGATTTATATTCCTTTGGGTATATACCTAGTAATGGGATTGCTGGGTCAAATGTTATTTCTGGTTCTAGATCTCGGAGAAATCACCACACTGTCTTCCACAATGTTTGAACTAATTTACTTTCCCACCAGCAGTGTAAAAGTGTTCCTATTTCTCTGCAACCTTGCCAGCATCTGTCATTTTTTGACTTTTTAATAATCACCATTGTGACTGGCATGAGATGGTATCTCCTTGTGGTTCTGATTTGCATTTCTTTAATGATCAGTGATGTTGAACTTTTTTCATATGTTCGTTGGCCTCATGAATGTCTTTTTTTGAGAAGTGTCTGTTCATGTCCTTTGCCCACTTTTTGATGCGGTTTTTTTTTTCTTGTATATTTGCTTAAATTCCTTGTAGATTCTGGATATTAGACCGTTGTCAGATGGATAGATTGCAAAAATTTTCTCCCACTCTGTAGGTTGCATGTTCACTGTGATAGTTTCTGTCTTTCTTTCTTTTTATATTATACTTGAAGTTCTGGGGTACATGTGCAGAATGTGCAGGTTTGTTACATAGGTATGCACGTGCCATGGTGGTTTGCTGCACCCATCAACCCGTCATCTATATTAAGTGTTTCTCCTAATGCTTTGACTTCATTATTTCTTTCATTTGATTGAGTATGCTGTGGATGTTTTCTGTTACTTTTTTAATTTTATTCATTGTATTCTTCAGCTTCAGAATTTGTTTGTTTGTTTGTTTGTTTGTTTTTCACAGTTTCTATCTCTTTGTTGAACTTATTATTTTGGTCATACATTGTTTTCCTGATTCTACTGACTTCTTTGTCTGTGTTCTCATGTAGCAACCCAAGCTTATTTAAAACAATTATTTTTAATATTTTGTCAGGAAATTTGTAGATCTCCATTTTTTTTTGTTGGCAACTGGAAAATTACTGAGTTTCTTCGGTGGTATTATTTTTGTGTTGTTTTTGGCAGGTGTTCCTTGAAATCTCGTGTTGCCATGTTCACATTTGAAGAAGTAGTCTCCTCCTTCAGCCTATACTGACTGGCTTCAGAAGAGAAACAGTTATACCAGTTAGCCTGACTGGGGATACTAAGACTCTTGCACATCTTTTCTGTAGATGTGTCACTCAAGCTCTTTTTGAGAAATTTTAAGATCATCTGTATTTTCTTAATTTCATAAAACCAAACCAAATTCTGAGAGTTTCCCATTTGTTTTCTCTAACGTGGTGCCCTGAAGTGCTCAAGTTTTTGTGCCTTCTCCCATTCCCACAGAGTCAAGCTGCCTGCTTCTGCATGCACACAAGTTCACACTCGCTGTCAGGGTTTGGGCCGTGTGCAGGGAGCAAGCCAAGGTAGAGGAGAGAGGGAGACATGCAAAGTTTTGGGAGCACCCATGTGTCAGCTTCGGGGGTTTACAGTTCAGGCATCCCAAGCCACTAGTGGGTGGGCCTCCTGATGGAGTCTGTGAAGTTGTTAGTAGTATATGTGTCCTTTTGTTGAATTTCCAGTCTCTGGTTGCTGTGAGCCCCTACCGCTGTTCCCTGCTCACAGCCTCTCAGTCACTCAGACATGATGATCCCCTCAGTATTCTGAGTGGGGATAGAAAGAAGTAGGCCTCTTGGTCAGTGTCCCACGTGGCTAGGAAAGCCAGGCATTCATTTACTACACTCTCCCTTTCACCCAATGGAGAAATCATGAGTCAAAGTTGTATCTCTTGGTGTTGAGTTCTGCTAGCTTGAGAGACGGTTGACATAAGTAGTGAAACTATTTTCTGGTTCTTTTCAATGTGCCTATTCTCGTAATTGTTTTGCTCCATCTGTGAGCTGGACTACCAGACTCCCACAAAGGTACTCTCATACTTGAGTGGTTGTCAAAATTGTAGATAGTGGGGAAATGACAGGAGAAAATTCCTGTTCTGCCATCTTGCTGACATCACCCCAATATCTAAAATGCATATTTTAATTATTTTTTTCCTTGAATAAAGTTTATTTTGGAATTGTTGAGTTTTACAAAATAATTTAAAATATTCTCTCTCTCTCTCTCTCTCTCTGGGGTTGAGGTCTCACTCTGTCACCCAGGATGGATTACAGTGGCACAATCGCAGCTCACTGCAGCCTCGAATTTCTTGGGTCAAGTGATCCTCCCACTTCAGCCTCCCAAGTAGCTGGGACTACAAGGCGTGTGCCACCATGCCCAGCTAATATTTTTACATTTTTTGTAGAGATGGGGTCTCACTATGTTGCCCAGGTGGGTCTTGAACTCCTGGCATCATGTGGTCCTCCCACCTCCACCTCCCAAGTCCTGAGGATACCAATTGTGAGTCACTGTGCCCAGCTATCCCCTTCTCACTCTCTTTTTCTCTCACACACATGTGTGCATGCACAGACACACACACCTCATGTTCATTCTCTTTACCATGATGATCCTTGGTTCTTTTACACAGCTTCTTTCAGTTTACCTTACAATTTAGCTCAACACAAATTTTAAAAAACTTATAGTTACAATTTAATTTGGCTTGGTCCACACCTCTAACAAATTTGATACAATCTCCAACTTACGGTTGCAAGTTAGTTGATTATATTCACTTCCAAGTATTTCCCCCAACATTTCATTATGAAAATATATCCATCAATTAATGCTCTTATCTATAAAATAATTATTTTTTTGCATTTCAAAATAAGTTACAGACATCAATGCACTTCATCTTTAAACCCTTTATCATGCATATCAGGAAGTAGAGTTTAATATTTCTATATTTCTTGGGGGAGAAATGGAGCTAAAATTATATACTGTATCATATACAAACCTGTTAGGTATATCAATTCATGTGTATTGACAAATGCGTGCACCATGTAACAGAAACTCCTTTCAAGATATAGAATATTCCTATCACTACAAATATTAATCACCAAAACAATGGGGAGAATGTCTCTAGGGCATGTCAGAGACCTTCACTGCAGCCTCTCCCATTATAGGCCAGGAGGCCTTGAAGGAAAAAAATGGTTTAGTGGGCCAGGCCTCAGGCACCCCCCCTTGCTCTTTGCAGCCTTGAAACATGGTACCCTGCGTCCCCAGCTGCTTCAGCTTCAGCTGTGGCTAAAAGGGGCCAACATACAGCTCAGGCCATTGTTTCAGAGAGTGCAATCCCCAAGCTTTGGCAGCTTACACATGGTGTTGGGCTTGCAGGAGCACAGAAGTCAAGAATTGAGGTTTGGGAACCTCTGCCTAGATTTCAGAGGATGTATGGAAATGCCTGGATGTCCAGACAGAAGTCTGCTGCAGGGGTAGAGCTCTCAGGGAGAACCTCTGCTAGGGCAGTGCAGAAGGGAAATGTGGGGTTGGAGCTCCCCCACAGAGTCTTCACTGGGGCACTGTATAGTGGAGCTCTGAGAAGAGGGCCATAGTCCTCCAGACCCCAGAATGGTAGATCCACCAATAGCTTGCACCATGCACCTGGAAAAGCCACTGGCACTCAACACCAGCCCATGAAAAGAGCTGTGAGGGTGGCTGCATCCTGCAAAGCCACAGGGGAAGAGCTGCCCAAGGCTGTGGGAGCCCACCCCTTGCATCATTGTGACCTGGATAGATGTGAGACATGGAGCCTAAGGAGATCATTTTGGAACTTTAAGCTTTAACGACTGCCCTATTGGATTTTGGACTTGCATGGGCCTATAGCCCCTTTGTTTTGGCCAACTTCTCCCATTTGGAATGGGTATTTTTACTCAATTCCTGTACCCCCATTGTATCTTGGAAATAACTAACTTGCTTTAGATTTTACAGGCTTATAGGTGGAAGGGACTTGCTTTGTCTCAGATGAGACTTTGGACTTGGACTTCTGGGTTAATGTTTGAATGAGTTAATACTTTGGGGGACTATTGGAAGGGCATGATTGTGTTTTGAAATGTGAGAACATGAGATTTGGGAGGAACTAGGGTCAGAATGATATGGTTTGGTTTTGTGTTCCCACCCAAATCTCTCCTTGAATTGTAATAATCCCCATGTGTCAGGGGTGGGACCAGGTGGAGGACTGAATCATGGGGGTGGTTTCCCTCATGCTATTCTCATGATAGTGATTTATAACAGATCCAATGGTTTTATAAGCATCTGGCATTTCCCCTGCTGGCACTCATTCTCTCTCCTGCCACCCTGTGAAGAGGGGCCTTCCACCATGATTGTAAGTCTCCTGAGGCCTCCGAAGCCATGCGGAACTGTGAGTCAGTTAAAACTCTTTCCTTTATAAATTACCTAGTCTTGGGTATTTCTTTATGGAAGCATGAGAATGAACTAATGCACAGGGTAAAAATTTAAAAACAAACATACAAATGCAAGTAAACAAGCCAATATTTCAACTGTTCCCATTGCATTATCCTTATTCTTTATCTATGGTACCAGAAAATAATACATCTGAAACAATTTTTTTTTCCTGCCATGATGTACACTCAAGTGGGTCCACTGGGGTTTCTTTCAGTTTCCCAAATACTAGATATGACTCTTCCCTATACCTTATCTTCATATGAAGAAAGCTATGAGAATATATTAATAACTGAATATAGTAACACTACTATAGGAATAAGCATGTGTATATTCCAACTGATCTTTTAAAACTTTTATTTTGAAATATTTATAGATTCAAAGGAAGATGCAAAGAGTATAGGGAAGTGCTATATGCCCTTTATCTAGTTCCTCTAGTGGTATCAACTTACATAACTGCAGTATCATATATAAACCAAGAAATTGGCATCTGTATAATCCACAGACATTACTCAGACTTCTCTAGTTTTACATACACTAATTTGTATGTGTGTGTGTGTGTGCGTGCACGTTTATGTGTGTAGGTCTATGCAATTTTACCACATGTGTATATTTGGGTAACCACTACAATGATCAAGATATGGAACTGTTCCGTCACCACTAAGATCCCTTGTGCTATTCCTTTATAAACATCTCCCTGTCATCCTTTTTCACCCATAAAAGCTAGTAAACACTAATCTGTTCTTCATCCTTATAATTTTATTATTTCAGAATTGTTATATAAATGTCATCATACAGTATATAACACATAGAGATTGGCTTTTGTCACTCAGCACAATTCCCTTGAGATGCATCCAAACTGTTGTGTATATCAGTAATGCAATATGTTTAATTTCTGTGTAGTATTCCATGGTAGAGATGTGCCATAGTTTAACTATTCACCTGTTGAACAACATTTGTGTTCTTTCTACTTTTGGGCTATTACAAATAAAGTTGCTATGAACATTCATGTATAAGATTTTGTGTGATCATTGGCTTTCATTGCTCTAAGACAAATTAATAAGCATTTCTGAGTTATATAATAATCACATATTCAGTTCTGTAATATATTGCCAAACTTTTTTAAAGTAGCTATATTTTTCATGTGTTTATTTTCGATACATATATCCTATTTTACAAAATGATTGTTGATGAATTTTCTCTATATTCTATTGGATGTTTTAAGAAATTTTCATTGAGTTTTCAGAGTTTGCTATATAGTCCAGTTATGAATCCTTTGTCAGATGTGTAGTTTGCATATTTTCTTCCTGTGGTTAATTACTAAAATTGCAGTGTAAGAACTTCTGAAAACCCTTTCATCCATAAAAGCAATAAGAACACAGGTGAAAATTCTAAATTAACTTGTTCATAACTCTGGAAATTAACTAAAAACTTGTAAGAATTTGAGAAGTCTTTATTTTAGAAAATTTGCTGGATATTGGCAAGAACAGTGAAATCTGTGGCATTTTAACTTACCATATTTCCATATTCTTTTACTCAGCTCTGCAATATTCTCAAAAGCCAAGTGCCCTGCAATTATAGTGGCATAAAAACAGCAGTCTGGCAGCCATCAAAAGTGGAAGAATGCCATTAAGGGTGTCTGCCAGCTCTATCCCTACAGAATGTCATCAGGGACCTGTTCTCTAAATATCCCAACCTGTAGAACTTGTCTTTGTTTCACCTGATTCAACCTCATTCAGTGTGAACAGGCTTTTGTTGAAATCAATCCGTGGCAGTTGTTCCACACTGCAGCTGCTTGAGATGTCAACTACAGTTAGGGCAAACACAAAGTTGACTAGAAAAACTTAAAAGGAAAAGCTAAGGAATGAGATGTCCATAGGAGGATTTTAAAAGTTTCAATATATTCTTGGGAATTTTAGAAGGCTGCATGTATGGGCAGGGCTGTGTACATACCTAGGGAAGACTTGAGAAGGCCCTAATTTCTTATATGTGTCTAATCTAATATATGTCCAATCATTAGCTGGCCACTAAGCTAACTGAGCAGAGACTAGTGACCATACACATCAAATGATACAGACTTTACATAATTAGTTCAAGAAAGTCATTAATCAAACTGCAACAACAAAAGCAAACAGAAAAACACCAACAAACTTTAGGAATGGAGAAAAAATCTGATTTTCAGATTTTTCACATTATATTATTTAAAATGTTCAGTTTCAACAACAAAACAACTGAGACATGCAAGGAAACTGGAAACTATGGCCCATACCTGAGGAAAAAGCAGTCAGTAGAAACTATCCCTAAAGAAGAGCTATCAGAAATTTGTTTAGCATAGTTGCTATTTCAGCATCCATTTTTAGTCCTGACATAAGTTGCTCAAAACCTAGTCATACTCTGACTAGTCATACTCTGACCCATTTGGCCTAGTTAAAACTTGCTCTCTCTGTGTTTTTGATATAGCCTGATTGTTCTTCATCTCGCTTACTCAAAACCTAACACATCCCATAGCTGCTGAACATAACAAAATCTAATGATCAACTCCAGAGTCATGTGAATAATTTTCCTGCTTCATACATGTTTTCTTTAAACTAGCCAACCCACAGTCCCTGTGGGAGAGCCTAAGGGATAACACCCATGAGCCTTAATAAAGGCATAGTCCCACATGTCCCCCGAGTCTGTCACCCCTCACCTACTAGTTGAGCACTTCGTTGCCTTCAGGCTTTCTGTGTTCCCTCATGGGTACCCCTCTTCTCCTATGGATCTGAGAGTTTAAAAATGCTTCTGTTATTTCATGTGTTGTATTGTGCTGCCTCCTATGTTTCTCACCTGATTGGCAAAAGCAAATTCTACTTTCCTCTCAGTGAGGCTCTTTTAGAGAACGGCTATCCTGGTAGAAATGAACTGTACACAGTTCAGACAAAAGCCATAAGGGTGTCTGCCAATATAAACAAGTTTCCTGTGAAAAAGATACCTTCCATGTGGGTTGGACATCTAGGTATTAGGCTGTCTTCCAGGATTAAGAAATGAAAGGCACACTGTAATCATCTGCAACCAAATCCTCTGGAACCCCCATCAGAGCAGGGCTAGAATTTATAACCTCTCTCCAGAGAGAGACCTCAAGACCAAACTAAAGGAAAATACAAGAGCAGACATTGTACTTAACAGCAAAATACTTTATATCAGCTATTTTAAATATGTACAAAGAACCAAGGGAAACTACTTCTAAATAATTAAATGAAAGTGTGAGAATTATGTCTCATCAAGTAGAGAATATTGATAGAGATGAACATTACAACAAATGAACTACAAATTCTAGAGTTGATAAGTGTAATACAGAAATAAAAGATGTACCAGAGGGATTCAACAGCAGACAGAAGAAAGACAAAAGGAAGATGAAGAATCAGCTAACTTGATGAGGTCATTGAGATTATCTAGTCTCAGAAACAGAAAGAAAAAAATGAATAAAAATTAACAGAGTTTCAGAGAACTTTGATATACTATCAACCATGCCAACATACATATATGGGCTTCCTTTGGCTGCTGTAAAAAACATTATCACACACTTTGTGACTTCTTTAAAAATGCTTATTCTCTTATAGTTCTGAGGCCAGAAGACTGAAATCAGTTTTACTGGGCCAAAACAAAGATGTTGTCAGGGCCACACTCCCTTCAGAGACACAAGAGATAATCTGTTTCCCTGTATTTTTCAGCTCCTAGAATTTCATTCCTATATGTATGGCCCTTTCCTTCTATCTTCAATGTCAACCATATAGTGTCTTCATGTCTCTCTGTACTTTCACATTCATATTATTACCTTATGCCTGCTGTGTCAAATATCCCCCTGTCTCTCTCATGTAAAGACATTTGCAATTGCATTTAAGGCCCTGTGATTAATCTAGGATAATCCCATCATCTCAAAATATTTAATTTAATCACAGTGAAAAATATCTCTTGGCATTTAAAGTGATATTCTCAAGGTTCTAGGGATTAGGTCCTGGATATCACTGAGGGTCATTATTCAGTCCAACACAATATGCTTAATAGAAATCCCAGAAGAAGAGAGAGTGAAAGAGACAGAGAGAATATTTGAAGAAACACTTTTCAAAATCTCAGTAATTTGAAGAAAAACTTTAATCTGTATGACCAAGATTAATGAGATCCAAGTAGGATAGATGCAAAGAAATCCCCACAGAAACAGATCATAATCAAACTCTCAAAATTCAAAAATAGAGAATCCTAAAACCTGAAAGGGAGAAGCAACTCATTGTGTAAAAAGAATCCACAATAACATTGACAGATAATTTTTCATCAGAAATCGTGGATGACAGAACACAGTTGGATGACATATTCAAAGTGCTTAAAGAAAAAGACTGTCAACCAACAATTCTCTATGCAGAAAAATTATCTTTCATAAATGAAGACATTAAGACATTCCCAGATCAGCAAAAACTGATAATTTGTCACTAGCAGATCTTGCCTATAAATAATACTAAAGAAAGTCCTCAGGTTAAAAAGAAAAAAAACATTAAGATGGTAGTTAAAATCCATATAAAGAAATAACGAGTACCAGTAACAACATAAAGCAAATACAAATGATAGTATATTTTTTTGTTTGTAATTGTCTTCTCTTAACTGAGTTAAAAGAAAATAGCATTAAACGATAATAATTATAAAACTCTGTTGATGCACTTATAATGTATAAAGACTGAATTTGTATGACAGTGATAGTAAAAAGGAACATGGAGGGAACAGAGATATATAGGAGGAAAGTTTTTCTATACTACTTAATTTAAGTTGTTTTTAATCTAAAATACACTGTTATAAGTTAATATGTTAATTGAAATCCTGAGGGCAAGCACTAAGAAAATAACTTTAAAACATAGCATAAAAATGGCAAAGCAATTAAAGTAGTACAGTAGAAAATAGCTATTTAACAGGGGAAAAAACCCAGTAATGAAGAAGAGGAACAAAAAAGATGTAAGATATATAGAAAAAAATAGCAAAATGGCAGATGTCAATCCTACTGTCTTAGTAGTGCCATTAAAATAAATGAATTAGATATGGCACCCAAAACTCAGGCAACAAATGAAAAAATAGGTAAATTGGATTCACCATAATTTAAAAAATTGTGCATAAAATGACAGAGTTTCAGTTTGGGAAGACAAAAAAGTTCTGAAAATAAATAGTTTTGAGGGTTGTGAATGTATTCATGACACTCAATTGTACATTTAAAATGGTCTAAATAGTAAATTTTAGGTTATATATATTGTATTGCAATAAAAATAAATGGATTAAAATCTCCAATTCAAACGTGGAGATTGGCAGAATGAAGAAAACCACATGATATGTTTAGATACATGTTTTCAAAAGGAACACACTCTAGATTCCAAGACAAAAATATGTTGAGAGTAAAATAATAGAAAAAGATATACTGTGCAAAAAGTAATAATGATAGAGGAGTAGATACTACTATTGAAAACAATGGATTTTAGTACAAAAATTCATACTAGAGAGAAATAACATTTTACAATGATAAAGGCTCAATCCATCAAGAGGACATAATAATTATAAATGTATATGCACCTACCAACAGCACCCCAAAATACAAGAAGCAAAAACAGACCAATGTGATTTTTGAATAAAGTTGTAAAAATTCTAAAAATATGCTAGCTAACCAAAACCAGAAACAAATAAAAAATTTTTATACACCATGAACAAGCAGCTTTAATCCAGTAATGCAAGGTTAATTCAACATATAAAAATAAAAAATGTACCATATTCATTTGATAATGAAAAAAAACACTTGATCATCTCAATAGATTTAGAAAAACCATTTGAAGATAGCCAACACTCTTTTATGATGAAAAATACTCACAAATTAAACACAGAAGGGAACTTCCTCAATCTGATAAAGAGAAACTACAACTCACTTTACAATTATTGATGAAAGACTAAAAGTTATCCCTATAAGATCAGGAACAAGACAAGATATCTGCCATTTCCATATGTTTTCAAAATTTTACTGAAGTTCCTAGCCAGGGAAATAAGGTAAGAAAAAGAAATGGAAGAAATTCAGATTGGAAAGAAAGAAGTAAAACTACCTCTATTTGCAAATGACATGACCTTGTATTGAGGAAATTATAAGTAATTTCCAAAAAAACCTATTAGAATCATAAATGAGTTCAACAATGTTACAGGATACAAAAATCAATATATGAAAATCAGCTGTATTTATGTACTTTATCAATAAATAATATGGAATGAAATTAAGAAAGCAATTCCATTTACAATAGCATCAAAAGGAATAAAATACTCAGAAGTAAATTAAGTGAACGAAGTGCAAAATTTGTACACTGGAAAGTATAAATCATTGTTGAAAGAAATGGAAAAGATGTAATGAATGAAAAGACATCTCATAATCCTGCATTAGAAGACTTTGTATTGTTAAGATGGCTATACTCTCTGTTATTAGTTAGGGTTTTCCAGAGAAAGCAAATAGGAGAGAAAGAGTGGTAGACAGAGAGAGAGAGAGACAGGAAGAGAGGGAAGGAAAAAAAAGAGAAAGAATATTTATGAAGACATTTATTTCAGGCCAGGTGTGGTGCCTCATACTTAGAATCTCAGCACTTTGGGAGGGCAAGGCAAAAGGATCACTTGAGCCCAAGAATTCCAGACAACCCACGACCATATATTGAGAACCATCTCTACAAAAAATAAATAATTAGCCAGGACATGGTTGTGTGCACTGGTAGTCCCAGCGACTCGTGAGGCTGAGATGGGAGGATTGCTTGAGCCTGGGAGATCAAGGCTGCATTTAGCTATGATCACACCACTGCACTCCAGCCTGGGCAACAGAGCGAGACCCTGTCTCAAAAGCACACAAAAAAGAAAACACTTATTCAAGGAGTTGGCTTATGTGATTGTGGGTGCTGGCAAGTTCCAAATTTGTAGGGCAGGCAAGCCAGCTGAAAACTCAAGCAGAAATTGATGCTGACTGTGGAAAGAGAACTTCTTCTTTTCCAGGAAACTTGTTTTTATTCCTAAGGCCTATCAATTCATTGCATAAGCCTCACCCACATTACCAAAAGTAATCTCCTTTACCTAAAGGAAACTGACTGTAGACATTAACTATATCTAGAAAATACCTTTATGGAGACACTGAGATTAATGCTTGATTTGAGTACTACACCAGTTGCCACATAAAACTAACAATCACATTCCACAAATTGATCCACTGACTCACTGCAATTCCTATCAAAGTCACAGTTGCTTTTTGTATTAAAATTTAAAAGCTTGTCCTGAAATTCATGGGAAATGCAAGAGACCAGAATAACTAAAACAATAACAAAGGTGAAAAAAAACTGCAGTAATCAAGAAATTGTGATATTGCTATAAGAATAGATACAGATCTAGCTCCTTAAACTGCTAAACAACTTCAGCAAAGTCTCAGCATACAAAATCAATGTATAAAAATCACTAGCATTCCTATACACCACCAACAGCCAAGCAGAGAGTCAAAACAGGAAGGCAATCCCATTCATAATTGTCACACAAAGAATAAATATCTAGGAATATAGCTAACCCGGGAAGTGAAAGACATCTACAATAAGAACTACCAAACGCGGCCCAAAGAAATCAGAGATGACACGAACAAATAGGAAAATATTCCATGCTCATGGATAGGAGAATCAGTATCACTAAAACGGCCATACTTCTCAAAGCAATTTACTGATTCAATCCTATTCCTATCAAACTACCAATAATATTCTTCCCAGAACTAGAAAAAAAACTATTTTAAAATTCATATGGAACAACAAAAAAAGAGCCCAAATAGCCAAGGCAATCCTAAGAAAAAAGAACAAAGCTGGAGGCATCATGCTACCCAACTTCAAACTATACTACAGGGCCACAGTAACCAAAACAGCATGGTACTGGTATAAGAACAGACACATAGACCAAGGGAACAGAATAGAGAACCCAGAAATAAGACTGCACACATACAACTATCTGATATTCGCCAAACATGACTAAAACAAGCAATGGGGAAATGACTCCCTATTCAATAAATGGTGCTGTGATAACTAGCTAGCCACATGCAGAAGATTGAAACTGGACCCCTTCCTTACACCATATACAGAAATTAACTCAAGATGGATTACAGTCTTAAATGTAAAACCTAAAACTATAAAAACCCTGAAAGACAACCTAGACAATACTATTCAGGACCTAGGCAAGGGCAAAGATTTCATGATGAAGACAACCAAAGCAATTGCAACAAAAGTGAAAATTGACAAATGGGATCTAATTAAACTAAAGAACTTCTGCACAGCAACGGAAACTATCAACAGAGTAAACAGACACCCCACAGAATGGGAGAAAAATTTTGCAAACTATGCAATTGACAGAAATCTAATATCCAGCTTCTATAAGGAACTTCAACAAATTTACAAGAAAAAACAACCCCATTAGAAAGTGAGCAAAGATCATGAGCAGACACTTTTCAAAAGAAGATATACATGCGGCCAGCAAGCCTAAGGAAAAAAAATCTCAAAATCACTGATCATTAGAGAAATGCAAATGTAAACTACATGAGATTCTGTCAACGGTGGAGGGTACCCAGGTTCTTGGCATTTTGAACAAAGAATTGGACAATATCCTCTATGGAGAGGATATTTCCTGTCATAGCTGTAGTGTGAATTGGCCTTATGTTCCCTGCCTCCAGACCCTATTTTCCTGCCTCAATACCATCTCCTACCAGTCAGAATGGCTAAAAAATAAAAAATTAATAGGTGCTGGCAAGGTTGCAGAGATAAAGGAACATTTGTAGACTGTTGCTGGGAGCATAAATTAGTTTAACCAACGTAGAAAACAGTGTGGCAATTCCTCAAAGACCTAAAAACAGAACTACCTTTCAACCTAGCAATCCTGTTGCTGGATATATACCCCAAGGAATATAAACCATTCTATCATAAAACATATATGTGCATATATTCATTGCAGCCCTATTCACATTAGCAAAGACATAGAATCAACCTAAATGCCTATCAATGGTAGACTGAATAAAGAAAATGTGGTACATATACACCATGGAATACTATGCAGCCATAAAAACAAATGAGATATGTCCTTTGCAGGAACGTGGATGGAGCTGGAGGCCATTATTCTTAGGAAACTAATGCAGGAACAGAAAACCAAATACTGCATGTTCTCACTTGTAAGTGGGAGGTAAATAATGGGAACACATGGATACCTAGAGAAGAACAACACACACTGGAGCCTACCAGAGGTTAGAGGGTGGGAGGAGAGAAGATAGACGATGATAAAAAGTAACTAATGGGTATTAGGCCTGATGCCTGGGTGAGGAGATAATCTGTTCAGCAACACCCCCTCACTCTGACACAAGTTTACCTATATAACAAGCCTGCACATGTACCCCTGAACTTAAAATAAAAGTTAAAAAAGAATAGATATAGGTCAATGGAATATAATTAACAGTACAAAAATAAACTCTTACACTTATTGTCAATTGACTTTCATCAAGAGTGCCAAGATAATTTAATGGAAAAAGAAGACTTTTTCAACCAAAGGTTCTGGGATAACTGGATATCTAGACACAAAAGAATACAGTTGGACAACTTGCTCAGATCATGCATAAAAATTAATTCAAAATATAAACAATATCTAAATATAAGATATAAACTTTAAAACTCTCAGAAGAAAATGTAGGCATAAACATTTACAACTCTAGACTGGGCAAACCTTCTTAGATATGACACAAAAAGCACAAGTAAGAAAAGAAAGAATAACTAAATTTGACTTCATTAAAATTAAATATTTTTGTGCTTCGAAAGTCATATAAAGAAAATGAAAAGGAAACCTACAGAATGAAGGAAAAAAATTTACAAATCAATCCAGAATATATACATAACTTTTGTGATCAAATGTTTGTGATTCAATGTGATCAAATGATCTGAATAGACATTTCTCCAAAGACTACATCGAAATAGCCAATGAGCACATGAAAAAATGTTCAACACCATTAGTCATTTGGGTAATGCAAATCACAACCACAACGAGGTTGCAATAAACACATCCACCAAAATGGCTTTTAAAAAGACAGTAACACATATTGATGAGGACGTGGAGAAATTGGAACTCTCATGCAGTAATGATGGGAATGTAAAATGCTGCAGCTCCTTTGGGAAATAGTCTGGCGTTTCCTCAAAAAGCTAAACATGATGGTGTCATATGACACAGCAATTCCACTACTAGGTACATACCAAAGAAAAATGAAAACATATTTTCTCTTAAAAACTTGTACATGGATGTTCACAGCAGCATTATTCACTAAAAATTAAAAGTAACCCAGAAGTCCACCAACTAATGAATTGATAAATAATATGTCATATTCCATACAGTGGAATATCATTCACTCATAAAAGTGAATGAAGTGCTGACATATCTACAACATACAAACTTAAAAACATGCTAATTGAAAGAAGGAAGACACAAAAAACTACTCTTTTTTGTTTGTTTGTTGTTTGTTTGTTTGTTTGTTTGTTTTGAGACAGAGTTTCATTCTTGTTGCGCAGGCTGGAGTGCAGTGGTGTGATCTCGGCTCACTGCGACCTCTGCCTCCCCGGTTCAAGCGATTCTCCTGCCTCAGCCTCCCGAATAGGTGGGATTACAGGCATGCACCACTACACCCGGCTGATTTTTTATTTTTAGTAGAGACAGGGTTTCTCCATGTTGGTCAGGCCGGTCTCGAACTCCCGACCTCAGATGCTCCACCCCCCACCCCCCAGCCTCCCAAAGTGCTGGGATTACAGGCATGAGCCACCGTGCCTGGCCAACATATTTTATTATACTATTTATATTAAATGTTCAGAATAGGCAAATTTATATATAGAGAGAGACAAAGAGTAGATTCATAGTTGCCAGGGACTGGGGCAAGGGAAGATTGGGAAGTCACTGCTAATTGGTATGGGGTTTCCTCTGGGGTGTTGAGATATTCTGGAATTAGAGAGTGGTTTTGGTTGTACAACTTTGTGTATATACTGGAAACCACTGAATTGTACACCTTAAAAATTAAAAATAAAAAGAAAACTTAAAATGTATACAATTAAGAAACTTCTGTCTTTGAACTAGTATTAGTAACAAAATATGTCTAAAACCTTTCAGAACATATGTGTCAAATGAACACAATTAAGACCCACAGCTCTAGGAAACAAAGAAAGAAAGCACTTCGTCAATGCTCTGGTGCCAGAGAAGTTGACTTCACCTTTGCAGAATTCTTTGGGTTTGTGTGGTTCTTCTTTGATGTTTCATGCAATGACGCATCATTCTGATGGTATACAACTCTATATCTCAAAGTTTATTTATATATTAAATAGGATAAATAATAGTTCCTTTCTTTTAGGTTTCTTATGAAGATTAAAGAAGTTAGATGACACATGGTAAATAAAAATATTAACTATATTATATAACATAAAAATAAAGGTATAAAAATAGGGCTCAAGTAAGAGCTTAATGTTTTTTATCATTATTATTGTTGCTCCTGCTGCTGCTGCAGCAATTATTATATTAACCTTTTTAGAAACTGACAGCAGTATATTACACAGCCCATTGGTCTTTGTTAGACAACCCCTTCCCCAAATGTGTGTCATTATGGGAAAATAATTCTCCTTTCATATATATGTAAAATATACGAAATGTATATTTTATATTATATAAATGTAAAATATATGGCTCTGTAGAAAATACGAAAAATCCAGAAAGGCACAAACTTTTAAAACATAAAAACCACCAAGTTAAAAATAACCGCTGTATGTATGTAAATCTATATCTATTCTACCTATCTTTAATTCACAAGAATGTGGAAGCCCATTTTTGATGAAAGTATGGTAATTCCAAGAAATGTCACACACTGAAACAGATTATATAGTAGACTATTAGGGCTAGAAGGACTCTTAGTTGATTGCCTACTATTTCATGCCTTGAAAATATGTCCCTTTTTGTTTCTCTCTTCTATGTGTTTACTCCTGAGTTTCACACTACAGACATTGGATAGTTTCTATTTCTCAGTATAATTTTGGTTAAAAACTATAATCCAAATAGGAGCACTTTTACACCGTTGGTGGGAGTGTAAATTAGTTCAAACACTGTGGAAGACAGTGTGGCGATTCCTCAAGGACCTAGAACCAGAAATACCATTTGACCCAGCAATTGCATTACGAGGTATATACCCAAAGGATTACAAATCATTCTACTATAAAGACACATGCACACATATGTTTATTGCAGCACTGTTCAAAATAGCAAAGACTTGGAACCAACCCAAATGTCCATCAATGATAGACTGGATAAAGAAAATGTGACACATATACACCATGGAATACTATGCAGCCACAAAGAAGGATGAGTTCATGTCCTTTGCAGGGACATGGATGAAGCTGGAAACCATCATTCTCAGCAAACTAACATAGGAACAGAAAATCAAACACCACATGTCCTCACTCATACGTGAGAGTTGAACAATGAGAACATGTGGACACAGGGAGGGGACCATCACACATCGGGGCCTATCAGGGCATGGGGGGCTAGGGGAGGGATAGCATTAGGAGAAATACCTAATATAGATGACAGGTTGATGGGTGCAGCAAACCACCATGGCATGCATATAGCTATGCAACAAACATGTACGTTCTGCACATGTATCCCAGAACTTAAAGTATAATAATAATAATAGAAGAACAGACTAGTCAACAAACAAACAAATGACAACAGAAAACTATAATCCAAACATTTTTTTTTAGAGATGAGGAAATGGAGAAATTGTAATCCCTTGCCCCTGATCACACACCTGGTAACTGAATCTCTAGGTCCCAAGCCATTGCACTTCACATTGCACCACACTGATCGGACTGAGGGACATTTGATTTAATATCAAGTGTCAGAGAGCAGAACATTTGCATTTGGGACAGATATGTTTAATTTCCCTTCTGAATGTTTACATATCTTCATAAATTTAAGCAAACTTCGAGAACTCTGCATAAGTTGAGACTTGAATAATGCCTCTTTCTAAATATCCACCTATTGAACAAGCCAAGGAATTAAAAGGATGGCAAGGAATTTGTTTCATTTCTGGAAATCTGGAAAGGGTGCTATTCACATACTGGGAATTTCTTCTTAATATTATGAACATGTCAGCATATTGAAGAAAGCTGCAAATCTTAATGTCAACTCTCTTCTGAAAAGACATCACAGAATCATGACCATATGTAGAGGCAATCCCAGAAAAAGTCAACCATTACCACCTCATTTAGAAGAGTAAGGGCTGCAGGCAAGGAGGGATGTTAGGGCAGATGTATAACAACCCTCCTTAAGTACCCTTTGCCAGTGAAGAGCCATAATATCAACAAGCAACTACTCTGGGAGGCTCCATGATTCACAGAGCTACCAGGAGCAGATAGCCATTTGTACAGATGGCTGCATTTCTGACAACAGGCTTGGGAAGAAGGCCAGACAGACAGAGCTACCGAATAACTGGGATGGAAGCTAACTAAAAAGACATCTGAATACAGAAAGCTGTCCTATAGTTCAGTGGCTTACCAAATAGAGGGAAGCTATCACAGAAATATAAAAATCTTCTCCAGAGGTTTCTCAAAGCACCAACCCCTTCTTCATACACTGCTCCATCAATAGTTACTTTTTTTGTGGCGGGGGGGACAGTCTCACTCTGTCACCCAGGCTGGAGTGCAGTGGTGAGATCTCGGCTCACCACAACCTCCGTCTCCCGGGTTCAAGGGATTCTTCTGCCTCAGCCTCCAAAGTAGATGGGACTACAGGCATGCACCATTCATGCCTGGCTAATTTTTGTTTTTGTAGTAGAGGCTGGTCTTGAACTCCTGACCTCAAGTGATCTGCTCACCTTGGCTTCCCAAAAGTGCTGGGATTACAGGCATGAGACACTGTGCCCGGCCATTAGTTATAGTTACTTTTAATACATATTACTTATTACTCTGCTCTCCAGTATAAGGTGTGAGATTTCAACAGCAACCTGGTAGGTATTAAATGTAAACAAGAAAATTGCACTCACATTTGTCTGCATATATGAGAAAAGCTGACCAACAGCACCTACAAAGGTGAGAGGCTATATATTTCAGTGATGTAAAGGCCAGAGGCAGGCAACCCAGGGCTGGTACAGCTACTCAAGGACGTCAACAAATATCTAAGCTTTTTCTATCTTCTTACTCTGTTAGCTTTAGTGTGTAGCTTTTCCCTGCATGGTTACAAGGTGGCTGTATCTCCTAGCTTCATATCTGAATTTCAGGCAGGAATATACAAAGTATCCAAGGGACATGCTGGTTTAGTATGCTCATACACTTACATACATGCTTAGTATGTTCATATAGAAAGTTTGTAGCAAGCCCTCCCAGCAACATCTGTTTGCATTTCATTGACCAAATATTGCCTCATATAGCCATAGTCAGCTTCAAGGCAGTCTGGCAAGGTATTTTAGATACTCTGCTTTTACAAAGAAGGAAGGCAAGCTGTAAGGGTACTATGAATACCTTCGAAGTGTCAAATCAACTAAGTCTATTATACTTTGTAAATGGAAAAATAACAATCATGGACAATATCTTGTCTTGCAAGTGAAAGGGCATACTTTTAAAAATGATTTACAGGAGAAAACAAGAACACATTTTAGATAACTTCTGTTTTTAATGAGCCTTCTAAAAACGGACAGTACAAAATAAGAGACTAAGTATGAGTATGTAAGAAAAATTGTAGGGAAAAATCTTTGCGTATATATTCTTCAATAATATTCATCAGTCAAAAGTAGTATGCATCAGAACAAATCACCTAAAATGGCGAAGTTATGTTATAAAAGGTAGTGACTTCTGGAACCAGTTACAGATTTAACTTTAAGTAACTGAAATTGTGTATAGCTGATTTGTTTAATAAGACATTTTCTTTTGTACCAGGGTGTCTGCAAAAACTCCAAAGGCTGAGATACATGGGTGTCATGAAACATCTTCATTTCAGAGTGCAGTTAAGCCTTCTGTGTAGGACTTGCAAAGGCTATGTCCCCAAACTGGATCTACCACCATCATACATCGCTAAATAATATAGGCAAATACTAAGAATTCTTTGAGAAAATGAAGAGAGTGAAAAATTTAGAGTTGTTGGTATGGTATATAGTCTCTCTCAACCACTTGTGAGAGTAGAGAAAGAATTATTTCCCTCTACCTCACGCCAAGAGAGGGTCACTTCAACAGAACAGTTTAGAGAACTTGACATGTATCCCCTGAAGTTGATGGGATTCAAAGAATGGTGTTTAAAGACTTTCTGAAAAGTCTAAAGGTGAGAAGCTATGACTGGCCAGGTACTCTGTTGGAAGTATGAGGAGAAATGGCCGCATATTTAGAGTTCAGTGGAGCAAAAGATAAATGAATTTCCTGTAATTAGATTCAGTCTCTGGAAGGAAACTGAATGGAGTAGGAGTTCGAGACCACCCTGACCAAAATGATGAAACCCCATATCTACTAAAAATACAAAAATTTTCTGAGTGTGGTGGCATATGCCTGTAATCCCACGTACTCGGGAGGCTGAGGAAGGAGAATTGATTGAACTTGGGAGTCAGAGGTAGAGGTTGCAGTGAGCCGAGATCATGTCCCCAGCCTGGGTGACAGAGTGAGACTCCGTCTCAAAATAAATAAATAAATAAAAAAGTGTAATCAACTTGATCTTAAATAACAGACTATGAAATAACACTGGGGAATAAAAGGAAAAAAGAGGTAAGAAGTGCAAGAGAGTACTTGTAGTAGTGTTCATACAGTGTTTGAAAGCCTAGCATATTTCCCATTCCCCTTTGTTCTGTTAACAATATCACTTGTTCCTTTTGAGAACTCATATAATTGAGCTTCTAATAGATTGACCTTTCTTTAGATGAATACATGAGTGAGCACATGGCCCAGGACTGGCCCCAGTACCTCAATTTCTAACTCAATATGATTGGTTCAGAAATGGGCACATGTCCCAAGCTGGGCCAATCACAATCCTTCCTTGAACATTTGCCAGCATTGTGTGAAAATAGGTGTTCTTATTAACTGAAATCAATGGCTATATTGTTGATGTAAATCTAGAAGTTTTGGGCGACATCTTGGCTATGAAATGAAAAGAATCAGCCAGAGGTGAAGCAAACAAAAAGGAAAGGAGAACTAAGAGAGAGCAATAGAACATTGATGATAGCATTAATATCTCAGACCACAGCATTGCCAAAAACTAGAATCCTTAAACTTTCCAGTTATGTAACCCAATACATTTATTTCCCTGTGATGTATTGGGCATTCAAGAAATAATTGCGTAAATGATGAATACATTCCACCCTCTTTTTTTTTTTTTAGCTTAATCTAGTTTGTGCTGGATTTTCAATTTTCGTCACTTGCCCCTGCAAATAATCTTGACTGACTCAATGAAAACTTGTTCATTTTTCATAGAAAAAATTAAATTGACATCATTTCAATTTGGACATCATTAATTAGTGGAGAATAAGTTAAATTAATCATTGTGAACCAGAGAAATATGACCACTGCAATTTTTATTTATTAATTAGTTATTTTAAGTATTCATCTGCAAGGTATCTGACCCTATTTTCTTCCCAGAGGATGTGCATACAGGACGTGAACCTGACCTGTCCATTGAGAACACTGAGTGCTCCTAGCCAGGACAATTTCTTTAGCAATGAACATGTAATGCTTGGGCTTTATCGTAACATGAATAAATAAATTCGTTTTTGCTTTCTTTTAATGGATGGTTATTAGTATTGTTAATGTTGTTAACAATTAATAATTGTTAATTGTTAATATTGCTGTGCGTGTCACAAGTCACAAAACAAACAAAAAACACAAACATACATACAAAAAACACCTCTAAGAAAGTATATCGGAATCTTGGGGGTGGGTGTGCTGGAAGGAGGAGAAGCATATTATTTGGAAATTAAGCAAGGCTTTACCTGCTGACTTGGCTTTTATTTTGGTCATGATAATTAATTGGATATTTCACGTAAAAGAAAATAAAAAGTAAAAAGAAGCCAAAAATCTAGTTAGCAAATACAAACAATCTTGAAGAAGAAATCAAGTCAAACAACACAACATACAATTCAACGTAAAAAATTGACCCAGAAAAGTTCAAAAGATTAACACTGCAATGACAAAACCAAAGCATTATCAAAGAACAATCTCCATAAATGTGTTGAGTAAAAAACGCTTTATAAATGAGCTGTTTCAAGCCTTCAAGAAAAAAAAGTAATACCAGTTTTAAGATTTTCTAAAATTAATTTCTTTTACAAATGCTTCCAAATATATTTACAGTGCTATCATAACCATGAGATTAAAATCTGACAAAGAAAATAAGAAAATGAAATCATTGACCAATTTCATGAGTATAGATACAAAAAATCTTGAGTTAAGCCCTAAAAACTGAAATCTAGCAAGATAGTAAATGAATAAACTGTTATAATGAAGTATGCTTCATTTCAGAAATGCAAAGAGGTTGAATATTAGGACATTTATTATTATCTTTCTCACATTAATAATTGACAGGAAAAATCTATTATTACCTCCTTGGTTGCCAAAATAGATTGTCTTTTTTTTTAAAATAAAGCTTATTGAAGGATTATTTATCTATAATAAAATACAACTTTCTGCAATTTGTTGAGTTTTGACAAATTCGTACAGAGGTAACCATCACCACTATCAGGAAAATGAACTTTTCTATTATACTTAAAAGTGTCCTTTTGCCATCAAAATCTCATCATAGTCCTATCACCATCAATCCTCCTTCCAAATACATCCAGTGCCAGGCCCAGTCCACCAGTTTAAATTGTCTCTTCTATAGTTTTATATAAATGGAATAATACAGTATGTATTTTTCCTATCTGGCTTCTTTTGCTCAGCCTAATATTTTTGACATTCATTCATGTTGTAGCATGTGTCTGTAGTATTTCATTCCTTTTTATTGCTGAATAGTATTTAATTGTATTGTTGTGCTGATGGGTATTTGTATTGTTGATAGTTTTTGGCTATTAACAACAAAGCTGCTATAATCGTTTGTGCACAACTCTATGTGTGGGCGTATGGTTTCGTTTTTCCTGGATAAAAATGTAGGTGTGGGATTGCTGAATGAATGAGTGTATGTTTAACCTAATAAGAAAAATGTTAACTGTTTTCCAAAGTGATTATACTATTTTGTATCTCATCATCTCACCATCAGTGTGTGAAAATTACAGTTGTCATGTTCTATCTTTTTGTAAATTTTAAATTTAATGGTGAGTGCTGATACCTCCTGTGGTTATATTTGCCTTTTTTTTTTTTTAATGGAGTCTTGCTCTGTCACCCAGGCTGGGGTGCAGTGGCGTGATATCGCCTCACTGCAACCTTTGCCTCCTGGGTTCAAGCGATTCTCGTGCCTCAGCCTCCCCAGTAGCTGGGATTACAGGAAGGCACCATCACACCTGGCTAATTTTTGTATTTTTAGTAGAGATGGGGTTTCGCCCTGTTGGTCAGGCTGATTTTGAACTCCTGACCTCAAGTGATCCACCTGCTTCGAGTCCCCAAAGTGCTAGGATTACAGGCGTGAGTCATCACACCTGGCCTAATCGCCATTTTTGATAATATGCTGAGCATCTTTTATTTTATTTTTTTTCAAAATTTATTTTATTTTATTTTAAGTTCCAGGATACATGTGCAGGATGCACAGGTTTGTTACGTAGGTAAACATGTGCCATGGTGGTTTGCTACAACTATCAGCCCATCACCTAGGTATTAAGCCCTGCATGGAGTAGCTATTCTTCCTGATGCTCCTTTTCCCCTGCACAGCCCCAGTGTGTGTTGTTCCCACCCTGTGTCCATATGTTCTCATTGTGTTCTTATTGTTCAGCTCCCACTCATAAGTGAAAACACATGGTGTTTGGTTTTCTGTTCCTGTGTTAGTTTGCTGAGGATACTGGCTTCCAGCTCCATCCATGTCCCTGTAAAGGACACGATCTCTTTCATTTTTATGGCTGCATGGTATTCCAAAGTGTATATGTACCATATTTTCTTTGCCCAGTCTATCGCTGATGGACATTTGGGTTAATTCCATGTCTTTGCTTTTGTGAACAGTGCTGCAATGAATATAACTTGCATGTATCTTTATAATAGAATGATTTATATCCCTTTTGGTATATGCCCAGTAATGAGGTTGCTGGGTCAAATGCTATTTCTGGTTCTAGGTCTTTGAGGAATCGCCACACTGTCTTCCACAATGGTTGAACTAATTTACACGCCCACCAACAGTGTAAAAAGTTTCCTATTTCTCCACAGCCTCACCAGCATGTTGTTTCTTGACTTTTTAATATCACCATTCTGACTGGCAGGCGATGGTATCTCACTGTGGTTTGGATTTGCATTTCTCTAATGATCTAACGTTCAGCTTTTTTTCATGTTTGTTGGCCACATAAATGTCTTCTTTTGTGAAGTGTCTGCTCATTTCATGTGCTTGCTGACCGTTCATATACCATTTTTTTTGTGAAGTGGCCGATTAAATCTTTTGCCAATTTTTAATTGGGTTGTTTAACTTATTGTAAGGTTGTAAGTATTTTATCAGCATGTTTTGCAACTATTTCTTCAAGTCTATGGCTTATCTTTTCATTTTCTTACTCATGTATTTTGAAGAACAATACTTTTAAATTTTGATGCAGTCCAATTTACTAAACATTTTTCTTGTGGTCCATATACTTTGTGTGCTCTTTAAGAAATTCTTTCCTAACCCAAGATCATAATGGTATTCTCTTACGTCTTCTAGAAATTTAATAATTTTGGATCTTAGATTTAGGTCTAAAATCCAATTCAAGTTAATTTTGTGTATGATCAGAAAAAAAAATCAGGTTAATTGTTTCTGCTTTCAACTGTTTAAGCACAATTTGTTTAAAAGACTATCTTTTTGACTCTGGATTGCCTTTGCACCTTTGTCAAAAATCATTGGCTATATATGTATGTATGGGTCTATTTCTGAACTTCCATTTTGTTCTATTGATCTATATGTCTACCTTTACGTCAGTGCTATTTTGTTTTTATTACTACTACTGGTGATAGTACTAACAATTAATACATTAAGCATTTAGTATGTGTTAGGCATTTTGTTAAGCACTTGACATTCATTATACAATTTAGTTCTCTATATTGATATAGCATTATAGTAAGTTTTGAAATCAAATAGATAAGTTGTCTCATTTTGCTGTTATTGAAAACTATGTTAGCTATTCTGGGTCCTTTGAATTTCCATATGCATTTAAAAATAATCTTGTCAATATTTACTCAAAAAGAGCCCCAAATGGGTTTTAAATGAATTTCAGTATTTACTTCTAATAAAAATTGTTACTAAATTAGAAAAGGTAATTTTCTTACATTTCCATAGCAAGATTATGTCTATCTATCTACCCACCTACCTATCATATAATCTATTTATATTTATGTGCCAACAACCAGTATCATACTCAATGCAAAAATGCAAGTATTTCAAAGCCATTGATGACTACTGCTAATATCACTATTGATTAACAGTACTTTGCCAAAATGACACAGCAGTTAAAAACACTGATTTTGACTTCTGACATCCTGAGTTCAAATCTAGATTCAAAACTTACTAGCTATGAAATCTCAAGCAAGTGGTCTAAATTACCTGGTCCTTGGATTTGCATCTGAGGAATTGGGATGATAATTTTCACTTACTCCTATATTATTATGAGAATTAAATTGCATAATGAATGTCAACTGCTAAACAAAATGCCTAATACATACTAGGTGCTTAATAGACACTGTTAGTACTATCACTATTGGAATTTCTATATAACGCAATAATACAAATAGGAAATACACATTTTAGAAACTAAGAGCCAATCGCTCCTTCTTAAAGTACTTTTTTGTATGGCACCACTTGTTCTTAATTGTCTTTGTACCTCACAGGCCACTTCTTACCATTTCCACTGCTAGGTCTTCCTCATTTTCATGATGTATGCATGTGAGAATGCCTCAGTGCTCAGCCTTTGAGGATTTCATACACAAAATGATCTCAGCCAACCCAATGACTTCAAATTCCTCCCATAAATGGGTGGCACCTGAACTTACATCTCTATCCCAGAACTCCCCCTGAACTTATGTTTGTATAGTCAACTGCCTACATGACATCTCCACTTGGATGCTTAATTGGAAACTCAAGCTTACTGTTTACAAGGTAGAATGCTTGGTTTATTCCTCATTCTAACCCCAACCCTTTCCTAGATTTCCACATCTGCATAAATGGTTAGGTCATTAACTCAGTTGTTCAGGCCCAGAACTTAGGAATTACACTCTTTATCCTCTTTCTCTCATAATTTATGACCAGACAACTATTATCAGTTATTCCATCTGAGTATATTCCCAATCTGTATACTCCCACAACCTCTGACACTACCACCTAGGTCATAACCAACATCATCTATTGCCTAGACTATAGCCTCACAACTACTAGTTTCTATGTTCTGTCCTTCTCCATTACTTTATTCTTCCCCTAGTAGTCGGAAAAATAACATTAACAAATTTAAGCTGGATCATGTCACTTTTTTCATTAAAATTATTTATTGGTTTCTCATCTCACTCATGATAAAAGTCCAAATTCTACAAGAGTATACATATGCTGCGACCCCTACTCCTTCTCTGACCTTGTCTCCTACTATTCTCCCTGAAGATCACTTCACAAAAGGCACATTGGCCTCCTTACTGTTCCTTAAAAATGTTAGACTTGTTTCCGCTTCAGGGAAGCACTTTTCATGTACTCTTCTCTTTATCTGGAACATTGTTTACCCAGATCTAGATCTTCCCATAACTTACTTCCTAACTTCCTCAAGTCTGTTCTCAAATGTCACTTTATCAGAGCATTCTTCCTTAATCACCCCATTGAAAATTGAAAATTGTAACCTTTTTCTGCCATCATCAGTCTATAGCCCCTTTCCCCGTTTTTTAACTCATAACACTTATCATCATATGATATATTATAGATGGTTTTGTTTCATCATTACCTTTCTTCTGCTATGAGGATAGAGTCACCATGTGTCTTGTTCTGTAGGTGGAAATATATTCTCAGTGTGAGGAACAGTCTCTGGCATAGAGTATGTACCAAATAATTATGTGTTAAATGAAGAAAAGAGTGAACTATTACTTTCAAGTAATATAATCACTATGAAAATAAAAGAGAATAATTAATATATTGTTTAAAGCAATAAAACTATCTGTAAAAATTGAATAAATATCAATGCCTTTTTAATCTACCAATGTAATTATTTAGAAAATATAAAGGACAAAAACCTCATCACAATAGCAAAAAAATATTAAATATTAAGAATTAAACACAACAAATAGAGTTAAGTGTTTATATAAATAAAATTATGATATTTGACTGCATAAGAAATAAAAATGCTAGAATTTATATAAAAATAGAAATGAGAAACCAAGAAAGAGCTTATATGTTCAATAAAGAATTGTTTACTTAACAGAGGGCTCCCTTATAAAAAAGGAAACGCTGAACACTAAAAAAACTAAAAACAGTTATGGGGCAGACAATTGTAAAATTGAAATCAATATTAATAAACATATAAAAATGCTCAGTGTCATTGGTAATGAAAGAAATTAACAATACAAGATAACATTTTTATTGGCCTATGAACTGATAAAATAAATACGAAAGTAGTAAAGGTTGGAAAGTTTTGAGGGAATAGGAAATCTCCAAGACTACAGAATGGTTACAAGTTAAGAAAATCATCTCTGAAGGGAAATTTAGTAATATGTATCAAAATAACTCATCATTTTGTATATTCTAAGACTCAGAAACTTTAATTGTACAATTTTAATCTTAGGAACTAAACATAAAAATGAAAAAAAGTATTTTTTACAAAGATATTTATCATGGATTAACAAAAAATTGAAGGCAACCTCAAAAAGTCCAACGATATGGAAGTGGTTAAATAAAGCAGGTTCATCCACATTAAAAATGTGTTCAGAAAAAAAAATCCAATTCAGTAAAACAAACTGTTATGTAACAAACTGCTCACAAGAGTATCCATGGGTAATTATTATTTTCTATATGTTTCTACATTTCCATATTTTAATTAGTATATACCACATTAATATTCATAAAAAATAATAAATATTATTTTATTAAAAACTGATTTCATTTAGCCAGGTATTTGATGTGGGGAAAGGAAAAGTGGTCATCAATGAATTTAATAATTCAACAAATAATTATTGAGCTCATACCATGTGCCAAAGATGGTGTTATGAGAGAGTTAAAACTGTGAACAAAATACACAAAGTCTTCACCCTTACAGAGTAATATTTTACAGGGGACAACATTGGTTAACTATATAGTACATTGCCACGTACTATAAAGATAATACAGTACAGTTAGGTAGTTATAAGTATTGTGAAAACAGTGAGTGGGAAAAGCCACCCTGAGGAGTTACAATGTGAGCAAAGACCTGATCAAAGTGAGATAACCAAGTATGCAAAATCCAGAGGATGAATGTTCTGTCATAATAAAAACATTTAGGTTACATTAGTGGAAATGGTAGAGTACAGATGTTGGAAACCACTCTCCTCTGTAAAAGCAAGGAAAGCACCAGTAAAAACTGTTAATACTTTTTTTTTTTCAGAATGCTGGGAATTAACCAAAGGCTTGGAATAATCAAGAACACTTATTTAAGAAAAATAGCTGCATCTTGGTAAGACCAGAGAGCTTTGTGGCATTTTAGTTTATCCTATTTCCAATCCCCTCTTCCCTGCTGCACAGTAGCCAAAAAAGCAAACGATCTACAATCAGAATGAAAACCAGCAGTTGGCAGCCACTGGAGGGGACAGAATGGGATTGAAGTTTTGTTAAAGCCCTATTCCCAGAGGGATCATTACTTAATCCATCTGGTGGTTCTCTGGAAGACACCACTCCCATGGCTTGTCTTTATTTGGCCTGGGTCAAAAATCACCCAAAGTTAACTATCTTTTCTTGGAGGTATTTGTGGAAAACAATTACAGCAGTTGTTTAAAATCATGTCTGCCTGAGACAGTGGATAACAGTTGGAGCAAACTATATGCTAATCAAAAGCTTAAAAAGAAAGCTGGGGAATGAGATGTCCACAGGAGACTTTGAAAAGCTCTGTTATATTTTTGGAAATCTAGAAAACCATGCACATATGAAGGGCTGTGTGTATTCCCAGGGCTTTAAGCATGGCCAGGACAAACCTGAGCAGGTCCTAAATTCTCACCTTAAGCTGAAGTTATGGCTCTGCACAAGTGGAAAGTGAAAATAAAGTTGTAAATTAACCGCTTGAGGGTGGAAGCCATGCACTACACGAAAACAGTGATCCCCAGCTAACATTGGAGACTTATTAGTGCCAAGTGTTTAGGTAATCTCGGTCTAATCATTACTTGATTACTACTAAGCTAACTGAGCAGAGACTTCAGTGACTACACACAAGAATTTGCTTATAATAAATACAGACCTTAGAGAATTAGTTCAGAAAGTTCACTAAACAAAAAGCAAAAATAACAAACGTCAGGGATGTAGAGGAATCTGATTTCCATCAGTGACACATTATATTATATAAAATCCCAAGTTTTCATCAAAAAATATGATACATGCAAAGAAACAAGAAAGTATGGCCCTTATAAACAGAAAGAAAAGAAGTTAATAGAAACTGTCCCTGAATGAACACAGATGTTACACTTTAACAGACTTTAAACAAACTGTCTTAAATACGCTCAAAAGAGCTACTAAAAATACGAAATTAGCAGGGCATGGTGGCGCATGCCTGTAATCCCAGCTACTCAGGAGGCTGAGGCAGGAGAACTGCTTGAACAGGGGAAGCGGAGGTTGTGGTGAGTCGAGACCGTGCCATTACACTCCAGCTTGGGCAACAAGAGCGAAACACCATCACAAAAAAAAAAAAAAAAAAAAAAAAAAAAAAAAAAAAAAGAACAAAAGGAAGTCAGGCAAGGTGGCTGATGCCTGCACTTTGGGAGGCCGAGGTGGGCAGATCACGAGGTCAGGAGATCCAGAGCATCCTGGCCAACATGGTAAAACCCCATCCCTACTAAAAATACAAAAAATTAGCCAGGCGTGGTGGCACACACTTTCCAGTTGCTCGAGAGGCTGAGGCAGGAGAATCGCTTGAACCTGGGAGGTGGAGGTTGCAGTGAGCTGAGATCACGCTATCGTGCTCCAGCCTGGGCAACGAGAGTGAAACTTTATCTAAAAAAAAAAAAAAAAAAAAAAGGAAACTAGAAGACCAATGTATCACTAAATAGAGAACATAAATGGAGAGAAATTATTTGAAAAAACAAGATAGAAATTCTCCAGATGAAAATAACAATAACATTATACAAACCTAGATCTTATAAATATTTGTAGAACAGTCCACTCAACAACAGGAAAATACACATTCTTCTCAAGTATATACAGAACTTCTCCAGGATGTGCCATGTGTTAGGCTACGAAACAATATAAATAAACATAAAATAATTGAAATCATACAAAGTATGTTCTGCAACCACAATAAAATATAATTGGAAAACAATAACAGAAATAAATTTGAGAAATTTACATTTGTGTGGAAGTTATGAAACACAAACCTATATAATCAATGGATCAAAAAAGGGAAATTATAAAAATGAATGAAAGCAAAGGCACAACATAACAAAATTCATAAGATGCACCTTAAAAGCAGTGCTTAGTGAGGAAATTTATAGCTGCAAATGCCTATAACAAAAAATAAGAAGAATCTCAAATCAATCTTCCACATTAAGACATGGAAAAAGAAGAGAAAATTAAACCCAAAGCAAGCAGAAGGAGGGAAATAAAAGATTCGAGTAGAAAATAACAAAATAGAGAATGAAGAATCTTAAAAATCAATGAAACCAAAAGCTGATTCTTGGGAAAGATTAGCAAAATTGACAAACCTTTAGGTATTATAGATTTACCAAAGGTGAGAGACATAATAGAGATGGAGAGATAAGATAAAGGGGATGTTTCTACTGATCTTACATAAACAGTATTATATGTGGATATTATGGACAATGGTATACCAACAAATTACATAACCTAAATAAAATGAGTTAACTCATAGAAAGACACCAATTACCAAAACTGAATGAAGAAAAAGTATAAAATATGAATAAACCTATAACAAGCAAAAATATTGAATTAGTAATCAAAACACTTTCCACAAAGAAAAGCCCATGCCCAGATGACTTTACTGTTCTTGAATTCTACCAAAAGCTTAAATAAGAATTAAAACCACTATTTCACACATTCTCCCAAAAAATAGAAGAGGAAAAAAACACTTCTCACTTCATTCTATGAGGCCAGTGATATCCTTATACAAAAGCCAGAAAAGAAACTAAAACAAAAGAAAATTACAGACCATTACTCCTAATGAAATTAAATGCAAGACCTTCAACACAATACTAGGAAACCAAATCCAGCAACATATGAAAAATATATGCACCATGACCAAGTGAAATTTATTCCAGGAAGGCATGGTTGGTTCAACATATTAATATCAATCAATGTAATACACCATATTAATTGACTAGACTATTGAAAAAGATGCAAAAAATTAAGAAAATCTAAAACCTTTCATGATTTAAGAAAACCAGACTAACATCAGAAGGAAACTAAAAAACAAAATGTCAATGGACGTCTACAAAAACCAAAAGCTAACAGGAAGCTCAATGATAACAGACTAAAATTTTCTATCTAAGATTGGAAACTCGGCAAAGGTGTCTGCTCTTGTCTGCTTTTTACATAAACCCCAAGATTTATATATAAATATAAGAAATCCAAATAACTAAAAAATTTTTTGAAACTATGTGGAGGACACATGCTTCTTTATTTCAAAATTACTAACAGAGTTACAGTAATTAAAACTGTGTATATAGATAAGTAGAATAGAATTAAAGTACAGAAATAAATGTGTATATTTATGGTCAATTGACTTTAGAGAGGGATGCTAAGATATCAATAGGAATGAATTGTTCTTTCAACAAATGACGTTGGGATAATTGGATATATATAGGCAACAAAACAAATGTGGTTCCATACCTTACATACCATATACAAAATTAACTAAAAATGGATACAGACCTAAATTTGAAATCTAGAACTATAAAACTCTAAGAAGAAAACATAAACATAAATCTCCATGACCTTAGATTGGGCAATGATTCTAGTATAAAAAGCCAAAAGCATAAGCAACAAAAGAAAAAGTAGACCAATGAGACTTCAGCAGAATTAGAAACATTTGTGTTCAAAGGACACCATCAAGGCAATGAAAAGATTGCCCTTGTATAAGAGAAAATATTTTGCAATCATAAGTTTGATAAGGGCGTGTATATAGAATATATATAGAACTCTTACAACTGAACAATAAAAAGTCAAATAGCCAATTTTAAAATGAGCAAAGAGCCCAACCCTGCCGTACTGTGCCGTCATTGCCACCATCGTGAATGCCTGCATGGAGGCTGGCACCCCTGCATCCACCAAGGCCTCACCATAGCCAATGAGAGTACACCTCACTACATTGCCACTGCTGCTGGCATATGCAAGTGAGTATGGAATCTGCTGCCACTGCCCGATGAAGAGCTTTGCCTGGCACCACCCATCAGAGTCCTGTGATGACAGGACTGATAATATCTCAATCACTCCAGCACAGCAGGTTCTTAATCTGAAGGGGCCAGAAAAGAAAGCCAGGGGCCTGGTACAAGCCTGCCAGAGTGAACTTAGCCCAGGAGCCCTGGGCCGAGCCTTGGCCCCCTTAAAATTTTCTAGAAATGTAGCTAGTTGAATGAACCCACCTTATACCACAATCAAACACCTAAGCACATCAAAGAGGATAAAAGGAAAAAAAAAAACATCCAAAGGACAGCAACTCCGAAGATTGGAGGAACATCAGCCTACAAAGATGAGAAAGGTCCAGCACAAAAACTCAGGCAACTAAAAAAGCCATAGTGTTTTCTTACTTCCAAATGACCACACTAGTTCCCCAGCATGGGTTCTTAGCCAGGCTGAAAAGACTGAAATGACAGAAATAGAATTCAGAATATGAATAGGAATGAAGACATCAACATTCAGGACAAATTCAAAACTCAATCCAAGGAAACTAAGGATTGTAATAAAACAATACAGAAGTCGATAGATGAAATGGCCATTGTAAGAAAGAACCAAACTTATCTGATAGAGCTGAAAAACACATTACAAGAATTTCATAATGCAATTGCAAGTATTAACAGCAGAATCAATCAAGCTGAGGAAAGAAACTCAGTGCTCAAAGACTGGCTCTTCAAAATTGTTCAATCGGACAAAAATAAAGAAAAACAATAAAGAAGAATAAAGAACACCTCCAAGAAATATGGAATTATGTAAAGAGACCAAATCTGTGATTCACTGGTATTCCTGAAAAAGATGTGGTGAGAGAAAGCAACTTGGAAAACATATTTCAGGATAACATTCATGAATATTTCCCCAACTTCATTAGAGAGGTCAACACTCAAATTCAGGAAATGCAGAGAACCCCTGTGAAATATCACACAAGCAGTAAGACACACAATTATCAGATTCTCCAAGTTCAGAATGAAAGAAAAATGCTAAACGCAGCTAGAGAGAAGGGGCAGGTCACCTACAAAGGGAACCTCCACAGGCTAACAGCAAACCTCAAACCTATCATCAGAAACCTAAGAAGCCAGAAAAGATTCAGAGCCCATTTGTAGCGTTCTTAAAGAAAATAATTTTCAACCAAGAATTTTATATCCAACAAACTAAACTTCATAAGATAAAGAGAAATACAATATTTGTTAGACAAGCAAATGCTGAGGAAATTCGTTACCATCAGACCTGCCTTACAAGAGCTCCTGAAGGGAGTGCTAAATATGGAAAAGAAAGATCTCTATGAGACACTGCAAAAACACACTGGAGGAACACTATAAAGCAACCACACAAACAACTTTGCATAATAACCAGCTAACTGCATGATGACAGAATTAAATCCACACATATCAATACTATCCTTGAATGTAAATGGGATAAATATTCCAATTAAAAGGCACAGAGTGTCAAGTTGGATAAAGAAGCAAAACTCAGTGGTATACGATCTTCAAGAGACTCCTCTTACATGCAATGACCCTCAGAAGCTCAAAATAAAAGGATGGAGAAAAATCTACCAAGCAAACAAACAAACAAACAAAAAATAAAGAGGGAAGCAGGGACTGCTATTCTCATTTCAGACACAACAAACTTGAAGCCAACCAGGATCAAAAAATACAAAGGGCATTACATAATGGTAAAGTGCTCAATTCAACAAGAAGACCTAACCATCATAAATATATATGCACCTAACACCTAATAATATATATGCATCTAACATCATAAATATATATGCATTACATAATGGTAAAGTGCTCAATTCAACAAGAAGACCTAACCATCATAAATATAAGACCTATGAAGATACTTAGATAACTACACTTATAAGTGTGAGCTAAACATGTAGTACATACGGACACAAAGAAGGGAACAACAGAAGCTGGGGCTTATTTGAGGGTGGAGAGTGGGAGGAGGGTGATGTTTGAAAAACTATGTATGGTATACTATGTTTATTACTTGGGTGATGAAATAATCTGTACACTAACCCTCTGTGGCACACGATTTACCTATATGACAAACCTGCACATGTACCCCTGAATGTAAAATAAAAGTTAAAAAACTAAAAGTAAAAATGGTCAGAGAATTTGAATGAACATTTCTCCAAAGAAGATATAAATGACCAATAAACACATGAAAAGATGGTCAACATAATTAGTTACTAAGAAAATGCAAATCCAAACCACAATGTGATACGACTTCACACCCACTAAGATGGTTACAATAAAAAAGACAGACATTTACTAGTGTTGGTCAGCATGTGGACAAATTGGAACCCTCATATGTTACTGGTTTGAAACATAAAATGATGCAGCCATTTTGGAAAATTATCTGGCAGTCCCTGAAGAAGTTAAACATGAGACTGATATATGACACAGTAATGTTATTATAGGTTCAAGATAATTGAAAAGATATGTCTACACAAAACTTGTACAGAAATGCTCATTGAAATATTATTTGCAATAACCAAAACTGGAAATACTTCAAATGTCCATCAACCTAGTGATAGGTGAATGAGGTGTGATGTATTCATACAATGAGATATTCCTTGGCAATAAAAGGAAATGAAATACTAATAGCTGCTACAACATGCGTGAACCTTGAAACCATTACGCTAAGTCAAATAAACCACACAAAAGATCACATATAATATGACTCAATGTATTTGAAATATTCAGAATATGGAAACTTATAAAAACAGAAAGTAGATTAATGGTTTCCAAGGGATCAAGGAACAAAACAATGCGGTGTCACTGCTAGTGAAAATAAAGTTTGTTTTGGGGTGATAAAAATGTAGAACTAGGAAGTGGTAGTGTTTACACAACCTCACAAATACACTAAAAACCACTCAATTATACACTATAAAATGGTAAATTTTGTTATAGGAAAGTTATTTCTTGGTTTAAAAAGATAACAGAAATGACCTCCAGGTAGTAGTCTCCGTTAAATATATCTCCCAACATTTTAATCAATTTCCCTTAATGGTAACAAATTTCAAGCAAGCACATATCCTAATATATGTGTATTTAATTATTTATAGATTATATACACATATGATGTTCTAATATATCATGTATCTTCTAAAACCTATGCAATAAATGATTAGAGGAAAAATATTGATCATAATTCTGTTTTTTTGGCATGTTCTCATCGGTCATCTTGTGAAGATCCTGAAGTTCATAATTTCCAATTTGGAGTCACTAATCTAGGCAAAATGTGGTGGTGGCATAGATCAAAATGCTAATAATGCAAGCGGTATGTAGGGATTGAATTGAGGATATATTTGAAGGTGGAGTATATTGGATTTGCTAAAAATTACCTAAGCAATTGGGTTTATGGTGATGCTGTTCAGGGAGAAGGGGAAAACTGGAAGTCAATTTTGTGGGTAGAACTCAAGTGTCCTGTTTTGGACATTTTAGGATTTAGATGCTTATTAGATGTGCATCTGGAGGCTGTAATCTAGAGATGAGAAGAAAGACTAGGAGTGAATTCTTGTAGACTGCAACATTTAGAAATGGGACATAAGGGGAGGGAAAACCAACTAGAGTTTGATTTTAAAAAAGCAAATGTGGTATCAGAAAAACCAAAAGACTACAGAGTCCTAAAAGCCAAGTGAAGAAAGTGTTTCAAAATGTAAGATATAATTACCCCATCAAATTCTGTGATTGAATCTTTAATATAAGGACTGAGAATGGATCATTAGATTTGGCAAGGTGGCCGGGCATGGTGGCTCACACCTATAATCCCAGCACTTTGGGAGGCCAAGGTGGGTGGATCACCTGAGGTCAGGAGTTCGAGACCAGCCTGGCCAACATAATGAAACCCCATCTCTACTAAAAATACAAAAATTAGCCGGGTGTGGTGTCATGTACCTATAGTTCCAGCTATTGGGCAGGATGAGGCAGGAGAATCTCTTGAACCCGGGAGGCAGAGGTTGCAGTGAGCCAAGATCATGCCACTGTACTCCAGCCTGGATAACAGAGCAATATTCCATCTCAAAAAAAAAAAAAAAAAAAAGAATTTGGCAAGGTGAGAATTCTTTCAGTGGAATGAAAGAACTATAAATCTAATGGGTGTTTGAGGTGAGAAAATGATGAAAATAAGCATGGATTACACTTTTTAGGAGTTAAGGGCAAAGTGATATGGCATATGTTAAACCAATCTTCCATCCAGGGACATATCCTACTTGGTCATGATGTATAACCTTTTTGATGTATTGTTGAATTCAGTTTGCTTGTATTTTATTGAGAATTTTTGCATCTGTGTCATCAGAGAGATTGACCTATAGTTTCCTTTTCTTGTGATGTCTTTTTGAGGAACTCCCATACTGCTTTCCATAGTGGCTGCATCATTTTACAATCCCACTAACAGTGGACAATGGTTCCAATTTCTCCACATTCTCATCAACACTTACTTTCTTTCTTCATATTTTTAATAGAAGCCATCTGCAATGGGTTGAATGTTGTGTTCCTCCAAAATTCATGTTGAGACTTAATCCTCAATGCAATAAATGGGAAATTATTGGGTCATGAGGCTTGAGCCCTCATGAATGGGATTAATGCCCTTTTAAAGGAGGCTCTAATGAACTCTGGAGTTCCCTTTTGCCCTTCTGTCCTTTCCACCTTGTGAGGAAACAGCATTCTTTTCCTGTGGAGAACACAGCTACAAGGCACCATCTTGGAAACAGAAAGTTTGCCTTTACTAGACACTGAATCTCCTGGCACCTTGATCTTGGACTTCTCAGCCTTCAGAACTGTGAGACATAAATTTATATTATTTATAAATTACTCACTCTGTAGTACTTTGTTATAGCAGCACAAATGGACTAAGACACTATCCTAATAGTGAGGCTAGTTAGAAAGAGAGGCAGAGGACTTATGGCAGTAGCTAGAGGAGTCTGCAGTCTCTAAACTACTCTCCCATGATTCTCTGTCTCCTGGTATTCAAACCCCTGTGTAATCCTCTTCCCTTGAGTTCTGGCTAGATTTAATGACTTACACCTAAGAATAGAAAGTGGCAGGAAGAATAGTGTCACTTCTGAGTTTAACTTACAAAAAGACTGTAGATTCTTTCTTTTTATTTTCTTTTTATTTTTTATTTTTTCTGAGACAGGGTCTCACTGTGTTGCCCAGGCTGGAGTGCAGTGGCATGATGTCAGATCACTGCAACCTCCGCTTCCTGGGTTCAAATGATTCTCCTGTCTCAGCCTCCTGAGTAGCTGGGACTACAGGCATGTGCCACCGCGCCTGACTAAATTTTTTGTATTTTTAGTAGAGACAGCATTTCATTATGTTGGTCAGGCTGGTCTCAAACTCCTGACTCAAATGATCTGCCTGCCTCGGCTTCCCAAAGTGCTGGGATTACAGGCGTGAGACAACACACCCAGCCTGTAGCTTCTCTCTTGATGTCTCCTTCTTTCTCCATGACTCTCTGTGAACACTGGTGTGGGAGGTAGCAAGCTTCCATACAGTGAGAAACTCTATGGAGAGGCCCAGGTGGTATATCAAGGAACTAAGGCCCTCCGTCCAGTAGCCCATGAGGAACTGATGCCAGCCAATAGCCATGTGAGTGAATATGGAAGTGAATCCAGCTTTGTGACCACAGCCTTGTGAGTGAGTATGGTAGAGTCAGGATTGTTACTGAAGATAATAGTTTAATTAGTCTCATGAGAGAAACTAAGCTAGAGACACCATGTAAACTGCTCCCAAGTTTCTGATCCACATAACCTGTGAGATAATGCACATTGCTTTTAGCTGCTAAGTTCTGGGGAATTTGTTACACAGCAATAGACAACTAATATGGGGGTAGGGGAGTGAGGAGGGTGGTTGTGGGGTTTAAAGAGGGTTTTTTAAATGGGAGATACAGCATATTTGTTTTTTCTGTTTGTCATCAATCATTCTCATCAGCATATAATGATATGGTAGAAAGGGGTGATAGTTTTAATCCTTGCTTAGGAACCCTGTACAAAAGTGAAAGGGTTGGTGTTAGAAGCAAGAATGAAGCAGAGTGCACAATGTAATTGGGTTAGTAGAGTTAGAAGTGGGATGATGTGGACATTCTCTTCTGATTGCTTCTATTTTATCAGTAAAAGTAGGGATGTCATCACCTAAGAATGAAGAGAGACAGTAAAACTACATTGGTAATATGTAATTTCTTATAACAACTAACCTCTGGTATAAAGACAGTTCATAGAATTTGAGAACAATAAAACTGTTGCTAGCCGGGCATGGTGGCTCACGCCTGTAATCCCAACACTTTGGTAGACTGAAGCAGGCGGATCACAAGGTCAGGAGTTCGAGACCAGCCTGGCCAACATGGTGAAACCCCGTCTCTACTAAAAATACAAAAATTAGCTGGGCATGGTGGCAGGCGCCTGTAATCCCAGCTACTCGGGAGGCTGAGGCAGGAGAATCGCTTGAACCTGGGAGGTGGAGGGTGCAGTGAGCCGAGATAGTGCCATTGCACTCCAGCCTGGGCGATAGAGCGAGACTCTGTCTCAAAACAAAACAAAAACTGTTGCCAATACAAAGTAACTATGACTTTTGCCAGCTGTAGTCAAAAATGCTTATTTAAGCTTTTAAATATCTCATCCCTCTCCCTAAATTACATAAAGACCTGATAAATATAAACTTTGCCAAAGCCAAACAGAATAGTTATAGAAATTCTCGGGAAGTTTTCTTTGCAGGATCTATCTGTGAGGACCATATACACAGGCAAATAGTACCAAGAATAATACGAATCTGAGTGTGTCATGGGGGACATACTATAGCTCACACTATTGAGGCAAACACTGGGACTGGGGTTGAGATTCTATGATCAATGGAAACCTGGGCCCATTCTTTTCTGGCCAGGGTAATTTGAAGTAAGCCATCATCAGACAAAGTATATCAGAGTTAGAGAACAGGAATTGGCTGAGTCCTAAGCTAAGCATTTTCAAGGGTAACAAAATAATGAGAGAATTAGAAATCCACAAATAAAAGCAGAACCATCTAGGAAGTTCCACATATAATGAGGCTTGGAATTGACATTCTAATAGCACCATCATTGTTAAATGAATAAATAAAACATGCCTCAATTCAAATCCACTGAGAAGTTCTCAGAGCATGATTAAAAGAAATTGAGTGGTAATTTAGTGAACATTGTACTGCAAATGGAAAGCTTCAAAATATTATCAGTTTTGATGCCCAAGGCCTAACTATCATCCCTGAAAAGTTTACTATGATGTTCACTTTTACTTTGCCAGTGTTGGCGGGAAACATTTCAGATATGACTCTATATATTCGGAAGAAAGTTTGAAATGATGGAAACTCAGAATAATCACAATAGCAGCAGTTGAACTGAATTACAAACACGAACCTAAAATTTATTCTCTCTCCAAGACTAAATCAGAGATCAAGCCCAGTGACTGATAGATCTTCTAACTCCATCTTACATTTATTTTTACCTTTTAAATGCAGTACACCTGGAAATCATTGAGCTTATTCATTGTGTGAGGCATTTGAAGCCTAATGTTTTCATATAATAGTGGGCATGGTTACCATAAAGATTAGTTTGGTCTCACAAACTAGAAGTAAGATCAGTACCTTCATAGAAGAAAATGGTGTGCTCTTAGACCACCATAGCCAAATAGATCTCCTCCTCCTCTAATGCCCCACAAAACTTTGTTTCATTCTTTTGGGATTTACTATATTATGCTTTATTTTGCAGGTATTTATGAGCCTAAGTCATAAACTTAGAGCTCCTTGAAGCCATATATTGTCTCATATTCATCATCAAATATGGTAGTCATTATTGCTATTCACCAAATATTTCTGATTCTCTTTCCAGATATGGGAGGAGGTAGGTGACACTTTTCTCCCCCTTGTCAATTAAATGTCAGTGAAAAGTATGTTTGTAATTTTCAAGGGAAAGCTTTAAGAACCAGTATCTAATCCATCACATTCTTTTTTTCTGGCTCAGCAATTATGAAAGCTCAGAGGTGGAGCTCCCCTCAGCATGGGTCTCAGGAAAGCTTTCTGGATTTTAATCCAATGTGGTTATTGAGAAGATATTGAAGCCATAATAATACACTCAAAATCTGTCAGTTTTCCTAATCACAGCCTAAACTACCTCTGGGATGAATTTGACCACAGAGGTGTTCACTATATCTTTAAAATCTGTGATGCTCGGAGATCAGTACCTTGCATCTACACAAGTACCCCCATCAGAACAACTGCCAACTCCTAATTTTGTATGCAAGAATGCTACATGTTCCCAACATTCAAGAACCCATGAATATTCCATCTCTTCAGTATTGGGGAATTCAGCTCTGAAACAATTTCACTTATCAAACTGGGCTTATAACTTTGTGAAGCTAGAGACATCTGAAAGCAATAAAACTAAAATGCGAAACCCTCAAACCACTAGCAGAACATTTGCATCAAGAAAATTAGAGCTACTCATTGGATACATACTAGGAGAAACAGTCACTAATATATAAAAATTTTAAAACTTACACAAGTTGAATCAATCCGGAAAAACAAAATGCCAAAACTGTCACAACAATTTGAAAACTTCATTAAACTAATTACATTAAAGAAATGAAATGATAAGGCAAAGGCTTCCCTTCAGATGAGCACCAGACCCAAATTTTTTTTATAGCTAGGTTTTTACTGACTTTCCAAGAATAGTCAACCCCATCTGTATTAGTCCATTTTTACACTGCTGATAAAGACATAACCAAGACTGAGAAGAAAAGGAGGTTTAATTTGACTTACAGTTCCACTTGGCTGGGGTGGTCTCACAATCACGGCAAAGGGTGAAAGGCATTTCTTAAATGTCAGCAGCAAGAGAGAAATGAGGAAGAAGCAAAAGTGGAAACCCCTGATAAATCCATCAGATCTCATGAAACTTATTCACTATCACGAGAATAGCATAGGAAAAACTGGCCCCCATTATTCAATTACCTCTCCCTGAGTCCCTCCCACAACACATGGGAATTCTGGGAGATAAAATTCAAGCTGAGATTTGGGTGGGGACACAGCCAAACTATATCACCACCTGATACAAATTTTTGCAGAGAAACTAATATTATTAGACTCTCATAGCCTTAATACCAAAACCAGTTAAACATATTATAAAAAATTAAGAAATTCAAAGACTGTTGATATTAAAATTATTAACATAGTGTTAGGTAGCTGTATTCAAGTATAGGAAAAAATAACATGTTGTGACAAAATAGGATCTACCTCTGGGACAAAAGAATACTTTAGTGCCAGAAAAATTTTGTCAATGTAATTTCCACTTTAACAGACCAAAAGGAGTCTCTCTTCATGATAAAAGTATTTACCAAATTAATAATAGAATGAAATATTTCTAACTTCATAAAATATATATACCAAAAACCCAAAGCAAGCACATTTTTTTTTTTTTTGAGATGAAGTCTCGCTCTTGTCCCCCATGCTGGAGTGTGATGGGGGGATCACGGTTCACTGCAACCTCTGCCTCCCGGGTTCAAGAGATTCTCCTGCCTCAGCCTCCTGAGTAGCTGGGATTACAGGTGCCTGCTACCATGCCCGGCTAATTTTTGTATTTTTAGTAGAGAAGGGTTTTCACCATGTTGGCCGGGCTGGTCTCGAACTCCTGACCTCAGGTCATCTGCCCGCCTAGGCCTCCCAAAGTGCTGGGATTACAGGCATGGGCCACCGCACCCAGCCACAAGCACTTTTTAAGACAGAAAGCACATACAAATTTTCTGTAACGTTAGAAACTAAACAAGGATGCTGACTATCATTACTATGTTTTATGATAGCACGTTGTTTCTGATATAATGTGTATTTTGAAAACACACTTTTTTCTAGCATGATTAATATATCAAAACAATTTGAGTGTAACATGCATTTTGTGTTTTCTTATGCATGATTTCTTCCAGGAGAAACACTAGGCAAACACAGGAAACCATACCCAGCTGAACTGAACCAAAGAGGAGTAAACAAAACATGTGTTTGTGCTCACTCTCTCTCACACAAACACATTCACAAACTTCAACATCCACCAGCTCTCTCAGTTTACTCCGTGCTTATGAGCCACGCTTGCTCACATCTGGCATTCCAACTTTCTACCTGATTTCAGATAATCCTCCTACCATTTCACAAAAACTCACAAGCTGCAATACTTCCACTACCCATGTCCACAAACTTACTTCAAATCTTTTTCAAGGTAAAATGCCATATTTATTGGTGCATTCATATATTTCCTAACCATTTAACATGTAAAAATCTGTAATACCATTTATTTTAAGTTCTTAAAATTATTTTTTAAAATGTGTCCCTGATGAAGTTTTCAAATGTTGTGACCCTAACCCCATTTGTCCACAAGCCCTGTGATATTTATTGAATAATTTTGTATATCATTGTGCTTTTTAGGAATTCATATTCCCTGTTAGAACAGAACAGACTGTATTAGAAGTCCTGATCAATGCAATAAGAAAAGTAAAGAAAATAAAAGGTATTAATACTACAAGAGAAAAGAGTGCTGTTATTTGCAGATGGTATGATAATTTTCACGGAAAGTTGAAGAGAATCCCCAAACTATTAGAACTAGTTGAAGAGTTCAAAAAGGTTGCTGAACACAAGTGAACATAAAAATCAATAGCATTTCTCTAGATCAATAACTAATTAAAATAGAAAATAAGATAAAATTTACAATAGCAGAGAACACTATAAGTTATCTAAAATGTAATTTATTCAAAACCCCCACAAAATATAATAAAGAACTTGTAAATGCTTACAAAAAGCTTTAATTTATACCTGAATAAATGGAACTATATCCCATATTGTTTCATGCATTTCTACCCAAAATAATCTACAGGTTTAATGAAATTATAACAAAATGCAGCACTAGTTTAGCAGTAATCAGGCAAACAGATTCTACAATTTTTAGAAAGAAGTAAATGTTTACAGATAGCAGAGACAATTCTAAAAGAGAAGACTAAGAAAGGGTCTTGCCCTACCAAGTTTTAAAACATATTACAAGGTTGTATCACAAATCAAGGATAGGTTATTTAATGAATAGAATTGGAAAAACTTTTACCACACTGAGAAGGTGAACTAAGACCTGTACTTTTCACAATGTGCAAAAAAATTAACTCCAGATGAAATGCAAAGCTGTAACTTTCTTAGAAGAAAATATGAGATAAAATCCATTAATGTTGGGTTTTCAGAATATTTTTTAGAAAGATGAAACAAACACAAAATATAATGGAAAAAGCTATATTTGATCATATCAAAATCTAAGGCTCTGTTCATTAAAATATAATATAGACAAAGAATGATGAGGGTAAGATCATTTTCAATGTCAAAATCACAAATAAATTAATATATGGAACAGTGGGTCTCGATCCTATTAAATCAAATGTTCCTTTTCTTATTGATTTGTAACTGCCCTGTGTTAACTTAAAATAAAGCTTATAGGTAATATAACCTGCCAAAAAGGTAATTATATAGTGATAAATGGGTTAATTTAGCAAGAGAATATAATAATGGTAAATATATAGGCACTCAACATTGGATTACCCAGATATATAAAGCAAATTATAATTAGAGGGAGAAAGATCCTAATACAATAATAACTGAGGACTTTCAGCATTGGGCAGATCACCTAGACAAAAATCAACAAAGAAATATCAGATGTAATTTGCATTATAGACTAAATGGACCTAATAGACATTTATAGAACATTTTGCTTCACAGCTGCAGAATACACATTCTTCTCCTCAGTGTGTAGAAGATTCTCAGGGAGAGACCATATGTTAGGCAACAAAACTCATCTCAACAAATTCAAAAAATTAAAACCATATCAAGAATCTTTTATCTTTTCTGACCACAATGGAATAAGACTAGAAATCAATAACAAGAGGAACTTTGGTAACTCTACAAATACATTAAAATTAAACAATATGCTTCTGAACAACCAGAGGGTCATTTTAAAAATCAGAAGGAAATTAAAACTTTTCTTGAAACAAATGAAAATGGAAACACAATATACCAAAACCTATGGTATACAACAAAAGCAGTACTAAGAGGGAAGTTTGTAGGAATAAACACCTATATCAGAAAAGTAGAAAAACTTCAAATACACAATCAAACAATGTGTCTTAAAGAACTAGAAAATCAAGAGCAAGCCCAAGATTACTAAACCCAAGATTAGTAGAAGAAAAGAAATAATAAAAGCAAGCCCAAAATTACTAAACCCAAAATTAGTAGAAGAAAAAAAATAATAAAGATAGGAACAGAAATAAATAAATTTGAAACTAAAAACATCCAAAATGTCAATTAAATGTAAAGTTGTTTTTCTGAAAAGATAAACAAAATTGACAAGTCTTTAGCCAGACTAATAAAAATAAAGAAGACACAGATGAAATCAGAGATGAAAAAGACATTACAACAGATACTAAAGAAATTCAAAGGATTATTAATGACTATTATGAGCAACTATATGCCAATAAATTGGAAAACCTACGTCAAATGAGTAAATTCGTAGACACACACAACCTACCAAGAATTAACCATGAAGAAATCCAAGACCTGAATAAACCAAGATCAAGTAATAGGATAAAAGCAGTAATAAAAAGTCTCTCATAATAGAAAATCCCAGGACCTGATGCCTTTATTGCAGAATTCTACCAAACATTTAAAGAAGAATCAATACCAATCTTACTCAAACAATTCCAAAAAATCGAGAAAGGAATACTTCCAAACTCATTCTATGTGATCAGTTTTACCCCGATAACAAAACCAGACAAAGACACAACAGAAAAGGAATACTATAGGGCACTAACTCGGATTAACGTAGGTACAAAAATCCTCAACAAGAAACTTGCAAATCAAATTCAACAACATATTAAAAAGATCATTCATTATGATCAAGTGGGATTTATCCCAGGGATGCAAGGATGGTTCAACATATGCAAATCAGTAAATGTGATACATCATATCAACAGAACGAAGGACAAAAATCATATGATCATTTCAATTGAGGTAGAAAAAAGCACTTGATAAAATTCAACATCCCTTCATATAGAAAATTCAACATCCCTCAAAAAACTGCATGTAGAAGGAACTTACCTCAACATGATAAAAGCCATATACAACAAAAACACAGCTAGTATCATGCTGATTGGGGAAAAACTGTAAGACTTTCCTTTAAGACCTGGAACAATACAAGGATGCCCACTTTCACCACTTTTATTCAGTATAGTATTAGAAGTCCTAGCCAGCGTAATTAAAGAGAAAGAAATAAGGAGTATGCAAATTGGAAAGGAAGAGTCAAAGTATTGTTATTTGGAGATGATATGATATTATATTTAGAAATATTTAAGGACTCCACAAAAACACTATGAGAACGAATAAATTCAGTAAGTTGCAGGATACAAAATCAACATAAAAAATTAGTACCTTTTCTGTATGCCAACAGTGAACAATCTGAAAAAGAAATGAAGAAATTAATCTCATTTACAATAGCTACAAATGAAATAAATTACTGAAGAATAAACTTAATCAAAGAAAGATAGCTACATTGAAAACTATAAAACATTGATGAAAGAAATTGAAGAGGACATACAAAAATGGAAAAATATTCCATGTTTATTGATTGGAAAATCAATATTGTTAAAATGTTCGTAGTACCCGAAGAATATAGATTCAATGCAATTTATAGATTCAATGCCATCTATATCAAAACGGTACTGACATTCTTCACAGAAATAGAAAAAACAATCCTCAAATTTACAGGAAACCACAAAAGACACAGCCAAAGCCACCCTGAGCAAGAAGGAAATATTTACAAGCAGGCACGCATTTAACTCTGCTGATAATCTAGGGAGGGGATTTCTTTTTTAAAAGCAATATAAGGTCTTTTTTTTGTATAAGTTGTAAAAACTTCAATGACACATCCTAATGCAGGCACAATCAGGCAGCACCAGTATCCTTATATGTATAAAATTTTATGGCAATTTTACAGACCCCTTAGAAAGCAATTTAAAAATATACAATAAAATATTAATACCCTTAATTAATTCTACTTCTGGGACTTATGCTTAGGAAATTATTCAAAATCAAAATACAGTAAACATTATATCAATGAGAGTGTTTGGTGCAGCATTGTCTAAAACAACCATCCTAAATGTCTCATAATAGGGAAGTGGGAAGAAAGTATATTATGTTCTTTCACTGGAAAAGTACACATTCATTAAAATGATAACTATAAAGAATAGAGAACAGCATCTAAAATATTTTGGGTTACTATTAATATGGTTAAAACTGTTAAAAAAAAGATACATCGGATACTGTGAGAAACCATACAAAAATGTTAATAATAATTGTATTAGGGTAGAAAAGGGATTATATAAATTAATGTTAGGAATTTCTAATTTGTGTCTGAAATACATAAACATTTGGAAAGACATCTGAACTTGAGAGGTCTATCTTGTCTCTATGATATAGAGCTATAATTTTTGAATTGAAGGACCATTTCATCAGCTATCTAGAATTGCCTTGGGTCAATACAGCACAGTTAATTTCAATCCTGGCTGCTCATAAGAATTATATGAGGAGTTTTAAAAAAAAAATAGTAATGCCAAAGCCAATCTCCAGAGTTTCTGATTAAATTGGTTTAGGGTTGAGCCTAAATATTAGAGTTTTTGTCTGTGATATTTGATTTGACTTTTTTTCAGTCTCCCAGGTGATACTGTTTTGTAGTCAGGATTGAGAGCAGCAATCTAAAGAAATTCTGTAAGCCCCCCCTTTTTTTTATAGAACTTTAGCAGTTACCAAAACTCAGATGTATGTTAAAAAAATTAAGAGCATAAGATTTTTTTTGAAAAAGAAACACCTTAACCTAATATGATGAAATTTAAGAGAAATCAATTTAACATCCTTTACTCAAATTCCATCCCTCCCCTAAAAATTCCTCAAATGATAAAAACAATATCTTTACAAGATATAGGTGCTGAGGCTTAACATTAAATCATGATTTTAAAAAAGACTTAGTTCAGTATGAGTCCATCGTTTAAATATCATTATAAAAATAGTGCACAAGTAGACTGCTTTAACAGATATTTAGCATTTTGAATGATGGAGATGTGTTACCCTCTACTCTGCACTTGTCAATCCACTCAGGAGGACTTTACTGTTTTCTAGGTGCCACTTTTAAGATGAGCAGAGACTGCAAGCAAAGGACCAGGATGGACGTGGGATGAAACCATACAGGATCAAGAGACAAATAACTTTAGGGGAGACAAAAGGGTGCACCATAAGTTCCTTCAACTATTTTCAGGGTTATTATATGGAAACAAGACTGAGCAATTTCTTCTAAATTTAAAGAATTTTAAAGAGAGATTGGATCAGTTCTGTGTGGCACTAGATTTAAGCACTGTAATGAATGAAGAAGATAGATTTTGTGTCACTATAAGTTGAAATTTGTAATAGTTAGAATGTTCAAAAAAGAGACTGGACTGGCTCATGACATAATGAGATGCCCATCATCAAAAGTATTCAAGTGAAGGGGAACAATTATTTGACATAGTTTCTCTTTTGCAAACTGAAACAATGGATGGAGGATTTTGAGACATAAGTATAGATATTTTCTAATGTTCCTTCCAACCTTGAAAAACTCTGTGAATTGTTCATGTACAAATTATTCTTCTCCACTCCAGTTTCAGCCTATGTTCCAATTTCAGCCTATATGTTTTTGAATAACAAATTTCACTTCTATATCAAAAGAGAAAGAAAAAAAGAAGCACAGAGCAGTGTCCCATAATTAACATCATAATATTGCTTTTAGTAAATCACTTTGGCTTTTTATTTTATTTTAGTTTAGTTTAGTTTCAGGTCAAGAGGAGGCTTGAGCTTTGTTTTAGTTACATTAGATAGAAATCTATTGCCTGATAACAGTCTCTGCATCCTTATGGCAGGCACTGCTGGTTATTGTTCATCCAACAGCCATGCCCCCTGATACCTTCCTAACAGAATACTGATTTTGTTCAGTATAAGCAGCGACAAGCTCAGGGAAGGTGGATATCTCTCCAGTCCAAACCAAACATGGTAACCCCATTGCCCTCTTGCCAGTGATCTGTTTAGGGATGAGCATGTGACCAAGTTTGTTTAAAAATATGTAAGAGGAATTATTTCATGGGGGTGAGGGGGGAAGGCTTCTGTGAAAGGTTTCCTTCCTGTTGAATAGCAGAGGATGCAGCAGGAAAGTATCTTTCTTCCACTCTTTGATGGGTTCTCTGACAATGTGATATTTTGGCAGCCATCTCGCAACCCTGATGGGAAAGCTAAAATAATTTCAGAGAAACCAACTGAGAGTCTTGCCATTATAGACCCAGGAAAAGCCCAGTTATGGAGCTTTTATTAAGTGAGATAATAAATCCCTGTTTTAAAAGTCATTTATTAGTTAGATATTCTATTACTTGCAACATAAATATTCTAAAAATAGGGCCCCAGAAGAAGAATTCTGGTTGAAAGAACTGCAGAAACAATGTGACAAATACACGTATATAGAAGAATACATTTATAGTTAGGTAGTAGCATAATCAATTAGCCCTGGAAGAATCTGAAAGTTACCTATCAATATCTGTATCAGTTTATCTATCTGTCTATCTGTCTGTCTGTCTGTCTATCTATCTACCTACCTACCTACATATCCATAATTCAAGAGCTGTAACAACCATGTTAAATGACACAGCGACTCCTCAAACCAATCTGGTTTAACAATCAATTGAACCACTTTTAGTGTTAATCCCTGCATTGTTTCAGCTACATACGTTCTATGTACAAACATTATCCAACCACTTGCAGATTAATGCATGAACACCATTTTACAGATGAGGAATCAACAACCCAACCCTGGGTAGGCAGTCACATGGCTACAAAGTGGGTAGGGCAGTAAGTGATAAGATCAAGCCTCACTTGGTCTGACTTCTAAATCTATGATTTTTTTTTTTTTAACGAGTTCACTATACTGCCTCCTGTATTGAAGGGCAGCATGATAAATGTGAGGAATGAGAGATATGACTAATACATAAGAGAAAAAGACAAGAGGCCGTTATAGCCTCAGTGCCACTAGCAGTGAATAAGCTATGTTTCCTTGGAGTTTAAAGTATAAGAACAGAAAACTTCCTGGTAGAGCCAACTTGCTGGGTACAGGACTTACAATTAAGTGAGATAGAGGCAAAGGGGACACATGATGACATACAAAAGAGTGAAAATGTCTTATTCTTCAACTTTCATGGACTTTGTACTCACCACTAGAAACACCAACTCAAATATGCTAAAATGGCAATGGTAACCCTGCTAACCTCATTCTGTTAATTTTAAAAGGTCAATTTTTGATCAGAAAATGATGGGCTGTATGCTAGCATTTTGTATATTATCTAGAATTCTCTGATTTCTTGCCTTTTCTATGCAAACTTCTGAGTATCTCTGCAATAATTTTGTAATAACGTGATTTTTATTAACTCTTTTCAAACACTTTAGAAATGCTCATTTAGTTATGTTATGGTGAAGTTCATTTATAACAAATAGTATTGTTAAATTTATTAATGTAAATAAGCTAATAACAATATCAATGATGGCAGTTTATAAAGGGAAATGTTTCAGCTGTTTGTAGAAGAAAAGCCATTTAGATAGGAGTCAAGGTATATAGGTACTTGTCTCTACTGTAAGACTTACTCTATGAGTAAGCTGGGGAAAATCATTCAACCACTCTGCCTCTCAGTTTCCTCAGATGTAAAATGAGAATGCTAGTACCTGTGCCATGAACTTCGGAGTGCTGTTTTGAGCATCAAATGAAACAATGGATTTGAAATCCTTTTGGAAGCATAAAGGCACTCCACATGCCAAATGTTGTATTACTCTTTATCTAAAGCGTTCAGAAATATCAATTTTTCATTAATCCAAACTGGCCTCTTAACAATTTCTACTATGCACAGATGTATTTAAGAAGAAATTAGATGGAATTATATATTGGATTGAAGTCACTGTTGCATTTTTAGGTTGAGATCACTTCCTGTGGGAGAGATGGGGGAGGATATGGGGTTGGCGGTGCTTGTAGAATTGCAAGCATTGGCCAGACGTCGTGGCTCACACCTGTAATCCCAGCAACTTGGGAGGCTGAGGCAGGTGGATCATGAGGTCAGCAGTTCAAGACCAGCCTGGCCAACATGGAGAAACCCCGTCTCTACTAAAAATACAAAAATTAGCAGGGCGTGGTGGTGGATGCCTGTAATCCCAGCTACTTGGGAGGCTGAGGCAGAGAATTGCTTGAACCCGGGAGGCGGAGGTTGCAGTGAGCTGAGATCATGCCACTGCACTCCAGCCTGGGTGACAGAGCGAGACTCTGTCTCAAAAAAAAAAAAAAAATTGCAGGCATTAACTGCATGTGGCAAACTGAGTCATCACTAGACAACCATTGCATTATCCAGGAACTCTATTAGTAACTATTATCTAAAAGCCCACCAAAAAACAGCTAGAGTGGTCCATACCAGAATGACAATATATTCACATAATTTTGCAGAAAATCATGATAATGTCAGAAATCAATGGTCTTTTTCTTTAGTTTCATCTCCATTAGAGACAGAGCCAAACAGTCAAATTTCATGAAGCTGATATTTATCTGCTGCTCAGGCGCCTAATAAGACACTAAATGCCAGAAGGACTTTTGTGAAAAACATTATGAATTCGTTTTTAGTTTCTGCTAGCTACCATTAAAGTTTAGGAAGCATAGGCCTCAGGGAGTTTGAAGGATTGACAGGTCTACAGCTGTAGCTCAGATGTGGAAGAGGTCTATTTCATTACAAACTGGCTTATTCCTAAGAGCGCCATCACTGTTATAACTTGAACAGGTATTTACCTTAGCTAATATTGTTGCTCATGGTCAGCCCATTATCCTTGATTAGCATAAATTAATCTCAATAAAAATTTGCTTGAGTGTAGAATGACTCATCCCTAATGGTTGTGATTTTGTGCAATTGTCAAATAGGCTTTTGAAAAAAATCTGAACTAAATTTAAGTAGCTAAAGGGATAGCAGGAGCAATAGATGTTCTGATTCCTTTCTCTTCATAGAAAGGAAATAGTTGTTTGACAAATAAGTACACAATTTTGTTATTATAGGGTATACCTGCAATGGTGTCCTCTGCAGGTCATGTGGTGTACAGTTGATTATCTCATAAAGGCACAGTAAAGCGTGATTTTAACACTGGCGTATGATCCTAGGCTATATATTTATTCTTAATGGCTCTCAGCCTTCTGTCTTATAAAATGAAGATTTATGTTTAGATAATATCCAAGTTTTCTTCAATCTAAAAAAAATGCGATACTAGTTTTTACAATGTTTCAGGTTTGTCAATTTCGGCAAGAAGAATTCAAAACTATTACTAATCACACTGTCTTAAGGACAGCACAAAACTGAAACATGACCTGACTCTACAGTTACATCATTATTTTTGAATGATAATTTTCAAATTCCAAAACTCTCTCAATTTTAAATATAAATCTATAAAACTTAATTATACATATGCAAGGTAACCCACATAAGGCACTAAAAACAAGTACACAATTAAAAAGAAGTTTTATTTTGAGGTGTCAAAAAAATTATATTAGGAGAAAATTGCAGTGAACTTCTAAGACAGCCTAATTTCCCAATCTGCATAAAACGTTCATGCAACTAGATGTATCTGTTCATACATTTTAATGCAGCTCTGGCAGAAAAATTTTAAAGAATAGTTTTACCAACATATACATAAGAAGTGGGATTTATGTACAGTTACTTTTTTCTTGTGCTGACCTTAATTTCAATATAGACAAAAATCAAACTTTTAGGGTGATTTCACCCCAAGCACACTAACAACTACAAGGTGACTGAAGTTCCTGGAAACCAAGAAGGCAGCATTGATTCTAGAACTTTCTATATTGACTCAGAATAGTTTTCCCTTTTCTGAAAAGGCCTCAGAATCATGATTCAGGAAACTAAAACCAAAGTAGCCTCTGCCATCAGAGGTGATCTTTGGAAACAATAAACTTGCTGCACCCAGAGCTCAGTCCCTACCTGTTACATTGCTTTGTTTTGCATCTTAGGGTGGGTTACATGTGCTCTGGTTCAGAGATCTGGGATAAATACAAACAAAACAAAACAAAACAAATTTCCCCAATATGTCAGGAAGCCACACTCAACTTACTAAAGTGACCTTCAAGTGAGAGGAATTACAGATCTCTGTGAAATAATATAAAAGAAAAAAATGTCCACTTAAGATATCATCGTGTATATGACAACTGAATTGTAGATCAGCAGAAACAATTTTTCCTGTATGTTCAAAGTTTTACAAAGACTTCAGGCTAACATCGCCAATGCAGCCTTGCACAGCTTCTTCCTAAAACACCAATGAAGTCACATAGAAAGATGAAAACACAAAGCAGCAGTGAAAATTAAGAAAGACAACCCACTGACAGTTTGGGGGAAGAATTCCTACTAATTGAGTCCTGAACAAAATGATCAGTACCACATCAATGTTCCACCTCCTGCAACAGAAAGATGAGAAGGGCCGGGCGCGGTGGCTGACGCCTGTAATCCCAGCACTTTGGAAGGCCGAGGCAGTTGGATATCCTGAGGTGAGGAGTTCAAGACCATCCAGCCTGATCAACCTGGTGAAACGCTGTCTCTACTAAAAATACAAAAATTAGCCGGGCATGGTGGCGCATGCCTGTAATCCCAGCTACTTGGGAGGCTGAGGCAGGACAATCTCTTGAACCTGGGAGGTGGAAGTTGCAGTGAGCCGAGATCGTGCCATTGCAATCCAGCCTGGGCAACGAGCGAAACTCCGTCTTAAAAAAAAAAGAAAGAAAGAAAAAGAAAGAGAAAGAAAAAGAAAGATGAGAAGACATATTTTTGTCAGTTTACTACCTGTACTTTAGCACAGAAAACCCAGAATCTGTATAGACCTGAAAATTGGGCAAGCATTCATCTATTTTAAGATTCCTGTACTTTCAAGTAACCAAAATACTGTCCTAATACCAGACCTCATTATTTAATAAATAAAATAATTTCTATTTCCTTTTTCTGCCATAAAAGAAATGTGTTTACTGTAGAATTTTCAAAAATTTAGAAAAATACAAAGTAAAAGAATAAGAATAAAGTTACTACCAATCCTACTACCCAGAAATAACCAATATTAACATGAGATATTTATCTTTTTAAAAAACTTTTATTTTAGGTTCAGGGGTACATGTGCAGGCTTATTGTATAGGTAAACTCGTGTCACACAGATTTGATGCACAGATTATTTCATCACCTATGTAGTAAGCCTAGTACTCAATACTAAAGTTTTCTTCTCCTCTCCCTCCTCCCTCTTTCCAACTTCTGGTAGATCCCAGTGTGTACTGTTCCCCTCTATGTGTCCATGTGTTCTCATCATTTAGCTCCCACTTATAAGTGAGAACATCAGTATTTGCTTTTCTGTTCCTGCCTTAGTTTGCTAAGGATAATGGCCTCCAACTCCATTCATGTTTCTGCAAAGAACATGATATTGTTCTTTTTTATGGCTGCATAGTATTTCATAGTGTATATGTACCACATTTTCTTTATCCAGTCTGTCATTCATAGGTATTTAGGTTGATTCAATGTCTTTGCTATTGTGAATAGTGCTGCAATTAACATGGGCTCAAACATATCCCAACTAACTAAACTAAGATAGAAAAGTCTAAGGTTATTTAAAAGAATAGAACAAAGTTCCAACAACAAAAAACTCAATATCTAGCATCCTAGATGCTAAAAATTCAATCTATGAAAAAAAGCAGAAATATATGATTTAGAAAAATCTGGCAGGGCACGGTGGCTCATGTCTGTAATCCCAGCACTTTGGGAGGCTGAGGCGGGCAGATCACTTGAGGTCAGAAGTTCGAGACCAGCCTAGCCAATATGGTGAAAGCCCGTCTCTACTAAAAATACAAAATTAGCCAAGTATGGTGGCACGTGGCTGTAGTCCCAGCTACATGTGAGGCTGAGGCATGAGAATCACTTGAACCTGGGAGGCAGAGGTTGCAGTGAGCCGAGATCACGCTGTTGCACTCCAGCCTGGGAGACAGAGCCAGACACTGTCTCAAAAAAAAAAAAAAAAAAACAGAGAGAGAGAGAAGGAAGGAGGGAAAGAAAGAAGGAAGGAAGGAAGGAAGGAAAGAAGGAAGAAGAAAGAAAGAAAAAGAAAGAAAGGAAAGAAAGAAACAAAGAAAGAAAAAGAAAGAAAGAAAGAAAGAAAAAGAAAAAGAAAGATCTGTATTACAAAGATCTTAGTCATACTCCTTTTCAAGGGAGAGACTAAGCAGGGCAACAAGCCTAGTACACAAGACAGAGGAAGTACATTAACTACTTAGCACAATGAAGTCAAATCTAACTTCTAGGATCAAAAACATTTTACTTCAGAATTTTGAGGTATTCTCGTATTGTTTCCTACCATCCAATTTTACACATAAGTCTGATGCTTGTCTGATATTTGTTTATTTGTAGATGAACTGTCCCCTGCCCCCACTGAGGCTTTTAGAATCATTTCTTCGTACTCAGTGTTCTAAAATTTTATGAGGATACATTTGGACACGATATTTTAAAAGTTCGTTCTAATCACCTCTCTATAGGTCCTTTTGATATGACAATTCATGTCTTTGTGCCCCCATGGGAAATTTTGTTTTGTTATTTATTTGATAATTTATTACCCTCAGCTTCCTCTATTGTTTCTCTGTTTTTTTAAGTTCCTGGGTACATGTGCAAGATGTGCAGATTTGTTACATAGGTAAACATATGCCATGGTGGTTTGCTGTAATTATCAATCCATCACCTAGGTATTACGCCTGGCATGCATTAGCTATTTTTCCTGATGCTCTTCCCCTACCCCCGACAGGCCCCAGTGTGTGTTGTTCCCCTCCCTGTGTCCATGTTTTCTCATTGTTCAGCTCCCACTTGTAAGTGAGAACATGCAGTGTTTGGTTTTCTGTTCCTGCATTAGTTTGCTGAAGATAATGGCTTCCAGCTCCATCCATGTCCCTGCAGAGAACATGATCTCATATCTTTTTATGGCTACATAGTATTCCACGGTGTATATGTACCACATTTTCTTTATCCAGTATATCATTGATGGGTATTTGGGTTGATTCTGTGTCTTTGCTATGGTTAATAGTGCTGCAATGAACATATGCATGCATGTGTCTTTGTAATAGAATGATTTATATTTCTTTGGGTATATACCCAGTAATGGGATTGCTGGGTCAAGTGGTATTTCTGGTTCTACATCTTTAATGAATTGCCACACTGTCTTCCACAGTGGTTGAACTTATTTACACTCCAACCAACAGTGTAAAAGCATTCCTATTTCTCCACAACCTCGCAGCACCTGTTGTTTCTTGACTTTTTAATAATCGCTATTCTGACTGGCATGAGATGGTATCTCATTGTGGTTTTGATTTGCATTTCTCTAATGATCAGCCTCTATTGTTTCTTTTGGAACTTTTATTAATCAGATATTGACTTTTTGATTGAATTTGTGTATCATTAATATTTTCCCCCAATGTTCTAGGAAATTTCTTCAACTTTTTCTTCCATCTCTTCTTATGAATTTTTTCTTTAAGCAATCATATTTAATTCTAAGAGCTGTTTCTTATGCCTTAATTATTTTTTATGATATCTTTTTTCATGGATGGCACAAATTCCTCAAATCTGCCTAAGGATATCAATTTAGAAAGATTTTATTTTATTTAAATTTATCTTCTATTCCCTGAAACATCTGTTTCCTCCACAATCAGTTGTTTAACTTTTTCCTTCTCTTTGGGATGCTGCTTTTCTTCATTTGTTTAGTCAAATATACTCTCTGTTAATATATAAGATGGAAAGAGAGACCTTCAATTCATGTTGCTTTTAACAATCACTGTTTTTTATTTCCATCCTATGAACCTGCTGATTTTGAGCCTAGGACCTCTCCAAGGACCTATTGGGATGATTGGCTTTTACCTCCATTACAGTCTTCTCATGAATGAATTAGGAATTTTAGTTTTTCAATGTCAGAGAACGGAGTTCTAAATACAGAAAGGGAGAAAACATGAATGAATTTTGTTGTCTTGGATTTAAGTTAGAGGAATAGGCATGATGCCAAAAGGAAACTTGGAACACAAGGATATTTAAGTATAGAAGCCTGACAAAGTGAACATAGTGAACATCATCTGTAATGAGACAAATCAACATTGTTGGGTACTCATAGAATAAAATGAAAACACAACATAAATTCTGTGATATAACTGTAAAATATGTATAACCTAAATCTAGTTATAGGGAAATATCAGACAAGCTCAACTTAAAAGACATTTTATGAAATAGCTGCCTTACCATTTTCAAAGTTGTGTGATTCATGAAATTCATATAAAGTCTAAGAAAATTTTGCAGACCAAGGAATACTAAAAGACATGAAGCTAAATACAACACATCTTTTTGAATTGAATATTTTACTACTCTTTGGGAATTTTGATGGGAATTAAATGAAGTATTTGGTTTAAATAATAGTTTCAGTGTTGATTTTCTAATTTTAATGGTGTAATGTAATGTGGTTGTTTGGGGGGAATGTCCTTACTATTAAAAGATATACTAATAAAATATTTAGGGATAATAGAGCATCATGTCACCAAACTTAGCTCAATGAGATTAGGAAAAAATATTTTAAAAATATTTCTTAAAAGTTGTGCTTACAACTTGTGTATAAGCTTGGTATGCTTTTAATGTTACAAATAATTGTACAATAAATAGCCAATAGAAGAATTCAAATTAAATGCCAAAAATATTTTTATTAAATCAAAATAAGACATTAAAAGGAGCACAAAACCCAGATGAGCTGATTAGGAAATAAATAACAAATTAGTAGTTTGAGATGCAATCATGTCAATAATCGTATTAAATATAAATGTACCAAACATCAAACTAAAAAGCAGAGAATTCTGGGCAAGATAAAAACAAACAAAGAAATAACAAGGTGCACCTATGTCATGTCTACAAAAGATGAATTTTAAATTAACATTCACAAATAGGTTGAAGGTAAAAAGTTGGGAAAATATATAAATGAGAAGCATAAAAAATCAGGAGTGACTATATAAATAGACAAAATATAATTCAAGACAAATAGTATTACTGGAGAAATGTAGGGGCATTTATTAATGATAATAAACATGAATACATTGGGAGGACACAGAAATTCTAACTCATAGTTAGAATGCCCAAAACACAGCCAGAAAACATCAATGACACAAATTTGGCTGTATTAAAGAGAGAAATAGGTAGACTCACAAACATAGTCAGAGATTTTTAACACCCCAGTCTCAGTAACTAATAGAACAACTAGTCAGAAAATACTAGGCATATAGAAAATCTGAAGAACACTATCAACCACCTTGACGTAATTGGCATTTACAGAATATGACACCAAACAATTGCAGAATATACATTCTTTTTAAATGTGTACAGAATGTACACCAAGATAGACAGACCATATTCAGGGACATAAGTCAATTCTCAATGAATTTTAAATGTTTGAAATATTACAGAACATCTTTCTGACTATAATGGACCTATATTAGATACCAACTACAAACAGATAGCTATAAAAGTCCCAATTGAAAATAAAACAATATATTTCTGAATAACCCATGGTAAAAATAAATCAAAGGGGAAGATAGAAAATATTTCAAATTGAAAGAAAATAAAAATATAACATAACGAACTTCGTCATATGCAGTTAAAGCATGCTAAAAATCCTCATAATACAGAAAGTAAAAATCATTGTTTCTACCTTATGATATTAGAAACTGTACCAAATTGAACCTCATGTGTAGAATGAAAGGAAATGATAAAGAGTATATACGAATGAATCTGAAAATATATAAACAACATAAAATGCACTAAGTCAAATGTTGGTTTTTGAAGCAGTTAATAAAATTGATAAAAGCCTAGCAAGACTGACTAAGAAAAAAGAGAGAGAAAGAACAAATAATCAGTATCAGTAATGCAAAAACAGACTTTCCTACCGATTCTACAGATATCAAATGAGAAATATTACTCCAATAAATTAGACAAATAAGATAAAAAGTTGTAAGAGGATCAGCTTCGATGATTGCTCTCAATTGGTCATTGTCAACTTCTGATGGCCAGCCACTATTCTCTTCATCTTCAAGGCTCTCATCTCCTTTGCAAAACTTCTTGAACCACCACCATTGTACATTTGTTAGCAGTTCTGGGCCAAATGCATTGTTGATGTTGCAAGTTGTCTCCGCTGCTTTATGAGCCATTTTGAACTAGAATAAGAAAATCACTTAAATTTGCTTTTTGTGTAACATCATTTCCATACTCTAAAATAAACAGCAACTAATACGTCATTAGCAAAATAAATAAGTGAGAAATGCCCATTAAAATGATTATAACATAACCATATTTATTTAAGAATGTATTCCAATATCAAACGGCAATTCCAACAATGCAAAAACCATAAGTACATTTGCACCAACCTAATATGAGAAACCAGTGTTCTGGACAAACAGATACTTCATTTTGGGGTTGGGTGATGGCTGCCATGTGGGTGTTATGGTGTTTTCACCTGAAAACGAATCTCCACTGCCAGCTGTTGCAGAGAGAGGCTGGCTTGCCAGGTAAAACAAAAAGAAGACTAAGAGTTTACCTTGGCTGATGTTAAGAAGGCTTTGTGACTCTGTAACAAATCACAAATTTGTGAACATTTTGACAATGCGCTGTCTGTAAACATGATGCTTTGTAAGCATTATGTGGCAACAAAGGTTTCTTGGAATTTATGCAAGCACATATTCCAAACAGCTGAAAACCCAACACCAGTACTATATTTTTCATACTCAGGTCACTCCTGTGGAGCAGGCAAAAGCCAAGCCAGGTCCTTCTGCTTTGAAAGATGGTGGAAAGCAGCAGAGAGAGGGTGGATCACCAGGCAGTGGAGAACCAAGAGGAAACCAGTGTATGGACTGTCTAGTTCTTTGTTCTAACTCTTACTTCCACTTCACAACACTCTTATGTCTCTCCAAAAGGTTTAGCAGAGTCTGATTTTCACATCTAGTTGCCTAAGCATCCAACAATCACATGAGAACCACATCTAGCTGTACCTTGGGGAAGCACACCTAAATATCTGGTATATATGGAAGACCCATGGAGCCACTAATTAAGGATGTACTTTGTGCCAGGTGGCTTTAAGTCACAGGCTGACTTAATCCCTTCAAAGACACAAAGATGAAGAAACTCTTATTATCCCCGTTTTACAGAACAGGAAACTGATGCTCAGAGGGAATAAATGAATGTCCAAGAATACATGGCCAGTAAGTAGTGAACTGCAGTCTCAAAGCTAGGCTTTCTAATTCCATTTTTTAAATCATCTGGACAGACTTTCTTTTATCAGCTCTCTGTAAGAAGGCCAAGAGGCAGTAGAGGGCGGCCCTTGAATATCCAGTGAGCAAGTGAAAATCTCCCTCACAAGGGAGAATAGTTATTATTAATAAAAATTAATCTCAGATTTCCACAGCATGTAATGCGGCACCTATTTTTAACCTAATACCGTGTGTTAATGTGTCTGTAAGAATTATATTTTCTTTTGAATCCATCACTGGAAACAGAATTTGCATAGAGTATACTTACACATTTTCAAATACTTATTCAACCACTGTATGGTGCTCTCTCAAATATATAATCATTAGACTCATTGGTGTTTCATCTGAGAATGAGATTAATAATTGTGTTTATAATGGAATACATTAATAAGTAGATATATTCATTAACATTTAATAAGCAGTAAGAACTGCTTGAAGTGCATGCCGTAGGCTGGATAGTAGCTTGTATGTAATATTACTATTTACCAGTGTCCATAAGAGAGGACAGAAAGACGTATTTCACAGGAAGAACCATAACACTAAGTAGCTAATAATCTTTGCTTCAAGTTCTTCTTTGGAATGTGGTAGTGTATAAATAAATAAATATTAAATAAAATCAATAATAAATAAATAAATAAAATCAACATTAATATAATTCTTTTTTGTATATTTATTTAATATTTTCTCCATCATGCCTAAATCTTCACCTTAAAACTCCATTAATTTTATGCCAACCATTATGCAACCTTCTCACCTCCAACCTTTAGGCATTCCCTATCACGAATGTAGCCTTCTGCATCTCAGCCACGGTCTTCAGCTCACCCCAACTACAATCATCATGTGAGAACTCAACATGCCTAGGAGGACCCCGGACAACTTCCTGATCTCATAAGGCCTTTCATAGAGCTAATGAGCTCTGCACTCTCATCATTAGAAACTGCTCCTCTCTAAAATCACTGACTCAAACACCTGACACTGACCACAGTTTCTATCCCTTCAATTTTATATGGGATTTCTCCTCTTGGATGTCTCACAAATACTTTCAGCTCAGAATGTCTGAAATTGAGAGGAGCCAGAAGCATGCCCATGGATTTAGATTCTTTATTAGCATTTGCTGATGGCAGTATCCTAGGGGCCCTTCAGCTGGTTAAAGTTTGAGAGCTAAATGAGGCTGTGTGGACTCCCTTCAGGTTCTGGGATCCAGACAACAGCTGTTCTTTCTGGATCAAAATAGTTCATCAGCCTGAATTTGTGTCACCTTCAAAGAGGTGGCTGAGCAATGGATTGTTGTCCACTACTCTTTCCACATATTTTGGGGTGATGTGCATCCTATAGTTTTTGTGGACCTTGTTGCCCATCAGCTCCAGGATGTTGCCACCAAGTATTTGAAAGTAGTGAACAAGTTCAGGTCTTGGGCAGTGATTCTTCCACAAAAGGCAGTGCACACAGCTCAAGAGGAACTGCTGCTTGGCTCTTATGGAGTAGGAGAAAGTCTGATTTCTACACCTATAGGAGCTCCTTTGCCTTCTCTTCGAAAACATGGTATTTGCTGCGTTTTGCTATGATTGGCCCAGTTTGATTGTCCAACAGGCCTGAGCCTCTCAAGACACCTATAACAAGTGCTCATTCCTGGACACTATAACTCTGTGACCCAGCCTGTTATTGGGACTGGTAAAGGAATAACCTTGTGATTCTCTAGATATTGGGATGCCATTGGTGTCCACTGGGCCCTGGTCAGGCTTTGGTCTAGAAACGTACATGTGAGGAAGCTGGTCATCCTAATAACTGGACCACAATGTGAAGCCAATATACCCACAGGAATGGCTGATAGCACCTAATGTAGATGAAGATATGGAGCAAAAGGAACTCTCATTCATTGTTGGTTGAGTGGAAAATGGCACGTCCACTTTGGTAAATGTTTGGTAGTTTCTTACAAAAATAAACATACACTTACCCTATGGCGCAACCATTCCTCTTCTAGGTATTTATTCAAGAAAAACAAAAATATATCTACACCCATACATGTGAATTAGTGCACCAGAATTTTATAGCATTGTTATTCATAATTGCCAAAACTGGAAATACTTCAGGTGTTCATCAACAGAAAAATGGATGAACAAACCACGGTATGTTCATACAATGGACTATTACTCAGCAATAAAACAGATTGAACTACTGATACGCACAATAACATGGATTAATCTCCTAGGCACTGTGCTGGGTGAAGAAGCCAAGAGTACATGCTGTACATGTATATGTAGGTGAAGTTCTAGAAGATGTAGAATTCTGGGTACCTCCAAGGTGGATGAGGGCAGGATTGACTGTGGAGAGACACACGGAATTATCTGGAAATGGGTGTGATTTGTTTTCAAAATTGTGCAGTTAAAACGTGTGTATATTAATGTATGCAAATTTTACCTAAAAAAGAAGTGTACAAATGTAATAATCAAGTAGTGTGAGGACTGAGTGGAGATATAGATGGAACAATAATGACAGAACATTGACAGTTGTTGAAGCTGGGTGATTAGGTACATGGGGTTTCATTATATTATTTTCCTTAATTTATGTTTGAAATTTTCTGTAATATAAAGTGAAAAGAAAGAAAGAATGTAAAGAAGAAAGAATGAAAGAAAAAAGGCAGCCTTTACTAATTCTTCATGGTATCTTTATCTAAGAAGCCTCTTCAATATGTTAGTAGTCTCTATTAAGCAACCGGAAGGCCACTTTAGATAACACTTACTTTCTATCCTTGGCCAATAGAGTATACTTCTAAGTTTCTTAAATATGCACAAGTACACACATAGGAAAAAAATAACTAGAATGGTTTATTCTAACATATTAAAGTAGTAGGCTTCAGGTGATAAGATTATGGGTAATTTTTATCCTTTCTATATTTCTCTGCATCTTCCAAAAATATGATATGAATATGCATTTATTTTATACTCAGAAAAAGTAAACCAAATATTAAATATCATTTTCATTGAGTTTATCCTGTAGTGTTACTATGGTTTCAGAAATTTAACAAGCTTTACTACATTATCACCCTTGAGAAAAGCAATATTGCTAATTGTATTATTTGTTAGGAAAAAAGGTTTTGCCAAGGTATGAGCCTCCGGGTCTTTTTTTTTTTCGTAAAGATAAAAATGCAACACTGCACAGGAGATCTGCTTATTAGACATTGGGCATACTTTCTGTAAAACCAAAATAACTCTTCAGAAATTTCCTGCCAAATTCACAGCTAAACTGTTATGCAAATGTAACTACATCTAAATTAAAAGTGCTGTGATGATACAGCCAACAGACTTTGAAGTATGATTGCTTTTGGTGGTGTAGGCAGAAAGGTTGAGATGTTTTAAAGTAAACAAGATGTATCACACTTTATTTTGTTTCCTATTTGGTTGGGGGTTTATAGTATACAGGAAAGAAAAAAATGATACGTGAAAATAAAATAGTTAGAGGGAGGAAGGAAATGATAAGATTAAGTGTTTGTGGTAAGGGCAGCTAAGCCTTCATAAAACAAAACAAAAAGCCTAGACATGAACTTAATTGCAGATGGACTCTGTAAGCCTTATGAGCTATACATATAAAAAGGATGATAGCCTTTGTATTATATATATTAAAGTCTCCTTATTTAACTTTTTGTGTGTCTGTTTCTTGCCCTTCCAACTCAATTTTAACATAGCTAACTCCCAAGAGCAGAGAACCAATCTTTTACTTCTGGCTACCTGCCACTGGGTTATAATCAACAAGAGGGCACATTCTGTCTTCTCCATAGCTATACCATTAGAACCTAGTTCAGTGTCTGAGGCGTAGTAAGCATTTAATATTTGTTCCATAGTAGTAATTCTATGGATATGTATTAGCTGTTCATTAATTTATTTATCAGTCTCATTAATATTTATTGACTGTCTTGTATGGGTCAGGTACTCATCTCATTGCCAGGGACATGGCATTGAGCAAAATAATGTTCCTGCTCTCATGGCATTTACATTCTAGTGAAAAAATTACTATCCAGACAACATAACTGAATGTAACTTGTAGTTTGCATTGAAGTAAGTGATAAATGTTCCCCATTTTCAATGCTACCATGCTAATAAATTCCTTGGTATGTTGGGTCAACATTTCACTTCTGTGGCACTTTGCTTGGTAAGAGAATGTGACTAAAAGTGATTCAAGGTGACAAGTGTAAGCACACATAATTATTACAATTGAAGGACTTTCCAAGACAACGCATGAAAGCTCCTACAGAAACGTACAGTTCTTTAAGTTTGCATCCCATGAACCAGGAGAGAGATGGTTTCCAGTGGAAACAGAGATTCTTTTATTGACAAAGATGAATTGTTGCACTATGACTCTCCTCTTTGTAATTTCCTGGCTAGTCAAGATCAATCAATACTCCTTAGACAGCACCAATTTGAGGTTCTGACAAGTGTTATTTTTTGAAGGCCAGTTTTTAAGCTTCTTATTAATGAAAAGCAGTACGGTAATATCTATAGCCACTTCCGCTCTGTTTCCTGGCCTTGCTCCATTTGGTACTGATATAACAAACAGCTGAAATCAGTACATTGTGATATTATGCAAATGTGCTCTGGCAGATTGAGCTAAGAATAGAATGCATTGGGCTATTTTGCTTTATTTGTTGTATAGATGAATTTGGCATTTTTTAATTAAAGAACCTTATGGACATTAAAAAATACCTCAGCATTAGAAAACATTTTCTTATAAAGTTTAAATAAACTTTAACCTTGATGAGTTTGTGAATTCCAAGAGGAAAAGATAAGAAGGCATCAAGAAAGCAGATATTAGTATTTCTCATGATGTCCTCTTGGATGAGTTAGAGAAGCATGGGCTAGATGTCCAGGAGAACTTGGTGGATTCAGCACCAGCTGATTTGCTGCAGCCAAAACGGTTCTGATTATGGCTCACCGAAAACCTGAAGAGAATTTTCTAGTGACATGCTGCAGAGCTGGATACTTGGGATTGCCCTGTTCAGCAATTTTTTAATGACTTGGGCGAGGACATTCATAGCATGCATATAAAATCTGCTTATGAAAATAATTTAGTAGGGACAGTGACTATATTGTTAAGACATAATCAGGAACCTTAAAGATTTCTTCAAGGTAGACTCAGTCTCAATCTAACATATGTACCTTGACTGATATAAATAAATACAAAGTTTTATATTTGTGTTGAAAAAAACAGTTCTGCAAATATAATTTAGGGAAATACTACCTTATGTTAGGGGAATCCTTAACCAAATATCAAAGGACATTTTTCCTTTCTAGGTCCTAAATGTATTAATTGATTATTTTTATAAGGCAATTTGGTGAAAAATTTAGACTCACAAAGGAAGTCAAAAGATTTTTTCTTTAACAAAGGCCCTCTTCTACTAAAGATAATATTAAGGAACAATTTGTGTTTACTTGTAATGAGTTTTAAACCCTATGCTGCTAACCTTTCTTTCTTATGTTTTAAAAATCTGAAAAGTATAAACCTCACTCCTCCACCTTCTCCGGAAAGCTAAGCTCACCTGATAATTGCTTCTTAGGGGAAACTGCAGTGACCTCTTCTATAACCGAGATGATTGACAGTTTTAATGCCTTATTACAAGTTTTTCTTTCTTTTTTGGAACACTGAGAAATGGGCTTCCCCTGTACTTAAAAAATTACAAGGTAACTAACATACATAGTGTCTTAGGACAAAAAGCCAGATATAACATTTTTGTAGAGTATCTCATGTTTTGTTCCCTTCCCTCACAAAGCATGCAATACATAAATTGTCATTTGAGGATAGATTGCCCCAGTACTTGTGATACTACTCTCTAGGAATATGAACAGCAGTGTATTAAGCTGATTTTTTTAACAGATGAAGGGCTGTCCTGTGGAGAATGGCAAAAAGCTCCTGGCTTGGAAGGACATGATTTTTCAACGGTTTCTTGTAACATCGTGAAAAGAAGTATATCTGATAAAAAAAAAGGTTGCTCATGTATTGAAAGTAGAAATGGATAAAATATAACATGCAGATTCCAGAAAAGCTAGGGTAGTATTGGTTTGCATTAATCAAAATTGAATCAATATGTACAACTATTATGTGTCCATAATAATTAAAATTTAAAAAATTTTAAACATTAAATTGAACAAGGGGAAAAACTAATCACGCTCATTTGCTGTATATTAGGCAATGCTTCTGTACTGTGTTTCATTCTGGACATTATATATTGAGGAAGAGAGAGAGATTGGCAAACATGAGCATATCCACATACTGCTATACATATAGCAAAAGAATATTCTGGAAGAGATGAGATATGGGAACAGATCAAAATACTGGAGATGTTTAGAGAAAAAGTTACTAAGGAAGGACAGCGCTTGATAATTGTCTTCAGCTGTTGAAGGCCTTATGTCAAAGGAGAAATGGAATCATTCTCTGGAGCTTACAGATTGGAAGCAGGACTGAGCAGTTGAAGTTTCAGGGAGCCAAAGTTTGGTCTGATTCAGGAAAGACCCATGTAGCAGAACGTTCAAAAAATTTATTGTCACAAGGGTAGAGATGTCCTTATTACTGGAGGTGCTCAAGCATATTAGGAATGAGTTTGTAGAGGGAATCTGAGCATTAGTCAGGGTTGGAGCAGATTTCTTCCAGTCCTAAATTCTAAACTTGACGGATGAAGTCTAGTTTTGAACATCAAAATTTTTAAATTCTTGTCTATCATCTCACAACTAATCAGTTAACAAGTTCTTTTGGCTCTTCCTTTACAATGTGTCTTATATCATTCTTGGGTTATTAACCTGCAGTTACCTGAATATCACAATAGTCCCCTCATTGGAAAGATCTTGCACACATTCTTTGTTGAGGATAGTTTACAAATATGGCCAGAAAATATTCTCCCATCTCTGTACACATATCTTTGCAGTGTTACTTTGTCTCAACTTCCACCAAGAAGTGGCTTATTTTTCTACTCCTTGAGTCTTGGATGCTATGGATTTTCTTTGACCAATAGAATGTGACAAAATTGACAGTGTATGACTTCCAAGTCTAGAAGAAGCTTTGCAGCTTCTGATCTCACTCACCTGGGTCACAAAAGCCTTGTAAACAAGTCTGGGCTAACCTCTGAGAGAATGAGATGTCACGTAGAGAGAATGACCATGTGGAGAGAAAAAGAGGCCCAGCCATGTCAGCTCTAGCAGCACTCAGAGTTGGAGCCCATGAGAGGTGAGAGAGGCCATCTAAGAATAGCAAGCTCCCAGACAACCCACCAACAAACTGAAAATGCCTAAGTGGGTCCGACTGTCATCATGTGGAGCAGAGATAAACCATGTCAAAGAAACCCTCCTCCAATTGCCAACCCACAAACTTATGCACAAGTAAATGACTGTTGTTTTACAGGACAATTTGTTATGCAGCAATAGAGACTGATAATATACTTCTATCCAGGAAATTTTGCTTCTAAAGATAATCCTACACAAGACACATGTACATATATGTTCACTACTGTGTTTCTAACAAGGATCAAAATTTTTAAGGGGACTGGCTAACAAATTATAACATATCTCAGTAGCACTGACAAGGAATAAGGTTGTTCTCTACCTATATATGTGGAAAGATGTTCAAGGTAGATATCGTTAAATGAAAAAGCAGTATTCAGCACAGTGTGAACAGTTAACCACGTTTATGCAAATAGACAAGGATGGGCATACATCTATATGGTATATGTACTTAGAAACTATCCAGAAGGATGCACAATAAACTCTTAATAGTAGTTAACTCTGAAGACTTGGGCTGAAGGATAAGAAGGGGAAGAAGACTTTATATACCCTTTATTCCTTTAAATCTTTTGAGTGTATAGTACTTAAAATACTAATTAAAAATAAATGGAAATAAAAACAAACACAACCTCTGATTATTCCCTCTACCTGTAGTCTCTAATCCCTGCAACACAGTGTGTGTAGTATCACCTGGTTAATATAATTAAAACTTCCTTTTTTTTGTCAGGTCACTTCTCAGCTTAAAGATTCTCAATACTTCTCCTTTGCCTAGCAATGGTCTCCAAAGTGGGGTATATTCTATTTCTAAATTTTAGCTCAAAAAAGTAAAAAAGAAAAGAGTCTCTACTAGTTCTACTAGTTTTGAGTATGTAAATATGCGCTGGCACCCCCACTTGGTATTTATATGACCACCTATTGCATAAGGGAGGCCAAGTGTCCTGAGGAAAGAGTGGACAAATCCCTTTGTTGTGGTATCCTCACTCATCCTCTCAGTTTCCGCTGATTACAACTATTTATGGTTTCTGTGAGCCTAGTTGATTTGTGGATTTTTGAAAATCTAGCCTGAAATAAACAAACCTTTACAAAATTGACAAGTAACTTAAAAATATTCCTTTGAAGACACTTAGCTTTGAGACTAAAACAAATAACAAAAGCACAAATTAATGACAAGTAAACGCCATATCTGACATATTTCCTACTCCTGTTACAAATCAGCTGTATTACAAGGGAAAAATCATGACTACACATCTGAAAAGGATTCAGTTAAAAGGACAATAAAAGAAGAAAAAAGTTAACTCCAGAGTTTTAAAATGTTTAAAATAATGTAATACCCATTTCAATACATTATATATGTTCATTTAAAATGATAAAAGTATTAAAGCCTCATCTGAGGATTCTTACTTACTACTATAAGATTAGAAAATATCACACCAGTTGAAACACATTTTTTTTTGTGGTAAAATGAAATGATATGTAAGAAAATATGATAGTAAAATGGAAATACACTCTTTGTCAGAAAATGCCGTTGGAGGATGCAAAAAAAATATTGTGGGTAGACAATAACATGAAGAAATCTCAAAATCCTTAGACTGAGTAAAAGAAGCTAGACACAATGATACAAACTGTGTAATTCCATGAAATTCTAGAAAATGCAGAATAAGAATTTCTATGAAATTCTAGAAAATGCAGAATAAGTTATAGTGACAAATGCATTTGTGATTTTCTGGGGCCAGTATCAGAGGTAGTGATGGATTGTAAAGGTGCTCAAGAGAACTTTTAGGGGAGATGGAAATGTTCCGTATCTTGTTGTTGGTGGTGGTTCCATGGCTCTATGCATCTATCGAAGCTTGAACATTTTAAATAAATTTGGTTGATTGCAAGTAAATCATACCTAATTAAAGTTAATTAAAAATAATATTAGAAAATATATTAAATTAAGTACATGAGAGAGAAGCTAAGAACTGTGCAAGGTGTTGGAGATACAGTGGCAAACAGAAAAATGGCCTTGGTCTTTCATGACCTGATTACAGGTTATATGGGGAGGTGGCTAGAAATAATGCAATCACAGAGAGTTACAGACCGGAAAAAGGACTAGGAAGAAGAGGGGAGGTTCTAGGACGGCCTATAATGAAATAACCTGCCCTAGCTTAAGAAGTCAGGTAAGGAAGGCAGAAGTTGGTCCAAACAGATGGAGAACTATAAACTTCCATAACCTTTATAAACCATGCCATTCATTTGGCACACAATTCGAACTTTTAAGGCAGAATGGTTATGCATAGATATCTTCATTCTCTAACTAGACTATAAACAACTAAAGGATGGAGACCATAGTATGTTTCTTTGCATCCCTCTCTTACAATACCTAGAAAAGTGTGTACACATGGTTAATATTTACCAATTGACTAGTTTGCCTGTATGTCAAAGAGACTAGAGTCATCCAGTGTTCTCTCAGAATGACTGGAGGTCTGCCCTCATCTCCACAGTCCCATTCTGAGGCTGTGTATACCATTGCTCTTTCTGTCCCTTGCTGTGGCTGTCCCCCAGCCTGCTCTTCTGGTTCTCTGTTTGAGGAATTTTTAAGGTATCTCATCACAGGCCCTGGTACAGGCATTTTTATTTTAGCTTTTAGTTTTTCACTTCATAAATTTGATCTTTGCCTTAAAACTCTGTTTTTGCCTTCTAACACAATCAAACAATTCAGTCATTTTGACAGCCTTGGACATTTGGCAAGGGCTCAAGAAATATGTATCAGTCAGTTGAAATGTCAACCTCAGCCCATAAAAGGGCTTGTTGCATTGTCCCATAGCATGAATTTAGCGTCTATATGAAACTGAGCTGAAAATAACTCTACCAAAGTTGTACTGTGGTTGTCATCTTTAAACAGCCCTGGATTTAACTGTTGCCATATATAGCTTTTAATAGCCAATATTTTGGATTATAGCAGCAGGTCTACATGTCATCTGTCTTAACATGCTGTTTCAGGTCACTGTTTGGTCAAGTTGTTCTATTTGTTTGAAAATTGGCCATTAGCACAGCTAAAAATAGAGAGCTGACTCTTCTACAGATACATGACTTTACAGGTATAGAGATATAAATAGGGTTGATATCTAAGAACAAAGAGAATATCTCACAGTTTTGAAGAACGAATCTCTCAGAAAGTGCTGGGAAGTTATTTTAAGTTACAAGTAAGCCGACAAGCCATAGATGGGATTGCCCTCATCATGGCCATTGATAACTTTATAGACTGCTCATTCAATTAAAAGGCTTTTGGTGGTAGCTTTGCTAACTCAGCCTTGCTCTTTATAAAAAGGAAATTAAGCAAAAGCAATGGAAAACTTTGTAAACCCAATCATAATATAAATTGTAGTGTGACAGTTATTTCTTATGTAAACAAGGGCATGAAAACTGAGAAAATGAATTAGTTTGCAAACTATAGTTCTGTACTGAACAATAGAGTTCTTGGGCCTCAAAATATAGCATTCTTCAGTCCAAAGCCACTGTGTCTTAGACAGGACATGTTCAAAGTTAATATAGAGGGAAACCATAGACCTCCAGAACTTCTAATCAAGAAGAATTGCACTACCAAAACTGCATCAATGAATCATGTTATGAGGTGTAGCGCACGCTGTGGCAGATTGGCTATTATTCATGTCACTGTGGTGTATTAGTCTGGATATTGGAAAGAAGAGGTGATGTATAAAGGCAGCTATTTCTGCATGTAAGAAATAAGATTGATGGTGTGGTATGGGCAAAATTGTAAGTAAAAAATGGCAACGGCCAGTTAGCTGAACAATTAACTCTGCTAGGAGGCTCCAGGAGCTGCAGGAAAATAATATTTGCTGGGCTACCTTTATATTTTAGGCTATTATTTTGTTACCTACTTGGTAAAGTGTCAAAGGTTTTATTCCTTTCAAAATGTTACCTTGTTTGTCCTTTTGGTTTCAATAAGGATGATACTGCTTTTCATGAAAAGTGTTTTGGTTGGTTACCTTGCTCAGTTCTTACAGCAACCCTCAGAAATTGGCAAAAAAGGTGTTATCCTATTTTATACACGAGGAGTGAAAGCCCATAGAAATTAAGTAGCCTGTCTAGTGTCATCAGCCAGTATGTGCCTGAGCAGAGACTCAAACTTACCCCCACTGACTCCAAATCACTTTGTTGAACTGCTGCTCCTGCGTGCCCACCCCGATCTCTTTTTTTTTTAACACATTTAATCGAGTTACCAAAATGCATTTGTCCCAATTCCTGGCTTTTGAAAACTTTCAAGAACATTTGGCATGAGAATTTGGTCTTGACTTCACAATATGGCCAATATTAGATCAGACCAAGTGTCTGAACTCTTTGCTTGAACAAGCTGAGGCCTGGGGTACCTAGGCTGCAATCCAAAGGGTGTAGTAGTGATCTGCCCCCGGTCTTCAGAGTGTTGAGTGATAGTATCCAGAGAAAAAAAAAAAACTGAGTTCAAGAATTCCAAACAAAAGACTGAGGCCAAAGAGCATCATCCACAAATGATGAAGTAGGATAGAGATCTGCAATATACGGCCAGAGCAAGACAGATGATGGAAAATTGAAGTAGAACTTAGAAAAAATTACTGAGCTTCTTTTTAGGGCACCTGCACCTTTGGCAATGGGTGGGAAAAGAGAGATTTTTTAGGATTTCACCCTGGCTCAGATACATAGGTTGAACCTGGAAAGCATTTTAGAATCCCAGTTGACAAAGTGTCAATTTCCTTCCTTTCAGTATTTAACAGAGGAATGAACGAAAATGCTTGATTTTGTCAAATGATGTATTACTTAAAAATTACTTGATGATGTATTTACAAATTACTATTTATTGAATATTTACGTAGAATTAATTGTACATTGGCCATTCAAATATAAAAAATCATTCTACCCTTCTCATAATATGCTATCATTCTGGTATAATACCTGGTATATAATTACCGGAACAGTACAATATCTGAGGCACAGTTAAAAATGGATTATGACTTTTGGGAAGATTAGTTGACTTAGATAATAAAAATTAAATATAGGACAATAAAATTATATACTTTCCAGTGTATTTTTGATTCCAAAAGAGCATATTTGGTAGTTGAGAAAATGCAAGGTGTAACTCAAATGTACTGATCTCCATCCTGATGTAAGCCACCTATTTCCAGAAAATCATTTGCCTCTGTGGACTCAATGCCGTGAAGTAAATTATAGGGAGGTCATAAGTGCATTTCATTTGCATGTGTGAAAATTTTTTAGAAGTTCCTACCATCAGGACTTCATGAATTTAAAGAAGAAAATCAGAATTCAGTTCATTTGTAAAGTGCAGCAAGAATGTAGTCATATTCTCTCAGTGGAACCAGATCAGCTAAACCAAAATTGCACTTTTCCATTGAATTGGGATGTTTGATCATACTGGTTTTGGCCCATATGACTGTTTTCCATCAAATATGTGTGCCAACATTTCTTCAGTGATGCACTGTGCCTAGTTGTTAGCTTTGATCGTATATGATCTTAGTGCTGTTATTTAGGTGACGTGATCTAGGGAATAAAACGAGACTGCTAAAAAGTTGGGAATACAAATAAGAATGTCTAACTGACATCCTCTATTCTAACTAGCAGAACCATGGCCCTCAAACTAGCTAAATTATGGTCTAGCTGTACTGTAAAAATTCTTTTCTAAAAAAAAATAAGTAGAAAAAAATAAAGTGTTTGGTTAAATTATGGAAAATCACTTAAATTCAGTCATTTATTGCCAAGAAAAACAGTTATTTCATATGGCAGAATATAATACTATTACCACAACCATAATCAATGTATCATACCAATTATGTATTGATTCAATTCACTTCAAACATACAAGTGCCTATATTATGTCAGAATTTGTAGGAATATAACAGCTATAAGGAAAGCATGATAAGAACAAGTAGAGAGTGAAGGAGAAACAGAACAGGAAAGACTGATTTCAAACAAAGAGATAAAAGTCTTCACAGAAGAGTTGAAAGTTGAACTAACCTTGAATTTTGGTAAAGATACATGAGAACAAGATTGCCAATACCGAAGGCAAGGTCTGCAAAGACTGAAATGTACTAGGATCATGTCTAGAAAAGAAAGCAGTTAAGTATATCTAAGAAGCAAATTTTATAGGAACATCATCCCACATTGCTGAGGATATGGAATAACATGTTAACTAGTTTATGTTTTATACTGTGGATTTAGTAAAGGTGTTTGAACAGATTCATGACACGATTAGAGCTATATATTAAGAGACTTTAGTGGTGGTATGAAGGATGGAATGAAGGGGCATGAGAATAGAAAAAGATGACTTAGGAGACTTTGGTAGTAATCTTAGGAAAGAAAGAATGAAGACTTGAATTAGGTTAACTTGACCACAAAGCAGAGGACAGATGTCATCAATATTGTAGTCTTACAATCAATAGAGCTTGATGACTACCTGGATATAGAGGATTACAGGGAGAATGGTTCAAAATGTGGTACAAGAGGATACAGAGTAACTGGGTAGTACTATTACACAAAATGAGGAATCAAGAGAGGCAGCATGTTGGATAGGAGTTTAGAAGGCAATAGTGAGTTTTATTTTTAAAAAACACTAAATTTAAGGACTCTAAGGAATATTTGCCTAAAAATATCCACCCAGAAGTTGGTAGTGTTTGATTTGGATCCTAGATTGAAAGGTAGATACTAGAAATGGAAGTAAAGAAAGTGGATAAAAAAAATAGAGATGAATATGCTTGAGAGAAAGAACCAGAGGAGAGTAATGGGATTAAAGGAGTAGTAGGAATGAATTTTTTAGATTTAAAACCATGGGAGACATTTCTTTCTCTACAATACAAAAGGAAAATTAGAGAATGAGAGCACAGAGAAAGGACTTCAGACATGGAAAGGAAAGACTCTGAGTGAACTCAAAGAAGATGACTTCTATCTCCTTGGATCTTCTTGATAAAACTGGAGCTGAAAGTGAGAGTAGCTAAAGAAAGATTAGGGACACGACATGTGTGGGCATTGCTCCTAACATGTCATATTGAGGAACTAAAAAATATTCAATTGTCTTTATCTGGGAAGCAATTTAACATGTTGACAAATACTGTCAATATATATCTTGTAGTGAAAAAATGGGTCACTATAACATAACCATGAATTAAGATAAAATACCCAAGTGATTTACTTGAGTGGTATTTCTAAATTATTCAAGCTTTTAAAAATTATGTTTCATGATGCACTGGTTTATTTTTCATCTTTTCCACATGTCATGTGATCTTTTTCATCCAACTTTTCTTATAATATTGATGCAATTTAAAAAATTATTTCCTGATTTTAATCATTTAGAAAATTGACCAGACTTCTCTTTCATAACAAAAATTACAATATTAATATTTCATTATCACATTCCTCAAGAACCCAGACTATTGGTTTTAAGTTGTGTGGACAGAATGGGACATTAATAAATGGTAATCTTATTTTGTTTGTAGCAGTTAGATTGCTCTTCAACCCTTAAATGATCTGTCACAGAATTTCTGAAAAGTCCATTGAAATTACTCAGCTTACTGCATTTATTTCAACTAATTCAGCTTCAGAAATAAGAGACACATTTCTTACTTCCATATTGTTGCTTCAAGGGAAGAATTTAAGACTTTCATACTTTACTACAGGGCAATAGTCAATTTAATCTATGTTGCCATGGTTACTCTTGGTGGAGTTAAAAAAATTTCCAGAAGTCACAGTTTGTGCCAATGAATATTATTGTTTATCAGTAACAGAATCAACATTTTTTATTCTCCTTTTTTACTCTTTCTGAGTGAAGTATTTGTACCTGGCAAGCATTTAATAAATAGTCATTTAATAGTAAAGACACCTAAGAAAACTAATTCAGTGGGTTAAAGTGATATATTTATTCACGTAACCATAGATCATAGACCTCTGAATCTGAAGAGGAATTTGGGGATTATTTAGTCTGAGTCTTCACATTTTATATGGTAAAAATAACTCACTGGGTTAGGAAGGGACTACTTAAGGTCACACAGATAGTGATCAGAATACATAAACATGATTATTTTTCATGTGACAAAGTGAAGCTGTGATTTTAAGTTTATTTTTCAGAAAAGCTGTGAGAGTACATGCAAGAAAAGCTAAGATCTTCTTCATCGGTAATTTTTTGACCATTTCCTGGATTTATGACAGTGAGCTCTAGGAGCCGTAAGATGAAGTTTAGAGAGAAACAATGTAAGTCATATCTGAGTGACTGCAAATATTGGCCCACAGTCAGTCTAATCAGCTTTGCTGTCTTACTGATGAAAATAGATTAAAGTTGTGCATATGACATAATATACTGAGATATAAGTTCCTTTGGGGAAGATATTGTGTCATTTATGAAACATAAATGTGTGCATAGAAATATAAATAAGACACCATTCCTGCTTTCAAGGAGCATTTTGTACACCTTACCACACTGCATACAGTAAGTTGCCTAACCTACTGATTGACTAGTGCTGCTATGTCCTTCCTCCCTAAATGATTGCTGCAGTATTGCATTTCTGAAACTGTGCTGCAGATTTGGATCTCAGTCTGCCTATAGGAAATGTGTCACTGATAATAATATATTTACATGGTGTCTCAGAACTTCTCCAGTTGTCCTTTGAGTGGGGACAAGAGGAAATATTGGCAACCCCCAGGATAAAGACAGACATGGTCCTAGTAGCCTTTTTAACACAATGGTTTTAAGGTACTGGTTTCAACAGAATGGTTTCAAGGCAATGGTTTCAGAAAGCAAATTTAAGAGGCACTATTCACAATAGCAAAGACTTGGAACCAACCCAAATGTCCAACAATGATAGACTGGATTAAGAAAATGTGGCACATATACACCATGGAATACTATGCAGCCATAAAAAATGATGAGTTCATGTCCTTTGTAGGGACATGGATGAAATTGGAAATCATCATTCTCAGTAAACTATCGCAAGAACAAAAAACCAAACACCGCATATTCTCACTCATAGGTGGGAACTGAACAATGAGATCACATGGACACAGGAAGGGGAATATCACACTCTGGGGACTGTTGTGGGGTGGTGGGAGAGGGGAGGGATAGCATCAGGAGATATACCTAATGCTAGACGACGAGTTAGTGGGTGCAGCGCACCAGCATGGCACATGTATACATATGTAACTAACCTGCACAATGTGCACATGTACCCTAAAACTTAAAAGTATAATAAAAAAAAAAAAAGAAAAAAAAAAAAAAGAGGCAAAGCCATGTACCTCTCTGTGCTTCAGGATCCCCGTGGTGGGCTGTGATGAGAACAATAATTTTCGGAAGTTTTTAAAGAAGCAGAACCCTTTGTTTTTACCAATGAAATTTTGTATTAAAAAGCTCAGTAGTTACATAAAACAGATAAAAACAGAAATGCCCTGTATGAATCAGGAATGAGAAGATTGGGTTCTTACCAATTAGGCTTACTCTCTCTTCTCCATTTTATCAATGAACAAAGATACTCCTAGATAAGCAAAAATAAATTTGCCCTAAAATTAGTTGTTAATAAGTGACACAACCAGGACTGGACTCTTGATCTTTTTATACTTTACCATATTACCTCAAGTGTATTGAGTTTACTAGGGATCTATGTTGTTGTAGAGTAACTGTAAGGTATATAAAAAGCTAAAGATGCAAAGTCTTCCTTGAAGGAATTTATAATAATACCATGGAAATGAAACAAAATTGTATTCATTCACTAGCTTAACATTGCTTAACATTTGCTATATGTGATGCACTAGAGATTTTGAGCCTGATAAGACCATAGGCCCTCAAGAAGCTCACGTATCTAATGTAGCATGTGGTAGACTGAATAATGGCCCCCCAAATACATCCAGGTCCTAATCCCTGGAACCTGTGCATGTTATATTTTATTGTAATGGGGGCTTTGCAGTTGTGATTAAATTAAAGATCTTGAGATGAGATGATTAGCATGGATTAACCATGTGGGCCTTAAATGTAATTATGAGTACCTTTATAATAGGGAGTAAGAGATTCTTCCACAGAATAGAGAAGATGTGACAACCTCAGCAGAGAACGGTTCGAAGTTGCTATGCTGTGGGCTTCGAACATGGAGGAAGGAGTCATGAGCCAAGGAATGCACATAGTACAGGTGGCCTCCAGAAGCTGGAAAATACAAGAAAGGAGTCTCCTCTAGAGCCTCCAGAGGCAGTATGGCCTTAAAAATTAAGTAAAGGTGGATTTCTTTTTCACACTGTATACAAGTATAAATTCTCGGTGGATTAAAAGTCTAATATTAAAAGTCAAATTTTCATTAATCTTCTAGAAGAAAATTTAAGAAAATACCTCCATGACTTTAGAGTACAAAAATATTTATTTAAGAAGACAAATTACACACTGTAAAATGATTGACTTGATAAATAGAACCATTATAAAATTTTTAAAAATCTTAATATTTTAACATGTAATGTTTTTACGTGTCATACATTGGGAGAAGATATTTACAATGCATATATCCTCCCCCAAAAGGATTAGTACTCAGAATATGTAAAGAACTTCTACAAATTAGTAAGAAAAAGTTCACTTCAATAGAAATGATGAAGAAAGTATTCCAGGCTCTGATGTGGTTACTTCACAGAAAGGAAACTGAAGGGAAAAAAATCTATTATTCACAGAGTGGGGACTGAAGAATGAGAATAGCTTTCTTCCCTTTTTTCAATATTCTTCTATTGCTTCCCATAGGAACCCAAATAGAAGCCAAAGACAAGGTAATCCTTTGCTGTCCTCCATACAGTTCAGTCTTTTGGATCACATAGTAGGGCAGAAAAGAATGAAGAGTAAATCTGGAGTGGGACAAAGATTCATCAGATTTTAAAAGTATAACTATATTAAGTGTTGAAGAGTGTGTAGAGCAAGCACAAATCTTCTACAAGATGCTGGGAGTGTAAATTTTTATGATTTGGCAATATTTATTAAAGCTTAACATGTGCATAACTTTAAGACCCAACGATTCCACTTCTATACAGACATGTATGGCAAAAAGCGAGGGTAAGAATGTTCATAGTACAGTTCTCTTAAAATATTCTTTGAAAAGTCAAACCATCAGTTAGAGGAATAGATGAATGCATTGTAGTATATTCAAAGCTGAGTATTGTACTCAAGGATGCAACATGGAGGTATCTCACAAACAACATTGAGTAAAAGTATATATCACAGAAGGATACTTCAGTGTAATTCCAGATAAAATTTTTACAACATGCCAAATAATACTATATATTTTATAGTTCTAGACTTATGGGTAGTTAGATAATATCGAATTACATGCAATAATGTACATCAATTCAGTAGGTTTTTCTGAAAGTTATGGAGAGGAACAGAATTCAAAAAAAGTACCTAGGAGGCTTTAATATATTTATGTCATTATTTCTTAAGCTTCCTGTTGAGTAAGTAAGTGATCACAATATGATTTAATTCAATTTTATTTCAGATGCAGTTCGTAATGCTCTTTAAAACATTTAAGTATGACAGGCGCTGGAAGAGACATATGCCCAAGGGCCTCCTGGAGCACAAAGGAGGAGCCCATAAGCCAGTCTTGGTAGCAGTGGTCAGGGAAGGCTTGCTGGAGGAGCTGGCTTAATCAAATAATTTGAACCATCAAAAAATCTCTAGAAGTTCAGTGAAGAAGAAATCAGCATGGTGTAGATACATTATCAAGGAACTAGACTTTAAATGGCCTGAAAAAAATGAGGAGGAATTGCATGGCATGAGCAGTAGTTAGAAGTATAAGGTATTCAAGTCAGAGAGAGGGAAGCAGAGGTACGTTTTTAGAGAGAGCTGGACAATGTTTGTATGCAAGAAGCAAACATTAGCCACTGTGACTTTAACTTTCATTCTTTTATATACTAGAATTTCCCCCAGGAAAATTTATGCTCAAGCCATAAAAGAACAGCTAAAGCTAGAAATTTGTTTGGTTAAGTTATGGCTATCATCCCTTAAATTTGCATCATGTTCAACCACTTACAAAGCATGTAAATCCTCACATCCCTGAGAGGTAGGAAGGAAGGCAGCATTACAGGGGAAGTCAAAGCATTAGAGAGGTACAATGACTCCCCCAAGATTATCTGACTAATAAGTGATATGCTCAGGCCTAGAAACAGTTCTTCCAGTTGCAAGTTCAGAATTTATTTTGCTACCCGTGGCCTATTCCACATATTTTACAGCTGAAATTAGATCAACATTTAGAACATATTCTCTTATATAAGCACAATTCAACTGAAAAGATTTTTAGCAAACTTGAATGGAATGAGAATGCTCACAGACACATTCCTAATAATTTATTTGTACAAGGATATGATTTATTGCAGTGAGGGAAACTGCCCCAGTCTCTTAAGAGAGTATGGGTTGGTAAGCAATTGAGACATACCAATATCTATAACCTTTTTCAAAGTATACAACCTGATTGAAAGTATAGTACTCTTATAATAAATGGTTCAGAGGTTACATTTCTTCTATTAGACCAGAAAATCTTGAATGAAATTAGTTAAATAAAGCTGATAAGTTCTGCTAATAAAGTAGTCTTAAAAATTGTACTTTGACTTGGGAGACTGAGGCAGGAGAATCGCTTGAACCCAGGAGGCAGAGGTTGCAGTGAGCCGAGATCATTCCAATGCACTCCAGCCTGGGCAACAGAGCGAGACTCCATCTCAACAACAACAACAACAAAAAAGTTGTACTTTGGCCTTTGGGCTATAGAATTTTTTTAGTAGAGACTAGAAACGTGTTTATTCTACAATTCTTTTTTCTTTTTTTGTCTCATCAGCAGATCAGTCAGTCTGTCTGTGAGCACACAGAGGGACCAAGCATGATTTCAATGTAATTGTAGATGAACAATTAGATTAAAAAAGATTAATTTTACTGAACTTTATCCTCAGGTATTCCCATTTAGCACAAATATAGCCAGTGCACTGAAGGAGAAATGCAACTACAACATATCCGTTAGTTTACTTTTGGAATCCTACTCTGACTCTACCTTTTTGCTTGGCACTATGGAGACATACAAAGGCATGATATAAGTTTCTGCCTTCAAGAAGTTTTGTAGTTACATTTGGGAACTGTAAAACATTGCAATACAGTAAATTATGAGGTATAGACTGCAAGCTCTGTTTGGAAGACACTAATTATGATGCCTACCAGATAGTTATTACTCAATAAAAACAGAGTGTCATCTGGGGAAATTTTACGTCAGTGAATGATTTCTTCTAAAATATTTCAGGAATATGGTGAAACCACTGTGCTTCTCAGATGGTTTGAGATCCGCAATATGTAAAAGAAGGAAAATACAGAATGGCTCCCGGACTGATTATTCAATCAACAAAGAAATTATTTACGAAGCCACTGGTTTGCAAAGAAGATGCAATTTAGCTTAAATTGCATATACCTTGTATTGATAATCTTTTAAAGAGATGAAAATGATTTGTTTAAAAAATTCAAAACAATATTTTATGTTACATTATTCCCCAAGTAACAAACAGATGATATTTTATCCACTCTTTTAATGCATGCCAAAAATACAAAGCATTTAACCATGATTTTAAGTACAACTGGAAATATTTCATAATTAGGACAAGATCTAAAAAAACTCATAAGAAAAATAATAAAACTAGTGTTTAGAGCTAAGAAAAAAGCAGTATGCAGTAATTGGATGAGCTCAAAGAAAAAAGAACAAAGGATAAGCAATAACATATTAAATTATTGTTAATTGGAAAAGCCAAGATGTTCCTCCAGGCAGAAATCAGTAATTAGAATGTAGTGAAAGCTCATTATCATCATCTCAGTTGGAAAGAAAAAGTGGATTGCATATCCTCTCTACCCAAGTTTCTCTCAGTCAGCTTAGACACTTCTACTGATGAGATAAAGCAATGACAGAAGTAAACCTTACCATCTCAAACCCTTTCTCCCTTAGAGGCAGAGTACATCTTTACGCTTCTGAAGACCTCCTTTTGTGCACTTCAAAGATTTCATTACAAAATGTTGGTAAAAATCAAACAGACAAAATAAATAGATATTCTATTTGTTTGATTTTTACCAACATTTTGTAATGAAATCTTTGAAGAACACAAAATGTAGGAAGAAAGGTACAATAGCACCAGTATACACATTATATTGATTTTTTCTTTTTTCCTTTTTTTTTTTTTTGAGACGGAGTCTCACTCTGTTGCCACGGCTGGAGTGCAGTGGCGCGATCTCGGCTCCCTGCAAGCTCCACCTCCCCAGCTCACGCCATTCTCCTGCTTCAGCCTCCCAAGTAGCTGGGATTACAGGCGCCTGCCACCACACCTGGATGATTTTTTTGTATTTTTAGTAGAGAAGGGGTTTCATCATGTTAGCCAGGATGGTATATTGATTTTATAGTTGGACCCCCTGTTGCCGAGCAGCACCTATGAGCTCAAGTCCCTACAAAGCTTAAGTGTAATATTCGAAGATTGTTAACAAATGAATGTGCAATATAACTCTAACCTCTATAAAAATGTAGAACATTGCAATTACTCCAGAAAGTTTCCTAGTGCTTCATTCCCAGTCAAATTGTGCCCATACCCTCATCAGAAGCAATGTTCTGATTTTTTTCCATGGTAGATTACTTTTACCTGTTCTAGACCTTCATGTAAATGGAATCACACAGTAGGTACTCATTTGTGTAAGGCTTGTTTCATTAAGCATAATATTTTTATGATTTTCCATATTGTTTTGTGTTTCAGTAGTTTTCTCCTTTTTATTATTAAGTTTTGTTTCATTGTATAAATATACAACATGCGTTATGCTACATTTATATAAGTGATCTATGTCAAATTAATTTTTGTTTATGATGTAAGGTGAGGGTTGAGTTCTATTATTTTTCCATATGGAGAGCCAGTATTTCTGAAAACTGTTGAAAAGCCATTTCTTTCAACATTGGATTGCATTAGTGACTTTTCCAAAAATTAAATAACTGTTATAAGTGTGAGTCTTTTTCTGAACTCTGCTCTATTAACAGTACCATACTGTACCATACTGTCCTGAGTAATGTAATTTTACAGTAATTCTCAAAATTAAGTGGTATCAGAAAGGGGAGGGTGGGATGGGGATGAAGGATAAAGAACTACACATTGTGGGCAATGTACACTACTGTGTTGACTGGTGGACTTAAATCTCAGACTTCACCACTATATGATTCATCCATGTAACCAAAAACCACTTCTACTCCCAAAACTACTGAAATAAAAATTATTAATAAAAAAATAAGGTGGTATATTTCTTCAAATTTGTTGTGATTTTTCTAACTACTTTCACTATTCTAGGTCAGTTGTTTAAATTCCATATATATTCAGGGAATCAGATAGTCAATTTCTACAAAAAAAGCATGGTGGCATTATGTTTAAGATTGCATGGAATCTACAGATAATTTTGAGGATAATTGACATCTTAAAAATGTTGTCTTCCAATTCACAAATATGAAAATGTTTCCATTTATTTAGGCCTTAATTTTTCTCAGCAATGGTTTTTAGTTTTCATTGTAGAGGTCTTGCACATCTGTCATTAGATTTATTTCTAGTAATAGGTTTTTGTTGCTATTGTGAATTCTATTTTTTATTTTTCAACAGTAAAATATGAAAACATAATTGATTTTTATATTAGTTTATATCCTGCTACCTTGCTAAAATGACATAAATATTATAGTAATTTTAGTGGTAGATTCTTTATAATTTTCTACATATACTTTCATGGGACTTAAAAACAAAAGACTTGCTTCTTCCTTACTGATTTTTAAAAAATGTATACAAATTTATGGGGTACATGAGAAATTTTGTTACACATATGTAAAGCATAGTGATCAAGTCAGGGTATTTTGAGTCTTCGTTACCTGAGTATAATACACTTTTTTAAGTATAGTCACCCTACTCTACCATCAAATATTGAATTTATCCTTCTATCTTACTGTACCCTTTGACTCATTTCTCTTCATCCTCCTTCTTCCTTTCAATTCACCTATCCTAGTCTCTATTATCTACCTTTCCACTATCTAATGTGATCAAATTTCTTGGCTCTCACATAGAAATGAGAACACATGATATTTGTCTTTTTATGTGTGGCTTATTTCACTTAAGATAATGATCTCCAGTTCCATTCATGTTGCTGCAAATGAAATGAGTTCATGTTTTTAAGGCTGAATAGCATTCCATTGTGTATATACAGCACATTTTCTTTTTTTTAATTTTAAATTCCAGGATACATGTGCAGGATGTGCAGGTTTGCTACATAGGTAAATGTGTGTCATGATGGTTTGGTGCGCCTATAAACCCATCACCTAGGTATTAAGCCTACATGCATTAGCTATTTATCCTGATGCTCTCCCTTCCTCCGCATCTCCCTGCCCTGACAGGCCATAGCATGTGTTGTTCCCCTCCCTGTGTCCATGTATTCTCATTGTTCAGCTCCCACTTATAGGCGAGAAAATGCAGTGTTTGGTTTTCTGTTCCAGTTTGCTGAGGATAATGGTTTCCAGCTCCAACCATGTCATGGATCATGCAAAATGCATGATCATGCAAAAGACATGACCTTTTTCCTTTTTTTATGACTGAATAGTATTCTATGGTGTATATGTACCACGTTTTCTTTATCCAGTCTATCATTGATGGGCATTTGGGTTGATTCCATGTCTTTGCTATTGTGAATAGTATATAGTATATTTTCTTTATCCATTCATCCATTGATAAACACTTCTTAGATTAATTCCACATCTTTGCTAGTGTGAATCATGCTGCAATGAACATAGGAATGTAGGTATCCGGATTTCTTTTCCTTTGGGTAGATACTCAGCAGTAGGATTGCTGGACTGAATGGTAATTCTATTTTTAGTTTTTTGAGAAATCTCCATACTGATTTCCATAGTCGTTGTAATGGTTTGTATTTCCACCAACAGTGTATAAGAGTTTCCTTTTCTCCACATCCTCGCCAACAACTTTTATTTTTGTCTTTTTAATAGTAGCCATTCTGACTAGGGTAAGATGGTGTTCTTACTGTGTTTTGGATGTGCATTTGTCTGATGATAGTGATATTGAGCATGTTTTTCATATACCTGTTGGCTATTTGTGTATTTCCTTTGGAGAAATGTCTATTATGTATTTTGCCTACTTTTAAATGAGATTATTTATTTTCATCATCTTGAGGTGTTTGAGTTCCTTGGTTATTCTGGATATTAGTCCCATGTTGGATGAATAGTTGGCCAATTTTTTTTTTCCCATTCAACGGGTTGTCTCTTCATTCTGTTGCTTATTTCCTTTGCTGTGTACAGGCTTTTCAGTTTAATATAGTTCCATTTGTCTGTTTTTGTTTTCTGTGCTTTTAAGATCTTAGCAATAAATTATTTGCCTATATCAACATACAGGAGAGTTTTCCCTGGGTTTTCTTCTAGTAATTTGATAATTTTGGGTCTTATATTTAAGTCTTTAATCAATTTGGAGCTGGTTTTTGGTATATGATAAAAGATATGAGTCCAATTTCAATCTTCTGCATCTGGCTATCAAAATTCTCAAGCACTATTTATTGAATTGGGCATCCTTTTCCCAGTGAAAGTTCTTGTCAGTTTTGTTGAAGTTCAGTTGACTCTAAATATGTGGCTTTCTTTCTGGGTTCTCCATTTTGTTCCATTGGTTGGTGTGTCTATTTTATACACCAATACCATGCTATTTTGCTTACTATAGTTTGTAACATGTTTTGAAGTCAGGTAATGTTATGCCTGCAGTTTTGTTCTTTTTGCTTGTGGTTACTTTGGCTATTTAGAACAATTTTTGGTTCCATATGAATTTTGGATTGCTTTTGTCTAATTCGGTGAAAAATAATGTCGGTATGTTGCTACCATTTGCATTGAATCTGTAGTTTGCTTTGGGAAATATGGTCATTTTAATGATAATAATTTCTCCAATCCATGAACATATATTAATCATATATGTTTCAGTTATGTTGTGTCCATTGTGGTCTGAGAAGACACTTGATATGATTTCAATTTTTAAATAATTTGTTAAGACTTGTTTTGTGGCCTAAAATATAACTTATCCTGGAGAATATTTTATGTGCTGATGACAAGACTGTGTATTCTGCAATTGTTGGATAGTATGTTCTGTAAATTTCTGTTAGGTCCATTTGGTCTAAAGCCCAGTTTAAAGCCAATGTTTCTTTGTCGATTTCCTGTCTAGACAGTTTGTCTAAGGCTGAGTATGGGGTGTTGAAGTCCCTGACTATTATTATATTATGGTCTGTCTTTTTCTTTAGATCTGATTGTATTTGCTTTATCAATCTGGGTTCTCCATTGTTGGGTGCATATATATTTAGAATTATTATATCATCTTGCTGGATTGATCTCTTTATCCAGGGCTGAGCATTCCTATCTTTGTGCCTCAGGGCAATGTCTACTTGCACCTGTATTAGCAGTTACTGGCAGGCTGATTGTTAAGCTTCCAGATTGCTTGCTCAGATGCTGGTTGTGGCAGTGGTGGACCAGGCAGGTGAGCAAATTCTCAGGCCCTGGGCAGCCAGCATTGCATGAGCAATGGAAGTAGCAGTGGCAGGACGATTCTCTGGGTCCAGAGCACAGTGTGTTTAGGTTGGTGGTGGTTGAGATGGGCTGGTTGGGCCAGTCTCCAGGCCCGCAATTGGCACTTGCAGGCAGGTGCCAGCTGAGGTGGTAGCAGCTAGGAGTTTAGGCTCAACCTCAGGCTCTCAGGAGGAGTGCTCAGATGCTCAAGGAGGTGGATTGATTTGGGAAATCCCCAGTACTCTGGGATATGTGCTATGCCTTGGGGGTGGGGGAACAAACTTAGGCTGTGTGGGCTTGTGCTCTGATCACCCAATGCTAAAAGCAGGGAACATCCATGATGGGCTGGGGCTGGGCAATCCTCAGGCCACAAATGGAGTGCTTGAATGAGGAGCAGTAGCAGCCATTCTGACACCCTGTCACTGAAGAGGGTGTGGCCATTCTCAGTGGCCACAGTGTAGGCTAGCAGGTGGGGAATGCATGTCCCTTTCCCACCCTGGTTTTGATGGGGCTTGCTCCCAAGGATTAGAAGTGCCCCCAACTTTGCTGCAGGAGCTGTCACCCTAGTAGTGACCAATTCCCAGCAGCAAAACCTCACTCATGTTCTAGTCTCTGTCCCAAAAACATTAACTTCCTGGGATCAGCAGCTGTAGTCCATGCTTTGCTTGCTTCTTAGGGCCAGCTCCAGCTACGGGATTGCTTCTAGCTTACTCTCCAGTACCAGCAGTGACAGTCCAATTTTCCCTGATGGCTTAGTCCCAGCATTGCTGGCCCCCAGGAAATTGTGCAGTCTGCCAAAGGATGGGTTTGAAAACAGCACCTTGCTCTAGCCACTTAGGTCTCAGAAAGGGTGTAGAACCCAATGCAAGCTCCCTATCTGGAGCTTTTCCATCCCACAGTCTCATGGCAGCTCTCTACATTAGTTTTCAGGTTGGGAACATCAAGAGGTAACCCATAACCAGGGTTGCACAATTCCATGATGGGGATGTTGGCTGCTGGGAGTCTCTCACTCACCCTTTCCCTACATTGGAAAGTCACTTCTGGCTCTCAGGAGTTCCCAGTATATTAGCCATTCTCACATTGCTATAAAGAACTACCTGAGACTGGGTAATTTATAAAGAAAAGAGGTTTAATTGACTCACAATTCCACAGGCTGTACAGGAAGGATGACTGGGGAGCCCTCAGGAAACTTACAATCGTGGTGGAAGGCGAAGGGAAAGCAGGCACCTCTTACATGGCTGAAGAAAAAGGGAGGTGGGGGAAGGTGCCACACACTTTTAAACAACGAGATCTCATGAGAACTCACTCACTGTCAGGTGAATAGCAAGGGGGAAGTCAGTTCCCATGATCCAGTGACTTCCCACCAGGCCCCTCCTCCAGCACTGGGGACTACAATTTGGATGGGGACACAAATCCAAACCATATCATCCAGACAGGCAGGCTGTCTCTTTCCTTTCTCCTTCCCTAATTTTGGTGTTTCCTTCTTGCTGATCTTTATGACTTTCATCTCTTTTTCTTTCCTCATTTACTTTCAGCAAAGTGCTGAATAGATGTGGTAAAAGAAGTCATTCTTTCCTTGTTTGAAAGGGAAATTCATTCAATATTGCACCATTAAATATGATATTGGCTCTAGGTATTTTTGTAAATGACTCTTATCTGACTAAGAGAGTTTCTTTCTGTACCCAGTTTTCTGAAGGTTCTTTTTGATGAATGGGTGTTGAAATTTATCAAATGCTGGTTCTCCTTTATTTAACAACTATAGAAAATTACATTGACCTTTACAAATTAAATCAATCCTATGTTCTTGGGATAAAAGATATGTGGTTACAGTATATTTTTCTTTTTCTGAATTCTATTTGCTCAAATTGTACTAATTGTGTTAAGGGTTTTGTATTTATGAGAGATATTGGTCTCTTGGTTTCTTTTTTTGTAATGAATTTATTTATTTATTTATGAAACAGGATCTGGCTCTGTTGCCTAGGCTGTAGTGCATCTCAGTTCACTGCAACTTCTGCCTCCTGGCCTCAAACTATCCGCCTATCTCAGCGTCCCCAGTAGCTGGGACTACAGGCTTGTGCCACCACACCCAGCTATTTTTTTTTTTTTGTATTTTTAATAGAGATGAGATTTCTCCATGTTGCCCAGGCTGGTCTTGAACACCTGAGCTCAAGTGATCCTCCTGCCTCAGCTTTGCATCATGCTGGGATTACAGGCGTGAGCCACCGTGCCCAGCTTGTAATGAATTTCTCAGGTTGTGTCTTTAGTTTAGGCATAATAAAATGAGTTGTGAATTGGTCCCTCCTATTCTATTTTCTGAAAATGTTTCTTTAAGATTCATTTTATTTCCTCCTTAAATGTCCGGTAAATTAACTGGTAAAACTATAAAAGCACTATGTTTTCTTTTGGGGCAGTTTTTTTTAAAATGACAAATTCAATTTCCTTAAGATATATTTTATATATATTTTTTCAAATTAGAAGCAAATTTATACATTTTCTAGAATAACAGAAATGTATGCAAAATAAAAATGGGAAACCCCACATGCAATTTCTATAATGAAAATGGAATTGTTTCATAACCATAAACTTTAATTAAATCCTAATTGAACCAGTATTTTATTTAAGTATCTGGTTCATTATCTAGAAGCTTCTACTGGGGATTTAAGACTCAAAGTAGAAACAACTTTCATATCCCCAAAGAAAACACTCAAGGATTTACTCTATACTCAAAACTATAAGTGATGAAAAAAAGAATTCCTGCAAATTCTGTGATTCTGAATCGATATCTGAGTTTCTAATGACCAAGGAATCTTTACTACCAATCTCCTTTTCCCCTGCGGAGTTACTGATACAAAAGAGAGTGGGAAGTGGGTGGGAGCACAAAGCCTCTTCAATTGTTATCAGATAGCTGTTCACAGAAAGGTCTTCCCAGAGTTCGCTGTATAGAAAGCACAGCCCACAAATCATCATTATTCATTCTTCCAGCTTAAGAGGCTTGTTTTTCGCAGATGTGCCCTTTCTGTTTGCATTTGTAACTGTGGACTCTTGTTCAGTTGAAGAAAATGCGTCATCTAAATATGAACCAAGATTTTTTTTTATTATACTTTAAGTTTTAGGGTACATGTGCACAACGTGCAGGTTTGTTACATATGTATACATGTGCCATGCCGGTGTGCTGCACCCATTAACTCATCATTTAACATTAGGTATATCTCCTAATGCTATCCCTCCCCCGTCCCCCCACCCCACAACAGGCCCCGGTGTGCTATGTTCCCCTTGCTGTGTCCATGTGTTCTCATTGTTGAATTCCCACCTATGAGTGAGAATATGTGGTGCTTGGTTTTTTGTCCTTGCTATAGTTTGTGAGAATGATGGTTTCCAGCTTCATCCATGTCCCTACAAAGACATGAACTCATCATTTTTATGGCTGCATAGTATTCCATGGTGTATATGTGCCACATTTTCTTAATCCAGTCTATCATTGTTGGACATTTGGGTTGGTTCCAAGTCTTTGCTATTGTGAATAGTGCTGCAATAAACATACGTGTGCATGTGTCTTTATAGCAGCATGATTTATAATCCTTTGGGTATATACACCAATAACAGACAAACAGAGAGCCAAATCATGAGTGAACTCCCATTTACAATTGCTTCAAAGAGAATAAAACACTTAGGAATCCAACTTACAAGGGACATGAAGGACCTCTTCAAGGAGAACTACAAACCACTACTCAATGAAATAAAAGAGGATACAAACAAATGGAAGAACATTCCATGCTCATGGGTAGAAAAAAATCAGTATCATGAACATGGCCATACTGCCCAAGGTAATTTATAGAGTCAATGCCATCCTCATCAAGCTACCAATGACTTTCTTCACAGAATTGGAAAAAACTATTTTAAAGTTCATATGGAAACAAAAAAGAGCCCTCATTGCCAAGTCAATCCTAAGCCAAAAGAACAAAGCTGGAGGCATCACACTACCTGACTTCAAACTATACTACAAGGCTACAGTAACCAAAACAGCATGGTGCTGGTACCAAAACAGAGATATAGACCAATGGAACACAACAGAGCCCTCAGGAATAATGCCACATATCTACAACTATCTGATCTTTAAGAAACCTGAGAAAAACAAGAAATGGGAAAAGATTCCCTATTTAATAAATGGTGCTGGGAAAACTGGCTAGCCATTTGCAGAAAGCTGAAACTGGATCCCTTCCTTACACCTTATACAAAAATTAATTCAAGATGGATTAAAGACTTAAATGTTAGACCTGAAACCATAAAAACCCTAGAAGAAAACCTAGGCAATACCATTCAGGACATAGGCATGGGCAAGGACTTCATGTCTAAAACACCAAAAGCAATGGCAACAAAAGCCAAAATTGACAAATGGGATCTAATGAAACTAAAGAGCTTCTGCACAGCTAAAGAGACTACCATCAGAGTGAACAGGCAACCTACAGAATGGGAGAAAATTTTTGCAACCTACTCATCTGACAAAGGGCTATATCCAGAATCTACAATGAACTCAAACAAATTTACAAGAAAAAAAAACAACCCCATCAACAAGTGGGCGAAGGATATGAACAGACACTTCTCAAAAGAAGACATTTATGCAGCCAAAAGACACATGAAAAAATGCTCATCATCACTGGCCATCAGAGAAATGCAAATCAAAACCACAAAGAGATACCATCTCACACCAGTTAGAATGGCATTCATTAAAAAGTCAGGAAACAACAGGTGCTGGAGAGGATGTGGAGAAATAGGAACACTTTTACACTATTGGTGAGACTGTAAACTAGTTCAACCATTGTGGAAGTCAGTGTGGCGATTCCTCAGGGGTCTAAACTAGAAATACCATTTGACCCAGCTATTTTATATTTTTCTATTGAAAAATACAACTTATCAAAACTGACAAAAAGTAAAATAGAAAGTCGAAACAAACAATGTTTGTTATCATAACATTATTCATAATATCCCTTACTATACCTTTGATGTCTGTAAGATTTACAGTGATTACATATTTTTAATTACTGATATTGGTAATCGGGATTCCCCTTCTTCCTTCACCAGTCTAGCTGGGGGTTTATTGCTTCTGTTGAACTTGTTAAAGAATCAAATTTTGGCTTTGTTTATATTTTGTAATGTTTGTTTTCTATTCCATGGATATTTGCTTTTATCTTCATTATTTATTTCATTTTACTTATTTACGATTCAAGATTATGTTTGCTCTTCTTAGTCTAGCTTTTAGGGATGGAGGCTTTTTTCTTTTATGAGCATTGAAAGCTATAAATTTTCCTATAAGCATTGCTTTATCTACCTTCCACAATTTATATGTTATATTATTATTGTTATTCAGTTCAAAATATTTTCTAATTTTCCTTGTGATTTATTCATTATTCACCTGTTATTTAAGTGAGTTGTTTAATTGTCATATATTTGGGTTTTTAAAAATATGTCTTATGGACCTTCTGTAGTCACTAAATTACTGCATGAGAGTTGCATTTTCTGTTATTTTCCCTGCTACACTGATTTAGCCATGTTTGTAAAATTCTGCAAAACCTTCAGAGAAAAATGTCCAATATAATTGCAGTAGAATAATTAGTGTTTTATTTTGGTTCTATATAAATAAGTACACATTTTTATTTTTAAATTCTGAAAACCTGAGTTCTTAGTATTTTTATCTAGGGTTTAGAGAACATGAATACAATCTTATGCTGCTAACTGTCATAAGCATACTACTCAAACAGCTCCTAAAAGTAGCTTGAAAACTAGTTCCCACAGTTGTACTGCCCACATACAACTTAGCTCATCCATACGTTCCCAGTATGAAGCAGGGACTTAACTCAATCTGTAGAAAATCTGAATCTCTTTCAGATAAGCAATTTGGTGAGTAGGGCACAAGGCCTGGCCTGTAGGAAAACCATTGAAGAGGTGGGACTGTGGCTCAGATTGCCTGAGAAAAGAAATGACACCAAGTCTTGAACAGGAAAAGGCTAAACATGTACCAGACACTGAGATTATGCTTCTTCCTTTGGGGAAGAAAAAGTTTAGATGGGACTGCAAACAAAGCCGCAAGGCAAATCCATGAATAGAAACACTTAGCAGATGGATGGGGCAAAGAAGGTTCTGAGCGGGTGTTGGCAGAGATTGTCACAGTTCTTGGATTCTATCCAACCAGACTGATGTTTCTTAAGTAAGGCTTCTTTGTTAGCCTTTGTTAGTAATTAATAGAAGAATTTTCACTACGATATTTCATCACTAGGTTGCATCAGATTATTTGCTCATTATTTTCATATAACAAATATTTACTGAGCACCTACTGTAAGTCAGACATTATTCTAAAATATTGTGGATACCACAGCAAAAAACGGGAAGACCTTATTCTGGTGGCTTTCATGTTTTGCTGGTGTGACACAGACAAGAAGGGGGATAATATGTGCAAGTGAGAGAAGTCAGGAAAGACTTCAGGTTAAATATTGTCAGAGAAGTGACCTGAAGGAAGTGAGGGAGATAGTGGTGAGGATATCTGGGAGAAGATGGGTCCAAGCAGAGACAACACCAAGTATAAATCATTAAGGCTGAGGAAAACCTGGTATATTTCAATAATACCAAAAAGATGGTGTGGTTAGAAGGGAATAAGGAAGGGGAGAGTGGAAAAGATGAGACATATTATTATTTTGCTATAGGCTCATGTCCAGTTAGAAGTATATGACGAAATTGATTTTGTGATTTTGCAAGAGAACAGAGGTAGTTATAGGTGCAACAATTTCTCATTGTATAAGAACATCTTATTTGTCTCTTTTCTAGTACTGCACCTCTTTTTTCTTTATCCCTGCCTTCATTCACATCTCCCTGTTTACCCCTTTCCCTCTTCAAGAGAATTGGATTTATCAGACAGAGCTTAAATAATCTAGGAGGCAGAGCTGACCTTTGTGGAAAACAAATTATATGCCAGGTGCTAGGTCAGTGTAGTGAGTTTTTAAGATGGCCAAGTTTCATTCTCACAGGTAGATGCAGGATTGTCATAAGTGTCATGGAAGCAGGAACGGATTCAGAAAATGAACCTAGTCTTCCCAGCTCCTGAATCCTGACTCTTAAAGTCTTTACTAACATTTCCTTATTACCTGTGACCTCAGACTGTTCTACAGAGAAATGTATGTCTTTCATATTAATCTGCATAAAGTTGTGCATCTCTTCAACTACAATTCTAGTAACTGACTTCTGACCATGATCCCCTGACCTTACTTCCTCTCAAGTAGCTTGAGAACTGCTGAGTTGAGCAACTCCTAACTCCTAAGACACTATTCATATTATATTTGATGTCTACTGTGCAGAAAATAAATTATAGTAGTCTAGGTGAAATGAGATGATGGCCTAGACTAGAAGGATAGCTATAGAAAGGGAAAAATACAAAAATAGATTAAGGACATTAACAGGATTTGGGAATACATTAGCTATAGATGTTAAGTGAGAAGTAGGTTTATAGCTGACTTCTAGGATTCTGACATACAAGACTGGATGGATGGTGAAACTATTCACTGAAGCATGATCTGTTGAAAGAGGACTCAGCTGCTGAAGAAAAATTATGCAGAAAAGTTGAATTTGAAATGCCTTTGAAACATCAAAGAAGGGGTATCAAATAGACAGAGGGACAAATAGATTTCTGGAGATCAGAGGAGAGATTTGCCTTAGAAATAGAAATTTCTGGAGTCATCATCATATAGATATTAAATCGATCTTAAGATATCTAGGGAAATGCCTAACAAAAGAGTACAGAATGAGAAGAGATGTCACCAGACTGAATCACAAAGTTCTCCACTATTTTGAAGTCAGGTTGTGAAGGAAGAGCCAAAAAGTGACACTTAGTGGAACAGAAGGAAAACCAGGAGAATATGTGGTTACTATCAGTCCATTAAAATCTTATTTGCTTTCTTGATCAAAGAAAACAGGATGCAATTATGACTAGTGCACCGGAACTCTCTCAGGGGAGTGCTGTAAGTATATGCACCTTTTTGGTTTCATGTGCCACAGGAGAATAAAGTTCAAAATTGCTGCATTGTGTCACATTGTCTTTCTAGTTATGAATCCATTGTTTAAAAATCTCTTTAACACAACGAGCCAATTTTAAGAATATTTAGACAAAATGTTTTTCCCAGTTAAAGGGGAATCACTTTGGAGAATGAGTTGTTTGTTGGGGAGGGATTATGAGATTTGAAGAGCTGTACTATATAGTTTTGTAATGATATTAGTGAAACAAGTGAACAATAATCAGTTCTAAAATAACTCATTCTGAAGACCCTTAAGTCCTGGAAATATTGGAAATATTCTAGCGTACAGAGCAAAATTATTCTACAGTTTAAGCACAACCATAACTGGCAAATATGTGTCATGGTAGAGTCTGCAGGTAACAGCTTGTGGGGAGGACAGTACTACAGAGCCAAATGCAGTGGTGGAAGTGGAGACAGTTATGAGATTTTTATAGCTCACACTTAGTGGTTCTTAATGGGATAATAACCTCAAACGTGCTGAGGCTGCATTTCTTTTGTGCTTTTTGCTGCTAAACAACTGGAGCAGCCAATGCTCTTTGATATATAGCCATTCTGATTCCTGTAGTTGAGACTAGAGATGCTTTGAAAATGAAGAAAACTACCAGTTCCTGTTCCTAAGAACAAATAAGTGCCAAATATGGAGGTTTTATTCTGCAACCAAGAAAGGAGGGTGGAATTTGGGGTGAAGAGAGAGGGGAGAGAGGTTACTGTCCTGGTGTATGTCCAAGAAATAGTTCACTCCTGACCTGAGTATCACGTACAGAAATTGCCCAGGATAATATCCGGCTCCACTGAATGTTCAACAAATGTTTGTTGGAACTTATATTTTCTTTGACTATTTCCCTCACAATGGAATACTTGTAATTAACTCATTATTATGATCAACATCTGGCATACTGATATTAGATCATTAAAAGAAACAAGCAACAATTGAAGAAGTGACTAAATATTAACATTTAATTTCAGTATTCTGCATTACATTGTGTGTTTATGGTTTATCTTACATTTGTATCCTAGATCTTCACAAGTCTTCCGACAATTTTTCTATACTTCTTAGTAGGCAACTGAGTAGGAATGTTCTGCAAGTGTGGTAATATTGACTTGTTGGTGTTGAGCAGCTGTTTATCTTTACTGAGACAAGGACAAGAGAATATGGATTTCAATTGTATAAACACCTCCTGTGACACCAGATAGAATTTATCTATATAGATGGTTTGAAACTGACACAGTACAACCAGATTAATCTTTACAAAGCATAGCTCTGATTTTATAATTTTATATTCAAAACTTTCAATGACTCCCCCTTGGTTGGAGAACTCCCTTAATCTAGTTCTCAACCTTTCAAGGTTATGTCCTGCCCTTCCCCTTCACAGACCCTAAAACTTTCATCTAAGCTATCCTTCACATATTTTCTTTTTTTCCCATCCAAGAGTGTTTCCTCATGCTATGCCTTCCAGAGTTTATGTCCTTCCTCACATTCAGGTCCATTCAAATCCTAGTAATCTTTTAAGATAGACTAGGATGATTGTTCCTTGATCTCTTCAGAATAATTGTGTCCTTTATCTGAGAAACTTTGATTAATATTTATGTTGCTTAACACAAACAAGACAATCAACTCTTTCTTACAATGTTTAAATCCCCAAAGTCATGAAAATAGAAATTTTTTCATAATTCATTAAAAAATCTGGTCTGACCTGAAATTATTTGGTAGTGAAACCTAACTTGAACTGAAGTAAGGCTCTTTCTAGTCTTTATTTATCCAAGTTTAGTGTTAATAGTAATATATTTCAATTAAGAAATATAAGTGTATTTAATTATGGGATATTGCTCCAAATCCCACTCATCATATTACTTAATATATGGTATATCAACCTTGTTACTCTTCTGAGTTTGAAAATTTATGAATTCCCAAATACATCTTTTCCCAAGGCTTTTGGATAAAGAATTGTAAACTTGCATATATTTATATATAGTTGTCACTTTTGGGAGCTGCTTACTCTCTAAACAACCTTTCTATTCTGAGAGAATCTTCCATTGTGTGAGTCTTGGTGGGAATTAGAGCTCCATCTCCTTCATGGATTTTGAAGTAACCAGATACTCCCACTCCTTCCTCCCTGGCATGTAGTCATGAATGCATGACTTAGACTTCTCTAATTGAATGGTTCCTTCTGGGATTTTGAATTTTAAGGGAATGATGCAAAGAAATGTGGACAGGTAAAGATTATTCATTAACACGGTAGAGTCAGTGGCCAGAGGCAGTAGTGCCAACATCAGCTGCTCCTGTGGAGTGACTTTGGCTATATTTTTTTGCTGCCTAGTTACCTTTGGTTCTTGACTCTTTTCCAAACCTACTTTTTCAGACTTCTTATTGGTTTTGGAAACTATCTACTATTCTTTTAATATATATTATTTAAATTTTGCTTAAGTTAGCCAGAGTCAGTTTCTGTTGTTGGTATTAAAAAAACTTTAGTTATTTTATTTCCATCACCACTCTAATTTATACTTCAAGCTCCTTAAAAACAAGAATCATGTATGTTTCCTTCTTTGTATACTCAAAGCACCTAGTAATAACAGAGTATTAATTATTTTTAAATATGGAAGCAATAAGATCTTATTGGTATTTTAGACAGATTACTCTCTCTGAAGTATGGAAAGTGAGGTAGAAGAGGAAAGACTGGAGTATTCCAGTTGGGAGGTAATAGTGTCATGATTAGTACAATGGAAGTGGAGACGGAAATAAATTTCATGTATCTGAGAGATTTTTAATGAAGTAGAATGGGTAGAATTTTGTGATTGATTGATCATAGTGGATGATTGGGGGGAAGAAAAATGACTCCTCCATATCTGGCTTGAACAACTAGTTAGATGATGGTGCCATTCAAAGAGCTAGAGAACATAGAATCAACAGCACTTTGGGGGTTGGGAGGGAGAAAATTGAGTCAACTAGAAATGTTTTGAGTTTCAGGACCAGTGGAGAGGTCTTGTAGACAATGAATGATGGGTCTAAAGATCAATTAGAAATAGAGATCAAGGATCATCACAATATTGATGGTACTTAAATCCATGAGAGTAGCTAAAATCTCCCAAGAGGAGAGTATAGATTGAGAAGAGAAGAAGATGTAGGACAGAACATTGAGGAACATGGAAGAGCAAGTGATTAACAAAAGCTGAAGAATCTTCAGAGAAGTAACAAGAGAGGTAGGAGCACTGCACTATGTGTTGTGACTATAACAACCAATAAAACACAGTGCTTGTCTTCAAAATCTGGGGGAGGGAAGAGACACCAACATCAATGATTAAAACACAATATGACAAGTAGTAAAACAGGGGTACATAAGTATGGGAGAGATGAGTATAAGGAGAGGCATAGTAATGAATGGATAATATTAATTATTTTGAAATCCAGTTGACCAAATTATCTGTCTAGCACACTATATTAACTCTTGTGTGTGTAATGTCAAATGATCATGACATAAGACCACATAATTAATATTAAACTTCCTCTGATTAGATTTCCTTTCAGTATCCCTTTTGCGTATTAATCAAGATTTTCTTTCTCTACTATTTCCTTAAAACTGCTTTGTGGTGCTAATTGCTGTCAGATCAACAGAGTTTTTTAATTTTCTTTTTTGCCAGTAAATATTAATTTTGCTACCAAATTAATTTTCTTTTTTGCTATCAAATATACAATAATCTCTTTTTAAAAGATTCCTAATGTTTTAATATATTATTTATTAATATATTTGGAATATAGAGAATCACATTTTATATCTGAAAGTGGCTGAAATTGGCTGAGTGAGTGGACCACCTTTAGCTTCTAGGATTCTTCCTGGAACTTAATTTTTTTCCTTTCAGGAGGAAATTTTTTGAAACACGAAGAACTAAGGAGTGAACCGAGGCATCCTGGGTTCTAATTCAACCTCTATATCAGTCAAATTTGTGACCTTAGAAAAGTCATTGTACCCTGTGGGAATTAGTTGCTACATTTCTATGAAGGAGTGGCTATCTGCTCTGTACACCTCATAGAACTGTTACAGGAATCAAGTAAGAAACAGGTGTGAAATTTATTGGATAACATAAAGGTTCTCCTGGAAGACAGTAGTACTCTCCAAATTTTTCATGTGTTCCCCTAAATAGCCCAGTATGTTTTTAGTTATGTTGGGACCATATAAACACTTTGGCCAATGGGTTTTGCGTACATAAGATGTGGGTCACTATTAAGTCAAAGCATTACAAGTTGGTGTGCTATCTAAGCTCTCTATTCCCCTTCTTTAGCAACTGCAGAGATAATATGTTGAAATGATAGCATTGTAAGATAGAAGAGGTGTAAATCACTGAGTCACTAAATAGCAGAAAATCCTACCCCCAAATGATTCCCAATTGGCCTTACGTGTGTGAGAAATAAATACTTGTGTATTAATCTTTTGAGATTTTGAGGCTGTATGTTATTGAAACATATTGAAGCATCTTCTGATTAACAGTGTTACAACTGTTTTAGTCTCTTTGGGCTTCTATAACAAAATATCTTAGACTGGGTAATTTATAAACAACAGAAATGTATTGCTTACAGTTCTGGAGACTGGGAAATCCAAGATCAAAGCCCCAGCAGATTCATGTCTGGTAAGGGCCTCTTCCCCATAGATGGCACCTTCTGTGTGTCCTCACATGGCAGATGACGCAAAGTTTTTAGCATCTCTTTTATAAGGGCACTAATCCCATTCTCAAGGGCTCTGCCTTTATCAAATAATCTCCTCTCAAAGGCCCCAAATTCTCACTACTATTGCATTGGGAATTTCAGGTATCAACATTTGAATTTTGAGGGGACACAAATATGCAGACCATAGCACAAGCATAAGACATTGTTGTTTAACATTTTTGTGTGTGTGAAAGGCAGTAGGAAACCGGAGATGTAGAATGCTGACAAACTTTTGGCAGTGGTCCCTGCAAGACAAATGCGAGGCTTTATTGTTTCTTTAGCGAAGGTGCTTTATTCCCCAATGCTTCTCCAAACCTTCTCAAAATTCAGTACTTTAGCCAAGACATCAGCTCCATCACAGGCTCTATTCTGATGCTAAGTCTAAGAGCTCACTTCTGCCATTGCTACCTGTCTATCAGATTATTCAGTCCAACCAAAAGGTGACAAGTAAGGTAAAGAATACAGTTTCTTATCTACTTGACTAGGGCAAGTGCAACAGGGGCAGAGTGGATCAGGATTGGGGGATATCGCTCCTTTAAGGGAAATTTTGCATAGAGAAACTCCCTTTCATTTCCTCTTTATTTTCTCCTCATCTTGCCTGTTTCCTACCACCCTACTTTCTCTTTAGTTTTACTCATACGCCTTTCTTAAGTTTTTGAGTGGCTAGTCTGCTCAGGGCTGTAAAATATACAGAGCAGTTTAAGAAATTAATGCCTCTTGGAATTTATAATATATCAGGGAAATGAACTTTATATGCAGCAATGAGGACCAGTGTAAAACTATGTAATTCAGTGCTAAACTGAGAGACATAAATTTTAAATGCTGTAGGAGATAGCAGAAAGGGAGAGCACTTGAGGTAATTTGGGGTAAAGGAGAACTCAGTACCCGGGGCCTTGGCTAGGAGGCTTTTCCAGTAATCTAAGGATGAGAAGACAAAATCTTGAGAAGGAACATAATATGGATGGAAATGACAGTCGTTTTGAAAGGAAATGAATAGGGTCTGTGACTAACTGGAATAAGAGCTATGTGAGTAGAAATTGCCAAAGATGACTCAAAATTTTAAGTCTGAATAGCCTAAGAGAATAAAAATGTTATTAACAGGGACAAAGTTATTTGGAATAAAACTGAATTTGATTGGATATGGTAGCTGTGGGAAACGGAGTTCACTTATGGACATAATTGGTTTCGGGGTAAAGAACTCACAATTCAAAAAACATGTCTAGTATCCAGGTAGAGTTATTACAACTAGGACTCAAATGAAAGGATTAAATTGGCAAGTTATGTGACATTTGAAACCATAATATAGGACATTGGTTAATACTCGCAATTTGGGGGGATTAGATGGAAGACAGGGAGTCCATGAGAGAGACTGGTTAAAACCAGTCGGGAATATTATTCACTCACCCATTCATTTAATAAGCACTTGCTAAGCGCAAACTATGTGCTGTATACTTGTTAAAACATACTAATTATTCAACAAACTTGTTATTGGCTTTTGAGTTAATTTTACTACCTCAGTACTACCAAGACGAAAAGGAGGCAGAATAGCGAAAATGATATATTTATTTGTAAAACATTTTTATAGGCATTCTTTCTATTTAGAGCCTACCTAATAAAAGACAACCAACACAAACATCCTCTCATTTCAGCCATAAGACTATTTGTTTTGAATAAAGTAGGTTGCTAAATCTATAGCTGTGCCTTTAATATTGTTATACTAATGCAGAAATAAGAATTAGCATGGCACTTAGAGTTTATGAACATTACATAGTAGTCTAGATAATAGAAATAATGTCTTTGGTGTTGCGTCTTCAGCAGTGAAGGTGAAAATGCACTGATTCTTTCATTTTTGCCAAATACCTGTCTCACAATGCAACCACCTAGGATTGAGAGGAACGGGGTATTGCACCTAAAGTCTTGGCTAGCTTAATACCATGTTTAACCAATTAAATCAATTGACAACAGATCAAATAAAGATTGGCCATCTGAAAGATCAAATATCTTCTAGGAAACCTGCCAGGTGTCACATATTTTCCATGTATTTAAGGAAAGCGTTATAGATAAGTATGGAGGTAAGACATTTTCCAGATTGAAGTCATTGTTGCAGTGTATGTATTTGTGATGAGATCAACAAGATGCCTTTGTTATTTACCTTTGATTCAAGCTTGGCCCCTTTGGTCAATAGTGCTTTATTGATTTTACAGTTATTTTTGAAACAGTATGTGCTAAATATCAGTATTTAATTTATTTTCACATAATGCAAAGTTTATGTTGAGAAGAAATTTTACAATGTTTGTTAGCTAAAACTAACACAGACCAAGTATCCCTGTACTAAGAATATAACTCCAGGACCGAAGGAAAGCTTTGTGCCTCAGCCAGTAAATCCTGCTTCCTAAGCTATAGTGTGCATAAGGCTTTCCCACACATCTCCCGTTGCTAAGGAAACCTCTTTCAGTGTCTGGGCTCTACACAGCTGACTCATTTCAAAGTCTGGCTCTCAACCCTGTCAGCTCACAGCTTAGAGAGACAAATGGAAACAAAGAAAAACACAGAAACAATGAAATATCAATATATATCATTTGATTAAAAATAAATAATGTGACAACATATAGAGAAAAGGTAAGGTAAGGCAAATCCACAGTTGCTACAAACTGCAGCAAAGATATTATGGAAACATTAATAGAGTTCACCATCTGTAAAAAAGAGATTTCTGTCCCCTGGACTTAGTGACACAGAATGAAACTGAAGCTTAAAGAGAGATCCTCAGTAACTCCCTTATATCAAAATATTCCAACCAGATATATGTGTAAATACAAAGCAAAGGGCATGATCATCAAAGCAGGTAGCATGGGATGGATGGGAAGGAAGAGAGAGAAAGAGAGGGTAGCAGGCAACTTCAAAAAACCCTAAAGCAGTTTTAGGAAGCATCTAAAGATTGAAGGCCTATCTGCCATGAGTGTCCTAAAGGGACTTCCTTGCTTTAGTGTCTGTCTTTAGCCCTACTCAGTCAACATATTCAATGGATCCCCAGAAAAAAAAAAGTTTATTAAATAAATGTGCAGATGTCACAAAACCTAGTAGATAACATTTAAGCTAGGAAGCTACTAAGGTCCCTGTGGAATCACAGACAGAGAGAATACATGTTCCAGTATTCTCAATGTTACTCAGAAGGTATGGTGAAATTTTTTTAGGTTTTTATGTATACAGCTAGTAATTGCAATAGATAGAAATGAAACTTTGGGTCTGAACTCCTGAAAAAGGAATTTCCTTTTATATATTGAGAATAGATTTTAGTTTGGTAATGGGAAATTTTTTTGAAGACCCGGTATGGGTAAGGATTAAAAAAAATGCTCCCATTGGGATATGCTTTCACATTTTAAGGGGAGAAAACACATCCACGTAATATTTACTTTATGTGGGGACATATATGTACATTACTGTCTTGTTTATATATATAAAATATACATTAAATGCATTGCCGTATTTTGCATTTTACATATATTTAGAAGAAATGCTTAGCTTTTCTGAGATTATGTTGTCTCTCTTTTCTTCTGCCTTCTAGAGAGCTGGTTGTATTATAAGTCAAACGAATAAGTATCAGTTTATTCTATTTATTAATACAAATTATTACTTTGCTTTTACTGTAAGAAAATGTAAATCAATAATACAAACCACCAAAATAATATCTTAGTGAAGAGACACCAGAAGGAATCATTAATCAATGCATATTTTGTCTGCAAAATATCCCAAGCATTGCCCCCAAACTGGCAGAGTGTGGGAAAAAGCAGTACTAATTATGCTTTAATAAAATTCATAACTCAAAAAAGTCAGTTTGTGGATGTCCAACCTTGCTGTAGCGTATTTGGCATATCCAGTTTACTGTGGTTCTTTCCACTCACTTCATTTAATGCATTGCAGTTGACAGATTAGATTGGTATCCTTGAAAGGCTATCTAGGCTGGTAAGTCAAGGGAATGATGTTGAACCAATATGTCTGGATTTCAGCAAAAATTACTTTGGTCCAGCCTTGCATCCCAGGAATGAAGCCAACTTGATCATGGTGGATAAGCTTTTTGATGTGCTGCTGGATACAGTTTGCCTGTATTTTATTGAGGATTTTTGCATTGATGTTCATCAGGGATATTGGTCTAAAATTCTCTTTTTTTGTTGTGTCTCTGCCAGGCTTTGGTATCAGGATGATGGTGGCCTCATAAAATGAATTAGGGAGGATTCCCTCTTTTTCTATTGTCTGGAATAGTTTCAGAAGGAATGGTACCAGCTCCTCTTTGTACCAATGTAGATGACAGGTTGATGGGTGCAGTAAACCACCATGGCACTTGTATACCTATGTAATAAACCTGCACGTTCTGCACATGTACCCCAGAACTTAAAGTATAATAAAAAAAATACTTTGGTCAACTAAAAAATGACCCATCCAGAAAGAGAGGGGCTGTGATGATGGAAGCAGAGGTAGGAGTGATGTAATTTGAAGACAGAGAGACCACTAGGCAAGGAATGCTGGCAGTCTCTAAAAACTGGAAAAGGCTGGGAGACATATTCTGTCTTGGAGTCTCCAAAAGGAATGCAGCCCTGACAACACCTTGATTTTAGTCAAGTGAAGCCCACTTCACATTTCTGACTTCCAGAACCGTAAGATAAATTTCTGTAGTTTTAAGCCTCTACATTTGTGATAGTTTGTTACAGCAGCAATAATAACTAATTTAGATACTTATTAAATTCAGCAAAGAATTTTAATATCGCTTTAGGAACAAGAGAGAGAAATGTAGACTAGCTGATAGGACAGAGAAGTGTCATTACACCTGGTAGAAGTGTACACAAATACAAAGGGAGCAATGTTAACATAGGTAGAGAATGCCACTGACATGTTAGCTGGCTTTGTGCTTGGCACTGACTCTTTCATCAGTTTTTCTGAAGACAAAAAAGGCAGATGACTTAGATGGATCTCAGGGGAATTATGCTGAATGAAAACATCTAATCTCAAAAGGTCACATACTGTATGATTGCATTTATATACCATTTATTTTTATTAAGGCAAAATTCACATAACATAAAACTAATCATTTTAAAGTGTACATTTCAATGGCATTTGGGACATTCACAATGTTGTACAGCCACTGCCTATATCAAGTTCAAAATCATTTTCATCATCCCTAAAGGAAATACGGTATTCATTAAGCAGTTACTCCCCATTAAACCCTTCCCCCAGCTCCTGGAAAACAACAATTTGCTTTCTGTCTTCATGGATTTAAAAATTTTGGATATTTCATATAAATGAAATCACACAACATGTGACCCTTTGTGTCTGGTTTTTTTTTTTTTTCACTTAGTATAATGTTTTAAAGATTCATCCACATGGTAGCACATATCAATACTTCATTCTTTTTGTGGCTGAATAATATGTCATTGTATGGATGTATATTTTGTTTATCTACTTATAGATAGGAATGAAACTTTGAGTCTGAACTCCTGAAAATGGAATTTCCTTTCATATATTGAGAATCAATTTTAGTTTGGTAATGAGAAGTTTCCTTTGAAGACCCTTTGATCAACATTTGAGAGTTGTTTTCCACTTTTTGGCTTCTATAAATAGTGCTGCTATGCACATTTTATGTATAAGTTTTTGTTTGAACATCTATTTTCAAATATCTTGGGTAAATAGGAGTGGAATTGCTGGGTCATAGGGTAATTCTATGTTTAATTTAAGGAACCACCAAACTGGTCTTCACAGCAGCTGCACCATTTTATGTTTCCATCAGCAATTTTTCAACATCCTTGCCAACGCTCATTTTGCATTTTTTGATTATGGCTATTGTAATGGGTGTGAAGTGATATATTGTGGCTTTGATTTACATTACCTTAATGACTAATGATGTTAAGCATATTTTCATGTGTCTGTTTGTCATCATTTGGGTATCTCCTTTAGAGAAGTGGCTATTCAAGCCCTTTGCTCATTTTTAATTGGGTTGTTGCTGTCATTGATGTAGAGTTGTAAGAGTTATTCTTATATCTTGGGCACTACACCCTTATCAAATACATAGTTTGCAAATATTTTCTCCTATATTGTGATTGTGTTTTCACCATTTTTATAATGTCCTTTGATGCACATTTTTTTTAAAAATTTGAAGTCTAATTTACCTATTTTTTTTCTTATTGCTTGTGCTTTTGGTGTGACATCTAAGAATCTATTGCCAAATTCAATGTCACAAAGATTTACACTTCTAAGTGTAAATCTTTCTTCTAAGACTTTTTTTTTACTTTCAGCTTCCTCATTTCGATATTTGATCAATTTTATGTTTAAAATTTTTATATGGTATGAGATAGGGTATAATTCAGCAGTGAAGCCATTTAGTGCTGAGCTGTTCAGGAATGGGAAGTTTTGAATTATTGATTCAATCTCTAGTTGTTGTAGGTCTGTTCTGATTCATTATTTCCTTTTTGAGACAGTTTTTGTAGTTTGTACCTTTCTAGGAATTTGTTCATTTTGTCTTCCTTTTCTAATTTGTTTATGTAGACTTGCTAACAGTATTATCTTATAATCATTTTTATTTCTTTAAGGTCAGCAGTAGTGTCCACACTTTCATTTGTGATTTTTAGGAATTTGGGTCATCTCTCTTTTTTTAGTGAATTTAGGTAAAGGTTTGTAAATTTAGTTGATTTTTTTCAAAGAAACAACTTTTGGTTTGGTTGATTTTTCCCTATTTTCTTTCTATTCTCTTATTTTTGCTATTTTCTTACTTCTCTTGGCTTTGGGTTTAGTTTGCTCTGCTTTTTCTAATCTCTTACAATGTAAAGTTAGGTTACTGATATGAGATTGTGTATCTTTTTCAATGTAGGCATTTACAGCTATACATTCCCCTCTAAGCCATGCTTTCACTGCATCCTATAAGTCTTGGTATGTTCTATTTTCATTCTCATTCATCACAAATTATTTTGTAATTTTTCTTTTTTTTTGTTGACTTATTCATTACTTAAGAATATGTTGTATATTGTTAAGTTGTGCATATCTGTGAATTTTTCAATTTTTCTCCTGTTATTGATTTCTAGTTTCATTTTATTGTGGTCAGGAAATATACATAGGATGATTTAAACCTCTTTAAATTTATTGAGGCTTGTTTTGTAGCTTCACAGATATTGTGGGTTTTTTTGTATTATGCTTCACAGCATAAGAATATGTTGTATATTGTTAAGTTGCGCATATTTGTGAATTTTTCAATTCTCCTCCTGTCATTGATTTCTAGTTTCATTTTATTGTTGCCAGAAAATATACATAGGATGATATAAACCTCTTTAAATTTATTGAGGCTTGTTTTGTAGCTTCACAGGTATTGTGGGGTTTTTTTTGTATTATGCTTCACAGATATTTCTTTACAAATTAAAAATTCGTGACAACCCTGCATCAAACAAGTCTAATGGTCTTGTTTTTCCAACAGCATGTGCTAACTTCATGTTTCTGTACCACATTTCAGTAATTCTCACACGATTTCAAATTTTTTCATTATCATTGTATCTGTTATTGCTAACTGTGATCAGTCATCTTTGGTGCTACTATTTTAAGTGTTTAGGGGCACCAAAAACCATGTTCATATAAGACAACAAATAATTGATAATAATTGATTAATGTTGTCTGTGTTCTTACTTCTCTAACAACAGCCCATTCCTCCCCACACTTGATCATTTTGGGGCCTTCCTCTTCCCAGAAACACAATATTGAAATTTGGCCAATTATTCACCCTACAATGGCCTCTAAGTGTTCAAATGAAGGAAAGAGTCACATGCCTCTCACTTTAAATGAAAAGCTAGGAATGATTAAGCTTAGTGAGGAAGGTATGATGAAAGGAAAGTATGGTGAAGCTTAGTGAGGAAGGTATGGTGAAAGCTGAAAGCTAGCTTTCAGCTAGGCCTCTTGCCCAAGTTAGTCAAATTGTGAATGCATAGGAAACGTTCTTGAAAAAATTAAAAGTGCTACTCCAGGAAACATACAAATGATAAGAAAGCAAAACAATCTTATTGCTGATATGGAGAAAATTTTAGTGATCTGGATAGAAGATCAAACAAGCCTCAACATTCCCTCAAGCCAAAGCCTAATCCAGAGGCCCTAACTTTCTTCAATTTTGTGAAGGCTGAGAAAAGTGAGGAAGCTGAAGAAGTAAAGTTTGAAGCTAGCAGAGGTTGGTTCATGAGGTTTAAGGAAAGAAGCCATCTCCATAACATAAAAGTGCAAGATGAAGTAGCAAGTGCTGATGTAGAAGCTGCAAGTTATCCAGAAGATCTAGCTAAGATCATCAATGAAGTTAGCTACACTAAATAATAGTTTTTCAATGTAGACAAAATAGCCTTCTATTGGAAGAAGATGCCATCTAGGACTTTCATAGCAAGAGAGAAGAAGTCAATGCTTGGCTTCAAAGCTTCAAAGGACAGATTGACTCTCTTGTTAGGGGCTAATGCAGCTGGTGACACTAAGTTGAAGCCAGTGCTCATTTACCATTCTGAAAATCCTAGGGCCTTTGAGAATTATGCTAATTCCACTTGCCTGTGTTCTGTAAGTGTAACAATGAAGCCTGGAGGACAGCATATCTGTTTACAGCATGGTTTACTGAATATTTTAAGCCAACTATTGAGCCATACTGCTTAGAAAACAAAAGATGTCTTTCAAAATATTACTTCTCATTGACAATGCACCAGGTCACCCAAGAGCTCTGATGGAGATGTACAAAGAGATTCATGTTGTTTCCATGCTTGCTAGCACAACATCCATTCTGAAGCCCGTGGATCAAGAAATAATTTTGACTTTCAAGTTTTCTTGTTTAAAGAAATATATATTTCATAAGGCTATAGCTACCATAAATAGTGATTCTTTTCATGGATCCATGTAAAGTAAATTTAAAACCTTCTGAAAAGGTTTCACCATTCTAGACACCATTAGGAACAATTTTAATTCATGGGGAAAAAAGTCAAAATATCAAAATTAAAAGGAGTTTGGAAGAAGTTGATTCCAACCCTCATGGATCACTTGGAAGTGTTCAAGACTTCAGTGAAGGAAGTAACTGTACATGTGGTGGAAATAACAAGAGAATTGAAATTAGAAGGGGAACCTGAATATGTGACTGAATTGCTGCAATCTTATTTAAAAAAAAAAACTTTAATGAGTGAGGCTTTGCTTCTTATGAATCAGCAAAAAAAAAAAATGGTTTCTTAAGATGAAATCTGCTTCTGGTGAAGGTCCCATAAATATTGTTGAAATGACAATAGAGGATTTGGAATATTCCTTCGATTTAGTTGATACAGCAGTGGCAGGGTTTGAGCAGATTGATTGCAATTTTGAAAGAAGTTCTGCTGTGGGTAAAATGCTATTAAATAGCATTACATGCTACAGAGAAATCTTGATGCTGCAAACTTCATCATTGTCTTATTTGAAGAAATTGTCATAGTCACTCCAACCTTCAGCAACCACCAACTTGATCAGTCAGCAGCCATCAATATTGAGGCAAGATCCTCTACCAGCAAAAAGACTGTGATTTGCTGAAGGCTCAAATGATCATTAGAATTTTTAGCAGTAAAATATTTTTAAAGCATGTACATTGGTTTTTAGAAATAATGCCATTGCATGGCTAATATACCTACAGTATAGTGTAAACATAATTTTTATATCCACTGGGAAAACAAAACATTCATGTGACTTGCTTTATTGCGATAATTGCTGTATTGCGGTTGTCTGGAACTTAGCCCACAACATCTCAAAGGTATATCTGCATCTTTTTCCATTCTTTTGCTTTCAACCCATTTGTCTCTCAATTTAAAATGAGTTTCTCAGAGACAGCATAAAGTTGGATCATATTTTTTAAAATTCCATTCTGCCAATTTCGGTTTTCTTATTTTAAAATATTTAGTTAACAAAAATTGTTTATATTCAAGGCATACAATATAATGACTTGAAATATGTGTACATTGTGTATTGATTACACAGTCAAATCAATGAACATATCTACCATCATCCATAGCTACCAATCTTGCATTTGTGTGTGTGGTTCAAACACTTAAAATCTTCCTCCTTACCAAATTTCAATTAAGCAACACGAAATTATTAACTACAGTCACCATTGTGTACATTAGATCCCCATAATTTACTCATCTTCCCTTTTTTTGACACTGAGTCTCGCTCTGTCACTCAGGCTGTAGTGCAGTGGCATGATATTGGCTCACTGCAACCTCCACCTCCCAGGTTCAAGTGATTCTCGTGCCTCAGCCTCCTGAGTAGCTGGGATTACAGGCATGTGCCAACACGCCCATCTAATTTTTGTATTTGTAGTACAGGCGGGGTTTCGCCATGTTAGCCAGGCTGGTCTCGAACTCCTGGCCTCAGGTGATCCGCCCATCTTGGCCTCCCAAAGTGCTGGGATTACAAGCATGAGCCACTGTGCTGGGCCTTTACTCGTCTTATATCTGAAAGTTTGTACCCTTTAATTAACATCTCCCCATTTCCCCCACCCCCCAGCCCCTGGCAACCACCAAGATTCTACTCCCTGCTTCAATGAGTTCAACTATTTTCGGTTCTACTTTTAAGTGAGATAATACAGTATTTGTCTTTCTGTGTCTGGCTTATTTCACTTTGCATAATGTCCTCCAGGTTCCTCCATGTTGTACCAAATGACAGGATTTCCTTCTTTTTCTGGTAGAATAATATTCCATTGAAGGATGAATGGCAATACATATATATGTATTCTACATTGTCTACATATATCCATGCATATACATATATATGTATTCTACATTTTCTTTTTCCATTCATCCTTCAATTGATGGTTAGAGTGTTTACATATTTGGCTATTGTGAGTAATGCTGCAATGAAAACGGAGGTGCAGATATTTTTTCAAGATATCTATTTCTATTCCTTTGGATACATACCCACTAGAGGTATTGCTGGATCATATAGTAGCTGTATTTAAAATTGTTGAATTAACAGCTATCCTGTTATCTGCAATGACTGTACCAATTTTCATTCCTACCAACAGTGTACAAGGATTCCCTTTACTCTACATCTTCACAAACATGTGTTATTTATTGCATTTTTGATAATAGCCATCCTAACAGTTTTGAAATGATATTTCATTGTCGTTCTGGTATCTATTTTCTTGATGATTAGCAATGTTGAACACCTTTTCATATACCTGTTTGTATGTCTTTTAAAAAAATGTCCACTCCGGTCTTTGCTCATTTTTTCCTATAAGTTGTGTGAGTTCCTTATATATTTTGGATATTAATGCCTTAGATATGGGGTTTGAAATTATTTTCTCCCATTCCATAAGTTGACTTTCACCCTCTTGATCATTTCCTTTGCTGTACAGAAGCTTTTTTAGTTTGATGTAATCCAACTTATTTAATTTTCCTTTTTTTTTTTTTTTTTGAGACAAAGTCTTGCTCTGTCACCCAGGCTGGAGTGCAGTGGCTCGATCTCAGCTCACTGCAGCCCCCACCTCGCAGGTTCAAGCAATTCTCACACTTCAGCCTCCCCAGTAGCTGAGACTATAGATGTGTACCACCACGCTCAGACAATTTTTGTATTTTTAATAGAGATAGTGTTTTGCCATGTTGCCCAGGCTGGTCTCAAACTCCTGGCCTCAAGTGATCCATTCACCTTGGCCTCCCAAAGTGCTAGGATGACAGGTGTGAGCCACTGTGCTTGGCCTATTTTTGCTTTTTTGACTTATGCTTTTTGTGTCATATCCAAAATTCATTGCCAAAACTGATGTCAAGGAGCTTTTTCTATGTTTTTTTCCTATGGATTTTATAGTTTTAGAATATATATTTAAGTCTTTAATTCATTTCTAGTTAATTTTTGTATGTGGTCTAAGACAAAGGTCCAGTTTTATTCTTTTTCATGTGGATATCTATTTTTTATAATATAATCTATTGAACAGACTATCCCTTCCCCATTGTGTATTCTTTGCACTGTCATAAAAGATTAGTTGACTCTGTATGTGTGGGTTTACTTCTGGGCTCTCTATTCTGTTCCACTGATCTTTGTGTCTGTTTTCATGCCAGTACCATAGGGTTTAAATCATTTGTGATTCTATACCCTAACAGAAAGATTATCCAAGAAAGAAATTAAATGCAATAGTCAACAAAGAAATTTGAAATAAAGTCCTATTTACCATAGCATCAAAAAGAATAAAATACTTTTGAGTAAATGTCACCAAGGATGTGAAAACTCTGTATATTAAAAACTGTAAGATATTGATGCAAAAATTGGAGACACAGATAAATAAAAAGATATCTTGTGTCCATAAATTGTTAGAATTAATATTATCCTGCATATTAACAATATTAATCTTGTTAATTATGTTAAAATGGTCTTCAGATTCAATACAATCTGTATCAAATTTCGAAAGACACTTTTCATGGAAATAGAAAGAAACGATCTTAAAATTAACGTGGAACCACAACAGATCCCAAACAGCCAAAGCAATCTTGAGAAGAAGAACAAAGCTGGAGTCATCACACTACCTGATTTTAAACTACTTTACAATCTTTGCCTTTTTTTTTTTGCTTGTTCATTTGTTTTCTTTATTTCTTCTATAAAAAAGCGGGATTCATGTGCAGAACATCAGGTTTGTTAGGTAGGTATACGTGTGCCATGGTGGTTTGCTGCACCTATTGACCCATCCTCTAAGTTCCCGCCCCTTGCCCCCCACCCCCCAACAGGCCCTGGTGTATGTTGTTCCCTTCTCTGTGTTCATGTGTTCTCATTGTTCAACTCCCGCTTATGAGTGAGAACATGCAGTGTTTGGTTTTCTGCTCCTGTGTTAGTTTGTTGAGGATGATGGCTTCCAACTTCATCCATGTTCCTGCAAAGGACATGATCTTATTCCTTTATAAAGCTGCATAGTATTCCATGTGTATATGTACCATGTTTTCTTTATCCAGTCTATCATCGATGGGCATTTGGGTTGATTCCATGTCTTTGCTATTGTAAATAGTGCTGCAATAAACATACATGTGCATGTGTCTTTATAATAGAATGATTTATATTCCTTTGCGTATATACCCAGTAATGGGATTGCTGGGTCAAATGTTATTTCTGGTTCTAGATCCTTGATAAATCACCATACTGTCTTCCACGATGGTTGAACTAATTTACATTCTCCACAACAGTGTAAAAGTGTTCCTATTTCTCCACAGACTCACCAGCATCTGTTATTTCCTGACTTTTTAACAATCGCCATTCTGACTGGCATGTGATGGTACCTCATTGTGGTTTTGATTTGCATTTCTCTGATGATCAGTGACATTAAGCTTTTTTTATATGTTTGTTTGCAGCATAAATGTTTTCTTTTGAGAAGTGTCTGTTCATATCCTTTGTCCACTTTTTAATGGGGTTGTTTGCATTTTTCTTGTAAATGTGTTTAAGTTCCTTGTAAATTCTGGATATTAGACCTTTATCAGATGGGTAGATTGCAAAAATTTTCTCCCATTCTGTAGGTTGCCTGTTCACTCTGATGATGGTTTCTTTTGCAGTGCAGAAGCTCTTTAATTAGATCCAATTTGTCAATTTTGACTTTTGTTGCAATTGCTTTTGGACAAATCTCACAAAAACAAGCAATGGGGAAAGGATCTCCTATTCAGTAAATGATGCTGGGAAAACTGGCTAGCCATATGCAGAAAACTGAAACTGGCCCCTTCCTTACATTTTATACAAAAATTAACTCAAGATGTATTAAAGACTTAAATGTAAAACCCAAAACCATAAAAACTCTAGAAAAAAACCTAGGCAATACCATTGAGGACATAGGATGGGCAAAGACTTCATGGCAGTATTTGCCTTTTAATTGGAGAACTAAGCTTTTAAAATTTAAAGTAATTACTGACAAGGAAGGACTTATGTCTGACATCCTTTTTGTTCCCCTATTCCTCCATGCTGCCTTCTTTATGTTTAATTGATTTTTATAGTGTTATGATTTGGATCTGTGTCCTCATGAACTCTCTTGTTGAATTATAATCCTCAGTGTTAGAGATGGGGCCTGGTGGGAGGTGATTTGATCATAGGGGCAGATTTCTCATGAATAGTTTAGCACCATTCCCCTTGGTACTGTCCTAATGATAGTGAGTGAGTTCTTGTAAGATCCGGTTGTTTAAAATTATGTGGCACCTCCCCTGCACTCTCTCTCTTGTTCCTGCTCTGGTCATGTGAGGTGCTTGCTCCCCTTTTGCCTTCCATCACGCTTTATGCACAGCATGCAGATCTGTGAGCCAATTAAATTCTTTTTTCTTTATAAATTAGTCGGTCTCAGGTATTCCTTTAAAGTTATTTAAGAATGGACAATGCATGTAGGGTACCATCTTGATTTATTTTTATTTTTTTCTTTATTTTTTGTTATTTTATTGGTGTTTGCCATGAGGATTACAATTAACCTTTTAGGCTCAGTTAAAATATTTTATGAATTAATACCATCTGAGCTTCAATAGTAATCAAATCTCTGCTTCTTTACAGCTTCTTCCCTCATCTCTTATATAATTGTTGTCACAAATGAAAACTTTATACCTTCTTTGCCCCTTAATGTAGATTTACAATGATTGTTTCAGGCACTTGTTCTTAAAAACATATAGGAAAGCAAAAAAAGAGTTACAAAAACAAATACACAATGATACTGGCTTTTGTATTAAACTTGAACAATGTTCTTTATTTATCTGTTTCTGTTTTGTATCCTTTCATTTATATTTGAAAGCATTTCTTGCTTTCCTTCATGCAGGTTCTAGCAATAAACTCCTTCAGCTTTTACTTATCTGAGATTGTCTTATTTTTTCATTGATTTTTGAAGAATAATCTGGCTGGATATAGAATCCTTGGCCGACAGTTTTTTTCTTTCAGTATTTTAAATGTGCGCTTCCACTACCTTCTGGACTCCATAATTTCTGATGAGAAACTGGCTGCTAATCTCACTGAGGATCCTCTGTTAATCATGAGTCACTTATCTTTGCTTTCAACATTCTGTTTGCTTTTATCTTTTAACAGTTTAGTTATAATATGTTTCAGTGTGGACCTCTTTATGCTTATCCTTTTTTGACTCTGTCGAACCTCTTAGATGTGTCGATTAATGTCTTTTGTGAAATTTGAGATATTTTGAGCATTACATTTTCTGATATTCTTTCCATCTCTTTCTCTCTCTCCTCTCCTGAAATGTTTATTGTGTGAAAATAGGTAGGCTTGATGGTATCCCACAGGTTTCTTAGGCACTCTTTTTTCCTTTCTGCTCTTGTGACTGGATAATTTCAATTGACATATCTTCAAATTCTCTAATTATCTCTTCTGCCTGTTTAAAGCTTCTATTGAAGCCCACTAGTAAGTTTTTTAAAAATTTAAGGTATTATACTTTTCAGCTCAGAATTTCCATGGTTTATTTTAAAATTTCTATCTCTTTGTTGATTTTCTCTATTTATTGAGACATCATTCTCCTACTTTCCTTTAGCTAGAAACCATTGATGGGTACTTTTAGTTCTTTGATCATATTTAAGACAGATTTAAAGTCTTTCTCCACATCGCCAAGTCAATCCTGAGCCAAAAGAACAAAGCTGGAGGCATCACACTACCTGACTTCAAACTATACTACAAGGCTACAGTAACCAAAACAGCATGGTACTGGTACCAAAACAGAGATATAGATCAATGGAATGGAACAGAGCCCTCAGAAATAACGCTGCATATCTACAACTGTCTGATCTTTGACAAACCTGATAAAAACAAGCAATGGGGAAAGGATTCCCTATTTAATAAATGGTACTGGGAAAACTGGCTAGCCATATGTAGAAAGCTGAAACTGGATCCCTTCCTTACACCTTATACAAAAATCAACTCAAGATGGATTAAAGACTTAAACGTTAGACCTAAAACCATAAAAACCCTAGAAGAAAACCTAGGCATTACCATTCAGGACATAGGCATGGGCAAGGACTTCATGTCTAAAACACCAAAAGCAATGGCAACAAAAGCCAAAATTGACAAATGGGATCTAGTTAAACTAAAGAGCTTCTGCACAGCAAAAGAAACTACCATCAGAGTGAACAGGCAACCTACAACATGGGAGAAAATTTTCACAACCTACTCATCTGACAAAGGGCTAATATCCAGAATCTACAATGAACTCAAACAAATTTACAAGAAAAAAACAAACAACCCCATCAAAAAGTGGGCGAAGGACATGAACAGACACTTCTCAAAAGAAGACATTTATGCAGCCAAAAAACACATGAAAAAATGCTCACCATCACTGGCCATCAGAGAAATGCAAATCAAAACTACAATGAGATACCATCTCACACCAGTTAGAATGGCAATCATTAAAAAGTCAGGAAACGACAGGTGCTGGAGAGGATGTGGAGAAATAGGAACACTTTTACACTGTTGGTGGGACTGTAAACTAGTTCAACCGTTGTGGAAGTCAGTGTGGCGATTCCTCAGGGATCTAGAACTAGAAATACCATTTGACCCAGCCATCCCATTACTGGGTATATACCCAAAGGACTATAAATCATGCTGCTATAAAGACACATGCACACGTATGTTTATTGCGGCACAATTCACAATAGCAAAGACTTGGAACCAACCCAAATGTCCAACAATGATAGACTGGATTAAGAAAATGTGGCACATATACACCATGGAATACTATGCAGCCATAAAAAATGATGAGTTCATGTTCTTTGTAGGGACATGGATGAAATTGGAAATCATCATTCTCAGTAAACTATCGCAAGAACAAAAAACCAAACACCACATATTCTCACTCATAGGTGGGAATCTAACAGTGAGAACACATGGACACAGGAAGGGGAACATCACACTCTGGGGACTGTTGTGGGGTGGGGGGAGGGGGGAGGGATAGCATTGGGAGATACACCTAATGCTAGATGAGGAGTTAGTGGGTGCAGCGCACCAGCATGGCACATGTATACATATGTAACTAACCTGCACATTGTGCACATGTACCCCAAAACTTAAAGTATAATAATAATAAATTAAAAAAAATAAAGTCTTTCTTCAGTAAATCTAATTTCTGAGCTTCCTTGGGGACAGTTATTATTAATTTATCCTGTGAATGGGCCGTGTTTTCTTGTTTCTTTGAATGCTTCATAAGTTTTTGTTGAAATTTGGACACTCTGAATACTATAATGTGGTAACTCTTGGAAATCAGATTGTTCCTTTGTTCATCTTTTTATTTGTAAATTTACTGTGCTTTACATTTGTTTGTTCATTTGTTTAGTGTCTATTTTTGTAAAGTCTATATTCTTATTGTGTGTAGTCTCTGAAGTTCCGGTTTATTTAGCTTGTAGTCAACTAGTCTCTTGACAGATATTTCCTTGAATACCTAAAGCTAAAAAAAGATAAAAAAAGAAAGCAAAAGGAAAAAGAAAAAAATTCCCTGTTTTTGCAGATTCTCTCAGTGTTGGGGCTTAGCCAGGCCACTTACAACTCTGCCTTCGCTTTCGTTTTCTGCTTGTGCTGAGCCTAGAGATCATCCAGAAGTGAATGTCTGGAGTATTCCCAGATATATTCTGAGCAACTATCTTGCCCTGGTCATGTGTATACTTTTCTAAATTCCTCTGTATATGCAGGTGATTTTTACAACATGAATTTCTCATGAAACTTCTTCCAAAATTTTCCTCCCAGACTTTCAATATGTCTGTTGTTTGCTTCATCTACGATGTCTTTTCTCCAGTGGTGGCAGATTGTTCAGCTGTCTTACAATGTTTTTAAGGAATGCCTTCTGCATAGCTACTTTTCCACCTCGAGAGTTCTAAATTAGGCAGAACAAAGGCAACCACCTTGCATCAGTCTTTCATATAACCCTCAGATAGGTTGAAACAAACACAATGCTTTGAGAATAAAATCATTCTGCTTCTTTTAGAATGAGAGACAAAGTTCTCATACTGGCTATCCTAGCTCCTATCTTCAAGATAGTTGTCAAGCCAGGGAGGTGGGTGAGGCAAGGGCAAGTAAAAACACCAGAAACCTTTCCTATTATTTTAAAGTTGTATTTGTCTTGACTTATTGGTTCCTTCAGTTTTGTAAACATTTGACTATTTTCCAGAGTTCTGACATAGTTGATTCTGACAGTTTTTGCTCATTTTTTTGGTGTGTGTTTCTGCGTAGGGGTGACCTCTTTAGCTACCTACTCTGCCATTTCTACTGTTGATAGATCAGTGGTTACCAAAATGGTCAAGATTGCTTGGAGAGAGAATTTAGGTTGGTTTGGGAGAAGAATTTAAGTTGGTTTAAGTTAGTTTGGTGATTCTTCTGGTATTTAACAGTTTAGGACTTGACTACCATGGTAGATATACAAACCTACACACTTGATAAAATGTTGGATCAATTATTGTGTTACATATTATGGTAGAAATCAACAACTTTAATGTGTCCAGAGGACAAGGTCAAGAATGTAAGACCTAGAAACCATATCATGTTAGTTTTTTTGCTGTGCAACAAATCATCTTCAAAATTTAGCAGCTTAAAAAACATTTATCATTTCAGTTTCTGAGGGTCAGTAATTTAAGAGGAGCTTAGCTGCATGGTTCTGGCTCAGTGTCTCTCAGGTACTTGCAATCAAAATGTCAGCTAGGGCTGCAGTCATATGAAGGGTTGACTAGGGGAGCTAGAATTCACTTCCAAGAATGCTTACTCACATGGCTCCTGGCATGAGGTTTCAGTTCCTTGATGGATCTCGACATAAGGCTTTAGTACCCCTCACCACATGGATTGCTCCATAGGGCTGATTGAGTGTCCTGACGACATGGCATTTGGCTTCTGCCAGAGCAAGTGATCTAAACGGGAGAACAAGGAAGACGCTTCATTGCTTTTTATGACATGTCATACACAGTCACTTCTGCCACATTCTACTCATCAATCCAACTTGTACTCAAAAGGAGGGAAATTAAGCACTACTTCTTGAAGGGGTTAGTATCAAAGAATATGTGGACATATTTTTAAACTACCATACAAATCATGCAAAGAAAGGCTGAAGGAAATTTCATGAAAAGAAAAAGCCAGGATAACTAAAGGAATAACCTAAAACATGTCTTCAAAAAGCAGAGTGTTGTTACAGAAGGTGTGGTTCTGCATACCTTTAGAAGGCAGATTTAGGACCTACTGCACCTGTCCAGCAATGGAATGAGGGACCTTTGTCCTCCTAGTCACTGTAAGTATTTGAGCAGGGAATAAAACCCATATATCAGGGATGACAGAGAGATTCCTACATAGAAAATGAGGTTAGACTTGATACATTTTTAAGTAGTTTTCAACTCTGAGATTCCATGGCTCAACTCTACAAGGTAAATTGACATATGGCAAAGCATTATGTTGGTTGTTTAATGATATAGGTGTTCAGAGAGGGAGGAATCTATGTTACACTCTTCCCTTTGAAGAAGATGTTATGATATGAACCATGAATCAAAATTAAAACTTACTATTTTGACAATGATAAAATGTAATTAGGCTGCATATATGTATATATATATACACACATTAAAGGCTGGAAGTTCCTTTTATAAATGCCCACATTGGAACATATGAATTATCTTATTGTTCATGTTAGGTCATGCCTTGTGCAGTGAATGATATATCCATGCCATAACAAATATCAATGGTTAGCTTTTTCTACAAGTTTCCCCATTCCTTGCTAGAATTTCTCACATTATGTTCAGGTCTGTCAAATATAAAGTCATTCCACAAATAAGAAACATGATTTGGAACAAGTACAGTGCCTTTATCCATAATTATATATTTATTTTATTGACTAATTTTATGCTGTATAGATGAGCCAAAATTATGATTACATTGAGTGGCAATTTTCCTTTAAGAAGATTTTAATTCTACCAACTGCAAATATGATTATTCTTAATTTTTTCCCTAGTTTTTATAACTTTAACTCTATTCTAATGACTCCTAAATCTATATTGTCAACCTAGACTGCTCCCTGATTTCTGCTGGTCATTTTTCTCTGGCTGTCCCACAAGCACTACCAATTCAACATGTCCAAAACATTACTTGTTATCTTCTCTAAAAAATTTACCCTTTTTCTAAATTTTCCATGACATCCATCCAGTCACTAGGATAGAATCTTTGGAGTCATCCTAGACTTCCCCTCCCTCATTACCCTATTTAGTTAATCACTCAAATTTCCAGGTTTTACTTCTAAAAGTTTCTTCCATTACTTTATCTCCAGCTCTATCAACCTGCACTAGTTTGAGCTGCCATCATCTCTCCTGGATTACCTAGCTTTAGTCAGTTTAATAATTTTCCTGTCCCTAATTTTATTCACTTCAATGTATTCCCTGTATGTTGTCAGAATACCATACTAAAAGTCTGATTGTACTACCACTCTGCTAAAAACTTGTCAATGGCTCACTACTTTCCTCAGAACTTAAAGCAAGCTGCCTGATTTGGCAAACCTAGTTTTTCATGATCTGACATCTTCTTACCTACCTTTCCAGTATTAACTGTCACAAACCCTGCCTTACACTTGACATTCTAACAACACAGAAGTGCTTTCAGTTCTCCACATAAACAGTTGCCAAATTTATGAAGTATAAATATAGGACATTTAGTTAAATTTGAATTTCAGATAAACAACTAATATATTTTTAGTGTAAGTATTTCCCATGTAACATGCTGTTTCTTACATTTGTTTTAGTTCATGCTGTTATATCTCTCTGGAATTCACTTGCCCATTTTAATATCAGCTCAATTACTATCTCCAGTAGGACACCCATTCTCCACACTCTCTCCCACCAATACTGTATAATTACTATTTTGAGTGTCTTTCTCTATCAGCAAAATTCCTTGAGGGTAGGGACCATGCTTTATTTGTCCCTGTATTGTTATTATCCAGCAGAGTACCAGACCCATTATAGGCACTCAGTAAATATTTGATAAATGAATGATTCTCCCGATACTAGTATTTATATTTTCTCTTTATATCTAATTGGAATAATTTATTTTACCATTTGCACAAAAGAAAATTAGAAGAAAATCTTTCCTAAATATAGTCAAACACTCAAACTTGATAGAACAGTACATTTTTCCCTGAAGAGTGAAACATAAAAATAAATTTAATGAAAACAATTTTTAATTTTTATCTATTTTTTAACATTGTAAAACCTTCTCTATATCACGAATTTTCAGTAAAACTGCTTTGACCTCAAAACAATATGATGTACTGGCCCATATTGTTTGATTTTTGACTTAGGCACCATACATTGCTAAACTCACATATTTTGCGTATTTCAAATATTTATTATGGGCATGGGAGACTGATACATTCAAGGTAACAGCCTAAGAAGAACTCATATCAAGAGCTTAGTAAGTAAAACTTTATTTGTCCATTGCCTATATTTTATTTTACTAAGAATGTTTTACCCAGCATTTGAAAAAGAGTGTATTTGAATATCTATTGAATGGTGAGTCAGCTCCAAACTTGATATTCAATCCTATGCTTATGGAGAAGACAGGTAAACATATTAATCAATGAGTAAGCAAAGGTTAGTCAGATGGATAATCAGAATACTGGAATGAAATGTCTGCTGCCAGTTTATCCTGTTTTCAAAGCACACTCTTCAGTAGTTCATTATGCAAAGATCTTAAAAGGTATAATATTATCTAGTCTTAGTCATATAAGTTGGTTCAAAATATGCTTTATACTGTATTCAAGGCATCTTGCCACTATGTCTGGCTGCTAAACAAATACCTGCCAATGGAAGGATCCTGGGTTTCATAGACTGCTAAAAACATTATGAATGGGACTTGAAGGTGAAGTCATTAGTTTTCTAGGACTACTGAAACAAAGTACCACAAACTGGGTGGCATAAAAATATATAAATTTATTTTCTCACCTTTCTGGATGCTAGAAGTCCAAAATCATAGTGTCATCAGTGTTCGTTCCTTATGAGCATTCTGAGGGAGAATCTGTTGTATTTCTCTCTCCTCACTTCTGGTGATGGTCAGGAATCCTTGGCATTCCTTGGCTTTTTGGATGCATTACTCTAGTGTCTCGCTGCATCTGCACATGTCATTTTCCCTGTATATATGTCTTCACATCATCTTCTCTCTTTCTATAAGGACATTAGTCATATTGGATTAGAGCCCACCCCAATGATTTAATTATATCTGCAAAGAATGTATTTCCAAAAGAGGTCACTTTCACAGGTACTGTGGAACTTCAACGTATCATTTTGGAAGACACAATTCAACCCAGAAGAATCTGCCCTTTGCCCTCCCCAAACCCATGTCCCTTTCATGCACAAAATACCTGGACCTCATCCCAGCATCCTCAAAAGTCTTAACCCATTCCAGCATTAATTTTAAGCCCAAAATATTATCTATATATAATCAACTCCAAAAGTCCCAAATCTCATCATGTAAATTATTTAAATAAATTATGAATGAGACTCTGGATGTGATTCATACTAGGGCAAAGTTCCTCTCTTTTTATGGATCTGTGAAACCTGGAAAAGAAATTATCTTCTTCCAAGATACAACCGTGGGGCAGGTATAATGTAGACATCTTATTTCAAAAGGGAGGAATTGGAAGAAAAAGGGGTACTGGTCTAAAGCAATTTTGCAACACAGCAGGGCAACTTTCAATAGGTTCCAAGGCCTGAGAATAATTCTCTGTGACTCAGTGCTCTGTCCTCTGGGCCCACTGATGTGGATTTGCCCTCTTGACCCTGAGTGGTGGCTTCAATCTCTGGCAGCTGTGAAGTGGAAGCCCTGCCCCTCAAGGCCTGTGCTATCTCTTGCCTCTGCATGCATGGCTCTGCCCTTGAAGTCATTCTTGCTTCATTTTGCCCCACCTCTTTCTCTTTCTCTCCAGGCTGGCAATGCTTTGCTGGTGAAATTCTTAAAAATCGTTTCAGTCTTCTGCGGATGGATGTCAAGAGAATCCACACCACTAGGGATCTTTGGTGTTCCATGGGTTATATGCATCACTCCAATATGCCTGTTTCATTACATGGCATTTTCCTTGTGTTTTTGTTTTCACATTGTTTTCCCTCTTTTTGTAAGGACACTCGTTATATTGGATTAGGGCTTACCCTAATGTCTTGATTACATCTGCAAAGATTCTCTCTCCAAATTCACAGATACTGGAAGTTAGGACTTCAATATATGTTTTCGGGGGACACAATTCAACTTACAACAAGGAGGAACTTACCAACTCCCTGAAACTATAGAAAAAATTATGAGTTTTATGTACATGTTAAAGAATTTCCTTGGCAAAAGTCCTCCTTTCCCCAACTTTCATCAGATTCTGAAAGAGGTCCATACCCCAAAACATTAAGAAGCGTGCCATGGACAAAGTCCTCAAGTGTTACTTGAAAGTTGCTTTGTGACTCAGAATAAGTGTTGCATATCAAATCCATGATACATGTGTCTCTCCAATGCCGACTGTCTGTGAAGAGGCAGGTGAGACAAGATTGTTTTAACTGCAGGGCTTTGGTTTGAAATGCTTGTCTATTCTCCCATTTATGGCAAGTAATTACCCTTATGCCAAATGAATAGAATATTCCAACTTCCTGCCTATATAATATGGATCTTATGATAATTGGCTGCTCTGAAAAAATAACAAAAACCTTTAAAATCACGGAATTCTTCCTGAATAAAATGTAATGTTATTTTATGAGTCCAGGTCAACTTAGTTTTGCTTACCTTGTAAGTCACACATGTTAAATAACAATTGTGCTACTTCCACAGTATTCGTAAGTTTCAAGAGATTTGTTGAAATAAATGCTTTGATTTAAAAGATCATAAAACCTTTTAAAGTATATAGCAACCAGACTTCTAGGTATATGAGTCAGAATAATTAGGTACAGATTTATAAGATTCTGATTTCATACTAATTATGTCTCATGACGATTGCATTTTAGATTCTGTGTAACTAAGTAGCAATTACTTACAGTTTGAAAAGCATATATTAAATGCAAATATCTATTCCACTAATAACAGTTTTAGCCCAGTTTGAGTTATTTAACTGATTTGGTCATGATAATAGTGAAATCAGTCATTTATGTAGATAAAGTGTGTGTTAATTAGGATTGAAGATGACACTAACTGGTGAATTTGCCAGTACATTCAAATTGGCATTTAATTTCAAAGTAAGCTGAGTACTAAGATGAATCATCCTTCAGAAACAGAGACAAACTCAATACATGTAAGTGCAGGCTATGGTATAGTTGGCTAGAATGAGTAGCAGACTCCTACCTACTTATTTCCTGCCTCCAATCTATTCTACCTTCCAGGATTGATTTGTCTCAAACATGGCTCTGATCATGTGAGTGTACTTCTCAGAAACCATCAATGACTCCCATTTTTCAAAATATTAGGTACAAACATGTCACTCTGGCATTTAAGGCTCTAATATTACATTTTGTTATTATCTGTAAGGTCCACAAATATGCAGAAATTACGTGATACATTTTACTAACCCATGCTTCAAAAATTATTGAGGAAAATTAGCAAATATTTTGAACTGAATGAAAATCTAACTAAAGCATATCAGAATCTGTGAGATTCTGCCAAATAAGTGCTTAGTGGGAATTTATGTCGTTAAACGCTCATATTACAAAAAAGACAATTCAATAATATCAGCTTCCAAATTAAGAAATTATAAAAGCAAATAAATTAAACACAAGGCAAGCAGAAGATAGTGATAATATAGATAACAGCAGAATTCAATGTAATTGAAATTCATAAAACAATAAATAGTTATCAATGGAACAAAAATAATTTCTTTAAAAATATCAGAGAAGGCCAGGCGCGGTGGCTCACGCCTGTAATCCCAGCACTTTGGGAGGCCGAGGCTGGCGGATCACGATTTCAGGAGATCAAGACCATCCTGGCTAACGCGGTGAAACCCCGTCTCTACTAAAAATACAAAAAATTAGCCGGGCGTAGTGGCAGGCACCTGTAGTCCCAGCTACCCGGGAGGCTGAGGCAGGAGAATGGTGTGAACCGGGGAGGCGGAGCTTGTAGTGAGCCGAGATTGCGCCACTGCACTTCAGCCTGGGCGACAGAACGAGACTCCGTCTCAAAAAAAAAAAAAAAAAAAAAAAAATATATATATATATATATATATATATATATACACACACACATATATCAGCTGAAATATTTAAAAAAATTTTTTTAAAGACTATAGAAAAGCAATGACTTTGAACACAACTTGAAGTATAAAAAGCTGTGCAAATAGAGAAAAGAATATATGATATAGGAGTTTGCAGAAAGGGAAAAATAAAAGAGGACGTATTATAATCATATAAATGAATACATGCCTTATAGTGTAATAATAATTTGTAATTCTTTGAACTTGTGGAATAGCCATCAAATTCTTTAGATTTATAGCAAATGCATATAGAGGAAACAAAGTGATAACATAAAAAATTTTGAAAGCCTTATTTTTACAAGTGGAAAATGCTGGTTAAATATTAAATGGTATTGGAAAAAAACAGTACCGGCAAAGATATTGGTGCTTATTAATTCATTTGCACCTTTTGTGGAGAACGTAAACCTACATTTTAAAAAAAATTTTAAAATATGCCTTATAAGATGATTCCATTGCAAATAAAAGATAACGTGTGCATATTTTACAAATGAAAATGTATACAAACACTTTGGAATCAAAATCATTTGGTAAAACCCAGGGATTCGTGAGTCTCAGAAAGAAGGCCATGGTCAAAAAAATAAAGAGATTTTTATATAAGCAAAGGGGCTTACATAAGGAAAGGGGCTTATATAAGGAAAGGGGCTGTGTGGTTCTTCTAAAAAGAAAAAGACAAAGGAACAAGTAATACTGAAGAGAAAATCCTAAAGCACAAGGATAATATGGTATCATATCAGCGACAATTAATGGTTTCATTAGGACATTGTGTGAATGAAATCATTCAAATGGTGGAATTGTTGAACGAAGAAAATGAGTATGTGACACATAGCTAACAACAAAGCACATAATGTATATGGTAGAGAAGCATTAACAAAACCATAAATCAAAGCTCTTTCTCCATGCTATTTCCTTTGTGAAAGATAATCATATGGAAACTTAAGAGACTATATGTTGAATAATAACATTCATAGGAAAATCAAGGAGTATTTAACTAAAGGTGCATTTCCAAGTACAACTTGGAATTAGTGGCAGTAACGACTAAAGAACACATTTTGTAAATATCATAATTTATTTGTTATAAGCTTTGACAAGAGACATATAAAACAACAGTCACAATAATGAATGTGATCATTATAATTCAATCGCCCCATATTGCCTGTATACTGTCTTCATATAAATATTGGATGCAATCATGTCATGGAGAATATGGCTTAGATATTAATGTAATTCCCCCTTTTAAATTATAAGCTAGTACTTTTTCTAGAGGGAGGGCTTTAAAAAGAAGATAGAGTCTTACTTGTGCAGCATTGTATTTGAAACTGCAGGGAAAGTTTGATGACTAACCACAGCTTATTAACTGGATTGCGATTTTTTTTTCTAGTTAAACAAATGGTAGGCACGCCAGAGGCTGAGAAGAACCCAGCAAGAGGTTGATCAACATTGCCAACAAACAATCTTGAGAATGTCTGTGTGTTTATTCTTGGTCGTCTAAATCAAAATATTTATATTATTTAAAACTTTTAAAGATAAAATAATTCATATGTGTTTAATAAATGTTAGACATTTTAAAACCATAAATAAGAAAATAAAAAGTAACATATTTCAACTAGCAGAGAAAAATGTTTTTGGTATTTTCCCAGTTGTATGTAATGTGTCTATGTGAACATAATGTGTGTCCTCCTGTCTTTCAATTCTGATTTTAATTTAAATAAGTTTGAAATTTTGGGATGTGTATCATGCCTAGGTAATTTAGGTTTTAAATTTAGATTGTAGGACTTTGCTTCTGGCCACAACATAGCAACAGGAACTGAATCTTCACTCCTACCTGATACACCATTAACAACCAGATGAAATATATAAGACAATGATTTTTAATTTATTGACATCAGGCAATGACAAACAGTGATTTCTGAGAAATAATAAGCAATAAAATACTATTCAACCATAAATAGAGAGAAATCCTGTCATTTGCAGCAACATGAATGGACCTGGAGGTCATTCATTATGTTATGTGAAGTAAGCCAGGCACAGAAAGACAAATAATGCACATTCTCACTCATAAGTGGGAGCTAAGAAAGTTGATGTCATTGAAGTAGAGAGTAGAATGATAATTACCAGAGGCTGAGAAAGGGAGGGTATTAAAAACTAGAACTTATTCCTTCTATATAGCTGTATGTTTTTGTACCCATTAACCTACCATTTTATCTTTCTGTGCCTGGCTTACTTCACATAAAATAAGAAAGTTGATGTCATAAAAGAAGGAGGGGGATAAGTTCTAGTTTTTAATACCACAATAAGGTGACTATAGTTAACAATAATATATATTTCAAAATAGCTAAAAGAGAAGATCTGAAATTTTTCCAACACAAAGAAATCATAAATGTTTGAGGTAATGGATATTCTAAACACCCTGATTTGATCACTACACATTGTATTATGTAACATCACATGTATCCCATAAATATGTACAGTCATTATGTATCAATAAACAATTTTTTATTGTACTAAAAAAAGAAAAGAAAAGAAAAACACACGAAGTGAGCCCTACCTTTGCTTCAGCTTACTGCTTTTGGAGAGAATGCAAGCCACAGTGGGAACTGACATTTCTCTTTGAATTGAGGATATAGAGCTGGGAGTCCAGGGAGGCCCATGTAGCTAGAATTTTCGGGGTAGAATACCAAAGAGGAGAGAACAACATACAGAGAGAACTCAAGAGCTCATACAAGGCTGGGGATAGTTCTCCTTCCCATGAGTCCGAGTGAAAAGCCTCATAATTCATGGGGCATTAGGTAGAGTACTCTGAAAGATTTTGCCTTAGTAGTGAGGCAATATTAGCCATAGACTAAAAAGTGCTATGATCTTACCTAAAAAAAGCTTAAAGGACGGCCTGAAAGGATGATAGTATTTCCAAGTAACTTAACTATGTCTCAGAAAAAAAGTTCAAGGATATTTATTTATGGAATTAAAAAATATACTCAGCACTCCACAAGGTAAAATTCAGAGTCTAACATACAATCAAAATTGCCAGACATGCAAAAAAGCATGAAATCAAGATTGCTACTTAAAAGGAGAATCAGTTGGTCATAACTGACACAGATGATAGAGTTAGTAGGCAAGGATATTAAAACAGTTATTAAAGCTGTATTTCACACGTTCAAGAAATAAGAGTAAAAGTTAAACATGTTAAATGCAGACATTGAAGATATAATAAAAGTCCCAAATGAACATTGAGAAAAGAAAATTACAATATTAAAATAAAAAAACTACACTGGCCTGGATTAATGGCAGATTAGACATCGCAGAAGAAAAATCAACGTCCTTGAAGGTATAGCAATAGACATTTTCCACCATGAAACAGTGATGCTCTCAGAGAAAGAAAAAAGACTAATACTAATAAATAGAAACTTAGCAAGCTATGAGGCTACTTCACATGGCCTAATATACATAAACTTTGAGACTCTGAAAAAGAGGGTCAAATGGGGATAGAAAAAATATTTGAATAAATTGTAAATTAAAAATCCCCAATTTCTATGCATACTATAAACCCACAGATCCAAAACGAATTCCAAGAACAAGAAACATGAAGAACACTATACTAAGTCATATCATAATCAAATTGCTTAAAACCACTAATAAAGAGAAAATCTTTGAAGTAGCGAGAAGAAAAATAAAGACACTTTACCTACAAAAGAACAAAGATAAGGATGAAAGTGGATATCTTGTCAAAAACAATGAAAGCCGGTGGAGATTGGGACACTATCTTTAAAGTACTGAAAGGAAAAAAAAATAAATAAAATGTCAACCTAGTTTTCTATACCCTATGAAAATGTATTTCAAAAACAAAAATGAAACAAAGCCTCTTTCAGAAATACAAAACCTTAAAGGAATTGACCAACAACAGTTCTGCACCATAAGAAATGTTAAAAAAAAATGTCCTCCAGTCAGATGGAAAATGATACCAGATAGAAATCTGTATCCTACATAAAGGAATGAAGAGCACTAGAAATTGCAACTACATGGGTAAGTATAAAATATGTTTTCCTTATTATGCAAATACCTTTGTGATAATTGACAGTTTAAAATAAAAAAAAACATATGAAGAGATTTATTGAAATAAACGTATATCGCTGGTTTTTGCATTTCTGAGCATTCTGAATTTCCAGTGGGTAGAGCCAGCTGTTTCCCTCTTTATACCCAGGGCCCTCCTACCACAGTGTGGTCACTGTGGTCACACATACCAAGGATTTTAGAAACATGTATAATTTAAAGACTGAGCACATGGTTATTAGAACGGATGTTGCAATCCCCAAATTACTTTTCTCTATTTTACATAGGGAACTCTTATGGGAACAACTTCCCCTTTTGTTATTAAAGGGAAATTAAGCTACATAATAAAAGATTTAAAGGGAATTAAGTTTCTGAATATCATCAAGAAGGTTGTGAGCCATGTTGGAAGAGCAGAGAGAACATGTGAAGGTAAAATGATCTAAGTTCCCTGCTCTTGTTGAAAAAGCTGGAACAGAACCTGAGAATAGTTTTAAAAGAAGGGAATGGTGGAAAGTCAGAGAAAGCTCTCTTCGTTGTTTTGTTTGGTGCTGAAGAGGCTACCAGGTAAAGGCAATAGTAGGAGACTTTTTCCGAGATGAGAGTTTGACACAGACCTATACAAGGTAGAGACAGGGATTGGTGTTGGTAGGAAGGAAAAGCCTGGGCAAAATCTGAAAGTGGATGATGCATTAGAGGGAAGGTAGCCAGTCCCATGCTAAGAATGAAGACTAGGTAAGTGGATAGGAGGACAGTGTGTATCTATAGGTGTCTAACTTGATGGGTTGGAGCAATGAGGAGTCACAGAAATAAGAAATGAATGGTAAGGTAATCGGGAGATGCTGAGGTTGGTGGGCCACAGGTTGTTGACAGTATCAAAAAGCTAGACAGCAAAATTGAAATTCAGTGCATTGGACACAATGAAGTCCACATAGATAACTGCCTGTACCAGAGTATGATGAAATCCGTGTCTGAGGAAGGGTCTTTTAGCATAGAGCTTTCCTAGCAGGGCTCAAGGGAAGACTAAAGTTCTGTGGGTTGAGCGTCAAGGCCCACTGCTTCAGAGGAAGAAGAAAGGGTACTGAGTGGATGAAACTCTGGTCTTATGGTCCTCATTGCAATCAGACTGCTCTGCCTTGTCATGTTCATTTATTGGATTTCTGTGGAAGGCTTCAGATTGAATGATGGGTCTCTCATCTAAAATTTTGACAACTGCTGTCCACCAGCTAGATATAAATATGATAGATAATTGAGACCTGGCCTTCAGGTCCTGGCGCCCAAGATTGCACCCAACACTTTGCCTGTTTGCTGTAGAAACTTTAGTTAATGCAGATCTGCCAGCTCCCTCAAACAGCCACACAGGGTTAGAAGAGTGTCTGGGTGTTGGTGCCAGTAAGATTAGAGCCTTAGAGGTGACCTAAGATAGCAGATGTGAGATTGAAAACTCACAATATATAATTGTATGTGTGGGTGTTTTTTACATACACATATAACAAACAACAAATACACAAGCATGGACACAAGCCTACACACATGCATACATACATACATACATACATACATACATACATATAGACTATATTTAGGAAAACACAGGGCATTTTTCTCTGGTGGATTTTTCTGGATGGGTACTTTCTCCCTTTAAATTCTTCCCTGGATTTATCAAGTTTTGTGTGAGTTTGGTTGCTAACTGTGTTTGCCAGAGAGAGGATGGCTGCTATGTATACAAACCTCAATTTTCCCTAAACCTATGACCTCAAATGATCTCTATTGATGCAGCACAGCCTAATTTCCAGTCTGAATTTAATGCTTTGTCTTTTTCATTTGTTTTTCTTCAATGCGTGTTCAATAAATGTTTGCTGGAAGAATAAATGAATAAATGAAAGTACCAGAGGGTCACATTAGCTGGTTCAAAATGTGGAGGCTGCCTCATGCCTGGGCTTTCTGCCTCCATGGAAAAAAACCTACAGTGCCACAACTGCTCATGTAACTTCAGAATTCCCAAGGGAAAGTAGCACAGAGTGTGTCATTATGGATGTCTCATCTCCAGGCCTAAACACTATCTTGGCTGTGGGGATGCTTTCAACATCATCATACATGATGCTTCCTGCTTTGCACCCCACATATTCCTGTTAGTTTAACAAGGAAGCATGTGCCATCTGCATGGGTTTTCCATCTACACTGCACATGTCTGCACCTTGGGCCAATCCTCTAAGCCAGACAGCATCTGGTGGCAACATAGGCCAGCAGTCATAGCCACAAGACACCCACCCTCTAGAGTGCCAACGGCTCAGATTCCAAGGGAGGTAATCTGAGCAGGGGACATCATTTGGACCGTTTTCCAGGCAAGTCTACCCTCAGCCCTTTATCTGCAGTCACTGAGATAATTTGTCCCAGGGCATTCCCACTCCAATTGCCCCTGTTGGAAGCTGCAGCATCCCTTCCACTGCTCCTCAGTGTTTCTGCTTGTTATCTTGCTGGTCATCAGTCACCAACCCCATTCATTCACAAAGCCTCAGCCTCCATGGAGGAGGGCCACTGTGGAGGGGAAAACATACCACACTCTGGCAGGCATTGCAACAACTCCAGGCCTGGGAAACTGGCAAGGGTGTCATGGACTAGTAGAGTAGTCAGGAGACGTAACTCACCTAGAATAATGCTGGGTAGCTAGCCATGCTCTTCCTGACAGGACATAAGATGACTCTAAGGCAAGGTGGTGTGTCTGGCATGCCACTGGTCCGCTCTGTCACGAGACCTGCCTACCCAGACCACAATGAAGCTTCCAGCTTGTAACAAAGACTCAGAGATTCCCCAAGCCTATTCACATAAGTTGTCCTGAACCACCATGCTCCCCACCCAGATTTCCCACCTTCTCTTATAGGCACTGCTTCACTCTACACTGAACTCCGGATTTACAGCTCTGAGTGTCACCTGGCCTTGGGCTCTCTGGAACCATTTTGCACGTGGTCTTGCTCGTGGACTCTGGCAATTACTCTTCCTTAGATCCTTCCAATGCCCCTCACTAGCTTAGGGGTGTCCTGTCTGGTCCTCTTCCCTGGCTCTGCTCCTGAACATTCTGACCAAACCCTTGCTTCTCAAAGCAAAGGGAGAATGGTTGACATTTCAGAATTTTAAACCATACCCGGAAGAATTCTGTTGCTCTGGACATCACTGCATAAATCTCGCTTTGTATGGGTGAGGAATTAAGTTATATTTTCTGCTTAACCTAATGAGAAAATGAGAAAATATCTATTAAAACAATAGTGAGATAATACTTGTTCACCCATAATTTTACCCCAAATTTAAAATATTAATAATAAAAAATGGTTCTGAGCATGTAGGTATTAACATACATTGGTTTATGAGAAAATGAATGTTGCAGCATTTTTGGAATAAAATGTCAGCAACATTTATAAAAATTAAAAACATTCACACCTCTCCCACTTAAACCCAATTTTCCACATTAAAATGTCTTTCTTATGAGAAAAAAACACACATTTGACCAAGAATTCATGTTTAAAAAAATGTTGATTTAAGTCCTATTAATCATACAAAAAAATCTAGAAACAACTCATTTGTCCATTAGGAGGAAAAATTTTCAATTATTTATGACACATACATTCTTACATTCTTTAGAATACTAGGGAGTAGGTACAAAAGCGAGGTAGATTTATGTGTGCTGTTATGGAAAGATTCTGCATCCACTTTATTAAGTGGCAAACGCAAATGTCAGGTGAATGTGTACTTCATTACCCATGCATATTTTTTAAAAAATGCTTCTACTCAGAAGCAGCTTCTGGGCTCCTTGAATCTCCATCTGGTTCAGCCGGCCTGCCTCCACTCAAGGTGAATCAGAGTCTCTTAAGGTGGAGGTGGACCCCAACATCCAGGCTGTGGGCGCCCAGGAGAAAGAGTAGATCAAGACTCTCAAGTAGTTTGCCTCCTTCATTGACAAGGTGCAGTTCCTGGAGCAGCAGAACAAGATGCTGGAGACCAAGTGGAGCCTCGTGCCACAGCAGAAGGCAGCTTGGAACAACATCATGTTTGACAACTACATCAGTAACCTTTGGAAACATCTGGAAACCCTGGGCCATGAAAAAGCTGAAGCTGGAAGCAGATCTTGAATACATTCAGGGACTGGTGGAAAACTTCAGGAATAAGTACAAGGATGAGATCAATAAGCATACAGCTATAATGAATTTGTCCTCAACAAGAAGGATGTGGATGAAGCTTACATGAACAAAGTAGAGCTAAAGTCTCAGCTGAAAGAGCTGACCCATGAGATCAACTTCCTCAGGCAGCTGTATGAAGAAAAGATCCTGAGGTGCAGTCCCAGTTTTTGGACACACCTGTGGTTCCTGTCCATGGGCAACAGCTACTCCCTGGATGTGGACCGCATCATTGCCAAGTGTGCCCAGTGTGAGGGGATTGCCAGCCATAACCCAGCTGAGGCTGAGAACATGCACCAGAACAAGTGTGAGGGGCTGCAGATTCTGCCTGGGAAGCACAGAGATGACCTGTGTTGTACAAAGATGGATATCTCTGAAATGAACTGGAACATCAGCCAGCTCTAAGATGAGACTGAGGGCCTCAAAAGCCAGATGGCTTACCTGAGGCTGCCATGGCAGATGCCAAGCAGTGTGGGGAGCTGGCTGTTAAGGACACCAATGCCCGTTAAGGACGTCAATGCAAAGCTAGTGGCGCTGGAGGCAGCCCCGCAGGGGGCCAACCAGGACATGGCCCAGCAGCTGCGTGAGTACCAGGAGCTGATGAAATTCAAGCTGGCCCTGGACATCAAGATTGCCACCTACAGGAGGCTGCTGGAGTGGAGGATGAGAAGAGCTGGATGGAATCTGGGATGAGTAACATGAGTATCCGTAGGAAGACCACCAGTGGCTACTCAGGTGGGCTGAGCTTGGCCTATGGGAGCCTCACAAGCTCTACAGCCTGGGCTCTGGCTTTGGCTCTGGCAGGGGCTCTGATGCCTTTAGCCACAGGAGCTCCTCCAGGGCCATGGTTGTGAAGATTATCGAGACCTGTGATGGGAAGCTAGTGTCAGGGTCCCCTGATGTGCTGCCAGAGATGCCCCTCCCAGACTACCCACTCCTGTGGCTGCCCCAGAACCTGTGGGAGAGGCCACTAAACAGGGGAGCATAGGGAGCGGGAGACCCATCTGACGCTCAGCCATAGCCCTTAGCCTACCGTTGAGGGGAGTTTGCTGCCTGGGGTACCTGATCTTGCCCATGCCCCCTAACTAAAAACCAATTCAATTGTATTTTTCCAAAATAAAGACTCAGCTGACTCTACCAAAAAAACTCACAATATAATTTTCTACTATATTAATCCATGAAAAAGCCTAGATTCAGCTTTAAAATAATACACATCAAATTGTTAATTGTGGTTATCCCCAAAAAGGTGCCTGAATGTTGGAGGAACTTTCTAAAGGCAAGAATTTTGATTGATCTGATCTGTATTTTTAAAATTTTTTGCAATAAGTGTACTTGCACAGCTACTTTTGTAATGAAAATATTTAAATAAGCCTAGGAGTTCCTCGAGACTTATTCAAATATTTATGTAAACAAGTATACATATAAGTATAAAAAATTTAAATATAATAATTTTATATTGAAATAAAACGTATTATATGAACATATATATAAATAAAAGTTGTGCATTTATCAGTTAAGTAACTGCTAGCTGATGCAACAGATAAAACCTGAAATTTGAATGGCTTAACACAACGAAAGTTTCCTTTTTGTGTGCATAAATTCTGATGTAGGTTGCCAGGGACTTCCTCCGTCAGGCCACCCAGGGATACAGGCTGCTTCCCTGTTCTGTAGCTCCACCATCTGAACTCAGGGCCACCGTGTTTGCTGCTCGATGAGAGAGGAGGCATGGAAATGGCACACTGGCTTTTGCTGTCACATAATAGGTGCTCAATAAAAAGCAACTATCATAACTTGTTATTACAACACTCTTCATTTCTTGGAGGAGTTTCTGAGAAAACTAAACTCATCTTGAAATTCACCACGGTTCTTAAGTGCTTTCAAATACAGGATCACATCCAGTTTTCAAAGAATCCTAGAAATCTTTGCAGGGAGTTCTGCACTGATCTTTGCAAAAACTTCCATAATTTTAGTAGACTAAGAATTTTTTCCTTCTATTTGATGCATGGTCAAAATCTTAACTTACGAGTCTCTGCTACCTTCCACAGGACTGAACACTTTGGAACACCTGTACAGGTACCATTAAGTGAACTACAAAACAGGATTTTCCTGTGGAGGCAGAAACACAGACAAGAGCAAGTAGAATGATGATGAACCTTTATTTTCTTTTTCATCAGAGCTAGCATGTCTGTCAGGGAATTATTGTTCACCTCCTAGGAGAAATTTAGGATTTTAGGAATTCAGCCTTTTGTAGATGTTTGCTTATCAAGTAATTTATATGGTCTTTCTTTGCCTACTGCTTATAAGGGAGGCTTTGGTTTTTCAACCATCAAAGTATTACCATTCGTCAATGCATTCAGTGGCCTGCTTCAAATAATACACTTTATTAAATTCCTATCGCAAATATCAGGATGATTAAAAGATCTCTTTTTCTAACTTTAGGATTATATCCCAAGAACCAGCATATTATGTGCAAATCAAACTCTACTCACTAATCCATTTGCAAGACAATTTGAGTATGTGTTGAAGAGGCCCAGGGGGAATGACCAGGCATCAAAACATCCTCCAAAGTGTGCTTTTAACATTAGAAAGGGCTGTTGCTATCAACGGGATTCCAGAATGAGGGAGGGAACAGTTCAGGGAACATCTGCAGATAGAAGGAATGCTCTGTGTCAGGGGAAGGGCAGGTGATTTTGAGTTCTTCCACCTGGAGCAGGGCACAGCCCTCAGAGGAGGAGGCAGTGATGATCTGGTAAGCAGTCCAGGTTCCAGGTTTGGACAGGGGGGCACACAGGTCAACACCAGAGAAAGGGTACTGTAATGCAGGGAAGTGCTGGGACAGGACAAAAATGTGAGCGCCTGGGCAGAATCAGCTCTCAAGGACCACGGGGCTCAGGCAGGAGGACCCTAGGTTCATAAAGCCCACAGACTACTCTCAGATTGTGTTTCTCATTCCATCTTCCTTCCTTGGGCCTGCTTTTTAGTACCTTAGCCACAAGGTTCTTTTTGTTACCTGAACAACATTATGGAGAACTGAGAACAGATATGAACCAAGAGGCAGAAGGCCTGCCTCAGGCTAGGATGAGTGGGGCAGTGTGGGCCTAGATGAATTCAGGCCAGAGGTCAAGTCCCAGTCCTGTCACTTACTAGTTATATGATCTGGGGAAATTATCAAGCACTATGAGCCTCAGGCTCTTCATACGTAAGGTGGATTTCATAAGCCCTGTCTTGTAGAAGTGTTGGAATGTACGTAATGTGAGTAAGGCAACTGGCACAGCCACTTGCATGTATTGGATCTTTCATGAATGGCAGTTGTTTTCAATATGATTTTAACCCTAAACCCTCCATATGTACCATATTCTCTGGGAGTGTGTGTTGGGAAGGTGGGGGAGAGAAAGAGATATCAAGGATATTTCAGAGAATATGCAGCACACTAGGACATAACACACCAAATGGGTCAGAAATGCTACTTTATAAATAAAACTCAGTAAATTTTTCCTATTGATAGACACATTATTTGATTTGGATGTAGGGAAGTTTTCACCAGCTGGATGCAACTCAAGGATCCTAGAAGTTTTGAGTCAAGGAGTAACTCCTTCCAACCCTCCCAACTTCTCTTCCATGCAAATCACTATTTTCATTCATTCCACTCTCACTCAAAATCTAGCCTTTGCTTAGAACTGGCCAAATTACAGTCAAGATCATTTAATTAAATGCCTTTTTAATAGAGTCGGCCCTGGCTCTCCCACACCAGGGAAATGAATGCCAGCCTAGAGGCTTCTGGGCACCACTTTAAGGGGGTATCACCCTATTTCTCAGGAAACCCTTGCAGATGATGTGTATGAACACTTAGTTCATGCACCCTGTTCAACTACACTGGGATGAGTGCAGGCCACATTCCATACTTTGCCCCAGGTGGAGATTCCTCTCTGCTTTGTCCACCATCTAGAAGGAACTGCTAGGAGCAGTTTTCCATTCCAGGCTTTTATCTCACCTATAAGACATATTGAGCGCCTGGCCCCTGCCACCATCCAGCTTAACTTAAAATTAACTCCCACAGAAGGAGTTGCACTTTTCCAAATCTCCAAACTTCCTTAGCTCAAGCATTTTTTCTTGACTGTTTAATCTGAAGTCCCACTTCCTCACTCCTTCTTTGTACTTGCTCTTTAGGTCTTAAAGGGCATCTTGCCAACCTCCTCACTTAACCTGGAATCCCCACTACTAACACAGTGCCTTACAAAGAGCAGATGCTCAATTAATGTTTGGGGAATAAATGAGCCAGTGAACTGGGGCTCATATTTAATAAGATTTAATTTCTCATACATTCTTGAATAAGCCAAATAATTCAGGTATAAATCTTTAATACAAAACCACAGATTAAGAGGCATACATAAATCCTACAATTAACCATCTTCTATGTTTTTCCTGTATTTATTGATCTCATTAGTTTTATTGCTAGGCTGTTACACATTTCTGAGAAAATTCCTATTCCAACACCATGTTATCTTATTCCAGATCACAAAATAAGACGGAAGCTTCCCCCCTTTGGTTTATATAATAGAAAACTTTTATTTTTAAACCTGATAAACAGTAATAAATGTGTGAGCAATGTCATTCATGAATCTGCATTCTGAAGCTAATAAGCCTTTTAAGAGAAACATTTGAAAAATACCAAAAAGCAAAAACAAACAAACAAACAAAAAGATAAAAATCTGCAATCAGCCCTTCACTACTTAAAACCTTGACTTCTCTTTTCAAACACAGAGTGAAGAATCTGCCTGAGACTTCACTCAGGGCAAGAGAAGCTGCTGGACTTGGCCCAGGAATGTGCACTGGCCATGAGAGTAGTACCACCCATGGTGGCAATTATAGCCTGAGCTTTCTCTTTCTCATCTCTTAAAGCTTCCTCATACAGGAGTGGAAAGGAACTGGCATCACTCCCACTGACTCTGGAGAAAAACTCCAGGACTTTCATCTTGGTGGTTTCAGCATGAGCCCTTGGGCCCCACGGGAATTTGTATCTTGGAGGATCACTGTTGGATACCTGACAGCACTCCAGGTATTTTTCCTGCACCAAATCTCTGGTGATGAGCTTCCTGGGCTCCCCATAGATGAAATCCTTCCACCCAGCATACACCCTGATAATATTCAGCACTTCCCAGATCTTCTCTTCAGAGGCACAGTTGGCCTCCATTAAGATCACACCGAAGGTAAGAATCAGGAGGCCGGTCTTGGGCATTCCCTGGTCATCGCTCAGCCTCCTATCGTAGGTGAGGTCTAGTGATTTGAGGAGCACACAGGAGTGGCTGATGGGGTCCACCTCCTTCATGTCAGTGCCAAAGACAATCTCCATGCATTCATGGGCTTGCATAAAGATCGGAGGGAAGTGATCCTTGTGTTCTTTGATGACACCCTTCAGCATTTCTGCTTCTGTGATGGGCTGTTTTGTTGTATACTTGACACTCAGGAATTTCACCAACTCGTCCACCTTCTTCTCTAGCATGCTACCAAGCAAGGACTCGGGCTCTCACAGGGCCTGGGAGGCACCTGGATCCTTCTTTTCCTGGCTTCTGGAACTCTCATCAGATTGATTCCATGGAGTGGCTTTGATGGTAGTGCAGGGGGAGCAGACTCTCTGAGAACTCTGGGGAGTACCTGGTGTTCCAGAAGCAGACACCTTCTCCAAGGTGCCCTGGATCAGAGTAGAGGGAGAGGAGGAGGCTGTGGTATTCACCTTCTCAGCTTCAGCAACCTGCACACCTACAAGGCCCTGTGCCTCTTTGGGGGCCTGAAGCCCTTGCTCAAGCTCACAGTGCCGACTCTTTTGGCTGTGAGGCATCTTGACTTGTTTCGGGGGCAGCCTACAGGAGCATGGTCAGGAGATGGCTGATGAAGCCAACTGGACTGGGGGAGAGGAAGAGTGTGAAAAACTTAACCTTGTCATTCTGATAAATACTGTCTTAACAGGTCCTCTTTTAGTGCTCTAGGGCCCCACAGGTCTCCCGTCCTGCACTTCATCATGACTCCTGGCATTGACTGGATCTCCTCTTCTCTGTGAGCTGAGGACATGTGCCTCATATTAAGGCCTTCACTTCCAGTTCCTGGATCCCCTGTAAGAGGAGTTCAGGGGGTCCCTTCAGGGCTGATAGGTGGGATGGGGCCAGACTCTGAGGTCCTCACAGCTTTGGAGTGGATCCCCCACTACTCCTGGGTCCTACCATAGCTAACACCAGGGAAGGAAGGGCTGGGCCCATCTGTTTTTGTCAAGTCCCCTCCATCCTCAAATTGACTCTTGGAAGGGCCTGAAATTCCTCCCTCTGCTGAACTGAGTCCAGCTGATGGGATGGAGGGCACAGCACATCTGGACACCATGCTCCAGGGCCTCCCGGGGAAGGAATAGTGTAGGGCAGGTGCCTCAACTCTATGAAGGTGGCAGGGGGTCCCCTCAATCCTCATTCAGGATCCTCACTTGGACTCTTGGTATAACCTAGTTCTCCTTCCTGGGCTGACTAGATGTAGCTTCCTCTACTGATGCGAAGCTGCCCCCTTAGACTAAGGCCTTCACTTCCCTGAGACCAATGAGACAAAAGTGAAGAAGTACCACATACAGCCACCCCTGCCCAGGAACTCCTAGGGCTGATAGCAGGGGCTGGACTTAATATGTCCTTGGGTGGTCGGTACACTCAGTTATCCTTCAGGGTCCTCACCTCCATGCCCAGCAGGGCCTGGGACTCCTCCCTCTGGTGACCTGAATTTGGCCGTCCCAGACAAAGGCCTTCTCCTCTTTGAGACTCTCAGGTCAGTGGAAAATGAGGGGAGACTTACAGACAGACCTCCCTGGGGGCTACCAGGGCCGACAATAGGTGTGGGGCAGGTTTTGATGGAAACTTCCTTTGTCTGGAGTAAGATTTGCCCTCAATTCTCCCAAAGGGACTCAAATTTACTCATGACAGGGTTTGCATTGCTTTCCTTCTGCTGTCCTGAGGATACCTCCCTCAGGCCAGGGCTTCCATGGCCAGACATGCCAGACAAGCAAGTGAGGGAAGTGGAAGGTTGGAGGGAGGTGCCTATGCCTAACAGTCTTACTCAGGGTATTCCAGGGCTGGCTGCAGGAGCAGGACATGGTTTGGGTCCCTCTACTTACAGTCGGAGGCCTCATCAGTCCATTCTCTGAGTTCTCACCTTGACTCCTGGCAGGGCTGGGCTCCCCACTGTGTTGACTGGAAGCTGCACCCCGTCTAACGCCCTTAACTTAACTAAGATCACCCAGAAGGAAATGAGTTGGGGCCTCAGCCTAACAGACCTGAGTAAATTCTACCAGGGCTCATAGCAGGGTCAGGGCAGGTATCTATGCGGCTCCCTTTGGGTTCTGAGTTGGGGGTATTTTTACTCCCAACAGGGCTTGCAACCCATTCTTTTTTCTGACTAGAGGATGCTTCTCTTATGCTAAGGTGCCCATATCCCAGATGGGCCAGACAAGGAAATGAGGGGGATGAGTGGGGTGGGGGGACCTCTGCCTTAGAGCGAAGCTTGAGGCCTTTCAGGGAAGGGGAGGTTTCTGTGGTGCCTTCTCTATCTGGGGTGGGAGGTACTCTCGGCCCTACCTAAGGGTCCTTGCCTTTATGCCTAGCAGGGCCTGCGACTCCTCCCCACGATAAGCAGAGGCTTGGCCATTCAGACCAAGGCTCTCATCCCCCTACAACACCCAACCTGTGTATGATGCATGTAAAAGAGGACGCTCAGCCAGAGAGTATTTCCTGGGGTTCTCAGGCTGACAGTGAGGATTAGGGTGAATTTCTGTGGCGATCCCATTGGGTTCTGAGATGGAGTCTCCTCAGTTCTTCCCAAAGTCATCCTATTTACTCCCGACAGGACTTGCACTGCCTCCCTTCTGCTGAACTGAGGATGCAGCCCTCAAGTGAAGATTCCTATCTCTCCAACAAGGAAGTGCGGAGAATAGGGGAAGGTGTGCCTGCTTGACTGGAGCCTCCCAGGGCTGACAGCAGGAATGAGTTTCTACGGGCTCCGTTTTTTCTGATGGGAGATCCCTTCAGCCCTCCGTAAGGGTCCTCATCTTGATGTCTGGCACTGCCTAGGACGACTCCTTCTCCTGACCTCAGTCTACACCCCTCAAATAAAGCTTCACCTACCTCAGACTCCAAAGAGGGACGCCCAGATACACCACATCCGGGAACCCTGTCTGCAGCATCGCAGGGCTGACTGAAGGGGCAGGGAGCTGGGTTGTCCTCTCTCTGCGGTAAGACATCTCCTCTGTCTTTCTTCAGGGCCCTCACCTTAATACCTGGAGAGCCTGGGACTCCTCCCTCTGCCAAGCCAACTTCAGTCCTCTCAGAAGACGCCTCCTTCCTCCGTGCGACTCTAAAGATGAAAGGCCAGACACACCAAATCCCGGAACCCTACCTGGAGGCATTCACATCCAGGGGCAAGGTGAAGCTGGAGGAGACCCTTCCAGTGTGGTGAGCGGTTCCCTTACTTCTTCCGGGCCTCACCTTGGAGCCTGACAGGGTCTGGGACTCTTCTTCTGCTTGCCTAAGTTGAGCCCGCCGCCTCAGAGGAAGCTTCCCCTCCCTCAGACTTCCAAAGTGAAAGTTAAGATACACCACAATGAGATACCATCTCACACCAGTTAGAATGGCAATCATTAAAAACTCAGGAAACAACAGATGCTGGAAAGGATGTGGAGAAATAGGAATGCTTTCACACTGTTGGTGGGACTGTAAACTAGTTCAACCATTGTGGAAGACAGTGTGGCGATTCCTCAAGGATCTAGAACTAGAAATACCATTTGACCCAGCCATCCCATTACTGGGTATATACCCAAAGGATTACAAATCATGCTACTATAAAGACACATGCACATGTATGTTTATTGCAGCACTGTTCACAATAGCAAAGACTTGGAACCAACCCAAATGTCCATCAATGATAGACTGGATAAAGAAAACATGGCACATATGCACCATGGAATACTATGCAGCCATAATAAAGGATGAGTTCATGTCCTTTGCAGGGACATGGATGCAGCTGGAAACCATCATTCTCAGCAAACTATCACAAGGACAGAAAACCAAGCACTACGTGTTCTCACTCAAAGGTGGGAATTGAACAATGAGAACACTTGGACACAGGGTGGGGAACATCACACCCCGGGGCCTGTCATGGGGTGGGGGACACAGGGAGGGATAGCATTAGGAGATATACCTAATGTAAATGACGAGTTAATGGGTGCAGCAAACCAAAATGGCACATGTATACCTATGTAACAAAACTGCAAGTTGTGCACATGTACCCTAGAACTTAAAGTATAATTAAAAAAAAAAAAAGAAGAAGAAGAAGAAAGAAATACACCACATTGGATGGGCACGGTTGCTCACGCCTGTAATCCTAGCACTTTGGGAGGCTGAGGTCAGGACTTAAAGACCAGCCTGGCCAACATGCCAAAATTAGCCAGGCATGGTGGCACGTGCCTGTAGTCCCAGCTACTCGGGAGGCTGAGGCAGGAGAATTACTTGAACCCAGGAGGCAGAGGTTGCAGTGAGTTGAGATCGCACCAGTGCACACCAGGCTGGGCGACAGAGCGAGACTCCATCTCCAAAAAAAAAAAAAAAAAAGTTACACCACATCTGGGCACTCTGCCTGAGGTTTCTCAGGGCTGACAACAAGAGCAGGGCAACATAAGTCCCCTTCCACTTTGGGTGGAAAAACCCCTTAGACCTAGCTCAGTGGCCTCACTTTGATTTCTGGCAATACCTGGGGCCCGTTTTTTTGTCCACCAGAGGCCACACCCCTCATTGATGCCTTTACTTCACTAAGACCACCAAACCGGTGGGGCTTCAGCCTGACATGCCTGTACAAGGGGCCACCAGAGCTGGGCAGCATAAGATTCTGTGGTATTCTCTTTGTTCTGGGTTAAGGGTTACCATCAGTCCTTTTCAAAGTATACATATTTTCTCATTACAGGACCTCAACTCCCTGTCTTCACAAGGCCTTTTCCCCAGTCTACCTGAGACATCCTTCACAGAACTGCAGAGAAGGTGGGTATTGGCGCCCGCCTGTTCCTGACAGCCAGGGACCTCCAAAGGCTAACGACAAATTTGCATTTTGGTGGGGACCCTTCTGAGGGTGGGAGGTTAACTCAGCCCCCAATAAGGGTCCTCACTTTGAAGGGCCTGGAACTCCTACCTTTGCTGACCTGAGTCCTACCCCCTCAGACCAAGACCCTCACTTCCCTGAAACTGCTCCCCTTTCAGGGTGGAAATCAGGTTGAGGGTCATCATGTCCCCAAAGCCTTCTAAGGCTAACAGCTAAGGCAGGATGGGCCTGTAGCCCAGACTCTTCTGTGGTGGGGATTCTGCTTAGCCTTCCTCAGTATCATCACCTTGACTTCTGACACTGAGTTGGCCTCCTCCCTCTGCAAACTGGAGTCCATTTACCTCAAACCAAGGACCTCAAGTTCTGAGGTGGGTGTATCTCTTCCCCATCCCACAGCAAACTCCACTCTTCATTCTTGAGGGTCCTTGTCTTAGGTCCTGGATCCTGGATTAAACATTCCATGAGAGAAACCACACCCTTTCGGCTCTGAGCATTTATACACCTGTAACTCTTACAGAGGATGTTTTCAGCTCCCAGGCTAGATGCTAGAAGGGAGAGCAGCAGCACACATGATATGAAGTGATCTGTTACAGAAGAAGCACACCTTTTTCTGGGGTCACTTCACCAGGCAGATTTAGATTTTCAAAGCCTTTTGTTCTGAGATATTTATTTTCTACATGGAAGAGGCTGAACAGCCTGATTTTGGAAGGCCATGCTCTTTGTTTTCAAGACTTCAAAAAAGTACTTTAATCTGCTACACTTTATGACATTTTGTGGCCAATTCATTTTTTAAAAAAGACTTTATGGTTTTAGAGCAGTTTTAGGTTCACAACAACATTGAGATGAAGGTATATGGATGCCCCGTATAGCAGGGGTTCCCAACCCCCGGTGCGCAGACCAGTACCAGTCTGTGGCCTGTTAGGAACAGGGCAGCACAGCAGGAGATGAGCAGCAGGCAAGCATTATTGCCTGATCTCCGCCTCCTGTCAGATCAGTGGTGGCATTAGATTTTCATAGGAAAACGAACCCTGTTGTGAACTGCACATGTGAGGGATCTAGGTTGCACGCTCTTTGTGAGAATCTTATTAATGCCTGATAATCTGAGGTGGAACGGTTTCATCCTGAAACCATCCTCCCCGCTCCTGTTCGTGGAAAAATTGTCTTCCCCAAAACCAGTCCTTGGTGCCAAAAAGTTTGGGGACCACTGCCATATACGCTTTGCCCCTACAAATGCATAGTCTCTCCTATTATCAACATCCTCTACTACAGTGGGACATTTGTTACAGGTGATGAACCTACACTGACACATCATATCATCCAAACCCACAGTATACATTATAGTTCACTCTTGGTGCTGGATATTGTACAGGTTTGAACAAAAGAATAATGACATGTATCCACCATTGTTGTATCATAAACAGCATAGTTTCACTGTCCTGAAGATCCTCAGTGTTTCACCTATTTATCCCTCATTCCTCCCAACCTCTCCAACCGCTGATCTTTATACTGTTTCCATAGTTTTGCCTTTTCCAGAATGTCATATAGTTAGAATCATACAATAGAAGGCTTTTCAATTTGGCTTCTGCTACTTAGTAGTATGCATTTAAGTTTCTTCTATGTTGTTTTCATGGCTTAATAATTCATTTCCTTTTAGCACTGAATAATATTCTATTGCCTGGATGGGCCACAGTTTTTGAATGACATCTTTGTTACTTCCAAATTTTGGCAATTATGAATAAAGCTGCAGTAAATATTTGTGTGTAGGTTTTTGTGTGGACATAAGTCTTCAACCCTTTTGGGTAAACATCAAGAAGTGCAGTTGCTGGATTGTAGGGTAAGGGTGTGTTTAATTTTTCAATAAACTGCCAAACTTTCCTCCAAATTGCTATACGCTTTGCCTTTCCCCCAGCAATGAGTGAAATTTCCTGTTGCTCCACATCCTTGCCAGCATTTGCTGTTGTTAGTTTTCTGAATTTTTGCCATTTTAATAGATGTGTAGTGCTCTATTTTTGTTGCTTTAATTTGAATTTCCCTGATGATGTATGATGTGGAGCATCTTTTCGTATGCTTATTTGCCATCTGTGTAGCTTCTTTGGTGAGGTATCAGTTCGGGTCTTTGACCCATTTTAAAATCAGGTTTTTGTTTTTTAATGTTGAGTTTTAAAGAATTCTTTGTATATTTTGGATAACAGTCCTTTTTCAGATATGTCGGTTGCAAATATTTTCTCTCAGTTTGTGGCTTATCTCTTCATCATCTTGAAAGGTCCTGCTCTTTTGAAGTTAACGTTGCATTATTCGATGCAATGATTTTTAGTTTTTTAACTCTCATTTTTGGTATGAAATGTATTTTACATCTCTACAAAGCATATGTGTAGAATACATACACACACACACATACACGAAAGAATACCTACCCAATGTGTGATTTACTATGATAGTTGCTATTTTATTTGTACTCCATTTTTATACACTGTTAAAATAATAAATTTTTTAAAAGAATAGTTCTCCTCCTGTAAAGTGGTTTCAGGTGGTTGTCAATACAGACTCAAGTCATACTGCTTCAGTCCATTCCATCTTTCCTTTTGTCCTGATATTGGCCCATGGCTAATGGCACTTGTATTTGGAGGGACTGCCTCAGAATTATGCGGTGAAGCAGAGACCAAAGTTTAAAATCTTTCCTGCTATCTTGTCTTTGTTCTTTCCTGCCACTATAACAAAACATCTGAGACTAAGTGATTTTTAAATAATAAAGGTTTATTTCTCACAGTTCTGAAGCCTCAGAAGTCTAAAATCAAGGCACTGGCAGGTTTGTGGTCTAGTGAGGTTCTAGTCTTTGCTTCCAAGATGGAGCCTTGTTGCTGCATCTTCCCATGATGGAAAGCAGAAGGGCAAAAAGAGCAAAAAGGGATGAAAGCAGTGTAATCACATTGCAGAAGAGATGGAAGGGCAAAATGGGGCTGAACTCTCTCTCTCAAGCGCTTTTGTAAAGGCACTGTAAATTAAAAATACAATCCTAAATCCCCCTCCCCAACAGACTGAATGGACTTCTCTTGGCCAAGGGGACCCCAGAGAATTCTTAAGAACTGAGTTCCTGGCCATGATGGAAACAGGAAGTTGGACATGTCTCGTTATATCCACTCCCTTTGTAGTTTATGCACAACCACTTACCAGCATTAATATTAAAATAGAGATCATAAGACTGACAGCATCAACTCTTTGTGGCAATAAGATACCAAATTATAAGTAAGACTTAATGGATGTGCCAGGCAATGGTTAAGTCATGTACCTTCTACACTTAAAGAATAATTTATGTTCTAACTGCCACAAGGTTTTTCTCTTTCTCTACCAACTGAACAAGCACTGGCCTCAAGATAAGCAGTATTGAAACAATAACAGCTCACCCAGCTCACAGGCACTGACTAACTGACTCCCCTCTTCCAGCAGTCATAACTAGAGCTCTGATTGGACAAGAGGCTGATTTCAATAACATTCTATTCACAATGGACTGGTTCTGGCTAGTTTGTAGTTGTATACATTTAAACGTTAAGTCTTTACCCTAAGGTGAACATGGGTCATATGTAACATGCATGTTTGTTCAATATGCATGTATCAGAACCACCTTCATAAATATTCATAACTACTCCTATAACCTATTGAATATGTATGTTTAGCGAATCCATTCGGCATAAAGCTTGTACCCTAACCCCTCCTCCTTCTAAGTGCCTGTCTCTAGTGTTTACCAGTGCCTATGCTTGCCAGTCTGTGGGATGGCCACCTTGCAGGTTCTAATCTTTTATAAGAAATAGAATCTCCTTTTCTAAATGTATAGATCTTTTGATTCTTTTTTTTAGTTGATAGCATTAATATCATCCAGGAGGGTGGGGCCCTCATTGCCTATTCAACTCCTAAAGTCCCCACCTCTTAACACTATCATATTGGTGATTATGGTTCAACATATGAATTTTGGAGGGACACATTCAGACCATAGCATATCTATTCTGTCATCTAGTATCTATTGCAGGTTGGAGACTTTCCCCAAATTCACTGCCACCTCCCTCTACTCTCATTCCAAACACAAGTACCAATTCAACACAATCTTCAGCCCCTCCCAAGCATTTCTCATGTTGTTTAGATATTGATGTTATTTGTGGTGAGCCCCTCAAGATATCAGATTCCAGTCTCTTGAACCTGTAAATGTTGCCTTATTTGAGAAAGGGGTATTTGCAAATGTGATTAAGTCTTGTCATAAGAAGATTATTTGAATTACATGGGTGAGCATACAATCACTGGCATTCTTGAGAGGGGGGCAGAGGGAGATTTGACACACACAGAGGAGAAGGTGAAGTGAAGATGGACCAGAGAGATTGGAAGGTACTGTCCATGAAGATTGGAGTGATGGGGTCCGATGCAGCCACCAGAAACTGGAAGAGTCAAGGAATGAATTCTCCCTAGGTTCTCCTTGCTGCTTATAGTAAAGTGTGACAGGAGAGAGATAAATTGAGGCAAGAATTATTAAGCAAATTTGAACCAGCCCTTGATTTGGGAAATTCTCAACTTACCAGGTTTCAAAAATTGCTGAATTAGATTTACTGTTAAGAAAGTATACTCTGCAGAGAAGGCCAATGCTGAAGAAATTATGTGTGCAACTCATGAATACACTCAACCGTTAGAAGCCAGGAATAGAGTTGAGATTTTCCAGGCAATATCTTGGGAGGACCATCTTTTAAAATGGAGTGAATCCCTGTGACATACATGGGAGGCCCACAAAGTTTTTATGAAAGTTATATCAACAGAAATACTTCCAGATAGGACTGAAAGGGACAAAGACAATATGAAATGAAGGAAGGCTATTGAATTTTTAAAATTTTATGGGTAGAAAACAGATTGATAGAACTACTCATCAGTACACATGTGCTACCTTTCAAGAAAAAAGATGGATAACTCCAGAAGCAAAGACTTGGACCCAGTGATGAAAGCCTTGAATCATGAGAGGATTATTCACAGGATTTTAAACCTGATGGAATTTGTCCTGCTGGATTTTTAAATGATTTGGAAATGTGGTCTCTTTTTTCCTCCCATCTTCTTTAGAAATGTGAATGTTTATAAATGTTACACTATGCCAGTTCCACCATTGTATTTTGGGAACAGCTAACTTGTTTTTTTGTTACACAGGTTCAGAGATAGAGATGAAAATTATGCCCCAGAATGGATCATGCCTATACCATATTTAGATGATTCAGATTTGGGACTTTTGAGCTAAAGTTATCTAGATGAGATTTTAGACTTGAGTTGATGCTGTAACAGATTGAGACTTTTTCAGATGCTGGGATAGTGTGAATGTATATAGCATGTGGGATGGATGTGAATCTCTGGGTGCTAGATAATAGACTATGGTATTCTAGAAAATGGCTTCTGAAAGCTATAAGGTCCCAATTTTTGAAAATATAAATGTTACCTTATTTGGAAAAAAGGTCTATGCAAATGTAATTAAATTAAGGATCTTCTGCTGAGGACATTAACTTGGATTATCCAGGTAGACCCAAAATACATCACAAGTGTCCTAATAAATGAGAGGCAGAGAAATTTCTCACATACTCAGAAGAAACATCGTGAAGATGGTGGCAGAAATTAGAGTGATGAGGCCATAAGCCAAGAAATAGTGGCAGCCATCAAAAGCTGGAAAGTCAAGAAACATATCCTCCCCTGAAGCATGAAGAAAGTGAGTCCTCCTGATGTCATGATTTTAGTCTAGTGATACTGATTTCAGATTCTGATGAACAGAATTGTGAGAGAGTAAATTTCTGTTGCTTTGAGCCACTTAGTATGTGGCAATTTGTTATGGCAGCCCTGAGAAACGAATACAATATAGTTAGCAAGTTTAATTCCTTTGTTTGTCATTCTCCCTTCTATAATTTCCCAGGGCTGTTTCCCAGGAAGATAGTAGGCCAAGCTTGTCATCTTGGCAAATATAGATAAGGCACCAAATCTGTAAATAATTTAAGGACAATTGACATATTTACAATACTCTGTTTTCCATCGACAAATACGGTATATTGATCTTTCTATTTGGGACTTTTATTTTTTACCTGAATCTATCAGGAAACTATTCTAGGTGCCTGCATAAAGATCTTACACAATTTTGTCAAGCTTCTTAGATAATTTCTGGATTTTGTTGCTGTTGTAAGTGGGATATTTTCTATTACATGTTCTAATTAGTTATTGATTTTGTGGGGCAGCACTCTTGATTTTGCTATAGTGAATTCCATACACAATCTTTTGGAAGTCTCTTAAGTATTTGAATTTCCCCCATGCCTAATTTATTGATTTTCTGGGTAGATTGTATTGTTACCAAATATGTTCTCTTTCCTTTCAATATTCATCACTCTTAACTTGTTTTGATATCAATATCCCTGACCTTGTGTTCTAGTGCAGTTTTTCTTTCACTGTGATTAAAAACACATAAATTTATCATCTTAACAATTTTTAACATGTTAAGTGTATGCTCAATGTTGTACAAAAAATTTCTATAACTTTTTCATCTGGCATGACCGAAACTTTATGCCCATCGAACAACATCTTCCCATTTCTCTCTCCTTATATCCCCTGCCAACAACCATTCCACTTTCTGTTTTTGTGACTTCTACTACTTTATATACATCATGTGAGTGGAATCATGCAGAAAAATGGCACAGATGGTGCAAAGTTCCTATATGCCCCACAACCAGTTTCTCCTATTGTTAACAGATTACATTATTATGATACATTTGTTACAACTAATAAATCAATATTGATACATCATTATTAACAAAAACTTATAGTTTATTCATAATTCCTTACCTAATTTTTAGCTAGTTTCCTTTTTATGCCCTCCAGTATATCACACTGCTGTCAATGGCCACATCTCCTTAGCCTCTTCCTATCCGTGCCAGTTTCTCAGACTCTCCTTGCTTGGGATCTCCATCACTACCTCTGTGGGTGAAGCTAACATCATTTCTTACCTAGACTATGGTAAAGGCTTCCACACTGGTACCTCTCCTTCCTCATTTACCCCTGTAAAATTCATTCCTCTCTCAGCAGCCAGTGATTCTTTTAAATATACAATGGCTGGTTGAATTACTTAAGTTTTCATACATCAGAGTTAGTTAACTCTTTATGATATACAGATGTAAGGATTTTAACAAATGCATACAGTCATATATTTACCACTCAACTGTCATATAGAACAGTTCCGTAAGTCGAAAATTCCTCTGTGCAGCCCCTTTGTATTCAGCCACTTCCTCCCCTTCCTAAACTACTGGCAACTACTAATTTGCTGTTTGTATCTACATCACTGTCTTTTCCAGGATGTCATATGAGTAAAATCATAAAATATTTAGTCTTTGGAATCTGGCTTCTTCGCTTAACAAAATGCATTTAAGATCCATGCATGTTATATGAATAAATAGCTAGTTCTTTTTATCACTCACTAGTATACCATTGTATGGATGTAACAAGGTTTATTTGTCCATTTACATGTTGAAGCACATCTTGTTTGGCAATTATGAATAAAGTTCCTATAAATATTCATGTAAAGGTTGCTTTGTGAATGTAAGTTTTCAATTCACTTGGGTAAAACCTAAGTATAAGATTGTTTCAACTTTTGGTAATTCTGTCTTTATAAGAAATGGTCTTCTCAAGTGGCTGTATCAATTTTTATTCTCTGGAGCAATGAATAAGAGTTCCTGTTGCTCCACATACTGTCCAATATTTGGAAATTTCAGATTTTGTATTTTAGCTACTCTAATAAGTGTACAGTGGAATCGTACTGTGGCTTTTATCTGCATTTTCCCCTAAGGACAAATGATATCGAACATTTTTTCATATGAATTTTTGTAATCTGTATGCCCTCTTTGGTGAAAAGTCTGTTCAAATCTTTTGCACATCTTTTTATTCATATGTTTTTTCATTTTGCTGTGTTTTTTAGGATTGAAATTTGTTGTTGTTGTTGCTGTTGTTTTTGTTTTGAGACGGAGTCTCACTCTGTTGCCAGGCTGGAGTCCAGTGGCACGATCTTGGCTCACTGCAACCTCCGCCTCCCGGGTTCAAGCGATTCTCCTGCCTCAGCTTCCTAAGTAGCTGGGGATTTAAGTTTTTTTTAAAAAAATTATTTATTAAATTTTTTTGATTAGCAAATCATAATAGTATGCATTTATGGAATTATGTTTGTGTTTTAAGATTTCTTCATTCAGAAAATTAGTTATTTTAATGAGATATGGTATGCACATACATTTTCTCCCAGCCTGTGACTTGTTTCCTTCAAATTATCTTAACAGTGTATTTTTTTAAAAAACTTAATTTTAGGATAACTTCAAATTTACATGAAAAATGTGAAAATAATAACGAATATTCCCATATGCTTCACACCTGGTTTCTCCCATTAATGTCATATATTAGTGTAGTACGTTTGCCACAAATAACAAATCAGTATGACCTAATGTTCTTTTACTGCTCCAGAATCTCATTTGGATGCCATGATGCTAGTAGTCATTGTGGCTCAGGCTCCTTTTGGCTATGTCAGTTTTTCAAACTTTGCTTGTTTTGAAATTTTTGAGGATTACCGGCCAGGTATTTCGTAGGATGACACTAAACTTGGATTTTTCCGATGGTTTTCCATGATGAGACTGGGGTTATGGAGTTTGAGGAGGAAGATGAGAGATGAAGTGCTATTCTTATCAAACCATATCAAGAGTACATTTGAGCAACACGATTTATCACCATTGGTACTCATCTTGGTCATCTGGCTGAGATGGTATTTCTCAGGTTTCTCTACTGTCTATATGTGCATGTGTGTGTGTATTAATTCATGTATACACACATATCTATAAATATTAATATATGTAACTATCTGCGTCTATATCAAACTGAACATTAGTTTATATTGGTGTTTCTACCTGTAATTCATTATGGCAAGGATTATTCGAGCCTTGCTTTGCTGTAATATTTACTCCAATAGTGAGAAACATGGCTCTCACCATCTGCCACCCATTTAACTGTTCAATTCCAGTATACAGGTAAAGTGGTTGTATAGAACTAGAAAACAGTGTTTATATGTACAGTTCATTTTAATTTTTTTATTGAAATTTTTTATTTTCATAGGTTATTGGGAAACAGATGGTGTTTGGTTACATGAGTAAGTTCTTTAGTGGTAATTTATGAGATTTTGGTGCACCCATGACCTGAGCAGTATAAGCTACACCCAAATTGTGGTCTTTTATCCCTCACCCCCTTCCCACCCTTCCTCCGAAGTCTCCAAAGTCCATTGTGTCATTCTTATGCCTTTGCATCCTCATAGCTTAGCTTCCACTTATGAGTGAGAACATACAGTTCTTGGTTTTCCATTCCCGAGTTACTTCACTGAGAATAACAGTCTCCAATCTAATCCAGGTCGCTGTGAATGCCATTAATTCATTCCTTTTTATGACTGAGAAATATTCCATCATATATATTAGTTTCTTTATCCACTCAATGATTGATGGGCATTTGGGTTGGTTCCACATTTTTGCAATTGCGAATTGTGTTGCTATAAACATGTATGTGCAAGTAGCTTTTTCGTATAATGACTTCTTTTCCTCTGGGTAGATACCCAGTAGTGGGATTGCTGGATCAAATGGTAGTTCTACTTTTAGTTCTTTAAGGACTCTCCACACTGTTTTCCATAGTGACTGTACTAGTTTACATTCCCACCAGCACCATAGAAGTGTTCCCTGTTCACTGCATCCATGACAACATCTATTATTTTTTGATTTTTTAAATTATGGCCATCCTTGCAGGAGTAAGGTGGTATCGCACTGGGCTTTTGATTTCCATTTCACTGATCAATAGTGATGTTGAGCATGTTTTCATATGTTTGTTGGCCATTTGTATATCTTCTTTTGAGAATTGTCTATTCGTGTTCTTAGCTCACTTTTTGATGGGATTGTTTTTTTTCTTGCTAATTTATTTGAGTACCTTGTGGATTCTGGATATTAGTCCTTTGTCAGATGTATAGATTGTGAAGATTTTCTTCCACTCTGTGGGTTGTCTCTTTACTCAATGTTCCTTCTGTCATGCAAAAGTTCTTCAGTTTAATTAAGTTCCAGCAATTTGTCTTTGTTTTTATTGCATTTTTGGGGGGGTCTTGGTCATGAAATTCTTGCGTAAGCCAATGTATAGAAGGGTTTTTCCAATGTTATCTTCCAGAATCAGAATTTTTATATTTTCAGGTCTTAGAGTTAAGTCCTTAATCCATCATGAGTTGAGTTTTGTATACAGTGAGAGATGAGGATCCAGTTTCATTCTCCTATATGTGACTAGCCAATTATCCCAGCACCATTTGTTGAAAAGGGTGTCCTTTCCCCACTTTATGTATTTGTTTGCTTTGTCAAAGATCAGTTGGCTGTAAGTATTTGGGTTCATTTCTGGGTTCTCTATTCTGTTCTACTGGTCTATGCACCTATTTTTATACTAGTACCACGCTGTTTTGGTGACTACAGCCTTATAGTATAGTTTGAAATCAGGTAATATAATGCCTCCAGATTCGTTCTTTTTGCTTACTCTTGCTTTGGCTGTGTGTGCTCTTTTTTGGTTCCATATGAATTTTAGAATTTTTTCTTTCTAATTCTGTGAAGAATGATGGTGGTATTTTGATGGGAATTGCATTGAATTTGTAGATTGCTTTTGGCAGTGTGGTTATTTTCACAATATTGATTCTACCCATCCATGAGCATGGAATGTGTTTCCATTTGTTTGTGTCATCAGTGATTTCTTTCAGCAGTGTTTTGTAGTTTTCCTTGTAGAGGTCTTTCACGTCGTTGCTTAGGTATATTCCTAAGTGTTTTATTTTATTTTATTTTATTTGCAGCTATTGTGAAAGGGGTTGAGTTCTTGATTTGATTCTCAGCTTGGTTGCTGTTGGTGTAGAGAAGAACTACTGATTTGTGTACATTAGTTTTGTATCTAGAAACATTGCTGAATTCTTTTATCAGTTCTAGGAGCTTTCTGGAGGAGTCTTTGGGGTTTTCTAGGTAAACAATCATATCATCAGAAACAGCAACAGTTTGACTTCCTCTTTACTGATTTGATGCCCTTTATTTCTTTCTCTTGTCTGATTGCTCTGGCTAGGCTAGGACTTCCAGTACTATGTTGAAGAGGAGTGGTAAGATTAGGCATCCTTGTCTTCTTCCAGTTCTCAGAGGGAATGCTTTCAACTTTTCCTCATTCAGTATTATGTTAGCTATGGGTTTGTCATAAATGACTTTTACTACATTGAGGTATGTCCCTTGTATTCTGATTTTGCTGATAATTTTAATCATAAAGGGATGTTGGATTTTGTCAAATGCTTTTTCTGCAGCTATTGAGATGATCGTGTGATTTTTGTGTTTAATTCTGTTAATGCGGTGTATCACATTTATTGACTTGCATATGTTAAACCATCCCTGCATCCTCGGTATGAAAGCCACTTGATCATGATGGATTATCTTTTCAATATGTTGTTGGATTCGGTTAGCTAGTATTTTGTCAAGGATTTTAGCATCTATCTTCATCAGAGATATTGGTCTGTGGTTTTCTTTCTCGGTTATATCCTTCCCTGGTTTTGGTATTAGGGTGGTACTGGCTTCATAGAAGTATTTAGGGAAGGGTCTCTCTTTCTCTATCTTATGGAATAGTGTCAGTAGTATTAGTATCAATTCTTCTTTGAATGTCTGGTATAATTCTGCTGTGAATCCGTCTGGTCCTGGACATTTTTGTTGGTAATTTTGTTATTAACATTTCAACCTCACTGCTTGTCATTCGTCTGCTCAGAGTATCCAGTTCTTCCTAATTTAAACTAGGAGGATTGTATCTTTCCAGGAATTTATCCATTTCCTCTGGGTTTTCTAGTTTTTGTGCATAAAGGCGTTCATGGTAGCTTTGAATGATCTTTTGTATTTCTGTGGTGTCAGTTGTAATATCTTCCATTTTGTTTCCAATTGATCTTATTTGGATTTTCTCTTTTCTTGGTTAATCTTGCTAATATTCTGTTATTTTATTTATCTTTTCAAAGAACCAGTTTTTGTTTCATTTATCTTTTGTATTTTTTGTTTGTTTGTTTGTTTGTTTGTTTAAATTTCATTTAGCTCTGCTCTGATATTGGCTATTTTCTTTCTTCTGCTGGGTTTGGGTTTAGTTTGTTCTTGTTTTTCTAGTTCCTTAAGATGTGACCCTAGATTGTCTGTTTGTGCTCTTTCAGAGTTTTTGACGTAGGCGTTTAGGGCTATGAACTTTCCTCTTGGCACCGCCTTTGTTGTATCCCAGAGGTTTTGATAGGTTGTGTCACTATTGTCGTTCAGTTGAAAGAATTTTTAAATTTCCATCTTGATTTCATTTTTGACCCAATGATCATTCAGGGGCAGGTTATTTAATTTTCATATATTTGCATGGTTTTGAATATTCCTTTTGCTGTTGATTTTCAGTTTTATTCCACTGTGGTCTGAGAAAGTGCTTGATATAATTTTAATTTTCTTAAATTTATTGAGGCTCGTTTTGTGGCCTATCATATGGTCTATCTTGCGGAATGTTCCATTTGCTGTTGAATAGAATGTATATTCTGCAGTTGTTGGGTAGAATGTTCTGTATATATCTGTTAAGCCCATTTATTCCAGGGTGTAGTTTAAATCCATTGTTTCTTTGTCGACTTTCTGTCTTGATGACCTGTGTTGTGCTGTGTTGACTAGTGCTGTCAGTGGAGTATTGAAGTCCCTCACTATTATTGTGCTGCTGTCTGCCTTATTTCTTAGGTTGATTAGTAATTGCTTTATAAATTTGGGATCTCCAGTGTTAGGTGCATATATATTTAGGATTGTGATATTTTCCTGTTGTAAAAGGCCTTTTATCATTATATAATGTCCTTCTTAGTCTTTTTTAACTGCTGTTGCTTTAAAGTTTGTTTTGTCTGATATAAGAATAGCTACTCGGCTGGGCACGGTGGCTCACACCTGTAATCCCAGCACTTTGGGAGGCTGAGGTGGGTGGATCACCTGAGGCCAGGAGCCTAACATGGAGAAACCCCGTCTCTACTAAAAATACAAAATTAGCCAGGCATGGTGGCACATGCCTGTAATCCCAGCTACTCGGGAGGCTGAGGCAGGAGAATCACTTGAACCCGGGAGGCGGAGGTTGTGGTGAGCCGAGATCACGCCATTGCACTCCAGTCTTGGCAACAAGAACGAAACTCCATCTCGGGTTGGGGGCGGGGGGGAGGGGAAGAATAGCTACTCCTCCTTGCTTTTGGTGTCTGTTTGCATGGCATGTCTTTTTCCACCCCTTTACCTTAAGTTTATATGAGTCCTTATGTGTTTGCAGATAGTTGGTTGGTGAGTTCGTATCCATTCTGCAATTCTGTATCTTTTAAGTGGAGCATTTAGGCCATTTACTTTCAATGTTAGTATGGCGATGTGAGGTACCATTCCATTCATCGTGCCATTTGTTGCCTATATAGCTTGGTTCTTTGTTTTTTGATTTCTTTTAAATTGTATTTTTGTTTTATAGGTCCTGTGAGATTTATGCTTTAAAGAGATTTTGTTTTGATGTGTTGCCAGAATTTGTTTTAAGATTTAGAGCTCCTTTTAGCAGTTCTTGTAGTGCTGGATTGGTAGTGGAGAATTCTCTCAGAATTTGTTTGTCTGAAAAAGACTGTATTTTTCCTTCATTTATGAAGCGTAGTTTTGCTGGTTACAAAATTATTGGCTGATAATTGTTTTGTTTTAGGAGGCTGAAGTAGGGCCCCAATCCCTTCTAGTTCGCAGGGTTTCTGCTGAGAAATCTGTTGTTAATCTGATAGGTTTTTAAAATTTTTTGTAGGTTACCTGGTGCTTTTGCCTCACAGCTCTTAAGATTCCTTCCTTCATCTTAGCTTTAGATAATCTGATAACAATGTCCCTAGGCAATGATCTTTTTGCGACGAATTTCCCAGGTAGGTGTTCTTTGAGCTTCTTGTATTTGGATGTCTAGGTCTCTAGCAAGGCTGAGGAAGTTTTCCTCGATTATTCCCATGAATATGTTTTCCAAAGTTTTAGATTTCTCTTCTTCCTCAGGAATGCCGATTATTCTTAGGTTTGGTCGTTTAATATAATCCCAGACTTATTGGAGGCTTTCTTCATATTTTCTTATTCTTTTTCCTTTGTCTTTGTTGGATTGCTTTAATTTGAAGACCTTGTCTTTGAGCTCTGAAGTTCTTTCTTCTGCTTGTTCGATTCTATTGCTGAGACTTTCCAGAGCATTTTACATTTCTATAAGTGCATCCATTGTTTCCTGAAGCTTTGTTTTTCATTTATGCTACCTATTTCATTGAGTATTTCTCCCTTCACTTTTTGCATCTTTTTTTTTTTTATTTCCTTAGATTGGGCTTTGCCTTTCTCTGGTGCCTCCCTGATTAGCTTAATAACTAACCTTCTGAATTATTTTTCAGGTAAATCAGGAATATCTTCTTGGTTTGGATCCATTGCTGGTGAGCTAGCATGAATTTTGGGCCTGTTAAAGTACCTTGTTTTGCTATATTACCAGAGTTGGTTTTCTGGTTCCTTCTCATTTGGGTAGCCTCTGTCAGAGGGAAGGTCCAGGGCTCAAGGCTGCTGTTCACATTCTTTTGTCCCCCGGGGTGTTCCCTTGATGTAGTACTCTCCCCCTTTTCCTAGGGATGTGGCTTCCTGAGATCTGAGCTGTAGAGATTGTTATCTCTCGTGTGGATCTAGCCACCCAGGAAGTCTACCAGGCTCCTGGCTGGTACTAAGGGTTGTCTGCACAGATTCCTGTAATGTGAACCATCTGCGGTTCTCAGCCATGGATACCAGCACCTGCTTTGCTGGAGGTGGTAGGGGGTTAAAATGGTCCTTGGCTTTGGTTGCTTAATGCACTATTTTTGTGCTGGTTGACCTGCCGGGAGATGGAGCTTTCAAGAGAGCATCAGCTGTCATAGTATGGGGAGGAACAGGCAGTGGGTGGGGTCCTAGAACTCTCAAGAGTACATACCCTTTGTCTTCAGTTACCAGAGTGGGTAGGGAAGGACCATTAGGTGGGGGTAAAGTTAGGCGTGTCTGAGCTCAGACTTTCCTTGGGCGAGTCTTGCTGCGGCTGCTGTCAGGGATGTGGGTGAGGTTCGAAGGTCAATGGAGTTATGTTCTTAGGAGGATTATGGCTGCCCCTACTGGGTCATGCAGGTTGTCAGGGAAGGGGGGAAAGCTGGCATTCACAGGCCTCAACCAGCTCGCACGCAACCCAAAGGGCCAGTCTCACTCCCACTGTTCCCCCCATCCCCCAACAACACCAAGTCTGTTTCTAGGCAGTGGATGAGCAGCACTGAGAGCTTGCCCCAGGCTACCTGTCTCCCAGCTGCGAAAGCAAGTAGCGCTTTAGTTCTTCCCCTGCCTGTGGAGTCTGAACACCACATTTATGCCCTCTTCCGAGTTCTGGCCAGGAGACATCTTGATGGGTTCAAATTGTTACAAAGTTCAGCTGGAAGTTTCCTTCTCCCTGTGGCCTTTTTCCAGTGCCTCTGGCCCCCCTCCCCAAGGACCCCTGTGAGGTAGGGCAGAAATGGCTTGCTAGGGGTCCCAGCAAGCCTACAGGGCTTTTCCCGCTGCTTCTTCTACCCCTGTATTTCACTCGGTTCTCTAAATGGACTTAGCTCCAGGTAAGGTCAGAATCTTCTCCCATAATCTAGAACTTCAGGTTCCCCAGTGGTTCCCTTTTCCACTTCCACAGTTTGGGCACTCACAGTATTTGGGGTGTCTCCCAAGTTCTGCAGGAGCAATCTATTTCCTTCAGAGGGTCTGTTGGTTCTCTTGACTTTCCTAATGTATTCCTGCAGTTGTTCTAGAACAAAAGTTCACGATGCGAGAGCCTCCAAACCACACGCTGCTCTGTCCGTCTGAGTGGGAGCTGCATTCTAGTCCTGCCTCCCATCCACCTTGATCCCCTCTGCTCTGTACAGTGCATTTTGGTTCTTTATTTATTTATTTTTTTACTTTTGAAGAGGTTCACTCATTTCCAAAGTTATCTAGGTCAGCAGCTTGCCACCCCCCTCCCCGCCCCAGCCAATACCCTCTAGTGAGGTTTTTCCATACCATTGTAATAGAATTAGGCTGTTTTATTGTATTCTCCAGACCATCCTGAGATTTCCCCCAACCTTCTAAATGATTTTATTTAATTTGCATACATGAAGGTTAACTATTTGTGCTGAAAAGTTCCATAGGGTTTGACAAATGTTCAGTGTCTCCAACTGGTGTATCCACCAGTACAGGATCACGCAGAATAATTTCACTGCCCTAATAAATCCCTTCTGCTAAACTTATTAAACTATTTCCCTTTCTCCCAAACCCTGGCAACCACTGATCCTTTTACTGTCTCTATAGTTTTATCTTTTTTCAGAATGCCATATAAATGAAATTATACACTATTAGCTTGTTCGAACTTCTTTCTTTCTTTCAATTTTTTTTTTATTATACTTTCAGTTCTAGGGTACATGTGCACAACGTGCAGGTTTGTTACATATGTATACATGTGCCATGTTGGTGTGCTGCACCCATTAACTCGTCATTTACATTAGGTATATCTCCTAATGCTACTCCTCCCGCCTCCCACCACCCCACAACAGGCCCCGGTGTGTGATGTTCCCCTTCCTGTGTCCATGTGTTCTCATTGTTCAATTCCCACCTATGAGTGAGAACATGCCGTGTTTGGTTTTTTGTCCTTGCGATCATTTGCTGAGAATGATGGTTTCCAGCTTCATCCATGTCCCTACAAAGGACATGAACTCATCATTTTCATGGCTGCATAGTATTCCATGGTGTATATGTGCCACATTTTCTTAATCCAGTCTATCGTTGTTGGACATTTGGGTTAGTTCCAAGTCTTTGCTATTGTGAATAGTGCCGCAATAAACATGCATGTGCATTTGCCTTTATAGCAGCATGATTTATAATCTTTTGGGTATACACCCAGTAATGGGATGGCTGGGTCAAATGGTATTTCTAGTTTTAGATCCTTGAGGAATTGCCACAATGTCTCCCACAATGGTTGAACTAGTTTACAGTCCCACCAATGGTGTAAAAGTGTTCCTATTTCTCCACATCCTCCCCAGCACCTGTTGTTTCCTGACTTTTTAATGATCGCCATTCTAACTGGTGTGAGATGGTATCTCATTGTGGTTTTGATTTGCATTTCTCTGATGACCAGTGATGATGAGCATTTTTTCATGTGTCTGTTGGCTGCATAAATGTCTTCTTTTGAGAAGTGTCTGTTAATATCCTTTGCCCACTTTTTGATGGGGTTGTTTTTTTTTTCTTCTAAATTTGTTTGAGTTCTCTGTACATTCTGGATATTAGCCCTTTGTCAGATGAGTAGTTTGCAAAAATTTTCTCCCATTCTGTAGGTTGCCTGTTCACTCTGATGGTAGTTTCTTTTGCTGTGCAGAAGCTCTTTAGTTTAATTGATCCCATTTGTCAATTTTGGCTTTTGTTGCCATTGCTTTTGGTGTTTTAGACATGAAGTCCTTGCCCATGCCTATGTCCTGAATGGTATTGCCTAGGTTTTCTTCTAGGGTTTTTATGGTTTTAGGTCTAACATTTAAGTCTTTGATCCACCTTGAATTAATTTTTGTATAAGGTGTAAGGAAGGGATCCAGCTTCAGCTTTCTACTTACGGCTAGCCAGTTTTCCCAGCACCATTTATTAAATAGAGAATCCTTTCCCCATTGCTTGTTTTTGTCAGGTTTGTCAAAGATCAGATGGTTGTAGATGTGTGGTATTGTTTCTGAGGGCTCTGTGCTGTTTCATTGGTCTATATCTCTGTTTTGGTACCAGTACCATGCTGTTTTGGTTACTGTAGCCTTGCAGTATAGTTTGAAGTCAGGTAGTGTGATGCCTCCAGCTTTGTTCTTTTTGGTTAGGATTGTCTTGGTGATGCGGGCTCTTTTTTGGTTCCATATGAACTTTAAAGTAGTTTTCTCCAATTCTGTGAAGAAAGTCATTGGTAGCTTGATGGGGATGGCATTGAATCTATAAATTACCTTGGGCAGTATGGCCATTTTCACGATATTGATTCTTCCTACCCATGAGCATGGAATGTTCTTCCATTTGTTTGTATCCTCTTTTATTTCATTGAGCAGTGGTTTGTAGTTCTCCTTGAAGAGGTCCTTCACATCCCTTGTAAGTTGGATTCCTAGGTATTTTATTCTCTTTGAAGCAATTGTGAATGGGAGTTCACTCATGATTTGGCTCTCTGTTTGTCTGTTGTTGGTGTATAAGAATGCTTGTGATTTTTGCTTATTGATTTTGAATGCTGAGACTTTGCTGAAGTTGCTTATCAGCTTAAGGAGATTTTGGGCTGAGATGATGGGGTTTTCTAAATATACAATCATGTCGTCTGCAAACAGGGACAATTTGACTTCCTCTTTTCCTAATTGCATACCCTTTATTTCCTTCTCCTGCCTAATAGCCCTGGCCAGAACTTCCAACATTATGTTGAATAGGAGTGGTGAGAGAGGACATCCCTGTCTTGTGCCAGTTTTCCAAGGGAATGCTTCCAGTTTTTGCCCATTCAATATGATATTGGCTGTGGGTTTGTCATAGATAGCTCTTATTATTTTGAGATACTTCCCATCAATACCTAATTTATTGAGAGTTTTTAGCATGAAGGTTGTTGAATTTTGTCAAAGGCCTTTTCTGCATCTATTGAGATAATCGTATGGTTTTTGTCATTGGTTCTGTTTATATGCTGGATTACGTTTATTGATTTGTGTATGTTGAACCAGCCTTGCATCCCAGGGATGAAGCCAATTTGATCATGGTGGATAAGCTTTTTGATGTGCTGCTGGATTTGGTTTGCCAGTATTTTATTGAGGATTTTTGCATCAATGTTCATCAGGGATATTGGTCTAAAATTCTCTTTTTTGGTTGTGTCTCTGCCAGGCTTTGGTATCAGGATGATGCTGGCCTCATAAAATGAGTTAGGGAGGATTCCCCCTTTTTCTATTGATTGGAATAGTTTCAGAAGGAATGGTACCAGTTCCTCCTTGTACCTCTGGTAGAATTCGGCTGTGAATCCATCTGGTCCTGGACTTTTTTTGGTTGGTAAGCTATTAATGATTGCCTCAATTTCAGAGCCTATTATTGGTCTATTCAGATATTCAACTTCTTCCTGGTTTAGTCTTGGGGGGGTGTATGTGTCGAGGAATTTATCCATTTCTTCTAGATTTTCTAGTTTATTTGTGTAGAGGTGTTTATATTATTCTCTGATGGTAGTTTGTATTTCTGTGGGATCAGTGGTGATATCCCCTTTATCATTTTTTATTGCATCTATTTGATTCTTCTCTCTTTTCTTCTTTATTAGTCTTGCTAGCGGTCTATCAATTTTGTTGATCCTTTCAAAAAACCAGCTCCCGGATTCATTGATTTTTTGAAGGGTTTTTTGTGTCTCTATTTCCTTCAGTTCTGCTCTGATCTTACTTATTTGTTGCCTTCTGCTAGCTTTTGAATGTGTTTGCTCTTGCTTCTCTAGTTCTTTTAATTGTGATGTTAGGGTGTCAATTTTAGATCTTTCCTGCTTTCTCTTGTGGGCATTTAGTGCTATAAATTTCCCTTTACATACTGCTTTGAATGTGTCCCAGAGATTCTGGTATGTTGTGTCTTTGTTCTCGTTGGTTTCAAAGAACATCTTCATTTCTGCCTTCATTTCGTTATGTAACCAGTAGTCATTCAGGAGCAGGTTGTTCAGTTTCCATGGAGTTGAGCGATTTTGAGTGAGTTTCTTAATCCTGAGTTCTAGTTTGATCGCACTGTGGTCTGAGAAACAGTTTGTTATAATTTCTGTTCTTGTACATTTGCTGAGGACTGCTTTACTTCCAATTATGTGGTCAATTTTGGAATAGGTGTGGTGTGGTGCTGAAAAGAATGTATATTCTGTTGATTTGGCGTGGAGAGTTCTGTAGATGTCTATTAGGTCTGCTTGGTGCAGAGCTGAGTTCAAGTCCTGGATATACTTGTTAACTTTCTGTCTCATTGATCTGTCTAATGTTGACAGTGGGGTGTTAAAGTCTCCCATTATTATTGTGTGGAAGTCTAAGTCTCTTTATAGTTCTCTACAGACTTGCTTTATGAATCTGGGTGCTCCTGTATTGGGTACATATATATTTAGGATAGTTAGCTCTTCTTGTTGAATTGATCCCTTTACCATTACGTAATAGCCTTCTTTGTCTCTTTTGATCTTTGTTGGTTTCAAGTCTATTTTATCAGACACTAGGATTGCAACCCCTGCCTTTTTTTGTTTTCCATTTGCTTGGTAGATCTTCCTCCATCCCTTTATTTTGAGCCTATGTGTGTCTCTGCTCGTGAGATGGGTTTCCTGAATACAGCACACTGATGGGTCTTGACTCTTTATCCAATTTGCCAGTCTGTGTCTTTTAACTGGAGCATTTAGCCCATTTACATTTAAGGTTAATATTGTTATGTGTGAATTTGATCCTGTCATTATGATGTTAGCTGGTTATTTTGCTCATTAGTTGATGCAGTTTCTTCCTAGCATTGATGGTCTTTACAATTTGGCATGTTTTTGCAGTGGCTGGTACTGGTTGTTCCTTTCCATGTTTAGTGCTTCCTTCAGGAGCTCTTTTAGGACAAGCCTGGTGGTGACAAAAATCTCTCAGCATTTGCTTGTCTGTAAAGTATTTTATTTCTCCTTCACTTATGAAGCTTAGTTTGGCTGGATATGAAATTCTGGGTTGAACGTTCTTTTCTTTAAGAATGTTGAATATTGGCCCCCACTCTCTTCTGGCTTGTAGAATTTCTGCTGAGAGATCAGCTGTTAGTCTGATGGGCTTCCCTTTGTGGGTAACCCAACCTTTCTCTCTGGCTGCCCTTAACATTTTTTCCTTCATTTCAACTTTGGTGAATCTGACAATTACGTGTCTTGGAGTTGCTCTGCTCGAGGAGTATCTTTGTGGCATTCTCTGTATTTCCTGAATTTGAATGTTGGCCTGCCTTGCTAGATTGGGGAAGTTCTCCTGTATAATTTCCTGCAGAGTGTTTTCCAACTTGGTTCCATTCTCCCTGTCACTTTCAGGTACATCAATCAGATGTAGATTTGGTCTTTTCACATAGTCCCATATTTCTTGGAGGCTTTGTTCATTTCTTTTTATTCTTTTTTCTCTAAACTTCTCTTCACGCTTCATTTCATTCATTTGATCTTCCATCACTGATACCCTTTCTTCCAGTTGATTGAATCGGCTACTGAGGCTTGTGCATTCGTCACGTAGTTCTCGTGCCTTGGTTTTCAGCTCCATCAGGTTCTTTAAGGACTTCTCTGCATTGGTTACTCTAGTTAGCCATTCATCTAATTTTTTTTCAGGGTTTTTAACTTCTTTGCCATGGGTTCGGACTTCCTCCTTTAGCTCGGAGTAATTTGATTGTCTGAAGCCTTCTTCTCTCAACTCATCAAAGTCATTCTCCGTCCAGCTTTGTTCCATTGCTGGTGAGGAGCTGCATTCCTTTGGAGGAGGAGAGGCGCTCTGATTTTTAGAGTTTCCAGTTTTTCTGCTCTGCTTTTTCCCCATCTTTGTGGTTTTATCTACCCTTGGTCTTTGATGATGGTGATGTACAGATGGGTTTTGGTGTGGATGTCCTTTCTGTTTGTTAGTTTTCCTTCTAACAGTCAGGACCCTCAGCTGCAGGTCTGTTGGAGTTGGCTGGAGGTCCACTCCAGACACTGTTTGCCTGGGTGTCAGCAGCGGAGGCTGCAGAACAGCAGATATTGGTGAACAGCAAATGTTGCTGCCTGATCTTTTCTCTGGAAGTTTTGTCTCAGAGGAGTAACCGGCCGTGTGAGTTGTCAGTCTGCCCCTACTGGGGGGTGCCTCCCAGTTAGGCTACTAGGGGGTCAGGGACTCACTTGAGGAGGTAGTCTGTCCGTTCTCAGATTTCAAGCTCTGTGCTGGGAGAACCACTACCCTTCAAAGCTGTCAGACAGGGACATTTAAGTCTGCAGAGGATTCTGCTGCCTTTTGTTTGGCTGTGCCCTGCCCCCAGAGGTGGAGTCTACAGAGGCAAGTAGGCCTCCTTGAGCTGGGGTGGTCTCCACCCAATTTGAGCTTCCCGGCTGCTTTGTTTACCTACTCAAGCCTCAGCAATGGCGGGCACCTCTCCCCCAGCCTCCCTGCTGCCTTGCAGTTTGATCTCAGACTGCTGTGCTAGCAATGAGCAAGGCTCTGTGGGTGTAGGACCCTCTGAGCCAGGAGCGGGATATAATCTCCTGGTGTGCTGTTTGCTAAGACAGTTGGAAAAGCGCAGTATTCGGTTGGGAGTGACTTGATTTTCCAGGTGCTGTCTGTCACCCCTTTCTTTGACTAGGAAATGGAATTCCCTGACCCCTTCTGCTTCCTGGGTGAGGCAATGCCTTGCCCTGCTTCGGCTCATGCTCGTTGCGCTGCACCCACTGTCCTGCACCCACTTTCCGACACTCCCCAGTGAGATGAACCCAGTACCTCAGTTGGAAATGCAGAAATCACCGGTCTTCTGTGTCACTCAAGCTGGGAGCTGTAGACTGGAGCTGTTCCTATTCAGCCATCTTGGCTCTACACCCTGATGTCTTATCTAATTTTTGTTTTTATTTTTTCTACTTTCTTTAAAATTTGTGAAGGTTTATTTTCATTTTTAAGTTAAGTCAAAGTCTTTTTATCTATCTCTTAGGGCTTCTTCTTTGACCCACAAATTATTTAGAAGTATGTTATTTAGTTTCCAAATATTTGGGGGCTATTCTAGCTACTTTCTGTTGTTGATTGTTAGTTTAATTCCATCATGCTTTATGAATTATACGTATTGTGGTCTGTGAATTTTACACATACGTATCTTGTATAATTTCTCTTCTTTTAAATTTGTGAAGGTGCATTTAATAGCTCTGATTGTGTTCTATCTTATTGAACGTTTTATGTAGCTTGAAGTGCATAAGTATTATACTGTTTTTGGATACAGTATTTTATAAATGTCAAGTAGATCAAGTTGATTGATAGTGCTGTTTAGGTCACCTATATCCCTACTGATTTTCTGCCTGCTTGATCTACCAATTACTGATAGAATAGTATAGAATTATCCAACTATAATATGAAATTAATATAGGTACCCTAGATTTCTTATTTTATTGTTAGTATGATGTATCTTTTATATACTCTTACTTTTAACCTGAGTCTTTATATTTAAAATGCATTTTTTGTGAACAACATATGATTGGATGTTGTTTTCCATGAATTTTTCTATCTCTGTTTTTAAAAAATTGTGTACATAGATACATTTAAGGTATAGTTGATATAGCTGGTTTCATATATACCATGTTTGTAACCTTTCTGTTTCATTTATTCTTCATTTTTCTCTTTTCTGCCTTCTCTGATTTTACTTGAGCATTTAATATGATTCCATTTCATTCTCTCTCTCTTAGTATATCAATAATATTTCTTTTTCAAGAAATTTAAGTTGCCCTGGTGTTTACAACATATAGTTTTAATATAAGTCCAACCTTCAAATAACACTAAACTGCTTCCCATGTAGTATATTTTATTAAAAGATTGTTCCCAATTTCTTCCATCCATTTCCTGTGACATTGCTGTTATTCACTTTTCTTACACATATGCTATGATCACCCAATACACTGTTTTCAGACAGTTGTCAGTTACGTCAATTAAGAAAAAAATCATTTTGTTTTCATTCACTTATTCCTTCTCTGACACTCTTCTTTTCTTATATATATAAGGTTTTAATATATATTTTTTTCATTTCTGTCCAAAGACCTTTTTCACATTTCTTGCAAGGTATATCTACTGGTGATGCATTCTCTCAGTTTTTGTTTGAGAAAGTCTTTATTTCTCCTTCATTTTTGAATAACATTTTTTCTGGATATAAAATTCTAGGTTGGTGGATTAATTTTTTCTCTCAACACTTTAAATATTTCATTTCACTCTCTTTTATTGCATGGTTGCTGACAAGAGGTCCATTGTAATTCTTATATCTGTATATTAGTTTTCTAGGGCTGTCATAAATTATCACAAACTGGGTAGCTTGAAACAGAAATGTATTCTTTCACCGTTCTGGAGGTCTGTAGTCTGAAATCAAGGTGTTGGTGGAGTGGTCCTCTCTCAAGGCTCTAGGAAAAGTCCTTTTCTGCCTCTTTCATCTTTGGGTGGCTCTAGGGGTTCCTTAGCTTGGGGCTGCGTAACTCCAATCTGTGCCTCCATCTTCTCATGACTTCTCCTGTGTCTCTCCTTTGTGTTCTCTGTGTCTTTTCCTCTTCTTATAAGGACACTTGTCATTGGATTCAGGGCCCACTCAGATAACCCAGGATGAATCTTATCTCAATATCCCTCACTTAAACCTTTTCACAGAATATTTTTCCAAATAAAGTCACATTTTAAAATGCCAGGGGTTAGGACTTGCACATATATTTTGACGACTACAATTCAATCCACCAAAACCTGTTTCTCTATAGGGTTTTTCCTCAAGATCAACATTTATTTAGGTTTTCATTAATTTATATGTGCAATGGTTTTTATAGCTTTTGGTTTTCTACATGTTTTGCCAGATTTTTCACTGATAATATTTACTGATAATATTTTAAATTGTACTGTTTTAACTTTCAGTTTCCAATTGTTCATTACTAGTATATAAAAATACAACTGATTTTTTGCATATAGATCATTTGTCCTATAATATTGCCAAACTCAATTATTAGCTCTTGAAACTTTTTTTTTAGATTAATAGGATATTCTACATATGCTATCTTGGAGTCTGTGAATAAAGACAGTTTTACATCACCCTTTCATATCTAGAGATCTTTATGTTTTCTCTTGTTGCACTGGATAGAATCTCCAGTACAAAATTGAACAACCTCCTAGGTAAACAGATTGCTTTTAGTTGTACTTTCCTGAATGCAAACACTCAGAACAACTTTCAGCATGTGAATATCTGCCCCTTCTTCAGTTATATGACAAAAAAAGCCTAAGTCTGGGTAATACACTTTCTGAGATTAACAAAGCCTCCAAGATTTAACAGGAAATTTATAAGAAAGAAGTGGGATAGGCTGGATGCAATGGCTCACGCCTGTAATCCAAACACTTTGGGAAGCCGAGGCGGGCAGATCACCTGTGGTCAGGAGTTCAAGGCCAGCCTGGCCAACATGGTGAAACTCTGTCTCTACTAAAATACAAAAATTAGCCAGGCATGATGGTGGGTGCCTGTAATCCCAGATACTCAGTAGGCTGAGATGGGAGAATCACTTGAACCCGGGAGACGGTGGTTGTAGTGAGCCAACATCGCACCACTGCACTCCAGTCTGGGCAGCTGAGCGAGACTCCGTCTCAAAAAAAAAAAGAAAGAAAGAAAGAGAGAGAGAGGAAAACAAAGAAAGAAAGAGAGAGAGAGAGAGAGAAAGAAAAGTGGGATGATTCACATATTCACCAAGACTTAAATACTAAATACAGCCACATTACCTTGGATGGATGTTAGGCAAGACATCCAAAATAGTAGGTGCTGGTGAAGAGTAAGGGAGAATTGAATAAACCACTAACTGAATGGGCTGGCAATGGGGAAAGGCTTAGAGAAAACGTCCTCTCCCTGCCATGTGTGCCAACAGAATGGAACATAGGGAAATGAGGAGAGGTGGAAGGTCATTTCAGGAAGGCTGTTTAGGGGATACTAAAAAGATACCCTCTTTCTCCAATCAGAGCATTTTGGCTTCACTACCATTTCCCCAACTCCTGCCCAGAGGTATCAAGAGTCATGCTTTTTAAATGTCCAAATGAACCCAAAGTTGCCATGCTGATCAAACAAAGTTTATGGGTATGGTTCTTCATTGTCCTAGTGAGGGGTATATACTGTATAGGGAAATGACAAAATTGTTCAAATGGACAACTGAAACCTTTGCAATTTGACTCTGGTTGTATTAGTCAGGGTTCCCTAGAGGGACGGAACTAATAGGATACATGTATATATGAAGGGGAGGTTTTAAAGAAGATGAAGTCCCACGACACGCAGTCTGCAAGCTGAGGAGCAGGGAAGCCAATCTGAGTACCAAAACCACAAAAGTAGGGAAGCCGACAATGCAGCCTTCAGTCTGTGGCCATAAGCCCGAGAGCCCCTGGCAACCACTGGTAGAGGTCCAAGAGTCTAAAAGCTGAAGAACTTGGAGTCTGATGTTCAAGGGCAGGAAGCATCCAGCACTGGAGAAAGATAAAGGCCAGAAGAATTCAGCAAGTCAAGTCCTTCCAACTTCTTCTGCCTGCTTTGGTCTAGTCTCTCTGGCAGCTGATTAGACGATGCTCACCCTGATTGAGGATGGGTCTGTCTCTCCCTGTCCACTGACTCAAATGTTATAGTCTCTTTTGGCACCACCCTCACAGACACTCCCAGGAACAATACTTTGCATCCTTCAATCCAATCAAGTTAACACTCAATATTAACCATCATACTGGAGAAATATATAATCAGTTTTAAGCATGAACCAGAAAAGATTGAACTAAAACGTCAATGACCTAGCATTCTAAAATTTTCATAAATTTAAATAGTAAACATCTTACTGAATTAGAGAAGTGTTTAGTATTTAGTAAATGAATATAAATAATGTAACATATATATGAAGCTAAGAGACAGCTTAACAGTGAAAACCATGTTAACTAAATAAAACTTAGCAGAAGTAAATCTATTTACCATAAAAGTAAGCCAATCACCTTGTAGCATTTTTAGACAGTTGAGACATGCTTAAAAGAGATAATGAAAGCCATATGTATTCCCTCCCCACCCCCATCCCCAGAGTTTACCACAGTGAACAGATTCTGTATATTCTTTCAGAGGATTTTATGTATATTACAAAACTTATATGAAAAATTTAAATTGTGATGTCTCATTAGACTACTGTTCTGCATCTTGCTCTTTCACTTAACAATAGGTCTTGGGCATTTTTCCATGTTAATGTATATCTGTCTATCTCTCCATTTTCATTGGCTGAATAATACGAATCTTTAGGATATTTTCAGTTTCTGCTACTACAATTATGGCAATAAACATCCTGTATTCCATCTTAGTTTACTTATGCTATTGCTTCTGTAGGATAAATCCCCACAAATTGAATTGCTATATCAAAATTTATGCACATCTTATAATTTGTTAGATGCTGTCATATTTTTCTTCAAAATTGTGCTAATTTACATTCTTGTGGTGTATGAAAACACTTATTTCTCTTATATTCTTAGAAACATATTTTTTAATCTTTGCCAATATTACCAAAGAAATATAGGGTTTTATTTTCCTTAAAAATTATTAGTAAAGAATATTTTAAATGCATATTGGACTTTGTATTTCTTATTCTGTGAGCTCCTTTTAGTTTGATATCCTATTTTCTATTAGGTCATTTCTCTTCTTTATAAACCTGTAGGAGTTCTTAATATAACAAGAACAAAAGTAATAGGCAACATTTTTTGAGCACTTGACTATGTGCTAGGAGTATTTTAAGAACTTTATCCTTATTATTTTATTTATCATTCAGAAGAACTTAAAGAGAAAAATACTACATTGCCTCTATCTGATAACAAAACCGAAGCACAGAAAGTTGAAGTAACTTGCCCCAGATAACATAGTAAGTGGTTATATTGGAATTTGAATGCTGCCAAGTTTATATCCAGAGCTTACTCTCCTAGTTGGAATTACGTTGAATTTTAGATTAATTCAGCAAAATTTCATCTCTGTACTCTCCTGAGTCTTCTCATGACTACAATTCTTATTTTAAATAAAATGTTTAAAATACCTTTCAAGCATAATTTTATAATTTTTATAGTGCTTTTGTACATTTTGATTGGATTTATTTCTAGATGGTATTTTGTTACTAATATCAATGGTTTTAATTTTAATTGCAATTTCTGTTTGTTGCTAGTGTGAATAAACAAGATTTATTTTTGCATATTGATATTTTTTGCAGCAATGTGGCTGAACTCTCTTGTTAGTTCCAAAAACTAGTGTGCATGTTCTCTTAGTTTTCTATGTCGATAAACTTGTCTGTGATTAATATCAGTTCTGTTTCTTTATTTAGAAACCTAATACCTTTGGTTATTTTTCTTGCCTTACAGTGCTAGCTTGTAGGAATTCTAGTACAATACCGAATAGATAGGATGCTAGTCGCCTTCTTAACAACTAGGTTCTTATAGATGCACACTAAGCACAAGCATATTAAAGGTTTTGAGAAGACCTAAAAGTCTGTATTTAATTAATCTTCTAACAGTTATATAGCATTACTGTGTTTCAGGTACTCTTCTAAGTGCTTTATATATGTTAGTTCATTTAATTCACCTAAAATCTTTTGAGGCAGGGATCAGTATTATCTTTATTCTATAGTTGAGGAAACAAAGGCACAGAGAGAATATTTTGCTTGTTCCATACCACCTGGCTAGCAAGGGACAGAGTCCAAGGTGTGTTTCTAGAGTCTTTACTTCTAGCTACTATGCCAAGTTGAACTAAAATTTTATTCTAATGCATTTACTTTAAATAGCAGGTGGAACTGTGGTATTACTTCCCTATAATAAAATAGCAGTTAGTGTAAATTTTATTTGTTTTGAGGCTGTGAGTAAAATGCAATCCATCTGAAATAATACCTACATGAAAATATACAAAGAAGCCTCTGGTAGCTAGTGTCTCCATCTTCCTTTGCCTATACGATCACATGCAGAAAATGCGAGATGGGTTCTCCAATAAGATGATTAATTAAATACCAAATGGTCATTCAAAATAGAACAGTGATCAAAGAAGAGCAGGTGGACTTCCTAGCTACTATGTAACAACAAATAGTGCATTTTCCCTAAAGAGTTTGTAATCAGTACTCTTACATAGAAAGTCTGCTTAATTTAAGATAACTCACACTGATATTTCCAAAATTTGCATAAGATCACTGGCAGATCTTTTTGTTCCTCTATAATTATACTTGGGTAGTATTTCTAAGGTAGAGGGAAGCATTTTCCTATCTAGAACTAGTCAGAAGCAAAATGTGTGTCCCTGGTATGAAATAAGTATACTTTGATACCTTTTTAATGAAATGAAAGGTTGACAACTAATAATGTGAACTAGCTCATAGGAGCTCTGAGCCATATGATCCACTTGTTAATAACTTCTGAGTGACAATTGGTGGGTGAAGGCCGTGAAAGTTTTGTTTTGGTTACAATTTCTCTGTAAACAAAATAAGATTTTTACATGGGTGACATTTGCTATCATAGTGGAGTGTAGCATTTTCCAGACTCTGACCTGATGCTAGTGGCATGATAGATGGTAATTTTTGGTATATGAACAAAGGAATACTATAATCAAATTAATTTTTGGAATTCTGCAGTTAATATACCTGATTATCTTTCTTATTTATGTGTTCTCAACTTATTTGACCTCAGAATACTTTATTGTGTACCACTTGTCTAACATCTCCTGGCCAGTTATGCATAAATCAGTGTTATGTTAATCTCAGATAGGGAAAAACGGGTGTACTCGAAAAAGCATCTGAAGCTAGACAGGCCTAGGCTTTTCCATTTTTCACTTTTATCAGCTTTGCAACTTTGAGTCAATTTTCTAATATCTCTAAGCCTCTTGGTAACAATAACATCTACCTTGCATTGATGTTTTGAACATTATATAGAATAATGTACAAAAAGTGCCTAGCATAGATGCTGAAGCAACGTAGCCATTACCTAGCATCCACCTCTATATTATCACCATGTCCTGCTCTTCATCATCATCTGTGCATCCCCTGCAGAACCACAAATATTCCCCCCATGGCCATGCCCGAGTGTTGGCTCACTGGCCATGCAACTCTCCTAAGCCTCTCCACCCTGCCCCACAATTCAATGATACTTCTGCCCAGTGTAAGATTGTTCTGGATTTGGATCTGCCTCCATTTCTCTATTATCAGCCCAATTGCAGATACCTCTCTTCTCCTTTTTCATCAAACCCACTTATAATAACTATACATTCAGAAAATTACTGTCTTCTTTATATTTATTTATTTCTTGCCCCAGAAGAAAAGACAAACATGTAAATCAGTAGTAATAATACTGTGTGAAAAGTGATAGACTAATGTAGATGTTGCAAATATATCATAGGAAAGGGAAACCTGTCTTCTTGGAAATTTGGGAAGGCTTCATAGAGTTGTTGACTTTTTGATTCTGCAGATTATGGAGAATAAAAGGATGAATAGAAGCTTTTTAGGCAGACAAGGATAATTAAATGCAGATTATTTTTTAGAGTCAAGGACATTGTTGCTCTCACTTCTTAGTTCTCTGCATGAAATCATCCTTCCTCTACCGACTTTTTTTCATGGCCTATTCCGCTGTAGGTTTAGAAATCTTCATTCCATGGTAAAAAAAAATTCCCCTAAATCTAGAACTCCTACATGGAATACTCTGCTCTCAAGATGCACAAAAATGTGAGAAACCATAAGGAACTGTTTCCCAACACTTCTCATCTGAACTGTAAACTCATACATATTTAGCAGAACACTGGACATCTCTACTTGGATGTTCTAAAAGAAACCCCAAATTAAACATGTTAAAAATGAACTCTTTATCTTTCTTACAAATATCTTCATAATCTAGCCTGGTAATGGACACCTCCTACTCAATGACTGAAGATAAAACTAGGAATCATGTAAGAGCCCTATAGAAATGAAGAAGAGGGAGAACTTTATCTCCACATCTAGTGTCTTGAAGGTGGGCATTAGGAAAAGCTTCATGGAAAGCTTCACAGAAGAGATGACACCAAAAAGAAAACCTAAAATTAGTGTGTCGAAGAGATATCTGCACCTCCATGTTCACTGCAGCATTATTCATAAAAGCCAAGTTATGGAATCAATCTCAGTGTCCGTCGATGGATGAATGGATAAAGAAAACATGGCATATATGCACAAAAGAATATTATTCATCCTTTAAAAAGAAGGAAATTCAGGCGTTTGTGACATGGATGAACCTCAAAAATATTATGCTAAGTGGAATAAGCCAGTCACAGAAAGACAAACAGTGCATGTTTTTATTTACTGTAGAATCTAAAAATGTCAAACTTATAGATGCAGGGAGTGGAAAACCATGGTTATCAGAGGCTGGTGGGGTTGGGGAGAGGAATCAGGGAGACGTTGGTCAAAGGGCAGAAAATTGCATTTAGACAGGGGAATAAATTATTAGTATTTAAGGTGATGGATATGTTAATTAGCTTGATTCAATCATTCCACACTATATACATATATCATCACTGTGGGTCCCATAATTGTATATGATTATAATTTGTCAAAATAAAAAATTTAAAAAGAAAAACAAAATAAACCTAGTGGAAGAAAAAGAAAGTGAAAGATATTGAAGGGAGAGAGAACAGTGTATCCAAAAAGCATGTGTTCAGGACACTATGACATGTTGAAAACTTGCATATATATGGTATGGTCAAGGTGAGTAGGGAATGAACCATATCCAGGAAGAGGCCAGGCAGGCAGCTGCTCTGATGTCAATCTACTATGGGCATTAAACATTAAAATATTAAGTAGTAGATGGCACCAGTTAAGTCATGTTTCTATCTACAACTCATTATATCACTGCCAAAATAGAAATCACACATTCTTTGACAGAAATACTCAGTACCTCGCCTAAAAATTAAAAAGCATTCCTACTGGTACTGACTTCTCATTGTCAAATGTTTTCTGCAACACACATGCACAAGTTGCATGTTCCAACTACAGTTGGCACAACTAAACCCAAGACAGTCAGAGGATAGTCACCTATATTCAGCAACAATACATTGGACTATTTATTTAGAATTAGAAATTATCTAGTAGCTACATTTTAACTGGTTCACGCTGCTTCCCAAGTAGTTGTCAGAATTTAGAAATTGTATGGTATAAATTAATGTCATAAATCTTTTACCTTAAGCATAAAGAGGAATAAAATTTTATCCTTAATAAATCAATTTCTTCCTATCCTCGCTTAGACAAAATGGCTGAAGAAGTATTGAAAAAATACTGACTTGATTAGTATCGAATTGTTAGCTTTCCTGAGAGTCCCACTTTTTATCATTCTGGCTCTGAATATGGGGGAGTAATGAGAGAGATGAAGCTACAAAGATCAGCAGGGGACAAATAACTAGCAGGCCATATATGCAATGTAAAATATAAAATTGATCTTGTGTGTCGTTGGGACCCATGGAGAGATTTAACTATGAGATTGGTGTAATTTTATTTACATTTCAGACAAATTACTCTGCTAGCCATGCAAAAGATGGCTTGAACAAGGAGAGGAGGAAGTATGATTGAAGGCAAGAAACAGAAACCCCACTTAGGAGGCTGCTGACTTGAATGAGACTGTGCTTGCAGGGATAAAGAGGGCACCAGAAATTTAGAATCTTTTTTAACAGGCAGATGACCCAAGACTTGGTGACCAATTGGGTGTGGAGAATGAAGTAGAGGTTGGAGTCCAGAATGACTTATTTATCCATTTATTTCAAAAATATATTTATCTCCTACTTTGTGCCAGAAACTGCTAGAGCCTGGAATTCTAAAAATAAGTAAAACACAATAATTGTCTTCAGGTAAAATAAATGGAAATAAATAAAAATATTTATAAGACAGTATGATGGAACCTTAGTAAAATTATGTACAAGCTACAATGGGGACTAAAGAAGAGGAAGTGATTTACCCTAACTGGGAAATTTGACAAAGTCTTCAGAGAGCAGATGATCTTTGAGCCAAGTCTTCAAGAACACATAAAAGTTGCTTGGATGGGCATGGACCATTCTGGTAAAACCATTCCTAGTAGAGGGAGCTGTGTGTGCAAAGGCTCATAAGTTTAAAACAACATCAACTTATTTGGTTAATAAAACTACAAGTTGTTTAACCTATGAATGAGGAGGTGTGGGATGAGAGAGGCCACACAGTTAATTAGAAAGGCTAGATCAGCTTTGGTAAACCTCATGCTGATGAGTTTGGACTTGTCCTAGAAGGCAATGAGTAGTCATTGAAGGCTTTAAAACAGGGAAGTGACATGTGTGTGTTGTGTTTGGGAAAGATCCTGCTCTTTGAAACCTGTAAACATAGGCAAAGTTGATCACACACCTTTCGTCGTTTCTGCAGTACCTATTTTTTTTTAAAAAAACAAAAAACAGTTATCACACTGGAGTCAAACTGAAAGGCTTTGAATGCTGGATCAGTTAACCACTTACTATTGGACCTTGAGCAAGTCACTTTACCATTGATTCATTTATTCCTCTTTTCTGATAAATAGGATATTAATTGTTCCACCCACATTGGGTTCTAGTGATGATTAAATAAGGTAATGTATGTAAATGTTTGTAACGGTGCCTTAAATACACAAAATAAATAACACAAATAGCATAAAACAAATATTTTTTTTTGCTTGTGTGTTTATAAGACAATCTACCCTACAAGACTTTGACCTTCCCAAGGGCAAAAATTGTGCCCATTTTTGTATTTCCAGTCTTAGCACAGTGCATGGCTATGGTAGACACAATGGTGTGTTATCCAGATCCCCCTTCAGGGAAGGACTCATCTCAGCTATTGGAAGTGCTGTCCGCAAACAGCCTTCAGTAATCAGCCCCTTCAGGGATCAGCTCAGCTGTAGAGGGTTGCCTTGCTCAAAGTCACATCCCTTCCCAAGGTGGCCAAGACACAACGAGTAAATGATTTAGGATTACATATGCCTGATCCTACCCACCCATGGAGGGGTGTGGGACTTCTGAAGGGCAGCTATAGCTTCAGAGATCCTGTGGGGTTGTACAAGGCTGTCACTGGGCTGCATCAAACATCACCTTCTCCTGCTGCCTACTCCTGTTTCCTTCCCTCTCTTTTCTGCAGATGTTATCTCAAGGTCACTTCTTAGTAAATATCCTGCATAATGAAGCCCATCTCAGAACTGGCTTCCTCGGAAATCCAACCCCAGATTATGGCATTGAAGAGGTACTCAAAGTTTAGTTGGATTAATTAATTAATGCTTATCTTATTTTTGCTGCTGAATGTGGAAATCCTAGGCTTTACGTGTTATTTAACCCATCTTCCCTTCATTTTGCTGGGAATGCAGTGAACGATGTGGTCTGACAGGAAAATATGCCCCCTTTTTTTTCACTCTATACTCTTATGTATGTACACGCAGGGATAAATTATACTCTGGCAGAGTGCAAATTTTCTGTGCCAAAAGCGTTTCTGTTGGCTTTTCTCCTTGTAATTAAACCATGTTCTTCCTTGAGGATGTCTTAAACATAAATGCTTGGATTTTAAGAGACAACTAATACAATGTGAAAAGAAACTGCATTGATAATATATTCCTTAAGAGATATCTAATGCAATACACTTAAACCCTAAAGTAAATTCACTGATAAATCAACTCAGTATACCATGTGAATGTTTAGTTTCTTGCTTCTTAGTGGTACTGTTGGTAGGAAAGGGCCTTGAATTTCTTTATACATCATGCCATCATAGATAATAAGGTGTATTTTTGTTGTGTAGTATGTGAGGTTTTAAACTGTAAATATAAAAACATTGTCACAGACAATTCAGTCCTACTATCCTGGGATGAGAGGGATTCAAGTAACTAAAAGTTGGGAAGTCCCCTCTTGAATCTTATGGCAGTCTTGAGGGCATAGGTCTAAAAACACTGGGAATGCCTATTGCTATTCCAATAAAATTTTCTCTCTTAAGAAATATATAAACAAATTCAGAGATGTCGGTTGAGATAAATATGTAAGTGAAAACTCCCAAATCATGCAAATGAATGAAATTTCTGGACTGTGTTAACTGGGAGCTGACCTAATAAAATGCAATGACTTTAATAAGATGTAGATGGTTATCTAACTTCTAGCTTCCAAGTGAAGGCATGAGATTATGAAGAGTAGTGAAGCTAGCAGTTTGAATATGCCAAAGAGAAGCAGTAAAGTGTTTCCATTAAGTGAAAAGTTGAAAGTTCTTCACTTAATAAGGAAAGAAAAAAGTCGTATGCTGAGGTTGCTATGATACACAGTAAGAACAAATCTTTTGTCCATGAACTTGTGAAGAAAGAAAAATAAATTTGTGCTAGTTTTGCTGTCATACCTCACATTGCAAAATTTATGACCACAGTGCATAATAAGTACTTAGTTGAGATAAAAAGACACAACATAAAGGATAATGCTTGAGGGGATGGATACTTCATTTTGCATGATGTGATTATTACACAATTGCATGCCTATATCAAAACATCTTATTTACCCCGTAAATATATACACCTGTTATGTACCCCATTTTTTGAAAGATGGAAAAAGCATTACATTTGTGGATGGGAGACATGAACAGAAACATGTTCCAATTGATGGCAGTTGGAATCAGTACTATCCACAGTTTCAGCATCCACTGGGTGTTTGGAACTTATCCTCTGAGGATAAGGGGGACTACTTTATATCCTTTGATTGTCCTTGTATTCATTCTCAGAGTAAGGTTTGTTGTAATAGTTCAGTTTCATCCAGTTTTTAGCCTCAACATTTGTTTTCCCTTGTAAATACATAACCATTAAATAAAAACAAACATTCATTAAAAGGAAAGGCTATCTCATCTCATTTTAGAGCATTTAGGATTAAACTTATGGCTTTTAAGCAATCAAATTGCTTCTTCAGAGGTATTAGCTGCACAGTTACATATGCATTCATTCCTTCAGCAAACATTTTATTGCATATGTAGTTATATGAACAAATAACACAAAAATTGAGGACCCAGAGATGAATAAAACTGTCCCTGCACTCATGGACTTCACAGTCATTAGGACATGGAAAAGTAAACATAATACTACAATGTAATATAAGAAGGACTGTAAGAGATGCTGGAAGAGGGAACAAGAGGCTTTGATTGACCACAAAATACGTACTTAATTAAGATTTGGGTGGGGAAAATGTATTAGGGTAGCTTACTGGAGAAGGTGGTGATGCCCAAGATAAGTCTTGTGTGATCATTAGGAATGAATCAAGCAAAGAGACAGGGGAAATGCATTCCAAGTAGAAGGATCACTATGTGCAAAGACATTCAGATAAGACTAAGAGAGATTCAGGATGGGAGTTCTGGAAGGAAAAAGACAAACAAAAACATCAATAGGATAGGAAAGTTCATTTTTAGTCCTTAATGTGATACCTCATCACCTCATTAAACAATTCATTTGTGAAGACACCTTTTATAGGTGGTATATTTCTTTCAGTTTATAACCCATACATTTCTCAAAAGAATCTTGAGATTCCTGAATGTTTACTATCAATTTTGCCCACTTGAGAAATAAATTTCAAATGGCTTAGCTTTTACAAACGTCTGTATATGAGCATTGTTTAATATAGCATTGATTCAATAGCTTCACTACATGTCTAATACTAAAACTGGCCCAATCTTGGGCTTTTTAAGTTGACTGTCTCATCCACCTGCTCTGGGACCAGCATGCCATAATAATAGAAGTTTGCAGCTTTCTGAATAATAGTACATGGTGTCACCATTTATGTAAACATAGAGATCTCATAATTTTAAATTAATCACCTCCTTTTCTAAAATACCTTCTATGACAACCCACTGCCTTCAAAACTGAAGCTCAATATCTTATGAAAAGCATTCAAAACATGAGACAAACTCTCCCCCAAACTACCATGTCTGGCTCATTTCCCTCTATTTTCCCTCCTCTTCAAACCTCAAATGCAGCAGCCGTGCTAGAATTCCTTACCATTGCCTGAATATGCTCTGCAGAGTTTTAGCTTTGCTCATGTATCCTTCAGCCTGGAATTCCCCTCCTCACAGGACCCCACCCCTTTATGACTCCTTCCTTCCTATCTAATATCTTCGTTCTCTTTGAGCCTATTGCATTTTTTCACTAATAAGAGTACTTGTAACCTATTGAACCATGGTGATTAATACTGACTCCAACAAAAGTGTGTTCAAGTACAAGTTCTGCCTTCTTTACTAGCTCTGACACCATGCACCAGTTACTTAACCATTTTAAGCCTCTGTTCCCTCATATGTAAAATGGGAATGATGATAATACCTATGTCTTAGGGTTATTGTGAAGATTAAATGACACAATGATTATGACACAGTTAATGTAGTACCTGGCATGTAGTAAGCACTCAATAAATGTGAGTTCTTATAATAAGTATTTCTCTAGATTTTTCTCTCCTTTCTTAGACTTAGGCCTTCTAGTACCATGTCTGGATGCGTACAGCATTTATCATGGGCCTTGGAAGTAATGAGGACGCAATAAGTAGTTGTTAAAATGAATTGATTTTAAAAGAGCTGTGGCCATTTTCCTAGTGGATCAACAGATTCATGAATAGAAGAGGACTTAAACTGAACCAATGGTTTGTTCTTGTCCAAACATATCACTAACTATAGCAAAAACTTATGATTCCCTTAGGTTTCATAGCATTCTGAAGACAGTATATCTGGGTGCCAAGTGACTTTTTATGGGGTTTTAGACTATGAAATATTATTCGTATTTTTACCAACAGAAAAAGATTTGTAAGAAATTTAGAATTTAAATGAATTGCTTCTTGTTTTTAATTTTTTTTCTATATTTAGAATTCACTGCGTGAGATAATTTCCTAGTCACAGTTGAATGGAAAACCATAGTGAAACTACAAATTAGGGTAAAATACTAGCTTCTTGGTATATTTATTCCAAACGCAATTTCCCTCTGCTCCCAATATAATTTACTAAATAAGTACAGTCTAATTACATGTCAAATATTTCTTTTTTTTTGTAACACATTGAGATAATTTCTACCATTTGGTGATTATATGGAATCTGGCCAACTAGGAATGATATACCAACTACTGAACATCCCACTCAGAGTCTCCTCAACACAAGAGGGTGAGGGAGTGTTGAAACATGCATCCATTAGAGCTGTATAACAATCAAAGGGAGTAATGTACAAACGGCTAGCAAATGCTTAGAGCACAGTTTCAAAAGTACAAAGCCTTTTTTATTTTTTATCAAATTAAATATATTCATTGTGACATTAAAAAGCATTATCTAGATAAATGTCTGCCATTTAAGACATACTGTGTAGGTCAGCACACCAATATAGCCTTGTATTAGAAATGTATTTATTTACCAAAAACACAGAAAACACAACAAAGGCTCAGATAATAAGACTCAGTAGTCCCTTACTGTGACACTGAGTTGGCATTCTTGAAGGTCATTTTGAGAGAATCTAAGGGTGAAACTCTCAAATATGAGTTTGAAAAGTCTTGAGTAAACTCATGATGATTTCAGAATTTTAATAATGAGTTATTTTTAGGGTTTTGTTGTATATTGTGTTGTTTCAAATTCCTCATCCCTCCCTATGTCCATGTTGCAGAAATGTCCTCCCAAACTCAAATTTGTGTAGGACTATGATATTTGCTTTGGAGAGTAGAAAAAGTTAGAAGTAACAGTGAGCTAGCTCTAACCTTAGGCCTCAAGAGGCTTGCATGTTTACACTTGCTCTTGGACCTCTCCTATTGTCAGAAAAAGAACGTGACTCAGGCTCGCCCATTGAACCCTGAAGAAGAATGAGAGAAAACTGGAGCAGAGTTGTTACCACAGCAGAGACCAGCCTAGATCAGCTTATCTTCATATGTTTGAGAAAGCATATTTCACATTAGCAAAACAGCCTATTCTACTCCAGCCTGGATCAGCCAACCCCCAGATGTGTGAGCCAGCACACCTGAGTTAAGAAGAGCTGCCCAGATGAGCCTAGCCTAGATCAAACATCACCTACATGTATAAGCAAGCAAAACTGAGATTAGCAGAGCTGCCCAGCAGAGTCCAGCCTAAATTAGTTGACCCACCGAGTTGTGAGGTAAACAAATGATTAACATTGATACCATTGAGATTTTGTGGTTGTTAGTCACATGATGTAGTTGTGGCCATAGTAAACTGATAAATTGTTCACAAGGCACGTTAAAAAGGTTTTTAATTTTATGCCATAATAAAACTCTATTGTCATGAGTGAAAACCAAATATACGTATAGAATATTACACAGAAGTACTCTATGAGAATGACTTTATTTCCATTTTTTCAGCCTGTCTACTTATAACTCTCAAGTCTAACTCTACTCTCTAATAAAAGTTTATTGTCAGGAGTTAAACCAACAAAGAAAATCTTTAAATTTGTATAAATTATCTGAGATTTTCTCTTAATCCCATTTCTCTAAATTTAGAAAGCAATATTTACTGTTTTTTAAATTATATTTTTAGGTACCAAGTTGTTTATATTAACAAAAAAGTAATTTTAAAATGTTGTACCTCGGATTTCTGATGGAGAAGGTACAAAGAGTTATTGCAAATGGTCCAGGAAATCATATTTGTGTATAATACATTTTCACACATTATCATGCAATTTATATTTTAGATAAAACAGCTGAGAAAGACCATTATAGAGTATTTCTTGTAAGGCAGTGAATAACATGATAATAAAACCAAGACAACAATTTTATTCACTAGAGCAGCAAAAATAAGCAAATGTTTAGAAACAAATTTCAAGTGGAAGTCTATACATTGAAGACCATAAAACATTGTTGAAAGAAATTAAAGAAAATCAAATTAGATGGAAAGATATTTCACATTTATGGATTATAATTCTCAGTAATGATAAGATGGAAAATTGATCCATAGATTCAATGCAACCAAATTCCCAGGTGGCTCTGATATGGTTTGCCTCTGTGTCCCAACCCAAATCTCATCTTGTAGCTCCCATAAATCCCAATTGCGGAGGCGGGGGACCCGGTGGGAGATGATCGAATCATGGGGGTGGGTCTTTCCTGTGCTGTTCTCATGATAGTTAATGGGTCTCATGAGATCTGATGGTTTTAAAACAGGAGTTTCTCTGCACAAGCTCCCTTTTTGCCTGCTGCCATCCATGTAAGATGTGACTTGCTCCTCCTTGCCTTCTGCCATGATTCTGAGGCCTCCACAGCCACGTGAAACTGAGTCCAATTAAACCTCTTTCTTTTGTAAATCGCCCAGACTCGGGTATGTCTTTATCATTAGCGTGAAAACGGACTAATACAGCTCTTTTTGCAGAAATTGACAAGCTCTTCTTAAAATCCATATGGATATGCAAGGGACCCAGAATAGTCAAAAACAAACTTGAAAAAAAAAAGTTGGAGGATTCACACTTCCTAGTTTCAAAAATTATTATAAAGATACCTTAGTAAAGATAGTATTGTAGTGGTAAACAGATAGGCATATATATTAATGGAATTAAACTGAAATTCTCAAAATACATCCTCACCTTTATACTCCATTGATGTTCAATAAATTGCCAAGTCAATTTGATAGAGGAGAGGTAGTCTTTAACAAATGGTCCTGAGACATTGAGGTAGCATATGCAAAAAGATGAATCTACATTATAACCTCACACAGTACCCCAAAATCAATTAAACATCTATCATATCAAAATGTAAGAGGTAAAACTTTTAGAAGAAAATCTTTGTAACCTTGGATTAGGCAAGTTCTTAAATACAGCACCAAATGCATGATCCATAAAAGAAAATATTGACAAGTTGGACTTTATATGCATAAAAAGCTTTTGTGTTTCAAAAGACAAGAAAATGAAATGACAACTCAAACCAGGAGAAAAATATGTGCAAGTCATATATCTGTAAAGGACTGTTATCAAGAGTAATTAAACAATTCTCACAACTCAATACAACTCAATTTCTTGTCCGTAATAAGACAAATAGCTCAATTAAGAAATGGGCAAAAGATTTGAATAGACAGCTCAGCAAATATAGGAATAGGAAATAAGCATATGAAGAAATGGTCAAAATCATTAGTCATTATGAAAATGAAAATTAAAACCACAATAACATACCAATATACAACCATTAGAATGACTGTAGCCAAAAAGCCAGATAATAACAAGTGTTGACAATAATGTGGAAAAGTTAGAGCATTGCTGGTGGAAATGTAAAATGTTTTAGGCAATTTTAAAAACAGTTTGACAAATTTTTAAATAGTTAAACATACCACACAACACAGCAATTCTACTCCTATATATCTATCCATGAGATATACAAACATTTTTCCATAAAGGCTTGTGAGAGAATGTTCATAAAAGCATTCTTTTTATAACAGCTACAAACTGGAATCCAAATATTCATCCACTAGTAAAAGAATTTTGAAAAATGTGGTGTGTCCATAAAATGCAGTACAATTCATCAATAAAAAGAAAGAGACTACTGATGAATTCTATAACATGAACAAACCTCAAAAACATAATGCTAAGTGAGAAAAGCCAGATACAAAAGACTGTGCATTGTACAGTTCTATTTATATGCATTAGCCAGAAAAGATAAATCTACAGTGAAAGAAAACAGATCACTGGTTGCTTGAGGCTGGGTCTGAGAGTGTTGACTGACAACACTTGGGCATGAAAGAACTTTTTGGGGTGATAGAAATGTTCTAAAACTGAACTGTTGGAGCAGTTTAACAACTCTATAAATTTATTGAAAGTAACTGAAGTATATAATCAGAGTGGGTAAATTGTATGTTGTATAAATTACAAAATAATAAAGCTATAAAAATGGCACATGAAAACATATGCTTGTCTGCGCTGCCACCCTAAATCCCATTAAAACAACAGAAAAATAACACACATATAAACACAACCACCAGAGAAAGAGAAGAAACTATAGCACAAGAGAGAAATAAACAACATTTTGAAAGGAAAGCAATGGACAGAAGTGGATGGAAATGACTTATCAGAACAGAAAGAGCTGAAGCCTAAGTAGTTATGGAAATAATAAGTGAAATAATTTTTCTTAGACAAACCTGAGCATAGGCTTTGGATTAGTAGGCCCCATTCCACACATGCCCACAGAAAGTATGTGTGAACTTGAGGTGATATGAAAGGATAAGGATAGTTTTAAAATCGACAGAAAATGCTGTTAGACTTCCTGGTCCTCAACACCAACTCATACAGTCACATGTCTAACTCAAAGAGGATGAGACATGAGGTTTATCTTCTGGAGAAACTACAGTTGAGAGTTTCTAGACTGCGTGGTGTGATATTACTCATTTCAAAGCTTAGAATATTCCATACTAATCCAATGTCTCAAAAGCTTATGGTGAATTTTTAGGATTTGACTAAATGTCACTATTCAGCATAAACTGAAAACTAAACTTTTTCAATTATGAAAGAAATAATGAACATAAATCATCGATGAAAAAATTCAAAAGTTCTTTTAGTTAGCCTTCAACAGTTGAGGAAGTTTCTTTCTACTACTAGATTTCTGGGAAGTTTTTAAAAATCATGAATGGATGTTACATTTTGTCAAAGGTTTCTTTCACATCTATTGAGATGATGACATGTTTTTCTTCTTTTATCTATTATATGATGAATTACTCTGATTGATATTTGAATGAACCAACCTTGTTTCCCAAGATAGACACCACATGGTCATGATATAATTTTTATATATTTTTAGATTCTATTTGGTAGTATTTATGTTGATGTTTTTTGCATTGATGTTTATACGGGATATTGTCGTACAATTTTCTTTTGTTGTAATGCTCTTATCTGGTTTCCTTATTAGTGTAATTCTGGTCTCATAAACTGAGTTAAGAAGAATTTCTTCCTCAAATAAATTCTGGAAGAATTCCTGTGGAGTTGTTATTATTTCTTACTTAAATATTTGATACAATTTGCCAGTGAAGCCATCTGGACCAGAATTTTTCTTTGTTGGAAGCTTCTAAACTACAAATTTAATTTCTCAGAATTACATAGTACTATTCAGGTTACCTATGTCTCTTTCAGTGAATTTTGGAAGTTTGCAAGTTTTGAGGAATTCATCCATTTCACCTATATTGTAGAATCTATTGCCATAGGGTTGTTTGTAATATCCCTTTATTATGCTTTTAATATCAATATTGTCTTCTGTGATTTCCCCAATTTCATTCCTGATATTTGTAATTGGTGTCATATTTTGTTCTTGATCAGTCTGGCTAGAAATTTTTCTATTTTGTTGACTTTTTCAAGGTACCTGCTTTTGACTCATTGATTCTTCTCCTCTCCTCACTTTTTGTTAAGTATGGTCTTCTTTACCTAGTATCTTCTGGTGAAATCTTGTATCACTGATGAGACCTTTCTTCTTTTATAATATAGGCATTAACTGTTATAAATTTTCCTTTCAGCACTGCTTTAGCTGTATCCCACAAGTTCTGATATGTTATGTTTTTGTTATCATACAACTCAAAATATTTTCCATTTGGACCCATGGGGATTGTCCAGAAATATTTCTTTTCTGGTTTCCAGTTTAATTCTGTAACAATCAGAGAACTTAGTTTGAAGTATTTTAAATGTGTTAAGTTTTGCTTTATGGCCCAGAATATGTTCAGTCTTTATGATTGTCACCTGTGCATTTTCTTAACAATGTCTTTTGGCTAGTAAAAGTTTTCAATTTTGATGTAGTAGGGATTGTTTGTTGTTACTAAATTGCACTAATGCCCTGCAGAGAGATAATGAGAAAATGAGGTTGGTTAACAAACAATTAAAGGCCAAATGTGAGAGCCAGACTGTCTTCAAGGTAGCCTAACAGGAGGCCTCCAATGGGAGAATAGTTACAGGTTAGGGGTAAATTAAGGATTTGCTAATTAGGGTCCTAGAGGTCCAGAAATGTTTAAATTATCAGCCAAAGTAGGTCCGTTATGCAAAAGTCAAGTCTACTATTAGATGGGATGCTGAAACATGAGATGGAGACATCTAAGGGGATGGTCTTGAAGATTTTCACTCTATAGATCCCCCCTACATCTCTCAAAGCTTCTAGAAGTGGCCCACCATTTTGGAGTAAGAGTTAGTACTTTTACTATGAGAAAAGAAATTACAGAGGCTTCTCTCATGCAAGGCAGCTGGTACTATCCCTCTCCGCACACAGAGATGTCCCATCTCCTCTCTTGGTTGCCAGGACAATAACTAGGGTTAAATATTAACATAACCTGGATCAGAATGTGATAGTTTTGATAAGGAGTAAAGACGTTACACTCTGAAAGAGTTGCAAAAATTTGCTAGCATGTCCTGCAGAAACCATAGTATTTTCTGGGATTCAGTTTCGAGGATGCTTCTACAAGGAATCTGGAATGTAAGACTAGATTACCAAGAATTCATTGATTTAGGGGCACTTCCTTAGGACACAGGATTTAACACCCTGGCAAAGACTCCTTGGATGGGACAAACTCACTGCTAGCATGTTTCTTACAAGCCTGGAGAAAGTGATGTCTCACGCTGTGGGAAGTGAAAATGTCAAAGTTGCCCTGGCAGATGGTAGAAGAAGAAATAAAAAGGCTCAGGGAAGGAGGAATGCTGGAATTGATTTATTATGCGAGGCCATAAAACTCACCAGAGAGTTATGTTCCACAGGAGAACCCAAAGGACTCACCATTCATCAAGGTTATCAAGAATGTGCTAGTGCAAAGGCGCTAGCATCACCAAGTTCAGTAGTGGCTCTTTTCTGTATGCCAGGGATGATAGTAGTTTGCTTGTTAGCAGCCATGGGGGTGATGGGTAATAGAGTAGTAGAGGCAAGAAGTCAGAACTGGCATATTCTCCAATTAAGATAATTTTTAAAAAAAGCTACTCAGGTGATTCTGAGTTGCATCTAGGTTTGGAATTCAGTCTCCAGTATTCTTTCCATTAAACTAATGTGGCTTTCTTGTTTATTTAATTTGCTCATAAGCAACAATTCTTTTTCTCCTGTATCAAAAGTACTCCTCATTGTAGAAATTTAGGGGAAAAGGAGATCAAAAGAAGATAGAAATAATTTTTGGCATTGCTTATAATATTAAGTGAGCATTCTTGCAGCTAAATCTCTGCATTTCCATGATTATTTTTAAAAATAAATTCCTAGAAGCAGAATAGCTGTGTCCTAGCTGATGCACGTTTTTAGAGTTTTTGGTACATATTGCCAGATTGCCTCCAGAGACTCACCAGACTACATTCCCAAATTAGGCCTATCAACATTCCCATTCCCCATTACATTGCCAACATGAGTAATTATAATTTTGTATGATTTAGCAAGTTTAAGAGGTGAAATTGTGTCTCACTTTATTTACATCACTTTATTATTTTTGAAATTGAGCTTTTTCATATTTTATCTAGTCTTCACATTTGTTTGCTTTTTGTACTCCTTTTTCAAACTTATAGCTGCCAATTTTGGGGAAACATTACTCTTTTTTTGATTTGTAATAGGACTTCAAGTAGTAGGGTTTTTTTCTTATTAGTCATTTGCCTTCAAATTTTCTTCATAGTATTTTTTCCTTATATAAGGTTTTAATGGTTTGCTGGATTTTGTTACATAATATATGACGGCTTTGCTTTATCAACTAAATTTGCATGGATTTTTAATCACATATTTATATCGGATATACATGTGATATCTGTCAAGAGTTTCTGTTCTGTTTCAAAGTGCTGACTCTTTCTGTGATAAAATTATGCTTTTAAAATTATTTTATAATACAAATACCCTCTAACTTTTTTCATTTTACACAATTTTCTTGATGGGTTTCATACATTTATTTTTTCCTGATTAACATATTAGTTTTAAGTTCCAGAATGAATTTCATTGTTTCTTATATTGTGTTCAGTGTATAGAGTAATTCAGAAAGAATGGACATTTGTATACTATGGAGTCTTCATATTCAATAACATGGCATGTGTTTTGTTTATTCTCATGCAGCTGTCTTTTTATAAATAAGGTTTGTGATTTTTGATATATTTTAAAAATTTTTTTAAATTATTCTTTTCAATATCCTTAGTATTTTATTTCTTCCCCTTCCTATCCTCATCACCTTCTTCACTAAAGTTGTATTTAGTGGTCATATACTAAGACCCACTTTCCTGGCCTACCAAATACTCCATGTATCTTTTGCCAAAATGGAAAATGGACAGATATATAGGATAATGAAAAAGGAAGGCAAACTCTGAGACAAACGGATATCTAAGGAAAGAATGGCTGTGCTTTAGGACCTTAGAGAGGATACTTGATGGAAATTTGACTCATCAATTCAATAAAGTAGTTTAATTGATTCTGAGGTTCAGTGTAAGAGATTGCTAATTCCTATTTCCAGGCAGTGGTTATTATAAGCTTGCCAGTTCACTATGATGATGAGGAAGAACTCTCTTCAGCAACTTGAGCAGCCATTTGGGCTGAGAAGGATAGAGCTGGTGCCAATCAGTGTGAAAGTGTTAGTGGAAAGCAGTCATGGTTTCCATCAGAGGTATCATTCTCATTAATGAGTATGATATTTTAATGGAGTTGTGCAGTATTGTATGTGTTTGACCTGGCTCACAAAACCTTTTTTCCCTCCTAGGCCTCTGGGTCTGTGATGGGAGGGTCTGCCACGAAAGTCTCCAAAATAGCTTGAAGGTGTTTCCCCCATTGTCTTGCCTATTAATATTCCACTCCTCTTTATTTATGCAAATTTCTGTACCTGGCTTGAATTTCTCCCCAGAAAATAGTTTTTTTTCTTTTCTGTCATATGGTCAGGCTGCAAATTTTCCAAACTTTTACACTCTACTTCCCTTTTAAATGCAAGTTTCCATTTAAGATAATCTTTTTGTTCCTGCATATGGGCATATGCCGTTAGAATCAGCCAGGTCACATCTTGAATGCTTTGCTGCCTGGAAATTTCTTCTACCAGATACCCTAAATCATCTCTCTCAAGTTCAAAGTTCCACAGATTTCTAGAGCAGGGGCACAATGCTTCCAGTCTTTTTGCTAAAGCATAGTAAGAGTGACCTTTATTCCAGTTCCCAGTAAGTTTTTCATCTCCATCTGAGACCACCTCAACCAAGAATTCATAGTGTCCATATCACTGTCAGCATTTTGGTCAAAACCATTCAACAACTCTCTAGGAAGTTCCAAACCTTCCCTCATCTTCCTGTCATCTTCTGAGCCCTCCAAACTCTTCTGACCTCTGCTTGTTACCCAGTTCCAAAGTCACTTCCACATTTTCAGGTATCTTTATAGCAGTGCCCCACTTCTCCAGTACCAATTTTCTGTATTAGTTGTTCTCACATTGCTATAAAGAACTGCCAGAGACTGGATAATTGATGAATAAAAGAGGTTTAGTTCACTCACAGCTCCACAGACTGTACAGAAAGCATGGATGTGAGGCCTCAGGAAACTTACAATCATGGCAGAAAGGCAAAGGGGACACAAGCACATCTTCACATGGCAACAGGAGAGAGAGAGCAAAGGGGGAAGTGTTAAACCCTTTAAACAACCAGATCTCATGAGAACTCACTCACTATCACAAGAACAGCAAGAGGGAAATCCGCCCCCATATTCCAATCACCTCCCATCAGGTCCCTCCCCTAACATTGGGAATTACAATTCAACATGAGATTTGGGTGGAAACACAGAGCCAAACCATATCAAACTGTATTCATCTATTTTAAGGATTAAAAGGAAAATTTAAAAATTGACACTTTAAGGGTACACTATTCAAGTTGACAAAAAAATATTTTTTCAAAGCAGTTTCTGAAACCAAGAGAATAAACCATATGGTACTTTTTTCACGGATCCTGACTCTTAATTTTATGCAGTTTAGCACTTTATTATATACTCTCCTTTCTTTTGGGATATTTGTGCTGAGAATGTTAATTCTATCTCCCCAGTAAAGTTATAAAACCACTGAAGGCATATATACAGTGCAACACTACATGGCACTGCAGCATTGGAGTTCCCTTTAACAATGTGCTAATCCATTTCAACTAAAACATTACCAAATTTTGACTTATTCTTCTATTTTTATTTGAAGTATTATAAAGACAAGTCTGATTTGTATTTAGATAACACATTTTTTTTTTGAGACGGAGTCTTGCTCTGTTGCCAGGCTGGAGTGCAGTGGTGTGATCTCCGCTCACTGCAACCCCGCCTCCTGGGTTCAAGTGATTCCCCTCCCTCAGCCTCCTGAGTAGCTGGGACTACAGGTGCACACCACCATACCTGGCTAACTTTTTGTATTTTAGTAGAGAAAGGGTTTCACCATGTTGGCCAAGATGGTCTCTATCTCCTGACCTTGTGATCTGCCTGCCTTGGCTTCCCAAAGTGTTGGGATTAAAGGCGTGAGCCACCACGCCCGGCTGATAACACTTTTGCTGTGGCATGAAAGGTAAATTTAAGGAGGATGAGAATGGAGGAATGAAAAGTTGAAATACTATTACAACAGCACATGGGAAATACAACAAAAGTCTGATGAGGCCAGGGGTAGTAGGCATGGAGAACAAGATAGATTTAAAACCTGCTTAAGAGGAAAAATATGCAGGATTTAATTGACAGGACTTAGAAACATAGATTATGTAGTCAAGGATAATTCCTAGAGTTGACTTGAATCATGAAATTTAGGGTTGAACTTTAATAAACTTTTAGTTGTATGATTTGGGGCACTCAAAGGTTTATTTAAGTGTTCTTTGTTTTTTTCACCATTTACAAAATTGTGGATAATAATACCTACCACATAAGGTTGTTTTGTGGATTAAATTGAATCTATAACATGCTTTGTCAACTCTAAAGCACTTTGTGAAAGTTAGACATTATTTATTTCATTACAAATACTGTATATTAAGGGGCTACTGTTAGACATTTTTAGATCTATGTACAAATAACATTAATAATATCTGTATCTTTTTTTCCCTTGGTGTGAGAGGGTATTTAAAAGGAGACATTGATGAAGTATTTTCAATATCCTATAACTTGTTTCCCTTGTTGCCAGAATACACACTAGAGTATAATGAAAACTGAAATGCTAGAATACAAACCATTCTTTAAGACCTAGCTCAAATTCTAGGCCCTCAATATATTGGTGGTAAAGTCACACCCTATTCATTGGCCTTGTCTTCCTCATCTGTAAAGCTAGAGTATTGGACAAAGTTCTTATTTCTACCACTGGATAGTAACTAGCTCTCAACTCTCAACATTTATATTAATCCACTTCAACAAGAACTACTGGCCTGGTTTCGACCTTTGTCAACCTAATGGAAATGACAACCTTTCTAATGCAGAA